>NC_000006.12:71398261-73898261 GCF_000001405.40 Homo sapiens | reverse complement strand
ATCTGTACCAAAAAGAAAGCACAAAATGCATATACATGGGGAGGAGACTAAGGCTATAGCCCAAAATGTTAGCAATGAATAATGGAATTGTCAATGACTTTTCTTTCCATTTTTTCTTTCTTCCTTTTCTCTTTTTTGTTTCCTAAGTTTTTACCATGAATATATAACAATCTGATAGTAAAACTAAATTTAATATATGCCAAAAGAAGTGTTACCATTATTTGAAAACTATATGGACTCACATTAATAAAATTATTATTTCTTCAATGTACTTAATAGTAGCAAAAGGAAAATAATCTTGAAGCCTGTTTTTCTAAAGCATATGTATTTTTACAAATGTGTTTTATAATATAGTCTATTTGTACGTACTCAAAAATGTTAACACAATGATTGTAAAAATAAGTAAAGTTTATCTCACCCAACATTAAAATGACATATGTTATACAAGTAATGGCTACTGATTAACAAAAAAACATAATGACTTTATTAATATAATAAAGACCAAGTAATTGTCACTAATGGGTAGAATTATTTTATTTGAGGAAGTTGTAGGAAGAATAAAGTAAAAGTATTAGGCAAGGTATGGCGAACTACTTGTGTTAGAAAAACTTCAGACAAATTAATTTTTTTTTTATAGAGGCTTGGTCTGTCACCAGGCTAGAGTACAGTGGCACAATAACAGCTCACTGCAGGCTCTACCACCTGGACTCAAGCAATCTTTCCACCTCAGCCTCCTGAGTAGCTGGGACCACATGCATGCACCACCATGCCTGGCTAATATTTTAATTTTTTTTTTTTTTTTTTTTTGTAGAGACGGGATCTCCCTATTATTTTTCCCAGGCTGATCTCGAACCCCAGGGCTCAAAGTAACCACCCACCTCAGCTTCCTAAAGTGCTTGAATTACAGGTGTGAGCCACTGTGCCCAGTTAGACAAAGTAAGTTTGACAGAGTTTGAGTAAAGAATGATTTATGAGTTGGGCAGCACTCAAAACCAGAGAAGTTCAGAGAACTCCACCAAGCAGCATGAACAGTGAGGTTTTATAACACAAATATGGAAGCAAAGTAGAGAAATCATCTGATTGACTGCAGATAAGCATTTGTGTTAGTTGGGTATGGTCTGATCATCTGGCTGCCCATAATGGCTGACGCTTGGCTGTTTATGATTGGCTGAGAATTGGCTGTTTGTTACATTCTTAAGTTAGGCTTTTGTTTGTTTACACATTAAGTTAGGTTGCAGTTTGTTACATAGGAACTCAAAGTATGGAGACATCCTCAAGCAAATGGCCTCCTGCGTTGTTAGTCAGTCTCAAGTAGAGCTACTAAGGAAAAATATTCTGAAGACTAAAAAAGTGAATGTCCTAACTGATGGAAGCCTCAGGTTCTGCAGCAGTGCCTTGGAGGCCACCCCATGTGCTGTACTGTGAAGTGGATAAGCTGGGTGCCTAGTGCAGCCCCTCTCCTATTCCAGCTGAGCTGCTTTACTTTTATCCAGTGTAAAATTTGTTTTCTAGATGTCTTTTGAAAAATAAAAGAGAACGCGGGAAGTTTTGCTACTACATGTCACTGCCCAAATGAAGCTTCTTTTTCCTACTAAGAGGATAAACAGGGGTCCCCAACTGCTTATATAATTTGCTGGATGAAAATAAATAGAATTCATAAATTACCTCCCAAATATTTGCTTCATACACTTTGAACAAGTATTAATGAGGTCAGGGCTACAGGAAGAGAAATTGTAAGACAGTTCTGATTCCTGCCAAGAGTTAATCTAGGACAGGCTGCTGGATCCCTCCCCCAAAATCAACTCTAGAAAAACTATAGATGCTAGATGGAAACACAGAATGCAGCAATTAACAACAAGTAAAAAAAAGGTAAGAAAACTCCACAGACTGAAGCTTGCTATAAACTGAGTTGTGTGAGAGTAGGGTGACCAAAGCCCAGGAGCCAGTGGGCTTGGTTGGAGCCAGGGAATGGGTTGGAGGAAAGCTTTTTTTCCACTCTTACCCCACTTTGTCTTAGAAAACTCATTTCCTGACTCTATATCACAGATAGTAGCAACTTCCTGGGCCATTTGTGATCATGGAGGGGAAATATCAGAGCAGTGCACAAGTGCATTTGAGGTAAAGAGTTTGGGAAATATGCTGACTGACCACCCATCCTCAACTCTTCAAAATCTAGGGCTGTGGATTATAACACAGGAGGCTGTCTCCTCCAATGATGCCTCTTTCCAGGAATTTCAAGATCAGTCCCTGACCAGAGAGTAGCTGAGCAGAATGGCAGCAAGCAGGAACTATCAATGAGGGTCTGTGGCTCCTGGGCTTCTCCTCCTCCCTCTTCCTAATTTGCTGACTGACTAGGGGCTAGTACTTATCTCCATCCCAACACACTGCCAAACAGAATAGCTGGTAGTCCCAGGGAAACATTGCCTCACAGACTCAAATAACAAACAAGATATCTGGGAAGTGTAAGTTATTTCTTTAAGTCAACAAACTGAAAAATATTTATCATTGGAAACAATGTTGTTGGAACAGAAAGGTCAAGATTTTAAATTAAGCATGATAGATATTCTTTAGAAGATGAGGAAAATAAAATAAAGAAAAATTTTTTAAAACAACCAAGTGGAAATATTATATATGAAAATAAAATACTCAAAAGAAAGAACATAGTGGATTGGTGTAATAGCAGGTAGATGATTTAAAAATCAACTGTAAGAAGACTGGGTTGAGAAGTTTCCCCGGAAGGCAGTGAGAATGAGAAAAGGAAAAAAATACAGAGTACAAAACTAGATGTAGCAACATCCACATAATAAGAGTCTTAAAAGGAAGCAAAAAATGAAGAAATATTAGAAAAAATAATGGAATTAAATGTCTTAGAATTAGACAAAGATGAAAGACCTCACATTAAAAAAGGCCAATTCTGTGCCAAACAGAAGAGACTGGAGAGCCACAGAGACATGCTAAAGTTAAATTAGAATGTTAAGGGCAGATTCCAGAAAGAAAGAGAACATCACCTACAAAAGATCAAGGATTAGATTGGCATTAGACTTCTCAAAGGAAAATTAGATGAAAAAGAACAGTGAAGTTATTAAGGTATTCAAGCAAAAGTCTTGAATATGGAATTTTATATCCAGTTATTCAACATTGAGCATATAGTAAAAAACATTCTCAATTATACAAGGTCTGAAAAATATTGTAACTTGTATGTTTTTTGTAAGCCTTGTGATAACCACAAAGCAAAAAACTACAATAGATACACTAAAAATAAAAAGCAAGGAATTAAAACATACTACCAGAGAAAATCACTTAACCACAAAGGAAGACTAAAAGAAAGGAGGAAAAAAAAAAGAGATTTATAAAATAACCAAAAAACAAGTAACAAAATATCAGCATTAAGTTCTAATCTATCTGTAACAACCTCGGATATAAATGGACTAAATTTTCCAACTAAAAGACAGAAAGTGACTGAATGGCTAAAAAGACCCAATCATATGCTGCCCACAAGAAGTTCACTTCACCTATAAAGACACACATACACTGAAAGCAAAGGAATGAAAAAAAGATATTCCATGCAAACAGAAACTAATAAAGAACAGGAGTAGCTATACTTATCAGATAAAATAGACTTTAAGTCAGAAATTATTTTTTAAAAAGACAAGACCATTATATAATGACCAACGCATCAATACTGCAGGATAATTTAATAATTTTTAAATATATACATTCAACACTGAAGCACTGAAGTATATAAAGCAAATATTAACAGGGCTAAAGGGTTAGATTTACTGTAATACAATTACAGTAGGGGACTTCAAAATCTCACTTTCAGCAACAGACAGATAACCCAGGAAGAAAATCAACAAAGGAATATTGGAGTTAAACTACATCGTTTTTTTGGGTTTTTTTTGGTTTGGTTTGGTTTGGTTTGGTTTGGTTTGGTTTGGTTTGGTTTTGAGACGGAGTTTCACTCTTGTTGCCCAGGCTGGAGTGCAATGGCGCCATCTTGGCTCACTGCAACCTCCACCCCCACACCACACCCCACCCCTGGTTCAAGTGATTCTCCTGCCTCAAACTCCCAAACAGTTGCGATTACAGGCATGCGCTTCCATACCTGGCTAATTTTTGTATTTTTAGTAGAGACAGGATTTCACTATGTTGGTCAGGCTGGTCTCGAACTCCTGACTTCAGGTAATCCACCCACCTCGGCCCCCCAAAGTGCTGGGATTACAGACATGAGCCACAGTGCCCGGCCTAAACGGCACTCTAGACCAGGTAGACTAACAGATATTTACAGAGCATTCCACAGAACAGCTGCAGAACACACATTCTTCTTAACAGCACATGGAACATTCTACAGGATCAACCATATGTTAGGCCAAACGAGTCTCAACAAATTTTTAACAGTTGGAATCATATCAAGTATCTTTGCTGACCACAGTGCAATAAAACTAAAAATCAATAACAGGAAGAACTTTGGAAATTATGTAAATAAATAAAAACTAAACAACATGCTTATAAATAACCAATGAGTCAATGAAAAAATTTTAAAAGAATTAAGGACAAATACCATATGATTATTTCAATAGATGCTGAAAAAGTATATGATAAAATTCAACATCCCTCATCATAAAAACCCAACCAGCTGGACATAGAAGGAACATACCTCTACAAAATAAAGGCCATATGTGACAAACCCACAGCCAACATCATACTAAATGATGAAAGCTAAAACTTTTTCTCTAAGATATGGAACAAGACAAGGATGCCCACTTTCACTACTTTTATTCAACATAGTACTAGAAGTTCTAGCCAAAGTAATTGTGCAAGCAAAAGAAATAAAGGGCCTCAAAATTGAAAAAAAGGAAGTCAAATTGTTCTTGTTGGCAGATGACAAGATTATACATAGAGAAAACCCTAAAGACTACACCAAAAACAACTGTTTGAACTTATAAATGAATTTAGTAAAGTTGCAGAATACAAAATCAATGTATGAAAATAGGTAGTGTTCATGTATAGCAATAGCAAACAATCTGAAAAACAAAGCAAGAAAATAATTCCTTTCAAAATAGCTACAATGAATAATATAAAATACCTAGGAATAAACTTAACCCAGGAGATGAAAAATCTCTACAATGAAAACTACTAAACATAATGAAAGAAATTAAAGAGGAAACAGATAAGTGGAAAGATATCCTGTGTTCATGGATTGGAAGAATATTGTTAAAATGTCCATATTACCTAAAGTGATCTACAGATTCAATGCAATTGCTATCGAAATACTAATGGCATTCTTCACAGAAATAGGAAAAAAACCTTTAAAAATTCATACAGAAACGTAAAAGACTCCAGATAGCCAAAGCAATCCTGAGCAAAAAGAACAAAGCTAAAGGCATTACACTACCTGTATTAGTCCATTCTCTGCTGTAAAGAACTACCTGAGACCAGGTAACTTATGAAGAAAAGAGATTTAATTAACTCACAGTTCCACAGGCTTAACAGAAAGTGTGACTGGGAGGACTCAGGAAACTTACAATCATGGCAGAAGGTGAAGGGGAAGCACGCACATTTACCATGGCAGAGTAGGGGTGGTAGGAAGGGATGTGCCACATACTTTCAAACAACCAGATCTCATGAGAACTCACTCACTATTTTGAGAACAGCAAGGGGGAGGTCCACCCACCCTGATTCAATCACCTCCCACCAGGCCCCTCTTCTGACACATGGGATTACAATTTAAGATGAGATTTGGGAGGTGACACAGAGCCAAAACATATTATTCCACCCCTGGCCCCTTCCAAGTCTCATGTCCTTCTCACATTTCAAAACCAATCATGCCTTCCCGATAGTCATATGATATCTTAACTCATTCCAGCATTAACTCAAAATTTCAAGTCCAAAGTCTCATCTAAGACAAGGCAAGTCCCTTCTGCCTATGAGCCTGTAAGATCGAAAATAAGTTAGTTACTTCCAAGACACAATGGGGGCACAGGCATTGGGTAAATGCTCCCATTCCAAATGGGATAAACTTGTTAAAACAAAAGGGCTATGGGCCACATGCAAGTCTGAAACCCAGGAGGGCAATCTTTAAGTCTCAAAACTTCAAAATAATTTCTTTTGATGCCATGGATATGAGACATGTTCTCACATGTCTCACATCCATGTCACATTGATGGAAGGGGTGGGCTCCCAAGGCCTGGGGCAGCTCTACCCCTATAGCACTGCAGGGGAAAGCCCCAGTTGCTGCTTTCACAAGCTGGCATTGAGTGTCTGTGGCTTTTCTAGGTGCCCGGTGCAAGCCATTGGTCGGTCTACCATTCTGGGGTCTGGAGGACGGTGGCCCTCTTCTCACGGTTCCACTAGGCAGTGCCCCAGTGAGGACTCTTTGTGGGGGCTCCAACCCCACATTTCCCCTCTGCATTTCCCATGGTAGAGGCTCTCCATGAGGGTTCTGCCCCTGCAGTGGACTTCTACCTGGACATCCAGGAATTTTCATACATCCTCTGAAATATAGGCAGAGGTTCCCAAAGCTCACTTCTTGTCTTCTGCATGCACCCACACACACAACACCATGTAGAAGCCACTAAGGCTTGGGGCTTGCACTCTATGAAGCAACATCCCAAGCTGTACCTTGGTCTCTCTTAGCCACAGCTGGAGCTGGAGTGGCTGGGATGCAGGGTGCCATGCTCCAAGGCTGCACAGAGCAGCAAGGCCCTGGGCCCAGCCCATAAAACCATTTTTCCTCATAGGCCTCCAGGCCTGTTATGAGAGGGGCTGCCAGCAAGGCCTCTGACATGCCCTGGAGACATTTTCCCCATTGTCTTGGCTATTAACATTTGATTCCTCATTACTTATATAAATTTCTGCAGCTGGCTTGAATCCTCCCCAGAAAATGGATCTTTTCTTTTCTACCACATGGTCAGGCTACAAATTTTCCAAACTTTTATGTTCTGCTTCACTTTAAAACATAAGTTTCAATTTCACACCATCTCTTTGTGAACGTATATGAATGTATGCTGTTAGGGGCAGCCAGTGCACCTCTTGCACACTTTGCTGCTTAGAAATTTCTTCCAGCAGATACCCTAAATCATCTCCCTCAAGTTCAAAGTTCCACAGATCTCTAGGGCAGGGGAAAAATGCCACAAGTCTTTTCACATAATCTTTGCTCTAGTTCCCAATAAGTTCCTCATCTCCATCTGAGACCACCCTAGCCTGGACTTCATTGTCCATATCACTGTCAGCATTTTGGTCAGAGCCATTCAACAAGTCTTTAGGAAGTTCCAAACTTTCCCACATCTTCCTGTCTTCTTCTGAGCCCTCCAAACTGTTCTAACCCCTGCCCATTACCAAGTTCCAAAGTTGCTTCCACGTTTTCTTTATAGGGATGCCCCACTAATACAAAAATTGGATTTCCCCAATTTCTGTATTAGTCCATTCTCACCCTGCTATAAACAACTACCTGAGACTGGGTGATTTATGAAAAAAAAAGAGGTTTAATTGACACACAGTTCTACAGACTTAACAGGAAGCATGACCGGGAGGCCTCAGGAAACTCACAATCATGGCAGAAGGCAAAAGAGAAGAAAATACATCATCTTACCATGGCAGAGCAGGAGTTAGGGGAGTAGTGCCACACACTTTCAAACCACCAGCTCTCATGAAAACTCACTCACTATCAGGAGAACAGCAAGGGGAATGTCTGTCCCCATGATTAAATCACCTCCCACCAAGCCCTTCCCCTGACATGTGGAGATTATAATTTGAGATGAGATTTGTGTGGGGATGCAGAGTCACACTGTATCACCAATTGACTTCAAAATATGGTACAAAGCTAGAGTAACTGAACGAGCATGGTACTGGCATAAAAACCAACTAGAAAAATGAAACAGAATAGAGAACCCAGAAATAAATTAATTCATTTAAAGCCTACTAATTTTCAACAAAGGCACCAAGAACATAAATTGGGGAAAGGACAATCTCTTTAATAAATGAGTCTGGTAAAACTGGATATATATAGGCAGAAGAATGAAACTGAACCCCTATCTCTCACCATATACAAAAATAAACTGTAAATGGATTAAAAAACTTAAATGTAAAACATGAAACTACTAGAAGAAAACATAGAGGAAATCCTTAAAGAAATTGGACTTGGCAAAGATTTTTTAGAATAAGATCTGAAAAGCACAATGTGAGCAAAAATAGACAAATTAGATTATATCAAAATAAAAACCTACACAGCAAAAGAAACAATCAATAGGGTGAAGAGGAAACCTATAGAATAGGGGAAAGTATTTGCAAACTACGCATCTGCCAAGGGGTTGATATCCAGAATATATAAGGAACTCAAACAACTCAATAGCAGAAACCAAATAATAAAATAAAAAAATGAGTAAAAAACCTGAATAGACATCTTTGAAGACATATATATGGCCAATAGATATATGAAAAAATGTTCAGCATCACTAATCATCAGAGTAATGCATATCGAAAATACAGTGAGATATCACCTCATCCCAGTTAGAATGGCTATTATCAAACAGACAAAAAATAACAAATGCTGGTGAGGATGTCGAGAAAAGGAAACTCTTATATACTGTTGGTGGAAATAAATGTACATTAGTACAGCCCTTATAGAAAATGGTATGGAAGCTCCTCAAAAACTTAAAATAGAACTACCACATGATTTAGCAATCCATTACTAGGTATACATCGAAAGGAAATTAAACCAGTAAGTCAAAGAGACATCTGCACACCTATGTTTATTGCAGGACTATTCACAATAGCCAAGACATGGAATTAACCTAAATTCCCATCTACAGATTAATGGGTGAAGAAAATACAATATATATTAATGAAACGCTATTCACCCATCAAATAGAATGAAATTCTATCATTTGTGGCAACATGGATTAACCTGGAGCACACTGTGTTAAGTAAAATAACCCAAACACAGAAAGGCAAACACTGTATGATTTTATTCATATGTGGAATCTAAATAAGTTGACTTCATAAAAGTAGAGAGAATAGTGGTTATCAGAGGCTGGGAAGGGTAGGGAGAGGGGGAAACTGGCAGAGGTTGTTCAATGGGTAGAAAGTTACATTTAGAAAGAATACATTTGGGTGTTCTGATATACAGTAAGGTCACTATAGCAAAAAACAATGTAGTATATATTTCAAATTAGCAAGATAGAGAAGATTTTGAATATTGTCACCACAAAGAAATGACAAATATTTTGAGTGATAGAAATGGTAATTACCCCCAAATTGATCATTATTCTATGTACATAATCACTGAAAAAACACCCTGTACCTCATAAATATGTACAATTATTATGTGTCCATTATAAATTTAAAAATTTAAACAAAAAGAAACATGGGATGGCAATCATAATTTCTGAAAAATAAAAATGCAAGGCAAAAACAATCATAAGAGATAAAGAAGAATGTTACCAAAAACAGGAACAATTGAAAAATGTATCAGTCAACGACAGAGTGTATAATAAGTATAAATAGATAAATCAACAATTTTAGATATAGATTTTCATATACCTTCTTAGAGACTAATATATCAGCCAGAAAAAAAAATATGCAGTAATATCAATAACCTGAAGAATTTAGACAATAAGCTCCAACTATTAGACAATAGAGAACTTTTCACCTAACAGAGAATATTGGATCTTTATAAGCATACCATATAACACTTAAAAAGTTAAATCTTGTATTTGTCTATAAGGGAAGGTTCCATGCATTCCACAGTATCAATGGTTTATATACTGCATTCTCCTAGCACCAATGCATTAAAATTAGTTACTACTAACAAACAAACAGAGAGCTTTAAAAAAAAATCTCACCTGTTTGGAAATATATGTTACCAAATTGTCCGTGTGTTAAAGAGGAAAAGAAGCAATATACAGAACTGACGAGTAATACAAACTTTGCTTTTCAGCCTTTGTTGGACATACCTAAAGCAGTACTCAAAGAAATTTTAACTTTACATTTGTCAAGATACAAGAAAGTTTAAAAATAAATTGATGAGTCATTCAACTCAAGATGTTACGGAAAGGGCTACGGAATAAACTTAAATAAGAAGGAAGGAAGTAATAAAGGCAGTGAGAAAAATAAATAAAATAGAGACCAAATATTAAATAATGAGAAAAGTAATAAAACCAAAAACTGATTCTAGAACAGACTAATAATATTGACCAATAAAATGCAGAATGAAAAAATGGAAACTAACCATAGAAATTTTTGGAGAATTTAAAAAAAAATAATAAATATTTTATAAATAATTATATGTGAATAATTTTGAAATCTAGATGAAAATGTTAAATTGCTAGAAAATTTTTAAATGCAAAAATTGATGCAAGAAAAAATAGAAAACTTAGATAAACCAATTAGGACTAAAGAATCTGAAAAGGTAAAGATCTCACTTCCCCCATAAAAGAAAAAGAAAAAGAAAAAACAAGACCAAATAGTTTTTTGTGTGACTGAATCATTAAATTCTATATTACTACTAGTCATTCACAAAAACAGTAAAAGAATGTAAGCCTGTTCAATCAGGCCATTTTTTTCCCCAAAACTATATAAGAACAGGGCAAGAAAAGAAAATATAAGCACATGTCACATATAAACGTAGCTAAAGCCAACAGAAGTAACTGAAACAACATAGGGGGCAGGGAAGCCAGCATTCCAGAAATGTTAAAGGCCTCACAAAAGTTTTATTTAATGATATGCTTTATTCACTTAAGGAGAACATCAGCAAATTAATGAAAATATCAATAGCTATTCGTATGTGTAGGCAAATCATACAACTATATTGCTTTGATTTGAAATGACCCTGTATAAGAAATAACCTCCCCATCACATGGAAAATTCTAGATAAATACAATAACTAACTTAAGGCATTTTGTTACATAAAAGAATAATATAACACTAACGTATGTGAGTGAAAAGGTTGATTTATTACATTCATTCCACTTACCCCAATTTTATTATAGTTTAGTGGGGTAGGGTCCAAAGAAATGAAATACAGGACAATTCAGAAGTGTCAACTTTGTTCCCCAAAAGACTGGGTTATACAGTGAGGTTAGCAGGCCTTCCTGGATCCCTGGAGGGACAGCCCTTCTGACTCTGCTGTAGACTGACCCTGCTCATATTCCAGAAGTAGGAAGCCACTAAACATATTCATCACCTTCTACTAAGATGGCTTCTGAGGGCCAGAAACCACTTAAATGCCAGGATTGACTTTTATTTTTCACCCTAGTCTGAGTAAATCTAGTTTTTAAGGAGGAGAGAGGGCACTTTTCTGAGAAGTTATTTGCATAACAAAAGGAGCATTATAATTGCCTTCTCTGTAGCAGAAAAAAAGTGAAGCATGTATTTAGACTAAATATCAGACCACATCCTGTGTCACATGGCATGGTAGGAGAGTAATGACTGATTGCTGGCACAAAAAGATAACTCTTTGGAAAAGAGCCTTATCCCTTTGTCCTTTTTCAGGAGTCATTACTTAAAAGTTTAATGAGGCTAATTCAAAAAAGAAGAATCTATCCTTCCAGGAAGACAAAAATAAATTCCTCATCCCCTTTCACCTACCCTCCATACACACACAGATATACACACACACACACACACACACACAGAGAGAGAGAGAGAGAGAGAGAGAGAGAGAGAGAGAGAGAGAGAGAGAGAGAGAGAGAGACCAGAGGAGCTGGGCCCCTGGGCAGAGGCCCCAAGACACACAGGAAAGTCCAGAAGACACCAAGGTTTGGGGCAGCCAATCCAGCCACATCTCAAGATTTTCTAGTTCATTCTCCTGCCTTTCAGCTGGGGGGCAAGACAGGAGGAATATTTAGTTGAATGATGTATCCAACCAGGGGCACTGTTCCCAGGATGAATCAACTTTACCCCTCAACTGGGTAGAAAAATATTTTTTCCTAAATCTTTTAGGGAGTTTGTGTTCCCATGCAAAAAGAGGATGAAGCAAGAATTAGGAAATCCTAGTAATAATCAAAGACTGTCTTAAAAATCATATAATTTCATTCTGATTTCCTCATATTCATTTTTTCAAAGATCAATACAATGTTTACATAAATCTTAAATTCTGTAGGATTGTGCGGCAGAAAGAAGTCCAAATCAAAACATTTTATAAATAAGGAAGCTGTAGGACAGCTTATAAAAAGAGATAGAGCCAGGACTTGAACCCAGATGTTCTGACCACTAGTCCAGAATTTTTTCCACTCTATATTACTTTTCTGATAATTAAGCATATACACATTTTGGAAGATTTTTTTTTTTGAGACACAAGTCACTCTGTCGCCCAGGCTGGAGTGCAGTGGCGTGATCTCGGCTCACCACAACCTCCGCCTCCCGGGTTCAAGCGATTCTCCTGCCTCAGCCTCCCGAGTAGCTGGGACTACAGGCGCCCGCTACCACGCCCAGCTAATTTATTTTTTATTTTTTATTTTTTTTTAGTAGAGACGGGGTTTCACAGTGTTAGCCAGGATGATGTCCATCTCCTGACCTCGTGATCCGCCAGCCTCAGCCTCCCAAAATGCTGGGATTAGAGGCGTGAGCCACCGTGCCGGCCAAAGATAAATTTTTAAAGGAAATCTCATTAAATCCTTCATGTTTTAATTCACAACCAAGAAATTTTGCTGAGCTATCAGAACATATTTGTGTCTCCCTATAAAACCATCAACGGTATTTATAGCTTTACTTAAATAAGCACAGCAGAAACAAATGGTAATTAACTAATCCAGATTTCCTGCCTGGGATTTGCTCTATACATGCTTTTTTTTTTTTTTTTTTTCATTTATTTGGAAAAAATTACCTTAACACTCATTAACAGAAAAATAAAAAAGACAAAAGTTAACTTCCTTTTTTCCTTTTTTTAAGGCAGAGTCTCATCCTGTCACCCAGGCTAGAGAGAGTGGCACAATCTCAGCTCACTGCAGCCTCAATTTACCCAGCTCAAGCGATCTGCTCACCTCAGCCCCCAAAACAGCTGGCACTACAGGCACGCACCACCACGCCCGGCTAATTTCTGTATTTTTTGTAGAGACAGTGTTTCGGCATGTTGCCCAGGCTGGTCTCCAACTCCTGGGCTCAAGCGACCCACCTTGGCCTCCCAAAGTGCTGGGATTACAGGCTTGAGCCACCACACCCAGCTGAAAGTTCATTTTCTTAAATGGTTAATGTAATAAGGTAAAGAGAAAGTAGGAAGGATCTAGTATCTAATGAAAGTGAGTTATACCTGCTCAGAGACCCTCCATCATTCAGCATGTTGCTGTCACAATTCACTACGATGGCACTCCTTTTTCAGCTTCTCCATTCGTTAAGCATTGCCATTATTTTATGTATTTATTTGTAGTGGATTTTAAAAGGGAAACGGGGAGGATTCCAAATTACCTGCATCTATAAGTGAACCGTTGGCCTTCTACTAGCTTCTACTTTAAATGCTTTTGTTAGCACACATACCAAACCTAGTGCCAAGATAACAATCAGATAAAATTAAAAGCAATAGCCTGCAGCTGGAAAGGAAAACAGCAGTAATTTATTCTTTGAGTTGGGGCATGAGTTCTGATTAAAACTAATGATTAAAAAAGAACACTTCAAGTTTGGCTACAAATTTCTCAGTATGCTTGGATTAGCCAATTTATGTCATCAACTAGGGTCTAAATTAAAGGAAAATTCCTGTATTGACTAGACGGCTATCTGTTCAACAATGAAATGTTGGAAATTGTTTCCTCCCTCATATTTTCTCTAAGCTCTTCCCACAAGACTGAACCATAATCAGTTAATTCATTGACATGCTTCACAATGGCTTAAAAGGATGTCCTATTTTCTTTTTTTTTAATTTTTTTATTATTATACTTTAAGTTTTAGGGTACATGTGCACAACGTGCAGGCTTGTCACACATGTATACACGTGCCATGTTGGTGTGCTGCACACATCAACTCGTCATTTAGCATTAGGTACATCTCCCAGCGCCATCCCTCCCCGCTCCCCCTACCCCACAACAGTCCCCAGTGTGTGATGTTCCCCTTCCTGTGTCCTATTTTCTTCTAAAGAAATGTTTTAACATGTTAGTTTATATGCACATATTAAGATTCTCTGTTTTTTCTTAATTCTTCTTACAAAAAGCTCACATAATTACAGTGTCCTCTGGAGAACATCAGTACACCAACGTTGTCATCTGACAGTTGAGATAAAACTAAGATAAGAGAGCCTTACACCTGATCCATTGTTTGGTCCCCAATGTTATAGTGGCTTGCTTTTCTATCCTAACTACTAACCACCATCTTCTGTGGCCATGTAGTGGTAACATAATAGGTACTATAATAATAGTAGTTCAAGTTGCATTTCCCCTACAAAAAAATGTGCTTAAGTAGTTCCAACACTGATCCAAATGGTGCAACATTTTTTTTTTTTTTTGAGGTGGAGTCTTGCTCTGTCACCCAGGCTGGAGTGCAGTGGCACAATCTCAACTCACTGCGACCTCCACCTCCCGGGTTCAAGCGATTCTCCTGCCTCAGCCTCCCTAGTAATTGGGACTACAGGCACATGCCACCACACTCAGCTAATTTTTGTAATTTTAGTAGAGACAGGGTTTCACCATGTTGGCCAGGCTGGTCTCGAACTCCTGACCTCAGGTGATCCACTCGCCTCAGCCTCCCAATAAGTGGTGAAATTTAAAGAAACATTTGATAATAAAATTTCAAGTCAACAAAATAATTAGATGTCTCCTTATAGTTAATTGTGACTATATGTAATTTACTTGTTTATTTATTCAACCACCATTTCTTGAGCACCAGGAACTGTTCTAAGAGCAAACAAGAGAGATCGAGAGAGAGAGTTAGAACTTATGATCTACTGGGGAAAACAAGCAATAAACTGGCAAGTTTATAAAAGAGTTAGTAACATTTCAACTAATGATAAGGACCATAGAGAAAGACATCCACAATGCATCAAAAAAGCGATCACTTCAGGGAGGTAGAAGACAGGGTAACCTTAGCTTGAGTGGACAGGGAAATGTCAGAGAAATGACATTTGTTCCCAGATCTGAATGACAAGGTAAAAGCAGGAAGCACACCTGAGCAGAGGTGGCAGGGTAGGGTTTGACCTGTGAAGTAGCGTACATGTCCTTCTCTCCAAGTATTCTTGTCCAAAAGACTGAACATGAGCCAAACTCTTTCCACCTTCAGTCCTGCCTCTAGGAAAATTTGAATGTAGATAAAATTTATCCTGGTAATCTGAAGCCTTTCTTTCCATCCTTCTGTTTTCTCTCTTCCCTTCACTGATGCCTAAGGTTATATCCCCAAATCACCCATCAACTTCTTCCTCTTTCTACTACCAACCTAGCCCTGCATTCAAAGCAACCCTGTGTGCAGTGGTGCTCTTCAAACTAGTCTACTGAAAACCCTACTGCAGATGGGCATGAACCCATGCACACGAGGGCTCTGCATCTGTGTGTTATGCCATAAGGAAGTCATGGGAAATGTAAGTTACAGGTCAGGCTCTCCAGGAATGTACAGTCTATGAGGAAGACTCAATGCACAAATAATCATCACTGAATCCTCAAGATGTGCATTAACCACGTGGTAGAGACCAGCCACGTGGTTATTCCACATTAAAAGGAGTTCCTAAAATGGAAACATCACCACCTGTGTAAACCTGGACTCTTATAATACAAAGAAATTTTTAAAAATAAAGGGTCAGTTGGTGAATATGTCTCACAATAATGACCCTCAAGATGACCTGTTCTTTGTGCCTCATGAAAGCCTGGAGTTATCAGGGTGCCCATTTCTACTAGAAAGGCTATTTGCCTCAAGTCCAACTTCCATGCTGGCATTTAAAACAAGTTTGCTACTTGCAGTATTTCAAAGCTATTTGTGGCATTTCTACTAAAATAATATATGGAAAAATGCAATAAGTAATAAATGTGATGGTGAACTGTTTATGCGGAGAGCATTAAGTGAGACTATCAAAAGCCGTTGGTTGGGGAGTTGAGGAAAAGACTGTAGTCTATTTCCGCTGGAAGAAGTCAAGAGCTCTGGATTCTAACAGTCCAAATGCAAACCACACACTTTAAGCGGGGCGTTTAAACATGTTTACAAGTGCCTGGTAAGGAGCTGAACTTTGAAAGAGCCTTTGATCAAACTTGGCTTTGGCTTTCGCAGGTCTAAGAGAGTGGCTTCTGGGACTTGTTTACACAGATTGGGATAAAAAGCTATTTACATTTCAAATACATATTTGCCCTTGAAAGAATCAACTTCAGATGGCTTGGAGGTTTTATTTGGAGACCGAGTCAAAGGCTGAGTCCTCGACTGGGAGAAATACTGTCCCACAGTTTTGATTGCCACATTGTGGTGATAATTCCACAGGCATCTCCCATCTGAGGGTAACCCAAGGAGCCAAACATCATGTGAGGACAATCCCACATAACCAAGAATTGTCCCCACTATAATGCAAGTTGTCCAAGTAAAATAAGCAAGTCACAAGAAGAGAAATACTTATATGAAGTATCTAGAGTAGTCAGATTCAGAGACAGAAAGTATAATGGTGGTCACCAGCGGGTGGGAATGAGGATTGGGGGAGAAATGGAGAGTCACTATTTAATGGGTACAGAGTTTCGGTTTTGCAAGATGAAAAGAGTTCTGGAGATGGACAATGGAATTGGTTGCACGACAAAGTGAAGTACTCTATAGCATTGAATTGCACACTTACAAATGGTTACGATGGTAAATTTTATGTTACATATATTTTACCACCATTAAAAATGAGCCTTAAAAATGCAATGGCACCTCCAGTTGAGATACATTGAATCCCAATCCAACTCTGAATCAGCCAAATTGAACATCAGAGCCAAGGAACACACTCCTTTCTCTTCCATCGCTTAGCATTAACCAGGGTAGAGTTATAGCATTTAGCTGTAATACAAAGCCCACAGCCAAACAGTTGAAAGTCTCATGAAATATAAACAATAACAAGTTAATACAGATCAAATCATTATGATATATGCAGAGACTTCATTCCATTTGGTCTAAGAACTCAGAGAACACCTCATTGGGTTCCAGATATGATTGCATGTGTAAAAGATCTTTTTTAAGTTGTAAAACAATATATAAATAAGGTATCATACTTCTTATTTAATACAAATCCTTAATCTTGTTCCTTCAAATTACGACAAACATTCTACCACAAACAGAATCAGAAGGGCTTTATCTGGCCTTTCTCTGAACACAATAGTTACTATACAAGAGGAGGGAAAAAAACACATTAATTTTGCATGCTGGGATACACTACCAAATTTTGTGTTTATACTCTTACAAATTAATTTTAAAAAAACATGACATGCCTGCGGAAATATGAACAAGCAATTTTCTAAAGATATACAAATCGGGAGATAAATATGTGAAAGTGTTTGACTTTATTAGTATTTGGAAGGTGCTAATTAAATAACTAAGATATTTAGCCTTATTAGCAAGATTAGAAATCATGTGACTGGACTACGGGCCCTACCTCTTGCCTTGCCCCAGAGACTAATAAGCTCCTTGATTAAGAAAAATCATTGCTAGAATACTCATCTCACAGATTGCCTTTATACATGCAAAGAAAAAGAAAGGGATATAGATCCTTTCCTGCCCTCGTAGTCCCTAAGGTGCCTGATCCGGAAACAAGAATAAAAAGAATGCTAGCCTACATGAAAAGAGAGAAACAGCTTACAAACTATATGACAAGAAAACAATTTTGTCTTCTTTAGGAATTGAAATGATCCATTGCCCAAGAATTAAAACTTAACCTTGGGAGATATGTGAGCACTTGCTGGGTTTAACAGGAGTAATGGTAAATAACTAGATGGGCTCTCACCTGCCCTGGACCTACAGAGAGACTTGTGCTCCAAACCCTCTCAAACAGAAAGGCTTGCTTCTTTCTTAACTGCTTGCTCTTTGGACTTTGGAGAAAATATCACTAAGTACATTATATTACTCCCCACTTCCTTTAAGTTCTTTTTATTTTTATTTTTAATTGCCTGGGCCCTTTAGTAAAGAAAGTTGCAAACACCTAAACAGCTAGTTTGGTGGTTTGGGGAGAATAAGGCACAGATTGCCCAGGAAAGGTCTCCGCTGTAAGGTGGCGAAGGGGGCCAGCAGCCTGTCAAGTCAGGCCAGCCAGTGGCCAACAGCAAGAAGGCCCCGCCTACATTGCAAATCCCTTGCTGGCAGGGACTAGATCATCTTCGTTGTTTAATCTTGTTCAGCATTAGGCCCGATGCCTTATCATTAAGCAATGCTCAATTCCTCCACAGTCCCATTTTTATGGCAACTATCAAGTGGCATTTTTCCTTTAAGTAATACAAAAACAGACTCTTGTTTTCCTCCAGATGTTTCCCATCTTACTTGGAGTTTAGTGAAATATTTTGTTAAATAAAATATCGCAGTGATGGATTACAAATGGCCCTGGGGTCAGGAGTGGGAAAATTGAAAATTCCCTGAAACAAAAACATCTCATCCCCATTTCTTCTGGGGTGAATTGCATGGGGCCCAGTTTAGGCCAGGACACCTTACATCACTTATGGATTGTAAGGCTGTGTTTCATTAGAAGATCGCTAGGAATTTATGTCAATCTGGATTCTGCTCAGGCCCTAGAAGCCAAGTGCTTACGGTGGGTGAGACATTTTATGCCCAGTTCTCCTGGAATGAAAGAAAACAGCTGTGTTTGTTTAAAAAAAAAAGAAAACAGGTGGACATCATTACCATGATGGTCAAATAGTCATTGGATAAAAAGTAATTTCTCTCCCTTTACAGGAGGCAAGGCGATGAGTCTGTCAGGGGAATGCTCTTTAAATTAGGGCCTAGAAATTTGGGAAAAAAATGCAAAATTCTCTTCATTACTTCCAGCTCTCTAGAGTCCAGGAGACTTTTTAACAATGACACATCTAGTGGCTTCAGTGCCATTTGAGAAATAAGCAAAATCCTCTGATGCAATATTTTCCTTTATTAAAAATATTAGCTGTTCATCAAGAGCACTGTCTTAGCCCCAGATGTCTAAAACTACCATCAGGATGGATCCTATCTCAGGGTAGGAAGGCATCATTTAACTACCTGAGAGGGAAAAGCAGACACATTCCAATGCTGTACAACAACATAACTCAAGACATGCCAAGACTCTTTCAGGACATCTGTTATAACTACTCCATTGTCACCTAATAAATGTACACCCTGAATCCCCCTAGGTGATGTGCCCTTCCCCTCAAAAGCCATAGGGGCAGAAAGAAAGGAAAGGCAGGAAGGGCATCCCTGAGTCTGCAGCCAAGACTGCTTGCAGGATTTTGCAACCCCTTGACCTTGTCATCTATTCCTTCCAATGCTTGGAAATATCTCAGAAAATATTCCCTTAGTCCCTGCCACCTCTGTGATCTGGATTACTGGAATAACCTCCCAAAATCCCCACAGCCACCCCAAAATCAACCCTTCTATCTAATCCAAATCAGCCCACACACCACATTTGCCTTTATGAAAAAAAAAGTTTATGCAGTTTGACACTCCCCAACTCAATAACAAATGAATGACAACAACAAAAACAATTCTTGTTCAAATGGCTCACCACAACATCCAGACTAGACTCACCCTTCCTATCCTAAATGCCTGCCCACAGATAATAGTTGCAAGGACTAGAGAGAACTCAGCCAAATGCAGCTAACCACAGACAGTTTGGCCTGGACAGCCTGAAGTGGAAATGAACTAGGTAATAATGGGCTGTGAGGGCCTCAGCAAAGGGGAGGGTCTTTAGCAAGCCTGGCCTTAAGTAAAAACAAGGAAGAATAGAGAGCATCATGAGGAATGGCAAAGACATGGGACTTTTCACTTGAATCTCTCACTTGCAGTGAGATACAGGGTGGGCTAAGGCAAATGGTAAGTGAGCCCTCACAGGCAGCCTCAGGACACAGTTGTAGAGCTTAATCGAGAACTTGTAAATCTGAGGGAACCTGCAGTGGAAGGAGGGAGTTGTGCCTTGGGCATCCCAAAATAAGCCAGTGAGCCACAAAGGCAGACTGGGGTAAAGATTCTGTTATAGGTGGAACAGATTCTTCCCCAGTCCTTCAGGCTGTCGTGTTTCTCAGCCAGGTCTTCAGGGCAGATGAATTTTACCAGTGTTACTGAGCACTCTCAAGGTTCTAGATTTAACTCATTACAGCCAGGACTATGTTCTGGGCTGGCTGCACAGAATTTCATTCTGCATTTCCAAAGAGGGAGCTGTAGCACGACCAACCTCATAGTTTGTCAATACATCTACAGTTACTCACTAGCAAAGACTATCACGTAGGCTCTGAATTTAATCATACATGAGAAAGCACCCTTCCCCAGGGGGCAGATTTCACAGGCCTACGCAACTCCACAGAAGAAATAGTGGAAACAGCCACAGGGGTGCAGAGGAATGGTTGCACAGGAGAGGGTGTTAGGGCTGCGGCCACTGCAAATTTCTCAACTTTGCAAGAAGGTAGCAATGTCTCAGGTACCACTTTCTGAGAGTGAAAATAGGATGGATTTTTTTCCCTTAAACAAAACTGACCAGAAATTTCTTCCAGTTGATATTAGGTTATTAATTCATTGTGGTTTCTGGACAACTGGCGTTGATTGGCATCCTGATAAAACTAAAACCAGCTATTGGTTTCTGTTGTTGGTTGGTTGGGTATTATTGTTTGGTTTCATCTAAACTTCCAACATCAGATACTATTGAGTTTCTTCTGTGACCTTTGGCAACACTATATACTGGGTTCTGGGAATATAATTTAGGTTACTCACTAAAGTTGTTGGGTGTGGGACTAGCACTATGAGGCTCTGTTGACTCTTTGTACTCTTTTCGAAAAGGAGGTTTGTCAGAGAATTAGCATTAGAGATTCTGAGGCCCTAAACCAATCGTACCCATACAAATGAGTGGCATACGGGATCTGAACAGAACGAGAAACTGGGAAGGACATTAATTTATGTTATTAACTCATAAAAGCAATATAACATGATTTGTGGCCTTAATTTTTTAATATAAGTTTTAATTTCTCTCAGGGAATTTTATAACGGCAGAAGTTCGAATTCAGATTTTGGACATCCCAAAGTTGTGGGAAAAGCTAAACTAATTACTGCTTTAGAAGGCAAAGGATTTATGCTGGGTTTTATTGTCATGTGTATTTAATAGTCATATGATATCAACAAAACCTTGAGAGACAATGTTGGGCATAAATTGGGATAGCAATTAGAAGAGGAAATAACTTTCACCCTTGGACACAAAGTGGTTTTTGAGTTTAGTTAGTTAATATGTTTTAACCACATGTGTACTTTCTGGGTCAAAATCTATATTACCTAGCAGCTGGTCCCAGATGAGCCCAATGAGCGGGAGAGCACAAGGCAGAGAATGTTAGGGGAAATATTTCCTCGACACTCCTGTTGTTTCCTTCCAGATGGAGGTTGCTAAACTGAAGTGGCGATTCTGACCTCTTGCTGCTTACTTTCCTCTCTCAAAGCAGATGAGATGCAGTGACTTACATGATTAGCAAATGTGGGCAGCATGCCCACTTCAGTTCTTTCCTCCTCTTAAGAGTGAGCTGCCTGTAGATATCATTCATTCTGCTACTCCTTCAGGGATCTGTTATGAGGTCTTTTGGGTCTCACACAAGACTAGAAACTCAGATTTAGCCTTTATTAGAAATGAATGTGATGTCTTGGTTTCTCATCTGCCATTCCTTTGTTTTATTTCTGTTTGTTCAGCCCTAAGGGAAGGAGGAGGAGGCACTGTTTATTGAGACCCCCACTACTCCTCTAACACTATTTGTCTGCTAGAGCCATGCCTCTTGTTGTTGTTGTTGTTGTCACTGTAAATGGAGTAACATTTTACTCACAGAGAAGACACAGAGCAAGATCAGCTTTAATAAGTGAGCACTGGTCCCCCACAGCCAGCTCGTCTCACCCGACAGCCAATGCAGGTAGATAGTCTGCATGCAACCCTCTAAGGGTTGGCCAGGAGCCATGAGATGAACACACTCAAGCCAAACAAAGCACACATCAAGAAACAACAGGGAAAGATACTTCCAAACAAGGTGATGAGTCCAGCACAAGCTGTGAGGGCTCCCTGTCTCCCTTGAAGGAAATGCTCCAGGCCTGAGGCACAATTGTATCAGACACTGCAAGGTTCAAGCAAGCTGTTCATGGCTGCCTTTCTCAGCAAGTATCAATACTGTTATTATGGTCTTGGTGGGTGGTCATTTCTTGTTGACTCTGTCCGCATATCCTCCCTACCTGCTTTATTTGTTTCTTTATTTATTTTTTACTTTTTATTTTTTTGTTTTTGAGACTGAGTCTCGCTCTGTCGGCCAGGGTGGAGTGCAGTGGCACGATCTCGGCTCACTGCAAGTTCTGCCTCCCCGGTTCACGCCATTCTCCTGTCTCAAACTCCCAAGTAGCTGGGACTACAGGCGCATGCCCCCACGCCCGGCTAATTTTTTGTACTTTTAGTAGAGACGGGGTTTCACTGTGTTAGCCAGGATGGTCTCGATCTCCTGACCTCGTGATCCGCCCCCCTTGGCCTCCCAAAGTGCTGGGATTACAGGCGGGAGCCACCGCACCAGGCCTATTTTTTAAAATAAATTTTATTGTATACACTTAAGATATACAACATGATGTTATAAGATACATATAGACAGCAAAATGGTTTCCACAGGGAAGCAAATTAACATATCCATCATTTCATTTTTTTTATATTGACATAGTCATGTTAGTGTTGATTCTAAGCCTTTTATAAGATGGTTCCACCTTCCTCAAAAGTATTTCCGTCTCATTTTCCAATTCCTCAAGGCTCAGCGACTCCTCAAATCTCTTCCTAAATAATCCTACTCCCTGTGCTTCATCTAATTTACATTCTATCATTCATATTAGTGCAGAGCTATTTTATACACCTTTTATTTCCTGAGCATCTGAACTCTTACATTTATTTGTAATACCTCCATCTTTGTGGTACTCAATACAGTGTACACATGCTGAAATCAATTGATAAATTATTATTTTAATGAGCACTTTCTCTGCATTTCTCTGACATCTGAAAACATTCTGAAAAGTTTTCTATTTTAACAGAATGATAATAACTTCAACAATCTGAATGTTTGGACCATGATATAGTTGGGATATTTGTCCTCTCCAGATCTCATGTTGAAATATGATCACCAATGTTGGAGCTGCAGCCCAGTGGGAGGTGTTTGGGTCATGGGGGCGATGCCCTTATGAATGGCTTGGTGCTCTTCCCATAGGAATGAGTTCTCACTCCATTGATGCACAAAGGAGCTGGCGTTTAAAGGAGCCTTACATCTCTTGCTTCCTCTCTCTCCATGTGCCCCACCTGCCCGCTCCCTTCATGTTCCACCATGAATAAAAGCTCCCCGAGGCCAAGCCAGAAACCAAGCAGATGCTGATGCCAAGCTTGTACAGCCTACAGAACCATAAGCCAAATAAACACCTTTACAAACTACCCAGCCTCAGGTATTCCTTTATAGTACTCCAAAACAAACTAATACAGACCACAAAAGGCAAAACTTTTTAGGTGTGTATGGCTTTTTGCAATATGTCTGAATTATATGTGGGAAGTCAAATGAATAATACATATATTCTAGGTACAAGGGATCAAAGAGGAAAATAAGAGCCCGGATCTCATGGAGATCATCTTCAAGATTAGTAAGA
The DNA here is from genome assembly GCF_000001405.40 of Homo sapiens. NCBI lineage: Eukaryota > Metazoa > Chordata > Mammalia > Primates > Hominidae > Homo > Homo sapiens. The sequence continues at coordinate 73,874,546 of NC_000006.12, read as the reverse complement.
TCCCCAAGTATGGCTCAAAGACCATTAGAGCACCAGTAGTGACTTGCTAAACATTGAAGTTCCCAGGTCTCAGGACCTACTGAATCGCCATCTCCAGGAGTGGGCCCAATAATCTCTTATTTAATGAGTTTCCCAGTGATTCTTAGGCACACTGAAGAGCAAGACAGAGACAAATAAGTGCTGTCCTCGACTAAAGGAGCATAAGACAGAGCACCTGACCTCAACTGCTCTTGAGAGAAAGCAGAAGCTTCTCAAAGGAAGTGATGTCTGAGCAGAGATTGATGACAGATAATGAGTGAACCTGATGACAGAAGGAGAAAGGTAGTTCCAGCAAGCAATGGAGTTTTTATTTTTAATTTGTATCTACAATGTTTCTTACTCAAAATAAATTCACCCAACAGGATGTTGTTGTGGTAGTTGTGGTTGTTTTTAACATCTCCTATCAGGCCGGGCGTGGTAGCCCACGCCTGTAACCCCAGCACTTTGGGAGGCTGAGGTGGGTAGATCACCTGAGGTCAGGAGTTCAAGACCAGCCTGGACAACATGGCGAAACCCCATCTCTACTAAAAATACAAAAAATTAGCCAGGGGTGGTGGTGGGCACCTGTAATCCCAACTACTTGAGAGGCTGGCATGAAAATTGCTTGAACCCAGGAGGCAGAGGTTGCAGTGAGCTGAGCTGACGCCATTGCACTCCAGCCTGGGTGACACAGTGAGACTCTGTCTAAAAAAAAAAAAAAGAAAAGAAAAAAAATCTGCCATCTGGATAACACACGTTTTGTTTAATTCTCATTACAATTTTCCAAGACAAGCAGAGCATTATTTTTAAACCTATTTTATAGATAAAGAAACTGAGGTAAATAATTTACTCATACCATGCACCTGGGAAATGTTATACCTAAGATCAGAAGAATGAAGTGTTCTCATCCCCAATACCTGTGCCTTTTATTTCACCATGCCATGCTATTTCTTAAATAATTTATACCAAGTTTAAAATACACTCTACCACCCAATTTCCCCCTTCCAATTATAGATTTAAAATGATTTATGCATACTAGATTACCTCTGATGTCCACCCAAGCACCAAAATTCCACAGATCTGAGGTGTTAAAATAAGATATAAGATCACCACTAATAGATTCATTTATGAGACATTGCCCTTAGTTTCCAAGCATGTGTTTATTTTGAGGCAAAAGCCATGGTCAAATTGGGAAATACCCACTGGAAAAAAACATTTAAAATTAATGTTATGATTCAAGTAAAAATACAAACATAAAAAGAAAAGGCCACCATGACTAAATGTTGTGACATGACATGATGTTATATGAATAGTATTCAAATACCAGTATACTCTTAAAAGGAAAATGTTTAACTACTCATAGAATTAGTTCTAGCTTTGGAATCATTTATTTGAATTAAGACACAGCCTTTATTTTTATGCCTTATACCTACCAGCTCCTTTGTGCATGAATGGAGTGAGAACTCATTACCATGGGGAGGGCACCAAGCCATTCATAAAGGGATCGTCCCCATGACCCAAACACCTCCAATTGGGCCCCAGCTCCAACTTTGGTGATCACATTTCAATGTGAGATTTGGAGAGGACAAATATCCCAACTATATCATGGTCCAAACATTCAGATTGTTGAAGTTATTATCATTCTGTTAAAATAGAAGACTTTTCAATCTGACAAATGAAGACTGTAGAATACATACCCAGGTCTGTCTTTCAAAGAGGATTGATGTTTCTTCAGATGTAGATGTTTTTTAATATTGATTTGTGTTAACAAAGTGATCTTTCAGATATTGGGGGGGGAGAAACAAAACAGGATAAAGCACATCATTTAATATGCTTTTAACTTAAGTAACTGAAAACTTCGGTTCAATTTATTCAATCAATAAGGAATTTATGATCTCACATAGTAAGAAGTCAAAATAAAAAATGTTCCAGGACTGATTAATTTAGCAGCTCAACTGGCACCATTATGGATCAGATTCTTTTCCTCTTTTTCTCAGTTGTCTTCGGCAACTTCATCCTCTGACAAATGACAGCCACAGTTTCTACACATCATATCTTCATGACAATGGCAAGACACAAATAAGAAACTATTTCTTCTCATGTATCATTTTTATCAATGGCTTAAAACTTTCCCAGAAGCCATCCAGCAGACGTTCCCTCTCATCTCATTGGTCAGAATTGTGTCAGATCCCCATGCCTAACCAATCACTGGCAAGAGGAAAGGGGCCCCTGTGATTGCCCTGGACTTGTGGTTCTCACATGGAACCAGACCTCCTACCCACACTTCGGCATGTACCCCTACACTTCCCCGCACACTTAGAAATGTTTGGGAGTATTTAGGTGATACAGTGATCGGAGATGTTTTTGAAATTTAGACAATGGAGATCAAGGATGTTAAATGTCCTGCAATGCATTATACGCTCCCACAAAACAAAGAATTCACCTGTTGTCTAAACTACGGATTCCCAACTTTAAGAATCACTGGCATCAGCCCTTGGGGCTGGATACAGGGCCTTCTCCTTCGAAGCACACAGTCAACTGAAGTGTGAGTCCTGGGGCAAAATCATGGTTCTGCTGTTGACAGCACCATCAGTACCTGCTGTGGAGTACAAACCAGTGAAAGCAGTAAGACAGTGAGGATGCTGGAAGTGAATTCAAGGTATTTTTCTTTCTTTCGCCCAGGCTGGAGTGCAGTGGCACGATCTTGGCTCACTGCAAGCTCTGCCTCCCAGGTTCACGCCAATCTCCTGCCTCAGCCTCCCGAGTAGCTGGGACTACAGGCGCCTGCCACCACGCTTGGCCAATTTTTTTGTATTTTTAGTAGAGACGGGGTTTCACTGTGTTAGCCAGGATGGTCTCTATCTCCTGACCTCGTGATCCACCCACCTCAGCCTCCCAAAGTGCTGGGATTACAGGCATGAGACACCATGCCCGGCCACTCTTCTTTCTTTCTGAGCTCTTAGATTCACACATCATAAATCTTACACAGTTTTTACATGATTTTTATAACAATTAGCACTCCAAACATGATACATGTAGGAAAGTCAATGTTCTAGTCAAATGAAAAGATGAACATAATGACCTTCACACTCAGTCCCTGCTTTTTTTTAATTTAATTTTATTTTTGTGAGATAGGGTCTCTCTCTGTTGCCCAGGTTGGGATGCAGTGGCGATTTTGATAAGAATGGTAACTTCCACTTTCCTGTTTTGTCCTTAATTGTGAAATAGTAAGTTTTGTTCATCCTTAAATGGCTACAAGTTGGAGTATAAAATTTATCCACACGTGCCAACTTTTTTTTAATCAAAAGCAACAAAATACTGTGAGAGGTGGCTATGGAATTTGAAGTATACCTGCACTAGACCAACTGACAACAGGGCTGCATGTAGGAGGCAGAGTGGGGAAACCACACCTGGCTGGCAGAACCAGCAAATCTTGTTCTGATGTATGAAGCAATGGGAAGTGGGGGATGGAAGGGGAATGGACAGATATGTCAGTTCTTTGTTTTCCTCTTCTGCAATCTGTTCTGCCTCTTGAATTGAGCCCTGGGCTATATTGATGAAAGATTCCAGTCTTTGAAAATAGAATATTGTCTATAAAGATTTGAAGGCCGGTCACGTGTGAGAGATTAGACATTTCCCTATGGCTACACAGACCAGGATAAGTAGGTGAAAGCTATCAGGAGACAATTTTCTAGCAGCAAGAGATTTCTAATGATGGAAACATAAGCCTTAGAAAAGGGTGAGGGTGTAGGTTTGGCAATCTCTGTGAGAGAGTTAAAGAGTTTTGGACTAGATGATCTTTATAGTTCCAGAGCCTTCTAGCCCAGTGATTAAGCGGCCGTAATGAAAAACTCGTTTGGGGGAACCAATTCTATTCCCTATACCTACTTCCTGGACCCATATTTCACAGTGAATTTCATCAGATCTCTTCAATCCAAATCCAAAAGACAGTGCTAATTTATATCATTTTAAATAATGAGTACACTAAAGTAGATCTTTTAAAGGGAAAGGAGATAGTTAGAATGTCTTGTCTTATTTAGCTGGTGTTCATGTTTCATTACTACATGATATGATAAGAAAATTCTTCACAAATCAAATCCAAATTTGTTCAACTATTCTGCCTAACCCAGACTCTGGGAATCCATCCAAAAATCTGCTAAATTACATGCAGTTCCAAAGTGTCCATCTTTTACAGCCCCCAGTAATTCTTGGCTTCACTGGTCAGTTATCAAAAGCATCACCTCATATATTTGAAACACTCCCTTAGGAAATTAGATATTTACTATTTCAATATATGTCTGTCCTATACATAGATAGATATGTAGATATATATTTTGTATCTTAAAATGTGATTCAGTGACTTTTCAGTGCTCCAGCTAGAAAATATAACATAAAATTCATATTCTTCAGTGATAGTTTTACTTACTTATAAATTTATTTATCCAAGTCCTATTTAAGAGAATACACCTTAAATCATATTCTCTTTTCTAAGTACTCACACAATTCCAGAAGAAAAGAATAAGTGTGTTCAGAAAGAAATAGATGAGATTCATAAGCTACTAAGGCCAAACATTTACTATTTAATGAAACTGACAGTTATTTAGATACCAAATACTTGATCAACATCCTTAACTATAATAAATATATTTGGAAGTTTTATTTATTTCTGAAATGGCATTTGTCAAAAAAAGTTTCATCAACTTTAATAAAATCCATTACATAATGCTTCAAAAATACTCTTACTGAATTCATGATTAAAAAATAAACCTAAATTGAAATAAGCCAGTCACAAAAAGACAAATACCATATAATTTCACTTACATGAGGTAGAGAAGTCAACTTTATAGAGATATAATGTAGAGTGGTGGTTGCCAGTAGCTTAGAGGATGGTAGATGGGGAGTTGTTGGGTACAGAGTTTTAATTTTACAATACAAAAAGAGATCTGGACATTGACTTCACAACATTGTGAAAATACCTAATACTCCTGAACAGAACACTTCAAATTAGTCAAGATAGTAGATTTTATGTTATGTATCTTTTACAATTAAATTTTTTAACTAATTTTAAAAGAAAATATATATATATATTTCTAGTTCTGACTACTGAAATGGCCTAGAGGCAACGATACCCCAGTAGCAGTGGGCATATCTGACATCCAGATCTTGTTTTCTAAATACCATTTCCAACCAAAGGGAGAAAGGCTGATTCCAGTGAAAGTGTAAATTGAACCTGGAATATCTTAATATGCCAATAAGTAAAGTGGGGCTCAAGAAATGATGGGGACCTATCAAAATGACACAGAAACCAGCCTGACAGTTTCTAGTGTTCATACATTCAACAATTTAAGCATCAAAATGACTAATCAAAGTCACAGATTATATAGCACCTTGAATAAAAATAATCCATACTGATACTAAAACAAACAACAAATTAATTAAGAGAAAATGTTATTTAAATTAGAAAGCCACATTCTAATAAATGTAGAAGGAATAATAGCACTGGAAAAAAATCACTCTTTTGCAACTATTATACTAATAATTTGTTCAGGCAAGAACTATCACTGGATGCTAAAATGACCTAATGCATATTTGTGTGGAACAGATAATTTGCAATGCCTTAAATATCTCCCCACAGAAAATTTATTAATTAATTAAAAAAGGGGGCAAATGGTACCTTTATAGTATAGAAATCTGGAAAATACCACCTGAACCTACTGATCAAAGTTACCATCAATAATAGGAGAAACTGACATCAGGTGCTTCCTGGTATGATACAGTGAGAAGGACACAGCATATCTTATATAGTAATAACTCTACCAAATAATCATAATCTGGAAAAAATGAAGAACAATCAGACAAACCTAAATTAAGAAATGTTCTACAAAATAACTGGCCTGTCTTCTCCAATATATATCAGTCATAAAAAACACTGAGGAAATATTCCAGATTAAAGAGATGAGGGAGATATGGCATGCTATAAATGTCAATATTGGCATAGTTGGCAAATTTTGAATAGGACCTCTATATCAGATATTTATTGCATTAATTTTAAATTTTCTTAATTTGATCATTATAGTGTGATTATGGTTATATAAAAGAATTCCTTGTTTTTAGGAGGCACAGAAAAGAAGTAAACATAATATCTGTATATACACACCTATTAAGAGAAGGAAAAAGAAAGAAAATAGGACAAAATGTTAGTAATTAGAGATCTTAGGTGAAAAGTATGCACAAATTCATTGTTCTATTCTTGCAAGATCTGAAATTTTTCAAAATAAAAAGTGTTACAAGTTTAAAATCCTTTAACAAAGGCACAGGTCTTGATGCAGGTCTTGATTTCTAAAAATTGAGTTACTTCAAAATCAAATATATTTTTAGATTGACTTCCTAAGAATATCTGAAAAATATGATCACCATTTCTTGTTGCTTTTTAAGCTACTAAAAGTTTACCTTGAAAAAATAACTACAACATTACTATAGTTGAGGTAAATAACATATAATCTTTAAACTGTCCTTTCATATGAACTTCGACCTTCTATAACTCTAGTTTTGTGAGGCCCCAGTAATACCTGTGATGTAAGCTGTTTACTGATTTTTCACTATGTTCGTACATTATATTTCAGGAAATATTACTTAAATAAAACATATCTAAATAAAAACAAAGTTACTATTAATACCGTATTGTTTTGAAAACTTAATTTCAAAACATATTCTACATAATAGTCCAGATGTTAGAAAATACAAATAATCACCCACGTCTATCAAAGAGGCCTATATTCCCACAACAGGACTGAAAACTAGAGCGTGACAAGCTTAGTTCAGTGCTTTGCATAGAGTATTCCCACAACATGTGTAGACCAGGGTTTCTCAACCTCAGCACTACTGACATTTTGGCCCAGATAATCGTTTGTTGTGGATAACTGTCCTACTCTTGTAAGATGTTTAGCTGAGTCCCTGGCCTCAGCTAAACACTAGATTCCAGCAGCACATACCCTCCACCTCTCCCCAGAAATGACAACAAAATCTGTCTCCAGACATTGTCAAATGTACTCTGGGGAGGAAGATAGAAACTCTTCCCTATTTGAGAACAAGTTACATAAAATGACTGATGAAAGCAAAACAAAGAAAGAGGAGAGAGAGAGGAGGGAGGGAAGAAAGAAGGGAGGGAAGTTATGTTCATTCTGAATTGGTTTTATCTACTATATATTCTGACTTTTTTAAATTATAGAACAAAACTTTGTTCTCTACAATTATTCAAAGAAGAATTTATGCACTTACATACATGAAAACAATTTGAAACTATCAATCTTTCTAAAACCCAACGCAGATTGTGTACTTTCTCCACTCAAAAGTCTACAATAGTTTTTACCAAAGTTCAAATCCCTAGCCTTACATTTGAGACACAACACATTTCATACCTACCTTTCGAGGGTTATCCTGAAAAGCACCTGTTTAGAACAAACCATCCTAGAAAGTTCACTCAAGTGCCATATTTCAATTTCAAATACCAAAACAAGGAAATTTGCAACCTCATGCAGATGATTCTGCTCCTCTTGCAATCCCAGGAAGAGGCAAAGAAAATTTAAAGATATGATGAATAAATTAATCAATCACATAGTATTAATTTGGGGGGTAAATTAAGTTTTGGTGTTTATAGGTTTTGTAATTATTATATTACTTTGTGTATATTTTGTTTTTTAAAGACTTTTTGAAACACTAACATGATCTGATATACTAAGTATATGAAGTTTATAATATAATATTTATAAGATATATTGTGTTTGTTAAATGTATAACACTACCTTATAAGTATTTTACAAGTTTTCATGAATCAATTATTTTAAATTTGCAAATGCAGATTTGTCTTCTTTCATTTTGTTTTACTACAGCAGAATACCTAAGAGTGAGTAATTTATGAGGAAAGGAAGTTTATTTAGCTCATGATTCTGCAGGCTGAGAAGTTCAAGGGCATTGCCCTGGCTTCTGATGGGGGTTTTCATCCTGAGTCAAAATATGGTAGAGAAGGTCAAAGAGGAAGTAGACACATGTGAAGAGGCAAAACCTGAAGGATGTCCTGCTTTTTTTAAAAGAATCTACTCTCAAGGGACTAATCTACTCTGAAGAGAACTAATGCAGTCTCAACAGAGGGAGAACTCATGCACTACAAGAACAGCACCAAGTCATTCATGAGAGAGCCTCCTGCATGACCCAAACACTTCCCACTGGGCCCCATCTCCCAACACTGCCATACTGGGGATCAAATTTCACCATGAGTTTTGGTGGGGACAAACTCAAACCACAGCAAGATTGAAATGACTAAGAGAATTTAATCAAGCATACAAATGGCATTAAATATTTATACATTAAACACTTCATATATTAAAACTTTAAGATTTATTAAACATTATTCCAAAAACAAATGCAAAAGTGACTGCAATGCAAAAAAATCAAATTTATTAGTAAAATAGCAAAATTAATAAGTTGGTTTTACAGGCATAAAAAAACAAAGTTTTAAAATGTACACCTTTTATAAAATTGAATATTAATTAACATGCAAGTAAACTATGTATTGTTTTCTATTTATAAATGTTTCTTACATACATTTGAAACTCCATTAATAACATTATCCTTAGCTCTTTTCTTACTCTGCTTTACGTTCCATTTATTTGTGTACATGTATCACTTCTGCTAGATTTTAATTTCCTGGAAGAGAGAAATTGCACCTTCCTCATCTTTTATCTCTCACAGCATCTAGCAATATATCTTGCAGGTAGAAATAGTGCATTATGTTATGTAAAAGCATATATGTGCTACAATATGAAAATAAAATGATTTTTTTCATATTAGGCACTCAATAAATTTTTCTAATGTTTACATAATATTTAACAATAAGAAGATATGCATCTTGTTAGAATCACATTATCCTCATATCACAGATCAGATTTTAAATGTTACTACTTACACTACAAATGCTTAATGAAAATATCAGCCATTAAACTAGAAATTCATCTAATCAATCTATAAAGCACTGGGGCATCATTTCCTACAGATGTATCAAACCCATTTAATGGATACCAGGAGATTGCACAAAAATAGCTGCCAAATTTAGCACCCAATCACAATGCACAGTTTTTATTTTTAACCTAAGCTTCCTTCTTTGATGTTATAGTTTAACAACCCTTGACTAAGTTATGGCTTCCTAACATGGCCAGGAAACAAACAATCAAGAAGAAGCCCATCATTCTTGGATCAAATAGCTTGAAAAAAAGTAACCTCTATGGATTTAAAATGTAAATTAGATCTCTGCCAACAAGATTCTATACTATGTAAATGAAAAACATAGGAATTCTATTTCTTCTTTGAGGGGAAGAAAAATTGGTTAGAACTCTGGATGTTATCTTACTTTGGACATCTGAAAAACTGAACTCTCTAGAATCTGGGTCCATCATTCAAATAAACGTTCCATGTGCTATTTTAAAAGATATATTTCATTTGGAAAAGGGCACTGAAAGATCCCCTTTCTTATATAATAGGTATGGAAATATTTACTCTAGAAGCACAAATGTGTTGCACATTTTTAACAATTTGGCTTATTTTACTATAGAGGTTCTCATAATTGAAATGTCTATAGCCACTCTATTCCTTACATTTTCCGTATAAAAAGTAAGGAAATTTTACAAATAAGATGGGTAATAAAATTAGAATTAACATACTACAGGCAAAAATTTTATTTTACTTGTGTGGAGTAATAATTTGACTTCCAAAATTCCAATTATTTGGAATAATTCACAATATTTCGCACTCTGACATTATTCTCAAGCTCTAGGAACTAAAGGAGCCAAATACAAATTTGACAAAGAATCTTTCCTGGAACTTGAAAAACATATATTCCATATGATAGAAAGAGATGCAGCTGGAAAAGAGTGAGATCAATTTATTCTTATTACGATATATATACAGCACATAAGATATTTTAGACAACTTCAAAAGAATGTGACAACACATTATTTCATTTAAGTATATGGTTTCTCTTAATTTTTCTAATATAACTGATTTTCTTCATTTGTAAAGTGCATAATTGTTAATACCCTAAGCTGCCAGGAAATTGAAATGTATATTATGAAATTTGCTCTTTTAAAAAATTTCAACAACTAACTATATAATTTAGAACATATGTACTTGGTTATGCTTGATAACAGCATATACACATCTATTCCTCCCTTAATATATGGGTTCAGGAGACACATTATTTCTCTGTAGAAGCAACACCTAGAAGTAATATGCTTTAACATAAGGGAAGCTGTAACCATGTCTATAGGAGAACTTTAAAAGGTATTCTACTTCTAGTATTTTGATGGCTAATCTTATGGCCTTGGTTAAATAACTTTTCTATTCTTTGTTGTAATATCAAGGAATCTACATGGCTTAACATAAGGACCTCTCTAAGGTGTGAGCTCATCAACCTCTTCAATCATCTGCCACACCTCACAATTTTATACAAGACAAAATGAACATCTAAAGCAGATCTGAAGGAGAAAAGGAATCACAAGAAGAAAAATATGAAAAGGGCAGAACTGGAAAAATAAAGAGGAAGTCCAACCCATTTTCTTTGAGAATGTTTTATGGACTATTACTATATGCCACTACTTGGATGAATCCACTGCTTTAAAGACTCTACCTAGCCACTCCTCTTCACCACACCACTTTGATATTACCCATTAATGTATTTTATGGAGCACTTTGTTCCAGATAATATTTCTGTAGGTGTCAACTACAAAGGAAACAAACCCTTATCTAAGCCTCTCTGCACATTACCTCCTTACAATATCCATTGCCACTTTTTGACTGGCCAAGCACTAGCGTTATTTGAACATTTTCAATCTCATGTGGAATGCAAAATTCTTCCTTATACCCTGATTCCAGTTTCTGATAATGTCCTGAATGTAAGATACAATCATAGATTTCTTTTTTTATTTTATTTTATTTTTAAGTTCCATGTGCAGGATGCGCAGGTTTGTTACATAGGTAAATGTGTGCCGTGGTGACAACCATAGATTTCTTATCTCTTCTTTGTAATTCCAGTTACAACAGCCTTAATAGAAATGAAGACAACTGTTTTCCTGTCACATTCACATTATCTTGAAAATCCAGAAATCTACCCAGTCTTCTAAGCAGGTACTTGTTTACTGGTGATGGGTGGAAGGGAGAAAGGACAATAGAGACAATGGACCAAGCAAGATAAAATAAAGGTCACAGGGAAGAATATGAAAAGCATTTGAGCCAGGATAGTTAGAGGTGGAAACACCAGATGACAATACTAGATTCAAAAGCAAAATCTGAGAAACACACACAACACTAAAGCAGAGATGTCCAGAGCACCCTAAGGTTAACTGTTAAGGGCAATTGCAGCAAATTCATATCAGTTATGCATTTCATGTGTTGTCATTCATCATCTATGTGTTCTCCCAGACATGCAGGTGTCTTTTTTTTTTTTTTTTTTTTTTGAGACGGAGTCTCGCTGTGTCACCCAGGCTGGAGTGCAGTGGCGCAGTCTTGGCTCACTGCGAGCTCCGCCTCCCGGGTTCACGCCATGAGTTCACGCCATTCTCCTGCCTCAGCCTCCTGAGTAGCTGGGACTACAGGCGCCCACCACCACGCCCGGCTAATTTTTTTCTTTTTTCTTTTTTCTTTTTTTTTTTGTATTTTTAGTAGAGACAGGGTTTCACTGTGTTAGCCAGGATGGTCTCGATCTCCTGACCTCGTGATCCGCCCGCCTCAGCCTCCCAAAGTGCTGGGATTACAGGCATGAGCCACCACCGCGCCTGGCCGCAGGTGTCTTTACTTAGCTAAAATTCACCATAAAGAAATTGTTTAGTATTCTGATATTATCCATTCTCCTCACATTTCTTGCTCATGAAAGTCAACTTTCTATAATTGTTATTTCAACCAGCTAACGTTCTTGCTTCCCAGATTCAGTGCTGGAAACCATAAGGCTAGTTTCTTCTCCTTCAGGAAATCACCCAAAAACAACTAGTGAAATAAGAAACAGAAAAGTAAGCTCTATTTTTAATAAAATTCAGAGACTTTTGTAATCCCAAAACATAATGCATAAGGATGAGCTGCTAAACGCATTGAAGGTCAAATGGAGTCATGGGAAGACACCCAGAGAGGAAGTATTTAGCTGAAGATTTCAAACAAAGCCGTCAGAGCACAGGTCTCCATGGCTTGTAGGACAACCAGAGAGAGTATGTAGCCTGGATCAAGGAGAAGCAGGAAAGGTAGGGGTAAACCAGCAATCACTCATACACACCATATTTTCAGAAAATTGTCAGGAAGGGAGGTAAGGCTGGGTAGAATACATTATGTTCATGCTGGCCTGCCAATCTCAGGTGGCTGGGAAGAAATAAAAGCTAAAAGAGTTTACCCACAGAACCCTGTGTCACAAGGAATTTTACTTGTAAGGGGAATTTTCTACAAGCCAGGAAAATTCCCTAACCCCTGTTTCACATAAATCTCCTCTACTATACAGTACAGAAAGAACACAATTGGCTCAAGAATGAGAGAAGAAAAAACAAAAAGGAGCCATCAGATAAACCTCACCAAAATACCACCTGAAAACGTACATATATGTGTCTCTGTGTGTCTGTGTGTCTATTTGTGTGTTTGAGTCTGTGTGTGTGTGTGTGTAGTATAAAAGAGGGAGAAAGAAAAAAAGAGAGGAGATAACTGATAAAACAAATGGTAAAAAATACAAGAAAAATTGTTTCCATGCAGCAGATAAAAGCAAACTTTAAAATTTAATGAACTAATTAGTTCTATAAATCAGGAGCTCACAGCAAAAATGCAGGAGTTCAAGCAAGAAAATCCTCATCAAAATGATGGCTCATGCCTGTAATCCTAGCACTCTAGAAGACCAAGGCAAGTGGATTGCTTGAGTCTAGGAGTTGGAGACTAGCCTAGGCAACATGACAAAACCCCGTCTCTACAAAAAATACAAAAATTAGCTGGGCATGGTAGTGCACACCTGTAGTCCCAGCTACTAGGGGGGCTGAGGTGGAGGATGGCTAAAGCCCAGAAGGTTGAGACTGCAGTGAGCTATGATCACACCACTCCCCTCCAGCCTGGACAACAGAGCAAGACTCTGTCTCAAAAAAAAAAATCTCAGTGCCAATTTTGCAGAAATAGAAAAATCCATCCTAAAATTTATATGGAATCTCAAGGGAGTATGAATAACCAAAACAATCTTTAAAAAGAAGAGCAAATTTGGATGTCTCACACTTCCTGGTTTCAAAACTTACTACAAAGCTATAGTAATCATGTCTCAGAATGAGGAGCAGGTCAAATAAATAAATAAAAGCTATAGTAACAAAAATGGTGTGGTACTGGCATAAAGACAGATACATAGGCCAATGGGATAGAATAGAAAACCCAGAAATAAATCCTTCTATATATCATAAAATGATTTTTATAAGCATTCCAAGACCATTCAATGGAGAATGGACAGTCTTTTCATCAAATTCCACTGGGAAAACTGAATATCCACAACCAAAAGAATGGAATTAGACCCTTACTTACGCCAGGTGAAAAATTAACTAAAAATGGGTCAAAGAGCTAAATGTAAGAGGTAAAACTCCTAGAAGAAAACATGGGAAAACATTATGACATTGGATTTGGCAATGATTTTTTTTGTATATGACACTGAAAGTATGGGCAACAAAAGATAAAATAAATAAGTGGGACTACATCAGAATTTAAAACTTCTGTGCATCCAAGGATACTATCAGCAGTGTGAAAGGCAATTCATGCAATGGGAAAAAATATTTACAAATCATATATCTTATAAGGAATTAATATCTGGAATATATAAAGAACTCCTACAATTCAGCAACAAAGAAAGAAACAGCCAACTAAAAAATAGATACTTAAATAAACATTTCTCCAAAGAAGACATGTAAATGGCCAGTAAGCACATGAAAACATATTCAACATAACTAGTCAATAGGGAAATGCAAATCAAACCCACAAGATGTCACTTCACACCCATTTGGATGGCTACTTTCAGAATAACAGAAAATAACAAGTATTGGTGAGAATGAGAAGAAATTGGAACCCTTGTGCACTGCTAGTGAAAATGTAAAATGATGAAGATTCTGTGTAAAATAGTATGGTTATTCCTCCTAAAGTTAAACATCGAATTATCACTTGATCCAGCAATTTCACTCCTAGCTACATACTCAAAAAGAATAATTGAAAGCAGGGACTCAAACAGATATTTGTACACCTATGTTCATAGCATCATAATTCACAATAACCAAAAGGAAGCAACCTGTGTTCATTGATGGATGAATGGAGAAACAAAATAAAGTATATATATTCAATGAATATTACTCAATTTTAGGAAGGAAAGAAATTCTGACATGCTACAACATGGATGAACCTTGACGAAATTATGTTAAGTGAAATAAGCCAGTCACAAAAGGCCAAATACTGTATGATTCCACTTATATGAGGTACTTAGAGCCAAAAAGCAGAATGGTGGTTGCCAGGGCTGTGGAGAGCTGGAATGAGGAGTTGTTCTTTAATGGATATGGAGTTTCCATTTAGGGAAATAAAGTTCCAGAGCTGATGGTGCTAATGGTTGCACAACAATGTGAAATGCATTTAATGCCACTAAACTATACACTTAAAAAGGTTAAAATGGTAAAATTTTATATGATATATATTTTACCATGATAAAAGAGTGACAAGTTATGCATGAAGGGAGTTCAATAAAGTGCCCTAATTCAAACAAAAAGGAAGATAAGTTATAAGGCAGAGGAATCTGTCAATGGCAACGGCAGAGTTACTCATGGTCCTGGGGAAATCAATTAGAAAAAGTGACTGGACCACTGGAGAGAACCAGAAGATCCTATTTCTTATCTCTGCCACTGTCTGTCATCTGCCTCATTCTTTTTGCTCACTGCAGACTTGGTTTGTATTTCCTCTGTTTGAGAGAACAACCACTGTCTTGAATCTCTTGGTCTCAGAGCTAAATGTGAGAAGGGACACATTGTCCCACATTTGTCCAATCACCTGTGAAGGCAGAGACAGGTTGTGTGAACCTGGATGCTCCCACTGTAGTCACGTAAATGGCCTTGGGGTGGGGGGCAGTGAAGCAGGGACAAGGAATGAGGAGTTACGAGAAGGAAAAACCCCTGGGGTGGCCAGGTAGCTACATGGATGTCTGTTACAAACCCATACACATATTTAGCTTTCCATACTTTTCCAAATTCCTCATTTTCTCTTCATATCCTTTCCTCTTACTGGCACCTACATTCTCCAAAGTTATCAGATTCTGTAAGTTCACTGGTCCACCCATACATACCTTAAAAAAACTGCTCTGTACTAGGGAGGAATTTACATGTCCCAAACCCCTTTCCCAAGGGCTGCATCCCACTCTGCAAATCGAAACAATCCATTTGGCTCTTATGATAATACATGGTCCTTCTTGAGTGATCCTATGAGCAGTTTCACAAGACTTTCTGGATATAACACCTTATTTCTCTATGCCATTAACAAATATTTTAGGGCAGAAACTTTTCTACACTCTACAAATCTAACCGCAGGGAAAAGGTGGCATTGGCAAGCAAGCTTGGGTCAGTTGTGGTGTTTGACAAACAATTCATAAGGATAATTACAGGGCTTAAAGTTTATAAACTTAAAATTATATATGTGTATCATTATGTGTAATTTTTACTAAAAACACCAATCATCATATTATACGAATTCCTTTACTATAGTGAAAGAAGAAGACTTTAAAGTAGTAAAAACATGTATTATTGTATTAACTACCAAAAAAATGGTTTCCATAGAAAAAGAAACCAAAACAATACAAATTGCATGAAGAAAAGAGTTTGAGCAAATCAAAGCCAGATGATAAAAGCTGAATACTAAAGAAAGAAAGAATGGCACACAGATGGTTCAAGAGAAGAACAGAATCAGCAAAACAAAATTCAAGAACATAAAGACCAAGCCTATACTGCTCCCAGATCCTCAGGAATGCTCACTGATTGGAAAGATGTCTGTCCTGAATTGCAAGAGAGCCAACTAGAATGCTGATATAAACTTGGTGATTAAGAATGTGGGCACTGGAGTCACAGTGTGGGTTCAAATCTCACATCTGCTCTTAAGAAGCTATATAACATTGGGAAATAACTCAACAACCCTAAGCTCATCTTTAAACTAGGGACAATAATTGTACTTTCTCCATTTGGTGGCTAGATGAATTAAGAGGCAATAAATTTAAAGCATTTGCTTTCCATTTAGTTAAGTACTAAATAATATTTTGATACATATTAGTTGTATATTTGAAGATAATATCAAGTTAAGAATACAGAATGACATCCCAGATAACATTATTCCTGAAATGGCATTGTATTATTTTATCATCAAACTCCAGTTTTTACTCTAGATTGCTTTCCCCAAGCAAAACATACATCTTCAACGTATGTGATCACACCAGGAGCTAGGGGATTGTGGATCAATTCTGAAAGATTTAATCTTGGTCAATAGGATTTGGTGAAAGTCAGGTGAGTGAAATGAGGTGGCAGGGTGGTATAATGGTTAGTAATACATGCTCTGGAACCAGATCGCTAGGATTTCAGTCCAGGTTATACACCTACTATCATGTGATATATAGTTCACCTCATTTGTCAGTGTCTCTGTCTGTAATATTGCACTTACCCTGTAAGGCATTTGGAAGGATTACCTGGCATTAAACATGTAAAGAACTTAGAACAATGCCGGGCACATTGTAGTCAAGCAATCAATGTCAGCTGCTGCCACAAGTGGCACATGGTGGTCAGCAACAGCTGCCCTATTGGAGAGAAAACTGGACAAGTGTTACAGATGAGCCCCTTGACAATGTCATATGATGATTTTCCTTTCTCACAGGAGCAGAGTCCATACTCTGTGATTATTAAGCAATTGTCATCAACATCTTGGTGTTCTTTTCCCAGGAAATAAACGGCCCTGAGGAAAAGAAAATGAAACATCTGGACTCTCCTGCTCAATGCCCCTTTGTTTAAAATTGGGATGGCTTGCTTCTTTCACGTCCCCCCAACATTAGAGAGGATTTATCCTTCTGTGTACTGGATAAAGGAAGAGGGTAGTGATCTGGCACACTGGCAACCTGGCACAACATATCTTTCCCAAAGAAGCAGTAAAAGGAGTTACACCTAGACACACACAAACACACACACACACACTCCTCTGAAGCACTCACTTTGTCATGCTTTCAAATGCAGGCACAGGAGAATCCTTCTATTTCAGCCCTTCAACCAATAGGCCACAAAGTTCGGGGTCCCAGAGTCCTTGAAATAACCCCACTTTCAACACAGGGCCTGCAGACAATGCAATTAACACCTAATATTGCTCAGCACTGTCTTGAAGTAAAGAACCTGTAGAAACCTCTTTTCACTGGTCTCTGTCTCTTGTACCTTGACACTTCTGTATCATTGCAGAGTAAGATCTAGCCAAGAAAGTGAAAACATCCCAATCTGGGGAAATGTGAAAACAACTTGGATGCAGGAAACCTGTTTTAGCCCCTGCCCCAACTTTAACCTTGTAACGTTGGGAACATTACTCGGCCTCTCTGAACCTGTTTCTGGTTTCCTCACCTGAAAACAGCTGGGTGAGAGAGTCAGTTCTAAATTGATAATAAACAGATAAGTCCCCTACTTGGCCTTCTCCTTCTACCTAATCACTGATAGATTTGAAAGAACTCTGTCAAGGGGGAAGCTTAGAGTGCAGCTCTCTGTAGCATTTTATGGGAAAAGAAATACCAACTGTCCCCTCTTTGCACGGGTCCTACTCTGAGTGGAATCCCCATCACCCTTTAAGGTGGCAATGAACAAACAAAAGCTCTCATGAGAAAGGAGGGCTAGGCCCTGTGACTCTAGCTTTTTAACCCTGACATTCAAATTTCTGCTTTCAACATCTCATCTATTAAAGCTACCACTTCTACACTGGCCTCACCTGGAGGCATGGCTCTGCCATTACAATTTTAACTTCCTTAAATTCCATTCAGTATAGCTGAAATAGGTCCAAAACATTTAGAAATCACTAACATCTAAGGGAAAACAGAATAAGGAAAAAAAATGGGCAACTAAATAATCTGGTTTAGGTGGTGTAGTTCACCCATCTTCACCCTTCTCCCTGTTTCCCAGCCTGTCTGTATGGCAGAGGCATCTTAAACCCCTCCTTCCTGAGAGCATCCTCGGGTGTATCTAAACATCCCTGCCCAAAGTCAAGACAGCAATACCCAGAGAAAGGCAAGAGCTCCCTCTCCCACCTCCTGGTTTCCAGTTTTCTTTCTGAAGACCCACAACTTCCCCAGATGATGGCCCCAGGAATTACTGTCTCCTTTAGGGAGATGAAACTCCCACCCCAGGACCTTCCCTCTCTCACCAGGACAAGTGTATCACAAACAAGTATTCAATTGAAGGAAGGGAAAAAGAGGATGGCTGGGCCTTATGGAGGTAAGCTTCCTTCATTATGGTATCAAATCCAGTAATGCACTTTCCTGTTAGAGAATTTCTAGACAGTCCTCCCAAACGAGAAGCGTTTCCTGGATTATCATAAAACGTGTCTATATAGAAAAGCTAGTTCACAATGAAAAAGAACATGTGGAAGGTGAGTGCTGTACAATGAAGATAGGCTTTGAGAAGCCCTCCAGGCAACCAAACCTCCACTAACAAGTCCATTTTGCTGTTTTTTCTGTTATGTTTATTCTTCTCCAGCTATGACTATAAAAGAGGACGCACTGGGGAGAAACATACTTCAAGTACAAAGCAAAAGTAGGTGGAAAAAGATAGTAATAAATACGTGTTCTATGATTAATCAGGATTCTTGATTCCATTAGGAGATTAAAATTCCACAAATTCTAGGTCAAACTTTACTTGCCATAACTTATTCCCTAACCAAAACAGGCTAGAGAAATGACAGTAGAATCTGGCAATAGTACCTCTTTCTAAACTGTCCAAAGGTTAATGATCTCTTCAGTTTTGAAAATCAGGATTTACTTTTATAAAGTCAAAAAGAAACTCCCACTCTGTACGTGGTTTTTTTTTTTACTCTAAGAATAACAAATTATTATGCATAAATTACATGCCAAAAATAAGAATGCATCCTAAAAAGTATGTGGTAACAGAAGTAAGCAGATTATTGTAATAACCTTATCACCTGTTTTCCCAGAAAAGAGAAAAAGCCCTCCGATCTCATTTCATTCTTAGTATTCAACAGGAACATTAAAATTAGGCAACAATTTGGGGGAGGTACTTTCTTCCCTCTAATCCTCTTCTGCCCCCTAGTGGTCGCATATTTTTATGTCATACAAGATAATTTCCATTTTGAATATCTGGTTGTTATATTTCCACCATTAGAGTAACTCTATTGTATTTTACCCCTGTCATAAACCTTAAAACCAATTTAATAAACACATCTGACTACTCAATAAAACTTCACGATTATTTTAGTACTTACATATTGTGTATTAACTTACAACAGCTTTATCTAAAATATTTTCCCTGGAAAAAGCCCAGAGATATTCTGGGTGAAATGACATTCATGTGGTGGGCTAAAGGTTCAGAAAGCATGGAATATCATATCCTTTTAGAATTCAAAATATACATTGTTATATTAAAGATAAATCCTACAGCAATGACATTTTTTGTGATTTCCTAAACTTTGCCATTAAATACTTTTTTTTCACGTTAGACCTGCTAGCATCCTATAAAATACCATTTGGGGAAGTGTTGGTATCTAAGCATTATTCTCAACCCTATTGTTTTCTCCTGAGAATGGCTGAGGATTTCATTCTTTGTGACTCTTCTTCCTTTGTCATGCCTATTATGCCCCAATATATCAACTTCAATTATTTTATTTGAACACTATATCAGGTTGGCAAAGTAATATACACTCCATAGCTAAAACTCCAGCAGGGTATCAAAACCAAATCCTTGAAATGCTGCTCAGCAGTAAAAGGAAATGAACATTGATACACACGACAGCTTGGATGATCTTAAGTGCATTTTGCTCAATGGAAAAAAAATCATCAAAGCTTACATACTGTATGATTTCATTTGTATAACATTCTCAAAATTACCATTATCAAGACAGAGAATAGATAAGTAGTTACTAGGGATTAAGGAAGGATAGGGAGGGGATGACCCTAAGCAGCATGAAGAAGTCCCTTTGTGATGAGTAAACAAATCTGTGTCTTAACTATAAATGGTAGTTACATAAATCTGTACCTGTGATGAAAATGTCCTAAAATTATACAAAAAAACATGTAAAAATAAATGCTTGTAAAAAGAACTTGAAGCCAAGTAAGGTCTGTAGTCCAGTTAACTGTTTCCTGCTAATCAATGTTCTGCCTTCAATAATGCACCATAGTTAGATAAGATGTCACTGTTGGGGGACACTGGATGACAGGCATACAGGACCTCTGTGTACTATTGTACAACTTTTTGTGAGTCTATAATTATTTCAAAATTAAAAATTTTTTAAAGTAAAATTCTATGGCCCACACCAATGTTCACAGTATGAATTCCTTTGGATTTTTCTGAATTCCTCAATAATGTTTAAATTCCTCTAAATTACAAAAGAAGAAAAATAGGAGTAGAGTGTTATATAAGAATAATTAGTTAATACGTCATTATTCTGTGCGTTGGCAGATTACTCACAGGTCCTGACTATCTACTGGTTCTCCTCACTGGGA
This sequence comes from Homo sapiens, assembly GCF_000001405.40. Lineage (NCBI taxonomy): Eukaryota > Metazoa > Chordata > Mammalia > Primates > Hominidae > Homo > Homo sapiens. Next base: position 73,853,770 of record NC_000006.12, on the reverse strand, counting down.
TGAAATGAGATGAAATAAGCTTCACTCAAATGAATCCTTGATAAACACAGACACACACACACACACATTTTCACTTTCTCAGTCTTTCTTCATCTCAATAAGTGCCTTTCTCCTATCCCCTAGTTACTAAGGCCAGACATTTTTTCTTTTTCTGGGCTCTTCATATTTAGAGGTAAGGCCAGACTTTTTGAATCTTCTCTTTTCCTCACTTCCTACATCCCATCTATTCCCAAGTCTTACTGATAATACCTCCAAAATACCTCAAGTCTGCACATAAAGAATATACAAAAGGAAATGAGAATTCAAAGGAAACAGAAAATGCATCTGACAAATGGGAGAGTGTGCGAACATAGAAGGCAAAGGAGGGGGCAGAGCAAGAGGGCTGAATAGAAGCCTCCACTGATTGTCCCCCCTGCAGGAAAGCCAAGTTTAATAACTATCTATACAAAAAAGAACATCTTATAAGAAGCAGAAATCAGGATACAGATACCAGCTCAACCACAGTGGAGTACAATGCCAAGAAGGCTCTTGGGGTCCTCAATTCTGGGCCTTGGCTTGTGGATGACAGTTTTGGACCTGTCCTGGTCCAGAGAGGAGTCCACTGCCCTGAAGGGTGAGTCCCAGGCCTGGCAGCATTCACCACAAGCTCACTGAAGAGCTCTTGGGCCTTAAGAGAACATTGGCCATAGCCTGCCAGTACTTTCCATAGGCCTGTGGTGGTGATGGCCATAGGAAGAGACTCCTATGCCTGTGGAAAGGGGAAGGAAAAATGGGAAGAACTTTGTCTCATGGTTTGAATGCCAGCTTAGCTGTAGTAAAATAGAACAAAAGGCAGATGTTTAAGGTTTTTGACTCCACTCCCTGGCTCCTGGATAGCATCTCTAGACCTGTCCAGGGGCTGGGGTAACTTGCTACCTTGAAGGGAAGAATACAAGCCTGGCTGGCTTCACCACCTGCTAACTGTAGAGTCCTGTGGTCTTAAACAAACATAGGTGGTAGCCAGGTAGTGGTTACAGTGGGCCTTGGGTGAGACCCAGTGCTGTACTGACTTCAGATATGACCCAGTACAGTCTCAGCGATGGCCACAGGAGTACATGGGTCACCCCTCACTCAACTCTAGGTGACTCAGAACAGAGAGAAAGACGTTTGGGAGAAAGTAAGTGACAAGAACAACAGTATCTGCCTGGCAACCCAGAGAATTCTTCCAGACCTTATCCAAGACCACTAAGTCTGCGAGAAGCACAATGTTACTGGGCTGGAGGTGCTCGTGCTCCCTAATGCAGATATGGCTCAGATCATAACACCCAAGTACCCTTGAATACCTGAGAAGCCATCCCAAAAAGGACAAGTACAAATAAGCCCAGACTGTGAAGACTACAAGAAATACCTAGCTCTTCAATACCTAGACACCAACAAACACTTGCAAGCATCAAGACCATTCAGGAAAACATGACCTTAGCAAATGAATTAAATAAGGTACCTGGGACCAATCCTGGAGAAACAAAGATATGTGGCCTTTCAGAGAGAACTCAAAATGGCTATTTTGAGGAAACTCAAAAAAATTCAAAATAATATTGAGAAAGAATTCAGAATTATATCAGATAAATTTAACAAAGAAATTGAAATAATTTAAAAGAATCAAACAAATTCTGGAGTTAAAAAATATAATTGACATATTGAATAATGCATCAGAGTCTCTTAGTAGCAGAAATGATCAAGCAGAAGAAATAATTAGTGAGCTTGAAGATAAACTTTTGAAAATACATCATTTGCTCTCCCTCTCCCTCTCCCTCTCCATCTCCCCACGGTCTCCCTCTCCCTCTCTTTCCACGGTCTCCCTCTGAGGCCAAGCTGAAGCTGGACTGTACTGCTGCCATCTCGGCTCACTGCAACCTCCCTGCCTGATTCTCCTGCCTCAGCCTGCCCAGTGCCTGCGATTGCAGGCGCGCGCCACCACGCCTGACTGGTTTTCGTATTTTTTTGGTGGAGACAGGGTTTTGCTGTGTTGGCCGGGCTGGTCTCCAGCTCCTAACCGCGAGTGATCCGCCAGCCTCGGCCTCCCGAGGTGCCGGGATTGCAGACAGAGTCTCGTTCACTCAGTGCTCAATGGTGCCCAGGCTGGAGTGCAGTGGCGTGATCTCGGCTCGCTACAACCTCCACCTCCCAGCCGCCTGCCTTGGCCTCCCAAAGTGCCGAGATTGCAGCCTCTCTTCCCTTCTGGGAAGTGAGGAGCGTCTCTGCCTGGCCGCCCATCATCTGGGATGTGAGGAGCCCCTGTGCCTGGCTGCCCAGTCTGGAAAGTGAGGAGCGTCTCTGCCCGGCCACCATCCCATCTAGGAAGTGAGGAGCGTCACTGCCCGGCCGCCCATCATCTGAGATGTGGGGGGCGCCTCTGCCCCGTCTGGGATGTGAGGAGCACCTCTGCCCGGCCACGACCCCATCTGGGAGGTGAGGAGCATCTCTGCCCGGCCGCCCCGTCTGAGAAGTGAGGAGTCCCTCCGCCCGGCAGCCGCCCCGTCTGAGAAGTGAGGAGCCCCTCCACCCGGCAGCCACCCCATCTGGGAAGTGAGAAGCGTCTCCGCCCGGCAGCCACCCCATCCGGGAGAGAGGTGGGGGGTCAGCCCCTGCCAGGCCAGCTGCCCCATCCGGGAGGGAGGTGGGGGTCAGCCCCCGCCCGGCCAGCCGCCCCGTCTGGGAGGGAGGTGGGGGGTCAGCCCCCGCCCGGCCAGCCGCCCCATCCGGGAGGTGAGGGGCGCCTCTGCCCGGCCGCCCCTACTGGGAAGTGAGGAGCCCCTCTGCCCAGCCACCACCCCATCTGGGAGGTGTACCCAACAGCTCATTGAGAACGGGCCATGATGACAATGGCGGTTTTGTGGAATAGAAAAGGGGGAAAGGTGGGGAAAAGATTGAGAAATCGGATGGTTGCTGTGTCTGTGTAGAAAGAAGTAGACATAGGAGACTTTTCATTTTGTTCTGTACTAAGAAAACTTCTTCTGCCTTGGGATCCTGTTAATCTATGACCTTACCCCCAACCCTGTGCTCTCTGAAACATGTGCTGTGTCCACTCAGGGTTAAATGGATTGAGGGCGGTGCAAGATGTGCTTTGTTAAACAGATGCTTGAAGGCAACATGCTCCTTAAGAGTCATCACCACTCCCTAATCTCAAGTACCCAGGGACACAAACACTGCGGAAGGCCGCAGGGTCCTCTGCCTAGGAAAACCAGAGACCTTTGTTCACTTGTTTATCTGCTGACCTTCCCTCCACTATTGTCCTATGACCCTGCCAAATCCCCCTCTGTGAGAAACACCCAAGAATGATCAATAAAAAAAAAAAAAGAAGGTACTTTGTAGTCTCCCCCACCCCTAAGAAGGTTCTTTGTAATTCTCCCCACCCTTGAGAATGTACTTTGTGAGATCCACCCCTGCCCACCAGATAACAACCCCTTTGACTGTAATTTTCCATTACCTTCCCAAATCCTATAAAACGGCTCCACCCCTATCTCCCTTCGCTGACTCGCTTTTCGGACTCAGCCCACCTGCACCCAGGTGAAATAAACAACCATGTTGCTCACAAAAAAAAAAAAAAAAGAAAAAAGAAAACACATCATTTAAGGAGATAAAAGAAAAAAAAGAATAAAAAAGAATAAAGCATGCCTTCAAGATCTAGAAAATGACCATAAAAGGGCAAATCTAAGAGTTATTGGCCTTAAAGAGGAGGCAGAGAAATATATAAGAGTGGAAAATGTATTTAAAGGGATAATAACAAAGAACCTTGCAAACCTAGAGAAAAATATAAATATCCAAGCACAAGAAGGTTATGGAACTCCAAGCATATTTAACTCAAAGAACACTGCCTCAAAACATATAATAGTCAAAATTCCAAAGGTTGAGGATAAAGAAAGGACCTTAAAAGCAGCAAGAGAAAAGAAACAAATAACATACAATGGAGCTCCAATACCCCTGGCAGAAGACTTTTCTGTGGAAACCTTACACATCAGGAGAGAGTGGCATAACATATTTAAAGTCTGGAAGGGAAAAAACTTTTATCCTAGAATGGTATATCCAGCAAAAATATCCTTGAAACCTGAAGGTGAAATAAAGACTTTCCCAGACAAAAGCTGAGGGATTTTATCAACACCTGTCCTACAAGATATGCTAAAGGGAGTACTTCAATCAGAAAGAAAAAAAAATTAATGAATGTAAGAAATTTTCTGAAGATAAAAAACTCACTGGTAATTCTAAGTACACACAAAAACACAAAATATTATAGCACTGTAATTGTGGTACATAAACTACTCTTAAGTAGAAAGACTAAAAGGTAAACCAATCAAAAATAATAACTACAACAACTTTTCAAGAAATAGACAGTACAATAAGCTATAAATAGAAACTATGAAAAGTTAAAAAGCAGGCGGACAAAGTTAAAGTGTTGAGTTTTTTTTCATTTTCCTATTGTTTGTTTGATCATGCAATCAGTGTTAACTTCTCATCAATTTAACATAATGTTTAAGATATTATTTGCAAGCCATAAACTGAAATCAAAATATATACAATGGGCACATAAAAAATAAAAAGCAAGAAATTAAAGCATACCACAAGAAAAAGTCAACTTCACTAAAAGGAATACAGGAAGGAAGGAAAGAAGAAAGAGAAGACCACAAAACAACCTGAGAGCAAATGACAAAATGGCAGGAGTAGGTCTTTACTTATCAATAATAATATTAAATGTAAATAGACTAAACTCTCCAATCAAAATAAAGAGTGGCTGAATGGATTTTAAAAACAAGACCCAGTAATCTCTGGCCTACAAGAAACACACTTTACCTATAAAGACATAAATATATTGAAAATGAAGGGTTGGAAAAAGATATTCCATGCCAATGGAAACCAAAAAGAGCAGGAGTAGCTATGCTTATTGCATACAAAATAGATTTCAAGATGAAAACTACAAAAACAGACAAAGCCATTATATAATCATAAAAGGGATCAATTCAGCAAGAGGATATAATAATTGTAAATGTTTATGCACCCAACACTGGAACACCAAGATATATAAAGCAAATATTATAAGAGCTGAGGAGAGAAATAGACCCCCAACATGATAATAGCTGGAGACTTCAACCCCCAACTTTCAGCATTAGACAGATTTTCCAGACAGAAAATCAACAAAGAAACATCAGACTTAAGCTGTACTAGAAAACAAATGGACCCAATAAATATTTACAAAACATTTTATCCAGTGGCTGAAGAATACACATTCTTCTCCTCAGCACATGGATCATTCTCAAGGATAGCCCATAGGTCACAAAACAAGTCTAAAACATTAAAAAAAAAACTGAAATAATATCAAGCATCTTTTCTAACCACAATGAAAGAAAACTAGAAATCAGTAACAACATGAATTTTGGAAACTATACAAACACATGGAACTTATTTTTTTTTTTTGCAGTCTTTGATTTTTTTTTTATTATTATACCTTAAGTTTTAGGGTACATGTGCACAATGTGCAGGTTTGTTACATATGTATACATGTGCCATGCTGGTGTGCTGCACCCATTAACTCATCATTTAGCATTAGGTATATCTCCTAATGCTATCCCTCCCCTCTCCCCCCAACCCACAACAGTCCCCAGAGTGTGATGTTCCCCTTCCTGTGTCCATGTGTTCTCACTGTTCAATTCCCATCTATGAGTGAGAACATGCGGTGTTTGGTTTTTTGTCCTTGCGATAGTTTACTGAGAATGATGATTTCCAATTTCATCCATGTCCCTACAAAGGACATTAACTCATCATTTTTTATGGCTGCATAGTATTCCATGGTGTATATGTGCCACATTTTCTTAATCCAGTCTATCGTTGTTGGACATTTGGGTTGGTTCCAAGTCTTTGCTGTTGTGAATAGTGCCACAATAAACATACTTGTGCACATGTCTTTAAAGCAGCATGATTTATAGTCCTTTGGGTATATATCTAGTAATGGGATGGCTGGGTCAAATGGTATTTCTAGTTCTAGATACCTGAGCAATCGCCACACTGACTTCCACAATGGTTGAACTAGTTTACAGTCCCACCAACAGTGTAAAAGTGTTCCTATTTCTCCACAGCCTCTCCAGCACCTGTTGTTTCCTGACTTTTTAATGATTGCCATTCTAACTGGTGTGAGATGTTATCTCATTGTGGTTTTGATTTGCATTTCTCTGATGGCCAGTGATGATGAGCATTTTTTCATGTGTCTTTTGGCTGCATAAACATCTTCTGAGAAGTGTCTGTTCATGTCCTTCGCCCACTTTTTGATGGGGTTTTTTGTTTTTTCTTGTAAATTTGTTTGAGTTCATTGTAGATTCTGGATATTAGCCCTTTGTCAGATGAGTAGGTTGTGAAAATTTTCTCCCATTTTGTAGGTTGCCTGTTCACTCTGATGGTAGTTTCTTTTGCTGTGCAGAAGCTCTTTAGTTTAATGAGATCCCATTTGTCAATTTTGGCTTTTGTTGCCATTGCTTTTGGTGTTTTAGACCTGAAGTCCTTGCCCATGCCTATGTCCTGAATGGTAATGCCTAGGTTTTCTTCTAGGGTTTTTATGGTTTTAGGTCTAATGTTTAAGTCTTTAATCCATCTTGAATTAATTTTTGTATAAGAAACACATGGAACTTAAACAATATGTTTCTGAATGACCAGTGGGTCAATAAAGAAATTAAGAAAGAAATTGAAAAAATTTTAAATAAGCGATGGATATACAACATACCAAAACCTATGTGATACAGAGACAGTCACACTAAGAAGAAAGTTTATGGCTATAACTGCCTGTAGCAAAAAAGCAGGAAAACTACAAATAAACAACCTAACAATGCATCTTAAAGAACTAGAAAGGCAGAAACAAACCAAACTCAAAATTAGTAAAAGAAAAAATCATAAAAGTCAGAGTAGGAATGAACGAAATTGAAATGAAGAGAGCAATAAAAAAGATCAATGAAATGAAAAGTTGGTTTTTTGAAAAGATTACCAAAATTGAAAAACCTGTAGCCAGACTAAACAATATTAAAAAACAGAGAAGAACCAAATAAATAAAATCAGAGATTAAAAAGGAGACATTACAGTTGATACCACAGAAATTTGAAGGATCATTAGTGGCTATTATGAGCAACTATATGCCAATAAATTGGAAAATCAAGAAGAAATGGATAAATTCCTAAACACATAAAAACTACCAAGATTGAACCATGAAGAAATCCAAAAGCTGAATAGACCAATAACAAGTAATGAGATTGAAGTCATAATAGAGTCTCCCGGGAAAAAAAAACTGGGACCTGATGGTTTAACTGCTGAATTCTACCAAACATTTAAAGAGCTAATACCAATTCTACTTAAACTATTCCAAAAAGTAGAGGAGAAGGAAATACTTCCAAACTCATTCTACAAGGCCAGTATTACCCTGATACCAAAACCAGACAAAGGCACATCAAAAAAGGAAAACTATAGGCCAATATCCCTGATGAATATTGATGCAAAAATCCTTAACAAAATACTAGCAAATCAGATTTAACAATGCATTAAAAAGATCATTCATCATGACCAAGTGGATTTATCCCAGGGATGCAAAGATGGCTCAACATATGCAAATTTATCAATGTGATACATCATATCAACAGAAAGAAGGACAAAACCCATATGTACTAGTCTGTTTTCATGCTGCTGATAAAGACATACCAGAGACTGGGAAGAAAAAGAGGTTCCACATGGCTGGGGAGGCCTCAGAATCACGGCAGGAGACAAAAGGCACTTCTTACATGGCAGCAGCAAGAGAAAATGAGAAAGAATCAAAAGTGGAAACCCCTGATAAACCCATCAGATCTTGTGAGACTTATTCACTATCATGAGAATAGCACAGAAAAAACCAGCCCCCATGACTAAATTGCCTCCCCCTTGGGTCTTTCCCACAACACATAGAAATTCTGGGAGATACAATTCAAGTTGAGATTTGGTGGGGACACAGCCAAACCATATCATTCTGCCCCTAGCCCCTCCAAATCTCATGTCGTCACATTTCAAAACCAACCATGCCTTCCCAATAGTCCCCCAAAGTCTTAACTCCTTTCAGCATTAATCCAAAAGTCCACAGTCCAAAATCTCATCTAAGACAAGACAAGTCCCTTCTGCCTATGAACGTGTAAAATCAAAAGCAAGCTAGTTGCTTCCTAGATACTATGGGGGTACAGATATTGGGTAAATATGGCCATTCCAAATTAGAGAAATTGGCCAAAACAAAGGTATTACAGGTCCCATGCAAGTCTGAAATCCAGTGGGGCAGTCACATTTTAAAGCTCCAAAATGATCTCCTTTGACTTCAGGTCTCACATCCAGGTTTCGCTGATGCAAGAGGTGGATTCTCATGATCTTTGGCAGCTCTGCCCCTGTGGCTTTGCAGGGTACACCCTCCCTCCCAGCTACTTTCACGGGCTGGCACTGAGTGTCTGTGGCTTTTCCAGGTGCAAGGTTGAAGGTATTGGTGGCCCTCTTCTCACAACTCCACTAGGCAGCACCCCACTAGGGACTCTGTGTGGGGGCTCCCACCTCACATTTCCCTTCTGCACTGCCCTAGCAGAGGTTCTCCATGAAGGCCCCAGCACTGCAGCAAACTTTTGCCTGGGCATTCAGGCATTTCCATACATCTTCTGAAATCTAGGTAGAGGTTCCCAAACCTCAATTCTTGACTTCTGTGTACCCACAGGCTCAACATGGAAGCTTCCAAGGCTTGGGGCTTCCACCCTCTGAAGCCACAGCCTGAGCTGTATGTTGGCCCCTTTCAGCCACAGCTGGAGTGGCTGGGATGCAGGGCACCAAGCCCCTAGGCTGCCCATAGCATGGGGACCCTGGGCCTAGCCCACAAAACTGTTTTTTCCTCCTGGGCCTCCAGGCCTGTGATGGGAGGGGCTGCCATGAAGGTCTCTGACATGGCCTGGAGACATTTTCCCCATGGTCTTGGGGATTAACATGAGGCTCCTTGTTACTTATGCAAATTTCTGCAGCCAGCTTGAATTTCTCCCCAGAAAATGGGTTTTTCTTTTCTATTGCATAGTCAGGCTGCAAATTTTATGAACTTTTATGCTCTGTTTCTCTTTTAAAATGGAATGTTTTTAACAATACCCCAGTCACCTCTTGAATGCTTTGCTGCTTAGAAATTTCTTCTGCCAGGTACCCTAAATTATCTCTCTCAAGTTCAAAGTTCCACAAATCTCTAGGGCATGGGCAAAATGCCACCAATCTCTTTGCTAAAACATAACAAGAGTCACCTTTGCTCCAGTCCCAATAAATTCCTCATCTCCATCTGAGACCACCTCAGCCTGGATTTTATTGTCCATATCGCTATCAGCATTTTGGGCAAAGCAATTCAACAAGTCTGTAGGAAGTAACAAACTTTCCCACATTTTCCTGTCTTCCTCTTAGCCCTTCAAACTGTTCCATTCTCTGCCTGTTACCCAGTTCCAAAGTTCCTTCTACATTTTCAGGTATATTTTCAGTAATGCCCTACTGGTATCAATTTATTGTATTAGTCTGTTTTCACACTGCTGACAAAGACATACCCGAGACTGGGAAGAAAAAGAGGTTTAATTGGACTTACAGTTCCACATAGTTGGGGGGGCCTCAGAATCATGGCAGGAAGCAAAAGGCACTTCTTACATGGTAGCAGCAAGAGAGAATGAGGAAAATGAGCAAAGGCAGAAACCCCTGCTAAACCCAACAGATCTCATAAGACTTAATCACTATCACGAGACTAGCACAGAAAAACCAGCCCCCATGATTCAGTCACCTCCCCTTGGGTCCCTCCCACAACTTGTGGGAATTCTGAGAAATACAATTCGAGATTTGGTGGGGACACACCCAAACCATATCAACATATGATCATTTCAACTGACACTAAAAAAAATTTTTGATAAAATGGAACACCTCTTCATGATAAAAACCCTCAAAAAACTGGGTATAAAAGAAAACATACCTGAACATAATAAAAGGCATATATGACAAACCCACAGCTAATATTATACTGAATGGGGAAAAAAATGAAAACCTTTCCCCTAAGATCTGTAACACAACAAGGATGCCCACTTTTACCACTGTTATTCAATACAGTACTGGAAGTTCTAGCCAGAGCAATCAGACATGAATAAGAAATAAAGGGTATCCAAATTAGAAAAGCAGTTGTCAAATTTCCTTGTTTGCAGGTGATATGATCTTGTACTTGGAAAAACCTAAAGACTCCACCAAAAAACTATTAGAACTGATAAACAAATTCAGTCAAGTTGCAGATCAACATACAAAAGATCAAAATATCAATGACATTCTTCACAGAGATAGAAAAAAATCCTAAAATTTATATGGAATCACAAGATACCCAGAATAGCCAAAGCTATACCAAGAAAAAAAAAATGAAATTGGAGGAATCACATTACCTGACTTCAAATTATACTACAAAACTATAGTAACCAAAACAATATGGTACTAGCATAAAAATAGGCACACAATGGAACAGAATAGAGCCCAGAAACAAATCCGTACATCTATAGAGAACTCATTTTCAACAAAGGTGCCAAGAACATACATTGGGGAAATGACAGTCTCTTCAATATTCTGGGAAAACTAGATATCCATATGCAGAAGAATGAAACTAGACCCTGTCTCTCACCATACACAAAAATCAAATCAAAATGGATTATTAAAGACTTAAATCTAAGACCTCAAACTATAAAACTACTGGCACAGCAAAGGAAACAACAAAATAAAGAGACAACCCACCGAATGGGAGAAAAGATTTGCAAACTACTCATCCGACAAGAGATTAATAACCATAATATAAAAATCAAAAATGGGAAAAATATCCGAATAGACATTTCTCAATAGAAGACATACAAATGGCAAACAGGCTTATGAAAAGGTGTGTAACATCATTGATCATCAGAGAAATGCAAATCAAAACTACAATGCAATATCACCTCACCCCAGTTAAAATGGCTTTTATCCAAAAGACATGTGATTACAAATGCTGGTGAGGATGTAGAAAAAAGGGAAACCTCATCCACTGTTGGTAGGAATGTAAAGTAGTATAACCACTAAGGAGAACAGTTTGGAGGTTCCTCAGAAAGCTAAAAATAGAGCTATCATATGATCCAGCAATGGCACTGCTGGGTATACACCCAAAAGAAAGGAAATCAGTATATCAAAGGAATATCTGCACTCTCATGTTTGTTGCAGCATTATTCACAATGGCCAAGATTTGGAAGCAACATAAGTGTCCATCAACAGATGAATGAATAAAGAAAAGTGATACATATACAAAACATAGTATTATTCAGCCATAAAAAAGAATGAGATCCTGTCACTTGCAACAACATGGATGGAATTTGAGGTCATTGTGTTAAGTGAAATAAACCAGGCACAGAAAGACAAACTTTGCATATTATCACTTATTTGTGTGAGCTAATAATTAAAACAACTGAACTTATGGAGATAGTAGGAGAATTGTTACCAGAGGCTCAGAAGGGTAGTCATGGGGATGGGGGGAAGTGGGGATGGTTAATGGGTCCAAAAAAATAGAAAGAATGAATAAGACCTAGTATTTGATAGCAGAACAGGGGATTAGAGTCAATAATAATTTAATTGTACATTTTAAAAGCAAAAATATTATAACTGGATTGTTTGTAATCCAAAGGACAAATACTCCAGGTGATGGGTACCCCATTTACCCTGATGTGATTACTACACATTGCATACCTGTATCAAAATATCTCATGTACCCCATAAATGTATACACCTACTATGTACCCACAATCATTAAAAATTTTTTTAAAAGAAGGTAAAGGAAAAAGGAGATTGAGGAAGAAGAGTAGTCAACAGTGCCAAATGCTAAGATGTCAAGAAGACAAGCAAGGACACTGTCCATTTGATGGAGAATAAGAGAGCCAATCACTAGATTTAGAGTAGCTTCTGCAAGGTAAGTCCAGGTTTTAGTGGTCTGAGGAATGATAAGCAAAGGAATGTAGGTAATAAATATAAAAAACTCTGTCAAGAAGTTTAGCTATGAAAGGAGATGAGATAGAGTCAAAGCTGAGAGAGACGCAGAATTTTTAAGGGGAAGCTTTAGGGTTTTTTTCAATTCTGGTATAAAGAAGTCAATTACTATCTTTTCATAATATCTCTTATTTTGTCATTATAATACTTAAAAAGTATATTTAATAATTCACAACTACTATGTTAATTACTGAAATTAGTTAAAACCAAAAACAATTGAAACCTTATTCCTGCAGACTTGGGCAAGCGTAGAAAGAAAGTAGATAATTTAATAAGAACACACAGAAGATGGCCAAGTAGGAACAGCTCCAGTCTACAGCTCCCAGCGTGAGCGACGCAGAAGATGGGTGATTTCTGCATTTCCATCTGAGGTACCGGGTTCATCTCACTAGGGAGTGCCAGACAGTGGGCGCAGGTCAGTGGGTGCGTGCACCGCGCACGAGCCGAAGCAGGGCGAGGCATTGCCTCACTTGGGAAGTGCAAGGGGTCAGGGAGTTCCCTTTCTGAGTCAAAGAAAGGGGTGACGGATGGCACCTGGAAAATCGGGTCACTCCCACCCGAATACTGCGCTTTTCCAACGGGCTTAAAAAACGGCGCACCACGAGATTATATCCTGCACCTGGCTCGGAGGGTCCTACGCCCACGGAGTCTCGCTGATTGCTAGCACAGCAGTCTGAGATCAAACTGCAAGGCGGCAGCGAGGCTGGGGGAGGGGCGCCCGCCATTACCCAGGCTTGATTAGGTAAACAAAGCAGCCGGGAAGCTCCAACTGGGTGGAGCCCACCACAGCTCAAGGAGGCCTGCCTGCCTCTGTAAGCTCCACCTCTGGGGGCAGGGCACAGACAAACAAAAAGACAGCAGTAACCTCTGCAGACTTAAATGTCCCTGTCTGACAGCTTTGAAGAGAGCAGTGGTTCTCCCAGCATGCAGCTGGAGATCTGAGAATGGGCAGACTGCCTCCTCAAGTGGGTCCCTGGCCCCTGACCCCCAAGCAGCCTAACTGGGAGGCACCCCCCCTAGCAGGGGCACACTGACACCTCACACGGCAGGGTATTCCAACAGACCTGCAGCTGAGGGTCCTCTCTGTTAGAAGGAAAACTAACAGAAAGGACATCCACAGCAAAAACCCATCTGTACATCACCATCATCAAAGACCAAAAGTAGATAAAACCACAAAGATGGGGAAAAAACAGAACAGAAAAACTGGAAACTCTAAAAAGCAGAGCACCTCTCCTCCTCCAAAGGAACGCAGTTCCTCACCAGCAACGGAACAAAGCTGGATGGAGAATGACTTTGACCAGCTGAGAGAAGAAGGCTTCAGACAATCAAATTACTCTGAGCTACGGGAGGACATTTAAACCAAAGGCAAAGAAGTTGAAAACTTTGAAAAAAATTTAGAAGAATGTATAACTAGAATAACCAATACAGAGAAGCGCTTAAAGTTGCTGATGGAGCTGAAAACCAAGGCTCGAGAACTACGTGAAGAATGCAGAAGCCTCAGGAGCCGATGCGATCAACTGGAAGAAAGGGTATCAGCAATGGAAGATGAAATGAATGAAATGAAGCAAGAAGGGAAGTTTAGAGAAAAAAGAATAAAAAGAAATGAGCAAAGCCTCCAAGAAATATGGGACTATGTGAAAAGACCAAATCTACGTCTGACTGGTGTACCTGAAAGTGATGGGGAGAATGGAACCAAGTTGGAAAACACTCTGCAGGATATTATCCAGGAGAACTTCCCCAATCTAGCAAGGCAGGCCAACGTTCAGATTCAGGAAATACAGAGAATGCCACAAAGATACTCCTCGAGAAGAGCAACTCCAAGACACATAATTGTCAGATTCACCAAAGTTGAAATGAAGGAAAAAATGTTAAGGGCAGCCAGAGAGAAAGGTCGGGTTACCCTCAAAGGGAAGCCCATCAGACTAACAGCGGATCTCTCGGCAGAAACCCTACAAGCCAGAAGAGAGTGGGGGCCAATATTCAACAATCTTAAAGAAAAGAATTTTCAACCCAGAATTTCATATCTGGGTTGATATGCTTCATAAGTGAAGGAGAAACTTCACTAAGCTTCATAAGTGAAGGAGAAATAAAATACTTTACAGACAAGCAAATGCTGAGAGATTTTCTCACCACCAGGCCTGCCTTACAAGAGCTCCTGAAGGAAGCAGTAAACATGGAAAGGAACAACCAGTACCAGCCGCTGCAAAATCATGCCAAAATGTAAAGACCATCGAGACTAGGAAGAAACTGCATCAACTAATGAGCAAAATCACCAGCTAACATCATAATGACAGGATCAAATTCACACATAACAATATTATCTTTAATGTAAATGGACTAAATGCTCCAATTAAAAGACACAGACTGGCAAATTGGATAAAGAGTCAAGACCCATCAGTGTGCTGTATTCAGGAAACCCATCTCACGTGCAGAGACACACATAGGCTCAAAATAAAAGGATGCAGGAAGATCTACCAAGCCAATGGAAAACAAAAAAAAGGCAGAGGTTGCAATCCTAGTCTCTGATAAAACAGACTTTAAACCAACAAAGATCAAAAGAGACAAAGAAGGCCATTACATAATGGTAAAGGGATCAATTCAACAAGAAGAGCTAACTATCCTAAATATATATGCACCCAATACAGGAGCACCAAGATTCATAAAGCAAGTCCTGAGTGACCTACAAAGAGACTTAGACTCCCACACATTAATAATGGGAGACTTTAACACCCCACTGTCAACATTAGACAGATCAACGAGACAGAAAGTCAACAAGGATACCCAGGAATTGAACTCAGCTCTGCACCAAGCGGACCTAATAGACATCTACAGAACTCTCCATCCCAAATAAACAGAATATACATTTTTTTCAGCACCACACCACACCTATTCCAAAATTGACCACATACTGGGAAGTAAAGCTCTCCTCAGCAAATGTAAAAGAACAGAAATTATAACAAACTGTCTCTCAGACCACAGTGCAATCAAACTAGAACTCAAGATTAAGAATCTCACTCAAAACCGCTCAACTACATGGAAACTGAACAACCTGCTCCTGAATGACTACTGGGTACATAACGAAATGAAGGCAGAAATGAAGATGTTCTTTGAAACCAATGAGAACAAAGACACAACATACCAGAATCTCTGGGACGCATTCAAAGCAGTGTGTAGAGGGAAATTTATAGCACTAAATGCCCACAAGAGAAAGCAGGAAAGATCCAAAATTGACACCCTAACTTCACAATTAAAAGAACTAGAAAAGCAATAGCAAACACATTCAAAAGCTAGCAGAAGGCAAGAAATAACTAAAATCAGAGCAGAACTGAAGGAAATAGAGACACAAAAACCCTTCAAAAAATTAATGAATCCAGGAGCTGGTTTTTTGAAAGGATCAACAAAATTGATAGACCGCTAGCAAGACTAATAAAGAAAAAAAGAGAGAAGAATCAAATAGACGCAATAAAAAATGATAAAGGGGATATCACCACCGATCCCACAGAAATACAAACTACCATCAGAGAATACTACAAACACCTCTATGCAAATAAACTAGAAAATCTAGAAGAAATGGATAAATTCCTGGACACATACACCCTCCCAAGACTAAACCAGGAAGAAATTGAATCTCTGAATAGACCAATAACAGGAGCTGAAATTGTGGCAATAATCAATAGTTTACCAACCAAAAAGAGTCCAGGACCAGATGGATTCACAGCCGAATTCTGCCAGAGGTACAAGGAGGAACTGGTACCATTCCTTCTGAAACTATTCCAATCAATAGAAAAAGAGGGAATCCTCCCTAACTCATTTTATGAGGCCAGCATCATTCTGATACCAAAGCCAGGCAGAGACACAACAAAAAAAGAGAATTTTAGACCAATATCCTTGATGAACATTGATGCAATAATCCTCAATAAAATACTGGCAAACCGAATCCAGCAGCACATCAAAAAGCTTATCCATCATGATCAAGTGGGCTTCATCCCTGGGATGCAAGGCTGGTTCAATATATGCAAATCAATAAATGTAATCCAGCATATAAACACAGCCAAAGACAAAAACCACATGATTATCTCAATAGATGCAGAAAAAGCCTTTGACAAAATTCAACAACCCTTCATGCTAAAAACTCTCAATAAATTAGGTATCGATGGGACATATTTCAAAATAATAAGAGCTATCTATGACAAACCCACAGTCAATATCATACTGAATGGGCAAAAACTGGAAGCATTCCCTTTGAAAACTGGCACAAGACAGGGATACCCTCTCTCACCACTCCTATTCAACATAGTCTTGGAAGTTCTGGCCAGGGCAATTAGGCAGGAGAAGGAAATAAAGGGTATTCAATCAGGAAAAGAGGAAGTCAAATTGTCTCTGTTTGCAGATGACGTGATTGTATATCTAGAAAACCCCATTGTCTCAGCCCAAAATCTCCTTAAGCTGATAAGCAACTTCAGCAAAGTCTCAGGATACAAAATCAATGTACAAAATCACAAGCATTCTTATACACCAACAACAGACAAACAGAGTGCCAAATCATGAGTGAACTCCCATTCACAAGTGCTTCAAAGAGAATAAAATACCTAGGAATCCAACTTACAAGGGATGTGAAGGACCTCTTCAAGGAGAACTACAAACCACTGCTCAAGGAAATAAAAGAGGATACAAAGAAATGGAAGAACATTCCATGCTCATGGGTAGGAAGAATCAATATCGTGAAAATGGCCATACTGCCCAAGGTAATTTACAGATTCAATGCCATCCCCATCAAGCTACCAATGACTTTCTTCACAGAATTGGAAAAAAATACTTTAAAGTTCATATGGAACCAAAAAAGAGCCCGCATCGCTAAGTCAATCCTAAGCCAAAAGAACAAAGCTGGAGGCATCACACTACCTGACTTCAAACTTACTACAAGGCTACAGTAACCAAAACAGCACGGTTCTGGTACCAAAACAGAGATATAGATCAATGGAACACAACAGAGCCCTCAGAAATAACGCTGCATATCTACAACTATCTGATCTTTGACAAACGTGAGAAAAACAAGCAATGGGGAAAGGATTCCCTATTTAATAAATGGTGCTGGGAAAACTGGCTAGCCATATGTAGAAAGCTGAAACTGGATCCCTTCCTTACAGCTTATACAAAAATCAATTCAAGATGGATTAAAGACTTAAACGTTAGACCTAAAACCATAAAAACCCTAGAAGAAAACCTAGGCATTACCATTCAGGACATAGGCATGGGCAAGGACTTCATTTCTAAAACACCAAAAGCAATGGCAACAAAAGACAAAATTGACAAATGGGATCTAATTAAACTAAAGAGCTTCTGCACAGCAAAAGAAACTACCATCAGAGTGAACAGGCAACCTACAAAATGGGAGAAAATTTTCGCAACCTACTCATCTGACAAAGGGCTAATATCCAGAATCTACAATGAACTCAAACAAATTTACAAGAAAAAACAAAAAACCCCATCAAAAAGTGGGCGAAGGACATGAACAGACACTTCTCAAAAGAAGACATTTATGCAGCCAAAAAACACATGAAAAAATGCTCATCATCACTGGCCATCAGAGAAATGCAAATCAAAACCACAATGAGATACCATCTCACACCAGTTCGAATGGCAATCATTAAAAAGTCAGGAAACAACAGGTGCTGGAGAGGCTGTGGAGAAATAGGAACACTTTTACACTGTTGGTGGGACTGTAAACTAGTTCAACCCTTGTGGAAGTCAGTGTGGCGATTCATCAGGATCTAGAACTGGAAATACCATTTGACCCAGCCATCCCATTACTGGGTATATACCCAAAGAACTATAAATCATGCTGCTATAAAGACACATGCACACGTATGCTTATTGCGGCATTATTCACAATAGCAAAGACTTGGAACCAACCCAAATGTCCAACAATGATAGACTGGATTAAGAAAATGTGGCACATATACACCATGGAATACTATGCAGCCATAAAAAATGATGAGTTCATGTCCTTTGTAGGGACATGGATGAAATTGGAAATCATCATTCTCAGTAAACTATTGCAAGAACAAAAAACCAAACACCGCATATTCTCACTCATAGGTGGGAATTGAATAATGAGATCACATGGACACAGGAAGGGGAATATCACACTCTGGGGACTGTTGTGGGGTGGGGGGAGGGGGGAGGGATAGCACTGGGAGATATACCTAATGCTAGATGACGAGTTAGTAGGTGCAGCGCACCAGCATGGCACATGTATACATATGTAACTAACCTGCACAATGTGCACATGTACCCTAAAACTTAAAGTATAATAAAAAATAAAAAATAAAAAAATAAAAATAAATAAGAACACACAGAGCAGCATTTGCTCATAATTGTATGAATGAGGTTAACTTTTTATTTGGCACTTTAAACACAGGACTGAAATATCTATGGTGTTTGAGACTCAGCTGAGATTCTGCACTAATCTCCATAATTGAAATTTAACAAATCACCCCACTGGTCATGCTTAGAACTATTTCTTATTTCCCTCTCATTTGCATTTCTTTCTTTCCATCATTTTCTCCCTTTACTTCTTCTTCTGCCATTTCTTTATCTTTTATTTATTCATGTGGGAAAGTTGTTCATTGCTGGTACCTCAAACTCTATTCAGTTAAACATTCCTGAACATGCACAGCATTAAAGGTAATGTTAGATGCTGTGAGACAGCATTGTACTCATCCTTGTAATTAGTAGCTAAACAAATTAACTGAGTTTCTGGAGAATATCAGACAATGGGACTTAAAAATAAATAATATTTCCTTCATTAAATAAACTAAATTTTTTGGCATTTGCCATATTGAGTATCTACTATATGCTGAACTCTGTGTAGATAGCGAAGATTAAAAACTAAGTAAGGTATAACCCCTGCCCTCCAGCAATGTGCTTCTCATTGCATTGATATGCAGAGTAAAGAATAGATAAAGGGAAATGGGGCAATAGTAGAGGTGAAAATAGGACTCTCAGAAGCTACCAAGAGAAATGTAAACCTAGTTTGAATTTCCTAATAATAGAAAAAAGTCCCTTCCTATGTGTTTCTTTATAGTAAAAAAGAAAAATAAAATCCTGCAAACCATGAGTTTTTACTTACCAACCTGCCATATAATCTTATATTCATAATTAATTTACCCTGTTCTTCAATATCTGTCAACCAATTCCTAAGAAAACAAAATGTATGGTAACTTGTGGGGGATGTGGGGGGAATGAAAACTACAAAATCAAAGACTTCAAGAAAAGTAGTTGTCCATTTTTGCTTGTTTGGGATGCCAAGACCTTTAGTGCATAACTTTATTATTATAACATTGTCATTATTTCTAAATTATTCAGTGTAAAGCCTACAGAGTACACTGAGTACCTCAGTCAGATTTATTAGATAGATGGATACATAGATAGATGATAGATAGATAGATAGATAGATAGATAGATAGATAGATAGATAGACAGATGATAGACTCTATGGTATAGGGTAGAAATTCTAAAGATATGAATTTAAGATGTGGACTGTGAATTAAGACCAACACCAATAAAAAAAATTAGTTCACAATGCAAGGCAACATACTTAAATGGTAACTTGTATAGTACAGATCCTAAATCAGGAATGGCAAAGTTCCCGCTCAAATGCCACCATCTGGCCTTGCCTCATCCATGCAGACATCCACAGCTAGTTCCGGCTCTTATTCCCACCAGGTTCAGAAGTGGCCTCCAAAACTCTGGCAGAATCCCCCAGGGCAGTCATTTCCAACTGATTTCAGCTGGTACTCAAGAGGACATCAATTTGGCATCCTAACTGTAAGAGTTTATTTTAAAAATGAGTAAGTTATCCTAGAATGGATGGCAATTCCAGTCCTCCTATCTGTGACTACAGGCAGGTGTGCCAAGAGCAGAGGGTAAGCATTGGGGCTGAGCTACCAGCACTGGCTAGGAACAGGACAGGAAGCAGGAACTGGGAAAGCCATCAACCTGCTAGAATTCAGACTTAAGGAAATTAATGCCCACAAATAGTCATGGAGTCCCTGCTTCATGCCACACAGAAGTCTCGATTTTGCTCTTAAGAAGTTGTGGAGGGAGGAAAAAATAGATGTTTTAGAACTTGTGCAAGGCACTTCATCTCCCTGGGTCTTAGTATAATTGGGGAGCTGTGTTCGTTTCCTAAGACTGCTATAACAAAGTACCACAAAGTGGGTGGCTTAAAACATCAGAAATTTATTGTCTCACAGTTCTGAAGGCTGGGTCTGAATCAAGATGTCTGTAGTGCCATGTTTCCTCTGAAGCCTGTAGGGAAACCCTTCTTTTCCTCTTCCTAGCTTTTGGCGGCTTGGAGGCAACCTTAGGCATTCCTTGGCTTGCAGCTGCATAACTCCAACCTCTGCCTTCATCATCACATGGTACTCTCCCTGTATGCCTCTGTCTCCAGATGGCCATCTTCTTATAATCTTATAAGGACAGCAGTCATATTGGATTAGGGGCTCACTCTTCTCCAGTATGACCTCATATTAACTAATTACATGTGCAATGACCTTATTTTCAAATAAGGTCACATTCCAAGGTACTAAGGGGTTAGGACTTCAACATACTTTTTTGGAGATGACACAATTCAACCCATAACACAAGCTAAATTTACAAACCTTTCAACCTCTACCATTTTCAACACTCAATGCCAAAAAAAAAATAGTAATGGATTAGAAACCATTTTAAGAAGTGTCAGCCACTAATTAGCATCAGCTTCTACTAACCAACTTCAGGGACCATGTACTCACTACCTTCTGATTCAGGGATGCTCCATTTGGTTCTTCTTAATATTGAGCCAAACTCTACCCACTTGGAATGATTCTGCGACTTGAGCTTGCTCATAGCAGTCTTTCGGATATTTGAAGACAAGCGTTAGAGTCTGGGTTGTCTCTTCTACCAGCTGAGCCTCTGCATATCCTTTAATCTTTCATCCTGACACCATTACGGCTGCTCTGCTCCATGTGGACTCCAGTTGGTCTACTTTCCTAAATTGTGACATTAGTAACTGGACATAATACCCTGAAACATGCAGAACTAATACCCTCCTTCATGTGAAAACGGGAAGCATTTGCTCCCTTGTCACTGACTCATACTTTTCTTAACCATCAAGTCTTTCTCATGGGTGCTGCAATTTAATTTCTCTCTCATCCTGAACTCACACAGTTGTCTGACCTTTTAGATAATTGGAATAACATAAAAGGGAATAAAAGCCAACTACCAATCAGAGTGGAGAATCATCCAAAGTTCTTTCATCACCTCTTTACCCTAGGGATATGACCTAGCAGTAGATGGGCAGAAGACAGAAAGCTTTGGCCCACAACTTCCATGAAACAAACAGAAAACTTAAGGGAAAAAGGGAGACCTGGGACTTGCTGATTTTGAAACATAGTAACTGACAGGAAAAGTGGAAAACGTGGGAATTTCAGAATGGAGAAAGAGATAAAGTAGGGGATTTCTGTAGGGAAGAAGAGGGAGATAGCCTAAACAAAGCAGTGAGAATCCACCCACAAGTTTTTCAGCTAGCATAGGACACTGTCAAAGTCTGGGCAGTGAGGCCTCATGTTCCTATACAGGCTGACAGGACAACGTAACTAGATCAGGGGGCACAATATTCCTATATCTGAATCTCTATAATTTTGATTTATCACCAATGATTTTGAATAAATTGTTCCCTTCTTCATGGTCCCATTTGTGAATTCACTATAGTAGAAATGGTTGCACAGGCAGTAGTAGGAAGGAGAAGAGAATCCATCAACCCCCAAGCCAAGTACCATCTCTGGCCCATTGTAATTATTAGAGATAACATCAGTACAGGCTACAGGGCATCAGAGACCCACCCTTTGGCAGCAGCTCAGCTAGTGAATAGTAGAATTCCCTTCCTTCCTACCCAAAGTTACACATATACAGCTAACACCTAAACTGTATCCACCGATGTATGCACACATATAGTTAAAACCATGATTTATTAAGCACCTAATATGTACTAGATATTGCAAACCCTGACCAAGATCATGCTCTTGGTGAAGGTGTTGGGGTTACTGAGGAAATGTAATAAATCCTTCATCCCCATCTGGTATACAAAAGCCAACAAATGAAGGAACCAAAATATTCACTCTATTACTGATAAAGGCTAAATGGGGGGACACAACCTGATGTGAGTACCCAGTGGATCTTCCCACTATAGCCCATTCTTGGCCAGAATTCCTCAACCTTTGCAGGCAGCTCTGGGCCTAGGCAAGACCTAGGTCAGCACAGGGGAACTGAGGATGATGTCAAGGTGGAACCCAAGAGGGAAATGAACTCACCATTGCCATTTAATTCTTCCTAACTCAACAGTGCAGAAAAGCACTCTGTCTCCTTTGGGATGGAGCAAGTGAAGGGAGAGACTCTAAGAAAATTTAAGGAAAAATTCCACCTCATATACACCAGGGAAGAAAACTCTCTCCCCTCTAACAAGAGGCAGATCCAAGACTCGAGGCCAGGCCTGCCTGGCACCAAAGCCCATGCTCTTACCCATCACAGTATCCATAGATGAATGTGTCTAGTGCACTGTTGGCAGGGAGGGCTACAAGGAGTCAATTTTGCTGGAAAATTTTGGATCAATAACAGAGAGAGACAGAAAGAGAGAGAGGGAGATTGAGATTGAGATTGTGTCGGAAAGAAGAGAGATTAGGAGGATAGTATAGTATCTGTACCCCATGGCATATGGTCCAGCCCCCTGATCTTAGGTCTGAGAGAGAGAGAGAGAATAGGGGGGAGGGGGGTGGGCAGAAATTAAAAGAACAGTTGTCATTTAAAAACTCTGTAAGCACTGAGCCACAACCAGCCCTACTAAGAATACAAAAAGATAAAGTATATCACAGAGACAGGGAGAGAACAACTCATCACTTCATTGTGGAACTCACCGTGGCTTGAGAGCAATTAAGCCTCCAGCGAACACAGCTCATCTTTGGCACAGAGATGGAAATGGCAGAACTGAGGGAGTAGTGGGCACCAGGGCTAATGCTCATGTGTTTATAGGCCCTGAAATGGTAGAAAAGATGGCAACACCAAGTGTTGCCAGTTAGAAATGTTAGCTGCATGCACCAGAATTAATTTTTTAACTTATTTTCTTGTTTATTAGTTTTCTACTGTTATATAACAAATTAGCACAAACTTAGTGATTGAAAACAACACACATTTTTATCTCACAGTTTCTCTGAGTCAATAGACTGGCCACATAGCTGGGTTCCTTGTTTAGGGTCTCCTACAGCTATCATCAAGGAATCAGTTGGGGCTGCAGTCTGTTCTGAGGCTTAACGAGAGAAGGATCCACTTTTGTGGGCAGAACTCAGTTCTTTACAGCTGTAGGGGTTTCAGTTTCTCACTGGCTGTCAGCTGGAGGCTGCTGTCAGCTTCTAAAATCTGATCTTAATTTCTTGCCCAAAATTGGCAGCCCACATGGGCAGCTCACTTCTTCAAAGCCAGAAAAGGATGGAGAGACTCCAGCAAGAGGGTAGCTACAATCTAATGCACACTCCGTCACCTTTGCCATGTTCTATTGTCCAGAGGCAAGTCACAGGTCACACACATACTCAAGGGAGGGGATCCACAATGGCCTGATCATCAGCAGGCAGGGGTCATGGGGCCCACCCTAGGGCCTACCCACCACCACAACTGGTTTAAACAAAGTAGATGTTTTCTCACTTGCAGAAGAAATCCAAAGGTAGGTGGTTCAGGGTGGCTCCACAGTCATTAGGGACCCCGGCTCCTTCAAGATCTCCAACCTCCAGTCCTAAGGGTTTGGCCTTCCCACTAAAGGACCAAAAAACTGATAGAGCTTCAGTCAGTCATCCACAGTCCAGGCAGCAGGATGAAGAAAAAGCAAAAAAAAAAAAAAGGGCAAGGCACCTACTCCCTTCCTTTTAGGAATACTTCTCACAAGTATCACTAATATCTTTAGCCTATATCCCACTGACCAGAACCTGGTCCAGGACTCTACCTTGCTGCAAAGTCATCTGGGAAATGTAGCTCCTCCTGAGACTAAGGAGGAGGAAGAGAACGGGTTGAATAGGAGGAAGAAAGTAGCAGTCTCTGCTACACTGAACATCAACAAAGTGTGCCAGATAGGAGAGAAAGAACAAAGCAAATCCCAGGGGACAGCTCTTGGGATCTTTTGTGAGAGCACAGAACAGTCCTGGAAGCCCCCAGGAATCACTGGGAAGGACTGTCGGCGGGGCTGGAGGCCCTGCATCATCACTTAGATGGCATGGATGATGCTATTTCCAGGATCCCATTTCATACCCAGGCCAGTGAGGCCTGGAAAACTCATTAAATAATCCAGTGGTTCTCAGATTAAAATAATCATCAGAATCACCTATTTGCTTAACAATTCAGATCCAGAACCTGATTCTAGATATGCTGAATTAGGATTTCTTAAAGTAAGGCCAGAAATGTTTGTCAAACCAAGCTCTTAAGAGAGTCTAATGTCTATCAAGTTTGGAAACTACCATTATAGATATTTTCAAAAAATAATTACTTCATCTTTTCCCAGTCTCCAAGTGAAGTTTCCTAGACTTGGGATATAAACTTATTTGTTAATCTAAGTATCTGTCCAGTGATTCCAACGACTCTATTCTTATATAAGAGTGTATTAACTTAATCATATTAAACAATTGGCATCATGAGGTGATCTAGAAGGGCCCAGCATCACTGAGCTAGAGGGTTTTTCAACCTCAGAACTTTTCATATTTTGGGTCAAATAATTCTTTGTTGTAAGGAGCTGTCTGGCGCATTGTAGGATGTCTAGCAGCATCCCTGACCTCCATTCCCTAGATGACAACAGCACTACCTCCAATTATGTTAACCAAAAAATGTACAGACATTGGCAAATGGTTGCTGAAGGCAAAATCACTTCCAGTTGAGAACCCCCGATTGTGAAATGCTATCTTTAGTATTTCACAGAAGCCCAGAAAATTCATGGCAACAGAAATATTAAATAACACTGGGTGGGAATTAAGAAAATGTACATGAAATCTTATGTTCTGGCTGAGACAATCTGTGCCTCCATTTTCCTGTGTGTATAAAAACTATGTGTTCTATATACTTCTATATAATTTCCAGAGATTAAGTGAGTGCTCACCTCACATTAATTTTTTTAATTTGTGTATTACTTACCTCTCCACTGAGCGGGGAGGTAAAGGAGGCTGGTAATCAAATTTCTTCAACTTCATTATGTTGCTACCTTGCAACACAATAATCCCTACTCTAAGCTAGCCTCAAATATCCTGTTTCTCATAAATAAGCTTAAATAAGGGAGGTGTGCTATAGACATGCTTTATGCTAAAATAAAAAGAACACATAATAAATAGATGAGAATTTAAGCTTTTATTAATAAATCATGATTTTCTATTGAATACATAATAAAGTACAATTAACAATAACATAACATTACAACATTAAAAATTAAAACTTTCAGAATCACCTTGATCAATATATAAAGCTTTAGTTCCTTATTTCAACAGTGTTCTTCTCATATGCAAAACAGCTTCCCAAAATAAGAGATTCGTGAATGAAATTTTATAAAGCTTCCTGTGTACCAAAGAGATTGACTCCACATCAACTGTCCCCTACTGAAAATCCAAACCATACAGGCTTGAAGGACCAGAACTGAGCCACATTCTATTAAAGTTATCAAAGATAAAATCTTAAAGATCTACAAATGGAACATGGAACTACCTTCTACCACCAATTCAATACACTGGGCAAACGTGGTAAATCTTGGCCTCAAGACAACATAAGATAGAATGATTCTTAAATATGTAGCAACAGATATATCAATATTATCCCTATTACAGAGACACATGTATACCAATTTATAACTGTTCTTTGCAGTAAGAAACTCAGAAATCATCTAGGAAATATCTATTTTCCTATGTTACAACTGAAATGAAAATGACAACATATTTTGTAAAATGATGCAATGTGGTATTGTCTTTTGATGAGACATGAAAACACAACTCACTGGCTAGAAATAGTTGTAAAACAAGCCTACTCTCACTGATATATACTTACTTTAAAAGTTACACTTACTTCTTAGTTTTCTGAAGAAAGAAGGATAATGGTCCTCTATTCAAAGTAGTAATAAAAATAATTGCACCTCAAATTACTCCCAGTGTAACATAAGATATTTAATATTAACATAAATATCATTTGCATAGATGATAGAAAAATTCTAATTTCTTAAAAGTGCTATGCCTTACTGGAATTTGAAGACAAAAAAAAAAGTGAGGAATACACTCTTCTGCCTGTCCGACAGAAGCCTCTACCGAGAACGTAAAAGGTTCTGAAACTCATCTATGAATGAGTCCACTTACTATAAGTGTCTTAAATTTACAATGCGCAAAAAACCAATGCACCCAAGAATACATCATGGCACCTTGCCCCATGGTAACCACTTGGCAGACTCAAATAATAACTACCCTCATAGGGAGAAATCTTGCCAAGGGAGAATTTACAACATATTTTTAGAAAGAAATGAGTATTCAATCATTCAATAAAGCAAATCAGAAAAAGTAAGGTTGTGAAAAGAACTCCAGATTATATGCCAGCAGGTTAATAAAATAATTCTTTTTTAAAAAATGACAAAGAAAAATCATAGTTCCAATTTTTTACTTAATGTCTTGAGTCTGCCAGACATGTCAAATGAAATAATTGAATTATGTAAAAATAAAAATAGTTGGTATTATATTGACAGACTACTTATAAATATGTTTAGCATAAATAGAAATTAAAGCTAAATATGTCTTTTTCTAAAAAAAAAAAAAAAATTATACCTAGGCTCAAAAGAATAGGAGCAGGGAGAGTTATGCTATCTACAATTCTGAATATTTCCACGTGCAGGATACAGTATTACATATGTAAGTAACATCTCCTAGGTAACAGAAATATATCTGGATTCTACATAAGCAAAACACTCCTCAGATTATAATATATAATCCAAAATACTAAACCAAAGATACTATTTTTACAATGTTTTGAAAAACAAAGTACAATAGCACAACACAATAAAAGGAAGCATTTCATTGACCAGACATATTTTAATGGGCTTGAATTTCTTTTTTAAAACTATAACTAAATGTAATAAGATGGTGGAACCAAATATAAAAATGTTATTCTGTCCTAGAATTGTTTGGCTACTAGGTTTTCCCAACATTCAGTCTCTGGAAGCATCGGCCAGTCAGAAAGAGAGGTAAGATATGCTGGTGTTTTACTAAGGTTCCCAGTGAGTGGAAAAGAAGGGGGACTTTAGTTCATACCAGTAAATGACATTGACAGTATTCTAAATGGAAGAGCTTCAGCATAAGGAATCTTAATGGTAAAATGAGTTTTTTAATATTATTACTCATAGCATGTGAAGAAAATAATTTATACTAGTAATTATTACTACTACATATACTCCTTTTCTCCTTATGCCTGTGGTATTTTAATCACTTTTAGTCCAAGCCCACTGCTTGTAGCAGAGCAAGTTCTCTAAGGGAAGTATGAAGGAAGAAGTGGCCGGGACATCTGCACAGCCCCATGCACCAGGAGACAGTGCTAGCTAACCCTTTATGTTCCTTCTCATTGTTGTCCTCTTCATTTTTAATAAACTTACAATAAAAAGAGATGAGTTACAAGGTGACTTTTTTGTTTTTTGTTTTTTGAGACAGAATCTCACTCTGTCCCCCAGGCTGGAGTGCAGTGGCGTGATCTCGGCTCACTGCAACCTCTGTCTCTCAGGTTCAAGTGATTCTCCTGCCTCAGCCTCCCGAGTAGGTGGGACTACAGGTGCATGCCACCACGCCTGGCTAAATTTTGTATTTTTAGTAGGGACGGGGTTTCACCATATTGGCCAGGCTGGTCTCAAACTCCTAACCTTGTGATTCACCCGCCTCAGCCTCCCAGAGTGCTGGGATTACAGGCATGAGCCACTGCGCCTGGCCTACGAGGTGACCTTTAACTTGAAAACATGGAGTTCTTCACCAAAAAAGTATTCAAATGATAGTTTTTAAACAAGGAAATATGGTCTAAAAAAGATACAACCTGTCTTCCAATGGCCTTTCCATTCTAGTGTTTCCTAATATATTACACTAGAAGTTAACTATAAATTATATACTTTAAAATATAAAGTATTGATTGTCAGTATAAGGTTCCCAGGCCAGGAAAGAGGAGGGGAAAGTCCTTTGCCAAGACCCTCCCCCAATTTCTTTGTAAGATGATTTCACCTTTAAAGAACTCCCAGAGAGTAAAGGGCAAAAACACGTTTACAAGGAGGCCCCAACATTACAAGTGCCTGTTTTAGAACAGATTGTGTCAGAGGTGTAAGAGATCTAGAAACTTTTCCCCACTTAAGAAAAAAAGGCAAGAAAATTAAGTATTTGATACTTAACTGCCCTCTTCATAGACCACTGTCTGGGGATCTATTTTCTATGTACAGGTTTGCCAGCTTTAAAATACTGAATGTCAGTTATTCCTACTTTGGTATCCAAAATATCCATAAGCAATATATGAGCATCCATTCCACTATAATTTCTGAAAATTCACTAAAATAAGAGCATTTTTAAAAATTAACTTTAAAAGATACATTTGCATACTTTATTTTTGATGGATTTATTTTTAAATAGCTAAAAACATAAAGCAAATTCTTTGGAGCCCATGGCAATTACTTTTTCCCCTGTCCACTTGAGTGAAATGCCATAGAGCTAAAGAGAAAAACTAAACCATTTCTTAGATTGAATAAAAGATCATTAATTGTTGACACATATCTAAATCATTTCAGTATATTTAGAAGGCAAAGAAGAAAGGGAGAAGGAAAGAAAAGAGAGAAGAAAAGAAAAAAGGGGGATTCATCTTTAAAATTTCCATCCAGATAAATTATATTACCCTTCGGAATACAGGGCAATTAAAGATTGAGGTGCTCAGGATTCGGGGATCTTAAAAGTTCACAGCAAGCATCAGATGTCACTAGACAACTGGCAGTCTAATGCTCACACCCCTGAACTAGAAGAGGTTCCACAGGATCCCTGGCCAATGCCAGGGATCTTTAGGTCAGCAGTCATGTCAAGATGCTCTGATTCTCCACAAACCCAGCTTCTTTCCCAAACTGCAGGGAGGTCGGTCTGCAGTGACTTACCTAGTATTTTGTTGTATCCCTGGCTCACAGTGTCTCCCTGGTCTAGGATCTTCGAATCGAAATCCCATGAAGCACATATTGCAGTGCTCTCTGACTCTCACCCCTGAAATAGAGCTGGTGTGGGGCTGAGGATGTGGGAAGGAGACAGCACACCCAGCACCCCCCAGGGCAATTTTCAGTATGCTCCTCAACCTCTGAGATGGTGTGAAAAGCACAGTAAATGTACTGCCCCTCACATTTCTCTACAGAGGAAAAAGAGAGGGAGGGCAATGGCTGGGGGGTGTGATCAGATTTCAAGCAGAAAAAGACCGTGCCACTTAAAAAAAATTCACCACCTAGATTCTGAAAAGAAAGAATTTCCAGTTAAGAAGTATCTACTGAGACCACTGGGCATGGGGTGGGTTGGGGTGGGGTGGGCAGTAGGGCTAGGTTGGAGGTGGGAAGGGAACAGATGAAGCTCCTCCTGCTGGCTGTTTTCTCCCATTCCCAGGGAAATCCATCTTTAAGCAAACATGGATGTGTAATAATGCTTAAGAATCTAGGTTCATTTCTTTCACAAAATGAGGAGAATACCTATTCTAAAGTAATACCTTTATTCTGGAGAAAACAAACACCTCCAAAAAAATTCTAAAAGATTTTGAGAGGGGAAAATATAGACACACAACTGCATTCATTCTGATCTTCCACACAAAGATCAGGTGAAGAAATCTATGCAGCTATACATGCTAGGACCTGTTGTACACCATCCCTGCAACCCCATAGAAAGAAAAAAAACTCTTTTTTCAAAATAGAAGCAGTATTCTTCTACGAAAACAAAACAATCACATGTGACTACTGGAAATGTTAGTGTTACACAGAGTCCTTTAAAAATAAATCACAGCCAAAGTTCCATAAAGTACAGAAGCTTGAAACAGAAAATAAAAATGACTGAAGAGTGATGATGGGAGCCTGAAGCTCCATCCTCACAAGGACGGCAGCCCTGGACATCACTGCAAAGGTCACAGGAGGACAGCTTCACTTCAGAGTTGTAACTTCTCACCGCCTGTCTCCCTGTTCAAAGAAGCAGACATCAGTTCACACGGCTCCCTTGTTTAGAAACATTGACTTTGCCAAAATATAAGAGCATTTCGATACACTTTTCTGAGTTTTCCATTCTTAACCTAATTTTATTTTTCTTTACAAGAAACAACTGAAATGTCCAAGAGTGGTCCAAAGTACTAACCAAATCCAAGAGAGAAACAATGCGCTCAGTCCAATCTGTCTACCACCAGCAGTTGGCCAGCATTAAAAGAGAGCAAATAGACTGCAGCTGCACACTGCAATCACAAGCACCACTTTAATCTCTTACTGCATCAGGGAGAATTTTCAGTTAAGGACTGTTTAACCTCCTCAAGAGTTTATTTTAGGATGACATTCTCTATGCACTCAAATCAAATTCTAATCATTAGAACTACTGAAAAGGGGCATTTACCCTGGGCTCTAGTAAAAAAATACATAAATATGAAGGGAAGACTGCCTATGCAATACCTTGTTTTAAAACACTCAGCATATAGTATCTAAAAGCGAACATGACAAAAACTACTTAAAGTACCTATAACACCACAGTGAACTCACTGTAAAACATAAATGAGTTTTATAATTTTTAAAAAACATATTCTATTTTCAAATTTATTCATGATTTTTCAGAGACTGTTTTCCATATCGTAAATGTGTTTTGAGATTTTTTAAAATGGGTTGGAAGGTTTAGCTTATTCTGATCTTTCCCATATTTTCATTTTAAAATGGCCTCCTCATAAGTAAGTTGTTTTCCATAAAAATTTGCATAGACTGAATTATTTTTGTTTCTTAAATGTTTAAAATGTTCCCCATGCACCCAAGAAATATAAATTGGGGAATTTTGCAACTAAGTAAAGTAATAAAGTTGGACAACTAGTTACTGTCATTGGGTCTCCACAGTGTATTCCATCCCTCCACTAGAAAAAAAGTGCCACACCAGTGTTTCCCAAATGTCCCACAAGAACCTGGGTGAACCCTCTTCCTCAGTGCCAACAGGAGGCAAAAGACAAGAGGAACTGGCTTGTTGACTATGAGGAGAGAACTGGTGCTACACCTTAGTCTTGAATACTCTATGAAACACTAACAACAATGGGAACAAGTTCATCTCATTTAAAGTGTAATTATCTACAACTACCTAACACACAAAAATGTTCATGCTTCTCATGCATTGTGATGATTCTGA
Organism: Homo sapiens; assembly: GCF_000001405.40. Lineage (NCBI taxonomy): Eukaryota > Metazoa > Chordata > Mammalia > Primates > Hominidae > Homo > Homo sapiens. Next base: position 73,822,268 of record NC_000006.12, on the reverse strand, counting down.
GCCACCACAAGCGCTTATTCAAAATAAGACATATTACAATTAGAAACATTAGGCCAGAGATCACATACAAAAAGTCCCTCTGACTGAACATGGATTCATCCTATTAAACTTGGGCCATCTCCAGACCAGCTCTCTATTTTTACGTCCTAAATTTCCATCATTTTATACAAATAAGAAGTTACCAGTAAAATCAAAGAAGCTCAAGTTATTTTCCAAACAGGCTATATTTTTCTTGACACACTTTTAAAAATCTGTTATCAAGTGTAAGTTTCGGCAAAACACCAGACTCCCTCAATAAAGAAACAGCTAACTCCAGCCGATGCTACTGCATTGCAGATGCTGTTCATGTTCTCTCCTGAAGAAGTCCCATTTTATTTATTATTTGTTACTTATTTATTTACTGTTCAGGGGTACATGTACAAGTTTGTTACAAGGGTATATTATGTGATGCTGAGGTTTGGGCTTCTATTGATCCTGTCACCCAAATAATGAACATTGTACCCAATAGAGAGTGTTTCAGCCCTTATTCCCCCTCTCCCTCCCCACTTTTGAAGTCCCCAGTGTCTACTGTTCCCATTTTTATGTCCATGTGTACCCAATGTTCAGCTCCCACTTATAAGTGAGAACATGTGATATTTGGTTTTCTGTTTCTTCATTAATTCACTTAGAATAATGACCTTCAGCTGCATCCATGTTGCTGCAAAAGACATAATTTAGTTCTTTTTTATGGCTGTATAGTATTCCATGATGTACATCTACCACATTTTATTTATCCAATTCACAGTTGATGGGCACCTAGGTCGATGACCTGTCTTTGCTATTGTGAATTAGTGCTGTGATAAACATATGAGTGCAGGTGGCTTTTTGGTAGAACAATTTATTGTCCTTTGGGTATATATCCAGTAACGGGATTGTGGGGTCAAATGGTAGCTCTACTTTTAGAAGAACTCCCATTTTTTTTATTATACTTTAAGTGCTAGGGTACATGTGCACAACGTGCAGGTTTGTTACATATGTATACATGTGCCATGTTGGTGTGCTGCACCCGTTAACTCGTCATTTACATTAGGTATAACTCCTAATGCTATCCCTCCCTCCTCCCCCAACCCCATGACAGGCCCTGGTATGTGATGATCCCCTCTCTGTGTCCAAGTGTTCTCATTGGTCAATTCCCACCTATGAGTGCGAACATGCAGCATTTGGTTTTTTGTCCTTGCGATAGTTTGCTGAGAATGGTTTCCAGCTTCATCCATGTCCCTACAAAGGACATGAACTCATCCTTTTTTATAGCTGCATAGTATTCCATGGTGTATATGTGCCACATTAAGAACTCCCATTTTAAAGCTGGAAACAGATGGAATGGGTGCTTGGAATAGAAGCAATACCTTGCAAATGAGACATAACTGGACTCTATATGCCAATTTTTCTTTGTAAAGTTTATAATTGTGAGTTAAAAATCTAAAACATTATGAAAAAATATATCATTTTTAAATTTCATATGCTAAAACCTATCATGTGACCCTTGTAAATTATCAATAGTCTTCACTGAAATGGAATGCTCACTTCCTGCCCCCCCGCCTCCTGTACTTTCTCCTACCAAATCCTGCCCTCGCCACAGAACCAATCCAATGTGTGGTCACTTCCAATAAATGAATGAATGCCTGGCTTAATTTCTAAAGTATTAAGAACTCCAGAGCATACTTACTTGGCTCATAGTAATCCACTATGGACACTGAAGCATCTTGGGTATTTGAAACTTTAAAGTTTCTCACAGCAGGAATATTAACACAAAACTGGGTTTCATTTACCTTGAGAAATACAAAAGAGTCTTAAGGGGTTGGCACACTGTGTGTTCATGATTAAGTAAAGACATTTCTTTTTTCTCATCATTTTAGGAAACAGAGACTAACACTTAGGGAGGATTTCTACATGTCAGATACTGCAGTAAGTACTTCCTATGAACTATCTTATTTAACTTGTAAAACAATGCTTACAAAAAGGTATTGTTCTTAGTTCCATTTTGCTGAATGGGATACTGAGAATTAGAGTGGTTAAGTAAGCAGCAAGCCTTAGGGTGCATGCACCTAGATCTCCTGTCTCAGATGGTGCACCCCACCCCCAGTTACTACTAATGGCTCACAGCAGCCTCCTTCTCCTGGGAATCACCCTCAGCTCATGCAAGCCATGTCACCCAGTAGGTGAGGTAACTAAGATGGGGCTGTACTCCACAGCCAATGACTGAGATGGGGTACACAAAGCCAGCCTATCTGTCTCCAAGAGAGACAGATTTGGCCAATTTGGCAACAACACTCATTAAAGAATCAGAAATTAGTAAATTCCTTCAAACATTCCCTTATTTGCCAATAGTAGTAAATGAAAAGTCAAACTGACCACTCAAAGAGTACTGGACACTCAAATTAAAATAACCATTAACAAGAGCATCAAAGATAGAAGACAAACTCCAAAACCAATTACACAACTAAACTAAAACCTTAAATTTGTTTTTCAAGTTCCAAATCAGGCCAATGGCTTTTGAGCAGTGCTTAATGTAAGATAATTCCTAAACAGCAAAAGAATCTAGAGACTGTTATTTAACATTATATTGAGACTGAATTAGTTTTAACAGGGCTTTAACCAAAGTGGTTTTGAAGTGCTAAAACAAATGAGACCATTCAAGAACTATCTTTTTAAAAGCATATATTCAGCAATATATTTCTGATTCATACTTAGCAAAACTGAAATAAGAAACATACAAACCCACCCATGTAATATGAAATCCTTAGAATACTATGAACTCAATATCAGTTCAACCTATGAAGCTCATATAGATGCTATAAGAAAAGAATAAACTTACATACCACCAGTTTTGAGACATACCAAGTAGAGTCTGGAATTCTTCACTTACCTTTCCCTACACACTGTGTGCACTTTATTCTTGAATCAGTAGTACTCATTCAGCAATGGAAAGAGTACACGAAGGTTATGTAACAATTCTATGTCAAGATCAAATCTCTGAGAATAGTCTTCCATGATTTAGCACCTAATTTTTCAAGGTAAGAATATGAACCCCTTTAAGGTTTGTTAAAAGCTTCATGGAAGAATTTTAAAATGTGTAATTAAGACTTTCGTCTTCCAGCCAGGCATGGCGGCTCACACCTGTAATCCCAACACTTTGAGAAGCCAAGACCAGAAGATCACTTGAAGTCAGGAGTTCAAAACCAGCCTGGGCAACAAAATGAGACCCTATCTCCACAAAAAATTCTCATGAAATTATCTAGGCATGGTGGCATGCACCTGTGGTCCCAGCTACTCAGGAGCCTGCAGTGGGAGGATCACTTGAGCCCAGGAGTTGGAGGTTGCAGTGAGCTACGATTGCACCACTGCACTCCAGCCTAGGCAACTCCCTGAGGCAGACAGGCTCTCAAATTCAGATCTGGGTTGAATTTTTTTAATTATACTATGGAAATTTCTATGTATTTCACATCTGGCATGACATAAAGATTTAGTTATGAAGGCCTTCATCAGGCTCGTCATTAATAGCAACTCTCTAAACTGATTTTATACTTATGTCTTTCTAATGGAGATAAATATATGGTTGCCATGTTAAACTCATTCAGGGACACAAAAAGTTGAAATAACAATGAATTAAAGAAAACATACTTAAAGTAAGGTAGACACCTGAATACAAAACACAGTGGCTTTGTCAACAGTTACCTTATGTTTTACTACTTACAGAATCTAAATAGAGGTTGAGTTTTCCATGATCATATTCCACTTTCTTCACTGTCTCGCTCAGAGAAATTGCTTCTGAAGGCACCATAAAGCCACTTAATAGGTTAACTTCCATAAGAGCCATGCCACTCCTACCCGGGCCCGAAAAGCTAAATCAAAGAGGGAGGATGAATGAAAACTCCTCAGGAAAAACCCATAGCTGTTATCAAATTATCTTCATACAAAAATCAAACCCACCAAATGTTATTCCAAACACTGTTTGAGTTCAAATAAAATTCCCTATAGAGAATTTTAAAACAGGTTATCATTTTCTTACATGTGTGGTAATCTTGAAACTTTTAACCATATAAGGAATAATGATACAACAATGTGTTCATCTGACAGATAGTATGCAATGCCTGCAATGTAAGAGGCTTGTGCTTATAAACTGTGACAGTACAATATACATCCTTTCAACAGACAACTCTATTTTCTAGTGGTGATTCCAAACAGAATTGCACTTTTCCTTTTCTCAAAAGTTGACAGCACCAAACTTGCAAGCTGAAAGCCAGGCCCTGAGAAGGAGGCATCACTTGACCACTTAGTGATAGGTCCCATCCAAGGTCTTAGCAACCTTTTATTCGTCTGATTTTAGAAACATCAGACCAGTAGGGAGAAGCCATCCCTTTGTTCTCCCATATACTTGAAGAACATTTTCTGTTTTCTTTGGCCACCGTGAGGGAATTACAAGCCTTGGAAAGTTTTATTACACTGCATCCTTCTCTCGCCCTGTTGTACGTGATGTGAGCATCAAAGGATCTGGGCACCAACAACATTTTGTCTGCTTGGAAATAAATATTTTTATAAAATGAATTGATGGCAAGAGCTTTTCATTTAGAGCAGAAGGAGCCCAGCTAAGTGATTATGGAAAGATGTTTGCCTCCAATTTAAAAGAATCATAGCATTAAGTTAGTACCTGTTGTCCTTTTAAATGGCAAAAGAAAGAAGGGCTGTTAGAAAAATCTTGCTTTTTAGAGCAGAAAACCCATGCCTGCCAAACATGACTGATTGAAAAGCCATACAGTACAACTGCTGACTTCAGCTGGCTCTGCAATCCGAAGCAACTGAAACCATCTGCTGGCAATGCACTGAGCCAAAATAGATGTTATTGAGAACTAATAAATGGATTGAAACTGGAGGTGTTTGCATATGAGAAAAAAATATAGATGAGAAAAAAACAGTCAATATGCTTAAACATTTAAAAGCACAATGCAGATTATACTTTCAGTACATATTAAAAGTACCTTGGTTGATCTGATCTCTCTACCAAGCCTGGGGCAGAATTTGTTAAACTATCATGCCACACAGAAAGCCTGGTATGAGGTAAGGTCTTGGACCCTGTTGATAGGAATAAAGTGTCTGAAATATCAAGTAATCTTTTTATAATGTGCTGCTGAAAAAATACACCTAAATGTTATTTGTCCTTCATACCAGATTTTTCTCAGAAAACTAGTAGCAGCATTTAAATCCTTTTTATAAAACCCCTACCCTCACATGAAAACATTTCCCTTCTTCAGGCTCTACCTACCACCCAAACTCTGTTGTCCACCTGATTCCTGATGCTTAAAACTGGAAATCCTGCATCCTTACATGAACCCCTATAAATGCTGAGGCCTCTTCACAGTCTGAATTCTGGTTCCCCACCTCATTTTTCTCATGTTTCTTCACTTGATGTCTCTTAAGAGGTAAAAATCTCCCTCTCTTAACTCCATGAGGGTCTTCTTCTTTGCCCTTTTCAAAATTAGAATTTTAGGCTTGCTTAGGGGATTGTTTCCATTAATTTCTGTATCCCCCTCAAACAGCAAGTTCCACAAGGCAGAGCTTGCATCTTTTTTGGCTTACAATTATATTCCCACGCCTGACACACAGACACCATGCCTGGCACATAGTAGAGACTCAAGCAATACTTGCTGAGGTAATAAATAAATGAATGAGAAAAGCAAGAATAGGTGGGGCACAGTGGCTCATGCCTGTAAGCCCAGCACTTTGGGAGGCCAACGCAGGAGGATCACTTGAGGCCAGGAATTTGAGAAAAGCAGGGATAATAATAACACATACTTTACAGAGTTCCTGTAAGAATTAAATGATATGCATGTAAAAGTGTTTGGTGCCGTGCCTGGCATATAAGTTTGTAATTACTGTAGGTTGTTATTGTTTATAATAATAGTAATAACTTGAAGTTGTTATTCTATAACAGAGACCAATTGGAAGATTCGTAAAAAATAATTGGAGTCCTACTTTTTTCTCAGCTGAAAAGGATGCCAACACAGAGATTCTGATATCCCCTTGCTGCTGGCCCAAAATGCCCAAGAAGGTGAAGAATGGGACAAATGTGGGACATTTTACCCCAAAATCATGAACAAGAAGGTCCAAAGATAAAGACAGACAGTAGCAGTAATGGCGGAGACTGGGTCCAGGCAATAGCTGTGAAGGCTGGCCACCTGGATGAACACCCAGAGATGACCTTGAAGAACATCTGCCAGCTCAGGACCACATCAGGGACTTCTAGCCCAACAATAAGCTAAGTTAAACCAGGACACTATGGGATATTTTAGAAGAGCAAACAGCAGCTCCTCAATGCCAGTGCATCTTTAAGTCCCAGCTCAATACCAAATAATGCAGATGTAAGAGAATAGATTCATGAAAGAAAAAAAAGTGAAGCCTCTATTCAAGAACTTTCACAAGGAGTGTGCTCAAACTCCTGTGTGCAGTGGAATGACCAAAAATCTGCAGCTTCCCAGTCTTACTGTGAAGTCGGTAGGGTTGAGGTAGAACCCTTTTTCCTTATTAACAAGATTCTCAGATGCTTTGGATATAGAACAATTTAAGAGTCAACTTAAAAAGTACTCCCAGAAGCTTCAGCTGTTAAGTGTCTAATTATCCAAGATGAGAAACTCCTAAACTGGAATATTTTCAATGTACCTAAAAAAAAACTATCCTCTTGATTGAATTTGCATGTTATCATAAAGTTTTGGGTTAAATGCCTAACAGTTAAGGTTCAATATGAACCCGAAATAATTATTTCTACAGAAAAATAACTCATAACAAGAAATAACCATTTTTGAAGTATTAAATATGATTGACTTAATTTAAAGTTTTCCTAAATTAGACCTGAGTTTTATTAATTTATATATACACTGTTCTATTCAAATGTGTTATACGTCCAGGGAAAACTTGTAAATAATTTTTGTATGCATCTAATAAATGCTTGAATATAATTAGTAGTATTTCTAGTTTGTAATCTGAAGTGTAGTGCATAACTGAATTCTTTGTTCAATATAACTCTTAGATTGATATAGACAACTATACATAATTAAACCTTCAAGTCTATTTTTTAAAGGAAAAAAAGAAGAGAGACCTAAGCAGACACTTACCTTGTACACACATTCAAATCCACATGATTGAGATCATCTTTATTTTCTTTTACAGCAACATCTAAATCAAAGGCTTCTTGATTTTGGATAGATCTTCGTCTTCTAGAAGACCCAGAAGCCTTCACATTATATACAACATTGAGCTGTAAAAAATAAACTAGCATAAATAACAAGTTGGACATAAATTTCCATCATTTTGCCTTCTAAATACTGTATTAGGTAATGATTCTCTTTGGATGGACCCAGTAAGATTTTTAATCTTCAAACTAGAAAAAAATTAATTTAACTTGCTCACAAAGTATCACTATTAACAAATAGTATTAAAATTTATAAAATTATGTTTAAATGGAGAAAACTGTTAAGTAATATTCCAAAACAAGTACAATAAAACACTATGGGTGATATTTGGGGATACTGGTTTGCCAAAGAGGGCAAACATTCCCTTGAGGAAAAAACTTTCTTGACAGCATTCACTAATTTCTAAGGCCTGTTGCCCAAATGGAGTCATTTTTCTCTAACTAGAACTTCAAAAACTCTCAGTAGGATAAATCAAAACTAAAACATTGAAGAGCCTTAGTTGAACATTGCTGAGGATTATTTTTGTTCATACAATGTTTGTCAAAGATGATAAAATAAATGATAGCTTTCAAGTCAACTGGGTCTTTCTCAGCATCTACTCTGTACCCACCACTGATGTTAAAGGTGCCGTAGACACACTGGGAGAGCCTGAGGACCCGTGTCTTTCTCAAAGGGATCCTAAATCAGAAGCTTAGGAATGTACTCAAAACTTCCTAGTCCAATCTCATCTCCAGATGGACTGGAATCTATTTAAATGTTTTACCTCATCCCCTTTTTTATAACAAGGTTCATAAAGCTTACTGTTGCTTTGTAAGGTTGTGTTTTCTTTTAACTTATACCTAAAACACATACACATATGCACACGTGCACACACATACACACACACCCCTCAGAACTAACATCTAATACCCCTCATGGATTTGCATACTTAAAAAAATCCTCTAAGCCTTCATTTTTCAAATCTAAAAGTTGCAATCTTCTTATTCTGCCACAATCCAAACTGATATAATCCTTCATCCACTCGATCCTTCTGGTTATCTTACTTTGGACATTTGTCAACTCTTTCTTAAAGTATAATGATTAAATTATAGAGTATTCCTGAAGCAGCTGAAGAACAGTCCCATAAAATTGGAGAAATGCTTTCTATTATTTCCATCATTCCCCTTTCGGTGGCATGCAATTGTCCCTTTAGAGACCAATGCTATCAGGAAACAAACAAGGACTACTCTGTCTCTTGGGTCATAATTAATGCCCATCCATAACTAAGTATTAGGGTTTACATTTGGCAATAAAGCTCAACTGCTCACTCAGGGAACTTCAAAAGATCTTGCAGTTTATTTCCAACAGTTTAGTATTTTATTACCCAAAAGAGGGTAATATTTACTGCAAACTCATGAGTTTTCTTTGCCTTCCTTGTTCCAGAGCACTTATAAAAATATCAACTGTAAGAAATCTCAATACCCATTTCTGAGTGACCAACTTCTTTGTAATTTTTTTCCTCCCTCATGAGAGGTGCCTACTAGTCCCTTCCTTTTGTTTTCTGCATTTTGAGACCAACATGGGATTGATGAACATTCTGACCAACAGGTACCACATTTACCCCTGTGTGCTTCAAGCCTCAAGTAAAAAATCACTTGGTTTCACTAATTTCTCTACATTTGGTTTATCAAAAATGAATTCCAACCAACTTGGTGATTTAAGTACATATAATTTTTCAATTTTATCTAGAATACACAGCATATTTACTTCTGGATTTACTCTTGGATTGCAAGACAGCTTGAGAATGAGAATTTTCCCATGGTCTTTGTTAGTAAAGATCGAAATAAATTGTTTACTTTCTCTTTCTGACCTTTTCACTGAATACCATTCCTTTTCATTGTGATCATTTTTCCTTTAGTTTTAAAAAATGTTTACTGTATTCTGAGAATAATGCAAAATAATCTTAGAATTATTTGGAAGTTTCTAAATTATACCTGCTTAGCAAGGTATACCCGCCCTACTCAGCAAGTATACCTGTTCTCTCTACTAGAATGGTTGTTCTGGTTTTTGAAAAAAGTACTTTTTCTCCATAATAGCCATTTTTTTACTTTCTCAGTAAGTGTTTCAGTGTTTTTGTTTGGTCGTTTGTTTCTACCCAAGCACACAACCATTTTTGGTCCTATCACAAATTATCTTTGGGTTCTAATGAGATGATCTTAAAGTCCTCAATATTTTTATGTGCTATTTAGTGTGATGATTATCTTATTCAGTATTTTTCATACTACTTCCATTTTATTGTAGCTCCTGCTGCACTATAAAAATGTAGATTTCTTTATATTTTCTTTCTGTACCAGAGGATTGAGCATAATTATGCTTTAATTGTTATATTTACTATTATATAAGATTTTACATTAAAGGGACACAATTCCTCCCCTCAAGTCAATAATTCTACCATGTTGACTTCTATATTCTCAGATGAATATTAAGAAATTATAAGTAAAACATGTATTTGTTATCAGGAATCATATTGGAGGACATTAACCCTCACTTCAAAAAGCAAATAATCTCCAAGAAATACTTTTCAAACAGAAAATCAATCTATATAATTGCTCTCTACTCATTGGCTGGCAACATCTCTAATACTTTTTATTAAAGACAGTGATATATCTTGCTTAAGTCACAGATGTAAATCATTAGGAATTATATTCAAGTTATCTAAGATTTAATAAAGCCCCAAACCAAATAATTATTATAAAAAGTCATATTTAACTTAAAAAAATAAGCATCGTTACATACCTGACAAATAGCAAATCCAAAACCATTTGCGGAAATATTAACTGCCGTTGGCTGTACCACAGCAAGCTGAATCAAGGTGAAAAAAAGTGAATGAGGCTAATTTTCCATATCTAGATCCTTCCAAGTAGCAAAACAGATCAGTCCTATCCCTCATTAGGAAAAGAAGCAATCACTGACAGCACTAAGAGCTTTGCACTGTCTCACATATCAAAAGCTATGGGTCAAATAGGTAAGCAAGGTGATGAAAGGAAAAGTGCACACTCCCCAAGCTCCCTCACCTCTGCCCATGGGAGGGCACATTAGTGCTACTGACAAGTCTGTCCTCCTGTTGGGGCTGAAGCATAAAAGACAAGAAACTAAAGTCATCTCCCTCCCCTGACCTCCCTTAATCAGGGCCTAATCCCCTGGCTCTCCCAGGAACACAATAACACATTGTCTATGACTGTGCCTAACTTTATTCTTTCTTTTCCTTTATCATCACCACTCTTCATCACTTTCCAGAATTGAAGTTATCACCTTCATCCATTGTACTTAACCTCCCACAAAACTGATCAAGGGAATAAAGTTAAGAACTAGCATATTCTTTTATTCCAGTTAAAGTAAGAATTCTACTACCGGTTCTATCAATTCTCCTAAGAAGACATGTGGAGCAGCTGAAAAGAACATGGTCTTTGGAATGATGAGTTCAAATCCTAGCTCTACTGTTACTAGTAACATGATCTTGAGCAAGTCACTTAACCTCTCTCAGCCTCAGTTTTATCATATGTATGATGGGGATAGATGTACTTACTTCTTAGAGTTACTTTGAGAAGTAAATGCAATAGCATACGTAAAGTAATCTAGCACAGTGCCTATGAAGAATAGAAACTCAACAGGTTTCTATGTTCATTCCTTTCCCAATGTTACAGTGCCCGTGTTTTCTCCTGTTCCACCAATCTTTCCAAAGTTCCCCACCCTTCCAGAGCTCAGCAAATTCAGCCAAAGAAGGGCACCACTTCTCCCTATTACTCTACAGAGCTCTGGAAACAAGTCTTTGTTGAAATCAACAGATTACAAATAAAGCAGTATTCCAGCATAAAGAATTGTCTACACTGATTTTTAAATAACTGCCCCTTGCCCACACCTCTGCTGTCTGAAGGAGTAAGCGGTTGTGTGTGTCAATCAGAAACTTTACAGGACTTGGTGAGCTAGGCCCCGTCACGGTCACTTGGATATTTGTCCTTTCTGTATTCATTAGGGCTGCAAATTCAGACAGAGCCTTTAAAGCCACAGTGGTATCCTGTTGAGGGAAGAAAAACATTTGTACATATAAGTATATATCAAGGTCTTCAAAGAGTAAATTTAGTAGTATTTTGTTGCTGGATATTCATACACCTTCCTTCAGAGTGGAATGCTCCCTGATTCATATTTGAATGTCCTTGGCCTAGAGTACAGGAGAGGCTCAGAAAATGTTTGCTGAAATGTTTTATAGTTTTTAGTGTATAGATCTTATTGATTTTTGTCAGATTAATCCCTAAACAGTTCACATGTTATGCTATTTTGATTTGCATTTCCATTGCTTATATATAGATACAATGGATTTCTGTACAATGATTTTTTTATACCACAATGTTACTAAATTCACTTGTTAATCCTAGTAGCATTTCTGTAGATCCCACTGAATTTTGCTCATAAATGATCATATTATCAGTAAATTAAAAGTTTCAGTTTTTCCTTTCCAAAAAGAAGAAAAGAAAATAGAAAATATTTGCTATATGGAACTGAACATCTACTCTTATATCAGTTACCACAGATGAAAAGTGGCAGATGGGGAACTGATTTATTCCATATAAATATCAGACATGAAATTCATAGTAATGAGGAGAAAAAAATTAAAATTAATCAATTTAGCCTTTTGCTTAAGTTACTAAACTTTGAAACTGCCAAGTAATTTTATGAAATCAAGGAAAAAATGCAACCACATACTTTTAAAAATATTTTTTATATATAACATATGATTTATATAATATATACTATATATTATATATAAAATATATATAATAAATAAATCTATATTATATATTATAGTTTAAAGGGAAAAAACTATCATCTCTCACCTGAGTAGATGCAAAACCACCCAAGCTATTTCTTTGCCTGCTTAGCCACCTCATAATTGGGATTCCCTCAGAAGTCTGAAATTGTAAGAAGTGTGAGAGCAGTGCATAGGCTGCAACTTCAATATCCAGGGAGCGTGGCTGCCAGGAGTCAGAAAGTTTGGACTCTGATGACACCCAGAATTGCATGCCACCTGCAAGAGAAAAGTAATAACATTCTGATCAATTATCCAGAAAAATTACATTTTATACCATTAAATATTCCTACTCTGGTCCAAGTTGTACTTAACTAGCATAAAAAATATATACTTGTATACATGTATTTATTTATGCCAGACATGTATTTATTTATCACAAACACACACACACATACATATGTATACATGTGCCTATATGTTGCTTTTTTAAACTATTACAAGTTAAGTATATCTTATCCAAAAAGCTTGGGGCCAGAAGTGTGTCCAATTTCTGTTTTGTTTGAATTTTTGGAATATTTACAGCATACATACATTCCAAAATCTGAAATGCTCAAAAATCTGAAACTTTTTGAGCACTGACATGATACTCAAAGGAAATGCTCATTGGAGCATTTTGGATTTCAGATTTTTGGATTAGGGATGCTCAACCTATATACTTGTAAATTTTCATCCTTTTCCCATTGCCTACATTTGAGGATGTTTTGATGAAAATAGTTTTCCTATGAGAAATTCCCTATATTTGGCTCAAGACTAAATAGCTATAAATAAAAGGAAAAAATAATATATTTCAGAAGATAATGCACGTTACTTATCTGACCAGGCCATCCCCAAAATATTTTAAGACACATTGAAAAGAATCCTATTCTGGGAATCTGCCATTAACTAGCTCTAATATTCTGGACTCTCCCATTTTCATTATCTGAAGGTTGGTGTTAACAGTTTGAGGTTCAAGCCCCCAGGAAAAAAAATTAGGATCCCCAGCTAACTCAACAACCTTCCTAGAGATAATTCTGCTCTAGTCCCCAGAGGACCATCCTACTTGGTGCCCTCTCTCAAATATTACTATTTAGATGATGACTACACTTAGGTGGAATATTAAATAACTACCACTTAGCCAAGCAGACAAGAAGAAAAAATGTCAAAGACTGCTTCAGCCTCTAAGCAATAATCTTCTAGTCCCCAGCTTTGGAATAGGTAACAAGGATTCAATCTAAGTTACTGTTAATACAATATTTTTTACAGTCTCAGAAGCCTCTAAACACTTTCTACAATTATCCCTTCTTGAATTAACAGAAATTTGAATCACTGGACATTATCTTATTTCTGCCCACCCACTTCCATCTCTCTCTTTCTTACACACACACACACACACACACACACACACACACACACACCTGGATCCCTGTCCACTTTGTATATAAAATACACATAATCCACTTACTAGCAGCATTTTTTGGTATTCACATTTCTTTTAATTAGCATTTTAGTTCCTATTTTTGAGCATTTGCTATGCAGCAGCATTGCACATTATCTCATTTAATCCTCACAGCCACTCTAAAATAGGTGCCATTTCCACTTTACAGTTGGGAAAACTGAACCTCATAAAGGTAAGTTGCAGAACCAGGATTTAACCTGTCTCTCCAGAACCCAAGGTCTTAGCAAACTACAAGGCTGCCAAACCAGAAATGGTATCAGACACTCAAAGGGTAACTGACATAGGGCATCACATATCTAAAATAAAGAGACATCTGAGCCCTGAAATTCTGTTAAAAAAACCCTGGGGAGACCAGAAGCATTGTGGCCATGTCAGGCCCATCCTGATCTCATTATGTGTTTTACTTTTCACCAAAAGATGCAGATGTAATCAATTTCAAACCTGGCTAAAAATTTTTCTCATGTAAGTTATATATTTCATAAAGCATAACAACCTCAAGTGGGCCCAGCACATTACCTTCTTGTTCTGCTCTCCAAGTCAGCATATTCAAAGCTTCCTTCGCTTTAGGACTCCCCACTGATGACAATGCATAAGTTATAAGGGCTAGAGTATAATTGTCTGAAATTCCTCTACTGAATTCAGACTCCAAAAAATGGATAGACTCTTGCACATCAATGTTAGGCTTGGAAGAAAAAAAGTATGTTTTTTACTATTCAGAGTAACCCATTACCACATACTGAAACAAAAAGTACTTTGAAACATGCATTTAAAAAATAAGTTCAGTGTCTATGAAGTACCTGACCTTGTACTAGGCAATGAAAATCAACCATGATCATTGACATTTAAAGATTTGCCATGCATTTTGAAAATAATACTGTTTTTCAGTTTTTATAAGTAAACAGGTGTCATTCCCTAGAAGAAAAAAGTAGAGCTTTTGCCAGTGTTTCTCCCACTCAGTATCACAGACTCAGATAAGAACAGCAAACTGCTTGAGAAATATATTTCTTATATTTGATCTCTGGTAGTGCGGCCCTAAGTTCAGGAAAAGTTTAGCTTCTACATGCCTACTAGTAGAATAGGAAAATAGTGGGGGTCCTAATAAAGAGAATGACTTTGGTGATCTCATAAAATGCAGCAGGCAGTAAGCAGTAAAGGCATCAATCACCAGGACAGCTCTGGAGCAAACTTAAGCTCGTCAGCATACCTTTCCACGCATACTCATTCTCATCCAGGCATCCATGCCCATTCAACACACTTTTCAGGGTATGGGTGTTCTCAGCACTAAATTAACAGATATTGTAACTGTTCCATGATGTTTTATAAGTAAAAAATCCTTTGCAATCTAAACTTGCTAGAACACATTGTCAAATTTTAAATAATTTTCTTTCCCCTCAGAAATTAACTTTTTCAATGATAAAACATGTATTGACTTATCTTACCAATAGCAAGTACAATACATACATTAAAAAGCATTTTTAGAATTCTCTTAGTTATTCTGAAAGAGTGGGTTAATGTTTTATTCTCAGATTTTGGAACATGGCCACAAATGCAAAGCAAAAGAGTACTCAAATTCAGATTTCACATGTGTTGTAAAGCTGCAACTTGTTAAGTTTCCACACACATATTTGACCCATTAAGACCTACCTTCCTTGAATTTCCCATCTATCATTTATTAAATTAAATACGAAATACCTGATACTTTCTATATCCCAGGAGAGAAGTTACAATATAGGCTGTAAGTGTTACTGGACTTTTATTGCCACCTTGAAGCTCACTATGAATCACTCTTCCTGGATCCCAAAATTCACCGTTGGATTTCTGATGTCCTTTAAGCCAAGTGTATGTTCTGTGTAACACATTCTGATCAATATCTATGTAAGGATCGGCTTCAAGGAAACATCTTAAAACAAAAGCTGACAACCTTTATGAAAAGAGAAAAAAATTACATAAAATACACTTTATAAGGTCCACCAAATAACACCGAGCAAGCAAAACAACAACACTTTTTCCCCCATCAGAAGATTCATCAAAGGGGGAATCACTGAAGATGGAACAAGGAAAGAAAAAAATCAAAAAAGAAAGAGCAAAGGGACAAGGTAAGCAACTCTCTCTAGCAGGCAGAACTGGTTTCCACTTGGGCTTGGCCAAGAAATTCCATGTTGACTCAAAAATCTCAGATTTGAAAAGGAATTTAGAAATGATCTAATCCAGCTCCATTTTTTAATTTAATTTTATTTTATTTTATTTTTATTTATTATACTTTAAGTTCTAGGGTACATGTGCACAACGTGCAGGTTTGTTACATATGTGTACATGTGCCATGTTGGTGTGCTGCACCCATTAACGCGTCATTTACATTAGGTATGTCTCCTAATGCTATCCCTCCCCCATCCCCCCACCCCACAACAGGTCCCGGTGTGTAATGTTCCCCTTCCTGTGTCCAAGTGTTCTCATTGTTCAATTTCCACCTATGAGTGAGAACATGTGGTGTTTGGTTTTTTGTCCTTGCGATAGTTTGCTGAGAATGATGGTTTCCAGCTTCATCCATGTCCCTACAAAGGACATGAACTCATCCTTTTTTATGGCTGCATAGTATTCCATGGTGTATATGTGCCACATTTTCTTAATCCAGTCTATCATTGATGGACATTTGGGCTGGTTCCAAGTCTTTGCTATTGTGAATAGTGCCGCAATAAACATACGTGTGCATGTGTCTTTATAGCAGCATGATTTATAATCCTTTGGGTATATACCCAGTAATGGGATGGCTGGGTGTGGGGAAAAGAAAGAGAGATCAGATTGTTGCTGTGTCTGTGTAGAAAGAAGTAGACATAGGAGACTCCATTTTGTTCTGTACTAAGAAAAATTCTTCTGCCTTGAGATGCTGTTAATCTGTAACCTTACCCCCAACCCCGTGCCCTCTGAAACATGTGCTGTGTCAACTCAGGGTTAAATGGATTAAGGGCTGTGTAAGATGTGCCTTGTTAAACAGATGCTTGAAGGCAGCATGCTCGTTAAGAGTCATCACCACTCCCTAATCTCAAGTACCCAGGGACACAAACACTGCGGAAGGCTGCAGGGACCTCTGCCTAGGAAAGCCAGGTATTGTCCAAGGTTTCTCCCCATGTGATAGTCTGAAATGTGGCCTCGTGGGAAGGGAAAGACCTGACCGTCCCCCAGCCCAACACCCGTAAAGGGTCTGTGCTGAGGAGGATTAGTATAAGCAGAAGGAACACCTCTTTGCAGTTGAGATAAGAGGAAGGCATCTGTCTCCTGCCCGTCCCTGGGCAATGGAATGTCTCGGTATAAAATCCGATTGTATGTTCCATCTACTGAGATAGGGGAAACCTGCCTTAGGGCTGGAGGTGGGACATGCGGGCAGCAATACTGCTCTTTAAGGCATTGAGATGTTTATGTGTATGCATATCTAAAGCACAGCACTTAATTCTTTAACCCTGAGTTGACACAGCACATGTTTCAGAGAGCTCAGGGTTGGGGGTAAGGTTACAGATTAACAGCATCTCAAGGCAGAAGAATTTTTCTTAGTACAGAACAAAATGGAGTCTCCTATGTCTACTTCTTTCTACACAGACACGGTAACAATCTGATCTCTCTTTCTTTTCCCCACAGCTGGGTCAAATGGTATTTCTAGTTCTAGATCCTTGAGGAATCACCACACTGTCTTCCACAATGGTTGAACTAGTTTATGGTCCCACCAACAGTGTAAAAGTATTCCTATCTCTCCACAACTTCTCCAGCACCTGTTGTTTCCTGCCTTTATAATGATCGCCATTCTAACTGGTGTGAGATGGTATCTCATTGTGGTTTTGATTTACATTTCTCTGATGGCCAGTGATGATGAGCATTTTTTAATGTGTCTGTTGAATCCAGCTCCATTATTTTGTAGACTGAGAATCTGACAGTCCAAGAGAGTTAAATAAATTGTCCAAGGTTATTCATCTTTGGACTGTTCTAGATATTTACCAAAGAAGAGCTCCAACACGCTTCAGTCAGCCCCAAAGCTGTGGGTGAAGAATGCATACATAGTTCACAAGCAAACTGTAGTACTTCAGGTGGGGAAAATGATATTTTTCTCTCCTATAGAATGGGAGTTAGCCAACTGCAGCCTGTGGGCCAAATCTGCCTGGCCCAAATCTGGCCCTCAAGCCAAATACAGCCCAGGGCCTGTTTATGTGTGCACCAACCCAGCCCCCACCTGCCAACACCACCACCTAAGAGCGGGTTTTAAAAGAAGGAAAAGAAAAAGACAAAGACAGGAAAGAAAGAGGGAGGAGAGGGAGGAAGAGGGAAGAGCATGCAACGGAGACTCTACGTGGCCCAAAATGCCTGAAATACTTACAATCTGACCCTTTACAGAAAAGTTTGCCAGTCCCTGCTACAAAACACTATACTGAGGTAAAAAGAACATCAAGCAATACAACACTGAAAGCTTTCTATTTATGGTTCTATATCCTGAGTCAGGCCAAGGCCAAGAGAAAATTTGAAGCAGATCTGTTTCATGTTATATAAAGTTTCATGTGGTAAACATTACTGATATTCAATAATATACAGTTCTCTTTTACTTTGGTTACACAGAGGAATTCACTTTCCTGCCCCAGTGAGGTTAGGCATAGCCATGTGACCAGCTCTGAGAAGGATAAAATGAGTAGAAATGATACACTCAGGATGAAGTCTCTAATTGCCAGTGCTATAGACTCCAGCCTCCTCTTTCCGGGCTGTGGCAAACCTGGAGCCTCCTTTTGGAGACGTGGACACGTTGGCAGCTGCAGAGCCCCCTGCTGACCACAATGGAAAGGCAGCATGAACAAGAAATCCCTTCATTGTTAATTGCTTAGATTGAGTAGGTTGGTTGTTACCACAGCACTCCTAGTCTATCCTGATTGATACAGTGAGTCAATCTTTTTCTGAGTAAAATAGGAAATTGAAGATAAGTACAAGAAGAGAGATTAATCATCCAAAATCAGCCACATAGAGATTCCAGTCTGGAGGAAACTGGCTGTTCATACTTAATTCCATCAGTGTTTGTTTTTTACACACACACACACACACACACAAACTTAAACTACATTGACCGCAGTAACACAACACTTGTATTAGTCATGGAAGATTAAGAAAAAAGCTGTGTCACAATCACCCGGCATTTCTAACTGATTTTATCAGCTGCACCATCATCATAAAGTATTTTTATTTCTGTTTCTTCCACACACACACACACACAAAAAAGAGGATTTATAACTTATCTTTTCTAAATAAAAACATTTGATTTGTTAATGTTTGAAAATAATACTTTAAAAAGAAAATCTCTTTTTAAAGCCAGACTAAGGAAAAAGCAACCTCCCAGTCTATAATATATAGAGATATATCTGTCAATTTCGTGGCTATTGTGACCTAGTGAAAGCCCATTCCATGACACGGATTTGTTCAGTTGGCAAAAACACTTACCAAGTGCTCCCAGAAGGGTCATAATTCCCAAAAGCACTGAAAGAGCCATCTTCCCTCTGATAGAGAAGTTCTCTCTGGTAACCTAGACACAAAAATAGACAGATAGTCAAAGTAATCATTAACTTGCAATGGATGAAAGTTTCTAATTATGACTTCATATTGAGGAAATATGGGCAGAGAGGGGGAAAGAAGAAATCAAACCAAGAGCTAATATTGAGTACTTTCTATTTTAAGTGCTGTTGGAAATTTAAAATGCCAGGACTTTTCAAGCAGAATGCATAAAATAAAAACTGTGATATCCCAGCCGGGTGCAGTGGCTCACACCTATAATCCCAGCGCTTTGGGAGGCCGAAGCAGGTGGATTGCCTGAAGTCAGGACTTCGAGACCAGCTTGACCAACATGGTGAAACCCCATCTCTATTAAAAATACAAAAAGTAGCCGGGCATGGTGGCACATGCCTGTAATCCCAGCTACTCGGGAGGCTGAGGCAGGAGAATCGCTTGAACCCAGGAAGCAGAGGTTGCAGTGAGCCGAGATTTGCGTCATTGCACTCCAGCCTAGGCAACAAGAGCAAATAAAATTCCATCTCAAAAAAAAAAAAAAAAGCCTGTGATATCCCAAATTAAAGTAAATTAAAAGATCACTATGGCATAGATGATGCTTCTAGCCATTCAAAAGCAAGCAAATTAAAGGCAGACTTTTATTTAACTGTCTAGTGTTCATCAAAATTGTTTCAATGCTTAGTCATCTAGCACTGTTTGCTACAGAAGAAAAATACTATGTAGGGTATCATTAATTTAAGTTTAAGGCCAAAGTAGAAAATAAAAGTATTTTCTATTCTTAGACCAGCAATACAGAGGAGGAAATGCAAAATAATCTAAAACGGTGGCTCTTAAATTTTGGGGCCATGGCCAACTGAGGTAAACCAAAAAACCAACTTGCCTGCCTACCCACCAATTCCATGTTTCCACTAAAAAAAAAAAAAAAAAAAAAAATATATATATATATATACACACACACACACACACACACACACACACACATATACACATGCTCAGTGGTGGCAATGAAGTATCATTACAGAAGTAAATTAGGTAGGGGGTTAAGGCTCACGTATCTGCATTAATAAAAGCAAATGTGTCATATTTGCAAATAGTTACAAATAAATGATTGCAAATAAAAAGCAGATGTTTCATATTTGCAAAGCAATGCATACAGATCTCAAAGTCCAGTGTGAGAAAACATAGGCCAAACTCTAAAGGATTCACCAAACAACCCACAATAAACTAACTTGCTAAAAATAAAGTTAAGATAGCAATAACTTATCACTAAAAAAGCAACCATTAGCAGGAACATTTCCAGCTCAAGGCATTATCAATGACTCTCTGATAGCCAAAAATCCTTCTAAAAATTACACAATTCCACTATTAGCAGGTAAGGGCACACAGCCTGAGCTTTGCAGCACAGACATGGCAAAGCTTGGCAACCATACTCATTTGTGAAATGTTGAAATCCTTCCCCAGTAAACTGCAGTAATAAACAAATTTGACTTTATAAATACCATATTTTAGAAGCATCCAGAACTATAAGTAAAATTCATATTTGACTAACTAAACATAAGCATTAATGGTTTGAAATTACAGTTAATGTGTTCTCACCTTCAAGTCCCAAACTTCTCCCTGAGTCTTTCCAAAAGAAACCCTAGATTTAAGTATCTGATTTAAGTTACAATAAAACAAAATGCATAAAGAAAAAAAGAAAACAAGATACTCTGTTTCATGGTGATATTTAAGACTTATGGTAAAAGAAATATAAACATTTAAAGTGATGACAAAACTTTGCTTAATTTGAAGAAGGGAACATTAGATTATACCTTTATGTTTCTAATTGAATTATTACGGTGCAGTAATTAGCCAACTTTCATTCAGCACTCATTAGATGTCAGGAACTGTTCAAAGTCCTTTGCAGGATTAACTCAGGTAATTCTCACAAGGACCCTCTGACATAGATGCTATTATTATTCCCTTTTTCACAGATAATGAGACTGAAACTCAGCGGATACAGATACCATGTGCATGGTCACACAGCTAACAGGGAGTGAAGTTGGGCATTAGCCAACTTCTCACTGGCTCCAAGGCCACTGTCTCCTAGTAAATCACAGAGCTCTTCCAATTATTAAACATGATAAAAGAAGAAAAGACTTCAGTAAGTACCTTTTACATGGAAAGCTCTCAACAAACAATAGGCATTACTCTCTAATATAGGTGTAGAGGAAGGCTCTCTAAGCACCAGATGCAATAAAATAAAAAAATTGATGCATTTGACTATTTTTTTAAAGTTTTTAAACTATTCCAAGGCAAAACACACTATAAGCAAGGCTTAACAAATAAATTAAGACCATATTTGCAACATATAAGATGGATAAATAGCTAATATCAATATTATGTAATTTTTATGTATGTTTATATGTTATTACTTACATGTATATACATATATAAAGAACTTTTTAAAAATTAGGGTAAAGGATAAAAAGCCCTATAAAAATAAGTGAATAAAAGGCAAAACAGATAAGTCACAAAAGACAAAAATATAAAAACAAATCTTAATATAGAAAACACATTCAACTTCATAACAGGAGAAACTCAAATTAAACCTACACTGAGATACCATTTCTCTCCCATCAGATTAGCATTAAGATTCAAAAGTCTGACCACTCCTTCTGTTGGGTGAGCTGTATGGAAACCAGCACTGATCCACTGCTAGAGGGAATTCAGAAGGTTACAACTACCATGTAGGGGAATGTCTTTACCCTCTGACCCAGTAATCCCAGTTCTAGGAATCTACCCTGAAGACACACCTCCAACAATACAAAAATATATACGCAGAAGATTATTCATTACAGCATCATCTGTAATTGTAACATAATGGAAACAATCTTAGTGCCCCAAAACTGGAGACTGATTGAATAAACTATGGTACACACACATGACAGAGTACTATGCAGCTGTGAAAAAAAGAATGAGGAATATCTCGGTCAACTGATGCAGAGTAATTTCCTGGATACACTGTTAAGTGAAAAAGGCAAAGTGTAAAATAGTACATATAGATATACTATCTTCTGTGTAATAAAAAGGGGAAATGAGGCGAGGCGCCAAGGTTCACCTATTGCCAAGGTTCAGCACTTTGGGAGGCCAAGGCGAGTGGATCACTTGAGCCTAGGAGTTTGAGACCAGCCTGGGCAATATGACAAAAGCCTGTCTCTACAAAAATACAAAAAAAAAATTAGCATGGTGGCATGTGCCTGTAGTCCCACCTGTTCAGAAGGCTGAAGTGGGAGAATCACCTGAGCCCAGTAAGTCAAGGCTGCAGTGAACCATGATTGTGCCACTGCACTTCAGCCTGGGCAAAGGGAGACACCCTGTCTTTAAAAAAAAAAAAAAAATTGCGGGGGGAAATGAGAAAACATATATGTATACATTTATTTTCGCAAAAGGAGAGAGAGAAAAGATAGTCTAGAAACTAATGAAGTAGGTTACTGGTATATTTGTCCCCACACAAATCTCATGTTCAATTATAATCCTCAATGTTGGAGGTAAGGCCCAGTGGGAGGTGACTGGATCTTGGTGCTGTCCTTGAGATAGTGAGTGAGTTACTGTAAGATCTGGTCATTTAAAAGTGTGTGGCACCTCCCCACAACACTGTCTCTCTTGTCCTTGTTTTCACCATGTGATGTGCCTGTTCCCAGTTCACCTTCTGCCACAACTGTAAGCTTCCTGAGACCTTCCTAGGGGGAAATGCCGGCGCTATGCTTCCTGCACAGCCTGCAGAATCATGAGCCAATTAAACCTCTTTCCTTATAAATTACCCAGACTCGGGTATTTCTTTATAGTAATGCAAGAACCGCCTGATATAGTTACCAATGAGAGGTAGGGAGAAAGAAAAGGGGAAGAAGAGACACTCTTTTGAATATATGTCTCAAAATAAGTTTGTCTTTTGGAAGCATGTTAATGTTCTACATGTTCAAAACATAAACAAAAGTGGAAAAAATTAAATGATAGGCATTATCACTACTCTAGTTCATTTTATCATGTTTTAGTTTTCACATAACCTTTAAAAATGCAGTATATTATCTCATTTTTCAGAGGCAGCCAGGGATCACAGAGAAGCAAAATAATTAATGTTCACAAAAGAAATCAGCAAGAGAGTCCAGGACATTCTCCCTCAATTTTTAATTAAGGACTAAATTCTCCAGATAGCCAGAGTTTAACTATGAATTCAACCTAAGAAAAAAGAGGAAAAGGAAAGAAGAGAGGAGAAGGAGAGGAGAGGGAAGAAGAAAAAAGAAAATAGGTTTGAGGCCCTCAATCCCTACACAAAAGTTTGAGGTACTTTTGTGACAGAAAGACCAACCTCAAGGAGAGGACCATGTGCCTCCACACCCCCAGATCACATCAACAACGGCAGTTCCAAGTATGAGATATTGTGAAACTGGTCAGAGATGAGATCATGGAGATGAGATCAGTGCTTATGGAAATTACCCCTCAGGTGGCTGACCTCCAACATTCCCCATTAATATCAACAACTAGCACCATTCTTCCACTAGAGGCAGCCAGCCCAGAGAAGAGGCCACAGACAATCACCAGTTTTGCAGTGAATTTCTTGAGCAGGCTTAGATAACACCGAGAATCCAAACCACCAGCTCTGCTCCCATGGAAAAGTAAGGGAGAAATTCACAACCTGGAGAGAACTTGTATGTCTCCTTGTGGGAGTGTCCTGTGAGGTTTCCTTCCTCATCTTAAACCAGCATGCATCATTGTGGATCCCTCGACTGTCCTCCAAATCGTCCCAGTGTATCAGGCCTAATTTCCATCCCATAAACAAAACAGGTCCAGGCACAGTGGCTCATGCCTATAATCCCAGCACTTTGGGAGGCCAAGGCGGGTGGATTACCTGAGGACAGGAGTTTGAAACCAGCCTGGCTAATACGGCAAAGTCCCGTCTCTACTAAAAATACAAAAATTAGCCAGGTGTGGTGGCACACACCTGTAGTCCCAGCTACTCGGGAGGCTGAAGCAGGAGAATCGCTTGAACCTGGGAGGCGGAGGTTGCAGTGAGCCAAGATCGTACCACTGTACTCCAGACTGGATGACAGAGCAAGACTCCATCACAAAAAAAAGAAAAAAAAAAAAACAGGACACTGATGACTCGTCTATAATGTTTGTTGTTAATACAACAACTCAGCCTTCCAGTGCAGTCATCTAAGTTGGAGACTCTGCATCACAACAGACGAGAAAAGCAAAAACATAGCTCTCTCCAAAAGTTTATGAAGAAATAAGAGTATCACCTTTAAGTTAATCATTTTAGGAATGGCTCTTGAGTTTGAAAAGTAATCATATGCTCAGAACTTTCATAGACTTCTGAAAATTGAAATGCAGAAGAAGTCCAGAGGCTCTTAAGATAAAAACCCATGAGCCCTTCATAAAGGGCCAGATAAGACACATCCTGTTCTGGGTTATGAATTTTCTTTGGGATAACCATGAATGTAAAATTTCAAAATTTATTATAATAAAGATAAAAATACTGCTCACAAACAATGAAAAAGTAACATTCTAAACATAGTTTGACTTGATTTACCTCGTGTCAAAATTACATGTAAATAAAGGAAGTAAAGTCGGCTATTTGTGACTATTTCAAGAATTTTCTCTGGTAATAAGCTGATAAAAAAAATTCTCTGTATTAAAAGAAATCATTATGAATTTGTTTACTTTCTATGACATGAAATGGAAAGTGAGAACATCACAGTTTTTTAAGCTATGGCCACTAGCCATACTTGTGACCAATGGCAACATCCGAATTCTGAAGCTTTCTTTCTCTTATTTTTATTTCAATGGAGGAAATATAGTGTTTTCAATTAGACTTGGTTTGAGTCTCACTTTAAAAAGTTGAACTGCAGGCACTGTGATTTAAATATCTGAGGAAAACAAATGGTTTAAATCTTCAATTAACAGGTTCTGGATTTCCAGTCCTTATCAAAAACAGTTTTCATGTTATGGTTCCATTTTCCTTTTTGACAGCAAAGACACTTCATTCAATGATGTAGCTGTTGTTTCGACCAACAAAATAATGGGTTAGGTTACAGAACTCCTGGGCCAAGCATGATTTAAGTAAAACAATGCGCTGTTCATAAATGACATTTAAATAATATAATCATGACTCACGCTGAAGCCACTTTAATTTCTTAAAAAATAAAAACAACTACAGTATATTTAAAGGACTTTGGCAAATGTGATGGCAAAAGAAAAAAGAGAGTCTCTGAAATGAGACACTGATTTCATAATGAAAAGCATTATACCAAGAAGCTTTCGTCCACTACTTTGAAATATAATTTAGTTCAGCATGTGAGATGATGTATTTTTGGGGAGCTCCACTGTGCTGACTTTCACCAGCCACTTCACCAGCAAAAAGAGTAGCACATGGAAATCACTGGTCACATTTCTTAGCTGCTAAGAGAATGCCAAGGCCAGGTCGACCCATTAGTGCCCAGAGATCATCATGCTACACTGTGGGGGCGCTTCAGAGATCTTCTGGACCCAATATCCACATTAGGATGATGGACCTAAAGTCCAAAAAAGTTAATATTGGTAATAAGTTATTCGCCCATTCTGGATTTATTGAGATGCCCACATAGCTATACAATGAAGGTCAAACATGGTCCCCACTGTCACAGAGCTCCCCCTCTAAATGCCAGGACAGATGATGGACAGGATAATTTTAAATAATGTTAAGTGAAGAAATAAAATGGAGTAGTACAAATTGGAGTTACTAAGTGGTCAGGGAAGGCCACTCTGAGGCAAACATCAACTGAATGATGAAAAGGAGCAGCCATGGAAAGACCTAGGGAGAAAGCATGCCAGGAGAAGGAAGGGAAAGCATCATGTCCCTGAAGCAGCATGGAGCTCAGAGTGTTCCAGATACAGCCAGCTCCAGATGAGGCTAAGGAGGGAGGCCAAGCCAGATCACCCAGGACCCTGTAGGCTGAAGCCGGGAGCCCACTGCAGGATCATAAGCAAGCAAGTGACAGGATCTTGACATTTTCTAAGATCCCTTTTACATTATATGGAGAATGTACTGAAGGGGAGGGAACACAGAAAAAGACTAGTCAGGAAGCCATTGGAGTAGTCCAGTGAGCAATCATGCTTGAATGGAACAATTAGCAGTGGGATGGAGAGAAATAGAAGAATTTCATACAGGTTTTTAGAGGGAGAATGGACAGGATTTATTCACTGACATTAACCTCTAACTCCCTAGTTAGAGGCAACTAATTCTACTATAGCTGATATTTGTTGTGCACTTACTACGTGTTGAATAAAATGCTGACATATCTCACTGACTCCTCAAAACAACCCTACCACGTGGGTTCTTTTATTCTCACTGACTCCTAAAAACAACCCTACTAAGTGGGTTCTTTTATTATCCCTGTCTTCCAGGTAAAAAAACCAAGCCTTGGAGACACTAAGAACCTGTTCCAAGGTGGGAGCCAGGACTCAAGCCCAGGTGTGACTGCCTCCACAGCCAGTGCTATGCCCCTGATCTACTTCCTCCCAAGGGGAAACTCGCCTACTTACAGCTGTAGCGCTCGGCATTCTTAACACTTGGGAGGACTGCTTGGCATTTAGAGAACGATGCTTTTTTTGCACTCTGGCCACTGTACCTTCTAACAACCAACAGATGTGAGGAGGGATCTCAGGCAATCAGTAGAGACCCTTTCTGGGTTACTTTGAAAAACTACAGTTTGGCCACCTACCTGGCCAGGACTGACCTGAGGGACTAGCACTGCTTTGGGAAAACAACAGATACTGAGGATTTGGACCATTCATTTTGTAGGATGGCTGCTGATCCACAGCAAAAGTATCTAGGACACACACTGAAATTATTTTTAAGGAATGAGTTTTCACTGCTTACATGTTTCAAGCTATGTAAAATTTATGCTTTCTGTTTAAAGCATTAATATTTGATTAGCCAGAGTTACAGTTCATAAAGCATATGTAAATATGGAGTTATATGTGGCATTTTCTGAAATATTTTACCTTATTGTATTAAACTATCCCAAAGAATGTATGCCAAATTATAAAGCACCAGTCTAATTCCTATGTAGTTTCTACTTCAAACCAGAAAAACTAAATCTTGAATACAAATTGGAATCTTGTTTTCAAAAGGTACAACGTTCATTCATGACAATCCCAAATAATTTTTACTTATCTCCTTAATTACAGCCATTATGCCAATGTGTAAAGATCTCATTTGTGTTTAGCATGGCACACAATATACCACAGAGACCACTTGGTACCACTTAAATTTAATTATAATAAAATTTGACAAAGGTTATTCTTGTACGTATATATTTAAAACACGACCAATCCACAAATGTGTATAAACAGGGATAATTTTACATGGGCAACTCTATACAGGAAATTCCAACTGCTGGATCTCTACAAATATCCCAGAGGACCTAACCACCTGGTGCATTTCAGGGCCGGTCATAGTGTCTGCATGGTCTGGCCCTAATCTAAGGGAAAATATACCACTATGTCCTTCCCCACATCAGAACTCAGGCCACACTCAGCCCTGATTCTAAACGCTGGTCTCCCTTGGTTTGTGATCTCATACACTGCATTGTTCCTGACCCGCAACCCCTTGACTCCCATTCAGCCTTTGTCTGTGCCATCCTATCCCAGGGAGATCTTCAGACACTGACTCCAGCTCATCTACTTAAACCCAACACCTTACAGCTTACTTCAGTCTAATCTGACACCCCATATTCTAACCTTTGGTGCCTCCTTCTCTACAGGACCCCATGTTCCTCCCTTAATATTTTATCAAAACCTCCAGTGAGACTTCTTACACGGTGGTGATACTCAAGCATCCCGTCCCGATTCCTGGTCCTTTCCATCATATCCCATTGCTTCTAAAAACCAGAGAACACTGCAAATCAGAATTATCCCATAGTGTTCTGAGGAACAAGGTGGACGGTGGAACCAGACCACCATGGGTAAATTCTTTAACCTCTCTGTGCCTCAATTTCCTCATCTATAAAATGGAAATAATAATAGGACACCTGCTCCTAGAGTTTTTGTGAGAATTAAATGAAACATGCATAAAACATTTAAACAGATTTAGTTGTTATTACTGTCATTACATAGAATTATTTTAGAATAAAAAGGTCTCTACACAATAATGGAACCTGGAAGAAAAGCTCACATTACAATGGCGTCTTTACTGAGTTTTCTAATTCTCCTATGGAGAAATTAGCAATCAATTAATAGCTTGCCCCTACTTTTCATTTAATCCATTTGTTATAAAAAAACAAAAACTAAAAAAATTAGGAGTTGGAAAGCGTTGAACTATATTTCTCTTAGATTATAGTGAATCCTCATTTTTAATCAGTTTGTGTGAACCCTTCTAATCCTCATGAATTTGATGGACGGGATATATCATACAAATTGTGCAGAGAGAAAAACTCAGCCACAGAGAGTTTGTGCTAGAGGTCCACTAATAAGGAAATACAAAACTGAGACTGTAACTTTGGTAAGCTTTTGGAGTATTTCAGAAAATCAAATTTACTTTACTATTAACATCAAACGTGTCTCACATCTCTTTGTTTCCTCCTAGGTATGGATGTCAAGAGCATAGGCTCAGAGTCCAAATCCAAGCTCTGTATGACTATATGACCCTGGGCAAGTTAGCTAACTTTTCTGCACCTCAGCTTCCTCATCTGCAAAAAAACAGGATCATGCTAATACTAATGGTGAGCCTCCAATGAGGTATGAGATGTAAAGTGTTTAGAACACTGCCTGCCACACAGTGCACACTCAACTCATGTTAGCTGCTGTTATTAACAAGTTGCCAAAACAAAGGATCTGGTGCCTGTGAACAGTTTCCACCTTTCAAGGTGTCAAGATACAGTCTTCACTAGCATGACATTTCCTCAGGGTCCAGCAGGTCCTCCTCATCATTTTAAATGCACTGAGAAGGTCCCCACCACACGGCACTGCGTCTGTTTACATACAAACCATCTTCTCCATTGAGCAGCGAATTCTTTAAGAAGAGAGGCCCTGGCTCCCTCTGTTTTCTTGGCACGAAAACTGATCCTGGCACTAAGAAACACTCCACAAATGTGTAATAAAATGAATGAGTATTCCTCTAGATTTTTAAAGAGTTTTAAATTTCAGATCCCTTAGTATAATACAAGCCCTCCCACCAGAAACTAACTCTTAAGCCATTACTAACAAACATCTTAGCAGCAGTGAGTGAATAGTTAGCTAAAGGAAGAATTGTAACAGCTTTCCATTGTTTGCACTTCCTGCACATGTCAACACCGTGTAGCCCATCACTTACCTAAGACAAAATCCATCTATTTTGAAATATGGTCTAGAATGAACCCTACCTGAAAAAAACAAATTTTTTTCTACGAACAAATGTAGGTCTCTAAAATGCTTACCTTGCCTCATAAATGAAAGAGCTTTTTCTTTCAAATTATCTGTCAGTTGTTTCTTTTTAGTCAGATAATCCAAAATGTAAATATTTGGAGCAAAATTTATCATGTTCTGTTCACCACAGCCATAAGGCATCCGAATCAATGAGGCTAAGCCATTGATGGAAGGACCAAGAACATCTCCTGGAAGCACAAGACATGCAGTTCATTCAGTAAATACTCAGTAACAACGACCTGCTGGTGGCAAAGAGACTTCCACTGAGTACAGAAGACCTCTGTCATTGAAGCAATATCATTATTCCACTGCTTGGAACAGAGTTGGAACTTTACACCAAGCTTTTAGGAAGACTGGTCAAAAAAATAACAATGCTCTGGTACTGAACTTGTAGGTCATGTGATGAAAGAGGACATTTTTAGCTCAGTTAAGCATGTGGCATAAATTAGGCAAAAAATAATTTTTTTAAAAATCTTTAAAAAAATGTACAGAATTGATCAGTAAGACACCATCACTCATACAGGAAAGAAACATTTTATTAGTAGTATTCTTCACGCAAACAAAATTTTATTCTTATTTCTTACTAATACACCACAAGAACTTGAGAAATAATTTTTTAAAAAAACAATGAGGATTGTAGTGTTTTCCAATGTGTTCTGTTTAGTAACAACAAATATAAGTATTTCAATTAATCTCAGGATCAAAAGGATTCGGAAAAGGATTCAAAGTTAGTAATCTAAAATTAAACAAAACACATGCTTTAAAAACCCTCTACCCACATCCTAACACCACAACTCAGGGAAAGTAGCAAAAATTCAGAAATATGAAGGCTGAGTTCTAATTTTGGCCCTGCCATTGTTAAGCTGTATAGATAAGAGTATCTTTCTATGTAGTTTATTTTGAAAACTTATACCAAGCCAAGTCCAAATACCTAGTGAAAATGTGATCCTAAAAAATGAATATGAAAAAAAAGGGAAAAGAACCTGTTTCATATGAATAGACTGAAGCTGTGCCAGTATAGCTTAAATTTTAGATGTGAATACAAAGAAAAAAATAGAGGTTATATTATTACCACTGCAGGCTATGTGTTTAATATTCAAAGTGAACATAGACTATCAAAGTTCAAAGAAGCAAGCTAAAATTCGTACATTCTGGGATACAAAATAGGTCTTTAAAACAACATGTAAAAATAAAACTTGAAAATCCGTTCTTTACATCAAGCATAAAAATTAAGCCTCGGGGTATTTCCATGACGACAGACAGAATCGTTCCTGTGTAAGGAGTGATGGTACATATTTAAAAAGCCAGGCTCCTTCCCTCTGTGTATATGTGTGCGTGTGTGTGTGTGTATGTATGTGTAGTGCATGTCCCAGCATCCCAACACTGTGGGAGATGCTTAAGCAGAATTTATTCCCCTAAATAGAGAGCTTATTTAATTCCTTTTAAGAATTGGCCAGGCACAGTGGTGCATGCCTGTAGTCCCAGTTATGCAAGGGGCTGATGCAGGAGGACTACATGAGCTCAGAAGTTCAAGAAGTTCAAGTCCAGCCTGGGGCAAACATAGCTAAACCCTGCCTCTTCCAAAAAAAAATTATATATATATATATATATATATATATATGTATGTGTGTGTGTGTATATATATATATATATATATATATATATATATATATATATGTATGTATGTATATATATGCCTCCAAATAAAGTCCTCTGCCTATGGATTGGTTGTTTGGGTTATAATAAAAAAGCATTACATCTGCCAGTGAAATATAAAAGAACTGTAAAAAAGTGTTTTAGGTCCTAACACCTTAAAGACCTAACAAACTATTAGACGTCATTAATTAAAATGTTTTCTTCAGTTATTTGTAAAGCACAACTATATAAACAAACCATTTGTGAGGGTTAATTTTGTGTGTCAACTTAAGTGAGCCAAGGGGTGCCTAGATTAAGCATTGCTTCTGAGTGTCTGTGAGGGTGTTTCTAGATGACATTAGCATTTGAATTGGTGGACTGGGTCCAGCAGATTGTCCTCCCCAGTGTGTGTGGGCACCATCCAATCCACTGACAGCCTGAATAGACAAAAGCTTGAGGAAGGAGGAATTCACCCTTTTTTTCCTGCCTCACTACTTGAGCTCAGACATCTCATCTCATCTTCTCCTAGGACTGGGATTTACATCATCAGCTCCTCTGCTTCACAGGCCTTTGGACTCAGAGTGAGTACTACCAGCCTTCCTGGGTCTCCAGCTTGCAAAAGCAGATCATGGGACTTCTCAGCCTCCATAATTGCATGAGCCAATTCCTCATAATAAACCTCCTTTTATATGTAAGTATCTCCTATTGGTTCTGTTTCTCTGGAGAACCCTGATTAATAACACCATTTGTGTAGACACTATGTCTAATTAAAAAGTACTTTTAGGCTGGGCGCAATGGCTCATGCCTGTAATCCTGGCACTTTGGGAGGCTGAGGTGGGTGGATCACCTGAGGTGAGGGGTTTGAGACCAGCCTGGCCAACATGGTGAAATCCCGTCTCTAATGAAAATATAAAAAATTAGCCGGGCATGGTGGCACACACCTGTAGTCCCATCTTCATAGGAGGCCAAGGTATAAGAACTGCTTAAACCCAGTAGGCGGTGGTTGCAGTAAACCGAGATCACACCACTGCACTCCAGCCTGGGCTACAGAGAAAGACTCCATCTCAAAAAAAAAAAAAGGACTTTTAGCATGGTAAATATAGTTAATAACAAGAGTATTGTAAATTTCCAAATTGCTAAGAAAGGCTGAGTGCCATGGCTCACACCTGTAATCCCAGCACTTTGGGTCAGGGGTTCGAGACCAGCCTGGCCAACACTGCAAAAGCCCATCTCTACTAAAACTACAAAAACTAGCTGGGTGTGGTGGCACGTGCCTGTAATTCCAGCTACTCAGGAGGCTGAGGCAGGAGACTCGCTTGAACCCCAAGAGGCAGAGGTTGCAGTGAGCCAAGATCCTGCCACTGCACTCTAGCCTGGGAGACAGAGCAAGACTCCATCAAAGGAAAAAAAAAAAAAAAAGGCCGGGCGCGGTGGCTCACGCCTGTAATCCCAGCACTTTGGGAGGCCGAGGCGGGTGGATCATGAAGTCAGGAGATGGAGACCATCCTGGCTAACATGGTGAAACCCCATCTCTACTAAAAAATACAAAAAAAAAAAATTAGCCAGGCATGGTGGCGGGTGCCTGTAGTCCCAACTACTCGGGAGGCTGTGGCAGGAGAATGGCGTGAACCTGGGAAGCAGAGCTTGCAGTGAGCCAAGTTCGCGCCACTGCACTCCAGCCTGGGCGACAGAGCGAGACTCCGCCTCAAAAAAAAAAAATGCTCAGACAGCAAATTTCAAATGTTCTTCCCACAAAAAAAAACAGTTAAGTATTTGAGGTGATGACTACGTCAACCAGCTTGATTTAGTTATTCCACATTGCATTCATAAGCCATAATATCACTTTGTATCCCATAAATTTATACAATTATAAATTGCCAATTTTTGAAAAGTACTATTATGTTATGGAAAGTAACTAGGAGAGGCGACCGAAGTCAGTGAGTAACTTCCTACTGTAAAGGTTACTCATATCCTGCACAGAGAACTGCCCTAGGGAGGAGTACTCAACCTTTGGTTATCAGAATCACTTGTGAAAGTTTTTTAAGATATACATGACCAAGCCATAGCCCAAGTGATTCTGACTTAGTAGGTTTAGAGTAGAACCCAGATGTTTCTGTATTTACAGAGCTCCTTAGAAGATTCTGATATTCACCAGTGGTGGAGAGCCACAGAAGCCAGAAGCTCTGCTCTTAGGAATGAACCCTCCCTCCAGCCACAGTATAGTGAGGCCTTGCTACTCAAAGTGTGGTCTACAAGCCAGAGTATCACCAACACCTAGGAGCTTGTTAGAAAAGCAGATTCCCAGGCCCCACTCCAGACCTACTAAACCAGAATTTGCTTTTAAACAAGACTCCCAGGTGATTCTTATGCACATTGAAGATTGAGAACAGTTTTAGGATACATAATTTGCTAGCCTTCATATTATAATGAGTTGTTGGGCCCAATTAAAAACTTTTGCCATCTCTTCTTATTAGGACTCAATAAGAAAATACATCTATAATTACAAGAACAACATATATGATCATATACAATTAAACCAATAGATGGTGATATACTCTATTCTTACCAATTGCAGTGATCTGAACTCTTTCACTGCCAGTCACTGTATTAGGAGGAAATGAGAAACTCAAAGTTTTCAGGGTACTCTGTAGCCTATTGTCAGTCAAGTCTAATAAGATGGATTGTGAATATGATTTTTCTATTCCTTCAGCCTGTTGAAAAAAATGAACACAATTAACATGGTCTCTACTCACATGTTTACAGAGAACTATACGCAGATATGAGCACAAACATCTGACCTGTTGTGTCTGAGGTTTGTGTGTGGCTAAATAGGCACCTATCATTTCTTATTTTGTTTTCTTTAAATTAGATATTTTATTTAAACAAGTAATACATTCATTTCACAGAATGAGTTTTTCTTGTTAGTCTGTATTACAAAAAATTACCATAACTTTGATTAATTTTTCCTTTTAGATTTTCTCACTAAGTACAGTACCCTTCATTAACTGAAACGTGTTTTTCACAGGATTTACACTTAATAGGCACCATTTCCATGGAAATGAATTAAATCTGATGACACAGCGCGTACCATTTTGTTATTCTTACTTCAAATCTGTTAGTAAGTTCTAGTTAAATTAGATAAGGCATCTCATGGACTGGCCTTGAAAATGACAAAGAAGAAGATGAAAATGTAAGGAAAAAAACCCTTTGAGGTAGTTCCTATTATTATCCAAAGAGGGGGAGATTAAATGCCTTGTTCAAAATCACACTTGGCAGAGCTGAGATTCAAACACAGGGTTGCCTCACCCCAGAATACAAGTGTTTATCCACTATGCTCATTATCTTTCTGTCTAGAATGTCTTCTCTGAAAAAAATCTACAAAATCTCTTTTACCTTCACTGAAAAATTCCAAAATTCCAAATCTACAAATCGACTTGGCCGTGTTTTAATAGGATCCCAACGTAACACAGTCTGTAGATGTAAATGACTGCAAAAGAGACGTTAGTCTTTATAGTCACATTCCTGACTAAATTTAAAGAGGAAATTGGCAATTATTTCTAAATGATTTATTTTTACATACAGATTAGAAAGTGATTAGGCATTACCAGAAGGGTAAAGAAGATGACCTACTAGATATGCCAACAAATTTAACCAAGAGAAAAAACCTTCTGCTTCCTTTTTAATTACGTATTTCCATTTCACTTCTTTCAGACATCAAATATTTACCTTTACTAAAATCATCTGGGTGACAGCATCAGAAGCAGTGGGTGAAAGAGCTGTGACTGTGATAGGAATTTCTCCCAGATGTGTTGGCCTGATGGGAAAAAGAACAGTTGCCCCATCCTCACTGGGAACCAGAAGGGTCTGCTGGTGGCCTGTGGCATTTATTTCATTTGAAGTCATTAGAATATCAAATTTGTCACTTTTCTCAATGATTACCTTAACCTGAAAGAAAAAAATAAATCAAAGCTTTTGTATAATAGATGCTCTTCAGTAAAGTGCTCTTTTATCACCAGTTTAAGTACTGTCAAATCTGTGAGGCTCAAGACTAGCGAAAAGATGAGACAAAGATTCGACCAAGGAGAGTATCAAAGAGTATCAGGAAAAACTTCATTTCTTTTCTATGCTTTCCCCTCAACCTCAAGATACATGGGGAAAGGGCGATCTTCAGCCCCATTTCTAGTCCTCCCACTAACTTTAAATTCTCTCACTATCTGAAGCCATTAGATGGTAAGGATGTGCACAGAAAGGCTATTTCATATATTGATATTACTACTAGCTTGATTTAACTATGTCATCCTGGAACATACTGGTCTCATTAGAAAAATTTGAAGAAAACAGCATGAAATGTTATTGAATTTATTGAAGTCTCTGTAAAAAATTATTCCAAGGAAAGTACAACTCAGATATTAGTCCTGAAGCATATCTTGGTTGTAAACTTTTGTAAATTATCCCAAAGTTGCAAGTCTCATCAATAATAGCATTTATCTAGGCCTTAAATTTTACGAATTATTTTCCCATTGATGTTTTCATCTGCTTCTCAAGGTATCTTTTGTGGGTGTAATAATTATCATTTCCATTTTACAGATGAGGAAACTACAATTAAGTCATTTGCTGGTAAGTGGTAGATTAAACATTGAATCCAGGCCTTTAGACTCTAGATCTTTTGCTTGTTACATGGTACCATGATAACTGGGTTAAAAAGTAAAATTAAAAAATTAAAAAAATTTACTTCCCACTTTGTCAGCCAAATATGCCAATAAAAAGCTTAAAAAATTAAAATTTAAATTAAAAAAAATTATATATAAAGTGCCTAAAGATATCATGTCATTTTCATCCATGTAATAAAGTTAATTACGTATCTCTACTTATTCTGGGGGAAGAAAAATCAGTCACTTGGTTAACATACTGTGGGCACAACACAAACAGTGAACCTAATTCCTGCCTCCCAGGGAAATGACTAGCTAAGGAGATACAAGGTACGTGAATCCAATAGTGAATCCTTGAAAATATAAACATGGGGGCTACAAACATAACAGAATGGCAGTCGGGTGCAGTGGCTCATGCCTGTAATGCCAGTACTTTGGGAGGCCAAGGCAGGCAGATCACTTGATCAAGACCCGCCTGGCCAACATGGCAACACTCTGTCTCTATGAAAAACACAAAAATTAGCTGGGCGTGGTGGTGCACCCTTGTAATCCCAGCTACTCGGAGGCTGAGGCAGGAGAATCACTTGAACCTGTGAGGTGGAAGTTGCAGTGAGCCGAGATCACGCCACTGCACTCCAGCCTGGGCAACAGAGCAAGACCATGTCTCAAAAAAAAAAAAAAAACAAAACTGCAGTGGGCACAGAGTGGCAGTGAGAAGTGGCCACACATTCTAGATGTGGGGAAAACCAGGGGAAAATGCAGGGAGGCAGGAAAGAGAAAGGCATGCTTCAGAGACAATAAGGAACTTACATGGCAAAAGAGGAAAACCTATGCTGAAAATTCAAGGAGGTAATGTGTAGACATGCTAATGATATCCTTAGACATTAATTAGCAGAAGAAATCACTGACAAGACATGTCTATTTTCAGCCTCCCAGAAATGTATAAAGTGCTTAGAATCCCAAATGCCCAGATACTACACAACCCAATCCCTTCATGCTACCTCGATTTTCTCCTGTAGTGTAAATGATCAACAAAAGCTTGAATACATTACCTCAGTGGCATCTTTCAAATAATTGAATATAGTTATTTCCAAAGCAAATTCTTCACCTCTGATAACAGAGTAGGGAAGATTCAAAAAAATGAAAAATGGTTGGAAGGCTTGGAGCTGGAAAGAACACAACGAGTACATATTTTTATTCAGGTCAAAATTCTTCACATTTTATGCAATTAAATGCAATCTTTATAAAACCTGTGAAGCTTTTAACTTCAGCTAGAAATGTCAACTTGCTATCAACAGAAAGCAAACAGCAACTTATCACAAATGAATGACGGCAAATTGACTTGATTTATGTTACTTAACATAATAATTGCTATACTTTATTAAGTGCCTTATAGCAACCAAACACTTCACATAAATTATTTTGTTTGGTTATTACAACCCCATAAGGTTACTGTTAGTCTCCTAGTTTATAGAAAAGAAAATTAAATTTTTGAGATTTTTGTAACTAGTACAAATTCATATTGCTGGCAAGTAGAGGAGCCAGAACTAGAACCCAGCCTGTCTAATCCCGAAGCAATTTGCTCTTCTTTCATGCTGTATTGACTCCACCAATCTGCTTTAAAAGCCCTGCCAAATCCAACAGCCCCTGTTCTAGTGTGGGACATCTGAATACATGTGCTTCCTGACTAAATTTAAAGAGGAAATTGGAAATTATTTCTAAAACATATATATGATTTATTTTTACATACAGATGAGAAAATGTGTGGGACATCTGAATACATGTGCTTCCTCCTCAGTGACCCAATTCTGATATTGTTGGCCAAGTCCTACAGAAAAGGCCAAGCCCCACACCTGCATCTAAAGCTAAACCTGGGTTAGTTTAGGCCAGTGGTTTTGCTGGCAGCAGTAACTCCCTCTAGAGTTTATCTGCACATTTGTGAAGGTGTCTTAGATTGTCACCATGACTCGAAGGTGCTATAGGTAGTTAGTGGGTGACAGTCTGCAATACTCAGGACAGCCCCAGACAATGAAAAATTGCCCCATGTTCCTAATGATTCTTGAATGTCCCTTCAGACATTCATGTTGCTGAATTGTCTGTTTATAGTGGCCTGAGCTTACAATCTAATTCCAATTTCTATATAAACCCAAAGCATTTTTCAATCTACACTGTATTTTTCATGAATACGATTATTTTGTAAATCAAAATTACATTTCAATTTCAAATGAGAAAATTCAGGCCACTCATGGTCATTATATTCCTCCTGCCAGTGACTGGCTTAGGAAACAATATATGATGCAATTTGACCAAAAGACATGATGGAATATTGGCTAGGGAACATCTTGAGAAGTTCTGTTCATTCTTGAAGAGGACAAATAGAAAGACTCACTCTCTCTCTCCTCTCCTCTTTCTCTCTCTCTCTTTTTCTTTCTCTCTCTTCTGGCCTTTGGAGATGGTTAGTTCAGGTCAATAATAAACTTTTCTACCCAAATCTTAATACGGACTTTGCACATTTAGCAGTTTATATAGCTATATATAGCTCACATTCTTAAATATAAAACAGATAAAAACCAAAAGACAAAGCCAAGGAATCTCTAAACTGTGATAAACATTATAAGCAGTCATTTAAAAAAAAAATTGAGGAGCTGACGCTGTATTAGCTTAATGTCACCGTAATACTGATAAGCAGCTCTTTAATACAATACCTCCACTGGAGTAGTTGTTAGTCCAAGACCCAGGTCCTCAGAGATCACAAAACCAGTAGCCACCCAAGAAGTGATAGAATCAGGTACAGTTACTTCAAATTCTTGGTAAATCCTGTAACTGAAGTCAAGATAATAAATATAAACATCACAAAACCAAGAACTGATACATTTTGAAATAAGCCAAAATAATCTAAACTATTTTTGGAAGAATTTCAATTTTTCCTATTGTTTACATATCTGAATTTAAAACCATTTAAAAGGTTTAAGTATAAAACAGTAAATCCCAACTTTTCAAAGAATAGGTCATCATAAGGTCATAATACTGCATATTGATCCATATTCTAATAAAATCTTCCTGCAAAATTTACATCTTCAGAATAAACATTATTTTTTCACAAATTTTTTATAGATAATAAATACACATTTTCAAACTTAACTCCAATTTTTTCTCTAAATTTGCAGAAGTTTTTCTCTGTATCCCTGTCAATGCTGTTATTTGTTTCCTTGAGATTTCACTCATGTGTTAACTCAAGTATCTTTAAACAGCTGACTATAAAATACTATGTGGATTTCATGATTTACCTGCTCAATTATCAGGCCAGGTGGTACGGGGTTTATCAGCCAAGCTGAATTCTTTCCACCACCCATGCCCCTTCTCCCTGTGACTCCTGGGAATGCTTTGTGAGGAGCAGGGTTCAGTTAGCAGCACTGCCAGGGGTCACAGGAGGTAATCATGAGTGCTTCCCATCCTGTGACAACAAATGTACTCCCAGCAATTTTTCTTCAACAAGAATCATGAGACTTCAAGGAAGTCAAAATCACCCTTCAGTTAAAAAAAAAAAAAAAGGCCTATCTTCTCATTGATGAGACCTTCCTGCCATAATTTATGTGTGGCTTTATCAAAAACTGTATTTAGATTCAATAAATATCATTTCCTAAAAAATCCTTTTGGTCTACTTAGTTCTTAGTTACACTATGTTTGTACTTAAACATTAGAAAGCGGGCAAAGCTTATTTAAAACAAACACTAAACAAAATATGTATGGGCAAAGAACTTTATAAATTTTTACCCCATGTTGGTGTCTAGCCAAATCCAAGTCTCTGGAAAATGCTTTCGGACATGTGGACTGCTACCCAAAGAAAAGTCATGAATATCTACAATATGTCCTTCATTTTCCTCCATAAACCTCTCAGCATATTCTGCATTGTCATCTATAAATAAACATTGACAGTAGTTAGAAAAACAGTCACTGGAGAGAATGAATTGTAAACTCCACATACAAAATGAATGTCAATCACTTGAGGTGTCCAGAGACATAATGTGCCAGTGAGAGTATCAGGTTCCTTCTGTTACAGTGAAAAGGTAGAAGAAGGTTTTCAGAAAAGGTAAAGGATACAGTAAGTATTACTGGCAATAGAATGGGTATTACAGTGGGCATCAAGAAGGATTCAATATGTAAAAAAGAACAAAGATGGGTAAAAACTGAGACTGAAAAATGGAAAAACATGCTTGGAAGATTGTCTAGGATAGA
Source organism: Homo sapiens (assembly GCF_000001405.40). Taxonomy (NCBI): domain Eukaryota; kingdom Metazoa; phylum Chordata; class Mammalia; order Primates; family Hominidae; genus Homo; species Homo sapiens. The sequence continues at coordinate 73,782,293 of NC_000006.12, read as the reverse complement.
GGGTTATATGAGGAAAGCTAAATGTACCACATGTCTTTAATGTAGAGAGATCATAATGACTTCATAACATCTTCAAGACTATAAAATTATCTTTTAAGTTTCAGGACAGAGGATCAGGTGTCCTGTTGGGGCAAGAACCAGCCCAAAGAGACCCGGGGGCTTAGCATGGAATAACAGAATACCTGACAGAAACAGGGAATTCAGGGATAGAAACTGTGACAGTTCTAGAAGCCTTTCAAGATGATGTTAGTATAACTTAACCTGAAAGAAAAGAGAATCCCTTCTAAGGTTAACCATTCTAATTTATACATTTATACATTTCCTTCAGTCAAAACATTTTATGACGTCTTTCTAAAAGCACACTTATTATTACTTGGCAGCCAACTCTATTTGGCAATTCAAGAAACTAGGATGTACAGATATAATCCTGCCCAGGAAGAACTCAGATTGATGAGGGGTGTGTGTGTGTGTGTGTGTCTGCGTGTGTGTCTATGTCTCTGTGTGTGTGTGTGTGTCTGTGTCTGTGTGTGTGTGTGTGTGTGTGTACCAGAATACTTTATGGCATGATGGCATCTGGGCTATTTTCTAGGTGAACATCAAAAAGCTGGAGTACAAAAATATTTCAAAAATATGTTGCTCCTTTTAAATAATTCCAAAAGAATAGGACAGTTTGTGATACAAATCAGAAGAAAAGCAGCTTCCAGTATGTCCAAAAATATAACTACCTCAAAGAATTACCTAGAGAAAAAGGAAAGCATTCACTTCAAATATCTAGACAGGAGCTCAGATGAACGTTCCATGTCATGGCCCAGATGTACTTCTAAGTACATTAAACTCCAAACATTTTGGGAGAAGAGAACAAAAAAATGAAAATCACAATCTCTATGTTCATCTAAAAAATATCCATACCTATATAAGTAATGTTGAATATCATGTGAAAGACAAATACAAGCATGTCGCCATGTATTACTTACAAACACCATCAATATAATCCTTCGTGAGGTTTGCATCTGTCAATACCCAGAGTCCACATTCCTAAAAAGAATAATTTTTATTTTCTTTTAAAACACAAGTTTAAATGCTCACTAAATTATCAAGGCAGTCTCCCAAACTCCTGACTCACTTGTGCTCATTTTTGAGAGCTTAGGTATACACATGCACATACATTCAACCTTTCTGTCTCTCACTCAAACACACACACACACGCACACACACATCAACCTTTCTCACTCAAACACACACACGCACATGCCCATCGATCTTTCTCACTCAAACACACACACACACGCATACACATATCGATCTCTCTCAAACACACACACGCACATACACATTGATCTTTCTCAAACACACATACACACATCAGTCTTACACACACACACATACACACACACACTCATGCATAAGAGCCATTTCAAAGTCAAGGAAATATATATAAAATATATTTATATATTATATATATACATAAAATATATTTATATATTATATATATACATAAAATATATTTATATATTATATATATACATAAAATATATTTATATGGAAATACATATACATAAAGGAAAAATTATTTGTTTAATGTCAATTCCATTAACTTTTCCAATGGTGAATTGTTCCATTTGCTTTTAAAACTGGAAAGATGATTATCTTTTCATTTCAAATTATACTTACATAAGACTGCGCTTCAGTGACACATTTAATAAAAGGTTAACATCTCAAAATGATCACTAATTCTGAAAGGGTTTGCAATAGTAAAAAATATTAATATCTTTTCAATATAGCAAGCAAAACATACCTGAAAGACTGCAAAAGAATTCATGAACATGCCTAAATAATATCCTGTGTTATAAAGTTCCAACTCATGGACCACCTAAGGAGAAGATAAAATATACGGAATGAATGGATTCATAACAACTTTCCACACTTCTTCCAAGTAACTTAGATAAGACTTAGCCTTCATGTTTATCAACTTTGAAAATGACACAAATTGAGGAGTAATGAATATGTAATTGCTTTGTTCATCAGTCAGTCAGCCAAAATTACATTTCTTACTTATACTTACTTTTACTCTGTTCAGCAATCCAGAGTTCCTAAGAAGTCTGGACTTGAGTTCTGCCAGGGAGAACTTAGATGTTACTGTTTGACAAGACCAACAGGCAGAGGTCAGCATTAAAAATGACCCACACTTTTGGCAGAGATAAACAGGTTAACTTTGTTGGAGATTAATATAAACTCTGCAAAATGTCAGTGACCTAAATTTACAAAAAAAAAAAAAAACTGAAGAGGCAATTTACAAAAGTAGAAATATAAGTTATTAATAAGCAGAAAAATATTCAGCCTCACTGATAATCAAAGCAATGCAAATGACAACATCCATGAGATACGGTTTTTTCAAAAATGAGATATTTGCATGTACCCCATTAGCAATGCTTTTTTTTTTAAGAATAGTACTCATTGCTAGCAAGAGTGGGTAAAACAGGCTAAAAGAGTAAAACTGTCAGATCCTCAAAAAATTAACATAGAATTAGAATATGACCCAGTAATTCCACTCCTAGGTATATACACAAAAGGACTGAAAACAGTAACTCCAAGAGATACTTGTATGCCACCGTTCATTGCAGCAATAGTTACAGTAGCCAAAAAGGTGGAAACAACCTGTGTCCATCAGCAGAAAAATGGATAAACAAAATGTGGTATATATACACAACACAATATTATTCAGCCGTAAAAAGAAATGAAGCTCTGAGGCTAGGTGCGGTGGCTCACACCTGTAATCCCAGCACTTTGGGAGGCCGAGGCGGGCGGATCATGAGGTCAGGAGTTTGAGACCAGCCTGGCCAACATAGTGAAACCCCGTCTCTACTAAAAATACAAAAAATTAGCTGGGCGTAGTGGTGGGCGCCTGTAGTCCCAACTACTCGGGAGGCTGAGGAAGGAGAATGGTTTGAACCCGGGAGGCGGAGGTTGCAGTGAGCCAAGATCGCGCTATTGCACTCCAGCCTGGGTAACAGAGCAAGACTCCGTCTCAAAAAAAAAAAAAGAAATGAAGCTCTGATACATGCTACAACATGGAATAATCTTGAAAACACTGTGCTAAGTGAAATAAGCCAGACACAAAAGGGCAAATATTATATAAATGTGAAATATCTAGAATAGGTAAATTCATAAAGACAGAAGTAGACTAGAGGTTCCCAAGGGCTGTGGGGAAGGGGAAATGAGTAGTTATTGCTTAATGATTACAGAGTCTCTGTCTGGAGCCATGAAAATGTTTTGGAAATATTGGTGATGGTCATATAACATTGTGAAGTAATTAATGTCACTGAATTAAACACTTAAAATGGTAAAAATAGCAAATTTTATTTTATATATATTTAACTTCAATAAAAATCAAGTATTATACCTTTTTAGGTAATAATTTTGATACTTCTCCCTAAAAATTTACATTAACCAGACAAATTAAGACAAAGTCAGAATTAAAAATCACAAAAAAAACTAAGTTGAAAAAAACACATTCCAGCATAAAATTAAACACCTGCAACCACTATTTCTGCAATGCTAACAACAACCATGGCTGCATCCACAGTAAGCAACTAGAACAGGCACCAATAAGAAAACAATAAAATAAGAAAAAAAATTCATAATGTGTCAAGAAGCTGGCAAGTAGACAAGGGAGCCAGAGCCAGGCATATTGGAGAGAAAAGGCTAGAGTTCCATGACTCCAACTCTGTCACAAAATACAAATACATGAAGATTTGCTTCCGCTCTTGCTCAGACACCAATTCAAGAAGCAGCATCTAAACAGTGGTTATCAGCACAAGACAAGAATGCCCTCTCTCACCGCTCCTATTCAACATAGTACTAGAAGTTCTGGCCAGGGCAATCAGGCAAAAGAAAGAAAGAAAAAATGAAACAAAGGGCATCCAAATAGGAAGAGAGGAAGTCAAACTATCCCTGTTTGCAGATGACATAATCCTATATCTAGAAAACCCCATAGTCTCAGCCCAAAAGTTTCTTAAACCGATAAACAACTTCAGGAAAGCCTCGATGTGTGAAAATCACTAGCATTCCTATACACCAACAACACACAGCAGAGAGCCAAATCAGAAATAAACTCCCATTCACAACTGCCACAGAAAGATAAAATACTTAAGAACACAGCTAACTAGGGAGGTAAAAGATCTCTACAAGGAGAACTACAAACCACTGCTCAAAGAAATCATAGATGAACAAACCAATGGGAAAACATCCCATGCTCATGGATAGGAAGAATCAATATTGTTAAAATGGCCATACTGCCCAAAGCAATTTATGTATTCAATGCTATTCCTATTAAACTACTACATTCTTCACAGAACGAGAGAAAACTATTTTAAAATTCATATGGAACCAAAAAAGAGCTCGTATAGCCAAGACAATCCTAAGCAAAAAGAACAAAGCTGGAGGCATCATGCTACCAGAGTTCAAACTGTACTACAAGGCTATAGTAACCAAAACAGCATGGTACTCACACAAAAACAGACACATAGACCAATGGAACAGAATAGAGAACCCAGAAATAAGACTGCACATCTACAACTATCTGATCTTCAACAAATCTGACAAAAACAAGCAATGGGGAAAGGATTTCCTATTCAATAAATGGTGCTGGGAGAGCTGGCTAGCCATATGCAGAAGACTGAAACTGGACCCCTTCCTTACATCATATACAAAAATTAACGCAAGATGGATTAAAAACTTAAATGTAAAACCCAAAACTATAAAAACCCTGGAAGACAACCTAGGCAATACCATTCAGGACATAGGAACAGCCAAAGATTTCAAAAGCAATTGCAACAAAAGCAAAAATTGACAAATGGGATCAAATTAAATGAAAGAGATCTGCACAGTGAAAGAAACTATCAACACAGTAAACAACCTACAAAATGGGAGAAAATTTTTGCAAACTGTGCATCTGACAAAGATCTAATATCCAGCATCTATAAGGAACTTAAACAAATTTACAAGAAAAAAAAAATTTTTTTAAGCCAGCAAAGGGGCCAGGCACAGTGGCTCATGCCTCTAATCCCAGCACTTTGGGAGGCCAAGGTAGGCAGATCACCTGAGATCAAGAGTTTTCAAGACCAGGCTGACCAACATGAAGAAACCCCATCTCTACTAAAAAATACAAAATTAGCAAGCATGGTGGCACATGCCTGTAATTCCAGCTACTTGGGAGGCTGAGGCAGGAGAATCACTTGAACCCGGGAGGTGGAGGTTGCAGCGTGGGCAACAAGGGGGAAACTCCATCTCAAAAAAAAAAAAAAAAAAAATGGGCAAAGGATATGAACAGACACTTTTCAAAAGAAGTCATACATGCATACATGAGGCCTACAATCATATGAGAAAAAGCTCAACATCACTGATCATTAGAGAAATGCAAATCAGAACCATAAGGAGGCCACCAGGCACAGTGCTCACATCTGTAACCCCAGCACTTTGGGAGGCCAAAGCAGGAGGATCACTTGAGATCAGGAGTTTGAAACCAGCCTGTCCAACATGGTGAAACCCTGTCTCTATTAAAATACAAAAATCAGCTGGGTATGGTGGCTCACGCCTGTAATCCCAGCTACTTGGGAGGCTGAGGCAGGAGAATCGCTTGAACCCAGAAGGTGAAGGTTGCAGTGAGCCAAGATCACATCACTGCACTCCAGCCTGGGTGACAGATCAAGGCTCTGTCAAAAAAAAAAAAAAAAAAAAAAAAGGCCACTTGCGTGGTGGCTCACGCCTGCAATCCCAGCACTTTAGGAGGCCAAGGGAGATGGATCACAAGGTCAGGAGTTTGAGACCAGCCAGGCCAATATGGTGAAACCCCTTCTCTACTAAAAAAGTTTAAAAATTAGCCAGGCGTGGAGGCGACACCTGTAGTCCCAGCTACTCGGGAGGCTGAGGCAGGAGAATTACTTGAACCTGGGAGGCAGAGGTTGCAGTGAGCCGAGATCACACCACCGCACTCCAGCCTGAGCAACAGAGTGAGACTTTGTCTCAAAAAAATAAAATAAAATAAAAACACACAATGAGATACCATCTCACACCAGTCAGAATGGATAGCTATCATTTAAAAGTCAAAAAAATAACAGATGCTGGAGAGGTTGTAGAGAAAAGGAACACTTATACACTGTCGGTAGGAGTGTTAATTAATTCAGCCATTGTACAAGACAATGTGACAATTCCTCAAAGACTTAAGACAGAAACACCATTTCAATACTAGCAATCCCATTATTGGGTATATATCCAAAGGAATATAAATAATTCTATTATAAAGATGTATGCATGCATATGTTCATTGCAGCACTATTCACAAAAGCAAAGACATGGAATCAAACTAAATGTCCGTCAATGATAGACTGGATAAAGAAAATGTGGTACATGTACACCATGGAATACTAGGCAGCCATAAAGAACAAGATCATCTCCTTTGCAGGTACATGGATGGAGCTGGAGGTCATTATCCTTAGCAAACTAACTCAGGAACAGAAAACCAAATACCACATGTTCTCACTTATAAGTGGGAGTTAAATGATGAGAACACATGGACACATAGAGAGGAACAACACACAGTAGAGATTGTCAGAGGGTGGAGGGTGGGAGCAGGGAGAGGATCATGAAAAATAACTAATGGGTACTGGACTTCATACCTGAGTAATGAAATAATCTGTACAACAAACCCCTATGACACAAGGTTGCCTATGTAACAAACCTGCACATGTATCCCTGAACTTAAAAGTTTAAATAAATAAATAGATAAACAAATGATGGTTACAGGGGCGAGGGGGAAAGGAAGAAGAAAATGGGAATATAGAGGTCAAGGGATACAAAATAGCAGATATGTGGGATGAAAAAATGCAGTTATATAATCTACAACATGAGAGATATAGTTAATAGAATTGTATGATATTTGGAGTTTTCATTAAATCGATTTTAACTGCTTTTGTCACAAAAATGTAGCTATGCAAAATGATAAATATGTAAATTTGCTTCACTACAGTAACCACTATACTGCCTATATGTATTCCATAACCTCATGTATACACAATAACCTCATATATACATATATACATATATATATATACACATAACCTCAAATATACACAATAAAATTTATTTTAAAAAAAGCAAAAGCAGCATCTATCTCATAAAGAAATCTTCCTGTTCTCACTGGCTCAATAAACAAAGCACTGTCAAAGCTGCAGCATAGGCTAACGAAAAGAAGGCTAATGTCTAAAAATTATTCCTGGAAGATCCACATACTGAAATTATTCCAAGGCATTCAAGAGGCTATTGACAACACATATAAATTTAACAAAAAAAAAAAAGAAGCCAAAACAGTCTACTATGACAGGATCCTCACTCCCTCCTCCAGAACCAACTGGAGAAACAATAAAAGCAAGCAGAAAACTTTAACGTGCACAGTGAGAAAACCCCAGGAAGAGTGGTGGACATCTTGAATTGGTCTTGGGAGAAAGTGCATCGCTTCAGTCTAAGGCAGAAGGCAGCTAGACACAGCAGCAGACATAGTCAGAAAACAGGCTGGAGGAGAGGTTTTTAAACTTTGCTCTTATTTCCCTCCAGGGGGTAGCCTCAGGACACACAGTCCTGGCAACTTCACTGCCAAAATCAACAGCAGTAGCAGCTCAGACGGCCTGTGCAAGTATCCAAAAGATAATACCAGGTCAGCACCTCTGCCTTTCTAGTGTGGGAAAGTGAAGAAAACATGCAGACAGACCCATGTCCCTCAAGCATTCACTCTTCCTCTCCTCCTCCTCCAAACCCTCAGGGCTGGTGAATCATAACCTCAGGAGACCTTCTCTTACTGGTGCTCTTTTCCCCAAGGGTTTAAGAGTGAAACACTGAATAGAGGCAAGCAGCAGAAAGGATCAAGAGTAATTCTCTAGTCCATGAGGCTAGTCCTCTCCCCTCAGGAAGGGGTCATAGGACTTACACAGATTGGAACCTTATGCTCAGCCTTCACCAATAGATATTATCAGAGAATCTGCCAAATCAGCTAGACTTCCAAAGAGTATAAATACTGTAGAAGTAAGACATCCAACTAAACAACATATAGCATGTGACACAAAATTACTGAAAAGTTCAATTCAATAATTTAAAATACGCATAGCAAATATACACAAGGAGATAATGGGAAATATCAGAATATAAAACAAAAACAAGAAACAAAGGAAAAATAATAGATATTAAAAACATAATAGCTGACATAAAAGACACAATATGAGAGATTAAAGTAGATTAAAATACAGCTAATGAATGATCACTAAGCTGAGTTGACTGAAGAACTCTCCCAGAGAAACACAGAAAAGACAAAGAGATAGAAAACATAAAACAAAAAACTAAGAGATGTGAAGGAGGAAGTAAAAGTGCCAATTTCTGAAAAACAAAAGTCCCAGAAGGAGAGAAAAAATAAAATGGGGAGGAAGAAATAATCAACACAGATTTCCACAATTAAAAAATGAAAGAACAGCATAGATTGAAAGGCAATCTATGGTAACATGGAACTAAAATCTGTACACGAGCAAAATGATCTGGCCAGGGTAGGAGGAGAAGGAGGAGACAGAGGTAGAGACCAAAAGGAATAGGAGCATACTAGAAGATTCAAATACTGATAACCTTTAGAAACCAACAAGGATAAATTAATATGGGTACAGTTTGTAACTAACAGAGTAACAAAAATAGAACGCATAACTTCTAAATCACCAAAACAAATTTAATCTAGCCCACAGAAAAAGAATCTAAATTTTAAAATATAGAAAAGCAGAAAAAGTCCCCATTAGAAAAAGAATTACCATACTTATAAGTGGATTAAATAAAAGCTTATTAAAAGATGTTGACTATTAGATTAGATTGAAAAACAAAAGCAAAATATAATAATATGCTATTTAAAAGATACACTTAAAAATTTACAAAAGGTTGAAAATAAGAAATGTAAAAATACACCAGGAAAATATGAACCAAAAGAAAGCTGAGAAAGCAATCTTAATATCTGAAAAAATTTAATGTAAATATGCATATATTATATGTATATATAAATATACTTGTAAATATATATATAACACACATATATAAATGTAAATAGAGACAGAGTGCGCAGCACATCAGATGGGGTGTGTGTGTATGTGTATGTATACACACACGTACACACACACAAACATACACATATGTAGGGAAGAAAAAATGAAATAATATATTTACCAAGATATTTAGAAAGCTATAAAATAACAGATACTATTATATTCAGTTAAATCAAATGCAAGATCTACAGACATAAAACTAATGTGAACTCAGGAAAAGTCAAAGAGAGAAAAATGACCAACTGGTTGTAAAAAAAAAAAAAGTTTTCAAAAAAAAGAAAAGATTGAAAAAAATAGTTGTGTAGACTGAAGAAAATGTACAATTTTTCTGAAGTAAACTAAATTTTACAATATAATGACCAAATCAACCCAACTATATATAGTTTTCTTTCTGATGTATTGTTAATCACTCTACTGAATCCATTAATAGACAAAAATTATACAATCTAGTTTACAACTGACAATGGTACACAAGAATATATCAAGGACATATAAATAAAAATCAAATGACTAATGAATATGGGATTCATTTATGCAATGCTAGATGTTCATATACTTCTTGGTTTGTAAGTTTTCTGCAGAGTAACATGATTTCACCCCCTCAATATACTGCAAATTCCTGATTCAATGGGAACTGTAATTTTTTTTTTTTTTTTTTTTTTTTTTGAGACAGAGTCTTGCTCTGTCACCCAGGCTGGAGTGCAGTGGCACGATTTCTGCTCGCTGCAAGCTCCGCCTCCTGGGATTCATGCCATTCTCCTGCCTCAGCCTCCCGAGTAGCTGGGACTACAGGCGCCCGCCACCGCGCCCGGCTAATTTTTTGTATTTTTAGTAGAGATGGGGTTTCACCATGTTAGCCAAGATGGTCTCGATCTCCTGACCTCGTGATCCACCCACCTCGGCCTCCCAAAGTGCTGAGATTACAGGCATGAGCCACCATGCCCGGCACAATGGGTGCTGTAATTATTTATAACCATTACGTATAACCAAAATAGAACACACTTCAAAAATTATCTAAAGCTCTCTTATCCAACGTAACCCAGAATAATGCAAGTCAATTTCCTAGTACTTTCTTGAGTGTCTTAAAATGTAGTATGAAAATGAAGGAAAACTATAGGTGGCATTTTTTATTGTATATATTTATGGAGTACAATGTGATATATTGATATTTGTATATACTGTGGAATGATTAAGCTAATTAACATATCTATCACCTTGCATACTACATACTGATCATTTTTTGTGGTGAGAACATTTCAAATCTACTCTTTTAGCAATTTTCAAGTATATGGTACATTATCATTAACTACAGTCACCATGTTGTACCACAGACCTCCAGAATTTATTCCTCCCATCTAACTTTAGGTGATAATTCTGATGAAAGAGAGCAAGGACACTTAACCACATAAGCTTCTTTCCAACATAACCATTACGATACAGATTACTTTTTATTTGGAAGCTTTACTAATTATTGACTTACACATGCAAAGGAACTAATGAAATTTTCTTTAAATATTTAAAGTAGTACAATAAAGTTTCCTCTTTCTCTTGTAATACATATTTTCATAATGAAAAAATAGCTAAACTCACATTTTCCATTGTAATATCATTAGAGGCATTCATCAGATTCACACTTTTGTCAACAGCTACAATCCCAACTATGGAGTCAGGCTGTGTCACAGAGATCCTAAGAGAGACTTTCTCAGATGGTTCAGCTTTCACTTTACTCCAATATAGCTTTATCTAAAAAAGAGAGAAAGGAGGATTAACTTATTTCACTTTTTTAAAGCATATTCTTGCCAATAGCAGACCACTGGCCCAAAATATAGCAAAGATTCTACATTTGCCTTGGCTCAGGGATAATTCTAAAACCATGCATAACCCTTCTCTAGGGAAAGGAATAAAAAAACTACGCCCAGAGTGTTTGCAAGTCATAGAACTTCTCACAGTGGTATAAATCTGAATTATTCTTTAATTCTGTATCTTTTTTCTTCCCTTTCTCCATCTCCCACCCCTCAGATCCCAGCCAGTGCTGAGTAGAAGACAGCAGTGTCTAGCATACCTGGGGAAGGCCAGTATACAAAGGAGAAACACGAAAGAGGAAAGAAACTGCAGATGCCTACATGTTGGTGACGTGAGCTCAGAAGTGAAGGCAAGGAGAGCTCCTCGGGGACTCATAGAACCACCTGGACTGAGGGTGAGGGGTGGCCTTTCCAAGGGAGTGGGTGGTTAGAGCAAACACTAGTCCAGGCCCTCATGCTCTGTCTCCATGGCCTTCTAAACTTCCTCACCATTACCCTCAGGAAAGCATGGTCCTGGACCTACTAATACTTTATAAAGAGCATCAGTCATCGCATCACCGCTGAACCAAATGGCCTTGTCATGAGGCCCCTGCCTACTGGGCATTTTCTTTTTTTGTTTTTGAGATGGAGTTTCCCTCTTGTTGCCCAGGCTAGAGTACAATGGCACAATCTCGGCTCACTGCAACCTTTGCCTCCTGGGTTCAAGTGATTCTCCTGCCTCAGCCTCCCAAGTAGCTGGGATTACAGGCGCCCACCACCATGCCCGGCTAATTTTTGTAACTTTTTTAGTAGAGACAGGGTTTCACCATGTTGGCCAGGCTGGTCTCCAACTCCTGACCACAGGTGATCCGCCTGCCTCGGCCTCCCAAAGTGCTGGGATTACAGGCGTGAGCCACAGTGCCTGGCCCCTGCTGGGAATTTTCATTTCATCTAGCTCTATCTCAACATTCTGCTGTGCCAATGATTATAATGCCTGACAAAGAGGGCCTTAACATTCCCCTCAAGTTGACTCGACTTTACAAAGACAGGCTTCTTCCTAACTATAAGCCCCTGAGCTCCCTTTTCTTAGAGCATTTATTTTAGAAAACATGCAATTATAAATTCTTTCTCCAACTCTCTGAGATGTAAATCTTTTCCCAGCCTCTGGCCAGTTTTACAACCCAGGCATGTCTTTCTCAAGGTCCTCAGAGCCATCCCTTTGAAGTATAATCATCAAGAAAGACAGAGTCCCAATTGATCTCATTCTCTGTGGGAGGGTGGAAACCTAACTTCAGTAAGTACTAATTAGCAAACACAGACTACCTAATCACATTGACCAACCTCCCAACAATGTCCTCCAGCACTTTCATATGAGTTCACCCCAGTGCTTAAAAACTCTTCTGCCTTTTGTTTCAGCAGAGTTGAGTTTATCATCTCTCTCTTCCATTGCAATAGTCTTGAATAAAGCCTTCCTTACCTGTTTAACTTGTCCAGTGCAATTTTTTTCTGACATGCCTCTCAAACCACTGTATGTAGGTTACTTTCTCCACCTACACACTAAAGCATGGGGGAGAGGGAGCAGCATGTTCAAGACTCAGTCTTAGACCTTGTACTTCTCACTCTATACTCTGTACCTCAGAGCCCCATGGCTTCAACTTGCACTTCTGTGTGGATGATTTCTAAACCTAAATCTCTTGCCGCTCCTACAGCTCATTTATTTATTCCATAGTCATTACTGAACATTAATAAACATTCACTAACTTTCTCTTGCTTAGACATATTCCATTTCTAATTATGTTGTTTCTTTATAAATGTGATGATTATCACATAAAAATAAGAGAAAGATATATAGTTGCAAATGGAACTGAAACTAATTCCTTTCTCTTATAGCTAAGAAATTACTTGAAAGTATGCTATTCATATACTCTGCTTCCTCAAAGTCCGTGATCTTTTACACTGTAACCAGCTTTAGAACCTGGTCTTGCTTTCTGAGATGTTTAAGCCTCCATAACTTCTACTTTAAAATTCACCTTTGTCAGGCAATTACTAGGATCACTAGAAGTCAAAAATTGTGCTCTACCACTAACAAAACACAGTGTTATCTTTTTAAGAACTCTTTTCATAAGCTAAAAAAATAGAAGTTTGTATTATATTTTAACAATCAAAGTGAGAGTAATAATTCTCAACAAAACTAAAGTACAGGCCTGGCGCAGTGGCTCATGTCTGTAATCCCGGCACCTTGAGAGGCTGAGGCAGGTGGATCTCCTGAGCCCAGGAGTTAGAGACCAACCTGAGCAACATGGCAAAACCCTCTCTCTACCGAAAATACAAAAATTAGCCAGTCTTATAACCTAGTCTCAAAAAATAAATAAATACAAATTTTAAAAAAGAAAGTACAGATCACTACTGTTACTTCTCAAATATTTTAACAAATAAAGGAAAAAGAAATAGAAGAACCATACTCTGCAAATCACTATTTAAAGGAATAATTTTTTACATAAGAGGATGGAGAGGGCAGCAGTTGTTAGTGACAGCAATGGCTCATTCTTATATACATGAGATGATGCAATCAGGTTTCTTTTCAGAGCTGGGGTCCAAAGGGATTTCCTACTCAAGCTGGTCACATTAGGCTATAAAAGGCACTGGTGCACTTGGAGACCAGACTCCACACAGATCCTCACATGCAGGGTAATCAAGCTCATTGAAAAGTTGCCCTGGGCTAGTTTCCAGCTAATTAAATAGATTAATGAAAGCCCAGCTCTGCTTCTACGTATTATCCTAGATGGCCTCACTCCTTCCCACACCCTTTATATCACTGCAATATCAACACCACACGAATTCTATGTTACCACTGGAATTTCACTCCTGAGCAATATTAATTCAACCATTTGAAAAATTCTGAAACAGCTTCATGATCTGAGTTAAAGTCTTAAAGACCAGAACCATAGTTTACAAATAGACTATCAATCCCCAATAACTCCACAAGTGAAAATATATATGTAATGCTAAATATTGAAAAGTTTAACCATAGTTCTAGAAATAGAATAATATAAATTTCTAACCAGTTTGGCTTAATGATACTTTTCTAAAGAAATATTACATTTCTCAGACTTCACTAATATAAAGTTTTCTTTTAAACATCATTACCTTAAATCTTACCTTATTTTTAAAAACAAGCTGAACAGGAATTTTTAGAACATCACTTATAATTTCCCCATCATCTTCAATATAATACACAATTACACAGGCTTTTGGAGTCCAAGAATTTTCTGGTGTTAAAGAGAACATTGTTGAATTTTGTTTTCCTACAGCCACCAACTGTCCCCTGGATACTACCTGAAAAGAACAGTAGATGGGTTTAATTTATTGCCAAACCTAGTAGGATCTCATCTGAAGCTACATTAATCATAATTGTATGCATACACACAAATTCTTGAATTAAACCAGCTTCAAAGTCTTTTGGAATGCAGGAAAACCTCTCTGACAAACACAGAGAGCATACACTGAGAAAAAGAAAATGGTAAGATTAAAGTAATACTGATTGGAGCAACAGTAGCTTCATAGTCAAGAATCTATTTTTGATTGCAAGGAATACAGGGCACCATTGGGAAAGCTGAATTAGCAAAATTACATGGTCATGGATAGCACTTTTTATTTTCTTTTTCATTTTTCTTACATTGTATAATTTTCTATAATGAATATATATTGCTTATCAAATAGAAATTTAAATTTTAAACATAAAACAAGGTTTAGTTATCTATTTTAAATTGGAAATGCAAACATAGGTGAAGAAATAAAAAAGGTTTTTTATTTGATTGCAATGTTAAAACGACAGGCTAAAAAGGTATGAGGCTGAGTTATAAAAATTAATAAGTTTAGTGTAGATATAAGGTAGACACCATTTAAGATGATTCTCAACCTAAATGCCCATCAAAGGTGGACTGGATAAAGAAAACGTGGTGCACATATACTACGGAATACTATGCAGCTATAAAAAAGAATAAAATCATGTCCTTTGCAGGAAGATGGATGGAGCTGGAGGCCACTATCCTTAGCAAACTAATGCAGGAACAGAAAACCAAATACCACATATTCTCACTTATAAGTGCACACTAAATGATGAGAACACATGGACACATAGAGGGGAACAACCGACACTGGGTCCTATGGGAGGGTGGAGGGTAGGAGGAGGGAGAGGATCAGGAAAAATAACTAATGGGTACTAGGATTAATACCTGGGTGATGAAATAATCTGTACAACAAACCCCCATGACATGAGTTTAGCTATATAACAAACCTGCACATGTACCCCAGAACTTAAAAGTGAATAAAAAGATGATTCTATAATAGATCATAAATTTAGATTCTATAAGAGATTACCATATAGCTTAACTCCTTCAATCGTTTGTTGCCACTAACCACCAACTCAAAAGGCGATCCCACCTAGAAAAAAACCTTAATTAATATGTACATATCAAAAGCAAGATAGTCCAATTATATTGTAATTCTCAAGTGAATTGTAAGCATTACCTTTATATTTTCATCTCTTGTTTTTAGTTGGATGTATGTCTTACTAGGAGACTTAAACAGACTATGAACTGCCATGCTACTTTTACTACCAAGGAAATAGGCCTATAATAAAAGAAAAAGGAGCTGTAAATGTTCATCTTTAGTAACACCTTGAGAAAAGATGTTACCTGCTGAACAATTATTAAAGACCAAATTCATCTTCACTTTTTTTTAATGCAAGAAAAATACATTCACCAGACATTGGATTTTCATCATTTTATAGCTTATACTGTAAAGAAACTGATAGCTTTAAAACACAGGAAAGGAATATATATATATATATATACACACACACATATACATATACATATATATGTGTGTATATATATATATGTATATATATTTATCTTTCATTTCAATTCCTGCCAAAATAAAATTTCAAATGACTGACCTCAAACACTAGACTGGGGATTTGAGGAAATTCTCCATCATATCTTCACATTGCTATATTTTACTGTGCTCTTCAAAATGAACTTACAAGGAAAAATTTAGTCTAACCTTCAGCCACTGTCATTAAATTACTTTTACCACTCTCCTCCATTTTGTGAAACAGAAACATGTGTCCACTTCCTATGTACTTTCAGTTCTGACAGGTTGAGTGCCTACCACAAGATTACAACTGTAATGGTGTTGTTGCAGTGACACAATGATGGGAAACAGACGGCACCTTCAACTGTAGCTCACTGGAATCCTCCAGGATTGGGAATTCAATCTTAAAAGTTCCACTTTGGGGGACAGTATAATTTATTTTCTGAACAGCTTCCATTTTCTGATTTCCACTGTTAGATCCGCTCCAGTACTCAGTATAGTTTCTCTGTGTCACTGTTATGACTACATTATTTCTTCTTTCTTCAAGAGTCAGTTGGTTGCCATCAGCACGAGTTACCTTCACCTAATGGTCAAAACAAAACATCTTAAAAACACAAAGGATTTAAGTACGATTAAATACAGTTTCCGTCTGTAGTATTCTCATGAAATTGAACTCTCAAAAATTATTGGTAGCACTATAATATCCAGATTCAGTGGCCTCTCTCTAGGAGGCATCCAACATCACTGATTACTCCCTTGTTAATATTATGGATTCCCTTAACTTCCGCGGCTCCAAAATAACCCCCTTCACTTCCTACCTCTCTTTCTGCATCCTCTCAGTGTCCTTTTCAGTTCCTCTTTCCTCTCCCTAAATGTGGGAATTTTGGACATCTGTTCTTCTCCCTTCCTCCAAGGTCTCAGCAATCCTATTGCTTAGCTTGTCATCTCTGTGATTGTACCCTAAAGCCAAAATTCCCATCCTTGCCCTTCTCTGGAGTTCATGCCCAACACCTCCAGTTACCTGCAGGAAATTTCTACTTGGATATCCTGGACACCTTGAATTCACATATCTAAAATGAGCAACCATGTCATTTTCCTATTTTCGCTAACATCAGGATTTTGCAAGACTTTACATTTCTGAATTTTCCCTCCCTCTCCCCACCCCCCAAATCCAATGAACACCAAAGTCCTATGCTTCTCTCTTCCATCCTCTCCACTCCCACAGCTACCACCACAAGGCTGCCCATCCCCTCACTCCTGGGCTACAGCCATCCTCCTGCACACAGCCTGAGCAGTCTCCCTCAAACACTACCTGAGTGCACCCCGAAATTGCCAGCCAGACCTCTCCTTCTTGTCTCACTTCTTATCTTGCTCCCCACCTCCCACTCCCATGCCCAAGCATTTAAAACACAACTAATCTTTTAAAAAACAGTTTAGACCATCCTCTTCCATAAAGCATCCCATAGTAACCCCCATGCCTATCCCACAGCCAACTCTCCCCCTCTGAACGCCCATGGTTTCACTCTACTCATTCAGAAATTACCATTTGCAGCCTCAATTTTTTAAACTGACCTTTTCAAACTGCCTAAATTAAGATCATTGAAATCAGAAACTACCTGAAACGTCTACCGACCCATTCAACAAGTGACCCCTCCATTCTTTCTTTGTCGTTTTAGTTGTTTTTTTTTTTTTTTTTGAAATGGAGTTCCACTTTTGTTGCCCAGGCTGGAGTGCAATGGCGCAATCTCCACTCACCACAACCTCCGCCTCCCGGGTTCAAGCGATTCTTCTGCCTCAGCCTCCCGAGTAGTTGGAATTACAGGCATGTGCCACCACGCCCGCCTAATTTTTTGTGTTTTTAGTGGAGATGGGGTTTCTCCATGTTGGTCAGGCTGGTCTCGAACTCCTAACCTCAGGTGATCCGCCTGCCTCGGCCTCCCAAAGTGCTGGGATTACAGGCATGAGCCACCACGCCAGGCCTGACTCCTCCTTTCTTTAAATCAGAGATCAGCCAACTACTGCAAGCTGATAGGCCAATCCAGTATGTTTGTAAACAAAGTTTTACTGGAACACATTCCACTCTCACTTATTTATAAATTGGCTATGGCTGCTTTCACACTACAATGGCAGGGCTGAGTAGCTGTGACAAAGACCACATGGCCACAAAGCTGAAAATATTTACTCTCTAGCCCTTTGCAGAAAAAGTTTGGCAACCCCTGCTTTAAATCCCTACAGAAATTAATTTGTAACACTAATCTTAATCTGCCATGAGTTATAGTTAAGTATATATTTTCCTGTCACCATCACAAAAACTGTGAACCTGAGGGTAGGGACTGAGCCCTTCTTGGCTCTATAGCCCTGCCCAACACCATGCCTTGCTCATTGTCAACATTCACACAATTAATGTGTTAATTCAACATTATCTCCAAAAAATGAGATTTGTTGATAATTTTTTAATGTAACATCTTTGTTAGAACTACAATTAATCATTATAAAAACCAAATTGAAATTGAAATTTTTGACTACCATGTAATTATTTCAATTAATTAATAAAAGCTTCAGTGTAGCAATCCACATCTAACTTAAATTGCTTGTAAAAAAAAATACATTTTCAAAAAATATTTTTACTGTTGTTGAAAACTACTTTTTTAGAAAAAATAGACAAAGGTCATTTGGAAACAAATCTACATGCCCCACATGTCTAAAGAGACAAAGTTATATACTTTTTGGCTTAAATTTTTAGAAAAGCATTGAAAATATTATTTCCCATTCTATTTCATTAAGCTGAACTTACTGCTATGGACTGGAAATAAATATACCAACTTACAGTGGCTGTGAAGTTGAGAGATGGCTTCAAGACAGTAGTATAATCAAAAAACTCAATGATGTAATCATGTTGCTTGAAGAACACATTAGTGCTTACATTTCTTGAAATACCTTTTTTGGAAATTGCACAATTTAGAAAGCAAAAGTAATGTTTCACCCAAAGCTTCTATCCACCAAATCTCTCCATCTAACCTATTGCAAAAAGGGTTAAAAATATCAGGGCACATAAGCCTCATTCCCATATTGACTTTGACACTACAAGCACCACACAGTTCTATTATGTTCTCTATGGATCCCCTCTAAGCACCATTGCTGCCATTCTACCGCAGTGACATGTACAACAGCAGCAAATTAAGGCCAATGAAAGAATAGTCTTTTGCTCTTTCAGGGATTGGCTAAAGTTGTTGAAATAGTAACAGAAAGGTCCAAGAAACTCAACTTTATTTTCTTATTAAAAGTGAAAACTGTCTAGGAACAGCTGAGATTTCAGTGATTTTAAAAAGAAGAAGGTTACCAGCTGAAAATGTAAGCCTTTCCATGTAGTTTTCAGGGGGAAAGAGTAGAAATGGAAAAAAAAATTAAGAAGAGCTATCACATGTGGTTGAAGTAGTGACTTTCATAGAAAATAAGGTCCCCCTTATAAAATCATCCTGCAACTTAGACTAACAGTCATAACAATTTCAACATTAAATAGCATCTTTAGAAAGTCAATGATGCTCCCAAATGAAAGTGCCAGTTATAATAAGAAAGATGATAAAGCAGTGTCACATGAATAGTTTTACCTCCACTTTAAAGTCTACAAACCTGTAACTGATTCTGTCACTGTGGTTAAAATTTCTACTGGTCCAGGGGAAGATAGATCCAGGTATTCAGAAAGTCCATTTGAAGAATCCATTACATTTTTCATCTCTTCATCATTAAAAGAGAAGTTTGCAGATCCATTTATCTGTTTTGTTTAAAAGTTCAGTATTATTTACCATTTTAGCAATTCAAATTTTAGAAATAAAACTCAAACTAAGTCACAACAATATGATAGCTCTGGTACCATTTTAATCGCTATAATTGCATAAATTCTCATTTGTTCAATGCTGGAAAGCTCTTGATTTTCTTACACTTAACTTTTTGTTAATTCAGTACTAAATCTTATTTCTAGAAAAATACACATATTTTACCCATCACAAGTTATAAAGTGTCTGCAAAAGTTACCTTAAATGTTTTTGTAATATTTTTCTTCTTTCCCCAAAAGGATAAAGGTAAAAATGTAAGCGTTACGTCTCCTTTCACTGGCTTCCCATATGTATACCTGAATAATTATAAACATAGTCTTTTTATGTATCAACTTGATATTGTCAGAACACAATAAAAATACTACTTTCAATAGCATACATTAGCAATTAGCAATCTAACATTTTAAAAAATTACATTGGGCTGGGAGCGGTGGCTCACGCCTGTAATCCCAGCACTTTGGGAGGCCGAGGCGGGTGGATCACGAGGTCAGGAGTGCAAGACCAGCCTGGCCAACATAGTGAAACCCTGTCTCTACTAAAAATACAAAAATCAGCTGGGCATGGTGGCAGGCACCTGTACTCCCAGCTACTTTGGAGGCTGAGGCAGGAGAACTGCTTGAACCCAGGAAGTGGAGGTTGCAGTGAGCCGAGATCGCATCACTGCACTCCAGCCTGGACAACACAGCAAGACAGCAAGACTCTGTCTCAAAATAAATAAATTAAAAAAAAATACATTATGGGATGGCAAAACACTAAAAAGAGAAAATTTTAAAAAGAAAAAAGTTACATTAAAAACATACTCCTACTATAATTTTTTAAACTAAACCCAACAAAAATGTCTTTAATAAACGGTGATCCTGGATGGGCACGGTGGCTCATGCCTGTAATCCCAGCACTTTGGGAGGCCGAGGCTGGTGGATCACGAGGTCAGGAGTTCAAGACCAGCCTGGCCAAGATGGTGAAACCCCATCTCTACTAAAAATGCAAAAAAATTAGCCAGGCGTGGTGGTGGGTGCCTGTAATCCCAGCTACTTGGAGGCTGAGGCAGAGAACTGTTTGAACCCAGGAGGTGGAGGCTGCAGTGAGCCAAGATCGTGCCACTGCACTCCAGCCTGGGCAACAGAGTGAGACTCCAACTCAAAAAATAAATAAATAAATAAAAAATAAATGGTGATCCTTGAAATTAAGTTTCCAAAATGGGAAGACTTTTAACTATAGTAGCTTAAAACAGTTCTTAACACACACTCTGCCCAACCTCTGACCATCTGAAAGACTCCAGAAAATACCTGATCATAATTGGAAGTGACAGTTTCCTGTCCAAAGATTTTTTAAAGATTACATAAATCTTTCACTCCTAGAAATCTGGACTGGCCCATTAACTGAATGCCCACGAAACTTCGCAGCTTTAGAAGATTTTTAAATGTCAGCTGATAGTGCAATCACCATGGTCTATTGCTACATGTTCCAATATTAGCGAGGAAGGTTTATTACACCATAGATTCTGAAGCACCAAATGTGCTCATGGCTGTCAAAAATTGATTTTTTGCCAAAAAATTTAAAATAAGAATAATTTTTAAAATCTGTAGTACCAAACTTAGTTTCTGGGTTTGTGTGTGTGTGTGTGTGTGTGTGTGTGTGTGTGTGTGTGTGTGTGTGTGTGTGTGTTTAGACACAGTCTCACTCTGTCACCCAGGCTGGATGCAGTGGCATGATCTCGGCTCACTGCAACCTCCACCTCAGGGGTTCAAGAGATTCTCCTGCCTCAGCCTCCTGAGTAGCTGGGATGACAAGCGCACACCACCACGTCCAGCGAATTTTATTTTATTTTATTTTTTGAGACAGAGTCTCGCTCTGTCACCCAGGCTGGAGTGCAGTGGTGCGATCTAGGGTCACTGCAACCTCTGCCTCCCAGGTTCAATCAATTCTCTGCTTCAGCCTCCCGAATAGCTGGGATTATAGGCGTCTGCCACTACACCCAGCTAATTTTTGTATTTTCAGTAGAAATGGAGTTTCACCATATTGGCCAGGCTGGTCTCAAACTCCTGACCTCAAGTGATCCACCCAGTTTGGCCCCCCAAAGTGCTGGGATTATAGGCACGAGCCACCTCACCTGGCCCAAACTTAGCTTCGTAAGTCAAATATTCTCTGCTACTTTTCTTTCTATGTATTAATTTTATCCTCTCTCATTATAGGAAAGTCTCTTCATGTGAAGAAGAGGCAATACATTTTACTGCCAGAAAGGCTTTTTTTTTTTTTTTTTTTTTTTTTTTTTTGAGACGGGGTCCCGCTCTTTAGCCCAGGCCGGACTGCAGTGGCACAATCTCGGCTCACTGCAAGCTCCGCCTCCCAGGTTCACGCCATTCTCCTGCCTCAGCCTCCCGAGTAGCTGGGACTACAGGCGCCCGCCACCGCGCCCGGCTAATTTTTTGTATTTTCAGTAGAGACGGGGTTTCACCGTGTTAGCCAAGATGGTCTCGATCTCCTGACCTTGTGACCCGCCCGCCTCGGCCTCCCAAAGTGCTGGGATTACAGGCGTGAGCCACTGCGCCCGGCCCAGAAAGCCTTTTTTAAGTACATTTCCTGGGTTGCTTCTATCTCTATTGTGAAATGCTGAGCCAGACATGGAAGTCAATTTTGCTTTGCAGTCTATAAATCACAGCAGTAAACGGCGGCTTCCTGAATCCATTAACTGAACACAGAAACAGCCCCTCATCTGGATCAACTCAACTCAAAAGCAAATCTTAAAATATAGCATATTCCAAACTAAGAAGAAAAAAAAAAAAATCCAAGTTCAAATGCACCACACTTCCAAACAAAAACAGTAAAGTCAGTGGAAACCCTGGTTAGCAACCTGAGCATCAAATTCACTCATTCAAGAGTCTTCGAAACCTGACTCTACTTGTATCGTGCTAAAGATTAAATAAAAGCAAAACTAGAATGCCAGGATATTGTATTTTAACAGAGTTATATCACATGGTAGTAAAAGGATCTTTAAAATCCAAATATAATTTAAAGTACTCTCAGACATAAAAATTTTTAATTTTGACTTTAATGTGAAGCAGATTTAGTTTTCCAAACACCAAGCTGGTTATAATAATTGTGAAACAAAGATACAATTATTGTCCCAAATAGAACCGGGAAGCATTTGGGATAAGTTAATCACTCAGAAAATAAAAGCTTGACTAATTTTTAAAAAGCAAATCAGCCCAGGAGTGGTGGAACATGCCTGTAGTCTCAGCACTTTAGGAGACCAAGGCAGGAGTATCATGTGAGGCCAGGAGTTCAAGACCAGCCTGGAGAAAATGGCAAGACCCCATCTCTATAAAGGAAAAAAAATTAGCCAGGCGTGGTGGCTTCAAGTCCATGTCATCTGAAAAAAAAACAGTGCTATCTATAATATAAATCCCTTAATAAGTCTAAGAAATATGGGAAATATTTTAAGACTGGGTCGGCTTGCAAGCAGAGTGATAGATGCAGTGAAATGTGGAGCTCTGTCCCATGCTTAATTATTTATTATAAATAGTCATTTACTGTCCACTAAGGTATTTTAATAAGCAAAAATTGCCCTAATATTCTGAAGTATACAATCAGCTTTTGGTCACACAGTTTTATAATGGTTTTGAGTCATATCAAAAGAAAAATGACACTTACTTTGCCGTGATGGTACCATTTAAATGCTTAGAATTCATAGAACAATATAATGGTGTCTGCAAAGTCACTTCAAATTTTGGTAATACTGGAAAAGAAAAGCAAGGGTAAATCTTTTTTTCTTTTTGAGACGAAGAAGCAAGGGTAAATCTTTTAAAGAATCTACTTCACTATCATCTTCCACTGAATAAAATGAAAAATAAAATTGTTGTGAAGGAGTTAATAATTTGTACTATTTGAACTTAAATTTATTAGAATCCAAATACATATTAAGACAGATGAAAAGCCCTTTGTTTCACCCAAAACTAGAAATCCCTAATTTGGTCAGCTTTATATAATTAAGGTATGAGGCTGGGAGTAGTGGCTCACGCCTGTAATTCTAGAACTCGGGAGGCAGAGGCAGGTGGATCACCTGAGGTCAGGAGTTCAAGACCAGCCTGGCCAGCATGGTGAATCCTATCTCTACTAAAAATACAAAAATTGTTGGGCATGGTGGTGCATGCCTGTAATCCCAGCTACTCAGGAGGCTGAGGCAGGAGAATCGCTTGAACCCAGGAGGCAGTGGTTGCAGTGACCCGAGATCATGCCACTGCACTCCAGCCTGAGTGACACAGTGAGACTCCGTCTCGAAAAATAATAATAATAATTAAGGTATAAACTATTTTATAAGTACTAATACTATAATTGATATAAAGCACTCCACCAGAGTAAAAAATGTGTGTTTCTTTACAGTCGATAAAACTTTTTTTCTATAGTTCTCTGACCAAAGAAACAGGCCACTCTCATAACAAGGCACCTCACCATTCAATTAACATAAGAGAAGTATCAAAAAAGCCAAATAGTCAACAATATAGGGCAGACCTTCAGCTCCAATCAAGGCTAATGGCCCTGAATGTACCAAGACACTCCTAGACTCTAGATCAGTCTAGGACAGGGAGACCAAAAAGTCACGTGAGTCAACTATGACCCCGCCCCCGCAACCCCCACCACCAAGAAAATCCAAATGCCTCTTCCTCAAACATCATAGGTTTGCAATCAATTCCCCACCTCCACTATACCTCATTCAACAACATACAACCACCCAGCATACCATCACAATGGGATATAAAGATAGCCTATAAAAATGTTGGTCCCCTATGACTTATTCTTCTAGATCAGGGCTGTCTAAAAGACATAAAATGGGAGCCATATGTGTAATTTTTCATTTCTAGTAGTCAAATTTTTAAAGTAAAAATAAGCAGGTGAAATTAATTTTTATATTTTACTTAACCCTATATATCTAAAATAGTATCTTTTCAACAAATAATAAAAATTTAAAAATGGTTATTAATGAACTATTTTTCTTTCTTTCATTTTTCTTGTACTAAGTCTTTGACATCTGCTGTCTCCATCTGGACTAGCCACATTTGAAGTGCTCAACAGCCACACATGGCAAGTGGCCCCGCTACTGGAGAGCACAGTTACAGATCAGAGTTCAGCAAACTATGACCAGCATGAACCAAGAACATTTTTTACAATTTTTAACTGGTTGAAAAAAATCAAAAGAAGAAGAATATTTCATGACATATGAAAATTATATGAAATTCAAATTTTCATGCCCATAAAATAAAGTTTATTGAACCACAGCAACATTCATGTACATATTATCTTTGGCTGCTCTCATGCTACCACGGCAAAATTGAGTAGTAACAACAGAGACATATGGCCCACAGAGCCTGAGGTATTACTACCTGTATATTATAATTTCTACTGCCTAAATAAAACCCAATCTCAAAAAAGAAGCTCAAATCAAATGAAAAACTGCATGTGCAACCTCAAAATAACTATTCAAATTATAACTAATACTAAGATCCTATGCTTTCAGTCTCATCTCTCATTCCTCTCCATTCACCAACAAAATAGATGGGTCCCACTGTTTTTATCTATGGGTTTCTAACAGATATTGTAAGTATGGCACCTGCAAGAAGAGGATTTACCTGAGAAACAGACCATCTTTACCAATGTCAATCAAATGAAAAATATGGAAGAGAATTTGTTAAGTATTTTTAAGTGCAACACTTTAAATATTTTTTTATCACAACAAAGTAGAAAAATAGAAAAATCATGTTGTGGATAAGAAAAAGACTAGCACAATGCAACTATAGGTGATTTTTTTCTACTTTTTTCTGTATAATGAGATTTTAGAATTTTTACAAAGGAAAAAAAATATGGTTAGGCCTTTAAAAAACACCAGAATTTTAACTCCATTGAGATTTTTACTTCAAATAATACATCTCTTAAAAATTTCTCTAATCTCTGCTGAAAGTAACAAATGTTTTTTTCTTCCAAAATAGATTGAGGAACTCTTACCATATTCTGAAACCTGAAATGATTGATAGTATGTCTGGTCCTATTGGGCAGGGGAGAAAAAAAAGACAGGAAAGTATATGAGTTCTTATTTATTTTGCTTGCTTACTTACTTGCATAAAACAATTTAGAAAATTAATTTTTAAATTACATTTATAATGATGCAATGAACAAACTTGTTTATTTTCATTTATGGAAGTGTATTTGTAGACAACTGCAACATGAAGCCTGTAAAATTTCATGAATTTTTCTTGCCAACCCGTTAGCATAAAATGGTGACCTATCTCTATAATTCATTGCGGGTCATTTAAACAAACTGCTTAATCTGACTTCCATCATTTGTGAAATAAGAACTAGATTAAACTAGATAATTGAGGAATTTATGAAGCAAAGATAACACAGGTCAAACTAACAAATAACTGCAGATTTGTTTTGGATATCATTATCAAAAATTAATGGAGAAAATGAAGTTACACATAACTCAAATACTTATAAATAATTAAGGATGCAAAATCTTCATAGAACAACATGCCTCACTTTTCCAATTCCTTGAATTATTTTCTACTGTAATTCTTAAATCAATACATCCTATGTGGTTATAATAGATACTGTTAATTATTTCCTTTTCCACAATCAACAAGAAAACGTGGGCTATTATCGTATCATTTATCTAACTCTTCATATTTCTCCTTTTTTTGTTGCTTTTGTTTTTGTTTTTGTTTTTTCAGACAGGGTCTCACTTTGTCACCCAGGCTGGAGTATAGTGGCACAAACACAGCTCACTGAAGCCTCAACCTCCTGGACTCAAGCGATTCTCCTGCCTCAGCCCACCAACTAGCTGGGACCACAGGGGCAAGTCACTATGCCCAGCTAATTTTTTTTTTTTTTAAGTAGAACAGGATTTTGCCATGTTGCCCAGGCTGGTCTCAAACTCCTGAGCTCAAGCAATCACACCTCAGCCTCCCAAAGTCCTAGGATTACAGGCATGAGACACCATGCCCAGTCAACTCTTCATATTTCTAAATCGCTCATTCTAAATCAAGGTAGCACATTAAATAGAACCTCTCCAAATTGGCTATGTAATTCCACTAATGAAATTTGCATTGTAAATTTAATTCCCAAATTTATCAAATCAAACACGGAGATGCAGCTATAAAATAATAGCTTTTGTTAACAAGTACCCTTGGTTAATCTAAAATATCTGTACACCACGAAGTTATTTTTCAGTCCTAAAAGAAGGCCATAGTTCACTTCAAAATATAAAACAAATAGAACCACTAACACGCTAACAAATAAATTGTGTATCAATTGGCTTCAACATTGTCATGTAAAGAAGATCCCATCTTTGGTTAGCTGTTGTTGAAAAATAAAAGTTTTAAAAAAAGAAAATCTCAAAGAAATTTTGTTGTTTTGATCAAAGTCTTAAGAAACTTCATATTTATGACTTCTATCTCAAATTGTTTTCATATCATATAGTAACATTATAAATTACACGTATTTGATTCATTTATAAGTTCTAACACGTCATTCTCAAAAGTCAAATCAAGAAGGTAATTTATCTATTACCTGTTTTACTAATGAACATAAGAATGCTAGTCTTTAAGTTAGTTTTTGCTTTATTACTGAGGCCAGCACAGACAAGACTATGGAATAAGTAACAATTATGATGTTTCTGTTTCTCAAGTTTCATTCATATAGCAAACATTAATTGAGTAAATACAACATGCAAAACACCATGTGAGGCTCTATAAATCACAGTCCTCAGCATTAGAGAGTCTAGTGGTGGAGACAGACATAGTCAAGAACAATAATTCAAGACTGACAGTGTCCTGGGGTTTCATGCACTGTGTTTTTGCTCTAACTCTTGCCTATTCTTGACTTATATGTACTTCCATCCCTCCCCATTTTCCAGGGCTTAGCTTAAATATTACTACTTCACTTTTTGATCATTTTTATATCCCGCATAGTTTATCCCTTAGGGTGCCAACCTGTTATAGCACCTAGTACAAAATAAGTGCTCAATAAATGTGTGTTTGATTAAATAAAAATTATTAGCTTTTACAAATATAGGAAATCAACTTACTTATTTGAGCCTACTTTAAACAACAGCCTGAAACTAAGTTTTAGGTCATCATTTGTTTAACACATAAGTAGTTTACATTAGAATATTTGAAATGAATTCCATCTCCCCTCTGCCTCCTACATTGCCAGTCCCTGATCAATCCTGGATTTTCCATCTTTCCATTGACCGTCTCCTTCCCCTCACTCAGTCTCTAAACACCATTGTCTTTTGTTCTCTTGGTATTCCTAATTATCTCTCTGACCCCTTCCTTGTTTCCTTTATGCATCTCTTTCTGATCCTTAAATGTTGGCCTTTCCCATGCTGAGCCCTCTTCCCACTCTTCAGGCTCTCATCAGCTCTCAGGGTTTTAACTGCCATTCCTAGAATAAAGACACCTAAATCCTTATCTCTATCCCAGATTGAGACTCAAATCCACCTGCCAGACATCTCCATCTGAATTTCTGACAGAATGTCCTGGATTTATTGATCTGGATTTAGCCTCTTTCAAATAGCTTTTCTTGATTGCCCTCTCCCCATGGTGGATTAGATGCCCCTTCTCTCCTATAATATCCTGACTATAACTCAATCATCTTGCCTAACACAGTATATGATAATCATTTGCTTTGTGTCCATCTCCTGTAAGAGACTATGAAATCCTTGAGAGCACAGAACCTAGTAAAGCATGCCTTCAACGTTTGTTGAATAAACATAAGTATAAATGAATAAATGAGTCAATTCTTGTCCCCAGTCTGGTTCCTACAGTGCTCAACAGATCAGCCTCAGTTATCAGGCAGCATCTCCTGCAATACATTAAAATAATCTTCTCTTGAGAAGGATCAAACAACCCTGAAGAGGCAAATGACCCACAGAGTAACCTTAACTCTGCCCTTTAAGGAAGGAACATGAATGCCCCAAGGAGTGAATGCATCCAGCCATCATAGAAAAATGAAGAACACAAAGGAAGAAAAGTACTTCTTTTCACTGACATTTTAAATTGTTCCAATAAATCTAGAAAACATTTTGGAAGTGGGTGCTGACAGTATGCTTTCTACTACACAATGTCTTCCCAAGGTGCTCATATGTGGTAAAATGCAAATCAAGAAATAAATTATTTTACTGTCCAAGGGATTTGAAAAGCAGAAATTAGTTTTGTAATGTCCAGTGTATTGTCCATTAGGCAAACAGACCATACCAATTTTCAGAATTAATTCAATTATTTTAATGAGATATATAATCAAGTACAAAAGATACTGAAATATTTAAAATTAATAATAATTCAGAGAATTAATAGCCATTTATGCCATATATAACCACAAAAACACTGATACTGAGTACTTTCATTAATCTAGAACAGGGATCTGCAAACTTTTCCTGTAAAGAGTGGGATAGTAAATATTTTAGGCTTTGCAGGCCATATGGTCTCTGTCCCAACTACTTAACAATGCTGTTGCAATGCAAATGTAGCCAGACACAATTTGTAAACAAACGAGCACGACTATGTTCCAATAAATCTTTATTCACAAAAACAGGTGTCAGGCTACATTTGGTTTTTCTGCCAGGGTTTGCTAACCTCTAGTTTAAAAAAAGGAATAAAATGTATTTCCAAATTGTTCAGTGTTCGTTCTAGGTGAACTAAACTAAATTTGACTAAACTTTACTAAAAACATGGAGCAAAAAAACACAGTCTTTTCGTAGGAAGTACAAGTTTCTCTTATGAAACAATTTTCCTTCACTTTCAAAATAATTTTATCTGCTTCAAAATGAGTATTTGTGTTAACTGTAGTTCATCAAATACAGTTCATGCTCATTCACTCTGCCAACAACTGGAAAAAAGACCCTAACCTGAAGGCTTAAATACTTGGGCAGCATGTCTTTTAAGCAAACACCTCCCCAGGCAAGAGAAGCATAACTCATGTCTCCTGAGCTCTTCTTTCCCCAATATGGTCACTCTTCCATGGGGAAAGCTCTCTCTTAAAAACCTGCTCCAAAGCACATCCAGTAGAAACTCTCTGTTTCTACTGGATGTAAGACGGCCTTGATTAGATTTTCTAAACAACTTCTAAAGCAGAAGTAGAAAATAAGAGTCAGCAGGTATTCTTAGCAACCTCTGTAATTTCTCTACCTCTTGTCCCTGAGTCAATAATTCATTGTGAGGGTGTATGTTACAGAAATTAGACAAATGAAGTGGGAAAGAGAAAACACATTATTTTTACCACCCTTTTAAGAAGTATGTTATGACTAGAATACAAATTGAGACATGTGAATTACTACAACCATCTATTCCAGTTACAGAATTTTTCTTCCCTAACCATGATGCCATCCAACTCTTGAGTTTCTATTTTTAACAGATTTGAAGAAATATAGCATATTACATGACCATTAAAAAATATATTTTAAAATGCAGGTCAGTTTCTTTCAACTCTTGCTTCTGGAGTAAAAAGCAATGCCAGAATCAAAACTAAGGTGCTGGTTGGATTATTTCTGTTTGTTCATTATGTTCTTTTATGGTCATTTCAATTCCCTAATAGTTTGTTTTAGCACTACTCTCCAGTGTCTGGATGTACCTTTTACTTTAAGAAAGGCACTGAATTTGTTAAATCTGCACATAACGGGAGGTTAAAAGGGAACTATTTCAGACTCAGTTTTGCGTTTAGCCCCCAAGACAATAGATGTCAACTATGTCCACCTTCCACAGGTGAAGGATGCAGGACCTGTAAAGGAGGTTTCCAAAAACTGGTTTTGTAACTCTTAACCCATCACCAAGGTGGAAAGGTCAAGATAAAAATAAAACTAGAAGGGAATTTCAGGAGAGAGCTTTCGATGAGCTAGGAGTGGCACTCACCCCACCCTGGGGCATCAGGTAGAGTTGCTTGGCCCTCATTTCAAGCCTAGGGAAACGGGCTTCCATAGACAATGCAGACAACTAGGTATGTGTCCCTGGGAGCATCCTCAAGCTGTCAGTGAGCAGGCTGTTGACACACCTGAAAACTCTAAAGGGTATAATATTTGTGCTGGCAGTGGAGCTAAGAGTGTGCTATGCTAGGAGTGGTCTGCATCTCCTGAATGTTCAGGATCAGAGAAAGCATGAGCATTTTCCCTCAACTAGATATGCCAAAAGAGCAAGTCAGCATGGAACTGTTTTCTATCCTGATCAAAACAGCCTTAGTAGGAATAAGGCAAGCCCTCAGAAGAGGGAAGCTGAGGTGTGTGATCTAGATGCCCAGCAGCTAAAGATGGAGTTATGAGCTGCCATTTGGAGGAGACAGATTCAAAAGCATCCAGGGTACTTTGGATGAAAGACCTCCCCACAATCTTAAGGGTCCTCCTAGGAATACAGAAAGGAGTTCTAAAAAGGAAAAATGTAGTTTTAAATGCCGTCTTAGCCCAGACAGGTCTCATGCAGATGACAACAGTATTACATTGAACCATATTAAATTGACATTTTTGCAGGACAAATATTAGCAAGTTCACATGACTCATCCTTATACATCAGATGAGAATTTTGTTACCCCTCACTTCTCTTTCCTCCACCCAATTCAGTCTGGAGGAGTCAAAGGCAGCCTAGTGAGTTGGAGGCAGGCATCCAGACCAAAGAAGACCCGAGCTGGAGAAGGGAGCATTTTATTTTATTAGACTGGACATATTAATTACTGAATGTAGACTGTGTATATGAAAGTAACCGAACATGACAGGACCTTTTGTTACCAAAGAGTAACCATAAAAATGATGAGATTTTCCCTACATTTTATCCAAGGAGTAGGGAAGAATTCGTCCCAAAGAACAGGACAAAATGGCACAAAAATAATGTGCTTTTTTACTTCACCTGTCAAGTAATAAATGTTCAACCTCACAGTTACACATAAATAACTGGGCATGAATATGTTAAGTAAGAATAGGAATACCATAACATAAATGAAATTATATTGCTGCTGCCTCCACCAGATAATCATATTAATTCTCTCCTTCTTAGGAACAGAAGTTGTAGACTATTATATACATTACCCTACATTACATAGCTATGTTATGTATAGCTATTTATGCGCTTTATTGCTCTTGAAATCTCGATTCTGCCTCTCCCATTTCACTGACCCCAGAAGATGCTCGGTATGCCAGGTTGCTTTCCTCTAACCGCCTGTCACCTTTCTCAGGCCTCACTCCCTTTGAGGCCTCTGCAGCACCTGGAAAGCCACTCTCTCTGAATCTCTTGCCCTCTGCTCTGTGCCTGAACTTGCTTGCTTTTCTCTTCCCAAAACTGGCTGTTCTTTCTCTATTGCTTTGGATGGCTTCTCTGCTTTGCTCCTAAATGTGATTTCTGATGGCTCAGTCCAAATACATCTAGCTCATACCACTCACCCAAACTGAGCTTCCATCCCTAACTTCCCTAGAACTGATATGGGTGATTCTCCCAAAGACCCAACTTGAAATTCCCAGGTACCTTTTGCTCCTCTTTCTTCTCTGCTCCAATCGAAATCCAGTCACTAATCCTAATGATTCTGCCTTTAAGTGTCTCTTGAATTCATCCATTCCTCTTTAATTTTTTCTGCTCTCTTACCGCAGTCCCCCATTACCTTTGAACTTACTAACACTGAAGGTATTCGATTATAAGCTAACATTGAAGGTATTCGTATATTTGTTAAACAATAATACTAACCCCCTGGTAGTCTCCTGGACTTTAGTTTCTCTCCCTCTAATCACCCTACATGCTGCCACCAAAGTGATCTTCCTAAAATACAACTTTAATCATGTCATACTTTTACATAGAAACTTTCTACTAAAGCAATAAGAAGACAACACATACTGATGATTTTTGTTTGTTTGGAAGTTTACCATAAGGGTGTCATACTTTCTACACTATCATGTTTGGATGTTTTTACCTTACTCATGCATTACTTTTATAACCAGAGGAAAATTATGAAGGTATGATCCTATAACTTTTATAATTTGAGAGACCCATTCACACACATTTTGTTTCCTTTGTCCTCAGAAGTCCTATATTGAAATTTGCATCACTGATTGAAATTCAAAGTAAAATACACAAAAGTTTTTAGAGCTGCCTGTTGTCTACAAAATGAAATACAAAATTTCAGCCTGATAGCCAATATCCTCCACAGCTCGGCCCACAAACTTCCCCACCTTTCTCTTCAACTACTACTCTCTACAAGCCCTCCATGCCAGCCAGTGCCTGCTCCCAGCCCCACAGCCCTGTCAGCCAGCTCAGAGCCCACCACTTCCCATCCAAATCCTACAGTCCCCTCCAGCCCTATCTTGGACTTGTAAAGTTGTGAAGATCCTTAAAAATCCCTTGATCCAAACCCCTTATTTTACAGCTGAGGAAACGGAGACCCACAGCTGAAATGCCATGCCCACCATCACTTAACTAGAGCACAGTACCCAGGTCTTAGGACTCCTAATCTAATGCTCTTTGCATTTGTTACACGAAGCTTTTCTGATTGTAAGCTCCTTGAAAGCCAGGTCTGTGTCTTGTCACCTTTAGATGTGTACTGACTGGTGTTTCTTCCCACCCTCGCATACAACACAAAAGCTTCATATTTTTAGCTTTATTCCGATCCCTACTAACCTGACTATGCCTAAACCTATTGCCTACGTAATAGCAATCATGTAATACCCTATTTTTCCCCTCTTTTATTTTTACCATAAAATTGGGAGAGCTTAAAAATAAAAAAGAAATCACAATGGAAATATCATCCTGTAAAAGTGTCAGCTGATGTACACTGTCCTACTTAGAGGAATGACAGAGTCAATAGGGTTTGCAAAATGAGAGAAAATGTTTATTAACATTTACATCATCCTTTCCTTCCCTTTCCTGTTTAGAGTCTAAACACCTGTGGTCTAAACTGTAGTTGCAACATATTTCTCTATGGGGTTCAACCCAAACTCAGCATCAGAATCAGCTGTGGTGGGTTTAATAAATAGAGGTGTCCAGTTCCTACCCCAGAGCTACTGAATCAGAATTACCAGGGCTGAGGCCCAAACACAACAAATGCATTCATTCATCCATTCCTTCAAGAGATATTCATTGCGCCTGAGTGGCAGGTGTAATGGGAATACAACCCCGCATGGACCTTCTGATCTAGTGGAAAGAAGGATATTTATCAAATAACCACATATGTGAGTATGTATTACAAATTATGATAAAAGCTGTGAATTAACATTTACAGAGAGTTATGAAATCTGGAGATGAGATGGGAAAAACAGAGTCAGATCAGGTAAGACCCTGTGTAGGCCATGGTAAAACATCTGAATTTTGTTCTGAGGCCAGTGGAAAGTCTTTGGACAGTTTTAAGCTGGGGAATAACATGATCCAGCTAATGTTGAGATTATTTTTACTGCTGTGTAGATAATTGGTTGCAAAGGGGAAAAAAACCAAATGCAGAGAGATTAAGAGACACTGTAATATCTAGGAACAATATAATAGTGGCTTGGACAAAGGAGGGAGAGGTGGAAATAGAGAAGTAGGTGGATTTGAAATATATTTAAGGTTGAGGCAGGCAGATCACTTGAGCTAAGGAGTTAGAGACCAGCCTGGGCAACATGGTGAAACCCCATCTCTACAAAAAATACAAAAATTAGCCGGGCATGGTGGCACACGCCTGTACTCCCAGCTACTCGGGAGATGGAGGCAGGAAGATCACTTGAACTCGGGAGGTGGAGGTTGCAGTGAGCTGAGATTGCCTGGGTGACAGAGCAAGACTCTGTCTCAGGGTAGGAAAAAAAAAAAAGAAAGAAAGAAATATATTTATTTAAGGGAAAAAGCTGTGGGAATTGATGAAGGCCTGAATATGGGTGGTCAGGCAGCATGAGGTGTCAAGAACTCTAAGGTTACCAGCCTGCACAGCCGAATGGATAGAGAATTAAATAAGGTAGGAAATGCTGCAGAGGAGCCAGGTGTGGTGGGGAAAGATTGT
The DNA here is from genome assembly GCF_000001405.40 of Homo sapiens. NCBI lineage: Eukaryota > Metazoa > Chordata > Mammalia > Primates > Hominidae > Homo > Homo sapiens. Next base: position 73,747,697 of record NC_000006.12, on the reverse strand, counting down.
TAAGAATGATACTGGACATGAAGAGTTTGGGGTGCTTTGAAACATCCAAATACAGATGTTGATAGTTTTAAAGGTAGATAGTTTTAAAGGTCTAGAACTCAGAGGTATAGGTTCTCTCAGAGAGGCCAATTTGAGAGTCATTGGTGTATAGATGGAAACTGAAACCATGCCTTCGGGTGAACTTCCCTAGAGTGAGAAATGAAAGAAACTTAAAACCAAACTTGCAATGTGCCAATATGTAATAGAGAGTAAATGACGAAAGTGACCAAGAAGAAGAATCCAAACAAGTAGAAAGAAATCTCAGTCAAACTGGAGTGAGTTGGGAAAATGGAGGCAGAGAGATCAGACATTTTTTTTTAGAAGACTGGCTAGAATGGGAATGTGAAGTCACTGAAGAGGAAGTAGAGTTAAAGTACAGTACTTCTCTATATTTTTTGTTTTTTCAATGAGAAAGAATTAAACATATTAGATTTTATAAAAAGATCTAAGACAGAAAGAGATCCAGTTTGAAGACTGAGAAGAAAGAGACTGTCAACACTGCAAGTTTTCTGACAAAGTAGAGGAAGAAAGAAGCCAAGGCAGAAATCGGGATATTGGTCTTAGATGTGAAGAATAGGACCTTTCCTCTAAAAAGAAGAGAATAAGCATGAGATGGGCACAGGCAACACATGCAAATCTGGCAGAAAAAGTGAAAGAAATTCCCATCTGATGACTGTGTTCTCTGTGAAGTGGAAAGGAAGATAATCTACTGAGTGTGAGGAGGGAGGAATCAGAACCTCCCCAGGAGACAGTTTTGTTCCTGGATCCCTTCTCTCATTAGAAAGGATTACAAATATTCTGGTTCTTATCAAGGCTGGAACTAAACACCTGAAGAACTGAAGCTGGTCTATACCTGACAGTCACTCATAGTGACAGGACTTGGGAATAATGGATCTAACCAATGACCAAGACATAGACCATACAAGCCTCCAGTTAGCAGAATAGTGGCCAGGTATCCAGGGATCACAAGCACATTCATACTCCTAAAACAGTGTTACCATCTGCAGTACAAATACATTATGCAGTACAAGGGACAAACTTGTTTCCTTGGTGTTGAAAAAAAAAAAGTACTAACTAGAAACATATTCTCTTTAAAAACAAACAATAAACAAAAATCACCCATTTAACCCTCTCTGTTCCTACTCAAAGTAGAAGGAACTATGGTTTTTAAAGACATGTAACATGACCACCTTTCTTGGGCACCTATCTCAAGCAAGGGAGCAAAAGCAGCAGCATAGCTACAGGTTTGTACTGAATAGGAAAGTTACCCTTGAGGGAAAATAACTCCATTTCTTGCTCTTTCTCCCTTTCCTCACTCCACCCAGGGACTTGGTACTCATTTCAGTGCCCCCTTCCCCCTCACCCAGGGCTGCCACCACTGGTCAGAGCCCAGTGAGTTATCATTTTCCAAAACTCCCTCTATGCCACTGAAAATAAAGCATCATACAGAACCATACACACATACCACACAAACGTCAAATTCTTGCTTTTTATATTGTACTATAATAACATAAGATATAACCACTGGGTGCACTGCGTTAAGATAATATAGGGCCGCTTTGTGCTATCTTCGCAACTTTCTGTGAATCTACCTAAAGGTAAACAGTTATTTTTAAAATTAATCTTCTTGGCTGAGCACAGTGGCTTATGCCTATAATCCCAGCCCTTTGGAAGGCAGAGGCAGGCGGATCACTTGAGGTCAGAAGTTCAAGACCAGCCTGGCCAATGTGGCGAAACCTTGTCTCTACTAAAAATACAAAAATTTAGCCAGGCGTGGTGGTGGATGCCTGTAATCCCAGTTACTCGGGAGGCTGAGGCAGGTGAATCGCTTGAACCTGGGAGGCGGAGGTTACAGTAAGCCAAGATTGTGCCACTGCACTCCAGCCTGGGTGACACAGCGAGACTCTGTCTCAAAAACAAACAACAAAAAATTAATCTTTGTAAGCCTCATATGACCAAGGTTATAGAGGCTGTGAGGTGACAGCAGCCTAATCCTTAATAGTATATTAATGGATATTAAATAGATGAACCAAGTAACCTACATGCTGGACTCAAATCTTCAATCTAAACACATGGCTGCTGTGGTCAGAATCTGGGACACGTTGGGAACAATCCAACGTGCAAACAAGGTGATCCCGTGGCATCCACAAGTCATATAAAAGAAGTAGGTATCTTCTCCACCAATGCATACAGCAAGCCCTGTTGACATCTAAATTCAACCTTAAAAGGAGGCCATATTAAAACAGCAATTGCTGGCCAGGCATGATGACTCATGCCTGTAATCCCAGCACTTTGGGAGGCCAGGGCGGGCGGATCACCTGAGGTCAAGAGTTCAAGACCAGCCTGGCCAACATGGTGAAACCCTGTCTCTACTAAAAATACAAAAATTAGCCAGGCCCATGGTGGCACATGCCTGTAAATCCCAGCTACTCAGGAGGCTAAGGCAGGAGAATCACTTGAACCTGGGAGGCAGAAGTTGCAGTAAGCTGAGACAGCACCACTGCACTCCAGCCTGGGTGACAGAGCAAGACTCTGTCTCAAAAATAAATAAATAAATAAAACAGCAATTGCTGCACATATTAAATAATTTAATTTTACAGAACTGAAAGTATGAGTAAACTAGTTGCTAGTCCTGACCCTCCCACAACACACTGTGTGAGCCTAACCAGGTCACGTCACTTATCTCAGATTCTTCCTCCATAAAGTGGGGAGATGGATCTAGGCGACCTCTAAGATCATCTATAGCACTGAGTCCCTATCCTATGTACTGATGATGCTACATACTCAGACCCTCCATTTCATTGATGAACACAACATCCTAAAGTCTGGCCCCAAAGTTTTCTAACTGATGCCAAAAACATGTCTCTTCAGAGAGGGGTACAGAAGACACATTTGAAAGGAGGGGTCCTCCTAGGGTGGCTTCTGTAGAGAAAGAACAAAACAAAGAACTCCTCATGAAAATTTGCATATGGGGCCTAGAAATTAAAATGCACACTGCCAAAGGACTGGCACTAGCAGATCAAATGGCTGAATAAAGACACAAGAATAATATGGCACCAAAATTATAAGTCTATTTTAGACTTTATAACAAACTAGAATATTCAGCTCTTGCCTGAGATTTTTTTTAATTTTCAAAATGAGAAAGTCCAGGGCATTAATCCAAAAGTCCTGTTTTCCATTAGCTCACAGGTTCATCAAATACAGCAACCATATATATTCTCAAAATGAAAATATACAAAGATATTTCTACTAAGTTGCAAGATGATATAGCAGAGTGAGACTAGAAGTCAAAGAACATCACAAAGGATAATAACAGCAATCATCTAGAAGAAGCTCTATTCACTCATTCTTTCATCCCACAAGCATGAATGAGTTCCCATAACAGGTCAGATATTATATTAGACAGAACAAATATGAAAATTAATAAAATAGAATTCCTGTCTTCAAGGAGTTCACAGTTTAAGAAATGAGGCAGACATTTTTTTAAATATCTGAAGATAATAATAGGTTCTGGAGATGGATGGTGGCAGATGGTTGCACCACAATGTGAATGCACCTGATGCTACTTAACTTTTAAATTGTTAAAATGGTAAATTTTACATATATATCTTACCACAGTTTTTAAAAAACGAAAATAACGCTACACTGATTAATAAATGCTATTCTAGAGGTGTTTATCGGGGCCTTTGGAAGAATGGAGGAGAAAGTGCTGAGCTCTGCCAGATAATGCTCTAAGAAATCAATATTCTAAAACCATCTCCTCCCTCCCTTTCTCACTGAACAAGGAAGTAAGAGTTTGAGATCCTTCCCAAACAAAGCATTCTTCTTATAAGCAAAGACTAGTGAAAGTATTTTGGAAGCCACAACCACATTTCAGAGAGAATGCCACTGTTTTCTGACCTGTCAAAGTTTTGCTCCATGCTTTCTGTTAAGTTGTCGTCACAAGCCAGGCGGGTTAAGCAGATGCTCCTGGTAGAGTGCTTTAGGGACAAGAACTGTCCAAACAAAGATGTGCTCTTTTGCAAAAGAAAAACGGCTCCAGAGATACTTAACAGAAGCAGCAAGCTGACCCAGGCAGAGGCTGGACAACAAGTCCAGAAAAAATAAGGAATATCCTGAAAGGTTATAAAAAGCAGTAAGGTGTTGGCAACCCTCACCTAATCTAGAAAAAACAAGTAACTCAAGAGAAACTAGATATAACTGTTAGATGCAAAGAAATAACTCAATGCAGATTGCTTCTGAGTTACATAATAATTTGATAACCCGTTTCATTATACAGGGCTCCAGAAGAGTGACTTCAAGCCTTAACCCTGTTGAGTTTTCTGCTTGCTATTTCTTGTTCCCCACCTCTAACAATGGCTTAAGATTGAGACAACGGTTACGAAATTGTAGTTAGTGACAGATAGAAAAGATGATTATCAAGTTCAGTGGTTCCCAAGCTGGCTGTGCATCTGAAGCATCAGAGAAGCTGTTGTAAAGGATATACATTGTCCCAGAAATTCTGACTTAGTATGTCTAAGGTGCTGGGGAGCTCTACTGAGCTGATTACCTAAAAAGGTAAAGTAAATAGCAGAAAGTAGCACTGCTGAGGAATTCAAAGAATAAATCAGATGGCCTGTCCCCAGTTCCATACCTTGTTGACTGCCCAACACTGCCCAACACTGCCTCTCAATGGAAAAGATGGATTCTAAAGATGCCTAGCTGCGGGCATTTATGAGCACTTCTCAAAATGTGGTTCAAAAAACTAGTAGAATTTCCTTGAGTGCTTATTTAAAATTCAAACTCCTAGCTCCCATGCCAAAATTAGTAAATTGTGATCTGGGGGTGGGACCTGGACTATGCATCTTTAAACAAGCTCCCAGTCCATTGATTCTGTGGCACACTGATGTTTCAGAACCAGCTGCAGCCTCAGGTGGCCATTATGGTAAACTCAAATGCCTAAGCCACTCTAGAAAGAAGAAGAGACTTCCATCTGACAATGAGGAAAGACAGCACAGGGCTGCCGTCATCAAATGACCAGGAATCTCTCAGTGACTCAGGCTCTTCTTTCGGGCTCTTGGAGGAACATGAGCACCAGTGCGTGGGTCACGCAAAGACCTGGAGCTCTGGGCTGCAGGCTGCACTGCTCTGGCCAGATGCCTCCTGGCTCCCAGAAGCCTGGTTCTCAGACACCAACATTAGCCTTTCTTTTAAAGAACCCCTAAAATCACCTTCTAATAACCTCGAATATAATTTTTAAATCATAGATGCAAAAACATTCGCAACCAAATGTGGTATATTCACACAATGGAATATTATTCAGCCTTTAAAAGAGAGAAAATTCTGATATATGCTACAACATGGGTGAGCCATAATAACATTATGCTAAGAGAAAAAAGCCAGTCTCAAAAAGAGATCCTGTATGATTCTGCTGATATAAGACTAATCAACACCACAGAGATAGAATGTACAGTGGCTGCCAGGGGCTGGGGGGTGGGAGGGAATGGAGAGTTATTGTTTAATAGGTGTAGATTTTCAGTTTTGCAAGATGAAAAGAGTTACAGAGATGGATGGTGGTGATGAATGCACAACAATATTAATGTACTTAATACCACTGAACTGTACACTTAAAAATGGTTACAATGGCAAATTTTACGTTATGTGTATTTTACTACAGAAAATAAAAAATGGAGGGAAAAACCATTTGCAGGCCAGGCACAGTGGCTCATGCCTGTAATCCTAGCACTTTGGAAACCCAAGGCAAGTGAATCACCTGAGGTCAGGAGTTCGAGCCCAGCCTGACCAACATGGTGAAACCCCATCTCTACTAAAAATACAAAAATTAGCTGAACATGATGGTGCACACCTGTAATCCCAGCTACTCAGGAGGCTGAGGCAGGAAAATCACTTCAACCTGGGAGGTGGAGGTTGCAATGAGCTGAGATTGCACACTGCACTCCAGACTGGTCAACAGAGTGAGACTCTTTCTCAAAAAACAAAACAAAACAAAACAAAAAAACCATGTGCAATTATTTGAGAAAACTGTCAACACCAATCAAGAGATAACATACCTAGAGATAAGGTACCTAGAGAACTATATTGCAAAGAAATGAAAATAAAGGAATGTCTAACTTTTAAAACACATTATCTTCCTAAGGTGTATTTTCAAGTCAATTATTAAATCAGAACATATTCCCACACTCAACTTATAATGTACCTAAAGTATAACGGCCCTATAAAACACACTTCTATGAAAAGATGTTACAGCTAAAATATACCTCTGCCCTCTGAGAGGAGGGCTTGGTGCTCTAGACAAAGAAATGATGAAAAAGAGCAGGGCAATCAAAGTATGGCAGAAGTAGAAGACTTGGTCACATTCTCAAGAGAAGAAGTACAATCCCCAAAGTAGCAAAGAACTATTCACACTAGAATATGTGTGTCAATTAAGCACACGTATAAGTAGCACAAAAAGAGCCAGGGCTCTTACTAAACTTTACTGATTTTAAGAGGTCTTAAACATTATAATCATCAAGAGTTTCTTTGCAATTTGATTAAACTAGCATTGTAAAAAAAAAAAAAGTCTATGTATATATTGAGAACTTATGATGTCCCACCATCATATGCTGAACAATGACAGAGATAAAACATAAGATGGAAAACCAAGGTGGCAGGGTAGAGAGAACCTTGGATTTGGTGTCAAAAGGCCTGAGTTCTAATCCTAGTTTGGTAAGTTGTGGGACATTGGGCAAATCACTTAACTAATCCCCCAAAACATTTGTTTCCTTTCTTGGCCAGGCACAGTGGCTCATGCCTGTAATCCCAGCACTTTGGGAGGCCGAGTAGGGTGCATCACTTGAGGTCTGGAGTTCAAGACCACCCTGGCCAACATGATGAAACCGTCTCTACTAAAAATACAAAAATTAGCTGGGCATGGTGGTGCATGCCTGTAATCCCAGCTACTCAGGAGGCTGAGGCAGGAGAATCGCTTGAACCTGGGATGTGGAGGTTTCAGTGAGCCGAGATCACACCACGGCCTGGGCAAAAGAGCGAGACTCTGTCTCGAAAAAAAAAAAAAAGAAAGAAAGAAAAGAAAACTAGAAATCATACTAGACCAAAATAATTACTCACCATTACTATCATAAAAAACCTTGAAGGTGAAAAGCAATACAATACTTGAAGGGCAAACAATTTAGATTAATCCAGAAAGGTTAACACGGTATCATAAAGGACTTATTCACTCTTACTCTACAAACAAACATGTTATTAATACAAGTGGAGAAATGCCAAGGAGCCGTCAAGTATGTTTTACTTAAAGGATCCTTTTCCTGACCTAGGACAAAGGGTAACTGAAGAATACCACTTTCTGATTACCTGTATAGTCATTACAAATCAAAGCTCTGATAACTCCGGTAATTCTTAAAGAGATTGTCCATCAGTGGGAATACTCATATCATTCCATATTTTTTCTACAGACAAAATGGAATTTCAAAACTCTCCCAAAGGCTGTGTATGATGGCTCACACATGTAATCCCAGCACTTTGTGAGGCCAAGGCAGAAGGATTGCTTGAGTCCAGGAGCTCAAGATCAGCCTGGGCAACATAACAAGACCCTGTCTCTATGAAAAGGAAAAAAAAATTTTTTAACTAGGCAGGCGTAGTGGCACATACCTGTAGTCCCTGCTACTCAGGAGGCTGAGGCAGGAGGATCACTTGAGCCCAGGAGTTCGAGGCTGCAGTGAACTATGATTGTGCCACTTCACTCTAGCCTGAGTGACAGACGACAACCCTGTCTCTTACAAATTAAAAAATTTAAAAAATACTTCCTTTTTTTTTAGCCAGAGTATCACTCTGTCGCCCAGGCTGGAGAGCGGTGGCATGATCTTGGCTCACTGCAAGCTCCGCCTCCCAGGTTCACGCCATTCTCCTGCCTCAGCCTCCCGAGTAGCTGGGACTACAGGCGCCCGCCACCACACCCAGCTAATTTTTCGTATTTTTAGTAGAGACGGGGTTTCACTGTATTAGCCAAGATGGTCTCGGTCTCCTGACCTCGTGATCCGCCCGCCTCGGCTTCCCAAAGTGCTGGGATTACAGGTGTGAGCCACCACGCCCAGCCAATACTTTCTTGAAAATAAATATTTTCCTTCCCTGAGTTTTATATTGAGAATGGTGACTGCCACCGAAAAGTAAAAATATAGTCTCTAATGGTGGGCTATTTAAATAATAAATACATTTCCTCTATGTTATTATTCACTACTAAAAGAAAAGGGGTTTAATAACAAGAAATATACAGTCCTTTAATGCTGCGCAGTAGTCAAAGAAAAACAAAAGCCAGAGACCAAGGCCACAGTTGCTTCTCATAACATTTCCTTGGTTATACTGACCCCTGGTGGTTCTAAAAGGGCTCTTTTTTTTAAGGGGCTTATTTTTTCTTAGCTGAATGCCTCAAATTAACATACCTCAAATGACAAGTACCTGATCAGTATACTTGTCTTCAAAAAGATAAAGATGCTTTATAGAATATACAAAAGGGAAAATTGCATTTGGTTCAAGACAAATTATTGCTATATAGTTTTCACACATTCGTTTTAAGAAAATACTGCTTTCTACTTACATGCAAAAGCACTGAACTTGGTCCCAGGAATAGAGAGGTGAGCAAGACCAGAAGGTCACCAGCTTTACAAAGGCTACTGTCTATCATGGACCACTAATTAAAAGTGAGATGAATGAATTAAGGGAAGCACACAGTACTATGGGAATGTCTGGAACAGCCAGGCCACTTTAGAGAATGGCTGCAGGTTAAAAGCAAGTAGCGAGAATAAGGAAGAAAAAACATTCTCAGCAGAGGGAACAGCATGATGAAAGGCTCTAGAATGAGACAGATCGGTGAGTTTAAGAAACTTAAGGGACATAAGATGTCTAAAGCATAGAGTTCAAGAGGAAGGGCGGCACTTTACAAGACTGAAAAGTTGGGCAAGGGCCAGATCCTGCAAATGCTTTTCATTTTTTAAGCACCTAAATTTCCTTAAGAGCATTTGTTTTCTATAAAAGCAATATGACAAGCCAAGTCCACAAACCACAACATGATAAATCCTATAAATCTTTCAAAGTATAATCTCACATCTTCTGCAAAGTCTCCCTCTGCTATTCTATCCCCCTCTCTTCTGGTACTTATTCTGTCCACCATTCAATGAACAAATTAATCCCTCAGCGCCTGTTATCCAGCTAAAACTGCTCTTGCTGGTCATTGTGCATAGGTGGCATCTGAATGGACCAAAAATGGACACCTTGACCCAGGGCGGCCCACCCACAGGCTGCCAGCCACCTGTGCAGAGGCTTGCTTTAAAGATTCTGGGCATGATGGTTATTTAGCTAAGCTAATGGAATCAGAAGAACTGAAGAACACCTCAAAGGTTGGCAGAAGAGTGAAAGGAGAACAGAGCAGACCATGGGAGACAGAAGGAGCAGCTGGCCCCAAAACATCAGTGCTTGTGCTAACAATAAACCCTCTTTATCACCAAGCTGGACTGAACACCTTACAATTCCTCTGCTATTGCACTGCCCTGTGTTTGTCTGTCCCCCTTATGTCATTTAATTTTTATCATATTGTTCATGTCACCATGACAATGACCTTTGAAAATGGAGGTCATATGTTTACCTTCTTTGTATTCATCACAGCCATAAAGTCCTTAACACATACTGGGTTGGTGGGTGGGTGGGTGGATAGAAGGATCGATGGATGGATGGACCAAAAAAAGTGATTCTTAAGAATTTAAGTGGGAACTGAAAATAATATTCAAACTACTTTAAACTCACAACGTGCTTCCTAATCTACACCGCCATCATTCTCCACATGCTCCAGTAACATCAACTTCTCCCAAATCCCCAGACACATAACGTTCTCTTCCATTTTCCCTACTCCCACACAAATTTTTCCCTATTTTCTAAGTTTCACAAATGCCTACTCTTTCCACTTTCTCTACAAGCTCAGATATAAAGAATTCCACTTCCCCTAGAACTCATCACATCCTGCTCTAGGCTGCCATTTATAACAGTGGTTATTATTACACTGTTATAAGTAAGGAAATAAGCAAAGACCTCACTGAAAATTGTCCATGACTTTAATGGTTATGCATTACATTGTTCTCTAACAGTATGAGCCCCTTTCATAATATTGCCTCAAATGTTCTTTAAAACCACATCATACATTCATTCGGTAGAGCTTCTGCTACCTTAAAAAGAATAATATTGGTAAACACATCATACAAACACCCATAAAGATGCAGGGTGGCCATGAAGCAAATATTGAGAGTCCATTGTGCCTCCAGCACTGTTCTCATTCATACAGGTCAATTCACACACGAGTCCCACCTACTCAAGGCTCAGCAACAATGCTTAGAATAAGCTACAATTTCATGCATTTCATATTACATATCTTCCCCTTTAGATACAGAAAAAGTTGATTATATCTTATATGTTTATATGTCACATAAATATAGAAAAATATAAAGGTTTACATGTTATATACTAAATGACCAATTTATATCACATAAAACAGTTAAGTCTCATTGCTTTTTAAAATTGTTTCCATCCCATTGTGTTTATGTCTCATTCATTCCAATGAATGCCCCCCATTTAGATTTATATGCCATTTAATGCCCTCCATTTAGATTTCAGAGCTATACAAGTTGGCAGCAAGTAAAGGCAATAGGTGTAGAAGCTAGGGAAAAAGGATTGGGGAATAGCAGTCGGTGTAGCTATTTAAGTCACTGTTTCTTAAAACAAAGATAAAAGTAGGTTAATCTAATCACTCATTAGGAGTCATTATTCTAAGGCATAAAATTTGCCAAATAATAGCTATGTGTTCATTACTTAGTTTTAAAATAATGCATGAAACAAATAAGTAAACATTGTGTACTAAAATGTCAAAATGTTTTAACCTTTAAACATCATATCATAGAAAAAGACAACAGTTATGAAAATTCTAATATGTTAGAATGAAAGCTAAATAAACCCTTGATAAACATCATAAATTAAAAATAAACCGTTTAAATTGTCTAAATGTTCACATTAATTTTTTTCTCTTCATTGTATAAATGACTTTGGAGATTTTCCCCCACCTGACCTAATTAAATCACTTTAACATTCCCCCCAAAAAATATATTTATACTCACATTCACTTGAACTTGAATAGACCAGTCACCAAGTATTGGATGGGAAGATAGCTGAAAAGTTTTGGAAATGACTCCAAGATCACTTTGTTGTGACAACCACTGTTGGATCAAATTTGATTTGGGGTCCTAAAATGAAAACCAGACATGTAAGTATGTAGAGGCTGCCCATGTGCATGTGTATCCTATCAGGTTAGGAATAATGCCTTGCAGCATTCCCACCCAGGTCCAGAACTTTACTCCAAAATACGGCACAAATATGGCTGGATGGCAGGATGTGAGGATGGAAAGAAGGAGACACATTAGAGATATATTAACCTAACAAAGTTAAAAGGTCTGGAAATGTGAGAGAGGAATCTAGGATGACTGCTGGAATGGCTTGGATGAATGCTGCATGAACATTTTGGAAAACGTAGGCTCTATATTTCTAAAGAAGACAAATCAAAGTTTATTCTTTTCTCATATTTCTCCCAAGTTCATCTTGATTCTGCTCCACCTTTTAATTCCTGGCACCCTATTTCCTTCTACATGAAACACTACAACATGTACGTCACCAAACCCCTGGTGGCGGCGGTGGTGGTAGTAGTGTTAAAAGAAAATTTAACTGTAGAGATAACAGGCCCCATTTATTAAAGGCCCAATATGTGTCAGGCACTCTGCCTTATCTCTAATCATTACAATTCTCCTTTAGGACATGGTTATCCTCACTTTATAGTTGAGAAAACTGATGCCTGGAGAGGGAGGTACGCATTCAAGTGACTGGCATGACTCAATATTACAGCACCAGTGCATGATGAAATTCAGAATCCAAACTCATGTCTGCCTTTTAACTCAACAAAAGCATATTAGAGAGATGTTTAATCACGGATATACATGGAAAACACTTCATTCTTCCTATAACCTCCCAAACAACAATCCCTTCATGCAACATTTATCCAAGCCATTCCAGCAGTCATCCTAGATTCCTCTCTCACATTTCCTGACATTTTAACTTTGTTAGGTTAATATATCTCTAATTTGTCTCCTTCTTTCCATCCTCACATCCAGCCACCATGTCCTATTTTCTAACTAATGCAACTAATCTTCCCCCTCTAGTCTTGCCCTCTACAATACATCTTCCCCACTGCCAACAGTGTGATCCATCTGAAACGCAAATCTGAGAATGAGTTACAGTGGTTGAAATACTTGGCACAGTCCCTGGCATATAAAAAGCAGTGGCTATACACTTTTTATAGTCCCTAATTATAGTATATGATGATTATACTAGACCACTAGGTACCCATGGCTTTTGTTTGCCTACAGGAAGTCTACACTCCTTTGCCTAGTTTACAAGGCCCTTACTAATACTACTCCATCTACATTTCTAGGCTCATCTTCCTCCAAACATACGGATTTGTTTGCAGTTTATTCCCAAAAAGCCCATGCATGTAGGTCTCTGCAACTGCTGCATGGAAATCCCTCCCTTCCTTGTCCACTGGTGAAATCAGTTTCAGTTTCTTGCCTCCTATACATGCCTCCAATAGGCAGAGGTGACTTCTTCCTGGAAAGTCCCTAGTATATCTGGAGTTTATCTCTCTTGAATACATATTTTTGTTAAAGGCAGTAAAATATGTTTATTTTACATATTTTATTTTGCCAAAAATCTATATTTTATTATTCCCAACTAGACTGTGACTGAGAGCAGGGGTTGAATATTTTCCCTTAGACTTATCCTCTAAACTTTGCCTAGAAGTAGTGAGTGGGGCCAGTTATTAGAACAGAAGAAACCTCTCTCCCAGAGTGGAGATATGACAGTTAGGGGTAAGTACAATGCTGAGAACTGTGCAGAAAGCAGTCTAATAAGCCAGAAACCAATTGTGAAAACCAGAGACCAAAAGCAAGTCAAGAACAAGCAGGTCACTGTATCCTTGGTAAACTCCTGGGCCAGGCATTGTAATGGGCAGTTGGCCCTACTGTGCCTGCCACAGCATGACGCATGGGAGGGCTATGAAGTTCAAAGGCTCAGGAACAAAGGAAGAAATACAAATAGCCAATAAATATATGCTGTCTAGTAATTAAGGAAATACAAATGAAAACAATATTGTGTTTCTTCTGTCAGTCTGACAAAGATAAAAATAATAATAACAATAATTCTTGGTGTTACCTGAAGTGTAGGAAAATGGAATGTCCATATTCTACTGAAACATTATGGTAGTGAGGGCATACATTTCTCCTGGACAATGAAGTCTGAACTGACCTCATTGATGGCTTTGTACCTGGGGGATCTGGAGGGTTGGGGGAGAATGAGATAATTCCTCTGCTTTCCCAAGCCTGTCTTGGACCTAGGTCTAACTGTTACCAATAAGGCAGAGGGAGAGAATGCAGAAACACCAGAAGTCTACAAGACACATCAGGATTTGAACCAGCCAAGCATGGTGATGTCACAGCGGAGCCCAGCATTTGCATGCGGCCATCTGCTGCTACGACACAGCCATGTACAGTATGAGCAATACCCCCGTCACAGCCAGAAAAGCTGCAGGCCAGAGATCCTGGAATAGTGGCCCCACATGCCCTTCGAGTCACCTTTAGATCGCTCTGGATCTCTGAGATGCCTCAACACAGCACACAGTACCTGATTGTCTCAAGCAGTAAGCTCCCTGGCTGGAGAATATGTCTGTGAGGACTATTTCTGGATTATGTGTGAATAACATGTCTGTCCAGCCTGTAGAATTAGAGAATTCAAATCACTCAAATAAGGTAGCTTCTTCACCTGGCCAGCGGTCAGGTTCTGAGTTAGCCACCACTGCTCCAAAACTGAGTGTCAGGGCACAATAACAGGATATACCCCCAAGCCAATAACACCTGTTCCCCTACAAGATCATTCACCCGTACTAGCACCAACAACTTCTGGATGGAGAGGTCAGAGCAGAAGCCAGCCATGCCAGCTGCCATCGCAGTGTCAGAGGCACTCAATTCCATTGTGTCAGGCCAAATTGGCTAGAGGAGGCCAGAAGCGTGGGAGACATAGGTTATGTTTTTTCTACTGCCAAAAGGCCTCGAAGCTCCTTTCCCTCCTGAGAAGACCAGTTATTGGGGCATGCAAAATGAATAACACCCAAAGATGGCCTGCAGTCCCCAAGAACAACAATGAACACCCTGAAGGTGCTGTGACAGTCAGTATCTTAGCTACATCCTGCAGCCATTTCTAGCTGGGCAAGATGGGCCCCGTTAACTCTCAGGTGCACTTCTCCACATCAGCCTGCAGGTGGTGCTGTGCCAAGGAGTACAACTGTCTCAGTCAGGGGCTCCAGTTCAGGCTAAGTCCCAATTTGTTCTGAAAAGTTTTGCCAAGACACCAATTATTCCACACTGAAAGATGTAGAAAATATCATAGACTTGTAAACCTGGCCCAAATGTCTGTTTTCAGCTGAAAGAGTTCACATTACTGCTCCCACCTGGCCTCTGCAAGTTACAAGGAGGAAGGCAGCTAGACCTAAGTCCACATTTGAGCATCACTTCCCAGGTACAGAGACAGGAGCATGGCCACCCCTCACTCATAGTTCCAAAACACTTTGGGTTCCAGGTAGAATTTTAGTTTAAACTCCCCTCCCCTGGCCAAGAGAGTCATATCAGTACCAGAGCTAATAAGAGGAAAGTCTCTCTGAGCCCTTTCCAGAAAGCCAAACGTGGTCTGCTAAGTCCCAAACTGCACAGAAGAGCCCAAAGAATCTGCAAATCAAAGATTCAAAGGAAGATACTAGAGCAGAGTAGACAGGCAGAACTATGAAAATGCACAGACTAATTATCCAGAACCAGCAGGGTTAGTTCTGGGTTGATGTCTAGAACAGGCAATTTATGCAGTGCTAACTTTTATTTGCCTGCAGTAGAAGGAAGCATTGAATGTAAACACCCAGAGATAGCCAGACATTTATTAAACCATCTATTGTACACATCCTTTCTGACATACAGTAAGCTCTCCATATATGTGGATAAATGATGAAAGATGGTATGAATGGAGTCAGTTCAACTCTGCTCAGGGGGGTGACATGAATTTAGAAATACTATTCACTATGTCAACCTGCTTTATAAACATTCCATTACATACCAAAGGCAAACTCTGAAATAATGCTAGTTCAATTCAAGCAATATGCATTGAACACCATGGCAACAAATGTGATACTGGCTACAAATATATCTTGGCTCAAAGTTAAATGTATACATGTTTATTTGATTGGGTTTTGTTGTTTTAATTTATAACAACAAATAAACTAAGAATAGGAAGATACCAAACTAAAAGGCCTACTTTACCTTCCACACTATGTTATTCATTAGAATATCTGGAGTAACCAATGTCCTGAGACTAAGGAGGTTCCCAGGACCAGAGACTTTTCAGTTTTAAAATCAGAGGCATCCCAGGCAGACTGGGATGTTAGTCACCCTATTTCCAAGTAATGATCAAATGTCCAGTGTTCTTCTCCGTTTAAATACAGAAAACCAGGCCCAGCTGGATCTCAGTTGTCTTCAACTTGATTCTCACAGGAAAGCACTCAGTGTGCTAACCACAGTGCCTCCAAATCATCAGAGTATTAAGCAGCAGAGACAAAACTACTACCTTTCAAAAGGGGTTCCTAAAATAATAATAATGGCTAACGTTTAGTGAGCATGTACTATGTGCCAGACACAGTTCTAAATGGTTTACTTGAATTATCTCACTTAAGCCTCATAAAAACCTTTTGAGGTTTTATTATTACATATTTTCTAGATAAGGAAACTGAGGTTCTAGAAGGTTAATAAATTTACCCAGGATCACACAGCTAGCATCTAGCATCTATTCTTCTTAGAGCTGACAGTGATCCTTTTAAGATGTTAAGTTAGATTACATCAAGTCTTGCCTCAGAATTCTCCAGTGAATTCTCACTTCACTTAGCATAAGTTTCAAAGTCCCTATCATGGCCAATAAGGCCCTGCATGAGCCCCACCCTAACCCACCTACTTGTATAGGACCTCATGTCCTAGCACCTGTCCCCTCGCCCCGGGGCTCCAGCACACTGCCAGCTTGTTGTTCCTCCAATGCGCCAAACAAGCTCCCCCTCAGGGCCTTTCCATGTGCTTCCCCCTCTGTATGGGCTTATTTTCTTTTACTGCCTTTGGCTCTCTGCTCAAATCAGTCTTCCCAGACAACCCTAGAGAAAGCAACAAACATGCTGGGCGCAGTGGCTCACGCCTATAATCCCAGCATCTTTGGGAGGCTGAGGTGGGTGGATCACGAGGTCAGCCTGACCAACATGGTGAAACCCCGTCTCTACTAAAAATTCAAATTTAGGCAGACGTGGTGGCACATGCCTATAATCCCAGCTACTCAGGAGGCTGAGGCAGGAGAATCGCTTGAACCAAGGAGGCGGAGGTTGCAGTGAGCCAAGATCGTGCCATTGCACTCCAGCCTGGGCAACAAGAGTGAAACTCCATCTCAAAAAAAAAAAAGAAAGAAAGAAAATAGCAAACACAAACTCTCTGTCTCTCACTCCCTTTTTCTCTCTCATACACACACACAAATACATACATATCTGTCCCTTTATAAATATATATTTGTATGTTTATTTATTATGTCTGTCTCCTACTACCCACTGAAAAATAAACTCAGTGTCAGCAGGGACTTAATCTCTTCTGTTCACTGCCCTATCGCTGTGCCTGGAACACAGAAGTTTAATAAATGTTTGACAACTGTATAAATCAATGAAGACCCCAGGCCTGGAACTCAAGCAGGTTGACTCTAGAGGCTGAGCTCTTAACCCAGTGCATGCACCACCTTCTTTCCTATTAGAGGAGTTCCATGTTGGGAGGGAAGCTTATCTTAGGTGAATTCTAAAATATTCCAGTGTCAGTAACACAAGCAGAACTTCCCAGAGGGGTTTAGTAAGATGGCTAGAATTCCTTGCTTCATTTCTGTCTGGCACTTACCTTAATGAGAATGTTTAAAGAGGTTTTGTAAGGCTTAAAATCTGAGAAGAGTGTAACAATGCGAAACTTCACTTCTTGCTTTGGCTTGTATAAGGCCTTGTCTGTTTGAATGAAGACAGATATTCTCTTGGTCTCAAATGATAAGCGGGTACTATTAGAGAATAAAATCTCATCCTGGGTACGTCCGGTTACACGTAGCTCATAAATCTCATCTGCACTGTTCAGAGGTAGCTGGGGGGAAAAAGAGATCACACATCAAGGTCTCATTATTTTACCTCAAAAATGTTTTAATTGCAAGTTAGAATAAAAAAAGTAAATACACAGTATTATCAAAAGTAACTGCGATGTTGAAAATTTGCCCCTCCCAGGCATCAGAGTTAATTTGTTTTCCCTCTTTTAACTTCCTGCAGTTTGCTCTCCAGTTACATCACAGGGCTCCTGGAATGGGGGACACATAGCCCACTGCTCTCCCTCAGCAGGAGTCACCTTGCCATTTCCTATTCCAAGTGCAAATTCATCCTCCCTAACAGTTATTGCAGGTCAGAATATCTAACATCCTTCAACCTTCTTTTCCACGCTCACCCTATTTGAGGCAGTCAGCTGATGAAAGGCTCTTCTGCACAAAATTTGTTTCTTGCTATATTCTCTCAACCTGTTTTCTGAGATGCATTCTCCTAATGCATCTTGCGCATATGTGTCATAGTCTTGGTAGGGATGATGATGCTGCTACTTCTACTACTACTATTAATAACAGAAATCCTTCCCAGGCACGTTAACTCACACCTGTAATCCCAGCACTTTGGGAGACCAAGGCAGGCAGATCACCTGAGGTCAGGAGTTTGAGACCAGCCTGGCCAACATGGTGAAACCCCATCTCTACTAAAACTACAAAAATCACCCAGGTGTGGTGGCATGCGCCTGTAGTCCCAGCTACTCCGGGAGGCTGAGGCAGGAGAATCGCTTGAACATGGAGGTTGCAGTGAGCCGAGATCGTGCCACTGCACTCCAGCCTGGGCAACAGAGCGAGAATTTGTCTCAAAATAATAATAATAATAATAATAATAATAATAATAATAATAATAACAATAGAAGTCCTACCTTCTAGCATTAGCAGACCAGAGCCATACTGAGCAGTTTACCTGCACTATATCATTTTAATTCACAACAATCCCTCAGGTGGATATTCTTATTAAAATCATTTCAGACACACACACTACACACACACACACACACACACACTTTGATGTGGTAATTTTAAAATATGTCCAAAAATTCTCTGACTTTAGTCCCTTCAAAAGGTGAAGCCTAATTCCCCAGACTTAGTGATTTCCTTCCAAATCCTAGAATTAGGCTATGTCAGAAAAAGAATACCTTCTTCCCTGTTGTCTCTCTTTCTCGCTTGGATCACTCACTCTGGAGGAAGCCAGAGTGGTGTGGTAAGGACACTAAAGAAGTCTGTGGAGAGGCCCACATTGGGAGGAACCAGGGCCTCCCACCAACCACCAACAACCACGTGTCAGCCTAGTGAATGAGCTGCCTCACAGAATGTGTTAGCCCTGATGAAGCCTTCAGATGACTGCAGCCCTAGCTGATATCTTGATTGCAACCTCGTGAGACTCCAAATCAGAAATGCCCAACCATATTGTTCCCAATTCTTCACCCACAAAGACTGTGAGAAGTAATAAAAGTTTAATTTATTATTGTTTGAAGCAAAGTTTTAGAGTTACTTAGCAATAGATAACTAGCATGCTTGACTTTTAGTTGATTTTCATATTAAAACTGAGGTCCCGAAACTATATCCTGACTCATTTTTGCAAATAAGTTTTGTCTACAGATAGCTCAAAGGGGATTTTCCAATAATAGCAGACATCAGAATGCTATCAATGTGGTTAAGAATATGAAGAAAGTGCAAGAAACCACTGTCAACAATAAAATGGTCAGCAGCAATATTTAGGGAGAAGAGTATTGATGTCTGCAATTTACTTGGAAATACATTTAAAAATAAGATGAACTAATGGATGGATAGAAAGATGGGTAGATGGATAGATGTATGATAGAGCAAGTATAGTAAAATGTTAATGGTAGACCCTAAGTGGCAAGTATAGGAGTGTTCATTATGAAACATTTTCAAGTTTTTTGTATATTTGAAAAGTTAATAATAAAATGTTAGGAAAAACAATCAGTATGTCACCTTCAAATGACTTCTGGTGTCAATTTTTGCTTTTATTCAATAAAGAAGTGTTTTGTTTTGTTTTGTTTTGTTTTGAGACGAACTCTTGCTCTGTTGCCCAGGCTGGAGTGCAGTGGCCCAATCTCAACCCCACCTCTTGGGTTCAAGCGATTCTCCTGCCTCAGCCTCCCAAGTAGCTGGGACTACAGGTGTGCGCCACCATGCCTAGCTAATTTTTGTATTTTTAGTAGAGAAAAGGTTTTACCATGTTGGCCAGGCTGGTTTCGAATTCCTGAACTCAAGTGATCCACCCACCTCGGCCTCCCAAAGTGATGGGATTATACATGTGAGCCACTGCGCCCAGCCTAAAGAAGTATTTATTGAGCACCCTTTGTGTACCAGGACGCCCTAGGTACTTGGGATACAACATGAACCAAAGACCTGTGCCCTGGTAGAGCAGAGTCTAGCCTGGAACTTGCAATCTTAAATTCTATTTTCTCAAGTGATACTTCAGTCCTCAGACTCTTTGAATCAGATTTCCTAATACTATAAACAAGAAAATATATACACCAGGAACCAGAATATTATATGCTTATAAATGGCATCGATTTCTAAATATTTCATGTTTAAAAATATATTTGATGGGATTGCTCTTCCTGATTTGATATGTTTATCATTTTTAGTGGCACAGAGGCCCCAGAACAGATGCTAGATTGAAGACTGATGTCAAATTAATGACACAGAGGCCTAGAGCTAAAGAAGCCTATTAACCACAAGCAGCCTAAAGGGTCAGAGAATTAAAATAAATGCAAATATGCCCGAAAACATTTTATTCTACCTCCTACTCTATCCTCCTTCAGGGAGCTGACACTGACTCAGGGGAAACATTACTGACTATCTTCCTGTTCCTTTGGGTTACCTTAACTAATTTGCTTTTTTAACTTTTCCCCGTTAAAAACCCCACCTTGCCATATATAAAATTTAGGTAATTTGGGATCCTCAAAGACTCAGTGTTAGTCCCAGGGCAAGCCACCCAGAGATGACAATATGGGCCTTGGTGAATCATTAGACCTGGGTGCCTGTATGAAGCATGGGGCATCACCACATGTCTCGGGGTGTCACCACGTACTCTGGGTGGTGCTCCAGAGTCTTGTGGTGTCAATGCAGACCTCGGTGCTCCATGGTTAACAATGGGGGCGCATAATGAGACTGAAGAAAAGATTATTGACTTTAAGCAATTTTTATAAAAGTTTCTCTCTCTGTGCCAGATCTGGAGTGGGTTATAACCTGCCCACAGCAGAGTGGACACTATGAGGTAACAGAAGCTCCTGCATCTTTACTGGTAAATTGCCTTCTGCCGTCTTGGGGCCACAGTTACTGAAAAAGGTTCCCGAAATTGGTGGGGGAAAGGGGGAAAAAAAGCTGTTCCTTGATAAGTGACTTCCATGGCTCTTAAACAGGAGTCAATTATTTACCCACAGAGATTTTGGACTCCTTGACCAGAGGGCACAGGGCTGGAGGAAGGTGCAGTTCCCACAGTGAGAGGCTGTCTGAAAGCAGGACAAGAGTCTGGGAATTGACAATATCCCAAAGCTTTGACCAACAGAATATCAATCAGCCTCTGGATTGGCTATGTTGACTCTCACTTAGGCACATCTATTTCGTGTATACATAAATGCAAACTCTCTGAGGAGATGATAGCTCTCTGCCTAGGATACATAAGGTAAGCACATTCAAAAACATTCTTGCTAGACAATAAATAAGGATTACTTATTCTAATCTGGGCTGTCTAAAGCCATTTCACCTTCTCTGAAAGATTCACTGCTGTAAGGAAACTGAGACAACACAATAGTATTTATCCTCATATACTTCAGGAATAATGCCAGTTACCAAACATAACGGAGACAATTTTTCAAAATAAAATTGAGAAATCTAAGATGATAGTTTCCATTAAAAATATATTAGTAATTATACTTACACATTAAAAACATTTCTAATCAAATAAAACCACTCCTTCATTTGACAAAGAGAACAAAAGAAGTTTTTCTGCCATATTGTGTACAAAACAATATTTATATTGTCTCAATTTATGTTTTTTATTTACTTCATATTGGGGGTTATTTTAGTGTCTTGAAGTACAATGAGTAAATCAGAAATAAAAAACACATTTGTGTTAACACATTCTTGAAATATTTATATTTTACACTAAAAAGCCATAAAGACCTGAAAAATAATTTAAAATATTACACTTACAAGTGTCAGAATGCAAGTGCACTTTAAAAGGTGGTTCTATTCACAGGTATGTTCTCACTGGGGAAAAAGAAAGTTGGTTCTGCTTTAATTGAAAACTCATTAAAATGCAGAGCCTTCTTTTTTTGTCAAGCATTATCAAATTTGTCCATACACTTTATTTCTAAGTCTTTCATACTGTGCTTTACTAAAAAGAGATACACTCCAAAATATAATCTCTAATAAAGCTTTCAATAGATAATAGCTATATTTATATACAATTGAAATGACATAATATTAAAGACAAATACTGGATGTCAGAGTTAGTATTTCATATACTTAAGACTTAAAAGAAGTATAGTAGGCTGGGCGCAGTGGCTTGCGCCTGTAATCCCAGGACTTTGGGAGGCCGAGGCAGGCGGATTACTTGAGGTTGGAAGTTCAAGACCAGCCAGACCAACATGGCGAAACTCTGTCCCTACTAAAAATACAAAAAAAAATTAGCTGGGCATGGTGGTGCATGCCTGTAATCCCAGCTACTCGGGAGGCTGAGGCAGGAGAATCTCTTGAATCCGGGAAACGGAGGTTGCAGTGAGCCGAGATCGCGCCACTGCTCTCCAGCCTGGGCAACAAGAGAGAAACTCTGTCTCAAAAAAAAAAAAAAAAAAAAAGAAGTGTAGTAGACAAATTTCTAGTTAATATTAGCTCAGACACGTACAGTTTATACTAGTATCATTGAAAGAAACTCTCATGCCCTTGCCCCGCCTTCTCCTTTCAGCCTTTCTACACTTCCGGTATGTGAAACTGCAAACTCCTTTGAGGAAACCAGACAATTATTGTGCTTTAGGCTGTGATTCCTGAGCTTAAACCCCACCCTCCTTCTGCTATAGGGCAAATATACGACACAGGATTTATTTTCATCTTACCACTGGAATACCCTTTCAACAAAGTTCTGCGCCCAGGCACTGGGGCCAGTATCTAATGTTTTAGGTTATTTTAATGCAATCTAATGTTTTATTGCCACAAAGATTGCAGGGTTTTTTTCCCCCACTTCTGCCTGCTTATGCCTTTTTTCTTCCACTTTCTATTATTAGCAGCAGTATATTTCTTAGGAAAGAAAGTACAAATATAATATGTAACAAACAGAATAGATATAGCATACTAAGTAATTTTTATAAAGTATTGTTTGAGAGTATAATATTCTCTATGAACCCCCCAAAATAAATGTGGTTTCTGAATGTACTTGACAAGTAACTTTCAAAAGGTACTAAGTGGGCCAGGCATGGTGGTTCACTCCTGTAATCCCAGCACTTTGGGGGACCAAGGCAGGAGGGATGCTTGGGCCCAGGAGTTTGAGACAAGCCTGGGCAACATAGGGAAACCTGTTTCTACAAAAAATAAAAAATCAGCCAGGCATGGTGGCACATGCCAGTAGTCGGGAGGCTGAGGTGAGAAGATTGCTTGAACCTGGGAGATTGAGGCTGCAGTGAGCCATGATTGTGCCACTGAACTCCAGCCCGGGCAACAGACCAAGACCTGTCTCAAAAAAAAAAAAAAAAAAATTTAAGGTAATGAGCGAACCTGGCTTATGAGGTAATGCTGATACTAATCAGGTATACAGTGTGTCAGGGCCTAAGTCATTAGTCCTCTGTTCTCAGAAAAGTACATATATCAAACTGCACCTGATGTTGGATGCTGTGGTTTACTATACTGTACATTAAGCATGTAAAGCCCCAAAACAAAGCATAGTAATGAAAGTATAAACTTCCAAATCAAAGCTATAGGAAGATTCATCCACAAACATTTAATAATAAGGTTTTATGAATCTCTCAACAAAATAATAACTCCTTTCCATTTCTATAGCAAGTGCTACAACACTTCCACATCTCATTTCACTCCAGGACATGCTGTGAGATAAAGATGGTATCTTCATTCTCTTTTCCAAGGCCAGGGCTATGGTGAGGTGAGTGAGGCACTTGTCTAAGGTGCAAAATTTAAGGGGGTACCAAAAAATTTAGCAATCAAGAAAATAATATTTTAATACAATATTTTAAAATATCAAAATTAATGCAAAAAATTATAAACAAAGAAGTCGAAGTTTTAAACAAAGACAGGGTCAATATTACTGATTTTTCCTTTTGCCTCAAGTTCTAGTATGTCTCAGCATGGCACTGCTCTTTTCAAGCACAAGGAAACTGAGGAGCAGAGTTCCACACTAGAAGGCTCATTACGACAGAAGCAGGAGCAAACCAGCCCAGATGCCTTGTTTTTTTTTAACTTTTATTTTAAGTTCAGGGGTACAAGTGCAGGTTTGTTACATAGGTAAACTTGTGTCATGGGGGTTGTCGCACAGATTATTTCATCACCCAGTTGCTAAACCTAGAACCCATTAGCTATTTTTCCTGCTCCTCTCCCTCCTCCCTCCCTCTACCCTCCAGTAGGCCCCAGTGTGTGTTGTTCCCCTCTATGTGTCCATGTGTTCTCATCATTCAGCTCCCACTTATAAGTGAGAACATGTGGTGTTTAGTTTTCTGTTCCTATTTTAGTTTGCTAAAGATAATGGCCTCCAGCTCCATCCATGTTCCTGCAAAGGACATGGTCTCGTTCCTTTTTATGACCAGTCCAGATTTCTGTGCTAATAGTCCAGGCCAGTTTCCTTCAGTGAAGTCTTCTATTTTACAAGAGGAAAATCTCTGCCAAGAGTTTGAAGAGCCTCATAATCAATCTCCTTGAAATAATATTATTCATAAATAATCTGAAGGCTGAACTAAACTCAAGCCAAACTTACATGAAACGTGAAATGTGTGAATTGACATAAAATCCAATAAAATATTAATTTATTTAGTTCACTGATACAATATATTTCTGAAACCAAATTTTTTAAATGGATACTTACTGATGGAAGAGTAAGTGTCTTAAAAGAGCCTACAAGGAAAACAGGAAAGAAAACAGAGTTAGCACAATTTGAATATGATGATAGAATACAAACCTTCCAAAACTCTCCCAATACTCTTACATGTGTAGGTGGAATCATAAATACATTTGGTGAAACCAAAATGACATTTAAATGCCCAGAAGACCCAAGAAATTATTACATATCTTTGTGCCAAACAATTAAAAATCAGGATTAAAAGGGTATCAGTGGGCAAACCCAAAAAACATTAGGTTCTGCTTCTCTTTGCCATTATCATTTTTGTTGTCGTTGTTGCTGCTGCCCTTGTTGCTATTTTAAGGTTATACGTGCTTGCGGGACACTTCACACGCTGTACAGAAGTAGTCTGAGGTTTATTTCTTGTCCTCATACCCTCGTGATAAAGGAAGAAAGGAAGGCATTAGTCATGTCAGGGGTGAGCTGGGACTCATAACTGACTCGTGAGTACTGGGGTGATGCAGACTTTTTTCGTGTAAAGTTTCTATACATAGGACTGCTAATTAAACTCATGCCAATTTCTCATCAGATCCATTTATTTCAAGGGGAAAAATGGTTTCATGTTAAAAATAAAAGAGAACTTGTCCAAAGTTCCTATCGAAGATGGCAGGCCCTTGGGAAATAAAATGGAGCAAAAGATGATTTTAAAGAGAGAGAAGGAAATAATAGGCCCCGTAAAAACTAGCACAATGTGCAAGACAGATGTGGTCCCTCTCCTCCAGGAAGCCAAATGGGTCTATCATGTGAGAGCAGAGGCACCAGAGCACAGCACAGTACACAGCAGGGGTTAAGCTAGCAGCATCTGGAATCAGACCACATCAAGAATTTGATATGTACTGGCCCTGTCCTTGAACAAATTACCTGATTCTCTAGCTCAATTTTTTTCATCCATAAGATGAGGATGCTAATAATCATATCAATCTCATGAGGTGGTTATAAGGAATACGTATGTTGATACCTGTAAAGCATATAGAACAGTGCGTGACACATAGAAAACACTTGAAATATGTTAGCTATTATAGTGTCAAAAAGCTTGAAGAGTTTTCCATTGAGGATGTCATATGCCCCTATAGACGTAGTCTTCAAATTTTTATGATAGAGTACTCCATCAATAAAAATACTTAGTATACCTTACCAATGTCAAATTAGATTTATAAAATTATATACATGTATTTTCTCAACCAAAATATTAAACATTAGAAAAACTTTATAGCCAGGCACAGTGGCTCACACCTATAATCCCAGCACTTTGGGAGACTGAGGCAGACAGAACACCTGAAGTCAGGAGTTAGAGACCAGCCTGGCCAACATGGCAAAACCCCATCTCCACTAAAAACTACAAAAATTAGCCAGGCATAGTGGCACGCCTGTAGTCCCAGCTACTTGGGAAGCTGAGGAAGGAGGATTGCTTGAACCCAGGAGGTGGAGGTTGCAGTGAGCTGAGATCACATCACTGCACTACAGCCTGGGCAACAGAGCAAGACTCTGTCTCAAAAATAAATAAATAAATCAATAAAAAGAAAAAGAGAAACACTTTAACTTCTTAGCTTTGCTTAATAAAATAATAGAAATAAAAATTACTGGCCGGGCGTGGGTGGCTCATGCCTGTAATCCCAGCACTTTGGGAGGCCGAGGCGGGTGGATCATGAGGTCAGGAGATTGAGACCATCCTGGCTAACATGGTGAAACCCCATCTCTACTAAAAATACCAAAAATTAGCCGGGTGTGGTGGCAGGCGCCTGTAGTCCTAGCTACTCGGGAGGCTGAGGCAGGAGAATGGTGTGAACCCAGGAGGCAGAGCTTGCAGCGAGCCAAGATCGTGCCACTGCACTCCAGCCTGGGCTACAGAGGGAGATACTGTCTCAAAAAAAAAAAAAAAAGAAATAAAAATTACTACATTTTCTACTTCCATCCTTATAAATGGTCTCATATACTCTTAGACGTGTGCACACTCACTTTGAAGACTACCACCCCAGTGGGCCTCCATGAAATACAAGTATGTTTTCAGGAACAGATAAGTAATTCATCACCATCACTTACCACCTAGCACAGATCAGTTCCTCTAATAACTGTTATCATAGGAAGCAAAGAGCAAGACTCTTAAATAACAGGATATTGAACATGGTGTTTCAAAAAGGTGAAGAAGGAAGTATCGTGGAACAGATATACATAGTACAGGTAGGACAAGGAGCACATTGGAGGGATGAAGGGAAGGCACCTAGAGAAAACGATGCCAGTGTCTAAGGTTGTAGGATATGGAGAAATTAGCCATATGAGCAAGGAGGGGTACAATGTTACAGGCAAAAGAGCAGCAAATGCAAAGCAGTGGAGATCAACCTGAGTCTACCAAACCAAAGAGCTGGGTGAGCAAAGACCACAGCCAGAAAGACAGCAGTAGCCAGGAGGCCTGGCCCAATCAAAAGGGGGTCTTTGGACAAGATGAGGCCTCACCAGGATTATCCCAGTTGACGCTGTTATTCCAGCATCCTGATTTAGCATTTGTCCTGGATCTTTTTTTGGTTAGCAAAATATTATTCTAGGATGGGTTTAATGTGCACATAAATTAACTCTGAAAATGTTTTATTCTTTTTTTAATTGACAAGTAATAATTGAATATATTTATGGTATGCGACATATAGATGATAGATGTATACCTTATGGAATGAGGTATAACTTATGGAATGGCTAAACCACACTATTTAACATGTGCCTTACCTCACATAACTACTTGTGGAAAGGAACAATTAAAATCTACTCTAAGCAATTTTTAAGTATACAATATGTTGATATTAACCATAGTCACCATGCTGTACACTAGATCTCTTGAAATTATTCCTCCCGTATAACTGAAATTTTGTGTCTATTGACCAACATCTCCCCATTCCTTTCACTTCTGGTAACTGCCATTTTACCCTTTGTTTCTATGAGTTCATCTTTTTTTACCTTCCACATATAAGTGAGATCATGCAATATTTGTTTTTCTGTGCTTGGCTTATTTCACTTAACATAATGTCCTCCAAGTTCATCCATGTCACTGAAAATGACAAGACCTCCTTCTTTTTACATTTTTTTTGTTAAAAAAAATGGCTGAATAGTGTTCCATTACGTATATATACCACACTTTCTTTATCCATTTATCCATTGATGGACACTGACATCGATTCCATATCTTAGATATTGGGAATAATGCTGCAGTGGATGTGGGGGTGCAGCTATCTCTTCAACATACTGATTTCATATCTTTGGATATACACCAGTTATACTTTGGGAGTATCTTACCTTGTAGGAAGAAACTTCTGTTCATTAAGCTTACTTTTAATGGGAAAGACTTATTATATTCTATACTGAATTGAAGTGAAATTGAAAAGCCCTAGGATATTTCAGCAAGTAAACTTGGTAAAACTTTCAAAGGAACCATAAATAGAGACAATTTACTGGACAAATTTTGTCCTGTAAAAACATTTGTTGAAGAGAAGCATGGGGCTCTGCAAGCAGACCCTGTGAAATATTTGGGCTGAAACATTTAAACATTGCAATACGGGGGTGTTGGGGGATGGAATTGAGAATACCATCCATGTAGCAGAATTTGTTCTGATCTCATCAGGTACCTGAGCATGTGTGGAGAGGGTGTTTTCTTAATTTAAAATATTATGGTCAGATCACTTGAATAATAAAATAAATAATGGGTTACAACCTACTGAATACAACAAGAATCTATGAGTTCATGCTGATGTACAATTAAATATATGACTGAGTGAAAGAGAAGAAAGAGTTATTCCTTACCACAGAATTCCAACTAATAAATGTAGAAGGAATCGTGGAATTCAAAAACTATCATGGAATTCACAACTATCACAAAAATAATGGCAATAATCATCAATCTAGCATGTATAGGCTAAATGAGAATTGTGAGAAATAATAAACCATTGTTGTTTTAATCTACTAAATCTGGGGGCGGCTTATTTCACAGCAACAGTTGACTGGAACACTTCAGAAATGAGCAAGATTAACTAGCAACTCTTTAAAGCTGCTCAGTCACATACAGGAGCCTCTAAATACATGTGGCTATTGAGCCACTGAAATAAGCAGCAAGTGTAAAATACACCCCATATTTCTGAGACTTACAACCAAAAAAATGTAAAATGTCATGTCAATAATTTTATAGTGATTAAATGCTGAACTAATAATACTTGTAAATTATTGGGTTAAATAAAATATATTATTACAATTAATTTCACCTGTTTCTCTTTCTTTTTTAGTGCGGCTACTAGAAAATTGCCAATAACTTATGTAGTTGACTTATACTTGTATTGGACAGAACTGGTCACGGGGATAGAAGACTTAAATTTGTGTTTAGCAACAATGAAACAACCAACAGATCAGACAGAATACAATTTTTTAGTTATATGAATAAAATAATAATAATAGTACATACCACTTACAGAGTGTTCTAAAGCATTACATACATTGAGTTTAAAGCTCACAACAATACTATTAAGTATTATTACCCTTATTTTACAAATGAGAACACTGAGACATAGACATGTGAAATGACTTTCCCAGGGTCACACAGACAAAAAGTAGTGGGGCCAAGCTTCTGACCCTAACCACCTGACTCATGGGCCTGAGCTCTAAACCACTGCTCTGCACTGACTCTGAATATAAAAAAAAAAAAAGTTGTATGCACATCAATCAATGTGATACATCATATCAACAGAATGAAGGGCAAAAACTACATGATCATTTCAATTGATAATTTAAAAAAATTTGATAAAATTCAGCACCTCTTCATGATAAAAACCCTCAAAAAAACTGCATATAGAAGGAACACACCTCAACATAAAAAAAGCCATATATGACAGACCCACAGCTAGTATGATACTAAATGGGGAAAAACTGAAAGCCTTTCCTCTAAGATCAGGAAGACGACAAGAATGCCCACTTTCACCACTGTTACTCAACATAGTACTGGAAGTCCTAGCTAGGGCAATCAGACAAGAGAAAGAAATGAAGGGCAGGCAAATTGGAAAGGAAGAAGTCAAATTATTTTTGTTCGCAGATGATATAATATTTTTAATTAATTTACTTTTTAAAGATAAATAGACACAGGGTCTCCCTATGTTGCCCAGGCTGGTCTCAGACTCCCAGGCTCAAGTGATCTGGCCCTCCTCCACCTCCCAAAGTGCTGGGATTACAGGCATGAGTCACCACGCCCAGCCAATATGATCTTATATTTGGAAAAACCTAAAGATGCCACCAAAACACGATTAGAACTGATAAACTCAGTCTAGTTGCAGGATACAAAATCAACATACAAGAATCAGTAGAAGCCAGGCGCGGTGGCTCACGCCTGTAATCCCAGCACTTTGGGAGGCCGAGGTGGGCGGATCACGAGGTCAGGAGATCGAGACCGTCCTGGTTAACACGGTGAAACCCCGTCTCTACTAAAAATACAAAAAATTAGCCGGGCGTGGTTGCAGGCGCCTGTAGTCCCAGCTACTTGGAAGTCTGAGGTAGGAGAATGCCCTGAACCCGGGAGGCGGAGTTTGCAGTGAGCCGAGATTGCGCCACTGCACTCCAGCCTGGGTGACAGAGCGAGACTCCATCTCAAAAAAAAAAAAAAAAAAAAAAAAAAGAATCAGTAGAATTTCTATATGCCAGCAGTGAACAATCTGAAAAAGAAATCAAGAAAGTAATCCCATTTACAATAGCAGCAAATAAAGTTAAATACCCAGGCATTAACTTGATCAAAGAAGTGAAAAATCTGTACAATGAAAAGTATAAAACACTGATGAAAAAAATTGAAGATGACACCAAAAAAATGAAAAGATATTCCATGTTCACGGATTGAAATTATCAATATTGTTAAAATGTCCATGCTGCCTAAAGCAATCTATAGATTTAATGCAATCTCTATCAAAATACCAATGGCATTCTTCACAGAAATAGAAAAAAAATCCTAAAATTTTTATGGAACCACCAAAGACCCAGAATAGCCAAAGCCATACTGAGAAAGAAAAAAAAAAAGGAGGAATCACATTACCTGACTTCAAATTATGCTACAGAGCTATAGTAACCAAAACAGTATGATATTGGCATAAAAACAGACACACGACCAATGGAACACAATAGAGAAGCCAGAAACAAATCCATACACCTACAGTGAACTCATTTTTGACAAAGGTGCCAAGAACATATATTGAGGAAAAGATAGTCTCTTCAATAAATGGTGCTAGGAAATCTGGATGTACATATGCAGAAGAATGAAACTAGACCCTGTCTCTCACCATACACTAAAATCAAATCAAAATGGATTAAAGACTTAAACCTAAAACCTAAAACTGTGAAACTACTAAAAGAAAACTTTGGAGGGACTCTCCAGGACACTGAACTGGGCAAAGATTTCTTGAGCAATATCCCACAAGCACAGGCAACCAAAGCAAAAATCGACAAATGGGATCACGTCAAGTTAAAAAGCTTCTGCGCAATAAAGGAAACAATCAACAAAATGAAGATACAACTCAGAATGAGAGAAAATCTTTGTAACTACTCATCTCACAAGGGATTAATAACCAAAACACATAAGGAACTCAAATAACTCTACAGGAAAAAATCTAATAATCCAATTAAAAATGGGAAAACGATCTGAATAGACATTTCTCGAAAGAAGACATACAAATGGCAAACAGGTATATGAAAAGGCCCTCTCAACACCATTGATCATTAGAGAAATGCAAATCAAAACTACAATGAGATATCATCTCGCCCCAGTTAAAATGGCTTTTATCCAAAAGACAGGCAGTAACAAATGCTGATGAGGATGTGGAGGAAAGGGAACCCTCATACACTGTTGATGGAAATGAAAATTAGCACAACCACTATGGAGAACAGTTTGGAGGTTCCTCATAAAACTAAAAATAGAGCTACCATACAATCTAGCAATCCCACTGCTGAGTATATACCCAAAAGAAAGGAAATCAGTATATCAAAGAGCTATCTGCACTCCCATGTTTGTTACACCACTGTTCATAATAGCTAAGATTTGGAAGCAACCTAAGTGTCCATCAACAAATGAATGGATAAAGAAAATGTGGTACATGTACACAATTAAGTACTACTCAGCCATAAAAATGAATGAGATCCTGTCATTTGCAACAACATGGATGGAACTGAAGGTCATTATGTTAAGTGAAATAACCCAAACACAGAAAGACAAACTTTGCATGTTCTCACTTATTTGTGGTAGCTAAAAATTAAAACAATTTAACTAATAATGGAGATAAGAGTGTAGAAGGATGGTTACCAGAGGCTAGGGAGAGTAGTGAAGGGTTAGGGAGCAAGTGAGGATGGTTAATGGGCACAAAAAATAGTTAGAAAAATGAATAAGACCTAGTATTTGATAGCACAACAGGAGGACTGTAGTCAATAACAATTTGATTGTACATTTTTAAATAACTAAAATAGTATAACTGGATTGTTTGTAACACAAAGGACAAATGCTTGAGGGAACGGATACCCCAGTTACTATGATGTGGTTGTTGACATTGCATGCCTGTTTCAAAGTATCTCATGTACCCTGTAAATATATACATCTTCTATGTATCCACAACAATTAAAAATTAAAAAAAGAATCAGTTGTATAGTTGGTTTTATTATACATACCTTTTTTTTTTTTTTTTTTGGAGACAGGGTCTCACTCTGTCACCCAGGCTGGAGTACAGTGGTGCAATCATAGCTCACTGCCACCCCAAACTCCTGGACTCAAGCGATCTTCCTGCCTCAGCCTCCCCAGTAACTAGGACTACAAGCACAGGCCACCATGCCTGGCTAATTTTTTTTACTTTTTTGTAGAAATGGGGGCTCATTATGTTGCCCAGGCTGCTCTCAAACTCCTAGGCTCGAGTGATCCTCCCACCTTGACTTCCCAAGGCCCTAGGATTACAGATGTGAGTCACCGTGCCTCATCACTGGTTTTTTGTTTGTTTTTGAGACAGAGTCTTGCTCTGTCACCCAGGCTGGAGTGCAGTGGCACGATCTCAGCTCACTGCAACCTCCACCTCCCGGGTTCAAGAGATTCTCATGCCTCAGCCTCCCATGTAGCTGGGACTACAGGCAAGCACCATCACAGCTGGCTAATTTTTTGTGTTTTTAGTAGAGACAGGGTTGTGCCATGTTGGCCAGGCTGGTCTCGAACTCCTGACCTCAAGTGATCTGCCCGCCTCAGCCTCCCAAAGTGCTGGGATTACAGGCGTGAGCCACTGGACCCAGCCTTGTGCCTCACCATTGTTTTCATTATACATATCTTTGATTATAGTAAAAGTTCCACTGCCTGTATAGCCTGTTTGTATATGTTGCTATCACCACTTCCTCAATCATGGATGTTCAAAATCTCAATCATCTTGAACTCTTTTCTCTCCTCAACTCTAAGTTTATCACTCACCAAAACCTGTGGATTCTTCTTCCATGAAGTTTCTCTTAGAAGAAACTTAGAGTTATACTCCAAGCACTGCAGTAGCGGAGCTAACTCTAAAATATTTTGTGTCATACAAGAACTCTGAAAAGGATATAAAAACGAAAGACTTTCCCAACTCATGTCAATTCTTCACACTACACAGTTTTGACATGTTTGAAGTTGATTCCAAGATCTGAAACATTCCTCTTCAAAGGAAAGTTAAACAGTAGCCAACTCTGAGACGGTAATTACAATGCAGGAGGTTTACTAAGGAGTATTCGGTGGATCAGCACCTGCAGAAGGGAAAGGGGGAAACTGCACTAGGGGAGAGAGCAGTGGGGCTGCAATGCAGGCTCCAAAGAGGCATCCACCAGGGCAGCTCAGAAGCAGTCAGGGCCAGTGAGAGTTGTCCTGAACTGGGGCGAAAGGGCCAGACCTTCATACCCCACGTCAATCAGTCACATAATACAGGCCATCCCCAGGAGGGAGGCCACCATGGGCAAGGCAATTCTCTAGCTGATACGATCATCAGAGACAACTGGCTCTGAAGGCAGTCGGGCACAACACTCCTAGCAGCTTTCGGGAAAAAGTCCTTCATCCCTAAAGAGCGATCTGGGCCCTAAAACACAGCATCCACCACAATGTCCCACATTGGAATAAAATAGAAACAAACTGCAGTGAGCTTCGCCCCAACAAACCAGCACCCTCCATTATTGAGAGTTACTTATTTTTCATTGTATTAAGATAAATCATCAGGGGTTGACTATTATGCTAGCTCCATAACTGGAGGAAGCAATGTGCTTCCTTCCTGCCCTGGTCTGATACCAGCTACCACCCACCGGCAGCAAATTTACAAAGATGAAGAACGACGGGGGAGGGGTGGTAATTTATTTTTATCCAATGACATCAGCAAGGAGAAAGTAAAAAAACAGTTGGGAGTCTACAATCCAAATGAGGCTCTCGGAGATTGACTAATTGGAGGCCAAGCATTCTGGCACTTCAAAACAAGCTAAACAGATTTGAAGTGCAGGAAATCTCATTTCATAGTAGAAGTGTTTTTTGTTTTGTCTTTTGTTTTTAATGCAGCTCTGAATGAAGTCAAATCTTTGAGGAATTCTCTCACCAGAGAGAAGTTGGACGAGCAGTTCAACTGCATGCCTGGGTCCTACTGCTCAGACACATGACCTTATCTGTTCACAGATGCAAGAAAGATACAGAGCTAGAAACAGAAGTCCTACCCAGGCCAGGTGTGGCAGCTCACGCCTATAATACCAGCACTTTGGGAGGGCTGAGGCAGAAGGATCCCTTGAGGCAAGGAGTTCAAGACCAGCCTGGGCAACATCGTGTGACCCCATCTCTATTAAAAAAAAAATAAAAATACAAAATACAAAGACTCTTCCCCAACGCTATGGTGTAGGGACAAAGATGTCCCACCCACCCCTATTTCTTGCTGGATCCAGGGAGCGACTCAGAGGATATGTGGACACATCCAATCTAAGGCCTACTCACTGGTCTCATGCGTCCTTAATAAAAAGTCGATTTTAAGTACTTGACATTTTTTTCTGCTGATCTTCCCTTTAAATTTACAAATACAGCTTGGAATTTCCTAGGCACTTATGAAGTCCTAGCATAGGACTTATTTGAAAGTTCTATTCATTTAGCAATAATTTACACAACCAAAACATAAAATCGGGGGCAGCGGGGAGGAGAGTGGGGGCAGCATAGATGAGAGAGGAATAATAATCTCTTTCTCTGCTGTTGCTAGGTTGAGAATTAAATAGATAGTATTTGCAAACTGTTGTGAACATTTTTCTCCCTTTTGGCGAGGCTCCATTCAGACACGGGAAATGGTCACCACCTCTTGAAACCCAGTATGGCACTCTTTTAAATCACTAACTAAAGACACACTCTGTTATGTAAGGTTCTTCTTAGTGTTTTTATAGATAACTTTATAAAACTCCAATCATTTCTGTGTATAACCAGAGACAATCAATCTGAAAACCCTTTCAGATGCTTTCTCCTTCCCAGGGCTGCTTAAGCAACTCAGAAGAAACCTTGTTTGAAGGCTTCGCATTTGGCACAGCCTGAGAACTGGCCATTTGATTTACAAATAGAGTCAAAGCTATTTTTAAATTGTGTAATAAGCATACACAAAAACTAACCTTTCCTTAACTTTTTAAACATACTCTGTAATACCATTATATGCTGCCTCTTCTGACATCTGTCCTCACCAAATAACTTTGGAAAATCATTGAAGGGAAGGAGTAGTGTGTAACCGGAAATCCAACTAGGTACAGAAATACTCTCTATGAAAAAAAAAGTGGATTTTCCACTAGATATATATATATGCCTGACTTAGTGTTTGCTGCTTAATTATTTTTGGCAGCCTTTTGCTACTCAGTCTTATGCAATAATAAATTTATTATCACTTTTTTAGCTGAAAATTTTGATCTCTTTATCAAGTTACTAAATTTTTTTCCTCATTCTTCAGCAGTTTCTTTGATCAACAGATAAGGTAAGAAATAAGGGTTTTCCCCCCACAAATTCATGGAAAACAAAACTTTAAAATACAATTTTTTTTTTTTTGAGACGGAGTCTCGCTTCGTTGCCCAGGCTGGAGTGCAGTGGCATGATCTCGGCTCACTACAACCTCCGCTTTCCAGGTTCAAGCAATCCTCCTGCCTCAGCCCCCCAGTAGCTGGGATTAGAGGCATGCGCCACCATACCCGGCTAATTTTTGTATAAAATACAATATTTTTTAGAGAGTGAAATAATAGACATTGGAGATTCATATGGCAGGGAGGTAAGGGATAAGAAATGACTTAATGGATACAACATACACTATTTGGCTGATGTTTATACTAAAAGCCCAGACTCCACCACTACCCAAAATATCCATGTAAGAAAACTGCACATGTACCCCCTAAATCTATAAAAATAAAATATTTTAAAAACTTAGGCCGGGCGCGGTGGCTCACGCCTGTAATCCCAGCACTTTGGGAGGCCGAGGCGGGCGGATCACGAGGTCAAGAGATCGAGACCATCCCGGCTAAAACGGTGAAACCCCGTCTCTACTAAAAATACAAAAAAAAAATTAGCCGGGCGTAGTGGCGGGCGCCTGTAGTCCCAGCTACTTGGGAGGCTGAGGCAGGAGAATGGCGTGAACCCGGGAGGCGGAGCTTGCAGTGAGCCGAGATCCCGCCACTGCACTCCAGCCTGGGCGACAGAGCGAGACTCCGTCTCAAAAAAAAAAAAAAAAACTTAAAGTACGATTTTAAAAATACAATGTTTCTGCTTCACAGTTTAATGTCACTTTAAGGCAAAAAAACTATTGGGTAAATTCAGTCTACACAGAAAACACAAGTATTCTGAGCAGAACAAAACCAAACAAAAAATCTCCTTTGGTCCCTTACATACTCCTTTTATATTTTTCTCTCTTATTTCCCTTTGCTTACAAATATCTTAATAAATTTGAGTTTCATAAACAAAGTTTTGTTCCATTGTCTAAAAAAAAGCAGGTTAAACACAAACATTGAGTAAAAAAAAAAGCAGGTCAAACACAAACCTACTAAAAGTAAAATAAATAAAATGGTACACTATAAAGCAAATGTTAGGTTAAGTACAAATGAAAAACCCAGAGTCAAGCAAGGTTCTTGGCTGCTAAATGTACAGGGCATTTTTAATGGCAGGGTCAGCAATCCACAGCCTACAGATCCAGTCTGGCCCACGCCTGTTTTTTGTACAGTTCATGAACTAAGAATGGGTTTGCATTTCTAAATAGCTGGGGGGAATATCAAAAGAAGAAGAATATTTCATGATAAGTAAAAATTATATGAACTCAAAATTTCAGCATCCATAAATAAAGTTCTGCTGGTACACAACCATGCTCTTTTGTTTATGAACCGTCTACAGCTGCTTCCGAGCTATAAAGGCAGAGTTGAGCAGCTGTAATAAAGACCTGAAGGTTGGCAAAACCTACATGCTTAACATCTGGCCCTTTACAGAAATTTTGCCGACCCCTGTGGCTCTCTTTAGGGAGATTTTCTTCTTCCTCAAGGGATAAGGGATAAGGGTGAAGATCTACCTAAGCCAAAATGAGTCATCAGCAGGGAGACTTGGACTCATGCCACAGGCTTGTGGTCAGGCATCAGTATTAATATCTGATACTGAGAAACACCAGGTACAACATAGTTAACATTCCCTCGGTGTCTTCTATGTACCAAGCATTGTGATAAATGTTTTAAAGATGTGCACTAAAAAAAAAATAGAAAAAATTGGGCAGTATGGCCATTTTCAAGATATTGATTCTTCCTACCCATGAGCATGGAATGTTCTTCCATTTGTTTGTGTCCTCCTTTATTTCGTTGAGCAGTGGTTTGTAGTTCTCCTTGAAGAGGTCCTTCACATCCCTTGTAAGTTGGATTCCTAGGTATTTTATTCTCTTTGAAGCAATTGTGAATGGGAGTTCACTCATGATTTGGCTCTCTGTTTGTCTGTTATTGGTGTATAAGAATGCTGGTGATTTTTGCACATTGATTTTGTATCCTGAGACTTTGCTGAAGTTGCTTATCAGCTTAAGGAGATTTTGGGCTGAGACAATGGGGTTTTCTAGATATACAATCATGTCATCTACAAACAGGGACAATTTGACTTCCTCTTTTCCTAATTGAATACCTTTTATTTCTTTCTCCTGCCTGATTGCCCTAGCCAGAACCTCCAACACTATGTTGAATAGGAGTGGTGAGAGAGGACATCCCTGTCTTGTGCCAGTTTTCAAAGGGAATGCTTCCAGTTTTTGCCCATTCAGTATGATATTGGCTGTGGGTTTGTCATGAATAGCTCTTATTATTTTTAGATATGTCCCATCAATACCTAATTTATTGAGAGTTTTTAGCATGAAGCGCTGTTGAATTTTGTCAAAGGCCTTTTCTGCATCTGTTGAGATAATCATGTGGTTTTTGTCTTTGGTTCTGTTTATATGCTGGATTACGTTTATTGATTTTCATATGTTGAACCAGCCTTGCATCCCAGGGATGAAGCCCACTTGATCATGGTGGATAAGCTTTTTGATGTGCTGCTGGATTTGGTTTGCCGGTATTTTATTGAAGATTTTTGCATCGATGTTCATCAGGGATATTGGCCTAAAATTCTCTTTTTTTGTTGTGTCTCTGCCAGGCTTTGGTATCAGGAAAATGGCCATACTGCCCAAGGTAATTTATAGATTCAATGCCATCCCCATCAAGCTACCAATGACTTTCTTCACAGAACTGGAAAAAACTACTTTAAAGTTCATACGGAACCAAAAAACAACTCACATTGCCAAGTCAATCCTAAGCCAAAAGAACAAAGCTGGAGGCATCATGCTACCTGACTTCAAACTATACTACGAGGCTACAGTAACCAAAACAGCATGGTACTGGTACCAAAACAGAGATATAGACCAATGGAACACAATAGAGCCCTCAGAAATAATGCCACACATCTACAACTATCTGATCTTTGACAAACCTGACACAAACAAGAAATGGGGAAAGGATTCCCTATTTAATAAATGGTGCTGGGAAAACTGGCTAGCCATATGTAGAAAGCTGAAACTGGATCCCTTCCTTACACCTTATACAAAAATTAATTCAAGATGGATTAAAGACTTAAATGTTAGACCTAAAACCATAAAAACCCTAGAAGAAAACCTAGGCAATACCATTCAGGACACAGGCATGGGGAAGGACTTCATGTCTAAAACACCAAAAGCAATAGCAACAAAAGCCAAAATTGACAAATGGGATCTAATTAAACTAAAGAGCTTCTGCACAGCAAAAGAAACTACCATCAGAGTGAACAGGCAGCCTACAGAATGGGAGAACATTTTTGCAACCTACTCATCTGACAAAGGGCTAATATCCAGAATCTACAAAGAAGTCAAACAAATTTACAAGAAAAAAAACAAACAACCCCATCAACAAGTGGGCAAAGGATATGAACACACACTTCTCAAAAGAAGACATTTGTGCAGCCAAAAAACACATGGAAAAATGCTCATCATCACTGGCCATCAGAGAAATGCAAATCAAAACCACAATGAGATACCATCTCACACCAGTTAGAATGGCGATCATTAAAAAGTCAGGAAACAACAGGTACTGGAGAGGATGTGGAGAAATAGGAACACTTTTACACTGTTGGTGGGACTGTAAACTAGTTCAACCATTGTGGAAGACAGGGTGGTGATTCCTCAGGGATCTATAACTAGAAATACCATTTGACCCAGCCATCCCATTACTGGGTATATACCCAAAGGACTATAAATCATGCTGCTATAAAGACACATGCACACGTATGTTTATTGAGGCATTATTCACAATAGCAAAGACTTGGAACCAACCCAAATGTCCAACAACAACAGACTGGATTAAGAAATTGTGGCACATATACACCATGGAATACAATGCAGCCATAAAAAATGATGAGTTCATGTCCTTTGTAGGGACATGGATGAAGCTGGAAACCATCATTCTCAGCAAACTATCGCAAGGACAAAAAACCAAACACCGCATGTTCTCACTCATAGGTGGGAATTGAACAATGAGAACACTTGGACACAGGACGGGGAACATCACACACCGGGGCCTGTCGTGGGATGGGGGAAGGGGGAAGGGATAGTATTAGGAGATACACCTAATGTAAGTGACGCGTTAATGGGTGCAGCACACCAACATGGCACATGTATACATATGTAACAAACCTGCATGTTGTGCACATGTACCCTAGGACATAAAGTATAATAAATATATATATATATATATATATATATATATATATATATATATATATAAAGATAACAATTTTAAATCAAAGTTCTTAACTGCATAATAAAAGAGAAAATAATAACTAATATTTATTAAATTAGGTGTCTTTTATGTGCCAAAAAAAGAAAAAATTGGGTGACATTACTTTTAATAACATATTTTATTTAACTCAATATGTCCAAAATATTAACATTGAACATGAAATCATTATTTTAAAATCATAAGTTTTATTGCATTTCTTGGAACTAAGTATTCAAAATCCATTATGTATTTTATACTCCTGGCACATCTCAATTTGTATGAGCCACATTTCAAGTGCTCAAAAACCACATGTGGTTAGTAGCTACCATATTGGATGATACAGCTCTTAAGTATTATCTCATTTAATCCTCTCAACAATGCTACGAGGTGGGTACTACTATTAGGTGATGCTAGGGTTCAATTTCAGTGTGGTTCCTGAGCACCCATTCTAACCCACTGTGCCTCCCAAACAGTGCAGGACAGACCCAGCTATTCCTTCCAAAACAGTAGTGCAAACATAACCTCATATCCCTTCCCTCCTTGTTCCTCCTCTGTAGCTTACTCCACTCTCATTTACTATTTGGATACACCCACTCTTTCGTCTGTTCTCTCTTATCCATGTTGTTACTACCTCAAGCCCCTATGTAGCTACGTAGATAACCGTTCCTCTTAGACCATTCCTCTTCAACTGATCCATAAATAAAGTTTATGGATGGGCTACAGAATCCTTCGCAGCATTCATACCACACTCCCCAACTCCCATGGCCATGGCAGACACAGCTAATTCATCCAGTTCTCTAGTCCAGTAAACCCACGCTTGACTTTGAAACTGTCAACACGGCACCCGAACAAGCCTCTATAATCAACGTGGGAGGACACATCAAATGAAGCCTACTCTGCTTCCCTGCGAAGAGCACAGGCACAGGAACCTCATGTGGTCACCAAATATTTATGTCACCCAGCATTGTGCCATAGGCAATTTGGTGCTGAATAAATTTGAATTGCTCAGAATAATAAATTCCCTGTCTTATCTATATTCCTGAGGAGCTTTAACATATATTGCAGTGAAACTTAAGTTTGTAATACTAAATCATTTCTGCCAGCTATATTTTCATAAATGTAAATTCCTAACACAGCCCTGCCAAAAGGGAGCTACTAGGTGTTCTTTAAAAATTTTCCTCTTCATTTATTTCCAAGCTCTTTACCAGTCTGGTTTTCGGATTTTAATTTATGAATCGTTTCTTCAGAACTAACAACCTATAGACCTGTCATCTACCTACCTACTGCTACCCCCTCCACCAAATCTTTGACCAATTTCACCCTGAGCCTTGCAACGGAAGAAAGTCTCCTCATAGAATTCTCCGAGGTAAGTGAAGAGTGAAAGAGATAGAGCAAGACCAAGATCCACTTTAATCCTCCTAGACAAGTTTTATCATTGCACCTTGGTCATCTTGGCCCACACTAAGAGTGAATTACAAATTCACTGACAACCATGGCAGTAATAAAGTAACTCCACCCAGTCCTCTCGAGCTTCAACTGAGGCATATCTTCATCGTAAACAGCCCTTTCCTCTTCTCTCTCCTCCCTGTGTTAGCTCTCCCAGATACAAATATGACTTCCTGCCCCTGTATTCTAATTTCCTACAATCCAGCGGTGACCCAGTTTAGGGCACCACCAGGGAAGATCTCCAGTCCTGTGTTTCTCATTCTGGTCTGCCACTACTTTTAACTTTTACCCCCATTTCCTATAAAGTGGTGGCCAGATCTGTGCAATTTACAAGTCGGTAAATAAGTTTTCCTAAAACTGTATTTCAATTTTATTCTTCATCTCAATTTCATACCTCAAAATATTTCTTTCCTTAATGATTCTCTTCTATTTCTTTCTTTCTTCAAAGAAGAAAGTATGAGGGTTTTTTAAGGATAATCCACTTGCCTCTGCCCCAATACTGATCTCACCACTTCTAACCCAGGAATTATCCACCCTCTCCTTTGCCTTAACCACTTTCACCTTTCTAATGTGCCTTTTGAGAGACCGTCCACCTCTCTCCTTTCAACTACCAAACTTCTGGAAAGAATAAATTTTGATTATATTTTTCACCATCCATTTATTCCCTCAAATTTGCTTTTGCTTCCAACATTCAACTTAAAGCCATTTACTTAAGCGTCACCAATGTTCTTTCCTCTGTCCTCCTCTTCTCTGACCTGAGAGAATTGATTATTAACTATTAAACCTTCCTTCTTGGAACTTCTTCTTCCCTTGGCTTCTGAGACATTTTCAATTTACCCTTCTCTGATTGCTCGTTGTCTATTCTATTCTTTTCTTTTCTTTTCTTTTCTTTTCTTTTTCTTGAGACAGGGCCATGCTTTGTTACCCAGGCTAGAGTACAACGGCACTATAACTGTAGCTCAAGAAATCCTCCTGCCTGAGCCTCCTGAGTAGCTGGGACTACAAGCACATGTCACCACGTCCAGCTACCTTTTTTTTATTTTTAGTAGAGATGAGGTTCCAATATGTTGTCCAGGCTGATTTCAAACTCTTGAGCTCAAGCGATCTGCTCACCTCAGCCTCCCAAGTTGCTGGGATTACAGGCATGAGCCACTGTGTCTGGTCTTTTTCCCTTCATTAACTTATTTTCCTCTTTCCAAGCTTCTCTCAAAAGACTTGTTCTTTCCATGAGCTCTGTCTCTCTTGTGCATCTTATGTATTTCCAGGACTTCAAAATATTGTCTGCCTCTATGAAAATAATGCCTAAATCTCTCTCCCCAGCTGCAATTTCAAAACTATCTGCTGGACATCTCCACCTGGATGTCTCCCCAAACTCATATCCAAAGCAGAATGAAACATCTTTTTAGAAAATATATACACAAACCCCTATCTCCTTTTCATAACTGCCACACCAGCCAGCAGCTCTTTCCTCCGGCACACCCTTCCCGTCTCTAGTACGTGAAGTAACTGTTCCCTCCAAAGGCCAAATATGTCAGCAGAGGTGGGACATTTATGAATGGACATCTGTATAGCTCTGGAAGTAAAAGATAATAGTACCAGGCACAGGCTCACATACAAGAAGCACTATTTACAAACCGCATTGTATTTTTTATACAAAAAATAAAAACTCCTCTAGCCTTCTGCACTTTTAATATTATATTATCCTTCTGGGACCTCTGAATGTCCTCCAGTGCCTTCCTTTCTCTTATTCCCCACTCCCCATTCATTCATGTTTCACATACAGCAAATAATCAATAAATAATACATTAATGAGAAGAAATGTCTGTGGGGAAACAACTAGTTTCAGCATTATAAAGCCCTCTTCACAGGACATAAAGGATCAACAGTAACCCAGCCCAAATTCTTATGGGATCTGTTTTCTATTTCCACCACAATCCTTCAGTGAGTCACTAGGACAGTGACTCATCCAGTGCTAGAAGAGGAGCAGCACATGTTTAACTTGGAGTTTAAAGAATCAGTGTGTTCACTTTTAACTTCACCCAATCGTTGATTCACAATCAAACCCCAAGTCATGTTTCTCTGCGGCTGAAAATGAACACCAGCGCTTAGGGTTGAGGGTTGCTTAAAAGCAAACATGAAAGTCCACGAGGAGCCTTCCCTCCGCCGCCATGAATCATCACAGGCTTGCAGGGGCATGCTACTCACCCTCGAGCTTTCCAGTATTTGGTCGAG
Organism: Homo sapiens; assembly: GCF_000001405.40. Taxonomy (NCBI): domain Eukaryota; kingdom Metazoa; phylum Chordata; class Mammalia; order Primates; family Hominidae; genus Homo; species Homo sapiens. The sequence continues at coordinate 73,704,289 of NC_000006.12, read as the reverse complement.
TACAATTTGTGAGATACCAAAGGGCAGTTGTTCTCATTCTAATGTGACTAAGAATCACCTGTGGTCATGGTGGAACATAAAGGTTAGATTCTCTTTTTTTTTTTTTTTTTGAGATGGAGTCTTGCTCTGTCACCCAGGCTGGAGTGCACTGGTACAATCTCACTGCAGCCTCTGCCTCCTGGGTTCAAGCGATTCTCCTGCCTCAGCCTCCCAAGTAACTGGGACTATAGGCGCCCACCACCACACCTGGCTAATTTTTGTGTTTTTGGTAGAGACGGGGTTTCACCATGTTGGCCAGGCTGGTCTCGAACTTCTGGCCTCAAGTGATCCACCTACCTTGGCTTCCCAAAGTGCTGGGATTATAGGCGTGAGCCACCACACCCAGCTGAGATTCTTGATTCTTACCCATGTCTTGAGGGAGGCCATGAATCAGCCTTTTTAATAAATACAATTTGGACTCTGAGAAACAAAGCAACAGAATTTAGTTTTTAAAAGGTCTATGAAGCTTCTAACCCAGCCCCCACCCCTTATACAGAACAAATAGTGCATAAAGAGCAACTCCACCTTGAGCTAAAATAAGAAACTTTCACAGTATGCAAGTAAGCATTTTTAAACTCCTTAGTTAGCCTTATTTTCTTCCATATCAGAAGAATCAGCATTTGTAAATATATCTTAGGTCTTAAGCTCAGCTCTCCATATGTTAGGAAACTTTCGTAGAGTATACTGGAAATAGCACTGGACTGCAAATTTGGGAAACTGCAATCTGTTTCCAGCTCTGCCACCAATAAGTGATTTGACCTTGGGAAAATCCCCAGATCCCATGCCTCACCTCAGTCTCCCAGCCATATATTAGGCTATTGAATTTGCTTATCTTTGAGGTCCCCTCCAGCTCCAAAACTCTATGAGGCTGAAAGTAAATTAAGAGGAGAGCTGGCATTTCATTTTGTAATTCTTTCGATTCAAATTAGATTTCATTAGATCCAGGTCTATCTACTGCAAGCAAATGTGAAAATGATTTTAGTGGAAGACAACTGCAACATTGCATCAATATCCCAAAATCAAGGAAATAAAAATACTTCACTCTCTTCCCAGCAATAGAAAACCTTATGGTCTCTGGACCTCAGATACAACTAACTTCAAATTCAGGCTTCACCATTTACTAACTGGGTTAACTCAGAAAAACTAATTCTTCTCTCTTTGCCTCAATTTCCTCACCTCCAAAATGAAGACAAGAGTATCTACTTCATCAAGTTGTTAAAATTAAATATAGTGCATAAAGTCCTTGGCACTATGAGGAAACTGGATATTTAATATGTTAAATCCCTTCCAATCCCCTCCTAGGGATGTGTCTTTTATAGAGTTCCCGGTTCAAGATTGTCACAATAGGTGATTAATAATTGCCTTTGACATAAACTGTTGCTACTCTCTTCTAGTAACAATAGCTACCATTTTCTTGAATAATTCCTTTGTGTTAAGTGCCTTGAATATGTTACCTCATTTAATCCTCACAATATCCATATAATTGTATAAGGCAGAAACCACTATTTTTCAGATGATGAAACTGAAGCCTAGTGAGATCATGACTGCCCACAGCCACACAACCACTAAGTGGAATGGCCAGCACCTGTGCCCAGGTAGCCAGGCTCCAGAGCCCAGGCACATCGTGATTATGCTGTGGTCCTTTATTCTCAGGTACCACCTACCTGTTAATATACATCACACACAAGAACAAAGACGATGTGTGAATGAAAAGCCTACACCCTTTAAAAATAATTCTAACATAACTGCAGGTTCAGACTGAGTTATGTTGGCAAAGCTGCCTGTGAAAACCTGCTCTGGGAGATCTGCCCACACACTACACTAATTAATCTACTTTCATAAAGACCATGGGACTGATTTTTATCTACGAGGCATGAAATGCATGTTCAGGAGCTTTGTTTCCACCAGAAAACCATCCAAACCAAATTGGATGATTTTTTAAGTTTTTCAGCTAATATCTCAATTTTTAAAAATTTCCCACCCTTACTGAGCCAAGATGGAAAATAAAATATATCATAGTCAATGTGAGAAAGACAACAAAGGAAAAAATAGATTTTTTAAAAAATCTTTAAAAAAAGGTTAACACTCCATTAACTCTCCAGGATTTTAGGGCAAAAAGAAAAAGCGAGTTACAGACACATTTATAGAGCACATTCCACCCCAGTAACTCAATGGGAAGATGGAAGTAGGATTGGCAGCATTTAAAAAATGGTGCCCCCAAACCAGCAGGCACTCACCTGGAGACGCCCATGCAGAGTTCCCAAAATTTCAGTAGGCATTTTCAGTTTAGGTTTTTGGGAGTTTTTGGTTTTAAGGGTTCTTTTGTTTTTGTTTTTGAGATAGAATTTCACTGTGTTGTCCAGGCTGGTCTCAAACTCCTGGGCTCAAGCAATCCTCCCACCTCAGCCTCCCAAGCTCTGGGATTACGGTTGTGAGCCACTGCACTCAGCCTCTAGCATTTTTTCTTAAATCAGGTTTACATGAAACTAATGATGATGAATTCATTAATGAGGGAGAAAGGTTATATTCTTTATTACTTGAAGTGACTCTTGTTCAGGAAAACTACTGAAAGTTTACAAATGAAAATGTCAAATTGTAGCAAGAGAAGGGAAAATAAAACAGAAATTATGGTTTCAAGGACATCACGAAAATTAAATTATTTTATATGCCTTAACAGATGAGAGGACAGTTCTCAAAATGTTCTTAATTTCTTTTTTCTTGATTTGGCAAGGAACTCCTTTCACAGTAAGGAAAGAGAAAAAAAATATGGGAAGAGACAAAGGGACAGACTCACTCTCCACCCAAAACAGTAATCTGACTTGATTTTAAATGCCAATAGCTGTGCCATCTTCTTTCCTCTGGTAATTATTACCTGCTGAACTTTTACTACGTTTTGCCAGTTATGTTTATTTAACTAACTCTTTATGCAAAGGAAGATAAGATTAGGAACATAGTTCTAATCACTATGGAGCTGATGGCAATGATGCTGATAGTGGTAGAGGCAGTGACAGTGGTAACAGTGACAAGCAATCTTTTGAATCTCACTACTAGAAAGGCATTGATACACCTTCCCAGAACTCTGCAAAGTGTAGCAGAAATACTTTTTCTAAAGGTCTATTATTCACCAAAAAAAAAAAAAAAGCCCATAATCGCTGGGCACGGTGGCTCACGCCTATAATCCTAGCACTTTGGGAGGCCGAGGCAGGCAGGTCACGAGGTCAGGAGTTCAAGACCAACCTGGCTAACACAGTGAAACCTCGTCTCTACTAAAAATACAAAAAATTAGCCAGGCATGGTGGCACATGCCTGTAGTCCCAGTTACTCGGAAGGCTGAGGCAGGAGAATCGCTTGAACCAGGGAGGCAGAGGTTGCAGTGAGCCGAGATCGCACCACTGCACTCCAGCCTGGGTGACAGAGTGAGACTGTGTCTCAAAAAAAAAAAAAAAAAAAAAAAAAAAAACTACAATCAATCCCCAATAAATGTAGAATTAATGTATTTTTAAATGAATAACAGTAATATAACCTACACTCCTGGCCATAAAAGTGGAAATGTAAATAAAATCTCCCCCATATCTGTCAAACAAACAAATGAACTCTTCCCTGAAGAAATGCCATACTTTTTCACCTTTATTAAATACATTCTCCATTTGAACAATTTAGTTATTACTATTTCCAACACAAATTGAGCCAGAAATCTATTGTGGTTTGGGTAAAACACCTCCCTATCCTGAGGATTTCTAAGAAATCCAAAACTGCTGGAAATAAGCTACTAAGACACAGTCTACTGCCTTACCCAACTTTACTAGAAGATAAATCTTTATTAAAACCAACCTTCTGTTGGGGGGCTGGGGGTGGCTCATAGGAAAATGAAACAATCAGGCTCATACCCATAATCCCAGCACTTCGGGAGGCTGAGGCAGGAAGATCGCTTGAGCCCAGGAGTTCAAGACCAGTCTGGGCAACATAGCAAGACCCCATCTCTACAAAAAAAAAAAAAATTTTAAACCTAGCATGCTGGCACTTGCCTGTAGTCCCAGCTGATTCAGGAGGCTGAGACAGCAGGATCACTTGAGCCCAAGAATTCCAAGTTGCAGTGAGCTATGATTTCACCACTGCACTCTGGCCTGGGCAACAGAGTGAGACTCTGTCCCTTAAAAATAAAAGGTATTTATTTGTTGGTGTTTGGTGTTTATGTGATGGAGAAAAAACAAAACATGAATCCACATCCAGATACTTGAAGATCCAGACCCCTGATTTAGAAGTCCTGGTTTATCTACATATTGTTACAACTGGAGAAGCCAGATAAAGCAAAGGATGTGAAGACAAGCAGGGAGAAGTGTCTTGATCCTCAAGTCCTCACATTACAGGAAGCATCTGCTCTGAGAACAATAACTCCCAGCCTCTGATAATACAGTAACATTCTCCTTTGAAACAGGAGAGTGCTCCTAGCAATGGCATTTTCAATGAAACTCTATGTCAATAGAGTCAAAAACAGCCCATGAAAGAAGCAGCGTTTTCCCTCCTTCCTTCCCACAGATCCATTCTGCTCCCAGGACAGCTTTGCCCGCCCCAGTCTTGAGTACTTGAACTTTCCTATGGGCATACAAGGAACCCTTCTCCCAAAAGAAGATCTAAGAATAAAGCTGAAAACCAAGCCACAACAACATGCACCCCAATGTAGGTACTATTTGTTGCAAAAAAAAAGAGAGACTGATAACAGAGATCACAGAAAAGACCTAACAGGTGAAATTCTAGAATTAGAGTATGTAAATGTCCAAGCAAAGCTCAAATATTTATCAAAAACATCCATATATATTCTGGATCTCTGCATTGCAGGAAAACTGCCACACTAGTGGAGCCAATATTATAAATTCTTTTTTTTTTAACTTTTATTTTAGTTTCAGGGATACACGTGCAGGTTTGTTATATAGGTAAAATGCCTGTCATAGGGCTTTAGTGTACATGTTATTTCATCATCCAGGTGATAAGTGTGGTACCCAATAGGTGGTTTTTTAATACCCTCCCTCTTCCCACTCATAAATTCTTAATGAATAAATAATGAATGTGGAACTACCTTAAGTATTATGTCCTGTGATTTAATATTTCAATATTTTCTTTAGCGACTATCATAAGATCAGGGGTCATTCATTTTCAGAAATGATAGTCCAATAACGAAAGTTGAAGTCTGCCCCCATGTAAAAAGGAAATGGACTTTCTGCATCCTCTTCTGCAGTATTATTACACTAATAATATTAGCAATTGTTGTTTATTGCATGCCTAAGAGGTACTATATACAGATTTTAACTTTATAACTGCCCTGGGAAATCAGTTTCATTATTTCCATTTTATAGACAAGGAAACTGTGGCTCAAAGCAGTTAAGTAACCTACCTAAGATCATACAACTAGTAGCAAAGTAGTACCAGGATTCAAACTCAGATCTTAAGGGCTAACCTATACTTCCCCTCCAGGGAAATAAGACCTCCCACTTCCCTGACATTGCTTCTATGAGGGACAAAAGTGACTTGCCCCTACACACACCATCTCTTCCTGACTCCTATTCCAAATATACCTACCCAGTGAACTTCCAGTGGGGAAAGAACCACAGATGCAGATAAACTTTTACTTTTATTTCATTTCATGATGGTGTTCATTTCTCTACGCTTGTAGAGAATAAACACTTATGTAATGAATACCAACCACCCTTCATTACGTGCCTTAAATTTTTTTTTTTAAATAACTCTTAACATTATAAAAATGTATGTCTCGGCCAGGAGCAGTAGCTTAGGACTGTAATCCCAGCACTTTGGGAGGCCAAGGTGGGTGGATCACTTGAACTTAGGAGTTCGAGACCAGCCTGGGCAACATGGTGAGAGCTTGTCTCTAAAAATAATTATAAGAATCTAAAAAAAGAAAAAAATGCAATAAAAGTTCATTTTAATGAAAAATGTTTTAAGTATTTAAGTATTTACCTCTTCCTCCCAAAATTATTTTTCCCTTAGCACTGAAAAAGAAGACATTCATTGGCCCAATTTAATCTTGGGCCATGTCAGAACCCAAACTTGAAACAAGAACCAAACTTGGTTCTGCTACAAATGGCTCCCACTTTCACACTATTTTCTTTTTTTCTCTTGTTACTTTAAAACTTAAGAAATATTCCATAAAACTGGATTTTAACTATTGTGTAGCTTTTCCTTTCCTTCCTACAGGCCTATTCTGTAAAATACTTTGCACTCAATAAATATGGTTTTGTGTTAGAGACTAGCCCATTTCCTCTTCTGGGGCACACATTAGCCTACACTTCCCAGCCTCCCTTGCCTGTGAATATGAGCAGTAGTGATGTAAGCTATTTCTAGGCCTATCCCATAAAAACCTTCCATATGCTCTTCCCATCCTCTTCCCCTTCTCCCATGAAGAAACTCCATGATCTTCCCCTGCAGTCTTGGGAGCCAAGTGATGATAATGGAGCCACAAAATGGAAGGAAACTGGGTCTCTGAATCTGCACTTGGAAGAGCATCCAGGAACACCATCTAGGACTTTACATGAGTGAGAATTAAAAGTATATTAGGTAAGATACTGCAAATTTGGGGTTTCTCTGCTATACTACCTAACACATGACCTTATTAACATATTCCAGTTATTACTGCAGAAGGGTAAGACTTTATGCTGTTTATCTTACCTTTTTCAAAGACTCCTTCTGCTTCCAGGACAGAGACAGTGAGGTTTGATGCTGTCTTGAGCAGCTCCGCCTTCACAGTCACCTGTGAAGGGCAGTGTTCCAGAAGCTCCACCCCAATAGTCACATTTCCTCCGGGCCTGATGATCCCTGGGGCTGTCACCAGAAACCGAGGCCTAAAGAGTTCCCAACAAGGGAAAAACAAAGTTTCTTATCCTCACATCTCCTTTCTTTTGTGACCCTCAGATTTCCTAGTGCGATAGGCACTCCATACTGCGCCAATTGCAGTTGTTTCCGTTAACATTGCCCACTGCTCTATTTGGCAACTGAATTGAAATGCTACTGAAACAACAATAATTCCCATAAATCAATTTTAATGCAGTAATTCATGCATCACTACTAGAGGAAGGCCTGTGTTATTATTTCCATTTTATAAACCACGAACCGCACAGAAGGAACCATGATGTAAATGGCTTGCACCGGGGCATAATGGAGTTATTGGCAAAGCAAAAGTCTCTAAGCTTCTCCTTTACAGAGGACCTTATCCCAGCGTGATTATTTTCTTGTTGTTGTTGTTATTTTTTAACTAAGATTTTGCCTGTTTCTTATTCAAACCTTTATCCTTGAGTAGCTGCCCAACGAGGGTAAAAAATTATTTAACCAATACCATTGATTGAAATATACCATTTGAAAATAAACTACAACTGGTGAAAATTCCAGGTATAGCGAATCATAAAAGAAGTCACTAAAGCAGCACTTTCTCTGCTATAACTAGGGGTTAGGGCTCAACTACAGAAATCTTTAGGAATGAATGGGGCTTGCCATTATTGGGTGCTGTTGTTTTCTTCCTATAATGTCTGCCCCTGAACCCATACATCAGTCCCCTCCGCCACACTTTGGCAATGCTAAGGTTGAGACATCTTGGTTAGAAAAAATATATCATGTCTTTGAGAGAAGAATCGCAATCTGGGAGCAAAAAGTTGAGAAGCAAAAGGCAGAGGCAATGTGGACTAAAAATAAAATGACTCTCTTCAGAAAGTTGTTATGGCCGGGGAGACGCTTAAACAACTTCATGAGTGGAGAAAGTTAACTGTCCCATGGAGAGCCACGCTGAAGCTACATATGGTCAAACCTCCAGGCCAGTACCAGGCTGGGGACTGCAGCCGCGAGGGCATTTCCCACCCGCTGCTGCACAGCAGCCGCCACCTCCCCGAAGCCCTGGCCCAGAGCCGCAGAGCGGCCCAGGCCCGCGCGCCCGCGCGCCCCCCGCGCGCCCACGTTCCTACCCGGGAGCCACGGCCAGCGCGGCGGTGCACACGCAGAGGAGGTGGGCGGCGGTCAGGAGCGGTGGGCCCTGCATCTCGACGGCGTCTGCCTGGGCTACAGTCCGCTGCCGGGGAAGTTCGCGGGCACCGTGGGGTGTGGCTTGCCACCTCCTCCCTGATTTTTTTTCCCTCTTAATTCGAGTTTAGTAATCTGAAATGGGCGCGCCTAACAGCAGAGTGAGAGATCTAAATTGAGACAGGACTTGGAGGCTCCACCCCTCCCATCCCCATTACAATGGCGCTTCTCGCTGCTGTGGCAAACATCGCAAATCCAGGGGGTGAGAAAGCAGTTGCTAAACGCAGGCGGCCCCACCTGGCCCGGCGTCCCAGCTGGCCGCGGAGAACAGAGCGCGCCCACTTCCCCGGCCCACCGGGTTCCTCAGGCTGTTTACACTAGCGCTCTACCAACGATGCCCAGGGTGAGTAAACAGGCCCATCCTTGTGAGGAGAAATTCATAGCAACTATGTGAAGTGGAAAAAAGTCAATCATTGTCCTCCAGACTATGAGTCAGAATTTTAGAGAAACGGCACACACACACACGCACACACACACGCACGCACACGCGCGCAAAACCGGGGCGTATTTCCTGGGTAGTTATTTAATGTATATGAATGGAAACAGAAAAACTATTTTTCCTTAAAACAAAAAATGAGGTCTACTGCTTTCCTTTCCAGGAAAATGTTATGATTTATCACCTTAAAAAAAAAAAGAAGAAGAGAACTCGCACTGCAGACGTTAGGTGTTGCTACTTGGAACCCTGAAAAAAAATTACCTAAGAAGATGCCTTTATATTTTTGCTACAGAAAGAATTTGGTAGAACTGTAAAGCTTGGAGCAATCTCTGAACACAGTTAGGGTTGGGTTGGCTCTCCTGTCAGAATGAAGGCCAGTGGCCGGTGGTGCCCAGGAGTTATTGATGCCCAACGCTGTCTGGCTTCTTTGCAGCTCCTCTCTCCTGCTCTCTGGCACTGCCACCATCTTCAGATGACTCAGGTTTCACCATGACTACACCATAAAAGCAGGGAACTGCCAGAAACTGTTGGAAAACAGACACATTCAGTCCCTGACAACTTAAACTTTCTAATTCATGGAGCGGTTTTAGATGGTAGCATTCTAATATGGGGCAAAATGCAAACGGAAAAGAGGTCAGCAAAAAGATGTCTCATGACAAAGCTATGTGCTAAATAAGGAAAAGTGAGAAAGTAGCACCTAGACAAACTGTGGTTTGGGGAATCCAGAAACTTGCTTTCCTCCCTTTCCTGTTCCACCCTTTTTCTCCCTGCTGAACAGCTTGCAAAGGTCCTTATGTCCTTTCCTTCAGGCAGCCTATCTTTAGTGGCCAACTTCCTGTGCAGGCAGGACTTAGGAATGGTCAAAAGTGTCTGTGTGGATCCCTGGGTGCTGACCTGTTCCTGACACAGCTGTTACTACTGGTCTCCTCACCTCCGTTGTTCAGAGAGGAGGACCATGGTCAAGGGTGGGCCAAGCACCAAGGTCTAACTCAGTGCTTCTCACATGCCAATGTGTGTGAGAATCACATGAAAACAGACTCTGACTTGGCAGGTCTGGAACGAGGACTGGGATTCTGCTTTACTTTAGCAGACAGTAGGCCATGGAGACTCTACAAGTGGGGGCAATTTGGGGGCAATTTGATGAGCAAAGGCAATTAAGAACACAGAAAATTCTTCTCAATCTTTCACTTCATAAAGGTGGATTAATAAATTCAGGTTCATTCTAGAGGTAGGCAAACATAAGAGGGACTGCAAAAGATTAGATGATAATGTTGCCTCCCGAGAAGACTTACAGAAAGTCTTAGAACCACATTGTATAAATCTGTGTGGATTTTAAAGTGATGCCACCTTCCTGTTTATGCCCTCCTTCCCACAATACACACTTGTCGAAAGGCGTAGTCATGCAAAAATTTAGGCATATGGATTTGCATAGAGATGAGGCTATTACATGCCTGGCACAGAGTAGCTATTCAATAAAAATGTGTTAAAAGGATTAATGAAAAATGTTCATCTCAGAAGTGGGATTTTTTATTAAGAAAAACTGAAAATGAGGCCAGGCGTGGTGGTTCACACCTGTAATCCCAGTAATTTGGGAGACCGAGGCGGGTGGATCACCTAAGGTCACGAGTTCGAGACCAACCTGACCAACATTGTGAAACCCCATCTCTACTAAAAATACAAAATTAGCCAAGTGTGGATGGTGGCACATGCCTGTAATCCGAGCTACTCAGGAGACTGAGGCAAGAGAATTGCTTGAACCTGGGCGTTGGAGGTTGCAGTGAGCCGAGATCGCAGAATTGCTCTCCAGCCTGGGCAACAAGAGCAAAACTCCGTCTCAAAAAAAAAAAGAAAAGAAAAGAAAGAAAAGAAAAAAGAAACACTGAAAATGGGCCGGGCATGGTGGCTTATGCCTGTAATCCCAACATTTTGGGAGGCTGAGGAAGGCAAATCACTTGAGGGCAGGAGTTCAAGACCAGCCTGGCCAAAATGGTGAAACCCTGTCTCTACTAAAAATACAAAAATTAGCCCAGCATGGTGGCACATACCTGTAATAAAAGCTACTCAGGAGGCTGTGGCATGACAATCACTTGAACCCAGGAGGTGGAGGCTGCAGTGAGCCAAGATGGTGCCACTGCACTCCAGTCTGGGTGACAGAGCAAGACTCTGTCTCAAAAGAAAAACTGAAAATGGTCTGAACATGTAACAATAAGATATTGGGTTTGCTGTCATTTGGATGTTTGTCGCCCAAAGCTGATGCTGAAATTTGATCCCCAGTGTTGGAGGTAGAGCACAATGTGAGATGTTTGGGTTCTGTGGGTGGATCCTCATGAATAGATGAATGTCCTCCCTGGGGGTCGGGGGGTGAGTGAGTACTCAGTTCCCACAAGAATTGGTTGTTAAAAAGAGCCTGGCACCTCCTGCTTCTCTTGTTTCCTCTCTCACCATGGGATCTCTGCACACTAGCTCCCCTTCCCCTTCCACATGAGTGGAAGCAGCCTGAGGACCTCACCAGAAGCCAAGCAAATGCCAATGTCATGCTTCTTGAACAGCCTGCAGAATTGTAAGCCAAGTAAACTTTTTTTTTTAATAAATTACCCAGCCTTGGGTACTACCTTATAGCAACACAAAACAGACAAAAACAGGATTAAATAAATTACAGTATATCCATGCAATGGAATACTGAAATAATTAAAAACTATTTGTTTAATTGGAGCTTGTTTAACCATCTAGAGACAAATATTCATATGTTATTAAGGAGGGTATATTAGTCTGTTCTCACCCTGCTAATAAAGACATACCTGAGACTGGGTAATTTATAAAGGAAAGAGATTTAATTGATTCACAGTTCCACATGGCTGGGAGGCCTCACAATTATGGTGGAAGGCGAATGTGGAGCAAAGTCAAGTCTTACATGGTGGCAGGCAAGAGAGCATATGTAGGGGAACTCCCCTTTATAAAACCATCATATTTCGTGAAATTTATTCACTATCACAAGAAAAGCATGGGAAAGACCCACCCCCAAAATTGAATTACATCCCACTGGGTCCCTCCCGTGACATGTGGGAATTATGAGAGCTGCAATTCAAGATGAGATTTGGGTGGGGACACAGCCAAACCATATCAGAGGGGAAGTCTGTTTTATAAAACAGAATTTAAATTTCATTTTATTTTTATAAAAAATAAAGTGTATTTATGTGTACATAGACATTACAGATCTATGCACTGAAGAAAGACTTGAAGGATATTCACCAAAATGCTATTATCAGTATCCTGGTGATTACCTGGATATGCCAAGTTTCCTACAATAAATATATATTATATCTCCTTTAAGAAGAAAACAATAATAATATTATTTTAGTAAATAGTTTTTGAGGGGGCATCTTAGAAGCTCTTTTGCATAAAACTTCTGAATTTTGATACCAAAAATATCATCTATGCTTATTGCATGAAAACCTAATGGTCTCTTGGATAAGAACCCCACACTGTTCCTGTGTCCCTCCTGAGCTGTCTTTAAGGTGTTGATATGGTTTGGATCTGTGTCCCTGCCCAGATCTTATGTCAAATCCCCAATTTCGGAGGTGGGGCCTGGTAGGAGGTGATTGAATCATGGGGGCAGATTTCCCCCGTGGTGCTGTTCTTGCGATAGTGAATCTTCATGAGATCTGGTTGTTTAAAAGTATGTGGCACCTCCCCCCACCTCTTTTGGTCCTTCTCCTGCCATGTAAGATACCACGAGCCCATACATCAGCCCCTTCTGCCATACTTTGGCAATGTTAAAGTTGAGACCATGAGTAAAAGCTCCCTGAGGCCTCCCTAGAAGCAGATGCTGACATGCTTCCTATATAGCCTGTGGAACTGTGAGCCAATTAAACTTCTTTTCTTTATAAGTTACCCAGTCTCAGGTGTTACTTTATAGCAATGCAAGAACAGAGTAATTCAATGAGAAAGGCAGAACCACTATGAGTGAGACAGACCCTAAGCAATCATGGGAGCTGGTAGGGCAGTTTGTGCAAACCATTGCCCCTGTGTGTGGTGTGCAGCATAACATAACTATGAGTCAGCCAGGGGAGAAAAGCTAAATGTGGGTAAGAATAAAGAAAAACTGATTGAGAAGTGGAACCCATGTCCATCTTACCACCTCCAACTTCCATGTCATGAGTAACCTGCAGGAGAAGCTGGTGTCCTTTGTCCAGAGCTTCATGTACATTTGGCCCACAATTCAGAAAAACTGAAGGAAGAGAGCCTCTGAGAACTAAAGGAGCTACAGGCCTGACTGTGGCCCTGAACCCACAAAGTGAACTGGCACATTAGTAACAGTATGGACAAGTGTTCCCAACTGCCTAGCACTCTAAACCAAGCTTCAGAAAGTAAAAAATACAGGTGTATGGGGTACCCCACCTCCCCTTTATAGTCTGCTCTGTCCATAACACCAGCTGGAGGCTTTCCTGGGGCCACCTGAGTCCAGGCCCCAATCAGATGGACATTGGAAGGGGTGAGACCAGGACTGGCAGGGAGCAGTTAGTTGCCTTTCTAGTCTCCCTCCCTAGCCATGCACTTTTGCCTTTAGAAAAATGATGGGGAAAACCTTGGCTCCTTCTTTGTCCAGAAAGTGTTAATTGCCTGTGGGTTCTGGTGGCCGGGGAGAAGAGCAGGAAAGCAGAGAGCAGGTGGGTGGCTGAAAGGGAAGAGGGGAGGAACACGGCAGAAACATGAAGGTGACCCTATCTATTCCCCTGGAGAAGGGGTGAGAGGTCAGGTAGAGTAGCTGCTCAGTACACAAAATGTAGAAAGATGATGAGAAAAAAAAATCTGCTACAGTCTTACCACTACCCAGAGACAAGCATTATTTCATTTTGTTGTGTTTCCTTCCTCTCTTTCTTTCTCCACATAATTTGCTGGTATCTTTTTTAAAGAGTAATTATGTTATAAATATAATACAACTTTGTGCTTTGTGTCCTACTTTTCCCATTTAATTATTCCATCATAAGCATTTCCTCATGTTTTACAAACCTTTTTTAAATAAAATGTTCATCAGCTGCAGCCGGGCACGGTGGCTCACGCCTGTAATCCCAGCACTTGGGAGGCCGAGGCGGGCAGATCACCTGAGGTCAGGAGTTTGAGACCAGCCTGACCAACATGGAGAAACCCCGTATCTACTAAAAATACAAAATTAGCAAGGCGTGGTGGCACATGCCTGTAATCCCAGCTACTCAGGAGGCTGAGGCAGGAGAATCTCTTGAACCTGGGAGGCGGAGGTTGCGGTGAGCCGAGATCACACCACTGCACTCCAGCCTGGACAACAAGAGCGAAACTCCGTCTCAAAAAAACAAACAAAAAAAATGTTTATCACCTGCATAATAAAACAAACAAAAGGAATAAAAACATTTTCAGAAATGGAATGGCTCAGAAACTTCGCCTTTCACAAATTCATTTTAGGAAGTTACTTTAGGAAGACATATTTAGCAACGAAGTGAAATAAGCCAAGAAAAAGGGAAATGTATATATAACCCCAGAAAAAAATGAAGAGAGAACTTCTAATAGGAAAAATTCCAGGAGTAAGCTCTTAAGGGAAATAAAAGGGATCTTAATCGAATAGATGTACATAATGAAATACAAGAAAACTGAGACTATGATAAAGTAAAATAGTGCAGTAAAAAGGAAGGGAATTTAGAAATTCAAGGGAAAAGCAAACACTGAATAAAAAAGAATATATCATGATTCATTAGTTGGCTTTGCAGTGAAAAATAATTAGTTGTGTTGATGTAAGTATGGTTTACTGATTTATAACAGAATAAAAGAATTGACAAAGAAGATTTAATTACACTGTTTCACCATTTCTAAAATATATGTTTTTCACATTTGTAACATTTCTGATCTTATAATCAATGGTATCATAATAATAATTGACAATAAATTTTCTTTCTTGGTATTAAAGTAAGTGGTGTATCTTAGATTTGATGAAATATGTGAAATACACAATGTTTACAAAACAATGTAAATGGTGTTAATACTTGAAAAGAGCACAGATGACAAAAACTTACAAAGTCAAAGAGGGATGAAGAATTAAAGCATTGACTGAGACACTAAGAGCCTTATAAAGTAAAAAAAAAAAATGTGTCTACAGTTTTCTTGGATCAAGAAATATGTCATAAGCATATTAAGACTATAAAGTAGTGTAAGGATATAAGAAAAACTGAACCAAAGTGGTTTTCCCACTTTTATACACTCAATATAACACACTGGCCACCAAAATGCATAGAAGAGCTTCTCCCATGCTGACCAAGCAATCAATTCTCTGGCAGATTCTACAGCAGACTCAGCTGAGCATCCTCTAAGTCAATTCAATCCCAACACAAACTACCTGGAAATAGCAGCAGATCCCCTAGGTTGAGGGTTCCTTCCCATAAGACTGCCCCCAACCTTAGATGCCAATCACAAACTCAGGTTGTGACCTGTGCTTCTGATCCAACAGCTATAAATTGGGGTTCCCACAATCCCATCCTTGGGTTTGGTTAATTTGCTAGAGCAGCTCACAGAACTCAGGGAAACTATGTTTCCCAGTTTATTAATAAAGGGTATAATAAATGACCTCTGCCAATTCTAGTTTGGAAGTTGAAAGATGTCGCCCAATGGAATAATTTATAAACTAATTAATTAATTAACAGAAGCAGCTGGGCTTGGTGGCTCATGCCTGTAATCCCAGCACTTTGGGAGGCCAAGGCAGGAGTACTGCTTGAGCTCAGGAGTTCGAGACCAGCCTGGGCAACATAGCAAAACCTTGTCTCTACTAAAAATCAAAAAAATTAGCCAGATGTGGTGGTGCGTGGCTGTAGTCCCAGCTACTTAGGAAGCTGAGGTAGGAAGATCACTTGAGTCTGGGAGATTGAGGCTGCAGTGAGCTTGATTACACCGCTGCACTCCAGCCTGAGTGACAGAAGGAGACCCTGTCTCAAAAAAAAAAAAAAAAAAAAAAAAAACAAAGAAAAACTCTCAGAACCCTATAATCCAGGAATTTTTATGGAAGCTTCATCAAGTAGAAATAATTATTAATGCCATTTCCAGCCCTTCTCCCCTCTCCAGAGGATGAGGGTGCACTAGAAGTTCCAGGCTTCTAATCATAGCTTGGTCTTTCTGGTGACCAGCCTCTATCCAGCAGCCTACCAAGAGTTACCTCATTAGTACAAAAGACTCTCTCATCGCACAGAAAATTCCAAGGGATTTAGGAGCTCTGTGTCAGATGCTAACACTTAGGAAATTACAAATGTCTTTGGAGCTCTGTGTCAGGAACCAGAGCAGAGACCAAATATTAGAACAAAAGATTCTCCTAGCACCCCTATCTAACAGAGTATTAAGAACTCTGTTTCAAGAACCAGAGCAGAAACCAAACATTAGAATGAAAGATTCTCCTAGCACTCCTATTGCTCAGGAAACTACAAGAGTTTTAAGAACTCTGTGCCAGGGACTGGGGGGCAGAGACCAATATGTGTATTTTTTATTGCACAACAGCCAATTAGAAATTAAAATACTAATATATTATCATAAATAGTAAAAGCAAAGGTATGTTTTCCAAAAAAAATCTACCAGACAAAAAGAAATCACAATTAATTTGAGTTCTTACAAAGTTTCTAGTGTTCTTCTAGTGCATGATTTTAATTACTATATTTTGAACAGCAAAGTACTATCTGGGGAAGATACATTAATCTGAGATGACATCTGCCAATGCCAGTTGGGAGTTTCTCACCTAATGGGACAATTTGTAAACTTATTAATCTATTAATAAGCAAAGAAACAACCTCAAAATCACACCAACAATAAACTTTTGCTTCAGATCCCAAGTTTGCAGGCCAGCTGAGGCAGTTCCCACTTTGTGTTTCTCCTTTTCCTTGGAACAGTAGTCTGGGAAAAGCACGTCCTTCTTGCGGTCATGGTAGAAGCACAAGAGAACAAGCCCCACTGCTCAAGCACATTTTAGGTCCCTGTTTACTTGACATCTGTGAAGATCCTGTTGCCCAGAGCAAGTTTCATGGTCAAGGACCAAGTCAAGGATGGGTAGAATACTCCACCTTTTGGTTAGAGGAACTGCAAACTTAATTATGTGGGAAAGGATATGGATGGGAGAAAATTGGGACAAATAATTCAATCTACCACAGACAGTTAGCAAAATTTGCCAAAAGCTGTGTTCTGTTCATCAAGACAATGTTTCCATGAAGGACAATTAGCCTATCAAGGAAGGAAGGAAAGAAGGGGAGGAGAGGGAAGGAGAGGGGAGGGGAGGGTAGGGAAGGGGAGGGGGAAAGGAAGAAGGGAAGAGAGAGAGCATGCATGTGAAAGAAGGAAGGAAGGAGAGAGAGGAGAAAGAGAAAGAAAGAGGAAGGAAAGAAAGACTGAAGGGAGGAAGGAGTATCCAATGTCTAAAATCATGCATGGTTTTTTTTAGTTATTCACTTTTGGAGGATGCTGCAATATGAACTCATTAAAGGTAAAGAATTAACCTTTATCCTGCCTTTCCTACGTGAACTGATCACTGGGTAACCAAATAGTAGATATGAGGGATTTCTCTCTATAGTTTTCCAACTAATAAATGTAAAATTAATGTTAGAATAGCACCATATCACTACTCTTTGTGAATTAATAGATCTAGACCAATGCTGTCCAATAGAACTTTCTGTGATGATGGAAATGTTCTGTATCTTATACAGTAGCTATAACCAACATGAATTTATTTAGCATTTGAAATGTGACTGATAGGCCAGGTGCAGTGGCTCACATCTATAATCCCAACACTTTGGGAGACCCAGGCGGGTGGATCACTTGAGGTCAGGAGTTCAACACCAGCCTGGCCAACATGGTGAAACCACATCTCTACTAAAAATACAAAAATTAGCTGGGCATGGCAGCAGGCACCTGTAATCCCAGCTACTCAGGAGGCTGAGGCAGAAGAATCACTTGAACCCGGGAGGCGGAGTTTGCAGTGAGCTGAGATTGTGCCACTACATTCCAGCCTGGGCAACACAGAAAGACTCTGTCTCAAAAAAAGAAAGAAAGAGAGAGGACTGATATAACTGAGAAATTGAATTTTTAATTTAATTTAATTTAATTTATATTTTTAAGTAGCCACATGTGGCTAATAGCTACCACATTGGATTGTATAGACTCAGCAGTGATCATAAATGGCTGCTAATATCACAAAGGGAGATATTCAGATACTATATGCCGCCCAGTAGAACAAAGCACCACCTAAGAAGTGGTCTTGCCAAAAATTCTAAACTGAATCTGATTAAATTTCTAGATTTAAATGCCAATTTGCAAGGAAATGTGAAGGAACGTATTAAACATCACACAGATGTATTAGCAAAATTCAGACTGTGCAAAACACTATCAAACAAATAATCCAATTCCTTCAACAAATAAATTTCAAGGAAAAATAGAGAGGACATCAACAAGATGCTGGAATAGGAGTTTCCAGGGCTCATCCCCTCAGAGACACATCAATTTGAACAGCCATCCACACACAAGAGTACCTTCACCAGTGCTGAGGACTCCAGGTGAGAGATTACAGCACCTAGTTGGAGCACAGAAACAATAAAAGACACATTGAAGAAGGTAGGAAAGACAGTTTCACATTACTCAAGTTACCCCTTTCCCAAGCCTACTCAGCACAGCATAGCACAGAGAGAGAAAAGCCCACAGCTAATATCATGCAAAATGGTCAAAAGCTGAAAGCTTATCCTTTAAGATCAGGAATAAGACAAGAATGCATACTCTCATCACCTTCACTCCATATAGTACTACAAGTCCTAGCCAGAGCAATTAGCAAAGAAAAAGAAATACAAAGACATCCAAATCAGAAAGGAAATAGTAAAATTGTCTCTGTTTGCAAAGATGACATGATCTTATATATTTTCAGAAACCTGATGTAACTCAGGAATGGAAAACCAAATACTGTATGTTTTCACCTATAAGTGAAAGCTAAGCTATGAGGATGCAAAGGGATAAGAATGATATAATGGACTTTGGGGACTTGAGGGGATGGACAACAGAGGGTAAGGGATAAAAGACTACATATTGGATACAGTGTGTGCACTGCTTGTATGACAAAATCTCAGAATTATCACCACTAAAGAACTTATTCATGTGACCAAAAACCGCCTGTACCCCAAAAACTATTGAAATAAAATTTTTTAAAAATTGTTTAATTTTTTTAAACCCTAAGGATTCCATACAAAAAAAAAGTTAGAACTAATAAATTCATTGATGTTGTATGATACAAAATCCACAAACATTGATCTAGACAATGTTTTTTTGCATATAACACCAAAAGCACAGGCAACAAAAGCAAAAATAGACAACTGGGATTGCATCAAACTAAAAAGCTTCTGGAAAAAAAAATCATCAGAGTAAACAGACAACCTATTGAATAGGAGAAAATATTTGCAAACCATATATCTAGTTAGTAAGGGGCTTATATCCAGAATATATAAGGAACTCAAACTACTCAATAACAAGAAAACAACCCAATAAAGAAATGGACAAAGCAGGCTAGGCACAGTGGCTCATGCCTATAATCCCAGCACTTTGGGAGGCTGAGGCGGGTGGATCATGAGGGCAAGAGATCAAGACCATCCTGGCCAACACAGTGAAACCCCGTCTCCACTAAAAAATGCAAAAATTAGCTGTGCCTGTAGTCCCAGCTACTCGGGAGGCTGAGGCAGGAAAATCACTTGAACCTGGGAGGTGGAGGTTGCAGTGAGCCAAGATCATGCCACTACACTCCATCCTTTTGAGATTCCACCTCAAAAAAAAAAAAAGAAAAAAAAATGGGCAAAGCAAGAATTTGAGACCACATAGGCAAAATAGTAGGACTTTTGTCTGTACCAAAAATAAAACTAAAAAGACTAGCCAGACATGGTAGCGTGGTCCCAGCTACTCAGGAGGCTGAGGCAAGAGGATCACTTGAGCCCAGGAGTTTGAGGTTACCGTGAGCTATGATTGTACCACTGCACTCCAGCCCAGGTGACAGAGTAAGATCCTGTCTCTAAAAAAGAGGGGAAGGGGGAGGAATTGAGTAAACATTTCTCAAAAGAAGACATATAAAATGGCCAACAGGTACATGAAAAAATGTTCAATACCACTAATCATCAGGGAAATGCAAATCAATACCAAAGAGATATCACCTTATACCTGTTAAAATGGATATCATCAAAAAAAGACAAAAGTTGGCCAGGTGCAGTGGCTCACACCCATAATCCCAGCACTTTGGGAGGCTGAGGCAGGTGAATCGCTTGAGCCCAGGACTTTGAGACCAGCCTGAACAACATGGCAAAACCTCATCTCCCCAAAAAAATACAAAAATTAGCCAGGAGTGGTGGCACTCAGCTGTAGTCCCAGCTACTTGGGAGATTGAAGTGGGAGGATCATCTGAGCCTGAGAAGCCAAGCTTGCAATGAGCCAAGACTGCATCACTGCACTCCAGCCTGGGTGACAGAGCAAGACCCTGTCTCAAAAAAAAAAAAAAAAGAAAGAACGACAAAAGAAAAGAGAAAACAATACAGAGGCTCCTCAAAAAATTAAAAATAGAACTACTGTATGATCCAGCAATCACATTTCTCAATATATATCAAAAACAACTGAAATTAGTATCAAAGAGAGATCCATACTCCCATGTTCATTGCACCATTGTTCACAATAGCCAAGCTATGATATCAATCTAAATGCCCATCAACAGATAAATAGTGATATGGTTTGGCTGTGTCCCCACCCAAATCTCATCTTGAATTGTAACTCCCACAGTTTCCAAGTGTCATGGGAGGAACCTAGTGGGAGGTAATTGAATCATGGGAGCAGGTCTTTCCCATGCTGTTCTAATGATAGTGAATAAATCTCATGAGATCTGGTGGTTTTAAAAATGGGAGTTCCACTGCACAAGCTCTCTCTCTTTGCCTGCTGCCATCCATGTAAGATGTGACTTGCTCCTCCTTGCCTTCCACCATGATTATGAGGCTTCCCCAACCACATGGAACTGTAAGTCCATTAAACCTCTTTCTTTTGTAAATTGCCCAGTCTCGGGTATGTCTTTATCAGCAGTGTGAAAACGGACTAATACAGTAAATTGGTACCAGTAGAGTGGGCACTGCTGAAAAGGTACCCAAAAATGTTGAAGTGACTTTGGAAATGGGTAACAGGCAGAGGTCAGAACAGTTTGGAGGGCTCAGAAGAAGACAGGAAAATGTGGGAACGTTTGGAACTTCCTAGAGACTTGTTGAATGGCTTTGACCAAAATATTGATAGTGATATGCACAATGAAATCCAGGCTGAGGTGGTCTCAGACTGAGATGAGGAGCTTGTTGGGAACTGGAGCAAAGGTGATTCTCGTTATGTTTTGGCAAAGAGACTGGTGGCATTTTGTCCCTGCCCTAGAGATTTCTGGAAATTTGAACTAGAGAGAGATGATTTAGGGTATCTGGTGGAAGAAATTTCTAAGCAGCAAAGCATTCAAGAGGTGACTTGGGTGCTGTTAAAGGCTTTCAGTTTCAAAAGCGATACAGAGCATAGAAGTTTGGAAAATGTGCAGCCTGACAATGCAATAGAAAAGCAAATCCCATTTTCTGAGGAGAAATTCAAACCAGCTGCAGAAATTTGCATAAGTAATGAGGAGCTGAATGTTAATCACCAAGACAATGGGGAAAATGTCTCCAGGGCATGTCAGAGAACTTTGCAGCAGCCCCTCCCATCACAGGCCTGGAAGCTTAGGAGGAAAAAGTGATTTCATGGGCTGGGCCCAGGGTCCCTGTGCTGTGTGCAGCCTAGGGACTTGGTGCCCTGTGTCCCAGCCACTCTAGCAGTGGCTAAAAGGGGCCAATGTAGAGCTCGGGCCGTGGTTTCAGAGGGTGCAAGCCTCAGCCTTGGCAGCTTCCATGTGGTGTTCAGCCTGCAGGTGCACAGAAGTCAAGAATTAAGGCTTGGGAAAGATTTCAGAAGATGTATAAAAATGCCTGGATGCCCAGGCAGAAGTTTGCTGTAGGGGTAGTGTCCTCATGGAGAACCTCTGCTAGGGCAAGAACCTCTGAAGGGAAATGGGGGATGGGAGCCCCCACACAGATTCCCTACTGGGTCACTGCCTAGTGGAGCTGTGAGAAGAGGGCCACGTCCTCCAGACCCCAGAATGGTAGATCCACCCACAGCTTGCACTGTGTGCCTGGAAAAGCTGCA
The DNA here is from genome assembly GCF_000001405.40 of Homo sapiens. Taxonomy (NCBI): domain Eukaryota; kingdom Metazoa; phylum Chordata; class Mammalia; order Primates; family Hominidae; genus Homo; species Homo sapiens. Next base: position 73,682,529 of record NC_000006.12, on the reverse strand, counting down.
GACACTCAACATCATCCAGTGAAAGCAGCCAAGAGGAAGGCTGTACCCTGCAAAGCCACAGGAGCGGAACTGCCCAAGACCATGGGAACCCACCTCTTTCATCAGCATGACCTGGATGTGAGACATGGAGTCAAAGGAAATCATTCTGAACTTTTAAGATTTGACTGCCCCACTAGATTTTGGACTTGCATGGGACGTGTAGCCCCTTTGTTTTGGCCAATTTCTCCAATTTGGAATGGCTGTATTTACCCAATGCCTGTACCTCCATTGTATCTAGGAAGCAACTAACCTGCTTTTGATTTTACAGGTTCAGAGGCAGAAGGGACTTGCTTCATCTCATATGAGACTTGGGACTGCGGACTTTTGAGTTAATGCTGAAGTGAGTTAAGACTTTAGGGGACTGTTGGGAAGGCATGACTGGTTTTGAAATGAGATTTGGGAGGGGCCGGGGTGGAATGATATGGTTTTGCTGTGTCCCAAACCATACCTCATCTTGAATTCCCACATGTTGTGGGAGAGTCCTGGTAGGAGGTAATTGAATCATGGCAGGGGGGATCTTTCCCATGCTGTTCTCATGATAGTGAATAAGTCTCATGAGATCTAATGGTTTTTAAAATCGGAATTTCCAGCCAGGTGCGGTGGCTCAGACCTGTAATCCCAGCACTTTGGGAGGCTAAGGTGGGCAGATCACCTGAGGTCAGGAGTTTGACCTCAGCCTGGCCAACATGGTGAAACCCCATCTCTACTAAAAATATAAAAATTAGCCAGGTGTGGTGGTGTGCACCTGTAATCCCAGCTACTCAGGAGTCTGAGACAGGAGAATCACTTGAACCCAGAAGGCGGAAGTTGTAGTGAGCCCAGATTGTACCATTGCACTCCAGCCTGGGTGACAAAAGCGAAACTCCATTTCAAAAAAAAAAAAGTGGGGGAAGTTTCCCTACACAAGCTCTCTCTTTGCCTGCTGCCATCCATGTAAGACATGACTTGTTTCTCCTTGCCTTCCACCGTGATTGTGAGACCTCCCCAGTCACACGGAACACTTTTTCCTGTATAAATTACCCAGTCTTGGTGTGTCTTTATCAGCAGCGTGAAAACAGACTAATACAATAATACCATATTGTATTCTTGAAATATGCTTAAAGAGTGGATCTTAAATGTCTCACCACATACACACACACACACACACACACACACACACACACACAAATGGTAACTGTAAGGTGATGGATATTATAATTAGCTTGTCTGTGGTAATTATTCCACAATGTATATGTATATCAAACATCACATATATCACATTGTATACCTTAAATATATAAAATTTTGTCAATTTCACCTCAATATCACTGGGGTAAAAAAGAGAGAGAATAGAACAAAGCCATGGATTTAAATGGACTTTTGGTTTTCAGACACTTTCTATGTAACTACCAACTTGTCTTACGAGGGAGCACTGCAGATGGGCCACTGAAAAGCTATCCATTCCTTTCCTGTGCTGTGTATTCCTTTGCCAGAGTCTGGAAAGCAAAAATAGGCAAATTTCTAGGCTCAATCCAGCTAGACGTGTCCATGTATGGTAATCCTGGATAAGGAGATGTAAAATGAAGACTGAAGAGAAAGCATTCTCTTCCTGAATGGAGACAACACCTCAAGGGAACCAGTCTTTGGCTCTTCCACTTTTGTCCTGCCCAGAACCCAGGCGCCGTGCTTTGAAACTCAGAAGACAAACGACACCCAAGAAGGGAAGATTGGAATGAGAGGTAGAAAGCACTGGATCACTAAGTGCACAATTAAGCAGTTGTAGCAGCCCTGGACTGGGCCAAATGCCCTCTTCCCCATCAATCCACCTCTTTGCAGGAAGGAAGTCCTGACTAAGTGCCAGACTTTCAGGCATGGACCTTTCCCCTGCAGGAGTCTCTCTTTGGGCAAGATTGGCCAGCTACGTGGAGAGTCTACCATTGCCTCAAAGCTCTCTCTTCAGCCACTGCCCTTTCACTGCTCATCCAGAACACAAAAGCTCATTTTTCACATCCTGTCTGCCCCCACAAAATACAACGAACACACCCTTGAGGTCAATTATTTCTATCAAGGTTAAGCTGTCTTGGCTTAGGGGCAATTTCTCCACCCACTCTTAAATATTTTTAAGTATGCCACACCCTTACACTGGCATATTTTAGTCAAAGGTATCATCAATCAAGCTTCAATGGCTGTTATAAGATTATATTTACCTCCTTATGCAAAAATGTGTTTGCCTGAACTTCTAGCAATTCAGATTTCTTCAAAAAGAATTGTATAAAGAAAAAGAATAAAAAATAATATAATTACATAAATCTGTATGTAATATAGTTAGGAAATAGACATTGTAGAAATATAAAAATGGCTTGAAATGGAAACAAACCAAATAGAAATGAATCACGAATTCACTCATATCTCTGGGTTTGTGGTCTTGGCTTTACATTCTTAAGTTACCTGCCTCCAGATCTTGGGCTGAATCCTTTATCAGCCACATATAGTTTTATTTTCCTCTAAAACAAAACACTATGATAAACTTTCCACGTAAAACATGGTTCACCAAAAACAACACTGAAAAACATCTATACCCGGGTGTAGTCACACACGCCTGTAATCCCAGCATTTTGGGAGGCCAAGGGAGGCAGATCACCTGAGGTCAGGAGTTCGAGACTAGCCTGGCCAACATGGTGAAACCCCATCTCTACTAAAAACACAAAAATTAGCTGGGCATGGTGGCTCGTGCCTATAATCCCAGCTACTCAAAGGCTGAGGCACAAGAATCACTTGAACCCAGGAGGCGGAGGTTGCAGTGAGTCGAGATCGTGCCGCTGCACTCCAGCCTAGACAACAAAGGGAAACTCCATCTCAAAAAAAACAAAAAACAAAAAAAAACAGAAAAGAAAAGAAAAACATCTATGATTTTTCTCTCATTTGTTTTCTCTATTTTTTTCTCATTTGTTTTCTCTATTGTTGCTAGTACTGAAATATAAAATGCTGCCTTTCCCTGCTTGATAAAATATTAAACTTTTTTTTTTAATTATCCAAGGGTACAGGATTAGGGACGTTTTAATTGTAAACGGCAGAAACCTTTAGAAGTGGGCTCTAAAACCTTTTGGAATATAACTTTTTTCTCCAAAATTTATATTAACAATGGTGATTCCTTTACATTTCACATGACATTCTACAAGCAAAATATACTTTGTTAGACTCAGTTCTGACATTATCTCATCCATCCTGGCTGGACTTGCCTTGCCATGCAGTCCCCACTTCAAGACTCACCCTGAGCCTGCGTTGTTCACACACACTTGCCACATTTTCACTTCTGGTCACCCTGCCAGGCTCAGCTCTAAAAATAGTAAAAGAATTTTTAGCTTGAAACATGGGCACCCAAAATTAACTACATTTCCCAGTCGTACTTGCAGCTGGGTGTGGCCATGGAGTTGTTAGTGAAAATAGTGTGTGCATCCTTTGGGAAATGTCCCCAAAGGGCGGAGGCATGTCATTTCCCTTTCTTTCCCTCTTTCCTTCTAGTGGAATACAGACATGGTGGCTGGAGCTGGAGCAGCCATCTGGAACCAGTAGTTTGACTTTAGAAAAGGAGGCCATGATGGCCGGGCGCGGTGGCTCATGCCTGTAATCCCAGCACTTTGGGAGACCGAGGCAGGGGGATCACATGACGTCAGGAGTTCAAGACCAGCCTGGTCAACATGGCGAAACCCCGTCTCTACTAAAAATACAAAAATTAGCTGGGTGTGGTGGCACGCACCTGTAATCCCAGCTACTCGAGAGGCTGAGGCAGGAGAATCGTTTGAACTGGGAGGTAGAGGTTGGAGTGAGTCAAGATTGCACCATTGCATTCCAGCCTGGGCAACAAGAGTGAAACTCCAGCTCAAAAAAAAAAAAAAAAGAAAAAGAGGCCATGCCCAGTAATAGAAGTCTAAGTCCCTGACTCCTCTGGAATTCTTTTTTTTTGTTTTGTTTTTTCTTTTTGAAGTGTCTTGCTCTGTCACTCAGGCTGGAGTGTAATGCCTGGATCATAGTTCGCTGCAGCCTCGAACTCCTGGGCTCAAGTGATCCTCCCACCTCAGCCTCCCCACAGGGACTACATGCCACCACACCTGGATAACTTTTTTTATTTTTAGTAGAGACAAGGTCTCACTGTGTTACCCAGGCTGGTCTTGAACTACTGAGCTGAAGCAATTGTACCTCAGCCTCCCAAATCCCAAAGCGTTGGGATTACAGGTGTAAGACATCACACCTGACTCCTCCGGACTTCTTTTTTCTTTTTCTTTTTCTTTTTTTTTTTTAAAAAAATAATATAATTACATAAATCTGTATGTAATATATTTAGAAAATAGTCATTGTAGAAATATAAAAATGGCTTGAAATGGAAACAAACCAAATAGAAATGAATCACGAATTCACTCATATCTCTGGGTTTGTGGTCTTGGCTTTACTTTCTTAAATTACCTGCCTCCAGATCTTGGGCTGAATCCTTTATCAATCCTTTAAAAAAAAAAACAGGGTCTGCCTGTGTCACCCAGGCTGGAGTGCAGTGGGGCAATCTCAGCTCACTGCAACCTCTGCCTCCTGGGCTCAAGCAATCCTCCCACCTCAGCCTCCCAAGTAGCTAAGACCACAGGTGCATGCTATTACACCCAGCTAATTTTGTAATTTCACCATGTTGCCCAGATTGGTCTCAAACTCCTGAGCTCAAGTGATCTGCCCGCCTCGGCCTCCCAAAGTGCTGGGATTACAGGCATAGCCACCACTCCCCCACCCTCCTCTGGACTTCTTGTGAGAGAAATAAAAATCTATCTTGTTTAAGCCATTGCGACTTTGAGTTTTCTATCACTCACAGAAAGAGATAACTAATGTACTACATGTATATCAATTTGCTGTGTATCCTTCCGTCTATTTCCGAGTTCTCATTTCTCTTCCATTGATCTGTTCGTGTATCACTGGGCCAAACACCTCATGCTTTAATTAATATAATTTTGTGTTAGGTTTTGATATCTAATAGGCAAAGCTCCTCCCTTAGTTCTTTTTCAGAATTGTTTTTGACTGTTCTTAGACTGTTACTCCTCCATTTGAATTTTAGTCTGTCTAGTTTCAGAGGAAAAAGTGTGGCAGCATTTTTATTGCCATCATGTTTCCATTTAACTTGTAGATTAACTTAGAATCAACACCTTTATGAAATTGAATGAGCATGGTATAGTTCCATATTTATGTTTTTGTGTACTACAATAATATTTTGTACTTTACTCCATAAATGTCTACGTACCCTATGTCAGATTTATATGCCTAATGTTCTTGTAAATGGTGTATTTTATTTTATTTCATTACCTGATGGGTTATTGGTGATATACAAGATTTTTTGCATGTTGGGCTTGTATTCAACAACCCTATTGAAATCTTATAAGTTCTAAAAGTATGTCTGTAAAGTCTTTTGAATTTTCTTCCTTTCTTTTTCTTTTTTTTTTTTTTTTTTTGAGACAGGGTCTTGCTTTGTCACCCAGGCTGGAGTGCAGTGGCACAATCACGGCTCACTATAGCTTCAAACTCCTGGGCTTAAGCCATCCTCCCACCTTAGCCTCCCAAGTAGCTGGGACTAAAGGCATGAGCCACCATGCCTGGCTAATTTTTTGTATTTTTAGTAGAGACAGGGTTTCACCATATTGCCCGGGCTGGTCTCAAACTCCTGAGCTCAAGCAATCTGCCTGCCTCGGCTTCTCAAAGCGCTAGGATTACAGGCATGAGCCACCACACATGGTCCTCTTGAATTTTCTATTAATTTGTTTCCATAAAGAAACCACAGGGAAATGAAAAAAAAGTAAAAGTGAATTGCCTTGAGTGTGAATAGCACTAAGAGTCTCAAAATAGAAGTGTAGTATAAGTAAGAAGTTCAGGTGCCAGCCGTAGAGCCTCATCAATAACACAGCAACAGGACTAACAAGGCAACCTTGGAATACTGAGCAAGGATATAAAATAGCTCACCTCAGGGGGACAGGCTAGCACTGGAACCAGAAGTCAGGCCATGAAAGACAAGAGCTGGGGTGGAAGGAGAGAGGGAAGGAGAGAGTCTGGGAAGATTCAAGAACCAGAGGCAGTAGCTCAACCAGACAACAACGTCACTCCCATGGAGGTCATTTATGGCAGATCAATTTGTCAGTCTCCAAAATAGAATTTGTTCAATATAAAAAGCTTGAGAGCAAAAGTTTCTTTATTTTGGTTAAGATACTGGCCTTCCCCTCCCAATACTGGAAGTAATAACATTACAAAGGAGAAAAGAGTAAAGTAAAAGATAAAAGATCTGGATCCTTACCAGGGAAGGATCCCTGAAAGCCAATTCAGCCTGAAACCTTTGACTTCTCATAAACAGTGAAAAGTGGAGATAATTCTATTGGGCTGCAGTGTCTCTCCAGGGACCGTAGTTAATACTTTCTTTACAATTCCCATCACCACTTCTGGGTTCTATGGTGTTTTGTTTGTTTTGTTTTGTTTTTTAATCTTCGTTACATGTTTATATGGGTTTTCAGAAGTGACTCAAAATTTTAGACTGTGACCCCTGTACATTCCAGATGTCTCTCTAAGGACACCTGGAATAACAGTAAGATAATAATTTTCCTCAATAAGACACTTAGTTTTTTGTGTATGAAGGTCTAAAGCAGAAATGAAGAATAGTCATTGGGGCTGAAGGTCCATAAGGTGACAGACACTTGAGTTCATCTACATTTTACATTCTGAATACAGGAAAAGCCTGCTGCAGCTGGTCATCATCATGCTGGTGTCCATAGAAGTCAGTCAGAACACTGTCCAGTTTCCCTAGCAGCTGCCATTCTGCACCAGCCTGCCACCTAGTGGTCAAGGAAGTTGATGCAACATATTATTGGAGATAACACAGGAACCCCATATAGCCTCATCCTTCTCTCGTGTCTCAGAGTTAATGATTACTGGGTAAAATCAAGGGAAAGAGAACAGATATTTCTGTTACAAGCCAGCAGCAGTGGCTTGCACCTGTAATCCCAACACTTTGGCAAGCCGAGATAGGAGGATCGCTTGAGGCCAGGAACTCAAAACCAGCCTGATCAATATAGCGAGACCCCATCTTTATATATTTAAAATTTAAAAATTTGATATATATATATATATAAATTGTGTGTGTGTGTGTATATATATATACATATTATATATATACACATATTTTATATATATATATATATATATATATATGATATTTCTGGCCAGGCTCTGTGGCTCACCCCTGTAGCCTGTAATCCCTGCATTTTGGGACACTGAGGCAGACAGATCATTTGAGGTCAGGAGTATGAGACCAACCTGGCCAACATGGTGAAACCCTGTCTCTATAAAAAATACAAAAATTAGCTGGGCAAGGTGATGCACACTTGTAATCCCAGCTACTTGGGAGGCTGAGAGAGGAGAATTGCTTGAGCCCAGGAGATCGAGGTTGTAGTGAGCCAAGATCACACCACCGCACTCTAGCCTGGGTGACAGAGTGAGACTCCATTTCAAAAAAAAAAAAAAAAAGATATGTCTGTAACAATGTTTCTTAGTCCATTCAGGCTGCTGTAACAAAATAGACATAAACACAGAAATTTATTTCTTACAGTTCTGGAGGCTGGAAGATCAAGGAGCTGGTGGGTTCAGTGTCTGGTAAGGACCCTTTTCCTAGTTCATAGATAATACTTTCTTGCTGTGTCTTCACATGATAGAAGGGGCAAGGCAGTTCTCTTGGGGCCTCTTTTATGAGGGCACTAATCTCATTCATGAGGCCTCTGCCCTCATGACCTAATCACCTCCCAAAGCCTCCACCTCCTAATACCATCACATTGGTGATTAGGTTTCAACATACGAATTTGGGGTAGTGGGTGGAAGGACATAAACATTCAGACCTTAGCACAGTGTGACAATGGTAATACAGTTATTGATAAAACTATGAAAAGATGCTCCTAACTGTAAAAAAAAAAAAAATTTTTTTTTAAGTAATTTTTTTTTCAGATGGAGTCTTGCTCTGTTGCCCAGGCTGGAGTGCAGTGGCACAATCTCAGATCACTGCAACCTCTGCCTCCCAGGTTCAAGCTATTCTCCTGCCTCAGCCTCCCTACTAGCTGGGATTACAGGTGTGCGCCACCACACCTGTCTAATTTATTTGTATTTTGAGTAGAGATGAAGTTTTACCATGTTGGCCAGGCTGGTCTCGAACTCTTGACCTCAGGTGATCTGCCTGCCTTGGCCTCTCAAAGTGCTGAAATTACAGGCATGAGCCACCGCGCCCAGCCAAAAAAGTAATTCTTTTATTTTTTTCTTGAGACAGGGTCTCACTCTGTTGCCCAGGTTGGCGTGCAGTGACATCATCTTGGCTCACTGCAACCTTGGCCTTCAAGGTTTAAGTGATTCTCCCACCTCAGCCTCCTGAGTAGCTGGGATTACAGGTGAGCACTACTGTGCCTGGCTAGTTTTTGTTTTATTTATTTATTTATTTATTTATTTATTTATTTATTTATTTATTTGAAATAGAGTCTCACTTTGTCACCCAGGCTGGAGTGCAGTGATGCAATCTCGGCTCACTGGGTTCAAGCTATTCCTCCTGGGTTCAAGCCTCGCCTCCTGGGTTCAAGCTATTCTCCTTCCTTAGCCTCCGGAGTAACTGGGATTACAGGCATGTGCAACCACGCCTGGCTAATATATATATATATATATATATATATATTTTTTTTTTTTTTTTTTCTTTTTTAGATGGAGTCTCGTTCTGTCACTCAGGCTGGAGTGCAGTGGTGCAACCTTTGCTCACTGCAGCCTCTGCCTCCCAGGTTCAAATGATTCTCCTGCCTCAGCCTCCTGCGTAGCTGGGATTACAGGCACACGCCATCATGCCCGGCTAATTTTTGTATTTTTAATGGAGGCAAGGTTTCACCATGTTGGTCAGGCTGGTCTCGAACTCCTGACATCGTGATCCATCTGCCTCGGCCTCCCAAAGTGCTGGCATGAGCCACCACCGTGCCACCCGGCCTAATTTTTTGTATTTTTAGCAGAGACGGGGTTTCACCATGTTCACCAGGCTAGTCTCCTGACCTCAAGTGGCTCACGTCTGTAATCCCAGCACTTTGCGAGGTCGAGGTGGGTAGATCATTTGAGGTCAGAAGTTTGAGACCAGCCTGGCCAACGTGGGGAAACCCCGCAGGAGGCTGCAGTGTGCGGAGATCATGCCATTGCACTCCAGCCTAGGAGACAGACAGAGACTCTATCTCAAAAAAAAAAAGAAAAAAGAAAAAGAAAAGGAAAGAAAAAAAGAAATAGGCACTGCTTAGTAGACCTTGACTAGCTTTAACTCTTTATTGGCCAGACATTTTTTTTATCCCATCAGTTAACATAAAATCAAATTATACAAAAACTGTCACCCCAGGCTCACACTTGTAATCCCAGCACTTTGGGAGGCCGAGACAAGCAGATCACCTGAGGTCAGGAATTTGAGACCAGCCTGGTCAACATGGTGAAACCCCATCTCTACTAAAAATACAAAAATTAGCCGGTTGTGGTGGCAAACGCCTGTAATCCCAGCTGCTCAGGAAGCTGAAGCAGAAGAATTGCTTGAACCCAGGAAGAGGAGGTTGCAGTGAGCCAAGATGGTGCCACTGCACTCCAGCTTGGGTGACAGAGCAAGACTCTGTCTCAAAAAGAAAAAGAAAAAGAAAATAAAGAAATGGCTATCAAACAATGAAACAATATGAAGGAACCTTAAATGCTTATTGATAATGAAAGAAGCCAATCTGAAAAGACTACATACTGTATGATTCCAACTATTCTGGGAAAGCTCAGTCGGCCAACATTATTTCTATAGTTTCAATTAAGTCTCAGTGGGTGTTTTCATTGTTGACAGTTTCTGATTATTTAGGCACAGGAATGAGTGAATTAAATGTTATGACGCTGGTTTAAGGAAATTAAAGCTATCATGACTTTATAAAGCTTAGAAGGGATAGACTTCCTTTTTTTTCCGCCCAGGCTCACTGCAGTGGCACTATCTGGACTCACGCAACTTCTGCCTCTAGGGCTCAAACCATCATCCCACCTCAGCCTCCCGAGTAGCTGAGACTATAGGCGTGCGCCCTGGCTAATTTTTTGTATTTTTAGTACAGGCAGGGTTTCACCATGTTGTCCAGGCTTGAAGGGACTTTAAATGATAGCTTCAGTTCTGTCTCAGAGTCATTGTTTCTCATTGGTTTATTTCTGATTACTTAGGCATGGGAATGTATAAATTGAATGTTATGATAAAGTTTTAAGGAAATTATCCTACCTTTGGATTCAATGGCCAATACAACACAAGGCTTCAAAAGGAATTCCAATTATTACATAGTTAAAACCCAGTCATCCCCACCCTGTCCCTCTTCATTGTTGTGCAACAGGTGGTGATTTGGAAACCTAGACAACATTCTAATTCCGTTTCTTATACCCTACTGTCATGAGGAAACAGATCCACACAATCCTTTAAAAACAGTATATTCCTTAAAAAACCTTTTCATTATGAAAAATTTCAAATCTACACTAGGTAAAGAATAGGTTAATCAACTACTACAGACTATTTTGCCAAATTTGTTCCATCTATCTCCCATTCTACCATCTTGTACCTCCCTGTGCATGAGGAATACATAAATGATCTACTGGAACTCAGCATGGAAAAAGCAGGGGATTTGGAGTAAGCCTGACATACATTCTAACCCCTGTGCTTAAGCAGGTTACTCTCTCTGATGTCAGATTTTCTCAACTACATAATGAGAATAAAGATACCAAACATGGCTAGGTGCCATGGCTCACGCCTGTAATTTCAGCACTTTGGGAGGCTGAGGCTGGCAGATCTCTTGAGCCAACAAGTTCAAGATCACCCTGAGCAACATAGCGAGACTCCATCTCTATTTCAGTTAAATTTCTTTTTTTAGGCCAGGCGTGATGGCTCACGCCTGTAATCCCAGCACTTTGGGAGGCTGAGGCGGGCAGATCACAAGGTCAAGAGTTTGAGACCAGCCTGATCAACATGGAGAGGCCCCGTCTCTACTAAAAATACAAAAATGAGCCAAGCTTGGTGGTGCGTGCCTGTAATCCCAACTACTCAGGAGGCTGAGGCAGGAGAATCGCTTGAACCCAGGAGGCGGAGGGTGCAGTGAGCCAAGATTGCGCCACTGCACTCCAGCCTGGGCAACAGAGCAAGACTCTGTCTCAAAAAAAAAAAAAAAATTAAGATACCAAACACTGGACGCTAGAGAGTTAAATAACATGTGTAACTGCTTACTATGGTGTCTGACACATACCAGGCACTGAGTATTCATTTTCTTTTGCTTCTTCTTACATTGGACCAAAGCAGTGGCAGGTATATTCTTTTCATGTGAGTTTTAGCTTGCAAGCACTGTTGCCACAGAGTTATTAAGAAGTTAATAATTGTATTAGTCCATTTTCACACTGCTGATAAAGACATACCTGAGACTGGGCAGTTTACAAAAGAAAGAGGTTTATTGGACTTAACAGCTCCAAGTGGCTAGAGAAGCCTCATAATCATGGCAGAAGGTGAAAGGCATGTCTCACATGGCAGCAGACAAGAGAAGAGAGCTTGTGCAGGGTAACTCTCGCTTTTAAAACCATCAGATCTCATGAGACTCATTCACTATCACTAGAACAGCACAGGAAAGATCCACCCCTGTGATTCAATTATCTCTCACCAGATCCTTCACACAACACGTGGGAATTATGGGAGCTACAAGATGAGATTTGGATGGGGACACAGAGCCAAACCATATCAATAACCTTAGTTTCTGGCTTTACTATGAACATCTCTTCTCCTTTAGGTAAAAGTCCTCCCCACAGTCCACCCATGATTTTTTTCCAGGAAAAACAAAAGCAACCCTGTTGTCCCCATAAAAGGCATTATCATTTCCTTATTAACTCACTGAGGCTCTTCTCCACAAAAAGTATTGTATCAGGTCTGCCTCTCTTGACATCACAATGGCTAAGCTGGCAACTTGGCTACATGAGAGATAATCAGGTAACGATAAAGCAATAGAGCGATTGAATTTTTTCAAATAAACACAAATTAATGTAAAAGAGAATGCAAATTTAACAGATTAAATACCTTTTCTCAATTGTTCTAGCCTTCAAAATACTTTTGGAACTTTTGTCCTAGAACTGTCTTAACAACTATTTCTTAGATCTCTCTCCTTCACACATCTCATTATTTTATGCTCACAAGTTAAAACTAAAACCTAGTAGAAGTGCATCCCTTTATTGTTATTTTTTATTTTTAGACACCAGGTCTCACTGTGTTGCCCAGACTGGCAGGCTGGCACGATCATGGCTCACTGCGCACTGACGTCCTGGCCTCATGGAATCCTCTCACCTCAGCCTTGTGCTTTCCTTTATATGTAAGGATGACACCACACAGCATGCTTAATTATCTACTTATTGCTGTTGGCTTTTATTTGGGGTTTAGGGAGTAGATCAATCAATCACATTCTGTAGATTAAGTTTTGGTTTTCTGTTGTTGGGTATTTGTTCTTTGGGGTCTTTGTGTTTGTTTATTTCCACAAAGAGGCCTGTCAGTAGGGATTGGAGTCATTTCACCAACTGATATAACCAATTCTGATGGAATTTTTTTAATAGGATTGAACTTAAATATTCTGATTCATTGCATTATAACTACTGACTTACAAGGTTACAATTTTTATTCATGAGGAATTGAATGGATAAACTATTGCTCTGCTCTAGATACTTGCCAGTGAAGTATTAAATCTTTTCATTAAAAAAAAATAAAGATAAACAAAGCATGACTACATTTCTCATTTTACTGAAATTACTGAATGGAAAAACCAGTATAAATGTGCCCTATTAAAAGAACACCTAAAAAATGAAAATCCAGCTATTTCTTTTCAAAAGAATTAATCACAGCTTCTCTATACATCATAAACTCTACTGTGTCATCTTAAATATGATTGAATTTATATAAAACTCGAAGAATATATTTATCAGAAAAAGAGCTATAATTGTATTAATTGGCAGGTTGTGATGATGTTTTAACATGAAATATCAAAATCCATTGATTCATGGACTGGCTTCAGTGGAGAAAGACCTTTACCAATAGGCCAGGCTAGAGATCCTAGGAGCCTCTCAAATGTTTTCTATGTCCTGAATGATACTCAGTGCTTAAAGGATAAATAAATAAATAAGTAAATAAATAGTTTCTTATGATGTGCACATTCATTCCTCCCTTTTCCTGGAGGAGTAATTTCAGGGTTGTGTACATTCTCCCAACCTCGCAGAGTCATCAGACTGCCATGAACCACCCATCCCATTTCCTTAGGGCAGTGCACTAAAAAAAAAAAAAAAAACAGGACTGTAAAACTCCTAGAAAAAAACATAGAAATACAGAGTGTTGGCAATTATTTCTTGAATATGACACCAAATGCACAGACAAAAAAGCCAAAAGCAAAACTAGACAAGTAGGACTACATCAAACTAAAAAGATTCTACATAGCAAAGGAAACAATAGAGAGAAAGGACAACTTACTAAATGGGAAAAAATATTTGCAAACTATACATTTGATAAAAGGTTAATACCAAAAATATATAAGTAGCAAAAAAAAACTAAATAATCATATTAAAAAATAGGCAAGGGACTTGAATAGACATTTCTCAAAAGAAGACATATAAATGGCCAGCAGATATTTGAAAACATGCTCAACATCACTAATCATCAGAGAAATGCAAATCAAAACCACGAGATATTATCTGACACCTGTTAGGGTGGCTATTATCAAAGAAATAAAAGATAACAAGTGTTGGCAAGGATGTGGAGAAAAGGGAACCCTTGTATGCTTAGGGTAGTAATGTAAAATCATGCAGCCACTATGGAAAACAGTACAGAGGCTCCTCACAAAATTAAAAATAGAACTACCATATGATCCAGCAACCCCATTTCTGGGTGTATATCCAAAAGAATTGAAATCAGTATCTGGAAGAGATATCTGCACTCTCATATTCATTGTAGCATTACTCACAATAGCCAAGACATGGAAACAACTCAAATTTTCATCTATGGATGAATGGGTAAAGAAAATCTGGTATATTCATACTATGGAATATTATTCAGCTTTTAAAAAGACGGCAATACTGTCATTTGTGACAACATGAAGTGAACCTGGAAGACATTATGTTTAGCGAAATAAGCCAGACACAGAAGTTCAAATACTGCATGATTCCACTTGTATGAGGTATTTAAAATAGTCAAACACATAGAAGCAAAAAAATAGAATGAACTTGCCAGGGGTTAGAGGGGGAGAAAATAGGGAGTTTTTGTTTAATATCTACAAAACTTCAGTTATGCAATGTGAATAAGTTCTAGAGATCTGCTGTACAACACAATGCCTATAGTTAGTAACACTGTACTGTGCACTTAAAAAGTTAAGAGGGTGGATCTCATGTTAGGTGTTCTCACAACAAGAAGAAACCAAAGAGGCATATGGAAACTTTTGAAGGTGCTGTATGTGTCTACTACCTCAATTGTGGTGATGGTTTCAGAGATGTGGGTATATGTCTAGACTCATCAAATTGTCTACATTAAATAGTGCAATTTTCATATATCAGTTATACTTCAATATAGCAGTTTTTTAATTCCATTGATTTTGAGATTTTTCCCTGTTATAAAACAACAGCAATTCGTTTCTGAGCCCCTGTATATTTCCTTGGTCAGAAAATATGAATATATGATGTGTGAAAAGATTTCAGACCAAAAAGGATTCACAGGAAAGGCTGACTCGACAGCCCTCTTTGGCTTCACATATTACTTAAAAGAATAGATTTTAACCTTAATCTTTTAATCTGCCTGAGTCTTGCAATTTTTACTTGCTTTGCATGCACTTTTAGCTCATGTCTAAAGGTCATTCTGTTTCTTGTGTGATTCTACCAGCTGATTTTCTATCTGATCCACTAATATTTTACAATACCTGCAAAATTTGATTTATTTTAAATTCTCTGGAGTCAAAAAGATAAAACTGGTCGGGCGTGGTGGCTTACACCTGTAATCCCAGCACTTTGGAAGGCCAAGGCAGGTGGATCACGAGGTCAGGAGTTCAAGACCAGCCTGACCAAGATGGCGAAACCCCGTCTCTACTAAAAATACAAAAATTAGCTGGGCGTGGTGGCAGGCACCTGTAATCCCAGCTACTCAGGAGGCTGAGGCAGGAGAATCGGTTGAACCCAGGGGGTGGGGGTTGCAGTGAGCCGAGATCACACCACTGCACTCCAGCCTGGGCAACAGAGTGAGACTCCATCTCAAAAAAAAAAAAAAGAGATAAAACTGTGACAAGTCTTTTTATATTTTTCAATGTGTTTAAATTTGAAAGATTGCTCTCTTCCAAGCTTTTCACAGATGTAACATTACTAATGTGTATGTGTGTGTGTGTGTGTGTGTGTGTGTATTTACAGTGGCTATGTTTTCAGCTCCCCTAAAGCAAGTAACTGAAATTGACAAAGAAAATGCCACATAATTTGTAATCAGCAATTGAACACATATTATATACTTATCATTGAAATGACTTCCAAGACTAAGTGAAATTGTGTTCCAAGTTTTAAGATGCAAAAATAACATACAACATGTACAAAATTAAGACAGTTATGAAGAAGCACCACTTAGAATTTGAATACTATGAAAGGCAATAAATCTGAATTGTAATAGTGGCTGTCACTAACCTCGGACAAATCACTTCATTCGGTTGCCATCTCTTAGTTTTCCTCTTTAAAATGGTTATAATAATACTCATGTCTCTGTGGGTATGTCACAAGAACTACCCAATTGTTAAGTTGAAAAGCACTGAGGAAATCCAAATTCTGCTATAAAAACAATGAGTGCATGCCATAAGATAAGCAGAAAACCATGCACATATGCCTCTCCTATTTTGAACACTATCTGAGGACATCTGACAGTACAGCTGCCTAGAGGAAATAGGATATGGGAAAGTATGTCCAGATTCCATTATTGAAACCCTTTGCTAAAAATATTAATCACTCTTCTTCTGGAATACATTAATCATATGCCACTTGCTTAATAGAAAATAGATATAAAAATATGTCCTCTGACTTCCATAACTGTTAGGAAAATACTTTATATTTCCCTTGCACAGTTTTAAGAAATATTTCCTTCAAGGTGCCTTTCACTCATAAGCTCCTTGAAAGCAGAAACCATGCTTATACATCTTGTATATCTATCTGCTCCACTAATAGTGTATATCCCCCATAGCAACCAGGACAGTGCCTTACAGATAATATGGGGCTCCATAAATACTCATCTCTGCTTAAAGCAGGAAATGAAAAATAAGTCAAGGTTCCTGCTCTCAAGGAATGACTCACATACCATTCAACTGCCTTAGATAACTTTAACACAGTATGCTATAACAAAGGTGTGTACAATATACATAAGAGCACAGAGTAAGGGAGAGATTATAAAGGAATCATTAAATAAAAGGTTATCTTTTAGCCTCAAAGGACAAATAAGAACTTACCATACACAAAAGAAGCAAACAGGTGGAGGAAACGACACAAGGAAAACATGGTATCTATGAAGTTCAATGAATAGAACAACGTGTGCAGCACAGAGCAGGTGGCCACAGTTGTGGAAGATGGGACTGGAAATGTCAGCTGGGGCCAGTTTGTAAAGGCCTTGTGATCTATACCAAAGAATTCTGATTTTGTCCTCTAGACAGTGATCTCCAAAGTGGGGTGCACTCACCCGAGAGCATGTGCAAATGATCCAGAAAAAAATCAGAGCATTTATATTTTTTCTCATCCTTTTTAATTCTTTAGATGAGCTTTTTTGTTACTATTTAATGGTTATACTTATTTTGGGGGGTACATATGATATTCTGATACCTGTATACAATGTGTAATGATCAAATCACTGTAATGGGAATATCCATCACCTCAAACATTTATCTCTTCTTTGTGTGGGGATCATTCCGATTCTCTTCCAGCTATTGTGAAATACATAATACATTTTTGTTAACTCTAGTCTCCTTCCTATACTATTGAATACTAGAATTTATTGCTTCTATCTAAGTGTATTTTTGTACCCATTAACCAACTTCTCTTCATCCCCCCTTCTCCCTACCCTTCCCAACCTCTGGTAACTACTATTCAATTCTCTGCCTTCCATGAGATCCACTTTTTTAGCTCCCATACATGAGTAAGAACATATGAATTTGTCTTTCTGTGCCTGGCTTATTTCACTTAACATAATGACCTTCAGTACCATCCATGTTGTTGCAAATGACAGGACTTTATTCTTCTCTATGGCTGAATAATATTCCATCATATATACATACCACATTTTCTTTATCCATTCATCTCTTGATGGACACAGGTTGATTTCATATCTTGGCTACTGAGACTAGAGCTGAGCTACGATAAATATGGGAGTGGAGGTATCTCCCCAATATACTGATTTCCTCTCTTTTAGATATATACCTAGCAGTGGGACTGCCAGATCATATGATAGTTCTATTTTTAGTTTTTTGAGGAACTTACATACTGTTTTCCATAATGACTGTACTACTTTACATCCCAACAACAGTGTACAAGCATTCCTCTCCCTGCATCATCACCAGAATTTGTCATTTTTTTGTATTTTTGTAATAGCCATTCTAAGTAGGGTGAGATGATATCTCATTGCGGTTTTGGTATGCATTTCCCTAACAAGTAGTGATACTGAGCATGTTGTAATATACCTGTTGGTCACTTGTATGTGTTCTTTTGAGAAATGTCTATTCAGGTCTTTTGCCTATTTTTAAATTGGATTATTTGTGGGGTTTGCCATTGAGTTGTTTGAGTTCCTTATATATTCTGCTTATAAATAGTCTGCAATTCATGCTTTTTAAGTGTTTGTTGAGTGTTTATAGTGTCTGTGTACTTTATAGAGAAATATATACATATTGGATATGTTGTGGCTCAGAAAAAGGTATCCCAAAGTATGGCACTTTGTCATGCTGAGTACTTTGAACTAAAGGAGATTGGGAAGCCTCAGAAGCAATCTCAGAAACAAGGTCTCTCTGACTTTTTCCTGCCCTCCTGTCTCCCGGTCCCCTTTCTTCTTCAAACTGAGTAATAGAAACCGGGATTCTTCTTCTCCAAGGCAGGTCATAGAAACTAGAACCCCTGTCCCCCAAAGCAAGCCATAAAACATAGAAAGGTCACTTCTCCTTTCTCCCTTGAAGGCCTTCATTCCAGAGGCACCCTGTCCCATATCCAGCAGGAAAGAATGCTACACAGAGACTAAGATTTTGAACTGACAAGCTTTGCTGGGTTTCCTCACTCTCAGTCTGTTGCCACTAGATCATACCCTTTTATTCAATCACATTTCTCCATTCTTCACTGAACCCGAGCATAAAAAGAGACAGTTTGCCCTGGGTCTTTGGAGATTCATTTCTGAAGCTCCCATATCACATAAAACTTCGATTAATTTGGCCGGGCGCGGTGTCTCACGCCTGTAATCCCAGCACTTTGGGAGGCCGAGGCTGGTGGATCACGAGGTCAGGAGATCAAGACTCATCCTGGCTAACACGGTGAAACCCCCGTCTCTACTAAAAATACAAAAAATTAGCTGGGTGCGGTGGCAGGCGCCTGTAGTCCCAGCTACTCGGGAGGCTGAGGCAGGAGAATGGCGTGAACCCGGGAGGCGGAGCTTGCAGTGAGCCGAGATCGCACCACTGCACTCCAGCCTGGGCAAAAGAGCAAGACTCTGTCTCAAAAAAATAATAATAATAATAAAAACTTTGATTAAATTTGTCATCTGTTATCTTATCTTGTTAACCTGTCTTTCATTATAGAGCGTCAGCTGTGCCCCTTATGATGCGTGAGGAAAGATATCTCATTCTGCCCTTATCAGTGCATATTCAAAATTTTTAGTGATGGGATGCACAATCAAAAATGTGAATATCTAAGCAATAAGCTACTATTGAAAAGTTTTTAAAAGGGATAACAGGCCGAGCACCGTGGCTCATGCCTGTAATCCCAGCAATTTGGGAGGCCAAGGTAGGCTGATTGCTTCAGCCCGAGTAGTTGAAATTACAGGCACCTACCACCATGCCTGGCTAATTTTTGTATTTTTAGTAGAGACGGAGTTTCACCATGTTGGCCAGGCTGGTCTCGAACTCCTGACCTCAGGTGATCTGCCCATCTCAGCCTCCCAAAGTGCTGAGATTACAGGCATGAGCCACCACGCCCGGCCAGTTTTTTCTTTTAGGTTTTGTTTGTTTATTTGTTTTATAGAGATGGGGGTCTTGCTTTGTTGTCCTGGCTGGTCTCGAACTCCTGGGCTCAAGCAATCCTCCCACCTCGGCTTTCCAAAGTGCTGGTATTACAGGCATGAGCCACCATGCCTGGCCAATAATCTTTATAATTTATTATAATTTATTTTAGAGGAAAAGCTGGTATAAAAAAAAGGGATTATTATTATAATTTTTTTTTTTTGAGACAGAGTTTCGCTCTTGTTGCCCAGGTTGGAGTGCAATGGCATGATCTCGGCTTATGGCAACCTCCGCCTCCTGGGTTCAAGTGATTCTCCTGCCTTAGCCTCCCGAGTAGCTGGGATTACAGGCATGAGCCACCACACCCGGCTAATTTTGTATTTTTAGTAGAGACGGGGTTTCTCTGTGTTGGTCAGGCTGGTCTTGAACTCCTGACCTCAGGTGATCTGCCTGCCTCAGCCTCCCCAAGTGCTGGGATTACAGGCATGAGCCACTGCGCCCGGCAAAAAAGGATTATTTTATAGAACCATATTGTTCATCAAAAAATTCCTTTACCAAGTTTATCAAGTCTAAATTAATCATTCAGCCTGGGTGCAGTGGCTCACGCCTGTAATCCCAGCACTTTGGGAGACCGAGGCAGGCAGAT
Organism: Homo sapiens; assembly: GCF_000001405.40. Taxonomy (NCBI): domain Eukaryota; kingdom Metazoa; phylum Chordata; class Mammalia; order Primates; family Hominidae; genus Homo; species Homo sapiens. Next base: position 73,662,579 of record NC_000006.12, on the reverse strand, counting down.
CACTTGACATTGGGAGTCTGAGCCCAGCCTGGCCAACACGGTGAAACCTGTCTTTACTAAAAATACAGAAATTAGCCAGGTGTGGTGGCAGGTGCCTGTAATCCCAGTTACTCAGGAGGCTGAGGCAGGAGAACTGCTTGAACCCTGGAGGTAGAGGTTGCAGTGAGCACAGATTGCACCACTGCACTCCAGCCTGGACAACAGAGTGAGACTCCATCTCAAAAAGTAATTAATTACTAAATTGGTGATTTAAATATCTGCCCCTCCATTTACTTTTTATTCCCCATATATTCCTACATACTTGAAAATTTCACTAAGGCCAATATGATGAGGCACTGTGAAACACAATGAACACAGTGAAAGGACAAGAACTGGGATCTGCTCAGGTTGCAGAAAATAAATAAGACTTTGTTCCAGCTCCTAGGAAACCTACAGTTATAAAAGGAAACTAAAACATTAAATAATCAACTACTAACTATAAAATTCCATACAGAAAATGATATGTATCCTAAAAGAGATATAATTAAAATCAAATGGGTTGTTCCTAAGATAGGTAAGCTCATTTTGCAAAGCAAATTTAACTCTAAAAAAATGGCAGGCCTGGCCTCCTCTGGGTGGATTTTCATTCTGCAGCATTCATTCAGGAAGCACTCATGAAGAGCCTACCAGGTGCCGGCCCTGGCCTGGGGCTGGGCTTAGAGCCGGGGCAGGATGGCCCGGCATCTGCTCCATGGAGCTCACAGCCCAGCCTAGGCTGGCAACTCCAGTCTGCCCCAGTTTCCAGTTCTGTCCATTCCCCTTGCAGCTCAGCATGGATGAAGCTTTGAAATCCAGCTCTCCCTCTCCCTCTCCCTCTCCCGTCTCCCCACGGTCTCCCTCTCCCTCTGTTTCCACGGTCTCCCTCTCATGCCGAGCCGAAGCTGGACTGTACTGCTGCCATCTCGGCTCACTGCAACCTCCCTGCCTGATTCTCCTGCCTCAGCCTGCCGAGTGCCTGCGATTGCAGGCACGCGCTGCCACGCCTGACTGGTTTTCGTATTTTTTTTGGTGGAGACGGGGTTTCGCTGTGTTGGCCTGGCCGGTCTCCAGCTCCTAACCGCGAGGGATCCGCCAGCCTGGGCCTCCCGAGGTGCCGGGATTGCAGACGGAGTCTCGTTCACTCAGTGCTCAATGGTGCCCCGGCTGGAGTGCGGTGGCGTGATCTCGGCTCGCTACAACCTCCACCTCCCAGCCGCCTGCCTTGGCCTCCCAAAGTGCCGAGATTGCATCCTCTGCCCGGCCGCCACCCCGTCTGGGAAGTGAGGAGCGTCTCTGCCTGGCCGCCCATCGTCTGGGAAGTGAGGAGCCCCTCTGCCTGGCTACCCAGTCTGGGAAGTGAGGAGCGTCTCCGTCCGGCCGCTATCCCATCTAGGAAGTGAGGAGCGCCTCTTCCTGGCAGCCATCCCATCTGGGAAGTGAGGAGCGTCTCTGCCCGGCCGCCCATCGTCTGAGATGTGGGGAGCGCCTCTGCCCCGCCGCCCCGTCTGGGATGTGAGGAGCACCTCTGCCCGGCCGCGACCCCGTCTGGGAGGTGAGGAGCGTCTCTGCCCAGCCACCCCGTCTGAGAAGTGAGGAGACCCTCTGCCTGGCAACCGCCCCGTCTGAGAAGTGAGGAGCCCCTCCGCCCAGCAGCCGCCCCGTCTGAGAAGTGAGGAGCCTCTCCGCCCGGCAGCCACCCCGTCTGGGAAGTGAGGAGCATCTCCGCCCGGCAGCCACCCCCTCCGGGAGGGAGGTGGGGGGGGTCAGCCCCCCGCCCGGCCAGCCGCCCCGTCCGGGAGGGAGGTGGGGGGGTCAGCCCCCCGCCCAGCCAGCCGCCCGGTCTGGGAGGGAGGTGGGGGAGTCAGCCCCCCGCCCGGCCAGCTGCCCCATCCGGGAGGTGAGGGGCGCCTCTGCCCAGCCGCCCCTACTGGGAAGTGAGGAGCCCCTCTGCCCGGCCAGCCGCCTCGTCCGGGAGGGAGGTGGGGGGGTCAGCCCCCCGGCCGGCCAGCCGCCCCGTCCGGGAGGGAGGTGGGGGGGTCAGCCCCCCGCCCGGCCAGCCGCCCCGTCCGGGAGGGAGGTGGGGGGGTCAGCCCCCCGCCCGGCCAGCTGCCCCATCCGGGAGGTGAGGGTCGCCTCTGCCCAGCCGCCCCTACTGGGAAGTGAGGAGCCCCTCTGCCCGGCCACCACCCCGTCTGGGAGGTATGCCCAACAGCTCATTAAGAACGGGCCATGATGACAATGGCGGTTTTGTGGAATAGAAAGGGGGGAAAGGTGGGGAAAAGATTGAGAAATCGGATGGTTGCCGTGTCTGTGTAGAAAGAAGTAGACATGGGAGACTTTTCATTTTGTTCTATACTAAGAAAAATTCTTCTGCCTTGGGATCCTGTTGATCGGTGACCTTACCCCCAACCCTGTGCTCTCTGAAACATGTGCTGTGTCCACTCAGGGTTAAATGGATTAAGGGCGGTGCAAGATGTGCTTTGTTAAACAGATGCTTGAAGGCAGCATGCTCGTTAAGAGTCGTCACCACTCCCTAATCTCAAGTACCCAGGGACACAAACACTGCGGAAGGCCGCAGGGTACTCTGCCTAGGAAAACCAGAGACCTTTGTTCACTTGTTTATCTGCTGACCTTCCCTCCACTATTGTCCTATGACCCTGCCAAATCCCCCTCTGTGAGAAACACCCAAGAATGATCAATAAAAAATAAATAAATAAATAAATAAATAAATAAATAAATAAATAAAACAAAATAAAATAAAAATGGTAATGGCGGCCAAGCGCGGTGGCTCACGCCTGTAATCCCAGCACTTTGAGAGGCCAAGCGGGGGTGGATCATCTGAGGTCAGGAGTTCAAGACCAGCCTGGCCAACATGCTGAAACCCCGTCTCTATTAAAAATAACAAAAATTAGCTGGGCATGGTGGCAGGCTCCTGTAATCCCAGCAATTCAGGAGGCTGAGGCAGGAGAATCGCTGGAACCCAGGAGGTGGAGGTTGCAGTGAGCCAAGATCACGCCATTGCACTCCAGCCTGTGTAATGAGGGTTAAACTCCGTCTCAAAAAAAAAAAATGCTAATGGCTAACATATATTGAAATGTAATAATTACAGTACAGTACCCACCAGGTACAGTACTGTAATTTACAGGTATTATCTTATTTAATTATCTAATTCTTACAACCCCCCCTATGAAAATGTTTCTATTATTATCTTCATTTGAGAGAAGAAGAAACTAAGAAAAACAGCTAGAGGCTTTTGAACTAGATACTCTATCCAAAAGGTGTTCCTTTCCCATCCAAAGACAGGATGGCAGATGGGAGAGACAGAGAGTGTAAGCCCTCACATGGTCTAGAACTATGCTGTCCAATACGGTAGACCCAGACACAATGTGGCTATTGAGCACTTGAAATGTGGCTGGTCCTAATGGAGATGTGCTGTAGGTATAAAATACACACTGGGTTTCAAAATTTAGTACCAGGCCGGACCTGGTGGCTCACGCCTGTAATCCCAGCACTTTGGGAGGCCGAGTCAGGCAGATAGCCTGAAGTCAGGAGTTCGAGACCAGCCTGGTCAACATGGTGAAACCCTGTCTCTACTAAAAATACAAAAATTAGCCAGGTGTGGTGGTGGGTGCCTGTGATCCCAGCTACTCAGGAGGCTGAGGCAGGAAAATTGTTTGAACCCGGGAGGTGGAGGTTGCAGTGAGCCAAGATCACACCATTTCACTCCAGCCTGGGTGACAGAGCGAGACTCCGTCTCAAAAAAATAGAATAAAATAAAAAATAAAAAAAAAATTAGTACCAACAAAAGAGCTTATCTCATTAATCATTTTATATTGATTACATGTTGAACTGATATATCGGATTAAAAATGCATGTCATACAATTAATTTCCCCATTTTTGTTTTGCTTTGTTTTACTTTTTTAATGTGGCTACTAGAAAATTTAAAATTACATCTATGGTTTGCATTATATTTCTACTGAACAGTGCTAGTCTAAAGTGTTGATAAAGGAAAAGTATCAACTAAAGAATAAATATGAGGCCGGGCGCAGTGGCTCATGCCTATAATCCCACCACTGTGGGAGGCCAAGGCGGGCGGACTACCTGAGGTCAGGAGTTTGAGACCAGCCTGGCCAACATGGCAAAACCCCGTCTCTACTAAAAATACAAAAATTAGCCGGGCGTGGTGGCACATGCCTATAGTCCCAGCTACTCGGGAGGCTGAGGCAGGAGAACTGCTTGAACCTGGGAGGTGGAGGTTCCACTGAGCCAAGATCGTGCCACTGCACTCCAGCCTGGGCAACAAGAGCGAAACTCCATAAAAAAAAAAAGAAAGAAAGAGAGAGAGAGAGAGAGACAGAAAGAAAGAGAGAGAGAGAAAGAAAGAAAGAGAGAGAGAGACAGAAAGAAAAAGAAAGAAAGAAAGAAAGAGAAAGAAAGAAAGAAAAGAAAAGAAAAAGGAAGAAATTGCAAGGAGAAAACATAAAGACATGTGAGAGATGTCTACGGTATGTGAGGTCTGAACATGAATGGATCCAGATTCAAACAAACCATGTAAGAAAAAAAAAAAAAAAAGACCAGGAAAGGAGAAAAAAAAAATAGGCTGGGCATGGTGGCTCACGCCTGTAATCCCAACACTTTGGGAGGCCGAGATGGTTGGATCACCGGAGGTCAGGAGTTCAAGACCAGCCTGGCCAACATGGTGAAATCCTATCTCTACTAAAAATACAAAAAATTAGCCGGGCATGGTGGTGGGCGCCTGTAATCCCAGCTACTCCGGAGGCTAAGGCAGGAGAATCGCTTGAACCCAGGAGGTTGCAGTGAACTGAGATTGCACCACTGCACTCCAGCCTGAGCAACAAGAGTGAAACTCTGTCTCAAAATAATAATAATAATAAATAAATAACACCAACAATGATCTTTTATGGTAGTGTGCAATCAGGAAATAAATGCCAGATATAAGGGGGAAAAAATGTGTCATCATACTTTTTTTTAATCTTCTTGGGGCCAGGCACAGTGGTTCACACCTATCATATCAATACTTTGGAAGGTCAAGGCAGGAGGACTGCTTGAGCCCAGCCTGGGCGTCACAGGGAGGCCCTGTCTCTAACAAAAATGTTTTTAAATTAGCAGGGCGTGGTGGCACATGCCTGTGGTCTCAGCTACCAGGGAGGCTGAGGTAGGAGGATCACTTGAGCCCAGGAGGTGGAGCCTACAGGGAGCCGTGATCACACCTCTGCACTCAAGCTTAGGTGACAGAGTAAGATCCTGTCTCAAAATCTTCTTGGGAAGATTATAAAAACAAAAACCAAAGTACCTCCTCTGAACCTAGAATCAATGACACTGCAATAGGAAGAAGTACACCCAATGCTCAGATGTTAGTTTGTAATATCATTCTCCTTATAGAAATGGCAGGGGTAGAGAATACACAAGATGAGCCTGGAACATCTTGTTGTACCAGAAAGTAAGGGAATGCTCAAAAAACACAACAATGGAGGCATGCAAGACACAAGAGCCAACTGAAAGAGCTCTTAGTCACCAAAGCTGGAACAATTTGAGCAACAAAATAAATAACATAGTGTTGGGAGTATAACCCAAAGTATAAAATAATAACCATGACATCATACTAATAAAAATAAATGATTGAATAAGTAAATAAATGTAGGAGAATAAACAAATCTCCCAAACAAAAGAATTCTTCCCCTGAAACTGGTGGAGTATAGATAACTCCCCACCCCTTAAGTGAAGGCTGCACATACTGATTTCCTTCCAAAGAGAAAAGTAAGGCCGGGGGAAAAGAGTTAACTTCACAGTGAAAACACCTGACAAACACAACCTCAGGCATGCAATGAGGCTTACCATCACTACTGATAAACATCAGTGATAAATAAGTTGACAGCACATTCCCTTGACATTACATGATGAGAATGGCCCTTTACCTCTATGACCTTTCCCTCAAAAATCCATAACCCCAGTCTAATTATAAGAAAAACATTCAGGCCGGGGGTGGTGGTTCATGCCTGTAATCCCAGCACTTTGGGAGGCTGAGGCAGGTGGAGGCTGAGGCAGGAGGTCAGGAGATGGAGACCATCCTGGCTAACATGGTGAAACCCCATCTCTACTAAAAATACAAAAAATTAGCCGGGCGTGGTGGCATGCACCTATAGTCCCAGCTACTCGGGACGTTGAGGCAGGAGAATCGCTTGAACCTGGGAGGTGGAGGCTGCAGTGAGCCGAGATCGTGCCACTGCACTCTAGCCTGGACGACAGAGCGTGACCTCGTCTCAAAAAAAAATTCGACAACCCAAATTAAGACACTTTCTACAAAACCTACCAGTACTCTACAAAACTGTCAAGGTCAGCAAAAGCAATGAAAGTCAGGAACTGTCGATCTAGAGGAGCCTAAGGAGACATGTAATGTGGCATCCTGGATGAGATCCTGGGACCGAAAAAGGATATTAGGTAAAAATTAAAGAAACGCAAATTAAGTATGAACTTCAGTTAATAATTATCTATACTGGCTCGTTAGTTATGATATATGCATGATACTAATGTAAGATCTTAATAATAGGTCAAACTAAGCAAAGGGTATGGAGAACTCACTGTACTATCTTTGCAACGTTTATGTAAACCTAAAATTTCTAAAATAAAAAATATTAAAAAAAAGAATTCCTCTGGTTTGAAGTCTTTCAAGTCTGTTGCAACTATATTCCCTGGCCCAAGTTATCTATAACCTTGGTCATCTGGGAGCTTGTTAGCAATACAGAATCTCAGGCACATCCCAGATGTACTGGGCTTCTCAGAGAAACAGCCCCAATTGGGTAGTTTGGGTAATAAAGTTTTGGCTTTCACAATATAGGCTGGCCAACTCGACCCAAAACAGATGATGGTGCACATGCCTGGAGACCCAGGAGGACCTGTGGTGCAGATGAAGTCTGAGGACACTCTGCTGGAGAAGTCTCCCTTGCTTGGGCAAGAGAAGTGGGGGAGTCGGATTTTTTATTCTAGATAGGCCTTCAACTGATTGAAGGAAGCCCACCCAGATTATGGAAGGCAGCCATCTTTACCCAGAGTTCAATGATTTTAGTGTTAACCTCATCCAAAGACAACCAGCAAGTTAACACATAAAATTAACCATCACACCAGATCTGCTGAATCTGAATCTACATTTTAAAAGGATTTGCCAGGTGACTCTGCATAATCCAGTTTGAAAATTGCATTTTTCTACAACCCTTAGAGAGTGTAAAAATCTACATGGTAATTCAGTAACTCAGAAACAAGGCTTGATTTGCTGCTTTAACTTGAGAACTTTTCTAGCATTTACTGATCTGGAGGTAGGGATGCCTACAGAAATCCTCGCCCTCCCTTCTAGGTAAAGGACCCTCCCCTTTGTTCTCACGTGAACCTCACTAAGCTTCTAACCTGGTTTACTGAATTAGTGGCTTGTGGGTCTTCCCTGTCTACACCAAACTCTCCGAGAGCATCTACATCTTATTTTCTACCTCCACAGAGACAGCCTTTATTGGCGGATCCAGATCTGCCCTGCCAAGGCAAGCTGGGTTTTCCTAGTTTCACTTTCAGAGTCCGCAAATGCTAGCACAATCTATCCAAATTCTATCGTGGAGATAAAGCATGCACACATACATCAGAGGATTCCATAGGTCGAACCATATGAAACTACCTATGTTGATTACTTTTACCTATAAAACCAGCAACATCATAGGACTCAACAAATTTCCATTGCTGTTTTTCCGCCTAAAAGCTATTTTAGGACCAGGAGCAGTGGCTCACGCCTGTAATCCCAGCACTTTGGGAGGCCGAGGAGGATTGCTTGAGCCCAGGAGTTCGAAACCAGCTTGGGCAATATAATAAGACCAAGCCTCTACAAAAATAAAAAGTAGAAACAAAATTAGCCAGATGTGGTGGCATGCTCCTGTAGTCCCAGCTACTTGGGGGAGCTGAAGAGAATCGCTTGAGTCCAGGAGTTGGAGGTTGCAGTGAGCTGCGATTGCGCCACTGCATTCCAGCTTGGGCAACAGAGCAAGACCCTGCCTGGGAGAAAAAAAAAAAAAAAAAAAAGCTATTTTAGGGACAATATGCCGCCACAGTCACGAGGTAAATATGCCGCCACAGTCACGAGGTAGATCGTACAAAGGTTGCTAACAGTATGGCAACTGACCGCTAACAAGCGAATGTCAAGTTGTGAAATGCACACCACCCACTTCCCTAGTTCGGTCGAAGCCCTCCCCTTAATTATGTGCAATTCAAGTCCCCACTGCCCGCCCGCAAGCCCCCACTCATCCTCGCTGCGGGCAGGGTGGCCCCTGCACTTTACAAGGGGGTGCAGGAGCGGGAGACGGTCGTCCGAACACCGGCTCCCCGGCATGCGTAGACCGGCGGGCGGAGCGGGCTCACTTTGCGCCAATCCTACGAGAACTCCCAGAACTCCGCTTCCCTAGTCCAACCCAAGCCAGAGTTGCCCACACCTAAGATGGCGGCGGGGGCGGAGTCGGCGCGGCCGCCTCTGGGCGGGACCGCGGGGACTAGACGTGGCCGCGGGGCGGTGTCATCGCCCCCGCCCCGCCCGGTCCAGCCAGCTCGGCCCGGGGGCTTCGGGCTGTCGGGCCGGCGCTCCCTTCTCTGCCAGGTGGCGAGTACACCTGCTCACGTAGGCGTCATGAGGTCTCCGGTTCGAGACCTGGCCCGGAACGATGGCGAGGAGAGCACGGACCGCACGCCTCTTCTACCGGGCGCCCCACGGGCCGAAGCCGGTAAGCGGCGGGGTCGTCCAGGGGCTTCGAGTGGGCAGCGGTACCGGGGGCGGCGGTCTCTGGGCCGGCATGGCCCGGGTACCCGCACCCTGCGCCGGCGGGACCGGAGCTGCTCAGGCGCGAGGGGACATTAAGAGGGGAGCCCGTTCAGAGTGCCGCTCAGTCCCGCCTGCCTCGGTGCGCAGAAGCCCCTCGGGAACCCCGGGGGCCGCGACCGTGATCGCGGAGCCGAGCCGGGGCCTCGGCAGGTGCAGCCCCACCGGGCGGGGGCGGGGGCGGGGGCGGGGGCGGGGGAGCGGCGGTGCAGCCGGCGCTGAGCTGGTGGTTATTTTGGGTAGTGCTGAGCAAGGGACCCAGTGGAAGAACGAACTGGGAGAGAATCATCAAATGAATGGGCTAAGGTCCGAGCGGAGGACCCCGGTGTAAGAGCAAACTGGAGGAGAAACCTGCAGATCAGTAGGCAGAGGGCTGTCCTTCCCTGTCACCGCTAGGTTTCCGCCACTGCGTATCCGCCAGCATGTGACCTGGTAGCTTCTTAGGCGGGGAGGGAAGACAAAAAAGGACTGGAGTTAACATTTGTGAGTATGCAGAGGGCAACTATTGTATAACCCAGCTGATATCTTGACATTGTGCAGTAAGAGACTAAAAACATCGAGGACATTTTTTTTCCGTCTGGCAGTCTATGATTTAAGTTAGGAAAAGGTTCAGTTATCCTCAAGATACCTATGGAGTTCTAAAGTAATTTGCCAAAGGTCTTGGAACAAATCGAAAAGCAGGTACGTCATAAAGCATCTTCCCTGAATTTGAGAAAATTAAAATATTTTGCTATTTGACACTTTTGTAATATAGTTTATTTAAAAGTAACGAAAACTAAAGAACAAATCAGTTTGAATGCATTCTATAGTTTCAAAGATCTGTGCGTGAGAAAGAGTTGTGTTGGAAATTTGACTTTGGCTAACCCAGAATTGTATAGTTTCTATATTTTTATTTGTTTTTAATGTTACCAGATGGTGGCAGTAGAGGTGGCAACCTTATAGCTCCATCTGGCAGCCGGGAGCTTATTTTAGTCAACACAAACTGTAAATACCATACCATAGTTACGTTTTACCTGGAAGTCGGACTTAGTTCCATAAACTGATCATTTTCTGTGGCTTGTAGTGTTCAAATTGTATAATATTCCTCATAAAATAATATAGAAATACAGAAATAAAAGTTATAATAAAGATATTTGCCAGAGATTATTACATTGTTACAATTGAAAAATATGTATATGTATAATCAAAATTTAGCACAAATGTTAAACATTATTCTCAGGAAAATGCAGATTAAAATTACAACGAGGCACTATACACCCACTAGAATAGCTAAAATCCAAAAGGCTGATAATACCAAATGTTAGCAGAGATGTGGATAGAAAAGTTATACATCTCAATAAAGATTGAGATGGACAAATGTATACATTTATCACGTAAATTATACTTCAATAAAGTTGATTTTTAAAAAAGTAGCTTATAGCATCCCTTTTAAAAACAATCCCTACTTGATTCATGTGTTGAGTGTATGGATCTTATGGTACTGGCCCTGTCCTTCCTGGCTTTAGGTGGCTACGTTTGTTACAACCATTTCCTTTTTTATTTTCCCTCTTTACATACCCACTGGAGAGCAAGTGAAGTGGAAATAATAGTAACATACTGTTTTTGCTATTTAGAATATGATAAGTTTTATAGAGAAGGAGCATATATGGCAATTAAGAGAAGTATATAATGAGCCCCCATGTAACCAGCACCCAGATTAAAGTTATCAATTCATGGCCAGTCTTGCCTTATGCTCATACATACTGTGTATTTTGAAGCAAATCCCAGATACCATGTCATTTCATATGTAAATATTTCAATTATTTACCTCTAAAAGATAAGGACTCTTTTTAACATAACTACAGTACTATTATCACAGCAAATAAAAATAATGCTTACTCACTTTGGGAGGCCGAGGCGGGCGGATCACCTGAGGTCAGCAGACCGAGACCATCCCGGCTAACAAGGTGAAACGCCTGAAACGCCGTCCCTACTAAAAATACAAAAAATTAGCCGGGTGTGGTGGCGGGTGCCTGTAGTCCCAGCTATTCGGGAGGCTGAGGCAGGAGAATGGCGTGAACCTGGGAGGCGGAGCTTGCAGTGAGCCGAGATCACGCCCCTGCACTCCAGCCTGGGTGACAAGAGCAAGACTTCGTCTCAAAAAATAATAATAATAAAATAATAATAATACTTACAAAATACTCAGTGTTCATATTTCCTCAATTATGTCCTGATTTTTTTTTTTTTTTTTTTTTTTTGAGACGGAGTTTTGCTCTGTCGCCCAGGCTGGAGTGCAGTGGTGCGATCTCGGCTCACTGCAGCCTCAGCCTCCCCGGTTCAAGTGATTCTCCTGCCTCAGCCTCCCGAGTAGCTGGGATTACAGGCCTACGCCACCACACCCAGCTAATTTTTGTATTTTTAGTAGAGACGGAGTTTCACCATGTTGGCAAGGCTGGTCTCTAACTTCTGACCTCAGGTGATCCACCCGCCTTGGCCTCCCAAAGTGCTGGGATTACAGGCCTGAGCCACCGGGCCGGGCCTATGTCCTAATTTTTTATAGTGTGTTCAAATCAGGATCTCAATAATGTCCATACCTTCCAAATGATTGAAATGTTTTTTGTCTCTTTTAATCTGTTTCCCCTGCCCCGCTCCTTTTCTTTTCCCTGCAATTTTATATCCTTATGTTGTCCTTTAACATCTTCTGCCCTCCTGATTTACTGTAAATTGGTAATTAGTAGATCTGAAGATTTGATAGGATTATGAGTCTGTCTGTCTTAATTACCGTCATGACTATTCCATAAGTAGAATACAAGTGTAGAAAGTAGAATTGTGTCAGCATGCTAATTCTCCCATACACGGCTCTAGACACTGGAGATACAAAGAAGTAAACAAAACAGAACAAAAGCTCCTGCCCTTATAGACTTTTATATTCTAGTGTATATTTTCCTAAACTTTCAGCCCTCTCCATTTTGCTTTCTTCTTGGGTTACAATCAAAGTCCAACACTTTATTTTCTTTTTTTTTTTTTTCAGGATCTCACTCTGTTGCCCAGGCTAGAATGCAGTGGCTCAAACAGGTCTTACTGCAGCCTCAACCTCCCAGGCTCAAGTGACCCTCCTACCTAAGCTTCCTGAAGAACTGGGACTGCAGGCATGTGCCACCACACCTGGCTAATTTTTTTCTTTTTCTTTTTTTTTTTTTTTTTTTTTTTTGAGACGGAGTCTTGCTCTTTCGCCCAGGCTGGACTGCAGTCGCGCTATCTCGGCTCACTGCATGCTCCGCCTCCCGGGTTCATGCCATTCTCCTGCCTCAGCCTCCGAGTAGCTGGGACTACAGGCACCCGCCACCACGCCCGGCTAATTTTTTCTATTTTTAGTTCAGAAGGGGTTTCACCGTGTTAGCCAGGATGGTCTCGATCTCCTGACCACGTGATCCACCTGCCTCGGCCTCCCAGAGTGCTGGGATTACAGGCGTGAGCCACCGTGCCCGGCCTTTTTTTCTTTCTTTTTTTTTTTTTTTTTTGTAGAAAAAAGGTCTCACTTAGTTGCTCAGGCTGGTCTCAAACTCCTGGGCTCAAGTGATCCTCCTGCGTCAGCCTCCCAAAGTGCTAGGATTACAGGCGTGAGCCACAGCACCCAGCCCAACACTTTATTTTCTTGCCAATACTCTCGATTCCCTTGCCCCCTTCTTTGTCATCACATCCATCTCGGTGCCAGCTATCTGCTTTCTTAGTGCCTACTCCTGAGCACAGGCATGCAGTGCTTATGAAGTTACACACTAGGGCAGATTGTTCCCACCAATTCTGTATGGGTATCTGCTCAGCATTCCTGTGTTTCACTGAGAACCTCATGCCCCCACTCTCTTCAACAATTTCTTACTTTTCCCAGATCCCAATTTCTCACAAATGAGAACTAACCTCAATTCCTAAGAAATAACCTCAATTCCTAATTTCCAGAAAAAAAAACCCATAATAATTCACAGTTATTCTGTGCCAAGCACTCTTCTAAGTATTTTACATTACTAACTCAGTGAATCCTTATAATAACCCTAATTCAGGCAAAATACTTCGACTAGTGCCAAGCGTATAGAAAATGCTTAGTAATATTTGTTTTTTGAGACAAGAGTCTTATTCTGTTGCCCAGGCTGAAGTGCAGTGGCACAATCACAGCTCACTGCAGCCTAAACTTCCCAGACTCAAGCCATCCTCCCACCTCAGCCTCCCAGGTAGCTGGGATTACAGGTGCACAACACCACAACCAGCTAATTTTGAAATTTTTTGTAGAGATGGGGTTTCATCATGTTGCCCAGGCTGGTCTTGAACTCCTGGGCTCAAGCAATCCTTCCCCATCTCAGCTTCCCAAAGTGCTGGGATTACGAGTGTGAGCCACCATGCCCGGCTTGTAATAAATATTATCTATTATTGTCTAGGCATGGTGGCTTATGCCTGTAATCCCAATGCTTTGGGATGCCAAGGTGGGCGGATTGCCTGAGGTCAGGAGTTTGAGACCAGCCTGGCTAACATGGTGAAATCCTGTCTCTACCAAAAATACAAAAATTAGCTGGGTGTGGTGATGCATGCCTGTAGTCCCAGCTACTCGGGAGGCTGAGGCAGGAGAATTGCTTGAACCTGGAAGATGGAGGTTGCAGTGAGCTGAGATTGTGCCACTGCACTCCAGCCTGGGAGACAGAGAAAGACTCCATCTCCAAAAAAAAAAAAAATTATATATTATTTTATGTTATTAAACTTAATACCCACTATCCCACTCAATAGTGTTAGTTCTTAGAGTTACTACAATACATAATCTAGATACTGCAGATCATTTAGAATGTCCTGCTCTCCCTATGTTTATCTGTCTCATTTCCATACCTCTGTACATGCTGCTGCTTTTGCTTGGATTGTTCCATCTGTCCCTACTGGTGACTTCCTGCTCCTTGAAGAGACTTCTCCAAGAGGCCTTCTCTGACTGTCTCCACTGTCCCCTCCATCAGATTAATGTGCCTCTTTTGTTCCTTTTTATATATACGTACATAGTACTTTGTCTTATTGGCATAACTTTCTCCAGATAAAAAGGAGGAAGAAATCCTTTTTACTAAGTGCCTGCTATAATGTCTTGCAGTATTTCATTTAATCCCCATGCAGCCCAGTGGGTAGATGGTGGTCTCTACATATTATAGCTAAGAAACCTGAGAATGAAAACTAGTAAGTAATTTCTACAAAAGCACACAGCCAGTGAAAAATCAGAAACAGATTCATTCCCAGGTCCCACTCTAAATTAGCCTGTGTACTTTCAGTTACACCCACACACATTCCTAAGTTTAAAACACATTTTAGAAGCTGATGTTTGTTTTTGATGGGTGCCATGTTCCTTATGCAAGCATGATTTTGCTTTGAACTTGATGCTCAATGGATGTTCTCTCTCTTGGTCATGCAAGCATGCTTTTGTTGGATCAATTTCAAAGAATATTCACATTCCCAGGCATGTTTTTCTTTACTGCTATACCTTCTTGAAATAAAAATTTTCTGATTGAATATATTTGTAATCAGCAACCATTTTATTAGCTAGTAATTGTTTATTTTTAATATTTCTTAGAATCTCATAGTAATATACTTTGTGACACCTGAGTTGGCTTTTTATTTTCTTTTTTTTTTGAGACGAAGTCTCGCTCTTGTCCCCCAGGCTGGAGTGCGATGGCGTGATCTCGGCTCACTGCAACCTCCACCTCCCAGGTTCAAGCGAGTCTCCTGCCTCAACCTCCCGAGTAGCTGGGATTACAAGTGCCTGCCACCACGCCCGGCTAATTTTTGTATTTTTAGTAGAGACGGGGTTTCACCTTGTTGGCCAGGCTGGTCTACAAACTCCTGACCTCAGGTGATCCACCCGCTTCGTCCTCCCAAAGTGCTGGGATTACAGGCGTGAGCCACCGTGCCTGGCCGCTTTTTATTTTCTAATTACTGACTATGCATCCAAAAGTTAAAGTTGCCTGATCTATAACTTGTAGGTCAGATTTCCAAGTAATACCACGAGTAATTTGAAATCATTTTACTTACCTTTCTTTCATTTCTCAACATTCTAGCCCCTTGTAATTCACATGATAAGGTATATCATAGTCCCAATAAAGCATCACTTAGGGAAAACTAATAATGTACAGTAAAATAAGATAACTGCAAATAAGGATAGAATGAAGTAATAACATTACAAATTACAGTAGCATAAAATAGAGTTTTTTAGAGTAAGAGAATTACTAATAACTTCATCCCTCCCCTTCACTTACTCCCACATCTAACATTTGGGCAAGGCCTGTTAATTCTGCCTTTAAACATCTCAGATCTGCCCATTTTTCTTCACTGCTGCTTTCACTGTAGTTTAAGCCACCTTCATCTCTTAGCTGGAAAGCTACAGTAGTCCTTTAAGTGATCTCCCTGACTGTACATTCCTTACACCCTTCACACTTCTCCTTTCTATAGTCTCCATGCAGGGTCCAGATGAGCTCTTTAAACCATCAACCAGATAAGCTTTTTAAACCATAAATCACATCTCATCACTCCTTTGCTGAAATAGGTAATGATCTTTTTAAATGCTGCATTGACAAAACAGACATAGTACATAAATCTGGGTTTTTCTTGCTCCAAATTGCTCAAAGTAACACATTTTAATGCACACATTTAGCTAGATTTTTGAGTCCCCCATCCAGACTTCTAGGTAATATCACCTGACACAGAGCAATGATAAAGAAAACATGTTCTGCTGGGCACAGTGGCTCACGTCTATAATTCCAGTGCTTTGGGAGGCTGAGATGGGAGGATTGCTTGAGGCCAAAAGTTCAAGACCAGCCTGGGCAAAATAGTGAGACCCCGACTCTACAAGTAAAAATTTAAAAATTAGTCAGATATGCTGCCATATGCCTTTAGTCCCAGCTACTCAAGAGGCTGAGGTGAGAGGATCACTTGAGTCCAGGGGTTCGAGGTTACAGAAAGTTATGATCACCCACTGTACTCCAGCTTGGGCAACAGAGCAAGACCCTGTCTCTAAAAAAAAAAAGAAAGAAAAAAGAAAATGTGTTTTTTTACAAAACATGCCTCACAATATCCAAACCGTCATTAACTGGACAACTGCCCATTTGGTTGCAGCAGAAAGCAAATTCGCCTAGATTCTAGTAATAGAGACAATGTGAATAGAACTTTAGAAATTCAGTTCTTACAGATCTGGATCTAACTATGGTAGTGGTACCATAAATTTCATAGCTGTACCCCTGAAGAAAGGATTTAAGAATGCCAAATGAAAAGTTTCCTGTTAAAAGAAGTTAATCTTACACAGGGAAAAAAAAATAATAGCAGTTGTTAAACATAGGAGGGCATACAGAAAAGTGAGTTGGATCATAATATATTAATATAAACCTAAGTATAGTTGTGCATATTCATTAATGTTTCAGTCTAAATCAGTTCATCTGAGCCAGTATCAAGACTTTTGTATTCTGTAAAATATATTCTCTCCTTTGATGCTAGGTTAATGAAAACACCAGGATTCTTAAGTAGGGGAAAAACATACACACATTTATATGATGTTGATGTGTCATTACCAAATAAAAGCACACATATTTTCATTTAATTTTAATATGTCATTGCTTAATGAAATACATGTTTATATCTTTAAAGAGGTATTTATCAGCCACTCAGAGTTTACTAAACTTAAAGATGTTCAGACTCTGGATTAGCTAATTTCTCTTTGTTACTAAGAGGTTGATTATCCTTAGTCAGCATCCTGAATCCTATCCCTCTCCAATTCTGCAACTCAATAAAAGAAGAAAAAAGAGAAACTATGCATAAGCCCACAGTTAGAGTAATAAATAGGTCAAACTCCTCCTCTCACATGATCCTTTTATTGGTTCCTCCAACCTACTCTGCATTCTTTTTTTTTTTTTTTTTTTTTTTGAGACGGAGTCTCTGTCTCTGTCGCCCAGGCTGGAGTGCAGTGGCGCGATCTCCTCTCGCTGCAAGCTCCGCCTCCCGGGTTCACGCCATTCTCCTGCCTCAGCCTCCCGAGTAGCTGGGACTACAGGCGCCCGCGACCACGCCCGGCTAATTTTTTGTATTTTTAGTAGAGACGGGGTTTCACCGAGTTAGCCAGGATGGTCTCGATCTCCTGACCTCAGGTGATCCGCCCGCCTCGGCTTCCCAAAGTGCTGGGATTACAGGCGTGAGCCACTGTGCCCGGCATCCTTTTTTTTTAATCATGGTGGTACATTCACTGATTTCCCTTTTTACTGTGAGCCCTTTACGCTTGATAACTACTGAGCAACTGTCACAGATGCTGCAACTGTCATAGGTTCTGCAAGTTTGCTTCTAGATTCTTAAATGCATTTAGTTTACGATGGCTTTAAGTATTAATCATGGCTTCTGATTCAAACCCAGCCTTTGAGGATACTCTTCGAGGTAAGAAATTTATCAAGAGAAATTTCATGCCCTACCCTTGGCAGTAAATTTTTTTTGCTATGCTACATTTAACAATGAGATGGCTACTAACTCATAATCAGTAATATATCATGTCATTGTAAGTACTCAAGTACTTATTGACCATGTTTCAGATAGTTTTTCAGAAATAGTAATGCCATTAAACCTCCTTACCTGCTTTTCTCATGCCGTATATCTTTGCCAGCTGACAAGGAGTAGGGGTTCAGTTTGAATCTGGAATAGATCTTTTTCTCAGCAAAGGTGATAAAACTACTACCTCCATGTTTTAATGAACTTTTTTATAGTTCAGGCTCTCATGTGTGAAATTTTTACCAAAACTACAGATATGAGAAACAGCTAATCTTTGACAAATGTTTCTTAGATTTGCTTAATCTAAGAATATTCTTTAACATTTTTTCATAATTATTTTTGTACTTTTAAAAAGCAACCTTTTTCATTATTTAGACAATATCATGTAATTAACTTTTTTAATTAAAGCAGCCGGGTATGGTGGCCAATGCCTATAATCACAGCACTTTGGGAGGCTGAGGTGGGTGGATGGCTTGAGCCCAGGAGTTCAAGACCAGCCTAAGCAACATGGCAAAACCCTGTCTCTAAAAATAAAAATTTAAAAATAAATAAAAATTTTCCCCAATCTTTATTTCAGCTCCAGTGTGCTGCTCTGCTCGTTACAACTTAGCAATTTTGGCCTTTTTTGGTTTCTTCATTGTGTATGCATTACGTGTGAATCTGAGTGTTGCGTTAGTGGATATGGTAGATTCAAATACAACTTTAGAAGATAATAGAACTTCCAAGGCGTGTCCAGAGCATTCTGCTCCCATAAAAGTTCATCATAATCAAACGGTAGGTGCTATTTTTTAAGGAAACAATTTTAATTATCCTAAAATACTTGCAAGTAAAAATATTAAAAGGTCTTTTTTCATCCTACAGAAACTATACTTTGTTTGTGTATACTCTGAATCACTTTCTTTTTGTGTTTTCCCAGGAACTGATTGGGCAATAACTTGTAACTATAGCTACTACTGCTATGCCGTAATACACCTTCATCTGTTTGAAAAGTAGTTCTTCCATTCCCTCTATAAACATACCATGCTTAAAGAAAATTTGGAAAAACCTGTTTTATATAACAGAAAATTAAACTGTTTTAAATTTTCTAAATAGCTTTTATAGGAGTATTATTTATAACCCTATATCACTTATAGAGTTACAGCTGCAAGAGAGTTTAGGTAATCTCAGTTGCAAGATGAAAAACAAGAACTGGCCAGTTTCTTAGGACATTCTTTTCTGAATGTACACATGCCCAACCTAAGCCACATAAGTCATTTTGCCTGCCTTATGTTATAGTGGTATTAATAAATGTGTATTCATCATTTGTTTATAATTAAGTTATATATACTTCATTTTATGTTGCTTATCACACGAGGAGATAGTACAGAAAGAAAAGCTAGTATTCTTTTTAGAAGTACATTTGCAGGCTGGGTGCAGTGACTCATGCCTGTAATCCCAGCACTTTAGGAGGCTGAGGCAGGTGGATCACCTGAGGTGAGTAGTTCGAGACCAGCCTGGCCAACACGGTGAAACCCTGTCTTTACTAAAAATACAAAAATTAGCTGGGCGTGGTAGCACACACCTATAATCCCAGCTACTCAGGAGGCTGAGGCAGGAGAATTGCTTGAACCTGGGAGGTGGAGTTTGCAGTGAGCCGAGATCACGCCATTCCACTCCAGCCTGGGCAACAAGAGCAAGACTTCGTCTCAAAAAAATAAATAAATAAAAAATAATAAATTTTTGGCCGGGCGCGGTGGCTCACACCTGTAATCCCAGCACTTTGGGAGGCCGAGGCACATGGATCACGAGGTCAGGAGATCAAGACCATCCTGGCTAACATGGTGAAACCCCATCTCTACTGAAAATACAAAAAATTAGACGGGCGAGGTGGTGGGCGCCTGTGGTCCCAGCTACTCGGGAGGCTGAAGCGGGGGAATGGTGTGAACCCCAAGGGGTGGAGCCTGCAGTGAGCCGAGATCGCGCCACTGCACTCCAGCCTGGGCCACAGCGAGATTCCGTCTCAAAAAAAAAATTTAAAAATAAATAAATAAATAAATAAATAAATTTTCACCCATTTTCAGTGCTCACGAAGATACTAGTTCATACTTAGATGAATCTCCTCTATCATTCACAAGCAGAGCATTCAAGCAGGAAAGAGGGTTTCTCTCTAAACAAAATAAATCTCTCCGAAAATCTTTATATTTGACTTTAATAATGTTGCTGAGTAACATTTGGGTACACATCACTCACTTTCTCCACTCCAACCTGTGACCTTCAGGGACAATACTGCTGGAATGTACATGAAATCCTAGAATTCCACAGATAAACTGCAAATTGGTACCCTAAATAAGGAAAAGTAAGAGTTTGCTTTGTGTCTTTTTCTTTGCAAAGTGCTTTTGTTGACCCTGCTACTTATCTTCATCTGCCTTATATCAGCAGTAGAAAGAAATCCCGGAATGGTTCTTGACATGTTGGCTTTGTTATACAGCTACACTGCATTAAAAATGTCAGATACTCAGATCAGTCACTAAATCTTCATTAGTACCTTGCTGTGTGCTGTTACTAATGAAAACACAGGTTCTATTCACATGAAGTTTGTGGCTTGATTTAAATTCTTGCTCTTTGGAATTGTTCCATGTGCTTGTTTAAGTGCTTCGTCTGAAATGGGGAGATATTATTAATATCTACATTTATGCATGTTAATAGCCAGCACTAAGTGAACACTAACTGTACATCAAGCCTTATTTTATGTGCCTATTTCATTTCCTCTTCCCAGATCACACATTCGGTAAGTAATAGAGCTAGGATTAAAACCAAGCCTGGTTCCCAAAGCCTAGCTCAGCCACTACAGTTTTCTGCTTAATAGCTTTCTGGATTAAGCCTGTGACTCTTTTTTTGGGAGGGGGAGGCAGGGCCGGGGGGGCGGCAGCCTCCCGAGCCATAGTAGGCTCAGAGATACCCAAGCCTTTTTTGTGATTCTTTTGTGAGCCTTCTTGGTCATAGTTATTATAAAGCTTCTGGCAGCTCATCCTGCAGTCTAGTTTTATAAAATTGCAAGCCTTCTTGAAGTTTACGACTGTCAGTTCTTTTTCATTCACTTCTAAATACTGTATATCTATATTGTTATGACTCACCCACCTACTAGAAAGTTTGCATGTTCTTCAGTCCAAAATAGTGGTTCAAAATCTCATTTATATGTACTTACATGCCAGTAAGAGAAAAGAGCTGCTCTGTGAAGGTCTTAAAGGATTGTTTTATTCTTTTCTGATTTTTGTAGGGTAAGAAGTACCAATGGGATGCAGAAACTCAAGGATGGATTCTCGGTTCCTTTTTTTATGGCTACATCATCACACAGATTCCTGGAGGATATGTTGCCAGCAAAATAGGGGGGAAAATGCTGCTAGGATTTGGGATCCTTGGCACTGCTGTCCTCACCCTGTTCACTCCCATTGCTGCAGATTTAGGAGTTGGACCACTCATTGTACTCAGAGCACTAGAAGGACTAGGAGAGGTAATTTTCTTTTCTCTCTTGTTTTACTTCTTACCGTGTGTCTCCTTCTCTTCTTCTTAAAGATGTCATTCTTTGGTATGAATATGAACCAAAAAATAACGTTGGATGATAACAGGGGTTTATTTTTTAGAGAAAGGACTAACTAGAAAATTACCTGAATAGATTTTGTTTGTGGTAAATGAGGTCTCTAGTAGGAGCACCCCGAAATTGGAACCTTTACTCAAAAACCAGAGAAAACTTTTTTCCAAAAGAGACTTCATAGCTCATACTTTAGGAGAGAAGAAAATAAACCATTAATAAATGGTTAAGATAGTCCGGGCGTGGTGGCTCATGCCTGTAATCCCAGCATTTTGGGAGGCCAAGGTAGGTGGATCACTTGAGGTTAGGAGTTTGAGACCAGCCTGGCCAACAGGTGAAACCCCATCTCTACTAAAAATACAAAAATTAGCCGGGCATGGTGGTGCACACCTGTAATTGCAGCTACTCGGGAGGATGAAGTGGGAGAACTGCTTGAACCCGGGAGGCAGAGGTTGCAGTGAGCCAAGATCGCGCCACTGCACTCCAGCCTGGACGACAGCAAGTCTCCATCTCAAAAGAAAAAAAAATGGTTAAGATTGACCATCCTTACCTCTTGTGCTCTTGCCACCGTTAAACTCTGCTCTATCATTGATGCCCAAGTCTGAAGCACATTTTACACAATAGACTGTTGAGTTGCATTTAATTTCTTTTTTATCGCTTATTCTTTTATTTTTTCTGGTCTTGTAACTTAGAGACAAATATTTTATGATTTTATATAACTATCTCAATTTAGTTCTATGATTCTGCTCTTTTTAGAAGTATTATTGATTTTTGCCTCTTTTATTTCCCTCCTCTTAATAGTTTTATCATTTTTTAAAATTTTGATTCTTGTCTTTCTTTTCCTTCCCACTTTTCTTTTGTATTTCATCATGTGTACCCCCATACTTAATAATTTTCACTTTTCCTTTATAACTTCGAACTTCTACCTCTGAAATCCAGGGAATGGTGTATTTTGCTCTCTTGCATTTCTTTAATTCAAGCAAGATAATGGCCACTGGGCTTGGTGTAGAGGATGAAGATTATTTTAAGTAGCAGTGTATCATGCTGTTGGAATGAACACTGGACCAGAGTTTGAATAATAGCTCTATTGTATCTAACAGTGAAACCTTAGGTAAGCTCTAATCTCTAGATCTCAGTCCCATCATTTTTTAAACTGGGACTAAAATACCTTCCCTGTTTTCAGTCACAGATTAGATATAAAATTCATATGTGATAAGGATTGCTAGAATACTTTGGAAATTGCCAGGTACTATTAAAAGATTTTTCATTCATCTGAATGTTTTTATTTTGTTCTTATCAGTAGAGGTCCATTAAGTAAACCCTTCCTGATCACAAAATTAAAATTACTCCTCTATTACCAGGTTCCTGTTCTTCTTGACAAAGTAAAATATACTTAAATCTAGCATATTTTCTCTGATCCTAGTATTCAATCTCCTTGCTGAATGTATTCCCATATTTTACTTCCAGTTTATGCCACTAATTTAACATTACGGCATATTGATCATATTACCACTGTTATCTCAGGTGACATTTTATTTATTCATTTATTTATTTTTTTCTAGTCTTTGAGACGGAGTCTCACTCTGTTGCCCAGGCTGGAGTGCAGTGGCATGATCTCGGCTCACTGCAACCTCCGCTTCCTGAGTTCAAGCAATTCTCCTTCCTCAGCCTCCCAAGTAGGTGGGATTACAGGCATGCGCCACCATGCCTGGCTAATTTTTGTATATTTAGTAGAGGCGGGGTTTCACCATGTTGGCCAGGCTGGTCTCGAACTTCTGGCATCAAGTGATCCACCTGCCTCCGCCTCCCAAAGTGCTGGGATTACAGGCATGAGCCACCGTGTCCAGCCAACAACTAAATAGAATTTAAGTTGTATTTATACTCAGGTTCTCTCGTCCTTCTTCATCCCTTCAATATGTATCACAGGTGCATTTCCTCATTCATAAAGGACACTTAGATTACTATCTTGCATTCCTACCATCTGATTCACCATAAATATACCTACATTGTCCCTAGGTTTTATAATAAAGTTTTCTACAACATAATCTCTGTGGGCATTTCCAAACATCTCAAGTTTTCTTCTATAATGACTCATCCTGTGGATGCTCCATCATATAGATTCTTATTGATTTGCAATGTACCTAAATCATCTTTGCCTTCCATTGGTATTACTTTTTTTTAATTCCTTTTGTTTTTGTTTTTGAAAGAGTCAGCGGAAAGTACAAAGTATTAAAACATTTATTCTTCTCTCCACTAATAATAGCACTAGTTACCATTTATCTTTACAACAATTATGCAACCGCCTTGAAGTTCAGGGAGGTTAACTAATCTTTCTGAAGTGACACAGAGAGTGTCCAAGGAGAGCCGTTCTCTCTCACTGTCCTGTGGTATCTCCTCATTTACCCAGTCTCTATGAAACTCCCTGTTTCCACATCCTGTTAGCTCTCCGTGTCAGTAATTGGCATCTACTAGGCTTGTTATCACAGGAAAAAAAAGAAGAAAGGCTGTAAACATGCTAATTGAATTCATCCTTTTTTTAATAGGACTGTTTTTCTGGTTGATTGTCAGCTTGAATTTTTTTTCAGTATCCCAAAATATTAGCTCAGTATTTTTTAAAGTTATAAGTTAGTAATATTCCCTTTCATTCAGGTGATTAATAAAGTGAATGAGTAAAATTAACCTTGAGCAAGATCCCTTTATGTCCTCACTCAGTACAATTATTTTAGATTTATTGTAACCCTTATCTTGTTGTCTTAAAACCAGTTCCAAAATCCATGAATCTTTGGGGAGTTTTACTTTTTTTTTTTAAGAGATGGTGTCTCACTACGTTACCCAGGCTGATCTCGAACTCCTGGGCTCAAGCAATCCTCCTGCCTTGGCCTCCCAAAGTGCTGGGATTACAGGCATGAGCCACCACACCCAGCCTCAAATTCTGAAAGTACTTCATTATAAGATATTTTCACTTAACACTGTAAAAATTTCTCATTTCATGGAACCTGATTCGTTTGATTCTTATCCAGAAAATGCTTTTGTAGCAAAATACTTAACTTACTTTAAAGCATTAACAAAACTACCTTACATTTCATCAGAAATATCATGTTCCCTTCTCTCAGGGTGTTACATTTCCAGCCATGCATGCCATGTGGTCTTCTTGGGCTCCCCCTCTTGAAAGAAGCAAACTTCTTAGCATTTCATATGCAGGTGAGATAACAATTACCAAATTTTGCTGTAATATGTTATGTATATATCAACCTTTGGGAAAAAGGGCCTGCATACCAGAACGATGCAATGTTGGATTGGATGCCCCTTTGGGGAGAACATTAAGTTTCGGTAGTATAACTTTATTACCAATTTTTCTCTTTGGCTCAACAACTTATAGTAATGCAGCTTAATTGACTAATGTCATTTTCCCCATCTGCCATCATCTATTTCAAAGTATGTTGTGTTTTCAGATATTGGTATAGAGATGCTATTTTTTTTCTTTTTCTGTTTACTTTTTTGGGGGTTTTAAATTTTATTTTTGTTTGTTTAGAGATGCTATTTAAAAAAAAGAAAAAAAAAGGCCAGTAGCTAGAAAATTGAGTGTTTTTGTCCTTAAATTGTGATTTCTGTTTTGATTAACTAATGAATGTATCATGATTCTCAACCCCTCTCTTCATGCATCTTTTTTCTATTGCATCTTTATTTGCCATCATTTTGATCTACAGGTGAGATAACATGAGTTTTATATATGTGAATTATAATTTTATCAGATTGCATAAGAAATTCTAGCCTTTCTTTCATTGACTAAATTAAAATTTTTCCACCGGACTGCTTTTTAAATACAGTAGTTGAGAAAAGGCCTCTCTGTGGTACTTTTAAGCTAAAATCTGAAGGATAAGAACAAACCATTCATGCAGGGAGAAGAGCATTTCAGCCAATCAGAACAGCATGTACGAGGGCACTCAGGCAAGAAATAACATAAGGGTTAAAAGAAGTGGAAAACTACCTTGGATGGCTAGAACTCAGTGAGTAAGGAGGATGATGGCATAAGATGAGGTTAGAGAAAGAGATAAGAGCCGGGTTATATCAGGTCTTACAGGCTACAGGAAAAAATGTAGATTGTTTTTTAAGAGGCATGATTCAATTACATTTTAAGAAGATTATTCTTGCAGCTATGTTGAGATTGACATGAGAAATCTGATGATAGGTTCAAGAACAGGTACTATCTAAGGTTCCCTTTTACCTATTGAATAAATCCCAAACTCCTTGAACTAGGGGCAAGATTCTTTACAGTCTTCACTACTTTGTTGCAGCTAGCCTTATATCTCTGGCAGATAGTGCCTAGCATGGAGTAGGTACTCAGTAACTGTTCAACT
This sequence comes from Homo sapiens, assembly GCF_000001405.40. Classification (NCBI taxonomy): domain Eukaryota; kingdom Metazoa; phylum Chordata; class Mammalia; order Primates; family Hominidae; genus Homo; species Homo sapiens. Next base: position 73,637,254 of record NC_000006.12, on the reverse strand, counting down.
GTCCAACCTATTTTTCCAGCTTTATCTGCTTTTCCTTTCCTTTACCCAAATGAAGTTCCCAAGCCTACTCTCTGCTTTACTACTTCCATTCCTTTGCTTGTCCTGTTATACTACCTCTATATCTTTTTTCTAATCTTGTTTCTATGGGACCACATTTTAGCCTTTTTTTTTTTTTTGAGCCAGGGTCTCACTCCAGGCTGGAAGGCAGTGGCACAATCGCCCCTCACTGCAGCCTCAACAGCTGAAGCGATCGTCCCACCTCAACCTCCCAAGTAGCTAAGTAGCTGGTACTACAGGCGTGCATCACCACCATACCCAGATAATTTTTGTATTTTTAGTACAGATAGGAGTTTGCCATATTGCCCAGGCTGGTCTCAAACTCCTAGGCTCAGGTGATCCACCCACATCAGCCTCCCAAAGTGCAGGGATTACAGGAATGAGCCACTGTGCCCAGCCTGTTACCCATCCTCTGTAAGCAGTAGACTTGTCTGTCCTATCCTTGTTTCTCTCTCCAAAGTTTATAAAATAGTCTTATGTGTTGTTCTAGGAGCACAGCTTGGGACAGTAATTTCTCTTCCTCTTTCTGGAATAATTTGCTACTATATGAATTGGACTTATGTCTTCTACTTTTTTGGTAAGTTTAAAATTTTAACTAAATTATAATGTAACAAATTCAAAATGTAATAATAGTAGCCTAATAATGTTTTAAAAATATATCTTCCAAATCACTGAACCACAGTTCTGAAACACTTCCTGATAACCTGTTTTTCAAGTTGGTATGATTTACTTGACCTATTTGAGTTACGAGCTGATGTTAGTTTTGGAATATTTCTCAGTAGAAATGACTGTTGATCCTGTACTTAAATAGTACATTTGCTATCAAAAAATCACTATCTTAGGTATTTTGAATTTCTTCTCAAGCAAAGTAGGATGTTCTCACTTGGTAGTTTTAATGTTTTTTTTTTTTTTTTCTTTTTACTTAGTCCCAAGGCATTTTATTGCTCAATTTCCTTGGCAGCATGATACACATTTTTAATAAATTAGATTTTCACATAGACATGTCATGCAAGAAATATATCTGCAATCAAAATTTAAAACTCAACTAACAAAAACAGACACCTTTGGAAATATGTAGATTGTGGAAATGTATCTTCAAAAAGATTTGTCTGGTAGACCCTGATAGGCAAAGTCATGTGGTTAAAAGTTGTTTTCTTCTGGCTGGGTGCAGTGGCTCACACCTGTAATCCCAGCACTTTGGGAGGCCGAGGCGGGTGGATCACGAGGTCAGGAGTTCAAGACCAGCCTGGCCAACATGGTGGAACCCCATCTCTACTCAAAATACAAAAATTAGCCAGGCGTGGTGGCACGTGCCTGTAGTCCCAGCTACTCAGGAGGCTGAGACAGTAGAGTTGCTTGAACCCAGCAGGCGGAGGTTGCAGTGAGCCGAGATCACGTCACTGCACTCCAGCCTGTGAGACAGAGCAAGACTCTATCTCAAAAAAAAAAAAAAAAGTTGTTTTCTTCAAAATGTATAAGCAATAATACAGTTATAGCAATTATCCCATTAAAGAATTGAGAGAAACTTGAAATTGAATCCAAACTGAAGTCAGTTTTACATTGAATTTATAGTTACATAATTTTTTCAAGACATGTAAAAATTGTTGTTGGTGCTTTCTAATTTTGTGTTTTTGTTTTGTTTTGTTTGTTATTTGGTACATTCTAATTTTATCTAACTATTATTTTTCTATTTTAAGGTACTATTGGAATATTTTGGTTTCTTTTGTGGATCTGGTTAGTTAGTGACACACCACAAAAACACAAGAGAATTTCCCATTATGAAAAGGAATACATTCTTTCATCATTAAGAAATCAGGTATGGACTTTGACACATTTTAAAAATAATGTCAGAAACTTTTTTTCTTCAGAATTAAGATATCAGTTTTTAAAAATATATATTCCTATTGTGCATGCTCTAGACAAAGTAGAATAGGCAAATGAAATGAACATCCAAAGTATTGTCTGGCTGGGTGCAGTGGCTCACACTTGTAATCCCAGTCCTTTGGGGAGGTCTAGGTGGGAGGATCATTTGAGGTCAGGAGACTAGCCTAGTCAACATAGTGAGACCCTTTCTCTACAAAACATTTAAAATATTTAAAAAAAAATTTTAAATACATAAATATGAACAAAGTATTGTCTGAAGAATTTCAGTTCTTTCATTTTTTATAGAAAGTATAGTTTTATAAACTATAAAAAATATTTTTAAGTCATTTTAAAACCTTTTAGTGTAGTGATTATCAAATGAGTCTTAAGTTTGTTTTTTCCACTTGATTAGTAGAAAATAAAATGTGTTATTCATGAAAGGATTCTCATTCTGACCATTAGTTGTTAGAAAACCAACTAGTGTGTTTATACAGTTGTACATCCCAAATCTGAAAATTCTAAATCCAAAATACTCTGAAATCCAAAAGTTTTTGAGAACCCACATGATGCTCAAAGGAAATGCTCATTGGAGCATTTCAGAGTTCAGATTTTTGGATTTTAAGATTTAGGATGCTTGGCCAGCCTGATGGCTCACTCCTGTAATCCCAGCACTTTGGGAGGCTGAGGCAGGCGGATCGCCTGAGGTCAGGAGTTCGAGATCAGCCCGGCCAACATGACAAAACCCCATCTCTGCTAAAAATACAAAAATTAGCTGGGCATGGTGGCACACACCTGTAGTCCCAGCTACTCGGGAGGCTGAGACAGGAGAATTCCTTGAACCCAGGAGGCAGAGGTTGCAGTGAGCTGAGATCGTGCCACTGCACTCCAGCCTGGGTGACAGAGCAAGACTCCATCTCGAAAAGAAAAACAAGATTTAGGATGCTTAATTGGGAAGGTACGTGATACAAATATTCTAAAATCCAGAATCCAAAACACTTCTGGTTCCAAGCATTTCAGACAAGGGATATTGGACCTGTATCTATATTTTAAATGAGTGTCATTAAAGAAAGAGAACAGCACATTTATTATGATATAATATTATAATATGATATACATCTGTTTGCTCTTCTAGAGTAGGTCTTTAGAAAAAAGTTTATATCTTATTAAAACCAGATTTCAATCACTTAATCGAGCACAAAGGCAAATCACAAATAAAAATCTATAATAATTCAATATACTAAATTCTCAAACCATGGAAACAAAATGTTTGCCTTTTGAGTAGAATAAAAGAAGAACATAAAAACATTAGGAAAGATTAAAATATACACAGTTTGTTTTCAGCATTCTTGTTGGCTTCAAAGTCACTTTATTAGTTTAAGAACATAAAATATTTAAGACTTTTCCTATTAAATTGTCATGATTGATATTTTATTTTATTTTATTTATTTTTTTTTTTAGACGGAGTTTCGCTCTCTCACCCAGGCTGGAGTGTAGTGGCACAATCTCAGCTCACTGCAACCTCTATCTCCCTGGTTCAAGCAATTCTCCTGCCTCAGCCTCCTGAGTTGCTGGGATTACAGGTGCATGCCACCACTCCCAGCTAATTTTTTGTATTTTTAGTAGAGACGGGATTTCACCTTATTGGCCAGGCTGGTCTCGAACTCCTGGCCTCAAGCGATCCTCCCACCTTGGCCTCCCAAAGTGCTGGGATTACAGGCATGAACCACTGTGCCTAGCCCAAGATTGATATTTTAAATATTTATATACAATATAACCAGGCAGTAAAATTAAAAACTTAGTCTTGGCTGGGCATGGTGATTTACGCCTGTAATCCCAGCACTTTGGGAGGCTAAGGCAGGCAGTTTTCTTGAGCCCTGGAGTTCAAGACCAGCCTGGACAACATAGCGAGACCCCATCTCTAAAAAGAAGGAAAAATGTACTCTTTAACATTTCTTTTTAAGTTTTTTATTTTGCTATAAATGTCTCTACAAGCAGCTGAACTTTAAGAATTATGACCTGTCTTGATCTTTGCCAAAGATTGGCAAAAACTTAGAAACAGAAGAAATCAGCACTGTAATAAAGTTTTAACCAGGTGGAGAGCTCATATCCAAGGTTACTTGGGTCTGAGTCTTCCCAGCAAAAAAAAAAAAAAAAAAAATTAATACAAGTAAAAAAGAAAGTTTTAGCTGGGTATGGTGGCACACAAGTGCAGTTCCAGCTCCTCAGGAGGCTGAGGCAAGGGGACTGCTTAAGTCCAGCAGGTCAAGGTTGCAGTGAACTATGATCAGCCATTGCACTCCAACCTGGGCAACAGAGCAAGACCATGTCTCAAATAAATAAGTTAAGTTACTTTGAAAGTTTAGAGTCCTACCTGATGTTAATTGAGTTACCCACTTTTTTCCCCTTAAGGAACAGGTAAAAAAAATTTAACACATTATAAACAGATGTTGCCATGTAAAACTTGATATGTTTTGTCATTTTCTCAACATTGATGGGTAACAGCTTGCTTTCTCCAATATTTCATTTTTATCATGATCTTCCAGAACTGATAAAACTTTTGAGTTTGTTTAAATTTTTTAAAAAGCTTTCCCTTGGCCAGGGGTGGTGGCTCGCATCTGTAATCCCAACACTTAGGGAGGCCAAGATGGAAGGATTGCTTGGGCCCAGGAATTGAGACCAGCCTGGGCAACATGACGAGACCTCATCTCTACAAAAAATTTAAAAATTAGCCAAGCATGAGGTTATGCACTTGTAGTCCCAGCTACTCGGCTGGCTGCAGCAGGAGGATTGAGTGAGCCTGGGAAGTCAACGGTATAGTAAGCTGTGTTTGTGCCACTGCACTCCAGCTTGGGCAACAGAGCAAGACCCTGTCTTAAAAAAAAAAAAAAAAAAAAAAAAAAGCTTTCTCTACATCGATATGTGTCTTAATCTCTCCAAACTTAGGTTGTTTCTCGACACACTTCGGAAAAAGGAATATTCAGAGGCAAGAGAGTTAGGAGGAGAAGCCCAGATTGCATTCCTTTTTTTTTTTTTTTTTTTTTTTGAGTCTAGCTCAGTGCCCAGGCTGGAGTACAGTGGCACCATCACAGCTCAGTGCAGCCTCAACCCTACAGGTTCAAGCAGTCTTCCCACCTCAGCCTCTCGAGTAGCTGGGACTACAGGTGCACACCACCATGCCTAGCTAATTATTTTTTGTAGAGACGGAGTCTCGCTATGATGATCAAGCTGGTCTCAAACTGCTGGGCTTAAGGAGTCTTCCTGCCTAAGACTCCCAAAATGCTGGGATTACAGGCATGAGTCACCTTGTACAACCAGACTGCATTCTTAAAGCACATGACGTTATAGTTGACAGTGTTGTAAAATGATGTGTTACGTGAAGCTGCATCTTTAAATCTTGGACCCAAGAAATGTGCAGCATCTACTCATTCATTCTTTAAACATTTTTTTTTGAAACTTTACTATGACCTAGGTTCTTTGTCAGCTGAGGACTTAAAAATGAATAAGAGGAAAAAAATAAAACATGGTTCCTGTGGGGCCCAAGGTCTCCAGAGGGAGACAGACATGGATGGACAGAATTTCAATACAATATAGCCTGCATAATGCAGTGCTGTAAGGTACAGGACATCTTTGGAACAGAGAAGGTGGCAGTCCTCAGCCAGCCTGGGGCAGACAGGAAAAGCTTCCTTGTGTCAGTGCCTTTTGGCCAAAGGAACACACTTGTAGTTGAACAAGTTGGGTTTCTTGGTTCGTTGCAGTGAGGAAGAAAGCACACCATGAAGAACCATGGGGCATCTTAGTGCAGAGTTGAGAGGAACTTGTTGCAGTTTAGACTTGCAGTAGGTGACTTTGGGAAGGGTTTAAAGAATCAATATTTTGCTCTGGATTTGATAATTCTATGATGAATTTTTATCTAGAAGGTGGGGTAAAGCTGTGATTAGTAAGGGCACAGCAGTCACTCATATTAGCTGGGAGAGGAAGATGTTTCGCATTTTTTGTAGTTTATGGCATTTGTGTTTTTGTCTGTGCTCAGACATGACTGTGGAGTGGTTTTTTTTCTTTTTCTTCTTCTTTTTAGAGACAGGGTCTCGCTCTGTCTCCCGGACTGTCATGCAGTGGGGTGATCTCAGCTCACTGTAAAGTGGTCTTATTTTTGTCTTGCTCCAGCATGCTCATAGAGTGGCCTGGTTTCGGTTCAACAGGACAACCCCAGGCCTAGATGTTAGAACCAGGACAGTTTAGCTTACCGCAGCCCAGGACTGCTTTTTTTCTTTTTTTTTTTTTTTCTTTTGAGACAGAGTTTTGCTCTTTTTGCCCAGGCTGAAGTACAATGGCACGATCTCAGCTCACTGCAACATCCGCCTCCCAGTTTCAAGTGACTCTCCTGCCTCAGCCTCCCGAGTAGCCGGGATAACAGGTGTGCACCACCACACCCAGCTAATTTTGTATTTTTAGTAGAAACGGGGTTTCTCCACGTTGGTCAGGCTGGTCTCGAACTCCCAACCTCAGGTGATCCGCCCGCCTTCATCTCCCGAAGTGCTTGTATTACAGGTGGGAGCCACCACACCCGGCCTGACTGCTTTTTTTCTTTCTCACTTTCCTGAGAGAAAGAGTGATATCTTCTAGAGAGAGAGTGACACCTTCTAGGAAATGTGGCTGTTGGGTGTTGCTCTCGTGCATAAGGTAAAGGCAAAAAACAGCAGGAGGAGGAACAGCTGGAAGTCAGGTCACAGAGGGTCCTCTGTGCCTCCCTAAGGAGCTTAGCCTTTATCCTTTAGGCACTGGGATGCCATGAAGTATTTGTAAGCTCGAAGTGACAGAATCAGATTTGCATTGTAGATAGCTTATGCTGGCAGTCATGTCGAAGGAGATCTGAGCTGGACAAGCAAGAGTTGCAGTTCAAATGTTTTCTCAGTTATCCAACCAAGAAAAAGTCAGTACTTATAGGTAGAAATGTGATTTCATTCTTACAATAAGTGGATTTTACAATTATGATAGCATATATAGTTCTAATTCTGATTCAGAAATTTCTACAAGAAGAGAAATAGGCTGGGTACGGTGGCTCACACCTGTAATCCCAGCACTTTGGGAGGCCAAGGCAGGCGGATCATGAGGTCAGGAGTTTGAGACCAGCCTGGCCAATATGGCAAAGCTCCATCTCTAGTAAAAATACAAAAATTAGCCAGGCGTCGTAGCGTGTGCCTGTAGTCCCAGCTACTCGAGAGGCTGAGGCAGAAGAATCACTTGAACCTGGGAGGCGGAGGTTACAGTGAGCCAAGATCATACCACTGCACTCCAGCCTGGGCGACAGAGCAAGACTCTATCTCAAAAAAAAAAAAAATAGAGAAATAAAAATCTTCATTGCACGCTGCAGTTAAATTCAGAAGGACCATCTCATGACTAGCGAGTGCTTTAAGATCATCAGCTACTCCTCTATGTTGAAGATCTCCTTTTAATGAATTATGGAAAGACATTACCACTTCACCCATTGAAGTGTTCTTTCCTATATATCTGCTATTTTTGTTCTTCTTCTTTTCTTTCTTCTTGTTTTTTTGAGACGGAGTTTCGCTCTTGTTCTCTTGTTGCCCAGGCTGGAGTGCAATGGTGCGATCCTGGCTCACTGCAACCTCCGCCTCCTGGGTTCTAGTGATTCTCCTGCCTCAGCCTCCCAAGTAGCTGGGATTACAGGCATGCACCACCACGCCCAGCTAATTTTTTTGTATTTTTAGTGGAGACAGGGTTTCTGCATGTTGGTCAGGCTGGTCTCAAACTCCCAACCTCAGGTGATCTACCAGCTTCGGCCTCCCAAAGTGCTGGGATTACAAGCGTGAGCCACCACACCCGGCTTCTTCTTCTTTTCTTAATTCCAAGGATATCATGGGGTTTTCTTGTTTGGTTGGTTCTGGGTTTGTTTTTTGTTTTTGTTTGTGTGTTGTTTTGTTTTTTGACACAAAGTCTGGTTCTGTTGCCTAGGCTGGAGTGCAGTAGCATGATCTTGGCTCACTGCAGCCTCCCTCTGCCTCCCGGGTTCAAGCCATCCTCCCACCTCAGCCTACCAAGTAGTTGGGACGACAGGTGTGTACCACAAAGCCTGGCTAATTTTTGTATTTTTTGTAGAGACAGGGTTTTGCCATGTTGCCCAGGCTGGTCTTGAACTTGTGAACTCAAGTGATCTGCCTGCCTCAGCCTCCAAAGTGCTGGGATTACAGGCATGAGCCACCATGCCCAGCCTGAAGATAGCATGTTTTGTAACTGTTTTACTTCTCCTTTATGCCTTTTAGGAAGAGTATACAATTTTGCAGCATTGCGAAGCAAATCAAATGGGGACCTTGGTTTGAATATTTAGTTGTCAAATTAAGACAGAAATTAAGAGCATTTTTTACATGTAACTTTGCTAAATCAATTTGCTGTTACTTGCATTTGACAAGAAAAATTTTTTTTAAATGGCATATTAGAATATATTCAAGTATTTGTCGAGTGATCTTACCCTCTATATTTCACACATTTCATGACAAATAATTTTTATAGTTTGTCCTTTTCTGTTTCAACTTATATGGAAAAAAAGTTGATTGAGCTATTATTAGAAATTCGATGATACATTCTGAATACAAGATTCAGGATCTCATTGATTTTTCCTTCACAAATTCCATTATCATTTAAATCTCCAAAGTATATTTGCTTTCAAAATGTTGGCTGAGCAAATGATCTGAGCAATTTTAAATTTTTTTGCCTGTATGTATTTTCCTTTTTGGGGGGTGGGGGTGGGGAGGACAGAGTCTCCCTCTGTTCCCCAAGCTGGAGAGCAGTGGCACTATCTCAGCTCATTGCAACCTCTGCTTCCCGGGTTCAAGCGATTCTCATGCCTCAGCCTCCCGAGTAGCTGGGATTACATGCACGCATCACCATTCCCGGCTAATTGTTTATATTTTTAGTAGAGCCAGGGTTTCACTGTGTTGGCCAAGTTGGTCTCGAACTCCTGGCCTCAAGTGATCCGCCTGCCTTGGCCTCCAAAGTGCTGGGATTACAGGTGTGAGCCACCACGCCCAGCCACGCATATGTATTTTCTTTTATCAGCAGTGGTATTTTAGAATAATGTAGCCCTCTAATAGGAACTTTCAGGACCAGGTGCAGTGACTTATGCCTGTAATCCGATCACTTTGGGAGGCCTAGGTGGAAGGATCACTTGAACCCAGGGGTTAGAGACCTGCCTGGGCAACATAGGGAGACCCCATTTCTACAAAAAATTTAAAAATTACCCGGTGTGGTGGCACATGCCTGTAGTCTCAGCTACTCAGGAGGCTGAGGTGAGAGGATCACTAGAGCCCAGGAGGTTGAGGTTGCAGTAGCCGTGATCGCGCCTCTGCACTCCAGCCTGTGCGACAGAGCGAAACCCTGTCTCAAAAAAAAAAAAAAAAGTGGCAGGCACAGTGGCTCACGCCTGTAATCCCAGCACTTTTGAGGCAGGTGGATCGCCTGAGGTTAGGAGTTCTAGACAAGCCTGGCCAACGTGGTGAAACCCTGTCTCTACTAAAAATACAAAAATTAGCCGGGTGTGGTAGCAGGTGCCTATAATCCCAGCTTCTCAGGAGGCTGAGTCAGGAGAATTGCTCGAACCTGGGAGGCAGAGGCTGCAGTGAGTTGAGATCGTGCCACTGCACTCCAGCCTGGGCAACAGAGTGAGATTCCTTCTCAAAAAAAAAAAAAAATGCTTTCATAATTTTTAATTTTTTGCCAACAATTAGATATGATGAAGCCATCGAGAGTATGTGTTTACATTGCTTGATTGGCAAGATAGTAGTGTGTTAGAAACAATAGCAAGAGAATAATTTCTAGATCCAGAACATCAAAAAAAGCTGTTTTGTACCTTCTTAAGCCCAACCTTGTGTTGTCCAGTATGGTAGCCACTAGCTCCACGTGGCTGTTATATTTTTAATTTAACTAATTTAATTAAAAATTTAGTTTTGGCCAGGCACGGTCGCTCACACCTGTAATCCCAGTACTTTGGGAGGCTGAGGCACGCAGATCACGAGGTCAACAGATAGAGACCATCCTGGCCAACATGGTGAAATCCCATCTCTACTAAAAATACAAAAATTAGCCAGGCATAGTGGCACGCGCCTGTAGTCCCAGCTACTCAGGAAGCTGAGGCAAGAGAATCACTTGAACCTGGGAGGTGGAGGTTGCAGTGAGCCGAGATCACGACACTGCACTCCAGCCTGGCGACAGAGCGAGACTCCGTCTCAAGAAAAAAAAAAAAATTAGTTCTGGCCAGGCGTGGTGGCTCACGCCTGTAATCCCAGCACTTTGGGAGGCCAAAGTGAGTGGATCACCTGAGGTCACGAGTTCAAGACCAGCCTGGTCAACTTAGTGAAACCCCCATCTCTACCAAAATACAAAAATTAGCCAGGCATGACAGTGAGTGCTTATAATCCCAGCTACTCGGGAGGCTGAGGTGGGAGAATCACTTGAACCCAGGAGGCGGAGGTTGTAGTGAGCCGAGATCGCTCCACTGAACTCCAGCCTGGGCAACAGAGCAAGACTCCATCTAAAAATAAAAAAATTTAGTTATTCAGTCACACATATGTCACACATATGACAAGGGTTTTGTTTCACTTCATTTTCTTTCATCAACCTGTTAGAAGGACAAGATTTAATAACCACATGTAACTACTGGTTACCCTGTGGACAATGTGCATATAAAACATTTCCATCATCATGGAAAGTTCTACTGGACAGCACTACCTTAAACTCTTGAAGGATTTTTTTATAAATGTCTGCTAGATACGCGGATAGTTTCTCCTAGTAACATTTGAAAATTCATCTTTAACTTGAAAGTTTTTATAAATGAAGACTTTCCCCCTGAAATATAACTTGTAATGTGGAAATACTATAAGTTGATCTTACAATTCATATTGGGAGAACAGAAAACTGTTGTGTTGTACCTAGATTACAAATGAACACTAAGCTGGAATACATACATTTCACATTCTTCTTTCTAAGCCTCTAACCCTGTGAGCCTTGTATTCGTTTGATAAGCAGCTATTGAGAACCTGCCATGTGAAGGGCTTATGTGTTAGACATACAGCTCATCTTGGTTGGGTGATTGTTCAAAAACATCAGATTATCAAAAACTCAATTGATATTTATAGGTTGTGAAAACATACCAGTGTGACTAAAATTAAATATTTCTTATTTCAGGTTATGTTTCCAAGAGGTAGGGTACATTCTTCAGAATACATTCAGTTTTCAGAGATCAAATACATTTACACTTGTACCTTTCAGCATAAAAGAATGATTTCACTTCCTTTGTGGATTTCAAAGCCATATAAAAAGAGCTATGTTCCAAATTCCTTCAAACTCTAAAATCCTCTCTGCCCTGAGCTTTTCAATCAAGAAGGATAAGGGCAGACTTTTTAAAATCTGATCTCTACAGCAGTGGGTCCCAAACTTGCTGCACATTGAAATCACCCAGGGATCTTCAAAAACTAGGGATACTTACCTCCCACCCACCCACAACCTATTCAATTGGTCTGTGGTGTGACCTTGGTCTCAGTGTTTTTAAGGCTCCCCTGGGTGATTCTTATATGCAGCAAAGTTTGGGAACCCACTGCTCTATAGAATCACCAGTGAAGCCTTTTAAAACTTAGATTCCTTGGCCCTACACTCAGAGTTTTTTTGCCTTACTTGTTTTTGTTTTGTTTATTCAATAGGCAGAGAGTAGAACACAGGCCCCTATAATTGTAAAGTATAGCTGGAGTTGAAAACCACTGCTGTAAAAGAATCAATGTTCTCTCTCCTTCTCTTTCCCTATATCTGTACATCTTTGATCATATTAAAAAATACAACCAAGCGCAATGGCTCACTGGCTCACGCTTGTAATCCCAGCACTTTGGGAGACCGAGGCTAGCGGATCACCTGAGGTCAAGAGTTCACCACCAGCCTGGCCAATATGGTGAAACCCCATCTCTACTAAAAATACAAAAATCAGCCAGGGGTGGTGGCGGGTGCCTATAATCCCAGCTACTCGGGAGGCTGAGGCAGGAGAATCGTTTGAACCTCAGAGGCAGAGGTTGCAGTGAGCCAAGATCGCGCCACTGCACTCCATCCTGGACAACAGAGCAAGACTCCATCTCATAAATAAATAATAATTTTTTAAAATTTGTAATTAAAAAACACAAGAGCATATCTACAAAGATGTCAAGTAAAAAGTCCATATGAAAAAGGCCAGAAGAAGGTTGGGCAATACTGGTTCTTCCTCTTTTTAAAATAACAGCAACTGTGAACTCTGAAGGCAGAAACATAGATTGCTCTTGCTTTTGAGAAAAACAACAGTCTTAGCGTATAGAAAATATAAAAATCTGATGCCCTAAATATCAGTGGTATCCAAGCTTTCTTGATCATGCAAGAATCAATAAACAGGTGGGAGGCTCACAATCTGAATGTATATATATATATTGTTTTCTTTTGAGACAGAGTGTTGCTCTGTCGCCAAGCTGGAGTGCAGTGATGTGATCTTAGCTCACTGCAACCTCCGCTCCCTGAGTTCAAGCGATTCTCCTGCCTCAGCCTCCCAAGTAGCTGGGACTACAGGTCGCGCCACCACATCCAGCTAATTTTTGTATTTTTAGTAGAGACGGGGTTTCACCATGTTGGCCAGGATGGTCTTGATCTCTTGACCTCATGATCCGCCTGCCTCGGCCTCCCAAAGTGCTGGGATTACTGGCATGAGCCACCACGCCTGGCCGTATATTTATTCTTAAGTTATCTATATGTACTATGATACTTATGTATATCATAAAATATATACAGAAATAGACTTTTTAAAGGATTGATAGATGAAATAAACAGAATATACATAAAATTTACATCTTAATAGAAAAAAACTTCTTTGCTATAACTTAAAAATTACAAATAATTTGTTGTTTTTATTTTTTGAGACAGAGTCTCGCTCTGTCGCCCAGGCGGGAGTGCAGTAGCGTGATCTCAGCTCTCTGCAACCTCCACCTCCCGGGTTCAAGCAATTCTCATGCCTCAGACTCTTAACCAGCTGGAATTACTGCTGCGCACCACCACACCCGGCTAATTTTTGTATTTTTAGTAGAGACAGGGTTTCACCATGTTGCCCAGGTTGGTCTCGAACTGTTGGCCTCCAGTTATCTGCCCGCCTCGGCCTCCCAAAGTGCTGGAATTACAGGTGTGAGCCACCATGCCCAGCCATAATTTGTTGATATAATAATATTTAAAGGGAGCAATGTGTTTGACTATGTTATAGTTAATGATCTGCCATTATTTTGCTTGGCGAAGTAGTTGACAAAGGACTCATCAAGAAAAGTGGCAGCTCAGCCGGGTACGGTGGCTCACGCCTGTAATCCCAGCACTTTGGGAGGCTGAGGCGGACAGATCACGAGGTCAGGAGATCGAGACCATCCTGGCTAACACGGTGAAACTCTGTCTCTACTAAAAATACAAAACATTTGCCAGACATGGTGGCACGTGCCTGTGATTCCAGCTACTCAGGAGGCTGAGGCAGGAGAATCACTTGAACCTGGGAGAGAGAAGTTGCAGTGAGCCGAAATCGCGCCACTGCAATCCAGCCTGAGCAACAGAGCGAGACTCCATCTCAAAAATAAATAAATAAATAAATAAATAAATAAATAAATAAATAAATAAATAAAAATAAAAGACACTTAAAATAAATCACTTACGCTGGGGGCAGTGGCTCACACCTGTAATCCCAGAACTTTGGGAGGCTGAGGCAGGCAGATCACTTCAGGTCAGGAGTTCGAAACCAGCCTGGCCAACATGATGAAACCCCGCCTTTACTAAAATACAAAAATTAGCCAGATGTGGTGGTGCACACCTGTAATCCCAGCTACTTGGGGGGCTGAGGCCGGAGATTGCTTGAACCCGGGAGGCAGAGGTTGCAGTGAGCTGAGATTGCACCACTGCACTCCAGCCTGGGCAATAGAGCAAGACTCCATCTCAAAAAAAAATACATAGGCCAGGTGCAGTGGCTCACGCCTGTAATCCCAACACTTTGGGAGGCCAAGGCAGGTGGATCACCTGAGGTCAGGAGTTCGAGACCAGCCTGGGCAACATAGTGAAACCTTGTCTCTACTGAAAATACAAAAATTAGTCAGGCATGGTGGTGCATGCCCATAGTCCCAGCTACTCGTGAGGCTGAGGCAGGAGAATCCGACTTGAAGTGGGGAGGCAGAAGTTGCAGTGAGCCGAGATCATGCCACTGCACTCCAGCCTGGGTGACAGAGCAAGACTCTCTTAAAATAAAATAAAATAGTACTTAAACTGCAATATGCTATAATACTCTGAGGGCAAACAAACAAGTGAGGATGCCATTATTAACCTCTCTGAATTGGGGGACTCATACGATTTGTAATCACCTGACATACTCCAGGGCCAACATATTTATTAAATATTAATAGAGTGTGTTTTTTTATTTTTATAATAAAAATGAGTAAAAATGGAAATAAATAGAAATATGTCTTTCCTCACCCCAACAGATCATCTTGCATACCCCTATGGTGCTTTTACCCTGCTTTAAAGACCACTACTGCATATGGCTGCATACAGAAACCTTGTATTGCCTAATTTTTATAAATCATTTCAATTGAATAAAGATTGGATAATTAAACATGAATTCTAACAGGACCTTCCAATCTCTTTCCTTTATCCTTATGTCAACCTCTGAATCTGACCGTGAAACTATATTTTAGAAATAGAGAATTCAGGCCGGGCACGGTGGCTCACGCCTGTAATCCCAGCACTTTGGGTCGGATCACTTGCAGTCAGGAGTTCAAGACCAGCCTAACCAACATGGTGAAACCCCGTTTCTACTAAAAATGCAAAAATTAGCCAGGCCTGGTGGAGTATGCCTATAATCCCAGCTACTTGGGAGGCTGAGGCAGGAGAATCACTTGAACTCAGGAGGCAGAGGTTGCAGTGAGCCGAGATTGTGCCATTGCACTCCAGCCTGGGCAACAAGAGTGAAACTTGTCTCAAAAAAGAAAAAAAAAAAAAAGAAAGAAAGAAATAGATAAATCAATGCTGCAGGTGACTTCTGACATTCATAAAGAATGTTTAGGGTTGACATTATAGCTCTACGAATACATTTTTACTTTTTCCTCTAATCTGAATCATGGACTTTCTAGTTAATATATTTTTTAAAAAATCAAACAACTAAATATTTATCATGTATTTTGCTATTTAATATTTCAAAGGAGTTGATTTAAAAATTTGGAGTTTACTAATTAAGGTGATATTCTGTATGAATTCTGGATAGAGTTTTAGCTGATACGGTACAGATCTAAGCATTAACATAGCCGTAGTTTATCCTAATTATTCCTGTTTTCTTCAGCTTTCTTCACAGAAGTCAGTGCCGTGGGTACCCATTTTAAAATCCCTGCCACTTTGGGCTATCGTAGTTGCACACTTTTCTTACAACTGGACTTTTTATACTTTATTGACATTATTGCCTACTTATATGAAGGAGATCCTAAGGTTCAATGTTCAAGAGGTAAGAAAAAATAATCATCTGCTTCTTATATATATAGTATAAGACCATACACAGAATTTGTTCTCATCTGTATAAAATTCAGTTATTCTGTATCTTCCATTTTACTCTGCTGTCCTAAATTTTAGAGATTCTTATACATCAAAGGACTATTAAGAAAATGAAAAACAACCCACTGAATGGGAGAAAGCATTTATAAATCAAACATCTAATAAGGGTCTAGTATCCAGACATATTAAGAATTCTTACAATTCAATAATAAAAAGACAACTCAGTTTTTAAAATGGGCAAAGGACTTGAATACGAATACACATTTCTCCAAAGATACACAGATGGCCAATAAGCACATGTAAGGATGCCCGACATCAGGCCGGGTGTAGTGGCTCACGCCTGCAATCCTACCACTTTGGGAGGTCGAGGCAGGTGGATTACTTGAGGCCAGGCATTTGAGACCAGACCGGGCAACATGGTGAAACCCTGTCTCTGTTAAAAATACAAAAAAGGCCAGGCGCGGTCGCTCACGCCTATAATCCCAGCACTTTGGGAGGCCAAGGCAGGCGGATCACCTGAGGTCAGGAGTTTGAGACCAGCCTGACAAATATGGAGAAACCTCATCTCTACTAAAAATACAAAATTAACCAGGCGTGGTAGTGCATGCCTGTAATCCCAGCTACTCGAGAGGTTGAGGCAGGAGAATTGCTTGAACCCGGGAAGCGGAAATTGTGGTGACCCAGGATCAAGCCATTGCACTCCAGCCTGGGCAACAAGAGTGAAACTCCATCTCAAAAAATAATAATAATAATAATTAATCCCAGCACTTTGGGAGGCTGAGGCAGAAGGACTGCTTGAGCCCAGGAGTTCGATAATACAGATTGGATAATACAGCAAAACCGTCTCTACTAAAAACACACAAAAAAATTAACCGGGCATGGTGGCCTACACCTGTAATCCCAGCTACTAGGGAGGCTGAGGCACGAGAATCTCTTGAACCCAGGAGGCGAAGGTTGCAGTGAGCTGAGGTCATGCCCCTGCACTCCAGCCTGGGCAGCAGAACAAGACTCTGTCCCAGGAAAAAAAAAAAAAATGCTAACAAGGCTGACTGCACAACTGCACTGGCTACATGGACTTACCTGCTTTAAAAACTATTAAAGTGAATCCTCAGTCACTCACATTCCAAAGTATACCATAAACATTGGCCTGGCTATGTGGACCAAACCTTAAAACTTCAGGCAGCTAAGCTGTGAAGAACTCCTCTGTCTACTTCTGAAAAACAAGATCACTATATAGAAATATTTCCACAAATTGCACTGACAGAAGTTAAATTGAAACTAGGCTTTGGCAACATAATGGGATGGATTCATTGTGAGCAATCTTATTTTTCCCAAGTTCTCTGTTAACAGAGCCTGATTATAATCTACTACTACATTTCAACTATAAAGTGGGGCTGATTTTTAAAAAAGAAAGAAATAAATAATATACTACTACAGTGATTAATTGCATTCAACTGTGCATTGAAAGGTTAATTTGGTAATTATCATTTGGGGTAAAACTGAGATCCACAGGAAGATTAAAAATAGCAAATCCAGCCGGGCCCAGTGGTTCACACCTGTAATACCAGCACTTTGGGAGGCCGAGGTGGGTGGATCACTTGAGGTCAGGAGTTCAAGGCCAGCCTGGCCAACATGTGAAACCCCATCTCTACTAAAAATATAAAAATTAGCCAGGCATGGTAGCAGGCACTTGTAGTCCTAGCTACTCGAGAGGCTGAAGCAGGAGAATCACTGGAACCCAGGAGGCAGAGGTTGCAGTGAGCTGAGGCCATGCCATTGCACTCCAGCCTGGGCAACAGAGCAAGACTCCATCTCAAAAAAAAAAAAAAAAAAACAAATTCTCAAAATCATATTAACAAAATATCTTATTTTACTTATAAAGTATATTTAAAGATTACTACACTGATGTTTCTATTTGAGATTTTCCAGGAAGAACTATATATGGAAGAAATAAAATATCAATAGCTGGCCAGTAATTAATGTTGTGTACTTTAAAACAAGGATCTTTTATCTTGCATTTTCATAGACAAAAAGGTTTATCTTAATTAAAATTAAAAGAAATGTGAATATAGGACCTTCTTTCATTCTGTAAAATAAAAAGAAATGTGAATAGAGTTTGAAAATAATTCTATAATTATATAGCCTATTTTTTAATTGATTTTTTTTCTTGAAAATCAATGTGTTACATTCATGAAATGGCCTAGGTGTTTTTGTTTTTGTTTTTTTTAAATAGTAGAGATGGGGTTTCCCATTATTGTCCAGGTTGGTTTCATACTCCTGAGCTCAAATGATCCTCCTGCCTCAGCCTCCCAAAGTGTTGGGATTACAGGCATGAACCACCCTGCCTGGCCATCAGATGGCCTTTGTTCAAAATAAGCTTGCTTTGAGAAGCGTGGCATGCCTCCTTTTATTGCACTTTGCTTTATTATACTCTGCAAATATTGTATTTTTTATGAATTGAAGATTTGTGCTAACCCTGCATGGAGCAAATCCGTTAGCACCATTTTTCCAACAGCATGTGCTCACTTCAGGGCTCTTGATCTTTGAAGTTAGTGTTGTAATTGTTGGGGGGCACCATAATCCTTCCCCATATAAGATGGCAAACTTAATAAATGTTGAGTGTCTTCTGACGGCTCTGCCAACCAGCCACTACCCCATCTCTTTCCTTCTCCTTGAGCTTCCCTATTCCCTGAGACACAACAATATTGAAATTAGGCTGGTTAATAACCCTACAGTGGCCGGGCGCAGTGGCTCACGCACCTAGCACTTTGGGAAGCCGAGGCGGGCGGATTGCCTGTGCTCAAGAGTTCGAGACCAGCCTGAGCAACACGGTGAAATCCCATCTCTACTAAAATACAAAAGAAGTTAGCCAGGCATGGCAGCTCGTGCCTGTAATCCCAGCACCTCGGGAGACTGAGGCAGGAGAATTCCTTGAACCTGGGAGGCAGAAGTTGCAGTGAGCCAAGATCACACCACTGCACTCCAGCCTGGGTGACAGAGCAAGACTCCGTCTGTACAGAAAAACAAAATAAATAACCCTACGATGGCCTGCAAGTATTCAAGTGAAAGCAAGAGTCACATATCTCTCATTTTTTTAAATCTTTTATCTAAAATGTGTTTATAGAGATGGTTTTCCACTCATCTTGATTCAGAGTGCTCTTAGTGCTGCTTCCTCCTGAAGGAACATCCTTCCATAAGCCTTGCTTTTCCTCCTGTAGGCTGGCAGAGGACAGTAGAGCACCCAACACACAAAACTACTGTTTGTGCATGAGTAAAGACCGTGATGATTTTATAGCGTCCTGGGCACTTCACATCCATGAAGTAGGAATTAGTGCTCTGCACCAGGCATTTCTTCTTGTGTTTCCTCTTCTCCTCTTCTGGAGAGGGATGAAGGAAATTTTTTGCAAGAGGTGTGTTCTCGTCGGTAGGTCGTCACAACCAGAAACTCATTTTATTTTATTTTATTTTATTTTATTTTATTTTATTTTATTTTATTTTATTTTATTTTATTTCATTTTATTTTATTTTAAGACTGAGTCTTGCTCTGTTGCCCAGGCTAGAGTTCAGTGGTACGACCTCAGCTCACTGCAACCTCCACCTCCCGGGTTCAAGCGATTCTCCTCTGTCAGCCTCCCAAGTACCTGAGATTTCAGGTGTGTGCCACCACACCTGGCTAAATTTTTTATTTTTGTAGAGACAGGGTTTTACCATGTTGGCCAGGCTGGTCTCAAACTCCTGACCTCAAGTGATCCCTTTGCCTTGGCCTCCCAAAGGGCTGGGATTACAGACGTGAGCCAATGCGCCTGCAAAAAAATTGGAATCAATTTTTTTAAATAAATGAATACAAGGGATCTTATCCTTGAAGAGAAAACTTAACAACTGTGGAAGGTGCCTGTGGAATGTATAAATGCTGAAGACTTTAGTGTATTTAGGTTGTTGCCCAGGCTGGAGCGCAGTGGCGCAATCTTGGCTCACTGCAACCTCCGCCTCTCAGGTTCAAGCGATTCTCCTGCCTCGGCCTCCCTAGTAGCTGGGATTACAGGCATCCACCGCCACACCTAATTTTTGTATTATTAGTAGAGATGAGGTTTCACCATGTTCACCAAGCTGGTCTCAAACTGCTGACCTCAGGTGATCTGCCTGCCTTGGCCTCCCAAAGTGCTGGGATTACAGGCATGAGCCACCGTGCCTAGCCGGCAGTTTTTAGCATTGCAACTTGAAGTGGCAATATTACTAACTGTGAGGAATTATCAACCTTATCCCACCAGGAAACAAAATCAAGATCAGAAAATTCACTTATCTGATTTACTACAGCTTATTCTTTTTTACTTTCCTACTAATATTTTGAAACCATTTATTCTTATACAGGATTTTGCCACAAATAATGATAGATGTGATCCCACCGTGCAGAAGTCTAAATGGAATTGTGTTTTTTTTTCTTTTTTTTGTTTTTTTTCTTTCTGAGACAGAGTCTTGCTCTGTCACCCATGCTGGACTGACTGCACCAGAGCAATCTTGGTTCACTGCAACCTCCACCTCCCAGGTTCAAGCGATTCTTCTGCCTCAGCCTCCCAAGTAACTGGGATTACAGTCATGTATCATGATGCCCAGCTAATTTTTTGTATTTTTAGTAGATACAGGGTTTTGCCATGTTGACCAGGCTGGTCTTGAGCCCCGTCCTCAAGTGATTCTTCCTCCGCGGCCTCCCAAAGTGCTGGGATTACAGGCATGAGCCACTGTGCCCAGCCAAGCTTTTTTTGTTTGTTTGTTTAAGGGAAGTAGAATAGGCAATGCTTGATGATTGGACGCGAAAAATGAGGGAAAAGAAACCATCAGGAAAGACTCTCAGAGGCCAGGCGCGGTGGCTCATCCCTGTAATCCCAGCACTTTGGGAGGCTGAGGCGGCCAGATCACTTGAAGTCAGGAGTTCGAGATTAGCCTGGCCAACATGGCGAAACTCCGTCTCTACTAAAAATACAAATTAGCCGGGCGTGGTGACACACGCCTGCAATCGTAGCTACTCAGGAGGCTGAGGCAGGAGAATTGCTGGAACCCAGAAGGTGGAGGTTGCAATGAGCCAAGATCACGCCACTGCACTCCAGCCTAGGCAACAGAGCAAGACTCTGTCTCAAAAGAAAAAAAAAAAAAAGACTCTCCAGTTCTGTTAAAAATAAACGTGTGTGTGTGTGTGTGTGTGTGTGTGTGTGTGTAGTAAATAAACATGTAATGCACTTTTGAGTTATTGTTTTACTGGGCACCGATAAATTTTAAGAAATAGATAAATTGTAAGAAAAAAATGAATGGAAGGGAACTTACAGATTTAAAGAGACATAAAAGGCAAATCAAAAAAATTTTAATGGCCAAGACTAAATCGAAGTGTCTAGGGATGTACATTTGGGTGATGTAACTATAAATAAAAGTGAGTACATGATTACTATACACCAAAACGAGGTTAATGCTTATTTAAGGGGGGAGGAAGAGGGCTCTGATAGGACTAGGACCATGAAGTGTCTTCTGGCAAGGCTGGCAAAGTTCTATTTCTTGACCTAGATGGTCATTAGAAAGACTCATGAGGCCGGGTGCGGTGGCTCATGCCTGTAATCCCAGTACTTTGGGAGGCCAAGGTGGGTGGATCACAAGGTCAGAAGTTCAAGACCAGCCTGGCCAAGACGGTGAAACTCCGTCTCTAATAAAAATACAAAAATTAGCCAGGTGTGGTAGCAGGCACCTGTAACCCCAGCTACTCGGGAGGCTGAGGCAGGAGAATCACTTGAACCCAGGAGGCAGAGGTTGCAGTGAGTCGAGATCACACCCCTGTACTCCAGCCTGAGTGACAGAGTAAGACTCCATCTCAAAAAAAAAAAAAAAAAAAAAAAGAATGATTCATTAAGCTATGTTTATGTGGTTTTCTGCATCTGCATTTTATTTTATAGTAAAAAAAATTTTTTTTAAATAAATGAGTGAGAATGGAAGATGAAAATGTTCAGTAGGGAGAATCCATAGGCTAACAGGAAGGTTTGTCTTCTCTCACAACCCAGATCCCAGAGAAACAGTCAAGATTACCCGAAGCAGACAGGACTAGGGCAAGGCTTATTTCCCTCTGAGACAGACTCTTAGGGACTGCCTTGGACTGAACCCTATAATCCTTCTGACAGCCAGACTTATTTACTGTAATTATATTAAAAAATTAACAACATATTGCTATGCATTTCCTTTGCTTTCAAGTGGTGGTCATTGGCTGTGATGAATGTGTATGTTTTGTTTTTTTCTCTCACCGTAATTAATCCTGTATCTTCTTATTCCTTCCAGAATGGGTTTTTATCTTCATTGCCTTATTTAGGCTCTTGGTTATGTATGATCCTGTCTGGTCAAGCTGCTGACAATTTAAGGGCAAAATGGAATTTTTCAACTTTATGTGTTCGCAGAATTTTTAGCCTTATAGGTAAGTGAAGCAATCAGGTTTTGTTTTGGTTTACAGTTATTTACCATGTTTACAGTTATAGGAGATAGGAAAACAAAGTGTGTTTCCCACTTTTACACACAGTTAACACAAT
Organism: Homo sapiens; assembly: GCF_000001405.40. Taxonomy (NCBI): domain Eukaryota; kingdom Metazoa; phylum Chordata; class Mammalia; order Primates; family Hominidae; genus Homo; species Homo sapiens. The sequence goes on along the minus strand of NC_000006.12, from coordinate 73,615,202 downwards.
ACTCAACACAGAACACCTCGCTCTAATCACCAAAATGTTTGTGGGGATTTCTGCCTACACATAACCAGTTCTGCAGCGGACACCAGCTAGGTATCCTGTAATTCAGTTCTGACACTGTCCAGCTGGCGGTAGCATCAGATCCTATAGGTTGAGGGCTCAGTTCCACAAGATCGCCCCCCTACTTCGGATACCAATCACAAGTCCCAGCTTGTGACCTCTGCTTCTGACTGACCGGCTATAAATCAGGGTTCCCATGACTGTCTTGTCAGGTTCAGTTAATCTGCTAGAGCATCTCAGAGAACTCAGAGAAACACTTTATTTTATGTTTACCCACTTATTATAAAGGGTATTGCAAAGGATATAGATGAACAGCCAGATGGAAAAGCTGCATAGGGCAACATATGTGGGACCGGGTAGGGAGTTTTCATGCCCTCTCCTGGAACACCACCCTCCAAGAACCCCGACCGCAAAAGTTCATCCAAACCCTGTCCCTTTGAGTTTGTATGGAGACTTCGTTAAATGTGTATGATTGATTAAATCATTGGCCATTGGTGACTGGCTCAACCTTCAGCCCCTCTCCCCTCTCTGGAGTTTGGGGGTGGTGCCAAAAGTCCCAGACCTCTAATCCAGCCACCATCCTGAAGCTGTATGGGGACCCCCAGCCACCAATTGTCTCATTAGCATACAAAAGACACTGTTACCACTCCAGAAATTCCAAAAGTTTTAGGAGCTGTGTGCCAAAAAACCGGGGGCAGAGACCAAATATATATTTCTTTTTTAAAACAATTTTTTAATAGAAATGGGGTCTTGCTATGTTGCCCCGTCTGGTCTTGAATTCCTGGCCTCAAGTGATCTTCCTGCCTCAGCATCCCAAAATGTTGGGATTACAGACATGAGCCACCACACTGGCCATATTTCTTTTCTTATTTTTTTTCTTGAGACAGGGGCTCACTCTTAGCCCAGGCTGGAGTGTGGTGGCATGATCTTGACTCACTGCAGCCTCAACCTCCTCAGCCTCAGGTGATCCTCCCACCTCAGCCTCCTGAGTAGCTAGGACTACAGGCACACACCACCATACCCAGCTAATTTTTTAATTTTTACTGAAGACGGGGTTTCACCACGTTGTCCAGGCTGGTCTTTAACTCCTGAACTCAAGTCATCTGCCCGCCTTGGCCTCCCAAAGTGCTGGGACTACAGGAGTGAGGCACCACACCCAGCCCCAGCCATTTTGTTTAATTTCTTTCTTTAATGGGACAAGGTCTCGCTTTATTGCCCACATTGGCCTTGAACTCCTGGCCTTCAGCAATCCTGCTGCTTCAGCCTCCCAAAGTGCTAGGATTACAGGTGTGAGCCACCACACCCAGCCCCCAGCCATATTTTTTAAAATCACAATATCACAACAGTTCAAGACAAAATAAAAATGATAATATTAGTCTTTTATTTTGTTCACATAACAAAACACTATGATGCATTTAAGTGCATTTCTTTACAATATGTTTCTTTTTGAATCATACATTTTGAGGATTAAGATTTATAATATTCACTGGGCGCAGTGGCTTATGCCTGTAATCCTAGCACTTTGGGAGGCTGAGGTGAGCAGATCACAAGGTCAGGAGTTCAAGACCAGTCTGACCAACATGGTGAAACCCTGTCTACTAAAAATACAAAAATTAGCTGGGCGTGGTGGCAAGTGCCTGTAATCCCAGCTACCTGGGAGGCTGAAGCAGGAGAATTGCTTGAACCCAGGAGGCAGAGGTTGCAGTGAGCTGAAATCGCGCCACTGCACTCCAGCCTGGGCAACAGAGTGAGATCCTGTCTCAAAAAAAAAAAATTTATAAAAGATTTATCTCCACCATGGCTTATAATTATTTTTAAAATGGCTTGCTGTGCCAAACATCATCCCTCACAATTTTATATATCACTGTGCTTTCAGCTCAGACTTTGCAATGAAGATTTTTATATCAACTTTAGACAAGATGTAATCAAAGTATTTTTAAGCCTCCATCCCTTTTCTAAGTGAATGCATTTTAAGTTTCAATCCAAAAATATTTACTAGCATTATTATATCAAATAAGGAGCTATAAATCAAAGAACTCAAAGAACCCATAAATAATCATGTGTTTCAGACTCTGCTTTCAGAAAGGTAATTTTTTTTTTTTTTGAGACAGGGTCTTGCTCCGTTGGCCAGGATGGACAACCATGGCTCACTGCAGCCTCAACCTTCTAGGCACAAGTAATTCTCCCACCTCAGTCTCCTGAGCAGCTGGGACTACAGGTCACGCCACAGCACCCAGCTAATTATTTTTGATTTTTTGTAGAGACATGGTTTTACCATGTTGCTCAGGTTAGTCACAAATTCCTGGGCTCAAGCGATCCTCCCACCTCAGCCTTTCAAAGTGCTGGAATTACAGGCGTGAGCCACTGTGCCTGGCCTAGAAAGGTAACTTTTAAAACTATCTAATCAGTTAGGCATGATGGTATGTATCTGTAGTCCCAGCTACTCCAGAGGCTAAGGTGAGAAAATCTCTTGAGCCTAGTTGTTTGAGGCTGCAGAGAGCTATGATCACAACACTGCACTCCAACCTAGGCAACAGAGCAATACCCTATCTCTAAAAATAGTTAGAAAAAAATGTACGTAGAAATAAAACTGTCTAAGACAATCATTTAACTTTTTAAAAGTCTCCAGTAGAGACCCTGGAAGTCTCAGTGACTATACTTCAGTAATTACATTATAAAAAGACCCTGGCTGGGCTCGGTGGCTGTTGCCTGTAATCCCAGCACTTTGGGAGGCAGAGGCGGAGGCAGGCAGATACTTGAGGTCAGGAGCTCAAAACCAGGCTGGCCAACATGGTGAAACCCCATCTCTAATACAAAGATTAGCTTGGCGTGGTGGTGTGTGGCTGTCCCAGCTATTCAGGAGGCCGAGGCAGGAGAATTGCTTGAACCTGGGAGGCAGAGGTTGCAGTGAGCCAAGATTTCGCCACTGCACTCCAGTCTGGGCAAAAAGAGTGAAAAAAAAAAAATTAGCCAGGCATGGTGGCACATGCCTTTAATCCCAGCTACTCAGGAGGCTGAGGCACAAGACTTGCTTACACCTGGGAGGCAGAGGTTGCAGTGAGCTCAGATTGTGCCACTGCACTCCAGCCTGGGTAACAGAATGCGACCCTATTTCAAAATAAATAAATAAAAGTAATGAAATTAAATTAAATCAGACATGGTGGCGTGCACCTGTAGTCCCAGCTACTCAGGAAGCCAAGGCAGAGGATCACTTGAGCCTGGGAAGTCAAGGCTGCAGTGAGCCATGATCGCACCACTGCACTCCAGCCTGACGACAGTGAGACCCTGTCTCAAAAAAACAAGAAAATAAATAAATAAGTAAATAAATGTAATTGAACTTTTTTTAAAGTTCCTCAGTTGCAGTATATACAAATACAACATTTCCATCATCACAGAGAGCTATTGGATAGCACTGCTGTAGACACAGAAAAACTGACAGCCCACTCATTAAGTCTCTTCTCATATTTTACGCTTAACTGCCTGTAATGACCAATGTGTATTCTTATCAGTTGTTAATAATAGGGAGGATTCCTGCATATTAGGTGGGGCAGAAAAAAAAAAAACCAAGGCCGGGCATGGTGGCTCACACCTGTAATCCCAGCACTTTGGGAGGCAAGGTGGGTGGATCGCTTGAGGTCAGGAGTTCGAGAACGGCCTGGCCAACATGGCGAAACCCCATCTCTACTAAAAATACAAAAATTAGCTGGGTATGGTGGCCCAGGCCTGTAATTCCAGCTATTCAGGAGGCTGAGGCAGGAGAATCACTTGAACCTAGGAGGCAGAGGTGGCAGTGAGCCCAGATCACGCCACTGCACTCCAGCCTGGGTGACAGAGTGAGACTCCAGCTCAAAAAAAAGAGAGAGAGAATGAAGACAGAGATTTTAAAAAATCTTTTTAAGAAACAAGGTCTTGCTCTGACAACCCAGGCTGGAGTGCAGTGGTGCCATCATAGCTCACTGTAACCTTGAACTTCTGGGCTCAAGCAATCCTCCCACCTCAGCCTCCTGAGCAGCCAGGACTACAGGTGTGCACCACCATGCCTGGCGAATTTTGTTTTTAATATTTCGTAGAGACAGGGTCTTGCTGTGTTGCCCAGGCTGGCCTCAAACTCCTGGCCTCAAGTGATTCTCCCGCCTCAGCCTCCTAACGTGCTGGGATTACAGGTGTGAGCTGCCACACCCAGGCAAGATGGAGTATTATTCTAACCTCATCCAACAGAGTTTATTATTCAGTTTATCTCCTTTGGTTATATGTATTTTAAACCACATTCTGTGTCAGCTATTGCTTCTCTCTAGAAACATATTTTTAAGTTGTTCTTGTCTTGTTCTTCTCTAACACCATGGAATTTTAGCTGAGTTTTGGCCACATGTAGATTTAATAACATTGCATAATGAGATTTTCCTTTTATAGTATATTAGTTGTATTACGCCCATGTTTTCCAGCATTTTTTTTTTCTCATGAAATTTGTTAGTCTTCCAGGCAATATAGTGTTTCTACAGTAGGTGGCAGCAATTTCAAATTTCAGATTTATACCATATTAAGGTAGAGCAAATATTAATGCTGGGTGTTTTTTCCCTTTTATAACTTTTTAACTCCAGGAATGATTGGACCTGCAGTATTCCTGGTAGCTGCTGGCTTCATTGGCTGTGATTATTCTTTGGCCGTTGCTTTCCTAACTATATCAACAACACTGGGAGGCTTTTGCTCTTCTGGATTTAGCATCAACCATCTGGATATTGCTCCTTCGTGAGTACTAATATAAAGATTTGCTGTGATTGACTTTAAATTATATTTTTAAAAATCCTGATAAAAGGCCAGAGGCGGTGACTCACACCTGTAATCCCAGCACTTTGGGAGGCCAAGGCAGGCAGATAACCTGAGGTCAGGAGTTTGAGACCAGCCTGGCCAACATGGCGAAGCCCTATCTCTACTAAAAATACAAAAATTAGCCAGGCATGATGGCGGGCACCTGTAATCCCAGCTACTTAGGAGGCTGAGGCAGGAGAATCGCTTGAACCCAGGAGGCAGAGGTTGCAGTGAGCTGAGATCGCATCATTGCACTTCAGCCTGGGCAACAAGAGCAAGACTCCATCTAAAAAAAAAAAAACCTGATAAAATAGATATGATATAAAACTTACCATTTTAAGTATGCAGTTCTGTGGCATTAAGTATTCACATTGTTTCATAACTAGCACCACCAACAATCTCTAGAGCAATTTCATCTTCTCAACAGAAACTGTACCCGTTAAACACAATCTCCCATTTCTCCTTCCTCCCAGGCCCTGGCAACCAACATTCTACTTTCTGCCTCTATGGATTTGACTACTATAGGAATGACTTTAAATTCTTAACAGGATTTTAATTTACACAATAATTAAAGCAGGAAGTTGTTTTTAAATTTAAACTTTTAACTATCATCACCTCTGTCCACAGTGCTCTCATTAGAACATTGCAATAACTCATTACTGTGTCTGTTCACCCAACTAGACTAGGAACTCTGTGAAGGCAGAAACTCCCTTATTGTCCTCAGGGCTCTCCATGGCACTTGGCATGTAGTAGGCATTTTGTCAGATGAATGAATGTGAAAGAGTAGACCCAATTGATTTGTCTAACTATATTACCTATGTGCAAATATATTTGTGTAGCCCTTGATAGTTTACACATCACTTTCATAAACACTATCCATTTTACCCTTAAAGCATTCCTTTGAAGTAAGTATTTTTGCCCTATTTGAACGCTAAAGAAACTTAAGAGAAGTTAAGTGATTTATCTTGCAGCACACAGCTAATATAATAAATGATAGAGCCAAAACTTGAACCTAAAATTTTTACTTTTAAGCCCAAAATTCTTTCTACAGCTACCTCTCTGGAAATATTCTTTGAGCCACATACTTCTAAAACCATTTTGTGCCAGCTGACAAGGTAAATAAGGGAGCTATGTAAATATTTTAACCCAAAAGTTTTAATACACTTTATTTGTAAAAATAATAGATATAAATTTATTTTGGAGAAAAGACAGATGGACTCTTACCCTCTTTTCACTACCTCAAAATCTTCACACCTGGACTCCTACAGAATCTTCTGATTTCTATGAATCCTCAGTCTCCTATCTCTTCAATAAATACTCTAAGATAAGCTGCACTCTGTCACCCAGGCTAGAGTGCAGTGACGCCACTGTAGTTCACTGTGGCCTTGAACTCCTGGGATCAAGTAATCCTTCCTGCTCAGCCTCCTGAGTCGCTGGGACTGCAGGCATACATCACCATGCCTGGTTAATTTTTCAAAAAATATTTTGTAGAGATGGGGTCTCCCTATCTTGCCCAGGGTGGTCTCAGTCTCCTGGCCTCAAGTAATCTTCCCGCCTCAGCCCCCCGAAGTGCTAGGATTACAGGCGTGGGCCACAGCACCTGGCCAAGACTTGAGGTTTTGTCAAGCCTAGGATTGACGAATAGTCAAAGGGATATGGGAATTGAGAGTTTTGGCAAGAAATAGTTCTAGGCTATGTTATCGCTTAGGATGTTTTTAGTTGAAGTATAGAAATTCTAATTTAAACTGGGCTAAACAGCATAATCTATTGATTCACTTAATTGTATCCAGAAATAATAGGCTTCAGGCAAGAGTTGATATCCAGCTGCCTACTAATATCACCACAGATTGTTTCTTTCTCACTCTCTGTCTTTTACAGTAGTAGTTTTGTCCTAAGACTGGGTCTGCTTATAAAATCACACAATGAAATGATTGCCAGCAACAATCAGGACTACATGCTTCTTCATTCACATCAAGCAGAAAGAAAAGGATCTTTTCCTCTCTCCACCATGGAAATAAGTCCTGGGCTTCATTTTGGTTGACCCAAACTGAGTCACATGAACCAACCCCAATGGCCAAGAGAATATCATGTGACTTTAGGACAATCAGCACCTACCCCAAAAGTTAGAAGTCAAAGGGTCAGTGCCCCTCAGACATCACTATTGCTACACAGATGGGGGTGGGGAGTGGGAATGGATGCTGAGGAATCCATCGGTAACATCCATTATAACACATGAAGATGTAAATAAACATGAGTCATTTTGAGCCGGGCACGGTAGTTCACGCCTGTAATCCCAACACTTTGGGAGGCTGAGGCGGGTGGATCACCTGAGGTCAGGAGTTCGAGATCAGCCTGGCCAACATGGTGAAACCCCATCTCTACTAAAAATACAAAAATTAGCAGGGTGTGATGGCACACACCTGTAGTCTCAGCTTCTCAGGAGGCTGAGGCAGGAGAATCGCTTGAACCCGGGAGGCAGAGGTTGCTGTGAGCCAAGATTGTGCCACTGTGCTCCAGCCTGGGTGACAAAGTGAGACTCCATCTCAAAAAAAAAAAAAAAAAAATTATAAGGAACATAAAATTGGTTCAGCAGCCATCCAGCCAGAAGGTGGTAAGTCACCCACACCATTTAATAAATCTGAAAGGTAGCTTAGGATTCATCAGGTTCCTGAAGTCTTATTAGAATCTCTGGAATCTGATGAGGGCCCCCCCTGCTCTCTTGAACTAGCAATGAAAGAAAATTGGATCATCGGATAAAAATTGGAGCTATGGTCGGCCGGGTGTAATGGCTCATGCCTGTAATCCCGGCACTTTGGGAGACCAAGGTGGGCAGATCACCTGAGGTCAGGAGTTCAAGACCAGCCTGGCCAACATGGTGAAACTCTGTCTCTACTAAAAATATAAAATTAGCCAGGTGGGGTGGTAGGACCTGTAATCCCAGCTACTTGGAAGGATGAGGCAGAAAATCACTTGAACCTGGGAGGTGGAGGTTGCAGTGAGCAATTGCACTCTAGCCTGGGTGACAAGAGTGAAACTCCATCTCAAAAAAAAAAAAAATAGTGCTATTGTCAAAAGATGAAAATAGATGCTGAAGAAAAAGAAAACCAAATATCCATGGTACCTACCTTATAAGATCGTTGTGAAGATTAAATAGAACACGCACAGAACACTTTGCTCATAATGCAATAAAGGTATTTGCATATAATGCAATAGATGTAATTATTTTCTGGCTAACTTTGAGTCAGGTGTGGTGACCAGGGTCACAGATCAATCCAAGTAAAATATTAAAGTGATGATTGGTGTGCTTTCAGAAAGGAAAATGCTGACCACTAAAGAGCCACCATTGGGTCACTAAGAGCCAAAATGGCAAAACAGTCTAACTTCTCAACATAATTTTTAGCCTAATAGAATAAAGAAAATATAGTAGATTTGATATGTCAGGACTTCAGCCAGGCCTCCTATGATAGATGCCGTTTTGGACAAGGTGGAGAAAGATGAATTGGATGTACAATTAGATAAATTTGTCACTACTAAATTTCAGTGTAATAGCATGCTCATTAACGGATCTAGTCATTTGAGAAACACTGTGCCAGGCACTGTACCAGATGTTGAAGACACAAACATGAAAGTAACATGATTCCTGCTGGCATCTGTATAAGCTTAAGCTGGCCTGGATGATGGTGGGTCATGTCATGAAGTATAATGCTGGACAGGCAGCAGGGGGATCCTGTGCCTGAGCTTCAAGCATCAGGTGGGTGGTTGAAGTCTACATCTTAAAGACCCAGGTCCAACCCTGAAATTTTATGAGTCTTATAAGCCGAAAAAGACATTTATCTAGATATCATAAGAAGCTAAACAGGTTTAGTAACATAAATGATGCCAGCAAATAGTTGTAGCAGTTGGGAGGATGGTAAGCAAGTGCCTTTGTGCCTCAGATAATGAGGACTGCTGTACTGGTTCTCAGCTGACTGAGACACAACTATTCCAAATGTAAGTAGGCCCGGTGAGGTGGCTCATGCCTGTAATCCCAGCACTTTGGGAGGCTGAGGCGGTTGGATCGTTTGAGGTTAGGAGCTCCAGACCAGCCTGACCAACATGGTGAAACCCCATCTCTACTAAAAATACAAAAATTAACCAGGTGTGGTGGCGGGCGACTATAATCCCACTGACTCAGGAGGCTGAGGCATGAGAATTGCTTGAACCCAGGAGTTGGAGGTTGCAGTGAGCAGAGATTGTGCTACTGCACTCCAGCCTGGGCTGCAGAGTGAGACTCAGTCTCAAAAAATTAAATAAATAAATAAATAAATAAATCTCATCAAATTCAAAATTATTATTATTTGTTTTTTGTTTTGTTTTGTTTTTGAGATGGAGTTTCACTCTTGTTGCCCAGGCTGGAGTGCAATGGTGCAATCTCAGCTCACCGCAACCTCTGCCTCTTGGGTTCAAGTGATTCTCCTGCCTCAGCCTCCCAAGTAGCTGGGATTACAGGCATGTGCCACCACACCCTGCTAATTTTGTATTTTTAGTAGAGAGGGAGTTTCTCCATGTTGGTCATGCTGGTCTCGAACTCCCGACCTCAGGTGATCCGCCAGCCTCAACCTCCCAAAGTGCTAGGATTACAGGCGTGAGCCACCATGCCCAGCCCAAAGTCAAAATTATTTATCTCCCTTAGTGTGTGTGTGTGTGTGTGTGTGTGTGTGTGTGTGTGTTTAAACCTTGCAGTTCTAGCTCAAAGGATAACTTTCTTATATTTTGATTCAGCTCTTCAGATGAGCTTTTTAGTTTTTCTTTTCCAACTGGAATTTCTTCATTCAAAGCACATCAGTTATTTCTAGTTGCAGGAGTCTTGGCTACATATCTTATTGGGGATTACATATCTTAGGTTTTTCATAGTTGCTTTTTGTTGTGGTAACAACTGAGGGCCCATTCAGTGTAATACGCTACTAGTTAAAACAGAGGCACTTGAGGACCATAAACAAGCCATAAACAAGTTCAACACCAGGGCTTGTGGTGAAAAATGAAGCATGAGAAAATTTATCTTTCCTACAGATTGGGTTCAGTGATTACTGTGTTTTGTTTTTTTTAACAAGGTAGCATTGTAGATTATAACATTATAATATTAAGTACTGATTCAGAATCAGACAAATTGGGTGACATTTTATGGTTTTTCTTCATCTATAAAATGAAGATAATCCAGCTGGGTGCAGTGGCTCTCGCCTGTAATCCCAGGACTTCGGAAGGCCAAGGTGGGAGGATCGTTTGGGCCCAGCAGTTCAAGACCTGCCTGGGCAATATAGCAAGATCGTACCTCTAAAAAACTTAACAAAATTTTAAAATTTTAAAAATAAAATGAAGATAATCCTTCCTCATGGGGTTGATTTTATAATTAAAATGATATAATATGATATATAAAACCCTTATAAACATGTCTGATATCAGGTTTTCCAATACATAGTCAGTAAACAGATACAAGGTTTTCCAATAAATAATATTCCTATTAACATATAAATGTGTACTTGGATTTTATAGGCCTTTACTTCTATAGACTGAAATAGAGATTTTATGTTATCAATGTATTTATTATCTTTTGAGGCAGAGTCACACCCTGTCACCCAGGCTGGAGTACAGCAGCAAGACCACGGCTCACTGCAGTCGCAAGCAATCCTCCTGCAATCCTCCACCTCAGCCTCCTGAGTAGCGAGCGGGTCTACAGCCTGAGCCAACACACCCAGCTAATTTTGTGTGTTTTTTTAGTTTTTGTAGAGAGAGGGTTTCACCATGTTGCCCAGGCTAGTCTCAAACTCCTGGGCTCAAGCAATTCTCCCACCTCAGCCTCCCAAAATGCTGGGATTACAGGCATGCACCACCACACCCGGCCCCAAAATAGAGATTTTTCTATGGTAATTTTGTTGCCCGAATTCATGGGAATTAGATAGATTTTCAGCTATTAATTCCAATAGTACTCCAACAGCACAGAATCCAGACTGAGTCCATACAACTTGTTTTCTTCCAAGTGGTCATCAATCTTTCATGGCCTGTCCTGGCCAAGTGAAATATAAGTACTTGAATGAGCTTCTTGTTGCTGACATTTAGAATTTCATGGCATTCGTCTGCACTTAATATCTGTCACTGGAAAGGCTGGCAACATTGCAGTTGACTCCTCTTACTGCCAAGGTGTTAATGGTTTAAAAAGAAAAAAAAAAAAGAGAGGCTCTGCCAAGCTTGGTTAATTTAGATACACCCCTAAAGGGGATGAGCCAAAAAGATCTGTACTTCATGGTTTTGTTATAGTGCTGTGTGTATGCACAAGTTTTGAACATAAAACTTTGTGATCTTTATACATAACTGAATTAGTTAAGCAGCACTTTTTTTAACTGAACTCCTCCTTCTCCTTTAAGTGTTTTTTTTTTGTTTTTTGTTTTTGTTTTTGTTTTTTACCAAAAACATTAAACCTAAATCTAATGAACCCCCTAGGATCTAGAGTCTAGAAACTATCAGTGTACAGGAAATACAGGAGGTATAAGATTATGTGAAATGATACCTAAGAGATACAATCTTCAAAGTCCAGAATTCATGAATATATACAGGACAAACATCCTAGTAAAGGGACAGCAATTTTAGGCCAGGCGCAGTGGCTCGCTCCTGTAATCCCAGCACTATGGGAGGCTGGGGCAGGTGGATCACCTGAGGTCAGGAGTTTGAGACCAGCCTAACCAACGTGGTGAAACCCCGTTTCTACTAAAAATACAAAATTACCCAGGTATGGTGGTGCATGCCTGTAATCCCAGCTACTCAGGAGGCTGAGGAAGGAGAATCACTTGAACTGGGGAGGTGGAAGTTGTAATGAGCCAAGATCACACCATTGCACTCCAGTCTGGGCAACAAGAGTGAAACTCTGTCTCAAAAAAAAAAAAAAAAAGAGGCAGCAATTTTAAAAATGAATTATCGGGCCAGGTGCAGTGGCTCACGCCTGTAATCCCAGCAATTTGGCAATTTGGGAGGCTGAGGCAGGTGGATCACCTGAGATCAGGAGTTCAAGACCAGCCTGACCTACATGGCATGCGTGTATAGTCCCAGCTACTTGGGAGGCTGAAGCAGAAGAATCACTTGAACCTAGGAGGCGGAGGTTGCAATGAGCTGAGATCGCGCCACTGTACTCCAGCCTGAGCGACAGAGACTCCGTCTCAAAAAAAAAAATGTAATTAATGGAACAAGCAAATTTTATGTTTGATATGATCTCACGTCTATAATAACATACTAGAAATATATACAGACAGAAAAAAATAGGATATTTATGAAAATGTTAATGTTGATCATCTCTATGGGGAAGAATTATAGGTAATTTTACTTCATTATTTTTTTCTTTTTTCGTATTAATTTTCAAAAATTAATTACAATTGAATTTTCAAATCAGGAAAGAAATTTTTTTTAACTTAAAAAACTTTAAGCTAGACATGCTAAGCTTTCTGTATGAAAATGATATCTCAGAACTTTCCTATATCACTATAAAAAGGGGTTATTTCCATGGCTGTGTTCCTGTATGTAATTTTTTTTTTTTTTTTTTTGAGACGGAGTCTCGCTCTGTCGGCCAGGCTGGAGTGCAGTGGCGCGATCTCTGCTCACTGCAAGCTCCGCCTCCCAGGTTCACGCCATTCTCCTGCCTCAGCCTCCCGAGTAGCTGGGACTAGAGGCGCCTGCCATCACGGCCGGCTAATTTTTTTGTATTTTTGGTAGAGACGGGGTTTCACCATGTTAGCCAGCATGGTCTCGATCTCCTGACCTCGTGATCCACCCGCCTCGGCCTCCCAAAGTGCTGGGATTACAAGCGTGAGCCACCGCGCCCAGCCTTCCTCTAATGTTAATGTTTTTTGTTGTTGTTGTTGTTGTTAATTTTTATTTTTTTTATTGATCATTCTTGGGTGTTTCTCACAGAGGGGGATTTGGCAGGGTCATAGGACAATAGTGGAGGGAAGGTCGGCAGATAAACAAGTGAACAAAGGTCTCTGGTTTTCCTAGGCAGAGGACCCTGCGGCGTTCCGCAGTGTTTGTGTCCCTGGGTACTTGAGATTAGGGAGTGGTGATGATTCTTAACGAGCATGCTGCCTTCAAGCATCTGTTTAACAAAGCACATCTTGCACCGCCCTTAATCCATTTAACCCTGAGTGGACACAGCACATGTTTCAGAGAGCACAGGGTTGGGGGTAAGGTCACCGATCAACAGGATCCCAAGGCAGAAGAATGTATCTTAGTACAGAACAAAATGAAAAGTCTCCCATGTCTACTTCTTTCTACACAGACACGGCAACCATCCGATTTCTCAATCTTTTCCCCACCTTTCCCCCCTTTCTATTCCACAAAACCGCCATTGTCATCCCAGCCCGTTCTCAATGAGCTGTTGGGTACACCTCCCAGACGGGGTGGTGGCCGGGCAGAGGGGCTCCTCACTTCCCAGTAGGGGCGGCCGGGCAGAGGCGCCCCTCACCTCCCGGACGGGGCGGCTGGCCGGGCAGGGGGCTGACCCCCCCACCTCCCTCCCGGACGGAGCGGCTGGCCGGGCAGAGGGGCTCCTCACTTCTCAGTAGGGGCGGCTGGGCAGAGGCGCCCCTCACCTCCCGGACGGGGCGGCTGGCCGGGCGGGGGGCTGACCACCCCACCTCCCTCCTGGACGGGGCATCTGGCTGGGCGGGGGGCTGACCCCCCCCCACCTCCCTCCCGGACGGGGCGGCTGGCCGGGCAGCAGGGCTCCTCACTTCCCAGTAGGGGCGGCCGGGCAGAGGCTCCCCTCACCTCCCGGACGGGTTGGCTGGCCGGGCGGGGGGCTGACCCCCCCACCTCCCTCCCGGACGGGGCGGCTGGCCAGGCGGGGTGCTGACCCCCCCACCTCCCTCCCGGACGGGGCGGCTGGCCGGGCGCGGGGCTGACCCCCCCACCTCCCTCCCGGACGGGGCGGCTGCCGGGCGGAGACGCTCCTCACTTCCCAGACGGGGTGGCTGCCGGGCAGAGGGGCTCCTCACTTCTCAGACGGGGCGGCTGCCGGGCGGAGGGGCTCCTCACTTCTCAGACGGGGCGGCTGGGCAGAGACGCTCCTCACCTTCCAGACGGGGTCGGGGCCAGGCAGAGGCGCTCCTCACATCCCAGACGGGGCGGCGGGGCAGAGGCGCTCCCCACATCTCAGACGATGGGCGGCCGGGCAGAGACGCTCCTCACTTCCCAGATGGGATGGCTGCCGGGAAGAGGCGCTCCTCACTTCCTAGATGGGATGGCGGCCGGGCAGAGACGCTCCTCACTTTCCAGACTGGGCATCCAGGCAGAGGGTCTCCTCACTTCCCAGACGATGGGCGGCCAGGCAGAGACGCTCCTCACTTCCCAGACGGGGTGGCGGCCGGGCCTAATGTTAATGTTAAAATGCTACTTAACTATTGAAATGCAAGTTTTTCACCAGCTGAATATAAAATCCCATTGCAATAAGACATTTTATTTAGACATAAAATTTCACAAGAACACAACCTGGAGCAGAATAGCTGTCTATTGAAAGAAGCAGCCAGGCGCTGTGGCTCATACTTGAAATCCCAGCACTTTGGGAGGCCGAGGCAGGCAGATCACTTGAGGTCAGGAGCTCGAGAGCAGCCTGGCCAACATGGTGAGACACCGGCTCTACTAAAAATACAAAACTAGCCCAGCATGATGGTGGATGCCTGTAGTCCCCGCTACTCAGGAGGCTAAGGCATGCTTGAACCCGGGAGGCAGAGGCTGCAGTGAGCTGAGATCATCCCACTGCCCTCAAGCCTGGGCCACAGAGTGAGACTCTGTCTCAAAAAAAAAAAAAAAAAAGAAGGAAAGAATGAAGCTGTTTAAATGTGTATCACAATAATAAACGTCTATGAAAATGTTTCTACAGGTATGCTGGTATCCTCCTGGGCATCACAAATACATTTGCCACTATTCCAGGAATGGTTGGGCCCGTCATTGCTAAAAGTCTGACCCCTGATGTAAGTAGATAATTTACTTGTAAACTGGAAAGGTTTTGGAGCTGCACATCTGTGTCAAAGTTCAGTGTATTTTAATTAAGTTTAAAATTCTAAATGTTCTTATGAAATTCTTTTTAGCAACAAAAAGCTAAATGCCTTAATGGATGGGAAAGTATATTTTCAAAGAACAGTTTTTGGATTTTAGACAAAACAATTGAACTAAGTCAAATGAAGACACTGTAGCTGAAACCACACAAGTAGTTAAAAGTTGTGATATTGGCCGGGTGCAGTGGCTCATGCCTGTAATCCCAGCACTTTGGGAGGCCGAGGCAGGTGGATCACGAGGTCAGGAGTTCAATACCAGCCTCACCAACATGGTGAAACCCCGTCTCTACTAAAAATACAAAAATTAGCCGGTGTGGTGGCAGGTGCCTGTAGTCCCAGCTACTCAGGAGGCTGAGGCACAAGAATCGCTCAAACCCAGGAGGCGGAGGTTGCAGTAAGCCAACATCACCACTGCACTCCAGTCTGGCAACAGAGCAAGACTCCGTCTCAAAAAAAAAAAAAGAATTTCAGGACATACTTACAGACTTTCTTATTACCAAATATACTGATTTCAGACATATATCCGACAGATAGTGTTCCTACTTCTTCTCCACATCTACCATTTCTAATTCCTTAAGTGACACGGTACCTGTTACTATTTCCTCTCACTTAATAAAAAGGAATGTTGTAGAAATGCTTTTTCTAAAGTTCTGTGTCTCAATATGGACATGTCCAAAATGTTTAACCTTGTCCTCATGGAGCAGGGTGGCAACACCAGAACCTAAGTCAGCTCACTACCATGTGTTCATTTCACTTACTGATAATGCCAGCACTTCTGCTAGGGAAATATGGATTCCTGAATTACAGTCTTGTATGTTTACAAGTGGGAACTGCGCTTGATTTGGGATATGTTACAGCATTTGTTTAATGCTATTAAAAGGATATCACTGTTTTAGCTGGGTGTGGTTTGTACCTGTAGTCCCAGCTACTTAGGAGGCTGAGGCAGGTGGATGCATAAGCCCAGGGTTTTGAGGCTGCAGTGAGCTATGATCATGCCTCTGCACTCCAGCCTGGGTGAGAGCGGGAGACCCTGTCTCAAAAAAATAAAATAAATAAAAAATAAAAATAAAAAAATAAACAAAATAAAATAAGTTTCGCACTCCGTTGCCCAGTCTGGAGTACAGTGGTGCAGTCTCAGCTCACTGCAACCTCTGCCTCCCAAGTTCAAGCGATTCTCCTGCCTCAGCCTCCCAGGTAGCTGGAACTACAGGCACTCACCACCATGCCCTGCTAATTTTTGTTTTTTGTTTGTGTGTGTGTGTGTTTTTTGGTTTTTTTTTTTGAGACGGAGTTTCGCTCTTGTTGCCCAGGCTGGAGTACAATGGCGCAATCTCAGCTCACCACAACCTTTGCCTCCCGGGTTCCGGCGATTTTCCTGCCTCAGCCTCCCGAATAGCTGGGATTACAGGCATGTGCCACCACGCCCAGCTAATTTTGTATTTTTAATAGAGACGGAGCTTCTCCATGTTGGTCAGGCTGGTTTGGAACTCAGGTGATCCGCCCATCTCGGCCTCCCAAAGTGCTGGGATTACAGGAGTGAGCCACTGCACCCGGCCAAATAAAACTCTAAAGTATATTATTTTTAAAAAGGAAAAGCACACACTTACCTTCACAATTGTAATTTCTTTCTTCTTTTTGAGATGAAGTCTCACTCGTCCCCCAGGTTGGAGGGCAGTGGCGTGATCTCAGCTCACTGCAACCTCCGCCTCCCAGGTTCAAACAATTCTCCTGCCTCAGCCTCCCAAGTAGCTAGGACTACAGGCACGTGCCACCACACCCGGCTAATTTTTGAATTTTTAGTACAGATGGGGTTTCACCATGTTGGCCAGGCTGGTCTCGAACTTCTGACCTCAAATGATCCACCCGCCTCAGCCTCCCAAAGTGCTGGGATATCAGGCATGAGCCACCGCGCCCAGCCTGTAATTTCTTACTTTGAGCACTGCCTCAAAAACTTTGTGGAATGAGTCAGCATATAAATAAATAATGCAATAATTAAAATTCAAAGTGTGTCTGAGGTTCAATGTTGTTATAAACAAAACAGTATTCTCTAAAAACTGGTGGAATTTTTGTTAAAAAACAAACTAGGAGCTGTGTGAGACTTGTAGTACAACGATTGATTTTAAGTTCACTCATTGCCTTCAGATAACACTGAAGTATTATTTTGTCCCAGAGACCACACAGGGCAGCTTTGTCTTAGTAATCCTAAGAAGCTGTTTCAAACATTTCTTTCTGGTATAAGATGTAATTATTGACTGATTCCTCAGCAGAATTTAAGATGAGTATCTAAGATTTTTTTTCATTAAAATGCACTCATCTCAGACAAGTATAGCCACCACAGGGTGTTTCTTTCTTCATGTTTCTCCTTTTTTCCCAAATAAATGACCTCATACTGGCTTCCCAGTGCCTTCTCTTTCACTTCCTCATTGCTAGTTCTACTGCTTGTTTGTTTGGGTTTTTTGTTTGTTTGTTTGTTTCTTTGTTTTTTGAGACAGGGTCTCCATCGCCCAGGCTAGAGTGCAGTGGCGCAATCATGGCTCACTGCAGCCTCAACCTCCCCAGGCTCAGGTGATCTTCCTACCTCAGCCCCCCAAGTAGCTGGGACTACAGATGTACACTACCATGTCCAGCTAATTTTCCTACTTCTTGTAAAGATGGGGTTTCACCACCTTGCCCAGGCTGGTCTCAAACTCCAGGGCTCAAGGTAGCCACCTACCTCGGCCTCCCAAAGTGCTGGGATTACAGGCATGAGCCGCCATGCCTGGCCTGCTTGGTTTTTTTTGTTTTGTTTTGTTTTGTTTTTGAGACGGAGTCTCACTCTGTTGCCCAGGCTGGAGTGCAGTGGCACGATCTTGGCTCACTGCAAACTCCGCCTCCCGGGTTCACGCCATTCTCCTGCCTCAGCCTCCCAAGTAGCTGGGATTACAGGTGCCCACCACCACGCCTGGCTAATTTTTTGTCTTTTTAGTAGAGACGGGGTTTCACCTTGTTAGCCAGGACAGTCTCCATCTCCTGACCTCGTGATCCGCCCACCATGGCCTCCCAAAGTGCTAGGATTACAGGCGTAAGCCACCACGCCTGGCCTGGTTTATTTATTTATTTATTTTTGAGACGGAGTTTCACTCTTGTTCCCCAGGCTGGAGTGCAATGGCATGATCTCAGCTCACTGCAACCTCCGCCTCCCAGGTTCAAGCAATTCTCCTGCCTCAGCCTCCCGAGTAGCTGGGATTACAGGAGCCTGCCACCACGCCCAGCTAATTTTTGTATTTTTAGTAGGGACAGGGTCTCGCCATGTTGGCCAGGCTGGTCTTGAACTCCTGACCTCGGGTGATCCACCCACCTCAGCCTCCCAAAGTGCTGGGATTACAAGCATGAGCCACCACGCCCAACCAGTTTTGTTTTGTTTTGTTTTTGAGAGGGAGTCTTGCTCTGTTGCCCAAGCTGGAGTGCAGTGGAGCGATCTCAGCCTCACTGCAAGCTCCACCTCCCAGGTTCACGCCATTCTCCTGCCTCAGCCTCCCGAGTAGCTGGGACTACAGGCACCAGCCACCACGCCCGGCTAATTTTTTATTTTTTTAGTAAAGACGGGGTTTCACCATGTTAGCCAGGATGGTCTCGATCTCCTGACCTCATGATCCGCCCGCCTCGGCCTCCCAAAGTGCTGGGATTACAGGCGTGATCCACCACGCCCGGCCGTGTGTTTCTTAGTTAATGCTGCAAATGTAGTCACCACTCTGGTTAGACTGAAATTGAAAAAATCCAAAAAATGGTTGTTAAAGGTAGTCACATGACCCAGAAATTTAGATAACTGTCTGATATTTTTATGCCACAGGGTTATACACTGAACAGTTGTCTTACTGACAGATCCCATGTTATATCCTGCTTTGTATGCCATTCAAGATCTTTTATACTTGCCAGGCCTCTCTCTGATGTCACAGATCCTCAAAGCTGAACTTGAGTTCATCTTAACAGTATTTACTTGATCCACCTGACACCTTTCACCTGAGAACCCAGGAGACCGTGCACAGGCATAAGACTTTCTTAGTGTTAGTTAGTGTTAGGCATGATTCAGGGACATGCCAGTACACTTTTTATTGAAGTATATCTATCTATCTTCAGTAAACTTTTTATTGAAGTATAACTTTTTTTAAATGCACAAATCCAGGCCAGGCGTGGTGGCTCACACCTGTAGTACCATCACTGCGGGAGGCTGAGGCGAGTGGATCACTTGAGCCCAGGAGTTCAAGACCAGCCTGGGAAACATGGCGAAACCCCATCTCTACCAAAAATATATATATATATGTATATGTATATATATACGTATATATATATATATGTATATGTATATATATACGTATATATATACATATATATACACACACAAAGAAAATTAGCCAGGCATGGTAGCATGCACCTCTAATCCCAGCTCCTTGGAAGGCTGAGTTGGGAGGATTGCCTCAGCCCAGAAAGTGGAGGCTGCAGTGAGCCGAGATTGCGCCACTGCACTCCAGCCCGGGTGACAGAGTGAGACTCTGTCTCAAAAATAAAAACAAAAATAAATAAATGCACTAATCTAAAGTGTGCAGCTAGATGAATTTCCACAAAGTTAATACATCTGTGTAACCAGCACCCAATCAAGAAACAGAATATTACCTCCCTCAGTAAGACCCCAGGTACCATTTCCTCCTATTTTTCCTTCACCCTCACCAAGTGGAACCACTCTCCCAACTTTTAACCCCATAGATTAGTATGGTCTGACTTTGGGCTTTATATAAATGGAATAATTTAGTATGTACCTTTTTTGTCTGGCTTCTTTTGCTTCATATTTTGTTTGTGAGCTGTATTTATGATGTTGTAGCCCATTCTCATTGCTGTATTGTATTACGTTGAACAAATATACCACTATCCTACTGCTGGTGGACATTTGGGTTGTTTCAAGGATGAGGCTTTTATGAATAATGTGGCTGTTTTAACACTCTTGTGACACTATCTTTTTAATGAAGTGAACTACACACAAAATTTTATTTCACTTGCATTTTTTGTCTTCCTTTATAGAACACTGTTGGAGAATGGCAAACCGTGTTCTATATTGCTGCTGCTATTAATGTTTTTGGTGCCATTTTCTTTACACTATTCGCCAAAGGTGAAGTACAAAACTGGGCTCTCAATGATCACCATGGACACAGACACTGAAGGAACCAATAAATAATCCTGCCTCTATTAATGTATTTTTATTTATCATGTAACCTCAAAGTGCCTTCTGTATTGTGTAAGCATTCTATGTCTTTTTTTAATTGTACTTGTATTAGATTTTTAAGGCCTATAATCATGAAATATCACTAGTTGCCAGAATAATAAAATGAACTGTGTTTAATTATGAATAATATGTAAGCTAGGACTTCTACTTTAGGTTCACATACCTGCCTGCTAGTCGGGCAACATGAAGTAGGACAGTTCTGTTGATTTTTTAGGGCCATACTAAAGGGAATGAGCTGAAACAGACCTCCTGATACCTTTGCTTAATTAAACTAGATGATAATTCTCAGGTACTGATAAACACCTGTTGTTGTTCACTTTCCTCATAAAAATTGTCAGCTCTCTCTGACACTTAGACCTCAAACTTTAGCATCTCTGTGGAGCTGCCATCCACTGTATAATTTCGCCTGGCAACTGGACTGAGGGGAGTGTGCCCAGGCAGCTGCCAAGCACTCCCTCCCTGGCTTCAGGGTCAGAGTGCCCAGCGTTTATCAGAGGCAGCATCCAAGCCCAGAGCCAGTGTCGACTCTTCGGCTGGTGCCTTTCCTCTGAGGGGCTATCAATGTGTAGATAAAGCCCTGAGTAGGCAAGAGCAGTGAGATCCACTGCTATGGTCTTGATACATCCTCAAACTTTCCCTTCCCAGCACAGAGGAATATTGGCTGGCATGCAACCTGCAAAAGAAAAATGCGAAGCGGCCGGGCACGGTGGCTCATGCCTGTAATCCCAGCACTTTGGGGGGCTGAGGTGGGCGAATCATGAGATCAGGAGTTCGAGACCAGCCTGGCCAGCATGGTGAAACCCCATCTCTACTAAAAATACAAAAAATTAGCTGGGCGTGGTGACGGGCGCCTGTAATCCCAGATACTCAGGAGGCTGAGGTAGGAGAATCACTTGAACCTGGGAGGTGGAAGTTGCAGTGAACCAAGATCACGCCACTGCACTCCAGCCTGGGCGATGGAGCGAGACTCCAACTCAAAAAAAAAAAAAGAATAAAGAAAGAAAAGTGCGATGCCCAGTCAATCACAAATAAGATCATCCTGGTTTAAATCTACTCTCACATGGATCACAGTATAAATTTCTATGTGCTGTGTTTTGTTCGTTTGTATTTTGTAGAGATGGGGTCTCGTTTTGTCGCCCAGGCTGGTTTTGAACTCCTGGCTTCAAGCGATCCTCCTGTCTCGGCCTCACAAAGTGTTGAGACTACAGGCATGAGCCACTGTGCCCAGCCTGTTCTATGTTTTTAAGCTACACGAGAATTTTTTTTTTAATTAATTCTCACTGTTTGTTCAGTCTGTCTTCATCTAAGTTTGTGTTGCAGTTTAAAGTTAAAGTGACTTTTAAAGGCCACATCACCTGAGACTAGGGTAATCATCTTTACTTCTGGTTCCTGAAATCATATTTTTCCAGTGGACCATCCTCCAGTGGCTGTGGTTGTTGAGCATGCTTTCAGAACACCTATGTGGCTTAAAACTTAGTTTATGTTTTGTGTTCAACACTACGTGTAATATTTTAAAACTGTTTAATGTGATGTGAATACATTTATGTACATTTATTTTTAAATTTGTAAATAGCTTTAAATTGCTATGGCAATGTTTCTTTTATAAATCATCAAAATAAACCTTTGTGAATTGATTTTTGGATCTGACAGTTCTGTGATGTTTCCTAGTGTCCACAGTGACTCTTTGACATCTTTTCTGCATCCTGCTCGAGCCATCGTCTTCTCTACACACATTTCTGCTACCACAAAGCCGAGGAACTTGGGCCTCCTAAGGGATACAGCATCAGAAATCTCTGTTGCCATCAACCTGCCCTTCCTAGCTCTGAATAGAGTCAGTCCTTCTTGCTATAGCATATGCCCACACTACACTGATTCTCTCTCTCCCACCTCCTCTAAGGACTTGCTTCAGTAATTCTTTTTTTAAATAATTGAGACAGGGTCTTGCTTTGTTGCCCAAGCTGAGCTCAAGCGATCCTCCTGCCTCAGCCTCCCAAGTAGCTGGCACTACACAGCATGTGCTATCACGCCCAGTTAGGAGCTCCTCTTTCATTTACTTCTTCAGTCTCTCCCCTTATTCTTTTCCTTCTATCTCAGAGATACACACGTCTTCTCTAGTCCTTAAATAAAAATACAGAAGTCTCCTGGAGACATTAAATCACAAGTGTACAGAATATCTCTAAGATAATACTCAAGAAACTGGAAAACAGTGTGTGATTTTATAGATAGATATAGATACAGATATAGATTTTCATCCATGGTTCGAGGCTCATAACTCCCGTAGCTCTTGTTATGTTGAGCGCCTTTAGCCCTTAGAAGTAGCCTCAGGAAACAGAATCTTTCTGATCCTCTCCTCTCCTCCTTTCACCTGCTGCTTTTTCTCCCAAGGCAGGAATCTTCCCCCACCTTTCTGTCTTGGAACTGGTCATAAAGAAATTCTGTGGCTGGGGAGGTGGCTCACACCTGTAATCCCAGCACTTTGGGAGGCTGAGGCGGGCGGATCACAAGGTCAGGAGTTCGAGACCAGCCTGGACAATATGGTGAAACCCCGTCCCTACTAAAAATACAAAAATGAGCCAGGCGTGGTGGCGGGCGTCTGTAGTCCCAGCTACTCGGGAGGCTGAGGCAGGAGAATCACTTAAACCCGGGAGGTGAAGGTTACAGTGAGCCGAGATTGCACCACTGCACTCCAGCATGGGTGACAGAGTGAGACTCCGTCTCAAAAAAAAAAAAAAAAATTATGTGGCCTACCTTGTTGGACTGTAGGTCATAAGACCCCATGCCCACGTTTGAGAAGAGGTCCTCTCCATACCCTGGAGGAAGGAATGCTGCACAGAGAGGCCAAGAAGAATCTGGACAGGACTTGGTGGGTTTCCCTCTGAGTCTATTAGTGTTAGATCACACCCTTTCTGTCCAATCACATTTCTACATGGTTGTTAATCATGACTATCCAATGAAGTCTCCATAAAAGGCCTAATAAGACAGGGTTTGGGGAGGCTACTGATAGCTGAACACATGGAGGTTCCTGGAGGGTGGCACGCCCAGAGAGGGCATGGAAGTTCCTCATCCCTTTCCCCAGACATTGCCCTGTGCATCTCTTCATCTGTGTCCTTTGTAATATCCTTTATAGTAAATGATAAACATAAGTGTTTCCCTGAGTTCTTCGAACCACTCTAGCAAATCGATTGAACCAAAAGAGGCAGTTGTGAAAACCTCAACTTGAAGCCAGCAGGTCACAAGTTCCAGAACCCTAGACTTGGGACTGGTGTCTCCAGTGGTGGGCAATCCTGGGGACTGGGCCTTCAACCTGTGGAATCGGATGCTACCTCCAGGTAGACAGTGTCAGTACTGAATTGGGAGACACCCAGTCGGTGTCTGTTGCAGAACTGATTGCTTAGTTGGTGTGTGAGGAAAAACCCACACCCTTTTAATCACAGAAGTCTTCTGTGTTTATTGTTGAATGAGAGATAAGAAAAAAACACATTTGGGCCGGGCGCGGTGGCTCACGCCTGTAATCCCAGCACTTTGGGAGGCCGAGGCGGGTGGATCACGAGGTCAGGAGATCGAAACCATCCTGGCTAACATGGTGAAACCCCACCTCTACTGAAAATACAAAAAAATTAGCCAGGCATGGTGGCAGGTGCCTGTAGTCCCAGCTACTCCGGAGGCTGAGGCAGGAGAATGGCATGAAGCCGGGAGGCGGAGCTTGCAGTGCGCTGAGATCGCGCCACTGCACTCCAGCCTGAGCGACAGAGTGAGACTCCGTCTCAAAAAAGAAAAAGAAAAAGAAAAAAAACACATTTGGCCCGCCGTGGTGGCTCACGCCTGTAATCCCAGCACTTTGGAAGGCTGAGGCAGGCAGATCACCTGAGATCAGAAGTTCGAGACCAGCCTGACCAACATGGAGAAACCCTGTCTCTACTAAAAAATACAAAATTAGCCGGGCATGGTGGCACATGCCTGTAATCCCAGCTACACGGGAGGCTGAGGCAGGAGAATCGCTTGAACCCAGGAGGCAGAGGTTGCGGTGAGCCAAGATCACGCAATTGCACTCCAGCCTGGGCAACAAGAGCGAATCTCAGTCTCAAAAAAAACAAAAAAAAAAAAAACAAAAAAAAAAAAACACAGTTTGAGTAGATTTTTCCACAAACAACGGTTACCTCTATAGAGATAAAATCAGCAACTAGGGATAGGAAGGACAATTAATTTTCACTTTACCAAATGTGGCAGTATGACCTATTCAAATAAATATATTGTTTCATTTATTTATTTATTTTCAGACGGACACTTGCTCTGTTGCCCAGGCTGGAGTGCAGTGGCGCGATCTCTGCTCACTGCGACCTCCACCTCCCAGGTTCAGCGATTCCCCTGCCTCAGCCTCCTGAGTAGCTGGGACTAAAGGCATGCGCCACCATACCTGGCTAATTTTTGTATTTTTAGTAGAGATGGGGTTTCACCATGTTGGCCAGGCTGGTCTACGAACTCCTGACCTCGTGATTTGCCCGCCTCAGCCTCCCAAAGTGCTGGGATTGCCGTGCCTGGCCAAATATATTGTTTTAAAAACAAAAGACCTGTTGCCCAAGCTGTTGTGTAATCACCGCTAGGTTTTCTTTTTTTTTTTTTTTTTGAGACGGAGTCTCGCTCTGTCGCGCAGGCTGGAGTGCAGTGGCGCGATCTCAGCTCACTGCAAGCTCTGCCTCCCAGGTTCACGCCATTCTCCTGCCTCAGCCTCCCGAGTAGCTGGGACTACAGGCGCCCACCACCACGCTAGGCTAATTTTTTGTATTTTTAGTAGAGACGGGGTTTCACTGTGTTAGCCAGGATGGTCTCGATCTCCTGACCTTGTGATCCGCCCACCTCGGCCTCCCAAAGTGCTGGGATTACAGGCGTGAGCCACCGTGCCTGGCACCGCTAGGTTTTCAACTACCTGCTGGACATCCCCAGCTGGCTATCCTTCCTTGCACCTGAGACTATTTAAATCCAACCTCACTCCCCCACCCCCATTCTAAATAAAACTGGCTGTTCCTGCCACCTTCATATTTCTCTTAAAAGTACATTTCCCCAGTCACTTAGGCTTGGCCCAAAGTCATTTCTGTTCCTCCTCCCTAGCCTCCCACCAAACCCCCTACTCTGTGCCAAAACAACCACCTGCCGACCGGGCACGGTGGCTCACACCTGTAATCCCAGCACTTTGGGAGGCCAAGGCGGGTGGATTGCCTGAGGTCAAGAGTTCCAGACCAGCCTGGCTAACGTGGTGAAACACCTTCTCTACTAAAAATACAAAAAAATTAGCCGGGCATGGTGGCACCCGCCTTCAGTCCTACAAAATACAAAAAATTAGCTGGACATGGTGGTGCAGACCTGTAGTTCCCAGCTACTCGGGAGGCTGAGGCAGGAGAATCTCTTCCACCCGGGAGATGGAGGTTGCAGTAAGCCGAGATCGCACCACTGCCCTCCAGCCTGGGCGACAGAAGGGGACCCCGTCAAAAAACAAAAACAAAAAAAAAAAACACCTGGCTCTTCCATTTCAGTTTTTTCATGTCTCTGGAATTTTTTGTTTGTTTTGAAACAGAGTATCACTCTGTCACCCAGGCTGGGGGGCGTGGCATGATCACAGCTCACTGCAGCCTCTACCCCACAGGCTCAAGAGATCCTCCCACTTCAGCCTCCAGACTAGCTGGTACTAAAGGTCTGCACCACCATGCCCAGCTAATTTTTGTATTTTGTAGAGATGGGGTTTCACTATGTTGTCCAGTCTAGTCTCCTGGGTTCAAGTGATCCTCCCGCCTCAGCCTTTCAAAGTGCCGGGATTACAGGTGTAAGCCACCATGTCCGGCCTGGAATTTTTTTTTTCTTAATCCTTCTTCCAGGCCAGGCACAGTGCCTCACACCTGAAATCCCAGTACTTTGGAAGGTCAAGGTGGATAGATGGCTTGAGCCCGGGAGTTTGAGACCAGCTTGGGCAACATGGTGAAACCTGGTCTCTACAAAAAATACAAAAAATTGGCCGGGCATGGTGGTGCATACCTGTAGCCCCAGTTATTCAGGAGGCTGAGTTGAGAGAATCACTTGAGCCCAGGAGATCGAGGCTGCAGTGAGCTGAGATCTCACTGCACTCCAGACTGAGTGACAGAGCGAGAGTCTTTCTCAAAAAAAAAAACAACAAAAAAAAAACCCACTCTCATCTCCTAAGTAAGAGTCTAGTGGCTTTTGTTTACACCTAGAGTAGAAAAGTTAAGTGGTATCACTGCCTTTAGTCTTGCCCTCTTCTATCCCAGCTTCCCACCAGTGTTGAGTTCATTGTCCCAATACAACTAATCTCTCTGATTAAGGTGCTCCCCTATGGTGAGCCCCATGGCTTCCCTGGGCCTACCCAGTAAACTCTCCCACCCAGCAGCTGTGCCCTCCTCACCCTTAGGTTCAGCCTACCCTACCCTTATCTTATGGTGGGAGCCATGCCTTGTTGCAGCGATCTGGCTGCTTCACTTCCCCATGCCTTCTCTCCATCTTCCCTTTCCTCTTCATACCTTTATTAATTTCCTTCCCTGGGTCTGGAAGGTCTCTCCTCAACCTTGCCACCTCCTTCATGACCCCTAATTTCTTCCACCCTCCCTGATCTAGATGTGGTGTCTCCCTTTAACCTACTAAAGTGCCACATTATTTATTTATTTTGGGGTTTCCCTTTATTTTAAACTCAAGGATTTAGGCTCAATTATGTGGAAGAGAGAATTTCTTCATTCATTCAGCGAATACTAAGTATCTACCCTTTGCTAGGCAACAAGGATACAAAGATGCATCTGACACAGCCCTTTCCCTCCCTGGAGCTCCTTCTGACTCCTTGACTCCTTGATCCCCTTCCTCCTTTTTTTTTTTTTTGGAGACAGAGTCTTGCTCTGTTGCCCAGGCTGTAGTGCAGTGGTATAATCTCCACTCACTGCAACCTCTGCCTCCCAGGTTCAAGAAATTCTCCTGCCTCAGCCTCCCGAATAGCTGGGACCACAGGTCCATGCCGCCACATCCAGCTAATTTTTTGTATTTTTAGTAGAGACTAAAATACTAAATTTTTAGTAGAGCCTGTTGCCCAGGCTGGCCTCGAACCCCTGAGCTCAGGCAATCCGCCAGCCTCAGCCTCCCGTGAGCCACTGCACCCGGCCCTCTTTCTTTATAATACTTAATGAACACATGTCTGTGTCTGTCCCAGGAATAGATTCATCACAAACATCTTGAAGGCAGGGTTCATTCCATTCATCTCAGCATGGTCTCACTCATAACAACATGTGCTTAGTTCACTTAGGATGCTTATTAAATAACAACCCTTTAGTTAAATAGACTAAAAATTGATATTTTTGACCAGGCACAAAGGCTCACACCTGTTATCCCAACACTTTATGAGGCTGAGGGCAGGAGGATTGCTTGAGCCCAGGAATTCAATACCAGACTGCACAACAAGGCAAGACCCCATCTCTACAAAAAATTTTCTAAAAACTTAGCCAGGTGTGCTGGCACAGACCTGTGGTCCCAGCTACTCAGGAGGCTGAGGTGGGAGGATCACTTGAGCCCAGGAGGTTGAGGCCACAGTGAGCCATGTTCACACCAAGCCACTCCAGCCTGGGCAACAGAGCAAGACCCTGTCTCAAAAAATAATAAATAAATACATAATTTTTTTTTTGAGATGGAGTTTCGCTTTTGTTGCCCATACTGGAGTGCAGTGGCACGATCTTGGCTCACTGCAACCTCCACCTCCCGGGTTCAAGAGATTCTCCTGCTTCAGCTTCCCAAATAGCTGGGATTACAGGTGCCTGCCACCATGCCCGGCTACTTTTTGTATTTTTAGTTGAGACGAGGCTTACCATGTTGGCCAGGCTGGTCTCGAACTCCTGACCTCATGTGATCCGCCCACAAAGGCCTCCCAAAGTGCTGGGATTACAGGCGTGAGCCACAGCACCTGGCCAATAAATAGAAATTTTTGATCTCATATATTGTTTTTTTCATATGTTTTCTGCTGACCCAAAAAATTAAATAAATGTGCCGACTGCTTTTCAATTTTTTTTTTCAATAAGGCTCCAGGTCAACAGTAGTGCAAGCTTTTAATGAATAAATATGCTAACATCAAAATAAGTTATAAATGGTAATTATTAGCAAATAGTTTTGAAAGTATTTGAGAGTAGCTTAGTTTTGTATATGCAAAATACTTCTCCCAGTTATTCAACAAGTATTTACTGAGCATCCACTATGTACCAGGCATTGCTTTTTGCACGACGACATGGAAGTGGAAAAAAAAAAAGAAATAAGCCAAGTCCCTTTTCTCCTGCAGCTCACATTTTTATTTATCAAGCGTTTTTGTTTATAAGCTCCAGCCTTCAAAACCTCTCATGTAAAAGCATTATTATCCACCCAACAAGCAAATCCAATGGGGAAGAAGCGTGCCAACTGACCTTGAGAGTCCAGTTTATGAAAGAACTTGAGACAAACGCTGAAGACAGCAGTTTGTATTAGCCATGGTAATGTCTTTCTTACTTCAGCCTTTGTTTCGTTTTCAGGAAATCAGAAATAGAGATATCTGAGTTTAGACTTTGTTGCAGAGTAGATTATCTTATCTCCCCTCTGGATGTTCAAAATAAAATTCCCCCAAATATTGGGACCAAAGCTATCACAAAAACAAAACAAACAAACAAAAAAGCCAGCCATGGTGGTGCATGCCTGTGGTCTCAGCTACTCAGGAGGTTGAGGTGGGAGGATAGCTTGAGCCCAAGTGGTCAAGGCTTCAGTGAGCCAAGATCATACCACTGCCCTCCAGCCTGGGTGACAGAGCCAGACGCTGTCTCACAAAAAAGAAAAGAGAGAGAGAGAAATTCCCCCAAACAGAAAAAGACTGATGTAACATTTAAATGTGAAGGCAGGAAGACCACTATAGGAAATGGCCTGGTTCCTCTCAGTAAAAGCATGTTACTGCCTCAGAAGAAGAGACATGGGGTAAATGTTTAATTTCAGTTAAAGAATAAATTATCTTTCTCATAGACATGTAAATTAAGATGGATCACAAAGCCTTTTCAGATGCCTCTGCCTTTTAGAGCAACCATAAGCAGAAAAGCCAATTATAAAAGTTTTTACTCTCAAAGGATAATATAGAAAATTATTTCTAGGAGCTGTGCAAAGGAAAGCTGTGAGCATAAGCAATACTGAAAAGAAATGAAATGTAAGGAATTTTCTGCCCCCTTTTCTTATGTGCCTGGAGGAGGAAGAACACTAGTAATTTTCCAAGTGCCTGTTTACTTTCACTTTATCTTGATGTTGGGGGAGGCGGAAACTTAGAAGTGTTACATCACTGCCAGTCCTGTGCTTGAGTGAGAAGCCACTTTTGCCCAACTGAGCTAAAAAACTATTGAAACTATCAGTTTCCTCATACACATTCTCAGTCCATAATCGTCTAGACTTTGGTAGAGGGGTAGGATTATACATATATATTGTATTAAATCTTTTTCTTAAGCACTCTCACTGTCAGAAACAACTGAAATACGCTAACATGTCCAACAGTGTTATCACCTCTCCGATCAAGTGTGCATCCTGGTCCCAATCATGCTTTAGAGCACTACAAATAGCCCCTTGTGTTAAGCACGTTTTATAGCCTTCACTCTACAGTCTGAAACTTGAACTTTCCCCAGAAGTTTTGTTGATATTAAAAGTGATCTGGAAAGGATAAAGAGTCTGATCTTTTTAATGCTTAAGAATTGTTTTGGGCTGGGCATGGTGGCTCATGCTTATAGTCCCAGCACTTTGGGAGACCAAGGCGGGAGAATCATTAAGATCAGGAGTTTGAGATCAGCCAGACCAACATAGTGAAACCCCGTCTCTACTAAAAATACAAAAATTAGCTGGGCATGGTGGCGTGAGCCTGTAGTCCTAGCTACTCAGGAGGCTGAGGCAGGAGAATCACTTGAACTCGGGAGGTGGAGGTTGCAGGGAGCCGAGATGATACCACCGTATTCCAGCCTGGGCAATAGAGCAAGACTCCATCTCAGAAAAAAAAAAAAAAAAAAAAAAGAACTGTTTTGTATGAAGTAATGAATGCTGTTAGAGGAAATTCAAGTCTGTATATTGAATAAATCACCCATATAAGATCTAATTTTTTTTTTTTTTTGAGACAGAGTCTTGCTCTGTCACCCAGGCTGGAATGCAGTGGCACGATCTCAGCTCACTGCAACCTTGGCCTCCTGGGTTCAAGCAATTCTCTGCCTCAGCCTCCCCAATATCTGGGATTACAGGCGCCCACCACCATACCTTGCTAATTTTTTTGTATTTTTATTTATTTATTTATTTTTCTTTTTTTTGAGACAGAGTCTTGCTCTGTTGCCCAGGCTGGAGTGCAGTGGTGCCATCTCGGCTCACTGCAAGCTCCGTCTCCCGGGTTCATGCCATTCTCCTGCCTCAGCCTCCCGAGTAGCTGGGACTACAGGTGCCCACCACCACGCCTGGCTAATTTTTTTGTATTTTTAGTAGAGACGGGGTTTCACCGTGTTAGCCAGGATGGTCTCGATCTCCTGACCTCGTAATCCACCCGCCTCGGCCTCCCAAAGTGCTGGGATTACAGGCGTAAGCCACCGAGCCCAGCCTGTATTTTTAGTAGAGACCGGGTTTCACCATCTTGGCCAGGTTATTCTTCAACTCCTGAACTCATGATCCATCCACCTCGGCCTCTCAAAGTGCTGGGATTACAGACGTGAGCCACTGCGCCCGGCCTACAATATCTATTATAATGCACTTCTCTCTTTTTTTTTTTTTTTTTAACACTAAGAAGATATTTCAGGCTGGGTGTGGTGGCTCCCATCTGTAACATCTGCAATCCTAGCATTTTGGGAGGCTGACACTTAAGCCTCGGAGTTCAAGACCAGCCTGGGCAACATAGTGAGACCCTCTCCTCTATAAAACAATAAAATAAAACAAAGAAAAGAAAGAAAAAATGTGTAAAGAAAAAAAAAAAAAAGAAGGCCAGACACAGTGGCTCACGCCTGTAATCCCAGCACTTAGGGAGGCCAAGGCAGGTGGATCACCTGAGGTCAGGAGTTCGAACCCAGCCTGGCCAACATGGTGAAACCCTGTCTCTACTAAAAATACAAAAATTAGCCGGGCGTAGTGGTGGGCGCCTGTAATCCCAGCTACTAGGGAGGCTGAGTCAGGAGAATTGCTTGAACCCGGGAGACGGAGGTTGCAGTGAGCCGAGGTGGCGCCACTGCACTCCAGCCTGGGCTACAAGAACAAAACTCCGTCTCAAAAAATAAAAAAGAAAAGGAAAGGAAAGGAGAAAAGAAATGCACACTAAACTATAATGAAATATTACTTTAGATCCATCAGATTGGCAAAAATTAGAAAATATGGCTGGGCATGGTGGCTCACGCCTGTAATCCAGCACTTTGGAAGGCCGAGGCAGGCGATCACCTGAGGTCAGGAGCTCGAGACTCAGCCTGGCCAATACGGCAAAACCTGTCTCTACTAAAAATACCAGAAAAAAAAAAAAAAAGCTGGGTGTAGTGGTGGTCGCCTGTAATCCCAGCTACTAGGGAGGCTGAGGCAGGTGAATCGCTTGAACCCAGGAGGCGGAGGTTGCAGTAAGCCAGTATCACGCCATTGCACTCCAGCCTGGGCAACAGGAGCGAAATTCCATCTAAAAAAAAAAATTATAAAACCTGATGCTAAGTGTTGGCAAAGGATGTGGGAAGACAAAAATTCTTGTCCACAAAGGGAGTGAGTGTGGGATATAAACTGGCAAACCCATTCCAGAAAGCAAAATGTTTGTATTTGAATTAAATAAAAATGTGTCCTTTGGCCCTGTATATATGCCCCACATCTGGGTATATGTCCCAGAGTGATTTGCTGAAGTCCCTAAGAAAGCGTATACTCCACACTGTTTATTGTGACAGAGTTGGAGGCAACCCAGGTGTCCATGATTAGGGAAATATAAGTTAAATCTGGTGGATGTTTATTATGGAATAATATAATTCAGGACCATATAGAGACCTCAAAAATGTTGAGTAGGCCAGGCGCGGTGGCTCAGGCCTGAAATCCCAGCACTTTGGGAGGCCGAGGCAGGCAGATCACCTGAGGTCAGGAGTTTGAAACCAGCCTGGCCAAGATGGTGAAACCCGGTCTCTACTAAAAATACAAAATTAGCGAGGCGTGGTGGCACATGCCTGTAATCCCAGCTACTCGGGAGGCTGCGACGGGAGAATCACTTGAACCCAGGAGGTGGAGGTTGCAGTGAGCTGAGATTGCACCACTGCACTCTAGCCTGGGCAACACAGCAAGACTCCATCTCATAAATAAATAAATAAAATAAAAGTGTACAAGTCAGCTGGGCATGATGGAGTGCACCTGTAGGGCTCAGCTACTCAGGAGGCTGTAGAGGGAAGATTACTTGAGCCTAGGAAACATAGCAAGACCCCATCTCTTTTTTAAAAAAGTGTACAATTTAGTGATTTTTTAGTATATTCAGGGTTGTGCAACTATTAAATGTCTAATTACAGAACACGTCATCACCCTGTAAAGAAACCTCATATCCATTCACAGTCACTCTTCATTCCCTCTCTTTTCCCAGTACCAGTCAACCACTAACCTACTTTCCGTCTCTACAGATATGACTATTCTGGACATTTCTTATAGAATATGTGATCTGTTATGACTGGCTTATTTCTCTTAGCCTGTTTTCTAGGTTCATCCTCTGGTAGCATGTATCTGTATTTCATTCCTTTTTTATTGCCAAATAATATTCCATTGAATGGATATATTATTATTTATTTGTTTTTTCATTAGTTGATGTTTCTATTTTTTGGCAGTTATGAATAACACTGCTAGAACATTCACGTACAGGTGTTTTATTCTTTTTTTTTTTTTTTTTTTTTTTGAGACAGGGTCTCACTCTGTTGCCCAGACTGGAGTGCAGTGGTGTGATCTTGACTCATTGCAGCCTCCACCTCCTGGGTTCAAGTGATTCTCGTACTTCAGCCTCCTGAGTAGCTGGGACTACAGGCACATGCCACCATGCCTGGCTAATTTTTGTATTTTTAGTAGAGACGGGGTTTTGCCATGTTGGCCAAGCTGGTCTCAAACTCCTGGGCTCAGGTGATCCACCTGCCTCAGCCTCTCAAAGTGCTCAGATTACAGGCATAAGCCACCACACCCAGACTAGTTGATTTTAGTATATGGTAAGAAATAGGGGTCTATTTGCTTTTTTTTTTTTTCCTGCTGCTGTGTGAGGAGCAGGGCTAACTCATAGGCAGTGTGTCCAGAGACGGTGAGGGGTCTAGTTTCATTCTTCTGCATATGGATATCGAGTTTTCCCAGCATCATTTATTGAAGGAGGCATCCTTTTCCTGGTGTATGTCCACGGTGCCTTTATAAAAAAATGTTGGCTGTAAATGCATGGATTTATTTCTGGGTTCTCTATTCTGTTCCATTGGTCGGTGTCTGTTTTTATACCAATACCATGCTGTTTCAGTTACTATCACTTTGTAGTATATTTTGAATCAGGTAGTGTAATACCTCCAGCTTTGTTCATTTTGCTCAGTATAGCTTTGGCTAGTTGGGGTCTTTATGGTTCCATATTAATTTTAGGGATTTTTTTTCTATTTCTGTGAAGAATGTCATTGGTATTTTTATAGCAATTGCATTGCTATAGATTGCTTTGGGTCATTAAAAATAATAATAACAATCAGAAAAAGAATGCATTGTAAAAAACAAATACAAAAACTCAAGGTCAGCCCCAAAACTTCCGCCTGACTTTAGAACCCCAAATCTAGGGTTTCTGGCTCTTGGGCTTCAGGCTGGAGTGACCCTCCCCAATCCACCCTCAAACTTTACACCTCAGACTGGATGATAAGGTGGCTTCTGTGGCCTACAAAGTGGCCCTTGTTGATATTCATGTCAGCCCACTGGCCATGCCAAATGACCCATATTTACTTGCCAATAAAAACACCAAAAAACAAAACACTGACACTCCTGAAGGATGCCATTCAGCTCACTACTTTCTCCACTCTCTTATCCCAGTGTCAATGTCCATAACTTTCACCATAAGGACTTTGTATTTTAAAAAATACGTTTTAAAGAACCGATTGTTACAGCATAAACACACACGCACACGCACACACACACACACACACACACACCCTGTCTTCAGAAGCTTGGAATACATTACAGATTCACTGCCCTAAAAACCACTCACAGCAGGGATCGTTTTACCCCGGACACCAAAGAAATCCTCCAGATTTGAGCCACTCGGTGGCGAAACACGGACTGTGGGTATTTCCCAGTAGGGTGGGGTGCAGCAAATATTTATAGCTCTCAGGAAACTTGTGTTTGACTCATATTTTAGCTGATTCGTGAATAAGAACTATCAAAGGCTAGATTTTTTTTTCTTTCTTTTTGGTTTAAGGAAAGAAGATGACTAGTGGAGCAACTATTTCTGCGTGACTGCAGAGAGAAAACACAAAGAAAGGAATTTAGAATGACTCAGCCCGGGCGGCGCAGCGGGTGAGGGCCTCGCGAACAATGGAAAGTCACACTGGGGCCTCAGAACCCGGGTCTACACCCTCAGCGTCAGAGGCTGCTGACCGCTGGGGGCAGCAGGGACACTAGGCAAAAAGTGACTTTCTTGTCCCTCATTTCTTGCTTTTTAGCCTAAAATGCAGAACTAGCTCTTAAGATTGAAATATAATTATGATAATTTTGTAAAACTCACAGGAGCTCTGGGACATAAAAGCAAAGGTCCGGGGCCTCATTCCCAGAGGCCAGGGTCATTTGGGCAGCAAATAACAAATGCCAGGAATCCACACATCAACTCGCCTGGGCTGGGGATGGGGGTGGGGGTGGGTAGGACTCTGAGCACGTTTTTTTAACTCACCAGAAAACTTTCTAGAAAAAAAAAAAAAAAGCCCAAGGGCGCCACATGGCTAGCCTTTGCTTCCAGGCCAAGGGTAAAAGTCTTTGCTGTACCTCCAAGAGGCCAGCTTGGACCTCACAGGATAATGAATTTGCCCTTTCTGGCAGGAACAGGAACTCAGAAAAGAAATTGGCCAGAGGCCTGGTGGTTAGGAGATTGTTTCTGAAAAAATGCAATCATCTAATAGAGAATCTGTTGAGCTTAGGGTTTCTTGTGTGGGACTCAGTTACTCTCGAGGAATGTAGCAGCTGCAGCCAACATTTAAAAATCAATAGAATATATAGAATACCCTGTTTTTTTGTTGTTTGTATGTTTGCCAGTGCATGGTATAGATGTCCAGGCTGCGCCCTAAATATCTCCCAGAGGCCCTTCCAGTATCCCCAGGGAGACCAGGTCCACACCCACCCCAAGGCTGGGGCACAGCCCACATGGTTTCTGCAGGTTGCACCCAGGCTCTGCATGTCAAGTGGCACAAGATCTGGAGCACATGCCCTGCTGGGGAAGGGAGGCACCGCCTCTGGCAAATCCCCCCAGCCGGTGCCTCTCCTCCCTATTGTCCTGGCCACTCTGTGCCCTGTCCAGGACAGCTTCCTGCCAGCCCCACAGCCCAGGATGCCATCCAAATTGACAAGTTGCCCTCTAAATCTTCCTTCCTGCCAGGTGCAGTGGCTCACGCCTGTAATCCTAAACTTTAGGATGCCAAGGTGGGTGGATCATGAGGTCAAGAGATCAAGACCATCCTGGCCAAGATGGTGAAACCCCATCTCTACTAAGAATTCCAAAATTAGCCAGGCGTGGTGGCAGTCACCTTTAATCCCAGCTACTGGGGAGGCTGAGGCAGAAGAATTGCTTGAACCCGGAGGCAAAGGTTGCAGTGAGCCGACACCACGCCATTGCACTCCAGCCTGGGTGACAGAGCAAGACTCTGTCTCAAAAAAAAAAAAAAAGGAAAAAAAAAAAGACAGCCTAATTCAGCACTACACTTTGAAAAATATCCTGTTTTGTTAAAAATGCTTAGACCTAGTAAGTGTATTTTGCTCCACTTTTCTTAAATACTTGGAGATTTATCTGTAAACGCACGCAACAATTTCTGTTGACATCAGCAAAGCAGGGTTAGCAAGTGCTGCAGGGGACGTAGAACTAGCCAGACTGACCTAACAGTGGTATTTCTTCCCACAGGATTCTCTCTGTGCATTATCTTTATACACATAGAGTTATTACTTACATAGATACAGATTTGGGGGAAAAAGATTTTTTTTCCTGACTGTGGCTTCCTAGCTGCCTATGTGTAGTTAGCAATAGCAAACCAAATTTTTTTAAACAAACTCTTATAGTAGGTACTGTATGTGCAGACACTGTGTAGTCTTACTCTTACATATGTTAATTCAGTTAATTCTCACAACTCTATGAAGTAGGTACTACTATTATCATTCCCTTTTTTTTTTTTTTTTTTGAGACGGAGTCTCACTCTGTCACCCAGGCTGGAGTGCTGTGGCGCAATCTTGGCCCATGGCAACCTCCACCTCCCAGGTTCAAGCGATTCTCCTGCCTCAGCATCCCAAGTGGCACGCACTACCACGCTCAGCTAATTTTTGTATTTTTAGTAGAGACAAGGTTTCACCATGTTGGCCAGACTGGCCTTGAACTCCTGACCTCAAATGATCCGCCTGCCTCAGCCTCCCAAAGTGCTGGGATTACAGGCATGAGCCACCTCACCTGGCCTTCATTTCCATTTTTACAGGTAGGGAAACTGAGGCAAAGAGAGGTTAAATAAATTGCCCAAAATCTCAAAACTCGTAAAATTGCACAGGTGGGATTAGAACCATGCTCCAAGCACTAAATTATGCCGATCTGACCTGTGAATGCTTCCTAAGAGCCATAGGAGAGGTACAACCTGGCTTAATTAAGCTCCTTTGCTAAAGTACATTAAGATGTGTTTTACTGCTGCCTATGCCTCTAATAAATGCTCCCTTCGGGCATCCCATAATAAAGCTACCACTAAGATTCAACTTGGTTCTGTGAGGCCTTTAGCAGTGTGACCCAGTCTTCTTTCTCTCTAGCACTCAGCTTCGGCTAAACTAAAATTCAGTTTATGCTTTCCTGCCTCAGCATTTTCTCTGTGCTTTTCTCTCCACCTAGAATGCCTCCCAAGCCATCTCTCTCCACCTGACTTCTTTTATTGAAACCCCATCTACCTTCAAGGCCCAGATCAAGCTAGCATTCATTGTCACACAAGACAGAATATCTCTGAAGTCTGAAATTCTACAGCCTTTGTCTTCACCACTCACATGCCTACATATCTTATCTTCCCTACGTGGTCAGCAATTTCTTTTCCCCACAACACTGAGCACAGCACATTTGCACATAAATAGTTCTCAGTGAATGTATAGTCTCTCATTGTTTGCCCTCCATCCATCCTCTCTGTTAAATATCTGTAGAGAAATATAATGCATTATTTCAAAAAGAAAATACTTCCTCCTTCTTAAAAACAAACAAACAAAAAAACATGATTTTGTTCAGGAATTTATCCCTCTCCATTTCTGGAAATAGATCCTGATTTGTCTGAGCCAGTGCTATCAAACAGAAACAGAAATCAACTTACAAATGTAATTTTATTTTATTTTATTTATTTATTTTGAGACAGAGTCTCGCTCTGTCACCGAGGCTAGAGTACAGTGGTGCAATCTCGGCTCATACTGCAACCTCTGCCTCCCAGGTTCAAGCGATTCTCCTGTCTCAGCCTCCCAAATAGCTGGGATTACAGGCGCATGCCACCAAGCCCAGAGAATTTTTGTATTTTTAGTAGAGATGGGGTTTCGCCATGTTGGCCAGGCTGGTCTCAAACTCCTGACCTCAGAGTGATCTGCCCGTCTTGGCCTCCCAAAGTGCTGGGATTACAGGCATCAGCCACCACACCCAGCCTGTAATTTAAAATTTTCTAGTAGCCACATTAAAAAATTAAAAATAGCCCAGGTATGGTGGCTCACGCCTGTAATCCCAGCAACTTGGGTGGCTGAGGCATGAGAATCGCTTGAACCCGGGAGGTGGAGGTTGCAGTGAGGCAAGATGGCACCACTGCACTCCAGCCTGGGCGACACAGAGAGACTCTGTCTCAAAAAAATAAAAAATAGGCTGGGCAAGGTGGCTCACACCTGTAATCCCAGCACTTTGGGAGGCTGAAGTGGGTGGATCACCTGAGGTCAGAAGTTCAAAACCAGCCTGACCAACATGGTGAAACCCCGTCTCTACTAAAAATACAAAAATTAGCCAGGCATGGTGGCTCACACTTGTAATCCTAGTTACTGGGGAGGCTGAGGCAGGAGAATCACTTGAACCCAGGAGGCAGAGGTTGCAGTGAGCCAAGATCATGCCACTTTACTCCAGCCTGGGCAATAGAGTGAGACTCCATCTCAAAAAAAAAAAAGAAAATGAAATTATCGGGGAACCTGCCCCCAGTAGTCACGTAGGTTCTTTTCTATTTTCCCTAAGCATCGGCCGGGTTGAAAAATAAAGGGACAGAGTACAAAAGAGAGAAATTTTAAAGCTGGGTGTCCGGGGGAGACATCACATGTTGGTAGGTTCCGTGATGCCCTGCAAGCTGTAAAATCAGCAAGTTTTTATTAGTGATTTTCAAAAGGGGAGGGAGTGTATGAATAGGGTGTGGGTCACAGAGATCACATGCTTCACAAGGTAATAGAATATCACAAGGCAAATGGAGGCAGGGCGAGATCACAGGACCACAGGACCTGGGCGAAATTAAAATTGCTAATGAAGTTTCAGGCACCATTGTCATTGATAACATCTTATCAGGAGACAAGGTTTGAGAGCAGACAACCGGTCTGACCAAAAATTTATTAGGCAGGAATTTCCTCATCCTAATAAGCCTGGGAGCGCTATGGGAGACTGGGGCTTATTTCATTCCTACAGTTTCTACCATAGAAGATGGCCACACCCAAGGGGGCCATTTTAGAGGCCTACCCTCAGGGGCACATTCTCTTTCTCAGGGATGTTCCTTGCTGAGAAAAAGAACTCAGCAATATTTCTCCCATTTGCTTTTGAAAGAAGAGAAATATGGCTCTGTTCTGCCTGGCTCACCAGCGGTCAGAGTTTAAGGTTATCTCTCTTGTTCCCTGAACATTGCTATTATCCTGTTCTTTTTCAAGGTGCTCAGATTTCATATTGTTCAAACACACATGCTCTACAATTTGTGCAGTTAACGCAATCATCACAGTGTCCTGAGGGGACATACATCCTCCTCAGCTTACGAGATGACAGGATTAAGAGATTAAAGTAAAGACAGGCATAGGAAATCACAAGGGTATTTGATTGGGGAAGTGATAAGTGTCCATGAAATCTTCACAATTTATGTTTAGAGATTGCAGTAAAGACAGGCATAAGAAATTATAAAAGTATTAACTTGGGGAACTAATAAATGTCCATGAAATCTGCACAATCCATGTTCTTCTGCCATGGCTTCAGCCGGTCCCTCTGTTCAGGGTCCCTGACTTCCTGCAACATGAAATAAAATAAAAAAATTAAAAATAGCCAAACACAATGGGTCGTGCCTGTAATTTCAACACTTAGGGAGGCAGAGGTGGGAGGATAGCTTGAGCTCAAGGGTTTGAGACCTGCCTGGGCAATATAGCAAGGCCCCATTCTCCACAAACAGAAAAAAAAGACCAAAAAAAAAATAAACAGGTTAAATTAATTTTAATAATAAATTTTATTTAACTCAATATATCAAAAATATTATTTCAACATGGTTGTTTTTGTTGTTGGTTTTGTTTGTTTTTTTTTTGTTTTTTTTTGAGATGGAGTCTTGCTCTGTCGCCCAGGCTGGAGTGCAGTGGCGCGATCTTGGCTCACTGCAAGCTCCGCTTCCCGGGTTCACACCATTCTCCTGCCTCAGCCTCCCAAGTAGCTGGGACTACAGGTGCCCACCACCACACCCGGATAATTTTTTGTGTTTTTAATAGAGACAGGGTTTCACCATGTTAGCTAGGGTGGTCTCAATATCCTGACCTTGTGATCCGCCCGCCTCAGCCTCCCAAAGTGCTGGGATTACAGGCGTGAGCCACCACGCCCGGCCTTGAGACAGGTTCTTGCTCTGTCACCCAGGCTGGAGTGTAGTGGTTCGATCTCAGCTCACTGTAACCTCCGCCTCATGGGTTCAAGCAATTCTCCTGCCTCCTGAGTAGCTGGGATTACAGACATGAACCACTACACCCAGCTAATTTTTGTATTTTTAGTAGAGACAGGGTTTCACCATGTTGGCCAGGCTGGTTTCGAACTCCTGTTCTCAAGCGATCTGCCTATCTCAGCCTCCTGAAGTGCTGGGATTACAGGCGTGAGCCAGCACACCTAGCCTTCAGCATGTAATCAATATAAAAATAAATAAATAAGTTGGGTACAGTGGCTCACTTCTATAATCCCAGCACTTGGGAGGCCGAGGCAGGAGCATCACTTGAATTCAGGAGTTGGAGACCAGCCTAGCCAACATAGCAAGACCTTATTTCTAAGTAAAAAATAAAAATAAAACTAATTTTTAAAAGAAAAAAAACATTAAATAGATATTTTACGTGTGTGTATGTTATGAAGTTTTTGGAATTTTATCTTTTTTAATTTGAGTCCAAGTCTCGCTCTGTCGCCCAGGCTGGAGTGCAGTGGCGTGATCCCCCCTGGCTCACTGCAACCTCCGTTTCCTGGGTTACTGCAACCTCCGTTTCCTGGGTTCAAGCAATTATCCTGCCTCAGCCTCCTGAGTAGCTGGGACTACAGACGTGTACCACCACACCCGGCTAATTTTTATGTTTTTAGTAGAGACATGGTTTCACCATGTTGGCCAGGCTGGTCTCAAACTCCTCGGCTCAAGCCCCCCTCGGCCTCCCAAAGTGCTGGGATTACAGGCATGAGCCACCATGCCCAGCTGAAGTTTTTGGAGTATTTTACACTTACAACTTAATTCGGACTACATTTTAAAAGCTCAATAGCCACATATGGCTAGTAGCTTCCATATTAGACAGGGCAGTTCTGAGCCCATTAGCACAACATTCCCATGGTGACAGTTATTGATCCAGGAGTGTAGGCTGGAGGCCTAAGTTGAGCTGATCAGACTGAAACAAAGGATTTATAGTCCATAATAGGAGAGGTTCTGCCTGCTGGTAGTTACAAGAGAAGCCTATAACTCTGATTGCTACTGGCAGCCTTAGTAGGAATCATCTCGGAACCATAAGGAAAAATCAGCAGCATTGGTGTTAGGATGACACCAACATTGAGGAGGAGTAGGGAGACAGAAAGTACCCTGGGTCCTGAATGACATTGCTGAGCCATTGATCAGACCGGGCCTAGAGCTCACCCTACTTCTAGTTATGAAAAATAATACATTTCCCCTTTGTTTAAGCCAGACTGAGTCAGTTTTCTGTAGCATCCAACAATATCCCAACATCAGAGCTAACCCTGGAATCCAAGTCTACAGCCTCCTACATCCAGGTTTCTTGACAAGGATGGCTCTCAAGAAAGAATTCTGACTAATTCTTTTTTTTTTTTTTTGGAGACGGAGTCTTGCTCTGTGGCCCAGCCTGGAGTGCAGTGGCACAATCTCAACTCATTGCAACCTCTGTCTCCTGGGTTCAAGCAATTCTCCTGCCTCAGCCTCCCGAGTAGCTGGGATTACAGGTGCACACCACCACACACAGCTAATTTTTTCTATTTTTAGTAGAGATGGGTTTTCACCAAGTTGGCCAGGCTGGTCTCGAACTCTTGACCTTAAATGATCTACCCACCTCAGCCTCCCAAAGTGCTGGGATTATAGGCATGAGCCACCATGCCCAGCCGAATTTTGGCTAATTCTTTTGGATCCCTCTTTGAT
The DNA here is from genome assembly GCF_000001405.40 of Homo sapiens. NCBI lineage: Eukaryota > Metazoa > Chordata > Mammalia > Primates > Hominidae > Homo > Homo sapiens. Next base: position 73,573,218 of record NC_000006.12, on the reverse strand, counting down.
TCTTTCTGTGGCACAGTAGTGGTAACTGCCAATGAATTGGAAGTAAAGATCCCTACAGATGCTAGTGCTTGTGAAGGCCTCACCTAACAGGTGGGTCCTCACAGCTGCCGATGTCAGCTTGAGAGGTGACAGCGTGCTGGCAGTCCTCACAGCCCTCGCTCGCTCTCGGCGCCTCCTCTGCCTGGGCTCCCACTTTGGCGGCACTTGAGGAGTCCTTCAGCCCAGCGCTGCACTGTGGGAGCCCCTTTCTGGGCTGGCCAAGGCCAGAGCCGGCTCCCTCAGCTTGCAGGGAGGTGTGGAGGGAGAGGCCCGAGCGGGAACCCGGGCTGCGCGTGGCGCTTGCGGGCCAGCTGGAGTTCCGGGTGGGCGTGGACTTGGCAGGCCCCGCACTCGGAGCAGCCGGCCGGCCCTGCCGACCCCGGGCAATGAGGGGCTTAGCACCCGGGCCAGCGGCTGCAGAGGGTGTACTGGGTCCCTCAGCAGTGCCAGCCCACCGGCGCTGGGCTCGATTTCTCACCGGGCCTTAGCTGCCTTCCCGCGGGGCAGGGCTCGGAACCTGCAACCCGCCATGCCTGAGCCTCCCACCCCCTCCATGGGCTCCTGTACGGCCCGAGCCTCCCCGACAAGTGCCACCCCCTGCTCCACGGCGCCCAGTCCCATCGACCACCCAAGGGCTGAGGAGTGCGGGCGCACGCACGCACTGGGACTGGCAGGCAGCTCCACCTGCCCCCCCAGTGCGGGATCCACTGGGTGAAGCCAGCTGGGCTCCTGAGTCTGGTGGGGACATGGAGAACCTTTATGTCTAGCTAAGGGATTGTAAATACACCAATCAGCACCCTGTGTCTAGCTCAGGGTTTGTGAAGGCACCAATCGACACTCTGTATCTAGCTACTCTGGTGGGGTCTTGGAGTACCTTTATGTCTAGCTCAGGGATTGTAAATACACCAATCCACACTCTGTATCTAGCTCAAGGTTTGTGAACACACCAATCAGCACCCTGTGTCTAGCTCAGGGTTTGTGAATGCACCAATCAACACTCTGTATCTAGCTACTCTGGTGGGTACTTGGAGAACCTTTGTGTTGACACTCTGTATCTAGCTAATCTGGTGGGGAGGTGGAGAACCTTTGTGTCTAGCTCAGGGATTGTAAATGCACCAATCAGCGCCCTGTAAAAACAGACCACTCAGCTCTACCAATCAGCAGGATGTGGGTGGGGCCAGATAAGAGAATAAAAGCAGGCTGCCCAAACTCTGCAGTGGCAACCCGCTTGGGTCCTCTTCCACGCGGGGGAAGCTTTGTTCTTTCGCTCTTTGCAATAAATCTTGCTGCTGCTTACTCTTTGGGTCCACACTGCTTTTTTTGACCTGTAACACTCACCGCGAAGGTCTGCAGCTTCACTCCTGAAGCCAGCAAGATCACGAGCCCACCAGGAGGAACGAACAACTCCAGATGCGCCACCTTAAGAGCTGTAACACTCACCGTGAAGGTCTGCAGCTTCACTTCTGAGCCAGTGAGACCACGAACCTACCAGAAGGAAGAGACTTCGAACACATCTGAACATCAGAAGGAGCAAACTCCGGACACGCTGCCTTTAAGAACTGTAATACTCACCGCAAGTGTCTGCGGCTTCATTCTTGAAGTCAGTGAGACCAAGAACCCACCAATTCCGGACACAATCTCAGAGCACAAGAATGGCTGGAAGTCCCTTCTCAGGGCAGCTGTTATTACACTGCGCTCTCAAGCTAGCCAGAGCTTCCTCCATCTGCCAGGGCAGGCATTTGTCACAGCCCTTCAACACCTCTCCTGGAACTGATAGACCCTGGGGCTGACCCAAATCTGGACAAGCTAGAGCCCTTTGCCAAGAGGCAGCCCAGGAAGCCACACTTTCCACTGTGATAGCAGCCTTTTCTGTCAGGGTGCTGAAGATCAGCATGTTCTAGGCCAACTGCTGGTGCCAGGAATTTAGAGGGAAGGTTGGAAAGACTGACAGGAGCACTGACAACTGCACGGCCATAAACCTAAGAGGAGCAGTACAAAGAAAGTGAACTGAAGAGATGCCACCATGGGAGTGAGAGAAAATTGCTCCCAAGCTCCGTTCATCCTGCATTGCTTAAAAGCAGCAGCAGCACGGTGTGAACTAACCTGCTCTGAGGCAAACAGACCTTATGGTTCACTTACAATGCACAGGTCTTACAGCCCCAAAACTATGAGGAAAGGCTGAGCCACAATTAATCAAGCCTCCTTCCCTTCTGTCTTGGAGAATATGCATCGTGCACCAGTTGCTGAAAAATGGCAACATGGTATAGTGAGAAGAACGTGGCTTCCAGACCAGAGATCTGCCACTCAGCACTGGTGCAATGGTGGACAAGTCACATGGCCTTCATGAGGCTTAGTTTTCTAGTCTCTAAAATGAACATTATTACAAATCTCACAACTTCGGAAGGTCTAATTTCTAAAATACATGTGAAACCCTTTGTTTTTATTATTTTTCTAAATAGAGACAGGGTCTTGCTATGTTACCCAGGCTGGTCTTGAACTCCTGGCCTCAAGCAGTCCTCCCCTCTCAGCCTGCTAAAGTGCTGGGGATTATAGGACGTGAAACCCTTAGTAAGCTAAGTGCTATAAATGTTCACTGTTATGACTTCTTTTATAAGGAAAAAGAAATGTCTCTGATGGTTTTTTAATACCCAGAAATTACTACCTACTCATTAATGCTTCCTCTGAAAAATAAATGAAAATCATAAATTTTTAAATACAATTATTTGTTCTTACAGCATTTGTTTCTATCCACTTACTTGCTCTGTGCCTCGGGTCCCTGGTTCACAAAAACAGACCTCAAGTACCTGTCCTGCACAATGCTGACAACTGGAATGATGGCCAAATGCACAGAACCCAAAGGTTTACTAAGCTTAAAGGCTTATACGTCTTCTTCCTGATCATTTCACAAAGAAAGAAAAAGGAAAAGGAAAAAAAGAATGTAAAAAATAAGGCTTATACATCAGGGGTGACACTCCAAAACAGTTACAGCATCTAATTACAAAACAGTTTGCCAAGGTGTAGGATCCAGCTCCCTAGGCCCTCTGAATGGTACCACATCTTGTTTCCTTCTGACCCTAGTATGTCACATCTGAATACCACGTCTTGTTTCCTTCTAACCCTAATACCCATGGCTCACAGACACCTTCTGTCCCAGCCAAGGAAATACATACCACATTGAACTAAGCTTCTTGGTCCCCTGTATCTAAAGATGAAGGAGAACATGCTATGTCAGCCTGGCTCGCAGAATAATTGGCCCTGCACACTAAACTAGAAAACACACACACACATACACGTGCAGATGCACGCATACATAAGCAAATATGGGCACGGTGGCTCACGCCTGTAATCCCAGCACTTTGGGAGGCCAAGGCAGGTGGATCACTTGAGGTCAGGAGTTCCAGACCAGCCTGGCCAACATGATGAAATCCCACCTCTACTAAAAATACAAAAATTAGCCGGGTGTGGTGGTGAACGCCTATGATCCCAGCTACTCAGGAGGCTGAGGCATGAGAATTGCTTTGGGGAACCTGGGAGACAAAGGTTGCAATGAGCCGAGATCGTGCCACTGCACTCCAGCCTGGGCAACAGAGCGAAACCCCATCTCAAAAATAAATAAATAAATATATAAAAATTAAAAATAAAATCATTTGCTTATGTGCCAGGGAATTTACAGCCAAGTAGTTAAGTAAAATGCATACAAACCCAAAGAGGAAGCACTTAACCAAGTATCTGTTTAAGTTAAACAGGGAGATGCAGATTACGTGTGCCAAACACAGCTGGGCTTCCATGCTACGGTTCTTGGCCCTTCTGAGTCCCTGGAGCTATGTGCCTCTGGAGTTTGGAGCAAGATCAGTGCAGCGGTAGTAATTTTTACAATGATGAACGACTGCCTCAGTTGAAAGCCTGCTTCCTCATCATCCCTTGCCCAAATCCTGCTGTTCGGTTCCCAGACTGCTCTGTTCCCACAAGTTTTTCCAGAGAACACTGTAGGCCAATACACATATTCAGGTGAGCTGAGAGGAAAACCACAACAGCTGGGAGCCAGAATAAAGGGCAGGCAATGTAATAAGGAGACACTAGCAAGATTGCTGGAACCCACAGGATTTGACCACATGCTTTCCAAAGGCAGTCCTACTAAGAGAATAGTCTAATATTCCATTTTATAAGTATGAATTCTTTGAAATTATCCTACAGGCTCTCTAGTGGTATTCTTGACTTATAAAGACATTATTATATCTGGCAGGGCATGGTGGCTCATGCCTATAATCCCAGTACTTTGGGAGGCCAAGGTGGGCGGATCACTTAAGCCAGGAGTTCGAGACCGGCCTGGCCAACATGGTGAAACCCTGTCTCTACTAAAAATACAAAAATTAGCCGGGCATGGTGGCACACACATGAAATCCCAGCTACTTGGGAGGCTGAGGCAGGAGAATCGCTTGAACCCGGGAGGCAGAGGTTGCAGTGAGCCAAGATTGTGCCACTGCACTCCAGCCAGCCTGGGCGACAGAGCGAGACTCCATCTCAAATAAAAAAATAAAAAAAAAGACATTATTATATTCAAAGACATACTTGTTCAACTGTTACATTCAACATGCACATAAACTAACTGGAAGATATGTAACAAGGGCAAAATGACTGGGAAATAACTATTTCTGAATTGATGCTTGCAGGCTGGCAGGATTTGGGGAAGGAAGAAGCTTGGAAATTTGTAGAACTGGCCCTGGGGCACACTTCTTGACCACCCAGCAAGCCACTTGGTTTCTGAGTCTGATTTCTGAGGCAGAGAGTTTCTTTTTTTTTTAGACAGAGTCTCGCTGTGTCACCCAGGCTGGAGTGCAGTGGCGCAATCTCGGCTCACTACAAGCTCCGCCTCCCAGGTTCATGCCATTCTCCTGCCTCAGCCTCCCGAGTAGTTGGGACCACAGGCGCCTGCTAGCACACCCGGCTAATTTTTTGGTATTTTTTTTTTTTAGTAGAGACGGGGTTTTACCGTGTTAGCCAGGATGGTCTCGATCTCCTGACCTCATGATCTGCCCGCCTCGGTCTCCCAAAGTGCTGGGATTACAGGCATGAGCCACCGCACCTGGCCAAGGCAAAGAGTTTCTTAACCAGGCATCATATTAAAGCAATGGTTCTTAAAGTGTACTATAAGGACCAGTAGTTTCAAAGAATATGCATTACTTTTAAACTTGTTAAAATGCAAATTATTGCTGGGCACGGTGGCTCATGCCTGTAATCCCAGCACTTTGGGAGGCCAAGGCGGGAGGATCACTTGAGGTCAGGAGTTTGAAACCAGCCTGGCCAACATGGCCAAACCCCATCTCTACTAAAAATACAAAAATTAGCCAGGTGTGGTGGTGGGCACCTGTAATCCCAGTGACTCGGGAGGCTGAGGCAGGAGAATCGTTTGAACCCAGGAGGGAGAGGTTGCAGTCCACTGCACTCCAGCCTGGGCAACAAAGCGAGACTTCGTCTCAAAAAAAAAAAAAGGAAATTACTGAGTCCTACCCAAACCTACAAAATTAGAAACTCTGGGCCTACCAATCTGTGTTTTCAGTTCACCTGGCCTCCAGGTAATGTGGTGGGTGTATTGTGAGGTATGACAAACATTATTTTAAAGTGCTGAAGCCTTCTGCCGTAGCTCCAGAGTAAAGACATCAAGCAGATCATCATCATCCTGGCTTGCATGGAATCTGGAACCAGGCAGCCCCAGTTGGCTTGCTGTAATCATAGTCACTCCAAGAACCCATTTCCTACCTCAGTTCACAATCTTTGGCAGTCTAAATCCTAAATCCTTGGCTGCTAGTCCCATACCCTTCCCTACCTCTGCTCGGCTTCACCTTAATGCTTCACTTGGTCTTCTTCCCAATTTGCCCTCACACCACCTACCCCACAGTATTTTCCAGATAATATGTGTAACAGACCAGGCGGATGCAAACTGAAGCACAGCACATGTACTTTGTACCCCGCTCCCTTACGCAACCTCAATTTGTCACCAAGCTGGCTGAGCATGAGGAAAACCTGACTCCGCCCTGTGAGCCGAGAACACACCAAGAATACACCAGAAACTCACCAGGAAGCCCCACCTCCCGGGAATAACTGTGGGGCCACCAGCTAGGATGTGTTATCCTGGCTCCCTCAAAACAATGGGAAATCAAAAAAAATTTTTTTTTGATGTTTAGTGGCATATAATAGGAGGTTATGAATGTAAATTCCAGGGTGGTTTCAAACTGGAGAGCCAGTAAATTCTTCCGTGAATTTGAGTAATGATTAAAAAGCAAACTAGAAGCTGGGCACGGGGGCTCACATCTGTAATCCCAGCACTTTGGGAAGCCAAGGTGGGTGGATCCCTTGAGCTCAGGAGTTCAAGACCAGCCTGGGCAACATGGAAAAACCCCATGTCTATAAAAAATTAGCCAGGCATGGTGGTGTGCACCTGTGGTCCCAGCTACTTGGGACAGGTGGGAGAATCACTTGAGCCCAGGAGGTGGAGGTTGCAGTGAGCTGAGATTGCACCACTGTACTCCAGCCTGGGCAACAGAGTGAGACTCTGAAAAGAAAGAAATTAGAAAACCATCAAATGGCACCTTTGACGGAAGATGCAGGCTACATCATCTTACTCACATCTACTCTAGCATTTTCGAAACTGCATTAGCAAAATATTTGAGCTACTATCTCTTAAAACTTCCCTCCAAGCAGTCCTTCAGGCCAATTTTGGGGAGGTGGGAAGTTGAATAGTGGCTCATTTGATTATCGTTGGTTCAAAATGCCATGGCAAAACACACTTTAATAATAAGGAATACAGATTTGTATTTTAACTTGCATATGGCTTCCTATTCTCTACACTAAATATGCAGGAATCCCAGAGGCCTGGGGCAGGAATGTGTAGCTGCCTGTGCACACTCAAATGGCAGACATTCTTTAAATGTTTGTGGACCCTGTCCCTTCCGCCTCTGTCTCCTAGTCTTAAGCTACCCAGTGTCCTAGTTTCTAGGCTTGTCCTGCTCTAACTTTTCAGCCAAAATAGCACAGTATTTTAACAATGCTTTTTTTTTTTTTTTTTTTTTTAAGATGGAATCTCGCTCTGTCACCCAGGCTGGAGTGCAGTGGCACAATTTCGGCTCACCACACCCTCTGCCTCCTGGGTTCAAGCAATTCTTCTGCCTCAGCCTCCCAAGTAGCTGGGATTACAGGTGCCCACCACCATACTGGCAGTAGAGACGGGGTTTCACTACATCGGCCAACCGGTGTCAAACTGCTGACCTCAGGTGATCCGCACGCCTCAGCCTCTCAAAGTGCTGAGATTACAGGCGTAAGCCACCGTGCCTGGCCAACAATGCTTCTTATACTTAATGTGCATACAGATTCATTTGGAATCTTGCTAAAATGCAGATTTGAATTCAACAGGTCTAAGGGGTGCCCAAGATGCTTCCTTTCTAACAAACTCCCAGAGGTTGCCCCTTGTTCCTGGTCCACAGGCCACACTGAATAGCAAAGCTCTACAGGAGTCAGCAGACTTTTTCTGAAAAGGGACAGATAGTACAAATTTAAGACTTTGTGGGACATAGGGTCTCTGTCCAACTGCACAATTCTGCTGTTGTAGCATGAAAACAGACAGAACATGTAAATGATAGGTGTATTACCAGAAAGGGTCCTGATCCAGACCCTTAGAGAGGGTTCTTGGATCTCGAGCAAGAAAGAATTTGAGCTGAATCCATAAAGTGAAAGTAAGTTTATTAAGAAAGTAAAGAAATAAAGAATGGCTCCTCACAGGCACAGCAGCAGCATGGGCTGCTGGTTGGCTATTTTATGGTGTTTTTTTATTTTGTTTTTGTTTTTAAGACAGAGTTCTGCTCTTTTCACCCAGCCTGGAGTACAATGGTACGATCTCAGCTCACTGCAACCTCCGCTTCCCCGGTTTAAGCGATTCTCCTGCCTCAGCTTACCCAGTAGCTGGGATTACAGGCACCCGCCACCACGCCTAACTTTTTTGTATTTTTAGTAGAGATGGGGTTTCGCCATGTTAGCCATGCTAGACTCGAACTCCTGACCTCAGGTGATCTGTTTGCCTCGACCCACCAAAGTGTTGGGATTACAGGCATGAACCACCACACCCAGCCCACTTTTATGGTTATTTCTTGATTATATGCTAAACAAGGGGTGTCTTATTCATGAGTTTTCCAGGAAAGGGGTGGGCAGTTTCCGGAACTGAGAGCTCCTCCCCTTTCTAGACCATATAGGGTAACTTCCTGACATTGCCATGGCATTAGTAAACTGTCACGGTTCTGGTAGGAGTATAGCAGTGAGAACAACCAGTGGTCACTCTCGTCGCCATCTTGGTTTTGATGCTTCTTTAGTGCAACCTGTTTTATCAGCAAGGTCTTTATGACCTGTATCTTGTGCTGACCCCGTATCTCATCCTGTGACTTAGACTGTCTGGGAATGCCGCCCAGATGGTCTCAGCCTTATTTTACCTAGCCACTATTCAAGATGGAGTTGCTCTGGTTCACACGCCTCTGACATAGGGACCCAAGTGTAGGTCTTAACTCAGCCATTTACTAACTCTATGGCTCAAGTAAGTCGCCTCTTGGATTCTCATTTAACTAAACCGTTACATGGGAGCAAAAATTCTTATCTTAGGGCTGTTTGCCTAGTGCCTGGCACACATCAGGTCTTCAATAGAAGGAAATTAATATTATTGGCATTTCCAGCTAACTTCCTTATACATTATTTTCGCTAATTTAGTCACCCCATTAAAACCCCTTGTGGCTCCCTGTTTCCCACTGGATCAAGTTTAAACACCTCTGTGTGATCTTCAAGGCCCTCTAGTATCTGACACACCCTTTCCCATTTTATTCTGAGCCTTCCCACTTTCAGGTTAGTCAAGTAGATTTTTCACTGTTCCTAGCCTACTGTGACATATCCCCTTCACTGGAATATTTTTGCTTATCTCCTTTGCTTTCTACAAACTAAGCAATTAGGGCTCAGTTCAGTTCTGTCTCTTCCATAAAAACCGACCTTAGAATTATTATTGTTTTCTATGGTCCATTTCATGCACACAGTTCCTCATACCATATATTATTAAGTTCTTGCTAACAATTACTTGAATAATATTTGCCTAATATGTCCATGTTATCACTTTTTTTTTTCTGTATTTAAATAGAGACCGAGTCTCACTGTGTTGCCCAGGCTGGTCTCAAATTTCTGGGCTCAAGTGACTCTCCCACCTGGGCCTCCCAAAGGCCCATTACAGATGTGAGGTACCACACCCAACCTATGTTGTCCCTTTTTTTTTTTTTTTTTTTTTGAGACAGAGTCTGGCTCTATCGCCCAGGCTGGAGTGCAGTGGCACGATCTTGGCTCACTGCAACCTGCGCCTCCTGGGTTCAAGCAGTGGTCTCAATCTCCTGATCTCATGATCCACCCACCTCGGCCTCCCAAAGTGCTGGGATCAGAGGCGTGAGCCACTGCGCCCAGCATGTCACTTTTTACAATAGGAACCATGAGATGGTTTTTGTTTAAATTTCTCCATTGTAATTTAGGAATCAACTTTATTTCCAAAAAGATCATTCACTGGAACATTTATTTGTTTACTCGACAAAAATTTATCTGTTTGTGGCCGGGCGTGGTGGCTCACGCCTGTAATCCCAGCACTTTGGGAGGCCAAGGCGGGCGGATCACAAGGTCAAGAGATCGAGACCATCCTGGCCAACATGGTGAAACCCCGTCTCTATTAAAAGTATAAAAATTAGCTGAGTGTGGTGGCGGGCGCCTGTAGTCCCAGCTACTGGGAGGCTGAGGCAGGAGAATCACTTGAACCCGGGAGGTGGAGGTTGCAGTGAGCCAAGATCACGCCATTGCACTCCAGCTTGGGCGACAGAGCGAGACTCTGTCTCAAGAAAAAAAAAATTTTTTTTTAAATTTATCTGTTTGTTATCTAAGAATATTCATTAAAAATCAAATACTGGCTGGGCACGGTGGCTCACTCCTGTAATCCCAGCACTTTGGGAGGCGAGGTGGGCAGATCACCTGAGGTCAGGAGTTCGAGACCAGCCTGGCCAACATGGTGAAACTCTGTCTCTACTAAAAATACAAAAACTAGCCAGAAGTGGTGGCGAGTGCCTGTAGTCCCAGCTACTCAGGAGGCTGAGGTGGGACAATCGCTTGAACTCAGGAGGCAGAGGTTGCAGCGAGCCGAGATCCTGCAGCTGCATTCCAGCCTGGGCAACATGGCAAGACTCCATCTAAAAAAAAAAAAAAAAAAAAAGGAATCAAACACTGTTTTAGGCTTTCAGGATACAAGGTTAAAAACAAATAAAAAGATCTCAACTGAGATTTACGATTAATAATTCTGTTTTATGATATAACTGTAGTCATACTTCATAGACAAATAAAATAATACCTAATGATTGCACAATCACAGATACGAACTTTAGAGATTGGAGCCTAAATCTCCAAAACTATAACATCCAGGAGCAGAAATCCAAATCATTTCTTACATTATACACCCCCTTAAAGCATAAAAAAAAATTAAAAAAGAAAAAAGGCAAATGGGAATGAGATTCCATTCTCTTTGGGGAATAGTCACTAGGCCAATGACAGGAATAGGATGAATTCCTTGCTTATCCATTCCCTAGTTACCTTCTGATAAGGTTAGAAGGTAGTAACCCCTGAATGTACCCATGTAGACCCAAATTGGTTCCTGGTGATACTAGGTATTCATGCACTGTTGGATAAATTCAACTAATCCCTTTGAAAATTTCCAGTAGCAAGTGAACATTATTATTTTCCAAGTCTTTTCCCAATTGCAAAGGGGCCTCTGTCAAATGTCTGGGTCAATGGTTAAAATGTCGAAGCCTTTTGGTGACTTAGAAAATTCTAAACTTGGCCGGGCACAGTGGCTCACACCTGTAATCCTAGCACTTTGGGAGGCCGAGGCAGGCAGATCACGAGGTCAGGAGTTTGAGACCAGCTTGGCCAATGTGGCAAAACCCCATCTCTACTAAAAATACAAAAATTAGCTGGGCATGGTGGCGTGTGCCTGTAGTCTCAGCTACTCTGGAGACTGAGGCAGAAGAATCACTTGAACCAGGGAGTTGGAGGTTGCAGTGAGCCAAGATCGTGCCACTGCATTCCAGCCTGGGCAACAGAGTGAGACTCTGTCTCAGAAAAAAAAAAAAAAAAAGAAAATTCTAAACTTTAGAGATAGAGCTTGAGCTATTAGCACTGACATTTAGTTATCAGTCAGGTATCAAGAAAGCTATGGTAATAGGGCCGGGTGCGGTGGCTCACGCCTATAATCCCAGCACTTTGGGAGGCCGAGGCGGGCGGATCACGATGTCAGGAGATCGAGACCATCCTGCCTAACACGGTGAAACCCTGTCTCTACTAAAAATACAAAAAATTAGCCAGGCACGGTGGCGGGCGCCCGTAGTCCCAGCTACTTGGGAGGCTGAGGCAGGAGAATGGCGTGAACCCGGGAGACGGAGCTTGCAGTGAGCCGAGATGGCGCCACTGCACTCCAGCCTGGGCAACAGAGCGAGACTCCGTCTCAAAAAAAAAAAAAAAAAGAAAGAAAGCTACGGTAATAGAGTGATGGGATTAGGGTGTTTACTGAGATTTTAATTCTTTCCTCTTTGTGTATGTTTTTGTTTGTTTGTGTGAGACACAGTCTCACTCTGTCACCCAGGCTGGAGTGCAGTATCCCGATCTTGGCTCACTGCAACGTCCACCCCCCAGCTCCAAGAGGTTCTCCTGCCTCAGCTTCCCAAATAGCTGGGATTACAGGCACCTGCCACCATGTCCAGCTAATTTTTGTATTTTTAGTAGAGAACGGGGTTTCACCATGTTGGCCACTGGTCTCGAACTCCTGACCTCAAGTGATCTGCCCGCCTCGGCTTCCAAGGTGCTGGTATTACAGGCGTGAGCCACCGCGCCCAGCCTCTAGCTCTTTGAAGTTAACTTTTTGTTTACCCTAAAATTAGTTTTAACTTTGCATAGGGGATTAATTGTCATACATAAAATCTGACTCTGCCCATTTCAGTGATTAAAATAGGATTAGAAATTGGAAGGAGGGGTTGCGGAATGATTTGTGTCCTAGAAACTGGATTTGGTAAGAAATGTTGAAAGCAGAAGTGAGATTCCTTTGAATTTTTTTTTCTTTTTCATAAGTGACATCTCTATGTCATGTCTAGTTTCTTTTCTTTTTTATTTTTTTCATTGAGGAAGGCCGGGAGACATGTCTAGTTTCTATTATGGTTATAAGCAGTGGCAATTTGCAATTATTAAGGAAGGAGAGAGGGAGAAAATTCTGGAAACTGTTTACTCTTATTTCACCTTGAGATGCCAGATTTTCTCTATTTCTATTTGCTAGCAAAGCATACCGTCACCCAAAATAGCCACTGAGTTTTCTTGTAAAAATCAAAGCAATTGTCCCTAAATACTTCATTTGTGTTCTTAGATACAAAGGCTTACAGAAGAAGATAAGTATTTCCCCTTCTTTGAGGATAAGATGGTGTGAAAACATAAAGCAAAAGAGGGCAAAAGGTTGAATATTCAAAGGTTAAGTAATTCAAAAAGAGAAACAAACAGATGGATTTTTGTCACACGTACTGTTCTTTGTTGAAAACCCTGGTAGTGGCAGAAATAGTCCAGGGCTAACGACGACCTGCATTGACTCTAGGCGCTGCAGCTTTCTGCTGTGTAAACCTTAGTCACCTCTGTGCCTTAATTCCCTAGTATTTAAAATAGAAAATATCACCAGCTACCTCGGAGTTTTTTAGGCCTTCTGCCAGATTTTTTTTTTTAAAAGTGCTTCAAAGCTATTTCATAGGTACTTGTGGGCTTTTCCTGGGTTTTTTCAAGGATGATGTCACAGATCCTATATCAAAAAGAACATGTATTTCTGTTCATTTGGGGTTTTCTTTTTTCTTTTTTCTTTTTGAGTCAGAGTCTCACTGTCGCCCAGGCTGGAGTGCAGTGGTGCGACCTCGGCTCACTGCAACCTCCGCCTCCCAGGTTCAAGCGATTCTCCTGCCTCAGCCTCCCGAGTAGCTGAGACCACAGGCGCACGCCACCATACCCGGCTAATTTTTGTATTTTTAGTAGAGACAGGGCTTCACTTTGTTGGCCAGGCTGGTCTTGAACTCCTGACCTCAGGTGATCCACCTGCCTCGGCCTCCCAAAGTGCTGGGATTACAGACGTGAGCCACAGCGCCCGGCCTGTTCATTTTGTTAATGCCAAGAGTCAACAATGGGAAGAACCGGGTTCTAGGTGAAGTTTGTAACCAAACGAGGCAAAAAGGTTCGGTAGCCATTTTGAAAAGCACTTAGCCAGGCGTGGAGGCGGGCGCCTGTGATCCCAGCTACTCGGGAGGCTGAGGCAGGAGAATCACTTGAATCCGGGAGGCAGAGGTTGCAGTGAGCCGAGGTCGCGCCACTGCACTCCAGCCTGGGTGACAGAACGAGACACCATCTCAAAAATAAAAAAAAAAAATACAATAAAATACACACACACACACACACATGCACACACACACGCTCACTTAGAAAAGAAAGGCGCGAGGCCAGGCAGTGTGACTCACGCCTTTAATCCCAGCAATTTTGGAGGCCAAAGCGGGAGAATCTCTTGAGCTCAGGAGTCCAAAACCAGCCTGGGTAACATGGACAGAACCCCCTATCTCTACAAAAATTAGCCGGATGTGGTGGCACACACCTGTAATCCCAGCTACTCAGGAAGCTGAGGTGGGAGGATTACTTGAGCTCCGGAGTGGGAGGTTGCAGTGGACTAAGATCGTCCCACTGCACCCAGCCTGGGTGACAGACCAAGATGCTGTCTGGGGGTAAAAAAAAGAAAGAAAGGAAAATGTACAAGTATGGAAGTTTCTCTATGAGTAGAGAGAAACAACAGGACCAAGTGCAGCCCTAGCCTCTAGAACCTTAACTAACCAAGCCCACCACCTGCAACATACCTCTAGCTCAGTTTAGAGCCCAAGGCTCTTTGTTATTTTTGTTTAGGGAGAACAAAGGAAGGGGCAAGGTAGGGAATGAGGATGGAGAAAGAACAAAATTTGACCTCTGTAACAGCAGAGGTCAAATTAGTGAAGACAGAAAAAACGTGAGGGAAAATCAGCCTGTCTTCAGTGTGGGTGAGCTGTTCCCTAGTAGACCCCAGGTGCTGCTCCCCCTCCTGGAGGATGGGGCTCCTCCCCCTCCCTTTCCCAGCTCTGTAACTGTCCTGGGCAAAGCAAGACAATAAGCTCAGTCCTAGACACCCCCAACCCTGTAAGACATCCCTTTTCTTAGCTGCCCAGAAACCTCATATTTCAAGGTTGAAAGGATGTGGGGGCCTGTTAATACCATACTGAAATACGTATCACTTTCTGTTCACACTTGTCCCCTCCAGTGCCATCAGTCCACCCCCACCTGCCCTCCAGAGGGTGAAGGACCTGACCGACCTGTCTTTTGTGTTTCTGGATCACTAAGGCTACAGCTACTCCTTGGGACATATTGGGTGAATTAATGTGGTTGAATGATATCAGTAGTCATTCATCACAACACCCACTGGAGTGTTAAAGTTCTTTTAATTGGGAAAAGCATATAGATTACTGTTGATAAGAGAATCTGATTTTAGCTAGGCTTTCTTATGCATAAACGCAGCAAATAGAGAGGTTCCAAATCTTTTTTGCTTTTGGTTTATCTATGTATATTTATACTGGGCAATTCAAGTTAAAATATTCCTTTCAGCTTACAACCCTGATTAAAACTTCCCATTTTCTGTTTCTCCCTGAAGTCTCATCCATTAGCCTACATTTAGTCTCTAATGTAAAAAAGTAACCCAAAATCAAAAGAAAGATGAGAGCAAGATTGGTTGAAGTAGTTTTATAAAGGACAAGTCCCTAACCAACTATAAATGCCCTGACAACTATAAATGTGAATGTACTGCCACAGCCATTTGTGGTGGTGAGAATGCCTTAAACTATTTTCCCATTTTTCTGAAGAGTCAAGGGACTTCTGCCTTTAGGACTATTTAAAATATTTAAGCTGGGCACAGTGGCTCACACCTGTAATCCCAACATTTTGGGAAGCTGAGGGGGAGGATCACTTCAGCCCAGGCATTCCAGACCAGCCTGGGCAACATAGTGACACCCCCATCTTTACACACATACACACGCATACACAGTCAGGCATGGTACACACACACACATACACACACAGCCAGGTGTGGTGGTGCATGCCTGTGAGTCTTTCTACTCCAGGAGTTTGAGCTGGGAGTATCCCTTGAACCTGGGAGTCCAGGCTGCAGTGAGCCATGATCGTCCCACTGCACTCAAGCCTGGGCCACACAGCGAGACCCTGTCTCAAAAAAAAGGGGTCGGGGTGGGAGGGATGGTTGATGTCTTCACACTTGGAACACAAACCCAGACTAGAGAACTGGAGATAGCTAAAATAATCCCCATAGCTAAAAGTGAGTGCTGCGTCTGGAGTTAAAATTCATTTCCTTCTTCACTGAGCAGGGCAGCCTCGCCTGGGCCTCGTATTCTTGGGTATAATTCTCTGTCTGCAATCCGAGCACCCTGGGCACAGCCAAGGCAACAGGGCAGTGCTCAGGGTACCTTCTCCAGGGGCTGACTTACCTTCTTCCTCTGCATTCACTGGACAATTATAGCTCTGTTTCAAGTGCAGACTGAAAAATTAACAGTTTCCAGAGTAATTGGGGAAGTTATCAAGGCCATATGGCCCGGGGACTGAGAGCCTGGAGCGCCTGCTGGAATATCTTTTGCCTTTGCAGATGTACTGAGCTATTCATTGTCTGGGGCATTCTTCATTCAGGATTAGAGACCAAAGTTGTGTGATGCTGCTGAGGTAATAAATGATTATAAGATCATTTTCCCAATACAAAGCAATATACATGTGTTTTCCTGATTTCCCTATGGCTTTTTTAATAACTAAGAGGTCTGGATTCTTTAAGAGTATGGAAAGAGGTAATGACCAAAGACCATGTTCTAACTGTGAAGATCTCTCCTGCTCTGTATTATCTGCCCTGGGAAAATGGAGATTCAGAAAACGAGTGACCAGCTCAAAGATGAAGGGACTAGCTTTCTCTTTGCTCTGTGAGGATGTTAAAAATAGCAGTGGAATTATAAAGAGGTATCTCAATCCTCCAGGAGAAAGAGGCTATACATAAATGCAGTGTGGCTTAAACTTAAATAGCAAGACTGGACAGTGGCTCTTTCATTCCAGCAAGTGTCAGCCAGCTGCTTTGCTAATAAAGAATTCTCAGTTGGGGAGGGTGAGAAGATAGGATCAGCAAGAAAAGGAGGAAAATAGAGCAGGAAAAAAAAACTAGAGAAAGTTTTAATTTTTCCTTAACTATTTTCAAAAACTACATGTAAGTGGTGAAGAAACACAAACATATCACGAGTCTCCCTACTTTCCCTCTCTTTAAGTTAGCCAGTGGTCCCTTCCACAGGGTTCTCCCTTCTCATATACATGTGGCTTTGTTGTTGTTGTTTTTTCAGATGGAGTCTCTCCCTGTTGCCCAGGCTGGAGTGCAGTGGTGCGATCTCAGCTCACTGCAACCTCCGCCTCCTGGGTTCAAGCAGTTCTCCTACCTCAGCCTCCTGAGTAGCTGGGATTACAGGCGCCCACCACTTTGCCCAGCTAATTTTTGTATTTTTAGTAGAGACAGGGTTTCACCATGTTAGCCAGGGTGGTCTTGAACTCCTGACCTCAAGTGATCCACCCGCCTTGGCCTCCCAAAGTGCTGAGATTACAGGCGTGAGCCACCATGCCCGGCCACATGTTTTTTGTTTTTTTTTTAAGTTTGCTGACTGACTTAACATTGGCAAAGGTGAAAGTAGAAAGTGGAGAGGTAAAGAAAATTACCTATCCACAGTCACACTCACTAGAGACAACTACTGTTAACATTTTAGTGTATCACTTTCCAGCATTTTTATACCAGAGAGAGAAAAGAGAAACCACAGGGGAAGAAATAGGAAGGAAAATGAAAGGGGAGGGAGAAGATGAAAAACATTTACATCTTCAATAGCATCAAGTGTTGAAAGCATCATGCTATGTAGGAAGGCCAAGTACATTCGTCTCTCAGAGGAGCCATCTGTAACAATGGAAGGCAACAACTAAGGTGTTGTATCTACTTGCTTTTTTTTTTTTTGAGATGGAGTCTCCCCTCTATCACTCAGGCTGGAGCGCAGTGGCGCAGTCTCCGCTCACTGCAACTTCTACCTCCCAAGTTAAGCCATTCTCCTGCCTCACCCTCCCAAGTAGCTGGGATTACAGGCGCCCGCCACCACACCCAGTTAATTTTTTGTATTTTTAGTAGAGACGGGATGTCACCATGTTAGCCAGGCTGGTCGCAAACTCCTGACCTCGTGATCCGCCCACCTCGGCCTCCCAAAGTACTGAGATTACAGGCCTGAGCCACTGCACCCGGCCGTATCTACTTGCTTTTAAAATGTTATCTGTGCTTGAGCCAGGGATTGCAGTGAGCTGAAATCATGCCACTGCACTCCAGCCTGGATGACAGAGTGAGACTCTGTCTCAAATAAATAAAATAAAATAAAATAAAATAAAATAAAATAAAATAAAATTAAATTAAATTAAATTAAATTAAATTAAAATAAATAAATAAATGAAATAGATCTGTAATTTCTAACTTTTTTTTTTTTTGAGACGGAGTTTCACTCTTGTAGCCCAGGCTGAAGTGCAATGGTGCAATGTCAGCTCACCAAAACCTCCACCTCCTGGGTTCAAGCGATTCCCCTGCCTCAGCCTCCCTGAGTAGCTGGGATTACAGGTATGTGCCACCATGCCCAGCTAATTTGGTATTTTTAGTAGAGATGGGGTTTCTCCATGTTGGTCAGGCTGGTCTTAAATTCCTGACCTCAGGTGATCCACCTGCCTCGGCCTCCCAAAGTGTTGGGATTACAGGCATGAGCCACCATGCCCTGCCTCTAACTCTTGTTACTGTTATTGTTTACATTTCTAACGCAGAAACGCTTGCTTCCCCCTAACGACCTCAAGATCAAAGCTACCAACAAAAATCCATCCAAGTGAAGTGATTGACTTTGAGAGTTCTTGGCAGCAGCTGTGAGAGGACATGAGTTCAAGAAGTGTGGATCACCCAGTATGGTGGCTTATGCCTGTAGTCCCAGCACTTTGGGAGGCCAAGGCAAGCGGATCACTTGAGTCTAGGTGTTCAAGACCAGCTTGGAGAACATGGCAAAACCCATCTCTACAAAAAATACAAAAATTAGCCGGGCATGGTGGCACATGCCAGTAGTCTCAGCTACTTGGGAGGCTGAGGTGGGAGGATCGCTTGAGCCCTGGAGGCAGAGGTTGCAGTGAGCCAAGATTGAGCCACTGCACTCCAGCCTGGGTGAAACAGCCAGACCCTGTCTCAAAACAAACAAATGACAACAACAACAACAAACCCATAGTGTAACTTGAAATAATGTAAAAAAAAGTTATTAAAAAACATAATTTATGGCCGGGCATGGTGACTCATGCCTGTAGTCCTAGCACTTTGGGAGGCTGAGGCAGGAGGATCACTTGAGCTCAGAGCTTCAAAACCACCCTGGGCAACATAGTGAGATTTTGTCTCTATTCGGTTAAATTTTTTTTTTAAAAAGACACACTTTTTAAGAAAATATGGATGAACTGTTGAAAAATATCACTTTTAGGCCGGGCGCGGTGGCTCACGCCTGTAATCCCAGCACTTTGGGAGGCCGAGGCGGGCGGATCACGAGGTCAGCAGATCGAGACCATCCCGGCTAAAACGGTGAAACCCCGTCTCTACTAAAAATACAAAAAATTAGCCGGGCGTAGTGGCGGGCGCCTGTAGTCCCAGCTACTTGGGAGGCTGAGGCAGGAGAATGGCGTGAACCCGGGAGGCGGAGCTTGCAGTGAGCCGAGATCCCGCCACTGCACTCCAGCCCGGGCGACAGAGCGAGACTCCGTCTCAAAAAAAAAAAAAAAAAAAAAAAAAAAAAAAAAAAAAAAGAAAAATATCACTTTTTTTTTTTTTTTTTGAGACAGAGTTTTACTCTGGCACCCAGGCTGGAGTGCAGTGGCATGATCACAGATCATTGTAGCCTGAAACTCCTGGTCTCAAGCAGTCCTCTCACCTCAGCCTCCTGAATAGCTGGGCACACACCACCATGCCCAGCTAATTTTTTAGAAAATATTTTGTAGAGACAGGGGATTGCTATGTTGCTCAGGCTGGTCTCAAACTCCTGGCCTCAATCAATCTTCCTGCCTCGGCCTCCCAAACTACAGGGATTATAGGCATGAGCCACCTCACCCACTGCCCCACTCTCTTTTCATACTAAATGCATATAAAGCTGGGTGCAGTGGCTCAAGCCTGTAATCCCAGCACTATGGGAGGCTGAGGCGGGTGGATCACCTGAGGTCGGGAGTTCAAGACCAGCCTGACCAACAAGGAGAAACCCCATCTCTACTAAAAATACAAAATTAGCCGGGCAAGATGGCACATGCCTGTAATCCCAGCTACTCGGGAGGCTGAGGCAGGAGAATCACTTAAACCCAGAAGGCGGAGGTTTTGGTGAGCTGAGATCGCACCATTGCACTCCAGCGTGGGCAACAAGAGCAAAACTCCATCTCAATAAATAAATAAATCCATATAAATTTACTTGGGACGGCCGGGTGAGGTGGCTCACACTTGTAATCCCAGCACTTTTGGAGGCTGAGGAGCATGAGGTCAGGAGATCGAGACCATCCTGACCAGCATGGTGAAACCCCATCTCTACTAAAAAAACAAAAAAAAATTAGCTGGGTGTGGTGGTGCATGCCTGTAATCCCAGCTACTCAAGAGGCTGAGGCAGGAGAATCACTTGAAGCCGGGGGGCAAAGATTGCAGTGAGCCGAGATCGTGCCACTGCACTCCAGCCTGTCAACAGAGCAAGACTCTGTCTCAAAAAAAAAAAAAAAAAAAAAATCTACTTGGGACAACTGGTTAAATGGGCATATTTCCAGACCCCACCCCAGAGATTGTGGTTCAATTGATCAGAGACTGGGCAGCACCCCAAAATTGGCATTTTTACCCTGTAGCCTGGGTAATTCTGATGTATTTGGCCATAGACCATGCTTTGAAACACTGTATGCATTACAAAATTTTTTTTCTTTTTTTTTTTTTTTTGAGACAGGGTCTCACTCCGCCATCCTGGCTGGAGTGCAATGACATGATCTCGGCTCAGTTCAACCTCCACCTCCAGGGCTCAAGTGATCCTTCCACCTCAGCCTCCCAAGTAGCTGGGACCCCCTGGCATGTGCCACCATGCCCAGCTAATTTTTGTATTTTTATTTTATTTTATTTTATTTTGACATGGAATCTTGCTCTGTCACCCAAGCTGGAGTGCAGTGGCACGATCTCAGCTCACTGCAATCTCTGCCGCCTGGGTTCAAGCGATTCTCCTGTCTCAGCCTCCTGAGTAGCTGGGATTACAGGCACACACCACCACGCCTGGCTAATTTTTTTGTATTTTTAGTAGAGACGGAGTTTCAGCATCTTGGCCAGGCTGGTCTTGAACTTCTGACCTCATGATCCACCCGTCTCAGCCTCCCGAAGTGCCAGGATTACAGGCGTGAGCCACTGTGCCCAGCCATTTTTGTATTTTCAGTAGAGGCAGGGTTTCACCACTTTGGCCAGGCTGTTCTCAAACTTCTGACCTCAAGTGATCTACCTGTCTCGGCCTCTCAAAGTGCTAGGATTACTACCGTGCCAAGCATATGCATTAAATTTAGCAATCACGTAAGTGTGAGGAAGAAAATACCTAAATAAATGGGCGAGAAGTATTACATTCCTTGCTAAACAGTGTAGGGTGGTGGCAAAACACTTTTAAATCTGTCAGATCTACCATCAGAACTTGCCGCCACTTTTTTACTGGCTGGAGATTTTATTTTATTTTATTTTATTTTTGAGACGGAATCTGGCTCTGCCGCCCAGGCTGGAGTGCAGTGGCGCGATCTTGGCTCACTGCATGCTCCGCCTCCTGGGTTCACACCATTCTCCTGCCTCAGCCTCCCGAGTAGCGGGACTACAGGCGCCGACTGGCTGAAGATCTATAGAAAGTTTTTGTCTCTGATCTTGTTTGCTCCTAGGCAAACTGGTTTTATATTGAAGACATTAGAAAATCTTTACTGTACTATAACTTTATTCCGTTCCTTATTATAATGCCTCAGTTGTTTAAAAATGTAAATGGCCTGGTGTGGTGGCTTATGCCTGTAATCCCAGCACTTCGGGAGGCCGAGGCGGGTGGATCACGAGGTCAAGAGATCGAGACCATCCTGGCCAACATGGTGAAACCTTGTCTACTAAAAATACAAAAATTAGCTGGGTGTGGTGGTGCATGCCTGTAGTCCCAGCTACTCAGGAGCCTGGGGCAGGAGAATCGCTTGAACCTGAGAGGCAGAGGTTGCAGTGAGCTGAGATCGCGCTATTGCACTCCAGGCTGGCGACAGAGCGAGACTCCATCTCAAAAAAAAAAAAAAAAAGTAAATAATGTAATGTAACTTTTAATTGTCTATTTTGCAGGTGAACTTGAAAAAGAGTTATTGCACTAACAGTGTAAATAAAATTGAAACAAAAACTAAAATGGATTTCCATGTGAGAACAAATATCGATTATTATTATTATTTTTTTTTTTTTTGAGGCAGAGTTTCCCTCTGTTGCCCAGGCTGGAGTGCAGTGGCACAATCTCAGCTCACCTCAACCTCTGCCTCCTGGGTCCAAGCGAGAACGTCTGGTTAATTTTTCAATTTTTGGTAGAAACAGGGTTTCACCATGTTGGCCAGGCTGGTCTCAAACTCTTGACCTCAAGTGATCTGAACACCTCAGCCTCCTAAAGTGCTGGGATTACAGGTATGAGTCACCATGCCCAGCCTGTTATTTTTATTTAATGCAATTTTTTTTTTCTTTTGAGACCAAGTCTCGCTCTGTCACTCAGGCTGGAGTGCAGTAGCACAATCTTGGTTCACTGCAACCTCTGCCTCCCAAATTCAAGCGATTCTCCTCCCTCAGCCTGCTAGTAGCTGGGACTTCAGGCACCTATCACCACAACAAGTTAATTTTTGTATTTTTTTAGTAGAGTCCGGGTTTCACCATGTTGAGCAGGCTGGTCTCGAACTCCTGACCTCAAGTGTTCCTCCTGCTTCAGCCTCCCAAAGTGCTGGGATTACAGGCGTGAGTCACCGTGCCCAGCCACAAATACTGATTATTTAAGTTCACATATAGGATAGTTAGCTTCTTAGGGTAACTTCTTAGTGCTTTTACTTCCCATTCTAACAGTAAAAGACTATTAGGATTTCGTGGGTTTCTTGGGGCTTCCAAAATACATTGCTGGGGAAGGGGGGTGCATCCCTCCAACACCCCCGCTTTCCCTACCCTCCACCCCTAACTCCACCGCCAGACTCCTCCACTCTTTAATCCCATCAAGGAAGTGATAAGATTTTTTCTTCAACTATTTTCTCTAATTATTTTGGAATAATTTGGATTTACAGAAAATTTGCAAAGATAGTTCAGAAAGTTCCCATTATACACTCACACAGGATAAGATTTATTTTTAGAAATAATCCTAAGTACTTTGTTATGTGTAACCGTCAATCACAACATCCTATCATAATCTTGATTAATTGGTTGTTTTGCTGATCATCCTAGGCAAGTTTCCCCCTTACTTTTTTTGTGTCTATGTTATCATTTCCTAATCTCACTGAATCTCTGGACAAAGCTCTTTAGGGGATGCTAATGCTCTCTCCACCTTCCATTCTAAGTCCTAGGAATTTTGGCATATTTTGGCATGGGCCTACATGTTGAATACCCTGGTGGCAGCCTGGCCTTGACCTATTGATGACATTATCAGTGCTGACCAACAGGAACTTTAATTAAATGAGCTACCCCTTTTGCAAATCTAAGTATGAGACATTCTGGTTTCTTCCTAGTCTGCCAGAAACAAACCTTGGAGGCCTGGATGACATGGTCTTCTGGGGACTGACTTAAATGATCTCTGCAAGCATGATAGGCACCAAATCACAATTATATCTACCTTCCTTGGTAGATTCTAGCACTGTAGCTTTACTTTTAAAATAACTTTAGAGTTAAATGCAAAATTTTAAAAATTTAAGTTAAATTTAGATTAAATATTTTAAATTTTAGTTTAAATGTTTTTTCTTTATAGCATTTACCCCATGCAAAACATATTCTTATGAATGAATTGTCTGGTATGAGCTTCTTACATCAGCATGACCTTTTTGCTTAAGCACATTATTCTTGTTAAACTGATTTTAACAACAGCCATTGTTATAAATTAGGAAGAAAATAAGTTGCTTTCCCCATGCTAACTCTTTATTTCTTAAATGGAGGAGAGTGGACCAGATAATCTGAGTGGTGGAGGGGGGAAAAGAATTTGCTTTGGAGGCCAGGCATGATGGCTCATGCCTGTAGTTCCAGCACTTTGGAAGGCTGAGATGGGAGGATCTCTTGAGGCCAGGAGTTTAAAACAAGCCTGGTCAATATAGCGAGACCCCATCTCTATTTTTTTTAAATTTATTTTAAAAAAAAAAGAATTTGCTTTGGATCCAGGCAGTCACTTGTGGGTTGCTATCTTAAGCAAGTTTCTTAATTTCTCAAAGCCTCTGTTCTCTTATCTGTGAAGTGGTTATAATACCTATCTTATTTAATAGCTGTAAGGACTAAATAATTTATAATACAGTGACTTGCAGCAAATGGGAGTTGTCCACTTTATTAATAAATGCATTATAGTTTTGTGTACATTTATTTTGTCTTTCCCACTGACATGGAAGCTCCTCAAAGATAGTGTGGTTCTTTTTTTTTTTTTTTTGAAACAGAGTTGCGCCCTGTCACCCAGTCTGGCGTGCAATGGTGCAATCTCGGCTCATTGCAACCTCTGCCTCCTGGGTTCAAGCGATTCTCCTACCTCAGCCTCCCGAGTAGCTGGGATTACAGGTGCCTCCCACCATGCCCGGCTAATTTTTTTGTATTTTTAGTAGAGACAGGGTTTCACCATGTTGGCCAAGCTGGTCTTGAATTCCTGACCTAGGGTGATCCATCCACCTTGGCCTGCCAAAGTGCTAGGATTACAGGTGTGAGCCTCCACACCTGGCCAGTGTGATCCTTTTGTATCCCCTGGGAACTCAGGACAGCACTGAACAGGGAGTAAACTCCAAGTGGCTGTATTATTGCATTGCTGTTTTCCAAGTTAACAACTGGTTTGAATTTTAATGAATGTTACCCGTGAGCTAATATTGACTCGCCAAAACTCTCACAGTTGCAACATGGCCACACAAATTGAGTAATGTTTTAGCTTAAAAAATAAAAATAAAAAATAAAACCCTAGCTATTTCATTAGGTCTTTACAAAACTACTTTTCGTGGACTGGAATAGTTTAATACTGATGAAGGCATAAGTTAAGTTACTGAGAAGGACAAACTATGAATGGATTGGATTTGGGAAGTACAGAGAATGAGAAAATGCCTCACATGTGACCAGTTGGGTGCGTAACTTCAAAAAGAGCTTTGGAAAAGAATAGCAAGGCTGTTAATTAAGGTAGAGTTTGTAGTTTTATCTTAAAGAATAATAACTTGTTAGCATAAGATCTTATTTTTTTTAATCAGTACTATCACTGTTCAGACACGAATAGGACTTGACAGTCTAACGAAATGTTGAAGTGTTCACAACTTGTGAAATTCAGGGGGCCTAAATAAGCTATAAAGACCTCTGTAAAAACAAGCGTATTAATAAAGAGCAGAAGGGCTGGGCTCGGTAGCTCATGTCTGTAATCCCAGCACTCTGGGAGGACAAGGCGTGTGGATCACTTGAGGTCAGGAGTTTGAGACCAGCCTGGCCAACGTGCTGAAACCCCATCTCTACTAAAACTACAAAAATTAACTGGGCCTCGTGGCATGCACCTGTAATCCCAGCTACTCAGAAGACTGAGGCACGAGAGTCACTTGAACCTGGGAGGCAGAGGTTGCCGTGAGCCGAGATAGCGTCACTGCACTCCAGACTGGGTAACAGAGCGAGACTCTGTCTTAAAAAAAAAAAAAATCAAATATTTAAAACACTCTGGTAGAGGAGAGTCTACCAGGGACTATGGGGAGTGGGAAGGGAGAGGTTTTTGTTTTGTTTTGTTTTGTTTAATTTCCACCACCTTGTCTAAGAGAGTTGTTAGTTAATGGGTACAAAGTTTTTGTCAGGGATGATAAAAAATTTTAGGTATAGATAGTGATAATTACACAACATTGTGGATATAGTTTAGCCACTGAATTGTACACTTGTGAGTGGTTCAAATGATGGACATTATGTTATGTATCTTATCGCGATAAACCTTGCCACCTCCCAGGGAGAAAAAAAGTTATCAGGCTGGGTGTGGTGGCTCACACCAGTAATTCCAGCACTTTGGGAGGCAGGCAGATCACTTGAGGTCAGGCATTCAAGACCAGCCTGGCCAACATGGTGAAACCCCACCTCTACTGCAAATACAAAAATATTAGCTACTCAGGAGGCTGAGGCAGGAGAATCACTTGAACCCATAAGGCAGAAGTTGCAGTGAGCCAAGACAGTGCCACTGCACTCCAGCCTGGGTGACAGAGCAAGACTTTGTCTCAAAAAGAAAAAAAATAGTTATCTTTGGGCTATTTCAAAAGTTTGATGATTTTCTACAAGGAATGTACCTGCCCTTGCACTTTGTTTATAGCACAGAAGGAAGAAAAAATATTTGACCTCTTCAAGCTCAATCTTTAGGGTTATTTTTATTCTATCTTGAGTTAGTAATCAATTTCTTTTCAATTCTCAAACTCAAGTTTCACAATCACAAACCACAAAACAAAACAATCAGTACCAGGACAAAAACACACAACAAAACAAAACACCACACAATACATAAATCAGGAACTGGGAGAAATGGAGTAGTGGTGAGAAGAATATGAATGCTATTTCCCTCTTTCTACAGGATTCTAAGAATTTCTTTTCTATTACTGTTGATTCAAAAGAGGCCGTTTCAGCTTTTGGGTCCAAAAACTGGTAATGTGATTTCAAACAATATTGTCTTTTTTTTTTTTTTTTTGAGATGGGGATCTCACTCTGTCACCCAAGCTGGAGTGATGTGGCACGATCTTGGTTCACTGCAACTTCCGCCTCCTGGGCTCAAGCGATCCTCCCACCTCAGCCTCCTGAGTAGCTGGTACTACAGGTATGTGTCACCACATCTGGCTAATTTTTGGGGGTATTTTTAGTAGAGGACAGGGTTTCGCCATGTTGCCCAGGCTGGTATCGAGCTCCTGAGCTCAAGTAATCCACCCACCTTGGCCCTTCAAAGTGCTAGGATTACAGACATGAGCCACTGCACCAGGCCAAATATAGTCATTATATGTCACTAAAACATAACTGGAGGCCCAGTGAGTTCAATTAAATTTTGTGCATATGTGTGGATAGTATGCTTTTATGCACATATAAACACATGGTAACTTAATGACCTGAAGGGCTTTTAGAAAAGAATTTGATTTATTTATTTATTTATTTGAGATGCAGTCATGTTCTATCACCCAGGCTGTAATGCAATGGCCTGATCTTGACTCACTGCAACCTCCACCTCCTGGGCTCAAGCAATTCTCCTGCTTCAGCCTCCCAAGCAGCTGGGATTACAGGCACCCACCATCATGCCTGGCTAATTTTTGTATTTTTAGTAGAGATGGGGTTTCACCATGTTGGCCAGGCTGGTCTTGAACTCCTGACCTCGTGATCCACCCATCTCGGCCTCCCAAAGTGCTGGGACTACAGGTGTGAGCCACCGCATTCGGCCAAGAATTTGGTATTTTAACAGTATCCTGCCAAAAGAAATAAAATGATTTGGGAAGAGGGATGAGTAGTTGAGACACTTTGATCTTTAAAAATCAACTTATTGAGGTGCAATTTACATATCATAAAATGCACTCATTTTTTTTTTCTTGAGACAATGTCTTGCTCTGTTGCCCAGGCTGGAGTTGCCCAGTGGTACAATCACAGCTCACTGCAGTGTCGACATCCCAGGCTCAAGTGATCCTCCCACCTCAGACTCCCAAGTAGATGGGACTACAGCGTGCCACCCCGCCCAGCTCATTTTTTTTTTTTTTGTGGAGGTGATGTATCACGATGTTGCCCAGGCTGGTTTCCAACCCTCAGTCTCAAACGAGCCTTTTCCCTTGGCCCCGCAAAGTGTTGGGATTACAGGTGTGAACCACTGAGCCTGACCTTCATTGATTAATTGATTGACTTTTTAAAAGACTCCTGGCCGGGTGTGGTGGTTCACACCTGTAATCCCAGCACTCTGGGAGGTCAAGATGTGTGGATCACCTGAAGTCAGGAGTTCAAGACCAGCCTGGCCAACATGGTGAAACCCCATCTCTACTAAAAATACAAAAATTAGCCTGGGGTGGTGGCACACGCCTGTAATCCCACCTACTTGGGAGTCTGAGGCGGGAGAATCGCCTGAACCTGGGAGTCAGAGATTGCAGTGGGCCAAGATCATGCCATTGCACTCCAGCCTAGGCAAAAAGAGCGAAACTCCATCTCAAGAAAAAAAAAAAAAAAAAAAAGACTCCTGACTTCAGCAAGAATAGGGATTTTTTTGTAGTCCTAACGTAGTCCTAATGAAACAAGAATAGGGATTTTGTTGAAAAGAGGTGTAGAGGTAGAGAAGGAGATGTAAGAATGTCTGCAAATTGACTCTGGAGGCTGAGGCAGGAGGATTGTTTGAGCCCAGGAGTTCAAGACCAGCCTGGACAACACAGCAAGACCCCATCTCTACAAAAAAAAAAAAAAAAAGAAAGAAAGAAAAGAAAATAAGCCAGGTGGGGTGGTGTGCATCTGTAGTCCCAGCTTCTCAGGAGGCTGAGGTGGTAGGATCACTTGAGTCTAGGAGGTCAAAGCTGCACAGATCGGTGATCATGCCACTGCCCTCCAGCCTGGGCAACAGAGAGAGACCTTGTCTCAAAAAAAAGAAGAAGAAGAAGAAATAAGAGGAGGAGGAGGAGGAAGGAGGAAGGAGAAGGGAGAAGAAGAGGAAGAGGAAGAAGAAGAGAAAAATTAGCCAGGCATAGTGGTGTGCACCTGTAGTCTCGGCTACTTGGGAGGCTGAGGTGGGAGGCTCACTTGAGCCCAGGAGGCAGAGGGTGCAGTGAGCCAAGATTATACCACTACACTCCAGCCTGGGTGACAGAATGAGACCCTGTCTCAAAAAACAAACAAACAAACAAACAAACAAAAAAACGATGAAGATGAGAGAAGACGAGGAAAAAGAAAGAAGGAGGGGGAGGAGAAAGAAGAAAGGAGAAAGCCAGGTATGGTGGTGCATGCCTGTAGTCCCAGCTTCTTGGGAAGCTGAGGCAGGAGGATCGCTTGAGCCCAGGAGTTTGAGAGCAGCCTGGTCAACATGGCAAGACTCTGTCTAAGAAGAAAAGAAAACCCTCTGTAACAAGCAGACCTGGCTCTAAAAATAGCCACTTATATAACTAATTATGGAATGTCTAGTGTAAAAGAAGCCCAGTATCTATGAGAACGATGCAAACATTTGCCTATTCTCCATGCAGCTCTATCTTCTCCAGTCTTGGGCTGATCATTCCTGTTGATTGCCTTCTAGCCTTCTAGCATTAAGGCAGCCTTCTGTAATAAAACTAGTGTTTTGATTTGTGAAGTGTCAAGTGTTTTCATTTGCTCTCACATGAATCTTTTTTTTTCTTTCTTTTCTTTTTCTCTTTCTTTTTTTTTTTTTTTTTAGACAGAGTCTCACTCTATTGCCCAGGCTGTTGTGCAATGGCACAATCTCGGCTTACTGCAACCTCCACCTCCCAGGTTCAAGTGATTCTTCTGTCTCAGCCTCCCAAGTAGCTGGGATTACAAGGGTGCACCACCACATCTGGCTAAATTTTGTATTTTTAGTAGAGACTAAAACATAGTTTCACCATGTTGGCCAAGCTAGTCTTGAACTCCTGACCTCATGATCTGCCTGCCTCGGCCTCCCAAAGTGCTGGGATTACAGGTGTCAGCCACCACGCCCAGCCTCTCACACAAATCTTCAAACAGTACACAGGGTCACTTATAAATCCTAAAAAAGACAACATAGGAATAGCCATAACCCAGAACAAAGCAATCACACTTATGTTGAGATCAGTTGTTTCAATGCAGACATTTGCATTTCAATACTCTGGGCTTTAGACAGTATTACAAGGCTGTCTTGACTTCCTACCAACCAGCTATGCATTCTGATTAAAAACTTTCCCCCTTAACTTCTTTTATTTTTCTTTTTAATTTTTTGGGTTTTTTTTTTCAGACGGGGTCTCACTATGTTGCCCAGGCTGGTCTCGAACTCTTGGGCTCAAGTGATCTGCTCGCCTCAGCCTCCTAAAGTGCTAGGATTACAGGCTTGAGAGTCACCATGCCTGGCCTCTCCTTAACTTCTAATTGAGCATTATAAAAGAAAAGCTCTGTGACTTTATTAAGAGTTTTAACCTTAAGATGTCCATTTTTTTTAAACAAAATAAGGCAAAAGATTGACTAAAGTAGAAATTAGTGACTGTATCTTAATAGTGTTTTACAATCTCTAATACTATCCTTTGGAAACTCTTGAGTGATACGCACAGCATTATACCCTCTTTTTTCTTTTTTGCACAAACAGTCCTACTGTAGTTATTCCCTACTCTTGAACTCATTTGCTATTTTCAGCTTGATATTGTGCCTTTTCTATATTAATAGCTGTACATTTTGGTTATTTTATTTTATTTTATTTTATTTTGAGACAGGGTCTCGCTCTGTCACCCAGACTGGAGTGCACTGGCACAGTCATGGCTCACTGAAACCTCTGCCCCGAGAGCTCAAGTGATCCTCCCATCTCAGCCTCCCAAGTAGCTGGAACCACAAGTGCTCCCCACCACGTCCAGCTATTACTTTTTTTTGTAAAGATGGGGTTTCGTCATGTTGCCCAGGCTGATCTGGAACTCCTGGGCTCAAGTGATCCACTCGCCTCAGCCTCACAGAGTGCTGGGATTACAGGCCATGAGCCACTGCACCCGGCCTGGTTAATTATTTTTTGATTCAGTAATCTGTTTACTTCTAAAAGGAGTCCCATACTGTTAACCTCAGAAATTCAAATGTATGCTTAGTAACTACAAGGAATAATTTTATTTTATTTTTTGAGACAAGCTCTCTGTCACCCAGGCTGGAGTGCAGTGTGATCACAGCTCACTGCAGCCTCAACCTCCAGGACTCAAGAAATTCTCCTGCCTCAGCCTCCCAAGTAGCTGGGATCACAGGTGTGACACCATGCCCAGCTAATTTATTTTTATATTTTGTAGAGACAGGGTCTCCCTATGTTGTCCAGGCTGAACTTGAACTCCTGAGCTCAAGCAATCCTCTTGCCATGGCCTCCCAAAGTGTTGGGATTATGGGCGTGAGCCACCATGCCCAGTCAAGAAACTAAGAATACTTAATGGCCGGGTGTGGTGGTTCACACCTGTAATCCCAGCACTTTGGCAGGCCAAGGTGGGTGGATCACCTGAGCTCAGGAGTTCAAGACCAGCCTGGCCAACATGGTGAAACCCTGTCTCTACTAAAAACACAAAAATTAGCCAGACATGATGGTGGGTGCCTGCAATCCCAGCTACTCGGCAGGCTGAGGCATGAGAATCACTTGAATCCGGGAGGCAGAGGTTGCAGTGAGCTGAGATTGTGCCATTGCACTACAGCCTAGGTGACAGAGCCAGACTCCGTCTCCAGAAAAAAAAAAATAAAGCTAAATGTGCAAAGACTTTTTGTTTGTTTCCATTATCCATCCCTGAAATCTAACAGACAATTAAATAGGCTTAAACAAGATAATCAAAGATAATTAAATTGCCTAGAAAATGTAACTGAAAGAATCAAAAGCCAGGCGCAGTGGCTCACGCCTGTAATCCCAGCACTTTGGGAGGCTGAGGCAGGCAGATCATGAGGTCAGAAGATCAAGACCAGCCTGGCTAACACAGTGAAACCCCGTCTCTACTAAAAATACAATAAAAATTAGCAGGGCGTGGGGGCACGCGCCTGTAGTTCCAGCTACTCCAGAGGCTGAGGCAGGAGAATCGCTTTAACCTGGGAGGTGGAGGTTGCAGTGAGCCGAGATCTCGCCACTGCACTCCAGCCTGGGCGACAGAGTGACACTCCATCTCAAAAAAATTAAATTAAATTAAAATTAAAAAGATTTTAGCTGGGAGCGGTAGCTCACGCCTGTAATCCCAGTGCTTTGGGAGGCCGAGGCAGGTGGATCACGAGGTCAGGAGGTTGAGACCATCCTGCCTAACACGGTGAAACCCCGTCTCTACTAAAAAAATACAAAAAATTAGCCGGGTGTGGTGACGGGCGTCTGTAGTCCCAGCTACTTGGGAGGCTGAGGCAGGAGAATGGCGTGCACCCAGGAGGCGGAGCTTGCAGTGAGCCGAGATCACGCCACTGCACTCCAGCCTGGGCGACAGAGCAAGACTCCGTCTCAACAACAAAAAAAAAGATTTTAAACAAGAATTAAATATTATTTAAACTGGTGGATTAAGTTTCAAACATGTCCATCCTTACATGAAATAGAAAATGGTCCTTATTAGAGGAAAATCCATTTTTCCCCCCATAGATACAAGGTCTTGCTATGTTGCCCAGGCTGGTCTCAAACTCCTGGGCTCAAGCAGTCCTCTCACCTCCGCCTCCCAAAGTGCTGGGATCACAGGCGTGAGCCACCCCACCCGGCTGAGCAAAATCCTTTATTTTATTTTATTTTATTTTATTTTATTTTATTTTGAGATGGATCCTCGCTCTGTCACCCAGGCTGGAGTGCAGTGGTGCGATCTTGGCTCACTGCAACCTCTGCCTCCTGGGTTCAAGCGATTCTCTGCCTCAGCCTCCGGAGTAGCTGGGATTACAGCAACTGCCACCATGCCCAGCTAATTTTTGTATTTTTAGTCGAGATGGGGTTTCACCATCTTGGCCAGGCTGATCTTGAACTCCTGACCTCGTGATCCACCTGTCTTGGCCTCTTGAAGTGCTGGGATTACAGGCATGAGCCAACACGTCTGGCCTGAAAATCATTTTTTTAAAATTTATTTATTTATTTTTGAGACCGAGTGTCGCTTTGTCGCCCAGGTTAGAGTGCAGTGGCACCATCTCAGCTCACTGCAACCTCCACCTCCCAGTTTCAAGCGATTCTCCAGCCTCAGCCTCCCGAGTAGCTGGGACTACAGATGCGCGCCACCACATCCAGCTAATTTTTGTATTTTTAGTAGAGACAGGGTTTCACCATGTTGGCCAGGCTAGTCTTGAACTCCTGACCTCAGGTGATCCACCCGGTTGGCCTCCCAAAGTGCTGGTATTACAGGCGTGAGCCACCACACCCAGCCTGCAAATCCTTTTAAATATGACATATGGCTGGGCACAGTGGCTCACGCCTGTAATCCCAGCACTTTGGGAGGCCAAGGCAGGTGGATCATGAGGTCAGGAGATTGAGACCATCCTGGCTAACATGGTGAAACCCCGTCTCTATTAAAAATACAAAAAAAAATTAGCAGGGCGTGGCAGCGGGTGCCTATAATCCCAGCTACTTGGGAGGCTGAGGCAGGAGAATGGCATGAACCCGGTAAGTGGAGCTTGCAGTGAGCCGAGATTGTGCCACTGCACTCCAGCCTGGGCAACAGACCGAGACTCCATCTCAAAAAAAAAAAAAAGATGACATATGTCTGAAGAGATGGCCTGACTGAAGAGGAAAAGTACTTCCTCTTCCTTTCTGTATCTGATAAAGTTTTCTTCAACATTTGCTCTGAATTTACCATTTAACTGGTTTTTCAAGGCTTAAATTTATTCCACAAGTATTTATTAGTCCTAATCACTGTTGGAGATTGTAAAACTGGACTTGGAGTCCCATGATAGAGCCTCAAACTGTGTACCTAGCTTTATTTTTTCTAGAGCAGGGTTTCTCGGCCTTGGCACTGTTGACATTTGGGGCTGGATAGTGCCTTGTTGTAGGGGGCTGTTCTGTGCACTGTAAGACATTTAGCAGCATCGTTAGCTGCCACTCATTAGATGCCAGTAGGATTCCAAAGTCATGACAATAAGAAATGTTCAGGCCAGGCACGGTGGCTCACGCCTGTAATCTCAGCATTTTGGGAGGCCGAGGCAGGTGGATCACCTGAGGTCAGGAATTCGAGACCAGCCTGGCCAACATGGTGAAACTCCGTCTCTACTTAAAACACAAAAAATTAGCTGGGCGTGGTGGTACACACCTGTAATCCCAGCTACTCAGGAGGCTGAGGCAGAAGAATCACTTGAACCCAAAGGTGGATGTTGCCTGTGCACTCTAACCTGGGATGGTGCCACTGCACTCTAACCTGGGTGACAAAGCGACACTCAGTCTCAAAAATAAATAAATTAATTAATTAAAAAAAAAAAGGATTTTCAGGCCGGACGCGTTGGCTCACGCCTGTAATCCCAGCACTTCAAGAGGCCAAGACAGGTGGATCATGAGGTCAGGAGTTCAAGATCAGCCTGGCCAAGA
Source organism: Homo sapiens (assembly GCF_000001405.40). Classification (NCBI taxonomy): domain Eukaryota; kingdom Metazoa; phylum Chordata; class Mammalia; order Primates; family Hominidae; genus Homo; species Homo sapiens. The sequence goes on along the minus strand of NC_000006.12, from coordinate 73,539,589 downwards.
TGGTGAAACCCCATCTCTACTAAAAATACAAAAATTAGGAGTGCAGTGAGCCAAGATTGTGCTACTGCACTCCAGCCTGGAGGACAAGAGCAAGACTTCATCTCAAAATATAAAAAAATAAAAATACAAAAATTAGCCAGGCGTGGTGGTGCACACCTGTAATCCTAGCTACTTGGGAGGCTGAGGCTGGAGAATCGCTTGAACCTGGGAGGCAGAGGTTGCAGGGAGCTGAGATCCTGCCATTGCACTCCAGACTGGGTGACAAGAGTGAAACTCCATCTCAAAAAAAAATGTTTCCAGACATTGTCAATTGTCCCAGGGGAGGGGGTGGGGACAGGGGGAATGAACACTCTTGGTTTGAGAATCACTGTTCTAGAACCACACAGGACTACTCAGTTTTCCTTAAACAAGCCATGAATTCACATCTCTTTTTTTATTTTTTATTTTTTTTTAGGTGGAGTCTCCCTCTTTCACCCAGGCTGAAGTGCAGAGGCATGATCTGGGCTCACTGCAACCTCTGCCTCTCAGGTTCAAGCGATTCTCCTGCCTCAGCCTCCTGAGTGGCTGGGATTACAGGTACTTGCTACTATACCCGGCTAATTTTGTATTTTGTATTTTTAGTAGAGACAGGGTTTCTCCATGTTGGTCAGGCTGGTCTCAAACTCCCGACCTCAGGTGATCCACTTGCCTCAGCCTCCCAAAGTGCTGGGATTACAGGTGTGAGCCACCACGCCCCGCCTCTTGATATCTTTCAAGACCCATATTCTCTATGAGGATTCCCCAGGTGCAATCTAGTGGTGAACCATTATCTGTCTGGTCCTTGCTTTCTTGAGGCCTATGGGTCAAGGGACAAAGGAGATAATTATCTAATATTCACTACAATTCATGTATATTTACAAACTAAGACAAGTGGGCATTGTGGCTTATTCATGCCTGTAATGGGCATGGTGGCCCACGCCTGTAATCCCAGCACTTTGTGAGGCTGAGGTGGGAGGATCGCTGGAACCCAGGAATTCGAGGCTAGCCTGGGCAACACAGTGAGACCCCTATCTCTACAAAAAACAAAAAATTAGCCAGGCATGGTGGTATGCGCCTGTGCTCCCAGGTACGCAGGAGGCTGAGGCAGGAGTATCACTTGAACCCAGGAGTTTCAGGCTGCAGTGAGCTGTGATAGTGTCACTGCACTCCAGCCTGGGCCACAGGGGGAGACTCTGTCTCTAAAAACAAAACAAAAAGTTAATTTTTTAAAAAAGGTACTTTCTGGCCAGGCATGGGGGCTCATGCCTGTAATCTCAGGACTGTGGGAGGTCGAGGTAGTTGGATCATTTAAGGTCGGGAGTTCAAGACCAGCCTGGCCAACATGGTGAAACCCCGCCTCTACTAAAAAATACAACAATTAGCTGGGCGTGGTGGCAGGCACCTGTAGTCCCAGCTACTCTGGAGGCTGAGGCAGGAGAATCGCTTGAACCTGGGAGGCAGAGGTTGCAGTGAGCCAAGATCACACTACTGCACTCCAGTCTGGGCGACAGAGTAAGATGCTGTCTCAAAAATAAATAAATAAATAAATAGAATAAAAAATAAAGGTACTTTCCATGTGGCAAATGATATGCAAGACATCACAAAGAGTGATGGGAAAGCACAGAGAAGGGCACAGCTCAATGTGGGGAATTCACAAGACCTCCAGAGGCTTCATTACTCTTACTCAGAATTATAGAAACTCAAGCTCATGCACTTTGCCCAAGATCACAGAACTCGTGACGAACAGAGACCTGATTCAGTGCCAAGTCTCTCCAAACCCAATACTGTGTTCTTCCCATTCCCCCAGTGTCCTTCCTGTAGCCACAGCACTTTATTTCTCCTGTTTAGCACTGACTTTATCTTAAAATGTGTAATTTATATGGCAACAACACTTTCCATAATCCTAAAACAGTATATGTAATTTTGCTTAAATACTGTCCTATCATCATTACATTTCAAAAATGATTTGGAAAATTATCACAGCTTTTTTTTTTTTTTTTAGATGGAGTCTCACTCTGTTGCCCAGGCTCAAGTGCAGTGGTGCTATCTCGGCTCACTGCAACTCCGCCTCCCGGGTTAAAGCAATTCTTCTGCCTCAGCCTCCGAGTAGCTGGGACTACAGGCACCCACCACCAGGCCCAGCTAATTTTTGTATTTTCAGTAGAGACAGGGTTTTACCATATTGGCCAGGCTGGTCTCCAACTTCTGACCTTGTGATCTGCCTGCCTCAGCCTCCCAAAGTGCTGGGATTACAGGTGTGAGCCACTATCATAGCTTTTTTTGTAAACTGCATTATCTGACCCTATAACGGTTATCTGATCATTCTCAAAGACCACTGAACAATAATGCTTAATAGGTGCTTATCAGGTTTCTCATTTATTTTATTATTATTATTATTTTAAATAATAAAGAGTCTCGCTCTTGTCTCCCAGGCTGGAGTGTAATGGCGCAATCTCAGCTCACTGCAACCTCTGCCTCCCAGGTTCAAGCAATTCTCCTGCTCAGCCTCTCGAGTAGCTGGGATTACAGGCACCTGCCACCACGCCCTGCTTTTTTTTTTTTTTTTTGTATTTTTAGTAGAGATGGGGTTTCACCATATTGGCCAGGCTAGTCTTGAACGCCTGACCTTAGGTGATCCACCCACCTTGTCCTCCCAAAGTGCTGGGATTACAGGTGTGAGCCACTACACCAGGCCATAACTTTTCTCATTTATAAACTGGGGATATTAACAGTATTTACCCTTATAGTAACTGTAAGAATTAAATTAGTTAATATGTATAAAACATGTAGAATGGTTCTTGTCTGGGTCTGAGATCAGTAAACACTATAATTACTGAAAGAGGGGATGGATTAATGGTTGGATGATAAAGAAACAGAGGCATGTCTCTGTTCTCAATGAGTTCCTTCAGCCCTTACCATCCCCTACTTGTCTTTAAGCCAGTCCTAGTTATAAGTGTGACCAACTCTTCTGATTAGGCCACATGAAAACGTCATTCTTTATTTGCTAAGTAGACATCAAGGCAACGATGTTTAAGGATGTTCCCTACCTCTACCAGGGCCTGGGTGAACCCCTCACTCCCAGGCAAACTTTAAAAAATCAAGCAAGTAGCTAGGTATGGTGGTGTGGGCCTGTAGTCCCAGCTACTTAGGAGGCTAAGGCAGGCGAATCCCTCGAGCCCAGGAGTTGGAGGTTATAGTGAGCTATGATCATGCTACTGCACTGTAGACTAAGCGACAGAATGAGACCTTTTCTTTGAAAGAAAGAAAGAAAAAATAAAAAAGCTGGGTGGGGTGATTCCCACCTGTAATCCCAGCACTTTGTGAGGCCGAGGCGGGTGGATCATCTGAGGTCAGGAGTTCGAGACCAGCCTGACCAACACGATGAAACCCCATCTCTACTAAAAATACAAAAATTAGCCAGGCATGGTGGTGCGTGCCTGTAATCCCAGCTACTCAGGAGGTTGAGGCAGGAGAATTGCTTGAACCCGGAAGGCGGAGGTTGCAGTGAGCCGAGATTACACCACTGTACTCCAGCCTGGGCTACAGAGCGAGACTCCGTCTCCACCATCGTCAAAAAAAAAAAAAAAGCAAGAAAACATAGTGCAAGTCCAAACTAGAAAAGAAGAAAGACCAAGGCACATTAGGAAGACGGCTGGAAAACATATGAATTATAGAATGATTTTTAATACCCAAGGGCAGGTTTTCATAGTTAAAACTGAAGACAATGTCAGTGAAATATATGTACTTGAGGAGAAGCAGACTCCATTCCCAGATTCCCTCTCTATGTATTCATTCAACAGATGTCTACTGAACATCTACTATGCACCACACACTGGATACCACGGTTAAAACAAAAAAAGTCAGGAAAGATCTTTGCTTTGGAATTTCAATTCTAGGAGAGGAGACAAAGCTGAAAAAATAGTCAAATGAATAAGATAATTACATGTTGTGGTAAGTGTTTAGAAGGAAACAAAGAAGACGCTATAATGGAAAGTAACAGGGGACCTTCTTTTTTTTTTTTTTTTTTTTTGGAAATGGAGTCTTGCTCTGTCGCCAGGCTGGAGTGCAATGGTGGGATCTTGGCTCACTACAACCTCTGTCTCCCGGGTTCAAGAGATTCTCCTGCCTCAGCCTCCCAAGTAGTTGGGACTACAGGCACCAGCCACCACACCCGGCTAATTTTTGTATTTTTAGTAGAGATGGGGTTTCACCATGTTGTCCAGGCTGGTCTTGAACTCCTGACCTCAGGTGATCTGCCCACTCAGCCTCCCAAAGTGCTGGGATTACAAGCGTGAGTCGCTATGCCCAGCCGTTTTTTTTAATTTTTAAATAGAGATGGGGGTCTTGCTATACTGCCCAGGCTGGTCTCAAATGCCTGGCCTCAAGCAAGCCTCCCACCGTGGGCTTCTGAAGTGCTGGAATTTATAGGCATGAGCCACCATGCCCTGCCCAGCACAAGTACTTTGAAAGTCATTCATGTCTTTGGATTTGTCAATAGTTCATTCGTCGTTATTGCTAAGTAGTTTTCTAGTATATGGATATACCACCATTTGTTTTCCGTTCACCTGTTGATGGACATTTGGGTCGTTTCCATGTTTGTGGATAAAATAAAGCTGCTATGAACATTTTGGCCCAATTCTTTGTTTGGATATATGCTTTCATTTCTCTTGGGTAAACACTTGAAAGTGGAATGGATGGTCATATGGTAGATGTATGTTTAACTTTTTTTAGAAACTGCTAAACTGTTTTCCTAAAAGATTGTACCATTTTACATTCTCACCAGCTGTATAAGACTCCTAATTGCTTGCCAAAAGATGGTATTGTTAGTCTTTCTTTAATTTTAGCTACTTTAGTGGGTGTGTAGTGATATCTCATTGTGATTTTATTGTCTTCATTTGTGAAGGATAGTTTCACCAGATATAGAGTTCTAAGTTGACATATTTTGTTTTTTCCTTCAGTACTTTAAGATGTTGTTCATTTACCTCCTAGCTTCCATGTCCCTAATGAGAAGCAGTCAACCATTGCTCCCATGTATGTAATGTGTCCCTTGTATGTAATGTATTTTTCTCTGAGAACTTTCAGTTTTTTCTTTTTCTTTTCTTTTCTTTCCCTCCCTCCCCCCCTCCTCCCTTCCTTTCTTCCTTCTTTTTTTAATGTTACAAACCATCTTTATTGGTTGCAATGGAAAGTGGAAGAGGAAGGAATATAACAGTTCCCATTCCTGGAGTGGCATTTACAGACTTGGCCACTGCCCTCCAAAAGGAGTATTTTGTTGTGTCATTTGTTTTTGTTTTTGTTTTTGAAACAGGGTCTTGCTCCGTCACCCAGGCTGGAGTGCAGTGTCGCAATCATGGCTCACTACAGCCTCAACCTCCTGGGCTCAAGTGATCCTCCCACCTCAGCTCCCCAAGTAGCTGGGACCACAAGTGCATACCACCATGCCCAGTTAATTATTTGTAGAGATAAGGTCTCACTTTGTTGCTGAGGCTTGTCTTGAACTCCTGGGCTCAAGCAATCCCTTCTTGCCTCGGCCTCCGAAGGTGCTAGGATTACAGGTATGAGCCACCAAGCCCATCCAAGTTTTTTTCTTAAACTTTAGTTTTCACCAGTCTGACTGATGACTACAATGTGCCTAAACGAAGTCTTACTATCTTGCTTGGTTTTCATTCATTGGGTTGAATCTATCCTTCACTAAATTTGGGAAATGTTCAGCCATATTATTTCTTCATAACATATTAATGTAGATCAAAAATCTTAAAAGTAGTCCTACCTACAATTTTCATTTACCTTCTGCAACTCAAACTAACCTATTGATGTCTGACAGTGAGAACCATCCTTCCACAAAAATATATGTTAAAAAAATTTTTTTAAGTCAACTAGTCAATGATGGCATAGGGAAGCAGCTTACCCTTTATCCATTCAATTATTCATTTAGCAAAGTCATTGTGCAGGTACTATTTTAGGTCCTGAAGGTAGAATAATGAACAAAACATGATAGCTAATACTTAAACAATGTAAATAATTTAGAATACGTATATTAACTTATTTGTCATAATTTTATAAATGAGGAATATTATCCTCATTTTGCAAATAAAGAAGCTAAGACTTAAAGAGTTTAATATGCCTCAGGTCACATAGCTATTAAATATTAAGAGTTGGGCTTGGAACCCAGCTAGTCTGGCTCTAGAACATACACTTTTAATCCCTACTGCTTTACTCGCTAAAGGCAAAAAATGGAAGTCATAAGGTGGGCGGGCAGGCTTGATCTTTAGCCACATGAGCACTGGGCAAATCACTCAGTCATTCCCACAGTTTCTCACCTGTAAAATTAGTGGTTTTCAGTACATGGAGATTAAACTGTCTTCCAAAGTGAAGAGTTTATTGTTCTAGATCTTGAGCACAAAGGTTGGTATACGTTAACTGGAATTAATGAAATCAAGTGTGAAAACAATACAGTACTATCCATAAAGGAACAGTAGTATTTATTTTACAGTGGGTCCCCAGGTGGCAGATATACAAATTAATGGAGAGGCTGGGTGTGGTGGCTCACACCTGTAATTCCAGCACTTTGGGAGACCAAGGCAGGTGGATCACCTGAAGGTCAGGAGTTCGAGACCAACCTGGCCAACATGGTGAAACCTTGTCTCTACTAAAAATATAAAAAATTAGCTGGGTGTGGTGGTGGGCACCTGTAATCACAGCTACTCGGGAGGCTGAGGCAGGAGAATCATTTCAAGCCAGGCGGCAGAGGTTGCAGTGAGCCAAGATCACGCCATTGCACTCCAGCCTGGGCAACGAGAGCAAAAACTTTGACTCAAAACAACAACAACAACAACAACAAGTTAATGGAGAGAATTGTCAATAGTTTGTATTCACATGATGGCTTCTTCCAGATTCTTTCTTCATTGTGAGAAAAAAAAAAGAAGAAGAAGAAGATGATGATCTAAGAGCTTACCATAGCGGTTTTCTAGTTATTGAGACCTGGTTTTCCCTTTTCATTGATGAATATGTGACATATGAAATGGTTGGGCGTTTTTTAAAACTAAATCTGCAAAGTTCCTTTTGCAGCAAGAACAGCTTGCCAATAGATATAGCAGAAGCAGATGGTACTAGATAAACAAAGGCAATGACATAGCAACAATTCAAGAGATACTATATTTTAAAAGGAAAAAATTAAAAAGAATAAAGAAGATTTAATCTTAGAAAAGAAATGACAGGATTTTAGAATTAGAAGTGATTGTTTACGCTGCTTTTCATCTTTTAAAAATCCTAGGTTTTTGGACAGGCACAGTGGTTCATGCCTGTAATCCCAGCACTTTGGGAGGCTGAGGTGGGCAGATCACCTGAGGTCAAGAGTTTGAGACCAGCCTGGCCAACATGGCAAAACCCCATCTCTACCAAAAATACAAAAAAAAAATTAGCCAGGCATGGTTGTGGGCACCTGTAGTCCCAGCTACTTGAGAGGCTTGAGGCAGGAGAATCGCTTGAACCTAGGAGGCAGAGGTTGCAGTGAGCCGAGATTGTGCCGCTGTACTCCAGCCTGAGTGACAGAGTGAGACTCCATCTCAAAAAAAACAAAAATCCTACATGTTTTTTTTATCAAACAAACTTGTTTTCCTTAATACTTCTAACTCCATAATGTTCATAATAATTTATCTATTTTTACCTTTTTTTTTTTTTTTTTTGAGACATCATCTCACTCTGTCACCCAGGCTGGAGTGCAATGGTGCAGTCTTGGTTCACCTCAACTACCGCCTCCCTGGTTGAAGCAATTATCTTGCCTCAGCCTCCCGAGTAGCTGGGATTACAGGCGTGCACCACCGTGCCCAGCTAATTTTTGTATCTTTATTAGAGACGGGGTTTTGCCATGTTGGCCAGGCTGGTATTTTTACATTATATTTTATCTTTTTAGAGGTAGTATCTCACTGTGCTGCCTAGGCTGGAGTGCAATGGTACAATCATAGTTCACTGCAGCCTTGAACTTCTGGGCTCAAGCGAACCTACAGCCTCAGCCTCCTAAGTAGCTGAGATCACACTGTGCACCACTATGCTCAGCGAATTTTTAAAAGTCTTTTGTAGAGATGCACACTCACTATGTTGCCGAGGCTGGTCTTGAACTCCTGACTTCAAGCAATCCTCCTACCTCGTCCACAATTATTTAAAACATGACATCGTTGGGCGTGGTGGCTCACACCTGTAATCCCAGCACTTTGGGAGGCAGAGGCAGGCGGATCACCTGAGGTTGGGAGTTCAAGACCAGCCTGACCAACATGGAGAAACCCTGTCTCTACTGAAAATACAAAATTAGCCAGGCGTGGTGCTGCATGCCTGTAATCCCAGCTACTCGGGAGGCTGAGGCAGAAGAATCACTTGAACTCAGGAGGCAGAGGTTGCGGTGAGCCGAGATTGCGGTGAGCCGAGATCACGGCATTACACTCCAGCCCGGGCAACAAGAGCGAAACTCTGTCTCAAAAAAAAAAAAACAACAAACAAACAAACAAACAACAAAAAAAACCATGACATCTGGCTAGGCTCTATGGCTCACACCTGTAATCCTAGCACTTTGGGAGGCGGAGGCCAGAGGATAGCTTGAGCCTAGGGGTTTGAGATCAGCCTGGGCAACAGAGGGAGAGCCCATCTCCACAAAAAATTTAAAAATTAGCCAGGTGTGTTGGTACACGCCTATAGACCCGGCTACTCTGGGGGGCTGAGGTGGGAGGATTGCTTGAAGCTTGGGAGGTCAAGGCTGCAATAAGCTATGATTGTGCCATTGCATTCCAGCCTTGGTGACAGAATGAAACTGTCTCAAAAAAACAAACCAGGGCCAGGCATGGTGGCACGCACCTGTAGTCCCAGCTACTAGGGAGGCTGAGGCAGGAGAATTGCTTGAACCTAGGAGAGGGAGATTGCAGTGAGCCAAGATCGCCCACTGCACTCCAGCCTGGGCGACAGAGCAAGACTCTGTCTCAAAAACAAAAACAAAAACCATGGTATCTGCTATGGTCTGAATGTTGATGTCCCTCCAAAATTCATAAGTTGAAATGTAATAGGTCTGATAGTACTAAGAGGTAGGGCTTTTGGGAAGTGATTAAGTCAGCAGAGCTCTATCCTTTAATAAATGCCCGTATTAAAGAAGCCTGAGCCTGAGGGAACTCCCTTGACTTTTCTGCCATGTGGGAATGCAGCTGAAAGGCACAATCTTTGAAGCAGAGAGCAAGCCCTCACCAGACACAGCATCTGCCAGTGCCTTGATCTTAAACTTCCCAGGCTCCGGAACTGTAACAAATTTCTGTTGTTTATAAGTTACCTAGTCTAAGGTATTTTGTAATAACAGCCCAAGTGGACTAAAACAGCATCTTTTTTTTCTTTTTTTTAGAAATAGAATAGGCTGGTGTGGTGGCTCACGTCTATAATCCCAGCACTTTGGGAGGCTGAGGCAGACGGATCACGAGGTCAGGAGATCAAGACCATCCTGGCCAACATGGTGAAACCCCGTCTCTACTAAAAATACAAAAAAATTAGCTGGGCTTGGCAGTGCACGCCTCTAGTCGCAGCTACTTGGGAGGCTGAGGCAGGAGAAATGCTTGAACCCTGGGAGGTAGAGGCTGCAGGGAGCCGAGGTCACGCCACTGCACTCCATCCAGCCTGGGCGACAGAGCGAGATTCCGTCTCCGAAAAAAGAAAGACAGGGTTTCGCCATGTCACCCAGGCTGGTCTTGAACTCCTGGACTCAACTGATCTGACTGCCTCAGCCTCCCAAAATTCTGGGATTAAAGGCATGAGCCACCATGCCCAGCGAACAGCATCTTTAAGATTCTGAAAATGCAAGTTATAGGAAAATTAATAAGGAAACCTGAAATGCAGGAATATTAAACACAGAGCTCAAGGCAAGGTCATTATGGCATTTTCTTAGTAAAGAAACTTCATTCTATAATAAGATGCTAGTTAATGAGGAATCCCAAATAACAAAAAATTAAATAACATATCAAAGAACAATTAAAATTTACTGAATGCTTACTACATGTCCAGCACTGGGTTAAGTAGTATTTTATATCGATTGTCTCATTTAATCCTTACAACGAGCCTATGGGGTAGATATTATTTATTATTATCATCACTTTATAGATATGAAAAATGAGGCTCAGTGAAGTTAAATCACTTGCTAAACATTCTACCTCTGGTTGTGGTAGAGCCAACAGAGATATGAGTGAAAATGTTCTAACTTCAGAGCTTCTTTGCTCTTAAAGTAATATGTAATAAACACAATGGATTGAAACAAACAAAAAAGAACAAACGAAAAAGTTTCTGCCAATTGCTATTCTAACTTGGTGCAAATAAATCTTGCTCGACATTTGAAATACTTTTCTTATCTAATTTTTCACAGCAGTCTTATGGAATAGTTATTATTATCTCCTTTTTACAGACACGGGATCTGAAGCTTAAACAGACCAAACACCTTGCCCAGAGCCACATGTTCAGCAAGTGGTGGACGCGAGACTTGGATCCAGGTTGGTCTGTCTCCAGAGATTCAACGTTCTTCGCAGGCTCCTTGAGGGCCTTGGTGAATGCCCCCAGACAGATCTATCTTGCTATCTGTTACTGTCTTGTAGGAGTAAACTCTTCCTCCCACTTTCTTTCCTAGAGCAGTCAACTCCATAGCCTCCCACCTTCATAGCCTCCTTTCACTGGCTTATGCCCACAGTTCATACCAAACCCAGGTGAGACTTTCTGTCCTTTGAGAAGGTTTCCCTGCTGCTGTCCTCCAAACCCAGGTGAGACTCTCTGCCCTCTGGGAAGCTTTGCGTGCTGCTGTCCTCATCCCCTCCCTGAGTCTGAATCTGTCCTGAATGCTCAAAAGCACCTTAGGCATACTTGGTTCCAGGACTCATGCTCTCCTGGAGTTACCTGTTTACTATTTGTCTTCCTTCCCCTACCTCTCCAGGGCTCTGCCACATATGCTATGCAGCAGAGATTGCTTTTTGTCTCCTAGTGCCTAGCTCAGTGCCTGGCACAGAACAGATGCTCAATAAATGTCTGATGGATAGATGAATAAAGACTGACTTCAGAAATCCTGCACAATTACCATCATCTTTTTTTTCTTTTCAGACATGAGGGTCTCACTCTGTTGCCCAGATGGCAATAATCATATCTCACTGCAGCCTCAAACTCCTGGCCTTAAGTCATCCTCCCACCTCAGCCTCCTGAGTAGCTGGAATTAGTGGCACAAGCTGCCATGCCCAGCACCAACATATATTGAATGTCATAATTCAAAAGTCCTTGCCACTTACAGAACACACACATTGTCACATGTATGTATAACACTTGTATAGATTGGTGAATCTATAATTCTAATACTTAAATGAAATTGACCAAATAGTACTCATTATTAGGATAAATGTTGAGAATTTGTAAAGTACTCTACATTTTAAACAGATTTTTGCTTTTTTTGTGTGTGTCTTTTTTTTTTTCTTCCTTTTTGTGGAGAACGGGGTCTCGCTATATTGCCCAGGCAGGTCTAGAACTCCCGGGCTCAAGCTATCCTCCCGCCTCTGCCTCCCTGAGAGCTGGGATTACAGGCATGAGCCACCGTGCCCGGACAGATTTTTGCTTTTTAAAAGAGCTGGCTGGGCGCGGTGGCTCACGCCTGCAATCCCAGCACTTTGGGAGGCCAAAGCAGGCAGATTTCCTGAGGTCAGGAGTTCGAGAACAGCCTGGCCAACATGGTGAAACTCCATCTCTACTAAAAATACAAAAATTAGCCAGGGGTGGTGGCATGTGCCCGTAATCCCAGCTACTCCAGAGGCTGAGGCAGGAGAATTGTTTGAATCTGGGAGGTGGAGGTTGCAGTGAGCCGAGATCATGCCACTGCACTCCAGCCTGGGCAACAGAGCAAGACTCTGTCTCAAAAAAATAAATAAATAAAATAAAAGCGCTAATGATTATTTTCTAAGTATAATGAGCGCTGACATTTGTAAAAATGGTTTGCATCATCTGGTCCATTATCTTATTTAATCCTTATGATCAATTCTATGAAATAGATGTTAGATTATTTTACTATGAAATAATGAGCTCAGGCCAGGCGTGGTGGCTCATGCCTGTAATCCCAGCAATTTGGGAGGCCGAGGAGGGCAGATCATGAGGTCAGGAGTTCAAGACCAGCCTGGCCAACATAGTGAAACCTCGTCTCTACTAAAAATACAAAAAAATTAGCCAGGCATGGTGGTGGGCGCCTGTAATCCCAGCTGCTTGGGAGGTTGAGACAGAAGAATCACTTGAACCCAGGAGGCGGAGGTTGCAGTGACCGGAGATTGCACCACTGCATTTCAGCCTGGGTGACAGTGCGAGACTCCATCTCAAAAAATAAAAATAAAAAAAAGAAATAATGAGCTCAAGTGTGATTTATTCAAGATCACTCTGATAAAGAAATTATGTGGGACTACGAATATATTCCAGCTTGTCTCTTAGTCAAGTGCTCTGTTAACTATATCACCTATGAAGACAAAGAAATACTGAAAATTCATATGATTTATAAAATATGGATTCACAAATGAATACTGAGTGAGGGGGCCCTGCTACTGGGCTTACAACTGCTGGGCTCTGCTCAGGAACCCTAATCTGGTCCAGAGTGAGCAGTATGGTCTCAGCCCAGCGTTTCACGAGTCTTCAAGCCTTCAGGCTTTCTTTTAATCAAGATGAGTGATAAACCCAAACTTGTCAGAAGTGAAGTTTGACAGGTCAAAATTGAAGAAAACTAACACTGGAGAAAAAAATAGGCTTTCTTCCAAGGAAACTATCCAGCAGGAGAAATACGGTGTTCAAACATCATATAATGGGGGCTGGGCATGATGGCTCACGTCTGTAATCTTTGGTAGGCTGAGGTGGGTGGATCACCTGAGGTCAGGAGTTCGAGACCACCCTGGCCAACATGGCTAAGCCCTGTCTCTATTAAAAATACAAAAATTAGCCAGGTGTGGTGGCACATGTCTGTAGTCACAGCTACTCGGGAGACTGAGGCAGGAGAATCGCTTGAACCCGGGAGGCGGAGGTTGCAGTGAGCTGAGATCATGACACTGCACTCCAGCCTGGGTGACAGAGTGAGACTCCATCTCAAACAAACAAAGAAAAAAATGAATTAGGCATGGTGGTGTATGCCTGCAATCCCAGCTACATGGAAGTCTCAGGCGGGTGAATCACTTGAACCCGGGAGGCGGAGGTTGTAGTGAGCCAAGATCATGCCACTGTATTCTAGCCTGGGTGACAGAATAAGACTCCGTCTCAAAACAAAACAAAACAAAGCAAAACACCAAAAATCTTCCCATTGGCACATAAATTCCACATGGCAGATGCTGCCAATAATCTAACCATTGATGACCTGTGTGTGTATAGTCTTTGCACCTCCTACAGGAAAAGCCAATTTTAACCTTCTATGAGTGTCTCCATTGCTTCATAATCTTTATGAAGTTGCATGCCTTTGCAGCTTCTCAGAGTGTATTTTCATTTCTAATGTAGCAATAAAATAATATACTTACTAAAAAAAATAGCAAGGGAAGAAAATCATTTCCTTCATACCAAGTAAGAGAGCACTTATCATGGTAGGCACTGGCTTTGCAATTATGAGACCAGTAGTAGAAATAGCTTTAGTTTCCTCAATTTTCCTGGAGTATTCTTCAGACTTTCTTTACACTGCTAAAATGAGAGTAACATTTCATTGTATAACCTCTGTACAATTTCTTACCATGTACATGTATTACCTACGTAAAAATGCTTACAATTACAAAGATACCAATGAGTTTATTTTCTCTACTGACTCAAGTTGGTGTCACAGGCATACCAATTAAGGACAGGCATTCTCCAAAAAGCATGTAGAAACACTGTCTTTTGTACTAATAAAGAGCCCCCATGTCTTTTCATGTCATTGCATATTAGAATTGTGACATAGGTGTTAAGTAGGAACAAAGAGGCAACCCATTTCACAGATGTACTCAGAACTGCTGGGCTGTCATAGGTCTAAGCAGAAGAGCGAGGACTAAATCCCTAATTTTCTGACACCGATGCCACTGATATTTTCATTATATCAGGCTGCCTCGACCTGCTGGTAAGGGTTAGGACTAGCTCTCTGACAGATTACCCTGGTTCCAATCCTGCTCTGCTGGGCCCTAAGGTACCATGAAAAAAGATCACCAAGCTGTATTAGGTGAAAAAAGCAAGGTGGCATATTGTATTTTACCATTTTGTGCAAAAAAAGGTAAAACTTTAAAAAAGAATATATGTCTATATGTGCTTATTACGCATAAACTGCCTGTTGCCCATTGCTGCTCCATCTATACAATGTGGGTGGTAGGATTACAATAAATATTGCAAATATTAGAACAGTGCCTGTCACACTAAAGTGTCATTTTATTTGGATTCTCGGCTGGGCGTGGTGGCTCATGCCTGTAATCCTAGCACTTTGGGAGGCCGAGTTGGGCAGATCACGAGGTCAGGAGATCAAGACCGTCCTGGCTAACATGGTGAAACCCCCATCTCTACTAAAAAAAATACAAAAAATTAGCTGGGTGTGGTGGCCGGCGCCTGTAGTCCCAGCTACTCGGGAGGCTGAGGCAGAATGGCATGAACCCGGGAGGCGGAGCTTGCAGTGAGCCGAGATCGTGCCACTGCACTCCAGCCTGGGTGACAGAGTGAGACTCCATCTCAAAAAAAAAAAAAAAAAAAAAAATTGGATTCTCAGTCCAAATAGTTCCTTGGCTTAATCATATTCTAAAATACCCCTTTAAAAAAAAAAATATATATATATATATATATAGTTTTTTCTGAGATGCAGTCTCACTTTGTTACCCAGGCTGGAGTGCAGTGGCACGATTTCTGCTCACTGCAACCTCCTCCTCCCGGGTTCAAGCAATTCTCCTGCCTCAGCCTCCCAAGTAGCTGTGATTATAGGTGCACACCACCAAGCCTGGCTAATTTTTATATCTTTAGTAGAGACGGGAGTCTCACCATGTTGGCCAGGCTGGTCTCGAACTCTTACCTCAGGTGATCCGCCTGACTCGGCCTCCCAAAGTGCTGGGATTACAGGCGTGAGCCACCGCACCGGGCCATCATCTTTTCTTCAGAGGTAGCTACAGCAGATGAAAAGATTTAAAAATCATTTTCACGTGGCAAGCCATGGTAAAATGTAACTATTTAAGGCTGCTTTAAATTAGACTAATAGCAGAGTGGTCAGACTATACTGAAAGCTTGGTGAATCACAATTAAGTACCTCAAAGAACTATTCTTGTTTGCCTTATTCCTATGTAAATAACTGAAATCTTTGTTTTTCTTCCTAAAAGGGGTCATGTTGATTTTTACTTACAATGTATTTTAAGTTTGTCACTCTAAATGGTTATGAGCAAGTTTAAGAAAAATCTTCAGCAAATACTACCTTAGATTATGACCCCAAAACACATTTACGAGCCTCAACATCGTTACTGTTACCGCTTTAACATTTAAGGCAGTAAAAAGCATACTGGATCTCTGTAAAGGCGTAGGGGTGCGGGGAATCCGTTATGATTATGTTGAAAACATAGGGTCTGGGGAAAAAGGGATTTAAAATAAGAAGAAAAAGAAGACTTGGGACTTAAAAAGTCTTTTAGAGGCCAGCTCACGGTGACAAAAACCGACCCTCACCCCGAGCCACGTGAGGTTTTCTGCTTCCTCCCAGGCCCTTCCTTCCGCAGTCAGAAGGCGGAAGAAAAGTTACCTCAAGGTGGGGCGAGTGGCAGGGCGGACCCTGGCGACCTGACGCTGCGGAGGCTCGAGCGGCGTATCCATACCACCCAGCTGTTCGCCGCGGGAACCCGCCGGCCCGCAGGTGACCCAGCGCTGGAAAAACGCCAGCGACGTGGCCTGGCGAGCTGGCGCGGGGCAAGGACCACCCGCGCCCGCCTTGCCGCCCCAGCCTCCCTCCCTAGGAAGCAGGGTGCGCCCCGGTGCGCGCGGGGCTTCCCCGGACCGGCGTTCCAGTCCCTCTCCGGCTTCCGGCCCACCCCGGCCCCACTGAGAGCAGAAATGTGATCTCTGCCCTGAGAAAATGCTCGTGGCCAGTGACTACCCCTAACGCACAATAATATGGCTCCGATGGGCTCAAAGGTATTGGTTTTTTGTTTTGTTTTGAGACAAGGTCTCACTCGGTCGCCCAGGCTGGAGTGCAATTGCGTGATCTTGACTCACTGCAACCTCCGCTTCCCGGGCTCAAGCGATTCTCCTGCCTCAGCCTCCCAAGTAGCTGGGATTACAGGCATGCGCCACCACGCCCGGCTAATTTTGTATTTTCAGTAGACAGGGTTTCACCATGTTGGCCAGGCTGGTCTCGAACTCCTGGCCTCAAATTATACGTCCGCCTCGGCCTCCCAAGGTGCTGGTATTATAGGCGTGAGCCACCGCGCCCGGTCCAGTGTTGGTTCTTAAACGCGAGAATTGAGATCTCCCTTCACCTAATGAAAGTCTCGGCCACTATCGCAACATTCAGAACACCCAGTCTGTGTTGCACAATATGTTACTTAGGTATAAATCAAGGATTCATGTAATTTTGTCATTCCTTGCGTGATATTTTAAAAAACATTCTGTGTAAGGTATTTATAAAGCGTTTACTATTATCCGCAATCACAGGGGCTTGAGGAAAAACTTTGACTGTGGCCGGGCACCGTGGCTCACGCCTGTAATCCCAGCACTTTGGGAGACCGAGCCGGGTGGATCACTTGAGGTCAGCAGTTCGAGACCAGCCTGGCCAACATGGTGAAACCCCCGTCTCTTCTAAAAATACAAAAATTTGTGGGGCGCGCTTGTAGTCCCAGCTACTTGGGAGGCTGAGGCAGGAGGAATCGCTTGAACTCGGGAGGCAGAGCTTGCAGTGAGCCGAGATCGCGCCACTGCACTCCAGCCTGGGCAACAGAGTAGAACTCCGTCTCAAAAAAAAAAAAAAAAAAGAAAGAAAGAAAAAAAAGTGGACTGTGAAAACTGAAAGGACTAGAAAAACTACACTACAAAGATACAGAAACCAAGAAAGCACCATAGCGTTTGCCTTCAACTGCTTCCCAACTTGTTTTCCTCTTCCAATTTGATTGTGGTTTCCTCTCCAGAAGGAACTCCACAGTACTTAGCGTTGGCCACATAGTAGGTTCTCAAATACTTGTTAATAAATAAGTTTGTTCGAGAAGCTGGGCAATGATATTCTACAGCTGGAAGAAGAAACATAATGATCTAGTAATTAGCTCATTAAAAATAAACGTTCTTCTTTCCTCAGAGGAGCATTTCCCAAGGCCTGCCTTGATAGCCATCCAAAAAGGCCAAGCTCATCCAATCTTGCCCTAGATTTATGCTAAAATGCAGTTACAATCGATAGGATGACAGAAAACGACAGCACTTATTTAAATATAATAGGCACTTATTTAAATAGGAGAAGCTGTGACTTCATAGCAAGTGTTGGGGTTAGGAAACTGGGTGGATAAACTTGCTGATGCTGTAGATCTTAGCCTCTACATGAGATCATGTGGAAAATCTGAAAGCATTTTAGGTTCCTTATGTTTGCAATCAAATAACTGTACACCTTTTAATTTAAAAAGTACCATGAGGCACACACACACACTCGCAGGAACTTTTTGGCGTAACAAAACTAGAATTAGATCTAAAGCTAACTGTAGGACTGAGTCTATTCTAAACTGAAAGCCTGGACATCTGGAGTACCAGGGGGAGATGACGTGTTACGGGCTTCCATAAAAGCAGCTGGCTTTGAATGGAAGGAGCCAAGAGGCCAGCACAGGAGCGGATTCGTCGCTTTCACGGCCATCGAGCCGAACCTCTCGCAAGTCCGTGAGCCGTTAAGGAGGCCCCCAGTCCCGACCCTTCGCCCCAAGCCCCTCGGGGTCCCCGGGCCTGGTACTCCTTGCCACACGGGAGGGGCGCGGAAGCCGGGGCGGAGGAGGAGCCAACCCCGGGCTGGGCTGAGACCCGCAGAGGAAGACGCTCTAGGGATTTGTCCCGGACTAGCGAGATGGCAAGGCTGAGGACGGGAGGCTGATTGAGAGGCGAAGGTACACCCTAATCTCAATACAACCTTTGGAGCTAAGCCAGCAATGGTAGAGGGAAGATTCTGCACGTCCCTTCCAGGCGGCCTCCCCGTCACCACCCCCCCCAACCCGCCCCGACCGGAGCTGAGAGTAATTCATACAAAAGGACTCGCCCCTGCCTTGGGGAATCCCAGGGACCGTCGTTAAACTCCCACTAACGTAGAACCCAGAGATCGCTGCGTTCCCGCCCCCTCACCCGCCCGCTCTCGTCATCACTGAGGTGGAGAAGAGCATGCGTGAGGCTCCGGTGCCCGTCAGTGGGCAGAGCGCACATCGCCCACAGTCCCCGAGAAGTTGGGGGGAGGGGTCGGCAATTGAACCGGTGCCTAGAGAAGGTGGCGCGGGGTAAACTGGGAAAGTGATGTCGTGTACTGGCTCCGCCTTTTTCCCGAGGGTGGGGGAGAACCGTATATAAGTGCAGTAGTCGCCGTGAACGTTCTTTTTCGCAACGGGTTTGCCGCCAGAACACAGGTAAGTGCCGTGTGTGGTTCCCGCGGGCCTGGCCTCTTTACGGGTTATGGCCCTTGCGTGCCTTGAATTACTTCCACGCCCCTGGCTGCAGTACGTGATTCTTGATCCCGAGCTTCGGGTTGGAAGTGGGTGGGAGAGTTCGAGGCCTTGCGCTTAAGGAGCCCCTTCGCCTCGTGCTTGAGTTGAGGCCTGGCTTGGGCGCTGGGGCCGCCGCGTGCGAATCTGGTGGCACCTTCGCGCCTGTCTCGCTGCTTTCGATAAGTCTCTAGCCATTTAAAATTTTTGATGACCTGCTGCGACGCTTTTTTTCTGGCAAGATAGTCTTGTAAATGCGGGCCAAGATCTGCACACTGGTATTTCGGTTTTTGGGGCCGCGGGCGGCGACGGGGCCCGTGCGTCCCAGCGCACATGTTCGGCGAGGCGGGGCCTGCGAGCGCGGCCACCGAGAATCGGACGGGGGTAGTCTCAAGCTGGCCGGCCTGCTCTGGTGCCTGGCCTCGCGCCGCCGTGTATCGCCCCGCCCTGGGCGGCAAGGCTGGCCCGGTCGGCACCAGTTGCGTGAGCGGAAAGATGGCCGCTTCCCGGCCCTGCTGCAGGGAGCTCAAAATGGAGGACGCGGCGCTCGGGAGAGCGGGCGGGTGAGTCACCCACACAAAGGAAAAGGGCCTTTCCGTCCTCAGCCGTCGCTTCATGTGACTCCACGGAGTACCGGGCGCCGTCCAGGCACCTCGATTAGTTCTCGAGCTTTTGGAGTACGTCGTCTTTAGGTTGGGGGGAGGGGTTTTATGCGATGGAGTTTCCCCACACTGAGTGGGTGGAGACTGAAGTTAGGCCAGCTTGGCACTTGATGTAATTCTCCTTGGAATTTGCCCTTTTTGAGTTTGGATCTTGGTTCATTCTCAAGCCTCAGACAGTGGTTCAAAGTTTTTTTCTTCCATTTCAGGTGTCGTGAAAACTACCCCTAAAAGCCAAAATGGGAAAGGAAAAGACTCATATCAACATTGTCGTCATTGGACACGTAGATTCGGGCAAGTCCACCACTACTGGCCATCTGATCTATAAATGCGGTGGCATCGACAAAAGAACCATTGAAAAATTTGAGAAGGAGGCTGCTGAGGTATGTTTAATACCAGAAAGGGAAAGATCAACTAAAATGAGTTTTACCAGCAGAATCATTAGGTGATTTCCCCAGAACTAGTGAGTGGTTTAGATCTGAATGCTAATAGTTAAGACCTTACTTATGAAATAATTTTGCTTTTGGTGACTTCTGTAATCGTATTGCTAGTGAGTAGATTTGGATGTTAATAGTTAAGATCCGACTTATAAAAGTTTGATTTTTGGTTGCTTCTGTAACCCAAAGTGACTAAAATCACTTTGGACTTGGAGTTGTAAAGTGGAAACTGCCAATTAAGGGCTGGGGACAAGGAAATTGAAGCTGGAGTTTGTGTTTTAGTAACCAAGTAACGACTCTTAATCCTTACAGATGGGAAAGGGCTCCTTCAAGTATGCCTGGGTCTTGGATAAACTGAAAGCTGAGCGTGAACGTGGTATCACCATTGATATCTCCTTGTGGAAATTTGAGACCAGCAAGTACTATGTGACTATCATTGATGCCCCAGGACACAGAGACTTTATCAAAAACATGATTACAGGGACATCTCAGGTTGGTGGGATTAATAATTCTAGGTTTCTTTATCCCAAAAGGCTTGCTTTGTACACTGGTTTTGTCATTTGGAGAGTTGACAGGGATATGTCTTTGCTTTCTTTAAAGGCTGACTGTGCTGTCCTGATTGTTGCTGCTGGTGTTGGTGAATTTGAAGCTGGTATCTCCAAGAATGGGCAGACCCGAGAGCATGCCCTTCTGGCTTACACACTGGGTGTGAAACAACTAATTGTCGGTGTTAACAAAATGGATTCCACTGAGCCACCCTACAGCCAGAAGAGATATGAGGAAATTGTTAAGGAAGTCAGCACTTACATTAAGAAAATTGGCTACAACCCCGACACAGTAGCATTTGTGCCAATTTCTGGTTGGAATGGTGACAACATGCTGGAGCCAAGTGCTAACGTAAGTGGCTTTCAAGACCATTGTTAAAAAGCTCTGGGAATGGCGATTTCATGCTTACACAAATTGGCATGCTTGTGTTTCAGATGCCTTGGTTCAAGGGATGGAAAGTCACCCGTAAGGATGGCAATGCCAGTGGAACCACGCTGCTTGAGGCTCTGGACTGCATCCTACCACCAACTCGTCCAACTGACAAGCCCTTGCGCCTGCCTCTCCAGGATGTCTACAAAATTGGTGGTAAGTTGGCTGTAAACAAAGTTGAATTTGAGTTGATAGAGTACTGTCTGCCTTCATAGGTATTTAGTATGCTGTAAATATTTTTAGGTATTGGTACTGTTCCTGTTGGCCGAGTGGAGACTGGTGTTCTCAAACCCGGTATGGTGGTCACCTTTGCTCCAGTCAACGTTACAACGGAAGTAAAATCTGTCGAAATGCACCATGAAGCTTTGAGTGAAGCTCTTCCTGGGGACAATGTGGGCTTCAATGTCAAGAATGTGTCTGTCAAGGATGTTCGTCGTGGCAACGTTGCTGGTGACAGCAAAAATGACCCACCAATGGAAGCAGCTGGCTTCACTGCTCAGGTAACAATTTAAAGTAACATTAACTTATTGCAGAGGCTAAAGTCATTTGAGACTTTGGATTTGCACTGAATGCAAATCTTTTTTCCAAGGTGATTATCCTGAACCATCCAGGCCAAATAAGCGCCGGCTATGCCCCTGTATTGGATTGCCACACGGCTCACATTGCATGCAAGTTTGCTGAGCTGAAGGAAAAGATTGATCGCCGTTCTGGTAAAAAGCTGGAAGATGGCCCTAAATTCTTGAAGTCTGGTGATGCTGCCATTGTTGATATGGTTCCTGGCAAGCCCATGTGTGTTGAGAGCTTCTCAGACTATCCACCTTTGGGTAAGGATGACTACTTAAATGTAAAAAAGTTGTGTTAAAGATGAAAAATACAACTGAACAGTACTTTGGGTAATAATTAACTTTTTTTTTAATAGGTCGCTTTGCTGTTCGTGATATGAGACAGACAGTTGCGGTGGGTGTCATCAAAGCAGTGGACAAGAAGGCTGCTGGAGCTGGCAAGGTCACCAAGTCTGCCCAGAAAGCTCAGAAGGCTAAATGAATATTATCCCTAATACCTGCCACCCCACTCTTAATCAGTGGTGGAAGAACGGTCTCAGAACTGTTTGTTTCAATTGGCCATTTAAGTTTAGTAGTAAAAGACTGGTTAATGATAACAATGCATCGTAAAACCTTCAGAAGGAAAGGAGAATGTTTTGTGGACCACTTTGGTTTTCTTTTTTGCGTGTGGCAGTTTTAAGTTATTAGTTTTTAAAATCAGTACTTTTTAATGGAAACAACTTGACCAAAAATTTGTCACAGAATTTTGAGACCCATTAAAAAAGTTAAATGAGAAACCTGTGTGTTCCTTTGGTCAACACCGAGACATTTAGGTGAAAGACATCTAATTCTGGTTTTACGAATCTGGAAACTTCTTGAAAATGTAATTCTTGAGTTAACACTTCTGGGTGGAGAATAGGGTTGTTTTCCCCCCACATAATTGGAAGGGGAAGGAATATCATTTAAAGCTATGGGAGGGTTGCTTTGATTACAACACTGGAGAGAAATGCAGCATGTTGCTGATTGCCTGTCACTAAAACAGGCCAAAAACTGAGTCCTTGTGTTGCATAGAAAGCTTCATGTTGCTAAACCAATGTTAAGTGAATCTTTGGAAACAAAATGTTTCCAAATTACTGGGATGTGCATGTTGAAACGTGGGTTAAAATGACTGGGCAGTGAAAGTTGACTATTTGCCATGACATAAGAAATAAGTGTAGTGGCTAGTGTACACCCTATGAGTGGAAGGGTCCATTTTGAAGTCAGTGGAGTAAGCTTTATGCCAGTTTGATGGTTTCACAAGTTCTATTGAGTGCTATTCAGAATAGGAACAAGGTTCTAATAGAAAAAGATGGCAATTTGAAGTAGCTATAAAATTAGACTAATCTACATTGCTTTTCTCCTGCAGAGTCTAATACCTTTTATGCTTTGATAATTAGCAGTTTGTCTACTTGGTCACTAGGAATGAAACTACATGGTAATAGGCTTAACAGGTGTAATAGCCCACTTACTCCTGAATCTTTAAGCATTTGTGCATTTGAAAAATGCTTTTCGCGATCTTCCTGCTGGGATTACAGGCATGAGCCACTGTGCCTGACCTCCCATATGTAAAAGTGTCTAAAGGTTTTTTTTTGGTTATAAAAGGAAAATTTTTGCTTAAGTTTGAAGGATAGGTAAAATTAAAGGACATGCTTTCTGTTTGTGTGATGGTTTTTAAAAATTTTTTTTAAGATGGAGTTCTTGTTGCCCAGGCTAGAATGCAATGGCAAAATCTCACTGCAATCTCCTCCTCCTGGGTTCAAGCAATTCTCCTACTTCAGCCTCCCAAGTAGCTGGGATTACAGGCATGTGCTAATTTGGTGTTTTTAATAGAGATGAGGTTTTTCCATGTTGGTCAGGCTGGTCTCAAACTCCTGACCTTAGGTGATCGCCTCGGCCTCCTAAAGTGCTGGAATTACAGGCATGAGCCACCATGCCTGGCCAGGACATGTGTTCTTAAGGACATGCTAAGCAGGAGTTAAAGCAGCCCAAGAGATAAGGCCTCTTAAAGTGACTGGCAATGTGTATTGCTCAAGATTCAAAGGTACTTGAATTGGCCATAGACAAGTCTGTAATGAAGTGTTATCGTTTTCCCTCATCTGAGTCTGAATTAGATAAAATGCCTTCCCATCAGCCAGTGCTCTGAGGTATCAAGTCTAAATTGAACTAGAGATTTTTGTCCTTAGTTTCTTTGCTATCTAATGTTTACACAAGTAAATAGTCTAAGATTTGCTGGATGACAGAAAAAACAGGTAAGGCCTTTAATAGATGGCCAATAGATGCCCTGATAATGAAAGTTGACACCTGTAAGATTTACCAGTAGAGAATTCTTGACATGCAAGGAAGCAAGATTTAACTGAAAAATTGTTCCCACTGGAAGCAGGAATGAGTCAGTTTACTTGCATATACTGAGATTGAGATTAACTTCCTGTGAAACCCAGTGTCTTAGACAACTGTGGCTTGAGCACCACCTGCTGGTATTCATTACAAACTTGCTCACTACAATAAATGAATTTTAAGCTTTAAGATGAAGTGGCATTTCTTTTAACAGTTACTATGTTGGAATTGGTTACAAATTTTGGAGTGGATTTCAAAAGTGAGAGCTAACTTCAGTTGATTTCAAGGTAGTGCTTGGCTTTTTTTGTTTAGACAGGGTTTTACTCCTGCCCTGGTTGGAGTGGAAGTTAACGGCTAACTGCAGTCCTGACTTCTGGGCTTAAGTGATCTTCCCTGAATAGCAGGGACCACAGGTTTTTGCCACCACGCCTGGCTAATTTTTGTATTTTGCCATGTTGCCAAGGCTGGTCAACTCCTGGGCTCAAGTGATCTGCCTGTACTGTATCTTTCCCAGTTAATCTGATATTTATCTTTTAAATCTCAGATGTGCCAGGGCCTCGGCAGTGACTCAAGGAAGAACCCATGTGCTCTTAGTGGGACACGATTTGTTCAGACCTACTAACCTCAACCCAGTTTCAGTTCTTTATAGTGGAGAATGTTGACAGTTTACACTGACAGGCCACATTTTAGCATTGTGTTATCTTCATGGTTTTTTTTCTTTTGAGATGAAGTTCCAAACTTAGTAACTTACCATTTACTTTTTAGTGTAATTCTAAAAGATTTCATTCAGCTAGAACTACCCTGATATTTAACTGTCCTTTTTCTCTTACCTAATTATTGGCAATTAAACATTTTTGTCATTTACTTTGGGACTGTTTTTAGCAGGCCCATGGATCTCAAGGTTTAGTTTTGTGGGTTCTATGGGAGACAATGACAATGAAGATAAACGTTAATGTTGCAATAATTCTAAGCAAGGGATATTAGAAAATGAAGCAGGCCAGGTCATGGCTCACGCCTGTAATTCCACCATTTTGGGAGGCTGAGGTGGGGAGATCACAAGGTCAGGAGTTCAGACCAGCCTTGCTAATATGCTGAAACCCCATCTCTACTGAAAATACAAAATTAGCTGGGTGTGGTGGCAGGTGCCTATAGTTACGAGGCTGAGCCAAGATCACACCACTGCACTCCAGCCTGGGCGACAGAGAAAGACTTCATCTCAAAAAAAAAAAAAAAAAAAAAGCAAAAGGCTGGGCGCAGTGCCTCGAATCCTAGCACTTTGGGAGGCTGAGGCGAGAAGATCTGCTAAATACAAAAGAAAAGCAAGGTGTGGTAGCACATGCCTATAGTCCCAACTGAGGCTGAGGCAGGAGAATCCCTTTAGCTTGGAAGGTGGGGGTTGCGGTGAGCCAAGATCTTGCCAGGGCACTCCAGCCTGGGTGACAGGGCAAGACTGTCTCAAAAAATAAAGATGCCGGGTGCAGTGGCTCACGCCTGTAATCCCAGCACTTTGGGAGGCCGAGGTGGGCGGATCACAAGGTCAGGAGATCGAGACCATCCTGGCTAAAACGGTGAAGCCCCCGTTTCTACTAAAAATAAAAATTAGCCGGGCATGGTGGTGGGCGCCTGTAGTCCCAGCTACTCGGGAGGCTGAGGCAGGAGAACAGCATCAACCCGGGAGGCGGAGTTTGCACTGAGCCGAGATTGCGCCACTGCACTCCAGCCTGGACGACAAAGTGCGACTTCGTCTCAAAAAAGTATATATATAATAATAAAAATTAGCTGGGCATGGTCGTACACACCTGTAGTCCCAAGCTACTCTGGGGGGTTCAGGCAGGAGGATCGCTTCATCCTGGGAGGCTGAGGCTGCAGTGAGCTATGATGGTGCTATGTACTCCAGCCTCGGCAACAGTGAGACCCCGTCTCCTAGGTTCAAGCAATTCTGCCTCAGCCTCCTGAGTAGCTAGGACCACAGGTGCCCACCACCACACCTGCCTAATTTTTGTATTTTCAGTAGAGACCGGGTTTTACCATGTTGGTCAGGCTGGTCTCCAACTCCTGACCTCAGGTGGTCTGCCCGTCTTGGCCTCCCAAAGTGCTGGGGTTACAGGCGTGAGCCTGTATATATCAGTAATCTCTTACTTTTTAATGGGTGTATGACAGTTTGTGTATTCATTCCCAGCTGAGGGGCATTTAGTTGTTTCCAGTTTGGGGCAATTATTAATAAAGCTGCTATAAATGTCCACATATAGTTTTGTATGTAATAATGTTTTTATTTTACTTGTGTAAATAGCTAGGAAAGTGATTACTGGGCTGAGTGGCAAAGCGTATGCTTTTTAAGAAACTGCCGAGTTGTTTCCAAAGTGGTTGAACCATTTAGTAATTAAGAGATCAACTTTTTTGAGGAAGACAAATAGACTACCTGAGTGTTAAACTGATATTTTGCAGGTCAGTGAAGTAATTTGTTTATAAAATATTGTGCTTACTATGTTCTAGGCACCGTTCTAGGCATTGGGGATAGAGCTATGAACAAAATGGACATGGTTATTGACCTTTGAGTTTATAGTTAGTGGGGGAGATAGAGATTCAATAAATAAAATTAGCTACTTTTGAGTTGTGATGGTACTATGAAGGAAAAGAGAAATATACCATGAGGGAGAAGAGTAAATGAAAGGGACATAATTTAGACTGGCCAGAGAAGGTATTTGCCAGGAATAGCTGAGACCTGAAGGATAAGTAGGAGTTAGGGGAGAATATGACAACATTGTGTGTGTAATATATATATGCATACACACACACAATGTTTTCATATTCTCCCCAACTCCTACATATAATATATATAATTATATACATGCATACACACACACACATACATATATATTTATTTTCTTGAGACAGAGTCTCGCTCTGTCACCAGGCTGGAGTGCAGTGGCTTGATCTCGCCACACTGCAACCTCTGCCTCCCAGGTTCAAGCTATTCTCCTGCCTCAGCCTCCCAAGTAGCTGGGACTACAGGCACATGCCACCATGCCCAGCTAATTTTTGTGTTTTTAGTAGAGATGGGGTTTCACCATGTTGACCAGGATGGTCTTGATCTCTTGACCTCATGACCCACCTGACTTCGCCTCCCAAAGTGCTGGGATTACAGGCATGAGCCACCACACCCAGCCCTATATATTTTTATTTTATTTATTGTTTTGACACTTTTTTTTTTTTTGAGACAAGAGTCTCACTCTGTTGCCCAGGCTGGCATGCAATGATGCTATATCAGCTCACTGCAACCTCCACCTCCCCAGTTCAAGTGTTTCTTGTGCCTCGGGTTCCCAAGTAGCTGGGACTACAGGCATGCACCACCACACCCAGCTAATTTTTGTATTTTTAGTAGAGAAGGGGTTTTACCATGTTGGCCATGCTGGTCTCGAACTCCTGACCTCAAGTGATCCACCTGCTTCGGCCTCCCAAAGTGCTTCTATTACAGGCATGAGCCACTGCACCCGGCTTGTATTACTTTTTAGACATGTCAGTATTTAAGGCTTAATTTGGCCTCAGGACAATCACATAGAATCAGAAAATCTGAGAAGAAAACTTAAAAACCTTTGAATCTAACCTACTCAAATAAACTTTGAATATATTTATTGAAATATTTAATTTGTTTATTTTTTATTTTTTTATTTTAGAGACAAGGTCTCACTAAAGTGCAGGCTAGAGTGCAGTGACACAATCATGGCTATGGCTCACTGCAACCTCAAACTCCTGGGCTCAAGCGATTCTGTTGCCTTAGGTTCGCCAGGAGCTGGCACTACAGGTGCCACCACACCTGGCTTTTTTGTTTTGTTTTTTTTGGGTAGAGAAGGGGATTTGGTATGTTGCTTAGGCTGATCTTGAACTCCTAGCCTCACGCAATCCTGCTTCGGCTTTCCAAAATGTTGGGATTATAGGCATGAGCCATGCGCCTGACCTTGATTACCTCGATGATGTGTATGTCATACATTGGAGGGCAAAGACATCTCTGAATTCCTCACAACAGCCATGGCAGGGGGCAGGTACCCATGTTACAGATGACAGACTGATGCATAGAGAAGTTAAGTCGTGGGGAGTTTACTTTCTCCTAAATTGTCCTGTTACTAGATGAATTTGTTTTTGTTTCATTTTGTTTTGTTTTTGAGACAGAGTCTCATGTTGTCACCCAGACTGGAGTGCAGTGGCTCCATCTCGGCTCACTATAGCCTCCGCCTCCTGAGTTCAAGTGATTCTCCTGCCTCAGCCTCCCAAGTAGCTGGGTGCATGCCACCACGCCTGGCTAATTTTTGTATTTTTAGTATAGATGGGGTTTCACCATGTTGGCCAGACTGGTCTCGAACTCCTGACCTCAAGTGATCCACCCCGCGCTTAGCCTCCCAAAGTGCTGGGATTATAGGCGTGAGCCACCACACCAGGCCATGAATTTGTTTTCAATATTTATTTATTTTGTATTTTCTATTTTTGAGATGGAGTCTCGCTCTGCTGTCCAGGCTAGAGTGCAGTGGTGTGATCTTGGCTCACTGTAGCCTCCACCTCCTGAGTTCAAGTGATTCTCCTGCCTTAGCCTCCCGAGTAGCTGGGATTACAGGCGCCCACCATCACACCCGGCTAATTTTTGTATTTTTAGTAGAGATGGGGTTTCACCATGTTGGCCACGCTGGTCTCAAACTGACCTCAATTGATCCACCCACCTTGACCTCCCAAAGTGCTGGGATTACAGACCTGAGCCACAGCGCCCAGCCCTTCAATATTTATTTAAATTTGCCTGCTGGCTAACTTCTCATTGCACCTGGGCTCTAGTGTAATTAAATTACTTCATTCTCTTTTTAAAACTTTTTACTTTTTTCTTTTTTGTGTTTTTCATTCTCTTATCTACGAGAGCCACAATACTTGAAGACACCAATTGATACCCCTTAGTCACATCTGAGCTAAACACTTTCAGTTCCTACAGCTGTTTCTTAATCTTAGGTCACATGGTTTCTTCCCATGCTGTTCTTCCCAGACAGCATTTTTTTTTTTTTTTGAGAGTCTCACTCTGTTGCCCAGGCTGGAGTACAGTAGCACAATCTCAGTTTACTGCAACCTCTGCCTTCCAGGTTCAGGTGATTCTCCTGCTTCAGCCTCCTGAGTAGCTGGGACTACAGGAGCGTGCCACCACGCCCGGCTAATTTTTGTATTTTTAGTAGAGACAGGGTTTCACCATGTTGGCCAGGCTGGTCTTGAACTCCTGACCTAAAGTGATCTGCCCATATATGGTCTTTTCCTTACATGTATTTTGTTTCATTTTATTTTATTTTATTTTATTTATTTTATTTTATTTATTTTATTTTATTTTATTTATTTTATTTTATATTTTATTTTATTTTGAGATGAAGTCTTGCCCTGTTGCCCAGGCTGGAGTGCAATGGTGTGATCTCAGCTCACTGCAACCTCCACCTCACAGGTTCAAGCTATTCCCCTGCCTCAGCCTCCCAAGTTGCTGGGATTACAGGCATGCACCACCAAACCCAGCTAATTTTTCATAGTAGGGACGGGGTTTCACCATATTGGCCAGGCTGGTCTCGAACTCCTTACCTTGTGATCCGCCTGTCTCGGCCTCCCAAAGTGGTGGGATTACAGGTGTGAGCCACCACGCCTGGTTCTTACATTTATTTTGGAATAAATTTAGATACACAGAAAAGTTGCAAAGATAAGAGTTTCCATATAACCCTCACCCAGTTTGCCTTCCCTAATGTTAACATCTTACATTATCATGGTACATTTGTCAAAACTAAGACACTTTTTTTTCTAATAAAAATAATAGAGATGAGGTCTCACTATATTGTCCAGGCTGGTCTCAAACTTTGAGCTCAAGCAGTCCTCCCACCTCCACCTCCCAAAGTGCTGGGATTACAGGCATGAACCACCACACCCAGCCTACATTGTTATGTTACTACTCTCCAGACTATTCAGATTTCACCAATTTTTCTATCCATAGCCTTTTTTTCTGTTTCAGGATCCAATTCAGGACACCATACCACTGTATGGTTAATTTTAAAAACTCAAATGTTGGGAGTTTGCTTTATCACCGCTGTATCTTATCATCTCGTTAGATAATTTTGTATCTGGAGCCTGCTCTCTAGCATGAATAAGTAAAAATGTGGACTTTGTGATTTACAGATCTGATATTTATGTTTTTGTGTTTTTACTTTAAGTACTAGACAAAGTAAATCTAAGAGGTCTGTGGTACTGCACTAGAGAATTGTTACTTGATTATGGTGGGCCAAGTGGTTGAAAATTTACCTAACAATACTATAACATAGGCCATATTTCATAATTTTAATCACAAGGCAATTGTGAAAATTTTATCAAATGTTTAATAAAAGCAAGGTGAAGAAGGTGATAGCTTTAAATTTACTTGCCATTTTTGGGCACACAAAAGTAATTTGCTCTGCCACTTAGAGTTATAAGGTCAAAGTGGGAGTAAATAATCTTTGTATTAGGAATTAAAAGTTTCTATTTTAGCCAGTCATGGTTTCCCTAAAAGAGTTCATGTAGTTTTGCTTTTGTCAAACTTTACATTTAAAGCTAACTCAAAACAGATAAAAGCACAATATGCAGCCTGGATTTTCCTTTAACACAATCTCTTTTGAGACATTGTCCGAAATATGGGTTATTGCTCGTATAAAGCGAAATAGACTTAAGTCAAAAGTAAGCAGTTTCATTTATTCCAGTGAAAAAAGCGTATAGAAGATTGTGTGGTTTTCAGAGGTTAAATACCAGATGGCTAATACCAAATGAAAAACATAAATAAAACTTGGTTATATTTTCAGTACAATCATGTGATTGAGGGAATATCCTAGTTGGTGTTGGGATAAACCAAGTTACCATGTAAGCAATTTGAGTTTGACTTCTAGTGCTGTCTGGAGGCATGCAAACTGAGGAACTGGTTCTCAGCCTTCTGGTGAGGGCATCTGCAACATTTTCTGAGGCCTGGATTGTAACCATATGGGTATAACAGTGCAGCTATATTGGTGCAACAAAAGAAGAACCTCGTGGAGCATTGACCTACAGTCCCCATCTTTAGCCATTATCATACCTTCTTGATTGACTCTTTGGACTTCCCTGTTGAGCCTCTTGCAGGATTCTATATATAACTAGCAACCCAGTAAACATCTGATGAGAAATGAGGTGATTTTTATTCATTTATGGTTGGGTACAAAGAATGTTTTCTCATAGCTATCTTTATGTTGAAGTTAGGGATGCATTTCTTAGAACTCAATTTCTCATTTTGTATAACTGCTCATCAGTATTTTTCTTCAGAGCTATAATACCTCTGAATTTTCAGTTAAACTGCCCTCCTTGAGGTTGTTTCTTGTGAAACTGGAAATACAGAAAATTCCAACAGTTTTCTTAAATTACTTGAAACACCACATACACATAGCACAGTCTGGTCTTGTGTCAAAATACAGTATATTCTAGAAGTGTTTCCTTTTAAATTTAGCCAGTGTTTTTTTTTATGTATCTTAATTTACTGTTATAAATTTGGATTGCCCATGTTTTAAAAGGATGTAGACCAACTCTAAAAGAGAATTCTAAAAGCAACCAACATAATTAAAGACTAAAAATGACTTAATTACAAGCCACTGGACTAAAAAATAGTTGTTTAGCCTAGCAAATTCTAAGAAATTATTATTGTCTTCAGATATAGGAGGAATATTTTAAGTCTGCAGAGGGTGCTGTTCAAGTGAAATTCACACTCTGAATTCCCCTACAGCCTCCAAATTCTGGGATAACCTTTGAAATAGAGTGAGTGCCATAATGGCTAATTAAGCATGGCACCTCCATAAATGCTTAACCTGAAATAGGTTACAAAGGATTGGAATGGGAACTGAAGGTTAAGAGAAACAGACTTCCAGATTGTTCAAAAGGGATGGAGAATTTTTTTTTTTTTTTTTTTTTTTTGAGACAGAGTCTCGCTTTGTCGCCCAGGCTAGAGTGCAGTGGCGCGATCTCGGCTCATTGCAAGCTCCGCCTCCTGGCTTCACGCCATTCTCCTGCCTCAGCCTCCCGAGTAGCTGGGACTACAGGCGCGCACCACCACACCCGGCTAATTTTTCGTATTTTTAGTAGACACGGGGTTTCACCATGTTAGCCAGGATGGTCTCTATTTCCTGACCTCGTGATCCGCCCGCCTTGGCCTCCCAAAGTGTTGGGATTACAGGCGTGAGCCACCGCACCCTGCCGGGATGGAGAAACTTTTAATCCAGTAGAGGACCTCTGGTCCCTAGGAGGGAAAAATCCACTGAAAGTGGCAGAAAGGTGTTGTGAAGTCAGAAGACCTGAGATCTATGCTCAACAGCAACTTGAAGTTAGACTTTAATTACATCACCTCGCAAGGCTAAGTTATATCTATAAAATTGGAGCATAGGAAGAGATCAGTAAGACTTTAAGTTTTTAAAAACTTTTTAGAAAAATTCTTACTCTGAGGAATACACAGATCCTAACCTGTTGGGGTTTTCCTGTCAGAAAGTAGTGCTGTTCAAACAGATTGTGTTTTTTCAAACTTTTGACTGTGATCCACAATAAGAAACATTTTCATTTATTTTTTAGAGACTGGGTCTTGCTCTGTTGCCTAGGCTGGAGTACAGTGGTATAATCAGAGCTCACTGCAGCCTTGAACTCCTGGGCTCAAGTGATCCTCCCACTTTGGCCTTCCAAAGTGCTGGGATTACAGGTGTGAACCACCATACCTGGCCTGAAATACATTTTATATTGCAGCACAATACAAACACACACACTGTATTTCATTGCATCTAAGATGTTTTTCAGTCACAAATGCTGCCAGTTATAACTGTCAGATGCCATTAATTGTAAGACATACTCCAACTTAGAGATACTAAAATATGGAAAGATGTGCATCTTAAAATTGGTGAATATAGACCGAGCGCGGTGGCGCACGCCTGTAATCCCAGAGGTCATCCACCCACTTTGGGAAGCCAAGGTGGGTGGATCACCTGAGGTCAGGAGTTCAAGACTAGCCTGGCCAACATGGTGAAACTCTGTCTCTACTAAAAATACAAAAATTAGCCGGGTGTGGTGGCACAAGCCTGTAATCCCAGCTACTCAGGAGGCTGAGGCAAGAGAATCGCTTGAACCCGGGAGGCAGAGTTTGCAGTGACCTGATGTTGCGCCATTGCACTCCAGCCTGGGCAACAAGAGCGAAACTCCATCTCAAAAAAAAAAAAAAAAAAAAAAAGTGATAAAACACTGTATTAGTTCATTTTCATGCTGCTGATAAAGACATACCTGAAACTTTAATTGGAACTTTAAGTCCAATTAAACCTCTTTTCGTCCCCAAAGTTCCACATGGCTGAGGAAGCCTCAGAATCTTGGCGGGAGGCGAAAGGCACTTCTTACATGGGAGTGGCAAGAGAAAATGAGGAAGAAGCAAAATCGGAAACCCCTGATAAACCCATCAGATCTTGTGAGACTTATTCACTATCACAAGAAAGCATGGTAAAAACCGGCCCTTGTGATTCAATTACCTCCCTGTGGGTCCCTCCCACAACATGTGGGAATTCTGAGAGATACAGTTCAAGTTGAGATTTGGGTGGGGACACAGCCAAACCATATCAAACAAAGAACATAAAAATTTCCATCTTGGCTGTGCACGGTGGCTCATGCCTGTAATCCCAGCACTTTGAGAGGCTGAGGGAGGTGGATCACGAGGTCAGGAGATCGAGACCATCTGGCTAACATGGTGAAACCCTGTCTCCACTAAAAATAGAAAAAATTAGCTGAGCATGGTGGCACGCGCCTGTAGTCTCAGCTGCTCGGGAGGCTGAGGCAAGAGAATCACTTTAACCCAGCAGGAGGAGGTTGCAGTGAGCCGAGATAGTGCCACTGCACTCTAGCCTGAGTGACAGAGCGAGACTCCGTCTCAAGAAAAAAAAAAGAAAAAGAAAAATTCCATCGTAACCATTTGTAAATGAACAGTTCATTGGCATTTAAAATATTCAAATTGTTGTGCAACCATCACCATCAACCATCTCCAGAACTCTTTTCATCTTGCAAAACTTGAAATTCTGGACTGGGCATGGTGGCTCACCCCTGTAATCCCAGCACTTTGGGAGGTCGAGGTGGGCGGATCATGAGGTCAGGAGTTCGAGACTAGCTTGGCCAACCTGTGAAACCCTGTCTCTATTAAAAATACAAAAATTAGCTGGGCATGATGGCAGGCGCCTGTAATCCCAGACTCAGGAGACTGAGGCAGAAGAATCATTTGAACCTAGGAGGCA
This sequence comes from Homo sapiens, assembly GCF_000001405.40. Taxonomy (NCBI): domain Eukaryota; kingdom Metazoa; phylum Chordata; class Mammalia; order Primates; family Hominidae; genus Homo; species Homo sapiens. The sequence continues at coordinate 73,505,640 of NC_000006.12, read as the reverse complement.
GAGGTTGCAGTGAACCAAGATCACACCATTGCACTCCAGCCTGGGTGACAGTGTGAGGCTCCATCTCAAAAACAAAAACAAAAACAAAACAAAAAAACTGAAATTCTGTACTCACTAAAGAATAGTTTCCTGTTTCTCCCTCCCCCATCCCCTGGTAACCATCATTTTACTGTCTCTATGAATTTGAGTGCTCCAGGTAACTCTTATAAAGGGAATCATACAGTATTTGTCTTTTTGTGACTGGCTGATTTCAGTTAGCATAACTTTTTCAAGGTTTATCCATGCTGTAGCATGTATATGAATTTCCTTCCTTTTTAAGGCTGTATAATATTCCATTGTATGTATATGCCACATTTTGTTTATCCTTTCATTCATTGGTGGATACTTGGGCTACTTCCAGCTTTTGGCTATTGTGAATTAATGCTACTTTGAACATGACTGTACAAATTTTTTTTTTTTGAGACAGTCTTGCTCTGTTGCCCAGGCTGGAGTGCAGTGGCTTGATCTCAGCTCATTGCAACTTCCATCTCCCAGGTTCAAGCGATTCTTGTGCCTCAGCCACCTGAGTAGCTCGGATTACAGGCGCATGCCACCACGCCCAGCTAATTTTTGTATTTTAATAAGAGATGGGGTTTCAACATGTTGGTCAGGCTGGTCTCAAACTCCTATCCTCAAGTGATCTGCTTGCGCTGGCAGATTTGTAATCCCAAAATGCTGGGATTACAGATGTGAGCCACCACACCTGGGCTTTTTTTCAGGCAGGGTCTCACTCTGTTGCCCAGGCTGGAGTGTGGTGGCATGCTATCAACTCACTGCAGCCTCAAACTCCCCGGCTCAAGTGATTCTCCTGCCTCAGCCCCCAAGTTGCTGGAACAACAGGTACGTGCCACCATGCTTGGCTTATTTTTGTATTTTTGGTAAAGACGGAGTTTCGCCATGTTGCCCAGGCTGGTCTTGAACTGCTGAGCTCAAGTGATCCGCCTGGCCTCCCAAAGTGCTGGGATTACAGGCGTAAGCCACCGTGCCTGGCCTGTCACAAATATTTTGATCTCATTTAATTATTCACTTGAGTTTTAGTAATACCATTTCTTGCCTTTAGTAGTATTCATTAATCTATTTAAAAAGCACGAGTATCTACAACTGTGATATTGCTTATATTTACAAGGCTTATATCTTCTTAAGGTAGACAGATATTAACATTAAGGTAGGGCCAGGCACATGGTGGCTCATGCCTGTACTATCACCTACACAGGAGGCTGAAGAGGGAGGATTAATTGAGCCCAGGACTTTGAGACCAGCCTGGGCAACATAGTAAGACCCCATATCTACAAAAACTTAAAAATTAGCCGTGCATGGTGGTGCACACCTGTAGTCCCAGCTACTTGGAGGGCTGAGATGGGAGAATAGCTAGAGCCAGGGAGGTTGAGGCTGCAGTGAGCTGTAATCATGCCACTGCACTCCAGCCAGGGTGGCAGAGTGAGATCTTGTCTCTAAATAAAAACATTAAGGTAGAACGAAGTAAGTGTAATAATAGAAGTATTGTGGAGAGGGAGTGTAAGAGGAACAATTAATTTTCACTGTGTGCATTCCAGTGTTAAGTGGCTCTTCCAGATCAGAATAAACCCCTAGTCTCTGCTGGTGGCTTTCCTGATACTCCTGACCACTTCTTCTGGACAGGGCATTCTTCTAGGAGTTGAAATTTCTGAAGTAGAAAAGCCATGGCTATTCCAATCTAGGTTGAAACTAAAAAATGACAAAATACTTTTAAAACCATCAGTAACAAAATTTAAGCTCTTGGCTATAAAGGAACTTCATTTTCAAGGCCATAATCGTTTAATTTAGCATAGGTTCGTATCTTCATCCTTCCTCCCCCAGTAATTTTACAAATGCTTAGTGTTTCTTAGTCATTTCTTATTTTTTGGTGTTCCTGTTGAATTGAATTGAAAAAATACCTGGCTTTTTCAACTGGTAGGCAGTCTGGTCTGTGGTGAATAGAGGAAGTCACAAGTATGGCCAGCTTTCGTTGGCAGCTGATTATTGTCAGTGATGGGATTTCTATGAAGTAACTACATTGAGTAAGGTTACATTTTTAGCTGATTTCTTCCTAGGGCATCATATTCTGTAGTACTTCTGCATAGCAGCACCAGAGGGTAGGCTGTTTTGACATATTAAGTGATGTAATTTTGTTTAAGTTAACATACAAACATTGTGGATTTAAAGAGGTTTCAGGCCACGTGTGGTGGCTCATGCCTGTAATCTGAGCACTTTGGGAGGCCAAGGCAAGAGGATCATTTGAGGCCAGAAGTTCAAGACCAGCCTGGGCAACATAGTGAGACTTCATTCCTACAAAAAATTTTTTTAAAACTTAGCCAGGCATGGTGGCATGTGCCTGTAGTCCCAGCCACTTGGGAGGCTGAGGCATAAGGATCACTTGAGCCCAGGAGATCAAGGCTGCAGTGAGCTATGATTGTACCACTGCACTACAGCCTGGGCAACAGAGTGAGACCCTGTCTCTAAAAAATAAAGAAGTTCACATCCTAAAGCAAATCATAGAATCTAAAATATGTATTTTCCATGAAACATTTTTCAGTGAGACAGTTACTATTGTAATGGAATAGCATTACAAACCTTCATTACTAAGAAACTTTAAAGTTTCTTTATATGTGTATAGTGTCACTAGCCCCAAATTGTAGCTGTCAAGAACCTCCCAAAATATTTGAACTTCCTGTTTCTTTTTTTTTTTTTGAGACAGAGTCTCACTCTGTTGCCAGGCTGGAGTGCAGTGGCATGATCTTGGCTCACTGCAACCTCTGCCTCCTGAGTTCAAGTGATTCTCTTGCCTCAGCCTCCTGAGTAGTTGGGACTACAGGCACGTGCCAACACACCTAGCTAATTTTTGTATTTTTAGTAGAGATGGGGTTTCACCATGTTGGGCAGGATGGTCTCGATCTCCTGACCTCGTGATCCACCTGCCTCAGCCTCCCAAAGTGCTGGGATTACAGGCGTGAGCCACTGTGCCAGGTTACTTCCCGTTTCTTTAAGATAAATTTTTGTTATATTCTATTCAAAAGGCACTCCATTCACTTTTTTTACTCTTGTATTTAATCAGAAAAAAAAGTTTAGAAACAATGAATTTCATTATTTTGCTGAACGGGTAGCACAAAAACACAAAATACCTTCTTTTCTTTTTCTTTTTTTTGAAACAGTCTCACTCTGTCGCCCAGGCTGGAGTGCAGTGGCACAATCTCAGCTCACTGCAACCTCTGCCTCCTGGGTTCAAGCGATTCTCCTGCCTCAGCCTCCTGAGTAGCTGGGACTACAGGCTTGCTCCACCACGCCTGGCTAATTTTGGTATTTTTAGTGGAGATGGGGTTTTGCCATGTTGGCCAGGCTGGTCTTGAACTCCTGACTTCAGGTTATCCACCCGCCTCAGCCTCCCAAAGTGCTGGGATTACAGGCGTGAGCTGCTGCAACCAGCCTCTTTTCAAAATATATACACAATGTGGTATTGTAATTAATATTGTCTCTGTAAGAAGAATTTTGCCCAGGAGTAGCTATGACTAAAAGTTACGACCTTTTGAAATCACTGAATCAAGTATTAAAAAATATTCATCATTCCTAAATTATCCAGCACTACAAATACTTTTTACTTGCTACTAATCTTACTGCTTTCTGGAAAGACTAAAATTAGATAAAATAAACCCAAGAAAACTAAGCTACCTCCAAGTGGCCATATGCAATTATAGTAACAAGATACTTGGTTGCCTCACACCCATAATCAGGCTTAACATACACATCTGTAGCCAAAGTGACTTTGGGGCCCTTAGAACTCTCCTGAGTACCTGCTTTGGCCCGAAGGTGACACGGGAGCTTCTCCCTAGGCTGACACCAGAGATCTGGGTTGGAATTCCAGAGACAAGCAGGGCTGTCTGGCCCATTTGGCTGTATTCATCCCTTAGTCTATTTAGAATGGTTGAGGTATCTGAGGTATCTGAGTCAAAAGGCCCAGCTGATTATCCCACTCTAACCCCTGTGAAGACATACCATTGAAGTACTGGAGAGGAAGAGGGGTACTACCACTATTCTGTTTTTTCTGTCATTCTGACTTAAAAACAGGGAAACACCACTCACCAGTTACTATGGACCTGTCTTCATTATTAAGAAATGATGGCCATGACAATTTCTTAAGAAAATATTTTTATGGTATGATATAAAATAACTAACGTTACTCAATTCTCCCATAACTAGGTCACCAAATAAGTATCCATCCACACTGTGGATAATAGGAAACAATGGTGATTTCCAATCTTTCTATTTTATAGGGCTTTCATTAATGTTCAAAACAATTACCAGTGAGGATTTCCTGAAGAAGTACAGATTTCTGTCAACTTTCACCCTACATACTATATTCCAATAGTATTAGCTGAATGATTCTGGATAATTTTATATAATCTCAAGTCTTTAGTCTTGAGAATTTAAGGGCTTTGATATTGCTTCCTAGCCTAGTATAACCAAGCAAAAGATTATTAACTCTCAAAACACGCTGAATGATAAGACTTTTAATTTGGTAGACTTAATAGGCAAAGTCCCTATGAGTAGGCAAATCTGCATGTTGAGTTTTATTCCAGGTTCAGTTTTAGGTTCACTGTCTCTCTCTTTGATGAACACTGCACAAAGTTATTTGTATTACAGCTCCTTAAAGAAAGAGTACAAATTGTTTACGACTAGTTTTTTCATATACACGAAAAAGCACAATTATAATTTCTGTCCCACTCAGAAATTAATGGCAAACCCATAGTAACCTAATAAAGCTATTTTAACATGTGCTAAATAATTCTTTTATCTATACTGTTGTATTGATCAAATTATTTATATGCTCTTTAAAAATCTTTTATGAATTGAAAGCTATAACTCTCTCTCTTGAAGTCTGTCTGCATCACATAAGTATTGATCAGTCTTGGATGATTCATTCATAGCCGACTGTCTTCGTTGAGTGGTCTTCACAAATCTCAGCAGATTGATGATGGCGGCAGGTGTTACTCCGGGTATGCGACTAGCAGCCCCGATCTAAAAATCAATACCACAAGAGAAACTAAGTGAGCTATGCTATGTCAAATCAAATCTATTTTCCTCCAAATAACAATCTGTATAGTATAGTTTATACAATATTTTCTTAATTATTATTTTGATGTATTATCTTAACATATTTCCTTGTAAAGTAGATAAAGGAAATATTATTATTTATGTCTTCATTTTACAAATGGGAAACTGAGGCACAGAAATGTTAAAATAGCTTGTGCAAGATTACATAACTAATAGATGTTAGAGTATCTACTTTTTTGTCCCATTAAACTAAGAAAAACTGTAATCAAGTTCCTTTCTTCAAATACAGGTCCACAGTCCCTTATTTGAAATTCTTGAGGCCAGCCTGGGAAAAATAGTGGGACTCTGTCTCTACAGAAAATAAACAAAAATTAGCTTAGGATGGTGGTGCACACTTGTAGTACTAGCCTCTCAGAAAACAAAGGTGGGAGGATCACTTGAGCCTGGGAGGTCGAGAATGCAGTGAGCTGTGATTATGCCACTGCACTCCAGCCTGGGTGACAGAGTAAGCCCCTCTCTCAAAAAAATAAAATGAAATGAAATCCTTGAAGCCATATGTTTTTGTAATAAGATATATCTAATCCTTGAGGCGGTACCTAATGTAACAGCCTCAGCAGTGTGTGGGGCAGCGCCCCACATTTTTAATCCTATTAATATTTCTGCAGTGTATTTTTACAGTGAAATGTATGAATATTCACTCTGAACAGTATAAAGACCATATAGCCTCTTCTGAGCTGAGCTCAGTTTTGCTACCAAATGAGCTTGTGGCAAACTTCTGCCAGAGCCTTTTGTATTATAGAATTGTGGGCAAGGAGTTCTGAACTCCTATGACCAGTGCTGTCCAACTGAACTTTCTATGATGATGGAAATCTTCTATAACATGTGCACTGCAATAATGCAGTGTCCAATATGGTAGCCACTAGTCATATGTGGCTACTGGGCACTTGAAATGTGGCTAGTAAGACTGAGGAACTGAATTTTACATTTTATTTAATTTTTTTCTTTTTTTTTTTTTTGAGACAGGGTTTCACTCTGTCACCCAGGCTGGGATGTAGTGGTATAATCATGACTTGCTGCAGCCTCTACCTCCTGGGCTCAAGCGATCCTCCCACCTCAGCCTCCCAAGTAGCTGGGACTATAGGTGCATGCCACTGCACCTGGCCTATTTAATTTTAATTAATGTAAATAACCACAATTGGCGAGTGGCTATCATGTTGGACAGTGTGGCAGTGTAGCCTATGATTATCCATACAAACATAACCTGAAATCAATAGGAAGGGACAAAGTCATAAAATTTAAGGCTTATTTTCCTGGTTTCCATGATGACTGTTGCTAAGAATACCATCTTATATTAATGAAATTACTCCTCCCTGTAAAAATAGTTTTTTTCAAATTTTTCTACAGTCTATATTTTTGTAATATGCCCCTTTATTTTATGAAACACTACTAAAAAAAAAATGTCCATTAAACTGTGACACACCATCAATTTTTGAGATAGTAAAGATGCAACTGGCCAGGCACGGTGGCTCACGCCTGTAATCCCAGGACTTTGGGAGGCCAAGGCGGGCAGATCATGAGGTCAGGAGATCGAGACCATCCCAGCCAACATGGTGAAACCCCGTCTCTGCTAAAAGTACAAAAAAAAATTAGCTGAGTGTGGTGGCATGCGCCTGTAGTCCCAGCTACTTGGGAGGCTGAGGTAGGGGAATCGCTTGAACCCAGGAGGCAGAGGTTGCAGTGAGCCGAGATCGTTCCACTGCACTCCAGCCTGGTGACAGAGTGAGACTCCATTTCAAAAAAAAAAAAGATGCAATTTTAGAGATGTTAAAATGTGGAGAAAAGTGTATTTCAGAATCAGTAAGTACAGTTTATCAGTCTTTAAACATTTATTAGAAGCCCAATACTAATTACTATATAGTAAATTAAAAGTTTATTTGTTTACACAAAGGAACATGCATATACCCTCTCACAATTAGTCTGAAGCACGTGGTGGGGGCATTTTTTGGCTCCCCTCTTTCTCCCATTAGTTCCCAAGGCAACACTATGGAACTCCTAGGGAGGACTCCAAGTAGTGACTTGAAAATCACAAATATGAGTTATGTTTTAATCTAGTATGGTTTCCTTTAAGCCATACACGTGTACTATCTTGCATAGTTTGCTCTGATGCTTTATCACATGGTTGGGACTAGAGAATAGTTCCAATCAAACCAATTCTTGACTTCCAGTTATTTAGTTAAAGTTAAGCTTTATCATCTCTCATACAAACATACCAACATCTGTCTTAGAAACACAAGAAAAAAATCTGAGGTCAAGTTTCTTTTTTTTTTGAGACAGGGTCTCACTCTGTTGCCCAGGCTGGAGTGCAGTCGTGCAATCATGGCTCACTGCAGCCTCAGTGTCTTGGGCTCAGGTATCTGCCACCTCAGCCTCCCGAGTAGCTGGCGCTGCAGGTGCATGCCACCATGCCCAGCTAATTTTTGTATTTTTGTAGAGATGGGGTCTTGCTGTGTTGCCCATGCTGGAAGTTTCTTATTACTAAATAAAACATTAGTTATATGGCCATTATAACCCCAGGTTTAAAAAATTAAAGCACTGTATCTTTATCTATAACTTGTTTCTATTCTCCTGCCTATTTTCTTACCGTCTGTGGACGACTAAAATGTAGTTTCTCTCGAACTTCATGGGACAAAGACACATCCCTGATAGTCAAATAATCTAGGTCTTTTGGCAGTTGGAGAGCTTCATCTTGCTGAACTCCCTTTATTTCTTGTAGTTGATGGAACAACACTGATTCATAAGTGGCTGGTCAACAAAATCAGAATCATGTTATAATACCCAGATTATATTATACTAACAACTTACATTTATGTAGCCTCTTACAATTTACAAAAAGCTTTTGTGTACATCATCTCATTCAACACTCATTTCATGAGATGGGTTGGGTAGGTGTTCCCTTTTACATAGGAGGAAACTGAAGCTAAGATAAATGGAGTGTCTTGCATATTAACTACAACATTCTGTCTAGTAGTTTAGTGCATGTCCTTTTCAAATATCTGGAAAATTAAAAGTAAAAAAAGAATTTGTGGCCAGGCATGGTGGCTCATGCCTGTAATACTAACACTTTGGGAGGCCAAGGCGGGTGGATAGTCTGAGCTCAAGAGTTCGAGACCAGCATGGGGAACATGGTGAAATGCCATCTCTACTAAAAATATAAAAAATTAGCCAGGCGTGGTGGCATCCACCTGTAATCCCAGCTACTCGGGAGGCTGAGACAGGAGAATTGCTTGAACCCCGGAGGTGGAGGTTGCAGTGAGCCGATATAGCGCTATTGCACTCCAGCCTGGGCGACAGAGCGAGACTCTGTCTCAAAAAAAAAAAAAGAATTTGCTTCCGCTGTCAGTGCAAATCTTGGCTGGAACATTTTTCTCAACAGGCTGTGAGGTTGAATTTTATGTCCTAGAGATAAGCTATTTCTCTCTTTTTTTGAGACAGAGTCTTGCTTGTTGCCTAGGCTGGAATGCAGTGGCGCGATCTCGGCTCACTGCAACCTCCACGTCCCAGGTTCAAGCAATTTCTCCTGCCTCAGCCTCCTAAGTAGCTGGGATTATAGACGCAAGCCACCACGCCCGGCTAATCTTTGTATTTTTAGTAGAGATGGGTTTTCACCATGTTAGCCAGGCTGGTCTCGAACTCCTGACCTCATGATCTGCCCACCTTGGCCTCCCAAAGTGCTGGGATTATAGGCATGAGCCACCATGCCCGGCTGAGATAAGCTACTTCTCTAAGAAAATGGTTTTTTGAACCAAACACTGCATGTTCTCACTCATAGATGGGAATTGAACAATGAGAACACATGGACACAGGAAGGGGAACATCACACTCTGGGGACTGTTGTGGGGTGGGGGGAGGGGGTAGGGATAGCATTAGGAGATCTAATGCTAAATGATGAGTTAATGGGTGCAGCACACCAGCATGGCACATGTATACATATGTAACTAACCTGCACATTGTGCACATGTACCCTAAAATTTAAAGTATAATAATAATAATTAAAAAAAAGAAAAAAAAAAGAAAATGGTTTTTTAAATTATCTTCATATAGAGCTATAAATTTTAAAAGTAAAGCTTCTTAGTTGACAAAACATAATTTAAATAATTTAGTTAAGGGATTGTTCAAAAGTGATGTTAGGAAGATAATTCAGCAATTATTTTGTTTAAAGCATTCTGCTCTTAGAAAATTAAATTAAAAACCTGTTTTAAAACCTAAATTGAGGTGCTTATTCTGTCCTGTTCAAGAAAGGGAGTCCTCTGAGGTTTTGGTAGCATCTTTTCCCATCACTTAACTGGCAGCCAGAACATCTCATCTCTGTGTCTGACTCCAACAATGAATTACCCTCTGACTATGCGTACATCATCATCATTTTGGGACTTAGCTTCTTTTTCTAGAAATTGCAAGGGCTGGCCCAGATGACTTCTGAGGGTCTTTATGGCAACAAAGAATAGTTGTGAAGTACACAGGATTTGCAATCAGACAAGGTAGGTTCCAGTCCCAGCTCTGCCACTCACCAACTGTGTGATCTTGGGCAATTACCACTTATCTGTAAAACTGGGACAACAATGCTAATATCTGCCCTTCACAGGGCAGTTCTAAGTATCAAATGAAATAATGCATGTAAATAGCTTATATAATATTGTAATATAATAAATTAGTACAGCAAATTGTAATATAATGTTATGACTCAAGAATAGACTCTTCAAGGTATCATGAAATATATGAGGTAATGCATATGCTAAAGGTATATAAGGGTATAATGTTATATGTATTCACATATAACAAAACAAGAGAGAGAATACAAAGAAGAATCTCACACTGATTTATGCCCTCAAGAAATGTTTTGTCTAGTGGAGGGATTCAGGTAGCAATCTGAAAACCACTGATATGTGTTATATTTCAATCTAGTATAGTTTTTTTTTTTAAGCCATGATAGTTATGAGAGTCTTTATATATGCCAGAGTCTTTAAAGAACAAGTAAAAACAGTAGCTATTCAATGTTTGAAGTCAGGGCTTTCTATGAACAAGTTAATGATAATTTTTCTGGATTATCCTAACCTGAACCTGACGATTTATTGAACAAAGTTAAACTGCAAACCAAGTTTAAAATATATAATCACTCTTCCCCAGAGCTAACAGCCCTAAGTGTTTAATAAAGAAATTTTTACTCAATAGAGAAATTGTGATGGTAAAATAACAGGTCAACGATCCTTCTTCTACCTTAATATATTGCTAGTGTTTAATAATTTGGAAGAATAATTCTAGAGTTTCTGATGAGTTTCCTTTTGTTGCTAGACTTTTGTAAACTTGTGTGGTGGAATGGTAGGTAGCACTTGGGTCATCCTACACAGACATCCAAAGCATTGCAAGGTGATAGGCCTTTGTGGGACTGAAAAAAATGCTGGCTGGGTATGGTGGCTCACGCTTGTAATCCCAACAACTTTGGGAGGCCGAAGTGGGCAGATCATCTGAGGTCAGGTGTTTGAGACCAGCCTGGCCAACATGGTGAAACACTGTCTCTACTAAAAAAAATACAAAAATTAGCCAGGTGTGGTGGTGCGCGCCTATAGTCCCAGCTACCTGAGAGGCTGAGGCAGGAGAACGGCTTGAACCCAGGAGGCCGAGGTTGCAGTGAATTCAGATTGCATCACTGCACTCCAGCCTGGGCGACAGGGTGACAGAGTAAGACTCTGTCTCAAAAAAAAAAAAAAGGCCAGGAGCAGTGCCTCATGCCTGTAATCCCAGCACTTTGGGAGGCCGAGGCGGGTGGATCACCTGAAGTCAGGAGTTCAAGACCAGCCTGGCCAAATAGTGAAACCCCGTCTCTACTAAAAATAAAAAAATTAGCCAGGCGTGGTGGTGCATGCCTGTACTCACAGCTACTCAGGAGGCTGAGGCAGGAGAATTGTTTGAACCCAGGAGGTGGAGGTTGCAGTGAGCCAAAATTGCGCCACTGGAATCCAGCCTGGGCGACAAAGCGAGACTCCGTCTCAAAAAAAAAAAAAAAGAAAAAAAAAGAAAATGCCACTGCTAGAAGGAATGCAGCATGATCACCATTCTGGCTGGTTCCCAAAGAGCATAGTCTTTTCCTGTTTGAACAGCACACCATCATCCAACTTTGTCTTCCCTTCTCACCATGTTATCCTGTTCCCTGCTTTTTTCACTACATCATTTTCCACCCATGAAAAAACACCTTCTATCAAAATGCAGAAGCCAATATTATTCTCAGTATTTTCTTTTCTTTTTTTTTTAAGATGAAGTCTCGCTCTTGTCGCTCAGGCTGGAGTGCAATGGTGCGATCTCGGCTCACTGCAACCTCCGTCTCCTGGGTGCAAGCAATTCTCCTGCCTCAGCCTCCCGAGTAGCTGGGATTATAGGTGCCTGCCACCATGCTCAGCTAATTTTTTTGTATTTTTAGTAGAGATGGGGTTTCACCATGTTGGCCAGGCTGGTCTCGAACTTCTGACCTCAGGTGATCTGCCCACCTCAGCCTCCCAAAGTGCTGGGATTACAGGCGTGAGCCACTACGCCCAGCTTCAGTATTTTCATAATAAAAATTTTCATTATGAAAAACTTAAAAAAATGCAGAGCAACTACCAGAGACACCTGTGGCTTTGATGGTCTATAAACTGACCAAGAGTATTGATACAAAGTAAGTATTTGTCAATGGTAGAGTATTTCAGTATACTGTCAAAGCCAAAGATAGTATTATTTTTCTCATTATTAAAACATTAGGTGGGGAGAGTATAAAAAGAAAGTTCAGGGTTAAAAAAATATATAAAGATATATATATATATGCTGGGTGCAGTGGCTCACACCTGTAATCCCAGCACTTTGGGAGGCCAAGGCGGGCGGATCACCTGAGGTCAGGAGTTTGAGACCAGCCTGGCCAATGTGATGAAACCCTGTCTCTACTAAAAATACAAAAATTTGCCGGGCCTTGTGGCGGGGCCCTGTAACCCCAGCTACTTGGGAGGCTGAGGCAGGAGAATTGCATGAACCTGGGAGGTGTAGGTTGCAGTGAGCCAAGATTGCACCATTGCACTCCAGCCTGGGCAACAAAAGTGAAACTCCATCTCAAAAAAGAAAAAACCAAAACACACACACACACACACACACACACACACACACATACATGCACATTTCAAATAAGTGGTACTGTGGTGCCCTCCTATAAAAAATATTTATTTTTGGCCAGGTGCAGTGGCTCACGCCTGTAATCCCTGGCACTTTGGGAGGCCGAGGCAGGCAGATCACCTGAGCAGGAGTTCGAGACCAGCCTGGCCAACATGGTGAAACCCCGTGAACACTAAAAATACAAAAAATTAGCCAGGCGTGGTGGTGCATGCCTGTAATCCCAGCTACTCAGGAGGCTGAGGCAGGAGAATCACTTGAACCCGGGAGGGAGAGGTTGCAGTGAACCGAGATCATGCCACTGCACCCCAGCCTGGGCAAGAAGAAGGAAACTCCTCCTCAAAAAAAAAAAAAAAAATACACACACACACACACACACACACATATATTATATATATATTTATTTATAGGAGGACTCTGCAGTACCACTTATTTGAAATGTGCATGTAAATCACCTGAAAAGCATGTTTAAATATAGATTCTCAGTGGGTCTGAGGTGAAGCCTGAGGGTCTGTATTTCCTTTTTTTAATTTTTTTTTTTTTTTTAGATGTCATCTTGCTCTGTCACCCAGGCTGGAGTACAGCGATCTTGGCTCACTGCAACCTCCACCTCCCAGCCTCAAGCAATCCTCCCACCTCTGTCTCCATAGTAGTTGGCACTACAGGCATGTATCTTCACATCCAGCTAATTTTTTGTATTTTTTTTGTAGAGACAGGGTTTTGCCATATTGGCCAGGCTGGTCCGGAATGCCCAGGCTCAAGAAATCAGCCCACCTCAGCCTCCCAAAGTGCTGGGATTATAAGCATGAGCCACTGTGCCCAGCCAAGATTCTGTATTTCTAACAAGCTTGTAGGTGTTGCAATGCTCTTAGCTGAGGACCACACTTTTGAAAAGCACAGAAGCTAACACTGTGCTGGTCCAACAGTAATAATGGATCTGTTGTCTATTCATAATTTGCACATATGATAAAGGTATGTTAAGTCAAAAATTATTTTCTACCTTCTATTTTCAGTCTTTCAGCCAGCTCTCTACATTTAGTATACTTCTTCAAGGGCTCTGGAACAGCCTTGGCTAATGAATCCATGTCAACTTCCTCATACTTCAGAACATCGAGAGCTCTGCAAATATATGAAAGTTTCATTAACATAAGGATCCATGTCATATAAGGCAGATCAAGAACAAGATTCTTTGAAATAATATCAGATCTCAGAATAAATACCAAAAGATTATTTCTTTTTTTTTTTTTTTGAGATGGAGTCTCGCTCTGTCGCCCATCAACTGTAGTGCAGTGGTACAATCTTGGCTCACTGCAATCCCCACCTGCTGGGTTCAAGCAATTCTCCTGCCTCAGACTCCCTAGTAGCTGGGACTACAGGCATGCGCCACCATGCCCGGCTATTTTTTTGTATTTTTAGTAGAGACGGGGTTTCACCATGCTGGCCAGGCTGGTCTCGAACTCCTGACCTCGTGATCTGCTAAACTGCTGGGATTACAGGCATAAGCCACTGCGCCCGGCCCCAAAAGATTATTTCTAAGTATAGTGAGCAAATGCAGCAGCATCTGCTAAACAGTAGCACCTCAATAAGATGTATTATTTGATTTTCCCCAACTCCTTATCTGGAGAATTAAGTTGCTGGTAAGGGTGGCATGGCTGTAATCCATTTGTCTTTCCTTTCATATAGAATATCATCTCATAACAAGGGTTTCACTGAATTCCCTAAGCACTGGAATGTACTTTACATCTAAGCCATGTTAAGTCCTACAGTCCTGTGAATTAGTCATCCTTTTGCATGCTAGGAACCATGACAGTGATCTCCTGCTTTCTTTTACTGAACTCCCTAAGGAAGAACAAGAGGCCATTATGAGCATGTTTTAAGTCTCTGCAAAACAAACTGATAAAAATGATATAGGGGTTCATAAGTCTTTTTCTTCTTCTTCTTTTTTTTTTTTTTTTTGTAGAGACAGGGTTTTGTCATGTTGCCCAGGTGATCTGCGTACCTCGGCCTCCCAAAGTGCCAGGATTACATGAGTGAGCTACTGTGCCCGGCTGGTTCATAAATATTCTGTCTGATTTTTTTTTTTTTTCCTAATTTGGTATAATCTACATGTCAACTTTTACCACATGGAAATTTTTGATAGTCACTTCTCAATTCTGCTTCTACTACCCACTCTGGATGGGCTAAAGCCTCCATGGCCAATGCCTTACCTTTCCTTGGGAGAGGAGAGCAATGTATGCAGATAGCAGGGACAATTACTAAAATTCCCAGGCAACTTACCTAGGCCAACAAAAGAACATGCCTAAGTATTAATGCACATAGATCCAGTGAGATTTCCAATAACTTAATTCATTGGCACTTGTTGAGATCAAACTAGTGAGCAAAACTTCAGCTGTGTTTAGCCTTCAGAAGTGCTGGAGCTCCTATGACCACTTTAATCCCTTTTATACTGATCTCAGGTCTCCCCTCTTGATATTACAAAGCCCCCACCCCCAACTTGACCCAGACCTTCTCCTAAAATGGACCTAGCTAGGTCACTTGTTGCTCTGTTAATTATTACTTACTTCATTTACATATACCTTTATTTTGCTGTAATTTACTTAGAAGGTTATTGCCATGGCTTTTTTTTTTTAGAAATAGAAAATTTCATCCTAAAATTTGTATGGAATCACAAGGAACCCCAAATAATCAAAACAATTTTGAAAAAAGAACATGGTTAGAGGCCTTATACTTCCTGATTTCAAACATATTACAAAGCTACAGTAATCAAAACAGCATGGTACTGGCACAAAGACAGATACATAGACCAGTGTAATAGAAAACCCAGAAATAGAAAACTGGCTAGCCATATGTAGAAAGCTGAAACTGGATCCCTTCCTTACACCTTATACAAAAATTAATTCAAGATGGATTAAAGACTTAAATATTAGACCTAAAACCATAAAAAACCCTAGAAGAAAACCTAGGCAACACCATTTAGGACATAGGCATGGGCAAGGACTTCATGAATAAAACACCAAAAGCAATGGCAACAAATGCCAAAATTGACAAATGGGATCTAATTAAACTAAAGAGCTCATACACAGCAAAAGAAACTACCATCAGAGTGAACAGGCAACCTACAGAATGGGAGAAAATTTTTACAATCTACCCATCTGACAAAGGGCTAATATCCAGAATCTATAAAGAACTTAAACAAATTTACAAGAAAAAATCAAACAACCCCATCAAAAAGTGGGCAAAGGATATGAACACACACTTCTCAAAAGAAGACATTTACGCAGCCAACAGGCACACGAAAAAATGCTCATCATCACTGGCCATCAGAGAAATGCAAATCAAAACCACAATGAGATACCATCTCACACCAGTTAGAATGGTGATCATTAAAAAATCAGGAAACAACAGGTGCTGGAGAGGATGTGGAGAAATAGGAACACTTTTACACTGTTGGTGGAACTGTAAACTAGTTTAACCATTGTGGAAGGCAGTGTGGTGATTCCTAAGGATCTAGAACTAGAAATACCATTTGACCCAGCCATTCCATTACTGGGTATATACGCAAAGGATTATAAATCATGCTTTATAATTAAAAGACACATGCACACGTATGTTTATTGTGGCACTATTCACAATAGCAAAGCCTTGGAACCAACCCAAATGTCCATCAATGATAGACTGGATTAAGAAAATGTGCCACATATACACCATGGAATACTATGCAGCCATAAAAAAAGATGAGTTCATGTCCTTTGTAGGGACATGGATGAAGCTGGAAACCATCATTCTGAGCAAACTATCACAAGGACAGAAAACCAAACATTGCATGTTCTCACTCATAGGTCAGAATTGAACAATGAGAACACTTGGACACAGGGTGGGGAACATCACATGCCGGGGCCTGTTGTGGGGTGGGGGGAGGGGTGAGGGATAGCATTAGGAGATATACCTAATGTAAATGTCGAGTTAACAGGTGCAGCACACCAACATGGCACATGTATATATATGTAACAAACCTGCACGTTGTGCACATGTACCCTAGAACTTAAAAGTATAATAATATACAAAAAAAAAAAAGAAAAAAAGAAAACCCAGAAATAAACCCTCACTATATAATCAAATGATTTTGACAAGCATACCAAGACCACCCAATGGGGGTTTCTTCAACAAATAATGTTGAGAAAGCTGGATATCCAAACAGCAAAAGAATGAAGTTGGACCCTTACCTTATGTCATATACAAAAATCAACACAATATGTATTAAAGACCTAAGGAAAGGCCTTAAGGTATAAAATTTCTAGAAGAAAACATACAGGAAAAGCTTCATGACATTAGCTTTGCCAGTGATTTCTTGGCTGACACCAAAAGCACAAGAAACAAAAGCAAAAGTAGACAAATGGAACTAGATCCATTTTGTTGTTGTTGTTGTTGTTGTTTTTTAGACGGAGTCTTGCTCTGTCATCCAGGCAGAGTGCAGTGGCATGATCTGTGCTCACTGCAACCTCCATCTCCCGGGTTCAAGCAATTCTCGTGCTTCAGCCCGCTCAGTAGCTGGGACTACAGACATGTGCCACCATGCGTGGCTAATTTTTTTTTTTTTTGTATTTTTGGTAGAGATGGGGTTTTGCCACACTGGCCAGGCTCGTCTTGAACTCCTGACCTCAGGTAATCTGCTTGCCTCAGCCTCCCAAGTGCTGAAATTACAGGCACAAGCTACCATGCCCAGCCTACATTAAATTTTTTTAAAATGTACATCAAAGGATACAAACAACAGAGTGAAAACACAATCCACAGAATGGGAGAAAATATTTGTAAATCATATATCTGAAATGGGGTTAATATCCAGTATACATAAAGAACTACAATTCAACAATAAAAAAATCTGGCGAGGCATGGTGACTACGTCTGTAATCCTAGTGCTTTGGGAGACCAAGGTGGGAGAGTTAATTGTGGCCAGGAGTTCAAGACCAACCTTGGCAACACAGCAAGATCCTGTCTCTACAAGAAATAAAAATCTAGCTGGATGTGGTGGTGTGCACCTGTGGTCCTAGCTACTTGGGAGGCTGAGGTGGGAGGATCACCTGAGTCATGGAGCTTGAGGCTGCAGTGAGCTATGATTGTACCACTGCACTCCACCCTGGGTGACAGAGGGAGACCCTGTCTCTGGAAAAAAAACCTAAACAACTGATTTAAAAAATGGGCAAAGAATTTGAATAGATACTTCTCCAATGATATAAAAATAGCTAACAAGCACATGAAAAGATGCTCAACATCCACTAATCATCAGAGAAATAAAATCAAAGCCACAATGAGATATCACCTCACATCCACTAGGATGGCTACTATCAAAAAACAGAAGATGACAACTGTTGGTGAGTATGTGGAGAAATGGGCAATCTTGTGCACTGTTGAAGGGACTGTAAAATGATGCGATCACGATAGAAAACAGTTCCTCAAAAAATTAAAATTAGAACTACTGCCAGGTGTGGTGGTGCGAGCATGTAGTCTCAGCTACTCGGGAGGCTGAGGCGGGAGGATCGCTTGAGCCCAGGAGTTCTGGACTGTAGTGCTCTACGCTGATTGGGTCTCCACACTAAGTTCAGCATCAATATGGTGACCTCCCAGGAGTGGGGGATTACCAGGTTGCCTAAGAAGGCGTGAGCCAGCCCAGGTCAGCCAAAACTCCTGTGCTGATCAATAGTGGGATCTGTGCCTGTGAAAAGCCACTGCACTCCAGCCTGGGAAACATAGCGAGATCCTGTCTCTAAAAAAAAAAAACTAAGAAAAAAAAAAAAAAAACCCACAGAGACCTACAACTACCACATGATGCTGCAATTCCACTTCTGGGTATACACTCAAAAAAATTGAAAGCAGGGGCCAGGTGTGGTGGGTCATGCCTGTAATTCCAGCATTTTGGGAGGCCGAGGCAGGTGGTCAGGAGTTCGAGACCAGCCTAGCCAACATGGTGAAACCCCATCTCTACTAAAAATACAAAAAGTAGCTGGGATTACTGGTGGGTGCCTGTAATCCCAGCTACTTGGGAGGCTGAGGCACAAGAATAGCTGGAACCAGGGGGCGAAGGTTGCAGTGAGCAGAAATTGTGCCACTCCAATCTGAGTGACAGAGTGAGACGGTCTCAAAAAAAAAAAAAAAAAAAATTGAAAGCAGGGTCTTGAAGATATCTTTGTATACCCATGTTCATAGCAGCACTAACATGTACATTAACATTTACATTTACAATAAGGTGAAAGCAACTCAAGTGTCCATCAACAGATGAATAGATAAACACAATGTGGTATATACATAAAATGGAGTATCATTCAACCTTAAAAAGGAATAAAATCCTGTTACATGTTACAAGGTAGATGAACCCTGAGGACATTTATTATTATTATTATAGAGAATGGGTCTTGCTCTGTCACCCCAGCTGGAGGGCAGTGGCACAAATGCAGCTTATTGCAGCCTCGACCTCCTGGGTTCAAAGGATCCTCCCACCTTAGCCTCCCAAAGTGCTGGGATTCCAGGCATGAGCCACCATTCCTGGTCGTGAGGACATTATGTTACATGAAATAAGCCAGTCACAAAAACACATACTGTATGAGTCTTTTCTTTTTTTTTGAGAGAAGTCTCACTCTTGTCCCTCAGGTTTGGGTGCAATGGCTTGATCTCGGCTCACTGCAACCTCCGCTTCCCAGGTTCAAACGATTCTCCTGCCTCTGCCTCCCAAGTAGCTGGGATTAAGATGTCTGCCACCACGCCTGGAAAATTTGTGTATTTTTTAGTAGAGACGAGGTTTCACCATGTTGGCCAGGCTGGTTTCGAACTCCTGACCTCAGGTGATCCGCCTGCCTCGGCTTCCTAAAGTGCTGGGATTACAGGCGTGAGCCACCGTGCCTGGCCACATACTGTATGATTCTAGTCAAATCCATAGAAACAGAGTAGAATGGGGTTACCAGGGGCTGGGGGAAGGAGAGAAAGGGGGAGTTACTGTCTAATGGGTATAGTGTTTGAGTTTTGCAAGATGAAAAAGTCCTGGAGATCTATTTTGCAACCATATGAATATACTTAAACTACTGAAATGTACACTTACAAATAGTTAAGATGGTAATTATGTTCTTTTTTGGGGGGATTATGTCTGTAATCCCAGCACTTTGGGAGGCAGAGGTAGGAGAATCACCTGAGCACCAGAATTCGAGATAGTTTTAAAAAAATCTGTTCACAAGGCTTTGAGCTATTCTCAACTCCAAACTTCAAGAACTGCTTTGAATCAAGCCTAAGCCTCAGAGTACAGAGCTCTGGCAAAGAATGGATAAGTTAGCATACTTCAACAAAGCCAGGAGGGAATTTCTGAGCTACCTAACACATCAATACATTTCTCTGTAATCCTGACAGAAAATGTGTGTGTGTGTGTGTGTATGTGTTACGCATAGGTGCACATGTACATGCATTTGTGTATCTCTTCTGTTAAATGCCTGTTCAGAGTCAGGTTCAACTGGTCAGCGCTTACTACATAGTCTGGCATGTATGCAGCAAGTGTATTTTTAACCGGATTTTAAAATCTTTTTAGCTTTATATGTCTGGGCATTGATCAAGTGAGTTCGCTAAAAAAGGCTAAGGCCAGGCACAGTGACTCATGCCTGTAATCCCAGCACTTTGGGAGGCCAAGGCAGGCAGATCTTGAGGTAAGGAGATTGAGACCATCCTGGCTAACACGGTGAAACCCTGTCTCTACTAAAAATACAAACAAAAATTAGCCAGGCATGGTGGCAAGCGCCTGTAGGCCCAGCTACTCAGAAGGCTGAGGCAGGAGAATCACTTGAACCCAGGAGGCGGAGGTTGCAGTGAGCCAAGATTGTGCCATTGCACTCCAGCCTAGGTGACAGAGTGAGACTCCGTCTCAAAAAAAAAAAAAAAGAAAGAAAGAAAGGCTAAGTGGTAGACTGCAAATATTCTCAAATCAAATATGTAGACTGATTCCTCCTGAAGGGAAATATGCCTGAATTAAAAAGGAATCTGGCCAAATTACCTTTTTAAACTGACCTTTTTAAAAAAAATCCATCTAAACAAAATGGCTACTCCTGGGATTGTTATGGTAAAAACATAGCTGATAAGTTTTCATTGTTCATTTGTTCATCTTTTTATTCATCAGTTAGCATCTGAGACTGCTGAAAACGATCACTTCCCACACTCTCAATATTCATCAATACACATCAGTCACATTCAATGCAAGTTCCTATTACACGAATTAGTGTGATATTTGTTATAAAAGAAAGCATAGTGTTATATAAATTCTTTTTTTTTTTTTTTTTGATACAGAGACTTGCTGTGTCACGCAGGCTGGAGTGCAGTGGTGTGATTTCGGCTCACTGCAACTTCTGCCTTCTAGGTTCAAGTGATTCTCCTCCCTCAGCCTCTTGAATAGCTGGGATTACAGGTGTGCTCCACCATGCCTGGCTAATTTTTGTATTTTTAGTAGAGACAGGGTTTTGCCATGTCTGGTCTTGACTTCTGGCCTCAAGTGATCTGCCCACCTCAGCCTCCCAAAACGATGGGATTACAGGCATGAGCCACTGTGCCTGGCCTGTGTTATAAATTATTTGTCCAACTTTTGAAATAATGTGAACCCTCCTAAATTTAAACAAATGAATAAACAGCTGGAGAAATGAGTCAATTTTAAACTGCTTACACTACAACCATTTCCTGGTGCCTAGTGTAAGCCAGTTAGCTAGTAAACAAATATATCCACTGCTATAGTCTGAATGTTGGTAGTATCCCCCACTTAAATTCTTATGTTGGAATCTAATGCTCAATATGACAGTTTTTAGAGGTGGGGCCCTTAGGAGGTGATTAGGGCATGAGGGTTCTGGCGCTTATAAGTGGGATTAGTGCCCCAATAAAAGAGGGTTGGGGAGCTTTTTGCCCTTTTGCTATGTGAGAACACAGCAAGAAGGCACCATCTTGGAAGCAAACAGCAAGCCCTCACCAGACACCTAATCTGCTGGTGCCTTGATCTTGGACTTCAGTCTCCAAAACTGTCAGCAATAAATTACTGTTGTTTATAAATTATCCAGTCTAAGGTGTTTTGTTATAGCAGTCTGAATGGACAAAGATATCCACCATCCTTATTTGTGAATAAGGCTGTCATTTCTATGAATGAGATCCCCTGATATGAAAGATGATTACGCAAATTCTTTAAAACCTGCTGTTACTATTATTAAAAATCTGTTTCATTGCTGGTGCTAGTGCTTTGGGAAACCCTCATGAAAATAAAAACTTGGGCCAGGCATGGTGGCTCATCCCTGTAATCCCAGCACTTTGAGAGGCCAAGGCAGGTGGATCACTTAAGGTCAAGAGTTCGAGCACAGCCTGGCCAACATGGTGAAACCCTGTCTCTACTAAAAATACAAAAATTAGCCGGGTGTGGTGGTGCATGCCTGTAATCCTAGCTACTCAGGAGGCTGAGGCAGGAGAATTGCTTGAACCCGGGAGGCAGAGGTTGCAGTGAGCCGAGATCATGCCATTGCACTCCTGACAGAGTGAGACTCCATCTCAAAAAAAAAAAAAAAAAAAATAGCCAGGTGTGGTGGCAGGCGCCTGTAATCCCAACTACTTGGGAGGCTGAGGCAGGAGAATCACTTGAACCCAGAAGCTGGGAGGTTGCGATGAGCCGAGATCGCACCATTGCACTCTAGCCTGAGCAAGGAGAGTGAAACTCCATCTCAAAAAAATTAAAAACAAAGGAGTTTCCTTGCTATAGCTCATGGACAAGATCAGATCATTCCACATTGCTCCAAGACTAGAAAAGAAAGCAGATAACAACTTTTCTTGGTTTGAGCCTTCTAAATCTTATGAAAGCCAAAAGAACTCAATGGGAGCCACAGAGAAATCATATAAAAAATAAAAATAATAATTTAGAATATATATATATATGTGATTTTTTCTTTTCTTTGAGACAGGGTCTCACTCTCACCCAGGCTGGAGTGCAGAGGCGTGATCTTGGCTCACTGCAACCTCTGCCTCCTAGGTTCAAGTGATTCTCCTGCCTCAACCTCCCAAGTAGCTGGGATTACAGGTGTGCACTACCACGCCCGGCTAATTTTTGTATTTTTAGTAGAGATGGGATTTTGCCACATTGGCCAGGCAGGTCTCAAACTCCTGAACTCAAGTGATCCGACTGCCTTGGCCTCCCAAAATTCTGGGATTATAGGTGTGAGCCACTGCATCCAGCCATATATTTTTTAATACTTAGAAAACAGATGAGTTAGGCCGGGTGCAGTGGCTCACGCCTGTAATCCCAGCACTTTGGGAGGCCGAGGCGGGCGGATCACGAGATCAGGAGATCGAGACCATCCTGGCTAACACAGTGAAACCCCATCTCTACTAAAAAATACAAAAAATTAGCCGGGCGCGGTGGCAGGCGCCTGTAGTCCCAGCTACTCGGGGGGCTGAGGCAGGAGAATGGCGCGAACCCGGGAGGCGGAGCTTGCAGTGAGCCGAGATCGCACCACTGCAGTCTGGCCTGGGTGAAAGAGCGAGACTGTCTCAAAAAAAAAAAAAAAAAAAAAAGAAAGAAAAAAGATGAGTTACAGCTAACGGATTTTGAAAAGAAGCCAAAAACAAGCTACATTCATTTGAAATGTGTAGGTAGGAACACATAGGTAATGTCTCTATGAAATGATCTTATGATCTTATTTTTCTATAAAAAGTGAGAAAGGTCTATATTAAAAATGCATACCTGACAGGCAGACTTCTACTAGTACTTATAGAAGCCTCTGGGATTAATTTTTTCCATTTAGAGCTCAAAAACTCAATAGATTTCAACACAGAAATGCCTTCTTCTAAAGAAGACTTCATCCAACAAGCTCTTTCATATCGTTGTTGGGACACACAGCCAGCGTCTTTATACCCTAGGGAAGGGAGAAAGAGAATATAATGAGAAGTGTGGTTTTTAAAGCAAATTTTTTTGTAGAGACAGTGTCTCACTATGTTGCCCAGGCTAGTCCTAAACTCCTGGCCTCAAGTGATCCTCTTGCCTTGGTCTCTCAAATTGCTTGGATTATAGGTGTGAGCCACCATGCCTGGCTGGATTGCAGGACTCAGGAAAGAGTTACCTCGCAGTGTGAGCCGGCTGTCAGCATTATCAGGGCGCAGTGACAAACGGAACTCTACTCGGCTGGTAAACATGCGGTATGGTTCACTGGTGCCCAGAGTAGTGAGGTCATCAATCAAGACTCCTATGTAACCTTCTGTTCGGCTAACCACAAAGGGAGGCTTGCGACTGACCCGAAGACTGGCGTTGATTCCGGCTATCACACCCTACAAGAGCACTGAAATGTTTAAAAGGCCATTATGAACTAAACAAACGGCTATCCCATTCAGAACACTACTCAGAAACAATGGCATGGGACAGGAAGAAAGCAAGTATTGCCCCTAAGGGATATAATAGAGGTAGAAAATGTGATCCATATTCAGAAATAGAATATGGGTAATATATCACTTTAGAAGGCTATGATTCATTGTTTTCAGAGATATCCATCTAATCTTCCTGATAAGCTGCACTCTGCGGGGACTAATCTTTTTTTTATCCGGAGACAGGGTCTTCCCCTGTTACCTAGGCTGGGGTGTAATGGCATAATCTTGGCTCACTGCAGCCTCGACTTCCTGAGTTTAAGCAATCCTCCCACCTCATCCCCCCAAGTAGCTGGGACTATAGGCACATGCCGTCACACCTGGCTAATTTTTACATATTTTTGTAGAGATGGGGGTCTCACTACATCACTCAGGCTGGTCTCGAACTCCTGGCTCAAGCAATTCTCTCTCCTCAGCCTCCCAGAGTGCTGGGATTACAGGTGTGACGCACCATGCCCAGCCGGTTAATCTTTTTTTTAAAACCCACCTGTGAAACTTCTCTAGCCTTTTCCCACTTGCAAATAAAAATAAAATAATTTCTGACTTACAAGGAATAATAATATAATAATTTCTAATGAAGTATATTAAAATAAATTTTAAACTTCACAAGCAATACATCTAATCAAAATATGATATCACACAGGAGCTCAGAAAAGAGTAATAAAGCCATAGTGTTTTAATAATCCTATTATTGGCTGGGCAAGGTGGTTCACACCTGTAATCCCAGCACTTTGGGAAGCCAAGGCAGGTGGATCACCTGAGGTCAGGAGTTTGAGACCAGCCTGGCCAACACAGTGAAACCATATCTCTACTAAAAATGCAAAAATTACCTGGGTGTTGTGGTGCATGCCTGCAGTCCCAGCTACTAGGGAGGGCTGAGGCAGGAGGATCGCTTGAAGCTGGGAGATCATATCACTGCACTCCAGCCTGGCAACAGAGCAACACTCTGTCTCAAAAAAAAAAAAAAAAAAAAAAAACCCTATTATCTACAAAAGCCATCTCCAAACACCCTGAAACATAAATTGTCTTCTATTAGTATGAATTGTATCTAAGATCTACATAGTTAACACAACAGACATTAAAAGGAGAAATACCAGTTAAATAGTCCCTTTCAGTTTACATTAATATCTTAACTTCTTACTTGAGCTGCAGCTTCCTCATAACCAGTGGTGCCATTGATCTGTCCAGCAAAGAAGAGTCGTTGAACCAAATGAGTCTCCAAGGAAGGGGTGATCTGACGGGGATCTAAGTAATCATACTGAACACCGTAGCCTGACCAAAGAACAAAGACATTAAATAAGTAAATACAGAGCTGGATTTGCTCAAGGTAGAGATGCAAGCATTACCCTTAAATGCCCTTTAAAAACAGACTATTTAGGTCAGGAGCAGTGGCTCACACCTGTAATCTCAGCACTTTGGGGGGCCAAGGCGGGTGGATCACCTGAGGTCGGGAGTTTGAGACCAGCCTGACCAACAGGGAGAAACCCTGTCTCTACTAAAAATACAAAATTAGCCGGGCATGGTGATGCATGCCTGTAATCCCAGTTACTCAGGAGGCTGAGGCAGAAGAATCACGAACCTGGCAGGGGGAGGTTGTGGTGAGCCGAGATCGCACCATTGCACTCCATCCTGGGCAACAAGAGCAAAACTCCGTCTCAAAACAAACAAACAAACAAACAAAAAACAGACTATTTAAAATGTATAGGTGTTGGGCTTCATCTTCTGAGGCTCTGAACAACAATGACTGTAGCTAAGGCCTCCTCACTGACCATTAAAACAATGCTGACCTTATACTGAAGGGCACTTGTGATCTTCTTTACCTGGCTGAATCACTTTAGCTTTCTCCAAGCCTCTGATGCATGTGATCATTTTCTCTTGTAACTCAGCTGGTAGCGTCATAGATAACCCCTGTGGGTAGATAAGGTCAGAATCCATTCCTTCAGGTTCCAACCAAACCTGATGTAGACGGTTTGGAAAACGCAAAACTTTTGATTCAATGGAGGGACAGTATCTAGAATAGAACATTTAAATAAACTTGAAATGAACAAAAGAGGATTGACGTCATTCCTTAAAGTAACTGAGCACTGACATTTTGTCCTTACCGAGGTCCTCTTGTCGTTTCTTTAACATGACTATTAAGGTGAAGGTTCTTAAGGACAATCTCATCCACTCTAGGGTTGGTGTGAGTCAAGTAACATGGCAGCTGATCTTCTGGCTAAAAAACAGTAACCAGATGCAATACTGATTTGCTTATCTACTAGTTTCTCTCTTATCCAAATAAATTCCACATGATACGTACTGACTTTAATAGACACTAAACTTGTGCATAATGCCTAGTATTACTTATGAAGTATTCTTGCCAAAAATAAACATCCCAAAAGATGAAGTTAAATTTAAGCAAAACTCTAAATCTAACTAGCAGTTTAATTTTTTTTTAATGTTTTTATTTTTTGAGACGGAGTCTCACTCTGTTGCCCAGGCTGGAGGGCAGTAGCGTGATCTCAGCTCACTCCAACCTCTGTGTCCCGGGTTCAAGCGATTCTCCTGCCTCAGCCTCCCAAGTAGCTGGGATCACAGGCATGCACCACTACGTTCGGCTAATTTTTGTATTTTTGGTAGAGACAGAGTTTCACCATGTTGGCCAGGCTGGTCTCGAACTCTTGACCTCAGGCGATCCACCTGCCTCAGCCTCCCAAAGTGCTGGGATTACAGGTGTGAGCCACCGTGCCTGGCCATGGTTACTTTTTTAAAAAAGTTATTGCCAAGTGCAAGTGGCTCACACCTGTAATATCAACACTTTGGGAGGCCAAGGCAGGTGGAGCACGAGGTCAGAAGTTTGAGACCAGCCTGGCCAACATGGTGAAATCCTGTCTCTACTAAAAAGACAAAAATTAGCTGGGCATGGTGGCGGGTGCCTGTAATCCCAGCTACTCGGGAGGCTGAGGCATGAGAATCACTTGAACCTGGGAGGCGGAGGTTGCAGTGAGCCGAGATTGCACCATTGCACTCCAGCCTGGATGACAGGGCGAGATTCCGTCTCAAAAAAAAAAAAAAGAAAAAAAAAAAGTGTTTTTGTGCCCACCCAGGGACTCCTTGCTTTGTTTGGGCTGGGCGCCGTGGCTCACGCCTGTAATCCCAGCACTTTGGGAGGCCAAGGTGTGTGGATCACCTGAGGTCAGGAGTTTGAGAACAGCCTGGTCAACATGGTAAAACTCTGTCTCTACTAAAAAAATCCAAAAAATTAGCCAGGCATGGTGGCAGGTGCCTGTAATCCCAGCTACTTGGGAGGCTCAGGCAGGAGAATCGCTTGAACCCAGGGGGTGGAGGTTGCAGTGGGCCAAGCTTGCGCCATTACCATTGCACTCTAGCCTGGGCAAGACTCTGTCTCAAAAAAGAAGAAAGGGTTATCATAATTTGCATACTACCAAAGCAAATATATAAAAGTATCTTGCTCAAAGTAACAGAATATTTGAAGCCATACATCAGGATAACACTCACCAGAAACTAGGACCATCAATTATTTTTTTTTTGTACAGGCAGGGTCTCATTATGTTGCCCAGGCTGGTCTTGAACTCCTAGGCTTAAGTGATCCTCCTACCTTGGCCTCCCAAAGTGCTGGTATTACAGGTGAGAGTCACTGTGCCTGGCCAATTCTTCATCCTCAATCTTAAACACATACAATATACTTTTTTTTTTTTTTTTGAGACAGAGTCTTGCTCTGTCGCCAGGCTGAAGTGCAGTGGCATCATCTCTGCTCACTGCAACCTCTGCCTCCCGGGTTCAAGCAATTCTGCCTCAGCCTCCCAAGTAGCTGGGACTACAGGGGCATGCCACCATGCCCAGCTAATTTTTGTATTTTTAGTAGAGACGGGGTTTCACCATGTTGGCCAGGATGGTCTCAATCTTTTGACCTTGTGATCCACCTGCCTTGGCCTCCCAAAGTGCTGGGATTACAGGTGTGAGCCACCATGCCACGCCACATTTTTTTAAAACTCGAGAGATAGGTAAAAGTGGCCTCTACACTTCAAAAATGTCGGCACCATTAAAGATTGACAAACTGTTCCAGATAAAAGACTTTAAAGAGAAATGACAATTAAACGCAATGCATGACCCTTGATTGGGAATAAAAAGGTTGTTTTGGGCTAGGCTTGGTGGCTCATACTTGTAATCCCAGCACTTTTGGGGCCCAAGGCAGGCAGATCCCTTCAGTCCATGAGTTTGAGACCAGCCTGGGTGACACTGCAAAAACTCATCTCTACAAAAAATACAAAAAGTAGCCAGCCATGGTGGTGAGCACCTGTGGTCGCAGCTACTTGGGAGGCTGAGGTAAAAGGATCATCCAAGCCTGGGAGGCGGAGGTTACAGTGAGCTGAGATTGCACCACTGCACTCCAGCCTGGGCAACACAGTGAGATCCTATCTCAAAAAAAAAAAAAAAGCTGCTTTGGACAATATTTACCAATTAGCAAAATGTGACTACGGACTTTATGTTAGATAATAGCACTGTATCAGTGTTAAATTCTCCGAATTTCTTTTTTTTTTTTTTTTTTTTTTGAGACATAGTCTTGCTGTTGCCCAGGCTGCAGTGCAGTGGCACAATCTCAGCTCACTGCAACCTCCCCATCCCTGGTTCAAGCGATTCTCATGCCTCAGCCTCCTGAGTAGCTGGGATTACAGGCGCATGCCACCATGCCCAGCTAATTTTTGTATTTTTAGTAGAGGTGAGGTTTCACCATATTGGCCAAGCTGGTCTTGAACTCCTGACCTCAAGTGATCCACCTGCCTTGGCCTCCCAAAGTGCTAGGATTATAGGCATGAGCCACTGCGCCTGGACTCTTTTCTGTCTTTAAAAAAATTTTTTGGTCAGGCGCAGTGGCTCATGCCTGTAATCCTAACACTTGGGAGGCCAAGGCGGGCAGATCATTTAAGAACAGCAGTTCAAAACCAGCCTGCCCAACATGGTGAAACCCTGTCTCCACTAAAACTACAAAAATTAGTCAGGCGTGTTGGCGGGTGCCTGTAATCCCGGCTACTGAGGAGGCTGAGGCATGAGAACTGACTGAACTCAGAAGGCGAGATTGCAGTAAGCCGAGATTGCACCACTGCACTCCAGCCTGGGGGATAGTGTGAGGCTCCGTCTCAAAAAAAAAAAAAAAATTTAAATTTTATTGTCCCTGCATCGTACTCTGAATTTCATCATTGCATAAGGGTTATATAAAAGGATGTCTCTGTGCTTAGTTGAGATATAGGCTTAAGGTAAGAGCTCATCATCTCTGCAATTTACTCCCAAATATTCCAGAAAAAAAAGAATAAGAATAAATGTGTATATTACCATCTTACACAGTAAATATGGACATAAATTGATATATCTATAGCGATAAATATGGTAAAATATTAACAGTGAGTGACGTTCAATGGTTTATAGGAGTTTGTTGTGAAAAAACTCTTACATTGAGAAAAGTCTTACAACTTTTTCTCGATGTTGCTTACTTTTTTTTGTTTTTCTCCGTCTTTTTAAAATAAAATTATATGCGTTGAGGGTTAACTTTCTTTTTTTTTTTTTTTTTTTGAGATGGAGTCTTGCTGTTGCCCAGGCTGGAGGCTGGAGTGCAGTGGCACAATCACAGCTAACTGCAACCTCTGCCTCCCAGGTTCGAGCAATTTTCCTGCCTCAGCCTCCCGAGTAGCTGGGATTACAGGCATGAGCCACCATGCCTGGCTAATTTTTTTATTTTTTTTTTATTTTTAGTAGGGATGGAGTTTCACCATGTTGGCCAGACTGGTCTTGAACTCCTGACCTCAAGTGATCCACCTGCCTCAGCCTCCCAAACTGTTGGGATTACAGGCATGAGCCACCACGCCCAGCTGAGGGTTAACTTTCAATAGATCGCAGCGAGGAAGTTGCTCTGCTATGTCTGAAATCCCACCCCAGAAGCAGGTCATCTAAGAATGGTTCAGTGTCGGGTTCTCCATAAAAATGCATTGTGTAATGGGCAAGGGGGCGGCTGCCTTTCCAGCAGCACCACCTGATATCGTTTCAAAAGCTTAATTTAGGCCGGGCATGGTGGCTTACGCCTGTAATCCCAGCATTTTGGGAGGCTGAAGGTGGATCACCTGAGGTCAAGAGTTTGAGACCAGTTGGGTGCGATGGCTCACACCTGTAATCCCAACACTTTGGGAGGCCGAGGCGGGCGGATCACCTGAGGTCGGGAGCTCGTGACCAGCCTGACCAACATGGAGAAACCCCATCTACTAAAAATACAAAATTAGCCAGGTGTGGTGGCACATGCCTGTAATCCCAGCTACTTAAGAGACTGAGGCGGGAGAATTGCTCGAACCCGTGAGGTGGATGTTGCAGTGAGCCGAGATTGTGCTGTTGCGTTCCAGCCTGGGCAACAAGAGTGAAATGCCATCTCAAAGAAAAAAAAAAAAAAAGAGTTCAAGACCAGCCTGATCAACATGGTGAAACCCTGTCTCTACTAAAAATGCAAAAACAAATTAGCTGGGCATGGCGGCGGGCACCTGTAATCCCAGCTACTAGGGAGGCTGAGGCAGGAGAATTGCTTGAACCCAGGGGGCGGAGGCTGCAGTGAGCTGAGATCGTGCCATTGCACCACAGGTTGGGCAACAAGACTGAATCTCCATCTCAAAAAGCAAAACAAAACAAAACAAAAAACGCCTATTTGACCAGGTGCGGTCGCTCATGCCTGTAATCCCAGCACTTTGAGAGGCTGAGGTGGGCGGATGGCTTGAGCTCAGGAGTACGAGACCAGCCTGGGCAATATGGCGAGACCCTGTCTCTATTAAAAATAATAATAAATGAAAAAATTTTTTAAAATAAAAGCTTAATTTACAAAATATGTAAGGTTATAAAAGTAATGAAATTTAAGATTTGCCAGGCACGGTGGCTCACGCCTGTAATGCTAGCACTTTGGGAGGCTGAGGAGGGTGGATTACCTAAGGTAAGGAGTTTGAAACCAGCCCGGCCAACATGGCAAAACACCGTCTCTATTAAAAATACAAAAATTAGCCAGTGTGGCGGCAGGAGCCTGTAATCCCAGCTACTCAGGAGGCTGAGGCAGGAGAATTGCTTGAACCTGGGAGGCGGAGGTTGCAGTAAGCCGAGATTGCGCCATTGCACTCCAGCCTGGGCAACAATGGCGAAACTCCGTCTCAAAAAAAGAAAAAAAAAAAAGTCGGGTGCAGTGGCTCACATCTGTAATCCCAGCACCAGCACTTTGGGAGGTTGAGGCAGGCGGATCACCTAAGGTCAGGAGTTCAAAACCAGCCTGGCCAACATGGTGAAACCCCGTCTCTACAAAACTATAAAAATTAGCCAGGCATGATGGCGGGTGCTTGCAATCCCAGCTACTAGGGAGGCTGAGGTGGGAGAATCGCTTGAACCCAGGATGCGGAAGTTGCAGTGCACCAAGATTTCACCATTGCGCTCCAGCAGGGCGACAGACTGAGACTGTCTCAAAAAAACAAAAAAAAGAAATTTACGATTTATGGGGAAATACCCAATTAGCCAAGTTAGCTAATCCCTTTTAGAGATTACTTCTTTAGGCTGAGTGCAGTGGCTGACGCCTATAATCCCAGCACTTTGAGAGGCTGAAATGGGTGGATCACGAGGTCAGGAGTTCGAGACCAGCCTGGCCAATATGGTGAAACACTGTCTCTATTAAAAATATAAAAATTAGCCGGGTGTGGTGGCGCGTGCCTGTATACTCGGGAGGCTGAGGCAGAAGAACTGCTTGAACCCAGGAGGCAGACGTTGCAGTGAGCTGAGATCGTGCCACTGCTCTCCAGTCTGGGTGACAGAGCAAGTCTCCACCACAAAAAAAAAAAAGGATAACTTCTTTGGCTGGGTTCGGTGGTTTACACCTGCAATCCCAGCACTTTGGGAGGCCAAGGGGGGTGGATCCTTTGAGCCCAGGAGTTCGAGACCAGCCTGGGCAACATAGTGAAACCCCATTTCTCAAAAAAATTTTAAAAAGCCAGGCACAATGGCTCATGCCTATGGTCTCAGCTACTCAAGGGGGTTGAGGTGGGAGGATCACTTGAGCCCAGGAGGTCAAGGCTGTAGTGACCCATAATTGTACCACTGCACTCCAGCCTGGGTGACAAGGTGAGACCTTATCTCAAAAAAAAAAAAAAAAAATCATTTCTTTGCACTATAAGCAATAGTGCTATAAAGTGAACTGCTGCCAAAAAAAAAAAAAAAAAGTTACAGTACTTCCTGCTGTGAATAGCCAATACCAGCTGTAAGCCAGGTTTTCGTAAAGTATCTTACCTTAATCCATACTGTCTCATTGGTAAAGCTGAATGGTATGGATGGATTGTCCGGTATATGCTTGTTTAGAATACTGAAATTAATGGACTCTTTGGCAATTCGGGGTGGAGTCCCAGTCTTCAACCTTCCCACCACAAACCCTAACTTCTCCAGTGTCTGAGCCAATCCTATAGAAGGCTGATCCCCTAAACGTCCTGCTGGATGCGTCTCCAATCCAATTACAATCATGCCTCTCAGAAATGTCCCAGTAGTCAGAATCACACTCTCTGCATATACTGTGCTTCCATCCACTAAATAACAAGAAAAAAGAATAAAGTCATTATCTATGTATCTATGTATTTATGTATCTATGTATCTATCTATCTATCTATCTATCTGAGATGAAGTCTCACTCTATCGCCAGGCTGGAGGGCAGTGGTGCAATGTCCGCTCACTGCAACCTCCGCCTCCCGGGTTCAAGCAATTCTCCTGCCTCAGCCTCCCGAGTAGCTGAGATTACAGGCATGCGCCACCACGCTCAGCTAGTTTTATATTTTTAGTAGAGATGGGGTTTCTCCATGTTGGTCAGGCTGGTCTCGAATTCCCGACCTCAGGTGATCCACCCACCTCTGCCTCCCAAAGCGCTGGGATTACTTACAGGCGTGAGCCACCGCGCCCGGCCTAAAGTCATTTTTTAAATTGTTACCATGGATCAAAATGGAATGTGACTATTTTACATTACAACTACAGAAAAACTATCAGTCTTTAAAAACTTGAGAATCTTTTTTAATATTTTTGTTTTTTCAAGACTTATCGACATATAACAGACATATAAAAAACTGTATATATTTAGAGTATGCAACATGGTGTTTTGATACAAGTATACCTTCTGTGATGATACCCATAATCAAGCTAATTAATATAACCATCACCTCACATAGTTACACGTTTTGTGTGGTGAGAACACTTATGATCTACTCCCTTAGCAAATTTCAAGTATATCATACATTATTATTAACTGCAGTTACCATACTGCTCACTAGATTGCTAGAACTTATTCAACTTACAGCTGAAAATGTATAACCTTTGAGCAGTATCTTCCCATTTCCCCTACCCCAGACAAAGAATTTTAAATGAGTAAGAAGGCTAATATGTTATCAATCTCAATCTAAGCAATCTAGGAGAGAGAATACAATGTGTTATCACCAATTCACATGTACCTAAAATCATATCAGCACTAAAAAGTTAGTCTCAATTAATTTAAAAAATTAATTAATTTTAGACTTCAGGATAAATATGGCATACAACCTCTCATTTCTTCTCCCTTCTAAAACTCAAAGAAAATTAAATAGGGGAATAAAAAAGGTATAAAACCAAAAGGACAAGTAATGAAAAAGAACCAGTCAGAAGATGAGAAATTTCAATGTATTTTTGAAAGATAGAAAGTGTTTGGAAGAATGGTAACTCATCTAGCAGAGGGGAGATAGCTATAACTTAAGTATTAATATCTGAAGAGAAGATATATCAATGAGAATGAACTAATTTGCCCTGCAAAGGCTCAGAAATTAGAGAACTGAGAATAAGAACTGAGGAGGAATGTAGAAATGAAACTTGGAACAGAAAATGAAAGAAACAGCTGAAATTTACACATTAAGGTTTTGTCCTCAGATAGCTCTACCTTACAGTAAAATGGAGGTTTATTCTTCAGGTAATGGGGACTTTTTGTTTAATGGGTACAGAATTTTAATTTGGGATGATGAAAAAGTTCAAGAGACCGTTGGTGGTGATGGGTGCACAACACTGTCAATGTACTTAATAGCACTGAATTGTACACTTAAAAATGGTTAAAATGGTACATTTTATGGTTTGTATATTTTACCACAAAAAAATTGTTATTGTTGGGCCTATAAAATATGGACAGGATCACAAAATAGCATTTAAAGATATTAAATTAAATCGGCCAGGCTCAGTGGCTCATGACTATAATATGAACACTTTGAGAGACTGGGGCAGGAAGATCACTGGAGCCCTGGGGTTCAAGACCAGTCCTGGCAACATAGTGAGACCCCCATCTCTACAAAAAAAAATAATAAATTAGCCAGGGGTGGTGACACATGCCTGTGGTCCCAGCTACACAGGAGGCTGAGGCAGGAAGATCACTTGGGTCCAGGTGGTCGAGGCTACAGCGAGCTGTGATCATGCCACTGCACTCCAGCCTAAGAAAGAGGGAGAGAACTTGTCTCAAAAATAAAAAAATAAACAATTTAAGGGTATAAACATAAATACTAATAAAAACAATATAACCATTAAATCTGGAAAATAAAGAAAGTCGGGGGAGAAAAGGAAATGAAAGTAAAACTAATTTAGTAATTGTTACTTGAGGGAAGTCAGTGAGCATATTATATTATATATAAAATCATAGCTTTTAAGGTAACCATCGGAACAAACCCACAAACTTAAAAAAAAAAAGCATGGCCTCCAAAAGCAAAGCAAACACAGATTAAGTTTTTTTTTTAAAAAAAGGTACAGAGGAACAGTGTGTATAATATGCTACGATTTTGTGAAAACAACAAAAAATACATATACATATGCATGAAGACATGTACATATGCCTAGGTAGAAAGACCACACAACAGATTAACAAAGCAAATGCTCCTGAGAAAGAAAACTGGCTGGTTGAGGGGACAAAGTGAAGGAGACAGACTATCTTTTTTTTTTCTATTGAGACAGACTCTTGCTCTCTCACCCAGGCTGGAGTGCAGTAGCAAGATCTCAGCTCACTGCAACCTCCATCTCCCAGGTTCAAGTGATTCTCCTGCCTTAGCCTCCTGAGTAGCTGGGACTACAGGCGTGAGCCATCATGCCTGGCTAATTTTTGTATTTTTAGTAGAGACGAGTTTCGCCATGTTGGCCAGACTGGTCTCAAACTCCCGACCTCAGGTGATCCACCTGCCTCGGCCTTCCAAAGTGCTGGGATTATAGGTGTGAGCCATAATCACATAATGCCCATAATGCCCAGCTAAGACAGACTATCTTTTCACTCTATATGCTTTTTGTAGCCTTTAAGTTGTTGGCCCTAAGTATGTATTTCCCAATCAAGAAAATTAATAAATCTATAATAAAAATGAAAATGGGAATTAAGATATGTATTTTAAAAGATGACACTCCTGGGCCACGCGCGGTGGCTCATGCCTGTAATCCCAGCACTTTGGGAGGCCGAGGTGGGCGGACCACAAGGTCAGGAGATCGAGAACATCCTGGCTAACACAGTGAAACCCCATCTCTACTAAAAATACAAAAAAGTAGCCGGGCATGGTGGCACGTGCCTGTAGTCCCAGCTACTCGAGAGGCTGAGGCAGGAGAATCGCTTGAACCTGGGGGGCAGAGGTTGCAGTAAGCCGAGATCACGCCATTGCACTCCAGCCTGGGCTACACAGTGAGACTCTGTCTCAAAAATAAATAAAAAGAAAAAATAAAAATAAATAAATAAATAAAATAAAATAAAAGATGACACTCCCTGGCACAGCCTCTCTTACCATTTTGTTCCCAGAACGCTAGTGGGTAGCCATATTACTCTCTTAGGTGGAAAACTGATTCTTCTGAGAACTAACAGACATTGATATTTGAGAATTCACCAAACCAAAAGGCTGGTTCAAATCTTTTCTTTTTTTTTGAGACGGAGTTTTGCTCGTTACCAGGCTGGAGTGCAGTGGCACTATCACGGCTTACCACAACCCGCACCTCCAGGGTTCAAGTGGTTCTCCTGCCTCAGCCTCCCGAGTGGCTAGGATTACAGGCATGTGCCACCACACCTGGGTAATTTTGTATTTTTAGTAGAGACGGGGTTTCTCCATGTTGGTCAGGCTGGTCTTCAACTCCCAACCTCAGGTGATCCACCCACCTCGGCCTCCTAAAGTGCTGGGATTACAGGCGTGAGCCACCGTGTCCAGCAGTTCAAGTCTTAATCACCACCAGAATCAGCCAGGCAATAAAATTAACTGTGTACACACAAATCTTCCAGTTAAGTGTTTTAGCGCCTTATTTATTTATTTAGAGATGGAGTCTCACTCTTGTCGCCCAGGCTGGAGTGCAGTGGCACGATCTCGGCTCACTGCAACCTCCGCCTCCTGGGTTCAAGCGATTCTCTTGCCTCAGCCTCCTGAGTAGCTGGGATTACAGGTGCATGCCACCACGCCCAGCTAATTTTTTTATTTTTAGTAGAGACAGGTTCACCATGTTGGCCAGGCTAGTCTCAAACTCCTGACCTCAGTGATCCGCCCGCCTCAGCCTCCCAAAGTGCTGGGATTACAGGCGTGAGCCACCATGCCCGACCTAGTGCCTCATTTAAAAATGTAACAGGCTGGGCATGGCAGCTCATGCCTGTAATCCCAACACTTTGGGTGGTTGAGGTGGGAGGATCACTTGAGCCTAGGAGTTCAAGACCAGTCTAGGCAACACAGGGAAGCAACATAGGGAGATCCCACGTCTCCAAAAAAATTGAAAATAAGCTGGGTGTGGTAGTGTACACCTATAGTCCCAGCTACTTGGGAGGTTGAGGTGGAAGGATCACCTCTGGGAGGTGGAGGCTACAGTGAGCGATTATAGTGCCACTGCACTCCATCCTGGGTGACAGAGTAAGACCCTGTCTCCAAAACCAAAAACGCAAAGAAGTCAACAGAAAACCAAAGTTCGCTAGATACTTAAAGGAAGTTGTGTACATGAAAGAGAGCAGCCCAAACACATAAACAGAACTAAAAAATCTGGAGAAGGCCAGGTGTGGTGGCTCACCCCTATAATACCAGCACTTTGGGAGGTGGAGGTAGGCGGATCACTTGAGGTCAGGAGTTCAAGACCAGCCTGGCCAACATGGTAAAACCCTGTCTCCACTAAAAACACAAAAATTAGCTGGGCGTGGTTGCTGCTGTCTGTAATCCCAGCTACTCGTGAGGCTGAGGCAGGAGAATTGCTTGAACCTGGGAGATGGAGGTTGCAGTGAGCCAAGATCGTACCACTGCACTCTAGCCTGGGTGACAGAGTGAGACTCTGTCTCAAAATAAATAAATAAAATAAAGCAATTATTAACTCAAGGCAAAACCAAGCATAAGAAAGGGACAAACATAATACACTTCCATGCAGTAAACAATACTTAGTCAATAATGTAAATACTATCAACCAAAAATTACGGTATAATTATATCAGAAGGAGAGAGGGAAGGAAAATTGGACATTAAAGAGAATTACCATAATAATAAGTTAATAGGCTGGGCACAGTGCTCATGCCTGTAATCCCAGCATTTTCAGACGCTGAGGTGGGCGGATCGCTTGAGGTCAGGAGTTCAAGACCAGCCTGACCAACATGGTGAAACCCTGTCTCTACTAAAAATACAAAAAATTAGCCGGGCATGGTGGCAGTCGCCTGTAACCCCAGCTACTTGGGAGGCTGAGGCAGGAGAATTGCTTGAACCTGGGAGGGGAACGTTGCAGTGAGCCAAGATGGTACCACTGCACTCCAGCCTAGGCAACAGAGCCAGACTCTGTCTCAAAAAATGTTAATAGATGGCTGGGTGCGGTGGCTCACAGCTGTAATCCCAGCACTCTGGGAGGGCGAGGCGGGTGGATCACAAGGTCAGGAGAACAAGACCATCCTGGCCAACGTGGTGAAACCCCATCTCTACTAAAAATACAAAAATTAGCTGGGCATGGTGGTACGTGCCTGTAGTCCCAGCTACTCAGGAGGCTGAGGCAGGAGAATCGCTTGAACCCGGGAGGCTCAGGTTGTGGTGAGCCGATATCGCACCACTGCATTCCAGCCTGGCACAGAGTGAGACTCCGTCTCAAAAACAAAAACAAAAACAAACAAACAAAAAAAGTTAATAGATAATGTCTAGAACTGTAAATTAGGAAGTAAAAAGATAAGCCTGCTATTCAGAAATATGGAAGTATATACAATAAGTGACAACTAAAAAAGCTGAAGTGTCTGTCTCCAGGGAAGGAGATGGTTGTTTTCCCACATAAATTTCTAAATTTCTTTTATATTTATTTATTTATTTATTTATTTATTTTGAGACAGAGTTTCGCTCTTGTTGCCCAGGCTGGAGAGCAATGGTGTGATCTCGGCTCACCACAACCTCCGCCTCCTGGGTTCAAGTGATTCTCTGGCCTCAGCCTCCTGAGTAGCTGGGATTTCAAGCATGCGCCACCACACCTGGCTAATTTTGTATTTTTAGTAGAGATGTGTTTCTCCATGTTGTTCAGGCTGGTCTTGAACTCCCAACCTCAGGTGATCTGCCTGCCTTGGCCTCCCAAAGTGTTGGGATTACAGGTGTGAGCCACTACACCCAAACTTATTTTTTATTTTTTTTTGACACAGGGTCTCACTCTGTTGCCCAGGCTGGAGTGCAGTGGCATAATCACAGCTCACTGAAGTCTCAACCTCCTGGGCTCAAGCAATCCTCCCACTTCAGCTTATTGAGTAGCTGAAACTACAGGCACCTGCTACCACACCGGCTAATTTTTGTATTTTTTTGTAGACATGAGGTTTTGCCATCTTGCCGAGGCTGGTCTCAAACTCTGGGGCTCAAGCAATCCACCTACCTCGGCCTCCCAAAGTGCTAGGATTACGGGCATGAGCCACCATGCCCAGACCCTTTTAATATTTTAAGAAAAAATTATATGCATGAGTTATTTTGATAAAAAACATACATAACTCTTTTACATAAAAATATATATAAGCTGTTAAAATATGAATTTTTTAAAAAATTAAAGTCAGAACCAGAAAAAACAGAAATTACAATAGAAAGATGGGGAGAGAGGGAGACATAAATATGCAGATTACAAAGTTCTACACTAAGATGGAACATGGTACTGATGAGCCTAGAATTTGACTGAGCATCATAAATGCCAAGATGAAAAGAGAAACATATTTATTTATATAGTTTTCCTCATCCAGGTAGAGAAAATGCAACAAGTTCCTTGAATAAGCAACATATCTCCACACTTTGCTCTAAAATAAATTTCTCACATGGAATTTGATATGCTGTTATCATACACCATCTATAACCAATACGTACCCAAAACAACCCCACTGACACGGCATTTCCCAGTGTGTTCAGGCTCTGGTTCTGTAAGAATAAGATCTTCTACAGCTCCCTCCTGAACAGTAAGCAGTGGTGTATTCAAGATTTCTTTCTGTCAAAAGAAAATGCCAGTTGAAACATGGTAATTAAACAATCACTATAATCTTTCCTGTGCTCATGCCCTATTCTTACCTGCATGTTCTGTTTATAGAGTTTCCTATCAATCTGAGCTCTCAGACCCCACACAGCTGGTCCCTTACGCCGGTTTAATACTTTATAATGTACACCAGACTGGTCACAGATGCGAGAACACAGGCCATCCAAGGCATCTACTTCCCTCATTAAATGTCCCTTTCCGATGCCACCAAAGGAAGGATTACATGACATCTGACCTAAAGATAATAGACATAAACAAAATAAATATATGAGCACCTTGCACATAGTGACTACTTAATAAGGAAACATTTATACAGGTGACTATAATCATCTCATATGATAAAAAATAGAAAACGTGAAAGATATACTACAAAGAAAATCCCAAAGACCCAATGGGATGCAAAAGTGTCCAGGGCAACCTGGATGACAAACCACTTCCTGAACTTCCTTTTGTTTTTTTTAAGATGGAGTCTCACTCTGTCACCCAGGCTGGAGTGCAGTGGTACAATCTCGGCTCACTGCAACCTCTGCCTCCTGGGTTCAAGCGATTCTCCTGCCTCAGCATCCCGAGTAGCCGGGATTACAGGTGTCCGGCACCACGCCTGGCTAATTTTTGTATTTTTGGTAGACGGGTTTCACCATGTCGACCAGGCTGGTCTCAAACTCCTGACCTCAGGTGATCTGCCCACCTCGGCCTCCCAGAGTGCTGGGATTACAGCCGTGAGCCACCGCGCCCGGCCTGAACTTTCTTTTGAATCTCTTCCTTGATGCATATTTTTACTGTTTCACTAGGTTGCCTTTTCCTTTCAAACATGTAATCCTTACCCCATGAAACCTTTCTAAACCAAGTATACTTGGTTTTTAAATTTGTTCTTTTTTGATACAGCACCAGAGGAATCTACCAAATCAAGCACACTTGTAAGAAGTCCCTAGTCCTTCAACATAAATAAGGACAAAAATAAATAAATAAATAAAAAACAGGGCCGGGTGTGGTGGCTCACGCCTGTAATCCTAGCACTTTGGGAGGCCAAAGAGGGTGGATTGCTGGAGCTCAGAAGTTTGAGACCACCCTGGGCGACACGGTGAAACCCCGTCTCTACTAAAATACAAAAAAATAGCCAGGCATGGCAGTTTGCACCTGTAATCCCAGCTACTTGGGAGGCTGAGGCAAAAGAATCGCTTGACCCTGGGAGGCTGAGGTTGCAGTGAGCCGAGATGGCACCATCGCACTCCACCCTGGGTGACAACAGTGACTCCATCTCAAAAAAAAAAAGAAAAGAAAAAAGAAAAAACAAAGAAGCCCCTTGGCACTGGTTCAGTTACAACCAATTATGTCTTCCATAAATGCCATCTGATATCTCCTTTTTGCACTTACTTTGCAGAATTAAATATAATTAAATTACAAATTTCTTGTGAGTGAAGACCATATTTTATACCTTTCCCTTACATTTACCCAGTCTTACCTGGAGGTCTAAACCCATGTGGTTACCTCAAAAGTTTTTGTGGGAGGTGGAGGGATGGGCAAGTTATGTCAATATCCACATATCCACTGCCACCACATCAAGAATCAAGACCTCCAAAAGTTTTTTTTTTTTTTTTTTTTTTTTTTGAGACAGAGTTTCGCTCTTGTTGCCCAGGCTGGAGTGCAATGGCACGATCTCAGCTCACTGCAACCTCCACCTCCCGAGTTCAAGTGATTCTCCTGCCTCAGCCTCCCAAGTAGCTGGGATTACAGGCATACGCCACCACGCCTGGCTAATTTTCTTTCTTTTTTTTTTTTTTTTTAGTATTTATTGATCATTCTTGGGTGTTTAATTTTCTATTTTTAATAGAGACAGGGTTCCTCCATGTTGGTCAGGCTGGTCTCGAACTTCCGACATCAGGTGATTTGCCCGCCTTTGCCTCCCAAACTGCTGGGATTACAGGCATGAGCCACCATGCCCAGACAAGACCTCCACAAGTTTTAATGGTCTCCACAGGGAGACTGGATAGCACTGTGATTATGAGCATGAAGTGTCATTATGAGGAGTGTGTGTGAAAGAGATATCTGGCTCAATTTCTAGACCTACCACTTATGAGCTCTGTGATCATGGCAAGTTACCTAACATACCTTAGTCTCTCTACTGTAAAAACAGGAATGACAGCTGTGGTAGATTATTTTCCTCCTTCTTCCTTTGAAATAGAAGACTCCTGGGCTCCCCAAATGCTGGGATTACAAGCGTGAGTAATCACCCCTGGCCTAGGTCTTTATTTTATTATTATTTTTTAAAAATATGGAACACTTCACAAATTTGTGCATCATCCTTGTGCAGGGGCTATGCTAATCCCTATATCATTCCAACTTTAGTTTATGTTGTTGCCAAAGCAAGCACTAGGTCTTTATTTTTTAAAAATATAAACAACAGGCCAGGTGTGGTGGCTCACACCTGTAATCCCAGCACTTTGGGAGGCTGACACGGGTGGATCACCTGAAGTCAGGAGTTGGAGACCAGCCTGGCCAACATGATGAAACCCCATCTCTACTAAAAATACAAAAAATTAGCTGGGCGTGGTGGCAGACTCCTCTAATCCCAGCCACTTGGGAGGCTGAGGCAGGAAATCGCTTGAACCCGGGAGGTGGAGGTTGCAGTGAGCCAAGATCGCGCCACTGCATTCTAGCCTGGTCAACAACAGCAAAACTCTGTCTCAAAAATGAAAGAAAAGAAAAGAAAAAACCCACCTGAATGTATGATGAGAAAAGTATAATCTTTTAGGAAATCATATAGCCTCCTCTCCCCCACCCACAAAACCGCAGTTAATAGTATATATTTCTTCACAGTTATGAGCTGAATGGTTATTTTAAAGAAGA
The DNA here is from genome assembly GCF_000001405.40 of Homo sapiens. Taxonomy (NCBI): domain Eukaryota; kingdom Metazoa; phylum Chordata; class Mammalia; order Primates; family Hominidae; genus Homo; species Homo sapiens. Next base: position 73,463,596 of record NC_000006.12, on the reverse strand, counting down.
ATTTCAGGAATAAATAAGTGATTTATTCACAACTTTTACAAAACAAGTAAATATTCTAATTACTGCTCGCTCCTAAGCAAAAGGAAGGAGGAAAGACAAAAGTATACATAATTTACAAGTTGATGTTTTAGCTAGTATCTATCATGATGCTACAGAACGGCCATCCAACCATTACCCATTAGAGCAAAAAAAGTACTGTCCAGTACTAAACACAAAATCCAGGGACGACAACCCAGAAGGAATATAGGATGCAAAAGGTAGCATGGCGCTGGGCACGGTGGCTCATGCCTGTAATCCCAGCATTTTGGGAGGCCGAGGCGGGCGGATCACAAGGTCAGGAGATCGAGACCATCCTGGCTAACATGGTGAAACCCCGACTCTACTAAAAATACAAAGAAAAAAAAAATTAGCCGGGCGTGGTGGTGGGTGCCTGTAATCCCAGCTACTCGGGAGGCTGAGGCAGGAGAATGGCATTAACCCGGAAGGCGGAGCTTGCAGTGAGCCGAGATGGCGCCACTGCACTTGAGCCTGTGTGACAGTGCAAGACTCTGTCTCAAAAGAAAAAAAAAAAAAAAAGGTAGCATGGTTCTTCCAAAAGGCATCACAAAATCTTGACAGAAACACAAAGATCAGGCTGGGCAGAGTACTGAGCACCTGCAATCCCAGCTACTGGTTAGGCAGAGGCAGGAAAAGTTCTTGAGTCCAGAAAGCGGAGCCTGTAATGTGCAACGATCGTGCCTATGAGTAGTCACTGCACTCCAGCCTGGGCAACATGGCGAGACCCTGTCTCTAAAAAAATGTTTTTAAATAAAAACACAAGAACCGTTTAATAAAGGATTTTTTTATTTTATTAATATTATCATTATTTTGAGACGGAGTTTTGCTCTTTTGCCCAGGCTGGAGTGAAGTGGCGCAATCTCGGCTCACTGCAACCTCTGCCCCCGGGTTCAAGCGATTCTCCTGCCTCAGACTCCCGAGTAGCTGGGATTATAGGCGCCCGCCACCATGCCCGGCTAATTTTTGTATTTTTAGTAGAGACGGGGTTTCGCCGTGTTGGCCAAGCTGGTCTCAAACTCCTGACCTCAGGTGATCCACCTGCCTTGGCATCCCAAAGTGCTGGGATTAAAGAAGTGAGCCACTGCACCTGGCCATAAACCATTGTTAATAATGTTAATTCACCCTTTATCTGGAGTAACATAGTAGAAGGTAAACGCAGCAATGAACTAAGAAGCTACCAGCGAGTAGTTGGTAGCTCCCTTTCCCAAGGCACTGACCCCGAACCCCAACCTCCTACAACGGACGACTGTCAGCAGCAGCATAATCTATGGTTCGCAGAATAGACTAATATAGAGTTCTGGCCTGGCCCGCCTGATCCTTGCGAGACACTGATCGAGGCTAAAACCACAGAAGGTAGGATTCTCACTAGCTTTGAGGAAAGGAAGAGGTCCCCCGCTTCAGACCGGGGGAGGCGGGAAGGAAGCAGCCTGCGTCCTACGCCAAGTTCCACAGCACCCGCGCTCCTCACCGATCGTGTCCACGCGGTGAGTGAGGAGCAGAGTCCGAGAGCCGCACCGAGCGGCGGCGGTGGCTGCCTCAGTCCCGGCATGTCCTCCACCAATGACTATCACGTCGAAGTGCGGAGTCCGGGGCGCCGCGCTGTCACTGCTCAACCGTGCCAACGGAAATTGCTGCTTGGTGAAGGAAACCGCGACCCAACGGCCACAGCCTCGGAAGTAGAACATGCTGGGAGAAAAATCTATCTGACTTTGAAGCTGACACGAGTGACGGTCAAAAAAACTTACGCAACAAGAGACAATCTGCAGGGCGCGGCCATCTTGCTTTAATATCACGGGGTAGGACGTCTACGTCCAGCGTCGCCGCTGATTGGCGGTTTGGAGCTACTTTCCTGGTGAGGGAGATGGGTGATCGCACGGAGGGCCGGTTGTGTATTTTCTTTCCTAGTTCGTGCGGGCTTTTTTTATTATTATTATTTTTTATTTTTATTTATTTATTTATTTATTTATTTATTTATTTATTTATTTATTTATTTATTTATTTATTTTGAGACAGAGTCTCGCTCTGTTGCCCAGGCTGGAATGCAGTGGCGCGATTTCGGCTCACTGCAAGCTCCCCCTCCCGGGTTCGCGCCATTCTCCTGCCTTAGCCTCCGAGTAGCTGGGGCTACAGGCGCCCGCCACTACGCCCGGCTAATTTTTTGTATTTTTAGTAGAGACTGGGTTTCACCGTATTAGCCAGGATGTTCTCGATTTCCTGACCTCGTGATCCGCCCGTGCGGGCTTTTTTTGATTTCCTGTGGTTCTGGGTTGGGAGCTCCTACTAAAGGTCATCTTTTGTACTTTCTTAGGCCCTGCAGTCCTTATCGCCAGGTGGCCACCTACGATCAATGAATTTGATCACTTTGCCTTATCAGATCTTTGTGATCTGACAATCTGATACACCGTCACCTTCTGTTTGTCTATAAAAACTAAGGGCTGAAAATAAGAATAGATTCGGGCCGGGCGCGGTGGCTCACGCCTGTATTCCCAGCACTCTGGGAGGCCGAAGCAGGTGGATCACAAGGTCAGGAGATGGAGACCATCCTGGTCAACATGGTGAAACCCCATCGCTACTAAAAAAAAAAAAAAAAAAAAAAAAAAAAAAAATTAGCCGGGAGTGGTGGCATGCACCTGTAATCCCAGCTACTCAGGAGACTGAGGCAGGAGAATCGCTTGAACCTGGGAGGCCGAGGTTGCAGTGAACCAAGATTGTGCCACTGCACTCCAGCCTGGGCGACAGAGCAAGACTCCGTCTCAAAAAAAAAAAAAGAAAAAGAAAAGAAAAAGAATAGATTCGAAAGGAGTTCAAATATATTTGTGGACTGAAAGATTCATGATGGTGCCTGGGCATGGTGGATCACGCCTGTAATCCTAGCACTTTGGAAGGCCGAAGGGGGCAGATTGCCTGAGCTCAGGAGTTCGAGACCAATCTGGGCAACATGGTGAAACCCCGTCTGTACTAAAATACAAAAAAAAAAATTAGCCAGGTGTGGTGGCATGCACCTGTAGTCCCAGCTACTTGGGCGGCTGAGGCAGGAGAATTGCTTGAACCCGTAGGCAGAGGTTGCAGTGAGCCGAGATCGTGCCACTGCACTCCAGCCTGGCGACAAGAGTGAGACTCTGTCTCAAAAAAAAAAAAAAGAGAGAGAGAGATTCATGATGGCTAATTGGTTAATTAGAAGAATCGGTTGGTTGGAGGTTAAATGTCCAGCCTTTTGGAATTCACAGCCTTTCTCAATTCACAGCCTTTCTCAGAAAGGCAACGTTTGACTGGAGAATAAAACAAGTGTGGTATTGCAGGATCTGGCCAGCAGCCCACAATGCAATGGGGCTCTTTCTTTGTTCCCAGGCGGATTGGCAGGTCGAGAAATAATAGACACACAGAAGATATTGAAAGCTGGGTCCAGGGGGGTCACTGCCTTCTGGTCCTGCAATGCTGCTAATACACTGGATATACCAGCATTTATTATTAAGTTTAGTGAGGGCAGGGGTAGGTTAGTGAGGGATTTAGGGTCATTTGATTATGAGGTGAGATGGTCACATGGGGATGAAGTAATTCTTTAACATAACATCTGTATGCAGAAGTACAGTATACAGAGATAAGAATTTACAATATATTGTGTGCATCAGTAATTTCTAACAGAGCCTTAAAACAGAAACAGTCTTTCCATAACCTATGATTAGCAAGATATTAATCAGCAGTAACAGTTGCAGCAAAAGCTGGTTACAAACAATCCATAGAAACAGGATGTGAAGCTAGACAATCAGTTAGACCAGAAATTCTCAGAAGGGAGTATGCCTTAACCCTAAAAAGGCCTAGAAGAGCCGTGGCAAGATGAGGGCATTTATAGCCCTATCTTACCCACAGGGACAGGCGCCCCTCATGCGTCCGTTTAGAGGCTTTCCACAAGGGTTGCATTCCATTCCCAGAGCTATGAACATCTGCTTTTCTGGGATAGGAATCTTGGTGATGCACGTCCGTTCATAGGCTCTCTGCAGGGGGAAGCACATCACCCGCTGTTGGCTCATTCTGGCAGTCCAACCTGGCATTCTCTTTACACAATCCTGCATGCAACTTTGTATTTACAATAATCAGGAGCATTTCATCTTTTATTCCGTAGCAATAGTTTCAGGGGTCTCCCTACAGTGTGGCAGTTTTATTGTTCTAATTATAAAAAGTATTAAATACATAGGCCGGGAGTGGTGGCTCACACCTGTAATCCCAACACTTTGGGAGGCCAAGGTGGCGGATCACTTGAGTCCACCAGGAGTTTGAGACCAGCCTGGCCAATATGGCGAAACTCTATCTCTACTAAAAATAGAAAAATTAACCTGGCATGGTGCTGCGTGCCTGCAGTCCCAGCTACTCAGGAGGCTGAGGCAGGAGAATTGCTTGAACCCAGGAGGCACAGGTTGCAGTGAGCCCAGATGGTGCCATTGCACTCAAGCCTGGGTGACTGAGACCCTGTCTCAAAAAAACAAAACAAAAACCCTTAAAACAAAAAACAGTAAACATTATTTCTTTTCTTTATTTTTTTTTAATAGGATCTCCTTCTGTTGCCCAGGCTGGAGTGCAGTGGCGCTATCATGGCTCACTGCAACCTCCGCCTCCTGGGCTCAAGTGATCCTCCCACCTCCATCTCCCAAATAGCTGGGACCACAGATGTGGGTGGACACTAGGCCTGGCTAATTTGGTTTCTTTGTTGTTGTTTTTTGTTTGTTTGTTTGTAGACATGGGGTTGAGGGAGGGAGTGTCTCACTATGTTGCCCAGGTTGGTCTTGAACTCCTGGCCTAAAGCCTCCCAAAGTGCTGGGATTACAGGTGTGAGCCCTGCTCCCAGCCTATTTTTGATATTTTTTTCTTTAAATTTTTTTTTTCGCTTTCTGCAACTTCGGTTAAATATTTTTTAATAAAAATTAGATCATAGTGTGTGCATTGTTTTGTAATCTATTCTTTACTTAATAATCATGAACACTTTTCTATCCAAAAAAAATAACAATAAGACATAAGGAAACTCTAGATGATACCTTAGGGATGAGGGAAAGTATCCAAAAATTAAAGTGGGAAGGCGTTCATATCTCAAGTACAGAAAGCCTTTAGAAAGCATGTGCAGTGCAAAGTGGGGGGTTTACAGAGGAAGAAGCAGCTCTGTGTAGACCTCCTGGGCCACAGGTGGGCTTCACAGAGGGGCTTGCAAAAGGATCAGCTTCTGGGGTATGATTCTCTGGCCCAGGCAGCTGTATGCAGGCAAGGTGGGAATTTTAGTTTCTCTGTCTAGAAGGCTGTGGACAGGTTATAGATAGGTCAAGGCTCCAAAGTCACAGGGAGATCACTTTCTGGGCTTATGACTGAGGTAGGCTCTACCAGATGTTCTCATACCCAAGGCTGACTAGAGATAAACATGAGGCATACAGAGTAAGATGTAATCCCAGCATTTTGGGAAGCCAGTGTGGGCATATCACTTGAAGCCAGGAGTTCAAGACCAGCCTGGACAGCATGGTGAAACCTCATCTCTACTAAAAATACAAAAATTAGCCAGGGTGGTGGCGTGTGCCTGTAATCCCAGCTACTTGGGAGGCTGAGGTACGAATTGCTGCAATGAGCTGACATTGCACTGCTGCACTCCAGCTTGGGTGGCAGAGTGAGATGCTGTCTCAGAAAAAAAAAAAAAAAAGAAGTGGTAAAGTCAACTAGATAAAATATATACCCACAAATAAATTTCCTGGGGTTTCCTACTAGATAAAATCCAAGTTCCACATCAAGACTCAACTAAACAGTCATTTTCTCTGTGATTTGGACACTGATTGCTGCAGAAAGGTTGAATAAAGAATGAGTTCTCCTCCTTTGGTAGGCCAATAGTAGAGATATTTGATCTGGCCCAGTGGATTGTTGCTTGCAGCTTCTGGTTAAAGAAACCACCAGTGACTTAAGGGGACTTTAGAAACTGATGGAAGAGAGCATTTATTTTATTTTATTATTTTTTTTTTTTTGAGACGGAGTCTCGCTCTGTCTCCCAGTCTGGAGTGCAGTGGCGTGATCTCGGCTCACTGCAACCTCCGCCTCCCAGGTTCAAGCAATTCTCCTGCCTCAGCCTCCCATGTAGCTGGGACTATGGGTGCCGGCCACCACGCAAGGCTAATTTTTGTATTTTTAGTAGAGACCATATTGGTCAGGCTGGTCTCAAACTCCCGACCTCAGGTGATCCACCCACCTTAGCCTCCCAAAGTGCTGGGATTACAGGCGTGAGCCACCGCGCCCGGCTGAGAGCATTTATTTTTATGTATTTTTTTTTTGAGATGGAGTCTTGCTCTGTTGCCCAGGCTGGAGTGCAATGGCGCCATCTTGGCTCACTGCAACCTCCACCTCCCAGGTTCAATCAATCCTCCTGCCTCAGCCTCCGGAGTAGCTGGGATTACAGGGGCCCACCACCACGCCCATCTAATTTTTGTATTTTTAGTAGAGACAGGTTTCACCATCTCGCCCAGGCTGGTCTCGAACTCCTGACCTTGAGATCTGCCCGCCTCAGCCTCCCAAAGTGCTGGGATTACAGGAGTGAGCCACTGCACCCAGCCCGGAAGAGAGCACTAAACTAACTGTAGAGTCATTTACAGGATTTCATGACAAGCAGCTGAAGTCCTTGGAGAAAACAAACAGAACCATAGAGCAGAGGCCCTCAGAATGTGGTAGTTACCCCTGAACATCCTGGAAGACTATCCAGATGCACTTGTAGTTTCTTTTTTTTTTCTTTTTTCTTTTTTTTTTTTTTTTGGCGACAGAGTCTCACTCTGTCGTCTAGGCTGGAGTGCATTGGCATGATCTCAGATCACTGCCACCTCTGCCTCCTGGGTTCAAGCGATTCTCCTGCCTCAGCCTCCCAAGTAGCTGGGATTACAGGCATGCACCACCACACCTGGCTAATTTTTGTGCTTTTAGTAGAGATGGGGTTTCACCATGTTGGCCAGGCTGGTCTTGAACTCCTGACCTCAGGTGATCTGCCTGTGTGGATCTGCCAAACTGCTGGGATTACAGGCATGAGCCACCACACCTGGACAGCTCTTGCAGTTTCAAGGAAATGGATTTCCACATTTCAACTTCCATTTTACTCTTCCCTGAAATTGGCTGGCTTGGGAACAAGTCTGACTATGCAATGGTCCTCCTTCTATTTCTCCTCCTTATATATTTCACAAGAGAAAAATACACCTTTCTGGCATCCTAATTCAAACTACGGCTCATTGCTCCAGGGTGGTAAAAATCTCTTTGAACTTAACAGAAGGATATATAAAAATACTTGTTTCAGGGAAATCTTTTTAAAAAGTAAGGCATTTTTGTCCTTTGACAGGTGAATGGATAAACAAAATGTGATATATACATACAAAGCAATATTATTCAGCCCTAAAACGGAAGGAAATTCTTGCAACATAGATGAACATTGGCTAAGAGTGATAAGCCAGTAACAAAAAGACAAACGTTGCATCATTTCACTGACATAAAGTACTTAGAGCAGTCAAAATCACAGTCAGAAAGTATAATGGTGGTTGCCAGGGGCTAGAGAGAGGAGAGAAAGATGAGTTATTGTTTATGGGTACAGAGTTTCAGTTTTGCAAGATGAAGAGTTTTGAAGACAGATGATAGTGATGGTTGCATAGGAATGTGAACATACTTAATATCATTGAATTATACACCCCCCAAAAATGGTTCAAATAGTACAAAGAAAAAAAAAGTAGTCAAGGCTTTCTAAACCCAAGAGGTTCTTGTCTAATATGCATTTCTTTTATTATTATTATTTTTTTTTTTTAGACAGAGTCTCATTCTGTTGCCCAGGCTGGAGTGCAGTGGCAGGATCTCACTCACTGCAACCTCTGCCTCCTGGGTTCAAGCTATTCTCCTGCCTCAGCCTCCCGAGTAACTGGGATCACAGACATGTGCCATCACACCCGGCTAATTTTTTGTATTTTTAGTAGAGACAAAGTTTCATCATGTAGGCCAGGCTGGTCTTGAACTCCTGATCTCAGAAGATCTAGGGCTCCTGAAGTGCTGGGATTATAGGCATGAGCCACTGCGCCTGACCTCTAATATGCATTTCTATCAGGGGCTTTAGAAATAGATACTTGAAGGCCAGGCAAGGTGGCTCACGCCTGTAATCCCAACACTTTGGGAGGCCAAAGGGGGCAGATCACCTGAGGTCAGGAGTTCGAGACCAGCCTGGTCAACATGGTGAAACCCCGTCTCTACTAAAAAGGTAAAAAAATTAGCTGGGTGTGGTGGCAGGCGCCTATAATCCCAGCTACTCAGGAGGTTGAGGCAGGAGAATCGCTTGAACCCAGGAGGCGGAGGTTACAGAGAGCCGAGATAGCACCATTGCACTCCAGCCTGGACAACAAAAGTGAAACTCCATCTCGAAAAAAAAAAAAAGATATTTGAAAGCCTGTATTGAGATACTCTAGAATCACAACAGCTGAAGCAGTATGAATGATTTAAAATGTAAATGCCAGGTCCGGTGCAGTGGCTCATGCCAGTAACAGCACTTTGGGAGGCTGAGGCGGGCAGATAGCTTGTTGGGGACCAGCCTGGGCAACATGGTGAAACCACATTTCTACAAAACCATACAAAAATTAGCTGGGCATGGTGGGGCACGCCTGTAGTCCCAGCTGCGCAAGAGGCTGAGTCACGAGAATCTCTTGAACCCGGGAGGCGGAGGGTGTGGTGAGCTGAGATTGTACCATTGCACTCCAGCCTGGGCAACAAGAGCAAAACTCCGTCTCAAAAATGAATAAAATAAAATAAAATAAAAAGAGAGAACTTTACACAACTTTTTTTCCCCCTGAGACAGAGTCATTTGCCCTGTCGCCCAGGATGGAGTGCAGTGGTCTGATCTCAGCTCATTACCACCTCCGCTTTCCCGATTCAAGCAATTCTCCCGTCTCAGCCTCCCCAGTAGCTGGGTTTACAAGCATGGCCCACCACACCTGGCTAATTTTTGTATTTTTAGTAGAGATGGGTTTTCACCATGCTGGACAGGCTGGTCTTGAACTCCTGACCTCAAGTGATCCACCCACCTTCGCCTTCCAAAGTGCCGGGATTATAGGCGTGAGTCACCGCACCAGGCAGAAACTTTACACAACATTTTAAAGATTTTCTGTGCTTTTTAAAAAATGTCAAATAGAAGTATTTACTCCAATTGCAGTCAATCTTTGTTTCATTCCATCTTGTAAAAGTTGAATATTTTCTCTTTCTTATTTTTTTCTTTTTTCAAAGTATTTTTCATTTGTTATTAATTTTTTTCTTTTTAAAAATTATTATTTTATTTCTTATTGATTTTTAAAAAACCCTATTTAAATTTACATTGAAAAAGTTGGCCGGGCGCTGAGGCTCATGCCCGTAATCCCAACAGTTTGGGAGGCCGAGGCAGGTGGATCACGAGATAAGGAGTCCCAGACCAGCCTGGCCAATATGGTGAAACTCCTTTCTACTAAAAATACAAAAATTAGCCGGGCATGGCGGCGCACACCTGTAGTCCCAGCTACTTCGGAGGCTGAGGCAGGAGAATCGCTTGAATCCGGGAGGCAGAGGTTACAGTGAGCCGAGATCGTGCCACTGCACTCCAGCCTAGGGGACAGAATGAGACTCCATCTCAGGAAAAAAAAAAAAAAAAAGGGAAAAGTTTCTGGCCAGGCGCCGTGGCTCACGCCTGTAATCGCAGCACTTTGGGAGGCCGAGGCGGGTGGATCACTTGAGGTCAGCAGTTTGAGAGCAGCCTGGCCAACATAGCGAAACCCCGTCTCTACTAAAAATACGAAAAATTAGCCGGGCGTGGTGGCGGGCGTCTGTAATCCCAGCTACCCGGGAGGCTGAGGTAGGAGAATTGCTTGAACCCAGGAGGCAGAGGTTGCAGTGAGCCAAGATCGCACCATTGCACTTCGGCCTGGGTGACAAGAGCGAAATTCTGTCTCAAAAAAAAAAAAAAAAAAAAAGAAAGAAAGAAAGAAAAGAAAAAGAAAAAAAAGAAAAGAAAAAGTTTCTGTGGCAGGGCACAGTGGCTCATGCCTACAATCCCAACACTTTGGGAGGTTGAGGAGGGAGAATCGCTTGAGTCTAGGAGTTCGAGACCAGCCTGGGCAACATAGTGAGACCTCCCCATGTATACAAAAAAATTAAAAAGAAAAGAAAAAGCTGGGCATGGTGTCCGCACCTGTAGTAACAGCTACTCAGGATGCTGAGGTGGGAGGATCGCTTGAGCCCTGGTGGCTGAGGTTGCAGTGAGCCGAGATTGCGCCCCCCTAACTCAAACCAAAATTAAATTTAAAAAAACTTTCACTTGAAAGAGAAAAGTTTCTCTGTCAATGTTTTTGTTTTGTTTTGTTTTGTTTTGTGATGGACTCTTTTTCTGTTGCCCAGGCTGGAGTGCAGTGGCGCGATCTCGGCTCACTGCAACCTCTGCCTCCCGGGTTCAAGCAGTTCTCTGTCTCGGCCTCCCGAGTAGATGGGACTACAGGCGCCACCAAGCCCGGCTAATTTTTTGTATTTTTAGTAGAGACGGGGTTTCACCATGTTGGCCAGGAAGGTCTCGATGTCTTGGCCTCGTGATCCGCCCGCCTCGGCCTCCCAAACTGCTGAGATTACAGGCGTGAGCCACCACGCCTGGCCTCTTTTTCTTTTTTGAGACAGAGTCTCGCTCTGTCGCCCAGGCTGGAGTGAAGTGGCACGTCTCAGCTCACTGCAACCTCCGCCTCCCGGGTTCAAGTGATTCTCCAGCCTCAGCCTCCCGAGTAGCTGGGATTACAGGTGCCCGCCACCACGCCTAGCTAATATTTGTATTTTTTAGTAGAGACGGGGTTTCTTTCGCCTTGTTGGCCAGGCTGGTCTTGAACTCCTGACCTCAGGTGATCCGCCCACCTCGGTCTCCCAGATTGCTGGGATTACAGGCGTGAGTCAGTGTGCCCAGGCAACACACACACACACATATATTTAATTATAAGAAAGACCAGGTCTTGCTGGGTTGCCCAGGCTGGTCTCAAACTCCTGAGCTCAAGCGACCCGCCTGCCTCGGCCTCTCGGATGCTGAGGTTACAGGCGTGAGCCACCGCGCCCGGCCCTACCTCATCTTCTTAAGACAGGGGCACGGATTGCCTGGAGAGTTAGAAACTTCGAGACTTTTGTAGCCTCAGGAAAGGCCGCGGCCAGCCTCTTCGCGGCATGGGCGTGGCTCCCAGCGACTTCCCAGCCTGGGGTTCCCCTTCGGGTCGCAGACTCTTGTGTGCCCGCCAGTAGTGCTTGGTTTCCAACAGCTGCTGCTGGCTCTTCCTCTTGCGGCCTTTTCCTGAAACGGATTCTTCTTTCGGGGAACAGAAAGCGCCAGCCATGCAGCCTTGGCACGGAAAGGCCATGCAGAGAGCTTCCGAGGCCGGAGCCACTGCCCCCAAGGCTTCCGCACGGAATGCCAGGGGCGCCCCGATGGATCCCACCGAGTCTCCGGCTGCCCCCGAGGCCGCCCTGCCTAAGGCGGGAAAGTTCGGCCCCGCCAGGAAGTCGGGATCCCGGCAGAAAAAGAGCGCCCCGGACACCCAGGAGAGGCCGCCCGTCCGCGCAACTGGGGCCCGCGCCAAAAAGGCCCCTCAGCGCGCCCAGGACACGCAGCCGTCTGACGCCACCAGCGCCCCTGGGGCAGAGGGGCTGGAGCCTCCTGCGGCTCGGGAGCCGGCTCTTTCCAGGGCTGGTTCTTGCCGCCAGAGGGGCGCGCGCTGCTCCACGAAGCCAAGACCTCCGCCCGGGCCCTGGGACGTGCCCAGCCCCGGCCTGCCGGTCTCGGCCCCCATTCTCGTACGGAGGGATGCGGCGCCTGGGGCCTCGAAGCTCCGGGCGGTTTTGGAGAAGTTGAAGCTCAGCCGCGATGATATCTCCACGGCGGCGGGGATGGTGAAAGGGGTTGTGGACCACCTGCTGCTCAGACTGAAGTGCGACTCCGCGTTCAGAGGCGTCGGGCTGCTGAACACCGGGAGCTACTATGAGCACGTGAAGGTGAGCTGCTTGGCGCCCTCCCGCCGAGCCCCGCTGCTCGGCCTTCCGCAATCCGCAGTCCCTACCTTCCCCGGGTCGCGCCCCTCACTTCCCTTCGGAAGTAACTTAGACTTTTGCATGTTTTTCGGTAGCCTAGTCTAAGTAAAACGACAAACCGTTCGTTTATTCATCTACACATCCAACGATCAGACAACCAACCGGTACTGATTGCTGGCTAATTTCAAGACACTGCTCCCGGGGGAATTCAAATGTATGGGTTCATTCATGCAAGCCGACATGTATCGAGTTTCCGTAACAGGGCAGTGTTTGATGGTGTGGACCTGAGGTCCCGAGTCAGATATTGACTTGGATAATTTGAAGTGGTCTGTTAAAAATTCCACGTAGACTTTTTCCTATGAGGAAGACCTCTTACTCCATAGAAAAAAAGATCTTCAGTTTCTCTCCCCCTCTTCCTCCCTGCCCCCTCTCCTGCTATCCCGTCTGACCCCAATTTCTTTTTTTTCTTTTTTCTTTTCTTTTCTTTTTTTTTTTTTTTGAGGCGGAGTCTCGCTGCGTCCCCCAGGCTGGAGTGCAGTGGCGCTATCTCGGCTCACTGCAAGCTCCGCCTCCCGGGTTCACGCCATTCTCCTGCCTCAGCTTCCCGAGTAGCTGGGACTACAGGCGCCCGCCACCATGCCCGGCTAATTTTTTTTGTATTTTTAGTAGAGACGGTGTTTCACCGTGTTAGCCAGGATGGTCTCGATCTCCTGACCTCTTGATTCGCTCGTCTCGGCCTCTCAAAGTGCTGGGATTACAGGCGTGAGCTACCGCGCCCGGCCGTCTGTCCCCAGTTTCTTACACAGAAATCATGGGAAGCTTACAGTATAATGTTAAACAAACAAATAAGAATATCTCCTACAGATACTAAAACGCTTTCTAGATACACATTCCGTATAATTGCTTCGACGTGTGTATTACACAGCTCCATTTGCTTGTGGGTGATTGAGTCATTAATCATTCCTGTGTAAATTGAAAGTTTAGAAGCAGGTTCCTGACTGGAGCGTGTTTCTTGCCCAGCAAGAGATTTGTTTCTTTTTCTTTTTCTTTCTTTCTTTCTTTTTTTTTTTTTTGAGACGGAGTTTCGCTCTTGTTACCCAGGCTGGAGTGCAATGGCGCGATCTCAGCTCACCTCAACCTCCACCTCCCAGGTTCAAGCGATTCTCCTGTCTCAGCCTCCTGAGTAGATGGGATTACAAGCATGAGCCTCCACCCTGGCTAATTTTGTATTTTTAGTAGAGACGGGCTTTCTCCATGTTGGTCAGGCTGGTCTAGAACTCCCGACCTCAGGTGATCTGCCAGCCTCAGCCTCCCAAAGTGCTGGGATTACAGGCGTGAGCCACCACACCCGGCTTCTTTTCTCTTCTTTTTTCTCTTCTCTTCTCTTCTCTCTATCTCTCTGTCTCTCTCTTTTCCTCCCTCCCTCTCTTCCTCTCTCTCTCTCTCTCTTTATTTTGTTCTTTCTTTCTTTTCTTTCTTCTTTCTTCTTTTTTTGATGGAGTTTCACTCTTGTTGCCCAGGCTGTAGTGCAGTGGTGCCATCTAGGTTTCGCTGCAACCTCCGGCTTCCAGGTTCAAGCGATTCTCCTGCTTCAGCCTTCCAAATAGCAGGGATTACAGGTGCCTGCCCCCACTCCCGGCTAATTTATGTATTTTTAGTAGAGACGGGGTTTCACCATGTTGGCCAGGCTGGTCTCGAACTCTGACCTCAGATGATCCACCTGCCTCGGCCTCCCTAAGTGCTGGGATTACAGGCTTGAGCCACGGCACCCAGCCCAGACTGTGTCTTGAGCATGATTCTTTTTAATTAACTAATTTACTTTTCAGCATCAGATATGTCTCTGATTGAGCATGATTCTTATTATGTAAGTATCAATTCAGTTCAATTACTGTATATGGCGGGTCCAAAGGAAAAAGAAAGTTACTAGTTAGAATTAGAGAACAAGACATTCAGAAGACAGTCTCCATTCAGAACCACTTTGTGTGTGTGTGTGTGTGTGTGTGTGTGTGTGTTTGAGACAGAGTCTCACTCTGTCACCCAGGCTGGAGTGCAGTGGCGCGATCTCGGCTCACTGCAAGCCCTGCCTACTGGGTTCACACCATTCTCCTGCCTCAGCCTCCCAAGTAGCTGGGACTACAGGCGCCCGCCACCATGCCCAGCTAATTTTTGTATTTTTAGTAGAGACGGGGTTTCACCGTGTTAGCCAGGCTGGTCTCTATCTCCTGACCTCATGATCTTCCCGCCTTGGCCTCCCAAAGTGCTGGGATTACAGGTGGGAGCCACCATGCCCAGCCCAGAACCACTTTGTTTTTAAAAATTATGCCAATGAAAAGAAATCCAGTGAAATTTGTTTTATCTAAAACTTTTTCTTTTTTTCTTTTTCTTTTTTCTTTTTTTTTGGGGATGGAGTCTTGCTCTGTCACCCAGGGTGGAGTGCAGTGATGTGATCTTGGCTCACTGTAACCTCCGCCTCCCGGGTTCAAGTGAGTCTCCTGCCTCAGCCTCCAGAGTAACTGGGATTACAGGCGGGCGTCACCTCACCTGGCTAATTTTGTATTTTTAGTAGAGATAAGGTTTCAGCATGTTGGCCAGGCTGGTCTCGAACTCCTGACCTCAAGTGATCCACCTGCATCAGCCTTTCAAAGTGCTGGGATTACAGGCGTGAGCCACTACACCCAGCCTAAAACTTTTTCTATTACTGATTATGAGATATATGTGGGCCAGGTACAGTGGACTCATGCCTGTGATCCTAGCACCATGGGAGGCTGAGGCGGGAGTTTGAGTCCAGCCTGGACAACATAGTGAGACCCCAGCTCTACCAAAAATAAGTTAAAAATTAACTGGATGTGGTGGCACACACAGGTAGTCCCAGCTACCTGGGACTACAAATTCTAGGTAAAAAAAAATCTCGAAAATACATGGGAAGTTTCTTGTAGAAATTCCCTGTAGAATTGTCAGTCCATATGTTCTTTTCATTCTAAGTGTTAATGTACTTTACTATTTATATAGTTTGGACTCAGTGAAAAGGTTACATAGAAATCAATTAATTGTAGTTTTTTTTGTTTGTTTGTTTTTTGTTTTGTTTTGTTTTGAGACAGAGTTTCACTCTTGTTGCCTGGGCTGGAGTACAATGGCGTGGGTGGCCTCAGCTCACTGCAACCTCTGCCTCCCAGGTTCAAGCGATTCTCCTGCCTCAGCCTCCCGAGTAGCTGGGATTACAGGAATGCACCACCATGCCTGGCTAATTTTTTGTGTTTTTAGTAGAGATGGGGTTTCTCCATGTTGGTAAGGCTGGTCTCAAACTCCTGACCTCAGGTGATCCACCCGTCTCAGCCTCCCAAAGTACTGGGATTACAGGCGTGAGCCACTGTGCCCGGCCAGTGGTTTTAAGTAATGGTATATTAACTGGTAAAGAAAAGGAACAAACTACAGCAACATGAACAGTGAAAATGAATTACATAAATAATGTTGAACAACAACAAAAAGAACGTAAAGGAATACATACAGCTGATGCAGCAAGACAAGGAAAATAAAGGCATAAGATGGGAAAAAGAGTGATGAAATCGTTATGTGTAGATGACTTGATTGGCTTCACATATAAACTGTTGGAAATAATTAGTAAATTAGCAAAATTGCTGGTTGCAAAGTCAATAAACAAAAATAAAAATATTTCAATATACTAACAAGATTAAAAACAAAATGAAAATACCATTTAGAATATCATCAAAAATATCAAACCTAGGTCCATTGGTGCATTCTGATAGTCCCAGCTATTTGGGAGGCCGAGGTGGGAGAATCACATCAAGTCAGGAGTTTGAGGCTGCAGTACACTATGATCTATCTGTGAGTAGCCACTGTACTCCAGCCTAGAGACCCCATCTCTAAAAAATAAAAATTGAAAACTTTGGCCAGGCATGGTGGCTCACGCCTATAATCCCAGCACTTTGGGAGTAGAGGCAGGCAGATCACTTGAGGTCAGGAGTTTGAGACCAGCCTGGTCAACATGGCAAAACCCTGTCTCTACTAAAACTACAAAAATTAGCTGGGCGTGTTGGTGCGCGCCTGTATTCCCAGCTACTTGGGAGGCTGAGGCAGGAGAATTGCTTGAGCCCAGGAAGCTGAGGTTGCAGTGAGCCAAGCTTGCTCCATTGCACTCCAGCCTCAGTGACAAGCGTGAAACTCTGTCTCAAAAAAAAACAAAAAACTGAAAACTTGAAAAACAATTTAAAAATCAAATATTTAGGAATAAATATCACTAAAGATATTCAAAACTTAAAAACATAACTGGGTAAATTTGAAGAGGAAGTAATTGACAACTATATCGTGTTCATTTTTCCTCAAATTGTTCTAGATTTAATGCAATCAGTTGAAATATGATCAGTTTTTTAAATTAAATTGACAAACTGATTAAAATATGTATTCATTTATTTTTTGAGACGGAGTCTCGCACTGTCGCCCAGGCTGGAGTGCAGTGGTACCATCTCGGCTCACTGCAACCTCCGCCTCCCGGGTTCAAGCAAGTCTCCTGCCTCAGCCTCCTGAGTAGCTGGAACTACAGGTGCATGCCACCACACCTAGCTAATTTTCATATTTTTAATAGAGACGAAGTTCCACCATGTTGGCCAGGATGGCCTTGATCTCTTGACCTTGTGATTCGCCTGCCTCGTCCTCCCAAAGTACTGGGATTACAAGCGTGAGCCACCGCGCCTGGCTGAAAGGACGATTTTTTTTTTTTTTTTTTTTTTTTTTTTTTTGAGACGGAGTCTCGCTCTGTCGCCCCGGCGGGACTGCGGACTGCAGTGGCGCAATCTCGGCTCACTGCAAGCTCCGCTTCCCGGGTTCACGCCATTCTCCTGCCTCAGCCTCCCGAGTAGCTGGGACTACAGGCGCCCGCCACCGCGCCCGGCTAATTTTTTTTTGTATTTTTAGTAGAGACGGGGTTTCACCTTGTTAGCCAGGATGGTCTCGATCTCCTGACCTCATGATCCACCCGCCTCGGCCTCCCAAAGTGCTGGGATTACAGGCGTGAGCCACCGCGCCCGGCCCGATTTTTTTTTTTCAATAAATAATGCTGGGTCAATTGGATATCTATGTAGGAAAAACATGAACCTTGATTCCCTACCACATATCATACACAAATTTTTTTTTTTTTTTTTTTTGAGATGGAGTCTTGCTCTGTTGCCCAGGCTGGAGTACAGTGACACTATTTTGGCTCACTGCAACATCTGCCTTCTAGGTTCAAGCAATTCTCCTGCTTCAGCCTCCTGAGTAGCTGGGATTACAGGCGCATGCCACTATGCCCGGCTAATTTTTGTATTTTTAGTAGAGACGGGGTTTCACCATGTTGGACCAGGCTGGTCTCGAACACCTGACCTCAGGTGAATCGCCCGCCTTGGCCTCCCAAAGTGCTGGGATTACAGGCATGAGCCACTGCACCTGGCCCCACAAAATTTAATTATAGGTGTGAGCCACTGCACTTGGCCTAAAATCATTTTTAGTTATAAAAATAATACTAGGTCATGGTAAAAAAAATTAATTGAGTGTAGAACCTACAAAATGAAACTGGTAATACTCTTCCACCTCCTGCCAGCTCCACTAGTCCCACTCCCAGAGGGTATATATAGACATTATGAATCTTGCTTTTTAAAGTAAAGTTTTAAGTGGAAATTTTTTAAAAAGTTCCAGTCACTTGGAAAATATTCATAAGCAAATATTTCAGTACTATTTTTACTGTTTCTTAGATTTCTGCACCTAATGAATTTGATGTCATGTTTAAACTGGAAGTCCCCAGAATTCAACTAGAAGAATATTCCAACACTCGTGCATATTACTTTGTGAAATTTAAAAGAAATCCGAAAGAAAATCCTCTGAGTCAGTTTTTAGAAGGTGAAATATTATCAGCTTCTAAGATGCTGTCAAAGTTTAGGAAAATCATTAAGGAAGAAATTAACGACATTAAAGGTAAGACTTTTGCCTTTTGATTCTTAAAGGTTTAATTATACCTAGTAATTGCCAATGTACACTCCCATTCTCATGTTTCTTGACCTCTCTGCAGTAAGAAAAAGTGCAGTAGAGAGGTCAAGAAACATCAGTAGAGGAGTGTACATTGGCAATTACTTATAATATGATTACAAGATTATAAAGTACAGAAGGGTAGAGGTCTTTATCTATTTGTTCTCTAATGAATCCTAAATAACTAGAACACCTACACATTAGATAATCAATGAATATTGATTAAATTAAATGATTAAATTATATGAAATAATCAATGAATATTTATTAAATTGATGGATAAATGAATCTACACTCTCTGCCTAGGTATTTCATCCATTCCCAATGCCACCTATATGATGATGACTCCCAAATGTTTACTTGCAGCCCAAATATATCCTTTGCACTCCAAACCTATATCCAGCTACGTCCTTAACATATCCACTTTGATGTTGATGTACCACAGGAATCTATAACCAAACATATCCAAAGCGAATAAACATAACTTAATTCATATACCAAACTATGTTTTGCCTCAGTCCTTCCCATCTCAGAAAATGGCACAATCAATCCACCCAGACGCACCATCCAGAAACCTGGGAACCATCTTAATTTAATCCTCTCTGTTACCCCCTACGCTTAATCCAGATGCAAGTGCTGCTACAGCTTGGACCTGTCTGCTGCTTCAATCCCAGCACCCTACTCCCACCCCACCTAAGCTGCCACCATCTTTTACCTGAACTATTACATCATTTTCCTTTCTAATCTCCCTATTTGCCTTCTTATAATATCTGTCCTTAGAAGCCAGAGTAAATGTTTTAAAATACAAAGCCAGTCATTACTCTCTGATGAAAACCTGGCTTCTCAATGATCAGATAATAAAATCTGGTGCCAGGCGCAGTGGCTCACACCTGTAATCCCAGCACTTTGGGAGGCTGAGGTGCGTGGATCACCTGAGCTCAGGAGTTTGAGACCAGCCTGGCCAACATGGAGAAACCCCATCTCTACTAAAAATACAAAAATTAGCCGGGTGTGGTGGCACATGTCTGTAATCCCAGCTACTTGGGAGGCTGAGGCAGGAGAATTGCTTCAACCTGGGAGGCAGAGGTTGCAGTAAGCCGAGATCGGGGCATTGCACTCCAGCCTGAGTGACAAGAGCGAAACTCCATCTCAAAATAAAATAAAATTAAATTAAATTAAATTAAAATCTGGCCAGGCGCAGTGGCTCACACCTGTAATCCCAGCACTTTGGGAAGCTGAGGTAGGTATATCACGAGGTCAGGAGTTCAAGACCAGCCTGGCTAAGATGGTGAAACCCCATCTATACTAAAAATACAAAAATTAGCCAGGCGTGGTGGTGGATGCCTGTAATCCCAGCTACTCGGGAGGCTGAGGCAGGAGAATCGCTTGAACCCGAGAGGTGGAGGTTGCAGTGAGCCGAGATCGTGCCACTGCACTCCAGCCTGGGCGACAGAGCAAGACTCCGTCTCAAAAATAAAATGAAATCTAAAGTCCTTTTCAGGGTCTACAAGTCAGTACAGAATCTGGTCCCTGGCTGCCTCTTCAGCTTCATTTCATATAACTTCATCTTTTCCGAAAGAGTCTCTTTTTGTTCCTAGATCTTTCCAAGCTCTTTTTTTCTGCCTCAGGGCTTGGCTCCACCACCCCATTCCACCCTAATTGCTATCACTTTTCCCAGTTTATTCCCTTCAGAGCACTCACTGCAATTTGTGTTGTATGTTATTACGCTATTAGATTAAGAGCTTTATCTTGCAAGCACAGACGTACAATTAATAACAAATGGAAAAAATGATTATCTTGTATACTGGAAAGTAGTAAGTGCTGTTGTGAAGAAGTATAGCAAAGTGAGAGGGATCAGGAATGTGGGAGATGGAGGTGGGGGGGAAGTTGCAATGTTAAGTAGAGTGGTAAGAAGAGAATTCCATTAGAGTTTGGGAAGAGCCAGGCGCCGTGGCTCACGCCTGTAATCCCAACACTTTGGGAGGCCGAGGCGGGTGGATCACGAGGTCAGGAGTTCAAGACCAGCCTGGCCAAGATGGTGAAACCCCGTCTTGACTAAAAATACAAAAAACTAGCCGGGCGTGGTGGCGGGTGCCTGTAATCCCAGCTACTTGGGAGGCTGAGGCAGAGAATTTCTTGAACCCAGAAGGCGGAGGTTGCAGTGAGCTGAGACCGCGCCACTGAACTCCAGCCTGGGCGACAGAGTGAGACCCTGTCTCAGAAAAAAAAAAAAAAAAAAAAGAGTTTGGGAAGAAGAGAATGAACAAAAGGAGACTATGAGTGTTTTGTAGAAGGAGCGGTCAGTGTTTGGAATGCTACTGACATCCAGAAATCCAATGGATTTGTTCTTTGGTCTTGTGGGGTTGACAAGAGAAATGTCAGTGGGGTGATGGACACAGAGTGAAAAGGCAGGGTTGCAGTGGAGATAACATGTGTAGGCCACTCTAGAAAGTTCTGTCTGGGCTAACTGTGGTGTCTCAGCACTTTGGGAGGCCAAGGCAGAAGGATTGCTTGAGCCCAGGAGTTCAAGACCAGCCTGGGCAACAAAGTGAGAGTCCATCTCTACAAAAAAAAATTTTAGGCCAGGTATGGTGGCTCATGCCTGTAATCCCAGCACTTTGGGAGGCCAAGGTGGGCGGATCACAAGGTCAGGAGTTCAAGACCAGCCTGGCCAAGATGATGAAACCCCGTCTGTACTAAAAATACAAAAATTAGCCAGGCGTGGTGGCAGACACCTATAATCATAGCTACTCAGGAAGTTGAGGCAAAAGAATTGCTTGAGCCTGGGAGACAGAGGTTGCAGTGAGCTGAGATTGCGCCACTGCACTCCAGCCTGAGCGACAGAGCAAGACTGTCTCAGAAAAAAAAAAAAAAAAAAAGAAAGAAAAAAGAAAAAAACATTTTTTTAATTAGCCAGGAGTGGTGGCATGTGCCTGTGGTCCCAGCTACATACGATGCTGAGGCAAGAGGATTGCTTGAACCTAGGAGGTTGAGGCTGCAGTGAGCCATGTTCACGCTACTGCACTCCAGCCTGGGTGACAGAACGGGACCCTGTCTCAAAAAAAAAAAAAAGTTTGGGCTGGAAGGAAGCAGAAAGATGGGTGAGTATGGAGAGGAGGAAGATGTGGGGTGAAAGGAGAGGTATACCCTATAACCCTTTGTATGAATTTCAGAATAATCTAGCAGGGAGGGAGAGATGGCTGATGTAGGAGAGGAAATACTTGAAGAGCATGGTACTTGAGAAGTTGAGAAGGAAGGGATCCAGAGACTATGGGCAGAGGTGGCCTTTGAAAGGTAGATGGAGGGCCAGGCACAGTGGCTCACACTTGTAACCCTAGCACTTTGGGAGGCCAAGGTAGGCAGATCATTTGAGCTCAAGAGTTCAAGACCAGCCTGGCCAACATGGTGAAACCCTGTCTCTACTAAAAATACAAAAATTAGCCAGGTGTGGTGGTGCATGCCTGTAATCCCAGCGACTCAGGAGGTTGAGGCAGGAGAATCACTTGAAGCTGGGAGGTGGAGTTTGCAGTGAGCTGATATCACACCACTGCACTGCATCCAGCCTGGGCTACAGAGCAAGACTTTGTCTCAAAAAAAAGTAAGGTAGATGGACACTTACTTCCTCAGTGGTAACAGGAGAGGTGGCCAGGTTTGGGTAACAGGTGGCCAGGTTTGCAGATTTTTCTAGCATTTTCTCCTTTGTGCTCTACTTCGTCACTGTGGAAGTCTTATCTGACAGTAGTAGTCTTTACTGCTTATAAACCCCCAACTCCCAAAGCCATCTAAATTTCTGACCATAGCCACCCACCCAGCAGCCATCTCCACTTGAGTGTCCCACAGGTATCTAGAGCTCATTGTATCTCATGAAGTTCAGCTTGGCCCAATCTTTCTTCTTCCTGCTTATTCTATTTTGAGGAATGGAACCAACATCAGCCATTAGGCCTAGGAAGGCCAAGATCCTGGGATGGCATCCCAAGGCTCCTACTTTCCTCCTCACATCGTAGCCTCAACTCATGACCACTTATGTTGATTTGGACTTCTTTAGTTGCTCTCACTTCTTCCCCGTGTCTTGATGCTCACTACCTCTGTGCTGCCGTGGCACCCAGCCTCTGTGCCAGGCTGTTGCTGTGGTCTTTTTGCTGCCTGTCTCTTCCCTCTTGCCCATCTGGCCTCTCCTCTAGGCTTCCCTCCATTCTGCCATCTATAATTTGTAATGAAAATTTAACCAGGCACAGTGGCACATGCCTGTAATCCCAGCTACTCAGGAAGCTGAGGCAGGAGGATCAATTGAACCCGGGAGGCAGAAGTTGCAGTGAGCCGAGATCGTGCCACTGCACTCCAGCCTGGGCAACAAGACAATAAGAGTGAAACTCTGTCTCAAAAAAAAAAAAAAAGAAAAAGAAAAAGAAAAAAGAAAAGAAAAGAAAAGAAGAAAATTTAATCACAGCACTCTTAAACCTCAAAGTCTACAGAGACCCCTTCATCATATATGCCCCACACCATCTTGACAATGCCTCCCAATGGGAGATATCAGTAATTATTGTGTTTTTTGTTTTTTGTTTTTTTTTCTTTTTTGAGACAGAGTCTTAATCTGTCGCCCAGGCTGGAGTGCAGTCATGTGATCTCGGCTCACTGCAACCTCCGCCTCCTGGGTTCAAGTGATTCTCATGCCTCAGCCTCCCGAGTAGCTGGGATTACAGGCATTCGCCACCATGCCCGGCTAATTTTTGTATTTTTAGTAGAGATGGGGTTCCACCATGTTGGCCAGGCTGGTCTCGAACTCCTGACCTCAAGTGATCCACCTGTCTCGGCCTCCCAAAGTGCTGCGATTACAGGCATGAGCCATCATGCCCAGCCAATATTGGTTTAGTAAAATACTTTGCCTTTTAGAGCCAGTTTCTGTTTTACCACTAATGTTTACTTCATACTTAGCACACCAGAGATCTTCAATTATAGTTACATTATTTCCCCTGTATTTCCAGAGAAAATTGGATTAATAAATACTTTCTTTTCTTTTATATGTTCAACCAGATACAGATGTCATCATGAAGAGGAAAAGAGGAGGGAGCCCTGCTGTAACACTTCTTATTAGTGAAAAAATATCTGTGGATATAACCCTGGCTTTGGAATCAAAAAGTAGCTGGCCTGCTAGCACCCAAGAAGGCCTGCGCATTCAAAACTGGCTTTCAGCAAAAGTTAGGAAGCAACTACGACTAAAGCCATTTTACCTTGTACCCAAGCATGCAAAGGAAGGAAATGGTTTCCAAGGTATTTTAAATATTAAAGTTAACTTAAAGAAGTAAAAGAGTTGTTAATGTTATATGTTCAGGCAGTAAAAGATCAACAGCCAACCAATGCTGTTGTCATTTCAAGAGCCATCAGGCAAAATAGGTTATAAGATGGGAGTCTGGTGACAGACAGAATTGAAAAGGGCAAAGTTGTAGTATTAATATCAAATACTCAGCTTTAAAATGTCTAGCAATCCATATTTGAATTTTATTTTATTTTTTTCGGTAAAGAAAAGCAGTATTGGCCTTGGAGTCAGACTGCCCTGGTTCTGAATCCTGAGGCTCCTTCTACTAGTTGTGTGAATTCGAGCTAGTTATGATGCTTTCTAAACCCATTTGCTCATCCGTACACTGTGTTAACCAAAAGTACTTGAAAAATTCTGGAAAGATAAAATGTGCATGCAGTTCTGTGGCCAATTCTGTTCATGCCAGTTATACGTTATTACATATTAATATTATCATTAGAGTCTAGACTCTCATTCTCAGCCCTGGTTCTCTCTTTCCTTCATCTTCCCATTCCACTGCTCCTATGCAGCGTGTCTCAGCCTCACAGATCAGGACGGGTTTTCAGGCTGTGCTCTTGGGTAAAATTCAACTTCCAAGAAACAGACTGAGTTGGTCTACAGCTAAAACTTTATAATGGTGATATTTTTGAAGGTAGAAGGAAGTAACTTTTTTTTTTCTTTCTTTCTTTTTTTTTTTTTCCTGAGACAGAGTTTTGCTCTTGTTGCCCAGGCTGAAGTGCAGTGGCACAATCTCAGCTTGCTGCAACCTCTGCCTCCCGGGTTAAAGCGATTCTCCTGCCCCATCCTCCCGAGTAGCTGGGACTACAGGTGCCCGCTACCATGCCTGGCTAATTTTTTGTATTTTTAGTAGAGACGGGGTTTCACCATGTTGGCCAGGCTGGTCTCAAACTCCTGGGAAGTAGCTTTTTTCCTTGTGATTTAGTCTAAAAAAAAAAAGAAAGTAGCTGATTATTTTCATTTTCTCCCATAGATTTATATAGGACTTTTGGCACCTACTACTATTGGATTCCAGGGAAATTGAAGGAGACCATAAAACAAATGAACCAAGTTATAAATGAGTATTGCTGAAAAAAGCCCAGAAATAGTCAATCATGCTTAGTTTGATGGTTTGTGTTTTTGTGGACACACATCATAACTTCATATATTGCATACATAGAGGAATCATTTTCTGTAAGAAAAATAGTCTATGAAGGGTACTTACATATATCATTATTCATGTTTTTACAAAATGAATTATAGCTTTCTGCAAAGAGGTTGTTCTGCAAACTGAACAATTTTTAGAATAGCTGCCCCAGGAAACCCTCACTGTAAGTGATACAAAAATTGCAACAGGACCCCATACCATCTCTTGCTGACCCCATACTGTCCTGAGGAACACTGGAAGGTAAATCACCTTAGAGATGAAGAAGAGTCCTTTGGTGGCCCTGTGGCCTATGTGGTTAGGCAGTTCTTTTTTTTTTTTTTTTTTGAGACGGATTCTTGCTTTGTTGCCCAGGCTGGAGTGCAGTGGTGTGAACTTGGCTCACTGCAACCTCTGCCTCCTGGCTCAAGCGATTCTCCTGCCTCAGCCTCATGAGTAGCTGGGACTACAGGCGCATGCCACCACGCGAGGCTAATTTTTGTATTTTTAGTAGAGACAGGGTTTCATTATGTTGGCCAGGATGGTCTCCATCTCTTGACCTCGTGATCCACCCGCCTCAGCCTCCCAAAGTGCTGGGATTACAGGCGTGAGCCACTGCATCTAGCCATGGTTAGGGAGTTCTTTTCATTCTTCCATTAAAATGAAAGAAAGTGAAGGCTGGTGCTGGATGCTTAGCTTCACCTCTGCTTTCTGTTACCCTTGGCTGTTCTGCATCTGCCATCATTCCAGATTATGTATAATTAGACAAAACTCTGCTTCTGTGTATGTGTGTGAGTGTATGTGAACAGAGGGACTTAACAGTGAAAATACTTGTACTAGATTGGAGACACTTATAACACCTGCTATATCTTTTCTTTCTCTAAACATTCTACTAGAAATTCCCTGGTCTCACAAGCTATATTTTTAAAAATATTATGTTTTTGTTTTTATTTATTTTTATTTGTTTATTTTTTGAGACAGAGTCTCGCTGTGTCGCCCAGGCTGGAGTGCAGTGGTGCAATCTTGGCTCACTGCAACCTCCACCTCCTGGGTTCAAAAGATTCTCCCACTTCAGCATCTCGAGTAGCTGGGACTACAGGTGCGTGCCACCATGCCCAGCTAATTTTTTGTATTTTTAGTAGAGACTGGGTTTCACCATATTGGCCAGGCTGATCTCGAACTCCCAACTTCAGGTGATCCACCCATCTCCATCTCCCAAAGATTACAGGCATGAGCCACTGTGCCTGGCCTTGTTTTTATTGATTTTTGATTAAAAATTTTAAATTTTAAAAATTTACCTGTTGCAAAATAATACTAGTTTTATTACCAAGGATATAATTTATTTAAAGAACAGTTTATGATTTACTTGCAGTTTTTTTGTTCTTAAGATAAAAGGACAGTCAAAATATGAGGTTTTTAACCCACTCAAAAAAATGTTCAGCCAGGCGCAGTGGCCCATGCCTATAGTCTCAGCTACTCAGGAAGTTGAGGCGGGAGGATTGCTTGAGCCCAGGGGTTCAGGGCTGTAGTGAGCTATGATCATGCCACTGCACTCCATCCTGGGTAACATAGCAAGAAGTCCTCTATACCCCGCCTGCCAAAAAAAAAGTCTCTGGACAGTTTAACTCAACATAGGTAAATTAACTTGTTTCATTATGTTATCTGTTTTTAGATACTGGTTTTTAAATTTTGATTTAATTCGTTTCATAAATTTATAAAGCATATACGTGGTTCCAAAGTCAAAGCTATGGAAAAAGGTACAGTTAGAGAAACATCTTCTGTTCATGTCCTCTCCACACTCTTCTCTCCTTCCCTGATTAGAAACCTTTTTAATTGTTTTTAGTTTACCCTTCCATGTTTTATTTTTTATTTTATTTATTTATTTATTTTTGAGACAGAGTCTCGCTCTGTTGCCCAGGCTGGAGCGCAGTGGGGCAATCTTGGCTCACTGCAGCCTTCGCCTCCCAGGTTCAAGTGATTCTCCTGCCTCAGCCTCCAGGAGTAGATGGGATTACAGGTGTGTGCCACCACGCCTGGCTAATTTTTGTGTTTTTAGTAGAGATGAGGTTTCACCACGCTGGCCAGGCTGCTCTTGAACTCCCAACCTCAGGTGGTCCACCCACCTTGGCCTCCCAAAGTACTGGGATTACAGGCGTGAGCCACCGTGCCTGGCCTTCCGTGTTTTAAAAGTGTAAGTAAATATATTCTCTCTCTCTCTCTCTCATTCATGTAATGGCTCAAACCTATAATCCAGTACTTTGGGAGGCTGAAGTGGGTGGATCATTTGAGCTCAGGAGTTCGAGACCAGCGTGGGCAACATGGTGAAAGCCTGTCTCTACTAAAAATACAAAAATTAGCCAGGTGTGGTGGTGCAAGCCTGTAGTCCCAACTATTCAAGAGGCTGATGTCAGGGGATCACTTGAGCCCTGGAGGTTGAGGCTGCAGTGAGCCAAGATGGTGCCACTGCACTCTAGCCTGGGTAACAGAGTGAGACCCTGTCTCAAAAACAAAGAAAAAGGTGTCCCTTTTATTTTAAAAAGGGGATGGCATATAAATGTGTATATAGTATATAATATAAATTATATACAATGTTTTATATTATATGACATATTACATATAAATTATACATAATATATTACATGTAAATACTTATGTAAATATATTCATATAAATACTTATATTTAATATATATTTTTAAGATAAAGAAGTCAGGTAAAAACTAAGGAAATCTGGATAAAGTATAGACTTTAGTTAACAATAATGTATCAATATTGGTTTATTGTACCAATGTATTTTATGAATATGGGATGTTAATAATAGGGAAATGGGGGTGCAGTGGCATGTGCTTATAGTCCTAGTTTCCTCAGCCTTCGGGAGGCTGAGGCAGGAGGATCATTGAGCCCAGGAGTTAGGGTTGTTCTTCTTGGAGCTGAACTCCTGGGTTCAAGTGATCCTCCCGTCTCAGTCTCCCACCTCCCAAGTAGCTGAGATTACAGGTGCACGACACTGTAATCAGTGGACATGTTTTCAAGTGGGTTTAAAACTTGGTATTTTGACTGTCCTTTTATCTTAAGGACAAAAAACTGCAAAAAAATTATAAGCTGTTTTTTATAAGTGTATTATTGGTAATAATACTGGTATTACTTTGAAAAAGGTAGATTGAACATAAATATTAGATAATATAGTAATTTATATACATACAAAATATATTTGTATGCTACCCCCTTTTTAAATAAAAGGTACACTTTTTTTTTTTTTTTTTTTAAAGTAGACACAGGGTCTTGCTATGTTGCCCAGGCTGGTCTCAAACTCCTGGCCTAAAGCAGTCCTCCCACTTTGGCCTCCTAAAGTGCTGGGATTATAGGCATGAGCCATCATGGCCAGGACATATGTTTTTCTTTTTAATTTTATTAATTTGGTTTATTTTTTAATTTTATAGACGCCCTGCTCTCAGATATAACACTTTTTTTCTTTTAATTTAACAAGATATTTTCGATCTCACTCCATACCTCTATATAGAGAAAACACCCATTCCTTTTTAAAGTCTATTTTTACAGCTGGTCAAAGAGTAAATCGTTATGTAATATTGCTAGGCATTTCCCAGATCTCCATAGGCATCATTCCAATTTGCTTTTCCACAGCAATGTATCAGAGTACCTGTTTCACTCTCAACCTCACTGACTTGTTAAACTTTTTGCCAATTGAAATTCTTGCCAGTGAGAAAATGATATCTCAAAAAGTAAGAAATGATATCTCAGTGTAGTTTATTTAAAAATAAACTTTTTGTTTTAGCATAGTTTTGTATTTACAGAAAAATTGTGAAGATAGTACAGAGAGTTCCCGTATAACCCCATACCCATTCCCCTGGGGTTTTTTCTGGGGGAGGTAGTGGGGCAGAGTTTCACTATGTTGCCCATGCTGGTCTTGAACTGAGCTCAATGATCCTCCCACCTCACCTTATCAAGTAACTGGGACTACAGACACGTGCCACTGCAGCACCCCCATTTTCCTATTATTAATATCTCACATTAATACAATACATTTAATAATTAATAAACCAATATTGATATATTATTGTTAGCTAAGGGCTATATCTGCTGGGCACAGTGGGTCTTGCCTGTAATCCCAGCACTTTGGGAGGCCGAGGTGGGCAGATCACCTGAAATCAAGAGTTCGAAACCACCCTGGCCAACATGGCAAAACCCCGTCTCTACTAAAAAAATACAAAAATTAGCCAGGCGTGGTGGCATGTGACTTAGTCCCAGCTACTCAGGAGGCCGAGACAGGAGAATCACTTGAACTTGGTGGGTGGAGTTGCAGTGAGCCAAGATCATGCCACTGCACTCCAGTCTAGGAGACACAGCGAGACTCCATTAAAAAAAAAAATTATATACTTTATCCAGATTTCCTTAGTTTTTCTTAATGTCCTTTTACTGTTCCAAGATCCCATTTAGGATACCATATTGCATTTAGTTGTCATGTCTCCTTAAGCTACTCTTGACTGTGACAGTTTTTTGGTTTTAACAGTTTTGAGGAGTACTAGTTAGGTATTTTGTAGAATGTCCTTTACTTGAGATTTCTTTATTATGTTTCTTATGATTAGATCAGAGTTATTGGTTTGGGGGAGGAAGGTCACAGAGGCAAAGTGCCATCCTTATCAAATTTTATCAACGGTACGTGCCACCTTTCTTTACAGTCATGTACAGTTGACCCTCAGGATTGGCTCCAGGGTACCCTGCAGACACCGAAGTCCACAGATGCTCAAATCCCTTACATAAAATGATATAATACAGTTGGCCCTCCATATCTGTGGGTTTCAATTCACGATTGGTTGAATTCTCAGATGTGAAACCCTCAGATACAGAGGGCCAACCGTATTGTGTAGCTATCCCTGAACTCTTTATTCTGTCCCATTAAAATCTTTGTCTATCTTTGTACCATGTTGTTGTACATAATGTAGCTTTATAATTAGTCTCAATATCTTTTAGGGCAAGTTCTACCACTTCGTTTTTCTCCAAGGGTGTCTGAGAGAGTCTTGACCCTTTACATTCTCATATAAATTTTGAAATCAGCTTTTCAGATTCCACAAAATACTTTTTGGAATTTTGATTGAGATAATGTTGAATCTATAGATAAATTTGGGGCCAGGAATGATGACTTATGCCTGTAATTCCAGCACTTCAGAAGGCTGAGGAAGGAGAGTTGCTTTAGGTGAGGGGTTCAAGACCATCTTGGACAACACTGTGTAAAAACTCTAGCCAGGCGTGGTGGCTCACGCCTGTAATCCCAGCACTTTGGAAGGCCAAGGTGAGTGGATTACGAGGTCAAGAGATCGAGACCATCCTGGCCAACATGGTAAGACCCCATTTCTACTAAAAATACAAAAATTAGCTGGGCATGGTGGCACGTGCCTGTAGTCCTAGCTACTCGGGAGGCTGAGGCAGGAGAATCGCTTGAACCCAGGAGGCAGAGGTTGCAGTGAGCCAAGATCACGCCATTGCACTCCAGCCTGGTGACAGAGAGAGACTCCGTCTCAAAAAAAAATTAAAAAAAAAAAACTCTCTATAAAAGTTTTTATAGAGAGTTGTGAGTCTTCATCTCTATAAAAACTTTTTAAAAATTAGCCAGGCGTGGTGGTGTGCACTTGTAGCTTGTAGTCTTAGTTACGCAAGAGAATCACTTAAGCTCAGGAGTTCGAGGTTACAGTGAGCTATGATCTTGCCACTGCACTCCAGCCTGGGCAACATAACAAGACACTGTCTGTATTAAAAAAAAAAAACATGGGAGAGAGTTGATATGTTAACAATATTGAGTCTCCCAATCCACTTATTTACATCTCCTCTAATACTTCCCAGCTTCATTCATTAGCATTTTCTCTGCAGAGGTTTTGTATATCTTTTGTTAATTTATTCATAGGTAATTGATCTATTTTAAAACTATTTATTTATTTATTTATTTTGAGATGGAGTCTCGCTCTGTCACCCAGGCTGGAGTGCAGTGGTGCGATCTCGGCTCACTGCACCCTCCACCTCCTGGGTTCAAGCGATTCTCCTGCCTCAGCCTCCTGAGTAGCTGGGATTACAGGTGCCCACCACCGTGTCTGGCTAGTTTTTGTATTTTTAGTAGAGATAGGGTTTCACCATGTTGTCCAGGCTGCTCTCAAACTCCTGACCTCAGGTGATCTGCTCACCTCGGCCTCCCAAAGTACTGGGATGACAGGCGTGAGCCACCGCGCCTGGCCAAAACTTTTTATTATGAAAATTTTAAACCAGTACCAAAGGAGACTGGGCCAGGAGTGTTGGCTCATGCTTGTAATACCAGCATTTTGGGAGGCTGAGGTGGGTGGATCACTTGAGCCCAGGAGTTCAAGCCTGGGCCACGTGACAAAACCCTGTCTCTTCAAAAAATACAAAATAAATTAGCTGGGTGTGGTAATATGCACCTGTTGTCCCAGCTATTTGGGGGGCTGAGGTGGGAGAATCACTTGAGTCTAGGAGGTTGAGGCTTCTGTGAGCCGAGATCATGTCACTGCGCTCCAGCCTGGGTGACAAAGTGAAACCTTGTCTTAAAAAAATAATCAATGACTGGGAGCGGTGGCTCACACCTGTAATCCAAGCACTTTGGGAGGCCAAGGCGGGTGGGTCACCTGAGGTCAGGAGTGCGAGACCAGCCTGGCCAACATGGTGAAACCCCATCTCTACTAAAAATACAAAATTAGCCGGGCATGGTGGCGCATGCCTGTAATCCCAGCTACTCAGGAGGCTGAGGCAGGAGAATCACTTGAACCTGGAAGGCAGAGGTTGCAGTGAGCTGAGATGGTGTCACTGCACTCCAGCCTGGGCAACAGAGCGAGACTCAATCTCAAAAAATAAAAATAAATAAAAATAAATGTATAAACAAATAATAATTTTCTTATATTAGCTGGGCACAGTGGCTCACAGCTGTAATTCCAGCACTTTGGGAGGTGGGAGGATTGCTGGACCCCAGGAGTTTGAGATCAGCCTGGGCAAGGTGGAGAGACCCCGTCTCTACAAAAAAATCCAAAAATTAGCCAGCCATGGTGATGTATGCTTCTGGTCCCGCTATTGGAACGGCTAACATGAGAAGATTGCTTGAGGCTGGGAAGTCGAGGTTTCAGTGAGCTGTGTTCACGCACTCCAGCCTGGGTGATAGAGGGAGATCTTGTCTCAAAAAATGAAAGAAAAAAGTAATAATTCCCTAATATCAAACACCTATTCAGTATTAAAATTTCCGCTTGTCTTGTAAGTGTCATACTTTTTTTGTATGTTTGGATCAGTCTGTTTGGATCAGGATTCAAATAAGGTTCATACATTGTGACTGACCAATATGTCTGTTAAATCTCTTTTAACTCATAACTTCCTCTTTCATAACTTTTTTATTCCTTGAATAAAATTTACTCAATTTACTTCAATTTACTCATTGAAGAAACAGGTTATTTTTCCTGTAGAGTTTCCCAAAGAGAGTTTGTAGAGTGCATTCTAGAAGTGTCGTTTAGCATGTTCTGCTTTCATCCATATTTCTTTTTGTTGTTGTTGTTGTTTTGTTTTTTTGAGAGGGAGTTTTGCTCTTGTTGCCCAGTCTGGAGTGCAATCGCCCGATCTTGGCTCACTGCAACCTGCGCCTCCCAGGTTTAAGTGATTCTCCTGCCTTAGCCTCCAGAGTAGCTGGGATTACAGGCTTGTGCCACCATGCCCGGCTAAATGTTTGTATTTTTAGTAGAAATGGGGTTTCACCATGTTGGTCCGGCTGGTCTCGAACTCCTGACCTCAGGTGATCCACCGCCTCAGCCTCCCAAAGTGCTGGGATTACAGGAGTGAGCCACTGTGCCTGGCCTCATCCATATTTCATTAGCAGTTAGATCTAGAAGGTAACTGTTGGGTGTTTTTTTTTGTTTGTTTTTTGTTTTTGTTTTTGTTTTTTGAGACTGAGTCTCACTCTGTCATCCAGGCTGGAGTGCAATGGCATGATCTTGGCTCACTGCAACCTCTGCCTCCTGAATTCAAGCGATTCCCCTGCCTCAGCCTCCTGAGTAGCTGGGATTACAACTGTGTGCCACAATGCCTGGCTAATTTTTGTATTTTTAGTAGCGACGGAGTTTCGCCATGTTTGCCAGGCTGCTCTTGAACCCCATATCTCAGGTGATCTGCTCACCTCGGCCTCCCACGGTGCTGGGATTACAGGCATGAGCCACTGCACCTGGCCTAATTGCTAGTTTTTATACTATTGTAAGTAACATCTTTCTCAAAATTTCATTTTTTGTTTATTACCATATATCAAAATACCTTTGATTTTTGTATCCACAATCTTGGTAACTCTTTTAATTGATTTGGTGAGTTTATTTACATAATTTTTTTTTTCTTTTTTCATTTTCTTTCTTTTTTGAGATGGAGCCTCGCTCTGTTGTCCAGGCTGGAGTGCAGTGGCGTGATCTCGACTCACTGCAACCTCGGCATTCCGGGTTCAAGGGATTCTCCTGCCTCAGCCTCCCAAGTAGCTGGGACTATATACAAATACATACATACATGTGGTATGTGTAGGCACACGCCACCACACTGGCTAAGCTAATCTTTCTATTTTTAGTAGATATGGTGTTTCACCATGTTGGCCAGGCTGGTCTCCTGTCTCGGCCTCCTGAAGTGCTGGGATTACAGGCGTGAACCACCATGCCCAGCATTGTAGATTCTTTTGTATTTCCTATATATGCAATTACATCACCTATGAATAATGATGGCTTTGTTTCTCCCTTTCCAGTGTGTAACCCTGTTTTTCCTTCCCTTACTGTGCTTGCTATGACACCCAGTGCATGTTGAACAGAAATAGAGATAGCAGATGTTTTGCCTTCTTTCTGATTTCTCTCTCCAACTTTTTACCTCACATAATGATTGTTGCTATAGTTTTCTAAAATCTACCTTTTATGGAATCAAGTGTCCATCTAGACTTAGATTGCTAAGAGGTGTTTTTTTAATGATGAACGACTATAGGATTTTAAGAGCTTCATTTTCTTCATCTATTGAGACAATCATGTATTTCTCCTCTATTCTGTTAATGTGACAGATTATATTGATTGATTTTTCTGAAAAATCATTCAGATTATAAACTACTTATACTTTGCTAGTATAAAACCACGAAGTAACAGGGTGGTCAGAGCATAAAAGAGCTAGCCATGGTAAGACTCGGGGAGAAATTTTTTTTTTTTGAGACAGAGTCTTGTGCTGTTGCCCAGGCTGGAGTGCAGTGGCGCGATCTCCGCTCACTGCAAGCTCCACCTCCCGGGTTCGCGCCATTCTCCTGCCTCAGCCTCCCAAGTAGCTGGGATTACAGGCGCCCGCCACCACGCCCGGCTAATTTTTTGTATTTTTGGTAGAGGCAGGGTTTCACTGTGTTAGCCAGGATGGTCTTGATCTCCCGACCTTGTGATCCGCCCACCTTGGCCTCCCAAGGTGCTGGGATTACAGGCGTGAGCCACCGCGCCCAGGTGAAATCATTCTATATTTACACAAACTCTCATAAATAAGAATAAAGGAAATGGTCCCCAATTCATTTTGTATTAATATAAAACCTGTAAGGATGGTACAGAAAAAGTGAATAAATTGATTCAAATTATTATTGAAACAAAATATTTAACAAAGGGAATTTAGCAATATATAAAAGGTAATACATCTTACTATTGCTAACTATATTAAACTGTGACTTCCTTTTTTTTTCGGTTAGGCCCATTTTTTGTCTCAGTGTACTTATTTTTATACATAATTATTTATCTGTTCACTTCTTTTGATTCACTCCTAAGATTTTTTCAGAATATTTTCTTTTTCTTTCTTTCTTTTTTTTTTTTTGATGGAGTTTTGCTCTTGTTGCCCAGGCTGGAGTGCAATGGTGCAATCTCGGCTCACTGCAACCTCCACCTCCCAGGTTCAAGTGATTCTCCTTCCTCAGCCTCCCGAGTAGCTGGGATTACAGGCATGTGCCACCATGCCAGGATAACTTTTTTTTGTATTTTTGGTAGAGATGGGTTTCTCCATGTTGGTCAGGCTGGTCTCGAACTCCCGACCTCAGGTGACCCACCCTCCTCGGCCTCCCAAAGTACTGAGATTACAGGCGTGAGCCCCCATGCCCAGCCCCAGGATATTTTCATGAGGGAAACCACTTGAATATTGTTTAGATATGGATGCTTTGGGTAAAGTGCTTTTTTGTTTTTCTTTTTGAAATTAAGAAGAAACATGGCGGCTATCCTTCTCTCACATCGAAAAGGAAATTTTGAACAATCATGGAAAATCTAAAACGTGCTGTGAAAACAAAGAAGAGAAATGTTGCAGGTAACAGCCTTATTTTGTTAAATGACAGATTATCTATGGTATGCTTAATTATTTGTTGACTCCACACCTCAGACCTGAAGAGCTGAGCTGGGTTGGGTCTGGGGGGCAGGGCAGGATTGGGTTGAGCTGGGGAGAGTGTGAGTATGAAACCAGAGAAGCTAGATCCAAAGGGCCAAGGAAAGGGTGTTGTTAGAAGGCAAGGCCGGGGAATAGTAGTTCTGAACCCTGGATCAGATGAATGTGTTTTTGTATAGATGTATCAGTAGGACAGAGTGAGAGGGTATGAGCACTAGCCATGACAATTCGATGGGTCTTAGTATTCTGCTTGTTTAAAAGTAATGGATATTAATGCCATATAATTGGAGGAGGCCAAAAGGTCGCTCTTATTAGATACTGGGCTTGCTTTGGGATAGTTGGGTTGTGTTGACGGCTAGGGATTGATTGGCCAAACTGAAAACAACACTAAGTGAGTAATTTTTTTTTTTGAGACAGACTTTCACTCTGTCACCCAGACTGGAGTGCAGTGGCACAATTACGGCTCACCACAGCCTCGATCTCCTGGGCTCAAGCAATCATCCTACCTCAGCCCCCCAAGTAGCTGAGATTA
The DNA here is from genome assembly GCF_000001405.40 of Homo sapiens. Classification (NCBI taxonomy): domain Eukaryota; kingdom Metazoa; phylum Chordata; class Mammalia; order Primates; family Hominidae; genus Homo; species Homo sapiens. Next base: position 73,428,101 of record NC_000006.12, on the reverse strand, counting down.
CAGGTGCATGCCACCATGCTCGGCTAATTTAAAAAAAAATTTTGTAGAGGGCCTGTTGGCTCACACCTGTAATCCCAGCCTAGCAACATGGTGAGACCCCACCTCCATAAAAAATTTAAAAATTAGCCAGGCATGGTGACTGGTGCCTGTGGTCCCAGCTACTTGGAAGGCTGAGGTAGGAGAATGGCTCGAGCCCAGAAAATCAAGGCTGCAGTGAGCCATGATCGTGCCACTGCACTGCAACCTGGGTGACATAGTGACACCCTGTCTCAAAAAAAATTTTTTTTATTGGTAGAGATGGTGGTCTCCCTTTGTTGCCCAGGCAGGCTGGTCACCAACTCCTGGGTTCAAGTAAACTTCCCGCCTTGGCCTCCCAAAGTCTTGGAAGTACGGGGATGAGACACTGCACCCCACCATTTTTTTTTGTGATGGCATACACACCATAAAGAACTAAGATTGAAAAGGAATTGTTCATTTGAGTTTCTAAAGTTGGCCAGTATTGGCCAGGCATGGTGGCTCAAGGCCTGCAATCCCAGCACTTTGGGAGGCCAGGGCAGGTGGATCACCTGAGGTCAGGAATTCGAGACCAGCCTGGCCTACGTGGCGAAACCCCGTCTCTACTAAAAATACAAAAATTAGCTGGGCGCAGTGGCACGTGCCTGTAATCCCCGCTACTCAGGAGGCTGAGGCAAGAGAATCACCTGAACCCGGGAGACAGAGGTTGCAATAAGCTGAGATCATGCCACTGCACTCCAGCCTGGGCAACAGAGCAAGACTCCATCTTAAATAAATAAATAAATAAATAAATAAATAAATAAATAAAGTAAGTTGGCCAGTATAAAGATCACAAAAGTTAAAAAGTCAAAACAAAAATGCCCAACATGCAGGCACAGAGGTTCTTTAAGATCTCATATGCAGGCTTTGAAGTAAGCATTAAGAAAACTATATTGTTGGCCAGGCACAGTGGCTCACGCCTGTAATCCCAGCACTTTGGGAGGCCGAGGCAGGTAGATCACCTGAGGTCAGGAGTTCGAGACCAGCCTGGCCAACGTTATGAAACCCCGTCTCTACAAAAATGCAAAAATTAGCCGGGCGAGGTGGCATGCACCTGTAATCCCAGCTACTTAGGAGGTTGAGGCAGGAGAATCGCTTGAACCCAGTAGGCAGAGGTTGCGGTGAGCTGAGATCACACCACTGCACTCCAGCCTGGGCAACAGAGCGAGACTCCATCTCAAAAAAAAAGGAAAAAGAAAAAAAAAAAGAAATATTGTTGATAAGGCTAAATAGTTTCATAAATAGTACATTTTGTCAACTACTAAATAACTAGATGAGATGGCAGATTATCTATGGTACTCTTAATAATGTAAATAATTCTGTGATACAATCAGTGGATTTTAGAAAAGAAAAAATTTATATTAAATTTGCAGTTCAATAAAGTAAAATAATTTTATAACAAAACAAGATTTTGGATCGCTTGAGGGGGGTGAGGGGAGGGTCAGAGGTTGCAGTGAGCCGAGATTGTATCACTGCATCCCAGCCTGGGTGACAGAGTGAGACCCTGTCTCAAAAAAAAAAAAAATAGTATAAATATCTGTTAGCTTTATACAGTTGAAGAAATTCATAGAATATATTTAAGCTAAGAATGGGAAAGAGAGGGAAAAAATGTGTTTTTGAAACTTCAAACCATATATTTGAAAACATAATCAGATTTTAGTGTGACTGTTGTATTTATTTTATTTTATTTTATTTTATCATTTCATTTCATTTCATTTATTTCATTTTATTTTATTATTTTATTTTATTTTATTTTATTTTATTTTGAGATGGAGTCTCACTTGTTGCCCAGGCTGGAGTGCAGTGGCATGATCTTGGCTCACTGCAACCTCTGCCTCCTGGGTTCAAGTGATTCTCCTGCCTCAGCCTCCCGAGTAGCTGGGATTATAGGTGCACGCCACCACACCTGGCTAATTTTTGTATTTTTAGTAGAGATGGGGTTTCAGCATACTGGCCAGGCTGATCTCGAACTCTTGACCTCGTGATCCGCCTGCCTAGGCCTCCCAAAGTGCTGGGATTACAGGCATGAGCCACCGCGCCCGGCTTTTTTGTTTTTGTTTTTGTTTTCTGTGTGTGACAGAGTTTCGTTCTTGTTGCCCAGGCTGGAGTGCAATGACGCGATCTTGGCTCACTGCAACCTCCGCCTCCTGGCTTCAAGCGATTCTCGTGCCTCAGCCTGCAGAGTAGCTGGGATTACAGGCGTGCGCCACCACGCCCAGCTAATTTTGTATTTTTAGTAGAGACGGGGTTTCACCATATTAGTCAGGCTGGACTCAAACTCTTGATCTTAGGTGATCCCCCTGCCTCAGCCTCCCAAAGTGCTGGGATTACAGGCGTTGTGTCACCACGCCCGGCCTATATTTATGTTATTATATATCTTTATTGTTTATATTTTTGCTATGAGATGCCTAAAATCCTTTGTTGAATGTAAATAAGTAAAAATAAGTGTTTTCCTTTTTTATTCAACAGGAAAGATTGTTTAAAACTAATGAAATACCTTTTAGAACAGCTGAAAGAAAGGTTTAAAGACAAAAAACATCTGGATAAATTCTCTTCTTATCATGTGAAAACTGCCTTCTTTCACGTATGTACCCAGAACCCTCAAGACAGTCAGTGGGACCGCAAAGACCTGGGCCTCTGCTTTGATAACTGCGTGACATACTTTCTTCAGTGCCTCAGGACAGAAAAACTTGAGAATTATTTTATTCCTGAATTCAATCTATTCTCTAGCAACTTAATTGACAAAAGAAGTAAGGAATTTCTGACAAAGCAAATTGAATATGAAAGAAACAATGAGTTTCCAGTTTTTGATGAATTTTGAGATTGTATTTTTAGAAAGATCTAAGAACTAGAGTCACCCTAAATCCTGGAGAATACAAGAAAAATTTGAAAAGGGGCCAGACGCTGTGGCTCACACCTGTAATCCCAGCTCTTTGGAGGCCGAGGCAGGCGGATCACTTGAGGTCAGGAGTTTGAGACCAGCCTGACCAACATGGTGAAACTCCATCTCTACTAAAAATATAAAAATTAGCCGGGCATGGTGATGCATGCCTGTAATCCCAGCTACTCGGGAGGCTTAGACATGAGAATCACTTGAACCCAGGAGGTGGAGGTTGCAGTGAGTCAAGATGGCACCACTGCACTCCATCCTGGGTGACAGAGCAAGACTTCCTCTCAAAAAATAAATAAATAAATAAGAAAAATAAATTAGGAAATTATTAAAATAATTTTTTAGAAAAGCAACAAAATAACAAAAATTAGTGACTGTAATAATTGGAATGTTTGAAATTTGTCACAGCAATAATTGACTAAAATGAATGTAAATAATTATTCAGTTTTCAGTTTGTTGTAATAAACTCTAATCAGTATAAAGGATTGACTATCCTAGGAAAAAGATTAGTCAAGGAATAAGAAGCAAAAGTAGTATTTGAAATCTAAAAACATTACCATGTTTGCTTTATCATGCAGGCAAATAAATAAATAAATGACATTTTTAGGTTGGAATAAAAAAAGATAAAGTACATATTGCCTTAATTAAATTCATCAAGTTCTTACTGAAAAACAGCTCTCCGCCGTGCCTGGCCAGGAAATACATAATTTTTTTTTTTTTTTTTTAGATGGAGTCTCGCTCTGTCGCCCAGGCTGGAGTCCAGTGGCATGATCTTGGCTCACTGCAAGCTCTGCTTCCTGGGTTCATGCCATTCTCCTGCCTCAGCCTTCCGAGTAGCTGGGACTACAGGTGCCCGCCACCACATCCGGCTAATTTTTTGTATTTTTAGTAAAGATGGGGTTTCACCATGTTAGCCAGGATGGTCTCGATCTCCTTACCTTGTGATCCGCCCGCCTTGGCCTCCCAAAGTGCTGGGATTACAGGTGTGAGCCACCACGCCTGGCTGAAATACATAATCTTAAAAGAAAACATAAGATACTTTATTTTAATATACGTGACTAAATGTAAAACCTAACTTATTTTCTGTTATCTATTTATTTTTACTTTCAGTAACACTTTTTTTATTTTAGGTAGCATTCAGCCTAGAGGCAACTGCTGTTTGTTAAATATTTCCTGTTCATATATTTTGCACATTTTCTTATGGGTTAGTTTTCTTCTCATTGTTTTGGGAAGTTCTTAATATATTTGGGGTATTTATCTTTCATTCGTTGTCTGTGTAACAAATAACTTCTGCCATATGGGTTGTCTGCACATTTTTTGGTGTCTTTTAGTAAACAAGGTTTTTTTGTTTTGTATTGTTTTGTTTATTGTAAAGATTTTTAAATTTTAATGGAGTTGATTTCTTTTCTCATTCAAGCTTTTGAGAATAAATTGGAGTTGAATTTTTTATGGTTTTTGCTTTATACATCTTGTTTAACAGCCTACTATGTTTGAACATACTAAGAGAAACATTAGACATTTGAAGAGTTTTGGGGACAATTAATGATAAATAAACCACTATGCAAATAAAATAATCTAAGCAATTTTTTTTTTTTTTGGGACAGTCTCACTCTGTCGCCCAGGCTGGAGTGCAGTGGCACGATCTTGGCTCACTGCACCCTCCTCCTCCCGGTTCAAGCAATTCTCCTGCCTCAGCCTCCCAAGTAGCTGGGACTACAGTTGCACGCCACCATGCCTGGCTAATTATTTTTGTATTTTTAGTAGAGACAGAGTTTCACCATGTTGGTCAAGCTGGTCTCAAACTCCTGACCTCAGGTGATACACCCATCTCAGCCTCCCAAAGTGCTAAGATTACAGATGTGAGCACTGTGCCCAGCCAATCTAAGCAATTTTTAACTCCATAAGAAAAATGAATGCATGAAAGAAAAGTCTGATATAAGAATATTGCTCAGCTGTTTAAGTATTGACAAAGTCATAGTAATGTAACCATTGACTATTAATCTTATTGAAGTTATGGACTGTTGTCGACTTTAAAAAAATTAAAAACCAGGGGCGGTGGCTCACCCCTGTAATTCCAGCACTTTGGGAGGCCAAGGCGGGCAGATCATGAGGTCAGGAGTTCAAGACCAGCCTGGCCAACATGGTGAAACCTCATCTCTACTAAAAATACAAAAATTAGATGAGTATGGTGGTACGTGCCTGTAATCCCAGCTACTTGGGAGGCTGAGGCAGGAGAATCGCTTGAACCCAGGAGGCAGAGGTTGCAGTGAGCCAAGACAGTGCCGCTGCACTCCAGCCTGGTGACAGAGCGAGACTCCATCTCAAAAAAAAAAAAAAAATTAAAAAAAAACTTTTTTAATGTGAAAAGAAAGAAAGAAATTATGATTACCCACTCTGTGGTTAGGATAGGACAATAGGCTTAGTTCCTGTATGGTGACAGTGGTAGGGAGATTACATTAGTTTCCTGTGTAACAATTAACCACAACCTTAGAGGCTTAAAACAACACATATTTATTATCTCACATTTTCAGTGGGCCAAAATTCTGGGTGTGGCTCTGCTCAGAGTCTCTCAAGGCTATAATTAAGACGTCAGCCAGCGCTGTAGCCTCATCTGAGGCTTGACTGGAGAAGGAACCATTTTTGTTGGCAGAATTTAGTTCCTTTACATTTGTAGGACTGAGGGCTTCAGTTTCTTGCTGTCAGCCAGAGGTTGCCCTCAGTTCCTAGAAGCTGTCTTCAGTTCCTTACCATGTGAGCCTCCCAACATAGGCAGCCCACAACAGTAGCTCGATTCTTCAAAGCCAGCAAGGGAGGTACTCCAGCAAGAGGAGTGCTACAAACTTGTTTAACACAATTACATACACATAATTATGTACAGTCCGTTGCCTGTACTGTATTCTATTGATTGGAAGCAAGTCAAAGGTCCCTCTCATACCCAAGAGGAGAGGAATCACTCAAGGGTGTTCTTGTTGTCTCAGATGCCAGCGATACAGTTAGGGGGAAAACAGTTCCCATAAGACCACCCTCATTTCTGTCAACAATTGCAATTTCAAGGGATTCCTAAAACCACCCTGAGGTTTGATGAAAGACTCACAGAACTCACTAAAACCACTATGCTCATGGTTGCAGTTTATTATATAGTAAGCATGCAAGTTTAAATCAGCCAAAGGAAGAAGTGCGTAAGGCAGAGTTTAAGAGAGTAGCAAACACAGCACTTTCTGTTGTCTTTTGGTGGAGTCATGGACATGTTATTCTCTTGGCATCAATGTGTGCCAATACACGCAGAATATTGCCAGCCAGGGAAGCTCACCTGAGCCATGTCCAGAGTTCTTACTGCAGCTCATGGTTGGCTGGACATATGTCTAACCTCAGTCTCCAGCTCCTCTGGAAGGCAAACAGTATAAGCTGATACCATGACCCAAAGACCCCACCATAAATCACATTGTTATACTTTCTGGCACATTCCAAGAATTCAGCCATTACCTTTCAGAAGCCAAGGGCAAAGGTGAGACTTTTCTTTGGGTTAGGTTAAATTCCTTACTACATAGATATGAACCTCAGGAGGTGGGGGGCCACAGGACAACCCTGAGGGTCCGACTGTCACAGGTATGCAAAAACTGAATTAATCTTCCTTATAGTGGGAAGTCAGTAAATGTCAAATTTTTAAAACCAAGAAATTGCAGTATAAGCAAGTTATTAATGGCTAAAAGATGAAAAGGTTACATCTTGGGAGTGGAAAATGAAGGGTGGAAGGGTTCGGGACTACTTTTTTTTTTAAATAAAATGATTTTATTTAGTTAGTTTGTAAATGTGAATATAGTTGGCAAAAACCAAACCAAAACAGCATAAAACCAAAAAATGACAGTTATATGATTGATCATGCCCAAGTACAACAGCATTTATTAGTAGAATATAAAAAATAAATTTTATGGCTGGGTGCCATGGCTCATGCCTGTAATCCCAGCACTTTGGGAGGACGAGGCGGGCGGATCACCTGAGGTCAGGAGTTCAAGACCAGCCTGATCAACATGGAGAAACCCCGTCTCTACTAAAAATACAAAATTGGCCGGGTGTGGTGGCGCATGCCTGTAATCCCAGCTACTCAGGAAGGCTGAGGCAGAAGAATTGCTTGAACCTGGGAGGCAGAGGTTGCAGTGAGCCGAGATTGTGCCATTGCAGTCCAGCCTGGGCAACAAGAGCGAAATTCCATCTCTAAATAAATTAATTAAATTAAAAATAATAAAAAATTTTATTATTGTTGTTATTTATTTATTTATTTTTTTGAGACGGAGTCTTGCTCTGTCACCCAGGCTGGAGTGCAGTGGCGCGATCTTGGCTCACTGCAACCTCCGCCTCCCGAGTTCAAGCGATTCTCCTGCCTTAGCCTCCCAAGTAGCTGGGATTACAGGCACCCACCACCACGCCCACCTAATTTTTTGTATTTTTAGTAGAGACAGGGTTTCACTATGTTGGCCAGGCTGGTCTTGAATGCTTGACCTCATGATCCACCTGCTTTGGCCTTCCAAAGTGCTGAGATTAAGGCGTGAGCCACTGCGCCTGGCCTAAAAATTTTGTTATTTTTATGTGCTTTTTTTCCCCCAGCTTTGACTCTCTGGATGCTTTTGAAAGTTTGAGTTCCTAAGAAATTCCACAGCTAGAGGTTCCTACGATGTCACTGAGTGAGGTTAAGGTTCTGCTCTTATAGGGAGCATCTTATCCTTGGGGATTCTGGACAACTGGACCCCTAGGAACTTGAAAAACAGCTGCTTTCATTGGTATTCTTTTGACATGGGGAAAATATAGCCATTGTCCATTAAAACACAATCCAATTTGGGTACAAGTACTCTTCAGGTTTTCTAAGTTCTCCACAGGAATACCAAGACTAGGCTACCATCTTTTCTGACAACAGACTACTTTTTAAATAAGCTTTGTAAGTCCAAGATTTCTGGCAGAGAAATGTAAATAAAAAATAAAAACAAAAATAAATAAGTCTTGTAGAACCATTTGCTTCCATACATTACATGTATATTTGACTTTGATAAAAATGAAAACAATTTTTTTTTTTGAGACAGAATTTCCCTCTTGTTGCCCAGGCTGGAGTGCGATGACCTAATCTTGGCTCACTGCAAACTCCACCTCCCGGGTTCAAGCGATTCTCCTGCCTCAGCCTCCCGAGTAGCTGGGATTATAAGCGCCCGCCACCACATCTGGCTAATTTTGTATTTTTAGTAGAGACCGGGTTTCTCCGTGTTGGTCAGGCTGGGCTCGAACTCCTGACCTCTGGTGATGCGCCCGCCTCGTCCTCCCAAAGTGCTGGTATTACAGGCGTGAGCCACTGTGCACGGCCTGAACACATATTATTTTTAAATTTTTTCATTTTGCCGGGCGCGGTGGCCTGAACACATATTACTTTTAAATCTTTTTCATTTTGCCAGGCATGAGGGTGGATGCCTGTAATCCCAGCTACTTGGGAGGCTGAGGCAGGAGAGTCGCTTGAACCTGGGAGGCGGAGGTTGTGGGTGAACTGAGATTGTGCCATTGCACTCCAGCCTGGGCAACAAGAGTGAAACTCTGTCTCAAAAAAAAAGTAATATGTGTTCAATGTGAAAAAGTCAGATGTTCACGTTAAAGTGTAAAAAAAAACAAACAGTGAAAATACAGAGAAATAGCATTATTAATCTAACATTTTATTACTGGGTAGTGCCACGCAATTCCAGGCTCCTGGTGTCTTGTTTTGTTTGTTCATTTTTGAGACGGAGTCTCACTCTGTCACCTAGGCTGGAGTGCAGTGGCCCGATCACAGCTCACTGCAACCTCTGCCTCCTGGCATCCAGTGGTTCTCCTGCCTCAGCCTCCTGATTGGGACTGCAGGCCTGCGCCACCATGCCTGGCTAATTTTCATATTTTTAGTAGAGACGGGGTTTCACCACGTTGGGCAGGCTGGTCTCGAACTCCTGACCTCCAGTGTTCTGCCTGCCTCGGTCTCCCAAAGTGCTGGGATTACAGACGTGAGCCACCGTGCCTGGCCTGGCACTTGGTGTCTTGAACAAAGACTTGGATGAGACACACACAGATAGTAAATAAAGCAAAGCAGCAAAAGCTTATTAAGCACTCTCACAAAGGGGAGAGCTGACTGACTTCTGTGAGATGAGATCAGCCTGGTTTGTTACATTTCATGGCCTTTTCTTTTCCTCACTTGCTTACCCTCACTTTATTTCTTGTAAGCTAATTGCTCATCCTTGCTTAACCTTACTTTTTTTTTTTTTTTGAGACAGGGTCTCACTCTGTCACCCAGACTGGAGTGCAGTAGCGTGATCTCGGCTCACCGCAACCTCTGCCTCCCAGGCTTAAGTGATTCTCCTGCCTCAGCCTCCTGAGTAGCTGGGATTACAGGCATGCCCCACCACCCCTGGGTAATTTTTATATTTTTAGTAGAGATGGAGTTTCACTATGTTGGCCAGGCTAATCTCGAACTCCTGACCTCAAATGATCCACCCACCTCGGCCCCCCAAAGTGTTAGGATTACAGATGTGAGTCACCGCACCCAGCTGCTCATCTTTACTTTCATTTTTTGTGACCAAATTCCTACTGCAAGTCCTTGTGACTTATTTTTTATCCTGTATGTTTTAACTCACTGCTTACTCCCTTATTTCGTATGTTCTGCTTCTGCTATCTTACATGTTTTGTTTTTGCTATCACTTAAGCTAGCCTACATCAAAGGGTTCCCTTTGTCCCTGACTTCCTCTGCTATTCTCCTGCCTCAATTTTTCTCTGACTGATTTTAGGATTTTTGTCTTTGGTATTCTGGAGTTTTATTATGAGATGCCTGTGTATATCTTTATTAAGCAGCTGGGACCACAGGCATGTGCCACCACGCCCAGCTAATTTTGTATTTTTAGAGACAAGGTTTCATCGTGTTAGCCAGGACGGTCTTGATCTCTTGATGTCGTGATCCTCCCGCCTCGGCCTCCCAAAGTGCTGGGATTATAGGCATGAGCCACTGCGCCCAGCATTGTTCTCATTTTTTAATGTCTCTACATCCTTACAACTCCCCACTCCCAGACTTAACCAGAAACTTATTTGATTGGTCTTACTAAAGAACCTGCTGTTGGTTTTCACTGAACTGTTTTCCAATTTATTCATTTCTGCTTTTACCTTTATTTTCTTTCCTCTATTAGGTTCTCTATTTAACCTTATCGCTAATAACAGGAAGCAATTATTGCAGTAATGAAAAATTCACGTGATGAAGGCTTAAACTAATTATACACAAGTATATACTCATAAATTCTGAAAGTTAATATAAGTTACCCTCATTTATGGTGGAATACATAACATAAAACTGTAAGGGAAGGATGATGGTAATTTGATCAAAGAAAATTTCATGGAAGTGCAATTTGATTTTCCAAGGGTTTTAGCGTGAAGCCATAGGCTAAAATGAAAAGGTAAACTGTTGTTGCATATTTTGACCTTATGAAATAATTTACTGTTTCATTTCAAAGTGGGTAAAGGATAATTTAAGTATACCCCAATAAAATATTATTTAGCAAACACAAAATTAAAACGCTATACAGAAAGACAAATTATCAACTTGTCTTTTTATCACAGAAACGAACATTTATTAACAGTATTTTTTCAGGTGCTGATTCTTTGTTTGAAAACATCTTTTTCACTGCCATGACAAAATCTGAACATTAAATTCTGAAAGACTGGCCTTATGACATACAGCAAAATTACAGGAGACAGTTTAAAAGATTAAAAGAAAAACATTCTAATGCTACACTCCTTAATAAAAATCCAGGAAACAACTTCCAAGTTTAAATACTTCTATTTTTATTAAAGAAAGTATAAAACACTGGATTCTATATTTTCAAACACTATTATTTTAAGAATCAGTCAAATCAGTCCGGTCTCTTCATACTGCCAACATGTCCAATACTTCCGTCTTACTATATTTCTAAAAAATCTTGAATTCTGAAAAATAGAAAAAAAATGTAAATTGCTGACCCCAACATTGTTTTTAAAAAGCTTGTGATTAAATAAACATACCCAAATTTACCATAACCATTTTTAACTGTGCAACTCTGTAGTGTATATTCATTGTTGTGCAGTTAATCTCCAAAACTGGAGACAGCGTCCTGTTGTCCAGGCTGGAGTGCAGTGGCCCGATCTCACCTCACTGCAACCTCCACTTCCCAGATTCAAGCGATTCTCCTGCCTCAGTCTCTCATATAGCTGGGATTACAGGTTGGCGCCACCATGCCTGGCTAATTTTTGTATTTTTAATAGAGACGGGGTTTTGCCACGTTGGCCAGGTTGGTCTCAAACTCCTAACCTCAAGTGATCCGCCTGCCTTGGCCTCCCAAAAAGTGCTGGGATTAAAAGCGTGAGCCACTGTGTATGGCCTCCAAAACTTTCATGCCATGAAAAACTCTCTACCAAACAATTCCCCCTACCCACTTTCCAAGTCCTTGGTAACCACCATTCTACTTTGTCACTGTGAATTGTACTATTCTAAGTACCTCTTACAAGTGTAATAATATAGTATGTCCTTGTAATTGGCTTATTTCTCTAAGCATAATGTCCTCAAGGTTCATCTATATGACTGAGTTTTCTTCCTTTTTAGGGCTGAATGATATTCCATTGTGTTTATCTACTCATTCACTGATGGATGCTTGGGTTGTATACCCTTGACTATTATGAATAGTGCTGCTATAAACATGAGTACAAAAAGACCTGGCTTTCATTCTTTTCCATGTATACCCAGAAGGATTAAGTAATAGATATGAGTAACACCTAGTTTATTATGTTAATGACTTAGAGATCATGCTCATTGCAATAAACATTATTAACAAAGCCTAGTTTAAGTAAGCAGGCATTTTAAAGTCCATATGTTATTGAACTTTTACCTCTACCCCACTAGTACAGAAGACATTAATGAAACTTCTTGGGCCTTCCTTGAGGTCTTTCCATTTTTCTTTCCATTTCCCTTTTCTGTTGATGTGCCTTAAACCTCTCAGCCATTGATACAAGCTCCTCTGGAATACTCTGAAATTATTCAACGTGTTGTTATTAGGATTCTGAGTTCTTTTCTACAACACTAAAATGCATCCAAATCATTTCAGATAATCGCACAGCTGGTTACATGACATCCTTTAAACAGAAACAGGTATCTCGATTAAACCCTACATCCATCTACAGGCTATAAAATTTGCTGCTTCAGCTGCTTCCAAGTGCCTTTAATGTGCCTTTATATGGTAGCATTTTCTACATATTCTTTCTTACCTCTGAGCCTGAATATGTTCCCCCTGCTGGAACATTTACCCCATCTTCTACAACTTTCCCCACCTCCACTCTACATATTTCTTCCTTGGCGGGGCTTTCATTGCTCACCCCCATTAGGTTAAGTTTCCCAGTTATATGCTCCCATAGTTTCTTATCACTGCCATGCTAAAGCCCTCAAAACGTGATGAAAACTTATTTGAAGCTTCCTGATAAATAGCAAGCCATAGTACCCGGCATAACTGACTGAGATACTGATAACAGGTAGATTTCTAATGAATTGCATAGTCTCACCTGATTTGCTCTTTCCAGAATATTAATCAATTCAGAGGCAACCCTCCAATCATTTCTAGTCAAAGTTGTAATGGAAACACCAGTCCTCCTTTAGTGTGGGGGAAAAAAACTCATGTATTCATTATTCAGTTAATACAGAATAAGACAAATGAAAACTTTTTCACAGAAGCTGGAATGTATTAAGATTTAGGGTCAAACAGATTTGGAATCTAAATCTGCTGTGGTTTAAACAGCAAAGGGGGTATATGATAGTACCTCTTATTTATTTATTTATTTATTTATTTTTTGAGATGGAGTCTTGCACTGTTGCCCAGGCTGGAGTGCAATGGCGCAATCTCGGCTTACTGCAACCTCTGCCTCATGGGTTCAAGTGATTCTCCTGCCTCAGCCTCCCGAGTAGCTGGGACTACAGGCGCCCGCCACCACGCCCAGGTCAATTTTTTGTATTTTTAGTAGAGACGGGGTTTCACCGTGTTAGCCACGATGGTCTCAATCTCCTGACCTCATGATCCACCTGCCTCGGCCTCCCAAAGTGCTAGGATTACAGACGTAAGCCACCGTGCCCGGCCCAGTGGTAGCTCTCTTAAGAGGAAAAAGGTCGTCTCATATCCATACCAATTTGTCAATAACCTTCAGAGTAACCACTGGGTACAGAGCTCAGCGGTGACACTAGATATAAAACACATAGAACCAGATATAAGAAGCTAATCATGGATGGAATCTGGTTGAGTCTGGAACAAGCCAAATGAACAGGGATAAATAAAGTAGCAAGTATAATCTGGGAAGTAGCTGAAAAATTATAGGTAATAGAATAAAATGGTTTTCTGGGCAAGAAGTTTGTGAGAGGAATAAGGAGAATCTAGAATTGGCCTTTCATGGGTGGACTAAGCTTACTTACCCTGCTCTTCCCGTGCGCCCTATTCGGTGTACGTATTCTTCAATATTCCGTGGAAAGTCAAAATTATAGACATGTGTAACGTCATGGACATCAAGTCCTCTAGAGGCTAGATCAGTTGCAATTAGTATTCTCACTTTGCCTAAAAAGTAAAGCCAAATGAACACTGAACCATTCTGGTATAAACCAACCCAAGATCTAAAAATAATATTTGCCCTAACTAATTTAATCAATTTTATTTCTTACTGTTTACATTAAAATGCTTACTTTGTGAAAATGGAAAAGTAACTGCCGGCAAGTTACAAGATACCATGGTTCAGCAAATGGGTCCTAAACCCTTCGAACCATGACAGAAAGATACATTTTTCAGATAACTTCAGATATATTTTCTGTTGCATATTAATACCTTGATATCCAAGTTTAAAGTCTTGTGTTTATTTAATACTTAAAGGCAGATTAATGTTTAGAGCTCTAATGAGTGTAGTTGTAGGATACAGAAGGTGAGGACAGATCTTAGAAATAAATGGGTTTCATGAAAAGATGTTACTCAGCCAAGCCCAGGTATTGCACTAATTTTAAACTGTATGAAATACTAATTACATAAACATACCTGTTTTAAAGTTCTCTAATGCTTTCTCCCGATCTCTCTGTTCTCTATCTCCATGCAGAGACTCTACTGATATATTTCCAAGTATTAGGTCACTTGATAAGTGATCCGCACTGAAGCAAAAGATAAACTCAGCATTCTTAGGTGCTTATTCTAATGCCACCAGTTTTACTTCTGTTAGCAAAAATCTAAAGTAACATAACAGACTTATCACCCCCATTTGGAATTAGTATACAAATAGAAATGATCCTAATCAATTTAATTAATTATAATGGACACACAAGAAAAAATACCTACACAGCTTTTCGAGAAACGAAGACAATGACTTTGTCTGTGGATGACATACTCTGTAGAAAAGTTTGCATGTGACTCCATTTCTCTTCCTCGGTGGTTACAATTATATTTTGCTTCACTGAACTTACAGCCTAAAGGATTCAAAGAACATAGTTCATCAAGGTCATCATGATTGAGGGTGAGACCGCATACATCAGCTCAAAATGCATCTTCTCTCTCATTGGTTAATGTTTTTAATAAACTGCTAAGCAAAATGGCAGACGTCCTAAAAAAATTACCTGTTTCTACTCAAGATTTGTATCTTAGATGTCACTTAACCTCAAAATACTATTGGTACCATTCCTTCAACCAACTATTTGTCTCTAATCATTTTATTTCATTTATTTATTTTTGAGACAGAGTCTCACTCTGTCGCCAGGGCTGGAGTGCAGTGGCGCAATGTCGCTAACCATTTTATAAAACAAATGTTAAATGGATCACCATTTGTAAATCTCTAATGAAATAAGGGGTGTAAGCAATGACCCATTATTATTAATGATTAAGTGAAAGGCCAATTTCATTTATTAATGATTAAGCAAAAAGCCAGAAAGAGAACTTTATATTATAATGGAGGGTTCCCACTGACAACACATGAACCCAATATTCAGTCTTAACTTCATAAAGGGAACAGACTTATATTTATGTATATATGTAGACCTACGTTTAGACCCTGATTCTAACAGGGTTAAAATTAGGTATCAGAAAAATATAAACCCTGACTTTGCTGGGTGCGGTGGCTCACGCCTGTAATCCCAGCACTTTGGGAGGCCAAGGGGGCAGATCGCCTGAGGTCAGGAGTTTGAGACCAGCCTGGCCAACATGGCAAAACCCTGTCTCTACTAAAATACAAAACTTAGCCAGGAGTAGTAGCCATGTTTGTAACCCCAGCTACTCAGGAGGCTGAGGCACAAGAATCACTTGAACCCAGGAGGCAGAGGTTGCAGTGAGCTGAGATCACCCCACTGCACTCCAGCCTGGGCAATACAGTGAGACTCTGACACACACACACACACACACACACGCTATATATCACTTGCACATGCGTGCGCACGCACGCGCACACACACACACGCGCGCGCGCACACACACACACACACACACACACACACACTATATATATATATCACTTGAACCCAGGAGGCAGAGGTTGCAGTGAGCCGAGATCACCCCACTGCACTCCAGCCTGGGCAATACAGTGAGACTCTGACACAAACACACACACACACACACTCTCTCTCTCTCTCTCTCTATACATATATAGGCCCTGACTAGAGGTTGATGGTATTAGCTGATTATTGAAATTTCAAATGAGATAATCGTATTACAGCTCTATTAAAACTATATGCAAGTGTGATTTGCCCTAAAATTGGGGAGTGGGCAGACTAGGCACACCAAAATTAGCTATCTTCAGAATTTTCATAAGAAATGTTAAACAATAGTAATAAAAAAAAGCTTACAACTAGATCCAATGTACCAACATAGACAATCATTGGTTCTTTCAAATAAGATTGTGCGAGGCGATGAACTGAATGAGGCCATGTAGCACTGGGAATACAAGTTACAAACATTACAATTTTGTTGTAAAAACATTACTATGTTTCCTTAAGCATGCTATGAACCAAGTTACTCATGAAAGACAAATTTAGTACTTATTTTTTCAATAAGTAAGGCAAATTTAACAGTTAATTCACTAATTACTCAACTACTGTAAAGCTATTAGATGAAACAAATATGTTTAATAAATAGGTTTTTGGCTGGGCCCAGTGGCTCACGCCTGTAATCCCAGCACTTCGGGAGGCCAAGGCGGGTGGATCACCTGAGGTCAGGAGTTCAAGACTAGCCTGGCCAACATGATAAAACCACGTCTCTACTGAAAATACAAAAATCAGCTGGGTGTGTTAGCGGACGCCTGTAATCCCAGCTACTCCGGAGGCTGAGGCAGGAAAATGGCTTGAGCCCAGGAGGCGGAGGTTGCAGTGAGCCAAGATTGTGCCACTATACTCCAGCCACCGCAACAAAAGCGAAACTCCGTCTCATAAATAAGTAAATAAATACTAGGTTTTTATGAACCAAAGGATACCTGTACACCTTCAACTAAATACTAATCTATGAAAAGCTAAGGCCGTGTGTGGTGGCTCATGCCTGTAATCCCAGCACTTTGCGAGGCTGAGGAGAGGCGGATCACTTGAGGTCAGGAGTTTGAGACCAGCCTGGTCAACATGGGGAAAGTCTGTGCCTACTAAAAATACAAAAATAAGTCAGGCGTGGTGGTGCGTGCCTATAATCCCAGCTACTCGGGAGGCTGAGGCAGAAGAATCACTTGAATCTGGGAAGCAGAGGTTGCAGTGAGTGGAGATCATGCCACTGCACTCCAGCCTGGGTGACAGAGTGAGACTCTGTCTCAAAAAAAAAAAAAGAAAGAAAAGAAAAAAAGGTACTAAAAGGGATTACTATTAGGTTAATTTTATCTCCTGGCCTTTATAAACGACAAAAAAATTCCAATTTTTCATAGGGTCAGCAGGCAATACCAAGTATTTAAGCCAAATAAATTTTTTTTTTTTTTTTTTTTTTTTTGAGATGGAGTCTTGCTCTGTCACCCAGGTTGGAGTGCAGTGGCGTGATCTCGGCTCACTGCAAGCTCCGCCTCCCAGGTTCACGCCATTCTCCTGCCTCAGGCTCCCGAGTAGCTGGGACTATAGGCGCCCGCCACCACTCCCGGGTAAATTTAGTAGAGACGGGGTTTCACCGTGTTAGCCAGGATGGTCTCGATCTCCTGACCTCGTGATTCGCTCGTCTCGGCCTCCCAAAGTGCTGGGATTACAGGCGTGAGCCACGGCGCCTGGCCATAAAAATCTTTTAAAAGGTTGTTGGCTCATGCCTGTAATCCCAGCACTTTGGGAGGCTTAGGTGGGTGGATCACTTGAGCTCAGGAGTTCAAGACTAGCATGGGCAACATGGTGATAACCCTGTCTCTACAAAAAATACAAAAATGAGCTGGGTGTGGTGGCATGCACCTGTAGTTCCAGTTACTCAGAAGGCTGAGGTGGGAGAATCGCTTGAGCTGGGAAGGCTGAGACTGCAGTGAGGCAAAATGGTGCCACTGCATTCCATCCTGGGTGACAGAGTGAGACCCTGTCTCAAAACGCAAAACAAAACAAACCTTCAAAATATACTGATCAAAGAATATCTGCATTTAAATGTTTCCTCAACTATATATAAAATAATGAAAGTGACCACTTTGTATACCTTCACAGTAATTCAATAAAATCTAAGTTCTCTTTTCTTGGGCTGGGCATCGTGGCTCAAGCTTGTAATCCCAGCACTTTGGGAGGCCTAGACAGATGAATCACCTGAGGTCAGGAGTTTGAGACCAGCCTGGCCAACATGGCGAAACCCCATCGGTAAAAATACAATAATTAGCTGGGCATGGTGACGTGTGCCTGTAGTCCCAGCTACTCAGGAGGCTGAGACAGGAGAATTGCTTGAACCCGGGAGGCAGAGGTTGCAGTTAGCCGAGATCGCGCTGCTGCACTCCAGCTTGAGTGTCAGCGAGACTTTGTCTCAAAATAAATAAATACATTCACTTTTCTTGAAATAGGAAGGTTATTTGTAATAAAACTATGTGAGGGGATTTTGTATTTTTTAAATTTTATATTATTTATACTAATAAAGACAAAGTATATAAGCCCAGGATATATCATTCTTTTTTTTTTTTTTTTGAGACAGATTTTCACTCTTGTTGCCCAGACTGGAGTGCAGTGGCATGATCTTGGCTCAGTGCAACCTCTACCTCCCAGGTTCAAACGATCCTCCTGCCTCAGTCTTCCTAGTAGCTGGGACTACAAGTGTGCGCCACTATGCCCGGCTAAGTTTGTATTTTTAGTAGAGACGAGGTTTCACCATGTTGGCCAGGCTGGCCTCAAACTCCTGACCTCGGGTGATCCACCCACCTCGGCCTCCCAAAGAGCTGGGATTATAGGCGTGAGCCAGTTTGCCCAGCCAATGTTGTTATTTATACTAATAAAGGATATAAGCCTAGGAGATATCATTCTTTATAGATCACTCATTCAAATAATCATTGCTTCCTGTTTTATTGTGAGCAATAAGTATTCAGTAATCAAATGCTTATCTCCTTAGACAAGTGAACCCTTTATTCAAAAGTGAGACCTTACTATGATAAGTAAATGTTTGTGTTGAAATCCCTATCTGTAACTTAGGAAACCCAATAGTCATGAATAAGCACTTATTGTTACACTGTTCTACTTCCAATGTTATGAGATCTTTCACCTAAAGATTTCAACACTTCCAAGTAATGCTCAAATATTGTGGGAAAATCCAAACAGAATGAGATTCTATTCCACTGATTTCTATTCTGCACACAGTAATTAAGCATATACGTACCTGGTCATAACTGTCTGCCTATCTGGGCGCACATCTAACAAAATCTTCATTATCTGGGGTTCAAATCCCATGTCCAACATCTTGTCTGCTTCATCTAAAACCTGCATTGACAAAAAAGAATGTGGTTAGATTAGATATGGGAGGCAGGTAATAATACATATGCTTTCTTTATTAGTAGAACACTAAGAAAGGCTTTTCTCATTTCCCCTATTACTTAAGCCACGATTCTAATTTCTCCAGAGGTCAGAATACTAAGCAATTTGTCATTGTACACTGTCTACATGGATTTTTGTTGGCTTTCCAATAGCTTCCAAATCTCCTTAAACAAAATTTTAAGTGTCTAAAATATCCAAGTAGATTTTAATTACTGTGTACCTATTTTCCAAAATTTAAAGTAAACATGCATGATAATTTCAAATAGAAGTCTTAATTCTTTCAACATGCTAAAGAGAATGAGAAATATTCCTACAGCCATTATAAAATCGACAGCCATAGCCTGGCGTGTTGGGTCACGCCTGTCATCCCAGCACTTTGGGAGGCCGAGGCAGGCGGATCACCTGAGGTTAGGAGTTTAAGACCAGCCTGGCCAACATGATGAAACCTCGTCTCTACTAAAAAGAAAAAATTAGCCAGGTGTGGTGGTGGGAGCCTGCAGTCCCAGCTACTTGGAAGGCTGAGGCAGGAGAATCACTTGAACCTGGGAGGCGAAGGTTGCAGTGAGCCAAGATCATGCGACAGCACTCCAGCCTGGGCAACAAGAGCAAAACTGTGTCTTAAAATAAAAAAATAAAAAATAAAATCGACAGCCATTCTAAAAGAAACTGATACCCAAGCACTTGGGAGTTGATTAAAACTATTAAAAGCTCAAGGGGAGGGAAGAGAAATAAAATAATAGTTCAGTCATTTTTTATTTTTTGAGATGGAGTTTCGCTCTTGTTGACCAGGCTGGAGTGCAATGGCATGATCTTGGCTTTCTGCAACCTCTGCCTCCCAGGTTCAAGTGATTCTGTCTCAGCCTCCAGAGTAGCTGGGATTACAGGTGCATGCCACCACACCTGGCTAATTTTTGTATTTTTAGTAGAGACGGAGTTTCATCATATTGGTCAGGTTGGTCTCGAACTCCTGACCTTAGGTGATCCACCTGCCTCGGCCTCCCAAAGTGCTCGGATTACAGGCGTGACCCACTGCGCCCGGCCAGTTCAGTTATTTTTGAACCCAGCATCTCAAACCCCTATTTCCATGATTACCAAGTAGGTTATATTCTTCAGATTGACGAAGTTACTCATTTGCAGATCATTCAATCTTCCGGGAGTTGCAATTATGATATCTACACCTTTTTTAAGCTCTTCTATTTGTTCATCTCTATTTCCACCACCATATACACAAACACTTAAAAAGAAAAAATCTAAAGGTTAATGTTTAGGCACAGAATATCTCATCACAACTTAAAATCCAATAAAAGGGATAAAAATCAATTATCAGGTACCTTTAGGGGTATCTGCCCCTTTCTGAGAATTATGTACACCCATCAATCCATAATGTTGTATCCTAAAGAGCAATATTTGTACCATCACCTGACCCAGGCTCTGACTGATTAGAGTAGTGCTAAATGCCTGACCCATGCTGAGCCATTTGGATTCTCTGAATGTGTGAAAAATGATGGGGAAGATGTGTAAAGCTACAAATGATTAAAATATGATACTGGTGAAGGAATGGGAAAAAAAATTACTTACCTCCGAAGCCCTTTATATGAATATTTGCAACATTCTCCTTCTACTTGAAGTGCTAATTCCCGAGTGGGAGTTAGAACTAACATGCCGGGTCTATTCCTTTGACCTTTAAGGCTTTGGAGAGAAAACAGATTAATATTAAATTACTTGTCTCAGATGCACGGTACATTTATTCAGTACCATCAAGATTTGTAGCAACAAGCCAGACGTGGTGGCTCACGCCTGTAATCTCAGCACTTTGGGAGGCCAAGGCAGTCGGATTACCTGAGGTCAGGAGTTTGAGACCAGCCTAGCCAACATGGTGAAACCCCATCTCAACTAAATATACAAAAAATTAGCCAGACATGGCAGCAGGCGCCTGTAATCCCAGCTACTTGGGAGGCTGAGGCAGGAGAATCACTTGAACCCAGGAGGCGGAGGTTGCAGTAAGCCAGGATCACGCCACTGCACTCCAGCCTGGGCAATAAGAGCAAAACTTTGTCTCAAAAAAAAAATTTGTAGCAATGAGTATCAGTTAGACATAGTCAGACTATGCCTTTTTGTGAGAAGGTATATGATTAAAAGTAGTCTCTCTATATATTACAGACTTTGCTAATTATGATCTACGTACCTAAAAAATGGCTGATATTACACAGAATATGCCAAATTCCCCATAAGAAAATGTATTATTTTCTCAGATTTAAGATTGCTTTACTGAGAGATTAGTGTTAGTTTCTATGTACTTTTTCTTATTACAAAACCAATATATATTTACCATAAAGTAGGGAAATTTTAAAAAGCCACACACCCTAAAACCCAACTTCCCAATACCAGCCTTTTGTTTAAGATGGTCTTTTCATTAACATCTAAAATGTCAAATATTTTATCATGGAATAGATAAGTGTATTGGACATAGTTTAAACAGTTTCCACTGTTTCACTACTAAGGCTTTTGGTAGATATTACCTATTGCCTCCTAAAAATGTTTTGCCAGTTTATACTTTCACCAGCACAATCTAAGTGTTTAATTCCTTGCATCTTCTCTGAAGCTAGGCATTACCTTTGGATCAAGCAATAGGTAAAGAAACTTTAATTACATTTTTGATATCTAAATCTATTAAACCTCTATAAGAAGAAACCAGCCATAGGAATTCTTACCTGGGTTGAAGGACCAGATGAATAAATCCAGGCATTAAATAACACAATGTCTTTCCTGTTCCAGTCTGGGCTACTCCTATAAGATCTATTCCTTGCAACACAATGGGCCATGCCTGTGACTGAAACGGAATGATAAACATTAACACAAAAAGTACATCTTTTGCTGGGCGCAGTGGCTCACGCCTGTAATCCCAGCACTTTGGGAGGCCGAGGCGGGCAGATCTCCTGAGGTCGGGAGTTCGAGACTAGCCTGACCAACATAGAGAAACCGTCTCTACTAAAAATACAAAAATTAGCTGGGCGTGGTGGCACATGTCTGTAATCCCAGCTACAAGGGAGGCTGAGGCAGGAGACTTGCTTGAACCTGGGAGACAGAGGTTGTGGTGAGCCGAGATTGCACCACTGCATTCCAGCCTGGGCAACAACAGCAAAACTGTCTCAAAAAAAAAAAAAAAAAGTACATATTTTTTGCCAACTGTTCCTTCTTTCCCAGCTCCAAACTTCTTTCAACAAAGATTTTTTGAACTCTAGGGAGAAGGTGCTGGTGGAATGCTAAGACAGTTGCTCCCTGGAGTCTTCTAACAATCAGATATCACTGGTTTCGAAGAAAAACATTGAGTGAAATATTGTAATTAATGAAAGCATACCTGAATAGGTGTTGGCTTTTGAAAACCTGCCTTTTTAATGTTTTCCATAACCTCAGGATAACATTGAAAGGCGTCATCAAATGTGCAGGTAGGATTGGGGATAGGTCGTTTCTCCCCATCCTTCAAGTCATCCCACGTTATATTAAAATTTTCTTTCCTTCAAAGAATAAAAAACATCAGTGGCTTTCCTCACTTTACTCCCCAAGCAAGACATTCTCCAAAATCAGTGCTGGTCTTATCTAGAAATTCAACTGCAACTGATTAAAATGAGACTGTCAGGGAAGTTATAATGAAATGCATAAAGAAATAGAAGCAGGAGTCCATCTGTCTCTTATCTGAGAATAGTTGCAATGGGAAACTTAAAAACATTATACATTAGTAGGTCAATGAATGTTTCATGGATCAAAGATGAGGAGCCTGAAAATCATGCTTCATAAATTAAAACCAGATTTGGCAAACATTGAGGGCCTACGATGTTCCACACATATTTCATTAATGCATCCTTAACAATCCTATGTGTTAGGAAGTATTCTCAATTTGACAGGTGATCATACAGTAAGTTACCCTGCTCCTCACCTTAACCATTCTGCTATTCCATGCATCTCTTAGTTTTATCAGACTTTAATAGTAAGAAAAACCATTGCAATTAAAACCTTCCAATTTCAGGTAGCAAGGACTGAAGAGTTTAAGAAATTAACAAGATTAGATCTTTTTTTTTTTTTCAATTCAACTATTGGAGAAATAATTCTCTAAAATTGCTGTCCAATATAGTAGGCACTAGCCACACATGGCTATTTCAATTTCATATAAACATTCATTTGCTCAATTACACCAGCCATACTTTAAGTGCCAGTTACTCCATTAGACACAAATATAGACCATTTTCCATCACTGCAGGAAGTTTTACTAGACAACAATGTTCTAAAATATCATGTAAGTTGACACATTTTCATTTGAATATTGAAGGCGTAGCCTTCAAATATCATTTCACATTTGCCCGAAGTGTTAATACCAATAACGTAACTATACAAATACTTACACAACTAGGTAATGAAACTACCCACCTCCAACTATCTGCTTCTACTTTTGACATGGCACTTGTGGCAGTGGACTCTTTATAAAAGTTTTTCTTAATTGGTGGTAAATCTGGGACAAAGGCGAAAATCCACACTTTGATAAATTTTACAGCATCATGAATACTTAGTCAAAGCTACAGAAATCATACTACAATATATTTTATTTACCATGCATACCATTTGATAGTTCTACACTTTGCCAACGAGGCTTGCTCCCATCGAAGAGATCTCCCTTTCTGGAGGTTAGGCACAGTAGCTTACACCTCTAATCCCAGCACTTTGAGAGGCTGGCATGGGAGGATCACTTGAGCCTGGGCAAAATAGTGACACCCTGTCTCTACGGAAAATTTTTAAAGATTAGCCTGGTGGCCAGGCGCAGTGGCTCACACCTGTAATCTTGGCACTTCAGGAGGCTGAGGCGGGTGGATCACCTGAGGTCAGGAGTTTGAGACGAGCCTAACCAACATGGTGAAACCCATCTCTACTAAAAACAAAAAAATACAAAAATTCTCCCGGCACAGTGGCGCATGCCTGTAATCCCCGCTACTCAAGAGAGGCAGAGGTTGCAGTGAGCCAAGACAGCGCCATTGCACTCCAGCCTGGGCAACAAAAGTGAAACTCTGTCTCAGAAAAAAAAAGGGGCCGGCGGCGGCGGCTCACGCCTGTAATCCTAGCACTTTTGGGAGGCCAAGGCTGGTGGATCACCTGAGGTCAGGAGTTCGAGACCAGCCTGGCCAACATAGTGAAACCCCATCTGTACTAAAAATACAAAAAATTAGCTGAGCATGGTGGCAGACGCCTGTAATCCTAGCTACTCAGAAGCCTGAAGTAGGAGAATCACTTGAACCCAGGAGGCAGAGGTTGCAGTGTGCCAAGATTGCGCCACTGCACTCCAGCCTGGGCAACAAGAGCGAAACTCCATTTAAAAAAAAAAAAAAAAAAATTAGCCTGGCATGGTGGTATGTGCCTGTAGTCCCAACTACTTGAGAGGCTGAGGTGGGAGGATCACTTGAGCCTGGGAGATGGAGGCTGGAATGACCTGTGATTTTGCTACTTCACTCTAGCCTAGGCAACAGAGTGAAACCCTCAAAAAAAATTTAATAAAAATTAAAATGAAGCATGCTTTGTAAGACATCAAACACCACAACTGATAAATATACTCCCACACATAATAGTTTGATTATCTTTTCTTTGAGGGTCCATCCAATTACTTTTTTAGAAATTAAACTTATATCCTTGGTCTACTCTCTTAAGTTACATTTCTTTTCTTTTCTTTTCTTTTTTCTTTTTGAGATGGAGTCTTACTCTGTCGCCCAGGCTGGAGTGCAATGATGCAATCTCGGCTCACTGCAACCTCCACCTCCTGGGGTCAAGCGATTCTCCTGCCTCAGCCTCCTGAGTAGATGGGATTACAGGCATGTGCCACCGCGCCCAGCTAATTTTTGTATTTTTAGTAGAGATGGGGTTTCACCATATTGCCCAGGCTGGTTCTTGAACTCCTGACCTCAGGTGATCCACCAGCCTCGGCCTCCCAAAGTGCTGGGATTACAGGCGTGAGCCACTGGGCCCGGCCTAACTACATTTCTTAAAAGCTTATTATACCTCTTCCAAACTTAAATCCTTTCCCTGGTCTCTGATCCCAAATCTTCCCAACACAAACTGTTTAGGCCACACAGGAAACTTAACTTGCAGAGGTCTTGACCAACATAGTAGCAATAACTGTCAATATTTTGGTAACATATTAGTGCTTTTGAATTTTAAATAAAAGATGTTGTATTGCTGCCTCCTCCCGAGAGCCAAGGCTAGTGCTTGAATAATGAAGCATTATCCCCCATATATAATGTTCCACGTGAGAAATCTCATTTAAAATTCAAACAAAAGGGCTGGGTGGGGTGGCTCACGCCTGTAATCCCAGCACTTTGGGAGGCCAAGGCAGGTGGATCACTTGAGGCCAGGGGTTTGAGACCAGCCTGGCCAACATGGTGAAACCCCGTCTCTACTAAAAACATAAAAATTATCTGGGCTTGCTGGCACACATCATAATCCCAGGTACTTGGGAGGCTGAGGCACAGCAATCACTTGAGCCTGGGAGATGGAGTTTGTGGTGAGCCAAGATCACGCCACTGCACTCCAGCCTGGGTGACAGAGCAAGACCCTACCTCAAAAAATAAAATAAAATTCAAACAAGGCTGGGCACAGTGCCTGACATCTGTAATCCCAGCAGTTTGGGAGGTTAAGAGGAGAGGATCACTTGAAGCCAGGAGTTCGAGACTAGCCTGGACAGGATAGTGAGATCTCATCTTTAAATTGAAAAATAAAAATCAAAAACAAAATTTAAACAAACAAACAAAATGCTGCCAAGAACTGTAATGCTTCTTATGATTTAATGGCTTTCCCTTTTTTTTTGCTCTTGTCAACCAGGATACTCCAAGATCTATTTTTACTCAATCACAGCAACAATGTTAACTTATGGTTTGCATGTTTACTCCCTTCCTATTTTCCCATTGGGACTGATTTTTTCCTATTTTATTAGCCCTTTGCAGTGAATTACCGCTGACAGACTATAAATAGGTTTAATATTTCCCCTACAGCATAAATGACAGCTGATAACATAGAAACTATCATAACCTAGGGACTAATTGCAGCATTTTAGATTTTACTATTTTCATATACATTTCATTACTAAAAATAAAGCACAGACATTGTACAGAGAATAAAAACTGCAGTTAACAGAAACAATATATGTAAATATTAGGAAGCAGCACTGACCTGCCCACTTTGTTTTTTGCCATTTCAAACCTTCCTCTCTAATTTGATCCCAATCTATCAATGGCCGATCTCCTGCAACAACATTGTTATCTGTGCTTCCATCTTTTCCAACAGAAGGTTGGAATGCAGTATCTGTTAAAAACATTTGTATCGATTAGTTTTTTTCTATTTTTTTTTTTTTTTTTTTTTGAGATGGAGTCTCGCTCTGTCCCCCAGGCTGGAGTGCAGTGGCGCGATCTCGGCTCACTGCAAGCTCCACCTCCCGGGTTCCCGCCATTCTCTTGCCTCAGCCTCCCCAGCAGCTGGGAGTACAGGCACACGCCGCAACGCCCAGCTAATTTTTGTATTTTATAGTAGAGACGGGGTTTCACCGTGTTAGCCAGGATGGTCTCGATCTCCTGACCTTGTGATCCACCCACCTTGGCTTCCCAAAGTGCTGGGATTACAGGCGTGAGCCACCATGCCTGGCCTCTATTTTGTTTTTTAATAAACAGACAATGCTTAAAATATAAAATTTGGGGTTTCTGTACTACATTAACATGACAACCTTGTCATTTGTTATCATTCAACAACTTATAAAAATTTAATTTTATTGGAGAAGGTAAGTAAAATAGCACAAGTCTAATGTTTGCTAAAATATTGTCATACCCATTACTCAGTCGTTAGAATAATAGTCCTGGGAAGCAGATATTATCTCAGATGAGTAGATGAAGAGCCAGGCTTGGTAGCTCACTCCTGTAATACCAGCACTTTGTGAGGCTGGTGTGGAGGATCGCTTGAATTCAGGACTCAAGACTAGCCTAGGCAACGTGGTGAAACCCCATCTCTACTCTACAAAAAATTTAATTAGCTGGGTGTGGTGGCACACACCTGTGGTCCCAGCTACTTGACAGGCTGAGGTGGGAGAATCACTCCCGCCCAGGAGGTCAAGGCTATAATGAGCCATGATCACACCACTGCACTCCAGCCTGGAAAACACAGTGAGAACCTGTCTCAAAACAATTTTAAAAATAAAATAAAAATAAAAATAAATAAATGAGTCAGATATAAAAATAGAATCTTAGACCTTGTCTTTTTCCCCAAGAAACACTAAAAGGCAATGGTGCCTTCTAAACCCAGGTGTCTCTATTCTACTTTCACATTGCATCTAGATATGATTCAGTAATTGTTTTCTCTATTCTAAACAGATCTGAGATTTTTAAAATAACCAAATATTTAAGCAGTTTTCAATGTCAGCCATGAATCTGAAGACAAGACTAGGGTTAGGATCCTGGGACCAATCCTTACTCTACCCACTAACACTAAAGTGTGTGTATTAAAGGGTTATTTCCCTGCTTGTGAGAACTAGATTAATACAAAGACAAAAAATAAATAAATAAAAATAAAGGGTTATTTCATTTTCACTTACCTGTGGCTAAAAGTAAAACTGCTAGGCATGAACATAGAGCTCTGGTATTTTAATTTGAGGAAAAATATTCTGGGCTTTCATTCATAGTAAAAAATCATTAAGACTGCATTTATGGCAGCCTAATGCTTTGAATCAGAAAGTGAAATCAGGTATAATGGCTTATAACACTGAATGAAATTAAAAACTTTTAAAGGGGTTCAGTGGGAGAAAATTACTTACCAATTCCGCATTCTGAATTGTAATTTTCTTCTAGCTTTTTAACAAAATTGTCTATCACTGCTTTTGCTTTCGTTTGCATTGCCTTGCTGCCAAAAATTTTGACTAATGATTCTGGTTGTTCTTGTATTATCTAGGTACAAGGGGAAAAAGAGGTGAGACTTAAAATTTCCCTAAAAAACATAAAAAGTTCCCTAAGCCCCTAACCCCTTCCAACAATCACTCAACTTCAAAATCTATTACAGTATAAAGTAAATACAGTATTACCACCAATCAATGTCTAAATTTCTAGTTAGAGAGGAATACTACTTATATTTACTCTGGGATTTACCTCCTAGTCAGATGGAGAGGGGCAGGACAACCTGAACATTTAAAATTGGATAGCTAGGGAATAAACTCAGCAAATAGTGTAGAGAAATAATTAAGGCACTAACCTGACAGGTAATATTATTTTGATTCTGAGGTCTCCAACCTATAAAATGGTATTTGTTTCGCTAATTTTACAGAATTGTAGGGCTGAAATGACATAATCTATGCACTATATAGAGAGTTCACTGAACTGCCAGGTTACTTAGGTAAATTTTTAACTTGATGGGATTCTATCCTTAACTCATGTATACTGTCAGGGGCTTACGTTTACAAGACTGACACATTTTGTGAATAGAATCTACAAGTAACACCTATCAACATCCATAATTTCAAATACCCTAATGGATTCAATATTTATCTAGAAAATACTATACACCAAATTTTGTCTTAGGTTGGCAATTCAAACAATGTTTATCAACTACAGTATTTACACGCACTATAACTCTGTATGAGTGCTGAAACGAGGCCATTATGGGATGCTATGGAAATGGACAGCTACACAGAATGGGGGCCTTAGACTTCCCTGAAAGGTGAGAAGGAATTATTTATGAGGAAAAAGCTATGGTAGCAGCGTATGTCAGGAAGTGGGTGGAGTACTCAAGGAATTAGGGGAGAGGACACTGGAGAGAGTGAACAGGCCAGAATCAAGTCAGCAACTTTAAGGAGTCTAGACTTACAGGCCTGAGATACTATGAAAGGCTTTCACATAGGAAAAGGACACAAATAATTTGTGTTTTAAAATGATTGTTCTAGCCAAGCGCAGTGGCTCACACCTGTAATCCCAGCACTTTGGGAGGCTGAGGCGGGTGGATTATTTGAGGTCAGGAGTTTGAGACCAGCCTGGCCAACATAGTGAAACCCTGTCTCTACTTAAAGTACAAAAATTAGCCAGGTGAGCTGGAAGGGCACCTGTAATCCCAGCTACTCTGGAAGCTGAGGCAGGAGAATCTCTTGAACCCAGGAGGCAGTGGTTGCGGTGAGCTAAGAGCACACCAGTGCACTTCAGCCTGGGCGACAGAGCAAGACTCCGTCTCAAAAAAATATAAAAAAATAAAATTATTGTTCTGACCACAGTGGAGAATGATTAGAGGATACAAATGGAAGCAGGACATACAGTTAGTGGGGAAGGCAAATGATGACATTCCCCTTGAGAAGTACAAGAAATAGTCAAGACCTAGCGGTGAATGAGAATAAGGAAATACCAATGTGGATAGTCAGATTACAAACTTGTAAACTCAGTGAATGTTGCTACCATTCACTAAGATTGAGAATACAAGAGCTAGCCAAAGTTTGAGGAAAGGGGTTCTCTCTGGAAGGAAGACCTTTTGGACATGATGAATATTCCAGTGATCTCATTCTTATGCAGATTATCTCTAACGATTTTTACCTCCGAATATTCCAGTGATCTCATTCTTATGCAGATTATCTCTAACGATTTTTACCTCCGACTGGGCCTGGTGGCTCACGCCTGTAATCCCAGCACTTTGGGAGGCAGAGGTGGGCGGATCACCCGAGGTCAGGAGTTCAAGACTAGCCTGGCCAACATGGTGAAACCCCATTTCTACTAAAAATACAAAAATTAGCCAGATATGGTGGCGGGGGCCTGTAATCCCAGCTACTCCAGAGGCTGAGGCAGGAGAATTGCTTCAACCCGGGAGGCAGAGGTTGCAGTGACCCAAGATCGTGCCACTGCACTCCAGCCTGGGCGACAGAGTGAGACTCTGTCTCAAAAAAATAAAAAAGATTTTTACCTCCAAGAGTCCCAAAACCTACACCTGGAACAGCTTAAAATTCAGGTGGCTTCTTGAGAATAAGGAGTATGAAGAACTTTGGCAACTTACCTAATTTACCCTAGTATGTTAATAACTCAGCAGAAATTAGAGTTAAGGCCTGGTGCAGTGGCTCATGCCTGTAATCCCAACACTTTGGGAGGCCAAGGCAAGTGGATCACTTGAGGCCAGGAGTTGAGAGCAGCCTGGCCAACACGGTAAAACCCCGTCTCTACTAAAAATAAAAAAATAAAATAAAATAAATTAGCTGGGCTTGGTGGTGGGAACCCGTAATTCCAGCTACTCAGGAGGCTGAAGCAGGAGAATTGCTTGAACCCAGGAGGCAGAGGTTGTACTGATATCACGTCACTGCACTCCAGCCTGGGAGACAGAATGAGGCTGTCTTAAAAAGAAAAGTAGAGTTAGGTGCTCCCTTAGAAATGCATGATGCTCTCTTAAGGGCCGAAAAACACAGATGGCTTACTTGGATTGTGGTGTTTGTTGTACTTTGTATATTCTTTATTTTTGACCCACCACGACCTGTTTTTAAAAATAAAGGAATATATTGTTATAAGTTGAAATTAGTAAGTTGAAAATTTACCCATTTTCCTCAACAAACATTCTCTAGTTCTTCCCCCCAAATGCTCCTAGGGTTCAACAATCATTTTTTGTTTGGAAAGAGGGAAGTAAGAGGTTCTATTCCAAATTTTGGTGGGTTTTAGGAGACTCTTATCCCAGACAGGTGGAGACTATGGATTCTGTATCAGCTTGCACAAAACTTAATTGGGTCCAAACTGGTGGAGAGGATGTAGAAATTGGAACTCTTTCATACAACTCAACAAATAAGTTTTGAAAAATGGGCAAACACTTGAATAGACATTTCTCCAATGACATACAAATGGCCAACAGGCATGAGATGTTCAACATCACTAATCAGGTCCACGCAAATCGAAACCACAAAATGATTGTCACCTCACATCTGGTAGGATGACCATTATCAAAAACAGAAAAAAAGTGTTGGTAAGAATGTGGAGAAATTGGAACCCCTGTGTACTGTTGGTGGGATTGAAAATGGTGCTGCCACTATGGAAAACAGTATAGATTAACTAAAAAATTAAAAACAGAATTAACATATGATCCAGCAGTCTCACTTGGGGTATACATCCAAAAGAATTTAAAGCTGAGTCTCAAAGATATATTGCACTTCCATTTTCATAATAACACTACTGAAATCAAAAGGTGGAAGCTACCCATTTATCATAGACTGATTAATAGATAAAGTAAGGTATATACTTAATAATGGAATACCATTCAGCCTTAGTAAGGAAAAAAATCCTGTCTCATGCTACAAAATGGGTAAGCCTGGAGGATATTATTCTTAGAGAAATGAGCCAATTACAAAGACAATTACTGCATGATTCTACTTATATGGATTACCTAAAGTAATCTAACTCAGAAACAATGTAAATGGTGGGTCCCTGGGATGGGGCAGGAAAAAATGGGGAGCTGTTCAATGAGTATACAGTTTTAGTCATGCAAGTTCCAGAGATCTGGGATACAACATTGTGCTTATTATTAGTATTGTGATATACGTTTAAAAGAGGGTATTTCATTTTTTACAATAAAAAAGATGGATCCAGATCCAACATCAAGTGAGTGCTCTGTAGCACAGTGCCCTTTCATCTGCTAAGTATTAACTTAAGTGATTTTTATTGCAAACCTAGTGGCTTTCTTTCTTGGAGCATCATTCTTCAGATCTGAGCCCAAGCCTTCTGAAAGGCCAATGAGTCTCTGGGTAGTACAGCAATTAGTCTTACAATGCACTATTTTGTAGCAGCCTCCATCTATTCATTTTTCTCAGGTTTTAAAAAGGGTGAAATACACCTAATAGGTAAAATGTGGCAATTTATACTCGGGCTTAATGGCAATCAATGGGGTAATCATTCTAATCATTTTTAAATGCTTTTCAAAAAAATTCAGAAATGGGCCGGGCTTACGCCTGTAATCTCAGCACTTTGGGAGGCCGAGGTGGGTGGATCCACAGGAGTTCGAGACCATCCTGGGTAATATGGTGAAACCTCATCTTTACTAAAAACACAAAAATTAGCCAGGTGTGGTGGCGCACGTAATTTCAGCTACTAGGGAGGCTGAGGTGCTAGAATCGCTTGAGCCCGGGAGGTGGAAGTTGTAGTGAGCCGAGATCACGCCACACTGCACTCCAGCTGGGGCCACAGAGCTGCCTCAAAAAAAAAAAAAATCAAAAGAAAGAAAAAAATTAAAAATTCAGAATTGAATGTTAACACTCAAGATGTAGTAAGAAAAGTTTTTAACTTTTTAAAAATTAAGGAAACTAAAAGCAAGATACAACTGCTCTAGGCAGCCCTACAATGACCTTATAGCTTTTCTTTGATTTCTGGCTCTAAATGGTACTCATAGAAAGACTGATTAAGTTTTGTTTTTCATTCTGGGGTTAGCTGTCTGTTAAAAGGCCTGTTCTAAGCATCCCTCTTCAGCCCTAAGATTTCATAAGTCTTCTAGGAGTTGCTCTCCCAAATACATTGTCTGTATAAACACCAAAAGGTGGATTAAATTACTTTTTTTTTTTTTTTTTAATTGAGACGGAGTCTTGCTCTGTCACCTAGGCTGGAGTGCAGTGGCGCGATCTCAGCTCACTGCCAACTTCTGCCGCCGGGTTCAAGCCATTCTCCTGCCTCAGCCTCCGGAGTATCTGGGATTACAGGCGCGCGCCACCACGCCCAGCTATTTTTTTTAATATATATATTTTTAGTAGAGACAGGGTTTTGCCATGTTGGCCAAGCTGGTCTCGAATTCCTGACCTGGGGTGATCCGCCCGCCTCGGCCTCCCAAAATACTGGGATTACAGGCGTGAGCCAACGCGCCCGGCCAGATTAAATTATACTCTATCCCCAGGTTTTACAAATAGCTCTGGGAGAGACCTGAACCTCACTAGGTGGCAGCTGATTGGAGGTGAGGCAGTGGGGAGGAAATGCCTTCGCCCAGGCTCCGCCCCTGGCCCCACCTATCCTGCCCTGCCAGCCACTCCCATTCTCACCGATTACCGCGCCAACAAAGTGGCTCTTCAAAGCAAAACACAGCGGCAGTTCCTCGTGACCAGCGGCCACGGCCTCCGGGGGCCTAGAGGTGCCTCTCCAGCGACCACCTCTGCCGACACTATATCCCTCAGGACCTGTTCGATTCAACTCCTCCGCCGGCCTCCTCTCTGGCGCTCGGGACACTGTCGAGCTTCGCCGACTAGCAACGACCCACGTAGAGGCCTTGGGAGCTCCTCCGTGGTGGGACATTGTTCCAAGAAGGGGCGCGTCCGACGTCGTTGCCGTCCAGCTCTGCACCACCTGACCGTGACGTCGTAAGAGTAGCGTGCCAGGGAAGCCACGCAGCCGCTACTTAAGGAGCCCGCACGAGGCTAGCCCCCCCGCCCACGCTCTCTATCCCGCCCACTTCGCACTGATTTCACGCAGCCATTGGCCAGTGAGCGTTGTGGGCGGGACTTTCCCAGTTTTAGCCAATCGGTTTTCTGAACCGTGGGAGTGTGCCTTGAAGTAGTCGATGTGCCCCGCCCCCCACCCCCCCACTGTGTATTCCTTTCCAGGCGTGGGACTTTTTCCAAACGCCCAATTTGCTCCCTCCCCTACTGGACACACACCTCGGGTTCCTGGCATCTCAGTGCCTTGGAAACTTTTTTTTTTCTTTTTAAATAGAGACGGGGTGTCGCCGTGTTGCCCAGGCAGGTCTTGAACTCTTGGCTTCTGGCTTCAAGTGATCTTCCAGCCTCGGCCTCCCAAAGTGCTGGGATTACAGTCAGCCACTGCACCGGAAATGTTTTCAACCGTGACCCATAAAGGTAAGTCACTGTTACAAGGTGACCCAATCCACACATAAAAAACTTGAAACAACAGATTGACAAAACAGCATTTATCCTCGCTATGTAAGCTGCATTTTGATACATTTACGCTTATTTTAGTTTTTGAAATGGTTGTAATCCACAAAATTAAAAAAAAAAAATTTAATAGAGATGGGAGTTCCCAGTATGTTGCCCAAGGCTGGTCTTGAACTCCTGGACTCAAGTGATCCTCCCACCTCCACCTCCCATAGTGCTGGGGTTACAGGCCTGAGCCACTGCACTCGGCTCACAAAATGTATTTAATGGCCCACAGCTTAAAGATCACTGACTTGATCCTTTTGTAAGTCATAAGTGTGATTGGGTTTTCATGCTCTTGTGTCAAATGTGCCTCCCTCAAACCTTGTTACGAAGTGGGCACACTACCCACCTGATGTGAAAAATGAAGAGAAAAAGATCACTGGCTTGAGAGACATTCATTGCTCTACACAGTCTTCTGGATGTTTGCTATGTTTTTTTTGTTTGTTTTCTTTTGTTTTGTTTTTGACCTCTGTCGCCTAGG
This sequence comes from Homo sapiens, assembly GCF_000001405.40. Lineage (NCBI taxonomy): Eukaryota > Metazoa > Chordata > Mammalia > Primates > Hominidae > Homo > Homo sapiens. The sequence continues at coordinate 73,393,786 of NC_000006.12, read as the reverse complement.
CTGGAGTGCAGTGGTGCGATCACTCACTGCAGATTCGACCTGTTGGACTCAAGTGATACTCCCACCACAGCCTCCCGAATAGTTGGGACTACAGGTGTGCACCACCATGCCAGGCTAATTATTTTGTAAAGACAAGACCTCCCTATGTTGCCCGGGCTGGTATCCAACTCCTCCTGCCTTGGCCTCACACAGTTGAGGGATTACAGGTATGAGCCACAGTGCCTGGCCTGCCATAATTTTAGAGCTAAGGAAATAAATTGAATAGATTCCTGAAGCATTACCGTCACTGCAGCCTGGCTCTGTGGCTGGACATACTACTACTCCAGGGCTTCAAGCCAGCTGCAAGTGCACTCCTTTGATTAGGATCTTTGAATTATCTGAACAAATTTCAGTTTAGGCCAGCAGGGATAACTCATACCTGTAATCTCAACACTTTAGGAGGCCTAGGCGGAGGATCTCTTGAGCCCCAAGGTTCAACATCAGTCTGGGTAACATAGTGAGACCCTGCCGGGTGTGGTGGTACAGGCTGTAGTCCCAGCTACTCAGGAGGCTGAGGTGGGAGGATCACTGAGCCAGGGAGGTTGAGGCTACAGTGAGCCGAAGTGCCGAAATGGTGTCACTGCACTCCAGTCTGGGCAACAGAGCAGAGACCCTGTCTCAAAAAAAAAAAATTTTTTTTTTTTCAGTTCAATCATCCATCAAACACAGTGGACACCAGGCCAGGCATGGTGTGGCTCATGGCTGTAATCCCAGCACCTTGGGAATGTGAGGCAGGCAGATCACTTGAGGTCTGGAGCTCGTGACCAGCCTGGTCAACATGGTGAAACCCCATCTCTAATAAAAATGCAAAAAATATTGGCTGGATGTGGTGGCTCATGCCTGTAATCCCAGCACTTTGGGAGGCAGAGGCGGCTGGATCACAAGGTCAAGAGATCGAGACCATCCTGGCCAACATGGTAAAACCCCATCTCTACTAAAAATACAAAAATTAGCTGGGCGTGGTGGTGTGCGCCTGTAGTCCCAGCTACTTGGGAGGCTGAGGCAGAATAATTGCTTGAACCCGGGAGGCAGAGGTTGCAGTGAGCCAAGATTGTGCCACTGCACTTCAGCCTGATGACAGAGCGAGAGACTCCATCTCAAAAAAAAAAAAAAAAAAAAAAAAAAAAAGATTACCTAGGAAATAGGCCAGGCGCGGTGGCTCACACCTGTAATCTCAGCACCTTGGGAGGTTGAGGTGGGTAGATCATCTGAGGTCAGGAGTTCAAGACCAGCCTGACCAACGTGGTGAAACCCCATCTCTACTAAATACAAAAAATTAGCCAGGCATGGTGGCGAATGTCTGTAATCCCAGCTACTTGAGAAGCTGAGGTGAGAGAATTGCTTGAACCTGGGAGGCAGAAGTTGGCAGTGAGCCAAGATTGCGCCATTGCACTCCAGCCTGGGCAACAAGAGTGAAATTCCATCTCAAAAAAAAGATAAAAAAACATTAAATAAATGATAGGCATTTAATCTCCATTCTCTAATCTTTAATCTGAAATGGGTAGTATTAACAATCTTTAGAAAGGAATTTTGTTGGATTCAACGTGCTGAGATTTTATTAAGGATTTTTGCATCTATGTTAGTCAGAAATACTGGTCTGTACTTTTCTTGTAATGTCTTTGACTGGTTTTAGTATTAGGGTAATGCTGGCCTCATAGAATCTCTTCCAGAAAGTAGAAGCAGAGGGATACTTCCTAACTCATTCTATGAGGCCAAAATTATTCTAACACTGAGAGTGAACCTTCACGTAAACTAGGAACTTTCAACAGCCAGGAAGGACATACCCATCAAAGACAATAACCATGACTCATAAACAATGGCTTCCAGTGCTTTGAAGAAACCTCAGGTGCTTGTCACTGACCTGTGTTCGTGAACTAAGAAATGGGAATATGTGGGCTAAGAAATAGTTTCTCTTGATAAACAACACTTATAAAAACCTCTCCTTTTCATGGTGCCTCAGAGACAATCAGCTGCTTCAACATGAAGCTGAATGTCTCCTTCCCAGCCTCTGGCTGCCAGAATCTCTTTGAAGTGGATGAGGATTGCAAATGTCATACTTTTTCTGAGAAGCTATAGTCACAGATGTTGATGCTGATGCTCTAGGTGAAGAATAGAAGGGTTATGTGGTCGGAATCAGTGGTGGGGACAACAGACGAGGCTTCCTCATGAAGCAGGGTATTTTGACCCAAGACTGTGTCTGCCTGCTACTGAGTAAGGGGTATTCCTCTCCTCCAAGGAGAACTGAAGAAAGAATGCACAAATCTGTTCAAGGTTGTATTGTGGATGCCAATCTGAGTATTCTCAACTCAGTTATTGTTAGAGAGAGAAGGCTAATCCTGAACTGCCTGATAATATACTGCCTCATCCCCCGGGACCCAAAAGAGCTAGCAGAATCCAAAAACTTCAATTTCTCTAAAAAGATGATGTCCACCAATATGTTATAAGAAAGCTCTTTGTTATAACAAAGATAAGACACACAGGGCCAAAGCACCCAAGACTCAGTGTGTTGTTACTCCTCATGTCCCGCAACACAAACACCTGGCTTATTGCTCTGAAGAAACAACCTACTAAAAAAAATAAGGAAGAGGCCACAGAATATACTAAACTTTTGGACAAGAGAATAAAGGAAGCCAAAGAAAAACACCAGGAACAAATTGCCAAGAGACACAGACTGTCCTCTCTGAGAGCTTCTGAGTCCAGCCAAAAATAAGCCCGGCGGATTTAACATTTTGATACTGTGTTCTCACGTGGTGAGGAAAGATATCTAAGATGGTAATTCCAGGTAACACGAATATTTTTAGTTCTGTATTTTATTTATTTATTTATTTTTATTATTATTATTATACTTTAAGGCACAGTGGCTCACGCCTGTAATCCCAGCACTTTGGGAGGCCAAGGCAGGCAGATTACCTGAGGTCAGGAGTTCGAGACCAGCCTGGCCAACATGGCGATACCCCCCTCTCTACTAAAAATACAAAAAAAAGAAAAAAAAAGAAAAAAAAAATTAGCTGGGCATGGTGGTGCATGCTTATAGCTCCAGCTACGTGAGAGGCTGAGGCAGGAGAATTGCCTGAACCTGGGAGGCGGAGGTTGCAGTGACCCGAGATCGCACCATCACACTCCAGGCGACAAGAACGAAACTCCGTCTCAAAAAAAAAAAAAAAAAGTTTTTGGGTAACAAATAAGATCAAACCTCATAAAAATAAAACAAAAAAAGCAAAATAATAAAGTAGAATAACTATTTACCTAGTATTAGGTATTACAGGTAATCCAGAGATGATTTAAAGTATAAGGGAAGCTCTGCATAGGTTATATGCAAATACTATGCCATTTTACGTAAAGAATTTGAGCAACCCTGGTATTAAGTATCTTTGGAGGGCCTGGGACCAATACCCCCAAAATCCCAAGAGACGACAATACTTGCTGTGAACCTAAAATTGTTCTAAAAGATAAAGTCTAAAAAGGGAATTTTGTGTCTGTCAAGCTTTTCATTTTTGTTTTGTTTTTAATTGGATCAGCTATGTCCTTGAGTTTGGGCAGTGGATTAGTAAATAACTTTTTTTTCTTATTTCTTTTTTTCTTTCCCTGTGGGCCAGGCTGGAGTGCAGTGGCGGGATCTGGGCTCAGCACAACCTCTGCCTCCCGGATTCAAGTGATTCTCCTCCCTCAGCTTCCTGAGCTGCTGGGACCACAGGTGCGCCACACACCTGGCTAATTTTTGTAGTTTCAGTAGAGACCGGGTTTCACTATGCCAACCAGGCTGGTCTCTAACTCCTGGCCTCAAGTGATCTGCGCCCGGCGGATTTAACATTTTGATACTGTGTTCTCACGTGGTGAGGAAAGATATCTAAAACGGTAATTCCAGGTAACACGAATATTTTTAGTTCTGTATTTTATTTATTATTATACTTTAAGTTTTATGGTACATGTGCACAACGTGCAGGTTTGTTACATATGTATACATGTGCCATGTTGGTGTGCTGCACCCATTAACTCGTCATTTAACATTAGGTATATCTCCTAATGCTATCCCTTCCCCCCTCCCCCCACCCCACAACAGTCCCCGGTGTGTGATGTTCCCCTTCCTGTGTCCATGTGTTCTCATTGTTCAATTCCCACCTATGAGTTCTGTTATTTTAAATTTTTTCACAACATAGAGCAAAATGAGTTGCTTTTTTAGACCTGTGACAGCCTAAGCCTAAGCCTTTTGCGATAAAAAGCGGTGGAATCTATTATCCTAAATCCCAACTTGGTTAGAAAACCATTCACTAAGCAAGTAGAAATTGGATATGCCTGCGGGCCTTTCAAGTTCGTTCTACCACCTACTTTTCCCCACCAAAAAAAAAGATAAAAAGGTGGAGTTCACGCCCAATTTTGACCTGAAGGCAGAAAATTTCCACAAGCTTGCATTTTTGCCTCGGGTGTGACCTGAGGGAGTTGACCGCCAGTTCCGGAGTAGGGCGGGGACTTCTGCTCCTGGGGTAGAAGCTGAATCAGTCGCCCCAGGTCCTCGGTGCCATTTCCCTCCGGCAAGCCTCAACCTCAGGAGGGAAGCCCTGGCCTTTCTCCTCCGCCTGCCAGGCGGTTTCTTCTGTCCGAAGCCTCTGGCTTCCTCAAAGCTCCCGGGTCTGCATTGGTGCTAAGTGGCCTGCCGTCTCGACGTAGCTCCCCTGGATAGCGACGCGCCAGAGCACCGCCCCAGGTTCCAGCTCGCGTCGCGGCTTCGCATTTGCACCGCTGCGGGATCCCTGAGCGAGTACCCCCAATGTGGGTTTGGCGGAGCTAGGAGAAGGAACGGTCCCTCTACCCTCCGAGAACTTATTCCTCCGACTCCGCCAGGCAAGGAGCCACACTCTCCCACAAGGAGGCAGCAAACACCGCACCCTTGGCTCTCGGAGCAGCAGGCGCTGATTTTGGAAAATCCGCTCCTTAAGTTTTCACTTACCACCTGGACTAGAGAAGGTGGCAATATCTTATACTGGGCACTTACAACCTGCCAGACTCATTTAATTCTTAGAAAACTCCTGTGAGATGGATGTGGGTATCCCCATTTCACGATGAAGAAACCGAAGTCAGAGGAGCCCAGTACTTGGGAACCCAAGTGGAGGTGATGCCAAAGCTGAGCATTTTCTGTTCTGCCACTTTGCCTCTCAGGAACCCATGGGTGCAGTTCCCAGGAGGAAGGGGATTCCAGCCTCCAGCTGCCATCCCTTTTTCAAGAAAAAAGCTACGGTTACTGGCATTAGGATAAATAACTTTGGCTTTAAGATGATCTTAGAATTAACGTGTTCACTGCATACATTTGGAAAAATAAAAATAAAAGTATTACCCAGAGATAAATTTGGTCCTTCTGAGTTTTCTTCTAGGCAAACTTTTGAGATTTTACTATTCAATTTTGCACTCTGACTTTTCCCCTTAAATTTTATAATAAACATCCATGTTGTTAGACATATAATTTTTTGTTATACATTCTTCGCTGTTTATAATTTGTATTTTCATTTCACTTTGGGGGAGGGGGAGGCATAAGGATTTTTTTTCTCACGAAAAGAAATTTTAATTCCATTGTTGTCAGGCCCAGTGCGGTGTCTCACGCCTGTAATCCCAGCACTTTGGGAGGCCGAGGCGGACAGATCACCTGAGATCAGGAGTTTGGCACCAGCCTGGCCAACATGGCGAAATCTGTCTCTACTGAAAATACAAAAATTAGCTTGGTGTGGTGCCGCATGCCTGTCGTCCCAGGTAATCGGATGGCTGAGGCACTGAGGCATGAGAATCGCTGGAACACAGGAGGCGGAAGTTGCAGGTCAGCCCAGATTGCGCTACTGCACTCCAGCATGGGCAACAGAGCAAGACCCTGTCTCAGAATAAGTAAAATAAAATTCTAATGTTGTCAGAACTATCATCGTTCCCTTATGGTGGCAGCCTTTGGAGCCATGATTTAGAAGGGTCTGTTTTTACCCTCAAATTATATAAACATTAATACAAAAAATTAGCCAGGCTTGGTGGCACGTACCTGTAGTCCCAGCTACTCGGGAGGCTGAGGCAGGAGAATCATTTGAACCCAGGAGGTGGAGGTTGCAGTGAGCCAACACCACGCCACTACACTCCAGCCTGGGAGACAGAGTGAGACTCCGTCTCAATCAATCAATCAATAGAATAAATAATTATATAAACATGAATACTCACATTAATCCAGCACTGATTTTATTTTTATATTATTTTATTTTGTTTTTGAGATGGAGTTTTGCTCTTGTCACTCAGGCTGGAGTGCAGTGGTGCTATCTCGGCTCACTGCAACCTCCGCCTCCCATGTTCAAGCGATTCTCCTGCCTTGGCTTCCCAAGTAGCCGGGATTAAAGGCACCTGCCACCACACCCGGCTAATTTTTTTCTTGTATTTTTGGTAGAGACTGGGTTTCACCATGTTGGCCACACTGGTCTCAAACTCCTGACCTCAAGTTATCCACCCACCTCGGCCTCCCAAAGTGCTGGGATTACAGGTGTGAGCCACCATGCCTGGTGGTTATTTTTGCTTTCTTAATACTTCCAAAGTTTTGAATTTTGATGGACTCTGACTTACTAATTTTTAAAACCACTTTTGCATTTTACATTGTTTAAAATATACATATATGTATATATATACATATATAAACAAAGATATTTTAAGCCGTGAGCATGAAGGGTTTACTTTTCTGTTTTCTGCTAAGAGTTTTGGTTTTAGCCCTTTCATTGAGCTCTGCTGTTCTTTTTTTTTTTTTTTTTTTTTTTTTTCTGAGATGGAATTTTGCCCTTAACTCTTGTGGCTCAGGCTGGACTGCAATGGCATGATCTCGGCTCACTGCAACCTCCGCCTCCCGGGTTCAAGTGATTCTCCTGCCTCAGCATCCCGAGTAGCTGGGATTACAGGCGCCTGCCACCATGCCTGGCTAATTTTTTTGTATTTTTAATAGAGACAGGGTTTCACCACGTTGGCCATGCTGGTCCTGAACTCATGACCTCAGGTGATCCACCCGCCTTGGCCTCCAAAAGTGCTGGGATTACAGGCATGAGCCACCGCGCCCGGCTGCAGTTCTTTTTCAAGTTAATTTTTGTGTATGTCGTGAGGTAAGGGTCTAAATTCATCTTCTGAGTCTTCTAGTCCATGAATGAAATAACTCTCCATTTATTTACATCTTTAATTCTTTCATCAAGGTTTTGTAGTTTTCAAATTATACACTTACTAAACTTGTAAAAGTATTTAGACTTTGTGTATATTGATTTTGTATTCTGCAACCTTACTGAACTCATTCATTCTATTTGTTTGTTTATTTTTTGGTGGATTCCTTAGGATTTCCTACATAGAAAAGCATGTTGTTGGCCCGGTCTGGGGGCTCATGCCTGTAATCCCAGCACTTTGGGAGGCCAAGGCAGGCAGATCACCTGAGGTTGGGAGTTCGAGAACAGCCTGATCAACATGGAGAAACCCCGTCTCTACTAAAAATACAAAACTAGCTGGACATGGTGGCACATGCCTGTAATCCCCGCTACTCAGGCCGCTGGGGCAGGAGAATCGCTTGAACCCGGGAGGCAGAGGTTGCAGTGAGCCAACATCGCGCCATTGCACTCCAGCCTGGGCAACAAGAGCGAAACTCTGTCTCAGGAAAAAAAAAAAAAAAAAGAAAAGCATGTTGTTGGTATTCTTTAATATGCATGCCTTCTATTTCTTGCCTGATTGCACTGGCTAGAACCTCCAGTACAATGTTGAATAAAAGTGAAAGTAGGTATCTTTGCCCTCTTCCTGATCTTTCAGGGGAAGGAATTCAGTCTTTTTACCATTAAGTATCTTATATAATGTTAGCTGTGGGCTTTTTGAAAATAGCTTTTGGCCGGGCACAGTGGCTCACGCCCATAATCCCAGCACTTTGGGAGGCCAAGGTGGGTAGATCACCAGGTCAGTAGTTCAAGACCAGCCTGGCCAACATGGTGAAACCCGTCTCTACCAAAAATACAAAAAACTAGCCGGGCGTGGTGGCAGGCGCCTATAATCCCAGCTACTCAGGAGGCTGAGATAGGAGAATCGCTTGAACTCAGAACGTGGAGGTTGCAGTGAGCCAAGACCACGCCACTGCACTCCAGCCTAGTCAATAGAGTGAGACTCCGAAAAAAAAAAAAAAGAGAGCTTTTATTTAGGCTGGGGAAGAGACTTTGTATTCCTAGTAGTAGGTGTTGATTTTGTAAAATGCATTTGCTGCATCTCTTGAAATGTTCATGTAGTTGTTGTCCTTTATTCTATTAATATGGCATATTAATTGACTTTTGATTTAATCCAGCCTTGCATTCCTGGGATAAATCCCCTTAATCATGGTATATAATTTTTTTTTTAATAATGCTGAATTCCATTTGTCTTTTTTGTTGTTGTTGTTTGAGATGGAGTCTTGCTCTGTCGCCCAGGCTGGAGTGCAGTGGCGCAATCTTGGCTCACTGCAAGCTCCTCTCCCGGGTTCACGCCATTTTCCTGCCTCGGCCTCCCAAGTAGCTGGGACTACAGGCACCCGCCACCACACCCGGCTAATTTTTTTGTATTTTTAGTAGAGACGGGGTTTCACCATGTTAGCCAGGATGGTCTCAATCTCCTGACCTAGTGATCTGCCCACCTTGGCCTCCCAAAGTGCTGGGATTACAGGCGTGAGCCACCACGCCCAGCCTCCATTTGCCTTTTTTAAGACAGGTTTGAGGCTGGGTGTGGTGGCTACACCTGTAATCCCAGCACTTTGGGAGGCCAAGGCGAGTGGATCACCTGAGGTCAGGAGTTCAAGAGCAGACTGGGCAACATGATAAAACCCCGTCTCTACTAAAAATACAAAAATTACCCAGACGTGGTGGCACGTGCCTGTAATCCCAGCTACTCAGGAGGTTGAGACAGGAGAATCACTTGAACCCGGGAGGCACAGGTTGCAGTGAGCCGAGATTGTGCCACTGCACTTCAGCCTGGTTGACAGAGCAAGACTCCATCTCAAAAAAAAAAAAAAAGGTTTGTTTGTCTTGTTGCCTATGCTGGGAGGTTGAGGCAGGCTGATCACTTGAGCCCAGGACTTCAAGTGATGGAGTGCAGTGGCACAATCATGGCTCAATACCTGGAACTCCTGGGTTCAAGTGATCCTCCCACCTAGGGCTCCTAAATGGCTGAGATTACCAGCATGAGCCACCATGCCCAACCAAGTTTGCTCATTTTTTATTTAAGATTTTTGCATCTTTATTACTCAGGAATATTGGTCTGTAGTTGTTTCTTTTCTTGTGATGTCTGTGGTTATGGTATTAAGGTGATGCTGATATAATTAGCTGGGAAGTGTTCTTTCATCTTCTGTTTTTTGGAAGAGTTTGAAAGATTGACATTAGTTCTCCTTTAAATACTTGGTTGGATTCATCAGTAAAGCCATCTGGGCTTGAGCTTTTCTTTGTCGGAAATGTTGTCATTACTAATTCAATCTCTTATGACAGGTTTATTCAGATTTTCTATTTATTCTGAGTAGTTTATGTTTTTCTAGGAACTTATTCATTCCATCTAGGTTATCTAATTTATGTCATATAGTTGTTCTGTAGTATTACCTTATAATCCTTTTTATATCTGGTCCTCCATTCATTCATTTTTTATTTTTATTATATTTATTTATTTAGAGACAGGGTCTCACTCTGTTGCCTGGGCTGGAGGGCACTGTCATGATTTTGGCTCACTGCAGCCTTGACCTCCTTGGCTCAAGTGATCCTCCTGCCTCAGCCTCTGAAGTAGCTGGGATTACAGGCATGTGCCACCACACCTGGCTAATTGTTGTATTTTTTGTAGAGATGGGGTTTCATTATGTTGCTCAGGCTGGTCTTGAATTCCTGGGCTCAAGTGATCTGCCTGCCTCAGCCTCCCAAAGTGTGATTACAGGTGTGACCCACTGCACCAGGCTCTTACATTCATTTCTGATCTTAGTAATTTGAGTCTTTTTTCCTTGGTTATTCTATCTAAATACTTGTCAGTTTTATCTTTTTAAAGAACCCAGTTTTGATTTTTCTCTATTTTCTACATAATTTTTACTCTAATCTTTATTACTTCCTTCTTGCACTGATTGCATTGATTTTATTTTATTCTGAGATGGAGTCTTGCTCTGTTACCCAGGCTGGAGTGCAGTGGCGCAATCTCGGCTCACTGCAACCTCCGCCTCCCAGGTTCAAGTTATTCTCCTGCCTCAGCCTTCTGAGCAGCTGAGACTACAGGCATGTGCCACCACACCCAGCTAATTTTGTATTTTTAGTAGAGATGGGGTTTCACCATATTGACCAGGCTGGTCTCAAACTCCTGACCTCAAGTGATCCACCCACCTCGGCCTACCAAAGTGCTGGGATTACAAAGTGCTGGCCACTGTGCCCGGCCCCTGCATTGATTTTAGTTTGTTCTTCCTTCCTGGTCATTTTCCCTGTTGTTAGCCCACACTAAATAAGGCTATGTCTCCTGGCTCCTGGATGATTTTGCCAACTACTTGATCAAGAAACTAGAATCAGTTTCTACAATTCCCTTAGTGTTACCGGCCCTAAGAAATCTTTTAGGCGAACTGCTTGTATAGATGGTTTCTTCTACTTCAGATTTACAGCCAGGTGTGGTGGCTCACACATGTAATCCCAGCACTTCGGGAGGCCCAGGTGGGCAGATCCCTTGAGGCCAGGAGTTGAGACCAACCTGGCCAACAGGGGGAAACCCCATCTCTATAAAAAAAATACAAAAATTAGACGTGCATGGTGGCGCATGCCTGTAGTTCCAGTTACTTGGAAGGCTGAGCCTGGGAGGTGGAGGCTGCGGTGAGCTGAGATTGTGCCACTGCACCCAACCCTGGGTGACAGAGTCAGACTCTGTCTCAAAAAAAAAAAAAAAAAAAAAAGTTAAAAACCACTGAGCATATTGGCTCACCACACTTTGGGAGGCTGAGCCAGGAGGATTGCTTGAGGCCAGGAGTTCAAGCCTAGCCTGGGCAACATAGTGAGATCCCATCTCTATAAAAATAAAAGTAAAAATTAGCAGGGCATGGTGGTGCATGCCTGTAGTCCTAGCTACAATAAACAAACATAGTAGGCTGGGCGTGGTGACTCATGCCTATAATCCTCACACTTTGGAAGGCTGGGGCAGGAGGATCATTTGAGCCCAGGAGTTTGAAACCAGTCTGGACAACATGGTGAGACCCGCTCTCTACAAAAAATTTAAAAATTAGCCAGGTGTGGCCAGGCACAGTGGCTCATGCTTATAATCCCAGCACTTTGGGAGGCTGAGGCAGGTGGATCACGAGGTCAGGAGTTCGAGACCAGCCTGGCCAAGATAGTGAAACCCCATCTCTACTGAAAATACAAAAATTAGCTGGGCATGGTGGCACGTGCCTGTAATCCCCGCTACTCAGGAGGCTGAGGCAGGAGAATCACTTGAACCCAGGAGGCGGAGGTTGTGGTGAGCTGAGATCACGCCACTACACTCCAGCCTGGGCAACACAGCGAGACTCCATCTCAAAAAAAAAAAAAAAAAAAAATTAGCCAGGTGTGGTAGTGCATGCCTGTGGTCGCAGGTACTAGGGAGGCTGAGGCGGGGGGATCACTTGAGCCTGGGAGGTTAAGGCTGCAGTGAGCCATGATCACACCACTGCACTGCAGCCTGAGTGACAGAGCAAATCCCTATCTCAAAAATAAAACAAACCAAAAAGAAAAACAAAAACAAAAACCCAAAGTTACAATCCTTTGTTTTTTGTTTGTTTTGTTTTGTTTTTGAGACAGAGTCTCACTGTATCACCCAGGCTGGAATACAGTGGCACAGTCTCAGTTCACTGCAACCTCTGCCTCCCGGGTTCAAGTGATTCTCCAGCCTCAGCCTCCCAAGTAGCTGGGTTTACAGGCACGGTGCCACCACTCCCGGCTAATTTTTGCCTTTTTAGTAGACATGGGTTTCGCCATGTCGGCCAGGCTGGTCTCGAACTCCTGACTTCAAGTGATCCACCCACCTCAGCCTTCCAAAGTGCTAGGATTACAGGTGTGAGCCACCGCGCCCAGCCTGGTTTTTTATATTAATTGTCCCCCCACGCCGGCCCACCTCTTTCCCTGGACATTCAGGCTACCAAGAAGAGTGTACTGGCCATCCTGAATTCCTCAGCCCATGCTTACCTTTAGTCCTATGCAAAGTAGTGTCTGTTCCTGCTTTACTGGAACACTGCAGTTTTTGGCAAAGTGAGGACTAACTTTCTCAACCTTTCCTTCCCCACCTAAAACACCTTTTCTTCAACTAGCTTTCAATTTTGAGATTTGCCAACATATGGTCTTGGCCTTCAGCTCTTCCTCCGGGCTACTCTAGGTATCCAGAGTGAAGCTCTCTGGTGCCTGAAGGCATACCTCAAAGACTCAGCCTGAAATCCAAGTAGCCTGAATTCCAAATCTTGTGAGTGAACTTGGGCCTATCCACCTCCCTTCTCATTCACTGCTATTTTTATGTTCTGGAACTTACTCCATCTTCTTCTTTTTCTTCTTCTTTTTTTTTTTTTTTTTTTTTTTAACACTTTTTTGTTTTGTTTCATCTTTTTGACTTTTTCTTCTTTTTGAAATGGAGTTTCACTCTTGTTGTCCAGGCTGGAGTGCAATGGTGCAATCTTGGTCCACTGCAACCTCCACCTCCTGGGTTCAAGCAATTCTCCTGCCTCAGCCTCCAAAGGAGCTGGGATTACAGGTGCCCGCCACCACGCCTAGCTAAATTTTTTTATTATTATTATTTTTAGTAGAGATAGGGTTTAGTCACGTTGGCCAGGCTGGTCTCGAACTCCTAACCCCAAGTGATTCACCCGCCTAGACCTCCCAAAGTGCTGGGATTACAAGCGTGAGCCACTGTGCCTGGCCTTGATTGTATTAATCAACATCCAAATGTGACTCAACTTACTTCATCTTCTCTAGCCTCTCTACCATATAGTTTCTAATGTGTAGATAAATCACAATCTGTTGAGACTAATCATATTTGGTGTCTAGATCTCTAAAGTCCTCTTTAAAAACAAAAAACAACTCAAAGTTTAATCTGCTTACTAAAAATTATATAAATCATTAAGTGTGACGCTCAAGAAAATTTCAAAGTAATAGTGATGTAACAACCACCCACATCAAACTTGCTTACTTTCTGAACTTTATATAAATGGAATCCTATAGTGTCTTTTAGCTCACTCATGTTGGGAGTAGTTTATTAATTTTCAATGGTATATAACATTTCATTGTATGGATCTGCCGCAATTTATCCATTCTATTATAGATAGACATTTGGTCATTTCTGTTTATTTCCATGTTGAAAAACACTACTATGAACACTCATTAGCATTGTTATTGGTGCATTTCAATAACTGCTCAGGAGGCTGAGATGAGAGAATCGCTTAAGCCCAGGAGACAGAGGTTGCAGTGAGTGGAGATTGCACCACCACACTCCAGCCTGGGCAACAGAGCGAGACCCTGTCTCAAAAAAAAAAAAAAAAAAAGAATTTTGGAAAACTTGTATCACCACTGTCTTGACACCTTCCCAATTATTACATTTTTCTGATGAGATTGGTGGTGGTACTAATCAATGTGATTTTTTATTATACTGTATAATGAAATGAGTCAGTATTTGGAAAATTAAATATTTCAATAAACCAATATTTTCCTAACGACTAATGAGTGATGTTACAAAATCATGCACGAATAAAAAAGCCATTCAAAGTGTAAGAAGCTACCGTTTGCTGAGTGTTGGTATAGTAGAAAGAATAGTGTCCACAATTATCTAAATATCTGTGTGAGGCTGGATTTTCTTCAGTCAAAACAACATATTGCAACAGATTTAATTTGGAATAGGATATGAGGCTGGGCATGGTGGCTGATGCCTGTAATCCCAGCACTTTCAGAGTTGGAAGTGGGCAGACTGCTTGAGCTCAGAGCTCTGGAGTTTAAGACCAGGTTGGGCAACATAGCAAAACCCTGTCTCAATTTTTAAAAACCATTAAAAAACAAAAAAAGATATGAGAAACCAGCTGTTGTCTATTAGGCCAGACATTAAACAGATTTACAAACATGTAAAATAAGGCCACTTTTTTTTTTTTTTTTTTTTTTTGAGATAGAGTCTCACTCTGTTGCCCAGAGTGGAGTGCAGTGGCACAATCTTGACTCACTGCAACCTCCACCTCCTGGGTTCAAGCGATTCTCCTGCCTCAGCCTCCTAACTGGGATTACAGGTGCACACTACCATGCCCGGCTAATTTTGTATTTTTAGTAGAGACTAGGTTTCACCATGTTGGCCAGGTTGGTCTCAAACTTCTAACCTCAAGTGATCCACCCGCCTTGGCCTCCAAAGTGCTGGGATTACAGGCGTGAGCCACCATGCCTGGCCAGGCCACTGAATTTGTTTTGAGAAACAAATTATTTTTCAGGCCAGGCATGGTGGCTCACACCTATAATCCTAGCACTTTGGGAGGCTGAGGCAGGAGGATTGCTTGAGCCCAGGAGTTTGAGACCAGCCTGGACAACATGGTGAAACCCTGTCTCTACAAAAGCATAAAAATTAGCTGGACGTGGTGGCGCACGCCTGTAATCCCAGCTACTCAGGAGGCTGAGGCAGGATAATTGCTTGAACCCTGGAGGTAGAGGTTGCAGTGAGCCGAGATCATGCCACTGCACTCCAGCCTGGGTGACAGAGACCCTGTCTCAAAAAATAATAATCATAATCATAATCATTTTTCATTAAAAGGTTATCCATGTTAACGTGAGTTATAGTCATTGAATTAGGTTTCTCAAAGTTTGAATTTCTAATATAGTAAATATCAGTATCTATACCTTACAAAACAAAAGCTCTTTAGGGTAATCAATAATTTTTTTTTTTTTTCTGGAGACAGTATCTGGCTCTGTTGCCCAGGCTGGCTGGAGTGCAGTGGTGAAATCTCGGCCCACTTTAAACTCCACCTCCTGGGCTCAAGCAATTCTCCTACCTCAGCCTCCCAAGTAGCTGGGACCACAGGCATATGTCACCACGCTCGGCTAATTTTTGGATTTTTTAGTAGAGATGGGGTTTCATCATGTTGGCCAGGCTGGTCTCAAACTCCTGACCTCAAGGGATCCACTTGCCTTGGCCACCCAAAGTGCTGGGATTACAGGCCTGAGCCACTGCGCCCTGCTGGTACTCAACATATATATATAGATTTTCTTTCTGAGTTGGAGTTTCATTCTGTCACCTTGGCTGGAGTACAGTGGTGTGATCAGGCATGAGCCACCATGCCTGGCCTCAATGATTTTTAAGAGCAGGGGGACCCAAACATTTGAGAACTGCTGGCTCAGATGATCTTAGAGTTTGTAGCTCGGCCCAGTGGCTCAGGCCTATAATCCCAGCATTTTGGGAGGCTGAGGTGGGTGGATTGCTCGAGCTCAGGAGTTCAAGACCAGCCTGGCCAACATGAAGAAACCCCATCTTTACAACAAAATACAAAAACATTAGCTGGGCATGGTGCACACACCTGTCATCCCAGCTACTCTAGAGGCTGAGGTGGGAGGATCGCTTGAGCCCTGGAAGTGGAGGTTGTGGTGAGCCAAGATCATGCCACTGCACTCCAATCTGGGTGTCAGAGTGAGATACTATCTCAAAAAAAAGAAAAAAAAATAGAAGAAGAAGAAGAATTTGTAACAATAATATATGCAGGCTGGAGCATTTGGCATAAATTAAATAGGGTTACTTGGTGAAAACTCAGGTTTTTAACTTGAAAGCTGCCTGGTACAGCTATAGGTTGTAGGTGCGGTGGTGGCTCACACCCATAATCCTAGCACTTCAGGAAGGCCAAGGTAGAAGGCTCGCTTGCGGCCAAGAGTTCAAGACCAACCTTGGCAACATAGCAAGAACTTGTTTCTACAAAACATAATTTTAAAAAATATTAGCTAGGTGTGGTTGCACTCACCTGTAGTTCCAGCTCCTCAGGAGACTGAGGCAGGAGAATTGCTTGAGTCCAGACGGTCGAGGCTACAGTGAGCTGTGATTATGCCACTGCACTCCCGTCTAGGTGACAGAGTAAGACTCTGTCAATGAATGAATGAATCAATACAAGTAAATATAAATAAATACATAAAAATATTGCTGGCTTTTTACAGTATGTTGTTCAAAACCAGACCCAACAAACTCACTTACATGAGTTAATTTTGAGGCCACAAATACCTATCACATCTTGGGTGATATCAGAGAAACATTTGAGTAGAGAGGAAGTTGCATAGCACAGTTCACTCATAAAGTAGAAATGGTATATTCACGAGAACTTGAGAAAGTTCGAGGTGTGGTGACTTGCATGCATGAGCAGGTTGTTTATCTACTCCTGAGGCAGATAATAAAGCCGTCCCAGAAACTACTCACCCCTATTGCTTTGTGAGCAGAGCCCTATAGTTCTCTCTCAGCTGAAGCAAAACATGCTGCCTACATTTAAAAGGGGTCTTGAGGTTTTGGCTCCAGTTTGTGTCTCATCTTTACAGTTTTCACAGGATTATATTTTCAGCAAATAGAACAGCTCTAGAAACTTCCTTGGATGTGCCTTTAAAGTTTACACCAAGGCTGGCTTAAGATTGTAGTCAGTTTCTCTCTCCCATGGTAATAAGACCACATATGTCTAGCTAATTGTGTTAACTGGCAATGGCACAATGAAAGAAAATGGAAGTCTAATGGTAAAACACAATTATATAAGGATGTAGCCAAAGAACCATAGGGCATCTCACCAACAATAAATTTTTTTACAATTTTAGGGAAGAGAGGAAGAGAGAAATAAAATCATGGGCTGGGTGCAGTGGCTCACGCCTGTAATCTCAGCACTTTGGGAGGCCAAAGCGGGTGGATCACCTGAGGTCAGGAGTTCGAGACCAGCCTGGCCAAAATGGTGAAACCTCTTCTCTACTAAAAATACAAAAATTAGCCAGGCATGGTGGCAGGCACCAGTAATCCCAGCTACTTGGGAGGCTGAGGCAGGAGAATCGCTTGAACCTGGGAGGTGGAGGTTGCGGTGAGCCGAGATCGCACCAGTGCACTCCAGCCTGGGTGACAGAGTGAGACTCCATCTCAAACAAACAAACAAACAAAAACCACAAAAATCAGCCAGGCTTGGTGGTGGGCGCCTGTAATCCCAGCTACTCTGGAGGCTGAGGCAGGAGAATTGCTTGAACTCGGGAGGTGGAGGTTGCAGTAAGCTGAGATCTTGCCATTGCACTCCAGCCTGAGCAACAGACTCCGTCTCAAATAAATAAATAAATAAATAAAATCATGTTTCGTTGGGCTGTATGTATAAGGATCAGCATCAGATCTTGACAGTGAAGTGAACCCAGGGTCCTTAATTGAGATAGATGTGGAATGTTGTATTCAAAAAAAAAAAAAAAAAAAAAAAAAAAACAACCCCTTGTCCAAAACAGCTGCGACTGAGTTGTCAATTAAGGCTGTTTCTCTGTATCAAAGTGACTTAGAAAAACAAACGAAAAAAGAAAAACAAAATTAAAAAATAAATAAAGTGACTTAGATCCTCCAGGCAAGAATGGATGTTTCATTGTTACTGATAAATAAATTTAAATAGTACATTTTCTGATAGTCTGTAATTTTAGAGAATAATGTTTCTCACTGAGTAAGAACATAATAGTCATTCAAAAATGGGAGATCGGCTGGGTGCGGTGGCTCACACCTGTAATCACAACACTTTTGGAGGCTGAGGTGGGTGGATTACTTGAGGTCAAGAGTTCGAGACCGGCCTGGCCAACATGGTAAAACCCCGTCTTTACAAAAATTCACCTGGCCGTGGTGGCGGGTGCCTGTAATCCCAGCTACTCGGGAGGCTGAGGCAGGAGAATCACTTGAACCTGGGAGGCAGAGGTTGCAGTGAACAGAGATCGTGCCACTGCACTCCAGCCTATGCAACAGAGTGAGACTCCATCTCAAAAAAAAAAAAAAAAAAGGGAGATCATTATGACAATTTACAGCTGCAGCATGTCTTTGGGAGAAATTTAGTTTTGCAGCTGGTTTTATCTGTGTCTGTCTCAACCTGCTATAAATGATGGCAGATTTCTCTTTTCTCTCAGGATATAGTTATATAAAACTTAATTTTATATAAATATATACTGTATATAATATATAAGCTATATATATTATATATAAGCATATATATGTTTTATATATAAGGAAAAGAGAGTCCAGGCTGGAGTGCAATGGTGCCATCATAGCTCATTGCAGCCTCTGACTCCTTGACTAAAGGGATCCTCCTGCCTGCAGCTCCCAGAGTAGTTGGGACTACAAGGCATGAGACACCACACCGGGTTAATTTTTAATTTTTTTGTAGAAACAGGGCCTCCTTATGCTGCCCAGGCTGGTCTCCAACTCCTGGCCTCAGGCAGTCCTCCTATCTCCCACAGTGCTGGGATTACAGGCCTGAGCCATCCCTCTAGGCTCACTAATCTAATTTTTACTTTCTGTTCTCTCAGCTGGGAAAAGGTTAGTTCTCTTAGTAAAGAGGTGCCTTGGAGGGGATTCTAGAAATGGTTAGAAAGCTCAGCTTCACCTTAAATACAACCAAAGCTACTCAAGTATGTCAGCAAAGAAAGTCTGTTTTTTAAAAGAAGAGTTGGCTGGGTGTGGTGGCTCATGCCTGTAATCCCAGCACTTTGGGAGGCTGAAGTGGGTGGATCACCTGAGGTCAGGAGTTTGAGACCAGCCTGGCCAACATGGCGAAACCCCGTCTCTACTAAAAGTACAAAAATTAGCCGGGAATGGATGGCAGGAGCCTGTAATCCCAGCTGCTCAGGAGGCTGTGGCAGGAGAATAGCTTGAACCTGGGAGGTGGAGGTTGCAGTGGGCCAAGATCCCGCCACTGCACTCCAGCCTGGGCGACAAGAGCGAGACTCTGTCTCAAAAATAAATAAATAAATAAGTAAATAAATAGTTAAGTATGAGATCAGTCTCCCTTCCCCCATCAGTAAATCAAAACAACGATTAGGAGACATATTTTAATAGTTCCAGTAAAAACTCCAGGCTAGGCTGGGCACGGCTCATGTCGTAATCCCAGCACTTTGGGAGACCAAGGCAGGAGGGTTGCTGGAGCCTAGGAGTTCCAGACCAGCTTGGACAATATGGTGAAACCACATCTCAAAAAACAAAAACAAAAAACTCCAGACTATGATCACACAGGCAAATATACAGAGAAGGTAAGGTGAAAGGAGAAGTATGTGTTTGACTACAATTTCAGGGCTGGGGGCAGGCCTGGAATCTAAGCCTTCTTTACCATCTCTGCAACCATCATCATTTGTTGCTGGTAGGATTGGGATTGGCTTCAAGTTTTGGTCCTGTAGATCTGATTGGCTCTGTACCACAGAAGTGGAAAGCTGGGCAAACACATGGGAGTGGGTCCTGGAAAGGGCCTAGTCATACTGGGGCCTCTGGGGTTCCACATCACTGGATGAAGGCAGCCAGGCATTACGACTTTCATAGACTCCAGGTACTTTTAATGGAGCCCCTTTCCTCCATTAAAAAAATACATAAAATTGTACGTTATCTTTATTTTATTTTTTTAGAGATGGGGTCTCTGTCACCCAGGCTAGAGTGCAGTGGTGCAATCATAGCTCACTGCAGCCTCGACCTTGTGCACTCAGGCTATCCTTCCTCAGCTTCCCGAGTAGCTGGGACTACAGGCGCATGTCACCACAACCAGCTAATTATTTTATTTTTTGTAGAGACAGGTCCTCTCTATGTTGCCCAGGGTGGTCTCAAACTCCTAAGCTCAAGTGATCCTCCCGCCTCAGCCTCCCAGTGATGGGATTACAGGCATGTATATATATTTTAAAAATATATTTAAAAAATATATTTTTGGCAAAGCGCAGTGGCTCAAGGCTATAATCTCAGCACTTTGGGAGGCCGAGGTGGGTAGATCACCTGAGGTCAGGAGTTCGAGACCAGCCTGGACAACATGGTGAAACTCCACCTCTAGTAAAAATACAAAATTAGCTGGGTGTGGTGGTGCATGCCTGTAATCCCAGCTACTTGGGAGGCCTAGGCAGGAGAATCACTTGAACCCAGGAGGCGGAGGTTGCAGTGAGCCAAGATTCGCCATTGCACTCCAGCCTGAGCAAAAGAGCAAAACTCCGTCTCTAAATAAATAAATAAATAAAAAATAATTGCATACTTAAAATCTTCTGGCCCTGGCCAGTTGCAGTGGCTCATGCCTGTAGTCCAACATTTTGGGAGGCCAAGGCAGGAGGACTGCTTGAGCCCAGGAGTTCGAGACCAGCCTGGGCAACATAGGGAGACCTCTGTCTCTACAGTGGGTGTGATGGCATGCACCTGCCTCAGCTACCCAGTGAGCTGAGATCGTGCCACTGCACTCTAGCCTGGGTGACAGAGTGAGACCCTGTCTCAAAAAAGAAAACAAAAGAAGAGAAGGAGCCCTCTTCCTTTCTCCGCCATCGTGGTGTGTTCTTGACTCCGCTGCTCGCCATGTCTTCTCACAAGACTTTCAGGATTAAGCGATTCCTGGCCAAGAAACAAAAGCAAAATCGTCCCATTCCCCAGTGGATTCGGATGAAAACTGGAAATAAAATCAGGTACAACTCCAAAAGGAGACATTGGAGAAGAACCAAGCTGGGTCTATAAGGAATTGCACATGAGATGGCACACATATTTATGCTGTCTGAAGGTCACGATCATGTTACCATATCAAGCTGAAAATGTCACCACTATCTGGAGATTTCGACGTGTTTTCCTCTCTGAATCTGTTATGAACACGTTGGTTGGCTGGATTCAGTAATAAATATGTGAGGCCTTTCGTTTTTAAAAAAAAAAAAAAAAAAAAGGAAAGAAAAAGAGAAGGTGAGAAAGAATCTTCCGGCCCTTAAGAGCTCTGTGAAACGTCAGTTTGCTCTGGCCGCTTTCCCATTTTGATCTCGGGCTGGCGTCAGGCCCACTGCAGGATCCCTGGCACCCCAAGAAGCTAACCCAGATGGCGGGAAAAGTGTTCTATTAACCCAGCCAAGTTGGCTCAGTGCATCTCTCCACCTCAGTCTCTGGTGTTGGCTTCCATGCACTCGGGAAAACTGCCCACTTGTCCCCAGGCTTCCAAGGAGGCCCACGTGACTGACTGAGCTCCCAAAAGGTTTTCTTGCACAATAGCCCTCCTGTTTTGGCAGGCTCAGGTGCAAAGGCCTATCGGTCTCCCCAAAGCTGAGAGATGCGAAACCAACACTTGCGAATCAGATTCTGGCCTCTCACTGAGCAGGGAGGTTCTTTCCTCAGGGGAGAGCAGTAATCCCACAGGATCATTTCTTCCTTGAGGAAGAAATAACTGAACTAGCCACTGTTGGGCTACACCTGAGACTGAGTTGTATCTGAGACTAACTGCTTCACGGTGTCCAGCATGCTGGGGATTTATGTGGGGTTTATGGCAGAAGATCCCCACAAGATAATGGGGTGCCATCTTTTCCACACCAGGAAGTGGAATTTGAGAGAAGTTAACTTATTCCTGTGTGGCTCAGATCACCACAGTCCCCCTAAAGAAGCTGTTAAAATTCTATACATGCTGGGTAAAATATTCTTTGTCTACAGTAATGTAAGTGCGTCTCATGATTAGATTAAGGCTTTAATTTTTTTAGGTTTATTTTTAGGGTCTCGCTCTGTCACCCAAGCAGGAGTGCAGTGGTGTGATCATGGCTCACTGCACCCTCAAACCCCTTGGCTTAAGCGATCTGCTAGCCTCCACCTCCTAAAGGGCTGGGATTACAGGCACGAGCCACAATATCTGGCCTTGATTAGGTTAAGGGGTTTTTGTTTGTTTTTTGAGATGGAGTCTCACTCTGTAGCCCAGGCTGGAGTGTAGTGGTGCCATTTTGGCTCACTGCAACCTCTGCCTCTGGGGTTCAAGCAATTCTCCTGCCTCATCCTTTCGAGTAGCTGGGATTGCAGGTAACCACCACACACTGGCCAAATTTTTTTATTTTTATTTTTTTTTATTTTTGAGACAGAGTTTTGCTCTTGTTGTCCAGGCTGGAGTGCAATGGTGTGATCTTGGCTCACGACAACCTCCGCCTCCTGGGTTCAAGTGATTCTCCTGCCTCAGCCTCCTGAGTAGCTGGGATTATAGGCATGCACCACCATGTCCGGCTAATCTTTTGTATTTTTAGTACAGACTAGGTTTCTCCATGTTGGTCAGGCTGGTCTCGAACTCCCGACCTCAGGTGATCTGCCCGCCTCAGCCTCCCAAAGTGCTGGGATTACAGGCATGAGTGACCGTGTCTGGCCCACACCCATCTAATTTTTGTATTTTTAGTAGAGACCGGTTTTCTCCATGTTGGTCAGGCTGGTCTCAAACTCCTGACCTCAAGTGATCCTCCTGCCTTGGCCTCCCGAAGTGCTGGGATTATAGGCATGAGCCACCTTGCCTGGCCAGGTTAAGGTTTTAAATGTTTATTGCATCAGAGCCATAGCTAAATCTTGTTTTCCTGTAAGTATGCCCTGCACACCTGATAGTCAAGTTTTCTCAGAAACCATTGAGGGTGAGAGGGGGTGGGATCAGGGGCAGAAAACTGGAACCTCCACACAGTCCTAGATGATCATGTGGAGTCTGGAACATGCTTTTCACTATTTTGAGTTTTTTCTTCTATGCTGGCTGTGGTGGCTCACGCCTGTAATCCCAGCACTTTGGGAGGCCAAAGTGAGAGGACTGCTTGAGCCTAGGAGTTCAAAACCAGCCTGGCAACATAGTGGGACCCTGTCTCTACAAACAGACAAACAACAACAACAACAAAAAGAGCTGGAAAATAGCTGGGTGTGGTGGCAGGTGCCTGTGGTCTCAGCTACTCAGGAGGCTGAGATGGGAGGGTCGCTTAGGCCTGGGAGGTCGAGGCTTCAGTGAACCGAGATCGTGCCACTGCATTCCAGCCTAGGCAAGAGAGTGAGACCTATCTCAGAAAAATAGAAGTTTTAAAACAAACACATAGTTAATTGTAAGAACGAAATAGTATATTCAGCAGATACTATTCTGAAACAACCAAACAATATTTCTACAAATATAGTAGAAAATGTGTAAGGACATGCATGGGGATGATATATACACACTAGCTTCAGGATGATTTCCTCTGGAGAAGGAAAGGAAAGATGCTTGAGTAATATCTGTTTTAAAAACAGAGGAGTGAGGCAAATGTGGGGAAATGTCAACATCTGTTAAACTCGGGGAGGGTACATGGCCGTGTTATATTACTTTTTTGGATGTGTGAAACCTTTCATAATCCAAATTTTTAATTAAAATTACAAACATTGGGAAAAAATGTCCATCGATAATGGTTGTCTTAGGATACTGGAAATAAAGGAAAATTGTCTAACTTGCTACATGTTCTATAAGACCACCTCTGACGTGTTGTTTAAAACATGACACACTTGCTTGAATGATTTAAAAATGGTAACCATCCGGAGAGTCAGAAGATAACAACAGGGAGCAGAACAGAGAAAACTGACACATTGAACAAGCCTGCCCTGGGTCCGATATACCTATCTTTGGGAGGCAACGATGAAACCTTAACCTAGCCAGCAAAGGTGATTCCCAGTCTATTAATAGAGTCGTCAATTCAAACTCACACTGTTAATCAGCTATAAGGTGGGCAGAGGACTTTCAGGCTAAGCATACCTTACGAGCAGAGATGACGAAGGAGAGCATTGGAGACCCAACAGGAGGCCAAATGAATACTAGTTCAAGGTCAAAGAGGCAATCCCGGCGATTGAAGCAGCGCAGGAAGTGTCCAATGGTGCCGCTATGCCGGGGCGTCGCTTGCACCCGCTCACCCCGACGCGGTGCGAGGCGCCGCCGGAAGGGGCGGAGCGGGTCGAATATGGTAAAAGAGAGCCCGAGCTTCGCGCCTGGGTCTGGAAGAGGTCTTGCGAAAGCCGCCTCGAGCGCGCTCCGCGGCTGCTGGTCCCAGTATGGTCGATGATGCTGGTGCCGCTGAGTCCCAGCGGGGCAAACAGACTCCGGCCCACTCCCTGGAGCAGCTGCGTAGGTTACCACTTCCGCCGCCACAGATTCGCATCCGGCCCTGGTGGTTTCCGGTGCAGGAACTGAGAGACCCTTTGGTGTTCTACCTAGAGGCATGGCTGGCAGACGAGCTCTTTGGTGAGCGACCCCAGGTGTGCTAGTGGGCTGTCCACCTCCAGTCTGAGAGAGGCTTGGCAGAGCAGCTCTCTACAGTCTCTTTCCCAGATTCGCAAGCCAGGAGTGTTGCAGTGATGCCCACCTTCCAGTTCTTCCCTTCCCTGGCCAACATTCCCTTCAAATCCAGCTTCTAACCTGCCACCGTGCAGCCCCTCAGAGTTTTTCCTTACTTGTTTAGGCCCAGACCGAGCCATAATTCCAGAAATGGAGTGGACGAGCCAGGCCCTGCTGACAGTGGACATAGTGGACTCAGGGAACCTAGTCGAAATCACCGTTTTCGGGCGGCCCCGTGTACAGAATCGGGTGAAGAGCATGCTCCTGTGCCTGGCATGGTTTCACCGAGAACATCGTGCCCGAGGTGAGGGTCTTTGAGAACCTGCATGTGGAGGAAGCCACGAGTGACCATACTGGCCTTGCTCGGTTTCCTTCCATCCTCCCTTAACCTTCTCAAAATTTCTTGGTTTCCAGACCCCAGGGAGCTAGCTGTACGAAGTTTGTTGGGAGGGGATCCTGGGGTAGGACCTTGGGAAAGTCAGCAGAGATCTGATAGATTCAGACCCATCACTGCCCAAGTCAGCCTCACCTGGGTTACAGCACTATCGCAGATCTTTCTCTCCTCCCCAACTCCCAGTCACGGAGTAGTTCGAAACAGCAAACACTTGTCCCTGTCCATGGTTAGTATCAACTGCTTCTCTTCCAGCTGAGAAGATGAAACACCTTGAGAAGAACTTGAAGGCCCATGCATCAGACCCCCACTCTCCCCAGGATCCTGTTGCTTAAGACAACATAGTTACTGTTGGGAACATCTTAACTTTCTAACTTTTGCTGCTAAAGTTGAAGAAAAGCAAGTATAGCATTCTTAAATCCCCGTATTCCTTTTTCCTGTGTCTTGATGGATTGTGGTTTATTTTGTTGCAAGAGTGAGTTTGAACTATTCTAATAAAGAAATGGCTATTTTGCCAAAAGCATTAAGATCTTCACACACTTATAATAAAGCAAATTTATAAAAGATTGACTCCCACTCATGTTTTGATATGAAGGGTGGGCAGGTGATAGTTTTGTAGGTTTTTGTTTTTGTTTTTTTTTCCTGAATTCCCATCATTTTGAAACTCCTAATCCTTTTATGATTTTCTGGTCAGAGAGAGGCCCTCACCCACAGGGAGCGGATATGCAGGGGCAGATAACCTCACAAATGGTGATCTGTTTTGTTTTTACATAATTGGTCCTCAAACTTTAAAGCTTGTAAGAAATCACCTTGGGAGCTTGTTAAAACACAATTTCCTTGGCTCCTTCTCCAGAGAATTCTGATTCAGTACTTTTGGGGTGGGGCTTAAAATTTCATTTCTGATGAGCTCACACATACTACTAAAGCAGCTTATCTGAGGCTCTCACTTTGAAGCTGGTAATTGATCCCCCGAAGAGCACCAGCTGTGCGTTTTCCTGGAGTGGGGCATCCATTGGGCAGAGGATGACGTTGCAAGAAGCAAGCCTGGGCGGTCAGCGTTCATTAATGGTAGTTTTCGATTTACCACGGAAGAGCAGGGTTCCCAGGCACCTTGGCTCGTGGATGGCGCCCTGCCTTGGAGCCGGCTGTCTACCTTTTTCTACAAGGCGAGGCTGCACGGGTGTCCGGCATGGGCCAGGTTGTTTTTCCACTACGTGTTGTACTGAAATTACCAATCTCTGCAAAACAGCTCCTATCCTTGCCGCCCCACTTTCTGGAAGTAGAATTTTTGGGGCGAAAGGTGCCAAAAGCCCTGTGGGTTCAAGCACAGTTTGGATTGGTTTGACTCATGGAATTTATTCACTCCTTGGCAATAAAGTATTCTAGCCTTTTGCAAGCGTTTTAAACTCACAAGTCTCTTTAATTGTGCTTTTTTGATTAGAGGTGATGTTGAATATTTTCTTTGTTTCAGTTTTACATTTTTCTTTATTCATTCCTTTTTTTTTTTTTTTTTTTTTTTGAGATGGAGTCGCTCTGTCCCCCAGGCTGGGGTGCAGTGGCGCAATCTCGGCTCACTGTACGCTCCGCCTCCCAGGTTCACCCCATTCTCCTGCCTCAGCCTCCCGAGTAGCTGGGACTGCAGGCGCCCGCCACCATGCCCGGCTAATTTTTTTTTTGTATTTTAGTAGAGACGGGGTTTCATTGTGTTAGCCAGGATGGTCTCCATCTCCTGACCTCGTGATCCGTCCACCTCAGCCTCCCAAAGTGCTGGGATTACAGGCGTGAGCCACCGTGCCCAGCTTTCCTGGTGAGATTTTTATTGTTTATTTTTATTTATTTTTGAGATGGAGTCTCGCTCTGTTACCCAGGCTGGAGTGCAGTGGTGTGATCTCGGCTCACTACAACCTCCGCCTCCCGTATTCAAGCAATTCTTCTGCCTCAGCCTCCCAAGTATCTGGGATTACTGGCATGTGCCAACACACCTGGCTAATTTTCGTATTTTTAGTAGAGACGGGATTTCACTATGTTGCAAGGGTGGTCTCAAACTCCTGACCTCAGGTGATTCTCCTGCCTTGGCCTCCCAAAGTGGTGGGATTAGAGGCGTGAGCCACTGCACCTGGCCCTGGTGGGATTTTTATTTTTATTTATTTATTTTATTTTATTTTTTGAGACAGAGTCTCGCTTTGTCACCCAGGCTGGAGTGCAGTTGCACGATCTTGGCTTACTGCAACCTCCGTCTCCCAGGTTCAAACGATTCTCTTGCCTCAGCCTCCTGAGTAGCTGGGATTACAGGTGCGTGCCACCACGCCCAGCTAATTTTTTGTATTTTTAGTAGAGATGGGGTTTCACCATGTTAGCCAGGATGGTCTCGGTTTCCTGACCTCGTGATCCACCTGCCTCAGCCTCCCAAAGTGCTGGTATTACAGGCGTGAGCCACCGTGCCTGACCCCTGGTGGAATTTTTATAAAACCATTGAACATTTTGGGTTTTTGTTGAGACAGTCTCACTCTGTCACCCAGGCTGGAGTGCAATGGTGCAATCTCGGCTCACCGAAACCTCTGCCTCCCGGGTTCAAGCGATTCTCTTGCCTCAGCCTCCCGAGTAGCTGGGATTACAGGCACCTGCCACCATGCCTGGCTAATTTTTGTATTTTTAGTAGAGAATGGCCATTCTGGTCTCGAACTCGTGCCCTCAACTGATCCACCTGCCTTGGCCTTCCAAAGTGGTGGGATTACAGGCATAAGCCACTGCACCTGGCCCATTAAATATTTTGTTATTGGGGAAAAAGGGGTAAGCTTAAAACTTATTCTAATTTTTCCAAAAATACTGTATGATCCTAAACTCCTTCCATCCTTTGTACACATTAACATATATTGAAGTCCTAATCCCCAGTACCTCAGAATATGACTATATTTGGGCAATATTTGAAATCTTTGACTCTCAAGACTCTTGGCATAGGGCAACCTCTCCTGTTCCTCCATGCTGGGCAGCTGGCTTGGCTTGATGGCATCTATAATTCCAGCATGATATAGAGTTTCCATTTACTGGGTGTTTAGAGAAAGAAGCAGCCATATGAATAGGTGAAACTTAAAGTGTCAGTTCCGGGAAAGATGTTCATAGATATTTTGGATATGAGTTGAAAAGGTTGTGAGGGCCGGACATGGTGGCTCAGGCCTGTATTCCCAGCACTTTGGGAGGCTGAGACAGGTGTTGACCAGCCTGGCCAACATAGTGAAACCCAGTCTCTACTACAAATAAAAAAAATCAGCCAGGTGTGGTGGTGGGCGCCTGTAATTCCAGCTGCTCGGGAGGCTGAGGCAGGAGAATTGCTTAAACCCAGGAGGTGGAGGTTGCAGTGGAATGCCGTTGCATTCCAGCCTGGGTGACAGAGTGAGACTCCATCTCAAAAAAAAAAAAAAAAAAAAAAGAGTAGACTTGCCCTCTTAAATATTAAAACAGTCTATAAAGCTACTTAATTAAAATGGGGGTAGATATCAGAAAAAGTAGAAAAGTTACACATGAACATAAAATAGATTGGTAACACTGAGTTTGGGCAAGGACAGTGAAAACAGCTTGTAAAGGAGAGAACCTGACATTCTGGTAAGGTGGGTATTACACAGAGAAAGACAACATACACATTAAGTTTTAGCTCTGCTCTGATGTAGCCTCATTTGAAACTGATTTTGTGTTGATTTTGAATTTAAAGTGTTCTAAAGTTCTTCTAAAATTAGTCAACTATTTTAATAAAATGATTAGCGGTTAAAAGTTGCTAATAAGTTATTGTAAATTCAGCTTTATGTGGTAATTCCCTTATTGTAAGATACATGATTATTTTAAACTGGAGTGATAATTAGCGGTGACAAAAAGAGTCTGATAGACATTCACCTTATATTTAAAGTTAGCTTTGAACTTTTAAAAATTACTAGTGATTGGCCGGGCGTGGTGGCTCATGCCTGTAATCCCAGCACTTTCGGAGACCCAGGCGGGTGGATCACCTGAAGTCAGATCAGCCTGGCCAACATAGTGAAGCCCCTTCTCTACTAAAAACACAAAAATTAGCTGGGCGTGGTGGCGCGGGCCTGTAGTCCCAGCTACTCGGGAGGCTGAGGCAGGAGAATCGTTTGAACCCAGGAGGCAGAGGTTGTGTTGAGGCGAGATCGAGCCGTTGCACTCCAGCCTGGGCCACAGAGAGAGATTCTGTCTCCAAAATAAAATGAAGATTACCAGTGATTCTTGGTTGGTTAAAAAAAAAAAAAAAAAAAAAAAAAATCCTAATTATAGAATTACTGCGTGCTATTGTTTAATCCTAGCACCCAGCTGTTGGCTTGCATCCTTCTAGATTAATTCGCAGGCTCAGGGACCTGCATCCCAGCGCCCTGACCAAAGCTGTGACCCTAGGGAAGCCAAAGTGTTCTCTGCTGGGGCTTCTCGCTGCCATAGTAACTGAGGAAAGAGTAGCCGATGCCTGTATCTTGCTGGTGTCCACGACCTTCGTGGAAGGTGGGTGACCCAAGCAAGACCTGAAGACTGCAACAGTGCAGCCCAAGAGTGCAGCTCGGGTCTCTTCGTTTCCCCCTTCCCCGATGTCATTTTCCCCAGCTGAGAAAGTGTTCTGTGACAGAGTAGCAATACACCCAGGGCCTTCCAAATCCAGCTGGCCCCCAAGCGACCCAGTTTTCTCATCCCAAGTCACCTTGAGTAGAACGACAGCGGGCTTGGAGAGATTTCCTAGTGGGCCAGAGAGGCTTCTCACCTGTTAAAGCCAGATGCGCGCGGTTAAGGAGTACAAGGGGCACACCGGACCACAGCCGGGGAAGATGGCCACCTCGGGCGGCTAGGAACCACAGGCCCCACCTGCCTCGAGGTAGAGGGCTGCGCAGGGCAGAACTGGGCTGTTGGAGGAATGCGCCTTTCCCTCCCCTCTACCTTCCAAAATACAGACGTTAGGGAAATGCAATTATTTATTAGAACTCAAGTTTGTGTTGGCAACCATTCAACAGAAGGTGTAAAACAAAAACAATCCACATCATCCTTCCTCGCCACCCCAGCTTCCTGGACTTAAGTGAGGCGGGGGGGAGGCGGGGGGCGGGCTTCCACTTTGCAATTCTTTATTAGAACTCAAGTTTGTGTTTGCAACCATGCAACAGAAAGGGTAAAACAAAAAATCCACATCCTCTCCCCAACCCCAGCTTCTGGGCGGAAATACGGGCTTTCACTTTAACCCCTGACTGGCTCTGGCTCCAGGGCCTGAGATGCCTTCATAATCTAGTAACTGGGTCCCGGGCATCCTCGCGAAACCGCTGGGTCACTGCCTTGCTGGCAGCTTCGGGGGATCGCTGGGTCCCCGACTTGTTGGCAGCCTGGAGAGACTGCTGGGTCCCGGCCTCCTGCACCTCCACCGGAGAACCCTGTGTCCCGACCTCCTGGACTTCCACCGAACGCTGGGTCCCGGCCTCCCGGACCTCCACCGAACGCTGCGTCCCGGCCTCCCGGACTTCTATTGAAGACCGCTGGGTCTCGGCCTTCTGAGTGGCGACATCCTGGGCGAGGGCCTTTCCTGAGCCTGGAAGAAGAGCAGTGTGCAGAGGCCACAGCTGTGTCTCTATATCCTCTCCAAAAAAGGACAGTCACCCAAGCGGCCTGCGGGAGTAGGAGCCAGAAATCCCAGAACGAGGGTTCAATTTGGCCTTCTGGATCCGTGGCAGCGAGAACCGCCCCCTCCCCCACCCACCAACCGCAGGCCGACTGGGAGGGCGAGACTGCCGCCCCAGCAGCCAGGAAACCCCAGGATCACTCCTACGGAGCCAGGGTTTGCTCCAGGTAGCCCTATTCCCAGCCCCGTACCTTTCGCCTGGAGCTGGCGGTGATAGTCAGCCAGGTTCATGATCATCTTGATTGTGTCCTCCTGGTAAGAAGGCCTCCCAAATACCAAGATCTCAGCCTCGCCGTTAGGGTCCAATCGATTCACGTGAATCAAGATTTGGGACATACCCTGGACGTGCGGGATGCGTTCTCCGCCCCGGCCTGCGCGGGTAGCAGAGAGGCTGTGAGGGACCGGTGGCTCCCGGGGGTCTTGGGAGGGGAAGGTGGAAGGAGGAGACAGCCAGAGGGCATTGGCTACTGGTGAGGATCGCCCTGGAACGCAGCCAGAATATGTGGGCTGTGGGTATGGGTGGCAGAAAGAAGCCGCATGGGGGCTGCCCCTTCTTGGTCCACTCACCGAAGATCTTTTCCACCAGCCAAACCTCAAGGCGAACTACCTTCGGATTCTTCAGGAACTCAGAGTGGAACCAGGAGAACCGCTTAGGGAGGTGACCGAGCACCTCCACTGGCATTGCTTTTGGCTGCATCAGTTGCACGAGCGTCGGAAACCGCCTGGGAGCGTCCATGCTGCGGCCGGTCCTGCAGGAGACAAGGACACCACAGCAAACCCAAAGGCCGAGCTGGAGCTGGGAGACTAGAACCGCGGTTCTGCCTGGGCCTTATTTCAAGGGCTTTTGGCCAGCCCCTCCTCTCTAGCCGCGCCCTTCTTATTGGGTCCCAGGCCTCGCCTCCGCCTCCAGGAGCCCCGGCTTCTTCCGAGGCCGCCCAAGTGCACCGGTTCCTGGGCTGCTCTTAGAGTGTCCCTTCTGTCAGGAGCAGCCCTTTTCCCAGCGCACCCGGTAGGAGGAACCGGGCTCTGGGCACCAGGAATCCGCTGGTGCCCAGCGGGAGTCTTAACCATGGACTCAGGAAGGCGTGGGCAAGCCCAGTATCTCTCCCAGAGGAAAGAACTAATACTTGCAGAATGAATACTTCATAGGTCCCTCACGCGCTTCTGATCCCTGGCCACTACGTTTCCTCCCTCTGGACCAGGTTTTCAGATTATTCTGTCACTTGCCTGAGACTGCTGAGTACAGAGCAGAATAAGCGCCCGCCTTTTTTCTTTCTTTTTCTTTTTTTTTTCTGTTATAGGGTCTGTGTAGTGAGATTTGCATAGTAAAAAAAAAAAATGGATAGAAAAAAAGTTATGGGGCCTGGCTATGTTGCCCAGGTTGGCTTCGAACTCCAGGGCTCAAAAAAATCCTCCCTCTTTAGCCTCCCCAGTAGTGGGACTATAGCACGCTTTTAATTAATGCAGCCATGAACACACCTAACCACAGATAGTTCTCGTGGTTTGGACACAAGATGAGATTCCTTGAAAATTTTTGACATCTCTATTCTCTTTTTTATTTTTAATTTTTAAAATTTGCTGCAGGGTCTCTCTGTGTCACCCAGGCTAGGGGGCGGTGGTGTGATTATAGCTCACTGCAGCCTCCATCTCCTGGGCTCAAGAGATCCTCCCTCCTCAGCTCCCCCAGTAGCTGGGACTACAAGCTCCCGACACCATGCCCAGTGATGCCTCTGTTCTCTAAATAACACAATTATATTTGTCTCTTTCTTCCTTCCTTTCTTTTTTCCTTTCCCTTTTCCTTTCCTTTCTTTTCCCCTTCCCTTTCTGACAAGGGTTCGTTATGTTGCCCAAGCTGGTCTCAAGCAATCCTTCTGGCCTGGGCAAAATGATAAAACCCTATCCCTACAAAAAATACAAAAATTAGCTGGACTAGGTGGCACGCACCTGTAGTCCCAGCTACTCGGAAGGCTGAGGTGGGACAATCCCTTGATCCCAGAGAGGCTGAGTCTACAGTAAGCAGTGATGGTGCCTCTGCACTCCCCCCTGGGTGACAGAGTGAGACCCTGTCTCAAAAATAATAATAATAATAACTGTTTTAGATGTGTTGCTATAAGACAAATTATAATTTATAATTTATTTTTATTCAGTATTGAAACACTGAAGAGAACTTCAGGTTTGCCACATTAATAGGCCGAATGTATATATTCAGACCATGCCCAACCGGCTGAATATATTTCATATGTAGGAATGATTTAGTAGTTGGGAAATTCTTACTTGCTAATTGAGATGATTAAAGTACTTTGCAAAACAACAAGAAAAAAAAAAACCATTAAAAATGGGGCAAAGCCGGGCACAGTGGCTCACGCCAGGAGTTCTAGACCAGCCTGGCCAACATGGCGAAATCCTGTCTCTATTAAAAATACAAAAATTAGCCGGGCATGGTGACGGGCACCTGTAATCCCAGCTACTCAGGAAGCTGAGGCATGAGAATCGCTTGAACTCCTGAGGCGGAGGTTGCAATGAGCCGATATCAGGCTACTGAACTGCAGCCTGCTGGATAGAGCGAGACTGTCTCCACAAAACAAACAAACAAAACTGGGCAAGGAGCATGAAGAGATATTTCTCAAAAGAAGAAATACAGGCAGCCTACAAACACATGAAAAAATGCTCCGCATCACTAATCAGAAGAGGAATGCAAATTAAAATCACACCGATATACCATCATACACCAGTCACAATGACTTTTATTAAAAACTCAAAAAACAGGGCGGGCATGGTGGCTCATGCCTGTAATCCCAGCACTTTGGGAGGCTGAGACGGGTGGATCACAAGGTCAGGAGTTAAAGACCAGCCTGGCCAACATGGTGAAACCCCATCTGTACTAAAAATACAAAAATTAGCCGGGCGCAGTGGCAGGTGCCTGTAATCCCAGCTACTTGGGAGACTGAGGCGGGAGAATTGCTTGAACTTAGAGGGTGGAGGTTGCAGTGAGCTGAGATTGAGCCACTGCTCGCCAGCCTGGGTGACAGAGTGAGACTCCGTCTCAAAAAAAAAAAAAAAAGTCAAAAAACAGGCCGGGCGTGGTGGCTTACACATGTAATCCCAGCAATTTGGGAGGCCAAGGCGGGCGTATCACCTGAGGTTAGGAGTTCAAGACCAGCCTGGCCAACATGGTGAAACCCCATCTCTACTAAAAATACAAAAATTAGCGAGATGTGGTGGCAGGGGCCTGTAATCCCAGCTACTCGGGAGACTGAGGCAGGAGAATTGCTTGAACCCGGGAGGCAGAGGTTGCAGTGAGCCAAGATCGTGCCATTGCACTCCAGCCTGGAGGACAGAGCAAGACTCTGTCTCGGAAAAAAAAAAAAAAGAAATAAAAAATGTCAAAAAACGACGTAGAAGTCCGGGCACAGTGGCTCACACCTATAATCCCAGCACTTTGGGAGGCCGAGGTAGGCGGATCACGAGGTCAGGAGTTTGAGAGCAGCCTGACTAACATGGCGAAATCCCTTTCTACTAACAACACAAAAATTAGCTGGCCGTGGTGGCTGGCGCCTGTAATCCCAGGTACTCGACAGGCTGAGGCAGGAGAATCGCTTGAACCTGGGAGGCGGAGGTTGCGATGTGCCCAGACTGCGCCATTGCACTCCATCCTGGGCGACGGTGCGAGACTCCCTCTCAACAAAAAAAGAAAAAGAAAAAGAAAAAAGAAAACACACACACACAAACAAAAAAAAAAAAAACAAAAAACGACGGGGCACGGTGGCTCAAGCCTGTAATCCTAGTACTTTGGGAGGCTAGGATTTATATATCTACCACTATCTTTCACCCTCTTCCAACCCAGGTAAGCTGGGACTTAACTATGTGCATCAGACCTAGATCATCTTAAAACAGAGATATGATTTTGTTAGATCAATATTCAGTGTTCGCACTATTACGACTTTGTAAACTATTCATAGTTGTATATACTATGATTTCTTTTCTTGACAAAGTTTTGTTTTTCTAGATATTGATAATGGATTTATTTATTTATTTATTTTTGATGAGACAGCATCTCACTCCGTCACCCAGGCTAGCGTGCAGTGACCCATCATAGTTCACAGCAGCCTCCAACTTCTGGGTTCAAGTGATCTTCCCACCTCAGCTTCCTAAGTAGCTAAGATCACGGGCATGTGCCATCACAACTAATTTGTTTTAATTTTTTTTTTTAGGACAGGCTGGTCTTTTTTTGTTTTTGTTTTTGTCTTTTTTTTTTTGAGATGGAGTCTCGCTGTGTCAACAGGCCGGAGTGCAGTGGTGCAATATCGGCTCACTGCAACCTCCACCTCCTGGGTTCAAGCGATTCTCATGCCTCAGCCTCCCGAGTAGCTGGGATTACAGGCATCCGCCACCAAGCCCAGCTAATTTTTGTATTTTTAATAGAGATGGGGTTTCATCATGTCTCAGTGCCTGCAACATGGCCACTATATGCCCAGGATGGTCTCGAACTCCTGGGCTCAAGCGATTCTCCCACCTTAGCCTCCCAAAGTGTTGGGATTACAGGCATGAGCCACGGAACCCAGCCTTATTTCTTTAATATGTATTTTTTCCCAATCTTCGTGAATATTTACCTTGTATGGTATCTTTTACTTGTGCTAGTAATGCTATTGAAATCAGTATCCTTCTACATGTCATTTCTTACAAGGGGGAGTATAACTATAGGATGAAATTTCAAATGTAGAATTGCTGAGTCAAAGGATCTGTAAATTTCCAATTGATAAGGTATTGCCAAATGGCATCCCTCCGAGGTCGAACCAACCTATATACTCACCAGCCTTGTTGCTAACATTATAATATGATAAACATTGACATTAATTTTGGATAAAAGCAATGCATATGCTTTTAAAAGCAATGCATATGCTTTTAAGTGTTCCACCTTTCTAAAAAGTCATTATTTGGAAATGCAAGTACCGATGGGTGGCAAGCAGAGCCCATGCAATGGCCAGATGTCCTCTAAGACACTTGCTGCAACCCAGACCTACAGCAGAAGTGATCTTTAACATTTGGTTATAAAAATTTTCTCCAGGGCTGGGCGTGGTGGCTCACACCTGCAATCCCAGCACTTTGGGAGGCTGAGGCTGGACGATTGCTTGAGGCTAGGAGTTCTAGACCAGCCTGGGCAATATAGGGAGAGCCTATCTCCATAAAAACTAAAAAATTAGTCATGCATGGTGGCGCATGCCTGTGGTCTCAGCTACTTGGAAGACTGAGGTGGAAGAATCGCTTGAACCAGGGAGGCCAAAGCTGCAGTGAGCCGAGATCACCACACTGTACTCAACCTGGATAACAAAGTGAGACATTGTCTCAAAAACAAACAAATAAATAAATAAATAAATAAATAAATAAATAAAACTTTTTCTTCAAATAATTTGTTGAAATAACTCAAGTCTTCAAGGTTTAACTTTCCAAATGTTGGCTCATAGCTGCACTGAAATTCCGGCCTTCAGTATCCTAGCAAAAATCCCCCTTTCCAAGATGTTGAGGTGTATTGGAGAAACCACCATTTTGAACAACAGAAACCGAGCTCAGATCGAAGTAGACTGAGGGCAAGGCAGGCATCCCTAGGGACCAGGTAGAACCCAACTGGAGAGGAAGATGACACATTCAACATGCTGTGGAGGAGGGAGAGTGGATTTTATCCAGGATCACATGGGATAAATGCAAGGACAGGCTCAAGTTTCCCACATGCAGCATTTCTCAATCCCATTTTCCTTGGCAAGAGTTCTTTCCTTGGCAAGGTCGGGAGTTCGAGAGCAGCCTGACCAACATGGAGAAACCCCATCTCTATTAAAAATATAAAATTTGCTGGGTGTGTGGTACATGCCTGTAATCCCAGCTACTCAGGCAGGAGAATCACTTGAACCCGGGAGGCAGAGGTTGCAGTGAGCTGAGATCGTGCCATTGCACTCCAGCCTGGGCAACAAGAGCGAAACTCTGTCTAAAAAATATAATAAAATAAAAAAAAATTAGCTAGGCATGATGAATTATGTACATATAAAAGAGTTTTGGATTAGATACTTAGAAAGTTGTAGGAAACCATCTAGAGCAACACTGTCCAACTGAAATAGAATGAGAGACAAATAATACTAACTTTCTCATAGCCTCGGTAGAAAAAAACATGTGAAATGAATTTGAATATTATATCTTAGGAAACCATCTAGAGCAACATTGTCCAACTGAAATAGAATGAGAGACAAATAATACTAACTTTCTCATAGCCTCGGTAGAAAAAAACATGTGAAATGAATTTGAATATTATATCTTATTTACTTTAATATATCCAAAATATTATCATTTTGGCTGGGCACAGTGGCTTGTGCCTGTAATCCCAGCACTTTGGGAAGCTGAGGTGGGCGGATCCCTTGAGTGCAGGAGTTTGAGCAGGAGTTTGAGACCAGCCTGGGCAACATAACGAGACCCTGTTTTTTTTTTTTTTTGAGACAGGATCTCACTCTGTCACCCAGGCTAGAGTGCAATAGCGCAATCTTGTCTCACTGCAACCTCCACCTCCTGGGCTCAAGCAGTTCCTTGTGGCTCAGTCTCCCCATTAGCTAGGACTACAAGCATGCACCCCCACAACTGGCTAATTTTTGTCTTTTTTGTAGATACGGGGTTTCATCATGTTGCCCAGGCTAGTCTTGAACCCCTGAGGTCAGATGATCCGTCAGCCTTGGCCTCTCAAAGTGCTGGGATTACAGGCATGAGCCACCCCGTCCAGCCAACAAGACCCTGTCTTAACTGAAAAAAAATTTAAGAAAAGGAAAAACCAAAATATTATAATTTTAACATATAATCAGTCTAAAATTATTAATGAGAATATTTAAATTTTTGGTATTAATGTCATCAAAATTTTACATGTAGCTTACACTTACAGCATATCTCAAATCAGACTAGACACATTTCCAGTCCTCATGTGACTAGTGACTTTTGTATTGGACAGTGCAGGTCCGGAGTGACTTTTCTTGAAATGCAAAGGAAGGTACCATGGAATAACATGTTTAGGAATAAGTAAGGTATACAGAAATAGAAGTGAGGGTTGCTTTTCATAAGAGTCTGGGTCACAGGAAAAAGGGAGCTTGGGCTGCAGGTGGAATGGGAGATGGGAAATTGAAAGTTTATTATGACTGGGTGTAGTGACTCACACCTGTAATCCCAGCACTTTGGGAGGCTGAGGCAGGCAGATCAGGAGGTCAGGAGTTCGAGACCAGCCTGGCCAACATGGTGCAACTCCATCTCTACTAAAAATACAAAAATTAGCCAATGTGGTGGGGGGTGCCTGTAATCCCAGCTACTCAGGAAGCTGAAGCAGGAGAATTGTTTGAACCCGGGAGGCAGAGGTTGCAGTGAGCTAAGATTGTGCCCTGTACTCCAGCCTGGGTGACAGAGCAAGA
This sequence comes from Homo sapiens, assembly GCF_000001405.40. Classification (NCBI taxonomy): domain Eukaryota; kingdom Metazoa; phylum Chordata; class Mammalia; order Primates; family Hominidae; genus Homo; species Homo sapiens. Next base: position 73,356,035 of record NC_000006.12, on the reverse strand, counting down.
CTCCATATATATATATTTGATTATTTGGCCAGGTGTGGTGGCTCATGCCTGTAATCCCAGCAGTTTGGGGGGCCGAGGTGGGCAGATCACTTGAGGTCAGGAGTTCGAGTTCGAGACCAGCCTGGTCAACATGATGAAACCCTGTCTCTACTAAAAATACAAAAATTAGCCGGGCATGGTAGCTGGCACCTGTAATCCCAGCTACTGGGGAGGCTGAAGCAGAACCGCTTGAACCCGGGAGGTGGAGGTTGCAGTGAGCAGAGATCGCGCCACTGCACTCCAGCCTGAGCAATAGAGTGAGACTCTGTCTCAAAAAATTTAAATTTAATTTAAAAAATAATAAAAATAAAAACAAAGAAACCCAATTCACTCTACATACTTTAGCATGTTTCTCCTGAGAATAATGACCTTATCTTACATAACTGTAGTACACTTATCCCACTCTAGAAGTTCTAAACTTTAGAAGTTTCTAATACTACTTTGAAATATAGGGCATATTAAAATTTCCTTCATTGTCCTGAAATGCATCCCCCATCTTTGATTCAGAATTATTTGAACTATGCACACAGCATTTAGTGTCTTAGTCAATTAATAAAACAGTCCTCTTTTTGTTTTTCAGATATTGAACCAGAAATCCATTTGTCCCATTATTGGTGATGCTAACTTGGGTCAAGGTGGCTTCTTCCAAGTCTCTACTGTAAAGGAATGTTTTTTTCTCCTTTGCAATTCATAATCTGTGCCTAGGGCTTCCAAACTTGTGACTATCTAGTTCCTCAACAGTCTTCATCTGATAGTTTTAGCTATTGATGATCATTTTCTAAATTAACTACACTGGTGGTTGCAAAAGAACCCATTGTGTGTGTGTGTGCGTGCGTGTGTGTGTGTGTGCGTGCGTGTGTGTGTGAAGAGGTCTGCCTTAAGAAACCCTCAATAATGGACAGCTGAGGGGACATTAGATGTTACCAGGACTGGAAATGCCAGCTTAATCACCATCTGTAAAGCCATAAAACAGTGAAATCACACTCTCATCGAGTGACTCCAGTGCATCGCTCCAAACACTATGTTTAAAAAACGAATAAACCAAATTTATTTACAGAGGAGCCAGAAGCCTGGACCGGTTTTGGCTGGAGTGCGCAGGCAGGGCACAGGTGAGCTTTATAATCCGGGTAGGTTCAAAGACTCTAGAGCCAGGGGCTTCGAAGAACGCTAATCCCTTTAGGTAAGATAATCAGTTTCCGAATTTCGGTTTTCTCTTTTGTTCAATGGCAAGAGTTCCTCCAGAGTTCCCGGGACGTTGTCCGGGTCGCCAGCAAAGTGGAGCCGCGGGTCCTGCTCCTTAAGGCCGAGGGGATACGGACCCTTCTTTGGAACGTGTGAGGCAGGAACTCGATTCGGCAGCTACTGGGTGGTCCTCGCACCCTCAAGCCTGGACGCCCGCTTTCCGAGGTTCAGGTCCCACCGGTTGTTCCCTAGAGGAAGAGGCAAGAGCACCTTGCCCCCAGCCATTCCCAAGCCCATGGGATTCTGGTGCGAAAGACACAGGTCAATGCAGGTGGAAACCCTAGTTAACTTGGAGACAGCTGGGCCCGGGTGAGGCTCTCCCGAAGTCGCGGGAAGCGGAAGAGTTGGCAACCTGCTGGACCGCAGCCAGGGCGGCGGGGCATGGACTCAGGGTCCTGGCCCGGGCCGGGGGCGGGGCCTGGCCGGGGGCGGGGCCACCAGGTGCGAGGCTTTATCGCCCCTGAGCCTCGGCCGGCGTGATTAGGCCTGGTTTGCGCTGGAGAGTGGTCTTGGTTGTGAGGGTCATAAGATGGGAACTCTCCCGGCACGTAGACATATCCCGCCGTGGGTGAAAGTTCCCGAAGACCTGAAAGATCCAGAGGTGTTCCAGGTCCAGACGCGGCTGCTGAAAGCCATTTTCGGTGAGTGTGCCCAGTACTGGCGGGCTGCCCCGGCTCGGGAGTCTCAGCCGGCCCGGGGATCTCATCTCTTTTCCCCAACAGGCCCGGACGGATCTCGAATCCCTTACATCGAGCAGGTGAGCAAGGCCATGCTCGAGCTGAAGGCTCTGGAGTCTTCAGACCTCACCGAGGTCGTGGTTTACGGCTCCTATTTGTACAAGCTCCGGACCAAGTGGATGCTCCAGTCCATGGCTGAGTGGCACCGCCAGCGCCAGGAGCGAGGTGAGAGGCCCAGAGACTGGGTACGCGGAACACAGGCTCGCGGGGGCCGCTTCGCGCCTCTCCTCCAGCCCTCTCCTCTTTCTCCTCTCTTGCTCGCTGCCAGCACCTTGGGCGTCACCAGGGGTGCCCTTGGCATCTGGGCCTTCCCAAGACCCCTTTGGGAATGGGGGCCCCAGAATGCCGGCCGTCGGTCTTGGAGACCCAGGGGTGAGACTATGGTGAAAGGCGGCTGGTGCTGGACCCACTGGGCAGGGTTATCTGAGCTATCTCAACCGTCTCCCCGCCCCCTTCAGTTTCTTGGAGAATGTTCGAATGGGCCGAGTAGTCTCGGGTTCCAAGGTTCTGGGCCTGACTCTCAGGCCCAGAACGCCTGGATCAGAAGTCCCAGAAACGAACCCTGAAAGAGGCGGAGAACAGTCCGGGCGCTTACTATTTTCCCCCAGACTCACGCCGCTGTTGCTATTTCTGGTGCAGGGATGCTCAAACTTGCCGAAGCCATGAATGCCCTCGAACTAGGCCCTTGGATGAAGTGAACCAGTTTCCAGCCAATGCAATGAAGCCGGGTTGCAGAGATTAGGTTGTGGCCAGAGCTAGAGTGATTCCTTAAGCTTGTTTTAAAATCTGCTCCAGCCTAAAGAGTTAAGGGAAAACCATTTGTTCCCTTAAAGAGTTAAGGGAAAACCCTTGGCTCTGAGTCTTGTTGTGAATATTTCTTTGATGATTGTTAATAAAAAGTGTTTTTTCTTTTTTCCCATTTTTAAAAATAACAATAAAGTTTTAAATAAGTTGATAGTTCAGTGTGGTTGATGGATTGTAGGTACTACCTTAAATATCTCTGAAGCACAGCTGAAGTGTGGCCCTGAGCTTAACCCTTAATTGAAATCCTCCAAAGACAAAATGAGGGTCCAAAGGCACACTTGGCTAGTGTCAAAAAGGGTGGAGGAGCCAGGGTCCTGAGATGCAGCACTGAACTAAAAACCTATGGGAGATGTGATGATTGTCTCAAGTGACCTGGACTCACTTGAAAACAACCCTATAATAGGTTGACATTTTGTATATAAGCTGAAAAGCAAATGTGTCCAACAAAAATATGGGAAGTCAGAACCATTGTTAGTGTAGCATGTTTTGTGTGTGTTTTTTGTTTGTTTTCTTTTCTTTTCTTTTTTTTTTTGGAGACGAGTTTTTCTCTTGTCACCCAGGCTGGAGTGCAATGGAGCGATCTTGGCTCACTGCAACCTCCTCGACCCCCCTCCCCCGCCCCCACCCCTTTCAAGCAATTCTCCTGCCTCAGCCTCCCGAGTAGCTGGGATTATGGGTGAGTAGCTGGGATTATGGGTGAGTAGCTGGGATTACAGGTGTGAGCCACCGTGACTGGCCAAAATCTCAGATTTTCAAAGGGTTTTGCTCTCTTCTCCCAGGTGGTCCATACTCAGGGGAGATCCTCTCCTCTACAGTCTGCTTAACCTGCTTTATTTTTTCTTTATGGCATTTATAAACTCGACCGATAGTGTTAACTGGTCATTTTCCTCCTCTCTACTCCTAAGATTTAAACCCCAACAAGGCAGGGACATTGATTTTTTTGTTGTTCTTAAGAGGGGCAATATGGTATAGTACATAGTGGTTAAGGATAGTGTTGTAAGAAACGGACAGCAGCTAGAATACCTGGGTTTGAATCTTAACTCAGCTACTTATTAGCTGGGGAACCAGGCATATGTTAGCCTTTGTGCTTCAGTTCTCCACCTGTAATATGGGGATAATTATATCTACCTCATTGGGTTGCAGTGAGGATTAAATGAGATAAGACTATGTCCTAAATCTGCGAAGTATTAAAACAATGTCTGACACAATGGGCATTATTTCTTGAATGTATGAATAATAGGCTACTCTTCCTCTACTGCAGGACTGGAGTAGACTCCTGTATTACAGGTTCTGAGGGAGGAGGGACTCCAGCTTCCAGTCCTATCCTCTAAGGTTCTCATCATTGAAGACTCAGAGGGAGGGCCATGAAAGTCTTGTAAATGCATTGTTTTTCTACCCCCTGGAAGTCCTGGGTGCAGTTTCTGGGACCATTAGATGCCATACCACTTGTGGGTCCCTGAGAAGACAAAGGCACATTTGGCATGCTATTGAGCTTTATTTGGAGTGGAGACCAAGGGATCAGTCACGTACCCTATTGGCATTTTTACCCTCCCCCGTCCCAGCCCTGAGACCTGTGGCTGGAAGGTCCTAGACCACTCAGCCTGGCTCCTGCTCAAGATTTTGAAGGAAGGCCAGGCGTGGTGGCTCACGGCTGTATTCCCAGCACTTTGGGAGGCCAAGGTGGGTGGATGACGAGGTGAGGAGTTCGAGACAACCTGGCCAACATGATGAAACCCCCGTCTCTACTAAAAATACAAAAATTAGCTAGGCGTTGTGGCGGGTGCTTGTAGTCCCAGCTATGTGGAAGTCTGAGGCAGGAGAATCGCTTGAACCTGGGAGGCTGAGGAAGACCGTGCCACTACACTCCAGCCTGGGTGACAGAGAAACTCTGTCTCAAAAAAAAAAAAAAAAAAAAAAAAAGAATTATCTGGGCACAGTGGCACATGCTTGTAGGCCTAACTACTCAAGAGGCTGAGGCAGGAGGTTCGCTTGAGTTCAGGAACTTGGGGTTACAGTGAGCTATGATCGTACCAGTGTACTCCACCCTGGGCGAAAGGAAACTGTCTCAAAAAAAAAAAAATCTAAAATGATAGAAGTCTCCCTCCTATCTCATTTCATATCATACATTTCCTACTTCCCAAAAATAAGCAATATTTTCTTGAATGTCCATTCAAGAGTTTTTAAAAAATATAAGGAATTATACGTGTAGATTATTTTCCCTCCTTTACAGCTGGGTATTATTCAATTTAATTCTCTACAAAATGACTTTTGAGTTTATTCCCAATCTTTTGCTTTTACAAAGATGAGATGAATACTTTGAATAACTTTTTTTTTTTTTTTTGAGACAGTTTTGCTTTTGTCACAGGCTGCAGTGTAATGGCGTGATCTTGGCTCACTGCAACCTCTGCCTCCTGGATTCAAGCGATTCTCCTCCCTCAGCCATCTGAGTAGGTGGGATCACAGGTGTGGGCCACTACGCCCTGCTAATTTTGTATTTTTAGTAGAGATGGAGTTTCACCATATTGGCCAGACTGGTCTCCAACTCCTGACCTCGGGTGATCCACCCGCCTTGGCCTCCCAAAGTGCTGGAATTAACGGTGTGAGCCACTGTGCCCAAAACAATACCACTGTTTTGCAAGTCTGCCAGTAGTATGTCTGTAGGTTAAATTCCCAGAGGGAGAATTGCTGGTCCAAAGGGGAAAAACATAATTTTGCTAAATATTATCATAGAGATTGCCTATTTCCCCATTGCCTCACCCTTTTTTGTTGAATCTGATGAAGTTTCCCTGTCTTTTGTGCTGATAGCTTGAATTTGCTTTATGGACTAACAGTTGGTTGTTAGCACCCTCAGATGACCCTCATCTAGTGCACCCTTCAGAGAATCAGTTGGCCATGAAAGACTCTATGTGGGAATGTAGACCAGATACTTTTGAAACCCCAATTCTGCAGTGTAAATCAAGCACATAAAACTAACAGCCTTGTCCTTTAAGTCTAGAATTCTTTCTCTCTCTCTCTTTTTTTTTTTTGGAAACAGAGTCTCTGTCACTCAGCTGGAATGCAGTGGCATGATCTCGGCTCACTGCAGCCTCTGCCTCCCAGGTTCAAGTGATTCTCTTGCCTCAGCCTCCCCAGTAGCTGGGATCACAGGCATGCACCACCATGTCCAGCTTTTTTTTTTTTTTTTTTTTCTTCAGTATTTGTAGTAGACATGGGTTTTCACCATGTTGGCCAGGCTGGTATTGAACTCAATATCTTAAGCGATCCACCTGCTTTGGCTTCCCAAAGCTCTGAGCGTACAGGTATGAGACACCGTGCCTGGCCTAGAGTTCCCTCTTAAAGGCAGAGTTTCTAAATGCAGAAAACTTTGAGTAGGTATCAATTATGGTAGCAAAAGAGGGAAATTTAAGAATCTGCCATAAATTCCATGCAAGTCCTGGACTGAAAATTTTTCAGCTCCCCTTTCCCAATCCCCCAAACCAAAAATAACAGCAATAAAATACTTTAAGAAAATTCATAGGTAAAATTTTGGAAGTAAAAGTCTGAAGGTGGTTTGCCTTGGAGCGGATTTCTTTCTTTGAGTTTGCAGCTGGTGATCAGCTTTCCACCAAGGTTAAGTGCGACAATTACAGGAAACCTCAAGCTTTCTTGTAATGCAGATGAGAGGGGTCTGCCCTAAGGAGGGTCTGACAATGGGATGGAAGAGTTTTGGAGAGGAGATAAAACAAGTGCTTAGTCCAAGAAAGCCTTTAAATAACAAGCGATAAACACCCAATCAAGTGTAATCCTCCAACCCTAAAGTGGCTAATAATAATAACAATAGCTAACGCTGATTGAGAGCTTCTAGCTCCGCGGGGCTAGAAGCTGGGCTCTTTTATTAACTGAATTCTCAAAATATTCTCATTGTCCATTTAAGGAAATTGAGATCCCACCAATCACACCACCTCCCGGTATTTATGTCTTACATTTAAATGTATACGTGATTTCTTTGGGGGCCCTATGAAATGTTTTTATTTTTAATTTATTTTTTGCGACGGAGTCTCACTCTGTTGCCAGGCTGTAGTGCAGTGGCACGATCTCGGCTCACTGCAACCTCCAACACCCGGGTTCAAGCGATTCTCTTGCGCAGCCTCCCAGGTAGCTGGGATTACAGGCGCGCGCCGGCGTGCCCGGCTAATTTTTGTATTTTGAGTAGAGACCGGGTTTTGCCATGTTGGCTAGGATGGTCTCCAACTCCTAACCTCAGGTGATCCGCCCGCCTCGGCCTCCCAGAATGCTGGGACTACAGGCGTGAGCCACCGCGCCCTTCCGGGCCCTATGAGACTTTTTACCCTTTGGGTGGGCTGATAGAGCGGGAGAGGGGAAGCCAGAGTGGGTGTGGGTGTTCCTCGCAGGGCCCCGCGGGGTCACCTATGCCCAACTCATTCCCAAGTGGGCTCCGAGGCAGGCGCTGTTAGGTCTCCTGGGACTGAAGCCACCTGCAGGGTGGTCTGGAGCAAGTCTCCCAACCTCTGTAGACAGGCGGGCCCTCCGGGAGCTTCCGGTCTGGTTAGGAGCCACATGGATGTAAGAATCCGAGAAATGAACACCGGTGCTGTGCTGGGAGGCTGAAATGTTGGAGACTAGACCTGGGCAGGGAGGTCAGGGACGGTCCCCCAAGGAAGTCACCTTGGGTGAGATCTGAGTGACCGGCAGCAGTGAGCCAGGCGAGGAGGAAGGGAAGTGCAGCCCTGGGAACAGGATGGTGGCTAGGCCAGAAGGTTGAGCCGGCTGGGGCATGGCCGGAACGGGAGCGAGGCAGTTCCCCCCGGGGCCTCGCAGACCTTGCAGAGAGCAAAGGTAACCCATCCAAAGGTTTTGAGCAGGAGGTGACTATGGAACCACCCGGAACCACTCAGATAAGCTGTTTCCCTGTCCCTGGCAGCTAGGATCCTAGGATCAGTTTGGATTCTGATTCTTCTCTAATGGCTCTGCCCTGTCTCTCCACTGTTCCCATCGACTCATTTGTTGAATGGCATTATTGAAATATTTGTTGAAGGTCGGGCGCGGTGGCTCACGTCTGTAATTCCAGCACTTTGGGAGGCTGAGGTGGGCGGATCACGAGGTCAGGAGTTCGAGACCAGCCTAACCAACATAGTGAAACCCCGTCTCTACTAAAAATAGAAAAAAGCTGGGTGTGGTGGAGGGCGCCTGTAATCCCAGCTACTCGGGAGGCTGAGGCAGGAGAATTGCTTGAACCTAGGAGGCAGAGGTTGTGGTAAGCCAAGATTGCGCCACTGTGCTCTAGCATGGGCGACACAGCTAGACTCCTCAAAAAAAAAAAAAAAAAAAAAAAGAAAAAATTTAAATATATATTTGTTGAGTGTCTGCTTTGCTACATACTCAGGAGTGGTGTTTTAGGAAGAAAACAAAAATGACAATGTGGCCCACGAACATTTTCAGGATTTCAGAGACTATTTTCAGAAAACAAGTGTCTGGGGTGTTACTTACATGAAAGAAATTTGGAATATTAAATTGTATGGTAACTAATCAGAGGCAGAAATATTTTTTTCGAGGAGTTATCTGTATGGCACTAGAATTCCAGCGTTGGAATTTGTCCAGAGAGGGGCTGCTGCACCAAGTCTTGTAGCCATTTTGCAATCTCTGCTGCAGAAAGGGAAGGACCAGGTTTTCCAAACTTCACTCCAATTCTCAAAAGCTGGTCTTAGTTTCATGGGATTCCTCTTTTCCTTCTAGCTTCAACAGTCTAAATATTGTTGCATTGGGGATAGATAAGATTTACCCTCATGAAAATGCCAAATTAGCTGACCCTGGGATCACTGCCCATGAGTTAGCCCTGTTCTGCAAGGAGCAGTACTGTAAAACAAAACAAAAGAGCCAAATTAACTACGATCAAACCTTTGTATCCGCTGTTCTGCAACCACGGATTCAACCAACCTCCCATCAAAAATATTCAGAAAGAAAACAATAACAATGCAACAGTAAAGATACAAATAAACCCCAATACAATGTAACTATTTACATAGCATTTGTATTGTTAGTAATCTAGAGATTATTAAAAAGTATAGGGGAGGATGTTTATAGGTTATATGTAAACATGTCATTTTACATTAAGAACTTGAACATCTGTGGATTTTGGTATGGGAGAGGGGGTGCTGAAACAAATCTCTCAGATAGGGAGAGATGACTGTAATATTTCATTGTACCACTATAAAAGGAGAAGAAAATGTGCAACATAGGGCTCCTAGCCTAAACTTCTTTCACAGGCATGGGAATTTAATGGGGACAAGTAGGGCAAAAGAAACAGGAGTATTAGGGCAAAAGAAAATAGGGCTTGGGGTCTGTGGGAGGGAAAAGAACTAAAAAGAGGAACAGATAGACAATTTATCTCTTTTTGAAGCTTTAGTAAATTTTGATGAGAAGAGTCCCAGACCCATCTGTCTTTTAAAGAATACAGATAATCAAGTGCTGGGGTCAGGGGCTATCCCATGTTCAGGATGGTGATTTTGTGGGTGGGGTAGGCTGGCAGAGCCTACTGACATCTGGGTGATGAGAAGATGTTGGTTGGTTAGGATGGCACTTCTCACTCAAGCCCTATAACTTGATTTTCCAAGATTAATGATTACTTAGGATTATTTGATTTACCCCCCTACCCCCAGGTTCCTGTTGTAAACTAAAAATAAAATTGTGGCTCACATCTGTAATCTCAGCACTTTGGGAGGCCAAGGTGGAAGGATTGCTTGAGGCCACGAGTTCTAGACCAGCCTGGGCAGCATAGCAAGACGCGATCTCTACAAAAATTAAGAAATTAGCTGGGTGTGGTGGAACATGCCTGTAGTACCAGCTGCTCAGGAAAGCTGAGATAGGTGGGAGGATTGCTTGAGCCCGGGAGTTGGAAGCTGGCAGTCAGCTCTGATTGTACCACTGCACTCCAGCCTGGGTGATGGAGCAAGAGCCTGTCTCTAAAAAATAAATTAAAAAATAAATTAAAAATGTAAATGTAAGAACTGGTAGAAAAGGCTGGGCGCAGTGGCTCACGCCTGTAATCCCACCACTTTGGGAGGTCGAGGCAGGCAGATCACAAGGTCAGGAGATCGAGACCATCCTGGCTAACACGGTGAAAGCCCTTCTCTACTAAAAATACAAAAAACTAGCCTGGCGTGGTGGCGGGCACCTGTAGTCCCAGCTACTCGGGAGGCTGAGGCAGGAGAATGGCATGAACCCGGGAGGCGGAGCTTGCAGTGAGCTGAGATGGCGCCACTGCACTCCAGCCTGGATGACAATGCAAGACTCTGTCTCAAAAAAAAAAAAAAAAACCTGGTAGAAAAAAATATTTAAATAATAAATTATATAATCAGGCTTCTGTAAACCCAACATCAAAGGCAGAAATCATAAATCAAAATAATACTAGATCAGGGAGCTAAAAAAATTGGAAAGTCCCATTCTTTTTTTATATTTTTAATGTTTTTGAGATGGAGTCTCACTCTGCTGCCCAGGCTGGAGGGCAGTGGCACAATCTCAGCTCACAGCAACCTCCACCTCCCAGTTCAAGCGATTCTCCTGCCTCAGCCTCCTGAGTAGCTGGGATTACAGGTGTGTGTCATCACGCCCAGCTAATTTTTGTATTTTTAGTAGAGGTGGGGTTTCACCATGTTGGCCAGGTTGGTCTCGAACTCCTGACCTCCGGCAATCTGCCTACCTTAGCCTCTCAAAGTGCTGAGATTATAGGTGTAAGCCACCGTGCCTGGCCTCTATTCTTTTAAAAAAGTCAAAATGAGGTGGGGTGAGGGGCAAATCAGCAATATAAGGACGAGCAAGTGGCTAATACATGAGTAGTTAAATAATTCTCACAAATCAGTAAGTAGGCCCAGCGAGGTGGCTCACGTCTGTAATCCCCAGCACTTTGGGAGGCTGAGGCAGGCGGATCACCTGAAGTCAGGAGTTCGAGACCAGCCTGACCAACATGGAGAAACCCCCCTCTCTACTAAAAAATACAAAATTAGCCGGGCATGGTGGCACATGCCTGTAATCCCAGCTACTTGGGAGGCTGAGGCAGGAGAATTGCTTGAACCCAGGAGGCAGAGGTTGCGGTGAGCTGAGATAGCGCCATTGCACTCCAGCCAGGGCAACAAGAGCAAAACTCCATCTCAAAAAAATTCAGGAAGTATATCTTTTTTCTTTTTTTTTTTTTCTTCAGAATCTTGCTCTGTCATCCAGGCTGGAGTGCAGTGGCTCAGTCTTGGCTCACTGCAACCTCCCTGTCTCCTGGTTCAAGTGATTCTCCTGCCTCAGTCTCCTGAGTAGCTGAGACTACAGGCACATGTCACCACACCCAACTAATTTTTGTATTTTTAGTAGAGACAGAGTTTTACCATGTTGGCCAGGCTGGTCTCAAATTCCTGACTTCAGCTAATCTGCCCACCTTGGCCTCCCAAAATGTTGGGATTACAGGCGTTGAGCCACCGCGCTCATCCTCAGTAAGTATATCATAACAGAACAATCAGCAAATGAAGAAATGCAAATAACCCACATGCTTCTGAGAGAAAGTATTCAGCCTCTAGCTTAGAAATGTACACCGACACAATTAAATGCATTTTTTCACCTGTGAGTTTGGCAGACATTTAAACCAATGCCATTTGGAAAAAGTTCCTGATATTCTGCATCTCAACACTACAATTCAAGATAACTTCTAGGAGACCAAGCACCGTGGTTCACGCCTGTAATCTCAGCACTTTCGGAGGCCGGGGAGAGCGGATCACTTGAGGTCTGGAGTTCAAGACCAGCCTGGCCAATATGGCAAAACCCCATCTCTACTAAAAATATGAAAATTAGCCAGGTGTGGTGGTGTATGCCTGTAGTCCCAGCTACTCGGGAGCCTGAGGCAGGAGAATCAGTTGAACCTGGGAAATGGGAGGTTGCAATGAGCTGAGATAATGAAAAAAACAAACAAACAAAAAAAAACAAAGACAAAAACAAAACGCCCAAAAAAACCAACCTTCTAGGAATTGTTTTATAAAGAATGTCCTTTGCAGCCTTATTTGTAATGGCTATCATATTTTGGTTTGAACATTTGGGAGGCTGAGGGCTAAAGCTAGGGCTGGTTCTCAGCCCACATGGTTCTGAAGGTCCCATTTCTAGTTTCTGAAGTGGTTCCTTTTTGTTCAAATACTTGTTGCATGGCCTAGGGGTGCTGCGTGTGAAAGAAAAAAATGTAGTTCACAGATCTCTGGGTTAGAGAGAAGGGCCAGGAGTGTGGGGAACTTTTTGAGGTAATTCTTGTTTCTTTAATTTTTACTCCAAAGAGAAACTTTTTAGTCTTTTGAATTCAGATATGATTATCTACCAGCAAGTCATTTGGTAATGTAAATAGGATTGAGGGGTCATGTCCTTCATGCAAAACTTCAGTATGTCCTGAAGAAGGGAAATTAGTTGTTTTATTTAACTAAAAGCAAGCTTACTAATTTTGAATTATTTTCTTTAACAGTAAGCATAATTTTTTAAGATAATGTCATAAGATGAATGAAGGAGGATTAGGGTGCAGTGAGAGAAGGCATCTGTCTAACATCTTGAAGGCTTTATCATCAACAAAAGATGAACTATTCTGTGATATTTTAGAAGGCAAAATAAGTTCTAGTGTTTGGAAGTTTGTGGATGCAGATTCTGGCTCAATGTGGAGAACTTTCTGACACAGCAGTTTAACAAATGTAATCTTGTGTGCAGGATATAAAGGGAGATACCACCTACTTGCATTTTTAAGGGGCTTTAGCTTAAAAGTGCCAAATATAGTTAGTACAAAAATTAGTGCAAAAATACAGTGAGTACAAAATTCCTCATGATTAGTCATAGCTAGATATTTCTCTAAAAGTTGAACATGATATGAATTAATTTGCCTGCATTTAATGCCTAGGTTTTGGAATAATATATATCTCCAACAGTCAGCTGTAGTGCCAGACCCCTATTAACTTCAGTAAGGATGGCACCAGGTTCAAGAAGTCAAAGAAGAGACCTGGAGCCAGTGGAGGAGACATAGGGTTTTATTAGGGGGAACTTATAGACAGGGACAGTCCAGTGACAGTGGACTGGACAGGAGAACAACAACCATTTGCAAAAAGCATGCCGTTTATATAGCTTCTTCATTTAGCACCCACCTGGCAGCAAGTGCTACATGGCAACTTTCATTTCTTAAGTTACTGCTCTCAGGTTTGTCTGCCATACAACATATATCACAGTTATTGCTTTCAGGTGCATCTATCATCTATCAGCCCAGTGGGATATTCACACTTTGGGTAGCTGAAAGGAATTCTCGCTGATCTTTGGATCAGTTAAATTTATATACAGTGGGCCAGGTGCGGTGGCTCATGCCTGTAATCCCAGCACTTTGGGAGGCCAAGGCGGGCGGATCACCTGAGGTTGGGAGTTCGAGACCAGCCTGCCTAACATGGCAAAACCCCATCTCTACTAAAAATACAAAAAATTAGCCAGGTGTGGTGGCGGGCACCTGTAATCCCAGCTACTTGGGAGGCGGAGGTTGCAGTGAGCTGAGATCATGCCATTCCACTCCAGCCTGGGTGACAAGAGCAAAACTCCATCTCAACAATAACAACAACAACAATTTGTATACAGTGAAACTCCAGTGTGTGTATGTATGTGTGGGAAACATTCTTATTCTTGGCAAGATATATAAGAAAATTTATTGTATTGGCAGATTGGATGAGGAGTTAACACGTGAAGATGGTCTTCCCTTCATTCCATATGATATTGAGTCCCTCCTTATGCCCACATATTTGAATATGGATTGCTATGGTAAGGTCTGAAAGATCAAACATCTACACTTACCGTAGCGCAGCATCAGCTCCCTTCCCTTCCCTTCCCTTCCCTTCCCTTCCCTTCCCTTCCCTTCCCTTCCCTTCCCTCCCCTCCCCTCCCCTCCCCTTCCCTCTCTTTTCCGTTCTTTCTTGCTTGCTTGCTTGCTTTCTCTCTCTCTCTTTCTTTTTCTTTTTTTCTTTTTTTTTTTTGACGGAGTTTTGCCCTTTTGCCCAGGCTGGAGTCAAGTGGTGTGATCTTGGCTCACTGCAAGCTCTGCCTCCTGGGTTCAAGTGATCTCCTGCCTCAGTCTCCTGAGTAGCTGGGATTATAGGCACCCGCCACCATGCCCGGCTAACTTTTGTATTTTTAGTAGAGATGGGGTTTTACCATGTTGGCCAGGCTGGTCTCGACCTCCTGACCTCAGGTGATACACCCACCTCAGCCTCCCAAAGTGCTAGGATTACAGATGTGAGCCACCGTACCCGGCTTTTTTTTTTTTTTTTTTTTTTTTGGTGAGACAGAGTCTCACTCTGTCCCCAGGCTGGAGTGCAGTGGCAAGATCTCAGCTCACCGCAACCCCTGCCTCCTGGATTCAAGCGATTCTCCTGCCTCAGCCTCGTGAGTAGTTGGGACTAGGCATAGGTTGCCAGGCCCAGCTAATTTTTGTATTTTTAGTAGAGATGGGGTTTCACCATGCTGGCCAGGCTGGTGTCAAACTCCTTACCTCAAATGATCTGCCTGCTTTGGCCTCCCAAAGTCCTGGGATTACAGGTGTGAGCCTCTGAGTCTGGCCTAGCATTCACTCTTAAAGTCAAATGTGCAATAATAGTAATTGCTAACCATGTTCCTCTATAGCTGTACAATTAACTAAGCACTTCCTCTTCCATGTCTCCATTAATAGACACAACATCACTATTGTTATGCCCATTTTATCAGTGAGAAAACTGAAGTTGAGGAAGTTAAGGGTCCTAATACCGTCATTCTCAAAGTGGCCCCTTGACCAGCATCATCTGAGGACTTGTTAGAAACACAGATTCTCAGGCCAGGCATGGTGGCTCCCACCTGTAATCCCAGCACTTTGGAAAGACCTCACTTGAGGTTAGGAGTTAGAGACCAGCTTGGTCAACATGGTGAAACCCTGTCTCTACCACAAATAAAAAAATTTGCCAGGCATGGTAGCAGGCACCTATAATCTCAGCTACTCAGGAGGCTGAGGCAGGAGAATTGCTTGAACCTGGGAGGCAGAGGCTGCAGTGAGGCAGATTGCTCCACTTCACTCCAGCCAGGCAACAGAGTGAGACAACGTCTCAAAAACAAAACAAAACAAAACAAAAAAACAAAAATTCAGATTCTCAGATCCACCTCAGACCTACTGAGTCAGAAATTCTTGGGTGGGTCCTAGTAACCCATGGTTTAACAGGTCCTCCAGGTGATTCTGATGCACACTAAAGATTGAGAGCCACTGGCTTAAAAATAAGTGAATTCAGTTAATGTGACTCTTGCCTCCTTTCTACCTTGGAGGTTAAGAGAACACAAGAAGTGTTCTACATTCATCAGCATAGGTCTTGTTTTTTTTTTTTTTTTTGAGACAAGGTCTTACCCTGTCGCCCAGGCTGGAGTGCAGTAGCTTGGTGTCGGCTCACTGCAACCTCTGCCTTCCAGGTTCAAGCGATTCTTCTGCCTCAGCCTCCCTAGTAGCTGGGATTACAGGCACCCACCACCACGCCCAGCTAAGTTTTGTATTTTTAGTAGAGATGGGGTTTCACCATGTTGGGCAGGCTGGTCTTGAACTCCTGACCTCAGGTGATCCACCTGCCTTGGCCTCCCAAAGTGCTGGGATTATGTGCTTGAGCCACCGCACCTGCCCAGGTCTTGTTTAAATGATACAAACATGAATCTAATAAGGAAAAGAATTGCTCTGGGTTGTGTTTGTGGAGAAGGGGAGCTTTCTTTGCTTGTTCTATCTACAAGGAAGTGGCTGAGCATTATGAAAACTTAGTAGCTGTATGTCCTTAGATACACTCTTTGTGTTTTTGTTTCTCCATCTGAAAATAAGGGTAATAATTGTAGTACCTCCTGAAGTTGTGAAGATCAAAGGAGTTAATATGTTAAAGGCTTAGAAAGGCATCTGGCAGGTGGTTAAGCACTCAAACACAGTCATGCACTGCCGTGTAAGGATGATTCAGTCAATGATGGAATGCATACAATTGCCTACAGTATTCAGTATGATAACATGCTGTAAAGGTTTGTAGACTAGGAGCAATAGGCTACACCGTATAGACTGGGTTGTAGCAGTTTATACCATCTAAGTTTATGTTAGTATACTCTATGATGTTCACAAAATTACAAAATGGCCTAGTGACACGTTAAACAAGTTTTGTTTTTGTATCTAATAGGTATTACCAGTGTAACTAGTTTTTATTGAGTTGGATTTGGCTCAGTGCATGCAAAAAAACAAAACAAAACAAAACAAATCTCACTATTCACCATTCAATTTGCTCAGTCAAATTACTCTTCCACATCTCCTAAATGAAATCTCAACGAGGTTTCACAGCCTTTTTTGTGTGTGTGTGTAGGGGTAGGGGGTGTGGGGTTCACTTTCAGAAACGAAAATGTCCAGCACAGTTTCATATCAGCCAGGGGATAGAGGGCATCATAAATGACCACTCAATCTGAGGTCTCTTCACTCTTGATGGTAACCTGCTGTTAGAGGGCCCTGGTAGAGGGATCTCTGAAGACCTCCTAAGAGGACTGCAAAAGCTGGAGTGGATGTATGCTCTCCTTGGAATTCTTTGGGCTGACTTCTTCTCAGGATGACTCACGCTGGCTCTCTTCTCTAGGCCATGCACTTTTGCCCACCGGCAGGGGAAGCACCGCCTATTCCACTCTAGTCACCTCCCCTTGCTTTGCCACTGGGGCAGCTGGCCAGCCTTTTGCCTGTAGACTATTTCAGGTATCAGCTATTTACTAGACTCTGTGATCCATCAATTCTAGAGGACACAGAACAAAATATCTTGGTAGTTCTGAAGACCCCTCTCTTAGCTTGGGAGGAGGTTGGGGAAGTATCCCTTGCCTCTCTCATGGGAGTGAACACAATCTTTCTAAAGAAATCCTTACTGTCTCATTAAAATTTTAGCCTTCTGTACATAGACTGGAGTTGGGTGATGGGCTAATGCTGGTAGAGCTGGATTTTTGCCAAGCAAGCCCTTTGCAAGCCCTCCATCGATGCTCTAGCTTCCTCTAATAGAATGTGTGGGTATTTGGATCTATTTTTCTTAGATTTGGGGCCTCAGGCTAAACTACAAAGAGCTCTATTTTAACATTCTATTACAGGGCTTTTATAGGAATATTTTTTATTGTTATTTGGTACTTTGTAGATATTACTAAGATCTTTTACTGTCCCAGAGGATTTTGTGTATGGAGAGGAATATTGGCTATTTGTACTTTACTTCATCCCCAATTTACTATTATAAATCCTTTAATTTGTGCCTGCCAGGGGGAGACATGGTAAGTCATCATTTTAAAAATGTTAGCTTTTTTTTTTTTTTCGAGACAGTTTCGCTCTTGTTGCCCAGGCTGGAGTACAATGATGCGATCCCAGCTCACTGCAACCTCCGCCTCCCGGGTTCAAGCGATTGTCCTGCCTCAGCCTCCTAAGTAGCTGGGAATTCAGACATGAGCCACCACACTGGGCTAATTTTTTTTTTGTTTTTGAGACGAAGTTTCGCTCTGTCACCCAGGCTGGAGTGCAATGGCGTGATATCGACTCACTGCAACCTCTGCCTCCTGGGTTCAAGCGATTCTCCTGCCTCAGCCTTCTGAGTAGCTGGGATTACAGACACCCGCCACCATGCCTGGCTAATATTTGTATTTTTAGTAGAGATGGGGTTTCACCATGTTTGTCAGGCTGGTCTCAAACTCCTGACCCCAAGTGATCCACCTGCCTCAGCTTCCCAAAGTGCTGGGATTATAGGTGTGAGCCATCGTGGCCAGCCAAAAATGATAGCTTTTCTAACAGATATGTACGGGTATCTAGTTGTTTATTTATTTTGTTTTGCTTTTGAGCATTTTCAACAGATTTACTGAGGTATAATTGATGAAATAAATCACACATATTTAAAGTGTACAATTTGATGAATTTTGACTATCGATATATATACACATATACCCATGAAACCATCACCACGATCAAGAGAATGTGCCCTGGGGCTGGGAGCCGTGGCTCATGCCTGTAATCCCAGCACTTTGGGAGGCCAAGGCGGGCAGATCGCCTGAAGTTGGGAGTTCGAGACCAGCCTGACCAACATGGGGAAACCCTCTCTGTATTAAAAACACAAAAAATTAGCCAGGCGTGGTGGTGCATGCCTGTAATCCCAGCTACTCAAGAGGCTGAGGCAGGAGAATCGCTTGAACCCAGGAGGTGGAGGTTGCGGTGACCTGAGATTGTGCCATGGCACTCAAGCCTGGGCAACAAGAGTGAAACTCCGTCTCAAAAAAAAAAAAAAAAGCACATTCAGCAGCTTTGGAGAAGCCTAGAGGAGCCCTTATTAGTTTCCCTCAAGGACATGCCGAAAACTCCTGCCACCATATTGACAAGGACACTACCTATCTGGAGAATCACATTTCGGTTTAGGGAATTTTTTTTTTCTTTGGTGATGGGGTTTTTGTTCCTGTTGCCTAGGCTGGAGTGCAATGGCACAATCTCAGCTCACTGCAACCTCCACTTCCTGGGTTCAAGTGATTCTCCTGCCTCAGCCTCCTTCCTGAGTAGCTGGGATTGCAAGCGCTCACCAACACACCCGTCTAATTTGTTTGTGTTTTTAGTAGAGATGGGGTTTCACCATGTTGGCCAGGCTGGTCTGGAACTCCTTACCTCAGACGATCCGCCTGCCTCAGCCTCCCAAAGTGCTGAGATTACAGGCGTGAGCCACCGTGCCTGACCTGGCCTAGGGGATATTGACTGGGAGGAAAGAGGCACTTGTATAAAACACTTGTTTCTTGTTCAGAGCACCATATATATTTTGATGCCTTCCTATCTTTTTTTGAAAATAAAACACACACACAACACACACACACACACCCCTAGTTATAAGGATCATCCCCACCATCAGAAATCAACAACTTAAAAAACTTGATGCACTTACATATTTGCTTTCCTGTTTATGGGATGATCATTTAATTATTCTTGTAAAGTTGAGTTAATGCAGTGTAACACATTTCAAGCAGAACAGAAAAGTATAAAGATGAAGGTAGAAACAGCACCCATCCCATTACTACTAGAAATTGTTACCACTAACATGTGAACATTATTGAAATTAGTTTTACTTGAATTTTATAGATGAAAGAAAAACTGGGGTGAAATTGAAGAAAATATTGAACTTCAAATAAGCATTTTTCATCACAAATGATATTAGTTCTTAAATTATTTCTTTAAGGTTAAAAAAGGTTTATAAGAAAGACTAAGCGACTGGTGAGGCAGCTCATGCCTGTAATCCCAGCACTTTGGGAGGCTAAACTGGGAGGATCACTTGAGTTCCTCCTCATATTTTTTTTTTTTTTTTTTTTGAGATGGAGTCTCGCTCTGTTGCCCAGGCTGGAGTGCAGTGGTGCGATCTCGTCTCACTGCAGCCTCTGCCCCCTGGGTTCAAGTGATTCTCTGCCTCAGCCTCCCAAGTAGCTGGGATTACAGGTGCCCGCCACCACGCCCGGCTAATTTAGTCGGGTGGGGTTTCACCATCTTAGCCAGGCTGGTCTTGAACTCCTGACCTTGTGATCCCCCTGACTTGGCCTCCCGAAGTGCTAGGATTACAGGTGTGAGCCACCGCTCCTGGCGAGTTCTTCCTCATTTTGAACTCCTGGGCTCAAGCCATCCTTCCACCTTGGCCTCCCAAAGTACTGGGATTATAGGCGTGAGCCACCACGCCCAGCCACCTTCCATATTTCGATGAATTTCTTAGTTTGTTGTGTTTTGATGTCAAAACAATTAAACTTTTTATTTGGAAATAATTCCATACTCACAGATAAAATAATACAAAGAACTTCCATATACCCTTATAAACATTTCACAACATATATTTTCTCACTCATATTTCTCTTCCTTTCTCTCATACACATACATATGTAATATATTATTATTTTTTGGAACCATCTGAGAGTAGGTTGACTATATTATGTCCATTTATCCCTCAATACTTCAGTATGTATCTCTTTTTTTTTTTTTTTTTTTTGAGACGGAGTCTTGCTCTGTCGCCCAGGCTGGAGTGCAGTGGCGCGATCTCGGCTCACTGCAAGCTCCGTCTCCCAGGTTCATGCCATTCTCCTGCCTCAGCCTCCCGAGTAGCTGGGACTACAGGCCTCCGCCATCATACCCGGCTATTTTTTTTGTATTTTTTAGTAGAGACGGGGTTTCACCGTGTTAGCCAGGATGGTCTCGATCTCCTGACCTAGTGATCTGTCCGCCTCGGCCTCCCAAAGTGCTGGGATTACAGGAGTGAGCCACTGCGCCCGGCCTAATACTTCAGTATGTATTTCTTAAGAACAAGGATCATCTCTTACATAAGTATAGCACAGTTACCAGATTCAGGACATTTATTTATGTATTTATTTATTTTTTGAGATGGAGTTTCACGCTGTCACCCAGGCAGGAGTGCAGTGGCGCGATCTCGGCTCACTGCAATGTCTGTCTCCTGGGTTCAAGCGATTCTCCTGCCTCAGCCTCCTGAGTAGCTGGGACTACAGGCACGTGCAACCATGCCTGGCTAATTTTTTGTATTTTGTTTTTTCAGTAGAGAAGGGGTTTCACTGTGTTAGCCAGGATGGTCTCAATCTCCTGACCTCGTGATCCACCCGCCTCGGCCTCCCATAGTGCTGGGATTACAGGCGTGAGCCACTGCACCCGGCCAGCCTTGTCTAGTTTCTTCACTGTCTAGTTATCTTTTTTTTTTCTTTTTGAGACAAGGTCTTGCTATGGCATCCAGGCTGGATGCGGTGGTGCAATCCATGGCTCACTGCAACGTTGACCTGCTGGGCTCAAGCAATCTCCTCCTATCTCAGCCTCCCGAGTAGCTGGGACTACAGGTGCGCACCATCACGCCTGACTAAAAAAATTTTTTTGCAGAGACATGGTCTCACTATGTTGCCCAGGCTGGTCTCAAACTCCTGAGCTCAGGTGATGCGCCTACCTCAGCCTCCCAAAGTTCTGGGATTACAAGTGTGAGCCACTGTGCCTGGCCTTGTTAAAATATTGTATGGCTCTGTGTATGTATATGATTAACATTTACACAGATGTTACTGTCTTATATATTTAATTCTTTTTTTTTTTTTTTTTGAGACGGATTCTTGCTCTGTTGCCCAGGCTGGAGTGCAGTGGCATGATCTCAGCTCATTGCAGCCTCAACCTCCCAGGCTCAAGCGATTCTCCCACCTCAGCCTCCTGGGTGGCTGGGATTACAGGTGTACGCCAGCATACTCAGCTAATTTTTGATATTTTGTAGAGAGGGGATTTCACCATGTTGGCCAGGCTTATCTCAAATGCCTGGGCTCAAATGGTGCTCCAGCTTTGGCCTCCCAAAGTGCTAGGATTACAGGGTGAGCCTCCATGCCTGGCTGATTTAATTCTTTCTTACTTTTAAAATATAATACCACCCCCTTAAGCCCTCTATATATTTCTGTGTGTATCTTTATTTCTTCTAATAGCTGCTTTGTGGTCCAAAGCACACATTACATTATTTCTTTCTTTCTTTTTTTATTTGAGATGGAGTCTCGCTTTGTTGCCCAGGCTGGAGTGCAGTGGCACAATCTCGGCTCACTGCAAGCTCCGCCTCCCGGGTTCATGCCATTCTCCTGCCTCAGCCTCCCAAGTAGCTGGGACTAAAGGCGCCAGCCACCACGCCTGGCTAATTTTTTTGTATTTTTAGTAGAGACGGGGTTTCACCGTGTTAGCCAGGATGGTCTCGATCTCCTGACCTCGTGATCTGCCTGCCTTGGCCTCCCAAAGTGCTGAGATTACAGGCGTGAGCCACTGCGCCTGGAGATTTATTTCTTTATTTTATTTATTTATTTGTTTATTTTGAGATGGAGTCTCACTGCGTCGCCCAGGCTGGAGTGCAGTGGCAGGATCTTGGCTCAGTGCAACCTCCGCCTCCCCGGTTCAAGCGATTCTCCTGGCTCAGCCTCCTGAGTACTGGGGCTACAGGCACGCGCCACCATGTCCGGCTAATTTTTGTATTTTTTAGTAAAGACGGGGTTTCGCCATATTGGCCAGGTTGGTCTCGAACTCCTGACCTTGTGGTCTACCTGGCTTGGCCTCCCAAAGTGCTGGGATTACAGGTGTGAGCCACTGGGCCCGGAATATTTATTTTTTTGAGACAGTCTTGCTCTGTTACCCAGGCTGGAGTGCAGTGGTGCGATCTTGGCTCACTGCAACATCCAACACCTAGGTTCAAGTGATTCTCTTGCCTCAGCCTCCCAGGTAGCTGGGACTATAGGCACACACCAGCAAGCCTGGCTAATTTTTGTATTTTTTAGTAGAGATGGGTTTTCACCATGTGGACCAGGCAGGTCTTGAACTCCTAACCTCAAGTGATCTACCACTGTTGGCCTCCCAAAGTGCTGGGACTACAGGTGTGAGCCATCATGCCTGGCCAACATTACATATTTTACTGATACTTCACCCTAGTGTTAGATATTTAGATTGCTTTTAGTTCCCTACTTCTACAAACTGCTGTGATGAGTATCCTCTATGGGCACATGGGGAAATTTCTCAGATAATTTTCTCGGAGTGTGCTTTCTGTGATGTAGGATATGTTTATGGTTTTCATAACCAATTTTACTAAATATGAGTACATTGAGCACCAGAATGTCTGTACCAGTCTTCGTTTCTGCCAAAAATGCATTGTGTCAGTTTCTTCCCATTCTCAAAATTTTCATATACCCAGTTTTTTTGGTCAGACTGTATGAATAAAATAGTATCTTATTTTGTTATTTTTCACTCTTTTTATCACCCCCATTTAAATTTGGTGCCAAGAACTGAGGCAATTGCAGGAGTTGCTGATGGCCTCGCAAATCTTAACCCTGTCACTTGGGTTAAGACCATCGGAAGTACTACGATTGTAAATCTCATATTAATCCTTGTGTGCCTGTTTTGTCTGTTGTGGCTCTTGCACAGATTTTTCTTGCGTTGCCTTTTCTTTTCCGTATCTACTACCACTTTCTTAGGTCAGGCTCTTAACACTCATTTTGAATTCAGCAATTGATGTTTTGATCTAACTGTTTTCTCTGCCTCCATATTTAGCCCCATCATAACTCTATTTCACATTGCCACCAAATCTGATTGTGAAATCCCCTTAAATCATTCAGTGGCACTGACATCCGAGCCTTACAGGATAAAATCTAACCTCCTCAGCATCACGCTATATTGAAATTATTTAAATACCCACTTACCTTCCAATGGCTGGAAAGCACAGAGACAGGAACCCTGTCTAATCATTTTTGCAGCCTGGCACATAACATGATTTCTCTCAAAAGCATTCACTTTATCTCTTGAACTGAATCCTTGCTCTTTTTCTTCTTGCCTGCTTTGTGCTTCCACCACATCCACTCTGCTGGCCTGGGCCATCTTGCTGGTGTCCTTTTCAAGACAACAAACGATGGCTCCAATCTGGTCCACAGGAAGCAGCTGCCTTTGCTCCTCTTTTCATGGACGTGTAACCTCTTCTCACTGAAGACACTTCTTGCTTGTGGGAGCTAGGGTAGCTGGCCAGCCTCTTGCCTTAGGACTAGTTAGGCATGGGTCAGTTACCAGCCTCCCCATTCCCAAATTCTAGAGGACACAGGGCAAGCTCTCTGAGTGGTACTTCTGAAGCTCTCTACACTTGTCTTTATCAAATCTCTACCAGTGATCAAGCTTCCCTTTTATACCCACAAGGTGGGCAATGGGCTGAAGCTTGTCTTACCTACTATCATTTTTTAAAAAATAGATTTGTGTGTGTGTGTGTGTGTGTGTGTGTTTGTTTTGTTTTGTTTTAGACTGAGTCTTGCTCCATCGCCCAGGCTGGAGTGCAGTGGTGCGATTTTGGCTCACTGCAACCTCTGCCTCCTGGGTTCAAGCGATTCTCCTGCCTCAGCCCCTTGAGTAGCTGGGATTACAGGCACTTGCCACCACGCCTGGCTAATTTTTATATTTTTAGTAGAGACATACCCAGCCAAGCTTTCATACTAAGTCTTGAAGTGAGATATTGTCAGTCCTCTGACTTTGGTTTTTCTGTGCCTTATTGTTGTAACCTGCATTTCCCAGCAGTTAGGTATATTATCTGATATACTTGTAAGTCATTTATTTTCCCTTTCTGTGAATTACCTAATCATGTTCTTTGGCCATTATTTTATGGGGATCCAGATCCTGTTTTTGTTTATTTGCAAGGATTCCTTCCATGGTTTACATATCAATGTCTTTTAGTTTAGTTGTGTGTGTGTGTGTGTGTGTGTGTGTGTGTGTGTCTGTGTGTATTACAAGTATCTTCTTCAAATCTGTCACCCATTTGTTAACTTTGTGATGTCAATTGTTGAAAAGAAATCCTTAAATATTAGGTATTTGGGAGATACTTATACAATTTAACTGAGCATCTTATATTTTACCTGCCAACCTTAACTATGAAGTTTTCCTTCCATTCCATATCCTCTTATTTTCATGGGTTTGCTATGAAGGATTGTTTCTGTTGTTGTGTTTTTCTACATGTTGTAAATAGCCAACTTTCTTCATTTTTAGTTAGGGACTAAGTCCATGGTAGAGAGATAATCAGCCAATTCTTTTTGGTCATCTTTTTCTTTTCTTTCTTCTTTCTCAAGATGGGGTCTTACTCTGTCACCCAGGCTGGCGTGCAGTGGCACAGTCATAGCTCACTATAGCTTTGAACTCCTGAGCAGAAGAGATTCTCTTGCCTCTACCTCCCAATTAGCTGGAACTGTAGGTACATGCCATCTCACTTGACTAATTTTTTATTTTATTTTTATTTTTATGAGAAGGAGTCTCAGTCTGTCACGCAGGCTGGAATGCAGTGGTGCAATCTCAGCTCACTGCAGCCTCCGCCTCCTGGGTTCAAATGATTCTTGTGTCTCAGCCTCCTGAATAGCTGGGAGGCGTGTGCCACCATGCCCAGCTAATTTTTTTTTTTTTTTGTATTTTTAGTAGAGATGAAGTTTTGCCATGTTAGTCAGGCTGGTCTTGAATTCCTGGCCTCAAGTGATCCCCCTGCCTCAGCCTCCCAAAGTGTTGGGATTACAGGTGTGAATCACCACTCCCGGCCAAAGATTGAACATCTGACCACAGGGTTTTTTTGTTGTTGTTTTTTGTTTTTTAATTTTCTAAATCCTTTTAGTTGTTCTGGACAAACCAGTATAAGATGGAAACTTAAGTAGTACACATGAGTTTTATAATTTATCCATCTCTGGCAGATAGCTAAACATAGCACATCAGAGCATAACACAATGTGAGGCAAATACAGTGTACAATGACATTTTCTTCTATTCTGGAGCTTACAATTCAACAGAGAAAGAATTACTTGTAGTCATTGTGGTCACAAAAGGTTTCATGGAGGCAGTGAAGATAAAGCTCTACTAATACATAGGTTTTAATTTTAAAAATGTAAGCCTTCAAAGAACTAAAGGTAGCAATGTGTGGCAGTCCAAAAATTATGAGGAAAATAAGTTCCCTTCATGGGTCATATCAGCAATTCTTTTTTTTTTTTTTTTCTGAGATGGAGTCTCGCTCTGTTGTCTGGGCTGGAGTGAAGTGGCACGACCTTGGCTCACTGCAACCTCTGCCTCCCAGATTCAAGCAATTCTCCTACCTCAGCCTCCTGAGTAGCTGGGATTACAGGCATGCACCACAACGCTTGGCTTATTTTTGTATTTTCTTTTCTTTTCTTTTTTTTTTTTTTTGAGACAGAGTCTCGCTCTGTCACCCAGGCTGGAGTGCAGTGGAGTGATCTCAGCTCACTGCAGCCTCCGCCTCCCGGGTTCAAGTGATTCTCCTCCCTCAGCCTCCTGAGTAGCTGGGACTACAGGTGCCCACCACCATGTCTGGCTAAATTTTTTTTTGTATTTTTAATAGAGATAGGGTTTCACCATGTTGGCCAGGATGGTCTCGATCTCTTGACCTTGTGATCTGCCTGCCTCGACCTCCCAAAGTGCTGGGATTACAGGTGTGAGCCACCACGCCCGGCCTATTTTTGTATTTTCAGTAGAGCTGGGGTTTCACCATGTTGGCCAGGCTGGTCTCGAACTCCTGACCTCAGGTGATCCACCCAACTTGGCCTCCCAAAGTGCTGAGATTACAGGTGTGAGCTACCATGCCCTGCCCACATCAGCAATTCTTAATTTACAAACCATGGATCGGCTTCAGGAGAACCCAAGAACCAGTGAAATCTGTTGGTAAATTTTATGTGTGCAATATTCTCCAGAGAGAGTCAACAGCATATATATTTTCAAAGAAGTCTGTGGTGCAAAATAGTTAAGAGTATATTATGTTAGAAGTCCTTGGGCAATCAACTTGGAAAAGGCTGGATTGAGAATGGGGACTGGTATAGATCAGGATAATGTTGAATTTGATCCTCACTTGAGGCTTTTGTACAGAGGATGAGAAACAGGGTAAACTCAAGGGATAATCAGAAATTAAAATCAATATGACTTGGTGATAGTGAGATATGAAAGGTCAGAGAAAAACATCAAAGATGAAATCAAGCTTCTGACTTGCAACAGTGAGTATACCGAAAGTTATAGGCTAGATGGAAGATTAATAAAATTGGGAGCACTCTGGTTTTTATGGGAATGGCCATGCGATGTACAGGGAGAAATGGACAGTTGAAAATAAGAATCTAGCCAGGCACAGTGGCTCACTCCTGTAATCCCAGCACTTTGGGAGGCTAAGGTGAGAGAACTACTTGAGTTCAGGAGCAGGAGGCAACCGTCAGCCAGGATTATGCCACTGCACTCCAGCCTGGGTGACAGTGAAACCCTGACTCAAAACAAACACCACCAAAAATCAAAAAAGAAACCAAGTCTAGAGGCACATGGCTGGGAATCAGTAATGCTAGTTTTAGCTGAGAGAGTTAAGATCATCCAATCAGTATTAAGGAAGAAACTCAATACTAGAGACCACCAATACTTAAGAAAAACGGGTAAAATCAGAGGAATGATAAAGACTGGCTGAAAAATGTTGGTGTCTAGCTCAAGAAACGATGGGTTAGGTGGTCATATTTATTAATATGGATCTAGGGAAGCATTCATTCACTAATAAATTTTACTTGTGTTCTCTAAAATAACCTTTTCATCTTGATTTTCCTGCAGCTAAATTAGAAATTTACAGTTTTCCCCCTAAAAAATGCAACGATGTTCTTTCTCATAAATTACATTATCTGATTTTCTTGTCAGCCAGCTTCAAGGAAATCCATGTGTTCAAAATGCCTGCTTGCAGTTTGCCCCATACCAAATGGTTGTTTAATCCAAATACTGAGCCGCAAACTGACCTAATCCTTCTGGAGAAAGGATGGTTGAACAGCCAAGACCACTAGGTACTCAAAGAGAGACCACATATCCTGAGCTCCCCAGTCTGGTGTGAGGGGAGGACAGCTGATAACTGGATATGCAGTGTTCCCAGACATCACTGGTCCCAAACCATTGCTTCTGCCTGCCACTGCCACAAGTACAACAGCAATGCCATCCCCTTCACACGCAGCTTTAATTTTTAGGGTTTCATTTGGTCCTCTATGTGTGGATAGTTCACATGGAGTGCCAACATTTCTACAGACCTTGATGTTTTCACAGTGACCAAGATCAGAAATAGAGCTCATCAATACTACAATTGTGCACTAACTTTCCGATTTCAAAAGCAACTTGACTCTCTCTGCAACCCACTCAAAGCTTTTCTTTTCTTTTCTTTTTCTTTTTCTTTTTTTTTTGAGATGGGGTCTCACTCTGTCGCCCAGGCTGGAGTGCAGTGAGGCGATCTTGGCTCGCTGCAAGCTCTGCCTCCCGGGTTCAAGTGATTCTCCTGCCTCAGCCTCCCGAGTAGCTGGGACTACAGACGTGCGCCACCTCGCCCAGCTAATTTTTGTATTTTTAGTAGAGACAGGGTTTCACCATGTTGGCCAGGCTGCTCTCGAGCTCCTGACCTTGGGTGATCTGCCTGCCTTGGCCTCCCAAAGTGCTGGGATTACAGGCATGAGTCACCGTGCCCGGCCTCAAAGCTTTTCTTTACCATTTGGAGCCCTTCAGGAGTTACTTCTTTGAGCTCCCAGTAAGACTGTTTGTCTTTCTGTTGGCTTCAATCTCGTAATGGCCAGTCTCCAGGAATCATCAGCAAGAACCATTTCTTTGGTGGTTATATCAACACCAAATTCAATCTTCATATCAACCAGGGTATAGTTCTGGGGTAACCAGGATTTCTCCAGTATTTCAAAAATAACCTGTGTAGCATGACTCATGATATCCCCTTCAGTTTGGCCTATAACAAGTCCAATAAAGCAAAATTTTGCAACAATCAACTGTTCCTCAGATCATTGTGGGTCATTATTGGCATCATCCTTGAAAAACATCTTCACTTTAGATGGATAAAACTTATATCCTTCCTTGACACTGGGATTTATTTCTTTCGAGAAACAAACCAGTTGCTATCCTGCAAACCCATTCAATTGGAACCACTTCACACTAGGGTGCAATGAAAGCTGTCTCTCCACATTTTCTGGTGAAAACAGTTTTAATACCTGCTTCCTGTAACAACTGAAAACCACCCTTCCAGGTGATTTTTTCTAGCTGCATTAACCACTGCAATTGGGTCCTTGGACTTCAGGAGGACTTTTCCTGGACCATCTAACAATCTGTAGACTTCTTTTGTTTTACCTTCATACAGTTTTTGTTTTGTTTTGAGACAGAGTCTCGCTCTCATTGCCCAGGCCGGAGTGCAATGCCACAATCTCGGCTCACTGCAACTTCTGCCTCCAGGGTTCCAGTGATTCTCTTGTCTCAGCCTCCCCAGTAGCTGGGACTACAGGTGCCCACCATCTTGCCCAGCTAATTTTTATTTATTTTTTTGAGACAGAGTTTTGCTTTTGTTGCGTAGGCTGGAGTGCAATGGCACAATCTTGGCTAACTGAAACCTCCTCCACCTTTCGGGTTCAAGTGATTCTCCTGCCTCAGCCTCCTGAGTAGCTGGAATTACAGGCGTCTGCCACCACGCTCGGCTAATTTTTGTATTTTTAGTAGAGACAGGGTTTCGCCATGTTGGCCAGGCTGGTCTTGAACTCCTGACCTCAGGTGATCCGCCCAGCTCGGCCTCACAAAGTGCTGGGATTACAGGCGTGAGCCACCACGCCTGGCCTCATACAGTTTTTTTTCATGTTCAGTACCTCAGGTGTCGCCATTATCCTGAGTGGGCTGAGGACTGCGACTGTGCTGGGAAGAGAGCAACCATACATACGTATTTTAACCTAGTGCCTGTCCTTTTAACAACATTTGGGTCCCCCTCTATCTCCCTATTTTCTGTTAAGATGTCTCACATTTTTGCAAATTTGGTAAAATTCCTCATTTCAGGGGGTTAATCCCATTTTTGGCCACTAGGTAGAGCTAGAATCTTATTTATGGTGATTCTTAAGCTTGCTGTTTTTCAGTGTCTTATTTAGGAGGCAAAGAAGCCTTTGTCTTAGAATTTTTAGGACACTTTTTCAGAGCAGTCTTCATCATAAACTCCTCCAGAGATCATCAAATACATAAAAGGAAAAGAGAAAAGGGAAGAACTTCCAAGTTCATTTACCAATCATCTTTCAGCATAATAACCATCATTTACATAAGGACAAACTTCATTAACTGTGGGAGTCTGGGTACAGTCAGCCTCCTTCTGCAGTTGGTCTAAGATCCTTTAAGGTACTTTGTAGCCAAAGTCAAGAACACTTCATTTTCTTTACCAGGGCCTAAACTGATTGATTGCATCCTTATTTTATTTTGTTTTGTTTTATTTTATTTTATTTTGAGATGGAGTCTTGCTCTGTCACCCAGGCTGGAGTGCAGAGGCATGATCTTGGCTCTCTGCAACCTCCGCCTCCCGGGTTCAAGTGATTCTCCTGCCTCAGCCTCCTGAGTAGCTGGGATTACAGGTGTGCATCACCATTCCCTGCTAATTTTTGTATTTTTAGTAGAGACGGGGTTTCACCATGTTGGTCAGGCTGGTCTTGAACTCCTGACCCCATGATTTGCCTGCCTTGGCCTCCCAAAGTGCTGGGATTACAGGCGTGAGCCACTGCACCTGGCCAGAAGATAAAGATTTTGAAGAACATTTAATTTCCTCATTTCTCCTACCCTCTACCCTGTGGATTGTAAGTTGTAGAAGTTCTTTTTTGGAAGGGAATGGCTCAATACTTGAGTGCCGTGCTCTCCTAGTTGTCATTTATCAAACTATTATTCTCATATATAGGAAGAATTGTCACATTTTTTCTCATATGTAGGAAGAACAGCCATGAGTCAGCTTGCTGAGTCTGATTGGTCCAAGGGCTTCCTGGCACACTGAACCCCAGCCATGCGGAACTCCAGCTCTGTAGAAGAGGAGCAGCTATCACAGCAGTTTGAGTAATTGCAGACAAAGGTGAAGCAAGAAGAGAACAATATCAACAACTAGCAATGATAAAAAAAACAACCTAAATTTACCTGGAACTTTTTTTTCTTCTTTTTTTTTCATGGAGTTTCGCTCTCATTGTCCAGGCTAGAGTGCAATGGCACTATCTTGGCTCACTGTAACCTCCGCCTCCCATGTTCAAGCGATTCTCTTGCCTCAGCCTCCCGAGTAGCTGGGATTACAGGTGCCCACCACCACGCCCGGCTAATTTTTGTATTTTTAGTAGAGATGGGTTTTCGTCATGTTGGCCAGGCTGGTCTCGAACTCCTGACCTCAGGGGATCTGCCTGCCTCAGCCTCCCAAAGTGCTGGGATTACAGGCGTGAGCCACTGCGCCTGGCCTACCTGGCACCTTTATGAACCTGGGAAGTTTTGCAGTTTTATTCTCTGTTAAATGCATATCTGTTGAGCTTTTTCTGTTATTAAAATGTATTCCAAGATTTCTATTTTTTTTTTTTTTTTTGAGACGAAGTCTTGCTCTGTCACCCAGGCTGGAGTGCAATGGCGCGATCTCAGTTTACTGCAAACTCTGCCTCCCAGTTCAAGCAATTCTCCTGCCTCAACCTCCTGGGTAAGTGGGATTACAGGTGCCCACCACCATGCCCGGCTAATTTTTTTATTTTTAGTAGAGATGGGATTTCATCATGTTGGCCAGGCTGGCCTCAAACTCCTGATCTCAGGTAATCCACCCACCCTGGCCTCCCAAAATGCTTGGATTATAGGCATGAGCCACGGTGCCCAGGCTTAATGCTGTATTTTTTAATACACACACAGTAGAGAAGGATATAAGATGACAAGTAAAATACCCCTTCTTAACCTACTCTCAAGCTTTTTTCCTTTCCGTATCTGGCTATAGAATTTGAACTCATTCTTTTTTTTTTTTTTTTTTTTTGATATGGAGTCTTGCTCTGTCGCCCAGGCTGGAGTGCAGTGGCAATCTTGGCTCACTGCAAGCTCCACCTCCTGGGTTCACACCATTCTCCTGCCTCAGCCTCCCAAGTAGCTGGGACTACAGGTGCCCGCCACCATGCCCAGCTAATTTTTTTGTATTTTTAGTAGAGATGAGGTTTCGCTGTGTTAGCCAGGATGGTCTTGATCTCCTGATCTCATGATCCGCCTGCCTTGGCTTCCCAAAGTGCTGGGATTACAGGAGTGAGCCACCGCGCCCGGCAGAACTCATTCTTTTTTTAAAAAAAATTAATTATTTTTTTTTTACTTTCTATAACAAAATATTTCAGACAAAGATAGAGGGACCAGTGTAATGAACTTAATTTACCTATTATCTAGCTTCACCTGTTATCAATAATCTTGTTTTTATCATATTTCCCATATCCAGATTGAAGCAAATTCTAGACATCACATCATTTTTTAAAAATTAAAATTAAATTTATTATTATTATTGTTTTTATAGAGGTGAGGGTCTCACTATGTTGCCCAGGCTGGTCCCAAACTCCTGGGCTCAAGTAATCCTCCTATCTTGGCCACCCAAAGTGCTGGGATTATAGGCATGAGCCACTGCATCTGGCCCACATAATTTCATTTGTAAGTATTTTATAATTATTCAATTTTTATTAATAGATTTTAGGTTTTAGAAGTTCTTTTTAAGTTTGTTTACAACAAAATCTTTATTCAAAAGACTGTAAAAGGTTATAATTATTATAGTCGGACAAAGAGCAAATAAAGGCAAATAAAAAGTTCTCAGAATGTAGTTTCCTTCTTTTAAAATATGTAACTGTTTTCTTGGGATTCAATTGCACGTTTAAGTGTTTAGCCAGCCTGCTTCCATGCCCAGCAGTTAAGCCAGCACAGAAGGTCAAGTGTGAGCATGGTGGCTCATGCCTGTAATCCCAGCACTGTGGGAGGCTGAGGTGGGAGGATTGCTTGAGTCCAGGAGTTTGAGACCAGCCTGGGAAACTTAGTGGGACCCTATTTCTACATAAACTAAAAAAAAAAAAAAAAAAAAAAAAAAAAAAAGCACAGTGTGATAGCATGCGCCTATAATCCCAGCTACTCGGGAGGCTGAGGTGGGAGGATTGCTTGAGCCCTGAAATGCAAGGCTGCAGTGAGCTATGATCGGTTGCCTGTGGGCCCTGCCCAAGCCTCAGCCCAGCTAGGAGTATGAGGCTTTAAGGAGGCCTGTGTGTACAAATGACAGACTCACACCATCTGATGTCCACCCATCTGGAATACATCCCCTCAACAAAGCCTTGTCCTGGGGCAGCAGGCAGGCTGCAACCTGTCATTCAAGAGTGGCTGGCCTTTCCTGCAGGAGGGTGGGAGGGCCTAAGCTGCCCTCCTGTGGCTTCAGGCATCTGGGATGAAGTGGTCCATATGTGGTGGCGATGGGTCAGGGAAAACTTTTTGACTATGTGCTCATAGATCACAGTGGGGATGATGATCAGGGTGACAATGTTCCTGGCTGTGGCCAGAATCTCTGAGATCTCTTTCAGCCCAATGACACTCTGCACAGTGCTTGTTAAACGTTCTTGAACCTGGCACACATGGTGGTTGGTGAAGAGTCCTTGAGGACCACAGAGCTCCCTTTGACCACAGGGAAGACCTTTCCCTTCTTGATGATGAAGCCACCATGGCTTGTGCTGTCCTTGTGCATGGTGACAATCCACTGGACTATCCTGTCCTGAATGACCATAACAATCTTCTTGGCCAATTCCCTCTCACATCTGCCAGATGGGCTTTTTCCATGTTCCACTTGGCACAGTCATGCCCATCAATCTGTAGGATTTGGTCCCCAAAGCACAGCAGCATGAGGGATGCAGTGGTGTTGGCCTGGACCACCTCACCTGCACAAAGAGCCCCTTGTTGGTGGTCTGCAGCTGCAGCCCAGTCTTGCCATGTTTGTCTTTGCACAGGTGGATGTTGTGTACCTGGGCCTTGATCTCATACCACATGCCCAGGCTGTTCCTCCACCCCCTGGGCTGGCTAGGAAACTGAGACAGCAGTTTGCAGACACCAGGGGTGCAGGGGGTCAGCCTGGCCTATGGGACCTAGTGCTTCAGAGGTTACTGGGAAGCAGGGGTAAGGGTGGGGAAAGGAGGACAGAGCGGTTCCTGGGCCCAATTTCATTCTCAGACCACACACTTCACTGAAAAGTTTTAAATTAAAAAAAAAATTGAGCAGATAGTACCATTCCATACTACATAATCCCAGTTTCCCCTGTTAATGACATCCCATATTATTTATTTATTTTTTTTTGTCACCCAGGCTGGAGTGCAATGGTGTGATCTCCACTCACTACAACCTTCGTCTCCCGGGTTCAAGTGATTCTCCCACCTCAGCCTCCTGAGTAGCTGGTTCTACAGGCGCATGCCACCACACCTGGCTAATTTTTGTATTTTTAGTAGAGACGGGGTTTCACTATGTTGGCCAGGCTGGTCTTGAACTCCTGACCTCATGATCTGCCCGCCTTGGCCTCCCAAAGTGCTGGGATTACAGGCAGGAGCCACCACGCCTGGCCTAATAACATCCCATATTATTAAGTGTATCATATACATAGTTAACAAATACATTTCTTACAATTAAGAATCAATAGTGATAAAGTTCATACTTACTCAGATTTTCTTTTTTTCTTTCTTTCTTTTTTTTTTTTTTTTTTTTGAGATGGAGTTTTGCTCTTGTTGCCCAGGCTGGAGAGCAATGGTGCGATCTCGGCTCACTGCAACCTCTGGCTTCTGGGTTCAAGAGATTCTCCTGCCTCAGCCTCCCGAGTAGCTGGGATTACAGGCAGGTGCCACCACGCCCGGCTAATTTTTGTATTTTTAGTAGAGACGGGGTTTCTCCATGTTGGTCAGGCTGGTCTTGAACTCCCGACCTCAGGTGATCCACCTGCCTCGGCCTCCCAAAGTGCTGGGATTACAGATGTGAGCCACCACATACGGCCTGATTTTTTTCTTATGATTAGACTCAGATTTTAGATTTTTGGAGAGGAAGATCACAGAGATAAAGTACTGTTTTTCTTTTTTTGAGAGTCTTGCTGTGTCACCCAGGCTGGAGTG
Source organism: Homo sapiens (assembly GCF_000001405.40). Taxonomy (NCBI): domain Eukaryota; kingdom Metazoa; phylum Chordata; class Mammalia; order Primates; family Hominidae; genus Homo; species Homo sapiens. The sequence goes on along the minus strand of NC_000006.12, from coordinate 73,321,741 downwards.
CAGTGGCATGATCTTGCTCACTGCAAGCTTCACCTCCTGGGTTCAAGCGATTCTTGTGCCTTAGCATCCTGAGTAGCTGGGACTACAGTTGTGCACCACCATGCTGGGCTAATTTTTTTTTTCTTTTTGAGACGGAGTCTCGCTCTGTCGCCCAGGCTGGAGTGCAGTGGCGGGATCTCGGCTCACTGCAAGCTCCGCCTCCCTGGTTCACGCCATTCTCCTGCCTCAGCCTCCTGAGTAGCTGGGACTACAGGCGCCAGCAACCATGCCCGTCTAATTTTTTTTGTATTTTTAGTAGAGACGGGATTTCATCGTGTTAGCCAGGATTGTCTCGATCTCCTGACCTCGTGATCCGCCCGCCTCGGCCTCCCAAAGGGCTGGGATTACAGGCGTGAGGCACTGCGCCCGGCCAACTGGGCTAATTCTTGTATTTTTGGTAGAGATGTGGTTTTACCATGTTGGCCAGGATGGTCTCAAACTCCTGGCCTCAAGCAATCTGCCCGTCTCAGTTTCGCAAAGTGCTAAGATTACAGGCGTGAGTCACTGCGCCTGGCCTAAAGTACCATTTTCATCACATCATATCAAGGGTGCACACTATCAGCATGTTGTATGACTGTTCACATTGATCACCTGGCTAAGGTAGCGTTTGTCAGGATTCTCCACTGTAAAGTTACTCTTCCCCACCCCTTCTCCATTCTGTATTCTTTTGAAGAAAATCAACAGGCACTGCCTACACTTAAGGAGTGAGGAGTTATGCTCTTCCTCTCTTAGGATGAAGTATCTACTTATTTACTTAAGATTTTTCTGCACAGGAGATTCATCTTTTCTTCATATATTAATTTGTGGATTTATTTATACTGATATGAACTCGTGGATATTCTTTTTTAAAAATGCACTTTCATTCTCAGATCGTTGATATTCATTTTACATTTTTGGTATAATCCAATACTTTATTTTTTAAATTATTCCAGGCTGGGCACGGTGGCTCACGCCTGTAATCCCAGCACTTTGGGAGGCTGAGGCGGGAGGATCCCAAGGTCAGGAGTTCGAGACCAGCCTGGCCAACATGGTGAAACCTGTCTCTACTAAAAATACAAAAATTAGCCAGGCATGGTGGTGGGCGCCTGTAGTCCCAGCTACTCAGGAGGCTGAGGCAGGAGAATCGCTTGAACGTGGGAGGTGGAGGTTGCAGTGAGCCGAGATCACACCACTGCACTCCAGCCTGGGTGACAGAATGAGACTCTGTCTCAAAAAAAAAAACAAAACAAAAACTTATTCCAGCTTTGGCTATTGAGAGCTTTTTCCGTTGCTTCTTTTGTTCCTTTGACATACCCCCATCACTCTTTTGTTTTTTTGAGACAGAGTATTGCTCTGTTGCCCAGGCTGGAGTGCAATGGCACAATCTTGGCTCACTGCAGCCTCCGCCTCCGGGTCCAAGTGATTCTCTTGCCTCGGCCTCCAGAGTAGCTAGAGTTACAGGTGTGGACCACCATGCCTGGCTAATTTTTGTATTTTTAGTAGAGATGGGGTTTCATCATGCTGGCCAGGCTGGTCTTGAACTCCTGGCCTCAAGTGACCCACCCGCCTTGGCTGCCCAAAGTGCTGGGATTACAGGCATGAGCCACCATACCCAGCCACTCCATCACTTTTTTTTTGAGCACTTTATTTTCTGGTACTATAATGTGCTCCAGGCTTATTTTGTATATTTCTTGCCCAGTCCTCAAGCCATTTCTCCAAGGAGTTCCTTTAATGGAAAATGGTATTAGAAACCAAAATCTGAGTATTAGGTGTGCTTGTTGCTACCAGGGTGTTGGTTCTTTTAGGCCACCTCTGACAGAGCAAAGAAATATATGTGGCCAACATTGTGAAACCCTGTCTCTACTAAAAATACAAAAATTAGCCAGGTGTGATGGCGGACGCCTGTAATCCCAGCTACTTGGGAGGCTGAGGCAAGAGAATAGCGTGAACCTGGGAGACGGAGGTTGCAGTGAGCTGAGATCGTGCCACTGCACTCCAGCCTGGGTGACAAGGGTGAGACTCCATCTCAAAGAAAAAAAAGAAATATACGTGTGTTTACTAACCTGTGTATATAGAAATATTTTTTTTCTTTTTCTTTTTTTTTTTTTTGAGATGGAGTCTCACTCTGTCACCCAGGCTGGAGTGCAATGGCGTGATCTTGGCTCAGTGCAACCTCTGCCTCCTGGATTCAAGCAACTCTCCTGCCTCAGCCTCCTGAGTAGCTGGGACTACAGGCTTGTGACACCACACCTGGCTAATTTTTTTGTATTTTAGCAGAGACAGTGTTTCACTGTGTTATTAAATTAAAAATGATTTCTTACTGATATCTCCAACTCTAATCCATGACCACATATATCATTCTATGTGGTATAGATCATAGATCATTGCTTATCTGTAAATTCCCAATCCAACAGTGAGAAACCTGGCTCCCACCATCCACCAACCATTTACTTAATTATTCAATTGCAGTATTTTTGTATAGCAGTACATTATTCCCCCCTTACCTGTGAGGGATACATTCCAATATCCCCAAATGCCTGAAACCATGGATAGTATCCAATTCTATATATACTGTTTTTTCTATACAAACATACATACATACCTATGGTAAAGTTTCTTCCTCTCCTCTCCTCTCCTTTCCTTTTTTTTGGAGATGGAGTCTTGCTCTGTCACCCAGGCTGGAGTGCAGTGGTGTGATCTCGGCTCAATGCAACCTCTGCCTCTCAGATTCAAGCAATTCTCCTGCTTCAGCCTCCTGAGTAGCTGGGACTACAGGCTTGTGATACCACGCCTGGCCAATTTTTGTATTTTAGTAGAGACAGTGTTTCACTGTGTTGCCCAGTCTAGTCTTGAACTCCTGAGCTCAGGCAATCTGCCCACCTCAGCCTCCCAAAGTCCTAGGATTACAGGCAAGAGCCACTGTGCCCAGCCTATGTAAGATTCATTTATAAATTAGGCACAGTAAAAGATTAACAATAATGAAATAGAACAATTATAAAATATACTAATATGGTTTGGCTCTGTGTCCCCACCCAAATCTCATCTTGTAGCTCCCATAATTCCTACGTGTGGTGGGAGGCACCCAGTGGGAGATGATTGAATTATGGTTTGGGCGGGGTCTTTCCCATGCTGTTCTCGTGATAGTGAATTGGTTTCATGAGATCTGATGGTTTTAAACACAGGAGTTTCCCTGCACAAGCTCTTTTTGTCTGCCACTATCCATGTAAGTTGTGACTTGCTGCTTTTTGCCTTCTGCTGTAATTGTGAGGTGTCCTCAGCCATGTGGAACTGTAAGTCCATTAAACTTTTTTCTTCCCAGTCTCAGGTATGTCTTTATCTGCAGCATGAAAATGGACTAATACATATACTATAATAAAAGTTACATGAATATGGTCTCTCTCACTCAAAATATCTTATTGTATTGTACATACCTATCTTCTTGTTGACTGTCAGTAACTGAAACTGTGAAAGAGAAACTGCAGATGATGAGGGACTACTATATCAGGATTTAACTTTATCAACTAGAGTACAGTTCTTACGTGCAGGTTTTTTTTTTTTTTTTTTTTTTTTTTTTTTTTTTTTTTTTTGCTTATAGTCTTACCAACTCCATTCACTTCCAAAGTTACTTATGTCAGCACTTTCACCCTGCCCCTTTAAGGGTGTTGTTTAACGTAACTATAATATAGAGTACCCTGTCAGAGTCTGAATTCTCTTTTTTTTTTTTTGAGACAGAGTCTTGCTCTGTCACTAAGGCTGGAGTGCAGTGATGCGATCTCGGCTCACTGCAACCTCTGCCTCCCGGGTTCAAGCAATTCTCCTGCTTCAGCCTCCTGAGTAGCTGGGAATACAGGCGACTGCTACCATGCCCAGATAATTTTTTGGATTTTTAGTAGAGACAGGGTTTCGCTGTGTTAGCCAGGATGGTCTCGATTTCCTGACCTCAGGATCTGCCTGCCTTAGCCTCCCAAAGTGCTGGGATTACAGGCGTGAGCCACTGTGCCTGGCCAGAGTCTGAATTCTTGTCTGGGTTCTCCCAACCTCCTAAATGATTTCTTTTTAATTTGCATACATTGAGGTCCACTTTTTGTGTTATAAAGTTCTATAGTTTGATAAATGCATAATGTCATGTAGCCACCATTAATAATATGATACAGAATAATTTCACTGCCCTAAAAAATCTTGCACTTCACCTATTCATCCTTCCCCTTTTCCCCAAGCCACTAGCAACCACTGATGTTTTTACTATCACTTATATTAGGTTGTATAAAGTACTTTTGCATCAACCTAATATTTTTGCCTTTTCCAGAATGTTATATTGTTGGAATCATACAGTATGTTACCTTTACAGACTGGCTTTTTCCACTTAGCAATATAGGTTCCTCCATGCCTTTCTTTGGCTTGATAGCTTAATTCTTTTCATTGCTGAGTAATATTATATCATATGGATGTATCACAGTTTTAGTTCATTTTTTAGTTGCTCTCTAGTATATTGTATGGCTCTATTTAACTCATTTTCTATGATGGACATGCAGGCTGTTTTCTTTAATTCTTCTTTCGTTCCCCCTCTTTGAGGAAGAAGTATATATACTTCTCTCTCCATTTGTTACATAACCAAGCTTCATATCACAGAAGTGTATGTCTTCTCCTCTGCCATAAGACTGGCATGTCCTAGATGGGGCTGCTACATTCACTGGGTACAAGAGTAAAGACAGCTTACAGATGAGTAATATAAAAGAAAAAGAGACCTTTGTAATTGTAAGCCATTTTGTGGACCTTTGTAACATGCATAACAAAAGAAAAAGCTAGCAAGTACCTCCCCAGTCCTCATTTTTTTTTTTTTTTTTTTTTTGGGGGGGATAGGGCCTCACTCTGTCACCCAGGCTGGAGTTCAGTGGCATGATCTCAGCTCACTGAAGCCTTGAGCTCCCTGGCTCAAGCGATCCTCCTGTCTCAGCCTCCCTCATAGTTGGGACCAAAATCATATGCCACCATGCTCAACTAATTTTTAAAAAAAATTTTAAATTTTTTTTGTAGAGACGGGGTTTCGTCATGTTGCCCAGGTTGGTCTCGAACTCCTGGGCTCAAACCATCTGCCCGCCTCCACCTTTGCTTCCCAAAGTGCTGGGATTACAGGTGTGAGCCACTGTGCCCAGACCCAATCATCATTTCGAACACCATCTCCCCTCATCTTAGCTTTTCTTCTTGTTATTCTTTTGCAAAGCTGGGTCCACAATTCATTCAGTAGGGAGTAATATTGAAAGGATTCCAGTTTCAATTTAATATTTTATTTGGCTTTTGGTTGTCTATTCAAGGTTTATGACAAAATTTGCTAAGTTTTAAATCTGTGCTTACTATTTTTGGGGAGATAAGGAAGGTAATGAATTCTTTGGAGTTACACTGTCCAATACATTAGTTACTAGTCATATTTGGCAATTTAAATTTAACTTACTTAAAATTAAATAAAATTAAAAATTCAATTTCTCATAGCACCAGCCACATTTCAGGAGCTCAACAGCCACATGTGGCTAGTGGCTACCATATTGAACAACACAATTTTATATATATCTCCATCACTGCAGGAACGTCTATTGAACAGCACTGCCTTAGATAGTATGCTGAAAGCTATATATGCATATTTAACGAACAAGCATAGAGTTCATGAAGCTAGCATGGATCTCGGGGTAAATTCCTTGCTCTAATTAGTATGCCTTATGTTGCCTTAGGGTTAGTGTCTGACCTTGAAATAACTGAAAAAAAATATGTCTATAAAACTCTCTGACTGCCCTGAACCTTGGATCCTATACCTATTAATCCATGTAACATCAAGCAACAGTGAGAGGAGAAGAGTCTTTAAAAATATGGTTCAGTGCCTAGAAGTAGCTATTGTAAATGCAAGGTGACAAGGAAGGTACACTAAGAGGAAAGAGGCTTCCTCTATCCTTCCTTACTCACCATTGAGGGAACAGAATAGATTGTGTGTGTGTGCGTGTATAGGGGGCAGTCAGAAAGGAGGCATTTCCAGTGAAACCCTAACATGCAAAATGCCCATACTAGTTTATGCCTAGTACACTCAAATACTACCTCCCCACCTCCATTGTTGCAAGGAAAAAATAATTATATTCCTTTTCAAGTTGGAACACCCAGGCTCACAAAAGTAAATTGTCCAAGATCACACAACTTGTAAATGGCCAAGTCAGGGCTCTAACCAAGGTCCTCCTGGCACTTACTCTTCCACATACTACCTCCCTATCTGTTCCCACGTCCCCGCTCCTCCTAGCAGCTCTGGCGAATTGTGAAGGAGCCATCCAAATTCAGGGCTGTAAGTCAGGAGCTGCAGTGTCCTGCCACTATCTGTAGTTGAGACTCTTGTCTTACAGGTGCCAATTTATTTACTCCTTTACCTAAATCGGTAAGGCTGGTGGGCATCGAATAACCTAAGCGCCGGGGAGTTTTAAAGCCACAGGGATTGGGGCTCGCGCTCCGTCCCGCACAGATCCCATTCCGCTGCTCTGAGGGTTCCCGCGATCGCCAGGGGACACCCAACACCAGGGGTCGGAGAAGCGAGAGAGGCCTAGGCTATACATTGGCACCAGCACCTGGAGCAGCCGAGGCGCAGAGCAGAGGCGGGCGCCTGAGTGTGCTGGGCGGGGAGAGGGTGGCCCGGGAGGAGCCCACCGGCCTTCCAGTGCCCAGCGAAGCCGCTGCCGCCGCGTATCTGCGCTCTGTTCCTCCTGCCCCGCGCGGATTCGTGTGTGTAAAATGGAACGCTCGAACGGTGAATCTGCTATGGTAGGGACGGCGCGGACCTTGGAGCCATCGAGCATTGGACCCAAGTTCAAGTTCCCTCCTCTCCAAACTCATCTGTTCTGGTCCCGGGAGCCTCAGTTTTCTCCTAGGGGGTCACGAGCTAAGCCGACAGCCCGCGAAGGCGCGTCGCCCACATGGGTCTGAGTCCCGCCGCCGGGCCCAGTGCCTGCTCGCAGGTTCCCGAGAAGGGCGGGGGAGCGCGGACCGGAGGCAGAGTGAGGCGGCCTGGGAGCTCCGGGGCTTTGAGGATGGATCCTGGCTTCCTCAGAGGATGCATGGGTTCCATTTTTCTGCCGCCCACACCCCAGCCCCATTTTCTTTTTTAAATTTATTTTTATTTTTTTTATTATACTTTAAGTTCTAGGGTACATGTGCACAACGTGCAGGTTTGTTACATATGTATACATGTGCCACGTTGGTGTGCTGGAACCATTAACTCGTCATTTACATTAGGTATATCTCCTAATGCTATCCCTCCCCCGTCCCCCCACCCCACAGACAGGCCCTGGTGAGTGATGTTCCCCTTCCTATGTCCAAGTGTTCTCATTGTTCAATTCCCACCTGAGCGAGAACATGTGGTGTTTGGTTTTTTTGTCCTTGCGATAGTTTGCTGAGAATGATGGTTTCCAGCTTCATCCATGTCCCTACAAAGGACATGAACTCATCATTTTTTATGGCTGCATAGTATTCCATGGTGTATATGTGCCACATTTTCTTAATCCAGTCTATCATTGATGGACATTTGGGTTGGTTCCAAGTCTTTGCTATTGTGAATAGTGCCACAATAAACATACGTGTGCATGTGTCTTTATAGCAGCATGATTTATAATCCTTTGGGTATATACCCAGTAATGGGATGGCTGGGTCAAGTAGTATTTCTAGTTCTAGATCCTTGAGGAATCGCCACACTGTCTTCCACAATGGTTGAACTAGTTTACAGTCCCACCAACAGTGTAAAAGTGTTTCTATTTCTCCACATCCTCTCCAGCACCTGTTATTTCCTGACTTTTTAATGATCACCATTTTAACTGGTGTGAGATGGTATCTCATTGTGGCTTTGATTTGCATTTCTCTGATGGCCAGTGATGATGAGCATTTATCCATATGTCTGTTGGCTGCATAAATGTCTTCTTTTGAGAAGTGTCTGTTCGTATCCTTTGCCCATTTGTTGATGGGGTTGTTTGTTTTTTTCTTGTAAGTTTGTTTGAGTTCTTTGTAGATTCTGGATATTAACCCTTTGTCAGATGAGTAGATTGCAAAAATGTTCTCCCATTCTGTAGGCTGCCTGTTCACTCTGATGGTAGTTTCTTTTGCTGTGCAGAAGCTCTTTAGTTTAATCAGATCCCATTTGTCAATTTTGGCTTTTGTTGCCGTGGCTTTTGGTGTTTTAAACATGAAGTCCTTGCCCGTGCCTATGTCCTGAATGGTATTGCCTAGGTTTTCTTCTAGAGTTTTTATGGTTTTAGGTCTAAGATTTAAGTATTTAATCCATCTTGAATTAATTTTTGTATCAGGTGTAAGGAAGGGATCCAGTTTCAGCTTTCTACATATGGCTAGCAAGTTTTCCCAGCACCATTTATTAAATAGGGAATCCCTTCCCCATTTCTTGTTTTTGTCAGGTTTGTCAAAGATCAGATGGTTGTAAATGTGTGGTATTATTTCCGAGGGCTCTATTCTGTTCCATTGGTCTATATCTCTGTTTTGGTACCAGTATCATGCTGTTTTGGTTACTGTAGCCTTGTAGTATAGTTTGAAGTCAGGTAGCATGATGCCTCCAGCTTTGTTCTTTTGGCTTAGGATTAACTTGGCAATGTGGGCTCTTTTTTGGTTCCATATGAACTTTAAAGTAGTTTTTTCCAATTCTGTGAAGAAAGTCATTGGTAGGTTAATGGGGATGGCATTGAATCTATAAATTACCTTGGGCAGTATGGCCATTTTCACGATATTGATTCTTCCTATCCATGAGCATGGAATGTTCTTCCATTTGTTTGTGTCCTCTTTTATTTTGTTGAGCAGTGGTTTGTAGTTCTCCTTGAAGAGGTCCTTCACATCCCTTGTAAGTTGGATTCCTAGGTATTTTATTCTCTTTGAAGCAATTGTGTATGGGAGTTCACTCATGATTTGGCTGTTTGTCTAGGAAGAAACTGCATCAACTAACGAGCAAAATCACCAGCTAACATCATAATGACAGGATCAAATTCACACATAATAATATTAACCTTAAATGTAAATGGGCTACATACTCCAATTAAAAGACACAGACTGGCAAATACGATAAAGAGTCAAGACCTATCAGTGTGCTGTATTCAGGAGACCCATCTCAGGGGCAGAGACACACATAGGCTCAAAATAAAGGGATGGAGGAAGATCTACCAAGCAAATGGAAAACAAAAAAAGGCAGGGGTTGCATTTCTAGTCTCTGATAAAACAGACTTTAAACCAACAAAGATCAAAAGAGACAAAGAAGGCCACTACATAATGGTAAAGGGATCAATTCAACAAGAAGAGCTAACTATCCTAAATATATATGCACCCAATACAGGAGTACCCAGATTCATAAAGCAAGTCCTTAGAGACCTACAAAGAGACTTAGACTCCCACACAATAATAATGGGAGAATTTAACACCCCACTGTCAACATTAGACAGATCAATGAGACAGAAAGTTAAAAAAGATATCCAGGAATTGAACTCAGCTCTGCACCAAGCAGACCTAACAGACGTCTACAGAACTCTCCACCCCAAATCAACATAATATACATTCTTCTCAGCACCACACCGCACTTATTCCAAAATTGACCACATAGTTGGAAGTAAAGCACTCCTCAGCAAATGTAAAAGAACAGAAATTATAACAAACTGTCTCTCAGACCACAGTGCAATCAAACTGGAACTCAGGATTAAGAAACTCACTCATAACTGCTCAACTACATGGAAACTGAACAACCTGCCCCTGAATGACTACTGGGTACATAATGAAATGAAGGCAGAAATAAAGATGTTATTTGAAACCAATGAGAACAAAGACACAACATACCAGAATCTCTGGGACACATTTAAAGCAGTGTGTAGAGGGAAATTTATAGCACTAAATACCCACAAGAGAAAGCAGGAAAGATCTAAAATTGACACCCTAACATCACAATTAAAAAAACTAGAGAAGCAAGAGCAAACACATTCAAAAGCTAGCAGAAGGCAATAAATAACTAAGATCAGAGCAGAACTGAAGGAGATAGAGACACAAAAACCCTTCAAAAAATCAATGAATCCAGGAGCTGCTTTTTTGAAAAGATCAACAAAATTGATAGCTAGCAAGACTAATAAAGAAGAAAAGAGAGAAGAATCAAATAGACGCAATAAAAAATGATAAAGGGGATATCACCACTGATCCCACAGAAATACAAACTACCATCAGAGAATATTATAAACACCTCTATGCAAATAAACTAGAAAATCGAGAAGAAATGGATAAATTCCTGGACACATACACCCTCCCAAGACTAAACCAGGAAAAAACTGAATCCCTGAATAGACCAATAACAGGCTCTGAAATTGAGCCAATAATTAATAGCCTACCAACCAAAAAAGTCCAGGACCAGAAGGATTCACAGCCGAATTCTACCAGAGGTACAAGGAAGAGCTGGTACTAGTCCTTCTGAAACTATTCCAATCAATAGAAAAAGAGGGAATCCTCCCTAACTCATTTTATGAGGCCAGCATCATCCTGATACCAAAGCCTGGCAGAGACACAACAAAAAAAGAGAATTTTAGACCAATATCCCTGATGAACATCGATGCAAAAATCCTCAATAAAATACTGGCAAACCAAATCCAGCAGCACATCAAAAAGCTTATCCACCATGATCAAGTGGGCTTCATCCCTGGGATGCAAGGCTGGTTCAACATATGCAAATCAATAAACATAATCCATCATATAAACAGAACCAAAGAAAAAAAACCACATGATTATCTCAATAGATGCAGAAAAGGCCTTTGACAAAATTCAACAGCGCTTCATGCTAAAAACACTCAATAAATTAGGTATTGATGGGACGTATCTAAAAATAATAACAGCTGTTTATGACAAACCCACAGCCAATATCGTACTGAATAGGCAAAAACTGGAAGCATTCCCTTAGAAAACTGGCACAAGACAGGGATGTCCTCTCTCACCACTGCTATTCAACATAGTGTTGGAAGTTCTGGCCAGGGCAATCAGGCAGGAGAAAGAAATAAAGAATATTCAATTAGGAAAAGAGGAAGTCAAATTGTCCGTTTGCAGATGACATGATTGTATATTTAGAAAACCTCATCTTCTCAGCCCGAAATCTCCTTAGGCTGATAAGCAACTTCAGCAAAGTCTCGGGATACAAAATCAGTGTGCAAAAATCACAAGCATTCTTACACACCCAGCCCCATTTTCGACGCCCTCTACTTGGCAGCCGGTGAGCCCCCGGCCCCTGCGTTTCTGGCTCCAGCCCCAGGTGGCGGCGCTGTAGGCTGGAGCCCCTGGAAAGCGCTGGCCTGGCAGCCCTGGGGAGTGTTCCAGGCCCTTGGACCGCAGGGAGGGCAACCAAATGGCAGAGGCGGTAACGGAGAGCATCCCTGAACGGTAAAAAGTCGTCTAAAGGATCGAAGAAACGGAGTGTGAGCGAGTCCGTGGGCGGGACAGCACCTTCGGGTGCCGGTCAGAGGAGCGAGCGGCGGAAGAGGCGGGTCCAGGGCGGTGTAATTAAGGCGCGGAGCCCAGACCCTCCTGCTACAGTGCCTCGGGCTTTCCTGGAGGCGGGCGGCGGGATGCTGCTCCGTTCTCCGGGTCCTCTCCTCCGGTTCTTGTCGTTTGGTCACGCCCTCAGTTCAGTCGGTTATTGGAAAACGATCAAGGCCCAAAGATGGTTTACGTGGCGTTGTGGATGTTATCACCGTTGTTTGGTGACCGAGCCTGGAGCTTGAGCCCTGGGACGTCTTGCCAGCCGCATGTGGTCCCGTGCCCACTTCTCGCGGTGGCGCGTTAATCCACCTAGACTGTGCATTGGTCCAGTCTGGGTTGACCCCGACCCGAAGTGGCCCTTTCCTTCGCGTCCTGAACTTCGCTTCTCCGTCGGTGTCTGGTCTCTTCCCGCCGGCGGGCTCTGCGGTGGCGGGAGGAGCTGTACTACTCGTGCCTTAGCGCACCCTTACTTTCCCAGGCCAGAAACGCGAAATGCTGTCGGCCTTCCAGAGGCTGTTCCGAGTCTTATTTGTGATTGAAACAGTCTCAGAATACGGAGTCCTGATCTTCATTTATGGATGGCCCTTTCTCCAGACCCTTGCGATGCTCCTGATCGGGACAGTGTCTTTCCACCTTTGGATCCGCAGAAATCGAGGTGAGTGGCTTTAGGGGCCCTGGTAGGAAAAGCTTCCTTCACCCAGGTGCCCGGAAAGGCGAGTTTCGCTTCCGGGATCTTTCAGGATCACTCCAGCTCCTTAGTCTGAAGGCCTAGGACAGTTCTGCAAATCACCATGTTAAAAAAAACCCTGGGTGTGCCTCCTGGTTTGTGAGTAGAAAGGGCAAGATGTGGTTGGGAAGGAAGATTGTGGCTAGAAGCAACCAAAGGTGGAAAATCTAGGACATTTGTGCACTGTAGGTTTAGAAGTCCCAGGAATCCCAGGCCAGCTCCTCTAGGGGGCCATCTTCCACTAAATCTCTTTTGCGGGTCTGCCCCGTCACTTAGATACCCTAGGAGAGCTGATCTCAAAGCGGAGTCCCGCGATCAGCAGAATCAGCATCACCTGAGAACTCCTTAAAAATGCAAACTGCCAGGCGCGTTGGCTCACGCCTGTAATCCCTGCACTTTGGGAGGCCAAGGCCCATCACTTGAGGTCAGGAGTTTCAGACCCGCCTGGCCAACATGGTGAAACCCATCTCTACTAAAAATACAAAAATTAGCCTGGCGCGCGTGCCTGTAATCCCAGGTACTAGGGAGGCGGAGGCAGGAGAATCGCTTGATCCTGGGAGAAGGAGGTTGGAGTGAGCCGAGATGGCGCCACTGCTCTCCAGGCTGGGCAACAGAGCGAGACTCCGTCTCAAGAAAAAACAAAAAAACAAAAAACAAACCAACAAAAAACAACAGCAAAAAACTCTACCGGGTGCGGTGGCTGACACCTGCAATCCCAGTACTTTGGGAGGCCGAGGTGGGAGGATCGCTTGAGCCCAGAAGTCACAGCCTGGGCAATATGGTGAAACCCCGTCTCTACAAAAAAATATGAAAAATTAGCTGGGCTATGTGGCACCCATCTGAAGTTCCAGCTACTCGGGAGGATCACCTGAGCCCGGGGAGGTCGAGGCTGCAGTGAGCCAAAATCGTGACACTGCACTCCAGCCTGGGCAATCGGAGTGAGACCCTGTCCAAAAAGAAAAAAAAAAAAGCCGGACGCGGTGGTTCACTCCTGTAATCCCAACACTTTGGGAGGCTGAGGCAGGTGGATCACCCGAGGTCAGGAGCTCAAGACCAGCCTGGTCAACATAGTGAAACCCCATCTCTACTAAAAATACAAAAATTGCAGCAGGGCGTGGTGGCTCACGCCTGTAATCCCAGCACTTCGGGAGGCCGAGGAGGGCGGATCATGAGGTCAGGGGATCAAGACCACCCTGGCTAACACGGTGAAACCCTGTCTCTACTAAAAATACAAAAAATTAGCCGGGCGTGGTGGCAGGCACCTGTAGTCCCAGCTACTCGGGAGGCTGAGGCAGGAGAATAGTGTGAACCCAGGAGGCGGAACTTGCAGTGAGCCGTGATCGCGTCACTGCACTCCAGTCTGGGCAACTGAGCCAGACTCTGTCTCAAAAAAAAAAAAAAAAAAAAAATTAGCTGGGCCTGGTGGTGCGGTGCCTGTAATCCCAGCTACTCGGGAGGCTGAGGCAGGAGAATCGCTTGAGCCCGGGAGGCAGAGGTTGCAGTAAGCAGGGATTGCACCATTACTGCACTCCAGCCTGGGCGACAGAGCGAGACTCTGTCTCAAAAACAAACAAACAACAACAACAAACTCTGTCGCCTACCCCACATCCACAGAATCAGAAACTCTGGGGGTGAGGCACAGAGACCCGTGTTTTAAGAAGACCTCCAGGTGATGTGGATGCATGCTGTTGAAAAATCAGAGCTCTAGGGTCATCTCCACAAGGCATGCATATGATCAGCTGCTCTCTTTTTAGCCAGAGCACGAGCCAGGCGGTTGCACGGTTCTTCATGGGCCTCTGGGCACTCCGTTTAAGGCTGGGGCCTGAGGGAATCTCAGGCAGGGACGGCGTTGCTTGCGGAAAGCCTGCTGGCCTGGGGATCAAGAGGCCAAGACCCCAGTTCTGTTTGTGCCATGAAAGATGAGGACAGGGAAATGGATGTGTGTGTGGGCAATTGTTCTTAAATCTGTAATGGTTTAAGTAATTGCAAACTCCAGCTTTTAAATAATGCTCTAATGATTTTATTTAATTAATTAATTAATTTATTTATTTATTGTGAGACAGGGTCTCGCTCTGTCGCCAGGCTGGAGTGCAGTGGCCTGATCTCGGCTCATTGCAACCTCCGCCTCCCGGGTTCAAGCAATTCTCTGCCAGCCTCCCGAGTAGCTGGGATTACAGGCGCCCGGCATCACGCCTGGCTAATTTTTATATTTTTAATAGAGACGGGGTTTCACCATCTTGTCCAGGCTGGTCTTGAACTCCTAACCTCGTGATCCACCCGCCTCAGCCTCCTGGGTGCTGGGATTACAGGCATGAGCCACCTTGCCCGGCTGCTCTAATGGTTATATAATAAATAATTTACATTAGTTTAGTGTTGATCAGTGTTCTTTCCAGGGTAAAAGGAAAAACATTTTCAAAAGGTAGTTGTGTCTTCTCACAGTGTTTGGGGGTTTAAGTGAAAGTTTTATTTTCTCTCTTTCTTCCTGGTCTGTCACCCAGGCTGGAGTGCAGTGGCACAATCTCAACTCACTGCCATCTCTGCCTCCTGGGTTCAAGCGATTCTCCTGCCTCAGTCTCCTGAGTAGCTGGGACTACAGGCGTGCGCCACCACACCTGGCTAATTTTTTTGTATTTTTAGTAGAGACGGGGTTTCACCGTGTTGGCCAGGATGGTCTCGATCTCTTGACCTCGTGATCTGCCTGCCTCGGCCTCCCAAAGTGTTGGGATTGCAGGCATGAGCCACCACGCCCAGCTAAGTGAAAATTTTCTAAATAGTCTTCAACTCCCACCCCCACTGCCCCGGGGCACCAACCCCCACCCCAAGCTAGAAGGAGGGTATTATCTATTCTGGGGAATTCTGTCCAGCAGTCCAGTCAGATGAGGGCATGAAATAGCTCCTTGGTTTGTGAACCACAGGGCTCACTGCTAGCTTTAGCACAAGCAGTTCAGTTGCAGGAGTGAGATTCTCAGAAACCAGGTTGGAGTGAGTTGAAAAATTTAAATGGGGATGCATGTGGAATATGTTTAGTGGACGTTTTTAGTAAGCAGAACTGATGCTCCTGGATGGGAAAACCTGGGTAATTTTTGTTGGGATGGGGAAATAGCTGGGAACGGAGAGGCTGGGGGAAGAGGGAGCTTAATTACTCGGGGTGTCGGGTGAGGGAGGGCAGAGTTGATGCAGTGGGAGGGAGAGTCTAGAGGTAGCAGCCTCCAAGCCCCAGTGAAAGCAGAGGGGTTGTGATTTAGAGCTCTGGTGGAGGGGAGCAGTTTCTGGTAGAAGGAGGAGTATAAGTAGGAGCAGGAGGCAGGAAGGGTGAGGATTCAGGGAGCTATATGGAAAGATTCATTCTGGTTGAAGATAAAGAATACTCATTTTGTTTAATCCCTGATTACTTAATTTATGACTACTAATTAACATTTCCGCAATAAAAACACTAAATGCATATGTACCTGCTTTCATAACTAATAACCCAAAACTTACAGACTTAAAAATATAATTTGCTCAATTTAAAAATAATCAGAGGCCAGGCGTGGTGGCTCACACCTGTAATTCCATCACTTTGGGAGGCCAAGGTGGGCAGATCACTTGAGGTCAGGAGTTCAAGACCATCCTGGCCAACATGGTGAACCCCGTCTCTACTAAAAATACAAAAATTAGCGGGGTGTGGTGGCGGGCTCCTGTAATCCCAGCTACTTGGGAACCTGAGGCAGGAGAATCACTTGAACCCAGGAGGTGGAGGTTGCAGTGAGCCAAGATCGTGCCACTGCACTCCAGCCTGGGTGACAGAGTGAGACTATGTCTCAAAAAATAATAATAATTAAATCAAAATCCAATATATTATATTCTCTTAAATGCTAAAAACTTTTAAAAGTAGCTAGAATATCTTAAAAATTTATTTGTTAACCTTTGAGGGCTTGCTCAAGTGCCAGGTCCTTTCTGTTTTGGATGTGTGCTCTTCTTCAATATTCAAAGAAGCCCATGAGATTGGTTCTCTGATTACTGCCTTGAATTTCAGACACAGAGAAACTAAAAAACTTATCTAAAGTCACTCATCCAGTAAATGGAAAAGTTGAGGTTTGAATCTTGGCTCTTATGCTATGTTGTCTCCTTATGATTGTAGTGAATACAAAATAGATAACAGTTTCATTGAAACCAGTTTAAGAAAGGCGAATTCCATGACTTCAAATTTGTTTCTTTATTATCTCTCTCTATATTTTTTATATTATATATATATTTTTGAGATGGAGTCTTGCTCTGTCACTTAGGCAGGCTGGAGTGCAGTAGCGCAATCTTGGCTCACTGCAACCTCTGCTTCCCAGGTTCAAGCAATTTTCGTGCCTCAGCCTCCCGAGAAGCTGAGATTACAGGAGTCTGCCACCATGCCCAGCTAATTTTTGTATTTTTAGTATAGATGAAGTTTCACCATATTGGCCAGGCTGGTCTTGAACCCCTGACCTCAGGTGATCTGCCCACCTCAGCCTCCCAAAGTGCTTGGATTACAAGTGTGAAGCACTGCATCTGGCTTCTATACTTATTTTAATACTGGAATGGGATGCAATTTGTTATATATGTTCCCAGAATTGCAAAAATATTACCAGGATATATCTTGATACTTTGGGTTTTAGTAGTTTTCAAAGACCTCCAAAGAAAACGCATCCCAGACCAGCTATGTTGGTGACTGATAGATTCAGAAAGGAAACTGGACCTTGTTTCACAGTCCAGTTCTGTGAAACCTGAGCCAATTATTAGGCTAAGTCTAGCAATCCACTCATTATGTTGCCAACCTTTTCTTTGATTTTACTTAATTTTTGTTTTAAAGTATGTAATATATGTCATTGTAGCAAATTCAGAAGATATAAAAGGGTATGTGAACAAAAGTGGCTGGCGCAGTGGCTCACGCCTGTCATCCTAGTACTTTGGGAGACCAAGGTGGGAGAGATCTCTGGAGCCCAGGAGTTCAAGACCAGCCTGGGCAACATAGTGAGACCCCGCCTCTATTACATATATTTATAAAAATAAAACATGAAAAGCCTCTCCCATTCATGGCTCTCAGTCTTCCAGCTCTACCCAAATAAATTTTATGTAATATATGCATATTTTATATGTATGTATATGTATGTATTTTAATGTGTGGCAGGATATTTTATACATTGTACCTTTACTTTTTTCATTTTTAATTTTGAGATTTTAGACTTTCAAAAGAATTTCAAAAATCACAGTGTTTCAATACACCCACTACACAGCTTCTACTTATGTTAGCATCTTACCTAACCGTAGAACAATTTTTTTTCTTTTTTTTTTGAGATGGAGTCTTGCTCTGTCACCTAGGCTGGTGTGCAGTGGCATGATCTTGGCTCACTGCAACCTCCGCCTCCTGGGTTCAAGCGATTGTCATGCATCAGCCTCCCGAGCAGCTGGGATTACAGATGCCTGCCACCACGCCTGGCTAAGTTTTGTATTTTTAGTAGAGAAGGGGTTTCCCCACGTTGGCCAGGCTGGTTTCGAGCTCTTGACCTCAGGTGATCCACCCACCTTGGCCTCCCAAAGTTTTAGGATTACAGGTGTGAGCCACCGTGCCCAGCCCACAAAATAATTTTCAAAACCAAGAAATTATTTGCATTTCACCATTTTTTTCATGATTTTAGTTTTTCTGTTCTAGGATACAATTCAGAATCCCACATCATGTTTAGTTGTCCTATGTCCTTGGTCTTGTCTCATCTTTCACAGTTTCTTAGTCTATCCTGTCTTTCATGACCTTGGAACTTCTGAAGAATATCAGCTATTTTCTAGAATGCATCTCAGTTTGGGTTTGTCTGATGTTTTCTCAGGATTAGACTGAAGCTATACATTATTGAGAAGGATGCTACAAAATGATGTGATCATGTGCCCTTCTCAGTGCATCGTATTTCAGGACAGGTGATGTTAATTTTGATCACTTGGCTAGGAAATTGCTTGTGTTCTTTACTGAAAACTTGTGGTTCTTCCATTTGTATTACTAAATATTGTGGAGGAGATACTTCAGACTATGCAAATATCTTGTTTCTGCCTAAACCATCACCCGTGAGTTTTAGCATCAGGGGTCAATTTTGCCTGAGGCAATGATTACTGTGGTCCAGTGGTGATTTTCTCTCTCTCTCTCTCATTCCTTCTGCATTTATCAATGGGAACCTTCATGGAACAGCTGTTGTTTCTTCACCAATGGCTCCTGAATCCCCCCACCCCCAAATCTCTTGTAACCACCATTTTATTCTCTATGAGTTCAACTTCTGTACATTCCACACATAGGTGAAAGCATGAGATATTTTTCTTTCTGTGCCTGGTTTATTTCACTTAACATAATATCCTCCAAGTTTATCCATGTCACCGAAAATGACAGGATTTCCATCTTTTTATTTTTATTTTTGGGGCAGAGTCTCACTCTGTTGCCCAGGCTGGAGTGCAGTGGCACAATGTCGACTCACTGCAACCTCTGCCTCTTGGGTTCAAGCAATTCTTGTGCTTCAGCCTCCAGAGTAGCTGGGATTACAGGCGTGCGCCATCACACCCAGCTAATTTTTGTATTTTTAGTAGAGACCGGGTTTCACTATGTTGGCTAGGCTGGTCTCAAACTCCTGTCCTCATGTGATCGGCACACCTCGGCCTCCCAAAGTGCTGGGATTACAGGCATGAGCCACCGCGCCCGGCCAGATTTCCATCTTTTTAGGCTGAATAGTATCTCATATATCTATATCACATAATGACATTTCAGTCAATGATGGGCCTCAAATACAATAATGGTCCCATCAGACTATAATAGAACTGAAAAATTCCTATAACAGTGGCGTCGTAACCATCAGAATGGTGACAGCACAACACATGAAGTGTTTGGCATGATGCTTGTGTAAACAAACCTACTGCACTGCCAGTCCTATAAAAGGTACAGTACTACCCATTGTATTACAGTTGCCTACAGGATTCAGTTGTATAATATGCCATACAGGTTTGTAGCCTAGGGGTAATAAGCTTTTACCATATAGCTTGGGTGTATAGTAGGCTATACAATCTAGGTTTGTGTAAGTACACTCTATAATGTTTGCACAACTATGAAATCTCCTAACAGTGCATTTTTCAGAATGAATCCCTGTTAAATGATGCATGACTGTATTTTGATTCATTCCAGATTTTCTTTTCTTTTCTTTTATCTATTTTTTTGAGACAGAGTCTCGCTCTGTTGCTCAGGCTGGAGTGCAATGGCACGATCTCGGCTCACCACAACCTCCACCTCCTGGCTTCAAGTGATCCTCCTGCCCCAGCCTCCTGAGTAGCCGGGATTACAGGTGTGTGCCACCATGTCCAGTTAATTTTTGTATTTTTTTAGTAGAGGTGGGGTTTCACCAGTTGGTCAGGCTGGTCTCAAACTCCTGACCTCATGATCTGCCCACCTCGGCCTCCCAAAGTGCTGGAATTACAGGTGTGAGCCACTGCACCCAGCCCATTCCAGAATTTTTTTCTAAACATATACATAAATGAATCTATATAGAGTTCTTAAAATGTACATTATATATGGCAGCAGACAGGGTGCAGTGGCTGATGCCTGTAGTGCCAGCACTTTGGGAGGCTGAGGCAGGATTGCTTGAGCCCAGGAGTTCAAGACTAACCTGGGCAACGTAGTGGGGTCCCTCTCTCTTATATAAAAAAAAAAGTTAGCTGGACATGGTGGCACATGCCTGTAGTCCCAGCTACTTGGGAGGTGAGGTGGGAGTATCACTTGAGCCTAGGAGGTCGAGGCTGCAGTGAGCTGTGATTGTGCCACTGTACTCCAGACTGGGCAAGAGAGTGAGACACTGTCTCTAAGAAAAAAAAAATTTAAAAAACCCTAAGAAACCATTATACATATAGCACAGAATTAAGTATCATATAGTTTTCTGCAACTTGCTCTAAATTTAACAGAATGTTGGTTCACCTTTACAATATCCAGGACAGTATATTATAAGGTGTTTCCATACTGCATACACAATTCCGTCGCTAGGAATTCTGTTTACTTATGAAAGGTCCAGACACCTGTGTCCCAGAATGCTCTCGAAATCATTAGTGAAAAATTGGAGCATATGCAAGTGTCATTTAATGGATATAAAGACAGGTGATTTTTAACAGTGAGTTAGAGTTATGTATACTAACAAAATTGTAAATAATATATTGTTGATTTTAAAATGCCTGTTCAAAACTCTGTGTAGATTATGATAGAAATGGGGAATGAAGGGCAAGGTTTTTTTTTTGTTTTTTTACGGAGTCTCGCTCTGTCGCCCAGGCTGGAGTGCAGGGGTGCGATCTCGGCTCACTCACTGCAAGCTCCGCCTCCCGGGTTCACGCCATTCTCCTGCCTCAGCCTCCTGAGTAGCTGGGACTACAGGCGCCCGCCACCACGCTCGGCTAATTTTTTGTATTTTTAGTAGAGACGGGGTTTCACCATGTTAGCCAGGATGGTCTCGATCTCCTGACCTCGTGATCCGCCTGCCTCGGCCTCCCAAAGTGCTGGGATTACAGGCGTGAGCCACCGCGCCCAGCCGAAGGGCAAGGTTCGTGTCTTCTCAAGATTTTGTTTGAATTCATTGGACACGTATGACCCATGCTGAGGACCAGTCAGACAAGCATGGTAAACTGGCAAGTCTGGCGGCACTGGCTTAATTCTAAGGAAAACTGGATTTTCCATTGGCCTAAATATCCTAGACAACTGCAAACCAAAGAGGTGAAGTTTTTTCCACTTCCAGTATTTAGTCAACCCACTGACATTTTACCTGCATACAGGGCTTATGGATGCCACATGGGGGAGTGAATCCTAAGTTGTGTCTAGTCTTTCATTCAACAAATATTTATGGAGCACATTGTATGTGCCAAGCAGTTCTAGGTGAAGCGAGTACAACAGTGGTGGAAGGAAGGAGTCCTTAGGAGTTCATAGTCTAGTGGTGGTGATAGGGGAAACAGGCATTAATAATGTCTGCTAATTAATTAAGCAAGATTAATGAGAATAACACATAATTGGGTGAGGATATAATTTGGAGAAAAAAAGCAGAGGAGGAGGATGATGTTGTGATTTTCAATTGGGAACCCAGGGAAGGTGTCAGTGGAAACCAGGTAATATTTAATTAACAGACCAGAAGGTGGTGTGGAAAGTGGAAGGGGGAATGAGCTACAAAGCTACGAAGGAAAAGTGAACCGTAAGTGCAAGGGAGAGACAAGGAGAAGGAAGGAGAGAGAAATCTGGAGGAGGAGTCCAAGGTTTAGAGCCTGAACATCCTGAAGAGTGACACTGCCTTGAACTGATGTGGAGAACACCTTCCATGTAGCAGGTGTGTGGGACGGAGGTCAGGGCTCTGGTCGGGTCCTTCAAGGTTAGTTCATGGGAAGCGTGAGGGGATGAGTAGGGGAGGCTGCGATTATGGATGTGAATCCAGAGTCTCCAGCAAAGGGATGTTATTTAACGCCAGGAGACTGCAGAGAGTACCAGGAAGTGAGTGGCTCCGATCCTGAGAAGGTGGGGAACCAGCCTAGGGCCTCACCTGCTCACTCAACTACCCCTGTGTACTTTGTCCCTGCGTTCTCCTCAGCCCAGGAAAAGAATCCCCTCCTTACCCCGCCCCCACTTATCCCAGCAGAATCCCCTCCTCTCATCCCTCCGCCTAGACCACACCGCGGTCTCATTCATTGAAAACCTGATCTGTATCAAACTGGGCCATTCAGGCCAGGTTGGCAGGGTCCTTGTCACCTCCCGTAGGAGCCGCAGGGTCGGGAGGCTGGCGTGTCCAACAGCGCGAGGGGTCCTGGCTGGGGGGTCTGAGCTAGGCGTGCAATCCCGAGCCCCCTCCGCCCCTGCATCCTTCCGCCCTTTTAGGCGCCCCGCCGGCCACACAGGGCCAGTGTGCAGGGCGTGAGGGAGGGACGCGGCCCAGAGGGGCGGCTCCTTGACGCCACCCAGCGCAGCCCGGAAGCAGCCGGAGGTCCCAGCTGGGGAGGGGTGGGGGGACGTTGGATGGCTGGGTTCTGTCACGTCCCCTCCCAGCTCCGCAGTCAGCGGCTCCGTTGGAAGAGAATGTGAACCGCGCTGTCTCCAACAAAGCTGCTCACGGAACAGTGCGTTTAACTTGGCTGCTGGTCGTCGGAGGCGTCAGTCCCTTCAGCAGGGGCGGCTGCTGTGCCCACCCCCGGGGCTGTGCGCCAGAGAACGGTCAGACTCCGCCAGGGATTCTTCTCCTGAAAGAAAAGCACCAACTATCTCCCGAGCGAGCTCTCGACCCACGAAGGCCCTCCCCCGTGCTGGTCCAGCTGCGTGCTGTCGGTGGCATCTGGTGGCTCTAGTCTTGGAGGTTTCCGCGTGCTCCCATTTCTTGCCGTTTTTCTCACTAACGCAGAGGGTCTCCCAATAGGTCTGACACCAGCCTCGTGGACCCTGAAAGATGAAGTCAGCCTCAAGTCGGCAATTCCTTGCCGGAATTCCCCCTTCATTCACTTACTCTCTACAAGTTGCATCCTCTGTCTTCGACATCCCACACTCCTCCTCTTCCTCCCCGTAAGGAGTGTAATAGTATATGTTTACTTAGAAATTTCCCAGGCTGTGGCTCCTCCATATAATCCTAGCTACTTGAGAGGCTGAGGCGGGAGGATCGCTTGAGCTAAGTAGTTGGAGGCTGCAGTGAGCTATGATTGTACCACTGCATTCCAGACTGGGTGACAGAGCGGAATCCTGTCTCTAATAACATCTTAAAAGTTTACAGGCCGGGCGTAGTGGCTCAAGCCTGTAATCCCAGCACTTTGCAAGGCCGAGGCAGGTGGGTCACCTGAGGTCAGGTGATCCTGACCCTGACGGACATGGTGAAACCCCGTCTGTACTAAAAATACAAAAATTAGCCGAGTGTGGTGGCGGGTGCCTGTAATCCCAGCTACTCGGGAGGCTGAGGCAGGAGAATTGCTTGAACCCGGGAGGCGGAGGTTGCTGTGAGCCAAGATTGCGACACTGCACTCCAGCCTGGGTGACAGAGCAAGACTCTGTCTCAAAAAAAAAAAAAAAAAAAAAAAAAAAAAATTTGCAAAGTATAGAGTCCTTCCAGGGCAACAGCTTAGTCTATATTGGAATAGCCTAGTAATGGGAAGAACTCTTGCCAAGGAAAATGGGATTGAGAAATGCTGCATGTGGGAAACTTGAGCCTGTCCTTGCATTTGTCCCATGTGATCCTGGATAAAACCTACTCTCCCTCCTCCATAGCATGTTGAATTGTGTCATCTTCCTCTCCAGTTGGGTTCTACCTGGTCCCTAGGAATGATTGCCTTGACCTCTACTTTTTTTTTTAGACAGAGTCTCGTTTTGTCACCTTCACTGCAACCTCTGCCTCCCAGGTTCAAGGATTCTTCTGTCTCAGCCTCCTGAGTAGCTGGGAATACGGGCATGCCCCACCATGCCCGGCTAATTTTAGTATTTTTAGTAGAGACAGGATTTCACCATGTTGGCGAGGCTGGTCTCAAACTCCCGGAGTCATGTGATCTGCGGTTTTGCCAATATACCTCAGCATCTTGCAAAGGGAGATTTTTGCTAGGACACCGTAGGCCAGAATTTCAGTGCAGGTTTGAGCCAACATTTGGAAAATTAAACCTTGAAGACTCAAGTTATTTCAACAAATCATTTGGAGAAAATCTTTATAAACAAATGTTGAAGTCATTTCTGCTGTAGGAATTCTGGCCATTGCATGGGCTCTGCTTGCCATGTATTCCTGCTTGCATTTTCCAATAATGATTTTTTAAAAAGAAAGAACACTTAAAAGCATATACATTGATTTTGTTCAAAAATCAATTTTAATGCTTCTTGTGTTATAATGTTAGCAACAAGGCTAGTGAGTATATAAATTGGTTCAACCTCAATGGGAAGACATTTGGCAATACCTTATCAATTGGAAAGGTACACACCCCTTGACACAGCAAATCTACGTTTGGAATTTCATCCTGTATTTATACTCCTACTTGTAAGAATTGACGTGTACAAGGATATTGATTGCAACAGCATTACTGACAAAGGCAAAAGATAGCATACAAACTAAATATTCATGAAACAACAGAAAAACACATTTAAAAATAAAAAGCAGTGAAAAGATAAGTGCTCATCATCATGAAATCTATATTTTAGTGGGAGAAAAAATAATTTGTATTTAGATGAAGTGCCAAATGCAACAATCCTCAAGATACATTATTAAATGAAGAAAAAAAAGGTGCAAACTGTGTGTATTGTATACAGTGTTAAAAAATATATATATAGTAGGCTGGTAATGATGGCTCATGACTGTAATCCTAGCACTTTGGGAGGCCGAGGTGGGCCTATCACCTGAGGTCAGGGGTTTGAGACCAGTCTGGCCAACGTGGCAAAACCTCATCTCTACTAAAAGTACAAAATTTAGCCAGGCATGGTGGCACGTGCCTGTAATCTCAGCTACTTGGGAGGCTGAGGCAGGAGAATTGCTTGAACTCAGGAGGCAGAGGTTGCAGTGAGCTGAGATCGCACTGCCGCACTCTGCCTAGGTGACAGAGTGAGACTCTGTCTCAAAACAAAAACAAAAACATATAGTACATATGTCTTTGTGTTTGCGTAGAATAGTTTTGAGAAGATATAATTAACTGAGAGAGGTTGAAAAAGACTTCACTGTATAGTGTTTGTGTAATGCATACTACCTATTCAAAATAATTCGTAAAGGCATATGTGATGTGGATTTGCAAACTGGATAGTCTGAAATCAAGTCCTCCTCCCCAACTCTTGGGATCTGATGAGATTATCATAGTGCTAGAAAGAGAACTATCTGAATGTTACATATGCCAGGAGTGTATAATAAAAAAAGTTTGAATCCAAATGTAAATTAAAAAGTATACGTGTATAATAAAATCAGTTTTTGCAACCCACTTATGTATAATGTGATAACCATTCTAGTTGTGATATTCATCTCATTTTCAGTGTTAGAAGCATTTAAGGATATCTGATACATTAGATTTGTGTATGTGTGTGTTTAATTTTTTTTTGATGGAGTCTCACTCTGTCACCCAGGCTACAGTGCAGTGGCATGATCTTGGCTCACTGCAACCTCTGCCTCCTGGGTTCAAGTGATTCTCCTGCCTCAGCCTCCTGAGTAGCTGGGACTAGATATGTGCCATTACACCTGGCTAATTTTTATATTTTTAGAGGAGACAGGGTATTGCCATGTTGCCCAGGCTGGTCTCGAACTCTTGGCCTCAAATGATTTGCCCACCTCGGCCTCCCAAAGTGCTAGGATTATAGACATGAGCCACCGCACCTGGCCGTGTGTGTGTGTGTTTTCTTTTTAGTTTTTTGAAATGCAGTCTCACTCTATCACCCAGGCTGGAGTGCAGTGGCACGATCTCGGCTCACTGCAACCTCCGCCTCCCAGGCTCAAGCGATTCTCCTGCCTCAGCCTCCCGAGTAGCTGGGATTACAGGTGCCTGCCACCATGGCTGGCTAATTTTTGTATTTTTAGTAGAGATGGGGTTTCACCATGTTGGGCAGGCTGGTCTTGAACTCCTGACCTCAGGTGATCCACCCACCTCGGCCTCCCAGAGTGCTGGGATAACAGGCGTGAGCCACCGTGCCCCGCCTTTTTTTTCTTTTTGAGATGGAGTATCACTCTGTTGCCCAGGCTGGAGTGCAGTGGCATGATCTCAGCTCACTGTAACCTCTGCCTCTCAGGTTCAAGTGATTCTCCTGCCTCAACCTCCCGAGTAGCTGGGACTACAGGTGTGTGCCACCAGGCCCAGCTAATTTTTGTATCATTAGTAAAGATGGGGTTTCACCATGTTAGCCAGGCGGGTGTCGAACTCCTGACCTCAGGTAATCCGCCCGCCTTGGCCTCCCAAAGTGCTAGGATTACAGGCGTGAGCCACCGCGCCCAGCTGTGTGTGTTTTTAAAGAGACCCCAACATGGAGAGGGTCTTGTTATGTTGCCCAGGCTGGTCTCAAACTCCTGAGTTCAAGTAATCCTCCTGCCTGGGGCCTGCCAAAGTGCTGGGATTACAGGCGTGAGCCACTGTGCCCGACCTAGATTCGTTATTAGTGCATTCTTGCATTGCTGTAAAAAAAATACCTGAGATTGGGTAATTTATAATGACAAGAGGTCTAATTGGCTCTCGAGTCTGCAGGATGTACAGGAAGCATGATGCTGGCATCTGCTTGGCTCCTGGGGAGGCCTCAGGAAACTTACAATCATGGTGTAAGATGAAGGAGGAGTAGGCACATCACATGGCCAGAGCAGGAGCAAGAAGTTGCAGGGGAGGTGTCAACAGCTTTTTGTTATTGTGGTTGTTTTGAGACAGGGTCTTGCTCTGTCGCCAGACTGGAGTGCAGTGTCTGGGATGTTGGCTCATGGCAACATCCAACTCCCGGTTCAAGTGATCCTCCCACCTCAGCCTCCCAAGTAGCTGGGACCACAGGTGTGTGCCACCACACCTGGTGACTTTTTATATTTTTCAGAGAGACAGGGTTTTGCTATGTTGACCAGGCTGGTCTCTAACTCCTGGACTCAAGCAATCTGCCCACCTTGGCTTCCCAAAGTGTTGGGGTTACAGGTGTGAGCCATGCCACATGCTTTTAAATGACCAGACACCATGAGAACTCACTATCATGAGAACAGCACCAAGTGGATGGTGCTAAACCATTCATGAGAAAGCTGCCCCCATGATCCAGTCAACTCCCGTGAGGCCCCACCTCCAACACTGGGGATTACAATTCAACATGAGATTTGGGCAGGTACACATATCCAAACTATATCAGTTACTTTAATGAAAAGTTTATAAAATTAAATAATTTATCACTGTTAATGGATGAGTGGCATGTTGCTAGGTTCCTAAATTCTATTTTAAGAGCTGTGGAAACAATTATTTAATTTTAAAGGAATATTAAGAGTTATGATTAATACAAATATATTTGGCACATAACAAAGAATAAATAGATGTCCTCTCCATTCACAAAAGTCCTGTTAATACGGGATGCTACATATCAAATTAGGAAGTAGCTGCTAGTTATGATAGAAATTATTCCACAAATATGTATCAAGTGCTAAATATGTGCAGAAGTGCTGTTCCTTTTTTTTTTAAGTCTTCATCTAATAAGTCTAAAGCAGATGCTGTTCTAGGTGCTGTGGATATACTGGTGAACAGAAAACAAAAATTTCTATCTTATGGCACTTCTTTATGCTGTTTATGCTGGGGACACAGCAGGAAACAAGACAGCAAAATCTTCATTCTTGTGAAATTTAAAGTTTTAGAACAGGGAAAGAGACAATAGATCCATAAATGTATGTTAAAGTAAAAGTGGGCAGAAGATGCTGACTTTTTGTTTTGTCTCGAGACAGTCTTGCTCTGTTGCCCAGGCAACCTTGAACTTCTGGTTGGTCTCAAGCAATCCTGCCTTGGCTTCCCAAATGGCTGGTGGTTTTTTTTTGTTTTTTTTTTTTTGAGGTGGAGTCTCACTCTGTTGCCCAGGCTGGAGTGCAATGGCGTGATCTTGGCTCACTGCAACATCTGCCTCCTGGGTTCATGCGATTCTCCTGCCTCAGCCTCCTGAGTAGCTGGGATTACAGGTGCGCACCATCATGCCCGGCTAATTTTTGTGTTTTTGTAGAGACGGGGTTTCACCATGTTGGCCAGGCTGGTCTTGAACTCTTGACCTCAGGTGATCCACCCGTACCTTGGCCTCCCAAAGTGCTGGGATTACAGGTGTGAGCCACTGCACCCAGCCTATGGCTGGGATTACACTTGTAATCCCAGGTCAAGTGATTCTCATGCCTCAGCCTCCCAAGTAGCTGTAATTACAGGCATGTGCCACCATGCTTTGCTAATTTTTTGTAGAGATGGGGTTTTGCCATGTTGGCCAGGCTAGTCTCAAACTCCTGGCCTCAAGAGATCTGCCTGCCTCGGCCTCCCAAAGTGCGGGGATCATGGGCGTCAGCTACTGCACCTAGCCTCTTTGTAACTTCTTACAACTACATGTGAATCTATAATTAGCTTAAAAGGATTAAAATTTTTTTGTGAATTAAATTTTTTTGAATCAGTCAATTTTATTCCAATTCTTCACAATTTACACTCAATATGTTGTTTCCAAAATGTAAGTCACCCTTTATATAATAGTTTTATTATTTCATCTTTCTTTTAGAGTTTTTTTAAAATCTTTTCCTTATGTTTCTTCAGTAGAAGCCAGAATCTTGAGTTGCCCAGTTAGGAGCCTCTGACCTGCTATTGTCATTAAGTTTCTTCTCAATATTCATGGCCAAAATCTAGCTTCTAAAAGAAAGGCTTTTGGTCTTTTCAATCACTTGCTGATAGGGTGAGAGTACATTGTTACCATAACCACATGACCTAATTTAGAATCAATCTTGGCATCCAGTCTTGCATTTCTAATCACATTTACAATCCACCTTTCAGTTTCATCTGGAGTCATGTTCAATTTGTCTGCCAACATGTTAATGCTGATACACTGGTGGATGTGACAGAAAGTCTCAAATATGAAGAGATGGGCATTGTCAATGAAATCCTTAAGACAAGCCACCAAGAAGTCGTTCACAAGCACTGATTCACATTCTCTCAGCTTTTTCTTAGCCCCATCTAAGTCAAAGTTAATCTATAAGCATTCAACAAATTCTGTAATTGGGTCTTTATATGTGTAAGACTCCTGTTGAGTAACTTTACCTAGATCTTTTAGCACCTGCCAACGTTTTCGAACATCCTTGTTTGCTATGACTGCTGTAGTCAAATAGTGAAGAATGTGTGGACACATTAAGATGCTGTGGCTGGTAAAGGAAGAGATCAACAATATTATCACAACCTTTGGGGTGATTGAAGAAAACAGAGACCAGTGAACGAGCCATGCTCTCTGCTGAAGAGACTGGAGTGGAGAACTCACAGAATTATTATCTATGGTCTCTTTTAACCATGTAAGGTCTTCCATGTCTGCATCCCAATTCTGCTTTAAGATTTCAGAGGCCAGCTTTCCCCAGAGTGAACTTACAGCATTTCTGTCTGTTGCTGGAACCAACACTCTGAAAAAATAAAGATATTCTGCTGCTCCTGAGTAATTCCCACATTCATACTGGAATTTTGCATATGTGTAGAATGTATCTAAATACTCCTGCCTAAAACCATGCTTGTCCGCCAGGTAGTCAAAGAGCATCCTACCATCCCTGGTTGACCGCATTTGCCTTGTCGTTTCTGGATCTTCAAACATTTTCACAATTAGTTCTGTTTCTGCCTGAAGCTGTTTCAGTTGTGCAACAACTGTGGTTCTATTCTCTTTCAAAGCATGAGGAATATCATCAGAATAAAGGTTTTTGTATGCATCCATAGCAAAGTCTACCATGTTGGCATCACTAAGAAGGTCCAATTTACCTTGTAATAATTCCTTTTCTTTATATATCTCCTTTACAGAGAGAAACTCAAGGAGCGGAAAGACTAGATGCCGATCCAAAAGGTGCGTGATGCGAGTAGTTAAGTCGTACCCCGCCATCTTACCAAAAAAAGGGAGTCTGTGCTAGAGAATTAAATTTTTAAAAATAGATTCAGGAGGTGCATGTGCAGGCTTGTTACATGAATGTATTGTGTAATAGTGAGGTTTGGGCTTCCAGTGTGCCCATCACACAAATATTAAACATTGTATCCAATAGGTACAATGTTTACTTCTTCAACCCTCACCCCCCTCCCATCCTTCCCCCAAAGATTAATTAAAAATAAAACAAAATCAGAATTTTAAATAATTCAAAATCCACCTTAACGTAGGTCCTGATCTTGGGACCCTTTAGCAACCATACACCACTGCATTCTGTTGATAACAGAAACTGGGTACACCAGGCACGGTGGCAAATGCCTATAATCCCAGCACTCTGGGAGGCTGAGGCAGAAGGATTGCTTGAAGTTAGGAAGTCAAGAACAGCCTGGGCAACAAAGCGAAACCTCTATCTCTACGAAGAATTAAAAAAAAAAGTGGATAATTTAGACTTAAAGAGATATTTTGGTGCAAAAGGATTAACATTACATGTTCCAACTTAAAAGATCATAATTTCCTGCTTAATAACATTCATGTTAAAGTCTACCAGATGTTACTTAAACATTGCCACTTCAGCTGTTCGTGTTTTCTTGGAAACTGTTGTTTATTTCCATCAGCGTTATTTCCATCTTGTTTAAGAGCTTGTGGAAGAACAGCTTAAGGCCACTCAGTGGTTATTCTTACCCATTCAGTGGTCTGAGCAGTGGAAGTTGCAGACCAGTCATTCATGGTAGGCTAAGTGCTCCAATCTTCAGTAGGGAACTGCTGAATAGGCACAGAGGGCACCTGCATGTCTTTAAACCAGTCTGCAACCTCAGATTGAGTAGCAGTAAACTTGCACTACAGCAGTCCATTCACTTTGAAATTCCTCCTTTTTCAGCTGCAGCCTACTCTTCCTTTTCAATCTCTTCAGGATCTCTATAGAAGTAGAGATCAGGCATGATCATGGGAGATGGTGCAACACATGCACAGAGCTTCCTGGGCCAGCATCCACTACATTAGACTCAGTGATTGAGCTTCCTTGTTGTTGCATGGGATGACAATATCCACATAGCTCAGAGGAGAATCTGTTACATACAGCAGTGGTAGGTAGGTAGGTTACCATAAGAAGCCCCTGAGAGAGGCTGATAGTTAGCCCTAGAATCAGTAACCACCAGAAGATGTGGGTGGCAGAAGATGATTGGATCTGGTTAGCAAAGGTTCCAGAAGTGAAGTGACCAGCAATACATGTGGCTCCAGCAGCAGCAGCAAACTTCAGCACAGCCCACTAGCTAGTATTCCTGCAGGATATGACACATCAGCAGGGTTTTCAATGGCAACAATGGCATGAGCTGCCAGCAGAAGCTTCTCCCAGTTCCTCTTCAGATTTATGATATATTTGTGGACTTTGGATCTTGTTAGAAAAAAAAAAGATTATGATATAGATGCCATCACCTTCATTTTTAGATGTACTATCATTCCATTTGGAAATCAAAGTTAGTGTCACCTAAGTGACTTCCTGCTGCAAGAAATTTGAGGACATCAAGGGCTCTGGACATTGTGAAAGTTTCCCTTTAAGTTACAACAGGAATCCAGAACAACACTGTATGGACCCCTCTCTGGGTAGCACAGAAAGCTAGCTTTTTTTCTTTTTCTTTTCTTTTTTTTTTTGGGATGAAGTCTCGCTCTGTCACCAGGCTGGAGTGCAGTGGCATGATGTCAGCTCACTCCAACTTCTGCCTCCCGGGTTCAAGCGATTTCCCTGCCTCAGCTTCCCGAGTAGCTGGGACTACAGGCATGCACCACCATGCCTGGCTAATTTTTTTTTTTTTTTTTTTTTGAGACGGAGTCTCGCTCTGTTGCCCAGGCCGGACTGCGGACTGCAGTGGCGCAATCTCGGCTCACTGCAAGCTCCGCTTCCCGGGTTCACGCCATTCTCCTGCCTCAGCCTCCCCAGTAGCTGGGACTACAGGCGCCCGCCACCGCGCCCGGCTAATTTGTTGTATTTTTAGTAGAGACGGGGTTTCACCTTGTTAGCCAGGATGGTCTCGATCTCCTGACCTCATGATCCACCCGCCTCGGCCTCCCAAAGTGCTGGGATTACAGGCGTGAGCCACCGCGCCCGGCCGCCTGGCTAATTTTTTGTATTTTAGTAGAGATGGGGTTTCACCATGTTGGCCATGATGGTTTCCCTCTTGACCTTGTGGTCTGCCCCACTCAGCCTCCCAAAGTGCTGGAATTACAGGTGTGAGTCACAGTGCCTGGCCGTTTTTTTTCTTTTTTCTGTTGTTTGTTATGAGACAGGGTCTTACTCTGTCACCCAGGCTGGAGTGCAGTGGCGTGATCATGGCTCACTGCAACCTCTGCCTCCTTGTTCAAGTGATTCTCATGTGTCAGCCTCTGGAGTAGCTGGGATTACAGGCATGAGCCACCATGGCCTGGCTAATTTTTGTATTTTTAATAGAGACAGGGTTTTGCCATGTTGGACAGGCTGATCTTGAACTCCTGGCCTCCAATGATCCACCCGCCTTGGCCTCCCAAAGTGCTGGGATTACAGGAGCCACTGTAGTTGGCCCAGATTTTATTCTTTTTTTTTTTTTTTTTTTTTTTTTTGAGATGGAGTCTCACTCTGTCGCCCAGGCCGGAGTGCAGTGGTGCAATCTTCGCTTACTGCAACTACCGCCTCCCGGGTTCAAGTGATTCTCCCACCTCAGCCTCCTGAGTAGCTGGGACTACAGGCATGTGCCACCATGCCTGTCTAATTTTTGTATTTTTAGCAGAGGTGGGGTTTCGCCATGTTGGCCAGGCTAGTCTTGAACTCCTGGCCTCAAGTGATCTGCCTGCCTTCGCCTCCCAAAGCGCTGATATTACAGGCATGAGCCACTGTGACTGACCTAGATTTTATTCTTATGCCTAATCCATTTGTCTGTCTGTGGCTGAAAAAGGATTATGTCCTTTTGTACTGAGTGTGTCTCTGATATGCAAGAAATGATTGGATATTTTAATCTATTTAGGTTTAATTGGGGCTGAAAACTTTAAGACCGTCTACTAGGCTGTGTTATTAGGCTAGGCTTTTCCATTATCTAAACACTCCCTACCTCTACCACCTGTCAGTAATTACCTTTTTTTTTTTTTTTTTTTTTGAGATGGGGGTCTTACTATACTATGTTGTTCAGGCTGGTGTGCAGTGGCTAATTCACATATGCCATCATACCCTTCTACAGCCTTAAACTCCTGGCTTCAAGTGATCCTCTGCCTCTGGCTCCTGAGTAGCTAGGAAAACAGGTGTGTGCCACTGCACCCTGCTCAAAGAAAACTTTTTTTTTAAGACGAAGTCTTACTCTGTCACCCAGGCTGGAGTGCAGTGGCATGATCTCAGCTCACCGCAACCTCTGCCTCCCAGGTTCAAGTGATTCTCCTGCCTCAGCCTCCTGAGTAGCTGGGACTACAGGCATGCACCAGTATGCTCAGCTAATGTTTGTATTTTTAGTAGAGATGGGGTTTAACCATGTTGCCCAGGCTGGTCTTGAACTCCTGACCTCAAGTGATTCACCCACCTTGGCCTCCCAAAGTGGTGGGATTACAAGCGTGAACCACCGTGCCCGGCCCAAGAAAACTGTTTCTGATCTTTTCTGATAGGGATGGAAGAGAATACTTACTTCTCCAGATCAGTGGCTGCATATCTCATATCAAAGGTTGTGTTAATCAGTTTCTAATAAAAACACCACACCTGGCACAGCAACTGCAATTAGTGCCACCACTTGGTTGAGTCTGCAGCAGTTCACTGCCGTCTTCTCGGATCCATCTGATTTTTGTAGGCACCAGAGTGGTGAACTAAATGGAGATATGATGATGACTAACTCTATCCTTTAGGTCTTTAAGGGTGCCGCTAGCTTCTGCCATTCCCCCTGGGATGTAATACTGGATTTGATTTGGTCTTGATCAGGAAGATGGTGGGGGCAGTTTCAGAGGGCTTCATTAGCCCTTCTCCACTCTAATTTCACCCCAGAGGAGTAGTATCAATATTAGAGTTGTGCCAGCTGCCAAGAATCTCCATTCCAAGTATACATTTGGAAGCTGAGAAAATGATCACTAGGTGGGTTATGGACCCAGTGTGCCCACTGTGAGCTAGATCTTAGGACTCCATTTATTACTTGACCCCATATGTCCTCCCTCTAAGAGGAGTGGCAGATGATGCTGAATCTACATGTATCATTGTCAACTGGGACCTTGTGTCCAAGAGTCTATGATGTTTGGCTATTTCTCTTTTCCCAGTGTATATTACTTGAAGTAAATGACTGTAGGTTCCTTTGTGGGAAGGAAGAGGGAACCATTACTATGTACTGCCATAGCATTGCCAGGTCCTTCCTCCTGGGGATCTGGCCTCTCCTTCAGTCATTCAGTTTCAGATCTGGAAACTGGCGTATGTCTGGAAACTGGGCAAGGGAGCATGAGACTACTGCTTCCAGCCTAATCATCTAGCCTTGATTTCTTTGATGTACAGATTGAATAGTACCCTTGTTGGCTGCCCAGGTATTTTTCCTTAGTCATTTAATAACCCTCTAGTAGTCAGGTCCCTCTGTGAAGCTGACTTGCCACTTGTTATGATGATTGTGTCTTTCTGGCATCTGAGGGTTAAGTGGCCTTGACTGGCCTTTGGGGGATAGTGGCTATCATCGCAATTGCTATTAGAGACCAGTTTTATCACGGCATCTCCTACTGTAAGTCCCGGCTCTCAGAGAAGAGCCACTACTGAACTTAGCAGTGTTGGTGACATTCTCACTAGAACATTTCTTATTGCTTTGGTAAGTAATATATTTTCTGGGTCCTCTTGTGGATTTTCCAACTATTTGCCGTATATAGTCTATAGCATACTCACTTTTCCGAGCCTTTTCATTCATCTACCTTTTGCTACAATTTTGGCATTTCTACCTCACTTAGTGTGGGCCACTGTTATTTCCATGCTTCTGGGAGCCATCCTGGTAGTAGGATTGCGTCATCTTTCAGGATCCTAGTCAGGGCATTAAATCCTGAAAGCAGTATCTGGTTCTTTTTTTTTTTTTTGAGACAGAGTCTCACTCTGTTGCCCGGGCTGGAGTGCAGTGGCATGAACTCAGCTCACTGCAATCTCTGCCTCTCAGGTTCAAGTGATTCTCCTGCCTCGGCCTCCCGAGTAACTGAGATTACAGGTGCAAGCTACCATGCCCAGCTAATTTTCACGATTTTTAGTAGAGACAGGGTTTCACCATGTTCGTCAGGCTGGTCTCAAACTCCTGACCTCAAATGATCCTCCTGCCTCAGCCTCCCAAAGTGCTGGGATTGTAGACGTGAGCCACCATGCTCTGCCCCATCTGGTTCTTTAAAATTATATATTGCTCTTTGTCATAACACATTCTGCATGCTCATCTTTGTAATTATTTTTAGAGAATAGAAGAGGTGTGGCTCTCAGTGCTTAGTTGATCAATGAAAAGTTGGTTTGTTAGTGATACCATCCATTATCTCAGGTATAAATGAGGGAATCAGGTCTCTTTATCATCAGGTCCCTCTTTTTCTTCAGAGTTCTGAATTTTCATATATTTCAAGAAAAGAAGTCCTCAAGAGCAGTGAATCTGAGAAATTAATGTGATTAGTATCTAATTATCACCAATATCATCTTATGTAAACTATATAGAGACTTTTTTGGAGTTCTGAATTTTTCCTTTACTGACTTAAAAAAACCCCACACAAACGAGTGAATCCATTTAGGACCAAGCAAGGAAAAGTAGCTCTTATTCCCTGACACACTGTGGTATGGTTTGGCAGCAGGATAAGGCTGGGAATGGGTGTAGAGTTCTCACTGGCTACACAGATGGGTTCTAAGTCTTGCCTTGCGGAGTTGACAGTTTTGCTGAATCATGTGGATAGATAAGTTTAATAGTTTTCCCCTTTGTCCTTTCCCTTCCTAAATGTGATTATTTATAGGAAATGTGCTTTGGAAACTAGCATAAAGGAGAAAAAAGGCCTTTCCAGTTTGTCTTTTAAAGAACAAGCTGGGGATGGAGTTAAGATAAGATTGAGCTCCATCTGGTGGCTAACTTTGATCAGTTCTTGGAACTAGGAACTGACCAAAATCTGGAAAGCCTGATTCTTCTAAAAATAGAAAATGGGGGAGGGATAGCATTGGGAGATATACCTAATGCTAGATGACACATTAGTGGGTGCAGCGCACCAGCATGGCACATGTATACATATGTAACTAACCTGCACAATATGCACATGTACCCTAAAACTTAGAGTATAATAAAAAAAAAAAAAAAAGAAAAAAAAGAAAATGGGCCGGGCACAGTGACTCAGGCCTGTAATCCCAGCACTTCGGGAGGCCGAGGCAGGCAGATCACCTGATGTCAGGAGTTTGAGACCAGCCTGGCCAACATGGCGAAACCCTGTCTCTACTAAAAAAATACAAAAATTAGCTGAGCATGGTGGCAGGTGCCTGTAATCTCAGCTACTTGGGAGGCTGAGGCAGGAGAATTGCTTGAACCCGGGAGGCAGAGGTTGCAGTGAGCTGAGATCGTGCCACTGCACTCCAGCCTGGGCTACAGAGCTGGATTCCATCTTAAAAAAAAAAAAAAAGAAGAGTCATGATAAGCATGAATAAGGCATAGAGGCCAAATCAGCAGAGTCAACCTGCGGTCTCTGGT
The DNA here is from genome assembly GCF_000001405.40 of Homo sapiens. Lineage (NCBI taxonomy): Eukaryota > Metazoa > Chordata > Mammalia > Primates > Hominidae > Homo > Homo sapiens. The sequence continues at coordinate 73,285,266 of NC_000006.12, read as the reverse complement.
AGGACTGGTGGAATTTTTGCCAAGACTTTAAAAGATGATGAATAAAAAGTAACATTGTCTTTCTATGGCAAAACAAACTCTATGGAAATTTAAAGAGTGGGATATTTATAATGCAAAGTAACAGACACGCTGGGTGGCTCACACTTGTAATCCCAACACTTTGGGAGGCTGAGGTGGGCAGATCACCTGAGGTCAGCAGTTCGAGACTAGCCTGGCCAACATGGTGAAACCCCATCTCTACTAAAAATACAAAAATTAGCAAAGTGTGGTGGCATGCGCCAGTAATCCTAGCTACTTGGGAGGCTGAGGCAGGAGAATCGCTTGAACCCAGGAGGCAGAGGTTGCAGGGAGCCGAGATTGCGCCACTGCATTCCAGCCTGGGTGACAAGAGCGAAACTCCATCTAAAAAAAAAGCAAAGTAACAGACACAAAACTTCACAGGCAATCCTTTAATCTTTTCAAGATTCAAAGAAGGTCAGGAAGGGTGGATAAGCCTGATATCCCAAGAGAAAGGGCAGCTTTAAGAGCATACCTGGAGTTTGAGCCTGGCAGGTGAGGCTGCTATCAATCCAGCAATGTTGTAATCATCCAACAGATTCTTCTTGCCTGCTGCACAGGGAAATCCAATTCACTGAGACAGCATTGTGGTAGTAAAGAAATAGTTTAATTTAATTAATGCAAGGCCAGCCAAGCAGAGAGACAGGAGTTTAAGATTACTAAAATCTGCCTCCCTGAGAGCTCAGAGGCCAGAGTTTTTATAGATAATTTGGTGGGCAGGGGGCTAGGGAATGGTTGAAGATGAAATCTTAGGGGTGTGGAAAATGGTCCTTGTGCACTAAGCCCACCTCTGGGTGGGGACCACAGGACTGGCTGAGTCAGGAGTCATGGGCCCCGGTAGGGTATGTCAGTTGCCAGAATGCAAAAGTTTGAAAAACAATTCAAAAGATCAATCTTAGGTTTTACAATAGTGATCTTATCTATAAGAGAAACTGAGGAAGTCACAAATCTTGTAACCTATGACCACATACCTTCTGAGCAGTAAGGGATTACAAAAACTATGCCTACATTTTGGCAGAAGTCAGGCCCTCTCATAATCCTAATATTGTGGGTTTTCATTAGTCTTACAAAGGCTGTTTCAGTTCCTGAACAAGGAGGGGATCCGTTTTAGAGAGGAACGATTATCATCCTTGCCTTAAAGTTAAACTAGAAATTAAACTCCTCCCAAGGTTAGTTTGGCCTATGCCCAGGAATGAGTGAGGCTAGAAGCAAGATGGGGTCAGCCATGCTAGACTTCTCTCGGTGTCATAATCTTTGCAAAGGTGGTTTCAATGTGCTGGAGAGGATGAAGGGTGGAGTGGGAAAATACTGCAGTTATCAAAGAGGAAAGAATGGTGCCAGGCACGGTGGTCACTCCTGTAATCCCAGCACTGTGGGAGGCGGAGGCGGGAGGATCACCTGAGGTCAGGAGTTCAAGACCAGCCTGGCCAACACGATGAAACCCTTTCCCTACTAAAAATACAAAAATTTGAACCTGGGGGGCAGAGGTTGCAGTGAGCCAAGATCGCGCCACTGCACTCCAGCCTGGGCGACAGAGAGAGACTCTGTCTCCAAAAAAAAAAAAAAAAGAATGAAAACCAGTGAGGTAAAGCTTCAACTCCAAAAATTAAAGAAAACAGAATGATCCTAAAGAAACAAAAACTAAGGGCCGGGTGCTTACACTTGTAATCCCAGCACTTTGGGAGGCCTGGGAAGGAGGATCACTTGAGGTCGGGAGTTGAGACTTGCATGGATCACTTGAGACTAGCCTGGGCAACACTGAGACCCTGTCTCTATATAACAAAACACCTAAGGAAATAAAAGATTAAAGCAAAAGCCAATGGAATAAGAAACAAAATAGGATAAACAAAACCACAAGCTGCTTCTTTTTAAAAAAAAAAAACTAGTAACACTTGAGTCCACACAGTTAAAAATGAATAATTAAATAAGTGAGGTAGAACAGACAAATCTCCCATGCAGAATTTCAAATAATTTATGTAGGTACTCTGTCCTTATGGAGGTGGAGCATAACTCCCGGTTCCTTCATTAAATGTGAGCTATACGTAATGACTTCCTTCAAAAGATTACAATAAGGAAAAGGAAGGTATGAGTAACTTTACAGTGGAGAGGACTGACAGACTACTTCAGCCTGATGATCAAGGTCAACATAAAAAGTGAAGTCATGTTAATAGCATGTACCTCCGGTATGTAACTGCCCAGTGGCTTCACCTTGCCCATTTCCTAGACAGAGCCAATTTATAAAGACAGGCGAATTGTAATAGAGAAAGAGTAATTCACGTAGAACAGGCTGTGCAGGAGACCAGAGTTTTATCATTACTCAAATCTGTCTCCTGGAGCACTCGGGGATCAGAGTTTTTAAGGATAATATGGTGGGTGGGGGAAGGACAGTGTGTCGAGTGTTGATTGGTTAGGTCAGAGATAAAATCATAGGGAATTAAAGCCTCTTGCACGGAGTCAGTTCCTGGGTGGGGGCCACAAGATCAGATGAGCCAGTTTATCGATCTGGGTGGTGGTGCCAGCTGATCCATCAAGTGCAGGGTCTGTAAAGTATCTCAAGCACTGATCTTAAGAGCAGTTTAGGGAGGGTCTGAATCTTGTAGCCTCCAGCTGCATGACTCCTAAACTATAATTTCTAACCTTGTGGCTCCTTTGTTAGTCCTACAAAGGGAGTCTAGTCCCCAGGCAAGGAGGTTTGTTTTGGGAAAGGGCTGTTATCATCTTCGTTTTAACCTATAAACTAAGTTCCTCCTAAAGTTAGTTGAGCCTAAGCCCAGGAATGAAAAAGGACAGTTTGGAGGTTAGAAGCAAGATGGAGTTGGTTAGATCAGCTCTCTTTCACTCTCAGTTATGATTTTGCAATGGCAGTTTCAGGTATAATGTGATGAAAATGGCGCTTACTTTATGGTCTTCCTCCTCAAAACCCCTAATCCCAGTCTAATCATGAGACTTCAGACAAACTCCACTAGAGTGGCATCTTTTTTTTTTTTTTTTTTAGACAGAGTCTCACTCTGTCACTTGGGCTGGAGTGCAGTGGTGTAATCTTGGCTCACTACAACCTTCGCCTTCCGAGTACAAGCAATTCTCATGCCTCAGCCTCCTGAGTAGCTGGGACTACAGGCGCATGCCACCACGCCCGGCTAATTTTTGTATTTTTAGTGGAGATGGGGTTCCACCATGTTGGCCAGGCTGGTCTCAAACTCCCAGCCTCAAGTGATCCACCCACCTTGGCCTCCCAAAGTGCAGGGATTACAGGCGTGAGCCACCGGACCTGGCCTAGAGTGGCATCTTAAAATATGCTTGACCAGTATGCCTCAAAACTGTCAAGGTCATCAAAAACAAAAAAAGTCTGAGAATCTACCACAGCCAAGAGGAGCCTAAGGAGACATGATGACTAAATGTAATGTGGTACACTGTTTGGGCTCCTGGGGCAGAAAAAGGACCTTAGGTAAAAACTAAGGAAATCAGAATAAAGTATGGGCTTTAATATAAGATGTTAATAATAGGAAAAACTGAGTGTGGAGTAAATGGGCACTCTGTACTATCCTCACAACTCTTCTGTAAATCTAGAACCCATTTTTTTTTTTTTTTTTTTGAGACGAAGTTTCACTCTTACTGCCCAGGCTGGAGTGCAATGGCGCGATCTTGGCTCACTGGAATCTTTGCCTCCTGGGTTCAAGCGATTCTCCTGCCTCAGCCTCCCAAGTAGCTGGGATTACAGGCGCCCATCACCACGCCTGGCTGATTTTTTATATTTTAAGTAGAGACGGAGTTTCACCATGTTGGCAAGGCTGGTCTTGAACTCTTGACCTTCAGGAAATGCTGGGATTACAGGTGTGACCCACTGCACCCAGGTGGTTTTTTGTTTTTTTTTTTGAGAGAGTCTCGTTCTGTCACCCAGGCTGGAGTGCCGTGGCATGAGCTTGGCTCACTGCAACCTCTGCCTCCCAGGTTCAAGTGATTCTCCTGCCTTAGCCTCCTGAGTAGCTGGGATTACAGGTGTGTGCCACCACGCCTGGCTAAATTTCTATTTTTAGTAGAGACAAGGTTTCTCCATGTTAGGCTGGTCTCAAACTCCTGATCTCAGGTGATCCGCCTGCCTTGGCCTCCCAAAGTGCTGGGATTACAGACAGGCACCACCATGCCAGGCTAATTTTTGTATTTTTAGTAGAGACAGGGTTTCCCCATGTTGGCCAGGCTGATCTCAAACTCCTGACCTCAAGTGATTTGCCCTACTTGGTCTCCCAAAGTGTTGGGATTACAGGCGTAAGCCACCATGCCCAGCCAAAACTTCTAAAGGATGTGCTTTAGGAAGAAGATATATGATCACAGAAGGGAGTTCTGGGGAAAATGCAAACTGACAAGATTTAAAAAGCTATTAAAAAAGAAATTAGGTTGGGCATGGTGGCTCACACCTGTAATCCCAGCACTTTGGGAGGCCAAGGTGGACAGGTCACCTGAGGTCTGGAGTTTGAGACCAGCCTGACCAATATGGAGAAACCCCATCGCTACTAAAAATACAAAATTAGCTGTGTGTGGTGGTGCATGCCTGTAATCCCAGCTACTCGGGAGGCTGAGGCAGGAGAATCACTTGAACCTGGGAGGTGGAGGTTGCGGTGAGCCGAGATTATGCCATTGTACTCCAGCCTGGGCAACAAGAGTGAAAAGAAAAAGTCTCAAAAAAAAAAAAAAAAAAAAGAAATTAAAGACCATTGTAATTCACAAATAAATCACATAAAAGGATATGTTTGGCTTGGCATGTTGGGTCATGCCAGTAATCTCAGCACTTTGGGAGGCTGAGGTGGGCTGATTGCTTGAGCCCAGGAGTTCGAGACCAGCCTGGACAACATGGCAAAACCCCATTTCTACAAAAAATAAAATACAAACATTAGCCGAGCATGGTGGTGCATGCCTGTGGTTCCAGCTACTTGGAAGGCTGAGATGGGAGGATCACCTGAGCATGGGTAGGTAGAGGCTGTAGTGAGTTGTGATTGTGCCATTGCACTCCAACCTGGGTGACAGTGAGACTGTCTCCTCAAAAATAAATAAAACAAAAAAGGATATATTTAATCTTTATTAATTTTAATTTGAAGGAGGGTAAATATCTGGGTATTATTTCTTCTATTAAGTGTAGGACTGGCTATCACATTTCTCTAACTATAAAAGTAGAGAAGGATGGATGTAGTAAACTGTGAATAGGCCAAAGGAACGCAGAAAAAGTAGGAACTATACCAAGAACAGGAATGATGAGCAACAATGATGATCACATACAAAATAACAAAATAGAAAGAGGGCCCAACAGTACCTTACAATAATGATGTAATAATACCTCATCTTGGCCGGGCAAGGTGGCTCACGCCTGTAATCCTGGCACTTTGGGAGGCCGAGGTGAGTGGATTGCATAAGCTCAGGAGTTGATCAGCCTGGCAACACAGCAAAACTCTGTCTCTACGAAAAATATAAACATTAGCTGGGTGTGGTGGTGGGTGCCTATAGTCCAAGTTACTTGGGGGACTGAGGCAGGAGGATTGCTCGAGCCTAAGAGGTCAAGGCTGCAGTGAGCCATGTTCGCCACTGCACTCCAGCCTGGGTGACAGCGACACCACATCTCTTCAAAAAAAAAAAAAAAAAAAAAAATCCATGGTCCCATGTTATCATTGAGGCAAATGGAGAAAAAAATTTCAATATATTTTCCCAATTATTAATATGCAATTTTCGCAGACTTTTCTTGATACTGTAGAGCATATAGAGAGATTTATATACAGTCAAATGTCCATATAGTTGACTTGGTTTTTTATTTTCATTTTTATTTTTTGAGACAGGCTCGGTCTGTCACCTAGGCTGGAGCGCGATCTTGGCTCACTGCAGCCTCCACCTCCCAGGTTCAAGCAATTCTCCTGCCTCAGGCTCCCAAGTAGCTGGATTACAGGTGTGCGCCACTATGCCTGGCTAAGTTTTTTGTATTTTTAGTAGAGACGGGGTTTCGTCACGTTGGCCAAGGTGGTCTTGAACTCCTGACTGCAAGTGATCTGCGAGCCTTGGCCTCCCAAAGTGCTGGGATTATAGGCATGAGCCACCATGCCAGATTGACCTGGTTTTTATTCATTAATACCACATGCATTAATTAAGGCTAACTGGTTGATAAATATGCAATCACTGTAACAGTCAATCATCTAGTGTTTAACTGTGTACCTAGGGTCTCAGTAGTAGAAGAATACAGATTTATCATCCATGCCAAAAAGGAGTTTGTAGCCAAGTGTGAGAGAATGTATTCACATGAAAAGTGACAAAGAGGCAGGAAAAACGTTATTTGATGTTCTCACACTGTCCTCATCTGTAAAATTCGTGTACAATAGTGCCCCCTTATCCTTGGGGGATATGGTCTAAGACCTCCAGTGGATGCCAGAAACCATGAATATAACTGAACTCTATATGTACTGTGATTTTTCCTATGCATACATACCATGATAAAGTTTAATTTATGTTAGGCACAGTAAGAAATTAACAACAATAAAACAAAAAATTACAACAATATACTGTAATAAAATAAAAATCATAATGCAAAAATTCATAATGAAAAAGTTGAATGGATTTAGTCCCATAAAAACATCAACATTTGTGATACTGAAAAAGTACTATAAATAAAAGTAAAACCAAATGAAAACTGAAATTAAAAATAAAGAGCTAGGGCTAGACTACAGTGGCTCATGCCTGTAATCCCAGCATTCTGGGAGGCCAAGGCAGGAGAATTGTTTGAGGCCAGGAGTTCAAGACCAGCCTGGGCAATGTAGCGAGACCCTGTCTCTAAAAATAAAAAAATAAAAAGTTGTTGTAGACTAGTAAGAAAAAGAAACACATCAATAGAAATATAGGCAAAGGACATGAGAAGGCATTCTGGCCAGGCGCCATGGCTCACGCCTGTAATCCCAGCATTTTGGGAGGCCGAGGTGGGGGGATCACTTGAGGTCAGGAGTTTGAGACCAGCCTGGCCAATGTGGCGGTGAAACTAAAAGTACAAAAAAAAAAAAAAAAAATTGGCCAGGCGTGGTGGCTTGTGCTTGTAATCCTAGCTACTCAGGAGGCTAAGGCAGGAGAATCGCTTGAACCCGGGAGGCGGAGGTCGCAGTGAGCTGAGATCGCACCACCGCACTCCAGCTGGGTGACAGAGCAAGACTCCATTTCAAAAAAAAAAAAAAAAAAAAACACCCGAGAGAGAGAGAGAGAAAGCATCTACAAAAGAAACACAAATGTTTGACAAAGGTATAAAAAGATATTTAACTTCACAAACAGTAAAAACCATAAAACCTGACATATACCAAATGCTAATTTAGTGATTTTTTTTTTTTTTTGAGACACGATCTCCATCATACAGACTATAGCACAGTGGCTGGTGTGATCATGGCTCACTGCAGCCTGAATCCAGGCCCAAGTGATCCTCTTGCCTCTGTCCCACCTACTGCTACCTCTGTAGGTGGGACTATATAGGTACATGCCAACATGCCTGGCTAATTTTTAAGTTTTTTTTATAGAGACAAGGTCTCACTATACTGCCTAGGCTTGTTTTGAACTCCTGGACTCAAGCAATCTTCCTGCCTCGGTCTCCCAAAGTGCTGGGATTACAGATATAAGCAATTGCGCTTGGCCCAAGCGATATTTTAAAGTTTTATACTAACTGATAATGTGTTTTGTCATTTAAGCTACTGAAAATCATGATAAAGAAACATGACAGACTTGTTCTGTTTTTTTTGGAGACAGAGTCTTGCTCTGTCACCCAGGCTGGAGTGCAATGGCACAATCTTGGCTCACTGCAACCTCTGCCTCCTGGGTTCAGGCGATTCTCCTGCCTCAGCCTCCTGAGTAGCTGGGATTATAGGCGCATGCCAACATGCCTGGCTAATTTTTGTATTTTTAGTAGAGATGGGGTTTCACCATGTTGGGTAGGCTGGTCTGGAACTCCTGACCTCAGGTGATCCGCCTGCCTCCACTTCCCAGTCTTGAATTACAGGTGTGAGCCACCGTGCCCGACCAGACTTGTTCTTTTTAACTAACAGTTAAGGAGAATGGAATCAATTTGTCAATGTTTCAACACATGAAAACTTAATTTATAGAGCCTATTTTTTCAAAACTAGCATTAATGAAAGAATAAACAGGAATGTTCTTCCTTATTTACAAAAGTTCCCTGGGACATTAATTATCCTAGCTACACCCACTTAACACAAAAAAATTGAAAAGCTGAACCAACCTTTTGTAATTCTTCACCTTTTTTCTTCATGTGGGAACAAGCAAAGAAAGCTTTCTTGTCAATCGATACCAATTGCTAGGTATATTTTACATTTATTTTTTATTATAACTCATTTTGAATCTTTAAACAAGTCTCTAAAAGTGACTTGTCTAAAAGTGAATATAGAGTACAGAAAACACTTGCTGCCCTTTAGCTACAGGTGCAAAAAAGGAGGATTCAGACAGGGCCTCGGAGGCCAAGGCTACTGGACAGTTTTATCCCACTGCACTGAGGTGTGGATCACAGTTTACAAAGTTGTTTTTTTTGAGATAGGGTCTCCTTCTGACCCCAGGTTGGAGTGAGGTGGTGCAACCACTGCTCACTGCAGCCTTAACCTCCCAAGCTCAAGTGATCTTCCCACCTCAGCCTTCCAATTAGAAGGGGCAACAGGCACATGCTACAAAGCCTGGCTAGTTTTTTTTTTTTTAAATACTTTTCTTTTTTTGAGATGAAGTTTTGCTCTTTCGCCCAGGTTGGAGTGAAGTGGCATGATCTTGGTTCACTGCAACTTCCACACTCTGGGTTCAAGCGATTCTCCTGCCTCAGCCTCCGAAGTAGCTGGGATTACAAGCATGTGCCACCACATCTGGCTAATTTTTGCATTTTTAGTAGAGATGGGGTTTCACCATGTTGGACAGGCTGGTCCTGACCTCTTGACCTCAGGCAATCCACCTGCCTCAGCCTCCCAAAGTGCTAGGATTACAGGCCTGAGCCGCCACACCAGGCCTCTTTTTTTTTAGACAGAATCTCACTCAGTCTGCCGCCCAGGCTGGAGAGCAGTGGCACGATCTCTGCTCACTGCAACCTCCTCCTCCCGGTTCAAGCAATTCTCCTGCCTCAGCCTCCCAAGTAGTTGGGACTACAGATGCGTGCCACCACGCCCAGCTAATTTTTTGTATTTTTAGTAGAGACAGGGTTTCACCATATTGGCCAGGATGGTCTCGAACTCTTGACCTCATGATCCACCCGCCTTGGCCTCCCAAAGTGCTGGGAATACAGGCGTGAGCCACCGCGCCTGGCCCGTCAATCAGCCTTTTGTCATATTTCTGGCACCAGCACCTTCTGGAGATGAGGATCTCAACATTGCCCTCAGAATCTAGCTGTCCCATATGGAGCAGGACCTTGAACTCCTTCTGGAACACCAGGAGGAAGACTCTGCTTGAGCCTGTGTAGAAAGGAAGGTTGAAGTTTTACCAAATGGGGCAAGGCTGGGAGGGGATTGGGGGGAGAGGGGAAAGATGTCACTGGGATGCTGGCCTGCAGGACACTAGATTCTGCCTTAGGTTTCAGGCGGGTGGTTTAGGGTGAGCCAGGGGAGTCAAAAGTGTAGCGCAGTGGTAAAGACACCAGGACACTTACCAAATATCTTTTCCAGGTGACCAGCCACCAAGTAAAGCACTGATGGTTTCAGAATGTGCCTAAACCTGCACCAGTGAGGCAAGTATGCAAAAGGAGTCCCTTTCCGGGATGGACACACTTCCCATAGAGCCGTGTCACCCCGCACAGGGTTGCAACCAGGCTGGGTGCCACTGCCTGCAAACAGACTGGGATCTGTTTTTGTTTTTTTGTTGTTTTGTTTTTAAGACAGAGTTTCGCTCTTGTTGCCCAGGCTGGAGTGCAGTGGTGCGATCTTGGCTGACCACAACCTTCACCTCCTGGGTTCAAGTGATTCTCCTGCCTCAGCCTCCCGAGTAGCTGGGATTATAGGTATGCGCCACCATGCCCAGCTTTTTGTATTTTTAGTAGGGACGGGGTTTCTCCATGTTGGTCAGGCTGGTCTCAAATTCCCAACCTCAGGTGATCTGCCCGCCTGGGCCTCCCAAAGTGTTGGGATTACAGGCATGAGCCACTGCACCCGGCCTCAGACTGGGATCTGAAATTAGAGAGAATCCCTTGTGGACTGGGGACAGGACAAGACTGCTCTAGATTGGCCCATGGTGCCAGGTTAGTTCCTTCTGTAAGCTCCACCTCCTCCAGGGGCACCCGCTAATTGGCTCCCTCAGATCCTGGCTAGCCAGTACAAGGCCTCAGCAGTGCACAGATCCCATCTCCAGCCAGTCCAGGTGGCGCTCGCATGGTAGGGTGCATGAACCTGTGTTGGAGTACAGGCCTTCTTTGCTCCAGTTGTTTCCCAATAATAAATGTTATAAAATTATCAAAGGCACTGTATTAGTCTGTTATGCTGCTACACGAGACTGGGTACCTTACAAAGAAAAGAGGTTTAATTGACTCACAGTTCCACATTGCTGCGGAGACCTCAGGAAACTTACAATCATGGCGGAAGGCACCTTTTCACAAGGTGGTAGGAGAATGAATGAGCGCCAGTAGGGGAAATGCCAGACGCTTATAAAACCATCAGATGTCGTGAGAGTCACTCATCACGAGAACAGCATGGGGGAAACTGCCCCCATGATCCGATTACTTCCACCTGGTCTTGCCCTTTACATGTGGGGATTATTACAATTCAAGGTGAGATCTGGGTGGGGACACAGAGCCAAACCATATAAGGCACACTGCTCACCAACATTAGGTAGAGTTCATACATTTCTTTCTCTCAGCAATGGACAATGGATACATTAGAATGAGGATGATTGCTGCAATGCTAACCAGCTAATAAATAGAAGTGGACTGGGATGAGAGTCCAGGCAATTGCCTAATGAGCCCCGCTATACATATTTGCAAAAATGTAGAATGATGCCATTCTTTTTTGTTTTGGCAAATAGTTATTTTTCATTAAAAATGTAATGTTATGTTAATATTGGATAAAAATTGATTTAATAAAAATGTTATAACATGTAGTGGCTATTATTGTCATTTTGTTTTTTTAGAGAAAGGGTCTCACTCTGTCACCCAGGCTGGTATGCAGTGGCTCCATTGTATTTCACTGTAGCCTCAAACTCCCGAAATTCAAGCAATCTTCCCAAGTAGCTGGGACTACAGGTATGTGCCACCACACCTGGTTAACTTTTTATTTTTTATGGAGATGCAGTTTCATTAGGTTGCTCAGGCTGGTCTCCACTCTTGGCTTCAAGTGATCCTCCCACCTTTGCCTCCCAAAGTGTTAGGATTATAGGTGTGAACCATTGTGCCTGGCTTATTTTTTTATTTTTTCTAAGACAGAGTATTACCCTGTTGCCCAGTCTGGAGGGCAGTGGCGTGATCTCGGCTCACTGCAAGCTCCACCTCCCGGGTTCACGCCATTCTCCTGCCTCCTCAGCCTCCCGAGTTGCTGGGACTACAGGCGCCTGCCACCACGCCCGGCTAATTTTTTGTATTTTTAGTAGAGACGGGGTTTCACCGTGTTAGCCAGGATGGTCTCGATCTCCTGACCTCATGATCTGCTTACCTTGGCCTCCCAAAGTGCTGGGACTACAGGCGTGAGCCACTGCGCCCGGCCCGTGCCTGGCTTATTACTATTATTTTAAAATGAATAAATAAAATAACATTTTAAAATGTCAATTTTAGGCTGGGAGTGGTTGCTCATGCCTATAATTCCAGCACTTTGGGAGGCCGAGGCGGGGGGATCACTTCAGGTCAGGAGTTCGAGACCAGCCTGGCCAACATGGTGAAACCCTATCTCTACTGAAAATACAAAAATTAGCTGGGCGTTGTGGCACGTGCCTGTAATCCCAGCTACTTGGGAGGCTGAGACAGGAGAATTGCTTGAACCCAGGAGGCGAAGGTTGCAGTGAGCCGAGATCACGCCATTGCACTCCAGCCTGGGCAACAGAGAGAGACTCCGTCTCAAAAACAAACAAACAAACAAACAAAAAAGCTGGGCGCGGTGGCTCACGCCTGTAATCCCAGCACTTTGGGAGGCCGAGGTGGGCGGATCACCTGAGGTCAAGAGTTCGCCACCAGCCTGGCCAACATGGTGAAACCCCATCTCTACTAAAAATACAAAAATTAGCCAGGCGTGGTGGCACGTGCCTATAATGCCAGCTACTTGGGAGGCTGAGGCAGGAGAATCACTTGAACCTGGGAGGTGGAGGTTGCAGTGAGCCAAGATCACCCCATTGCACTCCAGCCTGGGTGACAGAGTGAGACTCCATCTCCAAAAAAAAAAAAAGAAAAAGAAAAGAAAAGAAAAGAAAAAATTATCCAGCCCAGGCCCTAAAATATAAAGATCTCTCCCTGTTTTTTTCTTTTCCCCCCCGGGATGGAGTCTTGCTCTGTCACCCAGGCTGGAGTGCAGTGGTGCCATCTCGGCTCACTGCAACCTCTGCCTTCTGGGTTCAAGCGATTCTCCTGCCTTAGCCTCCTGAGTAACTGGGATTACAGGCACCCGCCACCAAACCTGGCTAACTTTTTGTATTTTTAGTAGAGACAGGGTCTTACCATGTTGGCTAGGCTGGTCTGGAACTCCGATCTGAAGTGATATGCCCACCTCAGCCTCCCAAAGCGCTGGGATTACGGGTGTGAGCCACCACGTCTGGCCTTCTACCTGGCTTTTTCCTTCTGAGATTGTACTAAGGTTCTGTCAAGATGGTGTAGGAGGGCTGGGCGCGGTGGCTCACGCCTGTAATCCCAGCACTTTGGGAGGCCAGGGTGGGTGGGCGGATCACAAGGTCAGCAGTTCGAGACCAGCTTAGACAACATGGTGAAACCCCGACGTGGTGGCAGGTGCCTGTAGTCCCAGCTACTTGGGAGTGAGGCAGGAGAATAGCTTGAACCTGGGAGGCAGAGATTGCAGTGAGCCGAGATCGCTCCACTGCACTCCAGCGTGGGCGACAGAGCAAGACTCCGTCTCAAAAACAAACAAACAAAAATGATGGTGTAGGAATTCTAATAAACTTAGGTTTGCATGATCAAAAGTTTTTTCTGGTGGACCTTTAGAGACAAATTGTGCTTTTCTATGAGTAGTGTTGTCTGGTGTTGACAGTCAACACTACTCATAGAAAAGCACAATTTGTAACCTTTTTTTTTAAATGGGATTACACTATAAAGAGTTGATTTTTCAGTCCACATCCATATGTACCAAGGACATCCCCATCTGTCAGTACATACTGATCAACCTCAGTCTTCTTATTTTTTTTTGAGATGGAGTCTCACTCTGTTGCCCAGGCTGGAGTGCAGTGGCACGATCTCAGCTCACTGCAACATCTGCCTCCCAGGTTCAAGCGATCCTCCTGCCTCAGCACCCCCTAGTAGCTGGGATTACAGGCATGCGCGGCCATGCCTGGCTAATTCTTGTAGTTTTAGTAGAGAAGGGGTTTCACCATGTTGGCCAGGCTGGTCTTGAACTCCTGACCTCAGGTGATCCACCCACCTCGGCCTCCCATAGTGCTGAGATTACAGGTGTGAGCCACTGCACCCAGCCTAACCTCAGTCTTCTTAATGGCTATTCATTATTACAAGGTAGGAATGCATCATACATGTTTCTTATGCTTTTTTGACTTAGACTCATAATAAAAAATATATTTTACACCAGGCACGGTGGATTACGCCTGTAATCCCAGCACTTTGGGAGGCCAAGGCAGGTGGATCACGAGGTCAGGAGTTCAAGACCAGCCTGGCCAACATAGTGAAACCCTGTGTCTACTAAAAATACAAAATTAGCCAGGTGTGGTGACGGGTGCCTGTAATCCCAGCTACTGAGGAGGCTGAGGCAGAAAATCACTTGGACCCAGAGGGCGGAGGTGGTTGCAGTGAGCTGAGATTGTGCCACTGCACTCCAGCCTGGGCGTCAGAGTGAGATTCTGTCCCCCCCAACAACAACAACAAAAAAAAACCAAAACATTTTACATCATGTCTATATATTTCAAAAAGAAATTAATAGACTTTGCTACATTCTTTTATATTATAAAGGGTATTGATTGTGACCGACTAAGCTAATTTCACCATTCTCTAATGGGTGACAACTTGCAGTCTGAAAAACACTGCCATCATTTACTAATTAACGATGAAAATATTAACAGAATGTACAAAGAAAAAGAGCAACAGGCCGGGCGCGGTGGCTCACGCTTGTAATCCCAGCACTTTGAGAGGCCGATGTGGGTGGATCATGAGGTCAGGAGATCGAGACCAGCCTGGCCAAGATGGTAAAACCCCGTCTCTACTAAAAATACAAAAAATTAGCCAGGCGTGGTGGCACGCGCCTGTAGTCCCAGCTACTCGGGAGGCTGAGGCAGGAGAATCACTTGAACCTGGGAGGTGGAGGTTGCAGTGAGCTGAGATCACGCCACTGCACTCTAGCCTGGGCGACAAGAGCAAAACTCGATTTCAGAAAAAAAAAAAAGAAAAAATAGAAACAAAAACTTTTCCACTATAGGATCAATTCCTTCAGGACACTAAGTGAAGAGGGTGTTGATATATATTGTCAACTGGGTGTAGTGGGTTAAATTGAATACCTCAAAAAGATATGTCCAAGTTCTAATTCCTGATACTTGTGAATGTGGACTTACCTGGAAATAAGGTCTTTGCAGATGTAATTATTATTTTTCTGTTTTTCTTATTTTTTTGGAATGGAGTCCCGCTCTGTTGCCCAGGTTGGAGTGTAGTCGCAAAATCTCAGCTCACTGCAACCTCTGCCTCCTGGGTTAAACCATGTAAAAATTTTAAAATGATTCCTAAACTACAAACTCTACAAAAAACAGGCATGAAAAAGGCTTAGTCCTATCTGCGTACTAAATAGTACAATACTTCAATAAATAAAAGGCTGCAGTTTTATTAATGCATGAAAAGACCAATCAATGAAATAGAACAGAAAACCAAAAATACACCCACATATATGCATAGAAATTTAATATTTAATAAAGGGTACAATTCAGATTACTGTGGAAAAGGCGGATTACTCAATCAAGGATTGAATTACCATTGGAATAAACAGGTTATAACCTATTAAAAACCCATTTGAGGCCAGGTGCAATAGGTCACACCTGTAATCCCAGCACTTTGGGAGGCCAAGGAGGGAGGATCACTTGAGCCAAGGAGCTTGAGATCAGCCTGGGCAAGATGGTGAGACCTTGTCTCCACAAAAATAAAAACAATTAAAAAATTGGCCAGGCATAGTGGTCCATGCCTGTAGTCCCAGCTGCTCAGGAGACTGAGGTGGGAAGATAACTGGAGTCCAGGAATTTGAGGCTGCAGTGAGCTATGATCACACCACTGCACTCCAGCCTGGGTGGCAGAGTGAGGCTCTGTCTCCAACAACAACAACAACAACAAACAGTAAAATTAGACTTAAATAGGTAAAATAATAAAAATAATAAAAATTCATTTGAACTATACCTAACAACCTAAATCGAATCACACCTCAGGAACATCAAACATTTAAATGTAAAAAAGAAAACTCAAACCATACCACAGGAAACCATTAGCAAATATTTTATAGTCATGGAATAAGGAGGGCATTCGTAAGAATGAAACAAAATCCACAAACAATAAGCATAAAAAGATTCAGGCTGGGCACAGTGACTCATGCCTGTAATCCCAGCACTTTGGGAGGCCCAGGCGG
Organism: Homo sapiens; assembly: GCF_000001405.40. Lineage (NCBI taxonomy): Eukaryota > Metazoa > Chordata > Mammalia > Primates > Hominidae > Homo > Homo sapiens. Next base: position 73,269,475 of record NC_000006.12, on the reverse strand, counting down.
GCAGATCACGTGAGGTTGGGAGTTTGAGACCCGCCTGACTGAGAGGTGACAGCGTGCTGGCAGTCCTCACAGCCCTCGCTCGCTGTCCGCGCCTCCTCTGCCTGGGCTCCCACTTTGGCGGCACTTGAGGAGCCCTTCGGCCCACCGCTGCACTGTGGGAGCCCCTTTCTGGGCTGGCCAAGGCCAGAGCCGGCTCCCTCAGCTTGCAGGGAGGTGTGGAGGGAGAGGCGCGAGCGGGAACCGGGGCTGTGCGCGGTGCTTGCAGGCCAGCTGGAGTTCCGGGTGGGCATGGGCTTGGTGGCCCCATACTCGGAGCAGCCGGCCGGCCCTGCTGGCCCCGGGCAATGAGGGGCTTAGCACCCGGGCCAGCGGCTGCGGAGGGTGTACTGGGTCCCCCAGCAGTGCCAGTCCACCGGCGCTGGGCTCGATTTCTCACCGAGCCTTAGCTGCCTTCCCACGGGGCAAGGGCTCGGGAACTGCAGCCCGCCATGCCTGAGCCGCCCACCCACTCCACGGGCTCCTGTGCTGCCTGAGCTCCCCGACGAGCACCACCCCCTGCTCCATGGCGCCCAGTCCCATCGACTACCCAAGGGCTGAGGAGTGCGACCGCAGGGCGCGGGACTGGCAGGCACCTCCACCTGCAGCCCTGGTGCAGGATCCACTAGGCGAAGCCAGCTGGGCTCCTGAGTCTAGTGGGGACGTGGAGAGTCTTTATATCTAGCTCAGGGATTGTAAATACACCAATCAGCACCCTGTGTCTAGCTCAGGGTTTGTGAGTGCACCAGTCAACACTCTGTATCTAGCTGCTCTGGTGGGGCCTTGGAGAACCTTTGTATCCACACTCTGTATCTGGTTAATCTAGTGGGGACCCGGAGAACCTTTATGTCTAGCTCAGGGATTGTAAACGCACCATTCAGCGCCCTGTCCAAAACAGACCACTTGGCCCTACCAATCAGCAGGACGTGGGTGGGGCCAGATAAGAGAATAAAAGCAGGCTTCCGGAGCCAGCAGCGGCAACCCGTTGGGGTCCCCTTCCACACCGTGGAAGCTTTGTTCTTTGCTCTTTGCAATAAATCTTGCTGCTGCTTACTCTTTGGGGCCACACTGCTTTTATGAGCTGTAACACTCACCGCGAAAGTCTGCAGCTTCACTCCTGAAGCCAGCGAGACCACGAGCCCACTGGGAGGAACGAAAAACTCCAGATGCGCCGCCTTAAGAGCTGTAACACACTCACCGTGAAGGTCTGCAGCTTCAGTCCTGAGCCAGGGAGACTACGAACCCACCAGAAGGAAGAAACTCCGAACACATCCAAACATAAGAAGGAACAAACTCCAGATGTGCCACCTTAAGAGCTGTAACACTCACCGTGAGGGTCCGCGCTTCATTCTCGAAGTCAGTGAGACCAAGAACCCATCAATTCCGGACACATGACCAACATGGAGAAAAACCCCGTCTCTACTAAAAATACAAAATTAGCTGGGCATGGTGGCGTGTGCCTGTAATCCCAGCTACTCGGGGGGTTGAGGCAGGAGAATTGCTTGAACCCAGGAGGCGGATGTTGCAGTGAGCTGAGATTGTGCCATCGCACTCCAGGCTGGGCAACAAGAACGAAACTCCATCTCAGAAAAAAAAAAAGGCTGAATAATATTCCGTTGTATGTCTAAATCATATTTTGTTTATCCATTCATCTGCTCATCAATTCTTGGGTTGGTTCCACATTTTGGCCACTGTGAATAATGCTATTATAAATACTGGCATCCAAGTATCTGCACTTATTTCAGTCTCTGCTTTCAATTCTTTTGAATATATACCTAAAAATGGAATTGCTGGGTCATAAGGTAATTCTCTAACTTTCTGAGGACAAATTAAACTGTTTTCCACAGTGGCTGCACCATTTTATATTCCTACCAGTAATAACAAGGGTTCAAATTTCTCAATATCTTTGCCAACAATTTTGTCTTTTCCATTTTTTCTTTTCTTTTTTCTTTTTTTTGAGATGGAGTCTTCCTCTGTCACCCAGTCTGGAGTGCAGTGGCGTGATCTCAGCTCACTCCAACCTCTATCTCCCAGGTTCAAGCAATTCTCGTGCCTCAGCCTCCCAAGTAGCTGGGACTACAGGCGCCTGCCACCACAACCAGCTAATTTTTGCATTTTTTTTAGTAGAGATGGGGTTTTGCCATGTTGGCCAGGCTGGTCTTGAACTCCTGACCTTAGGTGATCCACCTGCCTTGGCCTCCTAGAGTGCTGGGATTACAGGCGTAAGCCACTGTGCTTGGCCCCATTTTTTTGATGACAGCCATTCTAATGGGTATGAACTGGTATCTCATTGTGGTTTTGATCTGCATTTCCCTAATGACTAGTGATGTTGAACATCTTTTCATGTTCTTATTGGCCATTTGTATATCGTCTTTGGAGAAATGTCTATTTAAGTCCTTTGCTTATAATTTATTGTTTGAGATAGGGCCTTGCAATGTTGCCCACGCTGGTCTCGAACTTCTGGGCTCAGCAATCCTCCTGCCTCAGCCTCCTGAATAGTAGGGACTATAAGTGTGTGCCAATGCACTTGGCTACTTTATGTTTCAATTGGGTTGTTATCCTGTATATTAATCTCTTATCAGATACATGATTTGCAAATATTTTTTTCTCATTCTGTGGGTTGTCTTTTCATTCTTCTTCATGTTCCTTGATGCACAAAAGTTTATAATTTTGATGAAATCCAATTCATCTTTTTTGTTGTTGTTGCATATGCTTTTGGAGTCATATCTGAGAAATCATTGCCAAATCTAACATCATGAAGCTTTTGCCCTGTGTTTTCTTCTAACAGTTTTACATTTAGGTCTTTGATCCACTTTAAGTTCTGTATCTGGTATAAGGTAAGGAGGCCAACAACATTCTTTTGTATGTGGGTATCCAGCTTTCCAAGTACCATTTTTTGAAAAGACTGTCCCTCCTCCATCGAATGGTCTTGGCACCCTTGTTGAAACACAGGAGGACTTTAAAGTCAACTCAGATTTCTCAGCTTATTGTCTGGGCTCTTGATAACTGCTTCCTCAGTAAATGACAACATATATCCATGCAGTAGTGCCTATTATATGATAAGGCAAAGACTATTGAGCTAATGAAAGTAAAAAGCTTAGAAGAACACCTGTGGTATGTAGTAAAAAGCTCAACAAATGTTGGTTATTTCATTATTAAGAGTGACATTAGAGTCCAACATCTCCCTTGTTTTCATTAAAGGTTTTAACATATTGCAGAGTTTGTTATATAAGTCAGGCCAAAAGGTACTATACTCTGATCACAACTAATCTTTGGATTTTCCCCCAAGACAGATCCTCATCCACTCCTTTGCTTCTAAGTTTATTTTGCTTCTTATAACAAGTGTTGCACTCAACACCCAAAGATAAACCTTGATCTTAACATATGGCATGCTTTTTGTCAATGCTTTTTGTATGGATACTAAGACCCTTAGGTTGGGTGAGTGTTAGAATGCCATTGCACTGCACTTTAGCCTGGGTAACAAAGCCAGACCTCGTCTCCCCCCAAAAAAAAGAAAAAGAAAAGGGATCTCGCCATGTTGCCCAGGCTGGTCTCAAACTCCTGGTCTCAAGCAATCCTCCCACCTTTGCCTCCCAAAATGTTAGGATTACAGGTATGAGCCACTGCACCCAACCAAAACTTCCACTTCCACTTCACCAAGAAAGTTTCTTTCATTTCAGACTGATTTTCCAAGTGTACTCTAAGAGGGTAACCCTGCCTTTTAGTTGTGTTGATGCCACAACTGTCAGTCTACTTATAAAGTCCAGGATTTAAATGCTAAAGACAAGAGAACCTGAAAAAGGCTTACTCAAACTCCTCTCAGCAAGAGCCCTTAGTCTCCATTCCCACCTTCCTCCAATCCAGCTCACAGTGACCAGTCACGTTACTTTTTTTTTTTTTTTTTTTTTTTTGAGACGGAGTCTCGCTCAGTTGCCCAGGCCAGAGTGCAATGGCACAGTCTTGGCTCACTGCAACTTCCACCTCCCAGGTTCTAGCAATTCTCCTGCCTCAGCCTCCCGAGTAGCTGGGATTACAGGCACCCACCATCATGCCCGACTAATTTCTGTATTTTTGTAGAGATGGGGTTTCACCATGTTGGCCAGGCTGATCTTAAACTCCCGACCTCAGGCAGTGACCTCTTTTCTGTACACCGAATTCCTTCTTCAGTACAGACAGAGTTACTACTTCATTCTTCTCTCAACATTATAATTGTTTTGCGGTTTCTGGGGAGAATTTATCTTACTTATTTCCTTATCTCAAAGGCCTATGCAGAACAGCTAAATAGGTAACTGATGAGAAATATACTACTAGACAAACTCTAACACTCACTCAACCTAAAGGTCTTAGAAATTTGTTCTGTGACATTTTATTGAAACTACACCCTGCATCCAACCAAAAGTAAGGGCTGAATGACTCCTTTTATCCTAGAGTGCACTAGTCTCTGGGGTATACATGCACTCCTCAATCAGTTCTCAGATGATTCTGCCTCTAAGAGCAGCAGAAACTACAGGTAATCATCTCCGGGCTTACTTGAAGTTGTGTGCTCATTCCAAAATCTGCCTTGCTCACTCAAGAGTCCAGGTATCACTGGCCTTCGAGGTCATTAGGCAGCATCCAGTCTTTGAAGCAAACCATTCCAGGTTTTTGACTCTGCTTTCCTGTCAATGTCAGCTAGAGGAACTCTTCTCCCTGCCTTGGCCCTGGCTGGTCCTGGTTCCACTCTGGCTCATTTGCTTCCACACCTGGCCTATGATACCACATGACTAATTCCTTCCTGTGTGCCTCTGGCCCAGGCTTGCCAAAGGAATGCACTCAGAGCAGCTCTACCTATTCCTGTCCATCAGTTGCTGGTTGCGCACTGGCACTGCACATACCTGCTCCACAGAATCTTAAACCTTCAGGACTCTACCTGCTCACAGGTCCTGGGTTCCTACAGGCGTTCTTCATCAAGGGTGGGGCCACAGCTTTGCCCCAAGAGGGCAACCTGCCTCCTTGTTCCTGTACTGGCTTGAGACTCCTAGGCTGTGTCTGAACTAGCTGATAGGCCAGAAGCTTTAGGATGAAAAGAATACTGGAGGAGTCCTCAAAGTTAGAACTTTTATTGGTGTCTGTGTCCCCTCACTCATCTTAGCTATCTTGACCCTTCCCTACTTACCTTAATGATTTCGTGATTTCAATGAAAAAGACGCAACCTAGATAAGATTGCAAGGTCCCATACCTTCCTGGGGGCAGAGTTGACCTCAGACAGGGTCTTGCTTTGTTGCCCAGGCTGGAATGCAGTGGCGTGATCTCAGCTCACAGCAGCCTCAAACTCTCGGGCTCAAGCAATCCTCCCACCTCAGCTTCCCATATAGCTTGGGCTACAGGCGTGCACCACCATGCCCAGCTGATTTTTAAATTTTTTGTAGAGACAAGTTCTCCCTCTGTTGCCCCAGCTGGTTTCGAACTCCTGGGCTCAAGCGATCCTTGCTCTTTGGCCTCCCAAAGTGTTGGGATTACAGGTGTGAGCCACTGTGCCCAGCCCGACCTTTTGTTAATACTCCCATCTAATTGTCCAAACGGACTTGAACAAAAGAATCTTCTTCCCAATACTGCCAGGGAGGGCAAAATTCTTCAAATTCATGTTTGAGGCCATAAACGAACAGGAGTAAAATGGAATCCGCAGGAAGCAATGACAAGAAACCCAAAAACATTCATTTCCCTCCAGCCCAAGTGGCAGATGGGATCTCAAATACACCACGGTGTGATGCGTGACAGGAGGCATCCACTGGGGATGTGGAGCATTTTAAGTGCCCTGCAGAGGGTGGGCCTGGGTCACCCCCCCCCCCACCGCGACACCCCTCCCCAGGCAACATTCCTGGGGAGTCTGGACCTCCCTTGGTGGACCGACACCCGAGGGTCTCTAGGGTTTTTCACCCCATATCGGGGTGAACTGAAGGCATGGGAAGAGGCAGCCCCACAGCCTGGGTCCCCAAAACCCCCTCCGGGCTGAGAGCAAGAGATGCCGCCTGGAGGCCACTCACCAAGCAGCTCCGCTGGCTCAGCAATGGGGGTCGTCCGGGTCTGGGTCATTGCCACTGGCTCGTCCCTCCTCCCACCCTTGCTTCCTGGACTCAAGAGCTGCTGGGCTCTCTGCGCGCCGGCAGTGGGCTCCGCAGGCTGTCTCCTACACAGAGCAGGCGGGAGGAGGGCTCTGGGTTGCTTCCCGCGCCGCAGCCGCGCGCTTCCGGCGGGGTCGCCGCCACTTCCGCTCGAGCGCGCCTCGCGCGGCCGCGGCGCGAGCCGGGACCCCTGGAAGGGTCGGGTGCGCGGCCCAGGAGGTACCGCTGTCTCCTCACAATCGGCCAGGCCTGCAGCCGCTGCCGCCGCTGCCGCCGCCGCCGCCGCCGCCGCCGCCGCCCTACTCAGGGAGTGGCCCAGGCCTGCGGCGCGCCACCCTCACCTCCTTCATTCCTACCGTCAAAGCCCAGCCTTGGCTACCTGACCCCCCTGTGGTCTCGAACTCGGTTAGTCCGGTGAAGGGACAGAGAAGCCTGGGTTCCCGGCGGCATCACTGAGATGCTCAGTCCTGAATTCTGCCCTCCATTAGGATTATCTGCTTTGTGGGATAATTTCCTCATTGGTTGAGTCAGTGAGTTGCGTGTCTGCAAGAGAGCATCCTATCTGGTGGGTCTTCATCTAGATCTTGCACATTTCTTACTAAGTTCATCCTAAGAATATCTTACAGATAAGGAAAGTGAGCTGCAAAGAAGTGTAAAAACAGGGGAAACAGGAGATAGCAGTATAAAGAGAAAAATTAAAACAGATCGTGTGACTTTCCTCTATTGTTAATTGATTTGGGGACATTTTAAACTTATAGAAAGAAAAGAAACACGGGTTTTGTTGACACATCTCAAAACAAAATGGGTGTAACACCTTTAAAATGTAAACTATTGTGCTGGATATGTTTGTATTATTTTGAAGTCATTTAAAGTAATCGCATGAGGTGTTGCCTGCTGTTGGACCAGTAGTTTCTTTTTAGTATTCAAGCAAAGGCATAGTGAGGAAATAGTAAGAAAAAAAGAAGGAATGCTGTAACAGGAAACAAGGGAAAGGAGGAGCAGAGGAAAAGGGCAGGAAAGGTTTAACATTTACGTAGCACTTGCTATGCACCAGACACTTTTAAGCTCTTTAAATGTATTAACTCCTCTAGTTCTCACCACAGCCCTATGAAATGGGTATACTATTATCACCTCTGGTTTACAAAGAAGGCAAGTGAGGTCAAGAGAGGTTAAGCAACTGGCCCAAGGTTACACCGTAAGTGGCAAAACCTTTGCTTGAGCACATCAATTTGGCCCTAGAGTCTATGCTTTTTTTTTTTTGAGAAGGGCCTCTTTCCTGCTGCCTAGGCTGGAGGGCTGTGGCACCATCATGGCTCACTGCAGCTCCAACCTGCCGGGCTCAATGAATTCTCTCACCTCAGCCTCCTGAGTAGCTGAGACCGCAGGCACATACCACCTTGCCCAGCTAGGCTTTTTTTTTTTTTTTTGAGATGGAGTCTTGCTCTGTCACCCAGGCTGGAGTGCAGTGGTGCGATCTTGGCTCACTGCAACCTCTATCTCCCGGGTTCAAGTGATTCTCCTGCCTCAGCCTCCCGAGTAGCTGGGATTACAGGTGCCTGCCACCATGCCCAGCTAATTTTTGTATTTTTAGCAGAGACGGGGTTTCACCACCTTGGCCAGGCTGGTTTCAAACTCCTGACCTCATGATCCACCCGCCTTGGCCTCCCAAAGTGCTGGGATTACAGGCGTGAGCCACCACTCCCAGCCTATTTTTTTTTTTGGTATTTTTTTTATAGTGACAGGGTTTCACCATATTGCCCAGGCGGGTCTCAAATTCCTGGGCTCAAGGGGTCCGCCCGCCTCGACCTCCCAAAGTGTTGGGATTACAGGTGTGAGCCACTGTGCCTGGTCCTAGAGTCTATGCTTATTTTTTTAAAAAAAATTTTATTTATTTATTTATTTTTTGAGACAGAGTCTAGCTCTGTCACCAGGCAGTGGCGTGATCTTAGCTCACTGCAATCCCCGCCTTCTGGGTTCAAGCCATTCTCGTGCCTCAGCCTCTCAAGTAGCTGGGATTACAGGCATGCGCCACCATGCCCAGCTAATTTTTGTATTTTTAGTAAAGACGGGGTTTCACCATGTTGGCCAGGCTGGTCTCAAACTCCTGACCTCAGGTAATCTGCTCACCTTGGCCTCCCAAAATGCTGGGATTACAGGTGTGAGCCACCATGCCTGGCCTATGCTTCTAATCACCACACTATATTTCCTCTAAAGAGAGGGCAAGACTTGAATCAACTGGATTTGATGCTACTGAGTAGGAGTAGACAAGAGAGGTTTGCAAGGTAATTACTCTTCCATGATGTGAGATTATGGGCTAAAATGTTTCATAGAACAAAAATGCCATGAATAAAGTTTAAAAAGAGGAAACATACAGTGCACAAAGAATTAACATCTGGAATAGATAGTGAAAACAAATATATATAAGAAAAAGACAACCCTACAGAGAAATGGGCAAATGTATAAATAGACAATAGATGAAGAAGTAAGAATGAAATAAAACTGACCACATAAAAAAGATGCTTAACTGCACTAGTGATGCTGGCATGCAAAGCAAAAAAATAGAGAGATCCATTTTCTCCCACACTGGCTAAAACTGAAATTTGAAAATATCAATTTTGTGGAAAAGTGAATATTCTTAGTAGAAGTATAAATCAGGATAGCCACTGCTAGGGGTGGGGGTAGATTTGGCAGTATTAATTGAAGTTAAAATATTAAAATTAATCTTTGAAGTAATATTGATTATACTGAAGAACATTGCTTCAGACATTCTAATTTAACTTTTTTATTCTACAGATAAACAGGTGTTCAAAAAGAGGTATGCAAAATATTTAACTGGAAACTTTTTTTGCATAATAGTTTAAAATTAGAAAAATATAATTTCAGCAGGTAAATAAACTATGGTAATAGTTTACTCATTCTCTAAACAAATATTTGTTGATTGCTTACTAGGTATAAGGCATTATTCTGGACATTGAGGATAAATTGACAGTTATCTTTGTGAACTAGAGAAAGATGATAGGGTGGGTTAGGGGCTAATTAACATTCCCCAGCCCAGAGCCTTCCCCTTAATTTTTTTTACATCTTGATAGAATGATTTCAATTTGTTCTGTAAATCACACTGGACTCCCCTGTAATGATTACAGAAAGAAAAATGTTTTTTATATGGATATATGGGTATACCCCAATTTGAAGGCATAAAGGCACAATAGCGGACTCTAAAGTAGGAATGAGGAAAGCTGGAAAGGAGGGGGCTATGCTGATATAGACCATCAAGAAAAGCTTGAAGAGATGTCCCAAATACCCTGATGACTTACTTTTCACTGAAATGCAAAGAAATTGGCATCTTAGATATGCTTCCAAAGATTGTGCCCTACCCCCTGGACAGCTTTTAATGAAGGCAGGACTACAGCAAGAGAAACAGCCAGATAATTGGTTAAAAAGAAAGACTTGCAGGGGCTTGTTTCTTATTATGTTTATATGGTAAATGCCTAGTTAGGACAAAGACAAAGAGCTTGAACATGGTTTGCTCACACTCTCCCTGGTGAATAGATTCAATTACAAAAGAGATTGATGTCTCAACCATAGCAAAAACCTTGTCAAGCTCTCAACTGAGACCACAACATGCTTGTTTAAAAGTGTGGAGAAGGGGCCAGGAGAGGAAACAACATGACAAGGAGTTTATAAATCTAAAGGATGACTTTCTTGCTGCATGTAACTAGTATGTGACTGCTTCTGCATTCCCTTCGATCTATCCTTGGCTTTCTCAATGTGAATATTTTTGTTCTAAAAATTGGGGACCAAATCTGGTCCTCTCAAGGAGAAGTAAGAAGAACCCCAATGTCTTTCTTCTTCCAGCTAATTTAAAATAATTGGATTTAGCCAGGTGTGGTAGTGCATGGCTGTAGTCCTAGTTATTCAGGAAGCTAGGGCAGGAGGATGGCTTGAGCCCAGGAACTCCAGGCTAGTGCACTATAACTGCACCTATGAATAGCCACTGCACTCCAGCCTGGGCGACAGAGCGAGACTCCGTCTCAAAAAAAAAAAAAAAAAAAAAAAAAGCATATTGGATTTGTCAGCAGAAAGCCTTCCAAAATGAGGAAAGATGGGACCTGGACTTGAGTGCCAACTCTAGAATCACTTTCATAGCCACACGGGAAAGTAAAACACTATCTGAATCTCAAAATATTCTGTCTTAAGCCACCAGGTTCCCTTAAGAGCATGTTGGTCCCAGTATTGCCCTGGTGGTGAGTAGGAAGAAGCAGGCCCCAGGGAATTTGTGTAAGGCTCCTGAGCAGCAGATTCTATTAAAAATTCTTCCTGCAAGCCCTGCCCTTGCAATTACTGCCATTCCTCTCACCAGTGGGCTCCCGTTGGGTCAGGCCTCTAGCCCTAGCCACTCAAAGCTTGAGACCATAGTAGGCAGCCCAATAGGCCCTTCCAGACAGTCTCCATCTGCTGGATGAGCAGCTCACCTGTGTCTTAGGGAAAGGCAGAAGGCTCACAGCCTTGCACTCAGGCACATTAACTTATGTGATCCAGCAACTGCTGGGAATTAGGAATGATTAATACCATTTTACAGGTAGGGAAACTGATGCTGAGAGATAGATACCTTTTCTGAGGTCACACAGAAGTGCTTTTTGAATCTAGGTTTCAGAGTTGATCACTCCCTCCACCTTCCGCCTTTGGCCCTTGGATTCTCAGTAAGAAATCTTTTAATCTTGTGGAATGGTCAAATGCATCCTTCCTACTAACAGCATGAGCTGTGATGCAGAGACTCAACGTTCACTTTAACTGGGCTAACACTTATTTGACTCTTTCTTGTAGGTCAAGCAGTAGTAGGAGACCTTTTGCTGATATATTTGCTTATTCTAGATATTTCTTTTTTTTTTCTTTTTTGAGACAGGGTCTCTCTCTGTCACCTAGGCCGGAGTGCAGTGGCATAATCATGGCTCACTGCAGCCTCAACTTCCCAGGCTCAAGTGATCCTTCCACCTTAGTCTCCCAAGTAGTTGATACTATAGGTGCGTGCCACCACACCTGGCTTGCTTAATTACTACTTACTTACTTACTTATTTATTTATTTAGAGACGGAGTCTCGCTCTCTTGCCCAGGCTGGAGTGCAGTGGCACGATCTCAGCTCACTGCAACCTCTACCTCCCGGATTCAAGTGATTCTCCTGCCTCAGCCTCCAGAGTAGCTGGGATTACAGGTGTGCACCACCACGCCCAGCTAATTTTTGTATTTTAGTAGAGACAGAGTTTCACCATGTTGGCCAGGCTGGTCTCGAACTCCTGAGCTCAAGTGATCCGCCCACCTTGGGCCTCCCAAAGTGCTGGGATTATAGGCGTGAGCCACTGTGCCTGGCACAATTTATTTTTATTTTAAAAATTTTTAGTAGAGATGAAGTATCACTATGTTGCCCAGCCTGATCTTGAACTCCTGGCCTCAAGCAATTCTCTTGTCTTGGCCTCCCAGCATGCTGGGATTACAGGTGTGAGCTACCATGCCTGGCCTAGATATTTCATATATATGAAATCATACTGTTTGTCTGAGGGTCAAAGAGTTTTACTTGGCCATGAATATCAAACAGCACAAGTTGCTCTTAACTATTTAAAGATGAATTATAATCAAGAACCAAAAAGGGCCAGGCATGGTGGCTCACGCCTGTAATCCCAGGACTTTGGGAGGCCGAGGCAGGTGGATCACGAGGTCAGGAGATTGAGACCATCCTGGCCAACATGGTGAAACCCTATCTCTACTAAAAATACAAAAATTAGCCGGGTGTGGTAGTGTGCACCTGTAGTCCCAGCTACTCGGGAGGCTGAGGCAGGAGAATCTCTTGAACCTGGGAGGCGGAGGTTGCAGTGAGCCGAGATCGTGTACTCCAGTCTGGCGAAAGAGTGAGACTTCGTCTCAAAACAAATAAACAAACAAACAAAAATTCCCAACCATGAGCCCAGACACCCTCAATTGGTTGCTATTGTTAGAGAATCCCCAAACCAAATTCCTAAGGAAGGCCATGCCTTGCTTTTTGTTTTTGTTCTTTTGAGACGAACTCTACCCTGTCACCCAGGCTGGATTGCAGTGGTATGATGAAAGCTCACTGAAGCCTTGACCTCCTGGGCTCAAGCAATCTTCCCACCTCAGCCTCTCAAGTAGCTGGGACTATAAGTGCATGCCACCATGCCCAGCTAATTTTTGTATTTTTTGTAGAGATGGGGTTTTGCCATGTTGCCTAGGCTGGTCTCAAACTCTTGAGCTCAAGCTGTCTGCCTGCCTCAGCCTCCCAAAGTGTTAGGATTACAGGTTTGAGCCACCGTGCCCCACTGGCCATGCCTTTTAATATATATTAGTCAGAACCTTCTTTGGGAAATTTTTTGTAAGGATCAGCTGGTAATTTTAATTATGTTAACTCAGGTGCACCTCTAGATAACTTACTTAAAGCATTTTATTTTATAAACACTAAGCCCATGCGTTAGTAGAATGAATATAAACCTTAGCATGAGGAGAGTTGGGTTCCAGTTCAAACTCCATTTACTAGTTAGACACCTATTGAAACTTATCTTAAAAGCAGTTTCCTGATAGCAAAATGGGGATAACGGGAGTGTGGATTATATGAGATGAGACACGTGGAAATGTCTTATAACAACAGGCACCTTTCTCCTACCATGTTGTTATTATTGTCACATATTTGGCTGAGAAGAAAATGTGCAGTGCTAAAGTGTGAAGTCACCAGTTACACCAGCTATGTTTGGCAGATTATGCTTACGTATTGGTAAACTGGCTGTTAATAGTTGTTAGAAGTTTCTATCCTGCTGCTTTTTCTTGACCAAATATCATTTGTAACGCCAGACTCCCTGACTGGCTTATGTCTAAACCTGGAGCGAGTCTATAAAGCAAATGTTGAAAGAGTTCAGATTGTTCACAGACTGCCAATAAAAATTGTCTACACATAATGGCCATTTTTTAATGGGAGAATAATATTTTCTATAAGTTTATAAATAATATACTCAACAGTTGTTCAATGAAGCTATTTTCTAGAAATGAATTGTTCAATGTTATAATGCCCCTGAGGCCTAGCACAGCACCTGCCGAATAGTAGGCACTAAGTAATTATTTGTTGAATAAATGAATGAAAGTCTTTTTAATGGCTAGCAATTTATTCTAATATTGAATAAAAAAGGACCTGTAAAGGAGTGAAGCACATTCGAAATTACTAGGCCTAAGGAGATAAATGTATATGCCTGACCTTTGGAAAGTAATCCACTTTGATTTTACTAAAACATTCCTAGGGAAGAATCTCATGATTGTCTAAGGTACCACAGTATTTCTAACTCCATTCAGACTTCAGGCTCGACAATCATGGCTCTGCAAGTCTGTATAAACTTCAGTGTAATTTAAGGAGTCTGACCTCTTTTTTTTTTTTTTTTTTTTGTTGAGACAGGTTCTCACTCTGTCACCCAGGCTGGAGTGCAGTGGCGTGATCTCAGCTCACTGCAACCTCCACCTCCCAGGTTCAAGCGATTCTCCAGTCTCAGCCTCGTGAGTAGCTGGGATGAAAGGTGCCCGCCACCGTGCCCAGTTAATTTTTGTATTTTTAGTAGAGATGGGATTTCACTGTGTTGGCCAGGCTGGTCTTGAACTCCCGACCTCAGGTGATCTGCCCACCTCGGCCTCCCAAAGTGCTGGGATTACAGGCATGAGCCACCATGTCTGGTCTGACCTGTCACTTTCTAATGACCGCAAGCAATGATCCCACTGAAGGATGCTTGTCTGAAGCATTTTCTTGAGGAAACTGGTTGGAAAAAAAAAAAAAAAGCCAGGTGTGGTGGCTCATGCCTATAATCCCAGCACTTTGGGAGGCCAAGAAGGCGGGTGGATCACCTGAGGTCAGGAGTTCAAGACCAGCCTGGCCAACGTGGTGAAACCCTGTCTCTATTAAAAATGCAAAAATTATCTGGGCGTGGTGGCGTGCCCCATAGTCCCAGCTACTCGGGAGACTGAGGTGGGAGAATTGCTTGAACCTAGGAGGCAGAGGCTGCAGTGAGCCAAGGTCTCACTACTGCACTCCAGCCTGGGTGACAGAGCGAGAGACCCCCTTCTCAAAAAAAAAAAAAAAAAAAAGTTTATTTTTTTTTTAGTAAACCAATAATTGAAAAAAATTCAGCTAAGTCATTTTCATTTGAATTTAAAATTTTGTTTTTTGAATATATATCTTTATTGAGCTCAAAATTCAAAAAGTGCCTTTAATGAAAAAGATACTCTCCAAGTCCTGTCTGTCAGCTATACAGTATCATTTCTTGTAGGAAACCTGTTTCTTTTTTTTTTTTCTTTTTGAGACGGAGTCTTGCTCTTGTTCCTCAAGCTGGAGTGCAATGGCGCGATCTCCACTCACTGCAAACTCTGCCTCCCGGGGCCACGCCATTCTCCTGCCTCAGCCTCCCGAGTAGCTAGGACTAAAGGCGCCTGACACCGTACCCAGCTAATTTTTTGTATTTTTAGTAGAGACGGGGTTTCACTGTGTTAGCCAGGCTGGTCTCAATCTCCTGACCTCGTGATCCGCCCACCTCGGCCTCCCAAAGTGCCGGGATTACAGGCATGAGCCACCGCTCCTGGCCATAAGAAACCTGTTTCTAATTTATTGTGTATCCTTAGTTCTCAGATAAATACACATACACAATTTCTTTTCTTCTTTTTTCTGTATAGATAGCATCATACAATACACTCTTTAGCACCTTGCCATTTTTTAACTCAATATATCTTGTGGATGGTTGCATTTTAGAGCAGAAACACTTTCTTGTAATTTCTTATAGCTACGTAGTCTTTTATTTATTTATTTATTTATTTATTTATTTATTTATTTATTTATTTTTATTTTAAGACAGAGTCTCATTCTGTCGCCCAGGCTGGAGTGCAGTGGCCCAGTCTCAGCTCACTGCAACCTCTGCCTCCCTGGCTCAAGCGATTCTCCTGCCTCAGCCTCCCGAGGAGCAGGGATAACAGGCACGCACCACCACGCCTGGCTAATTTTTATATTTTTAGTAGAGATGGGGTTTCTCCATGTTGGCCAGGCTGGTCTTAAACTCCTGACATCAAGTGATCCCACCCGCCTCGGCCTCCCAAAGGGCTGGGATTACAGGCATGAGCCACTGTGCCCAGCTTGAATCTTTTTATATTTATTATCTGTGGATTTTGTTTCATTCTTACGAATGCCCTCCTTAGTCCATGCCTATAAAATATTTGCTAATGGTTTCCTGTGGTATGGTTTGAGTTTTCTTTTTTACATTTAAATGTTTGATGTTCCTAAGGTGTGATTCGATTTAGGTTGTTAGGTATAGTTCAAGTGAATTTTTATTATTTTTATTATTTTACATATATTTAAGTCTAATTTTACTGTTTTTTGTTGTTGTTATTGTTGTTGCTGTTGTTGTTGGAGACAGAGCCTCACTCTGCCACCCAAGCTGGAGTGCGGTGTATGATCATAGCTCACAGCAGCCTCAAATTCCTGGGCTCCAGTTATCTTCCCACCTCAGTCTCCTGAGCAGCTGGGACTACAGGCATGGACCACTATGCCTGGCCAATTTTTTAATTGTTTTTATTTTTGTGGAGACAAGGTCTCACCATCTTGCCCAGGCTGATCTCAAGCTCCTTGGCTCAAGTGATCCTCCCTCCTTGGCCTCCCAAAGTGCTGGGATTACAGGTGTGACTTAGTGCACCTGGCCTCAAATGGATTTTTAATAGGTTAACCTGTTTATTTTATTTTATTATTTATTTATTTTTTTTTTTGAGACGGACTCTCGCTCTTTCACCCAGGCTGGACTGCAGTGGTGCTATCTTGGCTCACTGCAAGCTCTGCCTCCTGGGTTCACACCATTCTCCTGCCTCAGCCTCCCGAGTAGCTGGTACTACAGGCGCCTGCCACCACACCTGGCTAATTTTTTGTGTTTTTAGTAGAGACGGGGTTTCACCATATTAGCCGGGATGGTTGATCTCCTGACCTTGTGATCCACCCCCCTCGGCCTCCCAAAGTGCTGGGATTACAGGCGTGAGCCACCGTACCCGGCAGGTTAACCTGTTTATTCCAATGATAATTCAATCCTTGATTGAGTAATCCGCCTTTTCCACAGTAATCTGAATTGTCCCCTTTATTAAATATTAAATTTCTATGCATATATGTGGGTGT
This sequence comes from Homo sapiens, assembly GCF_000001405.40. Taxonomy (NCBI): domain Eukaryota; kingdom Metazoa; phylum Chordata; class Mammalia; order Primates; family Hominidae; genus Homo; species Homo sapiens. The sequence goes on along the minus strand of NC_000006.12, from coordinate 73,253,155 downwards.
ATTTTTGGTTTTCTGTTCTATTTCACTGATTGGTCTTTTCATGCATTAGTAAAACTGCAGCCTTTTATTTATTGAAGTATTGTACTATTTAGTACATAGATAGGACTAAGCCTTTTTCATGCCTGTGTTTTGTAGAGCTTGTAGTTTAGGAATTATTTTAAAATTTTTACATAGTTTAAAAAACCAAAAGGATGATCTTTTATGACATAAAATTATATAAAATTCAATATGTGTTTATAAATAAAGTTTTATTGGGACAGAGCAGTACCCATCATTTATGTATTGCCTCTGACCCCTTTTGCACTGCATTTGATGAGTGGATAATTTTTTTTTTTTTTTGAGGTAGAGTCTCACTCTGTTGCCCAGGCAGCAGTTCAGTGGCACGATCTCAGCTCACTGCAACCTTCGTTTACCAGACTCAAGCCATTCTCCAGCCTCAGCCTCCTGAGTAGCTGGGACTACAGGCGTGAGCCACCATGGTTAGCTAATTTTTTTTTTTTTATCTTTTGAAGAAATGGGGTTTTGCCATGTTGCCCAGGCTGGTTTCCAACTCCTGAGCTCAAAGTGATCCGCCTGCCTTGGCCTCCCAAAGTGCTGGGATTACAGATGTGAGCCATTGAACCCAGCCTGAGTGAGGCTAGTTTTGACACAGACTTCATGCCACAGAGTATAAAATATTTACTGTCCGGCCCTTTATAGAAAATGTTTGTCTGACAATTGCTCTAAATTACTAGAAGAGCTAATTTATTCTAAATACATTGTGATATCTATAAAAAAATTTTCAATGAAATTATTATTAGGATGTGATTTAGGGCCAGGCACAGTGGCTCACACCTGTAATCCCTCCAGTTTGGGAGGTCGACGAGGGCAGATTGCTTGAGCCCACAAGTTAGAGACCAGCCTGGGCAACATAGGGAGACCCCCATCTCTACAAAAAATATGAAAATTAGCTGGGTATGGTGGCTCAGGCCTGTAGTCCCTGCTGCTCAGGAAGCTGAGGCATGGGAATTGTTTGAGCCTGGGAGGTAGAGGTTGCAGTGAGCCCTGATTGCACCACTGCACTCCAGCTTGGGTGACAGGGTGAGACCGTGTTTCAGAAAAAAAAAAAAAAAAAAGATATGATTTAGGCCAAGGCCTGGGCCCTGTGGCTCACGCCTATAACCCCTCTACTCTGGGAGGCTGATATGGGCCAATTGCTTGACCCCAGGAGTTCAAGATCAGCCTGGGCTACTCAGGAGGCTGAAATGGGAGGATCGAATGAGCCCGGGAGGCTGAGGGTGCAGTTAGCTGTGATCTTGCTACTGTACTCCAGCATGGAGGACAAAACGACACCCTGTCTCATTAAAAAAAAAAAAAGAAAAGAAAAGAAAAGGAAAAAAAAGAATTTTTTAAAAAGGATATGATTTAATTTAAATTATTTTTGTCATCAAACTGTGTACTTCCTTGAGTTCAAAATGGCTGAATCTATGGTTTTAGTACAGTTGCAATTCATTGAAATGTGAGTTTCCTTATGTCCAAAATAGAAGACATTGAAACATTTCTTTTTATGTTTATATTTTCCAGTATACAGACAGTGATACTTAAAAATTAAGATGGGACTGAAACTTTTTATGCATTAGATGTCAATATTTTTCTGGTACATGTTTAGGTTAGAGGGCCAGTGATTGGCTTTCTATAGTATTTTTGTTCGCTATAGGTTCCCTGATTCAACATTAAGTCTAGTGTCCTTGAGAATAATTTTTTGACTTTTATTACATATATTGGACCTATTCCCAGTGTATTTTCTCAGGTTTGATAGAAATATCACTGCAGACTTTCTCATACTAGTTGTATTAATAGGATTTCTGTCCAGTGAGATACACAGTAAGAGAATTCCAACTGAAGGACTTTGATTTTTAATGTATAAATATGACTTTTTCTCTCATTATTTATTTATTTTTCGCTACATGATAAAGTGGTAAGGATTTTTTGGTATTCAATAAGGCCAGAACTATTGCATATACATTTTGATTATAAATTATTTGGTGCTAGGCTGGGCACAGTGGCTCAGCCTATAATCCCAGAACTTTGGGAGGCCGAGGCGGGCAGATCGCTTGAGGTCAGGAGTTTGACGATAGCAGCCTGGCCAACATAGCAAAACCTGTCTCTACTAAAAATACAAAAATTAGCATACCTGTAATCCCAGCTACTCGGGAGGCTGAGGCAGGAGAATTCCTTGAACCCGGGAGGTGGAGGTTGCAGTGAGCCAAGATTGCACCACTGCACTGCAGCCTGGGCAACAGAGCGAGACTCGATTTCAAAAAAAAATTATTTGATGCTTAATATTCTGTAACTTGGAAAGTGCTTATGAATGAAAATAATCAAGATAAACTTTGTGCTTTTCACTCTTCAGGTTTTATGTGATAAAACATTGCTACCTACAGTTCATTGTCCCTCCTTGGAGAGTGGAACACTGCTGAGCGCAATCAATCAAAATGAGAGTAGTATGTAAAAGGGACCAGAATCATGTAGCATGATTTGAACAGCAAATAACAGGAAACACTGGTCCAGTTGGATGCTAATAAAGCACTGTATTATTGCCAATAGCAGGCATTCCAGGCATATTATGCCAAGGGCTCAAATTCAGTTTCTTGGTTTGCCTCCCTTTCCACCTTGTGTTGGCTTCCTCTTCAGGTTGGTAGCAAAATACTTGTAGCTATTTCCAAAATCATATCCTGCTATAAACACTGTGAGAAGGTAAGAATAGACAAGTTCTTTTTTGTGTCTCTCTTCAGAAATGAGACAACCTCTGCTGGAAGCCTCCTTTAGGTTTTGCTTCATTTCAAAACTGGGACATGTGCCATTTCCTAAAGCAATCACTGGCAGGGGAATTAGATTATCATGATTAGTTTAAACTAATCACCTGGAATTAAATTGATGTTAGGAGTTAGTGTCCATCAGCACTAAACAGGGTTCTATTTTTCTATATTTTGACATCATCTGTGAGTTGAAAAACTGCAACTGTGAGCCAGAGATTGACAGAGTGATAGAGCCACTGAATAAGACATGGATTTGTGACCTGGGAACATGAGAAGCCATGCTAAATGAAACCCATACATTTGAAGCTGTCAATTTCTCATAGATTATCATTTGTTCAAGTATAAGGAATCTTGAGAAACTCATGTAGGATGCAAGAGAAACTATATTTTATTTGAGTGCATATTTGTTAACATATTCCTGCTTTTTAAGTACTCTACCATCAGGCTGGGTGCAGTGTCTCATGCCTGTAATGCCAGTGCTTTGGGAGGCTGAGTCGGGAGGATCACTTGAGCCCAGGAGTTTGAGACTGCAGTGAGCTATGATCACGACACTACTCTCTGGACTGGGTAATAGGGCAAGACCCTGTTTCTAAAAACAAAACAAAATAATAAAAACAAAAATAAAAACCCCTCTACCATCAGAAAGTTATTCACACTTTTGGTTTCAGATGTGTCCGTCTTTCTGTGAGTCCACATCCAGCAGAGACAGGCAAAGCTAAGAGCACCAGGGCTCCTCTCCTTCCTGTGTGTGTGCGCTTCCCATGAATATACGAAATAAAGATGATTACTTACTCCATGTGTTACACTTGCAAACCTTGCCTTTTTTATTGCTCTAAAATATGAGGTTACCAAGATTGTGCATAACTAGCATTAGACAACTCACTGCACACTATCTCTGACTCTGTATTTGTGGTCCTATGTGGTACTTTGGATAATATTATTTTCATAATTATGCATGAATAATTTTTCCAGCGGCACCAGCTGGCCCTAGCTGGCAGCCACCCCTACCCAGTACATAAGTACTTTGTTGTTTTTCAGAGATACTTTTTCAATGTTGAATATAATTTTTTTTTTCAAGAGACTGGGTTTCACTCTGTCGCCTCGGCTGGAGTGCAATGGCATGATCATAGCACACCTTGAACTCCTGGGTTCAAGCAATCCTCCTGCCTCAGCTTCCTGTTAGCCACCACACTGGTGAGCTGGATTTTTTTATTTTTTAAGCTTTAACACAAAAGTTAAATGGTTTCTTTATTTCACTCAAGGGTTAATAATTGAGAAAGTGATTATCAACATGTACACAAAGCTAACTAGAAGATTAGCTTTCTCAGTAGAAATCCAAGTGTCCTGTTAACACTGGTGTCACTTATAAATGTTCTGAAACTTTACCTTTTCTTTCTTTCTTTTTTTTTTTTTTGACTCCCAACATAAAGGCCATACTAGAAAACCTCAGGAATGTAATAATTTATTTGTAATTTTTTTTCTTCAAAAAATCCCTTGAAGTTCAGACATTAACACTGATACGCAATACCAAATAGCTCCACAGGACAGATGGAAACAGGAAAAGTCAGATGGTTGGCACTTAAAAGGAACAGTAATTAAGCAATTGAAAGTGGATTGGATTGTTGGTTAATATTTGTTCATTCGAAAGAATCAAGTGGAAGAGGTAGCCTCTTGGAAGAGGGAGATTAAGTTGCACCTGATGCTTCGCCTCACTGACCAAGGGGCTGGGATATCTTGTTAACTCCCTCTTTTCTGTTTAATTGCATTCTGTACTCTAATTTTCTCAGATTGTATATTCTATCTTATTTTTCCCTCTGGGCAAAAAGAAATCTTTCTGTTTACTTCACCCTAAGTCTTTCCTCTGAGAAAAGGCAGTCTTCTCTAACAAGGGAAAGAAAACCAGGAGGGAGAGAGGAAGGAGGGGGAAGAAGGGAAGATGAGAGAGAAGAGAGAGGAGAGAGAGACAGATAGAGGAGAGAGAGAGAGAGAGAGACAGAGAGAGAAGTGGAACATCGGATTAAAGTAGAAGACAGAGGAGAGAGGGGAAGGGAAGAGGGAGCAGGAAGGGGGATGCTCCACGCTCTCAATCTCAGGACTGTGCAAAATGATTTTCCAGGAGATGCACATGTGGTCTCATATTTCTCACAATAGTCCACCCAGGCTCCCTCCTCAGGTCTGTCTCCCACTAGCAAAACCCAATATAGCCAGTCTCGATGCCTTACCTGGAGGGAGGACCAGGACCTGATGCCAGGTCTGGGACTCCACTGCTGTCCCTGAACAGACTTGTTGGAGGCATTCACATTTCTCTCCACTCTGGGGGAAACAGCCTGCAACAGGAAAGGTGTGAGTGGGTGTTAGTGTTTTCCCAGGGCCACCTGGTGGTCCTAGCTTGCTGCACCCTGCTTTTTGACTGAGGGAAGCAGCAAGTGTGACTGAATCTCCTTCTTGCAAGGGGCTACCACTTCCACTTGATTCTCTCTCTCTTTTTTTTTTTTTTTTTTTGAGACAGAGTCTTGCTCTATTTCCCAAGCTGGAGTGCAGTGGTGCAATGTCCACTCACTGCAACCTCTGCCTCCCAGGTCAAGCCATTCTCCTACCTCAGCCTCCCGAGTAGCTGAGATTACAGATGCGTGCCACTATGCCCGGCTAATTTTTGTATTTTTAGTAGAGACGGGGTTTCACCATGCTGGCTAGGCTGGTCTATGAACTCCTGACCTCAGGTGATCTGCCTGCCTCAGCCTCCCAAAGTGCTGGGATTACAGGCGTGAGCCACAGTGCCCGGCCGTCCACTTGATTGTTTCAAATGGATGTCTGTGGGGCACAGAAAGGGGCTCAGCTGAGGAGGCCTATGGGTATTACCCAGGGAGCAGCCTCAGGTTGGGGTAACTGCTGTGCTGCTGCCACAGCTGCAGGAGGAAGAGGTGGAAAGGCACTGGGGGAAGTATGGAATCAAATTTTTAAAAACATTTTATTTTGGAGCTACTTGCCCCAAATCTTGAAATCAGAAAGTCCTGAGGGCTCTGTCTTCAAAATACATCCCAATACATTTCAACCACTACTACTCTATTCTAAAACATGTTGGGCTGGGCGTGTTGGCTCATACCTGTAATCTCAGCACTTTGGGAGGCTGAGGTGGGTGATCACTTGAGGTCAGGAGTTCGAGACCAGCCTGGCCGACATGGTGAAACCCCGTCTCTACTAAAAATACAAAAATTAGCTGGGCATGGTGGTTCATGCCTGTAATCCCAGCTAATCAGGAGGCTGAGGCAGGAGAATTGCTTGAACCCAGGAGGCAGAGGGTACAGTGAGCCGAGATCATGCCATTGCACTCCAGCCTGGGCAACAATAGCAAAACTCTGTCTCAAAAAAAACAGAAAAAAAAAAGTTGACTTATTTTTTTTTTTCTAAAATTCAAGCCCAATGTGCAAAATAATCAAACTATTAGGATGCCGTTTATTTTGGTTTCTTGGAATGACCACTGTTAATAAAAATGTTTGCTCTTCTAATTTATATATAAAAAGGAATATTCAGGTTTGCTTGATGTTCTGCAAATTTTGAGTGACTCAAACACATTATGAGTATTTGTTTGGTTACCAAGCTGAGAATAACATAAAAAACTGACAAGTCAAAAGAAAAAAAATTTTTTTAGGTTATTTGTAATAAAATGATGTGTACTTCTAAAGTTAAAAAATCTTCTTGTTTATTTTATAGACTGGCATATAACTGTTAAGACCTCGATTACAAAGAAGAAAATGTCTTTGTCATTTATCAATTGGTGACTTTCATAATATACTTTAATGGGGTAAAGTCCCTGGGGATTTGTCAGTGCCCTCCTTAATTCTCGTGACAACTCTCCTTCTCTTACTTGAGAAGGGAGTGTTCGTGATCATTTGACCTGTTTTAGGGAACTGTCCATGCGTTTTACAGATATTTTGGAAAGTTCTTTTTAAAATATTAATGTTTCTTGTTAATGATTAATGTTTAAAAATGTAAACTAGAATTTTTCAAGTAGTCTATGCTATCACAATTCTAAATTTACTGTTAGTGTATGACCTTCTCCCAGAAGTTAAATCAGCTCAAGTGGCTGAATAGTTCTCCTTCATTCAGTGAAGGAGAGATTAAAAGAGGTAATATTTCTGAGTGGTGGAGGCGCCTGCTTAAAACAAACAAACAAACAAATATTTATATAGGCAGTAGATATGTGATGAGTTGCTCCATATCAGAGAACTTTGGAAATTAAGAGGTTTTTCTGACCTCTTGTGAAAGTCTTGTTAAAAATGGCAAGAAATTAAAAAACTTTTAGAAGCTTTGCTATTACCCAAGGGGGTAGCCACATAATAAAATGGAGATTCATTCAAAGTCCAATAACCCGGAATCCTGAGGAAATAATTTACCACTATGCTAAACAAGTAGCATTAACCAAAGCAGTTGCCATACTGATGGTTTGTAAATACGTTCTAGCCATTGTCTGCTTATCTCGAGAATGGATTGAGGATATTCCTGATAGACAGCGAAGGTTTTGCTGATAAAATTGCCCGACTGTTATTCTGGACTTAAGGAATTCCAACGTATTCTTCAGTGATTGGGTGGTGGGGGGTGTGTCTGGCACACATTTCCCGTGACTGTTATTAAAAAAACAGCTCCAAAATGCCTTTTAACAATAATAAACACACTTGCTGTACCAAATGAATATTTAGAACAATTAGAAGGAAAAAAATGAATTCTAACACTAAATTTGAGAACGCTCTCCAAGACTTGAACTTCCATGTCTTGGGAATTTCTAATTAGCCTTGATGGCAATAGCAACTCCTCCTGGGATTCATAGGCTACTCCATGCAGTTAGGAATTCACTTCCTGAACCTGTACTCTGCCATATCACAAGCTCATGTTTCTAAATACTACAAAGGATTCATTTGATGCATCTAGCTTTTAATAGGTAACAACAATCTTCCCCAAATATCCATCTAATTAGTCTCTGCATGACTAGAAATCTGAAGATTTAGTCTTTTGGAAAAGACTTCTAAAAATCAAAGGAAAAACTACCCTTGTCCTCAATGGAAAGGAATTCACTGAGGAATCATAAACTGAGGATTCTTAAGTATCTTCCAGAACAATGATCTTTAGAAGAAGACGATCAAACCAACATCTTCAGTTCAAGCTGCTGACACCAAGTAGATACTTCACCCGAGACAATAAAACAAGATACATGTTCTGGTATCTTTGCCCTCCTTTAAAAATTTTGCTCTCATTATCAAAGTACCTCATTGTCCCCTAGAGGCCAACCAAAAGTTTTAAGATTATTTCACAAATTATATTTTATCTTAATCTTCTGTAGTACAGAATTTCCGTGCCACCTAAGGAAAGGCAAAACTTTCTTGTGCTTTTTTCGCAGACTATAGCTATTGTTTTTAAATTTTTATCATATTTTAAGAGACAGGGTCTTGCTCTGTTGCCCAGGCTGTAGTGCTGTGATACTAGCTCACTGCAGGCTTAGACTCCTGTGCTCAAGCAATTTTCCCACCTCAGCCTCCCGAATAGCTGGGACTGCAGGTGCGCACCACCTCACCTGACTATTTTTTTAGTTTTTAGTAAAGATGAAGTCTTCCTTTATTGCCTGGTCTGGTCTCAAAATCTTGGCTTACGGAGCCCCCCCCCGCCCCCCCGCCCACCTCCCCCAAACCCCCTGCCTTGGCCTCCCAAAGTGCTGGGATTACAGGCATGAGTCACCACTCCCCGATTCATTGTTTTAAATCTAACTGACTAATGCAGTTTTTATCCTCTACCTGATTCCACTAACAAAAATTTAATAGCTATTCAACACTTCAAAAGGCAGATTTTCTTCTACAGGTTTCTTCTGGAATTTGAATTTTCCTGACAGTATTAATTTTTACCTTCAGTTTTATCAATATTGAACACTGACCTCAAACAACAAAGTATGTCTGCTGACATTATTGCATTAATGTATGAATCTCTCCTTGCAGTGTTAGTCCTTAATCTTCAGTAACTCCCCAGCCTTCACTCAAGCAATGTTCACATGTTGAAGAATTAATTTTCCTGCTCTCACTGTGGTAAATGACACTTATACACCCCATACCCCTTTCAGTTTGTGCGAAACTAAGGCACTACTTTTTATGTGGCTATCAGGTCACCTGATCATTATACAAACTTATCTAGCGTAATATGGAGTGAGTTTTAAACTATTTTATTAATAATATTTTTCAATATTTTAAACATCTACTTCTATAGGAAATGATGTTTTTCTGAGAAAGGTACTCAGACACCTAAAATGAGGCAAGTATGGACTATTCAGGAGACCTTCCAGGAGAGATGACTGACTCCCTCTTCATCTATACTCTGGGAGCTCCAATTCCAGTAATAGGAATAATATGACTTTTCTACTAGAAAAGGCGGTCCAAAATTTGTCTCTGGTCTTAGCAGAAATCAATAGATGACACTATTTCTTTTCTGGAGGTCCAGCAACCTAGCTTAAATTAAAGTTTCATGGTGTATGAATGGTTTCATAGTTTTTGGTTTCTTCTTCGCCAGCCAAGGACAGCTTTTATTTGATAGCAAACACTGTTTGCAGCACCTCGCTAAAACATTACTGCTCAGGCAGAACAGTTTTGTGGCAAGGTTAAAAGACTACCTGTCTCTCTAGAACAGATTCAGATAGAGTTGGGGCATGATTTCATGGCCTGGTTTTGAAATCTAGTTCTTTGTCTTTGCAACCTGTTGCTAGGATTAATAACTATTTTGTTTCCAGGACTTACCTGAATTTGACTAGTACATCTTGTTCAGCCTTAAATGCTACTGTAGAGTCATTATATATTCACTGTGTGTATTTTGCAAGAAAATGTACATGAGAGATCAACTGTATGCAGATGTAGAGAAGGTTCTCCCGATAAACTTGTGACAAGTGGATTCTGACAATGGTGTAGATCTGAACCCCACAGATGAAATTCCTGATGGCTGACTTTGTCTTTGGTCAAAAGTTGAGGCTGAAGAGTGAAAAAGCACCTAGGAACTCACAGTTGGGAGCTGACAGGCATAGTTGAATCTTCCCTACCAAACATAAACATCTCCTGCTAAATATTTTAACCAGTCAAGGTTGCTCAGTGATTGTCATGCAACAAGGTGTAAAAAGTCCATCTGTAACTATATTTGAAACCAGAGAGAGAGAACATTCCACAATGAAGACCACATTAATCTCTTTACTTCCCTTCCTAGATAAATTTACCAGGATAATCACCAAATTGCCCCATTTTAGAAAACTGGCCGCTACACCCTAAACACTCCTTAGACTCACCCAGTCAACTCCTACGATTGGCTCCCTACAACATTCTTCTGTTTGTGTAAAGTGTATTTTCCCGTGTTGTTTGCTCTCCCTTGATGCAGCACACCAAACAAACCCCGTCTTGTTGGAATACACTCTGGTCATTGGGTGACTGCCAGCACCTGTGCAAATCTAGGGAGCCCATTTGGAGCCTTCTTGCACCTCCATCCCTCAACCCCTGTCCTGGTTCATACCCAGTAGATCTGCTCCAAAATCCTTTGAATTTAGAATGAAGAAAAAATTTTGATTCCGGGGCATCAGAAAGGCAAGCACTAATCAGATGATTAAGTTTGGCATGAAGGATTAAGCTCAGAACAGATAATTACTTGGAATGAATTATCTTGGGAAGAGATACCGGGATTGTACACCCACCCTAAGGTAGTTCAAGGGGCAGGTTGTTGGGTTCCTATGTTAAGGACAGAGCCTAGGCCCTCCCTCACTTTTCCAAGTCTTTTGCCAACCAGTTGCTTGGACTTGGCCCTATTCTGTATCAGGTCGGAGCAGAGCATGGACATGGGAACGAGTGCTCTCAGCAAGAAGCCGTGGTGGACCCTGCCTCAAAACTTTCATGCACCAATGGTGTTTCACATGGAAGAGGACCAGGAGGAGCTCATCTTCGGTGAGTGGCCTTTGCCCACGTCCCCTTCTTCATCCTTGTCTTCTCAGTTTTCACTCTTCCTCTCCCCTCCCACCTTCATCAGTCACATATTCCTACCCTGAAGGCCACCTCCCCATTCCCTAAGGGCTGGTGCTTGACAGAACCTCCTCTCACCTCTTATGCTCACAGGGCATGGTGACACATACCTTCGCTGCATTGAGGTGCACAGCCACACCCTTATTCAGCTGGAGAGTTGGTTCACAGCTACAGGCCAGACTCGTGTGACTGTAGTCGGACCACACAGGGCAAGGCAGTGGCTGCTGCACATGTTTTGTTGTGTGGGGAGCCAGGACTCCTATCATCATGCTCGAGGTAGGTATCCTTGGCTGAACTGTGGTTTTAGACTTGGTGGTGGAGTTCTGGCTAAGTTGTGTAGCATCTTGGATTCTTGAAGAATCCCTTGTGTGGCTGGGGAATCCAAGTGCTTCCCAGAGTCCATTGGGAAGAAAAGTGCTCATCTTTTTTTGTGGCATGAGATTGCTTAAGGTGGAGAGGTAGCTGGGAGGTGTAAATGGGCTACCTTGGAAGGTCTGGGCTGGGGTGACATCCTCCCTGCAGCCTCCCTGATGGAGTCCAGGCCTGCCAATGGGCCCCAGTTATGGGCCCTGGTTCATTAGCCCTGGGCACTTATTTTGCAGGCCTGGAGATGCTGGAACGTGTCCGAAGCCAGCCTCTGACCAACGATGACCTGGTCACCTCCATTAGTGTGCCACCATACACTGGAGACCTGTCTTTGGCTCCCAGGATAAGTGGAACCGTGTGTCTTAGCGTTCCTCAGCCTTCCCCTTACCAAGTGATTGGTTGTTCGGGTTTCCATTTGAGTTCACTGTATCCGTAATTAAGGACTGATCTCCCCTGGGAAGTGGGGATGAGAGGAGAAATCTTGGCTTCACTTTTGGTGAGAAAGACATGATAGACACTGAGGAAAGTTTGAACTTGTGGCCGGGACCTGTCCCTCTCAGGTCTTCTAGACATGTCTGAGGGAAGTCTCTTGAATGTAAGAAAGTGTTATTGGCAAAGCAATCCAATAAAATAAGCTACCTATGATGCAAAGCCTTCGATGTACTGTCCTTTTTCCTTAGGATGAAATTATTCACCCCAGAGTTTTCTTGCACCTTAAAGTGCAGACAAATGGGGAGAATGGAAAGGTGGGAGGAAGGGTCCAGACAGAGATGGAAGGTGTTCCCACCACAACTGCCTGGTGAAGTAGGCAGCCAGGGAAGCTGGTGAACATGAGGTAGCCAGCCTTGTCCCTGATTGCCCAAGTTTGTGGGTGGGGGTGGGGGTGGGGGTGGAGGGGGTGGTTTTCAGGGAGCAATGGATTCTGAAGTCCCTCATGCCATGAATTAAATCAAATACGAAGGCTTCCTGAATCTCCATTGAAGAACGTTCTCCGATTGCCAAGTCTATATTTGGATCTGTCTAGGCAAGATTATGGCAAGCTAAACCTGTCCTCAGCTGAACTCTTCCTCTTCAAATTTGCCCCTTCTCCAGCAGCCTGCATCTTATATTGAGGCAATTGCAGTACTCTAGGAGAGTGACGATGGTGACTTGGACCAGAGTGGAGTGGTTGAAGTGTTAGGAAATGGTTGAATTTGGAAAATAATTTGAAGCCAGCAAGATTTGCTAATTACATGGTTTTCAGAAGGCCAATTACCAAATAAAGGTTAAAAGATCATATTCACAGTAGAAAAACACTTAGAGAAAATGTCGAAAGAATTCAGGTTATAGTAGTCAAATGCTGTGGCTCATGCCTGTAATCCTAGCACTTTGGGAGGCTGAGAAGGGCTCAGGTGTTGGAGACCATGGTAACATGGTGAAACCCTGTCTCATCCAAGAATACAAAAATTAGCCTGGTGTGGTGGCACATACCTGTCATCCCAGCTGCTTAAGGTGGTCACTGGGGTTGCAGCATTGCTTGAGCCCAGGAGGCGGAGGTTGCGGTAAGCCAAGATCATACCGCCACACTCCAGCATAGGTGACAGAGTGAGACTCTGTCTCAAAAAAAACAAAACAAAACAAAAACAAAACAAAAAAAACTCAGGTTGTTTACAGACTGTCACACAGACTGCCAAAATAAATTGTCTACACAAAATGGCCACTTTTTTCTTTCTAGAATTGAATTGTTCAGTTAGTCCTGAGGCCTAGCCCAGTGCCTTAATAATTATTTGTTGAAAAGTGAATGAACATCTTTTTATTTTATTTTATTTTATTTTATTTTATTTTTGAGATGGAGTCTCGCTCTGTCACCCAGGCTGGAGTGCAGTGGCGTGATCTCGGTTCACTGCAAGCTCTGTCTCCCAGGTTCACGCCATTCTCCTGCCTCAGCCTCCTGAGTAGCTGGGACTACAGGTGCCTGCCACCACGCCCAGCTAATTTTTTGTATTTTTAGTAGATACGGGGCTTCACCGTGTTAGCCAGGATGGTCTCGATCTCCTGACCTCATGATCCACCTGCCTCAGCCTCCCAAAGTGCTGGGATTACAGGCGTAAGCCACCGCACCCAGCCATGAAATTCTTTTTAATGGCTAGGAATGTATTCTAATATTGAAATAAAAATAACCTGTAAAGAAGTGAAGCACATTCTAGTTTGCTAGGCATACAAAGATAAATGTATATCCCTGACCTTTGGACAATAATCAACATTGCTTTTACTAAAAATTTCCTAGGGAAAAAGTCTCATGATTGTCAAAGGTACCATAGTATTTCTAACTCCAATCAAACTTCTGGCAAAGGTCTGTGTATACCTTAGTACAGTTTAAGGAGTCTGAGTTGTCATTTTCTTTCGTCTTTCTTTTCTCTTCTTTTTTTGAGATGGAATCTTGGTCTGTCACCCAGGCTAGAGTGCAGTGGCGTGATCTCGGCTCACTGCAACCCCTGTCTCCCAGGTTCAAGCGAGTCTGGTGCATCAGTCTCCCTGGGATTATAGGAATGCCACCACGCCTGGCTAATTTATTGTAGTTTTAGTAGAGATGGGGTTTTGCCATGTTGGCCAGGCTGGTCTCGAGCTATTGGCCTCAAGTGATCCACCTGCTTCAACCTCCCAAAGTGCTGGGATTACAGACGTAAGCCACTGCGCCCGGCTGAGCTGTCATTTTCTAATGAGCTGTAAGCAATGATCCCACTGAAGGATCCCTGTCTGAAGTATTTTCATGGGGAAGCTGGAAAAAAAAAAAGAGAAAACAACAGGGTAGGTGCGATGGCTCAAACATGTAATCCTAGCACTTTGGGAGGCGAGGCAGGCAGATCACTTGAGGTCAGGAGTTCAAGACCACCCTGGCCAACATGGTAAAACCCTGTCTCTATGAAAAATACAAAAATTAGCTGGGTGTGGTGGCGTATGCCTGTAATCTTAGCTATTTAGGAGGCTGAGGCATGAGAAACAGTTGAACCTGGGAAGCAGAGGTTGCAGTGAGCCAAGATCATGCTACTGCACTTCAGCCTGGGCGATACAGTGAGACTCCATCTCAAAAACAAACAAAACAAAGCAAAAAAACACCAAAAAACCAAGAATGATGCTAAATGGATTTGTGTGTGTGTGTGTTTTGCTACCATATTTCCTGTTCAATAGGGTCAATATTTATTTTCCCATAGAGAATGTCCTCTGAAGCCTTAAGATATGTTCTGTATGTGGAACTACTCTTTATTGTACTGAACCAATAATTGAATATCAGCTATGTCATTTTCATTTAAACGTAAAATTTTGTTTTTTGAATAGATAATTTCTTTATTGGGTTCAAAATTCAAAAAATGCTTTTAGTGAAAAAGATACCCTCCAAGTCCTGTCCTTCAGCTATACAGTATCATTTCTTGTAGGAAATCTGTTTCTAATTCCTTGTATACCCTTGGTTCTCAGATAAATACGCATATACAATGTCTTCTTTTTTATATTCAGATTGCATCATACAATATACTCTTTAGCACCTTGCCTTTTTAAAAACTTAACAATAGGTCTGGCAGAGGGTTGCATTTTAGAGCAGAAACACTTTCTCATAATTTCTTATAGCTATATAGTGTTCCATTGTATGGATATAGCATTCAACCCATTCCATATTGATGGACTTTTAGGTTATTTCCAACCTTATGTTGTAACAAACAATACTGCAGTACTGCAATGTGTATATGTCATTTTGCACATGTGTGAATATATTTGTGGGATAAATTGCTAAAAGTGCATTAATGGATATAGCCAAGTTTCCTTCCTAATTGTTGACAGTTTATACTTCTACCACATGTGTATGAGTATCTATTTCCTTACACTCTCACCAATAATGAGTATCAAATATTTTTAATTTTTGTCAGTCTTATTGATAGATGAAAAATGGTTTCCTAGTGCTGCTTTAATTTGCGTTTATCTTATTACAAGTGGCACTGAATATCTTCTTATTGGATTCCCATATGTGTTTTCCAATGCCTTTTCATTCATATGTATACACAATTTATATTGCACTTTCTGTGACCTGTCTATTTAGGCTGTTGTCCATTAGGTTGTTATTGATTTGTAGTACCTCTTGATATATTATAAATATTAGTGTGTTGTTTGTAAAATAAGCCACAAATACTTCTTTCCAGTGTGTCCTTTGTTTTTTACATTGTTTGGGTGGTATTTGCTATGTAGATATTTTTAATGTCTATGAGGTGAATTCATGAATCTTTTTATGTTTATTGCCTCTGGATTTTGTTTAGTTCTTAGGAATGCCCTCCTCATCCCATGACTATAAAATATTTGGTAGTGGTTTCCTCTGGCATGGTTTGGGTTTTCTTTTTTACATTTAAATAATATTATTTAAATGTATTCCTGAGATGTGATTTGATTTAGGTTGTTAGGTATGGGTCAAATGGGTTTTTATTATTTTTATTATGTATATATTTTAATGTAATTTAATTTTTTTTTTTGGAGACAGAACCTCTGTCACCCAGGCTGGAGTGCAGTGGTATGATCATAGCTCACAGCAGCCTCAAACTCTTGGGCTGCAGTTATCCTCCCACCTCAGCCTCCTGAGTAGTTGGGATTACAGTTGCACACCACCATGCGTATAATTTTTATAATTTTTTTAGACAAGGGGTTTCACCATGTTGGCCAGGCTGGTCTTAAACTCCTGAGCTCAAGTGATCTGTCCCCCTTGGCCTCCCAAAGTGCTGGGATTACATGTGTGAACCACTGTGCCTGGCCTGCAGTGATATTTCTGTCAAACCTGAGAAATACACTGGGGAGAAATCCAATACATATAATAAAATAAAAAATTATGATCAAGGACACTAGACTTAATGTTGAATCAGAGAACCTATAGTAGAGAAAAATACTATAGGTAATATATAAGGCCAATCATTGGCCCACTAGATGGAAAACTTTTATAGCTAGCCCATGTGAAGTTTCAGTCCTGTCTTAATTTATTAAGTATCACTGAATGTACACTGGAAAATATAAACGTATCAATCAGAAATGTTTTAATGTCTTTTCATTCTATTTTGGACGTGAGGAAATCACTTTTTAGTGAGTTGCAACTATACTAAAGTCATAGATTCAGCTATTTTGCACTGAAGGAAGTACACAGTTCTATGACAAAAAAAATTTAAATTAAATTGTATCCGCTGGGCAAGGTGGCTCACACCTGTAATCCTAGGACTTTGGGAGGCCAAGGCAGATTGATCACCTGAGGTCAGGAGTTTGAGACAAGCCTGGCCAACATGGTGAAACCTTGTCTGTACTAAAAATACAAAAATTTGCTGGGCGTGGTGTAATCCCAGCTACTCGAGAGGCTGAGGCAGGAGAATTGCTTGATCCCAGGAGGTGGAGGTGGAGGTTGCAGTGAGCTGACATTGCGCCATTGCACTCCAGCCTGGGCAACAGAGCAAAATTCTTTCTCAAAAAAAAAAAAAAAAAAGAAAAAAAATTGTATCCTTAAGTGATGATTTTGTTGGAAATTTTTTTTATAGATATCATAGTGTATTCAAAGTAAATTAGCTCTTCCTGGTGATTCAGAGCAACAGTCAGGCAAGCTTTTTCTATAAAGTGCCAGATAGTAAATATTTTACGTTCTGTGTCATGCAGTCTCTGTCGAAACTACTCACTCAATGATTACAGTGCAAAATTAGTCAGAGGGAATACATAACTGAATGGTACTGCACTGTCCCAATATAACTTTATTTATAAACACAAAATGAATTGTACATAATTTTATGTGTAAGAAAAAATAATTTGTTTTTTGATTTTTTAGAGCCATGTAAAAATGATTCCTGGCTGGGCGCAGTAGCTCACACCTGTAATCCCAGCACTGTGGGAGGCCGAGGTGGTTTGATCACCTGAGGTGAGGAGTTTGAGACCAGCCTGGCCAACACGGTGAAACCTCGTTTCTACTAAAAATACAAAAATTAGCTGGGTGTGGTGGTGTACGTCTGTAATCCCAGCTACTCGGGAGGCTGAGGTAAGAGAATTGCTTGAACCCGGGAGGCAGAGGTTGTAGTGAGCTGAGATCGCGCCAGTGTACTCCAGCCTGGACAACAAGTGTGACAGTCCATCTCAAAAAAAAAAAAAAAAAAAATTTCTAAACCACAACCTATACAAAAAACAGGCATGAGAAATTGTGGAAGACAGTGTGGTGATTCCTCAAGGATCTAGAGCCAGAAATACCATTTGACCCAGCAATCCCATTACTGGGTATATACCCAAAGGATTATAAATCATTCTATTATAAAGACACATGCACACATGTATTTATTGCAGCACTATTTACAATAGCAAAGACTTGGAACTAACCCAAATGCCCATCAATGATAGACTGGATAAAGAAAATGTGGTACATATACACCATGGAATACTATGCAGCCATAAAAAAGAAGGAATTCCTGTCCTTTGTAGGGACATGGATGAAGCTGGGAGCCATTGTTCTCAGCAAACTAACACAGGAACAGAACCAAATACTGCATGTTCTCACTGATAAGTGGGAGTTGAACAGTGAGAACACATGGACACAGGGAGGTGAGCATCACACACCTGGGCCTGCCGGGGGTGATGAGCAAGGGGAGGGAGAGCATCAGCACAAATACTGAATGTATACAGGGCTTAAAACCTAGATAAGGGGTTTATGGGTGCAGCAAACCACTATGGCACATGTATACTATGTAACAAACCTGCACATTCTGCACATGTAGCCCAGAATTTAAAGTAAAATTTAAAAAAAAGAAAAAAAAGGAAAAGCATTAGTCCTATCTATGTCCTAAATAGTACAAAACTTCAGTAAATAAAAGGCTGTGTTTTATTAATGCATGAATGGAAAGACAAATCAATGGAATAGAATAGAAAACCAAATATACCCCCACATATATGCATAAAAATTTAATATTTGATAAGATGATTCAGATTAATGTGGAAAGGCAGATTACTCAATCAGTGAATGAGTAATCATTGTGATAAACAAGCAAACCATTTAAAAATCCATTTGAGGTCAGGCAGAGTGGCTCACATGTGTAATCCCAGCAATTTGGGAGGCACAGGAAGGGGGATTGCTTGAGCCTGGGAGTTTGAGATCAGCCTGAGAAGATGGTGAGACCTTGTCTCTACAAAAATAAAAAATAAAAAATTAGCCAAGTGTGGTGGTTGCACCTATAGTCCTGGCTACTCGGGAGGCTGAGCTGGGAGAATAACTTGAGCCCAGGAGTTTGAGGCTGCTGTGAGCTATGATCACACCACTGCACTCCAGCCTGAGAGCAAGATACACAGCAAGATAATTCCAACTGAAGGGCTTTGATTTTTAAAGTATAAATAGGAATTCTTCTCTTCTTATTTATTTATTGTTGGCTACCAGATGGAGTGGTCAGGATTTTTCTATAGTATTAGTATTTTGGTACTCAATAGAGCATACACATTTTTATTATAAATTCTTTGATGCTTAATATTATATGACTTGGAAAGTGCTATAAATGAAAATAATAAAGACATACTTTGTGTTTTTCAATCTTGAGGTTTTATGTGATAAAACATTGGTTACCTACAGTTCATTCTCCCTCTTTGGAAAGTGGAACATTGCTGGGCTCAATCAATCAAAATGAGAGAAGTATGTAAAAGGGACCAGAATCATGTAGCATGATTTGAACAGCAAATAACAGGAAACACTTGTCTAGTTGGATGCTAATAAAGCACTGTATTAGTGCCAATAGCAGACATTCCAGGCATATTATGCCAAGGGCTCCCTTCCACCCGTGTTGGCTTCCTCTTCGGGTTGGTAGCAAAATACTTGTAGCCGTTTCCAAAATCATATCCTGTTATAAACACCAGGAGAAAGAAAGAAGATATGAGTCCTTTTTTGTGTCTCTTTTCAGAAATGAGACAACCTCTGCTGGAAGCCTCCTTTAGGTTTTACTTCATTTCAAAATTGGGACATGTGCCATTTCCTAAAGCAATCACTGGCAAGGGGAATGAGATTATCACGATTAGTCTAAACTAATCACCTGGAGTTAAATTGATGTTAGAAGTTAATGTCCATCAGCACTAAACAGGGTTCTATTCTTCTATATTTTGACATCATCTGGGAGTTGAAAAACTGCAACTGTGAGCCAGAGATTGACAGAGTGATAGAGCCACTGAATAAGAAATAGATTTATGACTTGGGAAGTGGAGAAGCCATGCTAAATGAAACCTATAAATTTGAAGCTGCCAATTTCTCATAGATTATCTATTTGTTTAAGTATAAGGAATCTTGAGAAACTCATGTAGGATGCAATAGAACCTATATTTCATTTGAGTGCATATTCATTAACATTTTCCTGCTTTTTAAAAACTCTACAATCAGGCCGGGTGCAGTGTCTCATGCCCATAATCCCAGTGCTTTGGAGGCTGAGCCGGGAGGATCTCTTGAGCCCAGGAGTTTGAGACCTGCCTGGGCAACATAGCAAACCCTGTCTCTACAAAAAACCAAACCAAACCAAAGCAAAAATGCAACAAATTAGCTGGTTGGCGTGGTGCACTTTTGTAGTCCTAGCTACTTGGGAGGCTGAGGCAGGAGGATTGCTTGAATTCGGGAGTTTGAGACTGCAGTGAGCTATGATTGCGCCACTACTCTCTGGCCTGGGCAATAGGGCAAGACTCTGTCTCTAAAAACAAACCAAATAAGAAAAACAAAACCAGGAAACCCTCTATCATCAGAAAATTATCGACACTTTTGGTTTCAGATGTGCCCGTCTTGCTGTGAGTCCACATCCAGCAGGGACAGGCAAAGCTAAGAGCACCAGGGCTCTTCTCCTTCCTGTGTGCGTGCACCTTCCCATGAATATAATAAATAAAGATGATTACTTACTCCATGTGTTACACTTGCAAACCTTGCCTTTTTTATTGCTCTAAAATATGAGGTAACCAAGATTGTGCATAACTAGCATTAGACAACTCACTGCACACTATTTCTAACTGTGTTTGTGGTCCTATGTGGTACTTTGGATAATGTTATTTTCATAATTATGCATGAATAATTTTTCCAGGGCCACCAGCTGGTCCTAGCTGGTTGCCTTCTCCTCTACCCCTGCTGACTACATAAGTGGTTTGTTATTTTCCAAAGATAATTTTCTTAAAACGCTTATGCTTGGGGGTACGCGTGAAGGTTGGTTACATACGTAGACTAGTGTCATGGGGGTTTGTAGTACAGATTATTTCATCACCCAGGTATTAAGCCCATTAGTCACTATTTATCTTTTCTGCTCCTCTCCCTTTTCTTACCCTCCACCCTCAAGTAGACCGCAGTGTCTATTGTTTCCTTCTTTGCGTTCATGAGTTCTCATCATTTAGCTCCCATTTGTAAGTGAGAACAAGTGGTATTTGGTTTTCTCTTGCTGCATTAGTTTGCTAAATATAATGGCCTCCAGCTCCATCCATGTTCCCACAAAATACATGATCTCATTCTTTTTGTTATGGCTGCATAGTGTTCCATGGTGTATATGTACCACATATTCTTTATCCAATCTGTCATTGATGGATATTTAGGTTGATCCTATGTGCTTGCTATTGTGAATCATGCTGCAATGAACATTCATGTGCATGTGTCATTATGGTAGAATGATTTATATTCTTCTGGGTATATACCCAGTAAGGGGATTGCTGGGTCGAATGGCACTTCTGCTTTTAGCAGCTTGATGAATCACTATACTGCTTTCCACAATGGCTAAACTAATTTACACTCCCACCAACAGTGTATGTGTTCCCTTTTTTTCTGCAACCTCACCAGCATCTGTTATTTTTTGACTTTTTAAATAATAGCCATTCTAACTTGTGTGAGTTGGCATCTCATTGTGGTTTTGATTTGCATTTCTCTAATGATCAGTGAAACTGAGCTTTTATTCATATGCTTGTTGGCCACATGTATGTCTTTTGAAATTGTTTGCTCATACCCTTTGCCCACATTTTAAGGGGCTGTTTGTTTTTCTCTTGTAAATTTGTTTAAGTTCATTATAGATCCTGGATATTAGACCTTTGTCAGATGCATAGTTTGCAAGTATTTTCTTTAGGCTGTCTGTTTATTCCGTGGATAGTTTCTTTTGCTATGCAGAAGCTATGTGATGGGCAACAAGAGTGAAACTTTGTCTCAAAAAAAAAAATTTTTTTTCTTTTTTTTCTTTTTCTTTTTTTTTTTTTGAGACCGAGTCTCACTCTGTCGCCAGGCTGGAGTGCAGTGGTGCGATCTCAGCTCAGTGCAACCTCCGACTCCCTGGTTCAAGCCAAAATTCGCTCTTTTAATTTACATATAAAAAGAAATATTCAGGTTTGCTTGATGTTCTGCAAATTTTGAGTGACTCAAACATACTATGAGTGTTCTTTTGGTTACCAAACTTAGAATAACATAAAAAAACTGTCAGAAGAAAACTTTTTTTTTAAAGGTTATTTCTAATAAAATGATATGTACTTTTTTCTAAAGTTAAAAAACTTGTTTACTATATAGACTGACATGTAACTGTTAAAACCTTGATTTTAAAAATGAAACTGTCTTTGTCAATTATGAATTAGTGACGTTCATAATATACTTATGGGGTAAATTAAAGTCCCTGGGTATTTGTTAGTGGCGTCCTTAACTCTCATGACAACTCTGCTTCTCTTACTTGAGAAGGGAGTGTTCGTGATTATTTGACCGTTTTATGGAACTATCCATGCTTTGTACAGATATTTTGGAAAGTTTTTTTTTTTTTTAATATTAATGTTTCCTGGCTGGGCGCGGTGGCTCACGCCTGTAATCCCAGCACTTTAGGAGGCCGAGGCTGGCGGATCGTCTGAGGTCGCGAATTCGAGACCAGCCTGACCAACATGGATAAACCCCGTCTCTACTAAAAATACAAAATTAGCCGGGTGTGGTGGCACGCGTCTGTAATCCCAGCTAGTCCAGAGGCTGAGGCAGGAGAATCTGTTGAACCCGGGAGGAGGAGGTTGCAGTGAGCCGGGATCGCGCCATTGTACTGCATCCTGGGCAACAAGAGTGAAACTCCGTCTAAAAAAAAAAAAAAAAAATTCATGTTTCTTGTTAATGGTTAATGTTTAAAAATGTAAAGTAGATTTTTTCAAGTATTCTATGCTATCATGATTCTAAATTTATCGTTAGCGTATAGTCTTCTCCCAGAAGTTAAAATCCGCTCAAGTGGCTGAATTGTTCTCCTTCATTCAGCGAAGGAGAGATTAAAAGAGGAACAGTTTCTGAGTGATGGAGGGTCCTGCTAAAAATAAATAAATAAAATAAATAAAAGCAAGTATTTATATAGGCAGTAGATATGTGATTGAGTTGGTCCATATCAGAAAATTTAGAAATTGAGAGGTTTTCTGACCTCTTGTGGAAGTCTCATTAAAAATGGCAAGAAATTGGCCGGGCACAGTGGCTCATGCCTGTAATCCCTGCACTTCGGGAGGCCGAGGCGGGCGGATCACTTGAGGTCAGGAGTTGGAGACCAGCATGGCTGCATGGCAAAACCCCGTCTCTGCTAAAAATACAAAAATAAACTGAGCGCGGTGGTTTGCGCGTGTAATCCCAGCTACTCGAGAGGCTGAGGCAGGAGAATGGCTTGCACCTGGGAGATGGAGGCTGTAGAGGGCTGAGATCGCACCAGGCACTCCAGCCAGGGAGACAGAGTCAGACTCTGTCTCAAAAAAAAAAAAAACAAAACAAAACAAAAAAAACAAAAACCAAACCAAACCAAAACAAAACCCAAAAAGGCAAGAAATTAAAGAACTTTTAGAAGCTTTGCCATTACCTAAGGGAGTAGCCATATAATAAAATGGAGACTAATTTAAAGGGCAATAACCCAGAATCCTGAGGAAATAATTTGCCACTATGCTAAACAAGTAGCATTAACCAAAGCAGTTGCCATACTGATGGTTTGTAAATATGTTCTAGTCATAGTCTGCTTATCTCCAGAATGGATTGAGGATATTCCTGATAGACAGACAAGATTTTGATGATAAAATTGCTTGACTGTTATTCTGGACTTAAGGAATTCTAGTGTATTCTTCAGTGATTGGGGGGAGGGGTTGTGGTACACAAAAGAACAGCTCCAAATGTTTTTTAGTGTGAATAAACAATCTTGCTGTACCAAATGAATATTTAGAACAATTAGAAAGAAGGAGGGGCATGGTGGCTCACACCTGTAATCCCAGCACTTTGGGAGGCCAAGGCGGGTGGATCACCTGAGTTCAGGAGTTTGAGACCAGCCTGGCCAACATGGTAGAACCCCGTCTTTACTAAAATACAAAAAAATTAGCCAGGTGTGGTGGCTCATGCCTGTAATCCTAGCTACTCGGGAGGCTGAGGCAGAAGAATTGCTTGAACCTGGGAGGTGGAGGTTGCAGGGAGCCGAGACCACTGCACCATTGCAATCCTGCCTGGGCAACAAGAACTAAACCCGGTCTCAAAAAAAAAAAAAAAAAAAAAAGAACAATTAGAAAAAAATGAATTCTGTAAAACTAAGTTTGAGAATGTTCTCCAACACTCAAACTTCCATGGCTTGGGAATTGCTATTAGCCTTGAAGACAATGACATCAACTCCTCCTGGAATCCATAGGCTTCTCCATACATTTAGGAATTCACTTCTGAACCCGTACTCTGCCATATCACAAGCTCACATTTCTAAATACTACAAAGGATTCATTTGGTGTGTCTAGCTTTTAATAGATAACAATAATCTTCCCCCAAATACCCACCTAATGGCTCTACATGACTAGAAATCTGAAGATTTGTCTTTTGGAAAAGACTAAACATCTCAAAATCAGAGGAAAAACTACCGTTGGCCTTAATAAATTAAGGACATCATCAAGAAACCATAAACTGAGAATTCTTAAGTATCTTCCAGAACAACGATTTTTGGAAGAAGATGACCAAACCAATGTCTTCAGATCAAGCTTTGATGACCCCGAGTAGTTACTTCCACCCAAGACAGTAAAACAAGATACATGTTCTGGTATCTTTGCCCTCTTTTTAAAATTTTGCTGTACTTATCATTGTGCTTAAGCGTTCCCTAGAGGGCAACCAAAAGTTTTTAAGATTCTTTCACAAACTCGGCCTGGCAAGGTGGCTCATGCCTGTAATCCTAGCACTTTGGGAGAACCAGGCAGGCAGAATACTTGAAGCCCTGAGTCTGAGACCAGGCTGGCCATCATGGTGAAACCCTGTCTCTACTAAAAATACAAAAATGCAGAAATTAGCTGGGCGTGGTGTCACCCGCCTGTAATCTCAACTACTTAGCAGGCTGAGGCAGTGAGATGAGATTGGACCACTGCACTCCAGCCTGGGCAACAGAGTGAGACTCTGTCTCAAAGAAAAGGATTCTTTCACAAACGACGAATGACAGTTTATCTTGAACTTTTTTTTTTTTTTGGCAAAGTTTTTTTTGCTCTTGTCACCCAAAATGGAGTGCAGTGGCGCAACATCAGCTCACTGCAACCTCTGTCTCCCTGGTTCAAGTGATTCTCCTGCCTCAGCCCCTCAAGTAGCTGGGATTACAGGCTTATGTCACCATGCCTGGCTAACTTTTGTATTTTTAGTGGAGATGGGGTTTCACCATGTTGGCCAGGCTAGTCTCAAACTCCTGACCTCAAGTGATCCACGTGCCTCAGCATCCAAAGTGCTGGGATTACAGGCGTGAGTCACCATGTCTGGCCTCAATTTTCTATATTAGAGAATTTTTCCTGCCACCTAAGGTAAAGGAAAACTTTCTTATTTTTTTGTCAACTATAGCTATTGTTTTTTAAATTTTTATTTAGCTTAAAATTTTTCTCTTAAAAGACAGAATCTTGCTGTGTCACCCAGCCTGGAGTGTGGTTGTATGATTCTAGCTGAAACTCCTGGGATCAAGTGATCCACCCACCTCAGCCTCTGGATAAGCTAGAACTGCAGGTGCGCATCACCTCACTCGGTTATTTTTTTCAGTTTTTAGTAAAGACGAAGTCTCACTTTGTTGTTTGGGCTGGTAGTGAAATCCTGGCTCACAGGATGATCTCAAACAACAAAGTATGTCTGCTGACATTATTGCAATAATGTATTGAGTCTCTCCTTGCAGTGTTAGTCCTTAATCTTCAGTGACTCCTCAGCCTCCACTCAAGCAGTGTTCACATGTTGAACTAGTTTTCCTACTCTCACTGTGATAAATGACACTTATACACCCCATATCCCTTTCAGTTTGTGCAACACTAAGGCACTACTTTTTATGTGGATATCAGATCACCTGATCATTATACAAACTTGTGTAATATGGAGTGAGTTTTAAACTATTTTATTAATAATATTTTTCAATATTTTAAACATGTACTCCTATAGGAAATGATGTTTCTCTGAGAAAAGTATGGACTATTCAGGAGACCTTCCAGGAGAGATGACCGACTCCCTCTTCATCTATACTCTGGGAGCTCCAATTCCAGTAATAGGAATAATATGACTAGAAAAGGTGGTCCAAAATATGTCTCTGGTCCTAGCAGAAATCAATAGATGACACTAACTTCTTTTCTGGAGGTCCAGCAAACTAGCTTAAATTAAAGTTTCATGGTGGTTATGAATGATTTCATAGTTTTTGGTTTCTTCTTGGCCAGCCAAGGACAGCTTTTATTTGATAGCAAACACTGTTTGCAGCACCTCCCTAAAACATTACTGCTGAGGCAGAAGAGTTTTGTGGCAAGGTTAAAAGACTACCTGTCTCTCTAGAACAGATTCAGATGAAGTTGGGACATGATTTCATGGTCTGGTTTTGAAATCGGCCTTTGTCTTTGCAACCTATTACTAGGACTAATAATCATTTTGTTTCTAGTAATTACCTGCATTTGACTAGTACATCCTGTTCAGTCTTTCTTTTTCTTTTTCTTTTTCTTTTTTTTTTTTGAGACGGAGTTTCGCTCTTGCCCCCAAGGCTGGACTGCAATGGCATGATCTCGGCTCATTGCAACCTGTGCCTCCTGGGTTCAAGTGATTCTCTTGCCTCAGCCTCCTGAGTAGCTGGCATTACAGGCGCCCGCAACCACGCCCAGGTAATTTGTGTATCTTTAGTAGAGACGAGGTTTCACCATGTTGGCCAGGCTGGCGGTGAACTGCTGACCTCAGGTGGTCCACGTGCCTCGGCCTCCCAAAGGGCTGGGATTACAGGCGTGAGCCACAGCGCCTGGCCTCCTGTTCAGTCTTAAATGCTACTGTGCAGTCATTATATTTTCACTTGTATATTTTGTACTAAATGTATATGAGAGACCAAATGTATGTGGATGCAGAGAATGTTCTCCCGATAACCTTGTGATCTGTGGACTCAGACAGTGGTGTAGATCTGAACCTCACAGATGAAAGTCCTGATGGCTGACTTTGTCTTTGGTCAAAAGAGGAGGATGAAAAGTGAAAAATCACCCAGGAACTTGCAGTGGGAAGCTGACAGGCCAAGCTGAATCTTCCCTACCACACACAAACATCTCCTGCAAAATTTTTTTTTTTTTTGAGACGGGGTCTCGCTCTGTCACTCAGGCTGGAGTGCAGTGGTGCGATCTCGGCTCACTGCAACCTCTGCCTCCCGGCTTCAAGCGATTCTCCTGCTGCAGCCTCCTGAGTAACTGGAATTACAGGTGTGCACCACCACACTCCGGCTAATGTATTTGTATTTTTAGTAGAGACAGGGTTTCAGCATGTTGGTCAGGCTGGTCTTGAACTCCTGCCCTCCTGATCCGCCCACCTCAGCCTCCCAAAGTGCTGGGATTACAGGCATGAGCCACTGCACCCGGCCGAAGAATATTTTAAGCAGTCAAGTTTGCTCAGTGATTGTCATGCAACAAGATATAGAAAGTCTATTCTGTAACTATATTTGAAACCAGAGAGAGATAACATTCTGCAGTGAAGACCACATTAGTCTCTCAACTTCCTAGATAAATTTACCAGAATAATCATCAAATTGCACCATTTTAGAGAACTGGCTCCTACTCCTTAAACACGCCTTGGACTGCCCTAGTCAACTCCTACAATGGGCTCCCTATGACACTATCCTATCAAGTTTATTTTCCTCTATTGTTTGCTCTCCCTTGACGCAACACACCAAATAAACCAAGTCGTGTTGGAATACACTGTGTGGTCACTGGGTGGCTGCCGACACCTGTGCAAATCTAGGGAGCCCATTTGGAGCCTTCCTGCACCTCCATACCCTCAACCCCCTGCTCCAAAATTCTTTGAATTTAGAGTGAAGAAAAATTTCTGATTCCAGGACATCAGAAAGCCAAGCACTTATCAGATGATTAAGTTTGACTTGAAAGAATTAAGCTCAGAGCAGATAATTACTTGGAATGAATTATCTTGGGAAGACCTCCGGGGATTGGACATCCACCCTAAGGTGGATCAAGGGGCGGGTTGTTTGGATTCCAACAACCCTTATTAAGGACAACCCTTTTTAAGGACAGAGCCTAGGCCCTTCCTCGCTTTTCCAAGTCTTTTGCCAACCAGTTTGTTAGACTTTCCCCTATTCTGAATCAGGTGGGAGCACAGCATGGCCGTGGGAACGAGTGCTCTCAGCAAGGAGCCGTGGTGGACCCTGCCCGAAAACTTTCATTCTCCAATGGTGTTCCACATGGAAGAGGACCAGGAGGAGCTCATCTTCGGTGAGTGGCCTTTGCCCACGTCCCCTCCTTCATCTGTTTTTTATTTTTATTTTTTTGAGACAGATTCTCGCTCGTGATCTTGGCTCACTGCAACGTCTGCCTTTTGGGTTCAAGTGATTCTCCTGCTTCAGCCTGCAGAGTACCTGGGATTACAGGCGCCTGCCACCACGCCTAACTAGTTTTTGTACTTTTTTTTTTTTTTTTTTTGAGACTCGAGACGGAGTCTTGCTCTGCCGCCCAGGCTGGAGTGCAGTGGCGCGATCTCGGCTCACTGCAAGCTCTGCCTCCCGGGTTCACGCCATTCTCTCACCTCAGCCTCCAGAACAGCTGGGACTACAGGCGCCCGCCATCACGCCCGGCTAATTTTTTTTGTATTTTTAGTAGAGATGGGGTTTCACCGTGTTAGCCAGGATGGTCTCGATTTCCTCACCTCCTGATCTGCCGGCCTCGGCCTCCCAAACTGCTGGGAATACAAGTGTGAGCCACTGCGCCCGGCCTCGTGTTTTTTTTTTTTTTTTTTTTTTTGATATGGAATCTCTGTCGCCCAGGCTGGAGTGCAGTGGCGCGATCTCGGCTCACTGCAAGCTCCGCCTCCCGGGTTCACGCCATTCTCCTGCCGCAGCCTCCCGAGGAGCTGGGACTACAGGCGCCTGCCACCACGCCCGGCTAATTTTTTGTATTTTTAGTAGAGACGGGGTTTCACCATGTTAGCCAGGCGTGTGTGGAACTCCTGACCTCAACTGATCTACCTGCCTCGGCCTCCCAAATTGCTGGGATTACAGGCATGAGTCACTGCGCTAGGCCGGCCTCCTTCATCCCCTTCTCGATTTTCAATCTTCCCCTCTCCTCCCACCTTCATGAGTCACACATCCCTACCCTCAAGGCCACCTCCTCACTCCCCAAGGACTGGTGGCTGACAGTTTCTCTTCTCACTTCTTGTGCTTACAGGACTTGATGACACGTACCTTCGCTGCATTGAGCTGCACAGCCACACCCTTATTCAGCTGGAGAGGTGTTTCACAGCTACAGGCCAGACACGTGTGACTGTAGTCGGACCACCAATGGCAAAGCAGTGGCTGCTGCTCATGTTCCATTGCGTGGGGAGCCAGGACTCCAAGTGTCACGCTCGAGGTAGGTATCCTTGGCCGAACTGTGGAGGTGGAGGGCTTGATGGTGGAGTTCTGGCTGTGTTGTGTGGCATCTTGGATTCGTGAAGAATCCCTTGTGTGGCTGGGGAATCCAGGTGCTTCCCAGAGTCCATTGGGAAGGGAAGGGCTCATTTTTGTGGCATGCGATTGCTCAGGGAGGAGAGGGTAGCAGGGAGGAGTAAATGGGTTACCTTGGAAGACCTGGGCTGGGGTGACATCCTCTCTGGAACCTTCCTGGTGGAGTCTGGGCCTACTAAGGGCCCCAGTAATGGGACTCTGGTTCTTCAGCTCCAGGCAATTCTTTTGCAGGTCTGAAGATGCTAGAGCGTGTCCGAAGCCAGCCCCTGACCAATGATGACCTGGTCACCTCCGTTAGCCTGCCACCGTACACCGGAGACTGATCTCCCCTGGGAAGAGGGGATGAGAGGAGAAGTCTTGGCTTCGCTTTTGGTGAGAAAGACATGAAAAACACTGAAGAAAGTTTGAATTTGTGGCCAGACCTGCCCCTCTCAGGCCTTCTAGGCATGTGTCTGAGGGAAGTCTCCTGAGTGTTAGAAGTGTTATTGGCAAAGCAATCCAATAAAATAAGCTACCTATGATGCAAAGCCTTCGATGTGCTGTCCTCTTAGGATGAAATTATTCAGCCCTGAAGGGGATTCTCTGGGCAAGTGCTGAGGTCTGGGGAGGCCCAGCCCAGGGAAGGAGCCAGGCACAAAAGTCGGTGCTTTCAGGAACTCCTCCTCTCAGGCCTGGAGCCTGGTTAGGCTGCTCTGAGTTGAGTGAAAATGGGGGCTTCTGAAAAGGGACCCTCCTAGGAGCCCCAGGGTTTTCCTGGACCTTGAAGTGCAGACAAATGGGGAGAATGGAAAGGTGGGAGGAAGGCTCCAGATAGAGATGGAAAGTGTTCCCACCCCAACTGCCTGGTGAAGTAGGCAGCCAGGGAATCTGGTGAATATGAGGTAGCCAGCCTTGTCCCTGATTGCCCAAGTTTGTGGGTGGGGGTGAGCGTGGAGGGGGTGGTTTTCAGGGAGCAAAGGATTCTGAAGTCCCTCAAGCCATGAATTAAATTGACTAGGAAGGCTTCCTGGATCTCCATTGAAGAACTTTCTCCGATTGCGGAATCTACATGTTTCTGTAGCCAAGATTATCGCAAGCTAAACCTGTCCTCAGTTGAACTCTTCCTCTTCAAATTTGCATTTTCTCCAGCATTTCGTATCTATAATGAGGCAATTGCAGTACTCTAGGAGAGTGACGATGGTGACTTGGACCAGAGTGGAATGGTAGATGTGTTAGGAAATGGTTGAATTTGGGACCTATTTTGAAGCCAGCAAGATTTGCTAATTACATGGCTTTTACAAGGCCAGTTACCAAATATAAGTTAGAAAGGTCGGCCAGGCGCAGTGGCTCACACCTGTAATCCCACGAGTTTGGGAGGCTGAGGTGGGCGGATCACCTGAGGTTGGGAATTTGAGACCAGACTGACCAACATGGAGAAACCCAATCTCTACTAAACACACAAAAGTAGCCGGGCATGGTGGCGCATATGCCTGTAATCCCAGCTACTCAGGAGGCTGAGGCAGGAGAATCCCTTGAACCCGGGTGGCGGAGGTTGCGTTGAGCCGAGATCATGCCATTGTACTCCTGCTGGGGTAACAAGAGTAAAGCTATGTCTCAAAAAAAAAAAAAAAAAAAGACAACAAAAAACACATAAGTTAGAAAGGTCATATTCAGAGTGGAAAAACAAGTAGAGAAAATGTTGAAAGAAATCAAATTGTAGTGGCTGGGCACTGTGGCTCATGCTTGTAATTCCAGCACTTTGGGAGGCCAAGGGGGGCTCAGGAGTTTGAGACCAGCCTGGACAACTTGGTGAAACCCTGTTTCTCCCAAAAATATAAAAAAATTAGCCAGGTTTTGTGGTGGGCAACTGTCATCCCAGCTGCTGGGAGAGGGGTTTGGGGTGGGAGGATCGCTTGAGCAGGGGAGGCGGAGGTTGCAGTGAGTGGAGCTCGCGCCACTGCACTCCAGCCTGGGTGACAGGGAGACCCTGTCTCAAACAACAAAACAAAACAAACAAAATCCTGTAAAGGAGTCAAGCACATTCTACAATACTAGGCATAAGAATGGCTGGGCGTGGTGGCTCATGCCAGTAATTCCAGCACTTTGTGAGGCCAAGGTGGGTGGATCACCTAGGTCAAGTGTTTTGAGACCAGCCTGGCCAACATAGTCAAACCCTGTCTCTACTAAAAACACAAAAATTAGCCAGGCATGGTGGTGGGCACCTGTAATCCCAGCTACCTGGGAGGCTGAAGCAGGAGAATCGCTTGAACCCGGGAGGCAGAGGTTGCAGTGAGCCGAGATTGCACCACTGCACTCCAGCCTGGATGACAAGAGCAAATCTGTCTCAAAACAAAAACAAAACCCATGTATTTTTAAATTGTCAGTCTGATAGATGAAAAATGTTTCTTAGTGGTGTTTAAAATTGCATGTATCTTATTCCAAGTGACACTGAATATCTCCTTATTGGATTCTCCTATGTCTTTCCTGATACCTTTTCATTCATATGTATAAAGACAATTTATATTGCACTTTCTGTGACCTGTCTATTTAGGCTGTTGTCCATTAGGTTGTTATTGACTTGTAGTACCTCTTGATATATTATGAAAATTAGTGCTTTGCTTGTAAAATGAGCCACAAATACTTCTTTCCAGTGTGTCCTTTGTTTTTTACATTGTTTTGGTGGAATTTGCCATGGAGATATTTTTAATATCTATGAGATGAATTCATGAATCTTTTTATATTTATTGTCTCTGGATTTTGTTTCATTCTTAGAAATGCCCTCCTCATTCCATGACTATAAAATATTTGGTAGTGGTTTCCTCTGGTATGGTTTGGGCTTGTTTTTTAACATTTAAATATTTGATGTTCCTGAGATGTGTTTTGATTTTGGTTGTTAGGTCTTGTTCAAACAGATTTTTAATATTTTATACATATATACTTTTACATCTATTCTTACTGTTTTATTTTTTGGAGACAGGGTCTCACTCTGTCACCCAGGCTGGAGTGCAGTGGTGTGATCATAGGTCACAGCAGCCTCAAACTTCTGGGCTCAAGTTATTTTCCCACCTCAGCCTCCCAAGTAGCTGGGACTACAGGTGCACGTAACTTCTCCTGTCTAATTTTTTAATTTATTTCATTTTTGTAGAGAAAAGATTTCACCATCTTGCCCAGGCTGATCTCAGTCTCCTGGGCTCAAGTGATCCTTGTGCCTCAGCCTCCCAAAGTGTTGGGATTACATGTGTGAACCACTGAGCCTGGTCTCAATTGGATTTTTAATAGGTGAATCTGTTTATCCCAATGATTACTCAATCATTGAATGAGTAATCCACCTTTTCCACACTAATCTGAATTGTCTCCTTTATCAAATATTAAATTTCTATGCATATATGTGGGTTTTTTTTGGTTTTCTATTCTATTTCATTAATTTGCCTTTCTGTTCATGCATCAATAAAACACAGCCTTGTATTTATTGAAGTTTTGTACTACTTGGTACATGGTAGGACTAATCCGTTTTTTTGTCTACTTTTTGTACAGCTTGTGGTTTAGGAATCATGGATCACATGGCTTACATGGTTTAAAAAATTAAAAGAAGGTTAATATTTGATTATGCATTAAATTATATAAAATTCAATGTGTGCTTATAAATAGAGATTTTTGAGATAGACCGGTACCTATCATTTATTTATGTATTGCTTCTGACCAGTTTTGCACTGCAATTGCTGAGTGAGTAGTTTTGACAGAGACTGCATGACATAAAACATAAAATATTTACTCTGTGGCCTTTATAGAAAAAGTTTGCCTGACAATTGCTCTAAATCACCAGGAAGAGCTAATTTACTTTGAATATGTTGTGATACTTGTAAAAACCTTTCCAACAAAATCATTACTTAAGGATATGATTTAGGCGGGGCTGGGTGGCTCACGCATGTAAGCCCAGGACTTTGGGAGGCTCTGGTGGGATGATTGCTTGACCTCAGGAGGTCAAGACAGACCAGCCAGGGCAACATGAGAAACCCCATCTCTACAAAAACTACAAAAAAAACTAGCTGAGCATGGTGGGGCATGACTGTAGTAGTCCCAGCTACTAAGGAGGCTGAGACGTGAGGATCGAATGAGCCTGAGAGGTTGAGGGTACAGTAAGCTGTGATGGTACCACTGCCCTCCAGCCTGGATGAGTGAAGCAGACCCTGTCTAAAAAAACAAAAAAATTTTAAAGGATATGATTTACTTTACGTTATTTTTGTCATTGAATTGTGTACTTTCTTGAGGGCAAAATAGCTGAATCTATGACTTTAGTATAGTTGCAATTCATTACAATGTGAGTTTTCTCATGACCAAAATAAGATGAAAAGACATTGAAACATTTCTCATTGCTTATGTTATTTTCCAGTGTACATTCAGTGGTACTTAAAAATTAAGATGGGACTGAAACTTTCTATGGGTTAGATGTAAATTTTTTTCTGATACATGTTTAGGTTAGCAGGCCAATGATTGGCTTTCTATATTATCGATAATATTTTTCTCCACCTAAAGTTTCCCTGATTCAACATTAAGTCTAATGTCCTTTAGAATAAATGTTTGACTTTTGTTACATTTATTGGACTTGTCCCAGTGTATTTCTTCAGGTTTGATAGAACTATCACTGAAGACTTTCTCATACTAGTTGTATTAATAGGATTTCTCTTCAGCAAGATACACAGTAAGAGAATTCCAAATGAAGGGCTTTGACATTTAATGTAGAAATAGAATTTTTCTTTTTTCTCTGTTTATTTATTTATATATTTTTGGCTACAAGATGAAGTGGTAAGGATTTTTCTATAGTATTAGTTTTTTGGTACTCAATAGGGCCTGAATTACTGCATATACATTTTGATTATAAATTCTTTGATGCTTAATATGACTTGGAAAGTGCTTATTAATGAAAATAATCAAGACATACTTTGTGCTTTTCACTCTTGAGGTTTTATGTGATAAAACACTTGTTACCTGCAGTTCATTCTCCCTCCTTGGAAAGGGGAACATTGCTGGGCTCAATCAATCAAAATGAGAGAAGTATGTAAAAGGGACCAGAATCATGTAGCATGCTTTGAACAGCAAATAATAGGAAACACTGGTCCAGTTGGATGCTAATAAAGCACTGTATTAGTGCCAATAGCAGACATTCCAGGCATATTATGCCAAGGGCTCCCTTCCACCTTGTGTTGGCTTCCTCTTCAGGTTGGTAGCAAAATACCTGTAGCCATTTCCAAAATCATATCCTGTCATAAACACCAGGAGAAAGAAAGAAGATATGAGTCCTTTTTTGTGTCTCTTTTCAGAAATGAGACAACCTCTGCTGGAAGCCTCCTTTAGGTTTTACTTCATTTCAAAACTGGTACATGTGCCATTTCCTAAAGCAATCACTGGCAAGGGGAATGAGATTATCACGATTAGTCTAAACTAATCACCTGGAGTTAAATTGATGTTAGAAGTTAATGTCCATCAGCACTAAACAGGATTCTATTTTTCTATGTTTTGACATCATCTGCGAGTTGAAAAACTGCAACTGTGAGCCAGAGATTGACAGAGTGATAGAGCCACTGAATGAGAAATGGATTTATGACCTGGGAACTTGAGAAGCCATGCTAAATGAAACCCACACATTTGAAGCTGCCAAATTCTCATAGAATATCTATTTGTTCAAGTATAAGGAATCTTGAGAAACTCATGTAGGATGCAATAGAAACTATATTTCATTTGAGTGCGTATTTGTTAGCATAGTCCTGCTTTTTAAATGCTGTATTACCAGGCACAGTGGCTCACGCCTGTAATCTCAGCACTTTGAGAGGCTGTGGATCACTTGAGGCCAGGAGTTCGAGACCAGCGTAGACAACATGGTGGATCCAGTATCTACTAAAAATACAAAAGTTAGCTGGGTGTGGTGGTGCGTGCCTGTAGTCCCAGCTACTCAGGAGGCTGAGACAGGAGAATCACTTGAACCTGGGAGGTGCAGGTTGCAGTGAGCTGAGATCGCGCCACTGCACTCCAGCCTGGGCGACAGAATGAGACCCTGTCTCAAATAAATAAATAAATAAATAAATAAATAAATAAATAAATAAATACTCTACAATGAGGCTGGGTGCAGTGCCTCATACCTGTAATCCTGGTGCTTTGGGAGGCTGAGGCAGGAGGATCACTTGAGTACAGGAGTTTGAGACATCAGTGAGCTATGATTGCGTCACTACTCTGGCCTGGGCAATAGGTCAAGACCCTGTCTCTAAACTCAAAACAAAAGAAGAAAAACAAAACCAAAAAAACCCTCTGCCATCAGAAAATTATTGACACTTTTGGTTTCAGATGTGCCCATCTTGCTGTGAGTCTACATCCAGCATGGACAGGCAAAGCTAAGAGTATCAGGACTCCTCTCTTTGCTGTGTGTGTGCACCTTCCCATGAATATACGAAATAAAGATGATTACTTACTCCATGTGTTACACTTGCAAACCTTGCCTTTTTTATTACTCTAAAATATGAGGTAACCAAGATTGTGCATAACTAGTATTAGACAACTCACTGCACACCATCTCTGACTCTGCGTTTGTTGCCCTATGTGGTACTTAGGATGATATTATTTCCATAATTGTGCATGAATAATTTTTCCAGGGCCACCAGCTGGTCCTAGCTGGCTGCCTTCTCCTCCACCCCTGCTGACTATATAAGTGGTTTGTTATTTTTCAAAGATAATTTTTGTAAAACTTGTATTTTAGATTTTGGGACACATGTGAAGGTTTGTTACATAGGTAAGCTTGTGTCATGGGAGTTTGTTGTACAGATTATTTCATTACCCAGGTATTAAGCCCATTACCCACTATTTATCTTTCCTGCTTCTTTCCCTTTTCTTACCCTCCACCCTCAAGTAGAACTTAATGTCTGTTGTTTACTTCTTTGTATTCATGAGTTCTTATCATTTGGCTCCCACTGGTAAGTGAGAACATACAATATTTGGTTTTCTCTTCCTGTGTTAGTTTGCTAAGGATAATGGCCTTCAGCCCCATCCATGTTCCTGCAAAAGATATTATCTTGTTCTTTTTTATGGCTGCATAGTATTCCGTGGTGTATATGTACTAAATTTTCTTTATCCAGTCTGTCATTGATGGGCATTTAGGTTGATTCTATGTCTTTGCTATCATGAATAGAGCTGTAATGAACATTCATGTGCATATATTTTTACGGTAGAATGATTTATATTCTTCTGGATAGATACCCAGTAATGGGCTTGCTGGATCAAATGGTACTTCTGCTTTTAGCAGTTTGAGGAATCACCATACTGCTTTCCCAACGGTTGAACTAATTTACGCTCCCACCAACAGTGTATAAAACTGTGTATAAGTGTTCTGTTTTTTTCTGCAATCTCGCCAGCATCGGTTTTATATATATATATATATATATATATTTTTTTTTTTTTTTTTTTGAGATGGAGTCTTACTCTGTCGCCCAGGCTGGAGTACAATGGTGCGAACTCAGCCACCTGCTACCTCTGCCTTCTGGGTTCAAGCAATTCTCTGCCTCAGCCTCCTGAGTAACTGGAATTGCAGGTGAGAGCTACCAAGTTGGTGAATCTGATTTTTCCTTAATGCAAGCCGACGAATCTGATTTTTCCTTAACGCTTTAGCACAGAAGTTAATGGTTGCTTAATTTTACCAAAAAGGTAATATTTGAGAATGTGATTATCAACATGTACACAAAGCTACCTAGAAGATTAGCTTTCTTAGTAGAAATCCAAGCACCCTGACAATACTGGTGTCACTTATGAATAAATGTTTTGAAACTTAACTTTTTTTTTTTTTGCCTCCCAACATAAAGTCATACAAGGAAACTTCAGGAAATTAATAATTTATTTATAATTTTTTTTCTTCAAAAAACCCTTCAAAGTTCAGACACTAACACTGATGTGTAATACCAAATAGCTCCACAGGACAGATGGAAACAGGAAAAGTCAGATGATTAGCACTCAAAAGCAACAGTAATTAAGCAGTTGAAAGAGGATTGGATTGTTGGTTAATATTTGTGCATTTGAAAGAATCAAGTTGGAGATGTAACTTCTTGCAAGAAGGAGATTAAGTCACACTTGATGCTTCCCCTCACTGACCAAGGGACTGGGCTATCTTGTTAACTCTTTCTTTTCAGTTTAATTGCCTTCTGTACTCTAATTTTCTCAGAGTGTACACATACACATGCACACACACGTATACATATATAATATATACATACATAATATATACATACATAATATATACATACATAATATATACATACATAATATATACATACATAATATATACATACATAATATATACATATATAATATATACATATATAATATATAATATACATACATTTATATTATATATATGTGTGTGTATATATATGTGTGTGTATGTGTGTGTGTGTATATATATATTATATATATATATATATTATATATATATATATATATATTCTTTTTTTTTTTTGAGACTCACTTTGTTGCCCAGGCTGGAGTGCATGGACAACAAGCCCAGGCTGGAGTGGCATGATCTCAGGTCACTGCAACCTCCGCCTCCTAGGTCCCAGCAATTCTCCTGCCTCAGCCTCCAGAGTAGCTGGGATTATAGGCGTGTGCCACCACTCCTGGCAACTTTTTTGTATTTTTAGTAGAGACAGTGTTTCACCATGTTGGCCAGGCTGGTCTTGAACTCCTGACCTCAGGGGATCCACCCAGCTCGGCCTCACAAAGTGCTGGGATTACAGGCGTGAGCCACCATGCTCAGTCTCAGAGCGTATATTCTGTTTTATTTTCCCCCTGGACAGAAGAAAATCTGTTTATTTCACCCCACTTCTTTCCTCTAAGAAAAGACAATTCTCTCCAGGAGGAAAAGGAAAATCAGGAAGAAGGAGAGAGGAAGGAGGGGGTATAAGGGAAGATGAGAGAAAGAGAGAGAGACCGCGAAGTGGAACATCAGATTAAAGTAGAAGACAGAGGAGAGAGGGGAAGGAAAGAGGGAGCCAGAAGGGGGATGCTCCGGGCTCTCAATCTCAGGACTGTGCAAAATGATTTTCCAGGAGATGCACATGTGGTCTCATATTTCTCACAATAGTCCACCCAGGCTCCCTCCTCAGGTGGTCTGTCTCCCACTAGCAAAACCCAATATAGCCAGTCTTGCTGCCTCACCTGGAGGGAGGACCAGGACTTGGTGCCAGGTCTGGGTCTCTACTGCTGTCCCTGCACAGACTCATTTGAGGCTTTCACGTTTCTCTCCACTCTTGGGGGAACGGCCTGCAACAGGAAAGGCGTGTGTGGTGTGAGTGTTTTTCCAGGGCCACCAGTTGGTCCTAGCTGGCTGCACTGCTCTCCCTGACTACAAACACTTCTTTGAGGCAGAGAGCTCCTCTCTCAGCTGAAGGGCCTATGGGTATTACTCAGGAAGCAGCCTCAGGTTGGGGGAACTGCTGTTGCTGCTGCCATAGCTGCAGGAGGAAGAGGTGGAAAGACACTGGAGGGGTACTCAGTCTGGAATCTGATTTGTTTTTGTTTTTAGCTTTTTGTTTTTTTAGACAGGGTGTTACTTCGTCACCCAGGCTGGCCCGCAGTAGTGCGATCTCAGCTCACTGCAACCTTTGCTTCCTGGGTTCAAGCGATTCTCACCTCAGCCTCCAGAATAGGTGGGACTATAGGCGTGGGCCATCATGCCCAGCTACTTTTTGTATTTTTGGTAGAGATGAGGTTTTGCCATGCTACCCAGGGTGGTCTCAAACTCAGCTCAAGGAGGTCAACTGCCTCGGCCTTCCTAAGTGCTGGGATTACAGGTGTGAACCATCTTGCCTGGCTAGAATTTGATTTTTAAAAACTTTTTTTTGAGGCCAGGCACCGTGGCTCACGCCTGTAATCCCAGCACTTTGGGAGGCTAAGGCGGGCAGATCACCTGAGGTCGGGAGTTTGAGACCAGCCTGGCCAACATGATGAAACCCTGTCTCTACGGAAAATACAAAATTAGCTGGGCTTGGTGGCACACACCTGTAATCTCAGCTACTCAGGAGGCTGAGGCAGAATTGCTTGAACCCAGGAGCAGAGGTTGTGGTGAGCTGAGATCACACCATTGCACCTGAGCCTGGGCAACAAGAGCAAAACTGCATCTCAAAATAAACCAACAAAAAAAAACCCACCAAAAAAAATTTTTTTTGACACTTGCCCAAAATCTTAAAATAAAAAATCCTGATGGCTCTGTCTTCAAAATAAATCCCAAATTCATGCATTTCAACTGCTAGTACTCTAGTCTAAAACCTATTTTCTTAATTCTTTTTTCAAAAATTCAGGCCCAG
Source organism: Homo sapiens (assembly GCF_000001405.40). Classification (NCBI taxonomy): domain Eukaryota; kingdom Metazoa; phylum Chordata; class Mammalia; order Primates; family Hominidae; genus Homo; species Homo sapiens. The sequence continues at coordinate 73,213,754 of NC_000006.12, read as the reverse complement.
GCTGGGTGCGTTGGCTGGTGTATGTAATTCCAACACTTTGGGAGTCCGAGGCGGGTGCATCACATGATGTCAGGAGTTCAAGACCAGCCTGGCCAACATGGTAAACCCCCATCTTTACTAAAAATACAAAAATTGGCCAGGCACGGTGGCTCACGCCTGTAATCCCAGCACTTTGGGAGGCTGAAACAGGTGGATCACCTGAGGTCAGGAGTTCAAGACCAGCCTGGCCAACATGGCGAAACCTCGTCTCTACTAAAAATACAAAAATTAGCTAGGCGTGGTGGCGTGATCCTGTAATCCCAGCTACTCGGAGGCTGAGGCAGGGGAATCGCTTGAACCTGGGAGGTGGAGGTTGCAGTGAGCCAAGATCAGGACATTGCACTTCAGCCTGAGCCACAAGAGTGAAACTCCGTCCCCCCAACCAAAAAAAAAGAAGAAAAGAAAAAATACAAAAAGTAGCCAAGTATGTGCACCTGTAGTCCCAGCTACTTGGAAGGCTGAGGTGCAAGAATTACTTGAGCCCAGGCAGTTGAGGGTACCATGAGCCGAGATCTTGCACTCCAACTTGGGCGACAGAGCGACTCTGTCTCCAAAAAATTAAAAAAGAAATTAATAAATAAATAAAAATAAAATAAATAAGTAATTAGATGAAATTCAGGCCCAAAGTCCAAAATGTTCAAACTATTAAGATGTCTTTTACTGAATTTATTGCAGTGACCACTGTTAATAAAAATATTTGCACTTTGAATTTTATTAAAGGAAAAATTAAAGGAATATTCAGTTTTGCTTGACATCCTCTAAACTTTGAGTACTCAAACATACTATGAGTTTTCTTTTGGTTACCAAACTAAGAATAACATAAAAAACTGAGAAGTCAAAATCAAAGTTGGGTTTTCCTAGGTTAATTGTAATAAAATGTGTACTTCTTTTTTTTAGATGAAGTCTCACTCTGTCACCCATGCTGGAGTGCAGTGGCATGATCTCTGCTCGCTGCAACCTCTGCCTCGTGGGTTCAAGCAATTCTCCTGCCTCAGCCTCCGGAATGGCTGGGATTACAGACACGCACCACGTGCCCGTCTAATTTTTGTATTTTTATGGAGATGGGGTTTCTCCATGTTGGTCAGGCTGGTCTTGAACTCCTGACCTCAAGTGATCCACCCACCTTGGTCTCTCAAAGTGTTGGGATTACAGGTATGAGATACCGCACCTGGCAAATGACATGTACTTCTAAAGTTAAAAAACCCTCTTGTTTATTATACAGTGATATATAACTATTAACACATTGATTTTAAAAAAGAAAATTAACCAGCTGGGTGCAGTGGCTTACGCCTGTAATCCCAGCACTTTGGGAGGCCGAGGCGGGTGGATCACAAGGTCAGGAGTTCAAGACCAGCTTGGCCAAGATGGTGAAACCCGTCTCTACTAAAAATACAAAAATTAGCCAGGCACGGTGGTGGGCGCCTGTAATCCCAGCTACTTGGGAGGCTGAGGCAGGAGAATTGCTTGAACCTGGGAAGCTGAGGTTGCAGTGAGCCAAGATAGTGCCACTGCACTCCAGCCTGGGCGACAGAGTGAGACTGTCTAAAAAACAAAACAAAACAAAACAAAACAAAAAACTAACCTTTTTCAATTATTAATTAGTGACATTCATAATGTACTTTATGGGGTAAAGTCCGTGGGTATTTGTTAGCGGCCTCCTTAACTCTCATGACAACTCTCCTTCTCTTACTTGAGTAGGGTGTGTTTGTGATTATTTGAGCTGTTTTAGGGAACTATTCATGCTTTGTACAGATATTTTGGAATCTCCTTTTTATAATGTTAATGCTTCTTGTTAACGATTCAGGTTTAAAAATATAAAGTAGAATTTTTCAAGTATTCTATGCCAGCACAAAATCTAAATTTACCATTAGTGTATGACCTTCTCCCAAAAGTTAAATCAGGCTAGGCGCAGTGGCTCATGCCTGTAATCCCAGCACTTTGGGAGGCCGAAGTGGGTGGATCACGAGGTCAGGAGTTCGAGACCAGCCTAACCAACATGGTGAAACCCCGTCTCTACTAAAAATACAAAAATTAGCCCGGCATGGTGGTGCATGTCTGTAATCCCAGCTACTCAGGAGGCTGAGGCAGAAGAATCGCTTGAACTCGGGATGCAGAGGTTGCCAATAGCCGAGATCATGTCATTGCACTCCAGCCTGGGTAACAGAGTGAGACTCTGTCTCAAGAAAAAAAAAAAAAAAAAAAAAAAAAAATTAAATCAGCTCAAGTGGCTGAATTGATTGTTCTCCTTCACTCAGCAAATAGGAGATTAAAAATGAAATATTTCTGTGTGATGGAGGGGCCTGGCAAAAATAAAAAGCAAATATTTATATAGGCGGTAGATAGGTGATTGAATTGTTCCATATCGGAGAACTTTGGAAATGGGGAGGTTTTCTGGCCTCTTCTGGAAGTCTCAAATCCACTTGGCTCTCTAGATCAGATTCAGATGGATTTGGGACATGATTTCATGGCCTGGTTTTGAAATCTAGGCCTCTGTCTTTGCAGCCTATTAATAGTATTAATAGTCATTTTTTTCTAGTAATTACTGGTATTGTATTTGACTAGTGCATCCTGTACAGTCTGAAATGCTACTGTGTGGTCATTATATTTTCACTATTATATTTTGCAACAAAATGTACATGAGAGACCAACTGTATGCAGATACAGACAATGTTGTCCCGATAAACTTGTGATCAGTGGATTCTGGCAATGGTGTTAGATCTGAACCCCACAGATGAAAGTCCTGATGGCTGAGTTTGTCTTTGGTCAAAAGGGGAGGATGATAAGTGAAAAAGTACCTAGGAACTTGCAGCTGGGAGCTGACAGGCAAGTTCGAATCTTCCCTACCAAACATAAACATCTCTTGCAAAATATTTTAACCAGTCAAGATTGCTTAGTGATTGTCATGCAACAAGATGTAGAAAGTCCACTCTATGTTTGAAACAAGAGAGATTTGACACTCTGTAATCAAGACCACATTAATCCTCCTACCTCCCAGATAAAGTTACCAGGATAATCAACAAATTGCCCCATTTTCAAAAACTGGTCCCTACTCCCTAAACACTCCTTAGACTCCCCTAGACAACTCCTATAATTGGCTCCCCACGACACGCTTATTTTCCTGTGTTGTTTGCTCTCCCTTGATGCAGCACACCAAACAAACCCAGTCTTGTTGGAGTATACTACGTGGTCACTCGGTGGCTGCCAGCACCTGTGCAAATCTAGGGAGCCCATTTGGAGCCTTCTTGCACCTCCATCCTTCAATCCTTGCCCTGCCTCCTCATTTGTCTCAGCATCCCTTGATGATCCCTGCCTGAATCAGTTCTTACACTGCTGATTGCAAAATAGTGACTTCACTCCAAAATTCAGAGTGAAGAAAATTTTTGATTCCGGGGCATCAGAAAAGCAAGCACTAGTCAGATGATTAAGTTTGGCATGAAAGGATTAAGCTCAGAGCAGATAATTACTTGGAATGAATTATCTTGGGAAGACCTCCCAGGATTGAACACCCACCCTAAGGTGGTTCAAGGGGCGGGTTGTTTTGGGTACTTATTTTAAGGACAGAGCCTAGGTCCTTCCTCACTTTTTTCAAGTCCTTTACCAACCAGTTGCTTGGACTTGCCCCTCTTCTGAATCAGGTCAGAGCAGAGCATGGCCATGGGAACAAGTGCCCTCAGCAAGAAGCCGTGGTAGACCCTGCCTGAAAACTTTCATGATCCAATGGTGTTTCACATGGAAGAGGACCAGGAGGAGCTCATCTTTGGTGAGTGGCCTTTGCCCACATCCCCTCCTTCATCCTTGTCTTCTCCATTTTCAATTTTTCCCTTCTTTCCTACCTTCATCAGTCACACATCGGTTCCCCCAAGGCTACCTCCCCACTCCCCAAGGGCTGGTGCTTGATAGACCCTCCTCTCGCCTCTTATGCTCACAGGGCATGGTGACACATACCTTCACTGCATTGAGGTGCACAGCCACACCCTTATTCAGCTGGAGAGTTGGTTCACAGCTACAGGCCAGACTCATGTGACTGTAGTTGGACCACATAGGGCAAGGCAGTGGCTGCTGCACATGTTCTATTATGTGGGGAGCCAGGACTCCTGTCGTCACAATCAAGGTAGGTATCCTTGGCTGAACTGTGGTGTGGAGGGTTTGATGGTGGAGTTCTGGCTGAGTTGTGTGGCACCTTGGATTCTTGAAGGATCCCTTGTGTGGCTGGGGAATCCAGGTGGTTCCTAGAGTTCACTGGGAAGGGAAGGGCTCACTTTTGTGATATCCAATTTTCAGGGAGTAGAGGGTAGTGGGGAGGTATAAATGGGTTACGTTGGAAGGCCTGGCTGGGGTGACATCCTCCCTGCGATGTCCCTGGTGGAGTCCAGGCCTGCCAAGGGCCCCAGTAATGGGCTCTACTTCACCAGCCCTGGGCACTTCTTCTGCAGGCCTCAAGATGCTGGAGCGTGTCCGGAGCCAGCCCCTGACCAACCATGATCTGGTCGCCTCCATTAGTGTGCCACCGTACACCAGAGACCTGTCTTTGGCCTCCAGGATAAGTGGAACCGTCTGTCTTAGCGTACCTCAGCCTTTCCCTTACCAAGTGATTGGTCGTTAGGTATTCTATTTGAGTTCACTCTATTCGTAATTAAGGACAGATCTCCCCTGGGAAGTGGGGATGAGAGGAGAAGTCTTGGCTTCACTTTTGGTGAGAAAGACATGAAAGACACTGAAGAAAGTTTGAACTTGTGGCGGGGACCTGTCCCTCTCAGGCCTTCTAGGCACGTGCCTGAGGGAAGTCTCCTGAGTGTAAGAAGTGTTATTGGCAAAGCAATCCAATAAAATAAGCTACCTGTGATGCAAAGCCTTCGATGTGCTGTCCTCTTTCCTTAGGATGAACTTATCCAGCCCTGAAGGGGATTCTTTGGGCAAGTGCTGAGGTCTGGGGAGGCCCAGCCCAGGGAAGGAGCCAGGCACACAAGTCGGCGCTTTCAGGAACTCCTCCTCTCAGGCCTGGAGCCTGGTTAGGCTGCTCTGAGTTGAGTGAAAACCAGGATTTCTAAAAAGGGACCCTCCTAGAAGCCCCAGGGTTTTCCTGGACCTTGAAGTGCAGACAAATGGGGAGAATGGAAAGGTGGGAGGAAGGCTCCAGATGGAGATTCTGAAGTCCCTCAAGCTGTGAATTAATCCATTCCAGAACTTTCTCCCAATGCCAAATCTACATTTGGATCTCTCTAGCCAAGATTATGGCAAGCTAAACCTGTCCTCAGTTGAACTCTTCCCGTTCAAATTTCTTCTTTCTCTAGCAGTCTGTATGTCTTATGAGGCAATTGCAGTCCTCTATCACAGAGCAACAGTGGTGACTTGGACTAGAGTAGAATGGTAGAAATGTTAGGAAATGGTTGAATTTGCAATCTATTTTGAAGCCAACAAGATTTGCTAATTACATGGTTTTTACATGGCCAGTTACCAAATAAAAGTTAGAAAGATCATATTCAAAGTATGAAAACACTTATGAATTTGCTCGAGGAAGAATATAACTACACTATTCTCAAGGAGAATATCATGTTTACTTTTAAATCTATAATATAATAATTGATGGCTCATAAACTAGAGAAAAAACTTATTTTGTAAAAGACGTGCAAAAAGAGTATTTTCTCAAGTTTCATACCACAAATGATGAAATTAATATTTTATATTTTAAGGCTATAATTCTCATCTCTAAATCCCAGTCACCAAAGGTTTCTGTGTGGGTACAGCTTAGGTATCATAATGGAGGAGTGAATATCTCAAACAGTGGCGTGAGATTACAAGCACTTACATAACAGCTCTACCAGTAGATGGCTTTATGATCTTCAGCAAGTCACTGATTTCTTAGTGCATTGGTTTTCCCACATAAAATTGAGATAATACTGACTACCTCAGGTGAGCAACAGTCTTTTGCCTGGATTCTTTTACCATCTTTCTTCTAATAAAACTATTGTTTCTTAAAAGCGTACCCTATCTCCCTAGCTCCAAAAGGGGAATGGTGATTGACATAATCAAATCAGGCCTTACACATTGTGATTCACTGGTCCAGGAATGAGCATGTGACCTGTATTAACCTAACCAGGTGTTAGGAAAGGATTTATACTCTGCACTTGAGTGGAGGGTTTCCTGCCTCCTCCTGTCTCTGGTTAGATGTGATTAAGAAGGTGTGTGGCATTAGTTGCCACTGTTGTCATCTTGTAGACAATAAGAGGAGCCACCAATAATATACAGCTGAAAAAGAGGACAGCAGAGACAGAAATAATCTGGAAATTTGATGATGTCATTGAACAAATTGTGTTCTGCCTGGAGTTAGCCCTACCTCTGTTCTTCCAGTTAGATAAAAATGTCCTTCTATCGAAGGTTGTTTCTTGTGGTAATGTGGTAAGGATTATAATTGATGGTAACTGGGAAGCATTTTTTGACACAATATTGGCAGTCACTAAGCCTGAGTTGTTATTCTAAGGCGTGGGATCCAAAGACTGTGTAGGCTGGGCTCTGGCTATGGGTGTGGCATTGGTAGGAAAGAGTAAAGAGAAGTGGGGAGCAGAAATATGGTGTTACAGGGCACAAGGACAGGGGAAGAGTAGATAGTCCTCCTTTTTTCTTTGGGGTCTACAGTGAGGTTTGACAGAAGGCAGTCTTTCTGATGAGCGGTCAAAGTCTAGGCATGGGTGTCATCTATGGGGTCTGACTCAGTTGTTTTGGGGTATGGGGAGGAGTACAGACCAAGAATGTGAGGTCTGAGTGGGATGGGAGTGGGGCTCTTTAGGTCCTAGTCTTGTAGAGACATGATTACTGGTTATGTGGCATTGACTTCTTCATGGGCCCCTTTGGAAAAGTAACAGACTATACAGTAAAGACCTTTGGGAAAAGTAACAGATTAAATTTGTGACACAGTGTGAGTAAGTCTTGATGATTGCACTTTCCTCTTGACTGCAGAGCCTCTGAAATTAGGGGTTGGAAGTTGTTGAAAGCCAAATAAAAGTCCCGGGGTGAACAAAACACTTTTGTTCATTAACATATTGAGTCCCTACTACATAGTACTGTGTGAGAAGCTAGAGGTATAATGTGAGTGAGATATCCCTGCCCTTAAGTTGTTTTAATCTGGGGCATTTGTGGTAACTTTGGGCCCTAGGGAAGATGTTCAGGAAGGACATCTGGGCTGGAGATACGTGATTGGGTGGGATCATTCTGCATTAGTAGTTGAAATCATAAGTGAGACCACCTGGGGAGAGCATGGAGCTCGAGGGAGTAAAGGGAAGAGGCTGATGGAATCCATGGGAACACCTACAGTTAAGAAATGCACCTCTCCCTCCCCTTCTCCCTCTCCCTCTCCCCACGGTCTCCCTCTCCCTCTCTGTCCACGGTCTCCCTCTAATGCCGAGCCGAAGCTGGACTGTACTGCTGCCATCTCCGCTCACTGCAACCTCCCTGCCTGATTCTCCTGCCTCAGCCTGCCGAGTGCCTGCGATTGCAGGCGCGCGCCGCCACGCCTGAGTGGTTTTCGTATTTTTTTGGTGGAGACGGGGTTTCGCTGTGTTGGCCGAGCTGGTAACCGCGAGTGATCTGCCAGCCTCCGCCTCCCAAGGTGCCGGGATTGCAGATGGAGTCTCGTTCACTCAGTACTCATTGTTGCCCAGGCTGGAGTGCAGTGGTGTGATCTCGGCTCGCTACAACCTCCACCTCCCAGCCGCCTGCCTTGGCCTCCCAAAGTGCCGAGATTGCAGCCTCTGCCCGGCCGCCACCCCGTCTGGGAGGTGAGGAGCGTCTCTGCCTGGCCGCCCATCGTCTGGGATGTGAGGAGCCCCTCTGCCCGGCTGCCCAGTCTGGGAAGTGAGGAGCGCCTCTTCCCTGCCGCCATCCCGTCTAGGAAGTGAGGAGCGTCTCTGCCCGGCCGCCCATCGTCTGAGATGTGGGGAGCACCTCTGCCCCGCCGCCCCGTCTGGGATGTGAGGAGCGCCTCTGCCCGGCCGCGACCCTGTCTGGGAGGTGAGGAGCGTCTCTGCCCGGCCGCCCCTTCTGGGAAGTGAGGAGCCCCTCTGCCCGGCCGCCACCCCGTCTGAGAGGTGTACCCAACAAACAGCTCATTGAGAACGGGCCATGATGACGATGGCGGTTTTGTCGAATAGAAAAGGGGCAAATGTGGGGAAAAGACAGAGAAATCAGATTGTTGCTGTGTCTGTGTAGAAAGAAGTAGACATAGGAGACTCCATTTTGTTCTGTACTAAGAAAAATTCTTCTGCCTTGGGATGCTGTTGATCTATGACCTTACCCCCAACCCGGTGCTCTCTGAAACATGTGCTGTGTCCACTCAGGGTTAAATGGATTAAGGGCGGTGCAAGATGTGCTTTGTTAAACAGATGCTTGAAGGCAGCATGCTGGTTAAGAGTCATCACCACTCCCTAATCTCAAGTACCCAGGTACACAAACACTGCGGAAGGCCGCAGGGTCCTCTGCCTAGGAAAACCAGAGACCTTTGTTCACTTGTTTATCTGCTGACCTTCCCTCTACTATTGTCCTATGACCCTGCCAAATCCCCCTCTGCGAGAAACACCTAAGAATGATCAATTAAAAAAAAAAAAAAAAAAAGAAATGCAAAACAGGCCAGGCGCTGAGGCTCATACCTGTAATCCTAGCACTTTGGAAAGCCAAGGCTGGCAGATCATGAGGTCAGAAGTTCGAGACTAGCCTGGCCAACATGGTGAAACCCCGTCTCTACTAAAAATACAAAAATTAGCTGGGCGTGGTGGCACATGCCTGTAATCCTAGCTACTCGGGAGGCTGAGGCAGAAGAATCGCTTGAACCTGGGAGGCGGAGGTTGCAGTGAGCTGAGATCATGCCACTGCACTCCAGCCTAGGTGACAGAGCGAGACTCTGTCTCAAAAAAAAAAAAAAAAAAAAAGTTAAATCAGCTCAAGTGGCTGAATTGATTGTTCTCCTTCACTCAGCAAATAGATTAAAAAATGAAATGTTTCTGTGTGATGGAGGGGCCTGGCAAAAATAAAAAGCAAATTAAAAAAAAAGAAAAAGAAATGAGAAACAATAGGAGCTTGGAGAAGTCTATAAAGATGACCAAGTCAGAGAGGTAGGACTGTGGCAGTGTAAAATATGTACAGTATTTGGTCTTAGTCCTGTTTCCTGACATACAGCTCCTAAAACCTTTGGAATCTGCAAATTGATGAGTGTCTTTAGTATGCTAATGAGACGACTGGTGGCTGGGAGCCCCTGGGTAGCTTCAGGACAGGGACTGGTCACAGGGAAGGTCAAGATGTGAATAGAGGGTTGGAACTTTTCAGCCCCACCTCTAACTCTGGGAAGGGTAGAGGGGCTGAAAGTTGAGCTAATCACCAATGGCTAATGATTTAATCCATCGCGTCTATGTAATGAAGCTTCCATAAAACCATAAAAGGACTGGGTTTGTGGAGATCCTGTATACCTTAACACCCGGAGGTTCCTGGAGGGTGGCATGCCTGGGAAGGAGGTAGAAGCTCTGCACTCCTTCCCTGATAAACTTGCCCTATGCATGTCTTCATCCATATCCTTTGAAATATTCTTTATAATAAACCAGTAAATGTGTTTCCCTGAGTTCTGTGAGCTGCTCTAGCAAATGAGTCCGATCCTAGGAATGGGTTGTAGGAATCTCGATTTATCCCTAGTTGGTCAGAAGCCCAGGTAAAACAACCTGGGGCTTGTGATTGGCATCCGAAGTGGAGGGCAGTCTTGTGGGACTGAGTCATCAACATGTGGGATCTAATGCTACCTCCAGGTAGATAATTCAGAATTGATTTTTTTTTTTCTTTTTTGGGACAGGGCCCAGCTCTGTAGCCCAGGCTGGAGTGCAGTGGCATGATCTCAGCTCACTGCAACCTCCGCCTCCTGGGCTGAGGTGATTCTCCTGCCTCAGCCTCCTGAGAAGCTGGGACTACAGGTGCCCGCCACCATGCCTGGCTAATTTTTGTATTTTTAGTAGAGACGGGGTTTTACCATGTTGTCCAGGCTGGTCTCGAATGCCTGAGCTCAAGGGATCTGCCCACCTCCACCTCCCAAAGTGCTGGGATTACAGGTGTTAGCCACCAAGCCCAGCCCAGAATTGAATTTAATTAGAAGACACTCAGCTGTGTCCACTGCAGAACTGATTGTTTGGCTGTTGGTGGTGTTAAAGGAAATTTATAGGAGCCCATTGATGTGGATTGAACTACTACTGCCAGGCCCAACAGACCAAACCACAGTTGAATCACTTATGCTAAACTTACACATCACCAAGCCAAAACTAAGTTGTTTGACCTTTCAAGAAATCAAGAGAGATAGAGACAATAACTAAATTTCCAAACAGGCCAGTTTTAGCCAACATGTTAAGGAAGTTCCCTTTGCTTTAACTTTTATGAGGAAATTAACTGAAACCAATCTGCATTTTGTTTACTGTTTCTGACCTTCTCAGCTCTTGTCAGTTTATAAAACCAGCCTCCTCTGCTTGACTCACTGTAACATTCATTCAATTGTATAGAAGGAGGTGTTGCACAATTTTAAAATTGCAAACAAAAACCAATTAAGATCTTCAAACTAAATTGTGTTGTAATTTTGTCTTTTGACAGCGGAGAGAAATCCCCATACAACGCCTTGGTGACCAGAGGTCACAGAAGTCTTCTGTGTCGATTGTTGAGTGAAAGTTTAGAAAAAATACTTTGGTTTTTTTCTCCATAACTTACAAACTGGAAAGGGGTGGCGTTCTAAAAGATGAGAAATTTTAAGAGAAAGAAAGAGTGATTGCAGTGTCCACTATTAAAGAAAAGCCAAAAGGGATGCTGGTTGAAGGTGTCCCTTGAATTAGCTTTTTTTTTTTTTTTTTCTTTTTTGAGACGGAGTCTCGCTGTCGCCCAGGCTGGAGTGCAGTGGCGCAATCTCGGCTCACTGCAGGCTTCGCCCCGCGGGGTTCAAGCCATTCTCCTGCCTCAGCCTCCCGCCTAGCTGGGACTACAGACGTCCGCCACCTCGCCCGGCTAATTTTTTGTATTTTTAGTAGAGACGGGGTTTCACCGTGTTAGCCAGGATGGTCTCGATCTTCTGACCTCGTGATCCACCCGCCTCCGCCTCCCAAAGTGCTGGGATTACAGGCGTGAGCCACCGTGCCCGGCCGAATTAGCTTCTAAGAGGTCACAGATGAACTTCTAGTGCAGCTTTTCTGTGCTGCTGGGTGGTCGTGAGTCTGACTGTCATGTGCTGGTTAGTGGGGTGGATGCTGTGGAAATGGAAGTACTTTATATAATTTATTTTATAAGATGCAGTTTGTTTCTAAAGTCAAGGTGGTGTATAGAGTAAAAAAGAGGAAGGGACGGCCGGGCGCGGTGGCTCACGCCTGTAATCCCAGCACTTTGGGAGGCCGAGGCGGGCGGATCAGGAGGTCAGGAGATCGAGACCATCCTAGCTAAGACAGTGAAACCCCGTCTCTACTAAAAATATAAAAAATTAGCCGGGCGTGGTGGCGGGCGCCTGTAGTCCCAGCTACTGGGGAGGCTGAGGCAGGAGAATGGCGTGAACCCGGGAGGCGGAGCTTGCAGTGAGCCGAGATCGCGCCACTGCACTCCAGCCTGGGCGGCAGAGCCAGGCTCCGTCTCAAAAAAAAAAAAAAAAAAAAAAAAAAAGAGGAAGAGAGGGTACTGGAAAGTTGTTGGTAACATGGGAGAGGCTTAAGCATACTTATGAGGGGAAAGGGTGAGATGCTGTAGATATGGGGAAGGGGAGGGGCAGCAGGTGACAACCAAGGGCTTGGGAACCCAGAGTGGAAGAGTTAGTTTACCCTAAAGGCAAGGAGTGGCCAGGCGTGGTGGCTCATGCCTGTAATCCCAGCACTTTGGGAGGCTGAGGTGGACGGATCACCTGAGGTCAGGAGTTCAAGACCAGCCTGACCAACATGGTAAAACCCCATCTCTATTAAAAATACAAAAATTAGGCCAGGCGTGGTGGCTAACGCCTGTAATCCCAACACTTTGGGAGGCGGGGGAGGGTGGATGACCTGAGGTCAGGAGTTCAAGACCCAGCCTGGCTAACATGGTGAAACCCCGTCTTTACTAAAAATGCAAAAATTAGGTGGGCATGGTGTTGCATGCCTGTAATCCCAGCTACTCCGGAGGCTGAGGCAGGAGAATTGCTTGAACCCAGGAGGTGGAGGTTGCAGTGAGCTGAGATTGCACCATTGTACTCCAGCCTGGGCAACAAGACCAAAACTCCATCTCAGAAAAATAAAACAACAACAACAACAACAAAAAATAAAACCCCAAAATTAGCCAGGCGTGGTAGCACACACCTGTTATCCCAGCTACTAGGGAGGCTGAGGCAGGAAAATTTCTTGAACCCGAGAGGTTGAGGTTGCAGTGAGCCGAGATCGTGCCACAGTACCCCAGCCTGTCTCAAAAAAAAAAAAAAAAAAAAAAAAAAAAAGAGAGCAAGGAGCTCCCATCCTGGAGTGGGGTTTGCCTCCTCTCCCACCAAGCAAGCAGAGGGATTTCTGGTAGCGGGGGTAGAACTGGGCATTGCAGCATTGGCCAGAGGGCTCAGATGAGGAGCGCCAGTGCCAGCACTTCTGAAAAGCATCTATGTGTTGGGGGTGTGCATGGTGTGATGTCCTCATGGCTTAAGTGAGGGTGAGTGGCACCCTGAGCTGCAGCAAGGGGAGGGTGTGAGTACCTAGTTACTTGGGGGGCACAGGAATGGATAGGGATTGGTGATACAGGAAGTGAGTCACAGCAATGCAGGCAAAGGAACAGAGAAGGAAGAAGCAGCAAGTAATGGAAAGAGATGAGTGTCACCAAAGATAAAAAAAGCTGCTGTGCACGGTGGCTCATGCCTGTAAATCTTAGCACTTTTAGAGACCAAGGCGAGTGGATCCTCTGAGCTCAGGAGTTTGACACCAGCCTGGGCAACATGGTGAAACCTCGTCTCTACTAAAACACAAAAAATTAGCCGGGCATGGTGGTGTACACCTGTAATCCCAGCTACTCAGGAAGCTGAGGCACGAGAATTGCTTGAACCTGGGAGGTAGAGGTTGCAGTGAACTGAGATTGCACCACTGCACTCCAGCCTGGGTGACAGAGAGAGAGACTGTGTCCAAAAACAATCAAACAAAACAAACAAACAAACAAAACCAAAAAAACCTAAAAAAGCATACAAGTGAAAAGTTCTAAAAGTAGGTGCAGGTGTTATGACAGTGTATGGAAACCCTAGAACCCTGATATCTATCCTAGAGCATACTGGACTTAAAATAGTCGCCAACATTGTGACAGAAAAGAAGTAAATCATATGACTAGGCAAAGAGTAATATATCATATCAATGTACCTTTGACCTTCCTATTTATTTGAACAGGAAAGTTTTGCCATTCACCAGTTTTTGTGGTGCTGTGATTTCCAGAGCAGTGCCTAAATCGATAGTTTGTGCATAATGTATCTGCTACGTTTCTGTTTTGAAATGTAGCAAAAACTTCAGTAATTTGGAATTAGGTGGGCTAGAGGGAGAAGTCTTGTCGCAGTTAATGAAAATTTGTTTTATTTAATTAATTAGTTTATTTATTTATTGAGATGGAGTCTCACTCTGTTGCCCAGGCTGGAGTGCAGTGGTGTGATCTCTGCAATCTTGGCTCACTGCAACCTCTGCCTCTCGGGTTCAAGCAATTCTCCTGTCTTAGCCTCCTGAGTAGCTGGGACTATAGGCGCACACCACCACGCCTGGCTGATTTTTGTACTTTTAGTAGAGGTGGGGTTTCACCATATTGGTCAGGCTAGTCTTGAATTCCTGACCTCAGGGGATCCAACTACCTCGGCCTCCCAAAGGGCTGGGATTACAGGCGTGAGCCACTGTGCTCAGCCTATTTTTATTTTAAAAACATTTTTAGATTTCTATTTTGTTTTCAAATCTCAGAGCTGTGTGAGATAAAATTTAAGTTTTTCAAAGAAACAATTTTTACTTGTACCAGATTCTCAAAGCAGTTGAATCTAGACTGATAGAAGTTGTCACTTGAAGATCTGGCAGCCCATTTTCATGAATGGTTAGGATAGAATAACTGTTGTAAGTATATTTTGCTTTAAATGGAAGGAGTGGGAAGTACTGCTAAAGTATTTCCAAAAATGTTTGGAAGCGGTTTAACATTTTTAAGTTGGTCAAGCAAGCATATACCATACACAATTTTCTTTTCCCTCATCTAGAAGTTGATAGAACAGGCACATAACTATTTGATCTCTTTAGAGCAGTAGTGGGAAGCCCTTTCTTCCCTCTAGGATAACACTCTGTAATTCTTCCTCCTGTCTAAAACATCTCTATCGGGCTTTGTTGCTTTGTATTCCAGAGTTTTAACATTCTGTATCTCTTTGAAAATAATTCCACTGGGATTAACCCTTGGCACTTAGTGCAAAATTGCTAGTGAAATAGAAAAAATGGGATTTTTTTTAGGGAAGAAGAAAAAAAGGTCCTTTTGGAGCAGAAGCCCTTCCCTGGTGAGGCAGAGCTGGGTAGGTGCTTAAAATGGTAGTTCTGAGTAGCCAGAGGCTGCAACATTTGGGCACCCACCTGGCCCCCATTTCTTAACATTGTTTAGCAAATCCCTTTATTATAGATAACACAAAACTCACATGCGTGGTATCTGAGTTACAATCAATTTCAAATTAATAGTTCTCACAAAAACCCCAGGAGCATATGCAAATCTCCCCCCTTCCCAAAATACCAAAGACTTCTTCCGTAACACTGCAAAAAGATAATTTTTATATTTCAGTCCAAAATCTGTATACAGTCAGTTTGGTTGACTTGGTCCAGTCAGTTCAGAACCAACTAGTTAGTTCCAGATAAAAATAGTCACACTAGCTGTTTATAGACATCTTTTTAATGTTTTACTTTAAAACAAATAATCCCAGTAAAAGAGAGCAAAGGAAATTACACTTTAATGATAGCTTGAAATGGATATGGTGTTCCCGATTTATTTGTTTTCAGGAAACAGACAATTGCATTGTCATACATGACTTAGAACTGCTTACTTAAATGCACATTATTAGATTAGATTAAGTTTCTCTTACAAAAACACAACCATGTCATTTAAGGCGAAAAATCTCAGCTTCTAGGGAGACAAGTTAATATTTATGATATTTCCTCTATCTGATTTAGTGAAATGATCCATTAATTTAGTTAGCCAGGTTTCATCATCCTTACAGTTTTGCTTTGCAAATGGCATGAGAATTGGTCAATTTGTGCCTGATTTCCTCCTCTCTAGTAGACTTATTTTACTTGCAAATTAAGAACTTCAGAATCACTGAATCAATGGGAGGTGAGAAAGGCACCTTAGAACAGATCAGGACTTAAAAACTCAATAAAGTTATTTTAAACAAAACTTGCAATCTACAAATATTAATTTAGTTGAACAAAATGCAAACATGTAGATCAGACATAGCAAAATTTTTTTAGTTAACCTCATACAAGGGATATTTGCAATTAAGTATTAGCTTGATCAACCCTACATGTTGAAGAAGGCAGACACACTTGTACTCAGAAAGCATATGGCTACTCAGTGCTCAGCTAAATTGTGCTTCAAGACATCATTAAAATTGACCAATGGAAATTTGCTTAGTGTAAATGGGAGACCCCTCTCATTTCCACAGAGAGTAACACGACAGACAGAACCTTATAGCTTCCACACAACTATCTTTTAACATCCCCCAATTTTTGTGCTAGAGTAAGATAGACACAAAATGGTCATGGCTTCAATGTATAAAAGTTTTTCACAACATGGTTTATCACATTTTGCTATGATTAAGACCTCAGTGCTGTGTGTAGGTTTTGTTTCTGAATCTTCAGTCGTCAGCAATGCTGGGTGAGCTGTACTGTGTTTGAGACTTAACGAGGCCTAAGGAGGGGTCCCCAATACATTCAGAATTCCTGCTGCCAGTGGGGTTTGACCCAGGACAGAGTATGTCCAAGAATCAGTGCTACCTGAAAGTTGCTGCCTCCCTCCTCTTCCTCTGTTAATAATGGGAGAGAGCCTGCCCAGTCACGGCAGGTGTCTGGCTTTAGGTCAGTGGAGGGGTGTGTGTGTGTGTGTGTGTGTGTGTGTGTGTGTGTGTGTGTGTGTGTGTGTGTGTGTGTGTATGCAACATTCTTGCAAGGGGGAATCACAACTTCAGGTTGAATGAAGATGAAAAATTGATTTTCATAATTTACTAACATTCTGTATTTTGAAAATGAAAACAATTGCTTAAAAGGATTGACAATGTCTTAACTGAAGTGTAAAATTTAGCCTCTATCTTCTATACATTTCCAGCAGCCAAAAAGATTCTAAATGATTCTAATTGTCTTAGAATCCAAGTGGGATGCGAAGAGGAAGCTTTAAAAATTTCCATGTTTATCAAAAGGGACAAGGTTCTAAAAGGTTGAGAAGCACATTTTAGGTAAAGCGGAGAACTGGTTGACCTGGGGATGGAGGCTGGTTAAGGCCTGGTGAAGTTCAGAAGCAAAATACTGGCAGGGAATGAATAAGGAGTTAATGAAGAAGAAAAGCAGGGGAGAGTCAATGATGGAGAAAGCCTGTTGGGGAGGGCTGGGGAGGATTGGTGGAGTTCAGGGCCTCCTTCTTCCTTTGAACATCCACTTGATAACCCTGCTCATTCTGCTTGGCTGCTGGAGAAGTACTTCTGGAGGCAGCATTTATGTCTGCCAAGGAAACAACTTCCTTTCTTGAGTCCTCCTGTGGCTAGGGTTTAATTGAATTGAAATGCTATCTCTTATGTCCTTTTTTTTTGAATGTCATTACGTTGGCTGAAGTTCTGGTGACCTAAGATAGCTAGATGGGTTTCTAACAAGCAGTCAGCATTGCTTGCTTTCTGATAAATACATTTGT
This sequence comes from Homo sapiens, assembly GCF_000001405.40. Classification (NCBI taxonomy): domain Eukaryota; kingdom Metazoa; phylum Chordata; class Mammalia; order Primates; family Hominidae; genus Homo; species Homo sapiens. The sequence continues at coordinate 73,196,831 of NC_000006.12, read as the reverse complement.
CATTTTGTTTCCCTTGGTCTTTTTGCTGCCATGATATATTTAAGTGTTCTGATTTGCAGACTCTGCCAGTACTATCTAGCTTCTAATTGTAAATGTTTATATCAGGAAATTGAACCAGTAATTTCAGATTTGGGACAACATTCTTGGGAAGAATAGAAAATTTTCACTACAGTATAAAAAGTAAAGGAAGTTTCGTTTTAGACTTTCATATGCAAAATGTACACATAATAGCAAAAGACATTCAGGGCATATTAAAAAATAAATACCTTGCAAAAATTCTCTGCTTATATATAAGAATAAGGGAAGATTAGGTAGTTGAATTCCCTAGCAATACTCATTTTCTAAAAAGTCTAGTTCTTCTATTTTGGTTTGTTTCTCTCCCTCTCATTGCCCTTTGAGGGGGAAGTCATTTTCTTTTACTTTGCCAACTTCCTGGTGGTGTTTCTGGGTTCTTTTCAAGCCTTTCCTATCTCAGTCCCACTCAAATGTCCCATCCCCCATAGTCCTACCTGTATGTCAGCGAAATGAGAATAGCTTCTCACACTTGCCCTTTACATAGGCAGTATTGGCAAGCCTGGGGTTGGCGCCATTGCAGAGAAACCAGTCCAATCACAATGGCTGTTCTACTGACCAGTATTTCATACGCTTGTGTAGAAGTTGACCACTTATAAAGTTGATTCTGCCATCAGGCAATATGTTTTCATAAAGTCAAATATGTCAGATAGTCTATTTGCCTCACTGGCCCTGAATTTCATTATTTGCACATTTTCTAATTGAAGAACATTCTTGTCATAAAGAACAACATGAAAATGATGTGCAAAATTGCTTGCCACAGCGCTAAATCACCAAAAGCACACAAATTGACATTCAAATTACATTAATAATAAAATGACTGAATAGGAATGGGTTGGCAAATATATCTTGAAATAAGCAGCCATTTCTATTATTCCCCAATTCTGCTTTAGTTGATACCTTATTAGCAGCTGTTGATAGCCATTGTGTTTAAATATACATTATGGCCTAATCTTGAAAATGTAGTTTGTATTTAGTCACAAAGCAGAAATGCCTGAAATTTGAAGGTGTTTACTCCCATAATTTCAAAATACAGTGTCAAATCTTCTAAATGACCTAAACTTGACATATTCATACACCCCATAGCATTAGCTGTGTTTGGTTTCTCAGGCTTTTTAACTCAAGGTACATTACTAAATGAGTGGGTTAATGTCGATGCACCTTGGAATTTTAGCCATCCCTAAACATGCATTTTCATGCAATTAAAAGGTAACGGGCTTATAAACTGCCTTTCATGTTCTTCCCGATTCTTGCAATTTCAACTTTTTAGAAGGGCTTTCGAAATAGTTCATGCAATGATATGTATGGCTAAAGAACTGCTATGCCTGGAAAGAAAATGAAGAACTTATTTCAGTTTGACATGAGGCAAGCTGAGGGCATCTGTACTTTCTCCTGCCTTACAAATGCTCTGAGATGATCGTGACCTTCCAGTCCTTAGAGAGTCTGATGCAAAGGCAGCTTCCCTGGCAGGCTGCGGTGCGGCATCAAAAGTGTCTGTCTCTGTCTCTTCGGGACCCACCTCTTCATCAGTTATAAACAATTTGGATTCCCTCCATTTGGGGTAAAAATCTTGGCTGCCTCTGGAGCCACTTGACTCACTCCCTGAAAGTTGTATATTCAGTTCCTCGGTCGACCTGATCAGGTTTTGCACAGACAAAGATTTGCCCAAGTCCTTCGGCACCATGGGACAGACAGACAACAGAGTTTCTCCTCCCATGTCAAAGCTTTTCCTCATAGAACGGTCCTTGGTGAGATTTGACTGTGCAACCTGAACATTTTCCTTGGAGGCAACAAGGCAGGTGGTGACGTCAGAAATGCTTTCCTGTAAGCCTGCAGGGTTAGGGTGCAGAGTTTCTGGCCTGGGCAGATGCTTGATGGCTGGGAGAGGAGGTGGGATCTGTAAAGTTGTTGGGGCTGCTGGCTTGGGTGCCGTATTTATTTGGTTTGCAATGGTGTTGGTGGCTGCCACTGCTGAGCCATCGCTTTGACTAATTGGCACCTGTGTTGCTTGACTGTGCATAGTAGGGCTAAGCGCGTAGAAAGTCTGGGCACTGAACTCATTTGGCGTCAGAATGAACTGCAGGCCTCTCGAGATGTTGGCACTAGTTGATCTGGATAAGCAGCCACTGTTTTGTGCGGAACCCGAAAGATCTTTGCTATCCACAGGGCTTTGATAGTCAGATGTCTGTTCACATTCAAAAGGTGGGATCTGGAATGAAGCCAAAGCGAGGGCTGAGGCAGAGCCTTTCCGAAGGACCTGTTGATAGATGTCTAGTAGGCAGTCCAGCTTGGATTCTATGGACTGTACCTAGAAGTGAGGAAAATGGTTACACATGAGTATAATCTGTTATTAAGAATGGACTTCATTTTTTAATTTTGAAAAATGAAGTCAAGGTGTGCCAACACATTTAAAGAAATATTGAATATAAAGTACGATGCAGTCTTGACCCTTAGTGAATGTAACATTTAGCAATGATGGGGCCAGAGGAGGACTTAGGAAGAGAGGGACACTTTGGCTTCTATACAGTCTTTATTAGCATCTCTCCCCCACCACTTCTTTAAATAGTGCCTCTTAAAAGTCATATAAGCACTATAAAAATGCAACTTTAAGACTTTCCATTCCAGGCTGGGTGCAGTGGCTCATGCCTGTAATGCCAGCACTTTGGGAAACTGAGGCAGGAGAATTGAGCCCAGGAGTTTGAGACCAGCCTGGGCAACATGGTGAGACCTCGTCTCTACCAAAAATAATACAAAAATCAGCCAGGTGTGGTGGTGCATGCCCATAGTCCCAGCTGCTAGGAAGGCTGAGTTGGGAGGATTGACTGAGCCCAGGAGGTAGAGGCTGCAGTGAGCCATGATTGTGCCACTGCACTTCAGCCTGGGTGACAGAGAAGTCCCTGTCTGAAAAAAAAAAAAAAAAAAAGACTTCCCATTCCTGTCAGATTGTCTTTCCTAAGTCTCCTCTATGAAGACATTCTGAAACTCTACAGAAATCTAGTAAGGAACTTATTCTATAATGAAACCAATACCTTAAGCATCAATCTAGGTGATTCTGAATTTAAAGTTACATAAAAAAATAAAGGTACAAAATGCTCCGGAATTAATATATGAAGTATTTTTTATTAAATTGGGGGAGCCATTTGATTTCTGGAAAATTGTCTTTGTATATGAAGATGCAACAGACTTGAGGTTAACAAACATTCAATGTGTCATCAGAATTATAATAAAGTTTTATTTTTATTTATTTTATATTTTATTTTATTTTATTTTATTTTATTTTATTTTATTTTATTTTTAGTAGAGACAGGGTTTCACCATGTTGGTCAGGTTGGTCTTGAACTCCTGACCTTGTGATCTGCCCGCCTCGGCCTCCAAAAGTGTTAGGACTACAGGCATGAGCCACCACACCCGGCCTTGTTTTACTTTTAAAAGGAGTGACCTGCAGAGTGCTATGGCTCACGCCTGTAATCTCAGCACTTTGGGAGGCCAAGGCAAGCGGATCACTTGAGGTCAGGAGTTTGAGACAAGCCTGGCCAACATGGTGAAACCTGTCTCTACTAAAAATACAAAAATTCGCCGGTCTTGGTGGCGCATGCCTGTAATCCCATCTACTTGGGAGGCTGAGGCACGAGAATCACTTGAACCCAGGAGGCGGAGGTTGCAGTGAGCTGGGAGCATGCCACTACACTCCAGCCTGGGCAATAGAGTGAGACTCTGTCTCAAAAAAAAAAAAAAAAAAATTAATGACCTAAAAAAGAAACAATAAAAACAACTGAAACACAAATGAAGAATAGATCTTTGTTATTTTTAAACGATTTTCAACTATTGGAAATCTATAGTTGTTTCCAATTAACTATTAATTGATGAGATGAGATTTTCTATTCCTTAAAGGGAAATCCAGAGTGTTTCAGAGAGCACTGTCTACACACAAAGAAAATTTAATTTTATTCACTCTTTTTGTGATTTTATTTATTTTAAAATAATCACTGGAATACATACAATTGCCTATAATAAATTTTGATTAAAAAAATTCTGGCTAAAAAGATACCCAGCGTAGTTGAGTTGTACCTGTTTTTCAACCTTGACCACCCGACCGAGCATACTGAGATCGTCTGTGGTCTCATGTTCTGCTGTTATTTTCTCTCGGCTCTTCTTATCTGATGTGATTTGCCCTTTTCCAAGAATTTGATCAACACTATCAGAGAAAGAGGAGATCTGATTATGAGGGCTGAAGGTGGAGATTGCCCTAGGTCAGAATGAAGAGTTTTGGAAAAAAAAATTAAATACAGTTATCTTCAATTTATGTAAGATGAAATAAGAAAGAACTTGTTCCAGTTGATATGCTTATTTGAACATGAGATTACACATGAAATTAATTTTCTCATTATTCTGGTCCAAGATGAAATCACTTATGGGTGATCTTCTGGAAGTAAAAGTGTCCTAAACTACAAAGTAATATGTTTCTACCTCTGATCAGGCAGTTCCTGAATTTAACCATTTCAAAATATGACAAAAATCATAACTATAGAGATCTTACATTAATAGAACAGATTATTCTATGAGCATCTATTGTACATGTGTGAAAGATAAGCAGATAAGAAAGCCATGGTCTTTTTCTTTCGGAGTTCAAGTTGGAGAAGATACATGAGCTAGAAACCCAAGATTGGTTCTATAAATTCTGTAGCAGTTCAACTTTATAAAACCTTGGGAGCTGTAGACAGTTTTATTAAAGAACTTAGAAGGCCATGGCCATCTAGGCAGAGATTGCAATATGACCACAATCTCTGGTCATGTTACAGATGTTACAGAATGAATTAAAGCAATTTCCAAGAGAACTTGACCAGCCTAAATGAGAATCACTTTCTTCTTTTTTTGTATGTGTTTAGAATTGAATTATCAAGAGTATAGACAACTTTCCAGTTTACTTTGTCTGAAGAGAAACATAGGCAGTACTCACTTCCTGCCATGACATCTAATTTACTAAACTGCAAACTCTACAAGGTCTGGGTCATTATTTTATCAATCTCTGGATGTCCACAGGTCCTGGCACACATGATGGGCTCAATAATTACCTGCTAAATGAATTAACAAATTGTTATTTCTATAACAATTGATGAACAGGTATTTTACTAAGGGCCCATTATATGCCTCACACTGGGCTAAGTGTGCTGGGGGGCATAAAAAAAAGTTCAAGTCTCAGTCCTTGCATTTTGGGCACTATACAATCACAAATGCTGGTAATTTGTGCTGGTAATAAAGCAAGGCTCTTAAAAAACTGAATTTACTGAATATTTTGGCTTTGAGATAATCACAATCAACCATATGTGGTTGGAATTAACATGTGGAATTCATTTCTTTTAATCACTCAATAAGATGCTACTAGGAGGATAGTATATTTGTAGAACCGTACAGGACATGAATGAAGGACCTCAGTCTTAGTCCAGAGCAAGGTGAACACACTTGCAACCAGGAAACAACACAAGGGCCAAGTCTCAACTTTGGCCCAGCACACCGAGATTCTGAGTGCTCTTGTGCTCTGCAGTAGACTCTGCTACTGTATAAAGGTCAGAGAAAGGCCCGTCTTCACAGGTTGGATGGTTGGATGAAACTTAATGAAGGAGAAATAGTACGTTATTCCCAAAGGATGATTAGAATTTAGATAATAAATGGAATTTAGATAATTTAGGATCAGCAGCAGTAATAATTCAAACATCAGCAACAACCATTGATGTTTATTAGACACAGTACCAGGCCTGTTACATGTTATGAATTACATGCATTAACTTGTTCAATCCTCATGACAACCCTATAAGGCAAGAACTAACTTTCTTCCCATTTTTACAGATAAGGAAAATGAGACAGTTGGATGCTTTGAATGCCTGAGTTATATCTATGTTAAAAGCAAAATAAAATCAATGTTTAAAGCAAATTCCATTTGCCCACTAAAAATGAATGAAAAATATGGAGTTCAGAGGTTTACTCTACTAAAGAGAAGTTCTTCCTAGATAGGTTCTATGCCCATTCCTTTACAAGGAATGACATTTCCATTGCTTACCGTGTTTGAAGGCTTTTAATTCTACACAACATGTCCAGATGACCAGCAGAATATTGTTCAATGACATCTTTTACATCATATGGACGTAATGTTTCCTTAAACTTCCGTTTTGCAACATGAAATTTCATAATTCTGTATGAGAACATATTACATATTAATCTTTATAACTCTGTTAATATAAGTTACCAAAATAGTTTACCAGTAAATATAATAAGAAACTCTGGGGGGAAAAGTCATGCATCAAATTATTTTTGGCTTCTGCAGATGTGTAATATAAAAGCCTGAGATTACAGTGGACAATTTAAGAACATCTCATGTGAGACAACACCTTAAGAATAGAAAAACACACTAAAAAAGAGGCTGAACACTAAGTGTTTTGCCTTTTTAATGTCCGTTGAAACCCTGAATGTAAGTTAAAGTCAAAATGCAATTCTAACTTTTCCATGCAATCTCCAGAAGTCCAAGATACAACATCTAGTAATAGCATCCCTTAAAAAATATAAAGGCTGTTAAAATGGTCTTTTATGGAACTACATGCATTTTTGAGATACAAATGTGTTTGCAAAACACTCTATTCTCTCTAGAGAAATGTACATTAATATGGAAATTTGTGTTTTTTTTTTCCCATAAATTATTCCTGCAGAATACTGCTGGATTAGCTAGCCAAGTTCTTTTTGTTTTAAACATAATACACTTTTTTTTTTTTTTTGAGATGAGGTCTCACTGTGTTGCCCAGGCTCTAACTCTTGGGCTCAAGCAATCCTCCTGCCTCAGCCTCCCTAAGTGCTGGGACTACAGGCATGAGCCACTGGGTCCTGCCATAACACATTTCTTAACTAAGCTTGGGAGCCTAAGCTTTTCAGAACCAGGGACCTCTTATAACAATGCCTCCTGCAACATGGGCCCCATCTTTTACAATGATATTTCATCAACAAATTCCATGATGCCATCAATAGCTAATCTGCCTAAGATAACTAGTTCCTGCAATAACTTGATGCAATTTCTGATGAAAGCAGAGAAACATAACATTTGAATTAGTTTGTGTAGCCTTATTGCAGGTAAATTTAAATCCGTTGGTGTTTTTCAGCTACTAAATGGCCCATAGACTTCCATTATCACACTTGTAGATTCCAGGCTGGGAATCAGTCACTAAGAGACAAAATTTGTTGTCACTTGGTGGAAAGTGGGAAGATTAGGAACAAATGTAAAGTTGAAAAAGAAAACATCCATTGTCTATCTTAGGTGACAGCTGATTTCAAGGAATCCAAATTGTTTTATAGGTTAAAAAGCCTAAACCCTACCTTGCAATTGTATTATTAACTTTCAATTAATTATATCCTAATTATTCCTGAATCATTTATCTGTAATATTCTTACTCCCTTTCTCTAACCACATATTTTTCACCAATCTCTTCTTTATTCAGTATAGGTTTTGTATTTCCCCCCAAAACCATTTAAGCAAAATTATTCAGCAGAAAGTAAAGAAAATTAGTGTTTTAATTTAACCTCTTAGTATTGAGCTTTGGTTCCAAATTGGTTTACCAGCATTTAGGTTTCATAGAGTCTTAGTGTCCTGTATCAAAAAAACTGAGAAAAATAACAAAATATGTTACATGTGAAATTTCTGGTCCTGAGCAATTATGTAAATATCTGTTTCCATATACCAGACTGTCAATTAGGTAAAGGCAGACATAGATGTCTTTTTTTTTTTTTTTTTTTTTTTGAGACAGAGTCTCGCCCTTTCACCCAGGCTGGAGTGCAATGGCATGATCTCAGCTCGTAGTAATTTCTGCCTCCCAGGTTCAAGCGATTCTCCTGCCTCAGCCTCCCGAGTAGCTGGGATTACAGGCACGTGCCACCATACCTGCTAATTTTTTGTATCTTTAGTAGAGATGGGGTTTCACCATATTGGCCAGGCTGGTCTCGAACTTCTGACCTTGTGATCTGCCCACCTCAGCCTCCCAAAATGCTGGGATTACAGGCGTGAGCCACCGCGCCCGGCCTAGATGTCTTTTGTTCAACAGTCAGTGCTTAATAAAAGTTAGCTATTGTTGTTACCACTTCTACTATGACATTGTGTGCTTAGAGCTTCGCACAGTTTCTGACACAGTAAAAAATATTTGTTGAATAAGAGGAGGAAGGAAAGAAAGAGATAAAGAGAAGATCTCTAACCTGAGTCATATTAAGAATAAAACCAGAAGAGCTAATCTAACAGCCTAGAACCCTTCTTTGCTGTCTTCAAAGTAGCTAATGATGACTGGGTGGGCAGGAAAAAAGGAAAATCATCTTCATATATCCCAAGGTGGTTTTGCTGTTGTTGTGTGGTTGTTTGTGTTTTCATAACATCTGTCTACCACTTGTTATGTGAAGTACTTTGTATGTCTTCAATAGCACTTGATAAGATATTCCTTTCTCCTATTTATATTTTGGGAAACTGAGGTTCAAAGAACTTAAGTAACTTGCCCCCCAAAACAAGCAACTGGTATTAGGCAAAATCAGGATTCCACCCAGATCTGTCTGGTTTCCACTGCCACATTACCTCCTGGTTTTCCCATGGCATCAATTCTGGAGAATTGAGAAGTCTGAGTGGGATCTTTGGCAGTTCTTTCTTTCCTATGGTGGTAGAAGAGGCGCAAGCTACAGCATACGTCAGTGTGTTCTCTCTGGCTGTAGCTCACACATTTGTGGTTTGGGACGCATCTGCCCAGATGTGAACCTACATACTTCCAACTGCCTTTTTTGCCCTAATGGGGATCTGCCATTTTTTCTTGGTGGGATGTTATGTGAGCTCTTTCAGATAATTCATCAAAAGTTGCTTGTTGCTTTTCTCTCTTCCTTTCAGAGATGTTTTAACAGAAAGTACATTTTGAAGGCATTTGATAGATAATATTGCACTCTAGCACTCACGCAGTCATAGTTTATGCAAACCTTAAATAATTTCATTTTTACTTACATAATTTGCTATTTATGAGCTAGCTAGCTAAAGTTAAAATTAAAATCCATGGTTTATAATTGTGATCAATACTAAAAATGAAACTGATTATCTTTTATGTTATTTCAATATACTCACATAATGATAAGTATGCAAAACAGAGTAGATTTTAAAACTCTTAATAGGTTTATCATTTATTTTTATACATCATACCACTCTTCAGGTGGTATTGCCTTTTTTCCAGTGCTTTACTTACAGATTTTCCTACTTTATGTATGAGAATTAAATAGTGAAAATTGGATTAATAAATATCATTTCAATTATTTAGAAAAGAGGAGTATGTGCAGTGGTGCCTGGAGCAACCTTGCATTGACTCCCAAGCACTGACTACTTTTAAGAATTTTGGTGGTTATTAGGCCGGGCGTGGTGGCTCACGCCTGTAATCCTAGCACTTTGGGAGGCCGAGGCGGGTGGATCACGAGGTCAGGAAATCGAGACCATCCTGGCTAACACGGTGAAACCCCATCTCTACTAAAAATACAAAAAATTAGCTGGGTGTGGTGACGGGCACCTGTAGTCCCAGCTACTTGGGAGGCTGAGGCAGGAGAATGGCATGAACCCGGGAGGCAGAGCTTGCAGTGAGCCAAGGTCACGCCACTGCACTCCAGCCTGGGCGACAGAGCAAGACTCCGTCTCAAAAAAAAAAAAAAAAGAATTTTGGTGGTTATTAAACACCACATATTCTCACTCATAGGTGGGAATTGAACAATGAGAACACTTGGGCACAGGGCGGGGAACATCACTTCCCAGGGCCTGTCATGGGGTAGGGAGCAGGGGGAGGGATAGCATTAGGAGAAATACCTAATGTAAATGACGAGTTAATGGGTGCAGCACACCAACACGGCACATGTATACCTATGTAACAAAACTGTACATTGTGCACATGTACCCTAGAACTTAAAGTATTTTAAAAAAAGAATTTTGGTGGTTATTAAATACAGCTGTTACTAAAAATTAAATTACATAGACTTACAATCAAGTACATTATATTAAAAATAAAGGTAATATGTACTCAAACCTCACCATTTCCTAATTATTTTACTGTATGTTACTCTCTAGGCTCTTGAGTTGTTCACATCTATTGCGTCTGTACCATGGAAATTCTATCTAATAATGTAATATTGCTCGTCTTCTCAATTCCTGCTCAGTGATGTCACATTGGTAGTTTGAAAACAGCTATGACAGGAGTATTTACACTACAGAAATTGGCAAACAATACAAATCAGGATTTCCTTCTGAAGAGCTGGTTGTTCAGCATTTACCAGTGCATTACTGATGCTAAAAAAAATCTTACTTATTAAGGATTAAGTTTTTGAAGATGGAGATCAAATAGATTTTCTCAACTGGCTGTGTTGTGGGTTGAAAACAAAAACATTAAAGAGATTCAAAGTGAGATATGAAAGTTCTAAATCAGGTTCTATGGTTTATAAGTGTGGAGGGAATGTTTAAAAGCATAGACTGTCTTTCTTTTTCTCTTTTTTTTTTTTGAGACAAGGTCTCACTCTGTCACGCCAGGTGGAGTGCAGTGGCACAATCATGGCTCATTGCAGCCTTGACCTCCCAGATCTGCCAATCCTCCCATCTCAGCCTCCCAAGTAGCTGGGCCTACAAGGAGATACCCCCACACCGGTTAATTTTTATATTTTTTGCAGAGATAGGGGGGGTCTCCCTATGTTGCCCAGGCTGGTCTCAAACTCCTGAGCTCAAGTGATCCATCTGCCTTGGCCTTCCAAAGGGCTGGGATTACAGGCATGAACCACTGCACTTGGCCCATAGATATTTTTGAAATCAATGATTTATATAAAGAATGATGACCCTGTCATTATACTTTCGTTAAAAGAAGACTAGGCATGTCCTAATAGCTCTCAAAGCTGTCCCCTCATTTGCATCTCCACTGCTATAGGCTTAGAAAGAACAAACCTTTCAAAATGCAAGTAAGGGCATATTACCTCCCTCCTAAAGTCCTTCACTGGTTTTCCCTGGCCTATAGGATAAACATCAAACTCCTAGAAGCACATCCTATATGGCTGTTTATAAACTGGCCTCTATCTCTCTTGCCTCATCACCTTCCACTTCGTCCTTGGAACTTTAGGTTCCAGCAACAATAAAGTATGTGTAGGTCCACAAAAACCCTAGCCAATCAATTATATACTTCAATTACTTCCATTTGCTATTTCTTTTTCCTGAAATCCTGCTGTGTTTTCAAAACTCTGTTTTAAAGTCACTTCTTTTGGCCAGGTGTGGTGGCTTACACATGTAATCACAGCACTTTGGGGGGCTGAGGAGGGAGGATTGCTTGAGCCTAGGAGTTTGAGACCAGCCTGGGCAACATAGTGAGACCCCTGTCTCTACAAAGAATAAAAAATTAACCATGCATGATGGCACATGCCTATGCTCCCAGCTACTTGGGAGGCTGAGGTGGGAGGATCACTTAAGCCCAGGAGGTCGAGGCTACAGTGAGCCTTGACAGTCTTGCCACTGCACTCCAGCCTGGGTAACAGAGTGGGACCTTGTCTCAAAAAAAGCTCACTTCTTTCATAGAAATTTTTATGATTCCAACAAAACAGTTAATCACTTCTCTGTTAACCTCTAGCTTAGTACCTAACACACCACACTGTAATTATTTACTCATATTCTAGCTTCCTCCACCAGACTGTGTGAGAACCTTGAATGCAGGGATTATGTCTTCTACTCTTCATATCCCAAAACTTGGCCCAGAGTTTAATGAACATGGGAGGTTTATTTGTTTAGAAGCTCTACTGTGGAGACTTCGGGCAACTCTAGAAGGAAGAGGGTAGTGAATGGTGAGAATTCCCCCCTTCTCTCTCCAAATACTCATCTCTAGTCATTCCTCTGCATGCTGCCTGCTCTCCAGCCCATCTGGATTTTCCTGTCACCAAAGTGCTCATTCATCAGGATTCTGTCTCTTTGCACTCTACCTAAAATGCTAATTGTTCCAGATTCAGCTCAAGCACCAAGTGCTCTAGGAAATCTTTCCTAACCACCCTCACTGGGGTAGATGGTCTTTCTCTGTGCTTTCAAATGCACTGTGAGGTAGCTAAATCTGTGGCAGTGTGTCTCACCCACTGGAATTTATTCATGCCAGGAACTGTGCTCTTTACTTCAGCATCTGCATAATCCCTGGCAAGTATTAGGGGGTTCATTAAATGCTAGCTGAAGAAATAAATGAGGATTTGCTATTCCATAGTTCAAAGATGTTTGTGTTCTGTGACAAGGCAGACTCTTGTACAGATCTTCTAAAAAGAATGCCTTAGAATAGATTGAAGTTCTTCAGGCACATTTCAGAAAGAGCATAAGCCTCTGAGTTTCCTCCATGAATAAAAAAACTTTCTAAAGTAAAAGAAATGTTCACTCATTCAATAGTTAGGACCATGTGGGGTTCAGAAAAGTCATTTAAATAGAACTGCTACTGAAAATCATGAAAACATAATTTTCTTTTTCCTTAGATTGCTAACGTAATTAGGATCACACAAAGCAACAGCATTGCAAGCAACAACATATCATTTTGAGGAAATAAGGAGAAAGGCAAGAACAGTGGAAGTCAAGAAATATGTAATACTACAACATGATAAGCAGCAAAAGTAAAGAAAGACCTAATAGCAAAACAAAACTGTCCAGGGAAAAGAGAGGGAAGAGCCTGTTGGGATGGAATTATATTGGTTGAATGAAATTTACAGTATTATAAGACCATCAAGAAAACAGTGGAAAACATGTGGCTAGAGTCTAAAAAGAATACAACCTCAGTTTTTCATTCCTAGGAGATTGCTATCAGTGCTTCCAAAAATCACGTGTGCCTGTCTTGCTCTAAGCAGGACCAGGTGTGAGGGATGCTCTCTGGGGCTCCTGTTTTAGCCATCATACTCTGTGAATGAAGATGCCAGGTCAGTGGGGTCACATAACTTGACATGTTTACATTATTCAATTATCTCAGCCTCCCTCTTTCCACCCAATCCCCTCTCACTTCTTTCAGGACAGTACACGATTTTCATGATCAAAATAGAAGGTAGAGAGAGGAAAATTTGTGTCCAAGCTAAGTTTGAGAAAGCATCTCTGAGTATTTAGTATTGTCCTCCTTGCCCCCTGCAGCATTTTCTTATTTCTCTGGTCATCATTGGAATGCCTGGAACTGCCTCTGTCTCTATGATGCAATGAACTTAACCTGGGCACCCACTATCCATCTGCTGGACACAGAGCTGGATGGCGGGGATACAAAGGTGAACAAGACATAGATCTTGCTCTCTTCAACTTAATGTTGAGTGGGTCTCCAAGAGTTGTGCTTGGCTGGATGGCTGGTGCAGTGCTAAGTACTTTACCTGCATTCTGTCAACTTAAAACTCTAAGAATTTTCCACCTTTGACATTTGGGTCAAGTAAAGCTCAGGAGGTTGAGTTACCTGTTCAAGGTCACAGAACTAGTAAGAACAAGGTTACTGCAGATGCCAAGGCTCACATTTTTACCATTCCACTCACAGTGCTGCAACACAGAGTGAATCCCAGGCAGGCAACCTTGTAAACATTAAGGAGAATGTTTAGGCTGTCTATGGATCTGACCTCCTACTCTGCCTTGTATGCTCTGACATTCTCACACAAATGAATCCAAGGCCACATTAGTCATTTATTCATCTCTGTCCTTGTCTTTCCAGAGGGGATCCCATACTTGGAAAACATCTGCCTTTCAACCTGGCCACCTGCATTCTCTCATAAGGTCCCTTCTGGGAATCAGTCCATGGCTAATATGGGTTACCTACCTCCAGTAATTGTAATGTTTTCCCTTTTATCACAAATTTTAGGGGCTGTCTGCTTACTTTACCTCATTTGTAGGATATATACATCAGTCTCATTGGAGTCTGTTAGTTTTGCTTTACAGGGTATATTTTCCAGCAAATATATGTAATATATTCCCAACGTATATCATGAGCAAAAAGCTACCCAATTAGCCTTTGATAAGAGGAGAGAGTAGGCCATTATCTTGTTACTTGCAGGGAGCAAGGAAGCTCAGAGTTCAATAATTCTAGACACCAGGAAAAAATATGTGGGTGCTGAAAATTGAGGAAAATGTCCCAAAGTAGGTATCAACTACGAATTCAAAAGGTCTTTCAATTCTTCAATTTTTTTTCTAAGACTTGCATTTCATATACTAAGGGCTTTAACTACAGGATGAGGGGGTGGAGGGGAGACCAGAGGAGTAGGGGAGTCCTTGTTGGCAGGTAGAAGAGTGAAACCTGGTTTCATGCTTAGTTCTCACATAGGCTAGCCCAGACCTTCTGTGTCTTACTCTCTAAACACAGCTGGGAGCAAGCCCAGAGCGACTCAGAGTCTAGACAAGGGCCAGAAAGCTTCTTCTATAAAGGGCCAGGTAGTAAATATCTTATGCTTTGTGGGTTGTATGGTCTTTGCTGAAACTACTCAAGTCAGCCACTGTAGCATGCGAGCAGCCATAGGACAATAAATAAATGAATGAGTGTAACTACATTTCAATAAAACTTTATTTATAAAAACAAGCCCCTTGGGTTAGATTTTGATCCCCTGGCTATAGTTTGCTGACCCCTGGTTTAGATAAGAAGAGCTAAGAGAAAATGCCCTGAAGCCAAGAATAAATGAAAGCCCATGAACTGGCCTGGGGAAGAAGCAGAAGACCTTGGTGGCCTCTTACATGCTTACAAAAGAAGTTTGATATGACTTGTGTATTTCCTACTAGAAAGGAATTTCTGGGCAAATCATTCTAGAGTTAAATTAGGACCTTTAAGATACATTTAATGATTAAAATGATAATATTAGATAGCACTTTATAGTATAATCCTATGATAAGGGTACTATTGCCATCCCTGTTTTGCAGATAAAGAAACTGAGGCACAGAGAGGTTAAGTAACTTGCCTGATGTTAAACATCCAGTAATTGTGGAATTAGGACGTGAACCAGTTTGGCTCCAGCTTTGAGCTCTTAATCATAAGGTTCCTCTATTGTCTTAACATTAAGATCTTCATACTTTAACACAAAATAACAACAATGAAAAAGACACTTTGATATGATATGATTGTTTTTACTCACATGTGCCTGGCACATAGTAAGTGTTCAATACACTTTTGCTAAGTGAATGTCCTGTTTTTACTATGTCTCTCCTTCTTTGAGAGAGGTCTAAAGTTTCATGCAAGAAGTAGTTAAGAAGTTCTACTAATTTTTCAAAGGATTACCTTAGAAGAGAAAGGGAGTGCTGAAGTGACTGATTCATCCTTTCTTTCATGAATATTCATTAAGTACCTATGACGAGCCCTTTGGAGGACCAGCAAAAGGCTGAGGAATAAGTTACATACTCATCTGCTTCTTTTCTTCATGAGGGTAGATTGCATCACTGGGATTAATACAGCAGCAAAGAGCAAAAGACCTCTAAGGTTAGTCTCCTTTGATGCTGTTGGTTATGAAGAGACTAGGAGTCTAATAAACCCATTGCACAAAACTGATATGCCCCAGCAGTACCACTAGAGGGTGTAAAAGATTCATCACAAACCTAAACTAGTACCTCCTCTTGAAACTGAAGTCTGCTCATACAATTTTCTGAGCATGAAGAAATAACTAAAGCAAAGTGAAACTCTGGGTAGACGACATCTATATATACACACGAACACATGTGCACTTATAAGGAAATGTAGGTGCATTTGTTGTGCTGCCATGAGTTCTAAAATCTTACAAAAGTCTTATTCCAATCCTCTAAATTAGGGTAAAAATATTGCATATGAATATGCAGAGATAAGAACGATGAGAAAACAGAAGCAGCAGTGACTGCTGCCACCGCCAAACAGATGGACGGACCCAGCCAGCAGCCAAACCATGTGCAAGGGCGGAGAGGGCTCAGCCAACTGTGAACTGAAGAGGCAGTTTGATTGACTGTCAAGACAGCAGTACTTCCCAAGCTTGGCTGCTCTTTGGAATCACCTAGGGAGCTTTAAAAAATGCCTGGGTCCTACCTCCAGAAATTCTGTTTTAATTGTTCCAGGGCATGGTCCAAAGATTTTATAAAACTTTTCAGGTGATGCTAATGTGTGGCCAAGGTTGAGAGCCACTGGAGTAGAGACAGGATTGGGGTGATGGTGGCATGTGGTGGTGGAGTGTGTTGGGGGTGGAACAATCCCTGCTCTCATGCAAAGAAGTGATCATGATTCATGCCAGCTTGCAAAATCTTCTAAGTCGCACATGTCAGACCCATTGACATGGCATTAGTGTGCCTTGGTGTCAGACCTCTAATCAGAACTGAAATGCTTCCCCGTCCTTGAGTGAGGTCTGAAGTTTCATGCAAGAAGTAGTTAAGAAGTTCCATTAATTTTTCAAAGGATTACCTTGGAAGGGAAAGGAAGTGCTAAAGTGACTGATTCATTCATTCTTTCAATGAATATTCATTGAGTACCTATGACGTTGTGCTGAGTATTGTGTTAGGCTCTGAACTGTTAACTGCTGGGCGCTGGCAGAGTTAAAGAAGCCTCCTACGTGATGACAATGATCATTTGGTCCTTGGTCTCTTCCTCTCTACAAGCATGGTGCAAGACAATGGTTGCTGCGACTGTGAGCTCTGATAGGATTTGAGAGTTTCATTTGTCCAGAGCTTGGAGCTCTCTAGATAAGCTCCATGTGGCTGCCTCCCCTAGTGATGCCTGATGAGTGGGACTCGAGAATTTGTCCATTCATTCATTCATTCATTCATTCATCAAACATTTATTGAGTGCCTATTATATGCCAGCTTCTGTGCTAGATGCCAGGGATACAGCAATGAAGAAACAAATCCTATTGCTTGGGCACTTTCAGTCTAGTAGGGCAGACAGACAAGTAGGCAGACAGTTAAAATTCACTTTGTGATGTGCAAGGTGGTGGGAAGCCCAGGTTGATATGGGAATGCAGAAGAGGGGTGTTTAACCCAGACTGGTAGAGGTGATCAGAAATGATTTCTGGAGGAGATGACAGTGCTTTACCTACTCTGCACCCTCATTTATGGGGATATTATTAAGTTTCTGAAGGTTGCTGAATGGCCCCCTTGTGATTGCAGATCTTATGTTTGTGGGGTGGATGTGGGTTTCTCCCCCTTAACCCCTCACTTTATGTTGGTTATTTGGGTTAATTTACACTACCGACATGCATTCCACATCCCTCTGTTATGGTTTGAATGCCCCCTCCGAAATTCATGTTGAAATTTTATGCCTAATGTGGCAGTATTGAGGGGTGGAACTTTTAAGAGGTGATTAGATCATGAGGACTCTGGCTGTATGAATAAATTATGGATTAATGGGTTAATGGATTAATGAGTTATCATGAGAGAGGAACTGGTGGTTTTATAAGAAGTGGAAGAGAGACCTAAGTTAGCACTTAGCATGCTCACTCTGCTTGCTATGTGATGCCCTGTGCTGCCTCAGGGTGCCACAGAGAGTCCCCACCAACAAGAAGGCCCTCACCAGATACACCTGCCCACCTTGGACCTCCCAGCCTCCATAACTGTAAGAAATAAATTCATCCTTATAAATTACTCAGTTTCAGATATTGTTATAAACATCAGAAAACAGACTGAAATACTCCCTCTTCCAGTTTGGAAAATTCTATCTTCTGATTTCTGACTCTCCATGAGAAATACAGCATTTATCTGTCTTAAAAGCACGGACCCCAAGGCTCATCCTTCAGGTGACCCAGAGCCTTTTGATCACAGAATTTCCCCTGAGGCAGCCCTCACTCGAAATTGATCACGGGACAAATCCAGCAGACAACTAGGGCTGCAGAGCTTGATAATTTGGGTCACTATTGAAGGCATATGTGTTAGTTATTTAGAATACTTTTTAATGTTGTTTTCTTGTTAATACATAAACATAATTCAACAATATAGATTTGTATTTGTGTTTACAGTATTTAAACTCTGACAGTTTTATAATCTGCAAAGCAAGTTATAAAATTATATATCTAAGATTCCTCTACTCTTCTTTCATCTTAGATCGGGTTACTAGACAAGACCAAGGAACCCCAGGAGTCCCTGGATGCACTGATCTGTCTCATTTTCTTGGTTTTAACTCTTGATAGAGAAATGTAAATTAGCTCCACGTGTGTACAGTCTGTCTGATATTCTCACTGTAGGGGCAAGCAGATATTCCATTTGGCTCACTTAGGACATTCAGACATTCTGTGGCCACACTGTTTCCACCACTGAGAGTAGACTTGTTCTCCTAATGCTTGCCATTATTGTCCTTTATATGCAGGATCTAGTAGGCTCTCCTGCAGAGTTTTTGTTTTTTTTTAATGTTTGTAGAGATGGGTCTTGCTATGTTTCCCAGGCTGGTTTCAAACTCCTGGGCTCAAGCCATCCTCCCAGCTCAGCCTCCCAAAGTGTTGAAATTATAGGCATGAGCCACTGCACCTGGCCCCTCCTGTAGATTTTTGTTGGATTTTCTTTTAAGGGTATAAGAGTAGTAAAACCCAAGCAAGAACTTCCAGATCCGAAGAAGTCTTTCCTGCCAGGAATTTGTAAGCATTGATATGGCGACTAAATTTGGGGATTTTGTGTTCCTAGGAGTGTAAAATCTTGCATAAATTTTAAAGTGTAAAAAAAAAAACCAAATAATAAAGTGTGAAATGAATAAGTAAATAAATAAATTGACTATACATGTTGACTACTTTAAAATATTTTTAACATGGAATAGGAGATTCTATATTTTTAGCAAATAATAGAAAACTCAGTTTAAATTATAGCCAAAGAAAAGGTTTAATATCTCACATGCTACAAAGTAAGTGCATCTTCAGTGAAAACACTACTTTAACACAGCCTCGGAGCAAATGTAGCCACAACTAATTACCTTCAAAACAAAAACAAGCAAAAACAACATTCCAGGGAGTATATTAGCTGATTTTAAAGATATGTGCTAAATGATCCATAAAATGTTCTTTAGCAGCGTCCTTTACTGTAACATGTCATAGATTGGCTGTCAAGAATGTCTTAATAGTGACTTGCAAACAAAGACTCATCACCTCTGCTAAAATAGCAGAGATGCCATCAGCAAAATTAAGAACTGGTGATGATTAAACAGCTTGTAGATTTAACAAAACCCGCAATGGCAAACACGTGCCTCTTCTTTACTTGCGGAGTATTCTTGCCTGAAATATGAAGTGAGATGCAAGAAGGATTCACAGCTGAGATTGCATTTTAGGGATGGTCAAGATAATGGTCCCATACATGCCTTTCAGAACAGGAATAACACAGGGGCAAGAAAACTGAAAAACTTTATCACCCAACCCAGGGTAACAGTGAGGCCTGATTTGCATATCCACCTCAGGAACTCTGAAATGTCATTAGTGGTTCTTCAGTTCACTGATCAGATCTGAGCTATTTTAGAAGAGTTGATGAGCCTTTGCTAGTTACAAAGAAATTCTTGACACTTCATCTATGTTCATATTAGAGTGAGAGATTCTGGTAATTTAAAAAAGTGTTCTATTTACCATCTGGCTTCAAACCCTTTTCCTTCTACTGAATTTTTCTCCGAAGTCACAGATGACCTCCTTGTTGCCACTTTCAAAGGACCTTCTCACTCTTTATCTTCTTTGACCTCTTAGCAGCATTTAACAGCGTTGACATCTGCCTCCTACTTGAAACACTTTCTTCCTCTGGCTTCTCTTCTGTCACGCTCTCCTGGTTTTCCATCTGTCTGGCTGTTTGAATCTATCTCCTTCAGAGCATTCTTACTTTTGCAGCTCCTGTTTGTGAGCCTTAGACTTCTGTGTTGACCATCTTCTCTTTTTACTCCCTGGGGTGAGACTTCCACAAACCATTTATCTCTGTGCTGACAGCTACCAAATTTGTCCATATTCCAGACTGCTCTCCTGGGTGTCAGATCCAGAGATCCACCTACCTGCTGAGCCCTACTGTGACTGCTTGAACTCAACACTCACAATAATGCACCATCTCCCCTCAAGCCAGCCTGTCTCACCATCCTCCAGATATGCCATCCTTGATTCCTCCTGTTCTTTCCCTCCATCCTCTCCAATCAGTAAATATCCAAATCCTATCTGAAATCCATCCTTGACTATTCTCCATCATGACTGCCCAGCTCAGGCCCCAGCAGATCCAGGTATTGTAATAATAGTTCTCTCTTCCCAATACATTCCTTACATTGCAATCAGAGTCATCTTTCCAAGTTTTCAAATGAAGCACTGCGTTAGTCCATTCTTGCACTGCTGTAAAGAAATACCCGAGACTGAAAAATTTATAAATAAAAGAGGTTTCATTGGCTCATGGTTCTGCAGGCTGTGCAGGAAGCACGACTGGGGAGGCATCAGGGAACTTAAAATCATGGCGGACGGCAAAAGGGAAGCAGGCTTCTTATGTGGCCGGAGCAGCAGGAAGAAAGAGAGAAGCGGGAGGGAGGTGCTACACACTTTTAAACCACCAATCTCATGAGAACTCACTTGCTATTATGAGAACAGCAAGGGGGAAATCCGCCCCCATGATCCAATCACCTCCCACCAGGCTCCTCCTCTGACATTGGGGATTACAGTTTGACATGAGATTTGGGCAAGGACACAGATCCAAACCATATCATGCACTGATCTGATAAATTCATTTCTGTACTTAGAATCCCCCACATTCCTGCTCATTCTTATGGTTCCTGCTCTTCTCTTCAGCCTTACTCTCCTCATCCTTGTCCTCCACCTTCAACCATCACCCGTGCTTTCTAATGCCACCTTCACTTCTGCTTCTTTGCAATTGCAGTTCTCTCTGCCCAGCCTCTATATCCTCCTTAGTAACCTGGCTAGTTCCTACATATCTACCAGATTTCTTCTTTTCTTTCTTTTAGAGTCTTCCCAAATGCCACCTTCCCCAAAAGTGCCGATATAGGTTGGCCCAAACCGTCCTGTCACTGTAGTAATATGCTGCTCTGCATTGTAATTGACTCTACTTTTCTGGTAGTTCCTCACAACTCTAAGCAGGGATCCATCTTTTTTGTTAACGTTTATCTCTGTGCCTGGTGCACAGTTGAAGCTCAAGACCTATTTTTCAAATGCATGCACTGAACGCTGGGAAGAGTTTTAAAGAGTCTATAGTCAGGCTTCGACAAGGGTCAGGGAGGGAGAGGGAAGAGCTAACTTCTCCCTTTCATTATCCTGTTGCTTCTTCAGAGGGTGCCTGGGAAGGCAGCAAGCTCACCCTGAGGAGAAAAGAGGTGAGATTTACTTGGAACATTGGCTCATGATTGCTCTTCATGGTTGAAAAAATTGCTCTTCTAGACCAGGCGCAGTGACTCATGTCTGTAATCCCAGCACTTAGGGAAGCCAAGGGGGGGGCAGATCACCTGAGGTCGAGAGTTCGAGACCAGCCTGACCAACATGGAGAAAACCTGTCTCTACTAAAAATACAAAATTAGCCAGTCATGGTCGTGCATGTCTGTAATCCCAGCTACTCAGGAGGCGGAGGCAGGAGAATCGCTTGAACCTGGGAGGTGGAGGTTGCAGTGAGCCAAGATCGCGCCGTTGCACTCCAGCCTGGGCAACAAGAGTGAAACTCTGTTTCAAAAAAAAAAAACTGCTCTTCCAACTCTGAGTAATTTCTCAGTCCAGGTAGTGGGAAGGTAACTTCAAGGGGAAAATGGCAAGTGCTTCCAGGTGAAGGAGATGCAAGCAGGTGAGGCTGTGTATGTTTTGGAAGATGGGAGCACCCTGATTCAAAGACAGAACAAAGTGCTCTTCTCATGTGACTCATCATGGAAGCGGGTGGAGCTCAGAAAGGAAAAGACTGACCCAGAGCAGAGGACGGGCAGTGGAGGCAGCATGCTGGAAGGCATAAGGAGTCCAGACAACTCAAGGGTAATAATATTAGCATTTACATAGTGCTGACCGTGTATACCGTTCTAAGTGCTTTGCAAATGTTTATTCATTTATTCATTCCTTACTACAACCCTATGAGGTCAATACCATTACCATCCCCAGTTTGCCAGTGAGGAAACAGAGGCTTGAAGAGGGAATATGAGTTGCTCAAGGATGTACAGAGGCTGTCCTGTTTCTTGGACTACCTCTCCCTAGCAGCTTCAGGGAGGGTGGGAGGAGGGGATAGAATTAGCCAATGGTACCAGTGTAAAGTCGTTTGTCAGCTTCAACTAAAGACTTCTTTGAGTTTTCACCCTGGACCTTATTCATGTATTCATTTGATTCTCTAAAAGGCTAGTCTGGCCTGGGAAAGAAAAGGTTTCATAAAGTGAAACATAGCAGGCATGACCATTATTGCACGGAGATAGTAAGAGACGGTAAGAGCAAGGCACAATCGATAGCGTCTTGGTCATTTCTCTTCAGAATAATGAATAATCTGCATCAGTGGTTTTGTTGATATTCACAAAAAGAACAGGTTTCACAGTATTTTGATTCAGTTCTTGACAACTGACATAAAACATGGTTGTATAAAACAAACGGACAGGAAAACAACTGTCACTGAGGATCTTATTAAGAGTGGCCTTAAAAGTGTGATCTGAGGACCAGAGCTGCTTCACCAACTCTTGGGTACCAATCCATGAAGAGATTAGTGCTTAGAAACTTTTAATAGCAATTTGACAGGATAATTTTATATCTGTTGAAATAGTTTTAAAAATTGAAAAAAAAAAAAAAGAGTAGCCTTGATCCTAGATGTAGTAATTCATTGAAAACAATACCGGTAAGAAGCAGGTAAGCTTTGCATTGCACTGTTTTAACAAAGCTCTTTCCCCAAATGGTGAATCCTTTACACAGTACTTATACGTTGCATTGGTGTGCATATCTGATAAATTACCTGCCTGTTCAGTACATAAATACAATTTCTGTTATATTTAAAAAAGTTATTATTCTGGGGCTCTTCCATAAATATGCAGTTGTATATGACTTTCAAATATTTGTTATTTTAGTGTCATTCTTTTTTTTTTTTCCCTTTAGAGACAGGGTTTCACCATGTTGCCCAGGCTGGTCTTGAATTCCTGAGCTAAAGTGATCTGCCCAACTCAGCCTCCCAAACTGCTGGGTTTACAGGTATAAGCCACCATGCCTGCCCTGTTATTTTAAATTTAAACAGCATATATTAATTTTTGTGTAAAACTTTGCCCAAGATTCATGTATATATATGTAATGACTACAAAGCCAAGTACTAGCATGAAAAGTAATAGTCTGTTACCTTCAGATAGTCCCAATTAGCCAGATACTTGACATTTTGAAGGAACATATCTAGGTAATTTATGGGCTATATTTTTAAGACAGTGATAGAAAAATGGGTGATCTACTACGAAATAGGTATATGTGAGTGTGTAGAATCCTCTAGAGTCTATCCATTTGTTTGTTTACTTTCCTGCTAATTTTATCTTTCCATTTAGGAACTAATTTCTATGAGTGGATAAAAAGAAACTTAACATTGTTTGAACTGAATCACTAAAATATGGGGCTTTTGTTAAAAATAAGTACAATCTTCACTCCTAAAGGTGAGTTTGAAAACACATTTCCAGCACATTTTTGCATTTCCCTGAAATAATATTTTGAGAAAAATCTATGATAATTCTGGAAGAAATATACAAAACTAAGTTTTCTTCTGAGTAAAAGACATATTTTGGAAATAGTCTAAGAATAGTAATTCTTTACTATGTACCATGAACAGTGACATTATTTATTTTTTAAAAAGTGTCAGAGTGCATTTGGATAATAGAATCCAGACAAATTCAGAGAGTGTCCTTAGTCATCTCTAGAAAATGGCAGATGTTTAAAAAATATTGATAACTGAAAATAAGAACTCTTACTTTGCTCTTTGTGAAGGTAGTAATATTATTTTCCATACTGTCATCCTTGCAGTAGAATACATATTTTTTGTTACACATTTTAATTTGGCTGCTAGGAAAAACTACTATTGCAAGAGTTACTGAAATACAAAAGGCATATTTAAATATTCGTATTAAATATTCTAACAATTAAAAAATAACAAGAAAAATGCCCAAAGTTACTATTTTGAGATGAATAATAGATGTTTCACACCTGCAATCTGTAATATACATATACATACTGCTTCAGGGGAGCTGCAAGAGGTGGGCATGTTCTGGCAAAAACCCTCCGGCAACTGATGTTGAACTTACGAACATAATTAAACACCTTAGGAAAAGAACCCTTCTGCATAAGATTTAGGACTTATACCTGCAAACTTCTTTTTAGAGCTGCTAATTGTATTAGTTGGTTTTTAAATTATGTATCTTTAGAAATTAAGTACACCATGAGTAAAATATTTTCAATTAGGTTATTAAGCTATTGAGTGTATCTATTAGGTTTTTACAGAATCTGTTAATTTAATTGTATTCTCTTTATTTTTATTTTTATTTTTGAGACAGAGTCTTGTTCTGTTGCCCAGGGTGAAGTGCAGTGGCACAATCTTGGCTCACCGCAGCATCTGCCTCCTGGGTTCAAGCGACACAATCTGTTAATTTGAAATGGAATTTAGAAGTGATGAAAAACCACTAGGCAGAATCAGGATATGGAGGAGAAAAACATCCCCCTCAGGTACCACAATGCAGCAAGCAGAAAATGTCAAGAATCCACAAAAAGATAGACATGTAAATAGTAAAGTTCCATTAAAAATAAGAACCAAGAAAGAATTCTGAAAAGCAAGGGAATTCTGCAAAGACTTCACAAAAATCAGTCAAGTTTCAAGAAGAATAACAAAGTAAATCTTAAGCTGTTGCTGAAGTGCTTAGCTAGCAGAATAAACCTATTTCATTTTCTTTCTTGCAGCTCACAATCCTTTTTATAGGTTGTAAAGCAAAAGCAGAAAGCTTCAGAAGGTCTTGGGAAATGACATAAACTGGGTTAAGTATGACTTTTAGGAAGCCTAATCTGCTCTCACTAGATAAGATTTTCCATACTTGTTGCAAGTCAGATTAATTCGTGGACTGAATTGTCCCACCTTTACTTTAGGGTCTTTTATGGATATACTCAACATGTGAAAAATTTCAAGGTGACTTCTAGACCAGTAATGTTCAATAAAATTTTCTGTGACATGGGAAATCTTTCGTTTCTTTGTCTAATGAAGTAGCCACTGGCCACCTGTGGCTATCGAACAGTTGAAATATGAATGGTGCGACTGATCCACTAAATTTTAAAATGTATTTCATTTTAATTAATTCAAATTTAAATAGCCTCAGTAGCCTCAAGTAGCCAGTGGTTATCATATTGGACAGTGCAGTTCTAAATCCTCTATCCCTTTAACTGAAGGCTTCAGACATCATTTCACTACATATTCTGGGTTATCTGGGCTTATACATCACCCAAGACTTCTAGGTTCACTAGAGATAGGGTGACCATATAATTGATTGTCCAAACTGGGATACTTTGAGAAAGATGGGAGCATTATTAACACTTATGATGAGACTAGAGGCATAATCTGGACTGTCCAGGCCAGATAGGAAGGTATAATCTCTCCACCCATAGGGTTTGTGACTTGAGGGTTCCATTGAGAAGTAACTGAACTTTTGTTTTTTTTTAGGCTGCTGCTACAGATAGTGTTTAAACATCTTCTGGAGTTTCATCACACCATGATTTTCTTTGCCCCCACAAACATTTATGAAAATCTTTAGAACTCATTTCTGCTTTCCCAGTGACTCTCAGCTATAGGGCAAATCAATGTCTAACATGATGCCAAATGACCAACTAAAAACAGAAGTAAGTAATCAATCATGCTAACATTCAAGATTAGACCAAACATGTGAATAGCTAAATTGGTTTGGATATTTTATTTTATTTTATTTTATTTTTTGGAGGCAGAATCTCATTCTGTTGCCCAGGCTGGAGTGCAGTGGCATGATTTCAGCTCACTGCAACCTCCATCTCCCGGGCTCAAGAGAGTCTCCTGCCTCAGCCTCCCAAGTATCTGGGATTACAGGTGCCCGCCACCACACCCAGCTAATTTTTGTATTTTTAGTAGAGACAGGGTTTCGTCAAGTTGGCCAGGCTTATCTTGAACTCCTGACCTCAAGTGATCTGCCCCCCTCAGCCTCCGAAAGTGCTGGGATTACAGGCATGAGGCACTGCACCTGGCCTGGTTTGGATATTTTTAACTTTCTTCTAGTTTTTCACCAACAGGCAGAGGTATTTCTTTTCTTTTCTTTTCTTTTTTTTTTTTTTGCAATATAGTTACTCAGCATTCCTTGACAAATACAAATTCTCCCAAAAGGGTTAAACTGGGCCAGCTGAGCATGCAGCAATTCATCTAGTCCAGATCTTGATTGCGTGTGTGTGTGTGTGTGTGTGTGTGTGTGTGTGTGTGTGTGGTGGGAAAGGTCATGGAAAAGGTAAATTTAAGTTGCTAGGTATACTCTCTTAGCTCTCTGCCATCAGTAGAGGAAGCAAATTAAGATCAGCCTTTAACAATTACATTTCAGATAATAAGACTAAGTCACTGCAAAATACTTTAGGTTTCCCATTTTCAGAACTCAACCCATTTTGAAATAACCTACAAGGCCTTTTCTTTGATATACAATTCTGTACAGAATACAGATTGGAGCAAGTCATAAAAATAATTAAAAAATCCAATTGCATCAATAAACTAAATGTCCTTAAAGTAGCAAATACACACGACAAGCCAAGACTCGTGTAATCTCTCTAATATGACCTGGCTTTTCAAATCCCACCCACGTTTTATAACTCTTTGTGTTGAACACAGCAGAATTTTGTATTAAGAAACAAATATTTCACAATTCAATAGGCATATGGATGAATAGGAAAGGGAAAGTGGTTATTCCAGGATATTTACCTGCAGAAAAAGAACTTAGCAACATAGTAATTCAATTAATCATAAGTATGTCTCTGAATCACGTTGTTCAAGATTTTCACCAACCTGATAGCTCGAATGACAGTTTTAAGTGGTGGGGTGAGGTCTTCCACTGATACATCACACTGGCATCCTTTTTCATCATATACATCATCAGTGCCAAGGGCTGTGTCAGCTGCAAGAGAATATTGCCAGTTAAATAACACCACCATCCGCAATTTGAAACATGTTGCTGAATTTTTCTCACGTGGAAATGGCGGGATACTCACAGAGTAAGCTGATAAACCAAGATATGTATAAGGTCAGCCAATTGTCTTGCCAATATTATTCTTTCTTCTTTTTCTACAGCCTCCCCAGTTTTAAATATGAATACTTTTCTGAACTGTTTTCTACGGGCAAGATGAAGCTATCGACACATTATCTTTCCAGTACTGGTGATGGATTTGTGTTGATCCACCTATGCTCTTTTGCCCAGTTCCTTGGAAACTAACAGCCAGCTTTTAAGTGACAGCTGTCTGGAGTTACAGAAATAGTTTTTGGACTTGTAACTAACTGGCCTGTATATATCAAGCTCATATCCCATGACACTGACCCCATTAGCCTTATGTCCTGAACAAGTAAGCTAAGTAGCCGGAGCCAAGAATGCTGACTACTTATTAGTTACTGGATACAGGCAGCCAGGAAAGAGCTTGCTTCAGATCATACAGCCAAAGCTGAGGGCGATTTTCAGACTGGATAAAAAATCAGTTTTTCGTAAACCAAGGAAATTTACTTTTGGGTTAATTGCAAATGTTTGGGGAAGGCAGCAGGGTTATAATAAATGCCAAATTATTATGAATTTGTAAAGCAAATAAGGAATAAGCTCATTTCATTGCATTTCTGTTTTCAGTAACAAAATATTAGAATGAAGTTAAAATTCCTGTGATGGAGGATAGGTCAAATGAATATTGGTAGGTTTATATAATGGAATATTAGACAACTTTAAAAAATGATGTTGAAGACTAATGACTGGGAAAGTGTCACAGTATATTGTTAAAGAAAAAAACTCTCTGCATATCTGAAATTAAGAATGATTTTATTGTTTTTGCTTGCCTGTATTTTCTAACATTTCTCCAATGAACATGTATTACTTTGGCAATACAAAGTAAAGTAATAAAAATGCTCTCATGAAAGAGGAGTTATGTGGCCTCCAAATACCTTTTTTTTTTTGAGAAAAAGTCTTGTTTTGTCGCTCAGGCTGGAGTGCAGTGGTGCGATCTGGCTCACTGTAACCCTGTAACCACCACCCCTATTGGGTTCAAGCAATTCTCATGCCTCAGCCCCGCAAGTAGCTGGGATTACAGGACCGCACCACCACACTCAGCCAATTTTTGTATTTTTAGTAGAGACGGGGTTTCACCATGTTGGCCAGGCTGGTCTCAAACTACTGGCCTCAAGTGACCCGTCTGCCTTGGCCTCCCTAAGTGCTGGGATTACAGGGGTGAGCCATTGCTCCTGGCCTCCAAATACCATTTTTATATGGTCCAAGCCTCTCTAAATGTTGACATACACTAGAGGACTAATACTACTTTGTGTTGCCTTTGCTCTGTGCAGTGTTCATTTGCTAAGTCATGAAAGGAAAAGACTTTGCCATGGGCTGTCCTGGTTGGGCTCCAAATTTTGAAAGGCTATTGGAGGTTCATTCATTGAGGCAGTGCTTATATTTGTAATGCAGTTTGTGTGTCATTTACATCAATGAATATTTACTGTGTGTTTATGCAGTTTACTTTTGTGCTGTAATGCAGGCGGTGGTGCGGGAAGAGATGATGAGATACATGTAGACACATGGATCTTCACAGCTCTTCTTCGAGGTCCCTTTGGCTTTCTTGCCTTTAAGCCTAGTAGGAGAGAGATGAAACTACTACCTCACAATAATGATAATAATAGTGTTATTTTTTGAAATTTGTCTTCCTGTATTCATATGTTGAAACTTAATCACCAGTGTGATAGTATTAAGATGTGGGAACTTTAGAAGGTGATTCATTTATGAGGGTGGAGCCCTCATGAATGGGATTAGCGACCTTATAGAAGGGCTGGAGTGAACTAGGTAGGCCCTCCTACCCTCTGGTCTTTCTACCATGTGAGGACATAGCATTTGTCTCTTCTGGGAGACTCAGTAGCAAGGTGCCATCTTGAACTTCCAACCTTCAGAACCGTGAGAAATAAATTTCTAGTCTTTACTGGTTATCCAGTCTCAGGCGTTTTTTATAGTAGTGCAAATAGACTAAGACAAATAGCAACTGCTCATTGAAATTTACACCAGGTACTTAGGTGCAGCTTCTGCATATATTAATTTTCATACTCAGAGCAACTTTACAAGTTGTTAGTGGTATTATGACCAATTTTCAGATGCAGAAATTAAGGCTTGGAGAGGGTAAGTACCTCATCTGAGGCCATGAAGGTGGCAAGCGGAGCTAGTAAGTTGCAGAGGCTGACATTAGAATCCAGTTCCCTGAGGCTCCAAAGCCCATGCCCTTTGCATTGCATTACGCAGTATCAGAACGAGTTTGGGGTTAAATTGTGACTACAATATGTCAGGAGAGACAGGGCAAAGAGCTCACTACACGTGTGTGTTGCCTGATGTGTACAGCCTGCTCCTGTCAGATACATGTTTTCTCCAGAGAAATTTGCCCCAGTTGGAATGAGAGTACATTGATTAACTCTGTGTTTGACAGTTGGTTCTGACTCAGTGATGACCTTCAGGGTAGCCAGTTTGCTGGATTGACCACCCACACAACACAGTCTTTTTAGCCCATAAACATCGTGCCCATGGTTTGATGACATTCTTTCCAGGAATTGTTCATGGTTTCTCTGATTTTATTGTAACCTGCTCTTAGTTGCTGTAGTAGGATGAATAGAGTCACCCCAAGATTTATGTCCACGTGGAACATCGGAATATGACCTTAGTTGGAATAAAGGTCTTGCAGATGTAATTATGTAAGGTTCAAAATGAGATCACACTGGATTAGGCGGGGACCCTAAATGCAGCAAAAATGTCTTTATGAAACAGAAAAGGCAAAGACATAGGGACACAGAGAAGATGGAAGCAGAGACTGGAGTAATGCATCTACAAGCTAAGGAACACCAGGGATTGTTGGCCCCCACCAATCGTTAGGAGAGAGGCAGGGGATGGTTTCTCCCACAGAGCTTCCAGAAGGAAGCAACCATAATGAGCCCATGATTTCAGACTTCTGGACTCCCGTACTGTGAGATAATACACTTCTGTGCTTTCAAGCCACCTGATTTGTGGTAATTTGGGATGGCAGCCCAAGAAATGAATACAGCTGGGAAAACTTTCCCTGATGGCTTCCAATTCTTTACTCCAGGACAATAATGATGATGATAGTAATAAGAGTTTTTTTTTTTTTTAGAGAAATCTAATTATGTGCCAAGAACTTTAATTAATTGTATCAAAACCCCATGAAGCGGTTTTTTTTTTTTATTTTGAGACAGAGTCTCACTCTGTCACCCAGGCTCAAGTGCAGTGGCATGATCTCGGCTCACTGCAAGCTCTGCCTCCCAGGTTCACGCCATTCTCCTGCCTCAGCCTCCCAAGTAGCTGGGACTACAGGTGCCCGCCACCATGCCCAGCTACTTTTTTTGTATTTTTTTTAGTAGTGTCGGGGTTTCACCATGTTAGCCAGGATGGTCTCGATCTCCTGACCTCGTGATCTACCTGCCTTGGCCTCCCAAAGTGCTGGGATTACAGGCGTGAGCCACCACGCCCGGCCTGAGTGTGTTTTACCATTACCTCTTGTTTTATAGATTATGAAAGTGAGGAACAGAAGGCTAAGAAACTTGCCGAGCGACACCTGGAGAATAAATGACAGAATGAGAACTTTAACCCCAGCAGTTGGGTTCTGGAGCTGTCTGACCCTGAGCCTCACCTCTGACCACTTCCAGATTTGCCCTTCTTGTATTTCTCTCTCTTTTTTTTTCTTTTTTTTGAGACGGAGTCACCCAGGCTCAAGTGTAGTAGCACAATCTCGGCTCACTGCAACCTCCGCCTCCCGGGTTCAAGCAATTCTCCTGCCCCAGCCTCCCGAGTAGCTGGGATTATAGGTGCCCACCACCACACACGGCTAATTTTTAAATATTTAGTAGAGACGGGGTTTCACCATGTTGGCCAGGCTGGTCTCGAACTCCTGACCTCAGGTGATCTGCCCACCTCAGCCTCCCAAAGTGCTGGGATTACAGGCGTGAACCACCACATGGGGCTGCCCTTCTTGTATCTCTTATTGGTATCTGGGTTCCCATCTCCTGCATTACATTTTTCTTCACAGGGCTGGTGCACTTGGCACGGTGTGGACCCCATATCAAATCCAGAGGAGATTTGATTTTGAGCAATGTGGTCACCATGGCCATGTGCTGGGCCAGGCCACACCCAAAGGAGCCTTGGAAATATACAGACCCTGGAAATTCAAGGGGGTTGTGTAAGGGATGTGGAAAGGTCAGGTGGAATAGAGGACTCATATACAGGCTGGGTGGCTGACAAAACTGAAGCCACCAGCCATCATTATAGAGCCCTGGGAGATGCCCAGATGTTAGCTCCCCAAAGGAAATATTGAATAACAAACTTTATCAGGAGTCCCAGTACAGCTGGGCATGGTGGTTCATTCCTTTAATCCTGCACTTTGGGAGGCTGGGGCAGGAGGATTGCTTAAGGCCAGGAGTTTGATATGAGCCTGGGCAACCCTGTCTCTACAAATAATAATATTAATAAAAATAAAAAAAGCCAGGCATGGTAGTGTGTATGCCTGTAGTCATTCAAGCTACTCAGGAGGCTGAAGAGGGAGAATAGCTTCAGCCCAGGAGTTCAACGGTACAGTTAGCTATGATTGTACTGCTTCACTCCAGCCTGGGCAACAGAGTGAGACCCACTCTCTTAAAAAAAAAAAAGATTCCCAGTACAGAATTCACAAGAGTGTTTTATGCTGTCCTTCAAAACAGAGGCATATGACTGCTTTCCCTCATCTGAAACTGAATGAGAGGTACTTCTATCTTAGTCTCTTCTCATATCTCAGAAAGTTGGGGAACACTGGAGTGGTTACAAGACAGATCCTGCAAGCCTATATTAATAATTTCTGTATTTGAAAACACTGTATAACCAGCCATAATATGATAATGCAGGTCCAAATAATGAAATAGCATAAAATATAGAGTCCTTTAATTTTGAGGTTAATGGAAAACTTTCTTTCAGCAGATGTTTACTGTCACAATAAGCACAAAAGTAAAGATAGTGAAACTATATTGTTCACACATAAATGAACCTGCGAACATCCCAGATGATTACAAGACATTACCTCCCAGCCTAATGTTGCACTCCCCATCAACATCCTGTACCCCAATAAGAGACTCATCCTGTTTAGGAACAGGGCTGGACAGAGGATGAGAGTCGGTCATCAATTACATTATACTCAAATGCATCTGATTGTGCAGTTTTATACAGCACTTTATAACTTGATTGTTTAAGCCATAAATTAAACACTCAATTCTGCTTTTTTTTGGGTAGGTGTAGTTAGAGCAAATGAATAGGAAATATATCTTTGCTGGCATGTGTTGAGGCAGGAGTGAATTAGGGAATTTTTTTTTCTTGCTTCAAAGCTACAAAAATGAGCAAGATGCTGTCTTTCTGCTTCATAAGTACACCAAGTCCTCACTTAATGTCTTCGGTAGGTTCTTGGAAATTGTGACTTTAAGTGAAATCACATATAATGAAAATGATTTTACCATAGCTATTTGATCTAAAGAAGAGTTAAAGTCCTATGGCATATTTCTGGTCACAAAAACGTCACCAAATTTCTACATAAAGACACAAAACACAATATTAAACACTGAAACAAATGTGAGCTACATATACATTTAAGAAAGATTAATAAAAACAAGTAAGATAATTATTTACCTAATTTTTGGTTAATCAGTGAGTGACAGTGGTCATAATGGCGGGAGGTTAAATCAAAGAATAAATGATTGCATAGCGAAAATTAGAAGGGGCACCTCCTACCACTATACAGTTAAAAAAACGAGCAAATATTGGTGGGCTTGCTGAGTGCTTTCCTACTGCATCAATTGTTGTGTATTTGTATGATTATTGTATGCTATTTTTTATTTACTTATTTATTTATTTTATTTTTGAGACAGAGTCTTGCTCTTTAGCCCAGGCTGGAGTGAAGTGGCGCGATCTTGGCTCACTGCAACCTCCGCCCCCCGGGTTCAAGCGATTCTTCTGCCTCAGCTTCCCAAGTAGCTGGGATTACGGGTGCCTGCCACCATGCCCAGCTAATTTTTTGTATTTTTAGTAGAGACGGGGTTTCGCCATGTTGGCCAGGCTGGCCTTGAACTCCTGACCTCAGGTGATCCACCGGCCTCGACCTCCCAAAGTGTTAGGATTACAGGTGTGAGCCACCATGCCTGGCCTATTTAGTTATTTTTAACCAAACTCATTTTACTACCAGATGTATGGTTATTGATTATTATATATTTCTTGAGACAGCGTCTCCCTCTGCTGCCTAGGCTAGAGTGCAGTGGTGTGATCATAGGTAACTGCAACTTCACTCCTGGGCTCAAGTTATCCTTCCTCCTTAGCATCCCTAGTAGCTAGGACTACAGGCACAGGTCACCATGTCTGGCTAGTTTTTATTTTTTAATTCTTTGCAGAGATGGAGAGGTCTTGTTATGTTGCCCAGGCTGGTCTTGAACTCCTGATCTCAAATGATCCTCCCACTTAGGCCTCCCAAATTGTGGAATTACAGGTGTGAGCCACTGAGTCTGGTCTGACACATTTTGATTTTACAATAATTTGTATTCATTCATTCATTCATTTATTTTCCAACCCACTTATTTCAGTCCAGGGTTGAGGGTGGCTGGAGCCCATCCTGGCAGCAGAGGGCACAAGGCAGCTAACAGCCATGGACAGGGCACATCTCAGAGCAGAGCATGCTCACACACACCCCCACACTCACTCAGATGAGGATCATTTAGACACGTCAATGAACTTCAGTGCACAGCTTTGGGATATGGGAGGAAACCAGAGAACCTGCAGAAAATCCATGCAGGCCTGAGGAGGATGTGCCAACTCCACACAGACAGTGGTCCAGCCAAGAACCAATTTTTTTTTCCTCATCCATCTAACAAAACGATGATGAAGGAAACAATTTTATTTGTGGACCTGCTATATCTTGAGTTGTCAATTTTATTTCCAGTGAAGTTAGTAACACATTAAATGTCTTTCTTATTACTCCTAGGGGCTTAAACCCCTCTGAATGCTAAGGTACTTAGGAGGGGCTATATTTCCAGCTGAGGCTGGCCCTCTGTTCTCCAACTACACATTTGCCTCTCTGTCCTGGTATTTTGGGAGATGTAGGTTATGGGACCGTGAACTCATGTGAGCACCTAGTCAAAACCTACTCAGAAAAGGGCAAAATGCCAATGGAATAAGGTCCTCCCCAAAGTCCTGCTCTCTGTGAGGGATCCTCTTGGGATCCTCCCTGGCAGATCTAGCCCCATGAATGGTCCATGCTTGGCATTAGGGAGAAAAATAAATATAAAATACAACTGTTTATCTTCCCCAAGCCTTTCCTGTTTCCTATTGATTAGCAGTGTTAAGGATTGGCTTTCAAGTACTCTGTTCCCTGACATTTAAAAAGAGCTAAGCTGGCTGGGTGCGGCAGCTCACGCCTGTAATCCCAGCACTTTCAGAGGCTGAGGCAGGTGGATCACCTGAGATCAGGAGTTCGAGACTAGCCTGGCCAACATGGTGAAAACCCACCTCTACTAAAAATACAAAAAAAAAAAAAAATTAGCTGGGCATGGTGGTAGGCACCTGTGATCCCAGCTACTTGGGAGGCTGAGGCAGGAGAATTGCTTGAACGTGGGAGAAGGAGGTTGCAGTGAGCCAAGATCGCACCATTGCACTCTAGTCTGGGTGACAAGAGTGAAACTCCATCTCTAAATAAATAAATAAATAAAAATAAAATAAAAAGATCTAAGCCAAATTTTGAATTTTGAAAAACTGCTAATTGCTACTTTCTATACTGTTTGGAAAGGGCCACTTGGACTTGAGATGATGAAGAGAGAGGATGGTAAAGAAGACCATTTTGGAAACTTCTGCTGTGTCCAAAAACCATATTTCTATTTCCACTATGAAATTTTACCATCAAATTGAAGGTATTTATGGAAGAAGGACAGGTAGTTTCTAGTTCTTTTTCTTAGTCACCTTCTTTTACGGATTAGATTCTTTCTGCATTTCTTTTTAAAAATAATTCTATTTTTCATTGATACATAGATGTACATTTTTTTGGAGTACATGTGATAATTTATTACATTCATAAAACTTGTAAAGATCAAGTCAGTGTACTTGGGCTATCCATCATCTTAAATATCTGTCTTTTCTTTATGCTAGAAACATTTGAATTATTCTTTTCTAGCTATTTGAGCTATTTGAAATATACAACAGATTACTGTAAACTATAGTCACCCTACTGACCTATCAAACGCTAGGACTGATTTCTTCTATCAGACTGTAGCCATTAATTAACCTCTCTTCATTCCCATTCTTCCAATTTCCAACTTCTCTTCCCAGCCTCTGGAAACCACCAGTCTAAGCTCTGTCTTCATGAGATCCACTTTTTTCGGTCCCACATATGAATGAGCACATATGATCTATTTCTTTCTGTGCCTGGCCCATTTCACTTAACATAATGGCCTCCAGTCCTATCCATGTTGCTGCAAATGACAGGATTTCATTCTTTTTAATGGATGAATAATATTTCATTGTGTATCTATACCACATTTTCTTTATTCATTCACTGACGGGCACTTAGGTTAAGTCCATATTTTGGATATTGTGAATAGTGTTGCAATAAACATGGGAGTACAGATATCTCTTCAATATATTGACTTCTTTTCTTTTGGATATCTTCTTTGCATTTCTTGATGAAATGATTACAGTGGGTTTCAACCTTGGCTGCACATTAAAATCATTTGGGGAGTGTTAAAAAAAAAATCCCAATAATGAGGATGCTCTCAAGACCAATAACATTAGAAACCAAAGGCTAGGACCCAGGCGTTGGAGTTCCCAGCTCTCTGGAAGAATGCGATGTATAGCCAAGGGCAAAGACCACTGGTTGTAGGTAGAAAAATGACATCTCCTGGTCTCCCTCAGCCAGAGCTGAGCAGTGTTTGGCTAATCCGCCATCCTGTGTTCCTTGGTGCTGCTGATATATTTTGCAGAGGAGCAATTTGAGACAACATACGTGCCTCACAAGACAGCAGTAAATGACTACATCATAAAAAACAGAAAAACAATTTAAAAATCCTTTGATAAATTGGTGATACAGGAACAAGGTTTTGTCCTATCACAACATTCTAGTCATCTTTAATTGAGCTTGAAGGCCTCAGCCTGCTGAATTCCAGTCATTGTCTTCTACTCGCAGCCATCAAAAAACCCCCTCTTCTCAGGCTTTGGCCCTCTTTCTCTTTTAAAGAAATCACTACTGCTTTTAAACACAAGCAGCTTACACAGTCACAGACAAAAATAAAACCCAATTGTCAAAAACATAGCGGAAGGCCGGGCGCGGTGGCTCACGCCTGTAATCCCAGCACTTTGGGGGCCCGAGGCGGGTGGATCACGACGTCAGGAGATCGAGACCATCCTGGCTAACACGGTGAAACCCCGTCTCTACTAAAAATACAAAAAAAAAACAGCCGGGCGTCGTGGTGGGTGCCTGTAGTCCCAGCTACTTGGGAGGCTGAGGCAGGAGAATGGCGTGAACCCGGGAGGCGGAGCTTGCAGTGAGCCGAGATCGCGCCAGTGCACTCCAGCCTGGGCGACAGAGCGAGACTCTGTCTCAAAAAACAAACAAACAAACAAACAAACAAACAAACAAAAAAAACCATAGCGGAAACACTTGTTTTGTCTGTGGAGGAATAATAACGTCCTCACATTTGGGGCAATAGAAGAAATTATAAAGGAGAGAGCTGGCAGCTTTGATCATGAAGACAGAACATGGTGCTACCCACAATAACTAAATTACAATGCCAAAAATTCTTCATTAGGGAAGAATTCCAAAATATAAAAAAGGCTTAATATCCACAATGTATAAGGAACTTATCTGAATGAATCACAATTCAAAATATATATGTACAAATAAGTCAGTCAGGAAAGACTAGCAAAAAATGACTGAAAATTATTCAGCCTTACTAGAAATTTTAAAATTGTAAATTAAAAGCATGAACTTGTACCGATTTAATTTGCAAAAGAATAATAACTAATAAAAATTGACATGAATTTGGTACACTTTGACATTGCTGGTGACAATATAAATTGGATTAATTTTTATGACAATAAAATACTTAATGTATAATCAGCAATCTTTTTATTTTTATTTTTGATTTTTAAACTTTTAAGTTCAGGGGTACATGAGAAGGTTTATTATATCGGTAAACTCAGGTTTGTTGTACAGATTATTTAATCACCCAGGAACTATCCAACAGTTACTTTTTCTGATCCTCTCTCTCCTCCCACCATCCACCCTCAAGTAGGCCTCAGTGTGTGTTTTTCCCCTCTTTGTGTCCATGTGTTCTCCTCATTTAGCTCCCACTTAAAAGTGAGAACATGTGGTATTTGGTTTTTTGTTCCTGTGTTAGTTTGGTGAGGATAATGGCCTCCAGCTCCATTTGTGTTCCTGCAAAGGACATGATCTCATTCTGTTTTATGACTGCATAGTATCCATGGTGTGTATGTAACACATTTTCTTTATCAAATCTGTCACTGATGGGCACTTAGATTGAGTCTATGTCTTTGCTATATAATCAGCAATCTTACAATTTTATACAAGGTAAGTTTCCTTTGTAAAATAAGTTCAAAAAGAATAGAAATGTAGCTTAATGCAATAATGTTTATCACCTACTATAGAAAAATAGTTATATAAGTTTCAATGCCCTAAAGTAGAAAACTGCAAATTATAGTAAATTATAGCATTTGATCATGCAGGTGTACTACACAGCTCTGAAAAAGGCAATTATGAATAGTATGTAATAACATGAAAATATTTAAAAATGTGCAATGAAATTAAAATATGAAACTACTTATGTTGATTATAACTATGTACAATAGTATGTGAAAAGAAAAGTAGCTAGAAGAGAATATGTAAAAATAAAATTAGCTGTACTAGTGCATGAGATTATAAATTATTTATACTTCATTTAAAGTTTCCTAAGGAATTTAAGAATTTTTCCATCACAAAAATAATGTATACTTTTTGATATGAAGTATTTGAAAAATAGGAAAACAGAATGAAGAAAAAAAATCTTCCAGGACGGGTGCGGTGGCTCATGTCTGTAATCTTAGCACTTTGGGAGGCTGAGGCGCGCGGATCCCTGAGGTCAGGAGTTCGAGACCAGCCTGGCCAACGTGGTGAAACCCCGTCTCTACTAAAAAGACAAAAATTAGCCAGGCGTGGTGGTGGGCGCCTGTAGTCCCAGCTACTCGGGAGGCCGAGGCAGGAGAATCGTTCGAACCCGGGAGGCGGAGGTTGCGTGAGCCGAGATCGCGCCATTGCACCCCAGCCTGGCGACAGAGGGAGACTCCGTCTCCACAAAAAAAAAAAAAAAAAAAAAAAAAAAAATCTTCCAAAATTCCAGGACTTAAAGGCAACCATGCCCACACAACGCTGGGGCCGGCGCCGCCGCCGTGCTCGCCCGGACGTTCCCTTCCCGCCGCCCCGCCCCCTCCCCCGCACCAGGAGCAACCTGTAGCGGGAGGGCGAGCGCGGCGGCAGCACCTGTACTGGCTCCAGCGCGGGTTCCGGCGGCGTCCTGGAAGAGGAGGTCCGGACACTATCAGCGGCCTCCCCATGGACATTAAACCCAGAGAACCCTACTTGATCTTCCGGCCGTTCAAGGGGTATGAAGAGTCCCTACTCAAGCTCACCGCGAGACAGCCTGTTTTGTGATCTTTGACAGCGGGGCAGGAGCAGAAGCGGCCAAAAATGCGCTGAACGATATTCGCTTAGATCCCGAAAACCCACAGATCATGAGGCTAGAGTTTGCCAAAGCCAACACCAAGATGGCCAAGAGCAAGCTAATGGCAACTCCAAATCCCACCAACATGCACCCCACCTAGGAGCACACTTACTTCATCGCTCGGGACCCCTATGACCTGATGGGGGCTGCTCTGATGCCTGCATGCCCAGAGGCCTGGGCCCTTATCCTTTGTACACCACAGAGCTGACCCCAGCCATCACCCATGCTGCGTTCACCTACCCAGCTGCCACTACCGTTGCCGCCGCCCTCCATGCCAGGTGCGCTGGTTCCCTTCCTCTGACACCACCCAGCAAGGATGGAAGTATCGTCAGTTCTGTTAGTTCTTCAGTCTGGTCACCGGGGAGTTGGTTCTGGGAATCTGTGGTGGTGCCGGGACAGGCGCCCTGAGCTCCCACCGCCCCCGCCCCCGGGCGGCCTGTGCAGAGCTGCCGCTGCCCCCCAGAAATTGTGAATCCTAAGCCTGACACAGTGGACTCCTTCCTGTTTCCCCTTCCTCCTCTTCCTCAGCCCTTTTCTGCACACTCAAGCCTTTCTCCAACGCCTCCCAGGAGGATTTGGGGACCTTCTCGCTGAGGCGCTCAGATCCAGCTCGGAGGATCACTTGGACCCTGCAAGGCCTGACCTCCCACCCAACTTTGCTTCGGTAGCTCCCGCTCGAGGAAACGAGGCGTTTAATTTTGCATGTTTCCTGGCACGAATGAAGACGCTTACGCTTGTGTATATGTGAGTGTACAGTTTGTTTTCACGCTGTCACCATAGCAACAGGTCCTGGCCCCCGGTGGTTCATCCTGCCTGGCCTCTCTCTGCTCGCCTCGCCCCTGCACCCACCACGCTTCAGGGAGGCCCGAGCCCCCAGCCCCGTGGCCCCACACGCTTCCAGACTCAGCGCCTGCCTCCACCCAACAGATAGATGGCATTTGCCTTTTCCTTTCAAATTGGGCTTCTCTGCTCCTATCTCCTCGGATGCGCCAACAGTCATAGGAATGCCCTCTCTGCCGTACTGTTCACCTCTCCACAGTCACTCTGCCTGCCGCTGCTCCTCATTCTTTCCAAACCTTGAATCAACCAAAACGTGAAAAGTATTTTTGTACTCTGTAACAAAATATTTATGCATCGCATAAAAAAGGCAACCATTATTGTGATATGTTACTTACAGTGAAAGTGTGAGGGCTAGAAGTTCATAATTCATTTTTGTTTTTGTTTTCGTTTTTTTTGAATGGAGTCTCATTCTGTTGCCCAGCTGGAGTGCAATGGTGTGATCTCGGCTCACGCCAACCTCTGCCTCCCGGGTTCAAGCTATTCTCCTGCCTCAGCCTCCAGAGTAGCTGGGACTACAGGTGCGCACCACCACGCCTGGCTATTTTTAGTAGAGATGGGGTTTCACCATGTTGGCCAGACTGATCTCGATCTCCTGACCTCAGGTGATCTGCGTGCCTTAGCCTCCCACAGTGCTGGGATTACAGGCATGAGTCACTGCGCCCAACCTCACAATTCATTTTTATTTTAGGAATTTAAATAAAGTATGTGATGATTCTATTTCATTATGCTATGGGGAACACATATTAAAATGGCTACTATTAATGGTGGTGATAACTAATTTATTACATCCCGTAATGAATTATAATTTACTTTCCAAGGGTTCCTTCTTTCTGCTGCTGGTTGTATTTAAATTACTCACCCCCTGCCACCCTCTGCTATCATTTCTCAAAACCTTAAATATCATCCTAGATTTAGAGTTACCATTTTAGACATGTGCTAGTCCAAAGACAATTCCTTTAATCCAACTAGAGTTTAGAGTAACTGCTTGGGCCCTGATGCAGTAGCACAATTTCATTTCACTAAGTCCTTGGCTAGGGACTTTTCTTCCTGTTCCATGTTAGATGCTGCTAAGTAACCAAGAGACAAACTAGGTCCTCAAGGCATGAATAAGGAACCCAGAAAAATACTCTGGATAATGTATTTTTTACTCTAGATGTTTTTCCTTTCAAATAGTTTTTATTTTCACTTTGCTTTTCTCTCATTATAATAGTAATACATGTGCATTGTAGAAACCTTGAAAATTTGAATTTTAAATTAAATCACAAAGAAAGAAAAAAAATTCACCTGTGGTTTTAACACTCTAAGACAAATCCTATCAAGTTTTGGTATATTCCCTTCCAATCTCTTCCTGTACATCAATTGATGTTTAATGTCAAAGTCGATTTCTCAGCATAGATGGAAACTTAAACATCTCTGGTTGCCTTGGGAAGGAAGTTGGTTCTGATGGCCCAGAAGCTCCCATTCAGCCTCATCTTATAATGGCCTTTCCATCCCATTCTCCAGCCACACCAAATTCCAACTGCTTTCCTAGGTGCTGTTCAAGCATCATCATCATTGGACATTCTCCCAAGGGGTATCGTCTACACACCCTCATCCATCCTCGTTGCTTTTCTTATTTGTTTGGCTGGTAATTTCTAGGTGCTGAATTTGTGGTGGGCAGATTATAATATGCATGGGGCACTAACAATAGCAAGGGACACTCACAATGTGGAGAACATCAGAATAATTAGAACACACCATTTTAATTTCAGCCTACATGTAACTTTTGTGGCACTTTGAAAACCATAACTTTATTTTGTAGTCTAGCAATTTCTTTTATTTTGAGAGGTCCTAAGCACAGAGGATGAAGTGTGCAGGGTGGCGTGATGGAGTTTAGAGCCTCAGGCTTAGCTCTGGAATGACAAGCCTTTCAAGAGTCTACCACCTCTGAAGGAAGACTGATGCAGTCCTTCCTTTACTATGTATGCCTATGTCTTCTCAGTTATTACACTGTATTATATTTCATTGTTTACAAGCCCCTTTCCTTGTTAGACAGTGAGCTCCATGAGGGCAGGACCGTGCCTTGTCATTCATGGGATTTTGGCCTTATTATTTTCTGTTGTACTATGGTTAATTTTTTTGTTTTGTTTTTGTGATCATTCGTGACTAGGTATACTTCAAAATCCTACTGTGAAAAAAACCCAAAATTTCCACATAATGTTTACTTTTTATAAACATTTTAAATAGAATCTTCCCCTATTAGCCCATGAAAATATTTAAGAGGCAAAAGAAGTTTAAAGTAAAAGAATGAGTAACTTTTATAGTAGAACTTGGGAAATATTTGTTGAATAAATATAGTATGCTGCGTGTTTATTTTTAGGTGGAAATGCAATCTGTAAGCCCACTTTAAATTCTTGGATCTATATATTTATAATTAGTAAATAATAGAAGAATGTTCACATTGGTACAAAAGGAAGAGGGATCTCTCTCTCTCTCTCACTGTATCATCCATATTAATATAAAAAAGAAGGCAATCCAGACTTAGTTTTTCTCTTCAGGAACAATGTAACACTAATGGAAATCTAAATACTTTACAGCAAGATAGCATTACTTCACATGTCACTTTTGGATATTTCACACCTATCACCTTTTCCAAACTGACATTTATCCCAATACTTTATATTGCTGGTACTGTAGCAACAAATTGTAAAATCTCAATCATGTGACCATTGTTTACTCAATTCTGAATCTTAGGAGATTTGGAGTAATAGCTTACAAGTGAGTTTTTTAAAATTAAGAGTTAGAAAAATCATCTCACTGAGTTCCCATAGAAATAAAAGATAATGCTATAATAACAATTTTGATGCATCTGTGAACACACTCTCACTACATTTTTTTTAGGCTGTAGAAATGATACAATATTTGAAAAAAATTCTGAAAATTAGTTTTTATTGAAAAAAAAGCCTCTAGGTATCCATATCTGCAGCACATATTGGTTTCAAAGTTAAATATCCTTTTGAGCTTTTAAAGCAATATTCTAAAGAGCTAATTTTAATATTTTGAACAGGTAATTGCATTTTCCATGCATTTTTGCCAAAGTAGATGCAATTTGGAGAGCAAACTTTTTTTTTTTTAGTGGAATTGAAGATTACAGATTGATACAGATTGCATAACTTAGCACTGGGATTACTTGTTATTTTTATTATTTTTTATTTTACTTATTTAGTATTATGACATTCTTGACATAAAAATTTGGGACCTAGAATAAATAATCTTAGTACTCAAAACAGAAATGAAGGACACATTCAAATGCAGTATTAGAGGAAGTGTAGCTTACCTTTTTTTTTTCTAAAGAGATAGACTTAGAGCTTCCTATGAATACCACATTCTGAAAAAATGTCCTCATATGTCTTCAAAACTCTCTCAGCTCTATGGGAGGCTTTCATAGCAAAGAGAAAATATGACTAGCCTTTGACTGAACTTGATTACTTTTTGTTGGCCTGGACTAACTGACTTTTTTGGCTTTCATCCACAATAAGGATTATAGTTTATGCTGTGATTCAGCACACACACATACAAAGATGCACACATACACATATAATTAAGACAGAAGTTCCTTTCTGGGTTAAGATGGTAGATTGAACATATACAGCTAATCTTGCTCATTTTGAAAAACCCACTAAAACTATAGTGATGAAATACTTTAAAAAAAGACATAAACCCATAAAAGAAGAGAAAAGGAAAGGAGATGACAACAACATAATTTTGGAAGTGGGAAAGCAGATGGACAAGTTAGGTAACTGACTAGCTGACACCAGAGAGAAAACCCTATGCCAACACTGAGAAAAGCTAAGAACAACAAGATTTACACTTTGGAAAACTCAAAAGGCTCAGGAATTGGCAACGTTAGGTACTTCTTGATCCAAGCATAAAGAGGGGATAACTAAGATAAGGAAGGTTGCGTGCAATCTCT
Organism: Homo sapiens; assembly: GCF_000001405.40. Classification (NCBI taxonomy): domain Eukaryota; kingdom Metazoa; phylum Chordata; class Mammalia; order Primates; family Hominidae; genus Homo; species Homo sapiens. Next base: position 73,153,065 of record NC_000006.12, on the reverse strand, counting down.
CCCAGACTCCTGGGCATATGGTCCTCTCCTATTCCAGCAGAAGATAGAAATCTTTAGATGAGAGTTCACCCCTTCATCCAAAGATACATCCAACACAGTCAAAGGACAGGTATTAAACCAAAAGCTGGGGTATTAAGTGATCATACACAGATTGAATGTTGAGGATCCACCACAACCTGCTCGTTATCGTAATAATGGTAGTAAGACCTTTTCCCTCTAGGAGTTTGAGTAGCTACTCTCTGGGGAATCTGATCAGTGCAAGAAAAAAGAGCTAAAGATACTGTTGCCAGGAATTCCCCCAAAAGTGGTTGACTCAGGTCAACCTATGGTGAAGATCAAAGTTAATCAGCTCTAATACACTCAGAAACTCCAGTCACCCTTCTAGTCTCCAACATTTTATTATGAGAAAACATTCAATTTACTATGTATCTAAGGAAATCTTCCAGTACAAAAATGGAGCTCAAAAGCAACTAGAAGGTAACAGAAACTAAGGAAATGAAAATTTCAAAACATTGTCATTAATATCTTCACAGATATAAGGCAAAATACTCTATCCATGCAACAAAAATAGGATACTAAAATAAAAGAACCCTTAGTCAAAAACAACAAAAACAAAGGACCTTAGAAATGATAGCAGAAATGAAAATCTTAGTAAGAGGTTTGGATGATAATATTAGCTAAAACTCCTAGAAAGTAGGACAAAAAGACAAAGAGGTAGAAAATGAAAGAGGAAGGATAAGAAAATCGGGGCCAGTATGCAAGTCCAACTTTCAAATAACAGATTTTCATATCTTTATTATGAGAAATATCTTCATATTTTCTCTCTTCTTTCAGAGAAAATGAAGGGAGAAAAAAAAAACCCAATAAGATATTCTAGAATGGATACGAACTATTTCCAGACATACAAGCTCTTAAAAATTTTGCCTTCCAGACACTCTTCTCAGGAATGTATGATAGGATGTACTTCATCAAAATGGCAAAGTAAACGAAGAGAGTGGGAGACACAGCCACAGAACAGGGTGACACAGAGAGACGCAACAGGAGTCAGCAGGGTGACAGGGAAGGAAAATTCCCGTGTGAAAGCAGTGTGTCAGGTGGAGAGGGAAATTGGTCCAGATAGGACTAGTGTGAATTGAGGGACAGACACATTGACAGCTGTCATCATCATGCCTTCTGTCATCATGTCATCTTTTTATGTAAAAAAAATTGGATTTTTACTGTCTGAAATAATGGAGTGAATCAAGAAAGACAAAAACACAAGATCCTGAAAGCTGAGAATCCAATCTAGAAGAAAATAAAAGGGAATTCAAAAGATAATGGCTGTGCAGTAGGCTTAGAGAGCAGCCAGCTCAGGTAAAAGGAGAATGGAGGTTTCCAGAATGTGTTCTCAAAGAAAAGTCACAATGGGACTGATTGGTTACCTGACGCAATTTACCTTGTGGAAAATATTACTGAGAGATTATTGAAGATGTGGGAAGAATTATGAAAACAGCAACAATGAACAAGGTATTTATTTACTACAGGAAAAGCAAAAGGTAAGAAACAACCATAGTGCAGTGTAATATGTATACATAATGTAGATGCTGAATTTTGACTTCTCAAAAAACTATAGTGACTTACATTGAAAGGTTGGGAGGGTCTGCAGAAGGAAGAGTGAAAAAAGAGTGAAATCTTCATTTACCAGAATAGAAAGTAAACAGTATTCAAAATGAATTAATCAGAAGTTAGCAGTACACTCATATTATTGGAAAAATATGGAGATATGTAAATATCAAGAGGAATAACTAAAATAAATAGAAAATGGCTGCTCCTGGAAAGGTGGTCTAGGGATAGAGTGGGAGAGTTGAGGAAGAAAATCATTATATTCTGTAACAAAGGGCTTATATCATTTGACTTTTATTATTTTAAATTGAACTTTCAATTTTGAGGTAATTGTAGATTCACATGTAATTTGTAAGACATAATACAGAGATTCTGTGTACCCTCTATTCAGTTTCCTACAATGGTAACATCTTGCAAAAGTATAGTGCAATATCACTGCCAGAATATTAACACTGATCCAGTCAAGATATAGACATTTCCGTCACCACAAGGAGTCCTCATGTTGTCCTTTTAGAGCCACACCTCCTCCCTCCCAGCTCCCACCATGATTACTGGCAACCACTAATATGATATGCATTTCTATAATTTCAAGAATGTTACATAAATGGATATACACACACACACACACACATATATATATATACACTTCCCACACTACATTAATGTATACAGTAATACTTAATAATTAATGATATGTGATCTTTTGGGATTGGTATATTTTCACTTAACATAATTCTCACAAGATTCAGCTGCATTGTTGTGTGTATCAATACTTCACTCATCTTTACTGCTGAGTAGTATTCCATAGCATGTATGTGCCACGATATGTTTAACCTTTTGCCTATTGGTTAAACTTTTCAATAGACAAAAGGTTAAACAAATTGTGGCACATACATGCTACGGAATATTATTCAGCTGTATTTTAAATATATATAGTACATATATAATATATGCAATATATTAATATATTATATGTAATATAATAATATATGTAATATATAATAAAATATATATTATATATATTAATATTACTCTGGGTTGTTTCCAGTTTTGGGTCATTACAAAGAAAGCTACTACGACCATGCATATATAGGATTTATGGGAACATAACAATTTCTCTGGGCTAAATACCCGAGAATAAAATTACTTGGTCAGATAGTAACTAACTGAATAGTTTTAAGAAACTACTAAACTGTTTTCCCACCAGCAATGTGTAAGTGATCCGGCTTCTTTGCATCTCCCCCAGCATTTTGTGTCATCCCTAGTTTTTTTTGTTTCAGCCATTCTGGCAGGTGTGTAGTGATATCTCCTGTAGTTTTAACTGGACTTTCCCCATGGGGCTAATGATATTAAACATCTTTTCTTGCACTTGTTTGCCATGTTTATATGCTCTTTGGTGAAATGTTCTTCACGTTTTCTGCCTATTTTCTTATTCAACTGGTGTTTTTTTTTTTTTCCCCTGTGGTGTTTTGAGGGTTCTTTATATATTCTAATCAGATATGTCATTTGTACATATTTTCTCTCAGTTTGCAGCTTGTTTTTTCATCCCCTTAGTCTCATTTGCAGAGCAAAGGTTTTTAATTCAATGAGATCCATTCTATCAGCTTGCCTTCCTTCCTTCCTTCCTTCCTCCCTCCCTCTCTCTCTCTCTCTCTCTTTTTTTTTTTTTTTCGGAGTCTCCCACTGTCGCCCATGCTGGAGTACAGCGGCCCAATCTCGGCTCACTGCAGCCTCCGCCTGCCAGGTTCAAACGATTCTTCCGCCTCAGCCTCCTGAGTAGCGGGGATTACAGGCAACTGCCACATCGCCCAGCTAATTTTTTGTATTTTTAGTAGAGACAGGGTTTCACCATGTTGGCCAGGCTGGTCTTGAACTCCTGACCTCGTGATTTGCCTGCCTCAGCATCCCAAAGTGCTGGGATTACAGGCGTGAGCCACCACACCCAGCCTATCAGTTTTCTTTTTATGGGTAGTGCCTTTGTTGTCAAGCCTAAGAACATTCTGCTGAGTTCTGGATCCCAAAGATCTTCTCTTACTTTTTTTCTAAAAGCTTTATGCTTTATATTTAAATCTGTGATTCATTTTGTGTTAATCTTTATTACTTGACCTTTAAAACCAGGTATACATATACCACTTTGGTAAAACCAAAAATCTTTGAGTAAAACCTAAAAGGCTCAAGAAATGACACTGGCTCTTATTACTTGTGATGCATTCTATAATATGTATTTCCTATTCTGTCCTATCCTATCCCATTTTACAACAGATATGCCCATCTCATTCCATAACTTCTCATCCCATCTTGTTTCATTTCACTAAAAGAATGCTGATCATAACCCATTCATTTGATTTCATGACACTCTACCATAGCTTGAAAAGCATGGTAGATACAGTATTTTCTACCTGGTTCACATCCCTCAATTTTACTTTTCAGTATGTCTTCTTTCCTAACTTTTCTTTATCACCAGTTCTATCTCAGATGTTTAAAACCATCACCCACTGCTCTTTGACACAAAAAACAAAAAACTATTTTTCCTGAGGTTTATTACTTGCTCCCTTCTCAGTGCTTCCCTAGGAGGTGACCAGAACTGCACACAGTCTGCATTTCTACGTAACATGAGTCCTAAGAGAGCAAGGGCAGGCTCAACAGCCAGTTGAAATAAATTCTGGGAAAATGAGAGGCACTGTTGTTGTTTTCTCACTTAAGTTCTATGCCTTTTTACAGTCACATCAGAAATAGAACATCATCTCCTTATCTCAGAAAACTATATTCTCAGTGACTTTCTGAAATACTTTTTGATCTCAACAGTCATTACAAACTTTTAGTATATGGTTGATTATACCTATGGCAGGTAAAACATACTGTGCACAGGGCCTGCAACCACAATAAACTAGGTTGCTGGGAGATTCAATCAAAATAATTATCGACCCATGTTTACCAAATATGCTAACCAGTACTTTTTTTGTGATTTGGTAAACTTGATTTTTCATTGTGTTTGTTCCCAGGCTTGCTAATTAGCAACATTCAGAAACACTAATTCACACTAATGAGGGAATCTATTCTGTAAGATACCACTGCACTTGAGTATTTCTCTTCACAATCAAAGACCCCATTTACACTGAGTAGGTAATTCATGCATCCTCAGCATCTTAAATTACATTAATTATGATATGAATGTCTCTAAGATTCTCTCTTAAAGATTGTCAATTAACCTTACTTACTGGCTAGCAGAAATGCTGGCAAAATTTCTTGGAATACTTCCTGACATTTAATTAAAAGGAATTTCTCTGTTTTGAGTGACGGTGTGAAGCACTAGAGAGTTTTCAAAAACAATTAATAAGGTCTCTACTGCTAAAATTGCTGATCATACATCTAGTAACTGCCCATAAGGTGAAAAGAAAAACACATTAAAATTTGTTTTCTTTCTTCTTTTTAATTGCATATGTTATATATACTATCTTTATTCAAATGGAAACACTAGAATATGTTTTTATATGTTCCTTAAAAATTATTGCAACTGTAAAACAGTGGAGGAGTTTCATTATCTTCTTAGAGTCACTCAAATACTCACTTATTTGAATGCCTCAAACACTTGCTTATTGCTGAACTGTGATTCAGCAATAACGATTTTAATAATGTCATACCGTTTGCCTCTGTGATGCCTCTCATTTGTGTGTGGGCTTTTTAAAACCCCCAAACAATTTTTATTAATAAAGCTTAATTGATTCCTGAATAATTAAATAGTAAACCATTTATTTGTTCACAATGTGTTCATTATTCATTCATTCAAAATAAATATTTTCCAAACTTCTATTATTTGCCATGCACTGTGCTGTCATATAGTAAACAAATGTCTCTCTCTCTCAGAGTAACTGAAGTATTTCTGACAAAGGCAGTATTTCCACTGCCTTTATCTTTAATAAAGGAAGCGGTCCCTGATACATAGTATTATTTCTGTGATTACATGAATTATTCAACATGAGGACTCTTAAAACTCACTCCAAGGAATAAAGGACTAAAGTTTGTATAAGCATATAACTTTTAACGTTCCATTTACCACAGGTAGAAATTGCCATCAAGTACTGGAAGAAGGGAAGACAAATACATGCAAATTAAGCAAGTCCAGGATTTCAATTAGTCAAAATTAATGCAGAAATCAGCATTAATTAATTAATAAATAATAACAATATATTTAATATATTGAGCACCTATTCTGTGCTGGGCATTGTACAAGAATTTTACACACATTATATCTTATTATTACTCACGTAACCCTATTAGGTAGGTATCATTTCTACCACCCTAAAGAGAGAGAGAGAACAAATTAAAGTGGCAGTGAGGTTAAGTCGTTTGTCTCATCTCACCCAACCTAGTGGGGGAACTAGGATTTAAAACAAGTTCTGTTTTACTCCAAAACCATGCACTGTGTCGGATTAATTCAATTTTCATAAGAATTTCCTTGAGAACATACTATAGTCATAGCACTATTAGTATCCCAATAGAAAACAAAGACATAAAACTCACAGCCTGGTGAAAACAATTTTTTAAAACTCACATACAAAAACCAATTTTTATGGATTTTTATAGTTTCAATAGTATATCACTGAAGTGTTTGTAGCAAAAGGGAGGTAAACTCATAGACTAGAATGACTGCCTTTATTAGAACCAAACAGTGAGATAATCCTGGTGAAGCCAAGTGGTCAATCACATTCAGATCACTGGGATAGTCACTGCTCCACACCTGACATCATCTCAGATAGCCTTCTCACATGTATAATTGAACTAGTCAAACTAGATGAGATCAATGAATTGCTTTTTTTTTTTTTTTTTTTTTTTTTTTGAGACAGGGACTTGTTCTGTTGCCCAGGATGGAGTGCAGTGATGCGATCATGGCTCACTGCAGCCTCAACCTCCTGGGCTCAAAAGATCCTCCCATTTCTCAGCCTCCCAAGTGGCTGGGGCTATAGGCCTGTGCCACCATGCCCAGCTAATTTTTACATTTTTTGTAGAGATGGGGTTTTGCCATGTTGCCTAGGCTAGTCTCTAACTCCTGGGCTCAAGTGATCCACAGGCCTGGGCCTCCCAAAGTGTGGGGATCACAGGTGTGAGCCACTGTGCCTGGTGATGAATTGCTGTTACCATTCTAAGCTAAAACAGTACTTCATCTTAGGGAGAAACATTCTGAATCAATGGCAAAATGACTGAGAGGGAGTTATGTAATCCTATCTCCACAAGAACGAGATCTGTTTCCTTTGAACCATATTCAGAGATATCTGATTGCAATCAAGGCAGCCATGTTTTATAATGACCCTACAAATTGCAGAATCACAAATCTATATTGTTAATCAAATCTGCTGGAGAATTCTAAATAGATCTTGATATGGTTTCGCTCTGTATCCCCACCCAAATCTCATGTTGAGTTGTTATTCCCAATGTTGGGGGAGGGACTGGGTGGGAGGTGAATGGATCATGGGGGTGGATTATGGTTTAAAAGTGTGGCACTTCCCCCTTCACTCTCACTTTCTCATTCTCTCTGTCTCTTTCTCTTCTGCTACCACGTAAAGACACGCTTCCTTCCCTTTCGCTCTTCTGACATGACTGTAAGTTTCTTGAGGCATCCCAGGCGTGCTTCCTGTACAGGTTGTGGAACTGTGAGTCAATTAAACTTTTCTTTATAAATCACCCAGTCTCAGGTAGTTCTTTATAGCAGTGTGCGAAAAAACTAATACAGATCTGGTAAATTTTTCCCCAACTTTCAACTCTTATTCAGCTAGCAGTAATAGTGCCAGGAAATGCCAACATGTTAACCCCAAAATCATCTGGACTAACTTGTCTAGAGATGGTAACATAAGCATTGTTTAAAAAAAATGGAAATTACTGTTGCATACCTTAATTGACATGTGAAGGTATAGGGAGAGAATATTTGTAGTGTATGCAATGATAAAGGGAATAAATTGAGCAGACTTGCCATATTTACTGAAAAAGAAGACAATAAATCATTTCACTAGCAGTTAACATACAGCTGGTTTATACTGTTTCATTAGCAGCATGAATTATATGAAAGAAAACATGCTAAGCAGCATGCATGGTAGAACATAAAAAGCTTTGAACTTAGACCTAAGTGCAACTTCAAACCCCAGTTTTGGCATTTAGACTGAATTATGTGGGCAAGTTATTTACATTTTCTGAGTCTCAATTTCCTTATCTGCAAAATGGCTATGTGTGTATTAAATGAGCCAATTCATAGAAAATGTCTAGCCAATGCCTCGATACATGAGGTGCTAACAATGCTATTTTCCTTTTCTTTCTTAGGCTCTTTGAGTGAAGGATACTACAGGGAGAAATAAAAAAGTCAATTAGACACTGACACTGTCTTCATAGAACCAACAGGATGTTGAAAATACTAAAAGCAAATAAGCTTTAAATGGCTGGGATGGTAGATTGCAATACTGGCCACGACACTTGCAGCTTCTCACATGAAGAGGTGGAATCTCTTTCTCTGTCTCTTGCATGTGGGCTGTCCTTGCCATTTGCTTTGACCAACAGGACATAGTGGACATTATACTGTGATAGGTTGAGCCTGAACTTCAAGAGGCCTTCAGATATCAATGTACTGCTCTTGGGAACCCACCACCACCATGTGAACCAGCCCAGCCTGCTGGAGGATGAGAGACCACATGAGCAAAGAGCAGTAATTCTAACTGAGACCACCTTAGTCCAGTCAGCACCAGCCAACACAGCAGCTGAACACAGAGCATGAGTCAGTTCACTTAAGACCAGAAGAACTGCCTAACAGAATTGTGGGCTAAACAAATGGTTGCTGTTTTAAGCCACTAAATCTGAGGGAGAGGGTTAGCTATGCAACAGATAACATGAAGAGATATAGGGTCATGACATTTTTCAATCAAAACACAAAATTATGGGAACAATAGTTTCAAAAGAGTTTTGGGAATGATTAGTCATCAATTCCAATAGAACGATGTGGTATAACAATTGCTACTGCATTAGATTAATGAAAGACGCAAATCTCAGGGTTTCATGTGCAAATGATTCTCTTGGTAGCTGGAGGTAGAGAGATTAATTTTTCCCAGGTAATGTTATTCTGAGGTTTCTATGCTTTTGGAGTTCAGAAATTGTTGTTATGCATTATACATGGCAAAAGAAGAAAAAGATGGCAAGGGAAGAAAAGCCGAACAAATTAGATGTTGAAAATAAAATACCTGTAAAAGCAATTTGGGACAATGTCAGGGAGTTTTATACTGCAGGTAGCAAAAAGCAAAGCCTGGGTAACTCATCTCTTTCCCATGTCAGTCATCCATTGCAGAAAAAGGATCCTGGCCTTTACTTAACCTTGTTTCCCCCCTTCTTTACCAAGTAGAGCACACCATGAAAGCGATTAAATATAATTTTAAAATTGTGTCATATTGGTTTCTGTTTATGCAGCAGACAACTAAGTGTGACTTTGAAGGAAATAATTTGAGATATATGAAGGAAAAATCACCATGCAGCTGAAAAGTGCTTCTCTTAAATATGGGCTAAATTCTGTGATTTGTGTAATGGTTAATTTTGTGCTTATTTTGTGCGAATTTTGGACGTCACCCACAGGTTATTTCTGAAAACTATGAAGTCTGAAGAATGAGGAAGGTGCCTTTTGTTCCCCTCAGTGCCAATCAATACTGTAACTGAGGTGGGCTGGGGTGGTAAAACTTACAGACAAACAGTAAGTTCTTTGGGGTGACAGTTGTCACGCCTCCTCCCTGCCTTCTAAATGCCCAGAAACATGCTAGCTCTGAGTAGCAGCCCTCAAATACCTTCTGATATGAATTGAAATCCAGTGGAGGGCTTATTCAAGTTCTAAGAATGAGCCGCTATGGAGCACACACATAAACCTCACAATGGTGGGTGGGACACACCTGATACACTTCTTAGGACAGAAAGGACTATGGCTGACAGTGAAAGTGGAAAAGAAACAGTGGGAGGAATGAGAGGCAAGAAGCAGCGGGTAGCACTTTTCTCGGTATCAAAGAGACGTGAAACTAGGGTAAGGACAGAAAACTCACTCCTGGCATTCCTCAGCCAATCCTTGCTTTCCTCTTCTATTTCTTAGTATAGAATTGCTAGTGAGGATACGAGTTAATGGCTAAGGAAGATACTTTGCATTGGTCCAGAAGAGCAGATTATAAAAACTCAGATTTGGAAGAAAATTTCTTAGAGGTTTTCTGGTTTGATCTCCTTAAGCTTCCAGAAATTCCTGACTGTTGATCATCCAACTTTGATTTGAATGCTTCCAATTATGGAATCCACTCAATTGCTGTGGAGTCTCTAAGTGCTAAGCTGCCATTATATTGAACTAAATATTGGTATCACACACCTTTTAGTTCTGCTTCTGCCCTTTGAAGCAACCAAGAACATATCTTCAACCTCTTGAAAAGCTGAAGAGGGGCCATACATTGTACAAGAAAGAGAGCTGCGTTAGAAGTTATGACACTTTGGTTTTGCAACTGACTAGTTCATGTCCTGCTCCCTCAATTTATTTATTTATTTATTTTCGAGATGGAGTCTTGCTCTTGTCGCCCAGGCTGGAGTGCAAGGGTGCAATCTCAGCTCACTGCAACCTCCTCTTCCTGGATTCAAGTGATTCTCCTGCCTCAGCCTCCTGAGTAGCTGGGATTACAGGTGCCCGCCACCACGCCTGGCTAATTTTTGTATTTTTAGTAGAGACAGGGTTTCACCATGTTGACCAGGCTGGTCTCGAACTCCTGACCTCAGGTGATCCATCCCCCTCAGCCTCCCAAAGTGCTGGGATTACAGGCATGAACCATCGCACCTGGCCTCCTCATTTTATTTAACTTGTTGCTGCAGTAATCACATACTCAATATTTTGTTAATATTCCTTTTGAGAGTCTGCACTAAGAGTGGAATATAATTGCGTAGCTATAGGTTGAGGCCAGGATTTTTTTTTTTTTTTGAGATATAATACAAAGGATACTGGACATAAAATGGTTAGACCAGAAGTTATAAACCCATGTCGTTAAAGGCAGGTAGGTAACGGAGAGGTCGAAAGGAATGGGGAATTGGTGGTTTGGGTTCCTGGAAAGACAATAGGGACTGGTTGAAATCTGCAATTTAAAAGACATAATCTATCTGAAGGCATTTGTGGTAGCCTGACTCTAACATGGTCCCCAGTGGCCCTCATCTCCTGGTATTACCCCCCTGTATAGTCCCTGCCTACACTGTACAGGGTTGGTCTTTGTGACCACTTACACATGAAAGAAGCGATGGCATAACACTTCTGAGCTTATGTCATAAAAGACTGCAGCTTCTCTCTGCGTACTCTCTCAGCTCTCTCTGGGGGAAGCCAGCTGCATGTCATATGGACATTCAGGCAACCTAGGGTGTGAATAATGTGGCAAGGAAATAAAAGGCCTGCTAGCAAATGCTCAGTTGAGCTTGGTAATGGGTCCTCTCCCAGCATCTCCAGCCAAGAGCTTGACTGCAACCTCATATGAGATTTTGAGCCATAACCATTCAGCTAAACTGCTTCTGGATACCTGACCATAGAAACTGTGAGATTATAAGTATGTGTTATTTCAAACCACTAAATTGAGGGTAATTTGCTATGTAACAATAGATAACTAATACAGCATTCAGATTCATTTTAAAGTATCAATGTGGACATGCACACACACTTTGCTGATGAAACAAAATATAGGGCTCCAGTTTATAACCCTGGGTTTCTCAATGAAACCTGGATCTACAGAAGCCAAAAGGTATGGTTAAGGCAGCACTCGAAGGTCATTTGGCAGCTCAGTTTCTGCTGGAAGGGAGGAGATGAAATCCATTCAGAGCTCAAGCAGGAAGCTATTTTATCCACCAACAGAAACAGAATATAATTTTCCTTATCACTGTAGAGTAACAACAAACCATGGGACAGAACCTAGAGAAATCTGACAGAAATCCTGTTCTATAATACAAAGAGCACTTGGATTAGAGTAGAAAGCCAGGTGGAACTTCAGTCTTATCAAAATAGAAAAGCATTTCCCCGTCACTAAAAACTAAGAACAAGCATTTCACAAAAAGTAATGGAAGAAGCAACCTGTTATGGTCTGAATGTTTGTGTCCCCCCAGAATTTATATGTTAAATCCCTAACCCTCAAAGTGATAGTATTAAGAGGTGGGGGCTCTGGGAGATGGTTAGGCTATGAGGGCAGAGCCCTAATAAATGGGATTAGTGCCCTCATAAAGAGACCCAAGAGGAACCTCGCCCTTTCCATCACGTGGAAGTGGGCCCTCTCCAGACACAGAATCTTCCAGCACCATGATCTTGGACTTCCAGCTTCCAGAACTGTGAGAAGTAAATATTTGTTGTTTATAGGCTGCCTAGTTTATGGTATGTTTTTTATAGCAGTCCAAACAAACTAAGACACAACTCTTCTCAGAAATCCAAGAAATAACGTAGTCACTTGGGGTCTGAAACCAGAGATTGAGAGGTCACTCTCCACCCAATAGGAGAAGCAGATCTTAGGGGGACAAGAGTACATATGAAACACAGCAGAGGAGTAGGATATGTCTTTGAATGAAGATGCCTGAGGGACTGAATAAAGAACCTGGACAACTAAAGAAAAAAGACACCTATGGATCAGAATTGAGACAATTTCTTCAGGTAATGGTTTTTACCAATAAGTTAAGGAAGTACTGAAAGTGCGTTTTAGAATCCTACTGAATACCCTTTGTAGGGTTTTGCATAGAATTACTCCAACAATTACGCTGAATATAGAGTTAAATATGAAGAATAAATTTCTAGAGTTTAGATCCAGTCATTCTCAATAAATCCTTTTGTTCTTAACATTAAAGAAAACCCTCAGATTTTGTTACAAATAGAGGATGACAGGAATGGGTGCCCTACTCAGTCAGAATCCCAGGCCAGAAATCTGCACAAACAGGTTAAGTGGAAGCCCTAATAGGATACTGCTTTAACAAGAATTATTTCTGTCAACACAATGCAGAGTCATTATCAGGCAATTTCAGAAAGTGCCAGGAAGCATCATGTGGAAAATTATAATCAAGGCCTGGCTGAAGTTGGGCCATCATTATGGAAAGTCAGGAAAAATGCTATGTGCAGCGTGGTGCTTGGCATTTTGTGGAAACACCAAAAATGTCAACTGGGGAGACTGAGAAAAACATGAGGGAGGAAGATGCCATTGGAAAATAAGCATAAAAGAGGATTAGTGTAAGATGAAAGCTCGTGTGCATAAATTAGTCAAATAGAAAATACTGATAGTCTGTGATTTATACTGCTTGGAAGAAAATAGGCCATTATGGATACAAGAGACTGTTAGTTCAGGATAGTTGTCAAAACCATTGCATTAAAATGCTGCCTTTTTGTCACTGTTTTCAGTGATCTTGATATTTTCAAACAAGGGTTGTGGTAGACTGGTGGGCCTAGAACCTAGGTAGAAGTTAAGAGAAGAGAGGAAGGGGATGAACTATCTTTAAGAAGACTTGAGGGTTCTGGCACCCCACATGGTGTATTTCTACTTTTTTGCTATTTTTAGGTGAGACTGGGTTAGTTATTAACTTCAGAAGGAAGAAGGAGTCACCAAGAGAAACAGCTTGAGGAGCGAGGTGTCAGGAAGCTGCTGAGGAGGTGGAGAGGAAGGGAACTGTACCAGTTTTCCCTTAGTGGTGGTGGTGATAGAACATTTATGGGCTGACTGTATGTGAGGAAGGATTATATGATTGAAATACTAATTTATTTATTTTTGCTAGTTGTTCCTTTACCCACTTTGCCTTTCATTTGAAATTCAAGGAGACAGTCTAGTCTATGCTTGTTGTTTCATGGAAATGATGTGATGAGAGAAAAGTGAAAAAAATTATAAATCTGGCTTTTATGTTTTTAAAAGCCCGGACATTTAGAGGAACAGAAATGACATATAGACAGAATATTTGAGAGAAAGCACCATGTTTAAGGACATGCTGACTCCTTACCCTCACCCCAAAGTGGAAGAGGTTTCTTGGCTATATCAAATATTATACTATGGAAAGTTGCTTTCCCCAAATGCAATCCCCAAACCTAAATCCTTAAATTTATCCAGCTACTTCCCCCCACACTTGATCATGTGCTTTAGGGGAGTCTGGCCGAGATCCAGCTGCTGGGTCCTGACTGGTGACAGCCAATGATGGCGGTCCCATCCTCCATGCTGGTGATTGTTTTAGGCATGAGGATTCTGCAAAATAAGATGTGAATGGACAGTTCTCCTCACTTTTAAGAAGAGATACAAACATAAGATGGCCTCTTTCTGCCTCTGAAAGTGTTGCATCTATAGAAGATATTGCAACTGCTGTAGCCATTTTGCTTCCAGCCTGAGGAGGAGGCAGGCAGACAGATGGAAAAAGTCAAAAGAAGACTCAGAGAATCAGAGAAATGAAGCCAGAGCCCTGAGGCTCTGTGGAGAGCTGTCTTATCTCTGAGCCTCTTTCTATGTGGTATTATAAATTGCATTATAGTTTAAGGTAGTTGAATCTGCTTCTTTTGTGACCTGCTGCTAAATGCATCCTAATTGGTACACTGGCTGAGAGGAGAAAGGAACATGAAGGGTAGTGAAGAGAGAGGAATTACCATCAGTGCCTGGAACAAAGGCACTAGCCTTGAGGGACCCCCACAATCGGAAGATATTCTGCATCTTCATCTCACCCAGATCCCACCCTGGTGAACCCTAAACATCTCCTGAACCCAGGCTGTGCCAGTTTTTCCCATAAACACCTGATGAGGATGTACCTTCCATGGCAGCTAACATGAGCACTGAGGATTGCTCAGCAGGAATGGTAATTTCTCCTTAAGCAGAAACAATGTTAGACTTGTTAAAACATGCATGGTTATACATGTATGTGAGACAGATTTTCAGATCTATTGCCACTTCTGGAACGAACATGCTAATTACTACAGAACGTTGGGTTTAGCTAATATCAAGCACTGTAAGGTGGAGCTCCCTAAAGCTACGTCCTTCTCCTTCACTGTCCAGGTTATTGTACTCTTTGATTGCAATTCTGTAAGGCACTCCCAAATGCAGTGGGGTTCAGTAAGTGTAGGACTCCTTCGTAGCAAACTAGTCACCAGAAATCCGAAGATTTTCTCCTAGCTCTACCTTAGTATCATTCTTGTGGATTTTGGCTGCTTGCTCCATTTCTCGCTTGCAATCTGCCACCTTCCACTTGCTTGTCTGTTGGCAACACCTGTGCATCTTCTGACACTATCTTTTGCATCTTGAAACAGGCCTCAGATGACCCTACCATTGGCCTCCCTCCAGGGAAAATAGACACAGACCAGTATGGCTGTTATCCTGAGTCTCTTCCCAGATACTTGATCAAAACAGAGAACGGTCATTGAAAGGCCATTTCCCCAATTTGCCTAATCTTCTAGCTCTGGCTGCCTTGAGATGATGTAGTTGAGAGGTTTGGCAGCTGAGGCTGGGAGAAAGATGGGATAGTGGCATGGTCATGGTCAAGTGGCTTATATGGGAAGGGGAATCTGACCGATTGAAGTTGGAAGAGCAGCGGCAAGAAGAGGGTGGTGGGGGTTGGGGGAGGGGAAGAAATGAAAGATTCTTAAAGGGAAATTGATATAATATCTAGGAGAACATCTTAGAATACGTTTGTAGGAGGACCGTGAAATTCAATTGCCTGCATGTGCATGGTGGCTCCTTTACTTATACCTGCTAGACCTTGGGCAAGTTACTTAGATTCAACTCTTAGTTTCCTCATCCATAAAATGGGGATAATACCTCAGCTACTCCATAGGGGTATTGACAGAATTAAATAAAATAATAGAGGTAAAGAATTTAGAACAACACATGCCAATGGGAAGAATTCAATACATGTTCGTTTTATCATTATTATTACTCATATACTTGACAAAAATATTT
This sequence comes from Homo sapiens, assembly GCF_000001405.40. Classification (NCBI taxonomy): domain Eukaryota; kingdom Metazoa; phylum Chordata; class Mammalia; order Primates; family Hominidae; genus Homo; species Homo sapiens. The sequence goes on along the minus strand of NC_000006.12, from coordinate 73,137,544 downwards.
CTATATTACCTAATTTCTAAAATTATGTGAAGAGGGTTACATACTGTCAATGAATAGAGTATTTCTATCTTTTATTATAGAATTTATCAGTTAAAAATATGATTCATATCATAGCAGTCAAAATAAATTTGGTATGATAACACCACATCAGTCCTTTAGAGTTTACTTTCTTTCGTTTGTCATTTGTGGCTTCAGCATCTGCCTGCTACTTTCTACTTTTCTGGTACACACAAGTATGGAATATTGAGAGACAACTGCGTCCTTTTTAAGTGTAACATATTAATCTTATTAAAAATTATAGCAAGAGAAAAATGCCATGGATATTTAATAACCTTCTTAAAGAGTCATTAAATTATGAAAACACTACTGTCTGTAGTAAAGAGTATCAGATTTGTCAGGAATTATTAAAATTTACAGATTAACCCTGAATATTTTTTTTTTCTCTATTATACTATCTTTCAATTGCAAGTCTATTATTTTCCAAATATAACTTTTTGTTATTAACTTAAAGGTTGATCTGAGTTTCCATTATTCTTTCTTTTATTTGTCTATTCTCCTGAGCATGTTAATGGGCAATGGAATGCTGAAAATATGTGAGGAGAGCAGAGGAGAAGAAAACAGCCCCAGAAGTGAATGGGCAAATAGACCTGGAATAATTGAAAACTGGCTATAAGTGTTATATATTATTTTCTATGGTAGTAAGTAGATGATTTTAGAAATACTTAAAACCTAAAGAGGTACTATAAGTAAAGATGTATAACTGAAGTCTACATTTATTTGACAGCTACTTAATTTTTTTTCTTGTAAAAAAAGAACTTCCAGTTTCCCAAGACGCAACATTGAATTCAATCAGAGGTAAAGATTCTGGACTATTGGATTAAATGAGGAGGCAGGAGCTACTATCTCTTGCAGGTGGGTAGCCAACAAAGTAATTTCAACAGAACAGCAATTGGTCCTCTGGTCACTTGGGAAACTCAGAATTAATTGAATGGGCATCAACAAGGGAGAAGCAATTCTTTTGTAAACAAACAAAACTGTACTCGTATGAAATGACCTAGAAAATAGATGACAGGAGACCTCTCCAATTTGTGATTTGGTAGAGAATAGGACTTCTGTTTCTGTACCTCTGAGACATCTTTGCAGATACTGAAAATATTGTGATAGATAGTGGTGACTCTAGATACTGTGAAAAATTCTTTTCCTCTGGCCAAACAGTACAAGTAGAATTTGTTTTCCAAATTAAAAATCCAGATTCTATGAATTTTTTATTTAAATATGCTCAGCCAACAGTAAGGACCTTACACTACAAAGTTGAATGCTTTTTGAAGCACATGTTAGAAGAATATGGATCCATTGCAATATGTAATGTATGATTTCTAATGCAGTGTGAAACCAGGGCCGGGGATGAAGATATGGACACATCTCAGCTTTCCAGGGATGCTGTGATGTGGGTGAGCATGAGCTTTGTCTATGGGCTGAATTGCATCCCTCCAAAATTCATATGTTATGGTCCTAACCCCTAGTACCTCCGAATGCGACTGTTTGGAGATAGGGTCTTTAGAGATGTTATTAAATTAAAATGAGGTTATTAGAGTGGCTCCTAATCCAATATGATTGGTATCCTTATAAGTAGAGGAAATTTGCACATGGCTGGGTACAGAGAAAAGTCTATGTAAAGACTCAGGGAGAAGACCATCTAAAGCCAAGAAGAAAGCCTTCAGAAGGAACCAACCCTGCTGACACCTTAAACTTGGCCTTCTAGCCTCTAGACTGTGAGAAAATAAATTTTTGTTGTTTAAGGCATCTAGTACTTTGTTATAGCAGCTTGAGCAAACTAATACAAGTTCCATTTGTAGTAGAAGCTATTAAACATCATTACATAGTCTATGTCTGCACTCAACAAAGACTGGTTCCCACCATTAAGACAAGCTGCTCCTTCTACCACTTGGGAGGAAATCAGCTTAAGGAAAGGTGTTAGGTGAGTAACAGTCAGGGCAAGGGCCCCTAGAGTAGGGGCAGGGGAGAGGGCAGTGTGTGAAAGGAAGGGCTAATTTTTTTTCTTGAAGGGCTAGTTTTTTTTTTCTTTTTTTCCCCCTAACATTTTGTTTTTCTAAACTGAGGGCTTTTTTTTTTTTAAAAAAGAAAATCCTTTATTGCCTTCTTATTACAAGAGCTTTACCTGTTCATTGTAGAAATATTAGGAAATACAGATTAAAAAATGAAGAAACAAAATATAACTGTGATCTCACCACTCAAAGGTAACTGTTCACACATTCTTGTAAATCTTTCCAGACTTGTTCCTATAGATACATGAATTTATATAATATATATAAATGGAATGATTTTTTTGTTATCATCTTTCTGTGTCAATAATTTTTAATTTAGAGCATCATTTCTAATGCCTGACATTGTTTCATTGTATCTATTATATCCTAGAAATAGAATTGGTAGGTGGGATGTGTCTAGGCTTAGACATATGTAAAGACTTTTAATATATTTTGCCAAATTGCCCTCCAGAAAGGATGTACCCATTTATATTCAGCAAGCCTATTTTGAGTGCAACATAAAGCCCTGTCACTGGTAACTCTTGACTCAGCTGCTCAAGGGCTTTCAGCCAAAATCCTAGGAGGAGAGTGAGGAAACTAGAGGACACTGAAAAGCTGTGCCACAAGTGACTCAGATCCTGCAAGTGGCTCGATGGAGGAGTGTCCCGTGTTGGTGGCGGAGGTTTTTCCTTCCTTAGCACAGGACAGGCTGCGGGGAAGCATGGCAGGATCAGCCGTCTTGCGCCCATATGGGACCTGCAAGCTCCGCCAGGAGGAGCCACGTCAGTGCAGCCACTAGGGGTCGCCCTGAAGAGCATGGCACCCACAGGGGTGTGGAGTGAGGCGTGAAGAGGTGACTTGTGTTGCTCACTTGAGCGTGGAAGAGATATCCCTGAGGACCTTTGAGTAAGCTGAGAGGGACCCGTGGACTGCGGTTCCAGGGACTTCACTGCAGGGATCCTCAGATCATTGTGATTATGACCCCTGGTTGTTAATTTTATTCCTCGAGCTTTGAGGGCCTGGGAAAATACACGTTATTTAGGAAAAGGGAACAGAAGGACTGATAGCCTTTGTAGTTTTTATGCATTAATGGGAAATGCTATTTGATTTTGGTTCCTTGCCCAGTATAAGAGATCCCAGGGGGCCTAGTTAAAAGGAAAGCCAAGCTTATCTTAAATGAAAAATAAAATATTTTATTTTATAAACATGAAAATTATGTGGCACTCAATAAAATGTGTTGGCAAGTGAATGTCTGCTACATAATATGATAAATAAAATAGGTTAATTCCTCTTGGGAGAAGAACTTGAATTTTACTTATCATTGGAAGACTTCGAAATAACTTTCAACAGGAACCTCTCTAAGGAAGATAAGCAGTGGTCTCTGATTTGCTGGTAGATGGAGTGTGTGAGAGAGGGAAAGAGCACCTTCATTGTTGACCAGAAATGATCATCCTCCTTACTGTGTTTCAAGATATTCACAGAGCAAGCACCTGGTTGTCCCTGGGTCTTGGACCTTTGCTGGTCAGACGTCACAAATACATCAGAATGACAGTCCCATTGATCTTAATGTGGCCCTTGTCTGAGAAATAAATTTGTAGATACAAGTGAAGAATTAACAACATTTTGTCAGCTTCTTTGGAATGTAAATTTAGCTGCCAAAGTGGTTTCCAAAAGTAAACTTATGTTCTGTACATTTGCCCAAGGCAATGAATAAACTTCCAATAAAACAAACAAACAATTCTTTCTCTGGGGTTGTTTTCTTCTTTCTTCAAGTGGCACTATGGAGAATTAATTACTTCATAATCTCACTCACTATAGCCTATCCAATTAAAAATGGTTATGGAAAAACAGGGCTTACCATCTATCACTGGTTTTGGCTGAGAACTTTTGAGGCGCAGCGAGGGCCGGAAGCGGGTTCGGTCGTTGAAGCTCCAGCTCTTCTGCACTTTGGTGGGACTGCCCTCGGCTGTGATGTCGGTGCTTGGGGACCTCCTGTCACCTACTGAGGCTTGTCGGCTCTTAATACTCTGGCCCCTGGGGCTAGCCATGCGCACTCGCTCCTTAAAACTTAGCTTCTGACTGTGGAGAACAGAGGCATGATTATTCCATTTCAAGCAATTTCTTCCACTTTGCTTGGGTAAGTAATTTGATGAAGCTCATGTGGTCATATATTTCAATAGACAAGATGTTTTCAGCACGTAGGAGCATAGCAATTATTTTTCCCTTATTTAAAATTTGAGCTTTATCTAATCTCTATATTTGCATTCGAGATCAATCTCATTCTACAGGTACATACATCCTTCTTGGATTCATTGTAGAAAAGACTGAGGTCATACAGCATTTTGTACACAATTACACTGTAGATAACTAAGAACTGTTTTGGAATTCACTTGAAAAACAGTTGGGTAATTTTAGCTTTAACCTCAACTTTTGAGATTTAAAAAATTATTTTTTGTTTGGGAGCATATCTCTTTGTAATTTCTAGACATTTCTACAGGTAAACAGGGATGACAGTTACATATATACCTACATTTGGCATGCATTTTATATTCCAGGCAAGATTATGTTATCCATAAATTCATGCAATCTCATAGCAGTTGGTAGCACCACATACATAATATTAAACACACAACACTTAACATTAGATTTCTTTTATGCTTACATTCATTCTTGTGAGATGAAAACCACACAAGATAGAACAGCCCCAACAGATAATGAATGTGATGACTGATGAAGAGAATGAGATGTTATGTTCACTAACACAATTTCCTGCTAGTAAACAGGTTATTGATTTGCTGTGGCAGCTACTGGTAAATTATATTTGTTCAGGCATTCAGTTCTCTGATGCCGGCTAAGATCAAATTGTTGTGGGCTGATAAAAGAAGCATTAACAACAATCATAAAATCCAAAGTGCATCTTCACACTTTCCTAATCAAGAGATATGCTATGATGTGCTAGGAAGGGCAGGTTGGGATCAGACACACGGGGGCTAGGGTTCTCATCTCTAACTTGGAGATAAACATAGCAACACAGCTAAGGGATTCTTGTGGGAATCAAATGAACTGTAAGAAGCTTTGTGTACCCATTCTGTTTTTTTTTCTTGTTTCCTTTATAGTGAAATTATGCCATTCATTAGAAGGTGATACTGTCATCAATGTGAGAGGCCCAGGACTCTGCAGGGCCTGAAGAAATCCTGGGCAATGAGTCTGAGGGAAGTCTCTCAGAGCAGCTACTCTGAGAGAGTAAAGCCGCAGCCTTTGTGGGGTATGAAAGCAGCGTTCTCATGGATAAGGCTTATTTGAGACGAAGTGGAGGCCTTGTTTTGTCCACTTACCGCAATGTCCACTGTCCCCAACTGCAGCATGCCAACAGCAAATGTGTTTAGTGGATATGTGCTTTGTAGCTAACAAGAAACAGTAACATTTATTTTTCCATGCCTAGTTGCTTAACAAACGATATTCTAAAAGGGCACCACGTTTTATGTGTGTTTACATGAAAACAAATCAAATCATGAACTGGTGGTCAGGGAGTTCTGGAAACAATAAACAAGTTGACCATGCAACTGACAGCTCCCCTCTGAAATGCAGACACAGCTAAGTCCAGCATGACTCGCTGAAGGCACATGCAAAGAACAGGCGGGGCAGTTTGGTGATGAGGTCAGGTGGGTTCAAGAGTTCTTTACAACAATCCCAACAGTGGAAGAGTTTATCTGTGCTTGACACATGTGTGATTAAATGATAGATTACATTAAACAAGAGCAACAATAACATCATAAACCTGCATCTTTTAATTCTCAGGCTAGGTTTTCCATGTCATCCCAAAGCCTTCAATTATTTAAACAAATCTGTCAAAGGGATGGTGCCCAAAAATATCTACTTTTCTCAAGCTTTTTTTTTTTTTAAATTGTAAAAGTTTCAAATCTCTTTTTAGTTTCAACACATCTGTTCCATAATTTAAATTTACAATGATCTAGTTCAGGAAGCATATGCTCACTTCTGCACCTTTATTCAGATTAATGAATAGCTCAAGTTGACATAGATATCATTACAATTGGTCCTCACTATATTTGATTTTATCTATTACCTTTTCTGGAACTAACAGATGCTAATTACTATAAAAGGTTGGTTTTAGTTAATATCAAATTATTTTCTCCAACTTTCAAGATATATCTCTTTTCTATGTCAACTAAATACATAAGAAATGGATAAACCATCATAAAAACACTTAATATGAAAAATTAAAAAAATTCAATTACTAAAAAAGTAAAAACATCCAAAATGAAAGTATTAGCATTCAATCCACCATAGTTTGTTTATAATAAAAGTATTTTAAAAATCATACCTATAAAAATATTTTTAAAAATTGCCTCTATGAACCATTTTGACATTACCTTATGAATAAATTGGAAAATGTGAATAATATTCTCTAAATCTTAGTATCATTTAAAGCACTTAAAGTTGACAAAAATAAATTCTAAGTAACATTTCCCTTTTGTCCTTCTCAACTACATGGATATTTGCTAATGTCTATTATTTTAAAGATTCCCAAGAATTATTTTAAAATAAACTCGGCATATTACATGTTAAATTAGAAAAAATGTAATGTTTTCACTTTCTCTTTTGACATAATTATATGAAAGTTAAGAATAAGATTCTAATCAAGAACTTTTTAACCAGGCAAAATTTTCTTTTCCAAGGCAAAGATCTGTTCTTGTGTCCTCTTACAAAAAGCTCACTTTATTATTTTTCTACTTTGTTTCCCTTTGAAAATCAACACAGCGTCTTGATTAGATGACTATTAAGCTGATCAGGTGACTGTTACTGAAAACACACATTGAATTGATTAAAAATATAGACTCTTCACTGAAACACTGAAGTCTTCATTATTTTCCTGCCTTTTTTTTGGTGACATCTACGAATATGATTTTTGAAGATTTATGTAACAGTATTTTTAGGAAGAATGCCAAGGATTATCCCCAAGAGACCAACAAGGAGGTCTTGCTTTGCAGAAAGTAAAAAAAAAATTGCTGTGGTCATTGATCGGAGCATCTCTCTTAGGGTACAGTCCCACAGTTACAGCTGAGGACCATGCTCAGCAGAGCCTGCACTGTCACCCTGCAAGAGAGAATTCTCTCATCTCTAGGAACCAGATGTACAGGTTATTCAAATGGCCTAGCATGCAGTCTACTACCGGCTGTTCTCTGCCAGGCAACTGTGTGGCATCATCATAACCCCACAGTAATCCTCTGGGACTTAGAATGCTGTAGTTATTGTTATACTTAATTAGGGTTTTAGCCCTTCATGGGATAAGCATTCTACAAATTCTCGCCTCAGGCACAATATGGCAACTGAGCCATAACAATCCAGTGCGTGCAGCAGCTCAGCAGTTGTCCAACCACAAGGAGGCGCCAAAGGGCTGACTGCCAGTTCTACGCGGGACGCCGACTATTTGTCCCAGCGGTGGAGAGTATCAAAGCAGGCAACAGGCAACAAGGAAAATTTCAAGCGGGTTGAAAACCTCATTCAAGAAGTCCCTAGAAAGAGTGAGTCTCTGAACAGGGCTCAGGTGGGGTGGCGGTGTAACCTGGTCATGCACCTGAGGTTAGTTGGCATTCTCAAATCTCATGTCAATAGCCCGGATGCTGGGTACCTCTGCTTCCGTGAGGTGTACATTCTGAAGAGCTTCTGCTTATTACTACAGAACTTACTAGGAGTGAGGGAAATAGAGCAGCACATTACTAAGCATTTCACGAATAGGAAAGTGCTCAGGGATTCTTTTATAAAAACAAAGCCATTTGGCTTTATTGTTTTTAATATAGAAGTACACAGACTATTTAAGCAGAGAGTACTATGTTGTTTAATTGTGCTGCTTGAAAGATATCCAGTGATCTTAACGGCTAGGTTGAAAAATTGGATTTGAACTAGGCATTACATACAAATGATGATAGTCTCTGTGTTAGCATGTAAGAATAAATACTTTAGAATATAGCTACCCCTGTAATAAATATCAATAACACATAGTATAAATGATTAATAACGTACTTTAGAACTTCAAAGAATAACTACAGAAATCAATAAATTCATGACATTAATTGTTGAAATTTGAAAACGTAAGTTCTTGGTTTGTGTGAAACATCTGCATTTATAGTTGATATAGGTAACCAATTGTCAGAATATATGTTCAACAAAACAGAAGAAAAGATTCTAGATTGCTGGTTTGTAAGAAACGAAAGAAAAGTACGTTTCTTATTTTAAGTCCTATGATGTGTTGTTAGAAGACTAAATCCGTTTCCTCTATCAATAAATGTGAACAGAAGGAGAGACCATTTTGGAAAGATTGTTTTTGAAACAATGGAACATTTTGCCAATAAGGACACAAGTTGACTATGTTGGAAAAAAACCAAAATCTAGTCTTATTGAGTTTAGTTTAACAACACATGCAGATCATTCATTGCACACAGAAGAAAGAAAATTGAAATAACAGAAAATAAATGCAGAAAAAATATAAGAGCACACAGTCTTCCACCAGGGTTCTAGAGTTCTCTCCAAGAGCCACACACAGCTTCAGAACTCCCCCTTCCCCCAAAAGCCAACCACACAGGAGTGGTTCAGAAAAAGCACTCGGTGGCTCACAGCACAAGAGTGTAATGTAATATAAAAATATCATTTTTGCCTTAACGTTTAAGACATGCATCTTTACAACAGTCTCACAGGTACCTGGTAAAGCAACTTTAGTCTACTCAGAAATCTGAAAGGGTTCTAGCAAAGCTTTTAAAATTGCCATTAAGGAAGCTTAAGTATCAAGCAGGCATATAGCCAACCATTGTTGATTAAGAAGACAGAGTAACTAGAGGCAGCAAGATGTATAGATAATCTCAAAACCTCAGATAATATAATCTGTTTTTGTAGCAATAAAACTTAGGTAGATAGAAGGAAAAGCCTTCTTGTATCAATGTGATGACTGACTACTATTTGATAATCTGGTCAAGGAGGAAGGGAGAACCACATAAAACCTCAAGGTGAGAATATTGGCTTATTCTGGACAGATGGATTCACAGGTAAATTCAGTTCTCTGAAAATGACAATTTATATCAAAACAGAAAAAAACTTGTCCCATTTTAAAAATGACTTTTCCAACTAATTTTTTAATAGAATGAAATCAATAAACACATTTACCACCACATATATGAGATTAGTACTGTTTTAGTGGGAATTCAGAGGAAAAGAAATGAGTGATTAAATGATGCTAAAGAAGTATTTTATGATTGGAGTAGAGGAAAAAACAGCAGGCTCAGTTGAGACTAACAGTAATTTGTACCTGAATGTACCAAAAAGAACTGATGAAACAGTATTTTCACTATTGCTCAGTTGAGCTATATTTAAAAAGCTCTTCTTCAGATTAATGGCTTGTATTTTATTTTATTTTTTATTTTTTGAGATGGAGTCTTGCTCTGTCATCCAGGCTGGAGTGCAGTGGTGTGATCTCAGCTCACTGCAACCTCTGCTTCCCAGGTTCAAGTGATTCTCCTGCCTCAGCTTCCCAGGTAGCTGGGACTACAGGCATGCAGCACCACGCCCAACTAATTTTTGTATTTTTAAAATAGAGGGGGTTTCACAATATGTTGGCCAGGCTGGTCTCGAACTCCTGACCTCAGGTGATCCACTCTCTTTGGCCTCCCAAAGTGCTGGGATTATAGGCATGAGGCACTGCACTTGGCCATTGTATTTTTAAAGAAAAGTTTTGGATCTGTCATAAATAATGTGACATTTTTCCTTAGCCCAAGACATCGTAGGCAAATTTTGTTTAAACATACCCTAGCCTCAGTGTAGAAAGACAAAATCCCTTTTTAACAAGAACATTCCAAAGCCGGGAATGTAGTTAACTAAGGGTTCTATAAATGTGTTCGACATCTTAATCAATGTTGCAGAAAGAAAAGCCTCTCTGTGTATGACCCACTCTACAGTCATGGCTCCGTCCTTTGGTGAGAGTGCCAGGCACCCAGAGGCGGATGTTGGCTGCTGTGTTGAGTTCATCTACACTTGGGTTTCTCTCAGTTTGTAACACAAAGAAAAACCATGAAGAAGGACTTAGGAGATTCCAAGCTCTGGGCTAAAAGGTGAAAATGTTGGCTCCTGCTTGGGCTGAAGCTTGTCTCCTCTGCCTTTCTGACTCACCATCAATAACTCAGTGGTCCCAAAGGCAGTAAATTACTCTGCAGTTGGGTGGTGTTAATTAGTTCCTTTGAAATGGGGTCAAGCATTAATTAACAATACTCTGGACCCAGATCTACTCTTCTGTAAGGAAGAACTCTCATTATAAATGCATTTTACTTTGTGATATTTTGCTTGGGTAAGGACAACTTTGTTACTTTCTAAGATGGTACTGTTGCTATTGTTATTACAATAGCCTTTCTGCATTCATTATGCAGGATTATAAATTCTGTGTATGGAGCACAACAAGGTGAAAGCTTACATAATATTAAATGGGAGCTTCAGCTTACTTTCCTTAGATTATTGCAATGTTTTTAATTTTTTATTTCTCTTTTTATATTTCTCCTCTCTTCCCATTTTTTGTTGGTGTTTTATCTCTTCCCACAAACTACTTGAGGTCAGGGCCATTTTATTACTCTATCCAAGAATTATTTATTGAGCACATTCTGTAATAGCTTTACCCAGGGTGATGTGACAGCTAGTTGGAAGATAGGACACCTAAGTGTATGAAATATAAGATATTAAATAATGAATCTAGGCTAAGTAATAGTGCAGGACTTATTTCAAGGTGGTTTTTGCCAAATGTTCAATGACCACAGAGAAGCAAGAAATTTCCATGTGTGATTCTCTAAGTCATCAACCCACTTCAGTGGTTTTGTACATATTTAAACCTATGGGTGAGTTATCTTTGACAACCTCAGTCTGCTGCATGCAGAGAGGTAAATGTCGTAGATATATGCGAACATCATAAATGTGGAAAATTTGGTTGGTAGTTTTTTTGAATAGTGATAACTGAATAGGAAGCTTGTTTTTGGACTAGTGAGCAGAAGCTCAACAGTGACACTTTAATTTTGTCTTTGTTTTCTGCTGTGCTAACATTTAAAAACAGTACAATATCATTGTGCCAGCCCAAGGTGACCCCTCCTTCAGGATTGCCATAGAGTTTACACTTATTCAAGCACCTCCATGTCATTTACAAACTTCTCTTTTAGGTGTTAACAGCTCCGTTTTGGAGGATGAATCTAAGATGGGTGATCGCACTCTCAGGTAGCTCTGGAATTTGTGCCAAAGATGGTCTCTGTCCTTTGGATTTGGAGGCAGATCACCCTTTGAGATAATTAGTAAATGGAAAGCTCCTGAGACAATGAAAGCTTTTAAAATATCACCAAAGCAACTATAAGCTACCTTAAAATGGCTATGATTTATTTTGTGTAACTTTTTTCAAGTAAAATTGTCACAACAGAAGGATGGTGAGCTCTGTATGGAATCTAGAAAATGGACTAAAAGTCTAGAATTGGTCAGCTTGTCTCTTCCAGTGTCTAGGCAAAGACTATTCCGAATCTAATGACTAGAACCTCTCTTTGGTCAAAAACGTTTCTTAGGTGGGGAAGAATGACTTTTTTCTGGAAATATCTCCAAGGAATATCCAAAGCCCTTGGCTTATTTGGTAGTTAGAGCTACCAAATAAGAGAAAGAACTTTAATGCCATCCCTTGGGTAGGTTACCTACGCAGAAGATGTGCCTGATGTTGTATATCCTATCGTGCCTATCTCCCATCATAGACGAATGCATTTATGTTTTCATTTGTTTATCTTTACATATAAACATAATGCAAAAATGGATAATCCAGAGCCTTAATACACCAAGTGAACTTTCAAAACTGGCTTCAGTATTGCATAAATATATTATTATTAATATAATTATTATAATAGTACTAAGCTAAAAGAACAATCCCTGGGCCCACACTGGCCTCCACTTAGGGACCAACTCTGGGTAGGTGGATGCCTTCATTTCTTTATGGAAACACAGTGACAATGATAGGAAAAAAAATGTATCTCTTCTTCCTTTCCAGGCACCTGGGATTCTCCTTGCTGGTTCTGCCTCTGCCACTCTTCACATCATTAATACTGGGTTCCACCTGGCTCTGTTTTTCAGGGCTTTGCTCTCAAATCTAGGCACTTCCTGGTACTCATTAACACAGATCAAGAAATTTTTCTTTCACCTCGTATTCCCTCTAGGTTTAATTCTCTGCTGTAATCTGACGACTCATTCCATCTAAGTCATGGGAAACTGATAATAAATTATTTGGGGAATTTTTGGGAGGGTTGTCTTCTTCCTAAAAGATGGGGATGGGGCTCTTTGAGTCACTTGAGTAGACCTCAGCACTCAGTGGGCTGGAGATCTGGAGATGTCACAGAGAGGTGGTTTCATCTTGCCAAAAAAAAAGATTATATGTATAGGTATATATACCTATACATATAATGTATGTATGTGTATATGTATATGATATATATATGTGTGTGTGTGTATATATATATATATATATATATATATATATATATATATATATATCACTCCAAAAGAAGGACCCTAGTGAAGGGGAGTGTATCCTAGACTGCTGCCTGGACTTTTTACATTCAGAAAAAAAATTTCTTTCTTTCATTCTCTAGATTACCATATTTGAATACTTTGATAAGACTTCTGTCTGGGAAAACAACAGCAAGGACTAATCCAAGATCAGTTCCCCTCCTCCCCCACCTCCAAATGTTCCATGCCCTGCAGATTTTGAAAAAGCAGGGAGTGAGTTAGGGAAAGACACTTTGATACTAAGGGGCGAAATATCAATAAAATAGCAATCTTTGCAGGCAATCTTGTGAAAGGTCACTTTTAATCATCTTGTATTTGTTGATCGATTTTACTCACATGAGACACATTTAAAACACCTGGTAGGTATCAGATTTATAAACAAACATGTAGCAAGAGAGAAATCACAAACCTGCTTGATGCTTCCCCTTGTTCTTTCCTTCAGGTGCGTGCAGGCAGAAGAGAAATGATGATAAACCAGTGAATATATTTATAGCACTTGATAATGGCCAAATTGGAGATTGGGGAATCAAATACCTTAAGTAACTCTTTTCATGCAAGATCCACAAAAGCAGTGTTCTTTATAATAAATGTACTCAACTTGCTAACATATATTCTTTGTGATACAGACCAGAGATAGCACAACATTTACTTGGCAAAGCCAAGACTGCCCACATAGAATAAAAAACAATAGACTTTTCATTAGCCAAAGCTATCCATGGCTAAGAAAAAGTGGTTCTGATCTAACCAGAATTAGCAAGGGCTCTTAGAATGTTGCTAGTTACAACATAACTGTTCTCTGTGCATCTGGCAGACTTTGGTTTCTAAACCTGGATTCATTAATGAATTGTATCTCAGTCACTTGCTGAGGCAGATTTTTTTTTGTATCGTATAAAATCTAAATTTCCTTGGAGTAAATAAGGTACATAGAATATTTACCAAAACTCTTTTAGCCTATACTGTTGGGTGGCATTTGTAATAACTCATTTTAGCAAATGTAGGTCTAAGCACCATGGTGTAGGGTCTGTACTCTTTGCAAACGAGCTGTGTGCCTTTGGGCAGGCACCTTATTTGCTTGCAGGTTTTGGTTTTCTTATGAGTAAATCAAAGGCTTTAGGTTAGATAATCTCCAAATCCCCACTTCTTAAGGTACCACAAGGTGTTTTTGGAGCTTGATAATTCCCCATAGCCTCATAAAATTTCTGACTCATTCCCTAAATAGCATATTTACCTGTGTTTTGCCCTTTGCAGCTTCACTCTCTTTGAGGAGAAAATCAAGAAAAGTACTTGCTTCTATACATCCTTCTGTTATTAAAATAAAACTTTGAAATAGAATTGCTAAGACCTCTAGAGTGTATGTAAGAGACAAACCAGACCTGAAAAGAGAGAGTAAGGAACTGCTGGTTGTATCCCTGGCAGGTTTGAGTGTCCCTCCTCCCATTTCTCTCTGCCCTGCACAGCTGTTTCTTAGACCTCTCTTTCATCCTGTTTAGTGGAATCAAAGCATCCCACTATGTCTTTAAAACTGGGGAACAAGAGCATGGGGCTGGTGTTTTTTAATGATAACAGTAACATTGATGATGATGATGATGATATTGTTGATAAATTGATCTTCCCCCTGGCCACCTATTTGAAATTATAGCCTCTGATGCTCCCTAAATTCCTTCTTTATTTTACTTTTCTCCTTAGCACTTAATGCCATCTAACATATCCTATATTTATTTATTTATATTGTCTATCCCAACATCCCTTGAATACATACTTCCCAAGGCCAGAGATTCTAACTTTTTTTTTTTTTTTACTCCAACTGCTTCATTCTCAGTGCCTAGAACTATGCCTTGCACATCATAGGTGCTCAATGAGTAATTGTTGAATGCATACATGACTGAATAAATGATCTTTCCCATCAGAAGTTCTTAGGCTGAATGCTAAAGGAAAATACACAATGTAAATAAAATAGTAATTGTAGTCTGTTTCTTACTACAACACTCTCCATTCGGTAAGCCACTTAAATGTAAAAAGATCCCTCTAAGTCACTGAAAATTATTGTCACTTGATTAAAGCAAGTTTGCTTTGTAAAACAAAAGTTTGAACTTGGCTTCAGGGACTCTGTGAATACATTAAAATTGTAGGCAAAGTATTGATTTTCTCGTGCATTGATTATCTTTCTTGGGAAAGACCCCATAATTTCCATCACATTCTCAATGGTTTAACAAAAAACATCAACAAGGATTAAGAACCTCTGCATTTTGAAGCAATGAAGCATCACTGGAAGGGGAGAGATGTTAGGACATCTAGTTTCCCATGAACTTTACCAGTGACTGCTGTGTCATTCTGGACAAATAACTGTTCTTCATTCAATGGAGCTGAGCCCCATGGTTCATGAGTTTGCAGGAAAAGGAAAGTGAGGGAAAGGCACAGTAGGACATGAGGAACACAGGTGTTTGCATAAATCCTCCTCCACCTCCACCCCCACTTAAGACAGGGAAAATATCAGAGGAGTAGAAAGAACTTATGTGAATAAAATAATAGTTGATTTACTGGGGGAATTTGACTCATTATTAAACAGTTTTTCCAGGCTTTTAATGACTTTTAATCCAAAAACTGCAGTAAGTGGGAAGCCAAATAATCACATATGATAATAGACCACTCTCCTCTGTCACTTGAGAATTCTCTATCAGTTTTCCTACTCAGATTCCCTTTTTACATTTACCTAGCAAACTTCATGAAGACAAGAAATACAATTTCTATATAATTTTTATTTTTGGTTCATACTCCCAAGGAATAAATGGCACAGGAGTTAGGTTCTATTTTCGGTTTTTTAATATCAAAATGTTGAAAGGGTCTTAAACTCCATAAAAAGTTCAACTAAACTTCAAGATCTAAATGAAAAGAGGATTTTAATCCAAACATGCATTCAACAGCATCCATGCTTCTATCCATGCTAAGGTTCCATCCTCTCTGAAATCCCTGGAGTGCTATGAATATCTCTGTCCTAGGTGCTGACAAGAATTTTAGATACCACCCACCAGGAGGCATTTCCCATTAGAGCTTAGGAATCATCTTGCCCAACTCTTGTCCTTCTCTTTGTGGGTGGGAAAACTGAGGCCAAGGGCAGAACAGGGAAGTAATGTAGTTAATGATGGATCTGGTGCTTCCCAATGGTATGCATTCTGCTGCATCACAAACCTCCATTAAGACGGTACTGCCAGGGAATGTCATGGAGGTTTCCTCAGCTGATATCTCCCAAGATCAGTAAGAACAGGTGGTTTTTTGTGAGTCACAGTAGTTAGGTGTCCTGAATCCCATGAAGCCACTAGGATTAAGGTTTTGTTGGGCTATGAAGAAAAGCAGCTGGTGCTCTCAAATGTCGGATGAGCAATTTAATAACTTTTGAACAACCTGAGGAACTGACTACGCTAATCAAGCTGGGTGACTCACAGAAAGCCTTTCTCATGACTTACTGCTTCGGTATTTCAATGAGGACTTCTTTAATTAGGTGGTGAATATGATTTAACATTTTCTGTGATAGTTGAACTGGAGTCCAGGTTTCCAAGACTCCAAGACTAAGCCCTTTTTTTTTTTTTTAATTACAGATCTCTGTGGTAATCATTAGGACTGTCCATAATGTCCTTGGTTCTTGCCTGCTTCTAGGCACATGGTAAAAGGTAAAATTGTACTTCCCCATTTTCTTTGAGTTTAGGCATGGCTGAGTGATTTACTTTGGCCAATGAAATGTGAAGAAAAGTAGTCTTACTTTAAAATTGTGAATGCAAATTCCAAATTTTAATCCGCTGGGTCCCATTGCCTCATTGTAAACTATAATCCTATTAGGACTCCTATTTTTCTCTTTTTTTGCCACTGATGTGAGTTTGATCTGCAAGTAAAAGCTTGAGGACCATCCAGAGAGGATCCAGATGAGAAATGGCTTTGAGAGATCTAAACGTACAAAGATGGATTACTCTCTAAGCACTCATCTCTTGGGGTCAGGCGATGGGTGCAAAATAAATAATCCTTGTTTTTCAAGAACTGTGGTGCTTACCTTTAGGATGCTGGTGGGCTTTACGAAATGAGACATTAGAAAGTAAGCATGAAATAGTAAAAATAAATCTCTATAAAATTTACATTATTTTAATCTTTAACCCCAGTCTGTGGATTGTGAGGAATGATACTGATTCCATTTAGTTTTGTGCCAGAACTGCTACTAAATAGGTTTGAATCTCTTTAGGAGCAACAGAGAATAAGAGAAGCCAAACATTAACACCTTTTTTTGTGTGTGTGGGTATGGTTTGTTTAACAGACTTGAAAAGACTCAACTACAGTGGCAGCTGTCACACTGATACCTACTTGGTAGGGCTGCAGGTGTGCAAGGCCTTCAAGTGTGGCTTCCAGGTTGCAATGGAAACAGATTTCTCATCAGCTGCGTAACTACGCCAAACACACTGCATGTGGCATAGATGGGGACATGAAAAAGAAAAAAGAGAGCAGGATTTAGAATAAAATAAAAAGAGAAATGATTAAGTTACTACACATGAAGAATCTTTTGCCTCTTATACTTAGCCCTGATAAATACCCAAAGGAGGAAGAAGGCTACTTTGGCATTTTCAGCTGGCTGTTAAACATATTGCACCACATCAGAACTTCTTTTATTTTATTTTATTTTATTATTTATTTATTTTGAGATGGACTCTCACTCTGTTGCCCAGGCTGGAGTGCAGTGGTGCGATCTCAGCTCATTGCAATCTCTGCCTTCTGGGTTCAAGTGATTCTTGTGCCTCAGCCTCTAGAGTAGCTGGGACTACAGGTGCCCACCACCATGCCTGGCTATTTTTTTTTTTTTTGTACTTTTAGTAGAGATGGAGTTTCACCATGCTGGCCAGGCTGGTCTCAAATTCCTGACCTCAAGTGATCCGCCTGCCTTGGCCTCCCAAAGTGCTGGGATTACAGGTATGAACCACTGTGCCTGGCCAGAGCTTCTTTTCAAAACAACATACCAAGAAGCAAAAGGCCCAAAAAGTGCAATATAATGTAATTTTTGAATTGGTAAGGGAAAGATACTATATTATCCAAAACAAAAAGTAATGATTGACTGGTTAAATGCTAATATCCAAGATAGTAGTTAGGTGAGCGACTTGAGCATGAGCATACATTCTAGAGATTGATCTTTAATCAATATTTGATAAGGGAGAAGCAAAGGACTAATGAAAATCCATTATGCAACTAGTAAGCTAACTAGTTAACTAATGAACACCAGGGTATGCTAGTGATTGAATTAATGAAATCCTTGAACTATGTAATACTTCTAATGCTAAAAATGAAGATAGTGATATCAAGAAGCAGAACTAAAACAGGATGGGGAAAATGTACTCTCTAGGTGTATAGCTGCAAAACACCTACGGATTTATGCCATGATCTAAGAATATGTTTATAGCTCTTTGATGTAAAACATCAACTCTCTCCATTTCATATAATTACACCTGGCATACATAAGACAAAGTATTTTTATGTGATCCTCACCATCAAAGTGTGAATTAAGATTCCTGTTTTGTAGGTGAGAAAAAAAGGGCTCAGATAAATGAAGAGGTTTATACAAAGTTGGTGGAGTTGAGACAATATCTCAGATTGCCTGGCTGTCAGTCATAGAATCCCTCCACGGAGACTTGCTGACTGCTTGAAGACTGTTATTGGAAAAGCTTCCATCTGAACTGCTCATTTGAGAGATTGCCCGACCTTACTTTCCCATATAGATTTTGGTAAATTTCTTTCTTTTTAATGAGTCTGCAAACATCTCTAATGGCCAGGTATTTACTCCAGTCCCCTCAGAGAAAACTTTTTTATTATAGTAGATTAATCAAAACATTTTATTTTATGTGACAAACCTATTTATTTATTATTTATTTATTTGAGACAGGGTCTCCCTCTGTCCCCCAGGCTGGAGTGCAGTGGCACAATCTTGGCTGTCTGCCACCTCTGCCTTCTGGGTTCAAGCGATGCTCGTGCCTCAGCCTCCTGAGTAGCTGGGACTACAGGCACGCACCACCACATCCAGCTAATTTTTGTATTTTTAGTAGAGACAGGGTTTCACTATGTTGGCCAGGCTGATCTTGAACTCCTCACCTCAGGTGATCTGCCACCTCGGCCTCCCAAAGTGCTGGGATTACAGGCATGAGCCACCATGCCTGGCAGACCAATTCATTTAAATGGGCCACATCCCTAGTACATAACACATCAGTCATGATTGTGAAATCCATAATGAAGAAAATGTGATCTAACAATATTCCTTTTCCTGAGAATATCATTGAATAAATGTATGCTAAATAAAAGTTAAAAATTCACACAACTACTTGGGAAAACTGGAAGTTTCTATGAAAGCTGAACATTTAAGTATCCTATGATACAACTACACACTCCTAGGTATATTTTCAAAATATATGCTTATATATGTTCATTAAAAGATATGTACTATATGTTGGTTTCTAATAAACTAAAGCTGGAAATTCCAAAATACCCAGAAACAGTAGAATAAACAGAAAATTTGTGACACCATTTACATAGTACAATACTATATGGCAATAGTACATATAGCTACACACAACAACATGGATGAACTTCATGTGAATAACGTTGAGTGAGAAAAAGAAGACACCAAGGAGTACATTTCCATAACGTACAAAAACCAGGGAAAACTATTCTACGCTGTTAGAAGGTAGCACAGTGGTTATCCTTATGGGATAGTGATTGCGAAGGGGTACACAGGAGGTCCTGCTCTGTTTATCTGAGTGCTGGTTATGCAGGTGTGCTCAGTTCTCCTAAGATATGTGCTCTTTTCTGCATGCACATTGTACTTCAATGAAATTTCAGAAAGTGACATAAAAAAACTAGAAAAATATAGTGGTAGAAACTGAGGGACTTTTTATATTTTTGAGGAAGGTTTAAATGATTGAACCAAAGTTCCTTGCCTTCATTACATGGCTCATGCTGATTTAATCTACAAATCTGTGGAAATTTGTGCTAAGTATCTTGACATCTTATATAATGCAACTATTGTTGCATCATCTTGAAATGTTAATCTTTGCAAATATTATACCTGCACAATTTATAGAGTGATTTAGAATAATTAAGGAAAACACATGGATTTAGGATTGCAGCTTCTTCTGTAGTAGTGATGCCCAGAGATCCTCTAATGTTGTGATGACACAGACGGCTGCCTTAATTAAACAATTTCCATAGAAGATGTCACACATATATGATTTTTGATACATTGAAAGCAAGACTCCTGTAGAACTAGAAGCATATGGCAGGTCTGCACATTATTAGATACCAGTGAAAAAATCCAAAACAACAGAACAACAAAAGAATGGGACCAAGGCATTGCCTGTGAATGTTATAAAGAACTGGGGGCAAAAGAGGCCACTCTGAGAAAATTAAAGATTTTCTTTACAATGAGACCTGATGTCTTGCTATTTTTCTCTCAAATTGATCCCAACAGCTAAGCTCTTGTTCCCTTCATTACTCATCTCCCAAAAATGCCTTTTAAATGAGAGGTATGGAAGGTGCAGGTGGCATCTGTCACATGGCTGATATTAGTTAACAGTAAAAATGAAGGTGGAAAGTGGAACTCTATGCCCGTTACACTCTAATAACTTTATTTTGTTCTTAGGTCTCTCTTAGCAAATTGTTTCTAGTAGCTGAACTTTGAACCCACATCCCTGTGATCCAGTAGCTGATGTTCCTATATTTAAAGCCAAAATCACACAGTAGTTGGCAAGAGAAAAATAACACTTAGAGGGATTTCCTATGGTTAATTTACATGGTGTATACAATTCAAAGGACAAATCAACAAGAAGCAAAATGAGAGCCAACTTTGCCATTTATCAGGTGATGCTGGTGCTCTAGGCAGTCAAAGAGATTTGGACTTTGCTCAATAAGTACAAGGCCAGTATAATTCAGTTTTTTTGGGAGTATTTTGTTTGTCTTGCAAGTATTACCATTATGGCATGTTTGATCCTTACTGGAAATGGTTTAGAAGGTTTCAGCTGACCATCCAAAGGAATAATGAACACAGAGCTTATTTTTTCAAGGTACAGAGTTTAAAATGTGAAAGTCCTGAAAGTTTTAGGCTATGAACCAGCAATCCCTTTCCACATCTTTCTTCACACTACTTTCTGTTCCTCAGAGGCAACCCCTTCAATTCTTATAGTTGTTGCTTCTATTTTTAAGAATCCTTATTTATTATTATTATTATTTTTGAGACAGGGTCATACTCTATCACCCAGGCTGGAGTGCAGTGGTACAATTATAGCTCACAGCAGCTTCAAACTCCCAGGCTCAACCAATCCTCTGGCTTCAGCCTCCTGAGTAGCTACAGGTGTGTGAGGACTACAGGTGTGTGCCATTGCACTTGACTTTTTAAAATTTTTTTGTAGAGGTGGGGTCTCGCTATGTTGCACAGGTTGGTCTTGAACTCCTGGCCTCAAGTGATCCTCCCACCTTAGCCTCTCAAAGTGCGGGGGTTGCAGGCATGAGCCACTTGCGTCCAGCCAAGAATGCTTATTTTTAAGGATTATGCTTATAGTTATATTTCTTGATTTTTCAATTTTAGACATTATCAATTAACTTCCTATCCTGAACGATAATGATATTGCCCACTTACATGCCCTCTTCCCCTCCTTTCATCCTATCAACATTTTAATATCACAATTCTTAGCTAAGTTACTATTTAATATTATTATGACAATGTAACTGCTGTTCCCAGTTCAGCAATGTGATGTACTATGGCTGCTCTTTCTTTCTTATACAAGTTTTTGGTTTTTTTGGAGTTATAATTGCCCTATTTTAATTTCTTGATTTGCATATATGTACCTGTTATGATTACATTCCAGATCTTTCCAACAGAACTATAAAATTCCTCTGGTCAAATGCATCATGAAATCTGAGAACTCCATTCTTTCGCTTCCTTGAAGATCTTTCTCCTGGAGCTCTCAGCCTCCTTCTCATTCTGTTCTCAAGGCCTGCATAGCTGTTGTCTTGGGACTTCCCTTCCCTATTATCATAGAAATCCCCTTTGCTCTTTCCTGTGCGGAATCTCTTGTTTTCTTGACTCCATGTCTCTTTCTCTCTTGGCTTATCCCCTTGTTGTGGAAGAGAAGTTCTATTTACAAAGTTTCTTGAGTAAAGGTAAATGGTAGATTAATTTTTGAGATCTTGCATGCCTAAAAGTGCCTTGGTGCTGCTCTCACACTTGATGGTGGTTTGGCTGGATATAGAGTTCTAGGTTGAAAATAATTTCTATAATTTCGAAAGTATTGTTTCATTGTCTTCTAATTTTTGGATTACTAATGAGAAATCCTATGTCATCCTTATTCTTGTTCCTTTGGCTCTGTCCTGCTCAGAAAGCATTTAGGATCCCCTTTTGGTAAGTTTTCTGATATTTTACTGTGATAATCTTGGTGTGAAGTTTTTGGTTCACAGTGCTGGACACTTGGTGAGCTCTTCTACTGTGGCCACTCCTGTCCTCCTGTTCTGGAGAATCATAATGTTGTATTTCTTTGATAAAATCTTCCTCTTAGTTTCCCTGCACTTGAGCTGAGACATCTTTATTAGCTGGATATTGGAATGCCTGGATGGACACTTCATGTTTCTTATCTTTTTTGCTTTATTTTCAATCTCTGTTTATTCTAGTTTCAGGGAAATTTTCACAACTTTATCTTACCTTCTGTTTTTTTTCCTGCCTTCATGTTTTTCACATCTAAGATTTTTTTTTCTGAGTCTGTTCTTATTTATTTATTTATTAAAGAAATGTGGTCTCACTATATTGCCCAGACTGATCTTGAACTCAAGCAATCCTCCCACCTTGCCCTCTCAAAATGCTGGGATTACGGGCATGAGTCACCACACCTGGCACTGTTTTTATTTATGACTGGAGCACTAAAAAGATGTAAAATCTCTATATAAGTGGCTTGAGCTTAATGACTAGTGGCTTCGCTTTAGGGTAATTGGGTGGAGACTAAGTCATTTTACTAGGGGAAGCCAAAGTTTCAAGACAAATATATATATTTTTCTTTTGGGTCAGTTGGCATCAAAGCAACATCTTCTAATCTATCCCTACCAACATTTATTTCACAAACTTTTACTTAATTCCCTGTTTCTGTTTCTAATAAAGCATATATTTATGAGGATGTAAATGCTGCTTTTTGAAAGGGGTAATGGATTCAGATTCAGACAGCAGGGATTTGAGTCCTAGCTCCTCCTAGGCTTGTCTCGAGGATCAAGTAACATAATGTATTAGAAGCACCCTGCAAACTAAAAAGCACTTCATGAGTCTTAAGCATTATTAATAAAAGTTGTGACATTTGGGCAGGTATTCAAAACATTACTGAGAGCTAATTTCTTTTTCCAGACTGCTCCAGCTTGAAATGAAAAGCAAATTTAAAAGAATCATGCAAAGATATTGACACAGCTAAATTTGCTGCAAGCTTCTGGGGTTTTAAATTTTTTTCCTAAAACCCTGAAATGTTGGTTAATTTAGTTCTCTCACCAACCAAATGATGAAGCAATTTGGGCATCTCAGTTGCCCTTTTAAGAAGATAGTGACTCTGGCCTAAAATAAATGAGACGCTTTTGGGCTTGATGGTTTGTGTGTTCAGCAGACCAAGTCAGGTTTATTGGGTAAGAAGGTGAAAGGATGATTAAATGAAGTTTGCTTTTCAATCTATTACATCCTGAAATATAAATTTCTATAATATATAATCAAGGCTTAAAGCCTTGAATTCTGTCTAAAGACTATAGCAAGGAAGAACAATGAACAAATTAATAATTATATTATTATTTCTATGTGTAATAAATTAATTGCATTTAAATGAAGGAGCACTTGCTTTTAAAATTAGTAGATTCTACTTTGATTAATGAAACTATGATTAGATTTTAAAAGTACTCTTGAATGCTTCAAGCATTCCATTTTGCATTATTTTTGTTAAGAACAACATTTAAGTTGGAGTTTTAAGTAAAATAAAAACTCACGATTTTACTTCATTGTTACCTGCATTTGTACAAGTTCAATTACTGATCACAATATATGTTACATAACCCAGTTCCATAAAATAAAATTCTAGGCCTCCAGGTAAAACTGTTCAATTAGCCTGTCCTCCACAGGGTTACCTGTGAGGGAGGCCTTGCCTCATTTTGACTGTAGACATATAAATGCCTCTGCTCCAATGATTTGCTGTAGAAATAACAATTTATTTTCAAGTTCAATTGGAAATTATTGTTGCACAGTTTAGTAGTCAATAATGACAAGTTAGATCAGGAGATTTCCTGCAGTTATTCTCTATATTTCTTTTGTATGGTATGGCAGCCGATAGCCACCTGTAGCTATTGAACACTTGAGAAGTGGCTAGTGCCATTGGCAAACTTGGTTTTTAATTTTAATTAATTTAAATGTAAAAAGCTACATGTAGCTAGTGGTTACTGTATTGAGCGGCACAGCTTTGTATCATCACAATTGATATGTGCATGAGAAATTCCTCAAAGAGCTCACTTTCTAACAAAACAGCTGATATTCCAAGAGGTTTTATTGTGTAAAATGTATTATTGGTTCCATATGTAGACAGAGCTTGGTGCTCAGACGGATGAAAGGAACCCATGCAATAACTTCTGCACTCACAGGTTGGAAAACGTTGTTCTAGAGTGAAGGAAAATTAAAGGATAAGAACAGTAAAGAGAAAAACTTATTAGAAGTATTGGAACATGTGTAACCAGTTAAGGAGTGCTAAAGGATGAAAGCCTATGAATTCTGGACCTTGGGGTATTTTGCGTGTGTCCTAAAGTGTGTGACTCCTCTTTTCATTCTGCTGATTATTGTTTGGCATCAGATCTTAAACTCCAACTTCATATAAGAAAATAGAGTTTACTTTCTCTTTAGTGACCTTTTAAAACCTGTAAAGAATATGTAAAAAAAAAAAATTGTAAAAAATAATGTAAAAAAATAGAGATTCTCAGTGATTTGCACTGGAAGTCATGCCTGATGGTCTACTTTCTTGTCAACAGTTGCAGAATAGCTTGATTTAAAAATTAATATCCTCATTTAATGATTAGATATAAACAGATCTCCTTCATGATATAACTGAACCATACTGCCCCCTTCTTTCCCCAGCTCCATGTCTGTGGGAGGCACTGCATATATCACAGTCACAGATAAACACTAAAGGTAGGGGTTGTGGTGGTTATCTCCCACCAACCCACCCACCCAAACCTACAATCTAAATTAAAACAGTGTGCTTGTGGCCGGGAGCCGTGGCTCATGCCTGTAATCCCAGCACTTTGGGAGGCCGAGGTGGGCGGATCACGAGGTTGAGAGATGGAGACCATCCTGGCTAACACGGTGAAACCCTGTCTCTACTAAAAATACAAAAAATTAGCCGGGCGCGGTGGCGGGTGCCTGTAGTCCCAGCTACTCGGGAGGCTGAGGCAGGAGAATGGCGTGAACCCAGGAGGCGGAGCTTGCAGTGAGCCGAGATCGCACCACTGCACTCCAGCCTGGGCGACAAAGCGGGACTCTGTCTCAAAAAAAAAAAAACAAAACAAACAAAAAATAAAACAAAACAACAACAGCAACAAAACAGTGTGCCCGTTACTGCAGCTTTAAGGCAAGTTTCCTAGGGCCTTGGAGCACCACTTCAAGACCCTCCAGTTTAGAAATTCGGTAGCTTCCACTTCCCTAGCAGGAGGGGAGAAACTTTAGATTGTAGAATTATTTTGTCCATAACTAAATGTCAACTCTACATTATGAATCTAACAAAAAATATATTTTGTGATTCTTAACCTGGATCTAGGATGGAAAATATATGGATGGCAAAAGGAGAAGCATTCCTTTTAGTGCTGAAGCTAATCCTGAGTTAGTGAAAAGAAAATGAAATACTAAATAACAACCTATGTATTAGGAGCTAGCTTCAAATTATATACTTATTGTTTAATATTCTCAAACACTGATGTATTCCATAGTCCCATCAGCTCTCAAAATAGGATAGCTATTTCCGCTAACTGCCCTAGATGGCACTAAAAGCAATTTCACAGGTATTAAACCTTGACATTCTAAACAAATATGTTGTTCTTTAAAACAGCAACATACATCTGGCTGGAGAAAGTAATTGGAATGCAGGGAACAATGCCCTGTTCTGCTCCATCACTTAATGATCAATTACGTTTCATCAAGTAATTCATAAGACATATTAGATAATTCCACGAGCCACACAACTGCTAACCTTTGCATGGCCTTGCTGACATGGTTACTTAGTCTGAACAATGCATGGACCATTTGCTAAAAATACATGTGTTTCAGTTTGGGAGAGGAGGAACAAATCCAAGACTGTCCAAATCCAAGACTGTACATTAAGTTCTGACTTCATTTTATAAAAAGGAACAAAGCAGTAGTTCTACCAAGCAATGAAGCACAGAGATTGGAAAATGACCCATCAAGCACTATGGACACAAATGTTGCCATCTACCTATTACATTGACATTTACCTGAATGAGGTTGGCAGCTGGGTTCCTTCTTTTCTCAAAGTGTTTCTGGCGGTGTTGTTCTTGTACTTTTAATGCAAAACCTGAGCCAAGAATGCCCTGGAACAAAATACAAAAATGGCACTCAAAAATTTCAAAAGCACTGTTAAATAATACAAATATTAAAAAGTCACTAAAATGAGTCTGAGAGAAGACAAACGGTATGTAACCTGTCCATAAACATGTTACTTATTAAAATAAGCAGTATTTATCTCCATTATAATACCAATAGCCAATGGCAAATTGTTGGGCAATACTGCCAGGAGATACAACTTCTGTTCTTTAGTAAGTCAATTAGGCATTGTCATTTATTATCTTTTGTGGTATAGCATAGGCACCATGATTATAAATAAAATCACAATAAAATTTTTTTGTGTGTGTGTGGCCTTCTCTGTGACATTTCTTTTTGCCTAAGTTAGATTGAATGGTCTCATCCAGTGATGGAATGTAGAGAACATGAATTTCAACTTGGGACAGAGCTGGATTTTAAATCTGAGGGAGTTAAAGTCTCACTGCTGTGAACATGGGAATACTTCTAGCACTTTGATGAGACTCTGAAAGTTAGATTCTCTATTCATGAAATGGAGGAGAGAGGACTGTATAAAATCTGTCCCAGCTGTAGTTCTTTATAATGTTATAACTGTACACCTACTAAAAGAAAAGTAAAATGGAGAGCAGGGATACTCAGTTTTGAAGATATAGAGTAGAAGGTTTTCTATTTTGCCCATTTGTACACTAGAGACAAGAACGTGGATCATTGCAAAGCACATTCCCATTTTAATTCACACTTTTACCATTCCTTGCCTTTTTTATTTTGGCTCACCTATTCAGTTTTTGGGATTAGTAAGATTAGTATTCCCTTCTAGGTTTACATTAGTTTTGGGCCAGTTTGCTTTTCTTCTGCTTATCATCTTGATCTGCCAAAATTCTGGTTCTTTGATGTCCCCCACTCTTTTCAATTTGCTCTGGTCTACTAACATTTGTAAAAACAAGATGCTTTGTCTCAGCCTTGGGTTGGCTTTTGGAGCTTGCTAAATTCAGTCTCTGGGCTTTGTCTTTAACTCTTGAGTTTATTAGCATGGGGCTGGGAGCTCTGCTGCTTTCAAGTCTGTGGATTTTACTTGCTAGCTATAAATTATTAGTTTTTTATTAAACTTCAAGGAGTCTAACCCTTTGGTTAGAGATGGACATTTTATAAGCACTAAGTCAGTATTTGCTACAGGTAAGGAATGGTTGCTTTTCTTTTCTTTTTATTTTTAGAGTAGCTCAAAGATGGTTCAAAGATGCTATAGGCTGTCTGGAGAGGTGGTGGGTTTTTCATTTCTAGAAGGTGTTAAGTCTCAACTGAATAACAACTTGGCTGAGATATTTTTGGGCTCTAGATAACCTTTAACCTTCCTTCTTATCTTGAGATTCCACACTTCTGAGTACATCAGTGACAATAACCAGACAATAAGTAATGCAATCATGTTTAAAATACGCAGTGGTCTGATAATACTATTTGCTATTCGTGAGCAATGATCTACTCCATTATTAATTAGTATAAATGACTGTACTATGAAATTAGAAATTACATCATAGGTTCTGTTTTCCATCTCTCCTTTTCAGTGACTGTCTTACGCTGTCTAAGATCTCTATCTCATACAGGTTGTGATTGTACAAACTAAGCTTTATAAAAACCTGGTCTCTGTGATCTGGTTTATAGATTTAAACAACATTTCCCTCCATTTAGGTGTTATAAAAATGCCCCTCCATTTCTAAATCCAGAACAACTTAAGTCATTTGTAACTTCTAATTTTTTTCTGCTGTGTAAGATCATTTAGGAAAGATTTCTTTATTTTCCCTTTAATACTACTTTTCATAAAGTGTAGACATGTAAGAGAATATGAAATACCAAAATTTCTGGCATATATTTATAATATGTAGTATATATACATGCATTTATGTGCATATATGTGTATAATCCACTTGTATGGAGCATAATTTAGATTTTGCAGACATTGAATTAACAGCACTAGCTACCATTTTGAGCACTTATGATGTGGATGTGAGGTTCGGAGTTTAATCCCCTTTGGAAAATAAAGACAGGCCCTACATAGCACAAATTTATCATCTGCCAAACAATCTAAAATGTGCTGAAAATCACATTGGCATTGCTCGGAAACATATATTAGTGAATGGTAAATGTTCACTACGTATTTCTTGTGCCAGACTGTACATTACAGCAGTTATTAAACCAGGTCTGCTTATTGTCTCATCATGGCTCCTTTCCAATTTTTTTCCACCTCTCTCTTAGTACACAGCTTGGTGCACCTAAACAGAAGTCTGTGAAAATAAGGTCTATTATATTTGTATATACACACATAAAACATGGCTTAAGCTTTGAACATATATGTCATCCCTTCAAATACTGACACCAATAAATGTAAAGAAATTTACCCTTCATTATCTTCTGGATTAAATGAACCTAATTTGTAACCCACACATAGCAAATAGGCAATGCTGAAAGACATCCTATTTTTTTTATTTTTTATTTTTTTTGAGATGGAGTCTTGCTCTGTTGCCCAGGCTGGAGTGCAGTGGAGCGATCTCGGCTCACTGCAAGTTCCGCCTCCTGGGTTTACATCATTCTCCTGCCTCAGCCTCCCGAGTAGCTGGGATTACAGGTGCCCGCCACCACGCCTGGCTGATTTTTTGTATTTTTTAGTAGATATATGGTTTCACCATGTTAGGCAGGATGGTCTCGATCTCCTCACCTTGTGATCCGACCGCCTCGGCCTCCCAAAGTGCTGGGATTACAGGCGTGAATCACCACGCCCAGCAAGATGCCCTGTTTTTTTAAACGGTTTTTAACATGTTATTATATGCAATAATTACATTTAGTTAATATTGTTAAGGATTACAGTGGCCAATATTTTTAATGGAATGGTTAATATCGTGAGTCAAACAGCACTAGTTCTTGCACTGAATTTACTAGCTGGAGGTCTCAAGGAATTCAGTCTCTATAAAACTCAATTTCTTCATCAATGAAAATACTCTTAGCAGGAATATCTAGCAGAAGACAAGGGAGCACTCTAAAAAGGAGAAAGACCTGCATATCAGGGTAACACAGGGGAGCTGGGGCTTCTTCTGTGAGCTCATTAGCCCAGAGATGGAGCGGGCACCAGGGGAAGTGACCCCACAGTGGCGCTTTGGATGGGTGGCTTGTATGACTCTGTGATGTGCAGGATGGCCCTTCTGCTTTGAGGGTAAGATGGAGAAAGGCTCTTTTCTTTCTTGGTTCTCAGGTGTCCTGGGTGGGAGGAACCCTACATAGGGGCAGCCCACAATCCACCTCTAGCTTTCTCAGCAAAATGTCAATGTGTCTTCCTAAATTTCAATCAGACAACTCTTTTGGTTGGCAGATACACAGGATATAATAAAATCTCTGGCAATCTTGTTTTTTTCTAAAGGTATATATGGACCATTCAGTCTTTCATTTAATAAATAAGGACTCAGAAAATATTGTGAAGTTTCAGTAAAAGATCCTTAGTAGAGGTTACTTTTCTTGGGGTTCTTAAGAAATGTAATTTTCTGTGAAAGCAAAATTTTCAGATTTCCAACATAGGTTAATTTAATTTGCATATAAAAATTTCATACTTACTTTATTGGAAACATTTCCAAGAATGACTACTTAGTCTCTGACCTTTAACTTAACCTAGTGACATATTTAACCTCCCTGTGATAGTTTAGAGTTTCATTATGGGGACTGCCTTTTTGCTGTGCTGGGTGCAGCCAACTTCCAGAGGTTTGTTGACCCTAACACTAATTGGCCCTAGATCTTCATACATTTTGTTTTCCCTTTTAATTTAATTTTATTTTTACTGACAGGATACACATTTTGAACACTGATGTCTGCTTGCTACTCACAGATTTCCTTTTCCCTTCTTTGCTGTTAGTCTTTTACCATTTCTTTCTGTTGCAGTGTTTGTTCTATCATCTTCCTCTATATTTGTTGTTTATAATCTTCAAAGAATTGTGAAACCATATAGGTGAGTTTATCAGAATTTTCTCTGAATGAAGACTAGGTTATGAATTAGGTCTCAAGTGGCTCTCCTATGAGGACAGAACATAGCCTGTTGTCTATTTCAACAGCCCAGAGGTTGCCTACCTCCTTGTTCATAGTTTTTCACTGAATCATAGAGGTTGCTCTACATGTGGCCTCAGGATAAATATAAACACAAAAGCTGCAATTATTTTGTGCCATTATTTTGGGAAAAAACCCAAGACTGCGTTGTATTGTTTCTAAAGGTATTTTCCTGTAGGGAATCTGATTATTGAGTGAATCTCTTCTCTGTTCTGAATTGTTGAGATTGCCAGATGAAGTTGCCTTGGATACGTAAGATTTTTTTTTTTTTAATTCTCCTGGATTTCATCATTTTGTTCCAGGAAACATGTATTTCTAGATTCATACAGGCAAAGGGAAGTAACATTTATTGAGAGTTCTCTTCATGACAAGCACTTGACTTACATTATTACATTGGTCCGCACAAAATTTCTCTGGGCTCAATAATTCTTCCTCCATTCTATTAAAAAAGAAACTTATTCAGGGTCACTGTTCAGGCTGAATTGCGTCCTTCCAAAATTCATATGTTGAAGTCCTAATCCCCATGACCTCAGAATGTGACCTTGTTTGAAAATAGGGTCCTTACAGAGGTAATCAAGTTAAAACGAGGTCATTAGGATGGACCCTAATCAAATATGACTGGTGTTCTTCTAGGAAGTAGAAATTTGGACACAGATGATGTGAAGACACAGGAAGAAGAGCCATCTATAAGCCAAGAAGAGAGGCCTGGAACAGTTCTTTCTCTCATGGCTCTCGTGGTTTCTCAATGCTTTGATTTTGGACGTCCAGTCTTGGGAACTGTGAGACAATACCTTTCTATTGTTTAAGTCACCCAGTCTGTGGTACTTGTTAAGGCAGCCCTAGTAAACTAAAGCAGTCATATAGTTAGTATGTGACAAAGATGTATTCAAACTGAGGTCTAGTACCCAAGCATATGCATGGCCTTTTCAGTCTCTTTTCTGTGATTTTGAGTGTTCTGGGGCAGAACGATCTGGTGAATCTCAAGTTGGGCACTGGTGGGACAAGGGTGTTCTCTGCACTTATTAATAGGCAGAGGAGAAGCCCTACCACCTAAAAGAGCTTTGGAGAGGTGCTCTGGGGTCTCTGGTTGGCACAGCTTGAGCTGTGTCTGGAGCAAGACTGGATCTATTTTCCTTAAGCACTTCTGCTCCCACCGCGTTAACCCTCCTTTTTATTGGCTCCTCCTTCCCTACCCCAGATGGAGCGAACAAAAGCAAGAACTTGGAAATGGGGGCAAACTGTAATATTTTGAACAGCTGCCTTTAAAGACACAAGAGAATAAAAGTATGAGAAAGGCAGGCTTCATTCACTAAGGAGAAAATAATCAGAAGCTTGGGGGCAGATAAATGTGCCCTTTATTCTGATAAGATACAGAAACTGCTCATTAAAAAAATCAATGATGATGACACAATGAATAAATCATCTGACATGTTTAACACCCTTTAAGGTCATATGCTTTTCACTCAAATGGATCTGAAGAGAAAAATACTCCATTGTGCACATCTGTCTCTTAAGTAGCACACATTATAAACCAAATTGGAAGGATCAGTTTTAAAAGAATATAGCTTTAAATCTTTGCAAATATTTTAAATGTCTTAGTAGCATGTTGCCTAAAAAGTGAGCCATCTGAATGATTATTTGGTCACAAAGTATGAGCCTACATTAAATAAAGTCTCAGATTAAGTGTCTCCAAGGGAAGACCATATTTTATAAATTATCCAAGTAGATATATTTAGAAAAGTCAACATTATATCGGAAAAATTATATTTGTAAATGATATAGATATGTTCCCAAGCATACGAATTTGTGAGAGCTCACTCTAATAAGTCTCTAAGATCTAATTTAAACTGCTTTATTGGTGCAAAGATACTCACGGCAGGAAGTGCAAAGAAAGAAATGCCAAGGAGTGCAAAGCCTGCAGAAAGCAATCTTCCCAGCCAAGTTAGGGGAGTTTTGTCTCCATAGCCAATAGTTGTCAATGTAATCTAGAAACAAAATAAATAGAATGTGCAGCTTAAGTACTTGAGAGGAAAGTTAGGACCTATGAACAGGAGGCAAGCAACGTTTCCACTAAATCATTATTCAACAAATCTTGTTCGTGCTTTTTATTACTGTGCTTTAATTTTCCATGACGCATGACAGAACTTCTCTTTGTTTAAGGAAAGGAATAACCTACATACTTGTTCCTCCCTTATAACACAGTTTTCCGTCTTTTCTAAGTGTATTTAAGGAAAGATTATTTAAGTAAGTGGATAACCATCAGTGATACAGAAATGATAGCACCATGGATTTAGGACTGGATCAGTACACAAATAATAATTTATGTTAATTTAGGCTGTCCCTTCGTTACCTTAGCAGGCATTTCCTGAAGGTCTGGTGTGTGCAAGGTATGTGTTAAGATTTGTAGTGGAACAAAAATGAGGGCATAGTTCTTGTCCTAAGATATTTATGGCCTAATAAGAGAAACATGCCACACATGAATAATTAAAATGCAAAACAGGATGAGAGAGGTATTATAATGGAGGTACAAATAACCTGCTATGGGAATTCAAGGAAGAGATTAGTTATTATAAGCTTGAGGTGTTGAGGGAGCTTTACTAGGGAGATGTCATCATACCTGGGCTTTGAAAGAGGGGTAACATTTTGAGAAGCAGAAATGATAAAGAAGGTGATCTAGGGAGGAGAAAGAGGTGGCTAGCTGCAGAACAGTGAGAACACATAGAGTAGATTCTGAAAAGTATGAGTTGTTCAGCTGGACTGGGGCATGGTGGATTTAAAAAGGATTAGTGACTTCTTCAATTTATTTTTTTAATATTTTATAGACTACTGTGTACAGGTCTTTCAGCTCCTTGGTTAAATTTATTCCTAAGTATTTTAATTTTTGTAGCTACTGTAAATGGGATTGCTCTCTTGATTTCTTTTTTGGAAAGTTTGTTGTTAATGTATAGAAATGCTAGTGATTTTTGTGGTGTTGATTGTGTCTCCTGTAACTGTACTGAATTTATTAGTTCTAGCAGTTTTTTTCTGGAATCTTTAGGGTTTTCTATATATAAGATTATGTTGTCAGCAAACAGCAAAAATTTCCTTTCTTCCTTTCTTATTTGGATGCCTTTTATTTCTTTCTCTTGTCTAACTGCTCTGGCATGGACTTCCACTACTATATTGAATAGAAGTGGCAAAAGTGAGCATCCTTGTTTTTTTTAAATCAAACTAATAATTTATTAATAATTTTTAATTTTTGTGGGTACACAGTAGGTATATATATTTATGAGTTATGTGGGATATTTTGATACTGGCATGCGATATGTAATGATGATATCAGGGTAAAAGGGGTATCCATCACCTCAAGCATTTATCCTTTGTGTTACAAATAATCCAATTATACTCTTAATTATTTTAAAATGTACAATTAAATTATTACTGACTATAGTCACACTTTTGTACTTTCAAATACTAGACGTTATTCACTCTTTCTGGTTTTTTTTTGGTGTCCATTAACCATCTCCGCTTCCCTCTCTGCTCACTCTCTCCACTACCCTTCTCATACTCTGGTACCCATCATTCTACTCTCTATCTTTGTGAGTTTAACTGTTAATTTTTTTTAATTATTATACTTTAAGTTCTAGGGTACATGTGCACAATGTGCAGGTTTGTTATATATGTATACATGTGCCATGTTGGTGTGCTGCACCCATTAACTCATCATCTACATTAGGTATTTCTCCTAATGCTATCCCTCCCCTCTCCCCCCCCCCCATGACAGGCCCCAGTATGTGATGTTCCCCATCCTGTGTCCAAGTGTTCTCATTGTTCAATTCCCACCTATGAATGAGAACATGTGGTGTTTGATTTTCTGTCCTTGCGATAGTTTGCTGAGAATGATGGTTTCCAGCTTCATCCATGTCCCTACAAAGGACACGAACTCATCCTGTTTTGTGGCTGCATAGTATTCCATGGTGTATATGTGCCACATTTTCTTAATCCTTAACTGTTAATTCTTAGTTTCCACAAATAAATGAGACCATGTGAAGTTTGTCTTTCTGTGCCTGGCTTATTTTACTCAACAAAATGAGCTCCGCTTGCATCCATGTTGCTGCAAATGACAGGTTCTCATTCTTTTTAATGGCTGAATAGTACTCCATTGTGTATATATGCCACATTTTCTTTATCTGTCTGTTGATGGATGCTTGGGTTACTTCCAAATCTTGGCCATTGTGTATAGTGCTGCAATAAACATGAGAGTGCAGATATCTCTTTGATATACTGATTTCCTTTCTTTTGGGAATATACCTAGCAGTGGGATTGCTGGATCACATGGTAGCTCTATTTTTAGTTTTATGAGAAACCTCCAAGCTCTTCTCCATAGTGGCTAAATTATACTAATTTACATTCCCACCAACAGTGTACAATGGTTCCTTTTTCTCCAAATCCTTGCCAGAATTTGTTATTGCCTGTCCTTTTCTCCAAATCCTTGCCAGCATTTGTTATTGCCTGTCTCCAAATCCTTGACAGCATTTGTTAGTGCCTGTCATTTACTGGAGTGAGATGATATCTCATTGCAGTTTGATTTGCATATCTCTGATGATTAATTATATTGAGCACCTTTTCATATGCCTGTTTGTGGTTTGTAATGTCATCTTTTGAGAAATATCTATTTAGATTTTTTGCCCGTTTTAAAATTGGATTATTTTATTTTTTCTTATACAGTCATGAGAGCTCCTTATATATTCTGGTTATTAATCTCTTGTCAGATGGATAATTTGCAAATATTTTCTCCCATTCTGTGGGTTGTCTCTTCATTTTGTTGATTGTTTCCTTTGCTGTGCAGAAGCTTTTTCACGTGATGTGATCCCATTTGTTCGTTTTTGCCTTGGTTGACTGTGCTTGTGGGATATTACTCACGAAATCCTTGCCCTGGAGAATTTCCCTCATGTTTTCTTGTAGTAGTTTCATAGATTGAGGTATTAGATTTAACTTTTTAATCCCATTTTGATTTGATTTTTTTCCATATGGCAAGGGATAGGGGTCTAATTTCATTCTTCTTCATATGGATATCCAGTTTCTCCAGCACCTTTTATTGAAGAGACTGTCCTTTCCTCGTTGCATGTTCTTGGTACTTTTGTCGAAAATGAGTTCACTGTGGATGTACGGATTTGTTTCTGGTTTCTCTCTTCTGTCCCATTGGTCAGTATATGTTTTTATGCCAGTACCATTTTGTTTTGGTTACTATATCTCTGTAGTATAATTTGAAGTCAGGTAATGTGATTTCTCCAGTTTTTCTCTTTTTGCTTAGGATAGCTTTGGCTCTTCTGGGTATTTTCTGGTTCCATATAAATTTTAGCACTGTTTTTTCCATTTATGTGAAGAATGTCATTGGTATTTTTGTTAGGAATTGCTCTGAATTTGTAGATTGCTTTGAGAAATATGGAAATTTTAACAATAATGATTATTCTAATCCATGAACATGAAATATCTTTCCTTTTTTTGTATCCTCTTTAATATCTTTCATCAGTGTTTCATAGTTTTCTTTGTAGAGATCTTTCACTTCTCTGGTTAATTCCTAGGTATTTAATTTTATTTGTAGCTATTGTAAATGGGATTATTTTCTCAATTTCTTTTTCAGATTGTTTGCAGTTGGCATATAGAAATGCTGCTGATTTTTGTATTTTATTTTGTATTCTGCAACTTGACTGAATTTGTTTATCAGTTCTAATAGTTTTTTTATGGGGACTCTAGGTTTTTCCAAATATAAGATCATATCATCTGCAAACAAGCATAACTTGACTTCTTCCTTCCCAATTTGGATGCTCTTTATTTCTCTCTTCTCTGATTGCTGTAGCTAGGACTTTCAGTACTATGTTGAATAACAGTGGTGAAAATGAGCATCTTTGTTGTGTTCTAAATATAGGAGGAACCATCCTTGCATCCCTGAGATAAATCTCACTTGGTCATGATGGATGATCTTTTTAATGTGTTGTTGAATTCGGTTTGCTAGTATTTTGTCAAGGATTTTTCCATCAATGTTCATTAGGGATGGTGGCCTGTAGTTTTCTTTTTTAAATGCATTTTTTGTCTGGTTTTGGTATTAGGATAACACTGGCCTCATAGAATGAGTTTAGAAGTATTTGTTCCTCCTCTACTTTTTGGAATAGTTTGAGCAGGATTGGTATTAGTTCTTCTTTCATTGTTTGGTAGAATTCAACAGTAAAGCCATCAGGTTTCAGGTTTTTCTTTGCTGGGATAATTTTTTTTATGGCTTCAATCTCATTACTTGTTATTGGTCTGTTCAGGTTTTGGATTTCTTCATGGTTCAATGTTGGTAGGTTGTATGTATATAGGAATTTATCCATTTCTTCTAGGTTTTCCAATTTATTGGTATATAGTTTCTCACAGTAGCCTCTAATGATCCTTTGAATTTCTGTAGTATCAGTTTTAATGTCTCCTTTTTCATCTCTGATTTTATTTATTTGGGTCTTCTCTCCTTTTTTCTTAGTCTGGCTAAGTTTGTCATTTTTGTTTATCTTTTCAAAAAACAACTTTTTCTTTTGTTTATCTTTTTTTTTTTTCTTTTTTGAGACAGAGTCTCACTCTGTTGCCCAGGCTGGAGTGCAGTGGTGTGATCTGGGCTCACTGCAAGCTCCGCCTCCCGGGTTCACGCCATTCTCCTGCCTCAGCTTCCCGAGTAGCTGGGACTACAGGCGCCTGCCACCACGCCCAGCTATTTTTTTTTGTATTTTTTAGTAGAGACAGGGTTTCATCATGTTAGCCAGGATGGTCTCGGTCTCCTGACCTCATGATCCGCCTGCCT
Organism: Homo sapiens; assembly: GCF_000001405.40. NCBI lineage: Eukaryota > Metazoa > Chordata > Mammalia > Primates > Hominidae > Homo > Homo sapiens. The sequence goes on along the minus strand of NC_000006.12, from coordinate 73,100,433 downwards.
CAGCCTCCCAAAGTGCTGGGATTACAGGCGTGAGCCACAGTGCCTGGCCTTGTTAATCTTTTGTATTTTCTTTGTTTCAATTTCATTTATTTCTGCTCTGATCTTTATTTCCTTTCTCCTACTAACTTTGGGTTTGGTTTACTCTTGCTCTTGTAGGTTGCATAATAGGTTGTTTATTTGAAGTTTTTCTTCTTTACTGATGTAAGCACTTTTAGTTATAAACTTCCCTTTTAGTACTCCTTTTGCTGTATCCCATTGGTTTTGTTATAGGTTGTGTTTCCATTATCATTTGTTTCAAGACATTTTTCAATTTGCTTCTTAATCTCTTCATTGACCCATTGGTCATTCAGGAGCATATTGTTTAATTTACATGTGTTTGTATAGTTTCCAAATTTTCTCTTGTTACTGATTTTTAGTTTCATTCAATTGTGGTCAGAGAAGATACTTGATATTATTTCAATTTTCTGAATGTCTTAAGACTTGTTTTGTGGCCTAACATGTGGCCTATCCTGATCTATCCTTGAGAATAATCCATGTGTTTAGGAGAAGTGTGTGGAGTATTCTGCAGCTGTTGGATGAAATGTTCTATAAATATTTATTAGGTCCATTTGGTCTATTGTGCAGATTAAGTTTGATGTTTCTTTGTTGATTTTCTGTCTGGATGATCTGTCCAATGCTGAAAGTTGGGTGTTGACGTTTCCAGCTATTATTGACTTGGGGTATGTCTCTCTCTTTTGCTCTAATAATATTTGCTTTATATATCTGGGTGCTCCAGTGTTGGGTGCATATATATTTATAGTTGTTATATCCTCTTGCTGAATTGATTCCTTTATCATTATATAATGACCTTCCTTGTCTCTTTTGATAGCTTTTGTCTTGAAACCTATTCTGTCTGATCTAAGTGTAGCTACTCCTGCTCTTTTTCGGTTTCCATTTGCATGGGATATCTTTTTTTATCCCTTTATTTTCAATCTATGTGAGTCTTTATAGATGAAGTATGTTTCTTGTAGTCAACAGATCATTGGGTCTTGCTTTTTAAAATTTAATTTTAATCCATTGAATCCATTCAATCCTGTGTCTTTTGATTGGAGAGTTTAATCCATTTATATTCAGTGTTATTATGGATAAGTAAGGACTTACTCCTGCCATTTTGTTATTTGTTTTCTAGTTGTTTTGTGGTCTTCTCTTGCTTTTTTCTTTCCTTCTTGTCTTCCTTTCATTGAAAGTGATTTTCTCTGGTGGTATGATTTAGTTTCTTGCTTTTTATTTTTTTGTGTGTATCCATTGTATGCTTTTTTGATTTTAGGTTACTATGAGGCTTGCAAATAATATCTTATAACCCATTATTTTAAACTGATCACAATTTAACTCCGATTGCATAAACAAATAAACAAAAAGAAAATTAATGAAAATGCTACATTTTAACTTTGTCATCCCACTTTTAAACTTTTTGTTGTTTCTACTTTATCTTATTATGCTGTGTATATCTTGAAAAGCTGTTGTAGTTATTTTTGATAAGTTCATCTTTTTGTCTTTCTACTTAAAATATAAATAATTAGCACAATTATAGTGCTATAATATTCTGTTTTTCTGTGTACTTACTATTACCAGTGAGTTTTCTACCCTTAGATGGTTTTTAGTTTTTCCTTAATGCCTTTTTTCTTTCAAACTAAAGAAATCACTTTAGCATTTCTTATAGGACAGGTCTGGTGTTGATGAAATGCCTCAGTTTTTGTTTGTCTGGGAAAGTCTTTATTTCTCCTTCATGAAGGCTATTTTTGCCAGATATACTATTCAAGGATAAAATATTTTTTCCCTTCAGCACTTTAAATATGCCATGCCACTCTTTCCTGGCCTGTAAGGTTTCCACTGAAAAGTCTGCTGCCAGATGTATTGGAGCTCCATTGCACGTTATTTATTTCTCTTCTTTTGCTGCTTATAAAATCTTTTCTTTATCCTTGAATTTTGCAAGTTTATTAGTGAATGCTTTGAGGTTAAATCTGTTTGGTGTTCTATAGCCTTCTTTTACTTGAATATTGATATCTTTCTCTAGGTTTGGGAAGTTCTGTTATTATCCCTTTGAATAAACTTTCTCTCTCTCTCCCTACTTTTTAAGGCCAATAACTTAGATTTGCCCCTTTGAAGCTATTTTATAGATATTTTGGGCATTTCCTTCTTTTTTATTCTTTTATCTTTTGTCTCTGCTGACCATGTATTTTTAAATAGCCTGTCTTCATGCTCACTAGTTCTTTCTTCTGCTTGATCAATTCTGCTATTAAGGGACTCTGATGATTCTTCAGTATGTCAGTTGCATTTTTGACCTCCAGATTTTCTGCTTGATTCTTTTTAATTATTTCAATTTATTTGTTAAATTTATCTGATAAAATTCTGAATTCATTCTCTGTGTTATGTTGAGTGTCTCATGTTTTCCTGGATTATCTTGAGGTTGTGGTGTTTGTCAGTGTCTGGGCATTGAAGAGTTAGGTATTTATTGTAGTCTTTGTAATCTGGGCTTGTTTGTAGCCATCCTCCTTGGGAAGGCTTTCCTGGTATTTGAAGGGACTTCAGTATTATGATCTAAGTTTTTGGTCACTGCAGGCATTTCTGCATTAAGGGGTACCCCAAGCCCAGTAATGCTATGGTTCTTGTAGACTTGTAGATGTATCACCTTGGTGGTCTTGAATAAGATCTGAAAGAATTCTCTGGATTACTGGGCAAAAACTCTTGTTCTCTTCCTTACATTCTCCCAAACAAACGAGTCTCTCTTTCTCTGTGCTGAGGTGCCTGGAGCTTGGTGAGGGGCGACACAAGCAGCCTTGTGGCCACCATCACTGAGACTGCACTGGGTTAGACCTGAAGCCAGCACAGCACTAGATCTTGCTCAAGTGGGCATCCTTATTTTGTTCTGGATCTTAGAGGAAAGGATTTCAATTTTTCACTGTGGAGTATAATGTTAGCTATTGGCTTATAATATATGCTTTTTATTGTGTTGAGTTACATTCCTTCTGTACCTAATTTGTTGAGGATTTTTATTATGAAATAAAATTTGATCAAATGATGTTTCTGCATCTCATGAGATGATCTGCAATAAGCCAGGCACAGAAAGGTAAATACTGCATGTTTTCACTACATGGGGAATCTGAAACAATGAAACCCATGGTAGAAGAGAGTAGTATGCTGGTTACCAGAGGCTGGGGGTTGGGGGAATGGGGAGATGATGGTCAAAGGACACAAAGCCTCAGTTAAACAGGAACAATATGTGTATGTGTGTGTGTATATATATATATATATGAGATCTATTGCACAGTGTGGTGAATACAGTTAGTAATGTGTATTGTGCATTTCAAAATTACTAAGACTAAATTTCAAATTCTCTTACCACATTTTTTTTTTCTGAGACTGAGTCACTCTGTCACCCAGACTGGAGTGCAGTGGCACGGTCTCAGCTTACCGCAAACTGCCTCGCAGGTTCAAGTGATTCTCCTGTTTCAGCCTCTTGAGTAGCTGGGATTACAGGCATCCGCCACCACACCCAGCTAATTTTTGTATTTCTAGTAGAGACAGGGTTTCACCATGTTGGCCAGGCTGGTCTTGAACTTTTGACTTCAAATGATCCCCCTGCCTTGGCCTCCCAAAATGCTGGGATTATAGGAGTGAGTCACTGCACCCAGCCACACCACAAAAATTGATATGTATTTGAAGTGGTGGATATGTTAATTAGCACGATGTAATGATTCCACATTGTGTTTGTAAATCATAGCATCACTTTCTACCCCAGAAATATATACAACTATAATTTCTCAATTTACAATGAAAGAAAAGTAAAGGATTAGTAAAGAGAAGGTTAACTAGATATGCTAAAGCTAGGCCAGGGAATGTCTTTGAATATCATGCCTCTCCTATGATCAGACTGCTCCAGGCGTTCCCCACATCTCTTAGAACAAAGTCCCAGCTCCTCCATGGCCTGCAGGGTTCTTCATGATTGACCTCAGCTAACTTCTCAGATATGGTCTTCTACCATGCTCTCTCTCATTCTGCTTCTGCCCCTCCTGCCTTGCTATTCATCAGCACACCAAGCTCTTTTTTTTTTTTTTTTTGCCTAAGGACCTTTGCCCTTGCTTTTCTCTTTCTGAATTTCTGTTACTTCCAGGTTTGCATTCAGGTACCTGCTGAAATGTCAGCTCCACAGAAAACCATCCCAGATCACCTAATTTAAGCCACTTCCCAAGACTGGCTTAGTCTCCCAGCCTACATCTTTCTCCCATCCGGGATGCCTCCTGTCCTTGAACACTGGACTCTAAGTTCTTCAATTTTGGGACTCTTGGATCTTTGACCACAGACTGAAAGCTGCACTGTCGGCTTCCCTACTTTTGGGGTTTTGGGACTCAGAGTGGCTTCCTTGCTCCTCAGCTTGCAGACGACCTGTTGTGGGACCTCATCTTGTGATCATATGAGGAAACTTGGATTCAGATAATTTAAACAGTTTGCTTATGAGTATACAACTATAAATTGCCCACTAGTGTGTCCTATTACAAAGTCTGCCTTTAAAACGAAAATAGAGAGGACCCACAGACCCCCTGCAGGAAGCAGATTGCTCCTGAAGGACCTAGGAGACACCCTAAATACTGTGCTAGCATCCACGGCTGAGAAACCCACAGATGGTTCACATCACAGGACTCTGTAGACAATCCCCAGTGCCAGCCCGGAGTCTGGAAGACTTGTTGGGTGGCTAGATCCACAAGATAGATAACAATCACTACAGCTCAGCTCTCAGGAAGTCACATCCATAGGAACAGGGGGAGAGTACTACACCAAGGGAACACCCTGTGGTACAAAAGAATCTGAACAACAGCCTTCAGCCCTAGATCTTCCCTCTGACAGAGCCTACCCAAATAAGAAGGAACCAGAAACCGATTCTGTTAATATGACAAAACAAAGTTCTTTACAACTCCCAAAAAATCACACTAGCTCCCCAGCAATGGACCCAAACCAAGAAGAAATCCCTGATTTGCCTGAAAAAGAATTGAGGAGGTTAATTATTAAGCTAATCAGGGAGCACCAGAGACATGTGAAGCCCGATTTAAGGAAATCCAAAAAATGATACAAGAAGTGAAGGGAGAAATATTCAAGGAAATAGATAGCATAAATAAAAAACAGTCAAAACTTCAGTAAACTTTGGACACCCTTATAGAAATGCAAAATGCTCTGGAAAGTCTCAGCAATAGAATTGAACAAGTAGAAGAAAGAATTTCAGAGCTCTAAGACAAGGTCTTTCAGTTAACGCACTCCATAAAGACAAAGAAAAAAGAATAAGAAAATACGAACACAGCCTCCAAGAAGTCTGGGATTATGTTAGATGACCAAAGCTAAGAATAATCAGTGTTCTTGAGGAAGAAGAGAAATCTAAAAGTTTGGAAAACATATTTCAGGGAATAACAGAGGAAAACTTCCCCAGCATTGCTAGAGACCTAGACATCCAAATACAAGAAGCACAAAGAACACCTGGGAAATTCATTGCAAAAAGATCATCACCTAGGCACATTGTCATCAGGTAATCTAAAGTTAAGACAAAGGAAAGAATTTTAAGAGCAGTGAGACAAAAGTACCTGGTAACCTATAAATAAAAACCTATTAGATTAACAGCAGATTTCTCAGCAGAAACCCTATAAGCTAGAAGGTATTGGGGCCTTGTCTTCGGCCTCCTCAAGCAAAAGAATTACCAGCCAAGAATTTTGTATCCAACAAAACTATCCTTCATATATGAAGGAAAGATACAGTCTTTTTCAGACAGACAAATTCTGAGAGAATTCACCACTACCAAGCCACCACTACAAGAACTGCTAAAAGGAGCTCTAAATCTCGAAACAAATCCTGGAAACACATCAAAACAGAACCTCTTTAAAGCATAAATCTCACAGGACCTATAAAACAAAAATACAATTTAAAAAACAAAAACAAAAAACAAAAAACCAAGGTATACAGGCAACAAATAGCATAATGAATGGAATGGTACCTCACATCTCAATACTAACGTTGAATGTAAATGGCTTAAATGCTCCACTTAAAAGATATAGAATTGTAGAATTGATAAGAATTCACCAACCAACTACCTGCTGACTTCAAGAGACTCACCTAACACATAAGGAGTCTCACAAACTTAAGGTAAAGGTGTGGAAAAAGACATTTTTGGAATATGGACACCAAAAGCAAACGGGAGTACCTATTCTTAGACAAACAAACTTTAAAGCAACAGCAGTTAAAAAAGACAAAGAGGGCATTATATAATGATAAAAGGCCTAGTCCAACAGGAAAACATCACAATCCTAAACGTATATGCACTGAACACTGGAACTATCAAATTTATAAAACAATTACTAACAGACCTTAGAAATGAGACAGGTGGCAACATAATAATAGTGGGAGACTTCAATACTCCACTGACAGCACTGGACAGATAATCAAGACTGAAGGTCAACAATGAAACAATGGATTTAAACTATACCTTGGAACAAATAGACTTAACAGATATATACAGAACATTCCATCCAACAACCATAGAATATACATTCTATTCAGTGCATGGAACTTTCTCCAAGGTAGACCATATGACAGGCCACAAAATGAGCCTCAATAAATTTAAGAAAATTGAAATTATATCAAGCACTCTCTCAGACCACAGTGGAATAAAACTGAAAATCAACTCCAAAATGAACTTTCAAAGCCATGCAAATATATGGAAATTAAATAACCTGCTCTTGAATGATCATTGGGCCAAAAATGAAATCAAGATGGAAATTAAAAAATTCTTTGAATTGAATGGCAACAATGACACAACATATCAAGATCTCTGGGACACAGCAAAGGCGATGCTAAGAAGAAAGTTTATAGCCATAAATGCCTACATCAAAAAGTCTGAAAGAGCACAAACAGACAATCTAAGGTCACACCTCAAGGAACTAGAGAAGCAAGAACAAACCAAACCCAGACCCAGCAGAAGAAAGGAAATAACCACGATCAGAGCAGAACCAAATGAATTTGAAACAAACAAACAAAATACAAAAGATAAATGAAACAAAAAGCTGGTTCTTTAAAAATGAATAAAATTGATAGACCGTTAGCAAGATTAACCATAAAAAGAAGAGAGAAAATGCAAATTAGCTCAAGAAGAAATGAAATGGGAGATATTACAACTGACACCACAGAAATACAAAAGATCATTCAAGGCTACTATGAACACCATTACGCACATAAACTGGAAAATCTAGAAGAGATGGATAAATTTCTGGAAAAATACAACCCTCCTAGTTTAAATCAGGAAGAATTAGATAGCCTGAATGACCAATAACAAGTAATGAGATTGAAATGGTAGTTAAAAAATTACCAACAAAAAAAGTCCAGGACCAGATGGATTCACAGCAGAATTCTACTAGACATTCAAAGAAGAATTGATACCAGTCCTATTGACACTATTCCACAAGATAAAGAAGGAACCCTCCCCAATTCATTCTATGAAGCCAGTATCACCCTAATACCAAAACCAGGAAAGGACATAATCAAAAAAGAAAACTACAGACCAATATCCCTGATGAACATAGATGCTAAAATTGTTAACAAAATACTAGCTAACCGAATCTAACAGCATATCAAAAAGATAATCCACCATGATCAAATGGGTTTCATACCAGGGATGCAGGGATAGTTTAACATATGCAAGTCAATAAATGTGATACACCACATAAACAGAATTAAAAACCAAAATCACATGATCATCTCAATAGACGCAGAAAAAGCATTCAACAAAATCTAGCATTCCTTTATCGTTAAAACTCTCAACAAAACTGGTACACAAAGGACATCTATGACAATAAAATGTCATAATATAACAATGTAATAAAAGTAATAAAAGTCACCTATGACAAACCCACAGCCAACATAATACTGAATGGGGAAAAGTTGAAAGCATTCCCTCTGAGAACTGGAACAAGATAAGGATGCCCACTCTTATCACTCCTCTTCATCATAATACTGGAAGTCCTTGCCAGAGCAATCAGACAAGAGGAAGAAATAAAGGGCATCCAACTCATTAAAGAGGAAGTCAAACTGTTGCTGTTTGCTGATGATATGAATGTTTACCTAGAAAACCCTAAAGACTCCTCCAGAAAGCTCCTAGAACTTGCAAAAGAATTCAGCAAACTTTCTGGATATAAAATTCACATACACAAATCAGTATCTCTTCTATACACCAACAGCGACCAAGCTGAGAATCAAATCAAGAACTCAATCCCCTTTACAATAGCTACAAAAACAAAAAAACAAAACAAAACGAAACAAAAAACAAACAAACAAAAAAAAAATCCACAAAACTTAGGAATATACCTAACCAAGGAAGTGAAAGACCTCTACATGGAAAACTACAAAACACTGCTGAAAGAAATCATAGATGACACAAACAAATGGAAACATATCCAATGCTCACGGATAGGTAGAATCAATATTGTAAAAATGACCATACTTCCAAAAGCAATCTACAAATTCAATGCAATTTCCATCAAAATACCACCATCATTCTTCACAGAATTAGAAAAAACAATGATAAAATTCACATGGAACCAGGAAAGAGCCCACATAGCCAAAGAAGGACTAAGCCAAAACAAACAAACAAATAAACCAACAAAAAACCCAACCAACCAAACAACAACAACAACAACAAAAACAAACCCAACCAAACCTGGAGGCATCACATTACCTGATTTCAAACTACAAGGCCATAGTCACCAAGACAGCATGGTATTGGTATAAAAATATGCACATAGACCAATGGAACAGAATAGAGAATCCAGAAACAAACCAAGGTACTTACAGTCAACTGATCTTGGACAAAGCAAACAAAAACATAAAATGGGGAAAGGACACCCTTTTCTTTTTCTTTTTCTTTTTTTTAAGGCTGAATTTTATCTTTTTTATTATACTTTAAGTTCTGGGGTACATGTGCACAAAGTGCAGGTTTGTTACCTAGGTATACATGTGCAATATTGGTTTGTTGCACCCATCAGCTCATCATTTACATTAGGTATTTCTCCTAATGCTATCCCTCCCCCAGCCCCCTAACCCCTGACAGGCCCTGGTGTGTGATGTTCCCCTCCCTGTGTCCATGTGTTCTCATTGTTCAGCTCCCACTTATGAGTGAAAACATGTGGTGTTTGGTTTTCTCTTCTTGAGTTACTTTGCTGAGAATGATGGTTTCCAGTTTCATCCATGTCCCTGCAAAGGACATGAACTCATCCTTTTTTATGGCTGTATAGTATTCCTTGGTGTATATGTGCCACATTTTCTTTATCCAGTCTATCATTGATGGGCATTTGGGTTGGTTCCAAGACTTTACTACTGTGAAAAGTGCTACAATAAACATACAAGTGCATTTGTCTTTATAGTAGAATGATTTATAATACTTTGGGTATATACCCAGTAATGGGATTGCTGGGTCAAATGGTATGTCTAGTTCTAGATCCTTGAGGAGTTGCCACACTGTCTTGCACAATGGTTGAACTAATTTATACTCCCACCAACAGTGTAAAAGTGTTCCTATTTCTCCACATCCTCTCCAGCATCTGTTGTTTCCTGACTCTTTAATGATCGCCATTCTAACTGGCTTGAGATGGTATCTCATTGTGGTTTTGACTTGCATTTCTTTGATGACCAGTGATGATGAGCATTTTTTCATAATTTTGTTGGCTGTATAAATGTCTTCTTTTGAGAAGCGAAGGACACCCTTTTCAACAAATGGTGCTGGGATAATTGGCTAGCCATATGTAGGAGAATTAAACTGGATCCTCATTTCTCACCACATACAAGAATCAACTGAAGGTGGATTAAGGACTTAAATATAGAGCCTGAAACTATAAACACTCTAGAAGATAACATTGGAGAAACCCTTCTATACATTGAGTTAGGCAAGGATTTCAAGACCAAGAACCCAAAAGTGAATGCAATAAAAACAAAGATAAATTGCTGGTACTTAATTAAACTAAAGAGCTTTTGCACGGCAAAAGAAACAGTCAGCAGAGTAAACAGACAACTCACAGAGTGGGAGAAAATCGTTATAATCTATACATTTGACAAAGGATGAATATCTAGAATCTACAATGAACTCAAACAAATCAACATGAAAAAAACAAACAATCCCATCAAAAAGTGGGCTAAGGACATGAATAGACAATTCTCAAAAGATGATATATGAATGGCCAAGACACATGAAAAAATGCTCAACATCGCTAATGATCAGGGAAATGCAAATGAAAACCACAATGTGATACCACCTTAGTCCTGCAAAAATGGCCATAATAAAAAAGTGGAAAAATAGTAGATGTTGGTGGAGATGCGGTGAACAGGGAACACATCTACACTGCTGGTTGGAATGTAAACTAGCACAACCACTATAGAAAATAGTGTGGAGATTCCTTAAAGAACTAAAAGTAGAACCATTTGATCCAGCAATCTCACTACTGGTTATCTACCCAGAGGAAAAGAAGTCATTATATGAAGAAGACACTTGCACATGCATGTTTATAGCAGCGCAATTCACAATTGCAAAAATGTGGAACCAACCCAAATGCCCATCAATCAATGAGTGGATAAAGAAACTGTGGTATATATATATACATGATGGAATACTACTCAGCCATAAAGAGGAATGAATTAATGGCATTTGCAGCCACCTAGATGAGATTGGAGACTATTGTTCTAAGTGAAGTAACTCAGGAATGGAAAACCAAACATCCTATGTTCTCACTCATAGGTGGGAGCTAAACTATGAGGATGCAAAGGCATAAGAATGTCACAATGAACTTTGGAGACTCAAGGTGAAAGGATGGGAAGGAGGAGAGGGATAAAAGACTACAAATAGGGTGCAGTGTATACTGCTTGGGTGATGGGTGCACCAAAATCTCACAACTCACCGTGAAAGAACTTACTTATGTAACCAAAAACCACCTGTTCCCCAATAATTTACAGAAAAATAATCGCTGGGGGACACTGTATAATAATAACAGTCATTTTCTCATAAAGACAAAACAAAACCCCACGAAAATCAACAACAACAAAAAAAGCTACTTCCCTACCAACTGTTTCCTAAATCCTTATTCTGTTCATCTTTATTCATAGAATGTATCAATACCTGAAATGATATTGTATATTGATTAAATTGTTTATTGTTTGCCTTCCCAACTAGAAAGTAAATTGTATGTGGGTTGGGACTTTATCTTACTGCTGAATCCAAGCACCTTGCACAGTGATTGGCATACAGTAGTCACTCAATATATATTTACTGAATAAAGGAATGAAAGCCCTATGGGTGGGATAGGATTCTGCTCTCTTGTTTTGCAGCCCAGAAATACTGACGGAAGGTTTTTGTAAGCAAAGTACATAATGTGATCAGAGTAGTGCTTTTAGAAGCTGAAATTATGGCAGCAAATGTACAGGAGAGATTGAAATAGGAAGAAATGAGAGGTGCAGAGACCAGTTAAGACACTATGAGAGTGGAGAGTAAAGAGAAATGTTTAGGAAGTTCAATAGAAATAAATTTATTGATTGAGGTAAAAGGAAAGACTAAGTTAACAGTGACTTGAAAATTTTAAGTGGGAAGATGGTTGCACCATAAATAAAAGCATTATAATGAAAAAGAGAAGGTTTTGGAGTAAAGGTGAAGAGTTTAGTTTTGCAAATAATGGTTTTTCAAATGTCAGTATGACTAATGCAGAAATGTCTAGCAGGAAACTGAGAATGAGAGCTTGAGTCCTGAGAGAGAAATTTGGTTTGGCGTGAGATTTGGGTTTTAGAATCAGTAACAGGGTGATGTTAAAGCTATGTGCATAACTGAGATTACAAAAGGTACACAGAAAGGGTCCAGGGACACCTCAAAAAACACAGACATTTAAGGAATGGAAGGGAAAGGAAAGTCAGAGAAGAATGTCTTTGGATGTCATGTTTTTCAAGTTTTTCAAAAGTAGAACAATCGGGAAAGGGTTATATAAATGGAAACTCAATAGAGAATGGAGAGTTTCACAAAGACCAGGTAATCTCTGATGTCACAGCCTAATAGAAAACAAGGACAGTGAGTCTGGGCACGGTGGCTTATGCCTGTAATCTCAGCACTTTGGGAGGCCGAGGCAGGTGGATCACCTGAGGCCAGGAGTTTGAGACCAGCCTGGCCAACATGGTGAAACTCCATCTCCACTAAAAATACAAAACTAGCCAGGTGTGGTGGTGCATGCCTGTAATCCCAGCTACTCAGGAGGGTGAGGCAGGGGAATTGATTGAATCTAGGATGTGGAGGTTGCAGTGAGCCAAGATCACACCATTGCACTCCAGCCTGGGCAACAGAGTGAAACTCCATCTGGAAAAAAAAAAAAAAAGAGAGAGAGAGAGAAAAAGAAAACAAGGACAATGAGCATTGAGAAAAAGAGACTGAATATGGTGGAGATAGGTGGTCACTGGCAATCACTGAGAAAGTGGTTGCTCTGGTCATGCCACCTTACCTGGGCTTTGAAAGAGGGGGAACAATTCAGAAGCAGGTTTGATAAAGAGGGAGACAAATTCTATGATGCCAGACCTTTCAGAAGCATTCAGCTCAGCTGACCACCTCTTTCTAGAAGCACTCTTCTCTTCACTTCCATGGTTTTCTCTTTGTATTCCTTGGTGGCTCTTTTTCTGTGGCTCCTCTTACCCTTTTCAACCTTTGGACACTGGATTTTTAAGGTTTTGTTCTAAGTCTTTTTCTTCTTTTAAAAATTGTATTCTTCTTAGACTTTCCTTTCTTTTCTATCCCCTCTTTTTTCTCTCTTTCCAGGTGATCTTAAATGTTCTCATAGATTTAAATGCCACTTTTATGCTAAACACTCCAAATTTATATCTCTAGGCCAGACCACTTTTCTGAGTTCCCAATTCACATATCTGCAGTTGACAGTTCCATTTAGATGTCACACAGTCATTTAACTGAATGTGTCTAAAACAGAACTCTTATTTCTACCAAATATATTCCTTCCTGTCTTAACCAAGAGCTCCACCAATCTATCCACTTGCTCATGTCAGAAGCCTCAGAATCATCCTAACTATTCATTTCCCTCACTCCCCCCACGGAATCTATCAGCAAGTCCTGTTGATTCGATCTCCTTAGGTTTTTGCAAATTCACCCCCTTTTCTCTGTCTTTGCTGCCACCATGGTAGACCAGGCTGCTATAGTAGCCTCTTAATTGCTCTCTCTGCTTTTGCTTTTGCTTTCCTCTAGTTCCTTCTTCATATACCTGCAAGGGGTATCATTTTCTTATTTCCATCTAAAAAATCCTTCAATGGCTAGCTGTTGAATTCAAAATAAATTCTAAGCTACTAATTAAGCCATCTCCACCTACCTAAGATCATTTTGATTTTACCCTTGCTCACTGCACTTTAATGACAGTGGCCTTTTGGCTCTTCAAACAAGCCAGGATCTTTCTGCCTCAGGGCCTTTGCACAAGCTGTTCCCTCAGCTGGAATTGCCATTTTCCTCACTCTTCCCAGGGCTCCTTTTCATCCTTCAGGTCTTATCCAAAATACTCCCTCATTGGAGAGGCCTTTCCTACCTATCTTCAGTAGAGACTCTGATTACTCTATATTACAGCTCCTTGTTTCGTAATAACATTAACGTGAGTGATAGTCTGTTGTATTTTTCTTTGGGTAGGGATTCTTATTTCCTTAACTAGAAAGTGGAACCTCAGCTTGCTCTTTATTTCCCCAACATCTAGCATAATGCTTGCCACAAAGTGAGAGAAACTCACTAAATATTTAGTAAATAAATGAATAATACTTTGAAGAACATTGGCAACAACTGAAGTGAGATGTAGAGGGCAAGAACTCCCAGGAATCTCTGACTTGAAGGGAGGCTTTCCAGGATGTACTTCTGCATGTTTGTAGAGAGGGTGAGACTGAAGAGGGAAGGGGTGGCGGCTTCCTGATGGGGTAAAGTACCCAAGAAGGAATTCGGTTAAGGGCACAGTTGGAGGGGTTAGCCCAGGCAGTGTGAAAGGACAGCGCTTCCACAGTGGGGGTATGATGTGGCCTCAGTGTGAGTGGAGGGAAGGATTAGGAATGCTTATGTCTGTCCTTTCAATTATAGACAAGGAGAAGGTGGGATCATGTGTGGGGAGTCAGAGGCTTGGAATAGGCAAAGAGGCTTGGGCTGTGAAGGTCTGAGAAGGGGTCAAGGACAGGTTAATAAGAGGTCTGCTGGTTGGAAGAACTCATTCAATGTCAGAGAGAGGGAATATGTAGTAGAACTTTACAGGAGCCAAATTAATCTAATGTCATCAGCAGTATTAATATGGAATTCTCAAAAGAATTCCTTGAGAATGCAGAAAAAAAATTTCCAGGTCAATTTTATTCTTAATCTTTATATATGTGGGACAGATATTAATCTACTATACTTTTTCTGAAAAATAGCTTAATCCTTTTACATCGGTTTATTAATAATAATAGACTGAAGAAGAACTTTCATGGTTTGGTCACAGCAAAAATGTTACATTTCGTGGTTTCCTTTGCTTTTCATTCCAATAATACATTTGCTCGGCCCAGTGCTCACAGAGTGGGTTTTAAACCACTGACTCTAACTCTGAAGAATGGGACACAGCCAAGTGACAATGTGCTCAGTGTTTCATCCTGAGTAGAAAAGAGTGCCTGCTTTCTTTCATTCTGAATTTAGGGTTGCCCCTTTCTCTTACAGGGGTGGTTTGCGGGGGAGAATAGAAGGTTGTGAAATCTGAGAACAGCACTCTGGAGTTCCTCTGGGGGTGAGCAAAGACCCTGCCCACTTTCTCCCTACACTCCGGTTCAGGCTTCCGGGATGATCACATTTCACTGAATGCAAGGGACCTGAACAGCCAGCAACTGAACCCCCAGCCTCAATAACTTTCTCCCCTCTGATTTCAAAGGAGCTAGGGATGTTTCCTGGTTAAAGCAAAGGGGCCTTTTGTTGGCAGCTTAGGCTTGGGAAGGATCTGGCAACAGGGTGGCAGTTTTGTCCCCCTCTATGCCAGAGAGGGAGTTGGTGTGGGTTTCCCTCGTTTTTTGCCTGGAGCGTGCATGCATCATTTCCCTTCTGTGGTGGCAAAGAGGACACCTGGGCTTCATGATGTGAACAGAAAGATAGCACCAGACATAAAATTATGAAGTCTTTAAGATGTGCTTACAATAAAAAGATGTTAATTTTTTCCAGGTATTCACCCTGACCCATCTGCTTGATCTGGCTTTGACATTTTAAGTCAAGGACCAGCTGCATTTGATAAACCATCCTTAGATGAGCGCTGCATAGATATTCATTGATTTTTCTGGACTTTCAGGTCAAGCTGCCCTTGAAGTACCAGTGAGTCTCCTTGGAACTGTACAACTACATTATATTTCTTTTCTTTTCCTAGCACTTGGGAGGCCCTGCTAATGTTTATCAGTTGATCCTTTGTACATGAACTGAGTAGCAGGAGCCCTCTTGGTTCTTATTCTCCCATGCTTGTGCTAAATAATAAACCTCTTTCTGCCTTCCAAAAATGTTATGAATCTTTTCACTGGTAGAACCCAGTAATGATTAGTTTCATTTAGGTTCAGGGTCGGAGAAAGGGCAGGCCCACACAAGAACCCAAGGGCACCCGTTCTTCAGAATAAGTGGGGAGATTCTGGAATAGCAGCATGTTTCAGAGAACCTGGAGAGGCTGCATATGCGATCTTTAGGGGCTTGGAGGAAATCACATCTAGACTTCACAATTGAATTGGGTGATGAGGCAGTCAGTTCGTTTTCTAGAAACATTTCTCACAGATCTTCAAGAACCCAGCAGCATCCTGATGGCATGGCATGGGAAGATGACTTATTCAATTGTATCTCATCATCTCTGTATTGCAGATGCTTACAAACTGCGTACGTCAGTGACTCCCAGGCAGAAGGGCAGGTTGCTATTATCACTTAACAGTATACAGTTAACACAGTAATATGGGCCAAATGAAGTTAAAGAGCCAGAGCTGATTTTGGAAAAAATGGATTACTGTTATAAAGAAAAACAAATAAATAACACACTCCCTTTACACTGTCTTTAGGCTGGGAATCCAACATTAAATAAATAATCCCTTTACACTATCTTTAGACTGGGAATCCAACATTAAATAAATAATGTAGTTGCTCCTTTGAAGATACTTCCATCACATCCCGCCCCCTTTGTTGTGTAATTCTCTGCCAGTTCTATATGTGCATATGGCATTAGGGTGCAAGGGTTGAGTCCCATGGGTGATGGTGCTGGAATTAAACCCAGTGACTCTGTTCATCTCGGGTGAACCATGAGGATGCTTCATGACTACATATGGGCTAGGTAGGTGGGGATGACAGGGATTGGGTGGGTTTGGGATGACAGAAAGAACTAAAGTGTGGTCGGTTAATGGGTTCTTTTTGTACTAATATATTTTTGATACTTCCTGAGTCAAAGCATTTAATTCTCTTCTAATATATACAGTGTTAAAAGTGAATCACAATACATCAGACTTTTACTCTGCATAGCAAATGTGCTGCAAGGGAATTAGTAGAACCATAAAGCAGTTGAATCAATGTAAAATAAATGTTCTTATGAGACAGCCTTGTTATTCTCTGTTGGTGAGATAATTTTCTGATATTATATATTAATGCATGAGAATACACAGAGAAGTCTTCTTAATTGAAACTTTTATGATGGCTACTTGGTTGCTTAGTCAGAAATTTGACTAATGCAGATAATCACAAAGAGACTTATATGCTGCATATTTTATTTTAGCCTAAAGCACATAAATGTAATATTCTTGATGAAGAATGTGTTCTGCAATTGGGGTTCTGCCTTATCTTTTTTGCATAAATCTCACTCATAATGCATCATTTATTTTCCTTAATTTTAATGTTTTTTAAAATTAACTTTTTTTTTAGTGGTGCATAAACTCAACTTTTGTGGGAGCTATCTGAGAACAGAGTCCTAAATATTTAAGATTTTTCCCCCACATAGTTGTGTGTTCACCCCTGATTTTGAAGTATTTTTAGTATTTTAGCATATTTAGTATTTTGCATTTATCAAGCTTTTCTAAAGCATTCTATTTTCGTAAACCATCCATCTTTCTTTCTGTACCATATGTCATCAGTTTATGCAATAATATAAAATTAAACCATGCCATTATAATTACAAATACAACTGACATAAAAAGGTTTAGGAATGGGACGGGCACAGTGGCTCACGCCTGTAATCCCAGCACTTTGGGAGGCCAAGGCAGACAGATTGCTTGAACCTAGGAGTTTGAGACCAGCCTGGGCAACATGGTGAGACCCCTTTTCTTCAAAAAATTAGTAAAAAATTAGCTGGGCATGGTGGCATGTGCCTGGGGTCCCAGCTACTCAGGAGGCTGAGGCGGGAGGGCTGCTCGAACCTGGGAGGTTGAGGCTGCAGCGAGCTATAAATGCACCAATGCACTGCAACCTATGTGACAGAGTGAGACCCTGTCTCAAAAAAAAAAAAAAAAAAAAAGGTTTGGTAATGAACATGCTGACTCTTTGCAAGCATTCAAACAATGTTCAGAACAGAATTCTGTGGATACTAAAGAGCATTTTGTGCTCTGCAAGCCTCAGTATGTTTTGTGGGAGTGAGGAGTGTTGGTTAATCTGGCCAGTCAGTGAAGAGGAAATAAGTTCTGAGAGCTTCTACTCTATTCTAAAACAAATACAATATTTACATAAGTGGGCAAGTAAACTAAATAGTGTTTCGTGAGCTTTGATTTCCCACACCCATGTGAGCGTGACATTTTGCTTATATATACGTGTGTGTAAGAGATGAGAAGCAGGAGAATAGAGAGATGGATCTTTACATCACGATATTGGACATAATTCCATTTTTTTTCCTCATTCCAGAGCTTGTAAGAGATATGCTGGTGAACATGCACTGGATAGATTACATTTTTATTATAAAAATCTTCTGTGATTCATACTCGTGACTTTTGAGTATGATCTTTATAATATCATAGGTAAGGTCATGACGTTTTGAATTTACTTTTTAAAATTAAAAACAAATTACAAGTGACAAAAATGTCCACCATCTCTTTCAGTAAAGTTCTAGGCAGAGTAGTATTCTCCTTAAGTGAGAAGCTGCCATTTCTTGCCACAGTTCTTAAACTGAGAAGCTGGCAGCTGCCTTTTCAGGCTGCAGGGTAACAAGGCGGATGAGGATCTGGGCAGGGATGGTCTGCTTTGCCCTGCTACCTCCCCACAGCTGGCCTCAGGAATCCCTGGTATTTTGTACCATCTCTTCAGCTGGACCATTTATTTGAAGGCGTCTTGCAGATAGAAACAGCTTAGATATATTTTGGCCCTTATGTTTCCTATGCTCAAATACAGTCACACAGGTGAAAGAAAATACATTCTGAAAATCTGTGGGTTGGAAATGTTGGCATAAAGTTGTAATTATGTTAGGAAAATCTGAGGTGGAGTGGGGGCACCTTCGTGTGTTTAGCATTCAGGAATTCTTCCTCAGAAATAATACTGAAAAACAAATGAAAACTCTGGTCCAGACTTTTCTTGATTTTTTTTTTAAATGAGATGGCTGAGGCTATGGTCAGATTATAATTTAAGACACTGGTTAGGCTAAAGTTTTTTTTCTTTTCAATAGCAGAATTAATTCCAAATCAGGAGATATAAATCCTTCTTTCTTTCAGGCAACAAATCAACAAATATTTATTGACCTGATTTTGAAGATACAATTATGTTTTTAGTAAATCTATGTACATTAGTTTATAGCTAATGTGTTCAGGTGAACAATATACTGTTGGTAGATTTCCGTGGCACGGTATAATTCTCCCCAAGGGAGTCTTTGAGGCAGGGTCTCACTCAAGCACCCAGGCTGGAGTGCAGGAAAACCTGATCTTAAGTTATTTCAAAATAAATCTAAAGCAGATCAAAAAGAGAAAAATCACTCCCACAAAACAGGAAGGATTTAATAACAGAAAATAACTCCAGGGAAACCCATTCTTAAATTATTTCAGAATAAATCTGGAACAACCAAAAATGAGAAAAATAACAATAGAAAATGATAATAAATGGAGCTCTATCCAACAATCAGAAGATCCCCTTTTCCAGCAACTCTCAGTGCCTCAGCTACTAGAGCTACTTCCCTCTTCCATTTTCTGCCATCAATGCAACTTTAGTTGCCACATCAGAACCCAGGACATCTTTTCATCACAACCTCCAATTCCCAAGCCTCTTCTGTGTTCAAACTGTGGGTCTGCATCAAAACACATAGCTCTTTTTTTGTTCCTTTTGTATTAAAGGTGCTTTCATTTAACTTCCACAGCAATGATGTCTACACCAACAATAGCTCTCATATTTGATTGGGCACTTGCTATGTTCTTGGTACCAGGTCTTTTATATCTATTTCACTTACTCAATGAACTAGGTATTGCTATTCACTAATATGAAACTGCTTTCAGGGATCAAAGTTTTTTGGGCAGCACTGATCCCACCATGATATCCCTCCAAATGTTGATCTAGGGGACAGATCTCACTATCTTAATGGAAGGAGTTCCAGAGTTAGTATTGAAAATTCACTGGCACAGCGTATCTGTGGAACAAAACCTATATTTTGATACTTAATGTTGATACTGTGGGATCTTTTAATATAGGGGATTTCCTTTTTTCATCAAAGTGTAACACTTAGAAATACTCTCATTTAGGATGCTATCATTTCCCTATTTATTCTGGATACTTCCATAGTTATTAAGGTTTCCATTAGGTGCAACATGCGCAATTTTAACTAAGAAATACCCAACCATAATTTTCACTAAGGTCTTGATTAATGTATAAATAAAAGGTATAATAGTCTAAATTTATTTTATTTCCCACTAGGAATCTAGTATATGTTCTTCTTAAAATGAATAGAAACAATGAGCTCTCTTGTTTGTTTGCTTCTTCTGTCTTTTTAGGATTCAGACAATTTCATTAATGAGTCAGTTAATATCAACAAACCTGCTACGGACCAATAAGGCCTTAAAAAATTCTTCGAAGTTTGATCTCTTATAAAATTTTTACTCTCATATTCAAGACTAGATTTTTTTTAAAAATAGAAACATAATTAGGCCATTCAGGAACCTGTTAAGTACGGGTTAAATGTCAGTCAAATTAGCAGAACTGAAAGGCAAATCAATGAAAATGTTTCTTCCCCTGAAAGTCACAGATATGACCTTTGAAAACCTACCGTGTGGGTTATTCTGGCAAAAGAAACAAACTGATGACTAACTGAGAGGTATATTAAGAGTTTCCCACACACTGTTTAACACACAATACAGCAATTCTTTTTTGTAATAAGGAGAAATGGAAGACTAATAAAAAGAAAGATAATGAGCTCCCAGGCTAAACTCACCAACAACTGCATCTCAGTGGCAAAAGGGGCACCTGGGTGCCTCAGTAAGTCAAATACATTAGAATTATCCAAGAGAAGCAAAAATTAAACTTGAATTCAAACCATTGCTTTGAAGGCTGGGATGATAAACTGTCTTCCCCTTGCTGGCAAGAAAAGCCTCCTGTTTTCTCAGTTTACAGTTTATCCCATCATGAGTCACAGATTTTCATTTGCTCTCTACATATAAAAAGTATTTTAAGAGTGTCAGATGACTGCTCTCTTTCAAGCTTCCACTCTTTTTCGAAATGCCCATTATTGCTTGTGAATAGTGAAGAGCAGCCGGAAACCACATTATTAAACCAACGGAATCCTTTGAAACCAATGGCATAATCTTGTAGACATTTACTTAGATAACTTAAGAAAAAAATTCGAATCTTTAGGTGAATGTATTTCTCATTTTTATTCATTTTATTGCTGCTATGCAATCAACAAATACAACAAGTTCTGCTAAATACAGCCCTAACAAATTTTCCCCCTCTCTGACAAATGTTCTGGGTCTTGCTGATGAGCTTTTGATGACTAGTGGAACAATGCAACAATTGGTAACTCTGTGCTTCACTAAACAAACAAATAAAAAGCCTATCATTGTTTAAATCACAGCTTAAGAAAATGATATATTTTTATTTTGGCAACAATCTAGAACTCAAGAAATACTAAGGGTGGTTTAAAAGAGAACTCACGGGGTTTTTTGAACCAAAACGATATGGACATTCTTTAGACAAGCATTTATAATCTACCTGCCAGGCTTAAGTGATTCTGCCACCTCAGCCTCCCAGGTAGCTGGAACTACAGGAGTGTGCCACCACACCTGGCTAATTTTTGTATTTTTTGTAGGGATGGGGTCTTGCCATGTTGCCCAGGCTGGTCTCAAATGCCTGAGCTCAAGCAACTGGCCCGCCTTAGCCTCCCAAAGTGCTTGGATTACAGGCGTGAGCCACCATGTTTGGCTATGATTATTTTCATATAACTCCCCTTTGGAATACCTTAAAGGAATAAAATAAAAAGAAATGTAATTTATACATTGCATAAAGCACTCCTATATCCCATGTCATTCTTATTACGGCATAGCTCCAATGACTGTTTCATAAATTCTTTACAATGCAGGGAAAATTTTTGCTTCAGTGGAAAACTATGCGTTGTTCAGAGTACACCCTTCCAGGTTTTTGGATTCTGATTTTATGGGGCTCTGCTCTTTTCATAGCCTTTGAGCTATTTTACAACTCTGTAAGTTGTTGATAACTGGTAGCAATGCAAAATAATTCTTGCCTATGGACATGTAAATAAATTCTGCCTAGTGGAGGTTGAACTGACTTCCCTCCCACACTGTGGAAGGAGCCAGTTTTGCCTCTATTTGCACATTGATTTCAATATTCCTGATCTTTAAATGTTTCTGTCCTTTGGATAGTGCTTTGAACTGGTTTTAACATCTTACTGGTTTCTTCATTAATAATGACTTAAACTTTTAAAATGAGTTAAATGAATGTTTAGCATGTGTTAATTTTCTTTCTATGTAAGAATCATGATTTTACTTTATTTATTTGGAAAATTATTCTTTAATAATATAAAGAAAAAGTAGGTTTTGAGAGGAAAGTTTTGAAATTAGGTGACTATAATCTCTGATCTCACAGATGGTTACCAGTCTTCTTTTTCATTTCTTTGTGCTGCAATTTTATTCACAGCTTCCATTCATTTTTTAACCCCAGATAAACTTTTGAAGAGCGGAAAATCAATGCAACAATTGATCATTTAAATTTGTGCTCCACAAAGTTAAAACAAATAAACAAACTATCAATGTTTTAATCACCATTTTAAAAATGATATATATTTATATATTTTATATATTTTTAATTTTGGCAACAATCTAGCACTCAAGAAATATTAATGATGGTTTACAAGACAACTTAGTTGGCCTAAAAAGATGTGGAAAGCCTTTAGACAATAATAAGTAGTATTTATTTTCCATATAACTCTCTTTCGCAATTTAATATTTTTATTGAAACCATCCATAGGAACCATTACGTTGTATTAAAAAAAAACAATTCACAACATCCAATAAATAAAAAATGTATTTTTATACTTACTGTGCCCCACCAGAGAGCATCTGCATATGTAGAAAACTCTTTATTGGCATCCTTTTCCACCAGATAGACAAGGAAAGACGAAAAAATAAGAACCAAAAATCCTATGTACCAAGCTGTGATTAATTCCTAGATATAAAAGGAATGAAAGATTTTTAGAGGTGGGAAATCTTTGAAAAAGGAAAAAAGAATTCTATGAGGATTCTATTCACTTTACTACTTCTTGGATGTTTATGATGGCTCTTAAATAATCCATTGTACATCATGTCCCAAAATTGTTTTAACCATTTTCTGCAATGACTAAGTTTTCTTGTGACAGGTTTATTAACTATTACAGCGATCAATGAAAAAGTTTCAAAAATTGTGTTTTTAAATTCAGAGAGCAAATCTTACCTTGCTGTGAGCATAAACCACTGAACCCAGTAATTTCCAAGTGCCTCCCCTTCGGTCCATGCGCACCATGCGGAGGATCTGTAGGAAACGGAGACTTCTGAGTGCAGACGTGGCAAAAATATTACCCTGAGTTTTTGCAGAAACAACTGCTATTGAAGCGATAAGAACAATGGTATCTGAAAGAAACAGGTCGAAATAGCCACAGTTAGCACGACCAGGAATTTTTATTTACCAAAACAATATTTCCAAAAGGTTCACTTTGACCTATTTAAGGTACAGATAAACAGATCTTGATTCCCAGCTGCACCTAGTGCCACTTGGCCTCTGTGGCATTTCCGAAGACTGAAGAATGAAAAGGCAGAGAATGGGACCTACCTATTGCTGTAGTTCTGACCCTTTGGCCATTCTGCGCTTTACCTATGCAATTTTGAACAACGTATTATTTAACCTTCAACAGATTGGACAATGGTGTTCAAAAAACCCAAGGTTTCAGGGAGCCTTAAGACTTTGGGGCAACCTTTCACAATGTCTCTCGTTTCATCCTTTTTCCTGTGGCAAAAGGATCTCCTGCCTCAGCCCTCAACACCACAGCTTCTGGGTGATGTGACAGAGGCATGTAAATGTGTCCAGCTTGAAAGTGCTGTGAGATATAATCATTTCTCTTGTTTTCCTGCCAAATAAGTTTGCATTTCCTTTCCCCCAAAATTCCCTAATGTGGCACCTGCAACTTTGCATATTGTTTAACAAAGGCCTCAGCTAAGCTGAATACTCTATGCTTCCTGTATAGAGTATTCTTTAGACCTGTTCACCAATTATGTGTAAGTTTGCTGCATAATTAAATAATATTACATTTGTTATAATAGGGTATGTAAGTATAAACACTGTGCATTGCAAGGGAATGAATACTTAATGTTTGACATATTGACATTAGGCTGAAAAAATCTGCCTTTTCTAAGCAAAAAAGAGAAAAAGAGCATCTGATGAAAGCATAGAAAAGATAAAAGAAAACTTAATCACTCCATAAGTAAACATCTGAGTGATGGGAAGTAGGCTTTGAAGTGGGATAAGTGAAGTGGGGATGAATGGCCTCCTGTGGCAATTTTAATAAAAGTTAGCTTGACTTTAACATCCTCAAATACAATTTCCTTCCTGCTCCAAGTGGGTTGTGCATGACTGGGCTTCCACACTCCAAAGAGGAGTTCCATTTCAAGGATGTCACATTTGTAATGTTTCTGTCATCCTCTGGATTAACTGCTGTATAAGTGAGTATTCCTCATTCAGCTCATCCTTCTCCCTGCACTGAGAAAGGTCTGGTCTCCTGGTGTGGACTGAGAAGATCTTCTGAGCCTCTCTGCTGGTGCCCCTTTTTGGGTCAGTGCTTTGAGAGAGAGGGGGGGTCAGTTGTTGGCAGTGCAAGTTTCAGCCAAAGGGCTTCTTCCCCTCTCCTCTCCTTTCTTCCCTCTTTCCATCCTTTGACAGGGTCTCACTCTATCACCCAGGCTGGAGTGCACTGGCATGAGCTCTGCTCACTGCAACCTCTGTGTCCCACCTCAGCCTCCCAAGGAGCTAGGACTACAGGCATGCACCAACACGCCTGGCTAATTTTTGTATTTTTTTGTAGAGATGGGGTATTGCTATGTTGCCCAGGCTGGTCTCGAACTCCTGAGCTCACATCATCTGCCAGCCTTGGCCTCCCAAAGAGTTGAGATTACAGGTGTGAGCCACCGGTGTCCGCCCTGAAGGACTTTTTCCACCAGCTCTAAATGCATGTGCTTTTGTGGGTAAGTACCCAGAGAGCCAAAGAGAGTTACCACTCTTGGCAGCTGTTGGAAACAAGAAGGAACTAAATGTGTTGACACTGACACCAAAGACATATTTTAAGTGAATAAAGGCCAGTTGCAAAACAGTATGTACAATGTGATTTTATTTTAATAGAAATATATATTAGTATATGACTAGGAAAAAAATTTGAGACTAGGCTGGGCGCAGTGGCTCACACTTGTAATCCCAGCACTTTGGGAGGCCAAGGTGGGCGGATCATGAGGTCAGGAGATCGAGACCATCCTGGCCAACATGGTGAAACCCTGTCTCTACTAAAAATACAAAAATTAGCTGGGTGTGGTGGCACGTGCCTGTAATCCCAGCTACTTGGAAGGCTGAGGCATGAGAATCCCTTGAACCCAGGAGGCGGAGGTTGCAGTGAGCCAAGATCGTGCCACTGCACTCCAGCCTAGCGACAGAGCAAGACTGCGTCTCAAAAAAAAAAAAAAAAGTGAGACTATACGCTGATTATTACTATTAATTATTTCTAAAGGGAGTGAGCTGAAGTGAATATATGCATAAAGGGGCTTTTCACTTTGTAAATTATTAATTTCTGTATGTTGGAAGTTTATAACAACGACTATGTCTTTGCAATTAAAAAAACTTTATAAAAAGAGTTATGTGCAAACACATCTCTTGGTTTTCATCATGTTGAGGGATTTACTCCTGAGACTAGTGGTTTACAAACAGACATTACTTATATGACCCTGTTGGACATACATTTTGCTTTTATTTCATTGTAATCTTGCTTTCTCCCAAGTGTAGAAAGAAAAGAAAAAGATATACTACCTCATTTACTATGCTAAAATATTGGAAATACTAGAAATAAGTACATGGCTAGTAGGGGTGCAGAAAATACTACACTTAAAACTTACTATGTGCTTGGCATTTTCTTCAGTTCTAAGGTTTTTTTTTTTTTTTAATAAACATTACCTTATTTAATCCTTACAATGACTTTATGTGTTAGGTATCCCACAGATCCCATTTTACAGATGAAAAAAGCGAGGCAGAAAAAGCATATATTGTATTCATTTTTAAAAAAACTCAGCTATCGGTTTGTTAGACTACAGCACAAAAAGTATGCTATAAAGTTAGTTCATTAGAGAAAACCTAGAAAAGTAAGAGAAAGATTGTTGATTTGAGACAATTTAAAAAATTATGCACACAGTGAATCACAATCTAAATGTTTGAAGTTCCAAAATATGCAAAGGTAACCACAGATTTGATTTAATACCCTCATTGTAATTCAGATCAGACGAGAAAGTTAGAGTTCAGTAAACTGAAATCATAGATGAGCAACCAAATGGCAAACAGTGAGTGCAGTCACAAAAATGTTTCTGGTTGGGTTACAGTCATCCACTGGAATTTTGCTGTCAGTACCACCTAGACTATTTCCTAGGCTAGTATTTTACAAGTTATGAGTAGTCTTTATTTTTACTTCTATTTATGTATTTACTATTTTTGTGATCTACTATTTCATAGAATGGTGGTTCCACAGTGTTTTATCATTGTTTTGTTCACAATTGTATCCTGAGTACCTAGAACAGTGCCTGAAATATAGTAGGCACTCAATAAATATTTAAATAAGATAAATTAGATTAAAAAACACTTAAAAGTTGGCTGAGCTTTGTTCTCTTACCACATCAATGGCTTGTTGACTGGGATATCAACCTAAAATACTCAGGTTAATCAAAGGATCACTTCAATTTCTAGCACTGAATTCTATAGCAACATAATTGTTATAGCTATCATCCATTAGAGTTTATTTTAAAATCTCCCTATTATTTAAAGTATATGCATATATATTAAATTGGGGGAGTAGCTTAAGCTGTGCAGTTAGTTAATTGTCTAAAATATTTTTTGAAACATAGGAAGCTTGTTTTTAGTGAAGATAACACATTTTGGTGTAAGGTAGAAACTATGGACAGCCCTTGAAGCTCACTGGCTTCAGGTTCATTTGTTTATCCATTTATGTATTAAGTAGTTAATTGACTGTCAAGAATTATATTAGACACTTGTATTAAAAATGAATATTCAATCATTCATCTGACCATCCATCCATCACAATTATTGATCAAGTCCCTACTATGTACCAGGCACTGTGCTAAATGTTTTATATACATCAATGATTCCGAATGGGGACAATTTTGCCTCCCTGGGACATTTAGCAATGTCTGGAGACATTTTGCATTGTCATAGCTGGGAAGGGGGTTGCTACGAGCATCTAGTGGTAGAGACTAGGGTTGCTGCTAACCATCCTACAATGCCCAGGACAGCCTCCAGAACAAAGAATGACTCAGCCCCAAATGTCAATAGTGCCAAGGCTGAGAAACCCTGATGTACATTATTTTATTTAATTCTTCAAGCCAACCTATGTAGTAGATGATATTATAACCTTCTCTTTCTTATAAATGAAGAAATTGAGGCTCATAGTGGTCAAGTCACTAACATGCATAAGTGGTTGAGCTGGCCCTTACTTGACTCCAAAGCTGTGTCCTTAAGAATTATGGTATACCACTCCATCCAGGGTGGGATAGGGATGGAGGAGGAACAGAAAGGGGGAGGCTATGAAAGCAGGTGGATAATAAATCAGGAATAAATTGTTATCGCATAAAGCATTCAGAGAAGAGAAAAGTGCAGGGAGGAGAAAGCAGAAATAAAATGATGCTGAAAAACAGATGGTACTTTTATGGCTGCTTCAAGAGAAAATGGGGCTAGAGAAAGAAATAGAACTGCTAATAAACAAGGAGGAGCTCTAAGTCACATGAATAAAAAAAAAAGCATGTAATCCAGAACTCTTAAAATCTACCTCTCTCAAAGGAAACAAATTAGAACAAGTTGGGAAGTAGTGAAGAAAGAGCTATTGATTATAAGCAGCCCAGTAGAAATGTGAAATATAGGTTTACAAGGTATTAGGAAGTAGGTTCACTAATTTACTGCATCACTTAGAATGATTTACACATGAATTCTTGAAATTTGAGGTGACTGCAAAGATTTGAACAAAATAAATACCATAATGATATTTAAGACACATAAGGACTGTGAAAGAGCTTATTTTTAGATGCCACTGGAACTTTGCTCAAGTATTATTTAGTCAGCAAAATCAATATGAATTGATCACCATGGACCCTGTCTAAAAGGTGTTAGTCACTGAAATACCAAAAAGCCTTCATTATTTACATCCAAAGCTTCCCTATTGTGAACTCAAGGATTGGGTTAGAGCAAGGCCAATTGTACATCTGAACCTGATGGACTGTGTTTTGTTGCTACAATTACACTGCATAATGCATGTATTAGAAAGTATAACATGGCTCAATGTAAAATCACAATGAAAAGAACTAAATCATCTGGATCAAACAAAGCATGGTTGAACACTTTCAAACTAGTAGTTATAAGGACAGATAAACCCTCTCGAGGTAAGTAAGCCACAAAGAGGGTATATCTTGACTTCTAGAAACTGTCTGGAGACTTCAGGCTTTTAAAATTTTTGTAAATTAAAAGTTATTCTATAGTCTCAGAAAGTTTTCCCTAATAACTAACATAAATTTACCTCTTTCCCTTTAAACTCACTTCATCTTGTTCTCTCTGAGACAATCAGAAGTACGACAAATACAATGTTCTTGATGTTTATATCCCCCTCTCCCACCACATTTTTTTGTTCCAGTTTTTTGAATTATTCTAGTGGCCTCACTATAAGCTAAGTTTTGAATAATTTTAATAAAATATACACTTTAAAGTTATAAAGTAAAATATCAAAACAATACAAATGTATATAAGGTAGGACACTAATTTATTTAATTAACCAATTACTTATGCTATAGTTTGGATATTTGACCTCCAAATATCATGTTGAAATGTGATCCCCAGTGTTAGAGGTGAAGCCTAATGGGAGGTGTTTTGGTCATGGGGG
Source organism: Homo sapiens (assembly GCF_000001405.40). Lineage (NCBI taxonomy): Eukaryota > Metazoa > Chordata > Mammalia > Primates > Hominidae > Homo > Homo sapiens. The sequence continues at coordinate 73,071,766 of NC_000006.12, read as the reverse complement.
AGGATCGCTCATGAATGGCTTGGTACCGTCCTTGAAGTAATGACTGAGTTCTGGCTCTGTAAGTTCCCTTAAGATTTGGTTGTTAAAAAGAAAATGGCACTTATGTCTTGCTTCATCTCTCGTCATGTGATCTCAGCACATGTTGGCCCCACTTCACCTTCTGCCATGAGTGGAGGCAGCCTGAGGTTCTCACCAGGAGCAGATGCAGGCACCATGCTTTTTGTACAGCCTGCAGAACTGTGAGCCACATAAACCTACTTTCTTTATGAATACCCAGCTTTGTGTATTCCTTTATTATAAAACAAATAGACTAAGACACTTATTAATGAATTTTTAGGTTACTTTTGGTTTTGCTATTAAAATGATGCTGAAACGAATAGTCCTGTACATTTATTTTTAGGATAAGGAATTTAAGGCTAAATTTCTTGAGACTGAATTCTTGGCATATTTTGATTTGTGATTGATATCAAGATGCCTTCAAAATGATGGTACCAATTCTCACTAACAATGTATGGAAACACTTATTTCTCTCTCCTTGCTAATAAAAAGGAATGCTAATAATAATAAAAATAGTACTAGTAAATCTAATGTTTACTGTTCACTATGTGATAGACATGGTTCTAAGCACACTCATTTATTACCTGGGATATTATAAGTCTTCAATCTTTGCAAATACAGTGGGAAAAACAAAACCATCCCCCTCCTGTTTTAGATGCCTGGATTTCATGTCATTTTTAAGTCACAGAAGTTAAGTTATCTAGAATGACTTTGTCCAACCAAGATTATAAAAATATTTTCCTATATTTTATTTTGGCACACTTACATCCTTATTTAGTTAATGAATTTATGTTTACTATTCAGAATAGTCTTTGTGGTAAAGGTAGCTAGCTGTCTACCACAGATATGTGCTTCCCTTCTAAGGTACAGCATTATCTCTGAGAAGTGGTTGCCCATCTAGAGGTCTCATTTCCCGGGACCCCTTGCTTCTGGGTGAGATGAGGTGACTAATTCTAGTTAATGAAGACGAATGGAAATGATGTATGCCACTTCCCAGTTGAGGGCAAGCACATATGGCTTATCACTTTCTCTTTTTCTATGTCAGTTGCAGTTTGGTACTAAGAATGCCCTTAGAAACCATGTGCTGAAGATGGCAGTGCTTTTGTCAGCCTGGGTTCCTGAATAACTGCATGGAACAGAGCCTTTACCATATACCCCAACCCCAAACAAAGAACACCTTCATTGGACTATTACACAAGTAAGAAATAAACTTCTATTTTATTTAGTTACTAGAATTTGGAGATTTATATAATAACTAAGCATTACTCTAACTTATACAATCATTAGTTTTAACGGAATTTTTGTTTGTCTCTGTGGTGAAGTAGAGAACTAATCTTACTTTTTATCCCATATGAAAGTCAATTTTCCCAATACCATCTAAATAAAAACTCTGTCATTCTCCAAATGTTTGCATATACTTATTGAGAAGCCTATTTTGGGATTCTATTATGTTTTATTGCCTATTCCTATATTCGTGTGACACAAATGTTATTCTTTTTCAAAGTAGTATCAATTATTGTAAACGTATTTATTTTTACCAAGTGAATTTCAGAATAAATGAATCAAGTTAAACAACAAAATTCTGATACAGACCTCATATTAAATTCACGGATTAACATCTCCTTCTTTATTGTCTTCCTCGTCTCATATCTACTGAGTGGTTTACTTTTGTTGATTCTGCTTCCATAGTATGTTTCATATCTAATTTTCTCTTTCCATTTATCCTGTCTCCTCCTTAGTTCAGGCTACGCTACTTCTCTCTTGGTCATCCCTACAATGTATGGCCTGGTTTTCACTCTCCTGTTTTTCCTTTCTCTAAACCACTTTGTATTCTACTACCACATGAAAATGTTAAGATGATTATACTACCTCTGTGATTTAAAAAAGGCCTTCCAATACATAGAAGAAAGATCAAATTCTGCTACCTGGCATTCAAAGTGCTCTATAAAATGCTGCTGCTCTGCCTAGAAGGCCCTTCTCCCTTCTTTACCTGGCTCACTTCTGCTTGCTTCTGGAACTCAGCACAGATATCAACCAGTCAAGGCCACTTGTGCCCAGAGGTCTGAGGTATGCTCCTGTCATAACACTTATTACCCATGATTATACTAGTAGTCTGTTTACTTGCTGGTCTCTTCTATAGTAAGCTATAAGAAACCAACTGCATGCAGACGTGCTTTTTTTTTTGTAACCTCAGTGACTAGCTCCGTACATATCATACTGTAGATGTTCAAAACTTATTTGATAGATACTTACCTGATAAGTTATTTGTTTGTAGTAATTAGGAAAGAAATAGAATACAATGTTATAATTTTAAAGGTCTTAAAAACAATATAGTTTAATCTCCCATATTTTGCAGTTGAGAAGTGAAGGCACGAACACACGAAAATTCCATACATTAAAAAAGAACTCTACACAGATTGAAATGCAAAAAACAAACCTGGAAAAAAATGGCAACATATATGATGATGAACAAAAGATTAATATCTTTAATATATAAACATAAAACACTAAGAAAACATGCTAGTAGAAAATTGGACAGAAGGCACATAGACGAATTTATCCTAGGAAGAAGAAACAATGACTAATTAATATATAAAAAAGTTCTTTACAATTTCTAGTTTTGAAATTTAAAATACTAGAAAGGTACCATTTTATTCTATCAAACTGACAAAGTTTAAAAAAATGAATTGTCAATGTTGGCAAGGCAGAGAAAAAAAGTTATTTGATGAAGATTTTCTGTAAGAATAAATTGGTATGGTATTTTTTGGGGGAGCAATTTGACATTATTTGACAAAACCATTAACAATGTGAATAACTTATTTCAGGAATTTAAACTGTAGGGATGTATGATAAAATTGTAGATGTTAACAAGTTTGCAGCAGCATACTTATTAAACTATTGTTTTTTTCTCCTCCCAGCTCATACCTAACACTATTAGTAGCAGTATAAAAAATGAGAACCAATCCAGATTTCTAATGAGGATGGATTAATAAAAAACAACATGCTATATCCCTTCCAGAGCATGGGCTGTGGTGCTCATGTGCCTCAGTTCCAATCCTGGCTCTGCTGCTTAATAGCTGGGTTACCTTGTTAAGTGACTGAATCTTTCTGTGCCTCAGTTTCTTTATCTGTAAAATGTAGATAATAAAGGTACCTATGTCATAGGGTTGCAAGAATTGAATAAGTTAACTGTGAAACATCTCAGTACAATACTAACATACATTTGAGCTAATTTATTATTACTATTATTATTACCACAAATGCGATACAGCCACAAAACATTATGTCTTAGAAGAATATTGTGAGATAAAATGTTTCTAAACATCATTATTTAAATAACTGATTACATAGCAGGATAGCAGGATTTCAGTTTTGCTCTCCCAAAATATTATGTATTATTATTATTATTTTTTGAGACGGAGTTTCCCTCTTTTTGCCCAGGCTAGAGGGCAATGGTGCAATCTCAGCTCACTGCAACCTCCACCTCTAGGATTCAAGTGTCTCTCCTGCCTCAGCCTCCCCAGTAGCTGGGATTACAGGCACCCGCCACCATGCCCAACTAATTTTTGTATTTCTAGTAGAGACGATGTTTCACCATGTTGGTCGAGCTGGTATCGAACTCCTGACCTCAAGTGATCCACCAGCCTTGGCCTCCCAAAGTGCTGGGATTACAGGTGTGAGTCATTGCACCTGGCCAGATTATGTATTCTTATAGTATATAGAAAAATAAATAGTATAAATACATACATTTGCATATTAATGGTGATTATCTTTAGGTGGTAAGATTCCATACAAATTTTAGTTATATATATATATATATATATATATATATATATATATATATATCTTTTGTCCAAATGATCTTTAATAGCCATGTATTGCTTTTGTAATGAGAAAAAAGAGAACCATAACTTATTTAAAAAAGAAGCTATGGCCTAGAAAGGTTAGTACATTGGCCAAGGTAATTTATTTAGTCAGTGGTGGGAAAACAGAAGAGAAATGGGCAACATTTATTGAGTACCTCTGATGTATGAGGCTGTGCGGGATGCTCAGTACACAGACTTTATTTCATTGTTTCTCCATAATAGCCCTTCAAGGAGGCACAGAGGTTATGAGTATAAACTTCATGTGCAACAGCCCAGGTATTTCTAGTTCTGTCCTTTCTTAGTTGTGTGACCTTGGGCCTATTAATCTTGCTGAGTCTTGGAGTCCTCACCTGCAAATAGGGAATAGATCCCTTTTTCTCACAGGGCTATTGGGATGATTAAATGAAATAATACATATAAAGCCTTTAGTCTGCCTTAGTGTGCCTGGTATCATGTTAACTCTCAATCTAAAAAAAAATGTTTTATAGATATACCTTTCCCTTCACTTTTCTAGATTAGTAATTTGATACTAAGAAAGTCCAAGAATCTTATCCAAAGTCATTTAGCTGGTAAATGGAGCCAAAAATCAAACTAATTTCTGTTTCCAGAGCACTTATATATTTTTTTCCCGTGTTTCTCTTTTGGTAGCTTTTATGTCATAGAAAGCCTAGTAAACAGGGATGTAGAAAGTCAAGCAAAGGCTTACATGTGATATTCCAAGAAGTAAAGTATTATCAAGAATAGGGAATATAACTACGTGCAAATAGTTGATATTCAGGTAAAATTTAGCGAAAATATTATAATTAACATGTTTTTTATATTTTAGGTTGTCCCAATGGGACAGCAGATTGAGACAGAGAGGTCAATCTGCCTTATCAATGTGAGCCCTTTTCTGCAGAAATTTATAATTTTTTTAGTGTCCCATGTATATCATGTGCCAGATGTTTTATTGCCAACAGAGCAGCAAGATAAGAAGGAATAGAAGTGTTCTGGTTCCATTATATTTGCTTATGTATACAGAAGGAACTTTCAAAAGAAACAGAGATGTAAAGCATGGAAGCATAAAGAACATTGAACTATGCCTAGTTTAATTATCTGTTCGCCATTAACTAGCTTTGTCACCACTTATCTCTCAGGGCTGGTTTCCATACCTTTAAAATAGTTGGATTGAACTGGCAAGTCTCAAGGATCCTTTCTAACTTTGAATTTCTCAAATTCTAAGTGGTACATTTTTTGTTTTGGATACTGGTTGAACGAGGAAGCATCAGAAGGAGTGTTTTGGATATGACTTTTCTCAAATTAAGTGTTAAGGCAATTTATTTATTCATTCATTAGTTCATTCGACAAATATTTTTTGTTGCATGTCTACTATAAGCCAAGCATGAGGTATAGAGCAGTGAATAAAAGAGAAGAGTTTTCTGCCCTCATGGAGCTTATGTTCTCCTGGGGTAGGCTGATGTTAAAGCAATAAACAAGTACAGAATATAATGTTAGGTAGTGACAAAAACCCTGGGGAAATGCAGAGCAGGATGAGGGTGGAGTCACAGAGGGGCGGGTGCTCTATCTTAATGTGAAGTTCCAAGAAGTAAAGTATTATTAAGAATAGGGAATATAACTACTTGCAAATGGTTGATATTCAGGTAAAATTTAGCAAACATCTTATAATTAACATGTTTTTAATATTTTAGTTTTTATTTTATTTTTGAGACAGTCTCTGTCACCCAGGCTGGAGTGCAATGGCATGATCTCAGCTCACTGCAACCTCCGCCTCTCGGGTTCAAGCGATTTTCCTGCCTCAGCTTCCCAAGTAGCTGGGATTACAGGTGTGCACCACCACTCCAGGCTAATTTTGTATTTTTGGGAGAGATGGGGTTTCACCATGTTGGCCAGGCTGGTCTCGAACTCCTGACCTCAAGTGATCCACCCACCTTGGCCTCCCAAAGTGCTGGGATTATAGGCGTGAGCCACTGAGCCCGGCCGTTTTTAGTATTTTCGGTTGTCTCAATGGGAAAGCATCTCAGAGGAGCCATGACCCAACGAAGTGAAGGGGTGACCGTGATCATATCTAAGGAAAAATGGTTCCAGGCAAAAAAATATAAAAAGACCTTGAGGTGGAAGTGTGTTCAGTGTGTTCAAGGGAAGGCAAGGAGATCAAGTTAGCTTGAGCGGAGTGAGAGAAGGCTCCAGCCAGATCACGACAGCTTTGGGAATAGCTTTAGATGTCCTTCTAAGTATTATATGATAGCGGCAGGGAAAGGGTTTTTGGCAGAGTGCAGGATCAGATGTGTATTTCACAAGATCATTTTGGTTACCTTTGGGAAACCAACCAGGAAGAGGCTGGATGCCAGAAAGGAAGCCAGATGTCAGAGAGGAAGCTGGAAGGCCAGGTAAGAAGCCACTGCTGTGGTCTGGACAAAGGGTGAGAGCAGCATTACAAGAGTGAGGTTAAAGTCAGGAGGAGCTGTAAAGGAGCTGGATTTGGTGCACATTGTGAAGGTGGAGAGGCCAAGACTTGCTGAAGGACTGACTGTGGGATGAGACAAACGAGGGAGTCTAAGGCTGACTTCAGGGTTTTTGGTCTAAGCAATCAGGTGAATAAAGTGCTATTTACTAAGCTGGGGAAATACCACTGGGGATAGGTGAGGAGCACTATTTGAAGGGCAGAACTACTTGTCCGTTATGGCCATGTTAATTTTGAGATGGCTAGTAGGCATTTGGTAGATGGTGAATGGGGCTGGAGTCTGGGGGAAAGGTCAGGGATGCAGAGTCAGGCAGTAGATTTTTTTTTTTTTCTCATGCTACAGGACGAATCCCTTGCAATATCAGTAACCTACTGAAACAAATTGCTTCAAAGTGTGATCACAAACATTTAATTTCAGATGTGGGTTACAGACTGAAGGAGGTAAGGAAGCTGTGTTTCTGTATTTATAAAACAGGAAAGAAGCATTTGTCCCCTGAGAGTCATCATGAATGAGTAGGAGGCACATCCTATTTAAGGCATAGTCTAGTATCTTGAGTAAATTACCTAGGTGTAATTCCATCAGTTTTCAATAAATCGAAGAGATGAAAAGTCATGTGTATTTTCTGATGCTTTAGAACATGGTTTAGGGCAATGATACAGTGGCTTTATATTATATTCTTTTATATAGAAAGTTTGAGACAGCTTTTAGGAACAGCAATTTTGCACGTTGATACCATCAGATGTTTAAAATTTTCTTCAGTACCTATTTTCACACCTACCAAATGACAAAGCTGCAGTCAGTTTTGATTTCTAAACAGAACCCCATACCAGTATTTGACTGCAGATTAAAAAAAAAAAGATTTGGATTCCACCAATGAATAATCAAATTTGAAACATCTGCTGGAAATCCCAACATCCTATGATGAAATTCCATGCTTGGATATCTTATTCAAGGTCATAGCTTGAATATTTAAACATCAACAGCCAAACAATGGCATTATGGGTTTAAATTTACAGAGCAAAACTACAATACCTAATTTATAATACTCCCTTTTTGCACTTACTCTAAGCAGTTAAATGATATGGACCCTCTGAAACTTAGCAGCCAGTTATGTTTAGTAGTGTTGGGATATGTAATTTTTCTTTAAGAAACTTGATACTTATTTTCAGATGACATACAGATTATGATTAATCATCACCTACTGCTAAAAGTTTTTGAAAGGATATCTTCAGGAAGTTCTTTGAATAGACTGTGTTACTCGGATGTTACAATGGAGATGCCACTTGAGATGAAACGTCACTTAGCAAAGGACATTTATGGATGGGAATTCATTCTAAGTATTATCTGGGAAAATTTAGAATTACCTGGTTCACCTGGCTCTCAATATTTTTCAATGCACAATTTCCTATTTTTGGAAATATGAAATGGATACAGTTTAGGCACTTGGCTAATCCTTAGGGATAAACATTGGGGTGTGAAAATAGACTTTTCCTCCTGTGAAGAATAAAAAGATAGCACTTTAAAGAGTGAATTTGAGTAAATATAAGCCAAGAATAAATACCTGACATTCATTATAATTTTGAAAATCTTGCTTGTTGCCATGTGTAGATCTATTATATCTATCTATCTATCTATCTATCTATCTATCTATCTATCTATCATCTATCTATCTATCTATCTATCTATCTATCTATCATCTATCTATCTATCTATCATCTATCTATCTATCATCTATCTGTATTTCAGTGGGATTATTAACCAAACAGGTCACATATAATTATGCATCTAACTCCCATCTTTACTTATAAAATCCTTACCAAAATTTTCCCTCACTGGCACTAGATTAGAGCAGTTTTTGGAACTTTCTAATTTCATATTTACTTTTATGTATTGCTGTTTATGAACGCTGCAAAGTGTATTGCTGCTCTTATCTGTGCTTAAAAGGAAAGAAAGAGTGTCCCAGAGAAGCTTGTACAAGATAATGCGATAAATTACTTCCAGAAACAGGATCAGAATTCATGGCAACCAACTCCTGAAGCTGCAGGTCAGGCGGTGAAACACATTGTCTTATAACAAATCCTAAAGCTATGAGGAAAAATCCTCCTTCGGACTCACTTTCTTTTCATTATCAATTCCTTTCCTACTGTCATGAGCTTTTTGAATAAGACACGCTCTGTTTAAAGGAGAACAAAAACAAGGTTTATTGAAAACATGTGATACTACAACTTAGGAATCTTTTATAAGGAGACTGGAGATGGCCTAATCGAGTTCAATACCATTCAGGAGCTGGATATTTTCCCATTAACTAAATATGGAAGAGTATAAAGAAAGCATAATTCAAAAATAGTTTCAGATGTGCACATTTTGACATTGTGACCTGTAAATACTCCAGAAAACCACAGAAACTTGATAAGAGATGGATTCTTAAGTCACACAATGGCAAATGTCCTAAGGATTAGCTACAGTACTTTGATCTCCAAATTCCAAGCACAGATTTGGAGTCTGTGGTAGGGGCTAAAATCAAATATTTAAAACATTTTGCAAAAGGCAGAAGTAAAATAATTGAGAAAAAGGCAATATGGGAGTAGACAAGCCTCCTGTAAAAGAACCTACAATTCAAAGCATGCATGCAAATTAAGCACTTTATTAAAAAATATAATCATGTTCCCATGACCAAATAAAATAATTGAAGCAATTAGATTAAAAAATGCAGGCAAAAAATATCCTTTTGAAAACCTCTGATAACTGAGGCAAAGGGGCTATTTTTCACCTTGCATTGCTTGAATAATTGCCACATTTTTTTTCTCTATTTGCTCATGTTGACTGTGTTGTTTTTACTTTGTGTGTGTAGGGGTTGTGATGGGGGCCGGGGGGATGACGCTTCTCATGTGACTGTTTACTAGCTTGCAGTTTTCTCAATTTTTTATTCATTCAATACACATTCATTGTGGCCAGAAACTTCTAGGACCTGGGCATATAATATTAAAGGGCATGGCTGGTGTGGACCAGATGGATGCCTTCTGTCTGCACAAGGCTGAAAGCATGGTTTGCATAGAAGACGCTGAATCGAGTAACCACAATCATGAGTGATGAATATTATGACAGAAGAAATACAAGGAGCACATTGCAGGGACAATTAACTTAGTTAAGAGGCCAGGGAAGCCTTCTGGGAGAAACATAGATGAAGCCATAATGAACAACCAGTCTACAAGAAAGCTTCAAAAGCCCTTCTAATTAAACCACATCCTTTAGGTACCATACATACCATTCCTGAAATTACTTATTATATCTAAGGACTCCAGACTCAAAAAGTACCTGTCTTGGTTCTTGCTCCTTCCATTTACCTCTTAAAATAAAATGCATTCTTATTTAAGATACACAGACTCTCAAATTCTAGGAATGCCTTATTGAAGATATTTTGAGGAAAAATAATAAACAAAAACATACAAAGATGGTCTGAGTTGATAATTTTTTTCTGATTGTAGGTATCGATTCTAGGATTGATTAGAGGCTTCACTGAACACATCACTTTTATGATTCTGTTTGCTACCACTAAGAGTTATGGAGTATTGATTAAACACCAGGCATTAAGCTAAGCACTTTACATGTATCATCTCATTGCATCTTCTTGGGCAATCCTTTGAAAAGTTACAACTAAAATTCTAAGTTTAAAATTAAGGAAATATATGAAGAGCAAATTAAGGCAAATAATAAAGCACCTTTTAGAACAGAGTTTTTCGTGAGTTAAAAATGCCATTCTATGTTACTTCAGCCTAGAACTGAGGAGGTGCACATGGAAATCCTATGGTAAATTATCTTTGGCATTGTCCCTCTTTGCAATGACAAAAGTGCCTGGAGTGTGAGTAGATTCGGAACAACTGTACATAATATGAGCCCATTAACCCATCCAAATATTGCTATACAAAAATAATAATAGTCAACATCTAAACTGTACTTCATCTGTGCCAGGCAATAATTCTTTTAATTTAGTTTTTGAATAGTTAACATATTTATATTTTAAACATTAAAATGACATAAAAAGGTAAATGCTGAAAAATCTTACTCCTACCCGTTTCCATTCATGCTGTCCTCATTCGCTATCCTCAGTTAAACATTTTTATTCTCTTCTTTTTGTAAAAATTATTTCAATGTTTCTTTATACAAACACAAGCAATATGAAAGTCAACTTTTATTTTTCTCCTTTCTTACACAAAAGTAGCACACTATATATGCAGTATTACATTTCATTTTTCTTTTATTTCATATATCTTGGGATTCTTCTGTAGCTGTGCAGAAAGGTCTTCCACTGTATTTTATTGTTTGGATTTACAATAGTTTATTCAGCTATAGTGAACATTTACTACAAATTGATGAAATTATTAGGAAGTAGACTTCCTGGGTCAAAGAGTAAATGCTTAAGTAATTTTGGTAGATATTGACACTCTTCCATAAGGGTGATACCCCTTTGCACTCCTGTGGCATGTGAGTGCCTATTTCCTTGCAGTCTCATCAATAAAGTGTGTGGTCAAACTGCAGATTTTTGCCAATCTGATAGGTGAGAGAATGCTTTCATTTGCATTTCTTTTTTATGAGTGAGACTGGGTATGTTTAAGAGGTATATATGTATTTCTTATTCTGTGACCAGTCTGTTCATATCCATTTTATTTTCTGTTAGGTTGTTGGGTTTTTCTTGATTTCTAGAGCTCCTTATAATTTAAGGTGATTAGTTTCTATTTTTTAGTAGGAGTTGTAAATATTTTTCCACATTTGTCTTTTGACGTTGCTGTTTAGTTTATCATACAGTATTCTTTGATTTTATGTATTCTATCAATATTTTCTCCTATGACTTTTGTATTTTTAGTTATAATTAGAAAATCTTTCCAGATTCCAAGGTTCTAAGAGAGTTTACCAATTTCTTCTGCCCAGTATTTTATGGTCTTATTTAATTTAAATCTTTGATTTATTTGGAGTTTATCTTGGAATCTGGTAAGATAGATATGGATACAGCTTTAATTTTTTCCAAATGAGTAATTAATTATTCCAGCATTTCTTACAACCAGAGTGAGAATGAAGTTGGGATTCATATATTTTGGCCACACAGGGTTGTTTCTAACTTTGAGAAAATAATGTTTTTGTTGGTTATGGTGGAAGATCCAAGGGGAGACATTTGGCAGAGTCTTGGAGGAAAAGTAGTCTTAGAGAATAGTTTTAAGAATAGGGCAATTTCTGAGAGGTGTTGAATTAAGGAGAACAAACGACTTCTTTTTAGATCACATTAGAACCATGAATATTGGACCCAACTCTCTATAAAGCACCACTGGGTCTTGGTGGCAATTTTAAATATTTTATTCCATTGGAGTAGTACTTTAAGGCTCTAACTAATGTCATTATCTGTATCTTTTAGCAGGAAAGTATAATTAGTATTGGTCTCAGTAAAGTTTGCTTGAATAAGGACTTTCTAAAAATTAAAGTTAGATTTAAAAAATGGTCCTTCAGGAATTTGTACAGTATTGGCTTTTTACATTAATTGGTCTCTTTATACTTCATCTATGTAAACATAATACTTACATTCATTTATCACAGTATGAAGAACTGCTCCTTAATGGGCAATACTTTCATTTGTTTCTTGACCCAAGTGGTAAAATATACATTTCGTTAACTTCTGCTTGTTAAAAAAATTTTCATAGAAAAACAGAAAAAGCAGAAACATGATTTCTATGAAAATAAGATGTCATTTAAGACAGCATGGTCTAATTTAATGCTATGAAACATTCTAGGCATTTCAACATTTTATTTTATGATTTATTTTTAAACTTTTATTTCAGGTTCTGTGGTACATGTGCAGGTTTGTTATATAGGTGAATTGTATATTATGGGGGTTTGATGTTCAGATTATTTCATCACGCAGGTAAAAAGCATAGTACCTGATAGGTAGTTTTTTTATGCTCTCCCTCCTCCCACTTTCCATCCTCAAGTAGGCTTACGCGTCTGTTGTTCTCTTGTTTGTGACCATATAACTCAATGCTTAGCTCTCACTTGTAAGTGAGAACATGTGTATTTGGTTTTCTGTTCCTGTGTCAGTTCGCTTAGGTGAATGGCCTCCAGCCTCATCCATGTTGTTGCAAAAGACATGATCTTGTTCTTTTTTATGGCTGTGTAGTATTTATGGTGTATATGTACCACATTTTCTTTATCCAATCCACCATCAATGGGCATGTAGGTTGATTTCATGTCTTTGCTATTGTGAATAGTACTGAGATGAATATATGAGTGCATATGTCTTTAAGGTAGAATGAGTTACATTCCTTTGAGAATAAACCCAATAGTGAGATTACTGGGTCAAATGGTAATTCCATTTTGAGTTCTTTGAGAAATTGCCAAACGGCTTTCCACACCGGCTGAACTAATTTACATTCCCACCAGCAGTATATAAGCATTCCTTTTTCTCCATAACCTTGCCAGCATCTGTTATTTTTTGACTTTTTAGTAATAGCCATTCTGACTTTTGTGAGATGGTATCTTATTGTGGTTTTGATTTGCATTTCTCTAAAGATTAGTAATGTTGAGCATTTTTTTATATGCTTCTTGGCCACGTGTATGTCTTCTTTTACAAGTGTCTGTTCAAGGACTTTGCCCATTTTTTAATGGTGTTGTTTGTTTTTTTGCTTATAAATTTGTTTAAATTCCTTACAGATTCCGGATAATAGACCTTTGTCAGATGCATAGTTTGCAAATATTTTCTCCTATTCTGTAGGTTGTCTGTTCACTCTGTTGATAGTTTCTTTTGCTGTGCAGAAGCTGTTTAGTTTAATTAGATCCCTTTAGTTTAATTGACAAAATTAGTCAATTTTTGTTTTTGCTGCAATCGCTTTTGTCTTTGTCATAAAATCTTTGCCAGGTCCTATATGTCCAGAGTGGTATTTCCCAGGTCATCTTCCAGGGTTTTTATAGTTTTAGGTTTGTTTTTTTTTGAGACGGAGTCTCGCTGTCGCCCAGGCTGGAGTGCAGTGGCAGCATCTCGGCTCACTGCAGCCTCCGCCCCCCGGGGTTCACGCCATTCTCCTGCCTCAGCCTCCCGAGTAGCTGGGACTACAGGTGCCCGCCACCTCGCCCAGCTAATTTTTTGTAATTTTAGTAGAGATGGCGTTTCACCGTGTTAGCCAGGATGGTCTCGATCTCCTGACCTCGTGATCCGCCTGCCTCGGCCTCCCAAAGTGCTGGAATTACAGGCGTGAGCCACCGTGCCCGGCCAGTTTTAGGTTTTATGTTTAAGCCTTTAACCCATCTTGAGTTGATTTTTGTATATGGTATAAACAAGGGGTCCAATTTCAATCTTCTGCATATGGCTAGCCAGTTATCCCAGCACCATTTATGGAATAGGAATTTCTTTTCCCATTGCTTGTTTTTGTTAGGTTTGTTTAAGATCAAATGGTTTGTGTGTGGCATTATTTCTGGGCTATCTCTTCTGTTCCATTGGTCTATGTGTTTTGTACCAGTACCATGCTGTTGTGGTTACTGTAGCCTTGTAATATAGATTGAAGTCACACAATGTGATACTTCTGGCTTTGTTGTTTTTGCTTAGAATTGCCTTGGCTATTCAGGCTTTTTTTTGGTTTCATACAAATTTTTAAATAATTTTTTTTTCTAATTCTGTGAAGAACTGGTAGTTTGATAGGAATAGCACTGAATCTGTAAATTGCTTTGGGCAATATGGCCATTTTAACAATATTGCTTCTTCCTATCCATGAGCATGGAATGCTTTTCCTTTTATTTATATCATCTCAGATTACTTTGAGCAGTGTTTTATAATGCTTGTTGTAGAGATCTTTCACCTACCTGGTTAGCTGTATTTCTATGTATTTTATTCATTTTTTAAATTTTTATTTATTTATTTATTTTTTTACTATACTTTAAGTTCTAAGGTACATGTGCACAATGTGCAGATTTGTTACACATGTATACATGTGCCATGTTGGTGTGCTGCACCCATTAACTTGTCATTTACATTAGGTATATCTCCTAATGCTATCCCTCCCCCCCTTCCCCCCACCCCATGACAGGCCCCAGTGTGTGATGTTCCCCACCCTGCATCCAAGTGTTCTCATTGTTCAATTCCCACCTATGAGTGAGAACATGTGGTGTTTGGTTTTCTGTCCTTGTGATAGTTTGCTGAGAATGATGGTTTCCAGCTTCATCCATGTCCCTGCAAAGGACATGAACTCATCCTTTTTTATGGCTGCATAGTATTCCATGGTGTATACGTGCCACATTTTCTTAATCCAGTCTATCATTGATGGACTTTTGGGTTGGTTCTAAGTCTTTGCTATTGTGAATAGTGCTGCAATAAACATACATGTGCATGTGTCTTTATAGCAGCATGATTTATAATCCTTTGAGTATATACCCAGTAATGGGATGGCTGGGTCAAATGGTATTTCTAGTTCTAGATCCTTAAGGAATCACCACACTGTCTTCCACAATGGTTGAACTAGTTTACAGTCCCACCAAGAGTGTAAAAATGTTCCTATTTCTCCACATCCTCTCCAGCACCTGTTGTTTCCTGACTTTTTAATGATCACCATTCTAACTGGTGTGCATGGGATGGCATTCTTTTTTTTATTGCACATCACTCCTTTATTATACTGATCTGGAAAAAGGATTTAGTACAGTTATGCTCAAATGAACACTAGACCTATGTGGCAGGGCCAAGCAACTGCAACATGATTCAGAAATCAGTGAAAAACACACTTGGAGAGGACCAAGAGGCATTTCACTGCCATGAAACAAGGCAGGGAGGGATTCTAAAACACACAGCATGAAGCACTCCTGCCCCTCAAAGGTCAAGGAGCTTACCCCATATTGGTATGAGGAATGGCTTATGTTCTGATGACCACATGTGGGACTATTTCAACCACCACGAGAAACCCTTAGAAGGGTTATTGTTTTGTATTATTTATATACACTATACTTTTTTTTTTTTAAATAAAAGTAAATGTAACACATAAACTAAATTCAGGATTGATCCCAACCTTCTAGAGCCAGTTCCTCTGGGGTCAGGGAGGAAACAGTTGTCACATCACCATGCAGGTTACATTCATCTTCCACTGGGATGACTAGAGCCCCCAGGCAGTGGCCTGACTACAGACAAGCACAGGACTAGCTCCTGGGGGCAGACAGGCTCTCTTGCTTCTCCTCATTGGTCGTAGCTCAGCATGGCTCCTCCTCACAAGTCCTTAGTAAACAAAGCACTTGCAAAAACCCAAGTCACTATCTTTGAACTCTCTTGGATAAGGGGGGCTTTTCCACAGCTTAGACTGAGAACCTGTGCCCTAGAAGTGCTATTCTGACTAGAATGTATGAAGGGAGTGGGTGCAGAAGACAAAATGGCTAAAATGAAAATGGGAGCCACCGGTCCCCATCTGCAGCTGCAACTCAAGATGTCTATAGATGTGGTCAGTGTGACATGTTCAGGAGGGAGGGACAGATGGATGCAATGGGCAGGGAGGGTGCCTGTTTGCTGGCCTTCACTTCTTGGCTTTGCCCTGGGCAGCCACAACTTCCATGGCTTTGCACATGGTCTCTTCATCCCCTAGGAACTGCGTGGGCTGGGCTTGATGGGCTTCAAGTTCTTGTCCAATTCATAGACAATGAGAATGCCAGTTGGCAGGTTCAGCTCCATGATAGCCTCTTCAGAGAGACCCTTCAGATGCTTGTCAGTGCCCCAGAGGCTGTTGCCATGGGCTGCAGTCAGTACCCATTTCCCCTCCTTGATCTGGGGAAATACTTCTTCATTCCAGAAGGGCAGAGCTCTGGCAATAGTGTCCTTCAGACTCTCACAGGAGGGTAGGTGATTTTCTGTGAGGTCTGCATACCTGTGATCCTTACTGATGTTGCTGTAGAAAGGATGGTAGGGCTCCATCGGAGGTGGTGGGACATCATAGGAGCACCTGCAGATCTTCACCTGGGCTTCACTATGTTTTGCAGCAGTTTCTGCTTTATTGAGACCGGCTAGAGCCCCATAGTGCTGCTCATTGAGGCGCCAAGTCCTCACTATTGGCAGCTACATCTGATCAATGGCATCTAGCACTGTCCAGAAGGTCGGGATCGCTCTCTTCTGCAATGAGGTGAAGCAGATGTCAAACTCATAGCCAGCATCTCGCCGTGCCTGCTTTGCCGCCTCATGGCCCGCTGGGCTCAGGATGGCGTCGTACCAGCCGCTGAAGTGGTTCTCCAGGTTCCACTCACTCTCGCTGTGCTGGATCTGCACCAGTTTGTAGGTGGCCATGGTGGCAGGCTTGGGGGATAGCATTCTTGATTTGGCTCTCAGCTTGGATGTTGTTGGTGCACAGGGATTCTACTGATTTTTGTACATTGACTTTGTATCCTGAAGCTTTGCTGAAGTTGTTTATCAAACCAAGGAGCTTTGGAGCAGAGATTATGGGGTTTTCTGGGCATAGAATCATACTGACTGGAATCAGGGACAGTTTGACTTCCCCTCTATTCAGATGGCTTTTATATCTTTCTCTTGCCTGATTGCTCTGGCCAGGACTTCCAGTACTATGTTGAAAAGGACTGGTGAGAGAGGACATCCTTGTTTTGTTCTGGTGTTTAATAAGAATGCTTCCAGCTTTTGCTCATTCACTGTGATGTTGGCTGTGAGTTTCTTATAGATGGCTCTTATTATTTTGAAGTATGTTCCTTCAGTGCCTAGTTTGTTGAGGGTTTTTAACGTGAAGGGATGTTGAACTTTATCAAAAGCCTTTTCTGCATTTATTGAGATGATCATGTGGTTTTTGTTTTTAATTCTGTTTATGTGATGAATCACATTTATTCATTTGTATATGTTGAACCAAACTTGTGTCCCAGGGACGAAGCCTCCTTGATAGTGGTGGATTAGCTTTTTCATGTGCTGCTGGATTCATTTCACTAGGATTTTATTGAGAATTTTTGCATCTATGTTCATCAAGGATTTGGCCTGAAGTTTTGTTTTTTGTTGTTGTTGTGTCCCTGCCAGGTTTTGGTATCAGGATGATGCTGGTTTCATAGTTAGGGAGGAGTCCCTCCTCCTCTGTTTTTTGGAATAGTTTCAGTAGGAATGGTACCAGCTCTTCTTTATACTTCTTGTAATATTCAGCTGTGAATCCCTCTGGTCCCGGGCTTTTTCTGGTTGGTAGGCTTTTTATTACTGATTCAATTTTGGAACTCATTATTGGTCTCTGTCCAGGATTCAATTTCTTCCTGGTTCAATCTTGGAAGGTTGTATGTTTCAAGGAATTTATCCATTTCTTCTAGGTTTTCTAGTTTGTGTGCATAGAGGTGTTTTTAGTAGTCTCTGAGGGTTTTTTAAATTTTTGTGGGGTAGGTGGTAACATCCCTTTGTCATTTCTGATTGTGTTTATTTTGATCTCTCTTTTTTTCCTTATTAGTCTAGCTAGCATTTTATCTATCTTATTTATTCTTTCGAAGAACCAAGTCCTGGATTCATTGATCTTCTGTATGTTTTTTTGCGTCTCAATTTCCTTCAGTTTAGTGCAGATTTTGATTTCTTGTGTTCTACTAGCTTTGGGGTCGATCTGCTCTTGTTTCTCTATTTCCTCTAGGTGTGATGTTCGGTTGTTAACTTAAGATCTTTCTAACTTTTTGATGTAGGCATTCAGCTCTATAAACTTCCCTCTTAATATTGCTTTAGCTGTGTCCCAGAGATTCTGGTATGTAGTATCTTTGTTCTAATTAGTTTCAAATAATTTCTGAATTTCTACCTTAATTTCATTGTTTACCCAAAAGTCATTCAGAAGCAGGTTAATTTCCATTAATTTCTATTTTTATTGCACTGTAGTCTGAGAGTGTGGTTGGTATGATTTTTTTTTATTTGCTAAGGATTGTTTTATGGCTGATTAGTCAATTTTAGATTATGGGCCATGTGCAGATGAGAAGAATATATACACTCCTGTTTTTGGGTGGAGATTTCTGTAGATGTCTATTAGGTCTATTTAGTCAAGTGTCAAATTCAGGTCCTGAATTTCTTTGTTAGTTTTCTGCCTCAATGACCTGTCTAATACTGCCAGTGGGATGTTAAAGTCTCCCACTATTATTGTGTGGTTATCTAAATCTCTTTGTGGGTGTCTAAAAACTTGCTCTATGAATTTGGGTGCTCCTGTTTTGGATGCATATCTATTTAGGATAGTTAAGTCTGGCCTTTTGAGGTGAACCCTTTACCATTATGTAATGCCTTTCTTTATCTTTTTTGATTTTTGTTGGTTTAAAGTCTGTTTTGTTTGAATGTAGAATAGCAACTCCTGCTTTTTTCTGTTTTCCATTTGCTTGGTAGATTTTTCTCCATCCCTTTAGTTTGATCCTATGTGTGTCACTGCATGTGAAATGGGTCTATTCAAGACAGCATACTGTTGGGTCTTGCTTCTTTGTCCAACTTGCCACTCTGTGCCTTTTAATTGGGCATTTAGCCCATTTACATTTAAGGTTAATATTGATATGTGTGGATTTGAAGGATCAAATCCTGTTTTGTGTTGTTAATTGGTTATTATGCAGATCTGTTTGTGTGGTTGCTTTTTGGCATCAATGGTGTGTGTACTTAAGCACGTTTTTGTAGTTGCCAGTAATAATCTTTCCTTTCCATATTTAACACTCTCTTTAGGACCTCTTATAAGGCAGGTCTGATGGTAATGAATTCCCTTAGCATTTGCTCGCCTGAAAAGAATCTTATTTCTCCTTCATTTATGAAGCTTAGTTTGGCTGGATATGAAATTCTTGTTTGGAATTTCTTTTCTTTAATAATGCTGAATATAGGTCCTCAATCTCTGCTGGCTTATAGAGTTTCTGCTGAAAGGTGTGCTGTTAGCCTGATGGGGTTTCCTTGGGAGGTGGCCTGCCCCTTCTCTTTAGCTGCTGTTAACATTTTTTGTTTTGTTTTGACCTTAGAGAATCTGACAAGTATGTGTCTTGGGGATGGTTATCTGTATAGTATCTCACAAGGGTTCTCTGCATTTTCTCAATTTGAATGTTGGCCTCTCTAGTGAAGTTGGGGGAATTTTCATGGATGATATCCTGAAATATGTTCTCCAAGTTGCTTGCTTTCTCTCCCTCTCTTTCAGGGACATCAGTGAGTCATAGATTTGGTGTCTTTACATAATCCCATACTTTGGAGATTTTGTTCATTCTTCTTTAATCTTTTTTTCTTTATTTTTGTCTGACTGAGTTATTTCAGAGAAGTGATATTCAAGCTCTGAGATTCTTTCCTCAGCTTGATCGATTCTGCTGTTATATTTGTGATTGTATTCTGGAATTCTTGAAGTGAGTTTTTCAGCTCTATCAGATCAGTTCTGTTCTTTCTTAAAGTGGCCATTTCGTCTTTCATCTCCTGTATCACTTTGTTGTAATCCTTAGAATCCCTGGATTAGGTTTTCACTGTCTCCTGAATCTCAGTGATCTCTGTTCCTATCCACATTCTGATTTCTCTTTTTGTCATTTCAGCCTGGTTAAGAACCATTGCTGGGGAACTACTGCAGTTGTTTGGAGGTAAGAAAGTACTCTGACTTTTGAGTTGCCAGAGCTCTTGCACTGGTTCTTTATCATCTGTGTGGGCTGATTTTCCTTCAGTCTTTGAAATTGCTGTCCTTTGGATAGTTTTTTTTTTTTTTTTTTTTTTTTTTTTTTTTTTTGCCTCTATCTTCTTTGATGCCCTGGAAGGTTTGAATCTCATATAAGGTGGGTTCAGTTGACTGGCTTCATTTCTGGAAGAATTTAGGGGGTAAGGCTCAGCTCAGAACTTTTGGGCTGTATGCTGCAACTTTGGGAGGCTGTTACTGGATCTCTGACTTTATTCTCTGGCCCCTTGAGGTTAGGAAACTGCTAAAGTGGAGGCGCTAAGGTGTTCCTGCACCTCTGGCCACAATACTCTGATGGGTGGTGCCAGCCAAACCACTTTGTTGGGGTGGTGGCAGCAGGATCTGTGCTCATTTGTAAGTGCCAAGAGCAGTGCCAAGAGCAAGTGGCAGTGTGGTGGGGTGAATGCTCATCAACTGGGGCAGAGTGCTGGTGGCCATGGGGCTGCCGGCCTCCATGTGCACGCTCATGCTGGTAGCAGTGTCAGTGCAGGGGCAGGCTAGTGGTGAGCGTGGGGCTGCCAGCCTCCATGCATATGTTCACACTGGCAGCAGTGGCAGCGTGGGGCAGGGGGTGGGGCTGCTGACCTCCATGCACATGTTTGCATTGGCATTTCTATATTTTAAAAGGAAATAGTTTGGCAGTTTCTGATAAAGGTGAACTAGCACTATATGACCCTAGAGAAATAAAAACTTACGTTCATACACAAACCTACACATGAATGTACATAGCTGCCTTATTTGTAATAGCCAAAAACTAGAAGCAGCCCAAATGACCTTGATTAGGTAAATGAATATACAAATTGTGTTACATCTAGATCATGGAATTCTATTAAGCAATAAACAGGAATGCACTATTGATGCACTTGGATGGATCTCAAGAGCATCATGCTGTGTAAGAAAAAGCCAATTTCAAAAGATTACTACTTTACAATTTCATTTATATAACATTATAAAAATGACAAAATTACAGTGAAACAGAACAGATATAGTGGTTCCCAGAGGTTAGGATTGAAGAGAGGGAGTACCTGTAAAGGAATAATACAAAGTATATCATTCCAAGTTTATTTAGGGTGATGGAAAAGTTCTGTATTTTGATTGTGGTGGTGGTTAAATGCATATATACATGTGAGAAAATTTTATAGGAGTGTATATAAAAATTGAGCGCATGTAAAAACTGGTGAAATTCAAATAAAGACTATAGCTAATAGTATGTATTCATATCCTGGTTTTGATAATTGCAGTATACGTAGGTAAAATATTTTGGGGAAAGTTAGGTAAAGAGTACATTTGAACATGGAAATTCTGTACTATTTTTGCAACTTCTAAGTAAGTCTAAAGTTATTCCAAAATAAAACATTGAACATCTTTTATAATAGTTACATTTATTTTCTTTCCTTTCCTTTCTTTCCCTCCCTCCTTCCCTCCCTCCCTTCCTTCCTTCTTCCCTCCCTTCCTTCCTTCCTTCCTTCCTTCCTTCCTTCCTTCCTTCCTTCCTTCCTTCCCTCCTTCCTTCTTTCCTTCCTTCCTTTCTCTTTGTCTCTCTCTCTCTCTGTCTTACTCTGTTGCCCAGGCTGCAGTACAGTGGTGCAATCATAATTCACTGCAGCCTTGAATTCCTGGGCAGAAGTTACCTTCTCCTATCAGCCTCCTGAGTAGCTGAGACTACCAGTGTGTTCCACCACACCCAGCTATTACAGTTTTTTTTGTTTGTTTTTGTTTTTGTTTGTTTTTTTTGTAGAGATAGGGTCTCATTATGTTGCCCAGGTTGATGATTTTGAACTCCTAGGCTCAAGTGATCCTCCTACCTTGCTCTCCCTTTAAAGTGCTGGGATTACAGGCATGAGCCACTGTGCCTGGTATGTTTTCTTTTAGACTTTAGACAATGGCCCCTAGAAGGAGGGAGATTTGGGGACAGGAATCGAATCATATCACATGGCTTATTAATTTTCAAGTGGAACCCCTTTACTTATGTTTCAAAGTGAGGAAAATAAGAAGTTCTTTGCCAGTTCTGGCCAGTGGAATTAGAATATTTGCTTTCATGGCATCAGATACCATCTAGTACATGCTGAAAATACGGATCTTGAAAAGACAGTTGCTAATCTATGTAATATGGTTTTCCACTGATCTGTTAAGAAATTCATTTTTCCTGCTCCTTCATTATTTCTCCACATGTAGATTAAACGGATTATACTATAATTAAATTTGACTCTAACAAGAGGCAGTGCTTTAGAGCAATGAGCTATTGGGAGGCCAGCATGCTATTCCTAGCTTTACTGCTGATTTATGGGCTAAGGACAAAGCACCCCCACTTCACAGTGCCTCGACTTTTCCATCTATAGAGTGAAGTAAACAATGTCTCAGAGGGACATGGTGCTGCTTTATAAGCTCTATATTCTAATTGAGCTCCAAATTCCTTTATAGAAAGGTGCTCTTTGAAGAACTAAAGATGTATTTATATTGTTGTTGTGACTCTTAATAGAAATGAAGCTTTAAAATCTAATTTTAAAAGTCTCCTCCTGCACAGTACATTATCCACGTTCTTAAATACTGCAATCAACTATGCACTGAGTTGCTCTGTGATATTTATTAAAAATAAAAAAGGCACCACAAAGACAAACTTGTAGAACATTTTCAAAGCCATGTGCAGGGGTTTAACTGCAGGACTTCCACAGAAGTTAATGGGACTCATACTGGCAAATTGCAGGCACCACTTTGAAAATTTACCCCATAGTGACAGTTTAATGCTTCTTATTGATCATACAGTTTCAGATAACATCTCAAGGCAAAAAGGGACAATTTCTCAAAAGAAATAAACAATCTTTAATGAAATAATTCTGCACTGCAATCATCATAACTAAGAGTATGGAATAGAGTCCCTTGGCAAGGAGGATCTTAGGAACTGCTTACTGGTGATACCACTGGGGCTGTAAAAAAGTTTCCATCACATTCTAATTCCAGTTCCTCATAGAAAAATAACATTTTAAAAAACAATGTAAAATTTCATGTTTCTAAGGGCAGAAATATAGAAACAAAATTCAGAGGATTATTTCCTTATAAACTTATGTTTATGTTTTTTATAAACATAAATGGGTAATAATTTGTATATTGCTGATATGAAGTTCCAACAGGCATACATGACTAAAAAACCCAGGGCATTAAACAGCCATACTTTTTGTTGCCTGATTAATGCTGCTGTTCATAACCTGAATAGTATTCATATTAGGCCTGCCAGCAACCCGTAGGACCTTTGCCTGGTGGCCTGTCTTTAGAAGGAACCTTGATTCAGGGTAGCAGAGGCTACATGGCCTTCAGGGTGTGACCTCTGCCTGTCTCCCCTATCACCTTCTGCTATTCTCCCCACTGCTCATTGAGCTCCAGCCACGAGACCTTATGTCTCCACCTTGTACAACCCAAGCTCATCAAGTGTTAATAATCCTTGCAATTACTATTCCCTGGCCTGGAAAGATCTGTGTCTAAACCTCCTCATGGCTGGCTTCTTCTTAATATTCAGGTCAACTCAAGTGTCAACTACTTAGAAAGACTTTCTCAGACCACCCAAGCTAAGGTAGCCTCTACTCTTTCTGTTTTATTTTCTTCATTGTGCTTATCTGTAGATGACATTATCTTGTTTTTCAAAAACATATTTGTGTATTGTTTTTCTTCGTCCACACGAATATTATCTCTATAAGAAGGAAGACCTTGCCCATTTGGTGCCATACAGCCTCTCCAGCATCCATAAGCATGCTTGGACATGGTAGAAATTGTATAAATGTTCAGTGGATGACTCAAACATAATTTGAAAACCTGGGGGTAGTCCTTTGCTTCTTTGTTTTATACAATCACTCATGATATTCCATAGCCTTCTTTCTAGGACTACTTCAATTTCCATCACCTTTGCTCTGTAACACCATAATTATAGTATACCTCCTTTAAGTTTTGCCATTCTCTAAGGGCACAGGAGATTCTATTCTTACAGGCAGGGACCGTGTTTTAGTCGCTTTTGTATCCTTTATACTTAAGATTATGTTTGACACATAATAAATACCCTGTCTGTGAATGAATTTTCTTATGTAACATGTGATAGTACAGAATGTTAATACAGTATATCATAGTGCTCTACTAAAGTTTATAGAAAGAGTGGGAAATAATCCTTATTCATTTTCCTCTTCGGAAATAAATTTTCTTCATGTGGTCCAACCATATCAGCTAATCAAGCTGTCTTGTAAGTTCAACTTTCAAGTTTGTGTACCAGGTCAACAATTATCTAAATTACCGATAGTTTATTAATGTTAAAAAACATTTGAAGGTAGTCCTGCGAGTAATGTTACTTGCTCTCCAGAGGTCTCCAATTTGGAAATACACAGGGAGCCTCATGATAACAACAACTGAAGAGTATATGCAAGTTTGATACAGGTAAGTAAGTCTATTTTAGGTCCTAATTTCCCATTCAGGTTAGAGAGCAGCAATAGGTAACATAATTTAGTTGATATAATTAAGGCTGATACTGCAATTAATGTTCTATAAAGCCTGGCTTTTCTTTAAAGATCTTGAATTACTAATGATAAGCATAATAGTATCATGTTCTTCTGTTTACAAGTTGATGACAATAGATAAGGTTCAATTAAATTTAATTTTAAAATGCTAATAAACAGTAAAGACAATTTTCCAGTTGGGTATGTATATTTTTCTAGAGTGAAATCATGAGAAATAAATCCAGGTTCTTTCACCTATCATCTTTTTAAGTTTGTCTTGCTTCCTCATCTATAAAGTCTTCAGTCTTGTCTTACTTCCTCATCTATAAAATGGGACATTATAAAGGCCAGGCGTGGTGGCTCACACTTGTAATACCAGCACTTTGGGACGCTGAGGCGGGTGGATTACTTGAGGCCAGGAGTTCAAGACCAGCCTGGCCAACACGGTGAAATCCTATCTCTACTAAAAATGCAAAAATTAGCTGGGTGTGGTGGCGTGTGCCTGTAGTCCCAGCTACTCGGGAGGCTGAGGCATGAGAATGGCTTGAACCCAGGAGGCGGAGGTTGTAGTGAGCTGAGACTATGCCATTTGGACTCCAGCCTGGGTGATAGAGGGAAACTCTGCCTCAAAAAATAAAATAAAATAAAATAAAATAAAATAAAATAAAATAAAATAGAATAAAATAAAGTAAAGTAAAATAAAATAAAATAAATAAGGACATTATAGTACTTATGTAGAATTAAATAAGACCATATTTATAAAGTGCTTAAAGTAGTACCTAATATATAGTAGTTCTCAATAAATATCAGCTATTACTAACTAGAGGGATTAAAATTGTTTTAATGTTTTGTGATCAGCCAATCCAACAGGTTTTAATTGTCCTCAGATGGTCCAGTTAATCACATGGAAGGAATCTACATGCACTGAGGGAGTTTGAACACTTAGAAGTAATAAGTTGCAGAAGAGTGTATGACTAACAGAAAATAAGTGAAATAATATAATTTCTACTAAAGGGAAAAGGGAGTAGAAGGTATAGAAAATAATGCCATTGAAGAGTAAGTCTCTTAGAACAAAAGATAGAGAAGACAGAGAAACAGAAAAATGATGTCTCAAAATCAATTTAGAACACAGTGGCAGTTTTGGGAGTCTGATCTAACTTTTGAACACATTAGCAACTTAAGTTGCCTTTTAATAAGATGAAATCATAGATATATTAGAGTAGTCTCAGCCATGTGGTCGATTTTAATAAAGGCTTCAATTTTATTTTATCCACGTAGGATAAAATAAAATTTTATTTTATTCCTCTTTTGTCCTCTTGTGGAAATAATTACACTGAAAATAAACTGTTAAAATAACAATAAGAAATCAACTTACACTTAGCATCAAATGCAGATCCAAGACTAACAACAGGCTGGTATTTTCTCACTGAGACTCCCTGCAAGACTGAAAAATATGGCCCTGTTATATCTGCCTTTGGAAAGCGTCACCAAGGAATCTAAAAAAAGCCACTGTGAGAAGTAATTTGTTGGCTTCCTGACACATCAGGCTCATTATTGTGACCCAAGTTTCAGCCTTAGGTCTATTTGCAATTTTTGGGTAGGTCAGTAATGAAAGCTAGAAAAAAGAATGACTATGAAATCAGTCTTAGAGGTTATTCACAAATTCTTTATGCCGATGTTATTGGGTGAGTGTTTTGTGTTTTCACATAGAGAAATCATAAAGCAGCCAGTCTGGGTAAATGAAGGGCAGCTTGGGTGGTCATCCCAAAACACACTTGACTATCCACATCAGCAATACAGCAATTAGTGCTCATAGCTATAGAATGTTATTATGACAGAAGAGTCTTAGGGGAGAGATAAAAATTGAACACATAGATATGAGGAAGAATTTTATGTTCTAGATAAGATTTTACTAATTTTCAAAGCAAATGCTTAAAACCAAGCAGACATACATCAATGTACAGTAGTAATGAAACAAAGTACCTAATTAAAAAAAGTTAAATAGATTTATTTCTTCCCTTATGTTATAATTGTTTAAAATATGTTTTCCAAACACAAATATGTAATGATTTTAGGATTTGTGAGATCAGTGGGCTTTTGAAATGCTCTTGGTTTTGGCTAGAGTGCAGGGGTAAGGAAGGTGGGCAGTTCAGAAGGGGACATGCTAAAACCTTCAGTAATTAGCCCATAAAACCTCTATCAATTGGGCCTTTGTCAATAGGGTGCAATAGTACATGGGGCTTGTTAGCTGACCACTCTAGCAGCTTCAGTGTATTTCCAACTGGAAAGAAAAACATTGGTGTGCTTACAGAAAGCATTTCCCAGGTTGAAGGCACAGCCAGTCTACCACAATCTTTTCTATGTTCTTTTCTCGAATGCTCAACACTTCTAAAAATATTTGGGTGTGTACTTGGAATGTTCAGAGTAATCAAATCTTACAAATACATGAAGTTTTGGGAGGTTTTAGCTATATTTCCAAACACCCATTCAGAACAGTTATCAGGGACAGATAAGAGATGCTATTTCTTTTTTCATTTTGTCACAGTAAATTAGGTTGAACAAGGCGACTACAGTGTTCACTTTAGTATTTTACCAGTTACATCAAGCGTTTTTATGAACCTGTTGAACGGGCCTAGAAATAGTCTCAACAGTCATCTGGTACAGCTTGCTGCCTTCAGGAAGGTGATGTTTGATTCCTTTGTGTAGGTTAAATTTTACTGACCTCATACTGATAAGCCACATTTGAACATGCTTCACTATAACATCCATTCAGCTGGACCATGGGTCAAACATGTACATTTAATAAAAGACTAAAAAATTCATAATTATCCTAACTGTAAGTACAAATCTAGACTTTGTTCTAATGGGGATTCATTATATATTTATCCATGAAATTTTCTTCCAAAGCAATTAATTTCCTAGAGGTAAAATATCTAAATAAAGAAAAGGTCTGAAGGGTTAACAAAACTGCAATTATGCCTAAACCATGTCATACTAGTATTTTTTTGAGACAGGGTCTTACTCTTTTTACTCAGGCTGGAGTGTAGTGGCAGGAACATGGCTCACTGCAGCCTCAAACTCCTGGGCTCAAATGATCCTCCAGTCTCAGCCTTCTGAGTAGCTGGGACTACAGGTGTATGCCACCATGCCCAGCTAATTTTTAAATTTTTGTAGAGACAGGTCTTTCCATCCCAGGCTGGTCTTAAACTCCTGGGCTCAAGTGATCTGCCTTCCTCAGCCTTCCAAAGGGCTGGGATTACAGGCAGGAGTGACTGCGCCAGGCATCATACTAAATTTTTAAGGTCACTATTGATACATCCAAAGGCAAGTAAGATTATAGATAACATAACATCATTTTTAGAACTACATATTATATCAAGACCTGCAAGGATCTGAGGCAGGAAGAGAAAGACTAAAGGACTAAGATGTGTTGATGTATCCGTAGCTGAAAACAGCTATCAAAAGGCAGCAGACATCTGGGAAAAAGCTTTCTTTTTCGCATGGAGGCCAGAGATACATTGGCATTGCTTCTGAAATTGGAACAAAACCAATTTTTAATTGGTTTTAAAATCTGGAATGAAACATTTTTCCAGTCATCCATGAACTGACCTTATCCTGTAGAAGTTGAGTGAATCTTGGCTAACCATCTGCCTTGTGAATTGTTTTGTTTGGGCCCCTTATGGGACAGAAAGTACTTGTTGTGCAGTAGTTTCACATCAGGTTACAGTCCTTTGTAATGCTGCCTGAGTAGAGAATTCAGAGAGAAAAAAGCATCTCCAGGGAGAAAAATCTAATGCCTTCACTAATATGCCTTGGGGCTTTATGAACCTGCAAGGCTTGGAGTTACCACCGACTTTGCTCCATACCTTAGCATGATGGCTTCCAAAAAGCAGTAAAGCCTATTATTGGAGAAGACAGACAAACAGACTGCATTCGTGAGGGCCAAACAAGGTATTTTAAGATAGATTTAACTGAGAATTCCACTAGATTCACTATTGTAACACCAGTGCCTCACACACAGCCACATTTCCATAAATTCTGGTTTAATAAGTGGAGACTTTTGAGATGTGCATACTATGAAAGAAGTATGGAATAAAGGATTCTTCTTAACAGTGCCCATGGATGGTGATACACTTTCTTCCTTAAATCCACTCTGCCCCCACCATAGGGAACAGGAGTAAGGGAGGAAACTGAGAAGATTACGCAACAATTCCTGACTCCTAAAACAAAACAGAAAACCTGTGGTAGCTGTAGAAGATAGCCTAAACTATTTTGTAAATTAAAAACCTACTTTTTCAGGTTGAAAATAGTTGAAATAAATAAGCCTCATCAAGAATTTTCAGTATTTGGATTTGAATGGCTGCCTAGGAAGTGAGAAAGACAAAAAAGCAAGAGAGCCAAATTTAGCTACTAAATAATAATAATAATAGCTTTTATATATAGACTTTTCCATTTTATAATACTTTTAAATATTACTGGGAAATGCTAGATCTTAATTCCAGAATGCTCTATGGCATCTTCATTAGGAAGTACAATTTCAAGCTAGAACCCAGGTGAATGATGTCTCTCAGAAACAATGGCAGCTAGGGAGGTGCAGAGATGTGCTATGTATTTGGGTATTTTGGATTGGAGGGTGGGGGATTCATATTTCAGAGTGTAGAGCACTTTGTCCAGTCTACAGTTACCAATGCATTAAGCAAACCATACTTATAATCATTCTTGAAGAATGTTAATTGATATGCATTACCAGTACCAATGTATGGCTATCTATTCCAGCTGATCCAGAGCATAAACTGGTGTCATATTGTAGAGCAAAAAGGGTTTTTTATACTCACTGAAATCAATGTTCCCCTAAATTAGGGCAACACTGGAGAAACATGTATTTCCATATAAGTTAATTGATATAAGTGGGTATTCTAGAGCCAGATTGCCTGGCTAAAATTCAAGCTCTACCACTTAGTAGCTGTATGACATTCAGCAACTAACTCCGTCTCTCTTTGCCTCAAATTCTTCAACTGTAAAATGGGGATAATAAAAATATCTACCTCATAATGCTGTGGAGACAACATCAAATGAGTCAACATTTTCAAGACACAAGAGTGCCCGGTCCATGATAAGTACTCCATGGATGTTAGCTTTTAATATTAATCAAATATTGCAAAACAGGAGATAGAAGACAAGAATGTTGGTGTCATAGTCCAGGTATCTGAGACTCTGATATTCACCTATAACACAGAAGGGCTTTCGAGCAAACCTCAGTCTTCCTTGCCATCCTCTATATCGACAACAGCAACCCGCAGACCAGATTCGAATGATGAACTCCAAACCAAAGACGACAATCATCACGAACTCCTAAAATATCAGATAAGACATATCAGAGAGAAGCATTATGGAGCAAACCACAGTAAGAAGCTCTATGCATATTTTTGGACATTTAGGCACTTTGTCTAAAGGATCTAGTTGTTAATATCTAAAGTTAAGAACATTTCCTTTCTCCAGATCAAACTAAATCTGGACAGCATTTGAACCTCATACTGTCTGCATTTCCTATCATGGAATGCTATTCCTTTTCAAGTCATTAATGCTTCGTAAATTTGGGAGTCAGTTTCAATACTAAATGTGCAGGCTGAATAATGGATCTGTCTCGTCTGGAATTTATAGTGTAGCTGACTTTAGCTACCCAGTAACATGTGAAATATCTGAAATAAAATAGCGATCCTGAAATATAATGGCAAGTTTTACAGAAAATAGAGCTTCATTTTGCTGCAAGGAGTGACATAATCTCTAAATCTTCGAGAGTTGTTCTTAGAGAAAAAGAAGCAAATATTTCGAAGTATACTGAATTCTTTCGTTACAGTGTCAAAATCTCCTTATAAAACAGTAAGTTTCAAAAGCATTACAGTGTGACACACATATCCTTTGCCAGAAATGAGACCCTGAATCCTCCAGATCTGAAGCTTGTTAATTATTATGCTGCCCTTTGGCAAGAGCTGCCTAGAAAACAACACCTGCTCCAGGAAAATGACTGAGATTATTTAGGAAGAGTTGTGAGTTAACCCTGGGGAAAGGCCAGCTAGAGTGGCTCATTAAACAGTCGATGATAGAATGAAAAACCAAATGGAATTTGTAAAACGAAAGCATTTCTGGAGCAAGCTTAGCACAGTCACCTTGCTGTCTCTATAGGGACAGGCACTTTATTTATCAAAATTGTTTTTCCTTTAAAAAATAATTCACTTTCTTGTTTTAAAACGAGGGTTGATTCAAGATTTATAATGTAGAACAACATTTATAGATTGTTGTTATAATAGCTTAATTGTAAAAGTAATATATTGTCTTTATTAAAACTTCCAAACATCACAGAAATACAAAGCAGAGAAAGTAAACATTCTAACCTACTCCCCATTCTCCCATTCTTACTCGCAGGATAAAAACTGTTACCAAATTTATAAAAGTGGCATTTTTGTTGCAAATTTCAGGCAAATGTCTGTTTCTTTAATTAGAGCATGTGATGATATGCTGCACTTTTGAAATGCCTAGTAGAGCTATATCATTCTATCCTTCTCTTATTTTGCACTAAGTAATCCACAAATATTTCTCATGATGGGAAATAAATACCCAATATCATCACTGCTTACTCACAGTTATTCAAAATTACTTATAGGATAAACCTTCAAAGATGACTTTATGCACAGATAACCAAAATTAGGGTCAACATACATTCATTAATAATCCGAAGGTTTTGTTTGATTTTGGCTTTGTTTTGGTTTTGAATGTATATCTGGGTAGTTGAGTCTGTTCATTTATTAAGGTATCTAAAGTGCCAGATCATTTCTTGTTAATCCAGCACATCTTTCCAAATATGGAAAACATACTCAGGCCCAAAATGCCCATGTAGTTGTGCCTGTGCCCAACCTAGGTTGAATGGCAGATCCACTTTTTAATCCCTGCCCCTAATTCCTGCTTATGCCAGGACATTTGGCACTCCAGTTGTGAGTACTCATATTATAAGGGATCCCAAGAAAATCCCAAATGTGGCCTGAGCCCCCGAACACTACCGTGTAGTAATTTTTCTTTTTCATGGAAACAGATGACACCAATATGTCCATTGTTCTTAACAAATGACAGATATATGCCCATTGTTCTTAGGTATGCCAAGGTCACTGCACTATTCCTCTGCTGCAGTAAGGCAGGATAAAGTACATTTACAAGTTCTTTATTCAAGCCCTATTGTTCAGAAATATTGCTTGCTGCTTTTTTTTTTAAGAAGGTGAGGGGAAAATGACAAGACAGTCTCAAAATTCATAAAGCAAAACCAATAGGGCTGAAAGGAAAAATAGACAAATGTTAAGTCGTATTTGGGAACTTCATCAACCCACCTTATCCTTGCTCAGAACTATGGGCATAGCACTACTAGAATGAAAATTAACAAGTATGTGAACTATTTGAACAACACATTCAACCTGCAGGATCTGACTGATATGAGACATTTCACCCAACATCAGCAGAATACACATTTTTAAAAAGCACCCATGCACATTTATTAAGATAGATTATATTCCGGGTCATAAACAAATTTCAACAAGTTTAAAAGAATAAAATCAGACAGAATGTGTTCTCAAGCCACAATGGAATAAAACTAGAAATCAATAACAGAAAGACAACAAGCAAATCTCTAAACATGTGGAAATTAAACAATATTCCCAGTAGTCCATTGGTCAAAGAGAAAGTCTCAAAAATTTTTAAAAAATTGAACTGAATGAAAATAAAAAAATGACATAACAAAATATGTAGGATGCAGTAAAAGCAGTGCTGAGAGGAAAATTTATAGCACTAAATGCTTACATTATAGATGAAGAAAGTTCTCATATTAATAATCTGAGTACCTACCTCAAGAAATTGGAAAAAGAAGGGTAAAATAAACCCAAAGGAAGCAGATAGAAGGAAATAACATAGAAAAGAGCAAAAACTAATGAAACTGAAAAGAGGAAAACAATATGGAAAATCCATGAAACAAAAAAGTGGTTCCTTGAGAAAATCAATAAAGTTGATAAATCTCTTTCTTGAAAGCTGATGAAAATCCCCAATGTCAGGAATGTAATAGGGGATATCAGTATAGATTCTACGCCACTGAAAAAATGAAGGAGTACTATGGTAACTTTACGCACATACACTTGATAACTTAGAAGAAATGGACCAAATCCTTTAAAACTACAAGCTACCAAAACTCAACAAAGAAGAAATAGACAATCTAGGTAGCCCTATAACCGCTAAAGCAATTGAACTCATAGTTTAAAATCTCCCCAAACAGAAATGTCCAGGTCAAATGGTTTCACTGGCAAAATCAACCAGACATTTAAATAAGAATATATCATTTTCACACAATTTCTCCCAGAAAATAGAGGAGAAAAAACTTTCTCAATGATTTTATGAAGTCAGTATTATCCTGACACCAAAACCAGACAAAGACAATAAAACAAAGCAAAACAAAAACTACATACCCATATTTATCATAAACTTAGACACAAAAAATCCTCAGCAAAATATTAGCAAACAGTCAATCAGTCAATATATAGGCAAGTAGGATTTATTCCAGGTATGCAAGGCTAGCTCAATGGTTGAAATCAATCAATATAATGCATTATATAATAAAGCTAAAAAAAAATCATATAAATTGATGAAGAAATAGCATTTGACAAAATCCAACACCCATTTATGATTAAAAAAAACTCTTGGCAAGTTAGGAAAAGAGGTTTAACAGTTTAATTCGATAAATAGCATTTACAACAAACTTAACATCATACTTAATAGTGAAAGACTGAATGCTTTTCCCCAACATTAAGAACAACCAAGATGTATACTTTCATCACTCTTATTCAACATAGTATTGTAAGTTATATTAATAGTTGCTGCAATAAGCCAAATAAAAGAAAAAAAAAACATGCAGTTTGGAAAGGTAAACATAAAATGGTCTCTATTTACAAATGGCATGATGGTCTACAGAAAAATCCCAAGAAATCTACGAAGACACTCTTGAAACAAGTGAGTTCACTAAGGCTGCACGATGTATGATCAATATAAAAATTAATCATATTTCTTTATACTAACAATGATCATGTGGAAATGAAAATTAGAAACACAAAATTATTATTTATAATAATTCCAAATAAAAATAACTTAAATATCCACTTAGAAAAACACATACGGTTTATGTGCATTGAGATTATGAAATGCAGATAAAAGAAATCAGAAAAGACCTAAATAAGTGAGGAGAAATACCGTGTTTATGAATTGGAAGACTGATCATAGCAAAGATGTCAATTCTTCCCAAATTGATCTACAGGTCTAATAAAATTCCTGTCAAAATCTCAGCAAAGTTTTTTTTGGGGGGTAGATACAAACTTATTTTAAAATTTATATGGAAATGCACAGGACCTGGAATAGCTAAAACAATGCTGACAAAGAAGAATAAAACGAGATCAATCACTTTACCTGATATTAAAGCCTACTATTATAGCTCCAGTAATCAAGACTGTGGATTGGTGGAGGGATAGACATATGGAACATACAGACATATAGAACAGTGAACAGAATAGAGAATTCAGAACTAGACCCACACAAATATGCTCAATTGATTTGTTTTAAAGGTGCAAAAGCATTTCAATGGAGGAAGAAGGGCCCTCAACAAATGATGCTGGAAAAATTGGACATCTATAGGCAAAAAAGTGGACCTTAATCTATACTTCCTATCTTATGATAATCATTTAAAAATGGACCACGGGTTTAAAAATTAAACATAAAATAATAAAACTTTTAGGAAAAAAATGGAGATATTTTTGGGATTTGGACTAAGCAAAGAGTTCTTAATCTTGACATCAAAAGCAGAAGTTATAAAAGGAAAAAATGAGAAATTGGACTCCATCAAAAGTAAAAACTTACTCTGTGAGAGCCCAGGTACTAAGGATGAAAAGACAAGCCATAGACTGGGAGAAAATGTTTGTAAACCACATATCTGACAAAGGACTAATATCTAAAATATGTAAAGAAACCTTAAAACTCAACAGTAAAAAACCAAAAACTCAATTAGAAAATTGGCAAAGGTATAAATAGGATATTCATAAAAGAGGACATACATAAAAGAAGTTACACATATGGCAAAGAAGCACATGAAAAGTTATTTGACATCATTAGCCATCAGAAAAATGCAAATTAGATCGCAATGGTATCACTACACAGCTAGCAGAATGGCTAAAATAAAAAATAGTGGCAAAAAATAGTGACAACACAAAATGCTGGGGAGGATGCGGAGAAGCTGGATCATTCAAACACTGCTGATGGGAATGTAAAACAGTATGGTCCTTCTGAGCATGGTCGTTTCTTATAAAACTGGACATATAGTTACCATATGACTCAGCAATTGTACTCTTGGGCATTCGTGTCAGAGACATGAAAACTTATGTTTGTACAAAAACCTGTACATGAATGTTCACAGAAGAAGTATTCATAATGACCAGACCCCAAAAACAGCCCAGATGTCCTTCACCATGAGGATGGTTAAACAAGCTCTGGTGCCTCCATACCATGGAATGCTACTCAATAATAAAAATGAATGAACTATTGATACACAGAGTAACATAAATGAATTGCCAGGGAATTATATTGAGTGCAAGAAAAGTCAGTCTTAAAAAGTTATACACTGTATTATTCCATTTATATAACATTTTTGAAATAAAAACATTTCAGAAATGGAGAACAGATTAGTGGCTGCTGGGGTCAGGCTGGAGAAGGGAAGGGGTGTGCAAGTGTGAAGGAGAAGGTGGATGTGGTTAGCAAGGGGTAACTTGAGAGATCCTTGTGACAATGGAACTGTCCGATATCTTTTTTTTTTTTTTTTTTTTTTTTTTTGAGACAGAGTCTCGCGCTGTTGCCCAGAATGGAGTGCAGTGGTGCGATCTCGGCTCACTGCAAGCTCCACCTCCCTGGTTAATGCCATTCGCCTGCCTCAGCCTCCCGAGTAGCTGGGACTACAGGCGCCCACCACCACGCCCAGCTAATTTTTTGCATTTTTAGTAGAGACGTGGTTTCACCGTGTTAGCCAGGATGGTCTTGATCTCCTGACCTCGTGATCTGCCTGCCTCGGCCTCCCAAAGTGCTGGGATTACAGGAGTGAGCCACCGTGCCCGGCCGGAACTGTCCAATATCTTGATTGTTGTTTTAGATATACTAATCTCTGCAAGTGATAAAACTGTACAGAGCCAATACACACACACACACACACACACACACACACACACACACACACACAAATGTATTCAAGTAAAACTGGAGAAATCTGAATGAGATTTGTGAGCTGTATCAATATTATTATCCTGGTTGTGATATTATACTATAGTTTTACAAAATGTTACATTTTGCGGAAATTGGGTAAAGTATACACAGGGTATGTCTACTATATCTTACAACTGCATGTGAATCTACAATTATCTCAATAACAATTTAAATTTAAAAAAGCCATTGCCAGCAATCTAGACAATGGGATAGACTCGTAAGAGGAAATGTGTTCTTCAAATCCAGATGCTGGGTCTATTTTCACTGTGTTTTGTTTAGAGGTACTCTCTAAATCACCCTTTGGATGAGGTCTCATTGTTTTATTTTCATATGAGTTGAAAATACAAAAATCTGTTACATTCAGTCGAGATGATTTAAATTAGGGATGGTTCTTCTGACCCTTGCTGGGTAAGCCATGAGACAAGTTCTGGTGCCTTTGCTGCTGTACCTCAGGATAAAGCAGTTCATTTTCTCTTGCTTGGTTTTAGTTGAAATAAAATGCTCGCTATTTACTGAAATGGCAGCTAAAGAGATTAGTGAATAATATTCAGAATATTTGACTTGTTTGGAGGAAAGCTGTAGTGGAAACTTGATGTTATTAACAATGGTCCTGTCCTTCCTTATTTAAGCCCCTAGAAGCTTGGCTTGGATAACTCTTTACAAAAGCAAAGACAATAAATGTGTATTATTTTTATCACTCACCTTGTAGGAGTTACAATGGTTCCTCATTTGTCCTCACAGAATTTTGGTAAAACATAGAAGAATTTTCTTATTCTTCTTAAATGATAAGGAAATTAAGAAGCCTAAGAGGCAGTGGTGGCCGGGCGCGGTGGTTCACACCTGTAATCCCAGCGCTTTCGGAAGCCGAGGCGGGTGGGTCACGAGGTCAGGAGATCGAGACCATCCTGGCTAATAAGGTGAAACCCCGTCTCTACTAAAAATACAAAAAATTAGCTGGGTGTGGTGGCGGGCGCCTGTAGTCCCAGCTACTCAGGAGGCTGAGGCAGGAGAATGGCGTGAACCCGGGAGGCGGAGCTTGCAGTGAGCCGAGATCATGCCACTGCACTCCAGCTTGGGCAACAGAGCGAGATACTGTCTCAAAAAAAAAAAAAAAAAAAAAAAAGAAAAGAGGCAGTGGTAGAGCTAGTCTTGAATTTTATCTACAATATGTATTGAGAATACCAATCCATATTAACCCTCTTTTCCAGGCATTAAAGAAGCCTCTTCATATGTCACACCTGAGAACTGTGATTCAATTTAATTGATACATATAACTCTGCTGTACCATTTGAGGTTTAAATTATGTTCTTGCCGTTATTTTGTTTTTTAGCTACTTAAAATTGTTTTAGGCAGATTGATTTTTTGGGTACAAATTCACAATGCTTAAAAGCTCATGTACCAGTTGTTTTCTCATTAATTAACAGCACTGTTCATTAAAACACAGTGACCTTTGTCTAATCTACAAGCTGTCTTCTGTGACCATTAGTTTTTTCTGGTTTTATGCCATCAAATAGCATTTTCGTGAAGATGAAATGCCGACATTATAAACCCTGTGACATTTGCAGCAATTCTTGAAGAGCTGTGGCTAATTAGACATACATAATTAGAACTATTGCTTTTATTCAGAATATCAACATAATCAATTCCCAGCTGTTTTTGTTCCTTTTTGTGTGTGTGCATATACTTAAAGTAACATAGGGCTAGCAGGTCAACATGCCTCTTTACATAATCCCTGCAGGGAAAGAATTTGTGATGTAAACTGCATCATAAAATGCAAAAAAAAGGCATCAGTCAGAAGAGTTGCAGTTATAATTCTATGTAATTTGGAAAATTCTACTAGTATAACACATATTAGGGGAATGAAATTAAGATCTAGAGATGGCTCCAAACTTAAACCAAAATGTGGAAATACACAAAAGTAAATATCTTCCGGAATTGTGTCTCTTTGGAGAGCAGAAAAATATCCTAAAAACATGCTTACTAACTATAACTTATAGAACATCACATACCATCATCAATCCAGCTAGCTTTCAAGCTTCTCCTTACTTTTTGGGAAGGTATATTAGTGTATTGGAAGAGAATTTGAGGGAATGAATGTTTTTACCAAAGGGACTAATTTGACCTGGTGTTGAGGACACATGGATATTTACAGAATCATTGCTGCACAGAGGTGGTTGTGAGAGCGTGACAGAACTTCACTAAGTTGGCTAGTAGATGCTTCGGGGGTGGGTATGGGGGGAAGGGGGTCATAGAAGTGGGAGTGGGGTGGAGATAGGGGAAATTAGATTAAGGTGTGAAGGGGTATGGATGCTTCCTGCCTTGGAAAAAAATGACTGAGGTAGTTTTGACAGACAGTGTCACTGCGGCTAGTCTCATTGATTGGAAGGCTTAGGTAGATATGATAGATGAATTTGTTTGAGTAGCTCCAGCAAAATCTAGTGTCTTAGTGGGTCTTTCCCCTTGGGATTAGTTGATTCCTGAAATTTCTTTATAAATGATTTATCCATTCAAGTTTTTCACACCTGTTAATATATAAATCTGCTCCTGAAAAGTAATTCATTTAACCATACCTAAATAACAATGTTCATTTATCCCAGAGGTTCTTCAGAAGATCATAGGGAGGCAATAGTTTGAAAATGCCCCATTCCAAATGACTGATTGACACTTTGTTACTAAGGAAGGATCACGGCTGGTTTTTTATCAGGTATTGAGGCCATAAATTGAGACCATATGGGCTGGAGGCAGGAAGTGGGTGCCCCCTGCTTGGGGAAAAGAGGTGGGAACAGCAGGACATTCCTGGTTTACCCCTCGCTGCCTACCTGGAGTGGCCCTATGCATCCCAGTTACTAGTTGGGATGCCATGATGAGAGGACTTCCGTCCTCTCTTGTAGTGATTTTAGATCCTTAGGGATGGGTTGGCTCTTGTCAGCAGCTATAATGCCTGCCTAGTATGAGCAGCCACCCAGATGATCCCTTCTGCCTTTACGTTTTATGTTCTGTAAGTCACATCTGCATCAGGGCACAGGATGTCTTAGGCTTTCCCCTTCACCTGCCACAGGTGAAGTCTGCCCATGGGACCAAGCTGAAGTGGTGCCCTTTGTGGAGGAGCCTTACTGAGGTTTTTTTTGTTGTCCATCCTCCCCCATCCTAAACCTATTTATACCTTAATTGGTTTGAGGTTTCTATTTGGGTGTGTCTGCATGCCCAAATGATTCATGTATGAATCATAAACACCAAGCTGGAAACATTGAAAATGGCTTGCTGTACCTTGAACTGGACCCAGATATGTATTCTGTTATGATTTTGTAAAATAATCACAAATTAACCAGTGCAACTTAGAATCGAAGATCAATGTCCTGAATCAGATCAAAATGGAAACACCGAAAGTGTCTCCAAAATGAATGAAATCAAACCAAGTTTTCATTTGATTCAAATTGCTAATTTGTCTACTTCTCACTAATCTATAGGCTTTTCTTCCTCTTAAGAACTACATGAGGCTGGGAGCAGTGGTTCATGCCCATAATCTCAGCACTCTGGGAGACCTTGGTAAGCAGATCACTTGAGGTCAGGAGTTTGAGACCAGCCTGGTTAACATGGTGAAATCCGGTCTCTACTAAAAATACAAAAATTGGCCAGGCATGGTGACAGGTGCCTGTAATCCCAGCTACTCAGGAGGCTGAGGCAGGAGAATTGCTTGAACCTGGGAGGTGGAGGTTGCAGTGAGCCGAGATCAAAATTAAAATTTAAGATACACAAATTTAAATAAAATTCCTTAAAACAAACAAGTATTTCTATTTAGAGAGCTATCCTGACCTTGAGAAATTAGTACATGTCAGCCAAGTTGACTATAAAACAGATCTTATCTTCTCATATTGGTGATATTTGTCCTGTGGATTGAAGTGGATGCTTGTGTCAAGATAAGAGATAGTACGGCTTCCATGCTACTGAGAGTGAGAGGCAGGTCAGGGCTGGGCATGTTCTTAGAGAACTTTCAGAATTTTTATCTTTTCTTACGGAGGAGTTATGTCTCTGTTCTTATAGCTGCCCTTCTTTGGACCAAAGGAATTGCTCTTATACTGGGAGGTCCCTTGATTTCCAGAAAATCTGCTTCTTCCTTCTTCCTTGAGGGTATTTACAGAGTTTCATATAGCTAACTTCTCTGCAATGTTGACTTCATTTCTAGATGTTCTGCTTTTCATGAATTCATTTTATAAATGTCTACCGAATACCATAAACATGCAGGATATAAAGATCAGCAATGTGTTCTGTCACCCTCGAGGAGTTTATAATCTATTGGGGGAAGATAAGACACACCACTAGAAAACTCACAAAATCTCGTGCCAGAAATTCTGCTGAGTGCTGGTTTCTAGAGAAATGCCTTACCCATTGTCGTAGCCCCTCTGCTTAGAGCAGGCCCTAGCCAAATGTTTGTTGAAGTTTCCTTCAGTTCACGGCTTCAGGCTCAGCACCACCCAATTAGCATACTGTTTTATTATCTATTAAAATCAAAATTCTCAAAAAGAGCTAGCTGGAGGTGGAAAAATGAGAATAACTTAATTGGCCTATGATTTTCATTTCTGACCTGTCTATTCAGCTTTATGACACTAATTGCAATGAGAGGGTGAATGGCTTCTTACTGCAAGATGTCTTAGTGACAGTGTGGGCTTATTTTGATTAATGTAAGCTGGAGGACAGTAACTACCTAATTTCACTCCTATGGTTTCTACCACTGAATGATTTTATTTTCATTTGTTGTTACCCGATACCTCTTCTCTTTTTACATTTTACTAGCCTGAAAGGATTTTTCACTAATGGTTACACCGTTGTTCTTAAGACAAGCTGTGGGGGAAAGAAAGTGAGAGACAGTTTATCCCTTTTATTTAAGCATATTTTAGGCAGAATCTCCAAATGTCTTAGTTCTTGGAGGAAATGGAACTTCAGGGTGGAGCCAGAGTGGCTCCTGAAGGCTAAGCAGAAGTGGCCAGTGTGTTTTATTTACTCAGTAACCAGGAAAGCAAAGGCTGTGTTGATGAAGGGGTAGAACCCCGAAAAGCTCAACTGTTGAGCTGTCAGTGGGGAAGACATTCTGCTTGTTGGTAGAATGTGAAAAACCCGGAAGAAATGGAAACCTTTGGGATCATGGCTTTCAGAGGAGAAAAGGGTATTGGCAGGGTAGTGTTGGAGTCCTGTAGAAATCAGATACAATCTTGCTTTGTTTCCCTGCCCCTAGTCTTCTTGTGGACTGCCATGTGCCACTGGGAGAAATCTCCTTGCCTCCTCAGGTCATTTGACCAAATTCCTTCTAGACTTCCTAGCAAAACAGAAAACATTTTGAATCAAAACCTAGTCTTGCCTTCCTCCTCTTCTACCTATGATGATTATTTTCCTTTATAAGCACCAAAGTGCATTTTATTACCTAAGATTATTTATTTTTCCCATTACCAAAGTATGTGTTATTGGTGTAAATGTACTTTGTGGCAATATGAGTAATATCCTTTGGTGAGCTTTGAGAGGTAGGAAAACACATCTTTCTGTGCACATTGCATGCACACTAGTATGCTCACTTGCTTTCAGAACTTGATATTGAAACTCAGTCAGTTAGGCTCATGCAAAAGAACAGGAAAGGCAGAAATCTCAGAATAAAAACTGACAGGAGGCCCTGTTAACAGAACATATCACCACCAATAGAAACTGCATATTAGCTCTCAGTGCAATTTCTAATAAACATAAAGAAGTTAACTATCCTCAAAGTATATAAATCAATGGCATTGTAACAATATTCCATTAATCACACTTTCAAAATTAAGGAAAATTTAAAGTTTTCTGCTGCTTTGAACAACTAGATCACAAAGAAAAATCTAATATATGCAGTCTCTTTTATTTTAATAATTTCAATGTTATTAACCATGTGAATCTTCACAGTGTATTCTTCATGAAATCTGTCATGATTCTGTGCTATTTATTTATATCTCTAATTGTTTCCAGTCATCCATCAAAATCATTCAAGACCACTCATGCCATAAATCAAGTATACTCTTTTTTTTTTTTTTTTTTTTTTGAGACGGAGTCTGGCTCTGTCGCTGGAGTGCAGTGACGCAATCTCGGCTCACTGCAAGCTCCGCCTCCCAGGTTCACGCCATTCTCCTGCCTCAGCCTCCTGAGTAGCTACGCCCAGCTAATTTTTTGTATTTTTAGTAGAGGCGGGGTTTCACCGTGTTAGGCAGGATGGTCTCGATCTCCTGACCTCGTGATCCACCTGCCTCGGCCTCCCAAAGTGCTGGGATTACAAGCGTGAGCCACCGCGCCCGGCCAAATCAAGTATACTTTTAAATTGAGTAAGATGAAGGGCCTGATCAGAGATAATCTTGAACTAATTTAATAATCTCTTCTGCTTGTTGTTCAATTGAACCATTAAACAATAGATTAAGAATCAATATGTTTCTATACCGGCTTAAAAAAAAAAACTGAGTTGAGGATAAAAACAAGAGAACTACCTGGGCAATTTCCAAGTGTTTTAGAATGCATTTTTTTTAATGCTCCCTAAGCATAACACATAGCACATGGCAAATATTTAGCAGTTAGATTTAATGGTGAATTATCCTGACAGCTGAATCCAGGAATTCATGGGAGTATCCTTTGTTTCTGTCACAATCCGTTTCTCTGTTGTGTTATTTACCAAGCTACATTCTGATTCCCATTTGTTTTTCTAAAGTTTCCCTGCTGGAGAGAAAATGCCTTGCTTGCCAAGTGTAACTTTTATCTCTGATAGAGATGACTCCTACTGTACATAAGCCATCACTCTTATTTGCCCACAGTAGTGTTTGGAATATTATTGCTGTCATACACCTCTGCTCACATCATCAATATGTCTTAATTAATACATCACTGCCTGCTTGCCACCCATTATGCACACACACTTACCAAACAACCTCTGATGGGTGACGGCCTCTATCCACAGCAGGATGAATTGCCATTGCTTGAATTGATTTGGAAAATCACTTAGTATAGGAGGGAACTGATCTGCCACAGTAACTTGAAACCCTCCTCTACTCTCCTGCTCCTTTATTTGGTTGTAGACTTATTCCTACCTGGCAACACGACACTTGATTTGGAGACCATGGTAGTACTTTAATGATATATGAGAGGACTGATTCACAATTTTAACTAATAAAGCATCCTGTACACAACTAGTGACCAAAGCCATGGAAATATAGACCCATATATTGAATTTACAGGACATTAACAAGAAATAAGCTCTGGGCAAAAATAACTGTCTATTCAGAACTAAGAGTCTGCCCAGAAAAGAATGTATTGGAGAGAGAAAGTGCACTTCTTACTCTTTCCTAAGCAGCATGGCATGCCTGAATAGATGTAAAGTGATAGAGCGGTGTCAAGTTGACCTTTTGTAAAATCTAGATAAAAGAAGTCCTAGAGCAACGTGCACAGGAAGTAAATTTACAGCCTGGGTCAGAGTGAACGGGGTGGCTGGGCTGAAGGAAAAAGGAACAAGGAACCCACAGCAGTGGATTCTCCTCTTGAAACAAGGAGAGCTCTGAAAAATTTCCTAAGCTGTAAAGGAAACAACTCTTGCCTCTCTCGTTTGCATCCCCTTTTTCATCCGTGCTTACATTCCAGGCCAGCCATGAAGCCTCGAGGGAGGAAATGCTCTCACACCTCCCTACAGGTAGCCTGACTATGCAGCTGTGTTGTTCACACCGTCTTGCCGTGGTGAAGCCCCAAGAATCTCTCTGCAGGTGTGGGAGCTGGGGAGACTCTGCTGCTCCATATTTTGGCAAGCAGGGAATAGAATTGTATTAAAGCAAGCATTTTTCCCCCATAATAAAGAGTTTCTAAAGTCACTGAAAGTACAGTATCCCCCAGCCCCATATCTTGGCAGGCAGGGAATAGAATTGTATTAAGGCAAGAATTTTTTTCCCCCATAATAAAGAGTATCTAGAGTCACTGAAAGTACAGTATTCAAAGACTAGGTTTATATATCCAAGATTGGTATCTCATCAGAGACTATAAATTGTTTACACTGTTGAAAGTTCCCATTTTTACAACTTCTTCTGTTTTATTACCCTGCTTGTTTGCATGGTAAATATGGATTCAGTGGAATCTTATCTTCTTCCAGAACACTAATACAATTCATCACTTCTATTCAGACTCCATTAATTCAGAATTTGTGATTATACCACTAGAGTTTGGTTGATGCTTATTTTTGTATTATTTATTAAAAGAGGATATACTAGGCAAATTCAGAACAGAAATGAGAGGACAAGGGGGAAGATTTAGCATAGTTAAGAGGAAACACTTTTCAAGACCCTTAATAGCACTTATTTGCATTTAAACAATTAATGGAATAATTACAATCAAGCCATCTCATTAATTAAAGAAAACCCAGCAGGATCTTTATTTGGCAACAGTTTGTTAGCAGAGATTCTCTAAGTATCGACTCAAAGGAAAATTGATAGGAGATATGCCTCCTCCCAAATGCTAATTACCCCCTTTCAATCATCTTAAATGTTTCCCAAACATTGAAGTAATCATTCCAATAAGCTACAGCTAGCTGTACAAATTACTATGCAAATACGTGTCGGTCTGTCCCACAGGTAAGTTCCAGGTTCCTGCAATCTGTGGAGGCAGCCCTTAGCCTAGCAAAGCATGACAAGCTGGACCAGAAGGAAGGGTCTACTGCTGATCCAAGGGGCTTGAGATTCATTTCCACAGCCCTATCTTCACTAGTTCCTTGATCTGTATTTGCATATTCTGTTTTGATCCTTTTCATACTTCTACTAAAAGGTAGACCTATCCCAGTAGATAAGGCCTACTTGCCTCTTTCTCCTTGATACTGGCTTCTAAATAACTAATAAGCTACAAGTTTTGGGGAAGCAAAGGGCCAGCACATTGACTTCAATGGGTCAATGTCAAACACTGGGATCATTAATTTGGTCAGAGTGGGACGCTCAGAACAAAGTGCAGAAAAGGTGGTTTCCACTATGTCTCATTCATTCATTCAGCAGAGCCCAGGGGATAGAAGCATGGAGGGGTCTGCCATTTATGGAATGTGTGCAATTTAACTTAACCTCTCTGTGCCTCAGTTTTTTT
Organism: Homo sapiens; assembly: GCF_000001405.40. NCBI lineage: Eukaryota > Metazoa > Chordata > Mammalia > Primates > Hominidae > Homo > Homo sapiens. Next base: position 73,026,854 of record NC_000006.12, on the reverse strand, counting down.
TTTCTATAAAATTGGAATGAAAAATCCATTCTTAATAGGGTTGTCACCAGACTTTAAATGAATTAATATTTTTACAGTGCTTAGAACAGTGCCTGATACACAGAAATCGCTTTAACTCTGTTAAATAAAATAAGCCCACTCATTAAATATTTGCTGAGCCAGGTGCTCTTCTAAATGCTGGAATACAGAACTGAACAGAGTAAACATATCCATGTCCATTTGATGTTTCTAGTGGAAGCAAGCAGATAATATAATGAACAAGTACATTGGGATACAGAAAGATAGAGCATTGGAAGATAAGTGCTATAGAGAGTGATAAAAGAGGATGAAGGTGCTGGGAAGAGATGGAAGGTTTCCAGCTTTAAATAGGAGCAGGGTAGGCCTTTTGGAGCAAACTCTAAGTTATTAAGGGAGTCAAGCAGATATCTGATGAAAGAAGTTTCGAGACAGAAGGATCAGTTGGTGCAAAAACTCTGAGTGTGAATGAGGAACAAGGAGACCGGGCTGGCTGAAGTAGACTGGGTAAAAGGAGAGGGATAGGAGGTGAGGATATCTGGGAATGGCTGACTAGACTGTGTCCCTACATAGTTTTTAGGTCACTGTAAGAACTTTGGCTTTTACTCTGCAAGAAATGGGGAGTACATTCCAGGACAAAGGCCTTGGGCAGAAGTTTGGATTTGTGCTCTGACCACAGCTGCTCTCATCCCTCACCAGGTTTTGGTAGAGACAGAAGATCCTTCTGAAAGGAACTGGGCACCTGGAGATGATCCGAGGATCAGGGCATGGAAACTGGGACAAGACTCATAAGTGTGTCTATTCTAGGCAAGGGAATAGGAATGAGAATCTAAGCTAAGAACAAGGCATTCCCTGATGCATGCTAAAAGCAGAAGCTTGAAAATATAAATATATCATATCCTCATTAGACGATTTTCCATAATTATGAGAACTTTCAAGTGAATACTATTCTGCTCACTGCCAAGTGCCAACCCACAGCTACTCAGCCCTGGTCCTCAACGTGGCCATGAACGGACAAGTTTCCAAGAATGTCTTTGAGGAGATGAGAAACAATGTGAGATTTGGTATTGTTTACTGGCAATAAAGGAAAGAAAAACAGCAGATATGGGAAGAACCATCTTATATTTGATTTTTATATACTTTCCAAAATACATTTAAATGGGAATTCGGAACACTTGAATTTTTTTTTTTTTTTTTTTTTTTTTTTTTTTTTTTTGAGATGGAGTTTTGCTCTTGTCGCCCAGGCTGGAGTACAGTGGTGCAATCTCGGCTCACTGCAACCTTTGCCTCCCGGCTCAAGTGATTCTCCTGCCTCAGCCTCCTGAGTAGCTGGGATTACAAGTGTGTGCCACCATGCCCAGCTAATTTTTTTGTATTTTTAGTAGAGATGGGGTTTCGCCATGTTAGGCAGGCTTTTTTTGAACTCCTGACTTCAGGTGATCCGCCCACCTCAGCCTCCCAAAGTTCTGGGATTACAGGCGTGAGCCACCTCTCCCGGCTGAAGTGTTTTTATTTATAAGTTTGTAGAATGCTTGCTTATCTTGTTCAGCTGCTCAATTTCTTCTTGCTGGAAAATCTAGAGCATCAATTATGTTGCAACAGTTTTGGTAAAATTGCCATCCTTTTCTCCAATTTTGACAAATGTCTGGCTCGGATGTCTTTAGAATATGACAATAGAGAGAATTAGATCACTTTTCACTTTTTCTGGCATGTAAGCCAAAGCTGGGGAGTAGAGACTTTGAATTTATCTTATTTTCTGACTTTAGCACTGCGTGTAAAGGAGTGGCCATGAAGTGAGAATATTAATAAGGAAGTTAGGGACATAATACCTATCTTCCCGTGCCTCTCAATCAAATGTTGAGTGTTCAAAATATTAAGAAAAGCATGTGGCTTATAATTGATACTATTACTTAATTGAAATCTTTGAGTATTGAGGAGAGACACTGTGCTGGTGGGAAGGTGGGCAGTGGGATGACTATTGTCATGCAGAATGCACTGAACATTTATAGGCTAGGGCCTGATTCATACAACTTGAATGTCGTTATTTGCTTTGGTCACATTTTGTCTGTTGGAAAGTGAATCTCCTTGAATAATGTTTTTGTTCATCTGAAATGTCAGTCTTATAAAAAGCTGCTAGTCACTATAGTGGTTAGAAATTTCCATCTTATAATTAAAACAAAGTTGTTGGCAGTTGAAAGAAACATAAAACTGAATTCTGGCTCTGGCTAGAGTCAAATTATGTGAAGATTTTATTTTATTCCTCTATTTCTGAAGATTACTGAGTCAAGAGAAAGAGCAATCCCTCATTTCAGATGAATTTTTTTTTTCTTGGAGATTTTCCCAAGCAATTAATTCTTCTCTTTTGCCTTCCTGCCCTCATCTGCTGCAAACCCCAAACTTTGAGATCTACCTGTCTATCAACTATCTATCTATCTATCTATCTATCTATCTATCTATCATCTATCTATCTATCTATCGCTTTCAGTTGATGGCATATCAAGGGAGGTTCACATATGTGGGTAACCTAAGGTTATTTTTTTTTGTTTAATTACCTTGTCCTTTGAAATCATTCTGTCCTAATGATGCAGGTGCTTGTGTCAGTGGTTGAACTCCTATATTGATATTTGCTGCTCAGGTATTTGGCCAGGATTATTTATGCCAGAGGCTTAAGGGTAAGGACTGACTGCTTACAGTTCATAATAGCTTAGGTGTGTGGTTGTCAAGAGCAAGACATTCCCTTTGATGCGTTAAGAGGCAATTATGATTGGCCCAGTAATTATTGGAAAGAGAATTGACATTTGGGAGTGATGCTAGTATCCTGCAAACAATGATATTTATGTAGATAAAAAACCTAAACCTTCCAAGGTGCTCCATTTCTTGGAGAATTCCATCCCTTTGTCCTTTGAAAAAATTGGCAGTAGCAGGTTACTGCAATTACCCTAAAGATTTCTGGTTTTTTATCCTAGATTAGGTTTAAGAATGGTTCCCAGTGAGCTCTTTAAAATAATTAATATCAATAAGTCCTCAATGCAATGTTAATCCATAGCTCTTTCAAAGGAAGAAGACGCCATCCCCAATTTTGCTTCCATCATCCCAGAGCACCAGGACTTTGGATGAAGACTGCTGTAAGCTAATACTCTAACAAGTTAAATGCTAGCATTGAAAATGATGCAGGTGTTAGGCCATGTCCTGGGAAGGCATCTGATGAAATGCCTCAAGTCTAAATTTTGACAGAAGCACTGCTTTAAATGAAGGTTCCTAGGGGCTTAATACGAAAATGAAGTGTGTTAATATTGGGTCTGTTTCCAGAGTGTTTTGCTCATCATAATGGTGGCTACTATTTCCTTATCCATTTTTTTTCACTCTCCACCTCACGAGTTCCCTTCTTTTTCTCTACATAGCCATGATCTCCAAATCCAGACTCCCGTATCTCCTGGACTATAGATAAATATTTCCAGTACCTTCTGATGGTCCCCAAATGAATCAAATGTAATATATTTAAAACCAGCCTATCTCTCCTCTGAAATTGTCGAACACCATGTGTTCTTAGTCTTGGCTGATGTCATCACTATCTGACCATGCCCCAAAGTCAGAAAGTGCAGAAATCCTCACCTCCAGCCTCTCACCTCAAACACCACCCCTTGATGGCTTGGCCTCAGGAATGTTCTATGAATTCAGTTTTTCTTCTCCATCTTTTCTGCCTCTATTTTAGTCCTGATGCTCATGTAGCTTCTGGGCAATGCAGCAGCCTCCATTTCTTCCTGCCCTCCACTATTCCTTCTCCATTCCAGTTATTCCTCAAGACATAGTCAAAATTATCTTTCTCAAAACCAAATTTGATCAGATCAGGTCATTGTGCTACTTAAGGACCTCCTTTCCATTTCCAATCACTTACAACATAAAATTCAAATGACTGTACTCAGAAGAGTAGGTTCTTCTCTGTTTCAATCTTCCTTTGAGCTTCTGTTCATCTACCTGACCCCCATAAAATCTAGCCAGACTGACCAAGACCTTTGTGATGCTAGAACCACCTCAAATGTCTCCATCTATGGAAGCTTCCTTCAATTGCCAGTGGAAATGAGTCCCTTCCTCTCTTGTAACCAATTAGGCTTTCATTCTACTTACTTAGGTCCTCTCATTTAAGCATGAATGAAGTCAGGAATGAGCTAGGGCACTTAACTTAGAACTAGTGGGCACTCAAGAAATGCTTGGTTAATGCATTTTTTTTTCAGAGACAGAAACTCATTCTGTCACCCAGGCTGGTGTGCAGTGGCATGATCATAGCTCACTGCAGCCTTGAACTTCTGGGCTCAAGCAATCCTCCCACTTTAGCCTTCTGAGTAGCTAGGACTATAGGCATGTGCTAGATGAGGACTTACTGTGTTGCTCAGGCTGGTCTCGGGCTCTTGGCTTTAAGTGTTCCCCTTTCCTCAGCATTCCAAGTTGCTGGGATTATAGGCATAAGCCACTGTGTCCAGTTTATATTTAAACTGGACACAGTGCTTTAAAAGCAAAATATGTGTTAAAAGTGAAAAACAAAAGTATCATGTGAGGTCTGAGGAGGGATTGGTAACTATGTTTTAGTTTGACTAGGCTCAGTTGATCTAAAATGTTATAGGAAGCTGTTTGAAGACACTAGTCTTTTTTTTTGCATCTAGAGATCACTAGTGAATCATTCGGTTATTACTAAATTAGTTTTTAATTAAAATATGTTAGTGTTGAATAACTGGCTAGGTCTTTGCAGTAATTCTTGTTACATGATCTTATGCATTTTTAATGTTGGCTACAGACTCATGTTATACTATTATTCTTTAATGTGCATGATTATACTGCTTTGATATTAGATAAGCATATTTGCTTTAATAACATAAATGATTGATTAGCCCAGACTCAGAAGGGTAAGTGAATCTCAGAAAAAAATGAGGAAGAGTGAAAAAAAAGAGGCACAAAATGAGCGAATAATCACTTTATTTTAGACTTTGAAACTTGTGTTCCACATTACTTAATTACAGTTGCCTTTATAGATCTTCCAAATGAGTGAAAAATTGTTTTTGGAATTTAATACTGCTAAAATTGCAAGATTAATTGAAACCAGAGTATTTTAATGTCTCCATGGAGGCATTGAACCTATATACTAATTTATTAAAAAGCTTGCTATTAGTACAGGAGAGAAAAACCTGAATCTACTCATTCATTACATGAAGTTGACAGTTTTATCTTGCATCTCTTTTGCTCCAGGCACTGAATACCTATTTTGTTCTAGGCACTGGGGCTAAAGTGATGAACAAAACAATAAGGGTCCACTCTTAGGGAGCTTATGTTCTTATGTATAATAAAACCAATAATGAAAGACAATAACAAATAAGCCAGCAAACATCAAATAGTTATAAATTCTATAAAGACAATAAAACAGGAATACATGTGGAGAATCACTGCTGGCTTCCTTAGATTGAATGGTCAGGTTATTCACATAGGTATTGAGCACCTCTTGTATGATAAGTACTGTGATACATACTAGGAAATACATAGACTACTAACAAATAGTTCCTATTCTTATATAGTTTTCAATCTAACAGAAATAAAAGTATGTATGGAAACCAACAACTGTAGCAGAGTGTGATGAACACCGTTATAGACCATCCACTGCTACAGACCATTCCCTCTGAGCTGTGTTGAACCCCAGAACACAAGGGTAGGGAATGTAACAACTCCTGGAGAGTCAGGGTAAACTTTCAAGAAGAGAGCGAGCTGAGAATTAATAAATTGATAGGAATTACCAAGATGGTGAAGGGAAGTGGTAGAACTGGGTTTTTCAAATAGAAGGAACATTATTTTTAAAGGCACAGAGACAGTGTGCATGAAAAATATGAATGGTTTAGTATTGCTGGCATGTAGCACATGACTGTGTGTGTGTGTGTGCATGTGTGGGCACCTTTAAGGGAAATTGGTGCAGCAATTAGCCTAGAGATGTAGGAAAGATCAGGATGTGAGAAGCCTGTGTGTAGCAAGGTGTGATACTGTGAAATACACAGTATATTTGGTCTTCCTCCTTGTTTCCTGGCATACAACTCTTAAAATCCTTAGAATCTTCAAAGTGATAAGTGTCTTTTTGTATGAATTGACTGGTAGCTGGAAACCCCTAGGCAGCTTCAGGATGGAGGCTGGTCACCAGAAAGACCAAGACAGGGTTAGAGGGTTGGGACTTTTAATCCCACCACCCAACCTCCAAGGACGGGAAAGGGGCTGAATGTTAAGTTGATGATCAGTGGACAATGTCAATCATGTCTATGTAATGAAGCACCCTCCATAAAAATAAAAAAGGACAAGGTTTGAAGAATTTCTGTATAGCTGAACATCTGGAGGTTCCTGAAGGATGGTGTGCCCAGGAAGGGCATAGAATCTTGGCACCCCTTCCTACATAACCTTGCCCTATGCATCTCTTCATCTGTATCCTTTGTAATATCCTTTATAATAAGCTGGTAAATGAAATAAGTGTTTCCCTGAGTTCTGTGAGCCATTCCAGCAAATTAATTGAGCCCAAGGAGAAGGTCACGAGAACGCTGATCTATAGTTGATTGGTTGGAAGCATAGGTAAGAAAGCAAATCTAAAGCTTGCAATTGGCATCTGAAAGTTGGGGCAGTCTCATGGGACTGAGCCACAAGATCTGTGGGATCTGACTCTATCTCCAGGTAGGTGGTATCAGAACTGAATTGAATTAGAGGACACCCAGCTGGTGTCCACTCTAAAACTGATCGCTTGCTTTGCGTGTAGGGAAAAACCCCCACACATCTGGTGTAAGAAGTGTTCTGTATTGTGAGTGGACAGATAAAAGACTTTGTTTTTTCCTCTCTGATAAGGTAAAGAATTAAATCTTTTAATTCTAAAAAATATTTGGAATTTTACTCTGGGTTAAAAATAGGAAAAGACAGAATGATCCCAATGTTATAGGTGCTATGCACTGAGAAAATGTCAAAATACATAAATAAGTGAAAAAGAAAGCTTATAATTATTAAATCAGACTGTCTTATATTTTTAACAAAATATTGTTTGTGCTATAGTAATAGCTGTAAAATTTGTTTCTAACTTTAACACCATATAACATTGTTTTTCAATCTAAACTGCCTGATAGTTCCCTTTATTAAAATTTAGGCTAATTTTAAAAATTTGAACTTTTGATAAATAGGTTTGTAAAGCTTAAAGATTTCTTTAATATAGCTGGATAAAGGAGAGTAGAAAAGTTTGATTGGATGAAGAATACTCCAAACCATGTCCTGATGCAGGTTTTATCCTTTTATCCTTTTGATTTATGGGACCTAAGGATGATACCCGCCAAACTTAGTTTGTGTTGTTGATGTCTTTCACTGGAAAGGACTGCATTATCAATCAGAATATAGTGTGCTTTTGAATAGGCAGAATGGGTAAACTCTATCCACTGAAATATGGGCTTTCCTGCCACAATGCCATATATACATTGCTGGAAAACATAGTTTGGGGCAAGATTTCACACTAAAAAGAACAGGGCTTATGATAAAAATAGAATTCAACCAAACCACTCTAAACCTAGGAAACGTTGTAAACAGAGACCTAACGAAAACAATTCTAATAAGATAGAAGTACAATTAAAAAGGCATGTCAAATTCTAATAAGGAAATGCTGGAGTAATCTTGGCCTTCACTTAACATGTAGGTGAAGAGAGCTTGATGGACTGGGATGCTGGTAAATATTCAGGCTGCTGCATTATGGAGATAAGGTCACCCTGTCATATATCACAGGTAGACAGAGGTGTTGGCTTTGCATACAATGTGGTGATGCTAATGATGGATTACTTCTGTTCATCATCTATGTTTGTGTCTTCTGCACAAGACTGGGAAGATCTGTCTAAGTAACTTCCAAGGAAGAGCGAGTATCCAAAATAAAGAAGGTAGACATGGCAGTACTGCATTCCTTCAAGCTTGGTGCATTCAGATAGGCCAATGTGTTGTATGCTGAGCTGCTATTATATGAGAAAAATAATCTCTAACTTCTGTGTTACATTGACATCATTACTGTATGTACAATTTCATAAATTGTGGATGAGGTAACTTGCATTAGGGAAACTTAAGGTAGCAGATTGACTGTATTTGCATAATGCTCCACATTCTCCACCTGATTTAACTAGGAAAATAATTTTAAAGAATCATCACAGACAGCGATGGGGACTATATGAGTATCTCAGTGTACAGCTGTTATATAATGTATGCCATGCCTCTGGCTCACAGCATACCTGGTAGGTCCTTAGTGAATATTTGATGAGTGAATAAATGAATTAATGAATCAATGAACAGCTCAAGATTAAAAAAAAAACTGCAGAAGTGACTTAAGGAAATGTTTGTCCTCACAGTGTTGGGGTTTCGAAGGACACAGCTCGACCTCTATCCTAGAGGTCTCCATAGCTCTTTCTTGGACTCTACAAACTGACAAGCTTCCCAAACTCATCACACAGCCCACTTGCCTCACCCAGTTGTATGCGCATCCCTGCCTGGCTACAGTGACCCTGGGCATCCAATTCTCCACCGCTGTAGGCTATAGGTCAAGACCAGAAAGTGACTCAGAAAGGAGCCTATGGAAGAGAAACAGATGGGCTAACTGACAGGCAGAGAAACCTCCAGACTTATAGAGGTGTAATTAACTCACAAATTCTCCAGTCATTATTATCATTAAGTCAAAGAGGCAGGAATGCCCCCCGGCCCTTCTCTATTTCTGCATAACACTCCTCCAACATAATATGTTGGGATTTCTCTTTCTTTTGAGGTTGCATTTGATGTTATTCATACTTGATTTCACCTGATTTAAAAAATAACGTTCAGGAGAGTAAGGGGTGGGGAGTGAGAACCAGAGTGAGTCCTCCCTACTGCCCTGCACTCCTAGGGGTGGTCCTCTTTTACTTTCTACCCTTCTGGTCTCCCCTGAGAGCTGTTTTGGTCTGGAGTTTCCATTTCTTTGTTAAGACTCTTCTGCAGTGTTCTTTCATGAGGAGGGCTTTCCAGGTTTTCCCATGATGCTGAGACCTTGCGGCACTGAATCTCCCTAAATTAGTCTTCAGTGAGCCAAGGCTGGAGGGCCTGTAACACTTGCACAGTCTCTTTTCTGTTCTGCATTTTCCAGTAATGTTCTGTGTATTCATTGTGATTTATAGCCCTGGAGGGAGCCAGGTCTGCAGCGTTTTCATTGAATCCAGCCTGTAATGTTGTTTGTCAAGCTGCCATTTACAGCTTGGAAAATTTTTCTCTAATCTACTTTGCAGAGGCATGATGTGTCTTCTCACTTTAGTTGTAACCCCTGGTGTGTATACCTGCATGGGGAACAGTGGGACCTACCCTATTGCTTCCAGCTTTTGGTTTTGTGCAGTACCAAAGCAATACTCAATAAATGGGCATGATCAGTAGTAACCTATATTGAAAATAGTTTTTGATCATCTCATTTGTAATCTCCAAGATAAAAAAATGACTTAGAGATAGACCTATTTTCTTGTGTGGATATGTCCTAAAGTGGGAACTTAAAAAATGATGAATTAACCTATTTCTCTCTCATCTTCTAATTTAGTAATTTCACCATGATTTCAAGGTTATTTTCTTCTGGAATCAGTCAGAGGTTGTAGAAAATACCATACTGTGGACAATGAATTCTTCCAGGGCAGGGCGATGCCTTATTCATTTTTGGGACTCCAGACCCCAGCACAGGGGCTAAAATGTAGGAAGCATTTAATATATATTTGAGTTAAAATTGCATGAGTTAAGGGACTGGAGCTGGAGAAATTAGAAGAGGAAGTAAGCAGAACCCAGGGAAATATATGAAAATCTATAGAAATCCACAGGATCAGAGACCAAGTGGGAAATCCAGAGTTGGGATATGTAGGCCAGAGCAAGATGGCAGGTCTCAATCAATCAGAGAGGCAGTAAGCAAATGGGAACCACAGACAAAGCAAACCATGTCTGGCAGGAGGCAGGTAACCTGCAGCTATGTAGTAACTGAAGGGGCAGAATACTTCTAATCTGCTGAGGAAAGCCCTCCCAGAAATTTCTGTGAGGCACAAACCAATTATACAGGACTTACAGTTTTGGTTTAACCTGTAAGTTCTCTATATTGTTCTAGTCCATGCCCTTTCGCTATTCATGCTGCCTCTGTTTGGTTTAGGGCTCTATTGTGTTTTACTTGAATAACTTCACCTGCTTCCTAAATGTCCCCCATCCTATTACTCTCTGCTCTAGTCCATTCTAAAGTCAGGTCCTGCATATTGTCTGAATTTTGGTGCCATATCCATGATTCCATGAACATGTCAATATTAGTGTTATATAATTAAATGGGCCATCTCCTTTCATTTACTGATGATTTGCCACCAACTATTACTGTATTAAGTGGTGTCACTGAGTCAGCTTTGGATTCTCTTCTCAGGAAATTTACAGTTCAACTGGTGCCTCATTTTCTCCACTTCTCCCAACCCTGGCTTACCCTCCTTCAGTTGCTCATCTTCTTGCCCTTCCTTGTCTCACCAGGTATGCTCCTGTCTAAAGCTTATGTCCTTGAAGCTCTATCTGCCTGGCATTTTCTTTTCCCTAATCTTTGCATGCCTCATCGCCTCATTCCATTCAAGTCTCTGCCACCCATTTCAGTGGACTTCTCTAAACATACTATCTAAACTTTCCTTCATTACCTATTCCTTTTTCTTGCTTTCCTTTTATTTGTAATATCTAATATATTGATTTTCCTGTTTGTTTATTCTAGGTCTTCCACAAAAACATTAGCTCCATGAGAACAGAGATTTTGGCTGTTTTGTTCATTGCTATCTCCTCAGCTCTTAAAAAAGAATGCCTCATCCTTATTGGGTACTGCATACATCTTGTTGAATAAATGAATAATGGAGAAGATACAATGTCAAGTAGACAGGACTGAGGAAAGTTAGAGGAAAGAAAGTTTATTTCAGGAAGGAGGAGGTATTTGGTCCAGGTTTCAAATGATGGAAATGATCACAGCATGGAAAGATAGTAAGGGAAGGGTGTTTTTCCTTCTACTGACAAACATTTTGACTTATTTTCCAGTAACCCTGTAAAATTTATCATACTACCTTGTTTCTCTTTCTCTCTCCATCAGATATACTTTTGTGAAGCTCAAAAGGGCATAAGAGCTAAACATCAGTGTGGACCTGGTTGAATATGGCTCATTTATAGCTCTAAGGATGTCTGCTGGGTAGCCTGTCAAGTCTTGAAACAAAGTTGTACAGAGTTTGGTAGCATAGCCTGGACCACTTGGTTAGACATCAATGTTTGCATAAAAATATGGAAAATTCTTTCCTTCCTTAATTGTAGATAGAGGCATGGTCTTTTTCAGGCACAATCATTATCTTTAGCTTCAAAAATTCTTTCCTCTAATATCTGAAATACTTTTTATGGGGCAACTTACTATGTTATTATCCTTCTGTTAAGGTTCAGTGTAGGTGTTTAACTATTCCTGCTTTTTTCTTTTCAGTCATCGGCAGATTGATGAGGGTCGTTAGTCTCTGTGAATCATTTTAGAGTTTATTTGCATTTTTCCTTGATGAAAGAAAAGCAAAGGAAAATAACTGCAGTTTTCAATGTTCATTGGGATATTCTGAGAGCTTTCTGCAGTAAATTATAGGGATGTGATAAATCTAAAGAAGCATTGCTCATTCCTCACATCTGATTGCTTCATATCTCATACTGCGTTACTGCCTTTACAAACATAAGATTTAATATCCTCGAATGGATTCTTATCCTTACACTCTGTTATCCTCTCTTACAATATTTAATACCAGAAGTTTTAAATGTAAAGACTACTGTCATCTCATTCTGTATCAAACCCTTACAATTTCATGTGCAAACCTTTCTACTTTGCAAGGACCAGTAAATGTGCTTGTGGCTGATTTTTCCCTCCCCCGTTAATACTGGTATATAGGAAGTGGCAATGATGTCTCTAATTCTTCAATACCATGTTATATATATATAGTGAATATTTATATAGCAATTAAAAATGCATGTGCCCGCATTAAAAAGAAAACAAACATGTAACAAATTATGTAGCTGTTATTACCTTTCCAAGGGGATGCTTCACTTTACAAAAGAATTCCCTATAGATTTTCTTTAAATAGTAAGCTCCACTAGTACATTTAAGATATAATTAGACCTGCCTAAATTGAGTTTGTACACAATTCAGGAGCAGAGTCACTGTGCAGGGAAACAATAAACCCATGTTTACTTTGCTACCTGAAGCATAAGGAGAAAATATGCATATGTAGAAGCTGTCAAACATCTGGATGTTTGGGAAAGCCTGGATAGAGTACTCATCCAGATGCTGAGCACGATCCATTTGTAGTTTGGAGTCTTTCTAACACAGCAGGAGGGTACAGGAGCAAATATACTGAGACAGGCTCTGTCTTGCTAAAATTGATAGTGGCATTCCTTTTACTGCTTATGGGTGGGCACTTTTAGAAATGATAACCTGCAATAAGAATTTTGCAAATAATATGCATCACTTTCATCAAATGGAGTTCTCTTTTCTCAACATGATGGACAATTTTCATCTAAAAACTTAAAATAAATACTTTAAAATTAATCTGGATGGCAAGAAGTTCTTTAACAGAGAGGAAATGCACTCCAGACAGTATTGTTCTCAAAAAGGTGGGAAATACAATGCTAAAACCTACAACCTTTGGCTAATGAAATCAAAACAAACCAAACAAAACTTACCACAATAGTCTAACCTGGAAATAGGAGAACTCACTTCAACAGCATGATACTCACCTGAGCAAAGTGAACTGGGGCTAGAAGATGAACTTTTACACTTGACTATTTACCCCATGAATCAGGCTCTTGAATATTTGCAAAACAGAATTTAGAATTCTCAGTACAAAGAACTTCTAGTGGTCTGAATTGATATACCCATTTGTGATAACTTGGTAAGTGGAACTCTTTATGAAAGCACAGCATCCTAAGTAAAAGTGTTGTAAGCCTTATTTGGCATATATGGAACAAAAAGAAGCCTTAGACATGAGCACTTCATTGGGTACTGGCAAATGCATTTTGGTAGACTTGTCAGCCTTGAAAGAAGCAAGAGAATGAGAGGCAGCGGGATGCTCTGAAGACAGCCCAGTCTTTTCCTCAGCCAGGCCTAAGCTGGAATCTTGGCTATTTTACACTTGGTGTGTTATCTTGCACAACTTATTTAGCTATTTGTGAAAATGGGAGGGGATACTTACATTGCCAGTTTTATTTTTCTAGTAAGAAATCAATGAGCCTAATAAATGAAGGGTACTTAAAAAATGCTGGCTCCCTTTCATTTTTGATGGAATCACCAAATATAGGAAATTAACACCAGCTTTTAACTGTCCCTGGAATGTGGACACACAGTTTCATACACGTTCTTGAGTTCACAAATTTTATCACCAGGGTGATGGCAGAGCAAGCAAGTCCATCAGATCTGGAGTTATTCCTGCCCAATGTTTCACTCAGTAGATGCAGACATCGAGAGAAGAGATATAAAGCCACAAGCACTGTCATCAGACGTATTTACTAAAATGCTTCAACAATTGAAATCAGTTTCATTAGCCACCAGAAATAAGTGGCTATTGTGAACACATGCTGCATGCCGAATGTGTACCACTGAGTCACTTTTAGAGAACATGTTTATGTAGCAAGCTTCCATAATTAACAGTGATTGCGGTGAGAAAACTCTTACACAGATACTTGTTTTCTATTATAAAATATAATATTTCCTTAAGTGTAGCATTTTCAAATGTTCCACAGTTCACCTGTACTTGTGTCCCTATGAGGTCTCCATTAAACATGGAAGATCCCATGATGATCATATTTGCTATCTTTCCAAGAGTTTTCTTTCTGTTGGGCCCAGTCCTAAGCACTTGAATTTATCTAATTTTCACATCAGCCTTATGAAGTAGGCTATATCATTAACCACTTTTTTTTTGAGTTTTAAATTTCATTTAATTTTTTTTAATTTTTAGTTTTATTTTAAGTTCCGGGGTACACGTGCAGGATGTGCAGGTTTGTTACATAGGTAAATGTGTGCCATGGTGGTTTGCTGCATCTATCAACCCATCACTTAGGTATTAAGCCCAGCGTGTATTAGCTATTTTTCCTAATGCTCATTTAATCTTTTAAAAGATTTTTCTCAATTTTTTTATTGTGGTAAAATATATGTAATATAAAATTTACAGTTTAACCATTTTAAAGTATGGTTCAGTGTGGTATTAAATACATTCGTAATGTTACAGAACCATCCCCACCACCCATCTCCCTAACTCTTTTCTTCTTGTAATGCTGAAACTCTTCATCTATTAAACAATAACTCACTATTCCCTGATCCCTACAGCCCCTGGCAACAACCATTCCACTTTGTCTCTATACTTTTTTGACTATTCTAGGTATCTCACTCATATAAGTGGAATCATACATTATTTTTCTTTTTGTGGCTGGCTTATTTCACTTGGCATAATGTCCCCAACATTAATCCATGTTGAAGCATATGTCAAAATTTCCTTCTTTTTAAGGGTGAATACTTTTTTTGTATGTATATGCCATATTTTGCTTATCCGTTCACTTGTCAGTATACACTTGGGTCGTTTCCACATTCTGGCTATTGTGAACAATGCTGCTATGAACATGGGTGTACACATCTCTTTGAGACCTTGCCGTCAGTGTTTTTGGCATACATCCAGAAGTGGAATTGCTGCATCATGTAATTCTATTTTTTATTTTTTTGAGGAAAAAAAGCTGTATTGTTTTCCATAGTGGCTATAGCATTTCACAGTCCCACCAATTGTGAACAAGGATTCCATTTTCCCACATCCTCACCAACATTTGTTATTTTCTGTTTCTGTGATAGTAGCCATCCTAACGGGTGTGAGGTGGTACTCAGTGTAGTTTTGATTTGCACTTCCCTAATGATTAATAATGTTGAGCATCTTTTCATGTGCTTATTGGCCACTTGTACCTCTTTTTTTTTTGAGAAATGTTTATTCAAGTCCTTTGCTCATTTTTTGAATTAGGTTGTTTTTGTTGTTGAGTTTCAGAAATTCTCTACATAGTCCAGATATTAACCCCTTCTCAGGTATGTTATTTGCAGATATTTTCTCTCATTCTGTGTGTTGCCTTTTTTCTCTGTTGATACTGTCTTCTGATGCACAAACATTTTAAATTTTTATGAAGTTCAGTTTCTCTGTTTTTTTCTTTTGTTGCCTACACCTTTGGTGTTATGTCCAAGAAATCACTGACAAATCCAATGTCATGAAGTTTTTGCCTTATGTTTTCTTCTAACAATGTTATAGTTTTAGGTCTTTAAGGCATTTCAAGTTAATTTTTGTGTATTGTCTTAGGTAAGGGTCCAGCTTCATTCTTTCACATGTGGATATCTAATATTTCCATCACCATTTGTTGAAAAGACTGCCCTTTCCCCACTGAATGGTCAAAAATCATTTGACCGTAAGTGTGTGGGTTTATTTCTGGACTTTCTATTCTATTCCATGGGTCTAAATGTTGGTCTTTATGCCTATATATAACATAAAATTTACAGCTTAATCATTTTATAGTTCAGTGTATTAAATACATTCATAATGTTACAGGAAACTACATCATGATTGATTACTGTAGCTTAAATACATTCATAATGTTATAGGAAACTACCTCATGATTGATTACTGTAGCTTTGTAGTAGTAAGTTTTAAAATAAAAAATTATAAGTCCTCCAGCTTTGTTCTTTACTTTCAAAATAGTTTGGGCAATTTGGGGGTCCTTTAAAATTCTATATGAATTCTAGGATGGGTTTTTCTATTTCTGCAAGAAACATCATTGGGATTTTGATAGGAATTGCATTGAATCTGTAGATCACTTTGGACATGTTAACAATATTAAGTTCTCAAAACTATGGACAGGGAATGAGTTTCCATTTATTTATGTCTTATTAATTTATTTCAGCAATGTTATTGTAGTTTTCATTGTACAAGTTCTTCATCTCCTTGGTTAAGTTAATTCCTAAGTATTTTTTGATATTATTATAAATGGAATTGTTTTCATAGTTTCCTTTCTAAATTCTTCATTGTTGGTAAAATGCAACTCATTTTTGTATATTGACTTTGCATCCTGCTACTTTGCTGAATTCATTTATTATTTCTTACAGTCTTTTTTTTTTTTTTAAATCTTCAGGGGTTCCTACATATAAGATCACATCATCTGTATACAGGGATAATTTTACTTACTTTTTCAGTTGGGATGCCTTTTGTTTCTTTTATTTAATAGTTGCCTAATTGCTCTAGCTAGCAATTAGTACAGCCGTCTAGTACTTTGTTGAATAGGGATGGCAAACACAGACATCCTTGCCTTCTTCCTGATCTTAGAGGAAAAGTTTTAGTCTTTCACCTTTGTGTATGATGTTGGCTGTAGGTTTTTCATATGTGGCTTTTATCATGTTGAGGTAGTTTTCTTCCATTCCTAGTTTGTGGAGTATATATATATATTTTAATCATAGAAGGGTACTGAATTTTTTCAAATGTTTTTTCTGGCTTCAATTGAGATAATTATGTGGCATCTTCCCTTCATTCTGTTAATGTGGCCTATAACACTGATCAATTTTTGTGTGTTGAATTATTCTTTCATTGAAGGACTAAATCCCCTTTGACCAAGGTGTATAATCCTCTTAATATTCTGGTAAATATACGAGCATTTTGTTGATGATTTTTACACTAATGTTCATAAGAAATAATGGTCTATGGTTTTCTTTTTCTTGTGTCTTTGGCATCAAAGTAATGCCTCATAGAATTAGTTAGGAAGTGTTGCTTCTTTTTTATATTTTTGGAATAGTTTCAGAAGGATTGATATTAGTTCTTTAAATGTTTGTTAGAATTCACTAGTGAAGCCATCAGATCCTGGGCTTCTTTGTTGTTGTTGAAAGATTTTTTATTACTGATTCAATCTCCTTACTAGTTATAGCACTATTCGGTTTCTATTTCTTTGTGATTTAGTCTTGGTAGGTTTTGTGTTTTCACGAATTTGTCCATTTCATCTAGATTTCCAATGTGTTGGCATACAATTGTTCACAGTACTCTCTTATTGTCCTTTTTATTTCTGTAGAATCAGTAGCAATATTCCCATTTCCATTTCTGATTCTATTAATTCGAGTATTCTTTTTTCTTAGTTCATCTATCTAAAGGTTTGTCTGTTTTGTCAACCTTTTCTAACAGCCAACTTTTGGTTTCATTGATTTTCTTTATTGTTTTTCTAGTCTTTATTTCATTTATCCATGTTTACTGTTTCCTTTGTTCTGGCTAGCTTGGGTCTACTGTATTCTTTTTTAGCTCCTTAAGTTGTAAAATGAAGTTGCTGATTTGAGATATTTCTTTTTTTAATGTAAGCATTTATAGCTATAATTTTTAATCTTAGCACAACTTTCACTGTGTCCCATAGGTTTTGGCAGGTTGCGTTTTGTTTTCATTAATTTCTAAGACTTATTTTTTGACCCATTGGTTGTTTAAAAGTATGCTGTTTAGGCTGGGCACAGTGGCTCACACCTGTAATCCCAGCACTTTGGGAGGCTGAGGTTGGTAGATCACTTGAGGTCAGGAGTTCAAGACCAGCCTGGCTAATATGGTGAAACCCTGCCTCTACTAAAAATGCAAAAATTAGCTGGGAGTGGTGGTGCGTGCCTGTAGTCCCAGCTACTCAGGAGGCTGAGAGGCAGGAGAATCTCTTGAACCTAGGAGGTCGAGGTTGCAATGAGCCAAGATCCCACCACTGTACTCCAGCCTGGGTGACAAAGTGAGGCTCTGTCTCAAGAAAAAAAAATAAAACAAAGGCATGCTGTTTAATTTTTGAATATTCCAGTTTTACTTCTGTTATTGATATTTAACTTCATCCCATTGTGGTTGGAAAAAATACTTTGTGTGGTATCCATCTTTGTGTGGTATCCATCTTTTAAAATTGTTGAGACTTAACTTGCGGGCTAACATAATGGCATATGAATAACATAAGAATGTTTATGTTATTGTTATTGGGTACAGTGTTCTGTATTATGTCTGTTAGTCCTAGTTGGTTTATTGTGTTAAGTCTTCTGTTTTCTTACTTATCTTCTGTTTGGTTGTTCTATCCATTATTGAGAGTAGGGTATTGAAGTCTACAACTATTGTTGTAGAACTATCCATTTCTCCCTTTAATTTTGTCAGTTTTGCTTCATGTATTTTATTACCTGTTATTAGGTGCATAAATGTTTATAATTATTACATCTTCTTGTTGTATTAAACCTTTTATTAATATATAATGCCCTTCTTTATCTCTTATAACTTTTTTGATTTAAAGTCTATTTTGTATGTTATTAGTATAGCCACCTCTGCTCTCTTTTGTTTACTATTTGCATAAAATATCTTTTCCACCCTTTTACTGTCAATGTATTTGTGTCTTTGAATCTAAAGTAAGTCTCTTGTACTAAGCATATACACAGTTGAATGATGTATTTTTATCAATTCTGCCAATCTCTGTCTTTTACTAGAAACTTTTATCCACTTACATTTAAAGTAATTAATGATAAGGAGACGCTTTCATCATTTTGCTCTTTGTTTTACATATACTTCATAGCTTTTTTTGTCTCTCATTTCCTGAATTGCTACCTTCTTTTGTGTTTAGTTCATTTTTTTTTTGTAGTGAAATGTTTGAATTCCTTTCTCACTTCTCCTTGTGTATATTCTATAGCTATTTTCTTTGTGGTTGCCATGGGAATTAAATTAACATCCTAAAGTTATAACACTCTAATTTGAATTTATACCAGTTTAACTTTAATGGCATACAAAAACTCTGCTCCTTTACATCTCTAGCCCTACACCTTTCAGTTATTAATGTCACATAATTACATCTTTATACACTGTATTCCAAAAAAGGAAAAAAGAAAAATGAAGGATGTGGGGAGGATCGTTTTAATCCCCTAGAAGTCACTTTTGCTGGTAGGGGAGGGGCTTACAGCAATGGGTGAAGGTGCAACAGCAATGGCTGCCACATTTTTTGTCTGCGCCTCTGTGATCAGAAGCAGCAATTAGTGATCCGAGGTCAGATTTCTGATATTTGGAGGACAGAGTTCTTTTTGCCCATCCTGGCTCTTATAAGCTGTGTTCAGGTCCCTCCTGGAACATGTGCACAGCTGCCTGCAATGGGCCTGGGCGTAGGGGATGGGTAGCTATCACTGTGCTAAGAGCTGAAATGGACAAAATTAACTGCAACTTACCATCTAAGCCTTCCTCTGTAAGTTGCAAACATTCAATAGATTCCAGAGTTCCATCCATTGAATTACATCAAATTCTGCCAGTGCAATTGTTGTTTAGGTGGGGAGACAGAATCCTGGTGATTCCTACTCTGTCTTTCTTCTAGAATCCTCCTATTCACTTTTAACAGATAAGACAACTAAGGCACAGTGGAGTGATTTTCCAAGTCGCACAGCTAAAATTGGACAGGAGTGAAATTTGAATTCATGGAGCCCGACTATAGTCTGTATCACATTCTTAAGTCTATGCTCCACTGCTTCTATGGAGAGAAATAAGGAACCTGGTTGTATAGGCTGAAATCTCAGTTCCCACAACTGAAAAGAATAAATGAGCAAATTAACACAGGTATTCATTTGGCTTGTAACCAAGGCAAGTTTGTGAAGTTACAAGTTTACAAGAGCGTTGGCAGTGCCATTCTGGATGGAAATGAGGGGAGACTTCCTTTTTGGATGTGGGATGGACAGCGAAAGTCCTTATGGGGGCCCCCAGGAGGCAAGCAAGAGATGTCTAAAGGGATGGCCTGCACCTAACACGCTGGTGCCCTCAAGGGAACAATTAGGTGGAAAAGAGTGAGTGTCAAAGAGGGCTCTGTCTACAAGCCAGGTTTGCCTGTAGTGTGCTCCCTGTCACAAGTGTCGGTGCCTTTCACTTGCACAGAAATAGAATTGTAGGAAATATCTGAACATATTTTAAAATGTTAAAAAAACCAAAAGGGATGGAAGTTATGAAAAAATACACAATCTTGATATAGGATTTACACATAGTTCTAAATGTACACCTCTGGTGTTGTCTTTATACATCAACAGTGTACACGAAAAGTGTACAAATGTGGATTTATTGTACATTTTTGCAAACATTTTATTTTATTTTATTCATATTTGAGATGGAGTCTTGCTCTGTTGCCCAGGCTGGAGTGCAGTGGTGCGATCCCGGTTCACTGCAACCTCCGCCTCCTGGGTTCAAGCTATTCTCTTGCCTCAGCCTCACAAATAGCTGGGATTACAGGTGTATGCCACCACACCCAGATAATTTTTGTGTTTTTTAGTAGAGACAGGCTTTCACTGTGTTGGCCAGGCTGGTATCAAACTCCTGACCTCAAGTGATCTGCCTGTCTTGGCCTCCCAAAGTGCTGGGATTACATGCATGAGTCACTGTGCCTGGTCTTGCAAGCATTTTAAAAGCCATTGCTTTTTACTATTTCAATGATAATCCTTCTTCTTCCTTTGGATGGTAATTCCTTCGATATGTCTCATCTTGGGAACTTTACTGCTAATCAGAATCGTGTTCTATGAGTTCTGTGACTTTGAAATCATAGTAACTGTCTCAAAAATACATGTTAAAAGGTAATAAATGAGACATTACTTAAATCATTAAGATTTGTCATCTTAATGATTGACTTTTCCAAATCTTCTACAAATGATTGAACTTTTATAATATACTATGTTAACTCATTGTGAAAAATAATTAAAATATTAATGCTTTCCTAATTTATTCATTGCTAAAGAAAAAGTAAAAGACAGTATTTGAATTTTTGTGTCCAGATAAAAAGATTTTGGAGAAAACATTGGTGAAGAATTTCATCTGTGAATCTTAGCTCTGCAATGCAGTCTGCATATTTCTAGGTAGGTTTTGAGAATATACTTTGACAATGTATCACTATAGTACAAAGATAGTAGGATTAACAAACCCTCTCCCTATGGAAAGCCTTGTTGCAACAGGTTTCTGCGAATATATATCTGTAGCACTAACCACATTGCTCAAAACAAAGGCCTCATCTGCATAGAGGAACTCATTTCCACCTTGCTAAATCAGAAAGCATTCAAGACTGACATCTACATTTTTATTTTCTACTAAATGCACTCTAGTTACTAAACTCTGATCCATTGTTCACTATTTAACAGGTTTTAAAAGTCAAGATACTAATCAGTTTTAGACTTTGTGATTACATGGGTTTCTTTGGACTATTTAGAAATTCATTAGCAATGACAGAATTTATATTTCAGAGGTTTGGAGGATATAAATCTAACATTTTGGATTTTTGACCTGGCTCTGGAAGAAATCTTTTCATGAGATTCCTAATGATTGATTTATTCCTAATATTGGTCATGCAGTAGATCCAGTTTTTTGTTTCCAAGTTTAAAAATCAGATTTATATTTTCAGTCTAAAATTCCTGGTTGTAGTTCCATATGTGGACCTAAAAGCCAGCTATACCTTAGCCCTTGGGCTCAGATCATTTGTGTTATCAAAAGGGCAGACAAGGTTAAAAGCCTACTTTCTACCCAAAGGGAAAGCTTGCAAATGGAACAGATCTCTGATGTGCTCTTTGGTCTATCTGTTCTCTACCTTGGGCTTTGAAACGGTAACCTTAACATGAGCAATATGCTGCTGGAGCACAATTTGTATGCAAATGAATTGAGAGAGATTTATTACAGATTCAAAATGAGGTCTCCCTGATATTGCACAGAAAGACTTGATGATGTCTTAGCAACCTTGAGTACAAACTAGCCATCTGAAAGCAAAGGTAGGAAAAGCATCTGCCCCCTCTCTCAGGTTATATGAGTTGAAATCTTTCAGTTTCCACCTTCGTGGTAGTAACAATTTTTTCATATTCAATATTTATTGCTGTAACATAACCAACCTCTGCTTATTAGGGCACATAAACCATCTTACCGTTTTCCTCCCCCTGCTTCTGTATACCCCTAGGCTTTACAGAAACAGTGAGCTGTTCCAGTTTGTAGTTCATTCAAATAGCTCTAAGACTGTCAAATCTGATAATTTTGGACAAAGTGAGTGGGTCAAAATAGTTGAAAATGAACCAAACTTTCAATCAGATGTGATTAGAGTGTACAGTGCTATAGTTTAGTTGTAATAGAAAGTATGAGAGCTTAAAAGGCTCAGAATAATTCTGATAAAAATATCTTGGGGTCTTTTTCCATTTTAAAGTGAATTGAGCAATTCTGTGTGGTTGAGGATTGACAGCATAATGGAAACAGAGCAAACTGCAGAATTTATCACCAGGTAACTGCATTAGCAGCAAAACTCATAATGCAGTCTGTTGGTTGAAAAGAGCATGAAGGAGCCTTCTATTTTCTTATGAGGTGCCATATGTTCATAGTTCTTGGCCAATTATATTTAGCTACTGCCAAATTACAGTTATTGGAAAATGCTCTCTACTCTATAGTCTTTCACAATATAATGAGAGGCCTCATAGATACTGATTCTTCTTATATAATTTGTTTATTAGCATAGATAAACATACTTAAAACTGCTTTCTAATATTGCCTTCTATTTATGATATATCTACAACACAAGATATTGCTGTGTAATAGCAATCCTGAACATTTCTATATATTTCTAAGGATTGACTACATGTTAAATTGGTGGGCAAATGTTTCAGTAATCTTTGACATTTTTATATTTCTCAGTAACTCTTTTTTAGATAGGATTTTTTTGTAGGATAAGATGCATAGTATAAATGTTATAGGCAGTTCTTATACAACATTCATGTACGTTCTTGTTCATGTTTCACTTACCAGGATCAAGAGGCAACTTGAGGCCAATTTTGTGTGCTCAGGGATGGTAGAAAACACTGACAAAATCAAGCAACCAAAGACAAGGAGAAAACTGTAAAACAACAAAAAGAGAAATCTGATAAGAACCTTACCTTATTATCACAGACTTAATTTCTTGCTTCAAATGAATAAAGCACCAGGCCCATTAAATTAGCACACATTAACTCATAAAAACTCTGGAAGGGACTAGCCATTTTGGATATTAAAATACAATGTGATATACTGTGCAAATGGGGCTCCTCTGCAATTTTATTGATGAAAAAAAGGTTGTGTTTGTGGGTTTGTGTGTGTGGCATGCTGCATTTAAATGTTAGCATCTAAGAGTTTGTGAATTTCCCATACAACTTCCTTCCCAAACAACGATCCTGAGAGAGGCCCAGAAAGTATGTTCTTGCTCTCCTATCTGGGGAATCCACACTGCAGTCACTCTTCGTTCAAAGGAGCCGAGTCTGTCTCCTGTTTGGCAACTTTGCTAAACTATCAAGTGTCCTAATTGGTTGTTACTCAGCCACTGGCTCATTTTCATGGTCTGATATTGCTCATGGATTCTCATTTGCTATTCCTTTATATTATTAATAATAAGATCATATATTAATAATAAGAATAGAAAAGGAAGTGAATGATTTCCTCTGCTACCCATACACTTTCCATTTCCTTCTAGTCAAACTGCTGGATAAATGACTTCTCAGCTCTGTCTATTCATATATAAGGATAAGAAACAGAATTCAGGATCAGGCATTGTCTACCAATTAATCTACAGATATTTTTATTCCTACAAATGTGTAACTTCTAGGATCAAGGCGGGAGCTGAGTTTCCAAGGAAAATGTCTACTAAAAGGGAAGGCTCTGTTTCAAAGTTGAAGTTACTTATTTTGAAAGGCAGTGTTAAAAAAAAAACCTGAGCTATTTGCTCTAGGTCATATTTTTTACTTGTGTTCCTCTCTGGGAAATTCATATAGTAAGCTGTCTTAAAATACCAAGTTTCTATGCTCCTCTGGATGATGGTGAAGTTAGTCCCTGACTCCTCCTTGCTTCCCCTGAAAAGTCTTACAAGTCTTACCACCACACTTGATTGGAAGTTCCCAAAGGCCAGGGTTTGGGCAGTATAGCCAGAGTTTGCCTAATTATGCCTACAGGACAAATCTGGCTCCTAATGCCTGTTTGTGTAAATAAAGTTTTATCAGCACACAGTCACAGTCATTCATTTATGTATTGTCTATGGCTGCTTTCATGCTATGATTGCAGAACTGAGTAGTTATAACAGGGTCAGTAAGGCCCACAGAAATGTTTGTTGACCCCTGACTATTCAGGGGTCAATAGATGACCCCACCACATTTATTCCTTGTTTCTTTATATTTATCCCAACATGTTTTCTATGCTGATAATAATGACTAACATTCATAGAGGGGTTCCTACAAGCTGGACACTGTGCTAAGTCCCTTTTAAATGCATTCTCCTCATTCTTACATTATCAATTATCTCTATGTTATCCCCAGAAATTTATGGAATAAAATTATTATAATCCCCATTTTACAGATATGAAAACTGAGAATTAACATTTGTAGCTCTTCCAAGGTTGTGTAGCAGAAAGAGAACCTAAGCACTGTGTAGTCTAAGCCTCTATGCAGTGTGCTGAATAAGCATCAGAGATGAGAATGGTGGTGGTATTCTCGGCTCAGGAAGACACTTCTCTATCTCCTCAAACTGAGGGGAAAGGGGTTGCCATTCTAAACAGAAGGCTCCAAGAGGAAAGAGCCTGCTAGTGAAAAAACCTAGTACACGATGTTAATGATTCATCATGCTTTTTTATTTTTCATTTTTATTTTTTTAGAAATAGGGTCTTCCTCTGTTGACCAGGCTAGAGTGCAGTGGTGCATTCATAGCTCATTGTAACTTTAACCTTGAACTCCTAGGGTTCAAGCTATCCTCCCACCTCAGCCTCCTGAGAGCTGGGACTATAGGCGCAGGCCAGCAGGCCTGGCTAATTTTTTTTAAAATTTTTTGTAGAGACAGGGTCTCACCATGTTGCTCAGGCTGGTCTCGAACTCCTGGCCTCAAGGGATCCTCCCACCTCAGCCTCCCAAAGTGTGTCTGGCATCATCCTACTTTTGATTCATGCATCTAATGATTCAGGATACTGTGGATTATATTTTAAGTTGGTCCTAATGGACTAAAATTTGCAAACTAGTGGTCAAAATCCAGTGCACCTACCTGACCCCCAAACTATAAATGAGAAAGTAAAATACAGGGATTACTAAGGTAGTTGGGAGGATGATGTGGCATCAGATGACAGTGATAGATGTCCTCCTCTGGTGAGGAGCCCTTATCTGGATATTCCCTCCCTTTCCCCACCAAGTCCAGGTTTCCCAGAAAACACTTGGAAAAGCGAGCAGGGGATTATTTAATCATTAAGATGCTTTCCTCCTTCAAGAGCATCCCAATGGCAGTTTTATAATCTATGTCTGTGCTCGAAACACATCTTATTGCTAGTTCCTTCTTCATCAATATTTGAATGCTGTTTTAATTTAGCCTTGTACAGCTGGTAGCCTTTGGTACAGTGCCTTCTACAATGGGTACTCAATACATGTTTTCAATTGTGTTGAAATAATTCCTATGCCAAAAATGGATTTTCAGGAATGGTCTACAAATTCTTACCACTAGGAATTAAAATCTAGTGAGGTGGGCAAAGTGAACACATTGGATCAGAATGAAAGGCAGAGGCAGATAAGTGCTAAGAAAAATGCTACAGAGGCTGAAAGTGGGGAGGGATTCTATTTAGTTGGGAAAGGTGGGAGCACATCAAGAAGTGTTCCAAAAAAAAGATGGTGTTTGAGATGGTCTTTGAAGGAAGAGTAAGGTTTCAACAAGAGAAATTTCTGGAGAAACACATCCTAGAAGGAGGGTACAAAATGTGGAAGGCAGCAAGTCAGAAAATGAATGAGGCAAACTATTTGCCTTTTGTTTCATGGAACGAGAATTATCAAAGTTTGCAGAACAGGATGAAACAGGTGGCTGAATTGGGAGTCTGGAGCTAAGTGGAGGAGAGGCTTGTAGGGCAGAGTCTGCATTTAGTTCAGTAGAAAATGGGGAGCCATTGAAGATTTCTGGACAGGATAAAAGGGTCATCAGAGTTGCCTTCTGGGAAAATTAAGTTGGCAGCAGTGTGTATAGAATGGATCTGAGTAGTGAGAGGCAGGAACAAGGGTAACAGTGAATCTAGGTTAGGCTGTAAATGAACATAGTAGAAATGAGAATGGAATAAACAGGGAGACTGAAGGGATGCTGTAAATTGGGGAGTGGAGTCTGGGAAGCGGGTGTGGTGGCTGGAAAGTCTGAGATGACTGTACAAGTCAGGAGAAGAAAAGTCAAAGTCAGAAGGAGAAACTGGTTTTGGGGAGAAGAGGATAAATCCAGTTTTAGACATCCACGTGGAAATGTGGATTTAAATCTCGGCTATAAATTCTAGCTGGAGATATGGAAGTATTTTTTTCCCCCTAGAAAAAGTAAATGTATGGAACATGTTATCCTGACAGTGCAGACCAAGCATATAAAGTTTTGGTAAATAAGCATAGAGGATATTCTAGAACCATTTCTTTCATTTGGCAAATGACATCATGGAGAACAATGAACACATTCTGCTCTGAATTAGCTCTTGGTATCATTGCCAGAGGCAGACTTTCTGGCTGGAGAAAACACTGAACTGACACAGAGTGACCCCCGTAAGGTGACAGTGTTCAGATGTTGGGCTGATTGGCAGTGACATAGTGAGGTTTGTGTGTGTGGTTTTGCTGACTCTATTGCTTCTGAGGATCCTGTGCGCATGTATGCATGCTGATTACTGACCATGACCCCAACGCACCTCTCTAGTGGTTGAATACAAGTAGAAGCGGTGGCAAGAGTCACTGGGCTCAGGCTATCCTAATGTAGAGTCCACGGTCCTCCAGGGGATCTGTGTGTAAAATTTAGGGGGTAGTGAACATAGAGGGGGGATATTTATGTGTTTATCTTTCGCTAACCATGGCAATAGATCATGATGGTATTAGCCGTACTTGTGAATTTGTTGCTCACAAAAATCACAGATTTTAAAATCTCATTTTACAGTTGTAGATGAAACCATAATTGTTTCATCTTGAATATTGATTTTGCTCATCATTTCAAGATTATGTAGCTATTAGCCCTACTGCTAGGGGTTGTTTTTAATAAAGAAGCATATGCATTGCCATATTGCAAATTTGTGTAATGTTTTAATAATAGATTTCATCATAATTTTTCCTTTTGTAGTCACATATATTTGAGGAATGGTTCATAGTTTCCACAAGATTGCTGAAGGGCCCATGGCACACATAAAAATTAAGACATCTGTAATTGAGAATTGGTAAGACGGGGCTGGAAGAGGGCCCAGTTTTGCACCTGTCAGCTTTATGATGAGTTTAAAATATATGAATGTTTTTCCATGTATACGTTAATCCTGAGGTATCATAAGATGGATATTCCTTCAAAATTAGTCTGGAACAGCTATTGGCCTTTATTTTGCCTGAAACAGTCATTTATATTTTGTTTCTGAGGAAATTCATTTTGATCTAGATCTTTTATCCAAAACTTATTTGGAAGGCACTGATTATTGTAAGAGAAAAAGAAGGAAATTTATAAAAAATTTAAATATTACCAACTCAAAGGACTCTATGTTTACTCAAGAAAACTATCATCAGCCTTTCTTGTGGGTTAATTAAGAATCAATTTGTTAGATTTAATTTGACAAAAAGCTTGACTTGGGAATCTCATGGGTGCTTGTATAACAGATAATGTCTAGCTTCCAGAACTAGTGCATCAAGCACAGATTCATTTAGCAAGAATGAAAATGATGTGAAAATAAAACATTCAGAAAAGCTCTACTGAACGAACCATGGCAAGTTACCCTATTGGCATTCACACAAACACACAATCCCCAGGTACTCACAAACAATTGTGAATGATGCAATGAAGAAAGGAGAAATGGAGCTGAGGTTTAAAGTAGACATCTCCCTGAACTTAGCATGATACAACAGTCAAATCAACAGAGTAGGCTTTGCTGATTGAAGCAACCACACATTTCCACCTAGCAGGTGCTCTCTGCAAGCATTTTGGCAGACTGTAAGTGTTCCATGGCATAATGGCCCATGTAAGTTAGTTATACTCATTAAGAAAGTTTTGAGGGAGGGGAGATCTTAAATTTTTTTTTTTTTTGAGATGGAGTCTCACTCTGTCGCCCAGGCTGGAGTGCAGTGGCGTGATCTTGACCTACTGCAAGCTCCTTCTCCCGGGTTCACGCCATTCTCCTGCCTCAGCCTCCTGAGTAGCTGGGACTACAGGCACCCACCACCAAGCCCGGCTAATGCTTTTTGTATTTTTAGTAGAGATGGGGTTTCACTGTGTTAGCCAGGATGGTCTCGATCTCCTGACCTCATAATCCGCCCGCATCGGCCTCCCAAAGTGCTGGAATTACAGGCATGAGCCACCGTGCCTGGCCCTTAAATGTTTTAAATGGAATGGAACCATAGGATTGAAATAAAAGATGCTAACAGGAAGAAGATATAGAATATTTTAAGAAAACAATTCTTCAGAAATAACTTCCAAAGGAAATTCAACCCTGCTTCTGACTTTTCATAAACTTTAAGTATTGCTTTGATGAAGTATGATCTTCAGTGCATTTGACAGGGGACCTTGAGAGCATTTCATGAATTATGATGACTGGAGTATGCCTGCTGACATTAGAGACTATAGCTGACCCCACTGGCTGGCACAGCACTTTGCCTGGAGGACAGGCCACCTAATGAAATCAAAACTTCATCAGCAGAGGGAAGCACTGGAGTCATTTCTTTCTTCCAGCATCCTAAATTTACCTTTCTTTCTAAACTTGGTACTTTGCAAAATATCCTTTATGCATAATGTTTCCATAAGAGAAGTGCATTTGGCACCTGGGATCTACTCAGAGCATGCCTCAGCTTCCACTGCAAAGCAATAAAAATTAAATATGACATTTTTAGTGTCTTTAACGGTGATTTGGAATAATTGATTAGAACACTGCACGATTCTGCTTTTCAAGTGCAATGAACCTTAAATATTAACAAAGACCCTAATCAATAAATACTATCACTGAAATCTCTGTGAATTTTTTTTTTTTTTTTTTTTTTTTTTTTTGAGACAGAGTCTTGCTCTGTCACCCAGGCTGGAGTGCAGTGACGCAATCTCGGCTCACTGCAAGCTCCCCCTTCCGGATTCACGCCATTCTCCTTTCTCAGCCTCCTGAGTAGCTGGGACTACAGGTGCCCATCACCATGCTTGGCTAATTTTTTTTTTTTTTGTATTTTTAGTAGAGATGGGGTTTCACCACTTTAGCCAGGATGGTCTCGATCTTCTGACCTCGTGATCCGCCCGCCTCTACCTCCCAAAGTGCTAGGATTACAGGCATGAGCTACTGTGCCCGGCCTGTGAAGTTTTAAAAATATCGTCATCAGCGAGCAGTTTTTAAAGAATGAAATATTGCATTTTACATGTGGGATGTTAAGAGGAAATTGGAGGGTATGGGAAACTGTGGTTTCTGCTTGCTTAGAGTATTTCTTTAAAGGACTATGGCTAATGTAAAAAAGCTAGGAGATGGCAACAGAACCCATAAACAGTTCAAGAGGTTTCCCTCAGAGCAGTCAGTGGACTCCGCGTAGACAGACATGGAGCATGCCTTCTCACCTCAGGATCAGGAAATTCGTGTGGCCAGAAGGATTTCTGATTCAGTCTCCCTTTGAGGACAGGGATTATTTTTGAAACATCACTGATAGACAGTTGTGCAGTGTCTCTCTAAACCCCTCCAGCATCCAGGACCCTCCCATCATTTTACGGCGGCATAGCCCTGTTACAGACAGCTCTACCGTTGGAAATTGATTTTCTCCTGAGTTCGCTCTCCTTGTCTGGGACCTTTACTCCTTGGTCAGGATCTGGACCACAGAAGACGTGTGCTCCTTCCTCCCTAAGAGAGTTCTTCAGATGTTTGAGGTTGGTTTTATCATGACTTCCCTGTTGGTCTTCAGATTCAATATACCGAGCCCAGTTTGCTGCCTACTTTGTATATGAAATTATGTCCTGACGTGTCATTCTCCTTGTCACTGTTCTTTACGTTTGCCCAGTTTGTTGTTACATCCCTCAAAGTGGGACTGAGACTCATTCTCATTCTTCAGTGTAAGCAAAAGAATTGGCATTTAATCACCAACAGTAAATATCTGCATTGTCCATTCTTGCTGGGGAATACAGATTCAAACTGGATACTGCCCAGCTACAGCAAAAGTTTGGTTTCAAAAAAGACTGTCTCAAGTATATGCAATCACTTAATTTGTTGTACTTTTCCTACCACACCACAGGGCCTGGAGCAAAGCTGACCACTGGCAATCTGTGTACTTGGACCCTACTTCTTTGGTCCCTAAAGGAATTACTTTAACTAGGAGTAAAAAGCATTTAACCAGCTTACCGTATTTTAAGAATTTCTCCCTATTTCACATTGTATTTGCTCAATGAGGCATCCTGTGAGAAATTTCTCTCAGGATTTTATTGCAAGAAAAATCTATTAACACGTTGCTTCTGGCAAAAGGGATGAAGTTTTAGGTTTCGGAGACTGTGATCTTTTAACATATTTGTTTCCTTGCCTTGGATGCCAAGAGGCTCAAAGGTGAATTTGGGACCCACATTACAAATAGTAATAGTGTCCCAGATCCTTCTGGTATACATTTTTATGGATTAACTTCATTCCCAATTTCTTTGCACTGTTCTATCATTATCTTACTTTCACTGTATTATATCAATCACAAATATTTACAGACATTGTACCAGGAACTGGGAACTCAGGCATAGTCTGTGTCCTCATCAGGGCTTTCAGTTAAATGGGAAGACAAACTTTTGCTTATTTTTATCCACTTGTACCGCATATATTATGTAAGCAGCCACAGATGTTTTCTGCACGTTACAAGGTATTCAGGATATATTTGACCAAGTAACAAAAGCCGTAAAGATGTGTTTTTGTCTATTACTACTCTTTCTTTGAAATGGGAGTATTCAATCTAAAGTTGCATTTTTTTTAAAAGAACTAAATGACGCCATTGATTCAAATTGAACTTAAATGAAAATGAATAGATTTTGCTCACTTGGATTTCTGGAAAGTCTTTATATTTGTTACATTTACATATTACTATGGTAATCTTGATTCATTTATTCCTAGCATGAACTACCCACTCCCTAAACAAGAACCTCCTAATGTTTTACCCTTATCTTCCGAATTTCTTTACAAACACCATATCTTGACTTTGGAGCACCCCTATCAGGTACCTCTTCTCCCACGACTATCATCTTACCTGAATTTCTCTTTGTTTCCCTCAAAGATATTATAAAGCACTTATCAGTGCTTTGCTGAAATCAAGACATTTTATCTACTCTATTCCCCTGATGTAGCAATCTGGTTAACCTATCAAAATAAGAAATAAGCATTATTTAATGTAATTTTTTTACTCTTGATGAACTTATGTTATTTTCTAGGAATGATAGTTGTTCTTTCCCTTTTTTTTTTTTTTTTTGAGACAGAGTTTCGCTCTTGTTGCCTAGGCTGGAGTGCAATGGCGCAATCTCAGCTCACTGCAAAGTCCACCTCCTGGGTTCAAGCGATTCTCCTGCCTCAGCCTCCCAAGTAACTGGGACTCCAGGCGTGCACCACCATGCCTGGCTAATTTTGCATTTTTAGTAGAGATGGGGCTTCACCATGTTGGTCAGGCTGGTCTTGAACTCCTGACCTGAAGTGATCCACTCGCCTTGGCTTCCCAAAGTGCTGGGATTACAGGCATGAGCCACTGTGCCTGGCCCTCAAATTTATTATAAATCATTTGCTTAATATTCTATCTAGAATATTTCTAGGAATTGTTATTGAGCTTATCAATATACAAAGCCCAGGGCCTCCTATTTTACTCCTTTTTGGCACTCAGGATATTTTTTCTCTCTCTGGTCATTTGGCATTCATCACATTTTTTCAAGATTTTTTAAAATTTATCATACTCCTGTACATAAATAAAAGCTAAAATATTATGAGAAACTATTAATGAAAGTTCTTCAGTTTCATCTTCAAATACTTTGATACCTTATGATACAAAGCTAGATGCAAAAATATGAACTTATTAATAGCCAACAATTTTCCCATCTCATATTTTCACTGTTTCTTAATCATATTTTTAAAAATCCCTTTTAGTTTAAAAAAAGAAAATCATGGGAGGAGGAGCCAAGATGGCCGAATAGGAACAGCTCCGGTCTACAGCTCCCAGCGTGAGCGACGCAGAAGACGGGTGATTTCTGCATTTCCATCTGAGGTACCGGGTTCATCTCACTAGGGAGTGCCAGACAGTGGGCGCAGGCCAGTGTGTGTGCGCACCGTGCGCGAGCCAAAGCAGGGCGAGGCATTGCCTCACCTGGGAAGCGCAAGGGGTCAGGGAGTTCCCTTTCCGAGTCAAAGAAAGGGGTGACGGACGCACCTGGAAAATCGGGTCACTCCCACCCGAATATTGCGCTTTTCAGACCGGCTTAAGAAACGGCGCACCACGAGACTATATCCCACACCTGGCTCAGAGGGTCCTACGCCCACGGAATCTCGCTGATTGCTAGCACAGCAGTCTGAGATCAAACTGCAAGGCGGCAACGAGGCTGGGGGAGGGGCGCCCGCCATTGCCCAGGCTTGCTTAGGTAAACAAAGCAGCCGGGCAGCTCGAACTGGGTGGAGCCCACCACAGCTCAAGGAGGCCTGCCTGCCTCTGTAGGCTCCACCTCTGGGGGCAGGGCACAGACAAACAAAAAGACAGCAGTAACCTCTGCAGACTTAAGTGTCCCTGTCTGACAGCTTTGAAGAGAGCAGTGGTTCTCCCAGCACGCAGCTGGAGATCTGAGAACGGGCAGACTGCCTCCTCAAGTGGGTCCCTGACCCCTGACCCCCGAGCAGCCTAACTGGGAGGAACCCCCCAGCAGGGGCACACTGACACCTCACACGGCAGGGTATTCCAACAGACCTGCAGCTGAGGGTCCTGTCTGTTAGAAGGAAAACTAACAACCAGAAAGGACATCTACACCGAAAACCCATCTGTACATCACCATCATCAAAGACCAAAAGTAGATAAAACCACAAAGATGGGGAAAAAACAGAACAGAAAAACTGGAAACTCTAAAACGCAGAGCGCCTCTCCTCCTCCAAAGGAACGCAGTTCCTCACCAGCAACAGAACAAAGCTGGATGGAGAATGATTTTGACGAGCTGAGAGAAGAAGGCTTCAGACGATCAAATTACTCTGAGCTACGGGAGGACATTCAAACCAAAGGCAAAGAAGTTGAAAACTTTGAAAAAAATTTAGAAGAATGTATAACTAGAATAACCAATACAGAGAAGTGCTTAAAGGAGCTGATGGAGCTGAAAACCAAGGCTCGAGAACTACGTGAAGAATGCAGAAGCCTCAGGAGCCGATGCGATCAACTGGAAGAAAGGGTATCAGCAATGGAAGATGAAATGAATGAAATGAAGCGAGAAGGGAAGTTTAGAGAAAAAAGAATAAAAAGAAATGAGCAAAGCCTCCAAGAAATATGGGACTATGTGAAAAGACCAAATCTACGTCTGATTGGTGTACCTGAAAGTGATGTGGAGAATGGAATCAAGTTGGAAAACACTCTGCAGGATATTATCCAGGAGAACTTCCCCAATCTAGCAAGGCAGGCCAACGTTCAGATTCAGGAAATACAGAGAACGCCACAAAGATACTCCTCGAGAAGAGCAACTCCAAGACACATAATTGTCAGATTCACCAAAGTTGAAATGAAGGAAAAAATGTTAAGGGCAACCAGAGAGAAAGGTCGGGTTACCCTCAAAGGAAAGCCCATCAGACTAACAGCGGATCTCTCGGCAGAAACCCTACAAGCCAGAAGAGAGTGGGGGCCAATATTCAACATTCTTAAAGAAAAGAATTTTCAACCCAGAATTTCATATCCAGCCAAACTAAGCTTCATAAGTGAAGGAGAAATAAAATACTTTATAGACAAGCAAATGCTGAGAGATTTTGTCACCACCAGGCCTGCCCTAAAAGAGCTCTTGAAGGAAGCGCTAAACATGGAAAGGAACAACCGGTACCAGCCGCTGCAAAATCATGCCAAAATGTAAAGACCATCGAGACTAGGAAGAAACTGCATCAACTGATGAGCAAAATCACCAGCTAACATCATAATGACAGGATCAAATTCACACATAACAATATTAACTTTAAATATAAATGGACTAAATTCTGCAATTAAAAGACACAGACTGGCAAGTTGGATAAAGAGTCAAGACCCATCAGTGTGCTGTATTCAGGAAACCCATCTCATGTGCAGAGACACACATAGGCTCAAAATAAAAGGATGGAGGAAGATCTACCAAGCCAATGGAAAACAAAAAAAGGCAGGGGTTGCAATCCTAGTCTCTGATAAAACAGACTTTAAACCAACAAAGATCAAAAGAGACAAAGAAGGCCATTACATAATGGTAAAGGGATCAATTCAACAAGAGGAGCTAACTATCCTAAATATTTATGCACCCAATACAGGAGCACCCAGATTCATAAAGCAAGTCCTCAGTGACCTACAAAGAGACTTAGACTCCCACACATTAATAATGGGAGACTTTAACACCCCACTGTCAACATTAGACAGATCAACGAGACAGAAAGTCAACAAAGATACCCAGGAATTGAACTCAGCTCTGCACCAAGCAGACCTAATAGACATCTCCAGAACTCTCCACCCCAAATCAACAGAATATACATTTTTTTCAGCACCACACCACACCTATTCCAAAATTGACCACATAGTTGGAAGTAAAGCTCTCCTCAGCAAATGTAAAAGAACAGAAATTATAACAAACTATCTCTCAGACCACAGTGCAATCAAACTAGAACTCAGGATTAAGAATCTCACTCAAAGCCGCTCAACTACATGGAAACTGAACAACCTGCTCCTGAATGACTACTGGGTACATAACGAAATGAAGGCAGAAATAAAGATGTTCTTTGAAACCAACGAGAACAAAGACACCACATACCAGAATCTCTGGGACGCATTCAAAGCAGTGTGTAGAGGGAAATTTATAGCACTAAATGCCTACAAGAGAAAGCAGGAAAGATCCAAAATTGACACCCTAACATCACAATTAAAAGAACTAGAAAAGCAAGAGCAAACACATTCAAAAGCTAGCAGAAGGCAAGAAATAACTAAAATCAGAGCAGAACTGAAGGAAATAGAGACACAAAAAACCCTTCAAAAACTCAATGAATCCAGGAGCTGGTTTTTTGAAAGGATCAACAAAATTGATAGACCGCTAGCAAGACTAATAAAGAAAAAAAGAGAGAAGAATCAAATAGACACAATAAAAAATGATAAAGGGGATATCACCACCGATCCCACAGAAATACAAACTACCATCAGAGAATACTACAAACACCTCTACGCAAATAAACTAGAAAATCTAGAAGAAATGGATACATTCCTTGACACATACACTCTCCCAAGACTAAACCAGGAAGAAGTTGAATCTCTGAATAGACCAATAACAGGCTCTGAAATTGTGGCAATAATCAATAGTTTACCAACCAAAAAGAGTCCAGGACCAGATGGATTCACAGCCGAATTCTACCAGAGGTACAAGGAGGAACTGGTACCATTCCTTCTGAAACTATTCCAATCAATAGAAAAAGAGGGAATCCTCCCTAACTCATTTTATGAGGCCAGCATCATTCTGATACCAAAGCCGGGCAGAGACACAACCAAAAAAGAGAATTTTAGACCAATATCCTTGATGAACATGGATGCAAAAATCCTCAATAAAATACTGGCAAACCGAATCCAGCAGCACATCAAAAAGCTTATCCACCATGATCAAGTGGGCTTCATCCCTGGGATGCAAGGCTGGTTCAATATACACAAATCAATAAATGTAATCCAGCATATAAACAGAGCCAAAGACAAAAACCACATGATTATCTCAATAGATGCAGAAAAAGCCTTTGACAAAATTCAACAACCCTTCATGCTAAAAACTCTCAATAAATTAGGTATTGATGGGACGTATCTCAAAATAATAAGAGCTATCTATGACAAACCCACCGCCAATATCATACTGAATGGGCAAAAACTGGAAGCATTCCCTTTGAAAACTGGCACAAGACAGGGATGCCCTCTCTCACCGCTCCTATTCAACATAGTGTTGGAAGTTCTGGCCAGGGCAATCAGGCAGAAGAAGGAAATAAAGGGTATTCAATTAGGAAAAGAGAAAGTCAAATTGTCCCTGTTTGCAGACGACATGATTGTTTATCTAGAAAACCCCATCGTCTCAGCCCAAAATCTCCTTAAGCTGATAAGCAACTTCAGCAAAGTCTCAGGATACAAAATCAATGTACAAAAATCACAAGCATTCTTATACACCAACAACAGACAAACAGAGAGCCAAATCATGGGTGAACTCCCATTCACAATTGCTTCAAAGAGAATAAAATACCTAGGAATCCAACTTACAAGGGATGTGAAGGACCTCTTCAAGGAGAACTACAAACCACTGCTCAAGGAAATAAAAGAGGACACAAACAAATGGAAGAACATTCCATGCTCATGGGTAGGAAGAATCAATATCGTGAAAATGGCCACACTGCCCAAGGTAATTTACAGATTCAATGCCATCCCCATCAAGCTACCAATGACTTTCTTCACAGAATTGGAAAAAACTACTTTAAAGTTCATATGGAACCAAAAAAGAGCCCGCATTGCCAAGTCAATCCTAAGCCAAAAGAACAAAGCTGGAGGCATCACACTACCTGACTTCAAACTATACTACAAGGCTACAGTAACCAAAACAGCATGGTACTGGTACCAAAACAGAGATATAGATCAATGGAACAGAACAGAGCCCTCAGAAATAACGCCACATACCTACAACTATCTGATCTTTGACAAACCTGAGAAAAACAAGCAATGGGGAAAGGATTCCCTATTTAATAAATGGTGCTGGGAAAACTGGCTAGCCATATGTAGAAAGCTGAAACTGGATCCCTTCCTTACACCTTATACAAAAATCAATTCAAGATGGATTAAAGATTTAAACGTTAAACCTAAAACCATAAAAACCCTAGAAGAAAACCTAGGCATTACCATTCAGGACATAGGCGTGGGCAAGGACTTCATGTCCAAAACACCAAAAGCAATGGCAACAAAAGACAAAATTGACAAATGGGATCTAATTAAACTAAAGAGCTTCTGCACAGCAAAAGAAACTATCATCAGAGTGAACAGGCAACCTACAACATGGGAGAAAATTTTCGCAACCTACTCATCTGACAAAGGGCTAATATCCAGAATCTACAATGAACTCAAACAAATTTACAAGAAAAAAACAAACAACCCCATCAAAAAGTGGGCGAAGGACATGAACAGACACTTCTCAAAAGAAGACATTTATGCAGCCAAAAAACACATGAAGAAATGCTCATCATCACTGGCCATCAGAGAAATGCAAATCAAAACCACTATGAGATATCATCTCACACCAGTTAGAATGGCAATCATTAAAAAGTCAGGAAACAACAGGTGCTGGAGAGGATGCGGAGAAATAGGAACACTTTTACACTGTTGGTGGGACTGTAAACTAGTTCAACCATTGTGGAAGTCAGTGTGGCGATTCCTCAGGGATCTAGGACTAGAAATACCATTTGACCCAGCCATCCCATTACTGGGTATATACCCAAATGACTATAAATCATGCTGCTATAAAGACACATGCACACGTATGTTTATTGCGGCACTATTCACAATAGCAAAGACTTGGAACCAACCCAAATGTCCAACAATGATAGACTGGATTAAGAAAATGTGGCACATATACACCATGGAATACTATGCAGCCATAAAAAATGATGAGTTCATATCCTTTGTAGGGACATGGATGAAATTGGAAACCATCATTCTCAGTAAACTATCGCAAGAACAAAAAACCAAACAACGCATATTCTCACTCATAGGTGGGAATTGAACAATGAGATCACATGGACACAGGAAGGGGAATATCACACTCTGGGGACTGTGGTGGGGTCGGGGGAGGGGGGAGGGATAGCATTGGGAGATATACCTAATGCTAGATGACACATTAGTGGGTGCAGCGCACCAGCATGGCACATGTATACATATGTAACTAACCTGCACAATGTGCACATGTACCCTAAAACTTAGAGTATAATAAAAAAAAAAAAAAAAAAGAAAATCATGCTTTTTTTCCCCAAGTTTTATTTTAGATAGAGGGGGTACATGTACAGATTTGTTACATGGGTATTACACTCTGGTAGTCATCACAGTACCCAGTAGGTAGTTTTTTGACCTACGCCCTTCTCCTTCCCCTCCCCTCTAGTAGTCTGCAGTGTCTATTGTTCCCATGTTTACGACCGTGGGTACTCAAC
The DNA here is from genome assembly GCF_000001405.40 of Homo sapiens. Lineage (NCBI taxonomy): Eukaryota > Metazoa > Chordata > Mammalia > Primates > Hominidae > Homo > Homo sapiens. Next base: position 72,988,451 of record NC_000006.12, on the reverse strand, counting down.
ATTTAGCATCCACTTATAAGTAAGAACATCTGGTATTTGTTTTTTTGTTCCTGTACTAATTTGCTTAGGACTTTGGCCTCCAGTTTCATCCATGTTGGGACAAAGGACATGATTTCATTCTTTTGTTTGTTTGTTTTTAGTGGTTGGGTGATCCCAGGGCATTTTATTACTTTATCCCTGAACTTCCTTTGCCTCATCTATAAGATGCGGATAATAATAGCACCCATTTCATAATTATGAAGATTAAATACATTAAGGAAAACACTAGTATGTGCCTAGCACCTGCTAAACACTCAACAAAGGTCATCTGTACACATTGATGTCTCAAACAGGGACGGAATGTTTAACACAGAAAACAGGAGGTTTTAGCCACTCACTTGTTCTCCTGGCTCCCCAAACATGAGCTGCCTCTCCCCAGTTCATCCAAGCCCATCAAGATAGTTGTCCTTGTCCTTGTCCTTAGTCTCCACAGGTGTTCAATGTGAGCCAACTGTCAGATGGCTTTCATCAGCACAACTGAATAACCCACTTATGCCTAGTGTTCCATTATTGGAACGCTAAGTTTATGGGAGTTATTTATATCCTACTGCTCAAGGTCATCACCAAGATCTGATTTTTCACCAAAAAAAACTTGTAATCTCCAGCATAAATGGGATAATCAAAGCAATTGTGGCAGTTTTGAGGGGACAAAACTCTAGAGTTTAATCTTCCAGCTTGGCTAACTTGGAAGCGTTCCTATGAATATAAAAGATCTTGTTGGGGGCGGTGGAGAAGCAGAGACGGGCTCCGCGGCTGTACTTCCAGCTCATGGCCCGGTCACAGTCCTGCTGCAGGTTCTGCTGCAGGTTCTGCTGCAGGCTGTCGGCCGCCTTCTTGCTGAGGGCTATGTTGGACCTTGCAATCGTGCTGCGGGGCTTGGAGGGGGTGGCGGCTGAACGAAGGGGACAGGTTTTTGAAGCCACCAGTAAGTTTGAGAAACTTCAGTTTCTGTTCCTCGTTGTCAAAACCAGCAGTATCCCACTGGCCAAACTAGGTTCCCGTCCACTTCCTGGTTTCACAAGCTTCCGTTTTGCCTGACTCTCGATCGATCTCTCCTTGCAAGGCCTTTCGCCTCACCTGGTCTATGTGCGCCTCGTCCATGTTGCCTTTCTTTTCCAACACCACCTCTAAGTCCGTCTCTGTTTCCTCCTTCCAAGGGTCTCTTGCTGCCCCACTCTCTTTCCTCTTGTTCTTTTTCTTCCTTTTCAGAGCCGGCTCCTCAATGATTGGCTGCTCTACCTTCTTGGACTTCATCTTTTTCTTCTCGGGGGCCTTAGGGCCATCTCCTTTGGGGATGGATGTATTCCGGAGCCTCAACTTTGGCTTCGTTTTACTTCCTTTCCTAGGGCTGCTCTCCATGGACCTGAAGGGCTTGGAGTGGCCTGGGAGGGCATCTCCCTCCTGGTGGATTTTTGTTTTCTTCTTCTTCACCTTCCCACTGTGCTCCCTGGGGCTCTTCTGCTTCCGTTATCTGCCCCAAGGCTGCCTGTTCCTCACCCTTCTTCCCCACTGAGCAAGTGTCCGCAGCATCCCCAGCCTCGCAGAACCAAGGGTTCTGGACTGAGAGGGCTGTGGGGTCCTGGGCCCCCTTTGTTTCCTTCTTGTGTTATTTGAGCTTCTTGCCAACTCTGGTTTCCTCTTCACCCTGTCTGGGGTCTGGGGAGGTTTTCACCCCAGAGGCATGGGACATGGCTGGAGGTGACTTCTTCTTTTTCTTCTCCCCACAGAGGAACTCCAAATGGCCAAGCACCTGCTTCCTGGGATTGGGTGACTTCTCTGACCGTCTGGCACGCAGCGTGGTGTCAGGTTCTACGTGCTCCTCACAAAGGGTGCTGACACCCTTCTTTTACTTGTTTTCTTCACTAGAGGCATCTCAGGTGCCTTCCCATGGACCACACTCTTAGAGGGGGATGTGGCTCTTATAGGAGAAACATTGGCAAAGTAATCATCATTGTTTAAAATTGAGTATTGAGTCTCTGGTTCTTTGACCACTTTCTTCTTCTTTTTCTTCTCTGGGAGCCCAGGGCCCAGGTCTGCTTTGTGTTTCTTGGTGATCATTCTGATGGACCAAACTTCCCCACCTCCACATGAGAGCCTGCTCCACTGTGACCCCAATTTCATTCTTTTTTATGACTGTGTAGTATTCCGTGGTGTATATGTTCCACATTTTCTTTCTTTCTTTTGAGATGGAGTCTCACACTGTCACCCAGGCTGGAGTGCAATGGTGCGATCTCGGCTCACTGCAACTTCTGCCTGCTGGGTTCAAGCGATTCTCCTGTCTCAGCCTCCCGAGTAGCTAGGATTACAGGTGCCCACCACAAGGCCCGGCTAATTTTTTGTATTTTTAGTAGAGACGGGCTTTCACCATGTTGGCCAGGCTGGTCTCGAACTCCTGACCTCATGATTCACCTGCCTTGGCCTCCCAAAGTGCTGGGATTACAGGCATGAGCCACCATACCTAGCCTCCACATTTTCTTTATCCGATCCACCATTGATGGGCAGCTAGTTGACTCCATATTTTTGCTGTTGTGAATAGTGCAGCAATGAACACAGGAGTACATATGTCTTTTTGGTGTAATGATCTATTTTCCTTTGGGTATATAGCCAGTAATGGTATTGCTGGGTCAAATGGTAGTTTTCTGCTTTAAGTTCTTTAAGAAATCTCTAAACTGCTTTCCAAAGTAGTTGAACTAATTTACCTTCCCACTAACAGGATATAAGTTGTCCGTTTTCTCCACAGCCTCACCAGCATCTGTTGTTTTTGACTTTTCAATACTAGCCATTCTGACTAGTGTGAGATGAAATATCATTGTGGTTTTCATTTGCATTCTGTGGTGGAAAATCAGGCTTTTTGATGGAAAATTAGGAAGAGGTTAGGATTTTCATAGCTCTGATCTCTTGGTGTTACTGTAACAATACTGACCACCAACAAGTAGGATTATTTCTTTTCTATTCCTGTAATTTAAAAAAGTCCTTTTTGGGGACAGGGGAATGTTGTGGTTTATCTGGTTTTCAGCTCATCTGAAATTACTCTTGATGACTGTGGTTTTTTAAACTGTTAAAAATATGCTGTTAGTTACATGCCTTCCATTTTCTCAATATTTAAAAACACAGAGTAAAAAATCTGAGTTCTTTGGAGAATTTCTGGGTGAACAAGATTGATTTCTTCCTACGTTCTTTCTTGCTTCTCTTTTTTTTGGTGCATGTGTCACAACATATTGCGCTGTCGCCCACACTGGTGTACAGTGGCCAGATCATAGCTCACTGCAGCCTTGAACATCTGGGCTCACGCAATCCTCCTGCTTCAGCCTCCCAAGTATCTAGGACTACCAGCACATGCCACTATGCCAGGTTAATTTAGACAAAAATTTTTGTAGTGACAGTCTCACTTTGTTGCCCAGGCTGGTCTAACTACTGATTTCATGTGATCTTCCTGCATTGCCCTCACAAAGTGCTGGGGTTACAGGTGTGAGCCACTGTGCCTGACTTCTTGCTTTTCTTATAGGCCCTCTCCAGGGCTTCGAATTTCTTGTTTTTACTGTTATTAAAAAAAATTGTTGGGATTGGTTCCAAAATGGCCGAATAGCAACAGCTCTGGTCTGCAGCTCCCAGTGTGATCGACACAGAAGACGGGTGATTTCTGCATTTCCAACTGAGGTACCTGGTTCATCTCACTGGGACCAGTTGGACAGTGGGTGCAGCCCATGGAGGGTGAGCTGAAGCAGGGCGGGGTATTGCCTCACCCAGGAAGCACAAGGGGTGGGGGGATTTCCGTTTCCTAGCCAAGGGAAGCCGTGACAGACTGTACCTGGAAAATCGGGACACTGCCACCCCAATACTAGGCTTTTCCAATGGTCTTAGCAAACAGCAAACCAGGAGAGTATATCCCATGTCTGGCTCGATGGGTCTCACGCCTATGGAGCCTTGCTCACTGCTAGCACAGCAGTCCAAGATCAAACTGTGAGGCGGCAGCCTGGCTGCGGGAGGGGCATCCACCATTGCTGAGGCTTGAGTAGGTAAACAAAGCAGCCTGGAAGCTCAAACTGGGTGGAGCCCACGCAGCTCAACAAGGCCTGCCTGCCTTTGTAGACTCCACCTCTGGGGGCAGGGCATAGCTGAACAAAGGGCAGCAGAAACCACTGCAGATTTAAACGTCCCTGTCTGACAGCTCTGAAGAGAGCAGTGGTTCTCCCAGCATGGTGTTCGAGATCTGAGAATGGACACACTGCCTCCTCAAGTGGGTCCCTGACCCCCATGTAGCCTAACTGGGAGACAGCTCCCAGTAGGGGCCGACTGACACCTCATACAGCCCGATGCCCCTCTGGGACGAAGCTTCCAGAGGAAGGGTCAGGCAGCAATATTTGCTAGTCTGCAATATTTGCTGTTCTGCAGCCTCCACTGGTGACACCCAGGAAAACAGGGTCTGGAGTGGACCGCCAGGAGTGGACCGCCAGCAAACTCCAATAGATCTGCAGCTGAGGGACCTGACTGTTAGAAGGAAAATTAACAAACAGAAAGGAATAGCATGAACATCCACAAAAAGGACATCCACACCAAAACCCCATCTGTAGATCACCATCATCAAAGACCAAAGGTAGATAAAACCACGAAGATGGGGAGAAACAAGAACAGAAAAGCTGAAAATTCTAAAAAGCAGAGTGCCTCTTCTCCTCCAAAGGATCGCAGCGCCTCACCAGCAATGGAACAAAACTGGACAGAGAATGACTTTGACAAGTTGGCAGAAGTAGGCTTCAGAAGGTTGGTAATAACAAAATTCTCCGAGCTAAAGGAGGATGTTCGAGCCCATCACAAGGAAGCTAAAAACCTTGAAAAAAGATTAGATGAATGGTTAACTAGAATAAACAGTGTAGAGAAGACCTTAAATGACCTGATGGAGCTGAAAACCATGGCATGAGAACTATGTGATACATGCACAAGCTTCAACAGCCTTATCGATCAAGTGGAAGAAAGGGTATCAGTGATTGAAGATCAAATTAATGAAATGAAGTGAGAAGAGAAGTTTAGAGAAAAAAGAGTAAAAAGAAATGAACAAAGCCTCCAAGAAATGTGAGACTATGTGAAAAGACAAAATCTACATTTGATTGGTGTACCTGAAAGTGACAGGGCGAATGGAACCAAGTTGGAAAACACTCTTCAGGATATTATCCAGGAGAACTTCCCCAACCTAGCAAGGCAGGCCAACATTCAAACTCAGGAAATACAGAGAACACCACAAAGATATTCCTTGAGAAGAACAACCCCAAGACACATAATTGTCAGATTCACCAAGGTTGAAATGAAGGAAAAAATATTAAGGGCAGCCAGAGAGAAAGGTCGGGTTACCCACAAAGGGAAGCCCATCAGACTAACAGCGGATCTCTCGGCAGAAACTCAACAAGCCAGAAGAGAGTGGGGGCAAATATTCAATATTCTTAAAGAAAAGAATTTTCAACCCAGAATTTCATATCCAGCCAAACCAAGCTTCATAAGTGAAGGAGAAATAAAATCCTTTACAGACAAGCAAATGCTGAGAGATTTTGTTACCACCAGGCCTGCCTGACAAGAGCTCCTAAAGGAAGCACTAAACATGGAAAGCAACAACCGGTACCAGACACTGCAAAAACGTCAAATTGTGAAGACCATTGATGCTAGGAAGAAACTGCATCAACTAATGGGCAAAATAACCAGCTAACATCATAATGACAGATCAAATTCACACATAACAATATTAACCTTAAATGTAAATGGGATAAATGCCCCAATTAAAAGACACAGACTGGCAAATTGGATAAAGAGTCAAGACCCATCAGTGTGCTGTATTCAGGAGACCCATCTCACATGCAGAGACACACATAGGCTCAAGATAAAGAGATGGAGGAAGATCTACAAAGCAAATGGAAAGCAAAAAAAAAAAAAAAAAAAAAAGCAGGGGTTGCAATCCTAGTCTCTGATAAAACAGACTTTAAACCAACAAAGATCAAAAGAGACAAAGAACACAAGGCCATTACATAATGGTAAAGGGATCAATTCAACAAGAAGAGCTAACTGTCCTAAATATATATGTACCCAATACAGGAGCACCCAGATTCATAAAGCAAGTCCTTAGAGACTTACAAAGAGACTTAGACTCCCACACAATAATAATGGGAGACTTTAACATCCCACTGTCAATATTAGACAGATAACGAGACAGAAGGTTAACAAGAATATACAAGACTTGAACTCAGCTCTGCACCAAGCAGACCTAATAGACATCTACAGAACTTTCCAACCCAAATCAACAGAATATACATTCTTCTCAGCACCACATCACACTTATTCCAAAATTGACCACAGAGTTGGAAGTAAAGCACTCCTCTGCAAATGTAAAAGGACAGAAATCACAACAAACTGTCTCTTAGACCACAGTGCAATCAAATTAGAACTCAGGAATAAGAAACTCACTCAAAATCGCATGACTGTGTGGAAACTGAACAACCTGCTCCTGAACGACTACTGGGTAAATAACGAAATGAAGGCAGAAATAAAGATGTTCTTTGAAAGCAATGAGAACAAAGACACAACCAGAATCTCTGGGACACATTTAAAGCAGTGTGTAGAGGGAAATTTATAGCACTAAATGCCCACAAGAGAAAGCAGGAAAGATCTAAAATCAACACCTTAACATCACAATTAAAAGAAGTAGAGAAGCAAGAGCAAACACATTCAAAAGCTAGCAGAAGGCAAGGAATAACTAAGATCAGAGCAGAACTGAAGGAGTTAGAGACACAAAAAACCCTTCAAAAAAATCAGTGAATCCAGGAGCTGGCTTTTTGAAAAGATCAACAAAATTGATAGACCACTAGCAAGACTAATAAAGAAGAGAAGAGAGAAGAATCAAATAGATGCAATAAAAAATGAAAAGGGGATATCACCACCGATCCCACAGAAATACAAACTACCATCAGAGAATACTATAAACACCTCTCTGCAAATAAACTAAAAAATCTAGAAGAAATAGATAAATTCCTATACATATACACCCTCCCAAGACTAAACCAGGAAGAAGTTGAATCCCTGAATAGACCAATAACAGGCTCTGAAATTGAGGCAATAATTAATAGCCTACCAACCAAAAAAAGTCCAGGACCAGAAGGATTCACAGCTGAATTCTACCAGCGGTACAAAGAGGAGCTGGTACCATTTCTTCTGAAACTATTCCAATCAATAGAAAAAGAGGGAATCCTCCCTAACTCATTTTATGAGGCCAGCATCATTCTGATACCAAAGCCTGGCAGAGACACAACAAAAAAAGAGAATTTTAGACCAATATCCCGAGGAATATCGATGAGAAAATCCTCAATAAAATACTGGCAAACCAAATCAGCAGCACATCAAAAAGCTTATCCACCAAGACCAAGTTGGCTTCATCCCTGGGATGCAAGGCTGGTTCAACATATGCAAATCAATAAATGTAATCCATCACATAAACAGAATCAAAGACAAAAACCACTTGATTATCTCAACAGATGCAGAAAAGGCCTTTGACAAAATTCAACAGCCCTCTCAATAAACTAGGTATTGATGGAACGTATCTCAAAATAATAAGAGCTATTTATGACAAACCCACAACCAATATCATACTGAATGGGCAAAAACTGGAAGCATTTCCTTTGAAAACTGGCACAAGACAGGGATGCCCTCTCTCACCACTCCTATTGAACATAGTGTTGGAAGTTCTGGCCAGGGCAATCAGGCAAGAGAAAGCAATAAAAGGTATTCAATTAGGAAAAGAGGAAGTCAAATTGTCGCTGTTTGTAGATGACATGATTGTATATTTAGAAAACCCTACCCTCTCAGCCCAAAATCTCCTTAAGCTAATAAGCAAGTTCAGCAAAGTCTCAGGATACAAATCCATGTGCAAAAATCACAAGCATTCCTATACACCAATAACAGACAAACAGAGCCAAATCATGAGTGAACTCCCATTCAAAATTGCTACAAAGAGAATGAAATACCTAGGAATCCAACTTACAAGGATGTGAAGGACCTTTTCAAGGAGAAGTACAAACCACTGCTCAATGAAATAAAAGAGGACACAAACAAATGGAAGAACATTCCATGCTCATGGATAGGAAGAATCAATATTGTGAAAATGGCCATACCGCCCAAGGTAATTTATAGATTCAATGCCATCCCCATTAAGCTACCAGTGACTTTCTTTAGAGAATTGGAAAAAACTACTTTAAAGTTCATATGGAACCAAAAAAAGAGCCCACATTGCCAAGTCAATCCTAAGCAAAAAGAATAAAGCTGGAGGCATGATGCTACCTGGCTTGAAACTATACTACAAGGCTACAGTAACCAAAACAGCATGGTACTGGTACCAAAACAGAGATAGAGACCAATGGAACAGAACAGAGGCCTCAGAAATAACACCACACATCTACAACCATCTGAGCTTTGGCAAACCTGACAAAAACAAGAAATGGGGAAAGAATTCCCTATTTAATAAATGGTGCTGGGAAAACTGGCTAGCCATATGTAGAAAGCTGAAACTGGATCCCTTCCTTACACCTTATACAAAAATTAATTCAAGATGGATCAAAGACTTAAATGTTAGACCTAAAACCATAAAAACCCTAGAAGAAAACCTAGGCATTACCATTCAGGACATAGGCACAGGCGAGGACTTCATGACTAAAACATCAAAAGCAATGGCAACAGAAGCCAAAATTGACAAATGGAATCTAATTAAACTAAGAGCTTCTGCATGGCAAAAGAAACTACCATCAGAGTGAACAGGCAACCTACAGAATGGGAGAAAATTTTTGCAATCTACCCATCTAACAAAGGGCTAATATCCAGAGTCCACAAAGAACTTAAACAAATTTACAAGAAAAAAATCAAACAACCCCATCAAGAAGTGGGCAAAGGATATGAACAGACACTTCTCAAAAGAAGATATTTATGCAGCCAACAGACACATGAAAAAATGCTCATCATCACTGGTCATCAAAGAAATGCAAATCAAAACCACAATGAGATACCATCTCACACCAGTTAGAATGGAGATCATTAAAAAGTCAGGAAAGAACAGATGCTGGAGAGGATGTGGAGAAATAGGAATACTTTTACACTGTTGGTGGGAGTAAATTAGTTCAACCATTGTGGAAGACAGTGTGGCGATTCCACAAGGATCTAGAACTAGAAATACCATTTCACCCAGCATTCCCATTACTGGGTATATACCCAAAGGATTATAATCATGCTACTATAAAGATACATACACACGTATGTTTACTGCGGCACTATTCACAATAGCAAAGACTTGGAACCAACCCAAATATTCATCAATGATAGACTGGATTAAGAAAATGTGGCACATATACACCATGGAATACTATGCTGCCATAAAAAAGGTTGAGTTCATATCCTTTGTAGGGACATGGATGAAGCTGGAAACCATCATTCTGAGCAAACTATCACAAGGACAGAAAACCAAACACTGCATGTTCTCACTCACAGGCGGGAACTGAACAATGAGAACACTTGGACACAGGAAGGGGAACATCACACACTGGGGCCTGTTGTGGGGTCAGGGGATGGGGGAGGGATAGCATTAGGAGAAATATGTAATGTAAATGACGAGTTAATGGGTGCAGCAAACCAACACGGCACATGTATACATATGTAACAAACCTGCACGTTGTGCACATGTACCCTAGAACTCAAAGTATAATAAAAAAATTGTGTTCCTAACTTCTGTGTTTCTTTATCTATGTACTTATTCTGTCCACTTACTTTAGTCTGTGTTTTTTAAAAGGATCACAACTGCCTTGAGAAGAGGCTTTGGAATGGGAAAGTCCAGATTCTTCTTAATTGTTGTCTCATCACTGAGTCCCTATCAGAAGTCTGAGTTTCTTGAAGATACTCATTCAGTGTGGAAAGAACCAAATAGATATTGGCCTGTCAAAATAAATAAAAAGGCTCTGCTTCTTGATAGCAGTTGAAAAGGATGTTTTCCATCATAGTAGATGGGACATGCAGTTCATGGCTGAATGGAATGACTGGGAATGATCTTGCTGAATGGAATAAGATCTACAATTTAGAAATCTATCACAGTCAGGTTCTTGCTTTTGCAAGCTGTTTCTGTGTCTTTTCCAGGAAAAATAACTGTGATAAAAAACCAGTGTAGATTGTTCAGGAATAATGAATTCAAAACTGGAAACAAAAACAGCCTTTTCGACTGTTATATATTCAATGTGTGCAACAGGAGAGCATTTATTTGATATTTGATATTCTTGTTAACTCTGTTATATTTTCCTCTGAGCAAACAGCACCACTTGGAATTACAACTCTGTTTATTTTGGTATCCACTACTAAAATGTATCCTCCATGAGAACAGAAAACTTGTGTATCTTATTAACTACTTTATTTCTAGTATCAAGAATAGGACTTGGTACAGGTACTAATCAATTCATTGACGCATTCAACATGTAGTATTCAGGGGCTACTATGTGCCAGGCAGTGTTCTAGGTGCTGAAGGTATAATAGTGAATAAATAGACAAGAATCACTGCCCTTACAGAACTTACATTATAGCGGGAAAGATGGGCCATAAACAACGTATTATTACATAAAATGCATACTGTGTTTGAAAGTGATAACTGCTAAGGAGAAAAAAATAGCAGAGAAAGAGGATAGATAGGATGCAGAAGCGGGGAGAGTTGAACGTATGGACAAAGTGGTCAGGGAAGGTCTCTCTCACTGAAAAGGTGACATTTACTGAATTTGTAAGTGAAACCCCCAAACCCCTAAAGTCATCAAGCCAAAGCAATGGTGCATTTGGAATTCAGCCTGCATAGGTCTTCCGGCCCCTGCTTTCTATGGAACTGCTTTTATCATGCCAATTCCTTGTTTTAAAACTTATGGTTCCTTTCCCTTGCTATCACATCCAGACTCATTCATCTGGCTTTTAAGATCCTCACAAGAACATTAATTCTTCCATTTCTCCAGATAGACCTTCTAGGCAGGTCCGGCTGGTTTCTGTTTCCTGCACAATATCATGCTGTAACATAATAACATGATATAATAATGAAACTTGATGCTTTTGTGTGCTACTTCCCCTGCCTGCAGCCACAGTCTGCAAGTCAGATGTCAGCTGATCCCCAAGCTCATACTCTTTGTGTCCCAGGTACATGGCTTCCTTTCCACATCCTCACTACTTCTCCTCTAGTATTGTTTTGAGAATAAAATGAGATAGCCTCAAAATGAGAATCTGTGTTTTAACATAATAAATAAATAAATACCAAAGAGAGTTAAAAATGCCAGTTGACACATAATTGCTACATAATTTTACAAGTTTTCGCTAACATGGATAACAATGATGACAATGAATTATATTGGTTTATTATATAAAATCCCTGCTTAAAATGCAAAACACTTATAAATGTAAAACATGAAACAATACCCAGCAAAATTTAAGGTGCTCAAGTAATCTGGCTTGGTCTAAGCAAACCCATTTGAAGAATGAATGTAAGAGTTGGGTTTGAATGTGTACAGAGAAGTGCTCAGGGTTCACTAGTCATGGAAACTTCTTGACACACAGACCTCTGCATTCAGCTTCTTGTTACTCCAGTTCCTGGGAAACTATTTGAAGCTGCCTAAATAAATGGGTAATATTGTGAAGCTGCTTGGCTGCAGTCAGTACATGGGAATGAGCCTCACTTAAATTGACCAGGCAGGGTTTCCAAGTCATCATTAAAATGACCACTAATGACTCTGCTGACCTGGCTACCATGCTAATGAATTCACAGTGTGCCCATCCACAACCGAGAAAAGGGCTGCCTTACAGGAAGTGCTAATTATAGCCGTGAATGAATAAAAGTTATTTGTAAGGGTGAGGAAGAGACATTGTAAAATCCATGTGAGTGTTCCTTTTAAAGTTATCTTCTCAAGAAATTAATGTCAATGCTGACACTATGGAAAATAATCCGGTGTAATAGTTTTGATAATACGAATCTATGTGGTTTAAATTTTCCATGCTTTGTTTGGAAGGCTCTGTTTATGCAAGAAAGTGAGCTATGACAAAGGTTGAAAACACATTAAAAGGTGTTTGACAACATTTGTCTGGCCGGAATCATTTTTCCGTAAAAAGGTTGTAAATTTATTAGGCAAATAATGACTTAACCATTGCAATTTTCTATGACTATATGATAATAACCATTACATTATCTGAAAATGAAAAATAGAAACTCTGGAGTACATTTATTTAAGTATGATTATTGGGAACTAAAGTAAGAAAGGATAAAAATAAGCTTAAACTTATTTTTCCCTGGAAACAAAAAGCTATTTTTTTGTTAACCTTGGGTCATGCAGCATAAAAAGCTATTTCAAAGTACTATATTTGCTAATAAAAATCAATTATGAATTTGGTTACTTTCAACTGATTAGACCTACATGATTCACTTGTTTTAAAAAACTTGGAAAGGCTTTCTGAGCGCATTCACATTTCATGGAAAATCTCAGTGCAGCTCTTTGTTACACGTATATACAAGAGGACCCATCACTTATTGTGTGAGGAGAATGTTTTAAAGCAGTCATAAGAACTTGCAACCAAACTGAGCCAGGTTATGCTACAGGGCCGTGGAGTGGGGAATTGCTACTGATTTTGTCCACTTGATTTGGCTTACAGAAATAAAGCAGTGAAGTGACTAAAACAGCAGAAAACAAAATCTTCTTGAGTAAAGTACTCTTGGCAGTAGACTTTATGATGTGGTACAACATCAGGAAAAAATAAACCCAGCAGACAGATGGTCTCCAGAGAGAAATAACCATAAACTCTGAAACTACTACACATGAAAGTACCTGCCCAAGGAATAGAGAAGACAGATGTTTCTCTAGGGATTGACCTACAATGGCACTTGTTGCTCTTGGTGACCAGAGCTAAAAGAAAGCTGAAAGCCAGCATCAGTGTGTGAAGTCACTGAAGTATTTTATAGATCAGAAAAGTTGGCAAGCGATGGACACTAGACAACACAAACTTCCTCTCTCCAAAAATATATTCACAGTCAGCTTTAAAGCTGTAGTCACTCCTCTGGGGTCTGGTAAGTAAAGAAAAAAGGTATGTTTTTTTTCTTGCTGCTGCTATGTATATAAGCATCAAGCTTTTTTTTGTGACCAAAAAAAAAAATTGAAGTTGATGATTTTATGTAGGTAGAAACACATTAGGAGGATAAGAAGAAAGACAAAAATGTGGCTTTACCTAACATATTTTATCCTTCACTGAAAGTTCTAGAGATGTTTACTTAAATTTTGTTATTACTGTTTTAGGTGCATAGTTGAAACTAAAACATATTAAATGGCGCTGGGAGATGTAAAAGTAGAAAGTGTTAGGGTCGGGAGTGGTGGTTCACGCCTGTAATCCTAGCACTTTGGGAGGCCGAGGCGAGTAGATTGCCTGAACTCAGGAGTTTGAGACCAGCCTGGGCAACACAGTGAAACCCTGTCTCTACTAAAATACAAAAAATTAGCCGGGTGTGCCGTGCACCTGTAGTCCCAGCTACTTGGGAGGCTGAGGCAGGAGAATTGCTTGAACCCGGGAGGCGGAGGTTGCAGTGAGCCGAGATGGTGCCACTGCACTCCAGCCTGGATGACAGAGCAAGACTCCATCTAAAAAAAAAAAAAAGTAGAAAGTGTTATTAGCATAGATAGTTTGGCCTAAATTTTCAGTTTTCATGGGCACCTGTCCTATTTTTTAAAAGAGAAACATAACTCAGTTTTCTAATTAGTAAGCTGACAGGGATGCACTAAATAAACATGTCCCATATTTGGTTGTTTTAGGATACTCTGATGTCAATGCTTCTATTTAGAGAGTAGTGGGAGGAGGGCTATGCTGTCAAAGAGTCAGAAATGGTTTCTGATTCCTAGGCCCTTGAAAATGCACGAGGCTGGCAGGGACCCAGAAGTATCACCTGCACAATCCAGAAAAAATGCGTTATTTTCCACTTCTTGCCATAAGAGAGTCTAGGCCTTTTTTTTTTTTTTGCCACTAGTTATTGCCATCTGTAGGAGAGGAAGGGAAGAGAGAAAGATTTATAGCAGGGGTGGACAAACTTTTTCTGTAAATGACCAGATAGTAAATATTTTAGATTTTGTGAGCCATATGGTCTCTCTAGGAGCTACTCAGCACTGCAGTTGTAGTGCAAAAGCAGCTACAAACTGTAAATGAATAGGTGTAATTATGTTCTAATTAAACTTTATTTACAAAAACAAGTGGAAAGCTGGATTTGGTCCATAGGTTACTAACCCTCGGTTTAGAGTATTACAAAGGGCTAAAATGTGATTTCCACTCTCATCTGGCAAGACAATGTTACTTCTCCCCCAGCAAAGTTTTCAGTGTATGTCTCCTCCTACTCAGGTACTCATGATAAAGGGCCCATCATAAATGTACCTTTATGTCAGAACTTATTGTGAATTTAAAGGTTATCATTCAAAAATAAATTTAAAATGTGGGAAAAGTTTATGTACACTGTTGAATGTTTTTGTCTCGTTAAATACAAAAATAACCAAAGGAAAAATAAAGGCAGATAGAGATGTCACATATTTCTTAATTTCTTTGGCAGAACTAAGTTCCCAATACTATTTTGCAAGTGACAGAAAAACTGTTTCTGTTCTTTACTATTCCCTTTTTGTCATTTGTATTAGATAAAATGAGCATCAGTTGATCGGAAGAGTATTTGATCTTTGTCTTTCCTGTTTAATGTTGCTTGGTGGAAAACCGTAATTCAAAGAAAAGCAATAGAAAACTAACCAGGTACTATTACTCATAATAGGTATCAGACAACTTTTACATCACTGTAAAATTCTAAGTGCTTGAAAAGTTTTCCAGAGCATCTCTTTTTTGCCACAAAGCTTTGGGAAACAAAGGAATTTAATGTTCTCAAAGTTCAAAATTATTTTCCATAATAATTCAGCCTTTCAAAGGATTTCTACAAAATCCTTTCCCTCCAGTAAAAAAAAAATTGCAAAATGCTTGACAAAAAAATCCATGGCATCTCTAAAAAAGTATTGTTGACCCATATTTTTCTTTTGAGTGACTTAGGTTTTTTTAGAGAAGTTTATGTTCACAGTAAATTGAGAGGAAGGTGCAAAGATTTCCCATGACTCCCAAATCTTGAAATTTTCTTTTTACTAATGGTAAAACATTTATAGGCCTATCAATATGATATGACTATGATAACCTGTAACCTATGACCAATAAATTATTAATTGAGGGCCATTTATTGCAGAAAGTGGGACTCATTTTTCAACCCATTTGGGACATCAGTGAATGTGGCTATGGTTTTCCTCTGTTACCAAAAGCGTTTCCTTTTCAGTTTGATTTAGTGAACCAGGGAGATTTGGTAGAACTATCATTGAATTACACATTAGAAGGCCTAGAGTTTAGTTTAGTTTCACTACTTCCTAGGTTGTAACTGTTGGACAAATCTCTGATGTACTGTTAGCTTCAATTTTATTCATTGGTAAAATGAAGTCTAATACATGCTGTGTGTAGATAGGATTTGATTATGTAGGTGATGAAATAAAAACATTATACAAACACATTGTATTCTTATGAGAAGATTATAGTGCCCCTGAGATTAGGCCTTTATTTTACTCTTTTTAATTTAGTGGAAGAACAATTTATTGAACACCTACTAGGCACTTGTGTTAACCACCAGGCACTTATACAAAGAAGCAGCTCTTAAAAAGGAATGAGATCATGTCCTTTGCAGGGACATGAATGAAGCTGGAAGCCATCATCCTCAGCAAACTAACACAGGAACAGAAAACCAAACACCATATGTTCTCACTCATAAGTGGGAGTTGAACATTGAGAACACATGAACACAGAGAGGGGAACAGCACACACCAGGGCTTGTTGGGGGGTAGGGGGTGAGGGGAGAAAACTTAGGGGATGGGTCAATAGATGCAGCAAACCACCATGGCACACATATACCTATGTAACAAAACTGCATGTTCTGCACATGTATTCCATTTGTTTTTTCAGAAGAAATAAAGAAAAAAAAAGAAGCAGCTCAATGATTGTTGACTGGTATTGGTTAATTGCTATATTTAATGGCAAGTAGATATTCATCTATTCACTAGTAAATAGATAATGCAAGTCTTTACAAGACTGTCTATTTCCATATTAGATTTCTGAAAGGGAGATTCTGAAAACTGGCTTTCTGGCATGGCAGATTGCCTTCAGACTGACTGCAGTTTGCAGAGGTAGGGGCTGAGGCACTTGTTGGTTAGGGTTAGAGAATTTCTTTACCGGTAGCTAGAAGGCAATACAGCCTTTGACCCCATCAAGAAGCCATAACAAGACATTGTCCCTGTTTCTACTTAAAAATGTCTGCCACAGAACTCACTAGATCATATTTAGCACCTCTTTTTTAAAATTATACTTTAAGTTCTAGGGTATATGTGCACAATGTGCAGGTTTGTTACATATGTATACATGTGCCATGTTGGTGTGCTACACTCATTAACTCGTCATTTACATTAGGTATATCTCCTAATGCTATCCCTCCCCTCTCCTCCCACCCCACAACAGGCCCTGGTGTGTGATGTCCCCCTTCCTGTGTCCAAGTGTTCTCATTGTTCAATTCCCACCTATGAGTGAGAACATGTGATGTTTGGTTTTCTGTCCTTGCGATAGTTTGCTAAGAATGATGGTTTCCAGCTTCATCCATGTCCCTACAAAGGACATGAACTCATCATTTTATATGGCTGCAAAGTATTCCATGGTGTATATGTGCCACATTTCAGTCTATCATTGTTGGGCATTTGAGTTGGTTCCAGGTCTTTGCTATTGTGAATAGTGCTGCAGTAAACATACGTGTGCATGTGTCTTTATAGCAGCATGATTTATAATCCTTTGGGTATATACCCAGTAATGGGATGGCTGGGTCAAATGGTATTTCTAGTTCTAGATCCCTGAGGAATAGCCACACTGTCTTCCACAATGGTTGAACTAGTTTACAGTCCCACCAACAGTGTAAAAGTGTTCCTGTTTTTCCACATCCTCTCCAGCACCGGTTGTTTCCTGACTTTTTAATGATTGCCATTCTAACTGGTGTGAGATGGTATCTCATTGTGGTTTTGATTTGCATTTCTCTGATGGCCAGTGATAATGAGCATTTTTTCATGTGTCTTTTGGCTGCATAAATGTCTTCTTTTGAGAAGTGTCTGTTCATATCCTTCACCCACATGTTGATGGGGTTGTTTTTTTCTTGTAAATTTGTTTGAGTTCTTTGTAGATTCTGGATATTAGCCCTTTGTCAGATGAGTAGATTGCAAAAATTTTCTCCCATTTTGTAGGTTGCCTGTTCACTCTGATGGTAGTTTCTTTTGCTGTGCAGAAGCTCTTTAGTTTAAGTAGATCCCATTTGTCAATTTTGGTTTTTGTTGCCATTGCTTTTGGTGTTTTAGACATGAAGTCCTTGCCCATGCCTATGCCCTGAATGGTATTGCCTAGGTTTTCTTCTAGGGTTTTTATGGTTTTAGGTCTAACATGTAAGTCTTTAATCCATCTTGAATTAATTTTTGTATAAGGTGTAAGGAAGGGATCCAGTTTCAGCTTTCTACATATGGCTAGCCAGTTTTCCCAGCACCATCTGTTAAATAGGGAATCCTTTCCCCATTTCTTGTTTTTTGTCAGGTTTGTCAAAGATCAGATAGTTGTAGATGTGTGGTATTATTTCTGAGGGCTCTGTTCTGTTCCATTAGTCTATATCTCTGTTTTGGTACCAGTACCATGCTGTTTTGGTTACTGTGGCCTTGTAGTATAGTTTGAAGTTAGGTAGCGTGATGCCTCCAGCTTTGTTCTTTTGGCTTACCTCTTATAAAGCCAAATTCTTCTCAACTGGTAATTAGCTTTGGTACTACTGAAACTGCATATAGAAAACTATTGCACTTTTCTATTTACAGATTATTGTATCAGCATTGAATACATGTGCATATGTAATACACACATGGTAGTAATCAAACTATTGGCCAATCACATCAAGGTTTAGATACTTAATCCACTGAAGCTGGTAGTTATTTTGATCTGTAATCATAGTGAGTAATAAGCATGTTTGAATTATGGGGGACTAGTTTCTTATTTGTCTTTTATTATATTTTTAGAGATGGGGTCTTGCTCTGTCATCCAAGCTAGAGTGCAGTGGTGTGATTACAGCTCACTGCAGCCTTGAACTCCTGGGCTCAAGTGATCCCCTCACCTCAGCCTCTGGAGTAATTGGAACTTCTAGTGCACACCACCATGCCCTGCTAATTTATTTTATTTTTTTAGAGATAGGGTCTTGCTATGTTGCCCAAGCAGGTCTCAAACTCCTGGCCTCAAGGAATCCTCCCACCTCAGCCTCCTGAGTGATTTGGATTAAAAGGATGAGCCACCTGCACCCAATGGGAATATTTTCTTGATAGCATTTGTCCTAGAGCCAATCTTCTATGCAGGCCTTAGGACTCCTGCCAAGAGGTTCAGAAGTTGACATCAGATAACCAGACGTTGTTATCCAGACAGTCCTCTTAAGTACCTGAATTCCTGGGAGTGTTTAGATACTCCCAGACAACATCAACAGTAACAGAAATAGGGATAGATAATAGGGAAAGAGCCGCAATAGTTGACTAATTCTGTATACATGGTACTGAATTCAACACAGGGATTTTCTTTGACCTTTAAGGTCTGATGTTTGAGAATTTGTTGACCAAAGAAATGGATTAACATATAGGGACTGCTATAAGTAAACAATCTGTCCAGTCGTATCTAGGAGAAAAATGACGGAATAGAATAATATAAAAGTAGAGGAGGGAAGATGAAGGGAATTCTGATACAAGTTGGGAATGTTACAAGAGTGAAAATACCATCCCAACACAATTGGAAAACTCTACCTAGGGGAGGAGGCACCACTAACTAATGACTGAGACAAACCATTAGGTTCAACCATATGAAATTGCCATTATTGTAGGTCAGAAACAACTGAATTTCAGCAAGTTTACATGGTCTAACCTTACATGTTATACCTGTATTGTGCTTACATTTTGCTATGTATATATGTGTATACATTTATAAATACCCAACACAAAGTTCATGCATATCTTCTTCCAAGATTCAAAAAATCTTAAGATGAAGGAAAGCTGACAATAATATTTATTATAACACATCTCCTTTGTCTAAAGGGTTATCAGTTCAATTACTTTCAAATTTGGTTGTAAACATATATTGTGTTTGGGCATAAATGCTTCTTAATTATTAAGTAATACCTGAATTTGCCACTTTTAAAATAAATATACTTTAAAAAATGAATACACTGAAATTGAGGAGCAACCAAACAGTTCTTACAGAAGCCAAACTGTACTTAGGAAACCCAAGTTGGCTATTTTCAGCTTATTCCTCAACTCCTTAGTTTCAGGTATAAAGTCATCACATACCAATTGGATGACTAGTCCAAAGGGAAGCTTAGTAAGAGATCACATTGTTTATTCTCATCCCTGAAGTCAGCCACACTTGAGAGATGAATAAACAACAGGTGCTGCCCAAGATTACAATGTAGGTTGACTTTGATGCTTCAATTATTTTTGGCCGAGATATTATATTTGTACATCTCTATGTTTGTAAATATTGCATATATGTATATATGGATAATTGTGGAAGTAAGAGCTATACACATCATTAGTTAATCTGATAAATAAACTTTAGTTAGTTTTAGGAGAATATCTCTGGATTATAAGAATAAGCCACTTCATAAAACATTTGTAAAACTTTGTAAAAACAAGTACATAAACAATATAGAAATGTATAACTTAGAAAGTCAAAGTCCCTAATAATCATTGTCTACACCTTTGCCTTCCTCTTTCAAATAATCAATATCATCAATTTGGGAGATATAATCTGAATTTCCCCCTCCTCATCACATGTTCTGTTTTTTTTTTCACTTATTTCTTTAAAAGTCTATCCTCCTTTGAGATTCTTTTCTTCACCCGTCTAGATCATAATGATATTTCTCTTCTCTACACTTTCAGTACTTTGAGTTTGCATGTTAATAATAAAATGTCTCACACGGTTCTCTAATTCAGTATTCCCCAGACTGTTTTCCATAGAACACCACTATCCCAAGAGATTTTTATAGATCTGTCTCAAGAAAAAGTTGCTCTGTCAAAAACACTTAGGGAGTTCTGGGTTCAATGACAATAACTGTATTTCTTTGTTGCAGAACTTCTGAGACACTGTGAGTGTGTGTGTGTTTGTATGTTTGTGTGTGTGTATGTAAGTTTCTATTCACATTTTATATAAATGAAAACATATCTTTGTCACATATATCAGATGTCCAATTTTGAGACTTGGTTGTGTTGGGGTCGCTAAGGAGAAGTGGCCCTGCGAATGAGGAAGAGACAGTGAGGGTCAAGAAGGAAGGTCAGAGTAAGCAGGGAAGAATCCAAAGAACATGGTATCCTAAAATCCAAAAGAGTTTTCAGAAGGAGAAAATGGGTCAGGTGCAGTGGCTTATGCCTGTAACCTCCACACGTTGGGAGGCCAAGGTATAGGGATCTCTTGAGGCCAGAAGTTTGAGACCTGCCTAGACAACATAGTGAGAACCTACTGAGACATCTTTAACTTCTTAGGTGTGAATGGTGAAGTTCCAGGGGAAGATTTTAGTATGCCACATTTCTAAAATTTGCATCCAGGAACATCATCCTATTCACCTTCTGACTGATATCTTAAGTGACCTTAATGGTTTTTAGAACCTTGTATGGAAAACTCTACATTCTTGAGAGCAGGGACTTTGTTCTTCATTCCTTTTTGAGACCCTTGTAGTGCATAGCATAGATCTGAAAACATCAAAGCACCCAACAAATATCCGTTGATTGCATCATATGGTTGAAGGAAATAAAAAGAAAAAAATGAAAAATATATTGAAAGATAACTAATATATGCCCAAACTTTTCACCATACATTTTCCTCACTGATTTATTTATCTTGAATTAAATAAAGGGATATTTTTTTGTCTTTAAGATGTACATCTTAAAATTACATAATACCATTATATTTCACTATACTGATCAAAAGTTATTGCATAGGAAGGGTGTACAGACTGATTATGAAATCCCAGTGAGAATATGAAAAATTTGCTGACTAAAATTTTTATAGTGCAAGAAATGTGTTTCTATCCTAAAGAGGGTTATAAAATGGGAGAAATAAAACCCTAAGAGTCATATCATTAAATTTATGGAAGTTCATTTCCTGTGTGTGAGGAGAGTCTAATGGAAAACTTTATAACCATGGACCTTCTCCTTTGTCACAGCTGAAGGGATCCAATGCTAAAATTCTGTTCCATGTAACAAAAAGTACAGTAGAAGAAAATATTGTATCTTGAGTATATTCCTGTCCTTCTATATCTTCCTCTGACTTCTGTAAGATATATTTTAAAAACTCAGTCCACATTCCTTAATTCCTCCAACTCCCTCCAGAAACAACAGGTCTTCAAGGTGTAATTGGGTAACTTTTATTGAAATCAGCTGTTGGTAGTCCCTGGCAACCATATGTGCCAGTTATTGAGTCACAGAGGAAGTGCTGGGTTCCTGAACACAGTCTGTATGGAGTAAATTCTCGAAGCATTTGGCCCTATCTCACAATGCCTCTCACTTTGCCCTGCTCATGATCCAGTCATGGATTTTAAATTGAACCCATGTTTCTGTTTCCATACTGAAAGTTAAGTTTTAGCATAAATATTTGAGGGTCACCACAAATTTAAGAGGATACCTTTCAAAATATGCTTTTCTTTTTTTTCTCTCTCTCTTTTTCTTTCTTTCTTTCTTTGATGGAGTTTCACTCTTGTCACCGAGGCTGAAGTGCAGTGTGGTGATCTTGCCTCACTGCAACCTCTGCCTCCCGGGTTCAAGAGATTCTCCTTCCTCAGCCTCCTGAGTAGCTGGGATTACAGGCGCCTGCCACCATGCCCAACTATTTTTTTTTTTTTTGTTATTTTTAATAGAGACAGGGTTTCACCATGTTGGCCAGGCTAGTTTCGAACTCCTAACTTCAGGTGATCCGCCCGCCTTGGCCTCCCAAAGTTCTGGGATTACAGGCATGAGCCACCACACCTAGCCTGCTTTTCTTTTTATAATACAAAAACAAAATAACATTTTTGATTCGAACCTTATTGGGAATATTTGACTGCTAGTCATAAACTGCCTAAACTAATAAATAACAAAGTAATATATTTATGAGACAGCAACAAGAAATTCTTCTTGGGCTCAGGATGATATCTCAAAGTAATAAAAATATATGCTATCTTCTGTATTTGGCTTCAGGACCTGATGGTGGTGGATGGTGGGAAGTGCTCTAACTCGACTGGAGGCAGCACCTCCCCTTCTGCTCCAGCACACGGCCTTGGGCAGGCACTTTAACCTCCCTGGGACTGGCATCTCTCTTCTGTAAAACCAAGAGGTTGATCTGCATAAACACAAATAGCACTTCCACATATGTCCAAATCCATGACAATATTATTCCAGGTAAAAATGTGCAGCAGATCCTCTTACACATAGACAAAGTGGGCCATTCTGTTTTACAAATAGCACTTTTCAAGCAATGTGACTTTTTTGTGCTTAACCCAGTAATGAGCATTTCCTAAAAATTTAAATGCTAATAAGATAAACCTTAATAGCAACTTGATTGTGGAAGTTTGGATTTAAAAATAAAATAGATAATAACTCTGGAGATGACAGGACCACTTTTCTCCTCTAAATTGTTTGATGCTGTGGGTCAGTGGATAGGAAAACAATAAGAACATCTGCTCAGATGACACACTTCACATTCCCGATGAGGCCATAATAGTTCACGATGAAATGTTGAGAAAATGGCTTCTAGGAAAGAAAAAAACAGAAGGAGATACAGCCATTTCTCATTATTTGCAGTGGCAGTTATGTTCTGTAAAGTCACTACAAACACTGAATTAGTAAATACCAAGCCATTGCTCGTAGGGATATACAGGACTAAGTCCCCAGGAGCCTCTGGTCTCATCAGTTTTATCAACTTATCAATACATATTATTGTTTTACCTGTGCTTCCATTTAATGATACGTTATTTAATATTGTTGATTCACTAATGTTGAACTCACAGCCAAGAGCACTGTAACTCATGCCTGAAAGAAGCTTATCTAACCAACTGTGTTTTCTCCAAGAGGCTCATCACAGCCTTCTTGTGCTTTGGAACAGTAGACAGCACTTCAGCACTACTCTTGGGGCCAATTTTAAGTGGTGAAATTATCAACAAAAAGCACAAAAGGCTGAGCATGCCTGTAACCCCAGCACTCGAGGCCGAGGTGGGAGGATCACTTGAGACCAGGAGTTTGAGACCAGCCTAGGAAACGTAGTGAGACCCAATTTCTACAAAATAAACAAATAGATAAATAAAACGTAAACCAAAAAAGAATTTTTTTTTAAAAAAAGCACGAAAATGTGAAAAACAGCAGAAAATAGGTCTTGCAAGGGACACATGTTTACAGTGTGAGTGCTGAAACAAGAAGACAAGAGTGTCAGTTTGTTCAAACTCAGTTGAGAACCCGAATGTTGGGAGACTAAAATTTTTTTGTTGCTCTGTAAAGGGCCACAAAGGTGCCATAGGTGTTATTTCACCTCATAAATACATTTTTAGTGGGTTAGCAAATTTGCAAACATGGAATACACTAATAATATTGAGGATCAACTCTGTATAAATTACATATAAATTTCAAAATATGTAAAATTCTAAGTATCATAACTTTTTTATTTAAAAAGCAAAGAATGGTATTGCTGTTATTAAATTATATAAGAGATGATCTTAAATGAATATTTTCTTGTAATCACCAAGGATAGGAAATCAATAAGGTATTTATAGTTCATATACAAATAATGTCTTTCTGTACCCTAAGGCATATTTTCACTATGAATAAAGGTGGTTTGTTTTAGAATCAACAAATAAACAGAATTACAACATGAAAACCTATGAAGGCTGCAAATATTCTTAGAAACTTGAGAGTAATGAGGCTTGTTCCTACTATTGATTAATACAAAACATTTGACCAGATCTCTATAATAATCCACATGAAATTGCAAGGGTCATCCAGAGGAGTAAAGTGAGCAGCTTAAATGATGCCATCATTTTTAATGTTTGATAACTTACATTTAAAAGTCTATCAGGGCACAATTACGTTTACTGAGTACACTGATTGAATAAATACAAAGCTGCCAAGAAACTCACTGGCTTGAGAACTAATGTTGTAAAAGTGGTCAAGACAGCATTGCTATGATTCATTTAAGTAAATATTCATTTTTAAAAAATTTTCTCAAGCAAAAGAAAATTGTGAGACCTCAAACAAGGCACTGAAACTCATCATGACTGACTTCACAAAAAAATATACGAAGCTCACCATCTTAAAAATAAAATCTGTGGACTGAGTGAGTTGGCTCTTACCTGTAATTGCAGCATTTTGGGAGGCCAAGGCAGGTAGGCCAGGAGTTCAAGACCAGGCTGGTCAACATGGTGAAACCCTTCTCTACTAAAAAATACTAACAATTAGCCAGATGTGGTGGTGTGCGCCTGTGGTCCCAGCTACTCAGGAGGCTGAGGCACGAGAATTGCTTGAATCTGGGAGGTGGAGGTTGCAGTGAGCCAAGATCACACCACTGCACTCCAGTGTGGGCAACAGAGTGAGATTCTATCTCAATAAATAAATAAATAAATAAATAAAATAAAAGCTGTGATTAATAGCTATAGCAATCTAAATGAAGGTTTCCAACTCAGTTTTTAACATGAATGTTTTCTATTATACTATCATTTAAGCAATGTATATTTATTTGCTAAACAATACTCCTTTCCAGATTTTAGGCATTTTCATGTATTAGAAATGCAGATATCAATTGATTTTCTATGGCATTTAGTAAGATAAAATAGTCATAAATTAAAATAAATAATACACTTAATTCCAGTAAGACTGAGGTTTGTTCAGTGAAAAACAGGTGCTAAAATATATTAGCCAAATCATATTTTGACTCAAGCTTAAAATAGAACATTTGCAAGTATGAATTCCGTATATGCAGCCCATGTATTGCACTGGCCAAGCAAAGAGGGTTTTTTTCCATCTCCATTGGATAATGTTCTACTTTTTAGCAAGCAAAGCTAAGGAGCCATTTAAAATATTTTACTTTAGACCTGAAGTTTAAACTCTTATCACTGCCTTCAAAGGAAACTCACTCTAAAATGTCTGAAAATACTTGTCACATAAACTCAACCAACTGCAGAATGTTTTTTCTTTTGTAAATATGTAAATTAACTTAGTGCTTTATTTATTTATTTATTTTTTGAGAAATGAGGCTCTTTCAGCTTATAAACATTAGAACTAGGATTAAACCATTTTTTTCCTCTGAGAAGTATGAGATATAAATCTCATTAATTTAGAGGAAATAAAGAATCAAGAGTGTCTTTAAATGCATCTAAATCCTCAGGTAACAAAATTCCTAAATGAAAGATAGGTGTTGATTGTAGCTGGGCATTGCATAATAGCAAGCATAAGGTCCTTTGCAGAGGGACAGTGTGTGGCCTTGAGAAGCAAGTAAATTGTCTCCATCCAGTCCTGGCTCCAGTGGCCTCACAACTGGATGCTGCCATTGGTTCCCTATTAGTCTCTCTGGCTCCACTTTTTCTCTGCTGCCACACAGTCTATAAATTACTCCTGAATTCCTCCTTATTTCAGTTCGGTTTCCATCTCTAACAACCTTCAGTGATTCTCTATGTCCCTCTGGACTAAACAGAGTTTCAGCTGCCTTTCAAGGCCACCATGCATGACCCAGACATGGCTTCTCTCTCTGTTCTGAGCTTAGTGATTTATTTTACTTATTAATTTTAAAAAATTTCAGTAGCTTTAGGTGTACAGGTGGTTTTCAGTTATATGGATGAATTGTATGGTAGTGAAGTCTGGGATTTTAGTGCACCCATCACTTGAGTAATGTATGTTGTGCTCAGTGGGTAGTTTTTCATCCCTCAGTCCTCTCTCTCCTGCATCTGAGTCTCTGATGTCTATTTTATCACTCTGTATGCCTTTGCATACCTATAGCTTAGCTCCCATATATATATATATGTATATATATATGTGTGTATATATATATGTGTATATATATATATATGTGTGTATATATATATATATGTATATATATATATATATATTTAGAGAAACAAGGTCTCACTCTGTCACCCAGGTTAGAGTGCAGTGGCATGATCTTGGCTCGCTGCAAACTCTGTCTCCCAGGCTCAAGCGATCCTCCTGCCTCAGTCTCCCAAGTAGCTGGGACTACAGGTGCACACCACCATACCCAGTTAATTTTTTGTACTTTTTGTTGATACGGGGTTTCACCATGTTGCCCAGGCTGATCTCAAACTCCTGGACTCAAGGGATCTGCCCGCCTTGGCCTCCCAAAGTTCTGGGATTACAAGTGTGAGCCAACCCACCTGGCCTTGGCTCCCACTTACAAGTGAGAACATGTGGTTTTAGGTTTTCCATTCCTGAGTTACTTCACTTACAGATATAATCTCTCTGTTCTCCTCTGTCAACCTCTTTTCTCCACATGCACAATTACCTGAATGGATTTCATCATTTTCAAGCTCATTTGTTCATCCTTTCTGAAGTCCACACCTGAAATGCTTTATCTTCTCGTCTCAGCCCGTCCAAATCCCCACCAACCCTGCCTTCCCCAGTCCACCCAACTTTTTTTTTTTTTTTTTTTTTTTGAGACGGAGTCTCGCTCTGTCACCCAGGCTGGAGTGCAGTGGCGCGATCTCAGCTCACTGCAAGCTCCGCCTCCCGGGTTCACGCCATTCTCCTGCCTCAGCCTCCAGAGTAGCTGGGACTACAGGCGCCCGCCACCACGCCCGGCTAATTTTTTTTTCTATTTTTTTAGTAGAGACGGGGTTTCACCGTGTTAGCCAGGATGGTCTTGATCTCCTGACCTCGTGATCCGCCCGCCTTCGGCCTCCCAAAGTGCTGGGATTACAGGCGTGAGCCACCGCACCCGGCCTCCAGTCCACTCCACTTTAACCTGAAATCATTTCCAAAAAATGCTTGTGGTCTTGCCTAGTTTGGCATGTGATTATAAATGTGTATTTTGTGTCATTATCTAATTTTTCTTTTATATCACTCTTATCCACAGTATATAATGAGGGTCCACATTATATTTACTTTTCAGTTTCTTAAATTTCATCAGCTTCAGAAGTGAATAAATTATTAACCATTTAGAATAGTAACTTTGGAGACAGGGTCTCACTATGTTGCCCAGGCTGGTCTCAAACTCCTGGGCTCAAGCTATCCTTCTACCTCAGGCTCACTAGTGGAAACTACAGGCACAAGCCCGCCATCCCTGGCTCTAACTGCATTTTTTTTAAAGAGATGAGCTGTTCCTCAGGCTGGAGTGTATTGATGTGATCACAGCTCACTGCAGCCTCGAATTCCTGGGCTTAAATGATCCTCCCACCTCTGAAGTATGGTGGCCTGCACCTGTAGTTCCAGCTACTCAGAAGACAAGAGGGTCCTGAGTGGTGGGAACTACGGGCACAGGCCACCATGCCTGGATAGAAGAGTCTTTTTTTGTTTCATTAGATAACAGTTCTGTATAAAAGTAACTTATCTGGGTTGGGCACAGTGGCTCACACCTGTAATCCCAGCACTTTGGGAGACTGAGGCAGGCAGATCACAAGGTCAGGACTTCGAGACCAGCCTGGCCAACATAGTGAAACACCGTCTCTACTAAAAATACAAATTAGCCAGGTATGGTGGTGGGTGCCTGTAATCCCAGCTACTCGGGAGGCCGAGGCAGGAGAATCACTTGAACTCAGGAGGCGGAGGTTGCAGTGAGCCGAGATCGCCCCATTGCACTCCAGCCTGGGTGACAGCGTGAGACTCCATCTCAAAAAATAAAAACAAAACAAAACAACAACAACAACAACAACAAATGTATTTGGGGACACTGAAATAGAAATAGAATATTGAGGGAAACACTTAAATATTTATTAAAAAGTTAAGAAAATAAGGGACTGGAGATGTTTATTTCACAAATAAATATTTTTATAAATTGACATCATGGGCAGTGTAAAGTTTGTCTTAATTAGTTGCTTATTGATAGATCTGGATCATTTGTGCTAGTGATACTGTGATGGAATGGCCATGGGATCATTTGGTCACTTTCTCCTCCTTACTTAGTTTTATGTTAGTAATTCCCATTATTTGAGGGGCTCTGATGTCATAATAATGTCAGTAAGGGTGTGTTGTCAGGCTTCTTTCAGTATGATCCTACTCTGTTAGAGATAAAAACTCAGCATACGCAAAATAGCGTGTATCAAAGCATTCCTTTCCCTTCTGGCCTACAGCTTGGCATGTTTTCAAAAATCCTTAGCAGCATAAAATCTCTCTACATTTATTTGTTTTCAAGTCTTAGATGAAAAGAGCTATTGTTGAAAGCTTAGTTAAGAAATTAAACACACTCAAGACACTTTTCACACTTCTGTGCTTTGGGATATAATTCCTGTAAGTAGGTTTGAATTGTGTCGTGAATCTCCCGGATTCTCAAGTTTATAAAATTTCATTCACCAACAGTTTCAGTTTGAGTTTTCCCCAAAGCAACTTAAAAAGTGATAAAAACTATCATTTTATACTGTAAACTCTAAAATGAGACAGTGTGATTTATTTATGGGGAAGAATTCTTGTTTTCCTCAACATTTCTGAATCTCAGGGCTGCCCAGCATATTACATAACCAAAAGAATATTGTTCGCTACTCTTTCAACTCAGATATGCTGTAGTAAATTATGCCTCCTAAAATATTTTCATGATATCCACAACTGGTAGCATTATTTCTAGAATTAAGGAGGTGTGTTGAATGTCTTTGTAGATAATCAATACATACATGTTTTCTAAAAATATGGAACTCTGAAACCTTTATTAGGAGCTATGTTCCTTAGAGAGTTCCTTGGAGTTCTTTAATTCTAGCAACCATTCTCTCTTCCTTTCCTTGCCCAAATATGAAAGTTGGTATTAGTTTGATGCATATAAATGAAATATCAAATACAAAACAGCAAAAATGAGAGCCCAAAAGGCCCTGGGCAGATTCCCAGGCACAGCATTTAGAATTCTAGCTCTGATTTGCAGGGTCGTTATTGTCCAGGCCTAGCCTGAAAGCTGAATGCATTTTATTCTGCTTATTGATGCATATTCTGCCTCATAACAAGACCCCAGATTACTAAACTTATTTTCTCCTGCAAAAATATCTGATTTAAAGTTCATATTTTCGAGAGGGAAAACAAAGAGTACTGGCTGGCTGCTAATATTCTAAGTGTTGAGATATAATTCAGAAGTATTCAGGAGAAAAGAGAAAGATAAACACCTCTTCTCTTCACGTTTACTGCCATAAACAGGTAGCATATATATAGGCTTCCATAAAGTTTTGCATTCATTGGTGCTGTTAGTGAAATAGATCCTGGCTGTGGTATAGGAACATTAACATCTCTCCCTAATGTGTTACTATGGATGGTTACCACATTTTTTCCTGTTTTCAGATAATGTATTGCACTTTGAAAATGTAAGAAATTATGTTTCCATTGTACTTACTAGGGCAATTCTTCCATTTATGCCACTGGGATTGTTACCTGATTCTTGACCTTAGTGTAAGGCCTGATAACATTAATTGAACACATATTTATTATGTACCTCATATGTTAGGCCTCATATGGTTTTCATATTCTGTTTTACCTTAATATACCTGCACAAAATAATCTAAATCCCATAACCATATCAATATAGCAGAAATGTTTGACTTTAATAGCTTACAGATAGACACTTAAAGTGAGAGCCTAGAAAGTGAGCACATGTTTGATGAAGGGAGTGGCTGTGATTGTGCCCATGGATATGATGGAGGGATGTGTAGAATGGGTGTCTGGGGCTAGACAGGCAGGATATTAAACCTCACATGAAAAACAATTGTGAAACAGTGTTTATAAATTGAACACAACAGTAAGTTGTGCTTCCACTAACTATATGTTATAAAGAGGTTATGTGAAACAATCCCTATCAAATCAACCACTCATCTTCCCAACTGGTAACCTTGGGATGGGGATGGGGAGGCTATCACATTGACTACCTCTCTACTGCCCATTTGTTTTATATCATGTTCAAACTGTTCTCTTGTAATGGGCAGTTTGAGCTTCATAAGGGAACCCTTTCCATGTAACATGAGTCAGAATTTTGAAAGCTTGGATGCCTTTCATTCATAAAAAGAAAAAAAAAAGATGGAGCACCTATTATGTGCCAGGCACCCACTATATTAGGCTCCAGGGACACATCAGTTCATAAGGCACAGCACTTGCTCTAAGGAATCTAGAAAATAATGTAGTCATTCTGAAGGAGGGCTCAGAATTTTTCTTTTTTATAATTTGTAAGACTTAACATTTAAGAGTGATTTATAGAAAACATTGAAAAGACCTGGAAAAAAAAGATGAGAACAAGAATGAAATCTTTTCCTGGGGAACTCCTTAAGCTACCCACCTTTTTCTCAGGTTTTCTATGAAAAAGGACCATGATGTGATTAAATTCAGTCCATGAATAATATGGACACTAGGAGAGTGACATAAGAATGAACTTTCCTTAAGCTCCCGATGCTATGGAACGGAGGCATTTAAAAATATCCTCATTAGCATTTCGATGAAAACAATCAGTGTAGACATGGAAGGAAACAGGGAGATCACCCTGACCAGTGGCTCTCCGTTCTGGCTGCATATTAGAATCATCAGGGGCGTATTTTAAAAATGATCATGTTCAGGCTTGCTCCAAAGATGAAAGTAAATTGGAATCCCTGGGAGCGAGGCCTTGGTATTGGCATTTTAAAAAGCTTCCTACGGCTGGGTGCAGGGACTCATGCCTGTAATACCAGCACTTTGGGAGGCCAAGGCAGGCAGATCATTTGAGCTCAAGAGTTCAAGACCAGCCTGGCCAACATGGTGAAACCCCGTCTCTACTAAAAACACAAAAATTAGCCAAGTGTGGTGGTGCGCGCCTGTAATCCCAGCTACTAGGGAGGCTGAGGCTGGATAATTGCTTAAACCTGGGAGGTGGAGGTTGCAATGAGCTGAGATTGTGCCACTGCACTCCAGCCTGGGCAACGGAGCAAGACCCTATCTCAAAAAAAAAAAAAAAAAAGCTTCCTACATATGTACAGCCAGGGGTGAGATCTACTGCTCTAGGTCCACCCTTACTCATTATGAAGCTTAGAAAACCCAGACCCACAAGGCGAAGTGAAGCACTCAAGGCTGTGCTCTAAAGTAGAGGCAAAGCCCAGCCTGGCTGCTAGTGTCTGGGCACTGTAATGCAACGGGCCTGAACACCTAGTGCTCTAAACATCTGTTTTCATCCATGCTTACTTTTCAGGAACCTTTAAATAGTCTATTAACAGTAACTCTATTATACATTCAGATTGCCTAACATAACTTAAACCAGTGGTCCTTCTGAGATGTCAGAAGCCCATCTTGGTGGGAGGGGGGAAAGCCAGAGTTTCAGGAGTTCAGCTTACCTTGCCCCTTTTCTCCTCCAACAAGAGTATCTCAGTTTTAATCTGTTGAATACATAGGTTTTGCATGTAAGATTTCATGTCAAGAAAAAAGCAAAGGCTGGGTACAGCAGCTCATGTCTGTAATCTCAACATTTTGGGAGGTGGAGGTGGGAGGATAGTTTCAGGCCAGGAGTTTGAGACCAGCCTGAGCAACATAGCAAGACCCTGTTTCTACCAAAAATAAAAAATAAAAAATAAAAAAATAAAAAAAATAAAAGAAAGAAAGAAAGAAAAAAAGGGTTAAAAAGAAGCTTCAAAAAAAAAAAAAAAAAGAAAAAAGAAAAAACCAAATAACAACAAAACCAATTTAAATCTTCCCCCCAGCCCTCAAGGGATATAATGGCTTGAGTTTTTGTTTAGCTATTGTTTTAATTACATCTCCTATCCTGGAAAGAGTATTTAAACACGAGGGAAGGTTAGACACTGAAGTCAATTTTTTTGAGGCTGCTAAATAATTTTGGCTCTGGTTTGGATCTTTTCTTCTTCTGATAACTGACTTGTTGTGTGGCTTTGAGCAACCTCTCTGAGTCTGTTTCTTTCATATGTAAAATAAAGATGTTGTCACTGGGTTGTTGCAGGTATTGCATGAAATGATAAACTTAGTAAAGGATTTAGCACAAAAAGCAAATGTAAAGCACTAAATGTATCCAACACGAAGCATGTGCTCAGAATTTATTAGTTTCATTCCCTTTTCTTACCTTTTAGTTGACAGCAATGGAAAAGTTTCTGTTAAACAGTGATATCAGATTATAGGCTAAATGATTTAGTACCTGGGATATTTTAAGGTTGGCCTTATTTTGAGAATTACTGGGTTTGTTTTGTTTTGTTTTGTTTTGTTTTGAGATGGAGTCTCACTCTGTGTCACCCAGCCTGGAGTGCAGTTGTGCTATCTCAGCTCACTGCAACTTCCTCCTCCCGGGCTCGAGCATTCCTCCCACCTCTGCCTCCCTAGTAGCTGGGACTACAGGCAAGAATTATTGTTTTTGCATAGTACCTTTAAAAAACATAACCTTAGAAGACCCAGTTTTATGTTACTTTGGTGCATCACAATGTTTTCAAAGTACAAAATGCAAAATAATTCAGTTTCAAGATCTTTAATATTTGAGACACTATTCAAGGACCAAGTCCTAATTCCTTCTATATTAATCTGCAACACTTCCCAAGTAACCCAACAAATATAGAGTGGATTAAATCACCTAGAATATACATCTTCTTTTTTAATTAGAGGCACAAAGTTCCTACTTATAGTTATAATAGATTAGGGTGAGCATGCATTTTGGCAACACTCAAAGCAATTTAAAATGATTTAAAAGGCAAAAGAACAAAATTACCAGAGATGAAATATATCAAAGTAATCTAGTTGTTCAATTTTTTATTTAATCAAAGGCCTCAATTTGACTTTTTGCATTAACTTTAAGCAGGTGAAAACTGAACAATTCAGAAGGCCTTGGATGATTTATTCATGTTTTGCCATGTTTATGTATCCAATTTAAATTTAAATTTCATGGTTATTCAGACTACACAATGATAAGAATGGACAAGCAGGTTCACTTTAGGAACTGTTGTGAGTGATTATGCTAACTGCTAAAATAAAGGGATGAAAAATTGTGGAACAATTGCTTGTGAAAATAACCTAAACTAACGTTTAGATCTGCTCTGGTACTCAACTTGCTGCCAAATTTCCATGATGCTACTGACTTAACTGCCTTTGAAGAACTCTGCCAAGAGACTTCTCCTATCTGGAGGAAGAAAACACAGGGAGACCTTTTCCATAAGCTAAGAACAAATCTCAAGTTAACAGGATCCAGATAAAAAGGTAGTAACAGCTGACAAGACTGGTGAACCGTGTGAGCTGTGAGCTTGTACATACACACGAGGGCCATGGCCCCCAGATTCCATCACGTTCAACAGTGAGGCTTGCCCTTCTTTTTCAAGCATCTTGTGCTCATTTTAAACAGATGTCAGACACAATTTTACCACACAGATGGAACCAACCATTTAAACTAACTTATTCTGCCAAGTCTGTTTGGGGAAGGGCTGCGTATCTAGAAATGCACATTTTGTAGTCATATCATGCTTTCAACTTAAATTCCTGCCACCCCTGACTACAGAGCGACAGTTTTTCAATAACCAGTGAGATAGATTAGCAAGACATAGCCTATTATCCTAAGTTTACTAGAAGTGAGAGTTTTTATCAACACACACACACACACACACACACACACACACAGAAAAGTCTTGAAAGATCTTCCGAGAATGCAATTATACAGTAAGTTAATTTCTTATCCACAGAAGTATAGCTGTATTAACAACCCTTCCTTAAGTGGATACACTGGAATGCTGCCTTAGTTATCTCAAACTGCTTTCCTGCAGTATTTTTTGCACTTACTTTTAGTCATTCTTCTCCATCTACCTTCACCCCTACCAAGCCTCTGGCTCCTCCTCCTGCCTTCCTCCCACAGCACTTACACTTTCCTCTTGAACAGCAGTAAAGGCATACAGGTCTGCATCTGACATGCTTGATTTTTCAGGTGTGGCTCTCTAACACAGACCTATAGTTGGAACCAGAAGCTTGATATGGTTTTAGTGAAACTTGTTCTGTGTCACAGATAAGAAAGCTGTATAAAGAACATTAAGATGAACTCAAAGACATAGACATATTCTTACGTGGTTGTGCTGAGGTCTGCCAAAGAAAAACTTTGAAAGATTGCCAAGGAATCTGAACTTAAGTATCAAGAGCCTTTTGTTGACTCAGTTTCGCCTCTGTTCTTTGTTGGTGGTTCGTTAATTGAAATTTCATAAGTCACCCCAGGGAAAATCTGGGGTGCAGAAAGATGAGATAAAGACTAATGATTGTGAGTGAAATATTGGCTGTGCTGTCTCCTCCAGTCACTTCATTTTCTCACCATACTGCCTCTCTTCATTTTCTTCATATTTTTTCTTTTAAGTTTTTGTACATCTCAATCTTTAAAAGTCAAAATTCTGTAACATACATATCTTGAGGAAGTCTCATTCTACTCCTGACTCTGTCTATCCTGCTCCCATCTCCAAAGGCAACTAAAAATGTGAGACCTCTTCATGTTTCTTGAAGTTGGTGCAAACAGTCCAAGATTTCTTAGTTACAGAAGGGATGGGCATGAAGGGATTTTAAAGGGGGCAGCAGGGATTGGTGGGGGCTGCCTTAAGAGAGGAGCTCTTATTCTGTGGGGAGGGAGAGGGACAGAGGTTACAGGTTAGTATGATTCATTGGATTTGAAAAGGAATTTAAGTATAATTGTTGTTTCAGTCATTAAACATTTTACAATTTGTTGATGTCATTTCCTACATTATGAGAAAGCAACTAAAACACACACTGGGTTCAACATAAATGGCTTTATCACATTCAGTGAGGACTGGAAAGATCTTGTGATTCACAAGTTGCCAATTTAAATTGTTATTCACAAGAAAGAAATCTTGGTTTGTAGCTAGTTGGCTGTAAGTCAGGCTAAAGTCCACCTGAAAAAATGTTAATTAATCACATTTTAAAAACATCTTCACTGGATAAAATGTGTGTCCAGAGAAGTTTCTTGTTATGTGGCCTTCATCATGGGGTTGTAAGGTCCACGAGGGCAGGGACCAAGTCTGTTTCACTATGTGGTGTGTATCTAGAACCACACAGTGTGCTCAAAATGCACTAGGTACTTAACAAATAATCACTGAAGGGATGAATGACAGAATCAGATGGAAATAGCCTACTGGAGAGGGTGAGTAAGCATTTATTGCATTCAAGAGCACATTACTGGATCCTCAGGAAAAACAGGAAATGCAGGAAAGAGTTCAATCTCTATTTCCGGAATTTGTAATCTAGATGTAGCATATGAGTTTATTACTTTTAAGTTAAAACAACAAAATTGAGGTAATTATAGCAAAAAGTCCCAGTGAAGAAATTATTTTGGCAGGATGATAAAGAAGGGATGAATGGTAGGGAAGATTCCCGAGAAAGGTCTTCAAGAGCTTTGCTAGTTAGAAAATTACTGAGGAAAGAAGCAGTTACTATCCAAGAAAGGGCACCTCAAAGAAGGTAGAATTTGATCAGTTGGCTTTGATTGTCACAAGGTCTAAACTCTTCAGCTTAAGCTAGAAAATAATTTACAACATGAAATTAGGTTTAGAATTTAGCATTGGTGTAAAAGGCTAAAATATTTTATAGAGTTTCTGATTTTAATAAGGTAATTTTACACCACTATAAAAATATTTTCTAAAATTTTGGGGTGCTTCTTAACACAGTGGCAAGACAGATTCTAGACTACTGTGGTCTAGAAGGAGAAGTTATGAGCTATGTTTATTAAGAAGTGTACAACACAAGGGTCTAAAGTGAACCTAGCATCATGTCTAATAAAATTTATTTTCAAGGATGCAAAATTTGAAGCATATCAAAAAGGAAAAGAAAATCCTAGACCAAGTAGAATGGAAAAGTTGTTAGCACAAATGAAAGGGAGAAACTACCAAGTGTTTGTGTTTGCTTTCTGTGTGTGTGTCTGTGTACATGCACAAGTGTGTTTTCTTGGAGAGTTTTCTTTGAAGTCAAACTTTGAAGTTGGCTCTGTTGTGTGACACATCAACTATCCTTATCCAAAAATACTAATCTTACTGAATCCTTCTTTGCTTCCATTTCACCATCCATCCTTCTTACCTTCAACTTTGCAAACTTACAATGGCCATTTTTTTCCCCAAATGCACAATTGCTCTTAAGTAATGACTTCAGTGTGTCAGGGACAAATGTTTCTGTCTAGCTAGAGTTGTAGAAGCCAAACTAATTTCAGAGAGATTTCATTTTATTTAGTGAAATGTTGATGACTATTCCACTCAGTTCCCTCAATCTCTTTTAATTTAATGGATTTGGATAGAAGATGAAGTTCTAGAAGTACATTACACTCTTCAGGGATGAGATCAGCTTTGCCATGTACTAAGAGTTAAACTTTGCCCTTGTTCTAAGTACGTAATACATAATTCTCATCCCTAAGAAAGTATCTCTTCTATAGGATGTTTCGTGGAAAATAGCTGTGGATTAAAATAAAATAAAAACAGCATCATCAAATAAAAACTGAGCACAGGTATATACTTTTATAATTACTGAAAGGTTACGTATCTTAGGGGAGGACATATCTTTTTGTATTATTAATAGAAGGCTAAGGGGTTAGGCCAGGAACAGTGGCTCACACCCGTAATCCCAGCACTTTGGGAGGCCAAGGGGGTGGATCACCTGAGGTCAAGAGTTCAAGACCAACCTGGCCAACAGGGTGAAACCTCTTCTCTACTTAAAAAAAAAAAAAAAAAATTTGCTGGGTGTGGTGGTTGGTGCCTGTAATCTCAGCTACTCAGGAGGCTGAGGCAGGGAGAATTGGTTGAACCTGGGAGGCAGAGGTTGCAGTGAGCTGAGATCGCACCACTGCACTCCAGCCTGGTCGACAGAGCAAGACTCCGTCTCAAACAAACAAGCAAAAACCAAAAAACAAACCAACAAAAAATCAACAACAACAAAAGAAGGCTAAGAGGTTAAATTAATTTAACAGAATAATTTTTTGAGGGAAGAGAGGATCTGAGAAGAACAAGAAAGTTGAAAATCCTGATCATTGGGACAATATCCACACTTGTTCCATGTTCAAATACTTCCTTTGCATGTGAAAATACTCAAGTTGATTTAACATTGATTTTTTTGGGATCTGGGAAAAGGCAGGAGGAACTAGAAATCAGGCTTAAAGTTTTCAGAAAACAGGGATTCTCAGCTCTAAGCAGCAGTAACAAAAAAGGCCAGAGAAGATTGTTATGAGGGCTTGGGATCAGATATCTAATCTAATTATTAATAGAAATTTGATTTCACATGACCTTTTGTAGAGCTCAGAAAGTTACATTTGGATGATTAATCCTTATGACATCATGATAGGCAAAAAGCGTCAATATTTGGGTTTCCCCCTTCCATGATATGGCCATCCTCCAAGTTATGAAAACATATTCTTAGAATTCAAGACAGATCATGCTAGATTGGAATTGTTCTACCGCTCCAGCCCTTGGAATTCACTTCCCCTCCAATGCCCTCCGACACACACACAACTGTGGAAGGACTGCTCATGCCTGTGTGCTCATCACTGCAGCAGGTGTAAACATCTTGGTCATCACTGTCACCAGGTGAATACAAGGTACAGCAGCAGGCTCATGCCACTGGAGGAAGTGAGACAGCTGAGGGGCTCTGCTGCAACCAATGGTTCCTGTGATTCATGCATGGAAACCATACGGTTAGAATTCTACCAACAAGTTGGCGATAATCAGTGAGGATTTTCTCCCTGGTTTTCAGATGATTTTCATTTTCTATTTGTGAAGCATTAGCTTCATCAACTCCATTCAGTGACTTCAGACTGTGCCTTGATTCCAAACAAGTGAATCACTGTAGAGGATGATGAAACCCTGGGTGACAGATAATCTTTTAATCAGTTTGTTTACCAAGATTGGCTGCTAGTGGCATGTCATGAAGAAATGATACTGAATACGCTACCAGTTATGTTAAAACTGCTATCAAGACAGATTTTTTTAAAAAGCAGCAAGAGATCAAACTTCTAGCAGGCAAAATTCTTAGTTTTTCTTAGCTATTCTTGATTTTTAGTGATGTGGCTTTCCAGGATCCTTGTTGAAAAATAATTCAAGAGAAATTTCTGTGATATACTAATTCTGCTCCTGAAGGAACAAAAGCAATTTTTTTTCATCTCTTTTGGAAATTTGAAAAGGGTAGAGAGTTTTGAATAAAAAGATTGTACAAGAGAGTTTTAAATAAAAAACTATTTGAGAGGGTATAGCATTTTGAAAAAAAGGGAAGAACTTTTGTTCTTCTTACATGGTTAAATATAGCATTAAATTGATAACCATTTAAAAAAAATTTAGTTTATTGGGGGAGGGAAAGGGCAAGGGAAATGTTATTCTTGCTTTCCAGTGTAATTTTTGTGGGAGCAGCAGCTAGTTTTATTCCCATAATGATTTATGAAAAAGAATGGAAAGAGTGATTTATTAACTATTGCAGAAATGTTCATTCATGTGTTCATTCAGTGCAAAATTTTGGCACTTTCGAGCAAAAATGTTAAAATTGAATGTGATCAAATATTGGCTTGAAGTACATGTAAAAATGCATGTAATATGAAAATGTTTAAAGCTATACTCACGTAGTTAAAAATTTTCTCTACAGTTTATAATATTGGCACTACAATATGCATATGGAGTATAAGCTCAGAAAAATGTTGCATTTATTGATGTTGATGTTTCATAATCTACTTTAAAGAAATGGGAGAGACACAAAAGTATTACAAGGATATTTACAGCTGTCCTTGTCTACCACTTTACATGGGAGGCTCTGTTTCAACATGGTGGATCTAAGGATCTTGCTCCACTTAGCATGGTGGGAAATGCTATTTGCCACATGTAATTCTATTTTGCACCCTTTGGCCTAGACCATGAGAGCCAAAAGCCACAATATCTCCAAAAGAGGAAATTATTTTTCCACTATTTATATTTTCTGTGAGACAGCACAGGCAGATGATTTATATAATGCTGTAGAAAATTAATATTAGTTGCAAGCCAGACTCAACTTTCCAGCCTTCAGCATCCATTTGAGAAAGCCAAAGATGTTGTGTCTGAGTTTTAATTTTAATGAGTTAAAAATAAGTGTTCTTTTCTGCTGTTTCCTGAATGAATATAAAAAAATACGAACATTGCCAATCAAGGAACACTACTTTGATTTTGATCCAATAACAATACTAACCAAAAAAGAGTGAAAAAATAAAAAAAGTGTTTTTCAGAGAGAATGGGGCTCCAACAAGACAGTATATGTGCATTTGTTTGCTGTTTAAAACTTCCTTTGATCCACAAATATGCTTCCCTCCTATCCTAAGAAATTTCAAGGAGATAATATTGTCAACATCAATTAAAGTCATCATATGTAAAATCTTCATCTTCTCTTTATAAAATTCAAGCTCTTTCAGGCTTTCCTTTATTAATCTATTTAAAGAAAATGATAATGAACTCTTGGCATATGTTAATCTATTAGTACAACAAATAACCTAAATACTGAAATATATAGAAAATAACTTAAGGAAAATTTTTTTGAAAATATAAAACATACATTACTTGGGTATAGGTTTAAGTATAGAAAAATACTATAAAATCAATGTCCACTTTCTTTTTTCTTATAATACATACCTTGAGAGGAAAAATTTATACTGACTGTGAATCCATTAAAAAGAAAAAGATTTTTTTTTCTTTTCCTTTCTCTCATGGAACAGAGAGAAAGGAAGCCAAAACTGAATAAAACAGTTTATATGTTAATCACAGAAGATACTCAATGCTCACTCTGCTTGGGGAGTCAGCCAGAAGATTCAGAACAAGTTGTTCTCATGATTCTTAACTGTGAAGTATGGTAACGACAGGTCAGTTGGATTTGTAAGCTAGCTGGTTTTAAAAAGATCTTGGCCATTTGTGAAGCCAATATATTTTCCTTTTCTTTCTTAGTCTCATAAGAATGACCTCAAGGAACCTTAACACATCTCCTTCAAATTTGTGCTATTGTTAATCAAAGTTCACTCCAGCAATTATTTTAAAATTAAGTTTTTGACACAATGAAATTTGACCCTGAGTTGGTAGGAAAAGTTGATAAATTGCTTTTTAAACTGATGTGGTGCTACGTTAATTGATTTCTTGTTGTTCTGGAAAACTTCAGCATATTAGTAGCTCTCCACAACATTTTATAAGTGGATCCCTAAGAATTTCATGAAACTGTTTTTTAAAATGTTTTTTAAAAATATTTTTACTGTATCTAAACTGTACAGAAGCCAACGTTCTAGTTAAAGTATTCTGTAATTGTTTCTAGTAAAACAAAAATGAACTATAAACTCTCTATCTTCATGTCACTTATCTGTATAACTTTCCAAATAGATATGTCCTCTTTGGCTGCAATCATAAGTCTCATAATTTAATATTTGACAGAATAAACATGGCCATTCTTGATAGACATGTTGACTGATGGACTGAGAGATATAGATACATGCCATGAGATCTCTTTATGAGGTAAGTCAACTTTTTTTCTGCCTTTTGAAATGCACAAAGATAAACAGATAATACTTCTGGATGTGGTGCAGTCAATTATATCTATCAGAATTGAATTTCAAACTAAGAGTAAGAAACCCTTCAACACTTCCATTGGTATTTCATTAGAGATATTCTGCTGAGCTTTAGATATTTCAAACCAGCGGCTAAGAACGGACTTAACACCTCTAAAGTAGTTAAAATGGAAAATGACCTATTAAGTAAGCAGTAAGTCTTGCTTGTATCTCCGTTATGTTTATCAGTCCAAACTCTGCCCCTCTTCTATAAAGTATAGCTTGAATAAATATTTTTTGATGATGATAATAACTTTAGATACTCCAAATTTAGCATGAAAAGAGTAAATTAAAAACTGCCTGACCTCAAATTTGTAGTGTGAAACAATGCCTATTTCATATTCAAAGCTCAGGAGAAATAGCATGTTAAGTGAAGCATATATATTAGTTTCAATGTTAGAAAAATTGTTTACCTTTTCCCCCTGTACATCATCTTATTAAATATTATCCATGAAAGCCTACATAGAAGGCCCTGTGAGCTCAATGATACAGCTGCGGTTAATACTGAGGTTCAAAGGCTATATGGATGTTAGTCATCTAGGGATATGGTTAAAATAATCACTGGTGGAAAATTAAAAGTGCAAAGGCTAGGAATATGAAGAGTTGTGAGACTGCCAGACTGGAAGACCATCAGACTCAAAAGTCTGGGGACTGGTCATGATTACACAACTCATTGTGAAACTCTCTGTACATTCCCTTGCCGGTCTTTATTATCATAGGAGGAAAAAGAGAAAGGAATCTTCCTCTCCCATATGTTGTAAATGAGATAAATATTTGAGATACTTTAAGATTTCTGAGTGCAAGTTGTTCAATAGTCAAGTTATAATTAACAGAAATATCAAGCACTTTACCATTAAACAAATCCATATTTATTTCCTTGTCTCCTAGCTTTTTCAATTAGATTGAATGTTAAGGCAGAGAAGAAATAAATGTGTCTTTGGCTTCTTAGAGGAAATAGTTAAATTCAAAGTTGTACAAAAATTTTTGTAGGCTTTTGATTTTTCTCTATTTTTTTCTACAAATTAATGCAGAGGTTTTCCTAACCATTACATAAAAACATAACACTTCTATAGCAGTCTATGATGTATTAAATAAGCAATACGTCTTGCTTGTAACTCAGTTATGTTTTTCAGTCCAAATCCTGCTCTTCTAGGAATTACAGCGTGTAATAAATATTATTTGATGATGATGATGTCTTTAAAAGGTATATCATAAAATGAATGGGGAAAGGTGCTAATCTCATCTATGTCAATTACATTATTTTTATTCCTTTTAATAGAATCATCAAGTAATTTGTTTAAAATGTAACACTTCATCCGAGAGGCATAATTGCTTTAACATTGTTGTGATAGTTTTTTGATGAACTATAGGAACACATATAGATGGTTTTTCATGTTAATATGAATGTGATGTATGTAGCAATTGGTTCTATAAAAGGCCGTTTGGAACTGTTTTCTCTTGAACAGCAGTGGTCTTATGGATATCTGCATGACCTCTGCTGAAGTAAAATACTGTGGTTCGTGAGAAGACGTGACCTTTGGATACAGCTGGTCTAGTCCTGGCTCTGCTGTGTCAGTGAAAGTGGAACAGTTACATGGCTCTCCCGAATCTCTGTTTTCACTTGGTTAAATGAGGGTTACATGTACTTACTTCCAGTGTTGTTATGAGAATTAAATGAGATTAAATGTTAAAATTTGTGAGCGGTCAATATATGTACTTCTTTTCTCCCCCTCAGTCTCTTAAGAATATTCTACACCAGTATTGCAGAATAAAGAAAAATGGATATGTTAATTTGTTTGATATAATCATTCCACAATGTATACATATATCAGGTGGGGAGCAGTGGCTCATGCCTGTAATCCCAGCACTTTGGGAGGCCGAGGCAGGCAGATCACTTGAGGCCAGAAGTTCGAGACCAGCCTGTCAACATGGCAAAAACCTGTCTCTACTAAAAAATTTAAAAATTAGCCAGGCATGGTGGCCTGCACTTGTAGTCCCAGC
Organism: Homo sapiens; assembly: GCF_000001405.40. Classification (NCBI taxonomy): domain Eukaryota; kingdom Metazoa; phylum Chordata; class Mammalia; order Primates; family Hominidae; genus Homo; species Homo sapiens. Next base: position 72,945,584 of record NC_000006.12, on the reverse strand, counting down.
TACTCAGAAGGCTGAGGCAGGAGAACCACTTGAACCCAGGAGACAGAGGTTGCAGTGAGCCAAGATTGCACCACTGCACTCCAGCATGGGTGACAGAGCAAGACTCTGTCTCAAAAAAAAAAAAAACATGGACACAGGAAGGGGAACATCACACACCGGGGCCTGTCGTGGGGTGGGGGGTGGGGGGAGGGATAGCATTTGGAGATATACCTAATGTTAAATGATGAGTTACTGGGTGCAGCACACCAACATGGCACATGTATACATATGTAACTAACGTGCACGTTGTGCACATGTACCCTAAAACTTAAAGTATAATAAAAAAAAGAAAAGAAAAAGAAAAAAGAAGCATATGCTTTTCCCTTAAATTTGTAGGAAATTATATTTTTTTATAAACTCATTTCTCTTCAAATAATAAAATGACTAAAAAAAGCATCTTGAATGATCATATTGTTATAACAATGAGTTTTTTCCTTGTATGTTCAAAGGACATAATCTGATATGAAAAGCCTTCACTAATATAATTATTTCACATGAGATATCGATAGTAGCAGAATATGAATTTTTTTTTGGAAGGATGAGGGCAAGAGAAAAATAACTTAAGGGAATAAGAATCAAATTCTGTCCTCAGGAATTTGAAAGCCTCAGCATCTATTTTGGAACTTGTGGCTTTCACCACGCAGCAATGAGGAGAATGGGTGACTTGTGAAACATCCACTCATGTTCCAGTGGAGAAAAACATGATCAGTGCATCCTTTTTGAATGGGCTTTATTTATGGATACAGTTCTCAGAGATCCTGGAATGTCTTTGCTCTGTCCTTCAGCTGCTGGTTTGAGGTAGGCTGCCACAGGTTGGTGGCAGGTTTTTCAGAGGTTTTCTCTGAAGCAGTTTTCTTAAGCCCATGAGGAAAGGCCAGTGACACAGAGGGCTGTGGGCTGTGTAAACATCTTCCTGCTAATGTCTCAAGTGTTTAACAGTGGAAGATTTCAGTTTTGGTTATAGCACTATTTCCCAGGATTAAAGGCTCAAGTTTGAATTCAGTTAATGACAAAATGATTCACTAGGAGGTAACTTGTGTGAGAGACAGGCCTTTGTCTTGTTCTCTGCTGAATGCCTTAGAATAGGTCCTGAAATAATATCGGGCATGTAGTAGGTGCTCAATAAGTATTTGTAGAAAAAAATGAATGAATACTTTTTAAAGAATTGACCTTGATTTGTTTGACACTCTGGTGCATGAAATTATTAGAAACAAAAAATGTGTGATGCCTTTTATTATGTGTTGACCCCAAGATAATCTTACCAAATCTCACAAAATGTGGCAAAAGAGGGTATAAGAAAAAAATCTTAGTGGAAAGTTAAGTATTTAATGCAATAAAGGAGACAATACATAAACTAATAATAGTAATGAATGCTCATTGAATATTTACTGGAACCATGCAATGATCTAAGTGGTTTATCTATATCATCTCATTAAATAACAGCCATATGTTGATGTGTGAATCAGGCATTGTAGATTAGTGGTTGAAGACAGACTTTGGGGCTAAACATTCTGGGTCTAAATTCAGGCTCTGATACTTTCTCTGATAAATTCAGGCAAGTTGTTTACCTTCTTGGTTTCTAAATGTCTTTATCTGTAAAAAGGGGGAAATAATACTTTCTGCCTTATACAGCTGTTGTGAAGGTTAAATCCTAGAAGAGTACTAGGCATGTAATATCTATCTGTCATTCTCTCTCTTGCTCATGCACAGTGCCTTGTGCAAAGTAGGAGCTAAATCTTAGCAGTCATTTTGTGTTACTAATATCATTCCCATTTTACAGATGAGAAAACTGATGCCCAGAGAAGTAACTTCCTCAAGATCACGCAGTTAGTAGCTATTGAAACTAAGGTTGCAATCTAGGTAGTCTAACTGAGTACCTTTTGCTCTTAACCTCTGTGCCACTGTGTCTCCTCAAATGAATGCGCTGAAAAGGTATTTAACTCACTCTTAGTAATAAACTACTCCTAGAATTTATTCAATAATTTTCAAATGATAATTTGACACTTCTTGACTGGAATATCATTTTGAAGATTTCTGATGAATAAGTACAGGTGTTTCTGTAGGTTATTAATAAAAATATGCTATTATTAACCCAGTTGCCTGATTAATTTTAAGAGCCAATGCACTAGAGAATGATTGCTATTTTCTGTAATTTAGGCTTCAAAAATTGTTAGTAACTAAAAATAAGCCTCATCACAGAGAGACCAGCTTTGCATTCATTTGACACTAGCAAATTCTTTATGTTCAATTCCCTATCTGAAGTGGTAGATCCTCAACAATAGCTTGTAGTTTAGGATATATTTATGCAGATTCTGTATGGCACAAGGAAGGGCACGATCATCTTTCAGCGACAGTATAAGAGGCGGATGCTTTTGAAAAATGGTTGAACCACACATTTAATTTAAAAAAGGGTGAGAAAATAACATGTATTACTAACAGTGCAGGCTACATTTAAGTAGTAAATAAAAAGAAATTGTGTTTGTTTTAATGTTGAATTGCCTTTAGTTGCATCAATGGTATGATCATGAAAAGGATAAAAAAATCGATTATTTAATTTCCAAATCTCCCCTCAGAGCAGTTCAGCTTTGTAAGTTTAAACAGTTTGTGTAATCTAGCCAAGTATGCCAAATACGGCATAAAGTGAAAGACAAACTTCAAAAAGGTGATTTTTCATTAAAAACTACAGCCATTTTTCTTCCTGAAATCAGCCAAATAGGCTTATCCAGGTAGATGCAGGCCAAGGTCAAAGTGAGAAACTTTTTGGCAAATTAAACTGGACTTGTTAGGTTTAGACACTGCCCCTACCGCAGTCATTCCATATCACCGTAGAGTCCCCATAGCACCACAGTGAACACGGGAGGAAAAACTATTCTAAAGAAACCTGTATTTCTGCTCAGAAGGCTCAGATATTTTTGAAGCTTCACTTCTGTATTCAAATTTTCCCAAAATAATCTGAAAAGTTAAAAGTAAATTAGTATACTGAAAGCAGAATTTCTCTGCCACTGAGGTTATGCTTTCTTTAATTCTTTTATCTGTCAGTCTCTTTAATTTTTTATCTGTAGCATATATTTTTGAGCCTCCTTATGTCTACTTGGCAGGTACGGAGCTAAGGTGTCAAGAATGATTCCACGTCTCAATTTTTACATAGAGTAATCATACAATTCTCGATGCATGTTTGGTATGTATGGGGGCAATTACTGATAATATTAACATTAATTTATGCAGAATAAGAGAAATAGGTTTAATTTGGATACTACAGGTCAGTGAATAACATTTAAAATGTGTGATTCTGTAAATGGAAAATAAACTCTTATTTAGAAATAAATCATAAAATACTGTTTGGTTATATATAAGGCAAAGCAACTTTTTGCTAGATATTGTTCTATTTCTCTGAAATCTCTCCAGTAGAGAGCCTTAGCACCTCTGTTACCTGCCTCCCTGAGCTTCAGTCACATTCTTAAAATGGCAGCTCAGGCCACAGGTTCTCTGTAGGAGTTACTGCTTTAGCAGAAAATGCCCTTCCCCACTTATGGGTTGGGTAAACTCTCTCACAGCCTCTCACAGGCATGGTGTTTCAGACATATGCCCTTACAAAACAACATTGTGTTTGCTCAGAACACTTATCTAAAGTTGTATTTACACATTCATTAATGAGGTAATCTGATGAATAACTTTTCCCCGCATTAGACTATAAGAGGGTCAGAACAATGTTGGTTTGTTTCCCAACTTTATCCCAAGGAGCCACAGAGTGCCTGGCATGGAGAAGGAAACCAGCAATCAGTAGTTGAGGGAGAAAAGAAAGAAAGAAAGAAAGAAAGAAAGAAAGAAAGAAAGAAAGAAAGAAAGAAAGAAAGAAAGAAAGAAAGAAAGAAAGAAAGAGATGGGGAGGGAGGTGCGGGTGGGGAAGGGAGGAGGGAGGGGAGGAAGTCAGGAAGGAAGGAATTAAGGGAGGAAGGAAGGGAGGGAGGGAAGGAGGAAGGAAGGAGGGAGGGAAGAAGGAAAGGAAGGAGGGAAGGAGGAAGGAAGGAAGGGAGGGAGAGAAAAAGGAAGGAAAGAAGGGAGGGAGGGAAGGAGGGAAGGAAGAAGGAAGGAAGGAATGAAGAGAGGGAGGGAAGGAGGAAGGAAAGAAGGGAGGGAGGGAAGGAGGAAAGGAGGAAGGAAGGAAGGAGGAAAGAAGGAAGGAAGAAAAGAAGGAAGGAAGAAAGGAAGGAAGGAAGGAAGGAAAGAAGGAAGGAAGGAAGGAAGATGAGCAGGGCTGGGGAGACTCTCCAGACAGATAAGATTCAGGCCAGGTTAGGCAACACCCATCCTATGCATGCAGATAGAAGGAAGCAAGGTTAAAAAATAAACAGAAAAATAAATTTAAAAAGAAGGCAAAAGAAATAAAATTGAGGATATTAGACAGGGAAAGGAAATTAATACTCACTGAGATCTATCTTAGTCTAGGTACTTTATAAACATTTCGGTCTGATGACCATCTTATGGAACAGGGATTTCTGAATCTTTGTTTAATAAGACCCCACTCGACACTAATGTCCTTCATATTATGCCGTATTTTTTTTCAGTCATCTAATTTTTTTCTTTATGACTTAAGTTTAATTTAAATTTTTTTCCCACAGGGAGTTACAGCATACAGATAATTAACGCAGGTTATCATATGCCAGCTATTTCTCTAAATACTTTGCATGTATTACCTTATTTAATCGTTAAAACAACTTTACTGTTATTCCCCCTTTACCAACAGGGAACACTAAGGCTAAGAGTTACAGAGCTAGTACGTGCAGAAGCCATGACTCAAACACAGGTAGACTCAAATTCAGAATCCTTGTGCTTAATTGCTACCTGATACTGCTTCTTTGTAGAGCAAGCAGATTATTAAGCAATCGAAGTGATTTGTCTTAGCGGTCTTTATTATTCTGACGAAAACGGTTTACTAGGACATACACATTAAAGCCATCTCTGTCCGCATCTGGTAGTGTTGACTGACAGCTGGTAGCATCCCAGAATCCTAGTCACACTGGGCCTGTCTTCCTATTGTCCCAGTGATCGCATCACCAGTGACTGGACATGACTGTTGCAGCCCTTGCTGGGGCATGAGTAGGGCTGGGGAGACTCTAAAGTCAGATATGATTCAGGCCAGGTTAGGCAACACCTGTCCTGGGCATGAAAACAAGTATCAGAGCCAGGCAAAAAAGTTTCCTGCTGAAATGTTAATAATTTGGCTGAAATAATAACCGTCTCAATAATAATGCATAATGATAATAATGCATAATGATTCAGTTTCCTTTGGTAGACATTGTCAAATTATTAAATCTTCTTTTTGGGAATAGGCAGGCCCTTTCTGGTTCTGCTTCAAATCTCTACCTCTCAATGGGAAATAAAGGGCTGAATTTTGGGTATGATTCAGAACATCAAAGAATGTTCAAGCTTAAAGAGTGCTTGGAGGTTGTGAATACAACAACCTCATTTTATAAGAGAGAAAACTAGGGCCCAGAGAGGCATTTTAAGAAGAATGAATATTTCTTTCAAACCTTAAAATGACTCAGAGAGAAAGACACCATGGAGAATAAACGTTTTTTATGTGCTGCCTTCACATTTAGTTACAAAACAGAGAAAACCAATGGGTAAATGATGGTTGCTATTAATCTTTCTACCCATTTTTACATTTTACTCATCTTCATAGACGTGAAAAGAAAGAAATGCCTACTCTCTGCTAAGGGAACATGTTCTCATGGGGCAGCCAGGGGCCAAATACCAGCTCAGTTGGGAGATGTGTAGGTAGGTTTATGTGGTCTATACCAGAGATACTCTCTGATTTGCAGGCTTGCATCAAGTTTAAGTAGATAATAAGGCCTGACAAGTATGTGTTGAGTGAGTGAAAGACTGCATAAATTAATCAGTGCGGAAGCATACATGAGGCTTCTCTCCTCTGAGGTGTATGGAATAGGCTGGAAGAAAACAATATACAATACATGTTCAGGGAGGCAGGTGCTTAGTGGAGAGGTGTCTCTCCAAGGAGGACCTGTTTGTACGTTGAAGAAAAAGTTTGGAGGCTTAGGATTTAAACTAGGACAACTTCTGGAAATAAAGGATGCTTGACAGAGTTGGAAATCCAATTTCAAACCCAGAGTAAGGGTGTCCTTTGCATTTCCCTAAAGCAGAAAAGTGTCTCTGGAGAAAGAACGCATGGGCTGGAATTGCAGACTTACTCCGAGTGGAAGGAGAGCCCCCAGCTGTGGTGGGTTGGCAGTCTCTGCTCTGCCTACCCCTTCTGTCCTGCTTGCTTTGTGATGACCCGGGAGCCCTGCCAGCTAGTGTCCCTGAGGGACTGGGTTCAAGCAATCAAGTGTGCCAGGGCACAGACGCTCCTCCTCAACCCAGCTTCCACCCGCTCGCCAAAAGCACTGAGCGTTCTGTAATGCTCAACGAACATCAAATTGACAATATTGGCAACATTTCCAGACAAGGCATGTCAAGGCCTTGTTTCTTAAAATACAGTCTCATATATGACAAGTGTGGTACAGGGTTAATGAGTTTTTGCAAGTTTTAGATATTGTATGTCTTACAATAGAGCACGAAATCTGTTCTAGGTCTGAAACAGTATTACTAATGTTAGAAGTATTTAACGTTTCTTTTAAAATACTTAAATCACTTGAAGTTTCAATTATGTATAACTTTAGGCCAACAACAACAACATCCACATTTCTCTAGCATACTGTAGCCTTCTTTTGTTTATATGTCAGTTTTCCCCATTTGACTATAAGCTTCTTGATGGTAGGAACCATGCTTTATTTTTTTAAAAAAGCTTTCTTGAGGTATAATATACATATCATAAAATTCAATGGTTTTAAATGTACAATTTGCTGGGCGTGGTGACTCGTGCCTGTAATCCCAGCACTTCGGGAGGCCAAGGCAGGGAGATTGCTTGAGGTCAGGAGTTTGAGACCAGCCTAACCAACATGGTGAAACCCCATCTCTACTAAAAAAAAAATACAAGAATTAGCCGGGTGTGGTGGTGCATGCCTGTAGTCTCAGCTACTTGGGAGGCTGAGGCAGGAAAATTGCTTGAACCCAGGAGTTGGAGGTTGCAGTGGGCGGAGATCATGCCACTGCACTCCAGTCTGGGTGACAGAGCGAGACTCCATCTCAAGAAAAATAAATAAATAAACGTACAATTTTATGATATTAGTACATTTACAGAATTGTGCAACTAGTACCACATCTTATGAAATCATTTCTATCACTCCAAATAGAAGTCCCCTGATCATTTGCCTCCACTCCCATTCCTACCTCCCAGGCTTAGGCAACCATGAATCTATTTTTTTGTCCTACTTATTCTTGAAGCCCCAGTGCCTCAGGAAATGCTTTAGTTTATTAAATTAATGTCTTAATTAATGAATTAATTAGTTACTAGGGACACAGTGCTCTCTGCTCAAGAAATCCAACTTTTCATTTGTATGCCAAGTATTTTAATCTGGCATCATCTCATTTCATCAGAACAACCTTGTAAGGTGGTCAGGGCAGGGTGATACTTCTTGAACATGATAAAAACAGACTTAGAAAGAGTGAGTGATATGCTCACATTTCCCAATTGTAAGTTATAAAGCCTTTTGACTACATAGCCAGTATTAACTCCATCATGGTCAAATTAGGGTGATAGACTATTGAGAAAACTTGGGGTCTACATAAATATATTTGGACCTTTATGTAGAACTTAAATAAAAACTCCCATTATCTTTAACCCTGTATTGATTTTATGTATTAAAATAAAAAAAATTTTACTTTAAAATGAGGTTTACACATGCATAATAACAGAGAACTTAAAAGAGTAACACACATTTTTCTCTTGTTAATTGGCAAATTTGAGAGCATGCAGCTTTCTGAGGACTTCTTTGTGTGGCTGATTGTTCAATTTTGTTCTTCATTTTGGGAGAGGATGCACAATCCACCTGCTTTTACATAGCCAAACTGATATAGGAAAGAATTATTAAAAGGCTTATAGAAGAAAAGAAAATTACTTTTTATTGAAACATACTTTAACTTGATCAAAATTATATTTATTTTGGTAATGTGTGCTATATTTTACAGACATATGGTTCTGTGGTAGAGGCAAGCATAACTTTCCTTTAAATGTGGTTCTGGTGGGTGCATGCCTGTGAAGCTTTGTTATCCTGTCCCTCAGGGCAGATTCTTGCTGGTTCAAGCAAAGGAAGACATAGTTCTTTGCCTGAAGTAAAATGGACTTCAGTTGGCAGCTGAATTTGTCCAGGACTTACAGAATATCACACAGGAGCAAGTCCTGCTTTCCCTGGAGATCCAAAAAAATTGAGGAGAGAGTGACTATTAAAGAATTTTAAAGCATCTCTGGGTTCGTAAAGCACTAATTCCTTTTTATAGAGCATTATTTGTAAATTACTACAATAAAATTTTACTTTACTCTTTTAAATCCTCAGCTCATATGTGTAATTTATCAATATGAATAGTTGTTTTTATAAGTTAGCTATTTTGTTTGTACTCTCAGCTCTCTGGAGACGCATATAGCTCCAGTTACAGTTACAGCCGCAGTTCTATCTCAATTATGCAAAATACACAAATGAAAATGTGAGAAAATTACAGAGACAAGCAAATCCATGAACAAGAACACATCTGTATGATGATAATGTTAAGACAGAGTCAGAGAATTTGAAAACTGGAAGTCATCAAGCCCAAAGATGAGAAAACCAAGGCTCAGAGAAATTGAATTACATGTGGAAGACGGAGGCAAGAAACAGATTTTGACAAAAGCCAAGAATTTGTTACAGCATTTATATTTTAATGAGTTAAGTAGATTAATTAATTTTAAAAATCAGATAACTGAATTATAGAATACAAAATATAATATTTTCTGTGGTTATAATTTCAGTTGTAAGAGATTGGAAAAATGATACATTTATATATTTAAAACTTTGCATGTGATGCATTTTAATACAACATCTAATTCTATGCTACCTTTCCTCATTTTAGGAAAACCCCTCACTTAGATCTTTGAATTAAATTTAATGTTAAAGTTGAAGTGTTTAATTTTTCTTTCATTCATTTTCTAATTAATTTTATAATAAATATTTACTGAGTGTTTGCTATGAATCAGGCATCGTATTGTGCTCTGAGACTAAAGCCAGAATAAGTCAGATGAGCTCCTTGTCCTTGCCCCCACAGAGCTTTCATTCTGGTGGGAAAGTAGATCAGGCACAAGAAAATAAAAAAGTGAGTAAAAATTTCTGATAGTGACATGAAGAAAACAAAAATGAATAATGGGATAGAGAATAGGTGGGTAGGTTATTTCAGATGAGATGATTAAGGAAATTATTTCTCTGATTTTTTGGGTGACATCAAGACTCTGGTTGACTCTGTTTTGGCTGTGCCAAGTTTGAGAAGACTCTCAGACAAGTAAGTGGAAATGTCAGAGAGGCTTCTAGTTGGGAGTCTGGAGATCAGAGAAGCAAATAAAAAAGGGCATTACCAGAAGAGATGGGATTTGAAGACATAGCATTGACTGAGACCATTTAAGGGAAATTATTAAGAAGGCTGAGAAGGGTTCTCCTAGGAGGGAAGAGAAAACCTGGAGAGTGTTGAGTCTTAGAATGCAAGAAAAGAAAGTTTCAAGGAGGCTGATCTGGAATGCTGGATCCAAAGCATGGAATACTGCTTTGAGGTAGAGTGAGAGGAGGGCAGATGAGATGTCATTGAATTTGGTACAGTGAGGATTTTGAATTTGGCAAAAACCGTTTCATTGAAAAGATGAGAGTGGAACCTCAGTAGGAATGAATTACAGTGAATGGGAGATGAAGGAAGTGGAGACCGTCCCTTTGAGAGGTTTTGCTATAAAGAGGAACAGAGAAATAGGCATAAGCTGGATGGGGATAACAGAGCCAAGGTGTTTGTTTTGTTTTTAAAGGGATATATTAGATCATGTCAAAAAGCTGGTGAGAATGATACAAGATAAAAGAAACAACTAATCATGCAAAGAAGAGAAGATTTGATGCAGCTGCTTCTGAGTGCCGGCAGTATGCTTAGCAGGGGAATGAGGACCCATTTGAGACATATGGTCATAAATTTAAAGGGATACCAGTCAGCATGATTATGTGATTTTCCCAATGTTTAGTTTCTCAGGCACAAGACAAAGATAGGACAACGCTGGTTGGTTGAGGTGGCTCACGCCTGTAATCCCAGCACTTTGGGAGGCTGAGGTGGGTGGATCACCTGAGGTCAGGAGTTTGAGATCAGCCTGGCCAACGTGGTGAAACCCCATCTCTACTAAAAATACAAAAATTAGCTGGGCGTGGTGGTGGGCACCTGTAATCTCAGCTACTTGGGAGGCTGAGGCAGGAGAATCGCTTGAACCTGGGAGGTGGAGGTTGCAGCGAGCCAAGATCACGCCATTGCACTCCAGCCTGGTGACAAGAGCGAAACTCCATCTCAAAAAAAAAAAAAAAAAAAAAAAAGATAGAACAAGGCCAATATATGGATTCAGTTAAAGTTGGAAGTTTTGTTGAGAAAGCGGATTCATTGCAAGGGAGTGTCATAGTGAAGGTACATGGAATTTGTACTAGTTAAAAGAAGAAAGTAAGTACCTGAGTGAGGTGATGGGTATTGTCAGTGTCACTGTATTAGAGGTTTCAGTGGGCCAAAGATTTAGTGGGATTGGGGACACTAAAGTGACTGTTGCAAGAATAAGAAGTGAGATGCTTAAAACCAAGCTTTCAGAGTTGACTGACATTGTTGATCAGTGGAGTGAAAAAACATAGCTGAGCTATGAGAGCCCAGACAAAAGAGAAAGAGCCTCCTGTTACCAAGATGGAGTACTAGGATTCCTTCAGCATAGGATTAGTCCCTATAATTTAGGAAACACTTAAAGATGAATTTTGAAATTAGGGGATTCCTGCAAAGATATGGCAATTATCTAAAGCACTTCTGATATAACAGCCAAAAGGCCAAAGTTCAGATCACCTTTGAAATCTCATTGTCACTAAATAATTTTGTCTAGGGATCTATATAATTTACTAATTGTGTGACCGTGGGCATTTTATTTAGTTTTATTGAGCTACACTTATAAATGTAGGATATCACCACCACCACCACTGTTATCACACTATCACCACTGTCATCACCACCATCACCACCATCATCACCATTATCATCATTACCACCACCACCGTCATCAACATCATTATCTTCCTTTTTATCATTATCATTGTTGTCATCATCAGTCATCATCACCATCATCATTGATATATATAGGTTGCCATAATTAATTTAGGGCCTTTCTATTGGCTCTGCATGGAACACTCTGTCCCTAGATGTATGTTCAGCAGATTATCTGCCTTCATTTCAAATGCTACCTTCTCAGAGAAACCCCGTAACTCAAGCTAAAGTAGGATCTTCATGCCTCTGACATGCCTTTATTCCTTAAACACCCAGTTTTTATCTCTTCTTCTTATTGTTATTTACAGATAGCATCTCCCTTTGTTGCCCAGGCTGGAGTGTAGTAGTATGATCATAGCTCATTGCAGCCTTTAACTCCTGGGCTCAGAGATGGTGTACATTTATTTGTTTACTTGTTTAATTACATTTATTTGCTTGTTTATTGTTTGTATAGCCTCTTTCAAGAAAAAAATTCTATGAGATCAGGGACCTTGCCTAAAACTAGAATAATTATCGGCTCATAGTAATGATAAATCAGTATTTGTGAATGCAAAGGTAAACTATAAAATCCTCTACCAAATGGCTACTATTATTATTAGGAGGAGACACATGACCTCAGTGTAATCAAATTAAAGAAAGTAACAATTTATAAGTCAAAGAAATGCAATTGATTTATACATTGTATTTTTGCAGCATGATTTTTACTTATTTTTTAAGGATCTCAAGATTTAGGTTTATGGAGTGGAAGATAAGTAATGGTCAACTCACTAGAGCTAATTTGAAACAATCAAGTAGAATGAATTACCTGTGACAGATGACAGATCATTAATAAGTACTCAGAGCAGAGACTGAGCAAACACGATATGGTTAGAAGCAAGGTGCAAATCTCCAGAAGAAAAAGGGTGCTGCCTCCTAACCTCCCTCATCCCCTCCACCGCCAACAGACTGGGAAGTTCATCCTGTAAGAATTATGGATGGCATCCCGACAGAAGCAAAGGCATAATCCTTCAACAGATGATAGAAACTAATCAGATGCAGAGAGATAAAACATTCCGGCCAGGAAAGGCTAATCTCATGGGTCTCCTTTTGGCTCTTATCTATAGTTATCATAATATCTCTTAAGGTAAATCCTAATGTAATTAAAACTTTTAAATCCTTAACATGGTAAGTTCTGTCCAGAATTTTTTTAATCTCAGCATCTGAAGGTGATTTTAATTTATCATACTCCAAAATATATTGGCTTATTAAAAATTCAGATTTTTCTCCTGTCCTGGTATTTTCTTGAGGGTTATTACTCTAGAATGACATTGAATTTGTTTTTTATGTTCAAACCTGTTTTAAAGCAACATAATTAATGTTTTATAAAAATCATAGTCAATTGGCAGATATATTCTTAGTTGAGAAAGACAATGTTAAATGAATTTTCAAGAAACATTTTTCAGGCATTTTCAGAAACAGTTTTAGTATAAAATACAGCACAGAAAAGCTGACAATGCTAACAAGTAAGTCATAAAGTAGATGAGTTTCTTGAAGTGATAATAGTTCAAAAAGCAACATTACAAAAACTCTCTTTAATTTTATACCACATATAATTTATGCAGGATATAGATGCATTTTAAGCTACCGTATATGAGATGATGTAGGACAAGGCGTCCAAAAATGCTAATTCCTAGGCTATGTAGGTCTTAAAATAGCAGATAATCAGGAGGATCTACATGAAAATAAGTTATAAAATAACAAGTATGGGAAATTGATTAAAAAAAGAATAACAGCTTTCTCTTACTCTCTTTAAAGTTTGTTTTTAAAATGAAAACTATGTAAGCATCTATTATAATTTTAAATTAAGTGTTTATTTTTGTCAAAGTGATACATGCATATCATTGAGAGAGGCACATAGTTTCCTGCTCCCAAGTCAACTGCTTTCAGGTCTAACTGATTTAAAAAAGAAAATCTAAATAAGATGCCTATTTGCTGCTTCTCAGTTATTCAGGCTTAGGCCTCATCTATTGTCTTCCTATTAGGAAGATGAGGATGTAGCTCCCTTTCTCCTTATTTCCCTGCCACGCTCATCACACACATGCACACACACACGCACACACGCACACACACACAAACACACATATTTTCCATGTCCCAGCTCTCACTCACCCGACAGATTTATAATTCATATTCAATGTTTCTATTATTAAGACCTTGTAAACTCCATCCTCAGATAAGCCAGCTACTGAGAAGAGTAGATGCTAATTGGAAGCTCTGTTAGCTAGATGGGCTTTAGGGCAATCTGGCTGGGTCTTTTCATGAGGAACTCCCCACATCCCCTCTGCCCTTATTTCTATGCAGTCAGGTGTTTATTCTTGGGCTGCAGATTCCTGAGAGAAGGCTCTTCCAGTGCCTGGTGGGTTTTTGGGAGTCAAGTGAGGGAGAGCTTACCTGTAATGTATTAACTTTCATTTTACCTGCCTGTTTTCAGTCCAGTATTCCTCCCTCAACTCTAGCCTTTGGGGACTACAATCTGGAAGCTCTCTCTGGCAGGCCTTCCAGAGAATCGTCCTCCAATTTTTGCCAAAGTGTGAGGCAAAGTGTGAGGCAATTACCTCGCATGCAGAGTTGGGAAGGGGCCCTGGGTGTCTAAATGCCTCTTAAGGAAATTTACAAGAAGGCTTTTGTTTTAGCCTCACTTCGCTTCCACTTCCAGAGGTGCCTGGAGCCACTAGTTCCTCGCCTTTTGGTCTGCAATATAAATCAGGTTTCTTGGCTTTCCCACCTGCTGACTTAGGATTTAACTTTCTAGGTTCTGCTAAGTCAGTTACCACTTGTCCATATGCTTTCCAGGGTTGTTTGTGTTCTCTTTTATTTCTTGTGTCCTAGTGATTTAGGATCTTTAAAAGACCTCTTTATATTCATTTTGATGTGGTTTCAGAAGGGGCTCAGAGGCTAATGTATGTGTTCAACCCACCATCATTAACCAGATATCCTGAAATTTGATTCTTAAAAAAGTGATTCAAATTAATAGTCAAGAAAAATATAAGTTTTCATATGAGGTATTCTAGTAGTAATTTATTATCATACTATATTGGCCAACATGCTACAGATTCAGAGAGACAAATGATGTAATAAAAAAGTAAACTTTAGTTTCAATAAAATAGAATTCTATTATTTTTTAGAAGAAGTTCTTTGTCTATATAAATCATCTCTTTAAACACAAACTTTAGTATCCAGTTAAAGTGGGCAATAAAAGACATCAGGCATGACAGAGTCTGTATGCTTTTATACAAGGACCAGACAAATATCTAATTATATGAAACTGTAGCTCAATTCTGCTGTAATAAAAGTAAACCATAGTCAATGATGGCCCAGTAAACTATAGAAAGCAGAGGTCAGCCAACAAACGTAAAAGTTCAATGTCCCTATTACTTTAAGTATGACTAACAGTGATTAAAATAGGAATTACATGATCATTGATTCCCAAGTGTCTTTTCTAATGTATTAAGACACAGGACAGCTTGAGATAGCAGATTTAATTTAAACAAGTAAACCAATGGTTTACTCGTTCATTTATTGCCTTCAATCACTTCCACAGCTGGTGCGAACATTTGTTAAGTTTTAAATGAACAGAAGCCAAAGTGTGTTGCAGTAATTAACTTATGAAAGCAATTAATGTAAGCAACATATGCATGCACATTATCACGCAGTAGTGCATATGGTTAATTAAAGTTTAACATAAATTAGATCTATTTAACCTTATTTCAAGGACCATTTGAGCGGTTTTTTTTTTTTTTTTTTTTGGTAAAATGTCCATATGTCTTAACTCAGGTGATTAACTTCATCATGTTAATGACCTCAAAAAATTAGCTAAATCCTCTTGGTTTATTACTTAGTTAACAGCAAACATGGCACAAATGGTCTGTTTGTTTTCAACATGATTTAGAAAGCCAAGACTGGCTAAAATGCACAAAAGCCAAATGAAGGATCAGTCTTTCTGGAATTAAGAGGTATGTTTTACATTTAAAGAAAAACTTCCTTTGAAGTTTTAAGATAATAAGACATAGTTGCTCCTTTCAGATGAACTTGCTTTTAAAAAATATTTAATACGTTAGTGGATATCTTTTTCTCTAGGTTTATTTATGAAATCCTTCACAATGAATTAACAATGTGGCAAATATGTGTTAAGCTCCTACTCCACATAAGGAACACTGTTCAGCTCTATGATGAGACAAAGGCAGACTTTTTTTTTTATTAAATATGACCTCTGCAAAGATGACTTAAGAAAGCTTAAAAAATGGTCATTCATAAAGTGGGACAAACACTAAACAATAACATCAAATGTAAGAAAAGGAGGAGAGCACAAATAGTTACCAGTTACTAGGAATGAGCATCAAATCTTACACTAAGCTTCCTGACAGTTATGGAATAAAGAAAAGTTAAATTATGTAAGTTTCATCTAAACAAAAAATGAATAAAATGCAGTCCTTGTTCTTGATATTTCCTGTCATAAGACTGTGTTTAATATTAACAAATATCTACCTAATGGGCTTTTTGATATTCTTTATTAATTTCATCAACAATTATATCTAACAAATTGTATACGTTTTAAATTATCCTGGGTAAAATGAGCATTTTTCATGTTCTGGATTTTGCATGTTCTTATCTTGGACCATTTTCTTCTATCCAATAGTTTAATAAAACTTCTGGTTCAAACTAGAGTACTTTATGTACTCCATTGTACTTTATGTACTTTATGTACATTGTACTTTATATACTCCATTGTACTTTATGTACTTTATGTATTCCATTGGCACAACTGCAAGCTTATAAATTGACAATTTTGCAGTTTAAAGCCACATGAAACACATGAAGTTGGTTCTGCAATTCCAAAGACAAGGTTCTTAATTAATATATTTAGGATTTTAATGGATAAGAGACTGTGCCAGATATTTCCATGTGCCCAGACAACTGAGAGTGCACTTTTTGGCAGTCACTTTATGTGCCTGTGGGAGGTTTAGGGAGTGGGCAGTTCATTGTCCATTTGGTCTTATTCCACCGAACTTTAATTTTTTTCTGTTGGTTAACTGACAAGCTTTCAACTCCTCTCTTCATCCACATCAACATGGCATTCAATCAGTAGTCACTTTCAGATCAATCCTACAAATATAAAAGGGATCTTAGTTTCAGTACCACATTTTACAAATCAAACTTCTTAATGCATTGAGAAATTAAAGGACTGGTTTATGGTTTTACAGCTAGTTATGAGGAACCTCTGTTATGGGTCAGCATTTATGAGGTTAGGATTTTAAAATATGGTTTATAGGACTGATTAATTATATAATCATAGTGATCTCTCTATACTTCTATACGCATGACTTAAGGAATTGGAGCTAGCCTTAGGATGCTTTGTGAGTCTTTAAATACAGGGACCAAGTCTTACTTATCTTTATATCTCTAACACCCAGCAGAGTGCCTGGCACAGAATGTTTAATAAATCCTGGGTGGTTGAGTGAAGAATTAATGAATAAAAAATAAAGAGCTTATGGGCACCTGCAGAGTAGAGAACTGTGCTAGGTATATTAGCATTTATTCTAATGTCTAATTTCCATAGGAATTAGACTAAGAATTACTTTTCCTCATAGATATACATAGAGACATATTAGAGTCTACTCCATACCTATATCTATATCTCTGTCTACTTCTATCTATCTATGTAGCTAGCTAGCTAGAGATTTGTTTTTCTAAAATAAGGCTTATTTAAAGAAAGAAAAGAAAATTTCCCATGCTACCACAGATCCAAAATCTATGGGGCCTTCTGCTTACAATCTCCCATACTAAAAGTAATTTAAGTGAATTTTCTTTAAAAATTTATAGAGAGGAGGTAGTTAAAAGACTAATAGAAAATTATTTAACTCTAAGATCATTCCTATGAAGAAAGGATTTTAGTACAAATGTAACCCAGGTAGCAATTATGAAACACATTGTAAGGAATCCACAAGATTCCTTAGAGTTTTGGCAAAGAGTCCTTCCAACTGCACATAGTTCCTACATCACTGGGCATATTTTAGTACCCTTGTTTTTCTAAATTCAAAGAGTACTCAATAAAATATCTGTCTAGTATAACTGTCTAAAAGCAAAGTCATATTACTGATTTAGCCAGTTAAATTAAGAGTAACAGAAAGCAAGAAGTTCAGATCTGTTTTGTACCTAAGGACCTGCCCCATGTTAAAGAGATGAACATGAAAACACGGGTTTCTTCTCAGGTAACCTCACCTGTCTGCTTTTAATAGAGACAACACTTTTGTTGCTTAAAGAGTTCTCAAGCAGTACACATTTCTTAGCATGTAATTTTTCTATTTTCCCTCCTTTTCATGTATTTATTCTCCAGACTAAGTTTTTCAAGGATCACATGTTTTTCTTCCTGTAATGTGCAGAAGGTGTTAGGTATAGGAATGGGAACCAATGTTTCTTGAATACCTGTTATGACCAGGAACAGTGTCTAGAGATCTGTGAGTCCAGAATTATCTATCTTTTGCGAAAACAAGTGAAAAAAAAATTTGTATTGGTCACCTATAAATGACTGCAAATTTATACCAATATGCTTAATTAAAACAATATAGACTGGTAAATTCAATAGAATCGTAGAAAATTCAATTAATGGAAGCAATAAAGTATGTAATGTTAAAGAAAAATACAGAGTATGGTTGAGCTGGTATTCATATTACTTATATCATGATCTTTAAATAGTTTATTTTCCAACAGTAGGAAGTTAGATTTTCTTATCTACTTGACCCATTTTCTCATTTCTCTAGATTGATGTGATTCTGTTGTGAGACACTGAATTTATTTAAAATTCTTATTGTGTTTGTCTCATTGTCACCTAGATTAGGCTAAAAGCTGTTGTTTGTAGAAATCTCTAGGATCTCTAAGTCATAGGAGAACACATGACAAAAACAATTCATCACAAAATAAGAGATGACTTGCTTCTCCGATTTGTAGTATAAACAAATCAAACAGTTTTCCAAAGTGAGATATGAACAAGTCATATTTTCTGAAAAAAATTTGAAGCTTGTCATAGTTGAAATATTTGAGAATCTCAGTGGGACTTAGTCCAAGGATATTTGCCACAAATTAAAACTACAGAATTCGGGTTGTAAAACTTTTAGCATTTCCACATGGCTAATAAAGAATCACTAAGTACTACTGAAACACCTATAAATCCTCCCCCTCATGCCCCAGTGGGCCCAAAGTTAGCCAGTTTTATAAAATTTAATTCCTTGTGTCAATGTTTTGTGAGGCATTTTTATTTTTTAGATGCAGCCTCTAAGTGTTGACTCTGTCTAAACATCTATCAAGTATAAAGGATGATTTGTTGAACTTAAAAGAAGAGAAGTCACCATGGTAATGAGAAACTTGTTGGAGCACATCATTGTTCTTAGCAACTACAACTCTTATCTGAGACACCTTTCTGAGAAAAAAATCACTCAATTATTCCCTTTATTAAGAGGTGCTAATGTTTTACTGAGAGAGAATTTTCAACAGTAGGTCCATCTATTTCTGCTACATATTATCAAATAAACATAAACATTTTTATGATTTATAAATCTTAGGACGTTTTTCAGAAAATGGTTAATAGATTAAGAAAACCATGCCCTAAAATGATAAATTTTTGAGAAGAACTAATTGAACAGATTTTCAGCAAACTACAACTCTTATCTTTCCCTTAGAAATATTATATAAAGAGGATTTCAAACCTTCACAATTACAAGTTTTTCTCTTCAAATAATTAAATGAAAAATTCTAAGGAATATTAGTGTTGTTGGTAGCCCTTAGATATTGCTCATTGTCTTTTAATATAATTTGAGGCTTAGGGAGTCATTAGGTACCACTGTTTACATCACCAACTGTATGATCAGAAATAATGATCATAGTTAAAAAGTACACCAACTTCTAGAAATTATAATAAAGTGCCAGATAGAGAGAAGGGAAATGGGAAGAAATGAAGCTTTAGCAGACAATTTTCAACAGCTGTTTTCCATAAATAATGTAAGCCTGCTAGTTTTTAATGCAGTATAACTTTTCATGAGCTGATTCCTTGCAGCAGTAATACTAATTAACCTTTTAAAGTCAGTTTTGTGTCCCAAACCAATAAAATTCAGTGGGGGCAGAGCAGTTTATCACCATCTCTGGTAGTTCCTGGGATGAATGAGGGTGGACCCCTGAAGGCAAAGGGGTAAGCAAGCAGACACTCAGCCTCAGCTCTCAATCCCCCACCTCTTGACAGTTGAGGAGAACAATTCTGGATCCACCTGATGCTCAGATGCAGCCTCTTCTGGCTCTCTGCTATTTTTCTCTCATTCTTATGTCGTTTTCACAAAGGTAGATAGAGTAATCTTTATGCAACATTAAATGGACTGCATATCTAAGTTCCTAAGTGTAAAACTCTTCTGTAGCTTCTCATTACCTTTCATATAAAATGCAAAGCCTTTGTCTTGGCTTACAAAATTCTCTACAATTAATGACTGTCACCTTCAGCAGCAGCTGCCCTTTGCCCACAAGGTTCCCATTGCATCTCCCTCAGATTCCTAGAACTACTAAGCAAGCTCCTCCCTCACACAAGTTGTTCTTTCTACCCAGAACAATCCTTCACTCCTGCCTGGATGGTGCCTGCCAACCTTTAGATTTCAACAAGCCCACTTTGTTTTTTAACCCTGCTGTTGAACATATTTATTTTCTCCCAAAGCCTTTATGAGCTCTGGTTATGTATTTAATGGGTTATTGTTTTCTGTTTTGTATCCCCAGTGTATTATATACTCCTTAAGCCCAGGAACTGAGGCCATATTTCTTAGAACATGTCTAGAAGAGCAAGTGGCACATACTGGATACTCAATTAAGAAATATTTGAATGCATAAATGAATATTTGTGGATCTATTCTGATGATGTTGGCTTCTTAGGGACATTATTACAAGATGCAAAAACTAGTTGAGATATAAAGCATTTAATTAAGTGATTCAGATGCCTGGCAGCTGTTTTGACTGATTTTTATAAACATCTTTACTGAGTTGACAGATTTGGATTGAAGAGATCCATCTGTAAGCTCATCTAGATTTCCAAGGCTCCATATATATTATCTTGCCTCTGTTTCCTTCTCACTGATTTACAGGATGCTACATGAGAACATTCTTATCCAGAATGTTGGGTATACTTATTTAGACACCTTTCTGAGAAAAAAATCACTCAATTATTCCCTTTATTAAGAGGTGCTAATGTTTTACTGAGAGAGAATTTTCAACAGTAGGTCCATCTATTTCTGCTACATATTATCAAATAAACATAAACATTTTTATGATTTATAAATCTTAGGATGTTTTTCAGAAAATGGTTAATAGATTAAGAAAACCATGCCCTAAAATGATAAATTTTTGAGAAGAACTAATTGAACAGTAAAAGGATCCTCTCTTCCTTGTTTATATGAATAATTTTTTTAGGGAACAAAAGGAAAAAAAAGGAATAAGATGAGGAACAGCCAGAGGTCCCTCACTATCTCACCCTCATCACTCCTCACGTATGTGACCCAATGTCCTGGGTTTAGTACCAAAAATTCCATATCCCAAGATATCCTTCAGTTGTAGGCAAACCAAGACAGCAGTTGCTCACCCCATAAGGGAGGTCGAAGTGTTGAAGGTGTGTGTGTGGTATGCGAGTGGAAGGAGGGTGAGAGAGAAGAATACTGCATAGCTCTGGGAAGGGAAGGCAAGGGTCTTCCACCTGCGTGAGAGCTCTGAGCATGAATAGTAGATTTAAAAATAGCACATTGAGCTAATCACAGTGCCAGAGATGTGCTGTTGATGACAATAGGCTGTGGGGTCTGGAAGGACAGAGTGCCCACAACTAGGATGCGGATGGCGACCCACTTAAGAGGCGCTTTTATCTTAGTCTTCAGTGTGAGGTGACGACCTCTAAGTGGGATTTTGGTGACCCTAGTTTTCACTTTCAAATAAAATTACTGACTTGATAGTTCCAATATTAATTTCTGTTCAGAAAAATTGCTATTTCTGCTTCCTAGTTTCCTGTGATTAGTTCAGTGTGTTATTTTGAAATCTGTTCTTCAATCTCAAAAAACTAAAAAAATCTGTCATGAGTTCACATCTCAGCTGCATTGGAAATTGTTATAAAAATGATGGGTAGATCTCAAGTGAGCATGTTATGGTGTGTAATGATTAGAAGATGAACTATAAGAAAACTTGTTTTGACATTAATATTCTTTAGAAAAAGAAATCAAAATGAACAATACTATAAAAATCTCCCAAGTTGAATGTTATTCATGTAACCCATAAAGTATTAGCAAAATGTTCTCATTTAGTAAACTATGATTGAATTATTTCAATACCTTTTTTTCTGAGCTCATCTTGACCTGAAAAGGAAACCATTGTGTTAAAAAATTATCCCCTAAGACAAAAACTGTTTATGGTTCTCTTTTATTTAAATATTGTATAACTCAAATGACCCACTAGCAATAAAACAAATAAAAGTGGGCAAAAGAATAATCCTAAGTGAACTAATGCAGGAACAAAAAACCAAATACTGTGTGTTCTCACTTATAAGTGGGAGCTAAACACTGAGCACACATGAACATAAACTTGGGAACAGTAGACACTGCAGACTACTAGGGCAGGGAGAAAGGCAAATTTGGGTTGAAAAACTACCTATTGGGTACTATACTCATTACCTGTGTGCAATATACCCATGTAACAAACCTGCATATGTACCCTCTGTATCTAAAATTTAAGTTGAAATTTTAAAAACTGCAACAAATGGGCAAAGGATTAAAAAAATTTCTCAAAAGAAGACACACAAATGACTGGCAGGTATATAAAGAAAGGCTTAGCATCACTAATCATCAGGGAAATGAAAATTAAAACTGTAATGAGACATCACCTCACACCTGTTAAGATGGCTATTACCAAAAAGACAAAAGATAATTAGTACTGGTGAGGATGTGGAGAAAAGGGAGCCCATGTACACTATTGGTGGGAATGTTATTACAGCCATTATGGAAAACAGAATATTCTGTGGCTCCTCAAAAAAATAAACCTAGAATTATCGCATGATCTAGCAATTCTACTTCTATTTCTAAAGGAAATGAAATCAGTATGTGGAAGAGATATCTGCACTCTCAAGTTTACTGAAGCATTATTCACAATCATCAAGATACAGAATCAACCTAAGTGTCCATCAACAGGTAAATGGATAAAGAAATGTGTCCTGGCTGGGCGCGGTGGCTCACATCTGTAATCCCAGCACTTTGGGAGGCAGAGGCAGGTGGATTGCTTGAGGTCAGGAGTTTGAGACCAGCTTGGCCAACATGGTGGAACCCCGTCTCTACTAAAAATACAAAAATTAGCCAGGAGTGGTGGTGGGTGCCTGTAATCCCAGCTACTTGGGGGGTTGAGGCAGGAGAATCACTTCAACCCAGGAGGCTGAGGTTGCAGTGAGCCAAGATTGAGACACTGCACTCCAGCCTGGGTGACAGAGTGAGATTCCATCTCAAAAAAAAAAAAAAAAAAAGAAAAAGAAAAAGAAAGAAAGAAAGGTGTCCTATATACCCAATGAAATATTATTAAGCCTTAAAAAAGAAGGAAATCTAGTCATTTGCCAAAACATGGATGAAACTGGAGGACACTATGTTAAGTGAAATAAACCAGGCATAGAAAGCAAATACCGCATGATCTCACTTTTACATGGAATTTGAAAAATTTGAGAACATAGAAGCAGAGAGTAGAATTGTGGTTACTAGGGACTGGTGAGAGGGATATGGGGAGATGTTGGTCAGAGCATACAACATTTCAGTTAGACAGGAGGAATAAACTCAGGAGATCTATTGTGGGTAATGGTAACTATGATTAAAAACAATGTACTGCCTACTTGAAAATTACTGAGAGCAGATTTTAAATGTTCTTGCTACAAAAAAACAATATGAGGTAAAGGATATGTTAATTATCTTGATTTAGTCATTTCAAAGTGTATACATATATTAAAAATCATGTTGTAAACTGTAAGTATATACAATATTATTTCTCAATTGAAAAATAAAATTAAATAACAAAGACTGCATAAAAAGTAGAGCATTATATAACAGATAGCTAAAGCACAGACAGTAAAATAATATTCTTATCTATTGAATAATCCATGAGGATTAACTGAGTGTTTGGTATATGTTTAGAGTCCTTAGGATGTTTATACATAAAATATGTCCACAAATACGAAGTTGGTCTTACAGAACTGGGGATAGTACCTCTGATATCGTTTGAGTGAATTGCTAGTTACATACCACCAAAAGCTGTAAGTAAATGGATTTTCTTGGCTCTGTTCTCTCCCACCCACAACCTTTTTTGGAGGAACATTCATTAACTGTATCAAGAATTTCAAGTTGAGGGAGCCACATGTCTTAAATTTTTCTTTACATCCTTAACTGACAAAGTTAATATATTCAGATCATAAAGCCAAGTTGGGTTTAGGTTCAGTGATTCAGTGAGTTATGAATTACTGACACCCAGCTTTGTTTTGGTCCACTGGGAAATTTTCTGTCAAAAATGTCCACTTCAAGACTCTAGGACAAAGATTAGTCAACAAATTTAGAGTACTTATTATGAGTACTTATTAATAAATACTTACTGAGTGTCTACAAAGAACTTAAAATGGTTTAGCTGAGGCAATTATTGCAATAACCTGGTGAAGTAGATTCTCTTATTTTCCCTTCCCAATTTTACTGAGGAGGAAACTGAAGCTCAAAGAGAATCTCTCATGCAAGCAACGTCATACAACTAGTAAGTAGCAGCTCCAGAATTCAAACCCTGATACTCCTGTCTACTCCCCAAAACTCCCCAGTACACCACTATCTTGCTCTTTGCCACTCACTACATCCTTGGGCTTTCCAGAAATGCCCCTGGTCAACTATTTCTTGCTCATCTTCTACTCACGCCAAACATGCTGTTGAGCCCAATCAACCTTCACATTATTTTCTAAACTTGCCATGTGTATTCTTATTTCTGTGTCTTTCTTCATATATTTTGAACATCTGGTTCTCCTAACTATATTTCCTGCACAGTGGCCTCTAATGAAGCATTTCCTATTTATTTCTAATTGAATCTTACTGCTGTTTCCTTTCAACTCAAGCAGCATGGCTATGCTGATTTTATAACATGTATATTATTCCCCATGTTATGAGATCAATCTTAATATGGAACTTGGGGCTGCTTACTCTAACTCTTATTTTAGTCTGTCTCCTCCTCTATCCCTTCAGCCCAACTAGACAATAAGCCCCTTTCTGGCAGGGCTTTGTTTCACTATTCTTTGAGTTTACTAAGGTTAATATCATAGTGTTTTTTCATGTTTCAGGTGGTCCAATAAATGTCTGTTGAATTGAGTTTAATTAAATAGATAAGGAAGAACATTTAAGGTAATTTTTGTTCCCAATTGAACGCAACTCAAATGTACAGCCTAAGATTACATCTATTGAAGCCAGATAGGTGCTGTGGTAGCAAGCAGAACCCCTTGACTCCCTAGTTAAAGAAGATGGTTGATCCATCCACATTTTAGTGTGTGGCAAAACCACTGCACTTAGAAAATCAGACAAAATACACATATAAAAAGTATTGGCTGGTATTTAGTAAGAAAAATATTTCTAAAAGACAGACTATTAATATTATTCTGAGCAAAAATGTAGAACATAGAAAAAGAGATTGTCAGGCTTTTTCTTCACTCAAATAAATGTCAGAAAAATGTTAAAGGTTTGAGTTTCCTGATTCTGAAATAACACCTGAGTGGCAGAAGTCTTCAGAAAGAGGCTTTAATGGCCACCTATTAATAATAGAGCAAGCTATGGGGAGTATAAATGATCTGCGTAGGGTCACGGATTATCTTAGATGCGTATTCCAACACTCTGGCTCAGAATACTCTACTATTTTTAAAGGGATCAAACCATTCTTTTGGTTTACCAATAAAGAAGAGAGGTACATCTTATAACACAGATGGACAGACTGACTGGAAGTGAGGAGACAGGCAGAATCCCCCTCCCCCCTTTTTTTGATATAGTGTCCTGCTCTGTTGTCCAGGCTGGAGTGCAGTGGTGATCTTGGCTCACTGCAACCTCTGCCTCCCGGGTTCAAGTGAATCCCCTGCCTCAGCCTCCTGAGTAGCTAGAATCAGAGGCACCTGCTTGGCTAGTTTTTGTATTTTTAGTAGAGATGGGGTTTCACCATGCTGGCCAGGCTGGTCTCAAACTCCCGACCTCAGGTGATCCACCCACCTCGGCCTCCTAAAGTGCTGGAATTTCAGGCTTGAGCCACTGTGCCTGGCCCCACTATCTTATATAATGGAGGTAGAGGCAGTGCCGCTGCAAGACACTTTTGGTGAGCAGCCAGGCCCCAGCTCTGGATTGTAGTGGACAACTGCTGGGCTTAGGCTCTTGGCTCCAAGCAACAGACAAACAGACAAACTCTAAGTGGAGTAAATTACTAGTGAGCTCTTGAAGAATACATCCATCTTGGGCATGGAACGTCAGAGACAAATGACATGATTGGTCTATAACCAAAGGCAGGCTTCCTTCAACATTGGTTGATACTTCTGAAATGCAAGCCCACCCAGAACAGTTTGCCAAAATCTAGGCATCTACTTTCCTGAAGTTATATTTTTTACATTCTAATTATTATGATTAATTTTTTTTTCAGAAAGGGAGCTCAGCAGATTAACTAAGAGCATAGACTGTGAGCCAGATGTGTAGGTTTGAATCCTGGCTACACCATCTATCAACTGCTTGATTTTGGGAACTGAACTTCAGTCCTCTGTTTCCTCATCTGAAAAATACAACATATAACTATATCTAACCCATAGACTTGTTTTGAGAATAAGATGAGTGTATTACCAAAAAACATTTAGAAAAGTACCTGACATATTTGTTGTTAGCACTCAACCACTCAATAATGCTATTATTATTGTTTTTGTTTATGTGACTACTACTGCTTAAACTATACACAGCATAGGTGGCAATAGCTATGTTTTGAGGTTTCTGTCTCTCCCATGAGTTCTTTAAGAGCTGCCTTTGTCCTTACAGACTGCTGAATGAGTAGTCTAGGTGACCCTCTGATTTATTTTTTGCCTGCCCCATCTTTCCTTGGCTTCAGATGACTGGACCAGAGGCAAACACCTTGATGCAAGGCCACCTCGTCCATTGGTTGGCCATGAACGATCAAGTCATTTTGGGAAAAAGCCATCTAGAATCAGGGCCAAAGTCAGCCCTAGATCACAACAAAGTCACAAAGTCATGTGCTAACTGAAATTATGAGAACTGAAACCATCAGGAAGATGGCAGGGAAGGGGAGGGAGAGAAAGGAGAACAAAAAGAGAGAAAAGAAGACGAGAGAAGACAAGGCAAGAGGGGAGAAGAGAAGGCAACACTTCAGCTCCTGAAATTTTCTCTTTCTAGCTCTAGTCTTTGTAAATCTGGACTTCATGCAACTTTCCTTTTCAATAATTGCTGCTTGTTTACTTCAGCTTGTTTGCATGATTTTAGTTCTTTCACCCTAACATATTATAGTATCATAGAAGTATATACAGCATAGGGGCCCCCAATTAGTAGATAGGACCCGAAAATTTTATTTGGTGGCTCTCTAGGCCAGGTATTGCCATTTATCTCCCTCTCATTGTATTGATTGGTTTGGCTTGATTTTCTGGAGGGGAAAGGAAGGTAGGGCCAGCCAGCCCTCAATTTCCTTTGAAGTTCTAATTAGGAACTTTTCTGTCACCTCTGTCCTTTTCTCTATCACTCTGACTTTTCCCCAAATTTTCAAGGTCCTGGAGGAATAAAATGTGCCTTTCCTCATATAAAGACCTCTCTCTCATGATCTTGAGACACGTTCACAAAAATGATAACTCTCATGTTCAGAGACTTTTGAGCACATGAACAATTAATATAAACCAAATTGTCCATTATACTAGGCTCTATCAGTCCAAGGCAATCCAGAGTGTTTCAAAGACAAAGAGTTCCACAAAGTACTGATTGACATTAGTGAAAAACAGGGGTCCCATACTTAAATAAATTTGGCATGAGTTTAAACAAAGACAAGCTGGACTTTGAGAGATCCTAATATGCTACTGTGCAGCAGGAATCTTTAAGAGAGAGGAGTGCATGCACCAGTTCCCAAGAGGCCACGTTTTTATGGGGCATAGTGACACAGGAAACTCAGTTTGGAAAGTTTCATCTAGATCAATCATTCTCAGCTGCATACAGTCTGTTCCCCCTGGCCCTCACACCTTTCCCAGGAATATTTGGCAATATCTGGAGACATTTTTGGTTGTTACAACTAAGGGGTGCGGGGTGCTATTGCGTCTAGTGGGCAGACAGTAAGGATGCTGCTAAACATCCTACAAGACACAGGACAGCCCCCCTAGAAAAGAAACACCTGGCCCAAATGTCAATAGTGCTGATGTTGAGAAATCCTGATCCAGGGTATAGTAACTTGAAGGGTGGAGTGGGAGGGAGTGGGCGGCAGGCTTCTTGGGCATGTCCTTCCTTCCCAGGGCAAAACACATTATGAAAAGGGAGCTCCTGGCCGCGCATGGTGACTCATGCCTGTAATCTCAGCACTTTGGGAGGCTGAGGCAGGCGGATCACGAGGCCAAGAAATCGAGACCATCCTGGCCAACATGGTGAAACCCAGTCTCTACTAAAAATACAAAAATCAGCTGGGTGTGGTGGCATGTGCCTGTAGTCCCAACTACTCAGGAGGCTGAGGCAGGAGAATCGCTTGAACCTGGGAGGTGGAGGTTGCAGTGAGCCGAGATCATGCCACTGCACTCCAGCCTGTGTGACAGAGCAAGACTCCATCTCAAAAAATAAAATAAAATAAAATAAAATAAAATAAAAATAAAAATAAAAAAATGGTGGGGGGGCTCCTAAATCCCCCAGAATCTGTTCCAGATTAAGTTCTCTGTAGGTTTTTGATGGTCTCAGTTTAACAAAAAGCTTTTTCATGTCTTACAGTGTTATTACATTCACACTTTTAAAAATATTTCAAATTTACAACAGAAAAGGGAAAGTAAGGGTGAAATAAGTATTGGTATTTTTTTCTGGCTTAATGCTTTCTCAAGATTTATTCAATCTAATTTATTTCTACCACACACCATAGAAGATAAGCAGCAGCAGAGGAAATTTTGAGGACTGTCTGCTCCCTAACTCCTCCCTGCATCAGATCTCCCTTCAGCACCCTGGGCTCCTCTCCAGTTCCCTGGCCTCTCTTCTGGGACATAGAACTCATTCCTGTGGATGTGTAAGAACGCTGATGCCTTATTCCTCCATGGCCAGGGAATATGTTCATGATACAGGAAGAGGACAAGAAAATGAGCATTCATGTGGAAATATTAGACATCTCTCTAGGTGGGTATTTCAGTACAGGGTCTACCCATCCCCCTTCAAATCTGCCCTGTAAGTGACTGCAGAAGTTGAAACTTCCAACACTTGAGGCTCCATCTTAGAGGCATCATTCCTCATTTGGAAACATCATTGCCAGAGGCAGAAATGGCCCAGCAAGTAAACTTTTTTTGGGGGGGTATATAAAATCAATTATTAAATAAAATATTGCAGAAGACTGTAGTTATATAGGAAAACTTTTTGAATTTACTTAACAATGAGATATGAAAGGGAAGAATTCAATTCTACCCCCGTGGAACTGACAATAGGAAAAATGTTCTCCCTTTCAGACTTGAGAAGGTTTTACTGCTAAGATCTGCGGATGGAATAATCAGGCTGAATACAAACATGCTTTTCTTCTCCGATAGTGCTTAGGAAGCAGTGGTACTTGCACAACTGTTTGTAAGGGGGAGTGAAGTGAGTTGTCATCTCATAGTAATCTGCCTCTCTCTATCATCGGCACAGTTCCTATTTTTTATTCCCCTCCGGCTTGCTTAGATTTTCTTTTGGTTTATTCTCCTGAAAAGTCTTAGAGAGCATGAGCTAATATCAACTAAATCGTAAATATTTAAAGGCAGGCACAATATCTGGTAGTTACTGGGTTATGACCATGTAATGCTTGGTGTGAAACCTGAATTGTTTTTACTTTGTATTAGGAATTAATACCTATTACTAAACCTGTATAAATAATAAAGTGGCTGGGAAAAAGACATAAAATGAGAAATTGCTACCATAGAAACTACCAATGTTTCCACACTGTCACTGTGGTATAAAAGAGCTCCGTTTTTAATAATTTACCATTAAAAATGAATTTTCTCCAAAAGACCACTTCTATAGTAATATCTCAATTCCCCAAGATTATCTATCAGAGATAAAAACCAAAGCTGCCTAATATCCACAGTCTAGGGAAGAATTCAATTAGCAAATTCATGTGTGAGGCTCTGCTTGCACTAGAAATTCTAGTTTAGGTGAGAATTTTGGTACTGATTATGATTTTTAGTAGCATCTATGTCCCTCATGAATCTTAACATTTCAAGCCAGATTTATTTTTATGTGTTAATATTCAAGTACAAGATCTTACATAAATAACTATACAAGCAAGACTGGATGTGAAAACAGACATACAATAAATGCACTTGTCATTTTCTATTGGTTGGAAATTTTTTTTTTGACAGTACTTAAAGTTTAGTCAGTGTGCCTGTGTGTGTGTGCGTGATTGTGTGTGATTATGTGTACAGGTGAGGCACACATGACACAGGAAAAAGTCTGCTATGCTTTAAATCTTTAAGTTCTTAGCATAGACAAATACATTTCTCATTAAAAATAACATTTTCTAAAATTTAAATATTTAAGATGGAATCTGCTATTTTCTGGGAGATTTAAGGAATATTTATTTGGGAAAAACTCAGGAAAATTACTCACTATGGAAGCCATTTGATCAATTTTGTTGGATTCTTTGTTGTGATTTTTTTTTTAAAAGAACAAAAAGCATGAACCTTTTTATTTGGGAGAAAAGAATCAATAGTTATTTAAGCTTTTAAAAATAAGAGGCAAAATATCCTTGAAGCCAGACTGTATAAGCAGTCAAGCTATATACCCTTTATAATTAGAATAGACATCCCTTATAACTGAGAAGTCTTTCCTCATGCCTAATCTAAATATATCTTGTTGCCAACTCTGGCTATTTCTTATTTTGCCTCAGTGGAAAAAAATAGATCTGCATTTTCACTGCAGCATTTTTTATTTTTATTTTTTACTTTTTGCTAAAAAGCCATTATTAAGATGTTCCTTTTGGCATCTCTTCTCTTGACTAAATAACTTCAATCTGTTTATCTTTTTTTAAATTAACAGTTCTATGTTCTGGTTCTTGTATTATTATTGTAACTTTCTCTCTATATCTTTTTTGAAAGTGCAGGGCCATAGAAAAGGCAACCTTCTCTACTGAGAGGTGAAGAGAGCCAGACAGCCAGAAGTGTTTATTTGGTCTGGGTTTTGCATGTTTCCTTTGAGTAGGAGACTTGCTGGGCCTGCATTCTTCCAAAGGCTCCCACCTCCACCCCAGGTATAATACATTACTGCCCGAGCCCCCTGGCTTGAGACCCGAATGTAAGGATCCAGCCAATGGCAATTCCATGGCCACCAGTGGCTAGAAAGCCCCCATCAACTTAGCCTTATAAGACAAGCTCCTTAGCAAAGAAACCAAGATCTACTCTTTAGCTCTTTGAGGGCTCGATGCTTCTTTTGTCATAGCAATGGGAGTTTTCCTGTTTAATTTGTTCCTTGTTATAAATTTAAATTTAAATTTATATTTTCACATCTAAAATGGGCAAGAGAGAACTCTACGGCATGCTAGATGTGTCAGGGGGAAGGTGGAATCTTGAAGCATGAGACCAGTCCTCCTTATTGGCACTGAAGAGGTTGAGTTCACAGGGTGGCCTGCTTGTGAAAGATAGCCCTTTGTTGAGCTTTGTTATTTCTTCCCTAAAGTACTCCCTTCTGGTAGTTTAATAAATTAAAACATTGGCAGGCTAAAAATCATCTTCCTTCACCAAGAAAATAAGCCCATGTATCCTTCATAGCTTTTCTCTAGTACTGTTATTCTCTTTTATCAAGTTCCTCATTACTTTCTTCCCCAGCTTAAACTGAGTAAGCGCTCCAGATGCTATCTGCATATGCCATGGTTTCTTTATTCAAAGTTGTTATGCCCATATGAATAAATCCAAGCCTCTGACCTTCAAATACAAGGACTCCATTGGTGGGGGTTCAGGACATTCTACCCCAAAGCATGTCACCTTGGTATTTGACAAAACAGCCTAAGCAGCAAGGTTACTCTTACCTTTCCCTCCCTCATATCCCCTGAAGCAGATCCTAAGTTCCTCATTCCAGAGGTGCCCTCCCTACACCTGGAGGAAAGGAACATCCTTATCTTTGATGACACACAGACCCAGAGAAGAATCTGAACAAACACGCCTTGTTAAGTTCCCCCAGTTTGTTACCATTAGGTCATTCCCTTTTGTCCTCCAATCATATTTCTCAGGACTGTCCACTCTTTATCAAACCTAAGCATAAAAATACACAACTTTACCTGTTTCATTTCTTTATGAAGGCTCTCATGTCATGAAAACTTACATTAAACGAATCTGTAAGCTTTCCTTGTTAATCTGTCTTTTCTTACAGGGGCCTCAGCCGTGACTCTAAGATGGGAAGAGAAGATATTTCCTTCCCCTACACTGTTTAAAATGTCTACAGATTTCACATGAGAACAGATAGACTTTACACAACTGTTGGTTAAGAAAACCCATAACAAAACACTACTGAAATGTGGTAATGCCTTGGAATGAATTTGTATTTTTCTAATCACAATAGTGTCTGTATACTTTTGAAAAGCAGCTGCATACATATGTAGGATACATAATACTGATTTTCTACAGTTAAGAGTGGACCCAGGACTCACACACCCCATGCCACAACTCAAAGTCTCCCATTGGTCCTCAGAATACAAATGGGAACCACTGCTCTAGGGAGTAGTTACGTTGACATGGTGCCACTTACTACCGTAAACTCTCATGATGATCTAGTGGCCTTGAAGATGTATTTTAGGTCTGAATTTCTGTAATTTTATCACAAGGGCTAACTTGAGAGTTCCCTAGTCTTGTTTAGCATCAACACTGCCATTGATTAAAATCTTACTGAAATCTACTTGTGGTGAAAAAATAGAAATTGGAAAGATACACCTAAAATTTCAAGCTATTATCCCAAATATTTTGAGTTATTATTTTTATCTAAATTAAATTAGGCTTAATGTATATATCATAAATGAGAATGCAGAAGTATGCACCATTAAAAAAACTTTCATTTTAAGTTCAGGGGTACATGTGCAGGTTTGTTACATAGGTAAATTTGTGTCATGGGGGATTGTTGTACAGATTATTTCATAACCCAAGTATTAAGACTAGTACCCATTAATTATTTCTCCTGATCCTCTCCCATCTCCCACCTTCCACTCTCTGAAAGGTCCCCATGTCCTTTTAAAGGAAGTTAATAAAGTCTTCCAAGTAATAATATAGAATTCAAATAACACCATTGTGATTATCTCTGAGCATCTATTTAAAAATATTTCTGCCTATCTAATGTTTTTAAATACAACAAAGATAGCATTGGAGAACTTTTTTATTTGATACAACGGTCATGAAGATTCATTCCTTTTATGTGTCTAACATTGTGCTAGACTTAAAAGAAAATAAATAATCAAATGAAACTCATCAAGCACTTCTTTGGGATTGTGATTATTATACTAGGAGAATGCCAGATTCAGAAAAATTTGACAATTTGCCCATGGTCACCAAGCTAAAATATCCCATGACTTGAATTTAAACCCAAATTAGTATGGTAACAAAGCCTGAGCATTTTGCATTACACAAGGCTAGAAACCTCTCTGATAAATGAACCAAAAAGGAAAACAGTAGTTGTCAGTGCTGGTAAATCACAAACAGCTCTGACACTAAGCAAGGAGGACCCTGGATTAACAAGAAGGTGAAAAGCTTTATTCTCTAGTGGAAGTATCTATAAATTCAGTAAACAGATCTAATCCATCGATGCTTACTACGAAAAAGTTATGAATTAATATGCCCATTAAGTTTTTTTTTGATTTACCTATATGTACATAGCCCTGTGCTACCACCACACATAATGCCCTCCAAGTAATTAACTATTTTCAGTGACAGTGAGTATACTGGATCCTATCCAAGCTTGATCTGCCAACATTTGGGATGACAATGGCATTGATTAAGGGAAACACTCCAATAACTCATCAGGTATGAATCTGCTTGCTCTTGTACTTTTATCCCCCAATCTCTTTGTCTCTTGGTTGTTAGTAACTAGAACGCTTATATATTTGAAGCTTGCAGTGAAGAATGAGAGCAGAAATGTGCACTGCCAAAGGGGAAATCAGAAAATAAATGGGCAAGCCTCCAGACCACAGAAGCCATCAGCAAAACTGCCAGTTCAGAGGTAATGCAACTTTAGTGGTGAAAGAGTACAATATCTTTAAAGAAGAAAAACTGCTAAAAGGAAAATGCTATCTTGGCAAACAAAATAAAAAACTTTGTCTTTACTCCGGATTTGGACACACCATAAAAACATAGGATGTTCTTAGTTCTGCACACTTGCATTAAACACTTAATCCTAATGCACACTCACTGACAGCTACCATGCTGGCCCCAGTGATGCCTTCTCCTGCCTGGATTTCTCAACAGCATCATAATTGGATTTTCTGCTGTCATACATACTCAACAGTTATTCATTTGTCATCTCCTATTTGCCAAGCACTATTCTAGGCATTGGTCTTACTACTCAGCCCCTTCCCACTTGTCTTAAGTCAGTTTGGGCTACTTAACAAACCACCATAAACTGGTGGCTTGCAAATGATGGAAATTTACTTCTCACAGTTCTAGAGGATGAAAATCTAAGATCAGGGTGTCAGAATGGTGGGGTTCTGGTGAGGCCCCCTTCCGGGTTGCAGACTACCAACTTCTTATTGTAACCTCACATGGCGGAAAGAGAGGCTAGCTAGCTCTCTGGCCTCTTTTCATAAGGACATTAATAACATTCATCAGGGCTCCACCCTAATGGCTTAATTACCTTCCAAAGGCCCAATCTCTTAATACCATCACATTGGGAGTTAGGATTTCAACATAAATTTGGGGTTGGGTGTCATAAACATTCTGTCCTTTGCACCACTCTTTCTCCATTCCGTACATTTAAGCCAGGAGGATTCTTCCAAAACATAAATCTCGTCTTGTCATTTTCTTGCTGTAAAGCCTTCATCGGCTTTCCATTGCCCTTGGGATACAGTTAAAAACTTCTTGGTTAGTATAGCTAACAGAGCTGTTCACAGCCTGACCTGGGCTTCATCTGGAGTCATAGGCACAGGCCCTGTGTGTGAGCTTCTTTGCTCAGGCCTCTCTTTCACTTATCCTCCCTTGCAAGTGTCTAAAACAACATGTATCTTCCATTTATGGGTTCTTGTGGTGGTCAGCTGATATGAAGCTGATAAATCCCTATACCTGTTTCCGTGCTGCTCATAGAGTGAGTACCAAGTCAGATTCATGCTTCCCTCTTTATATATAAATTGATACCTATGTTCACTTTTATCCTCTTTCGGTTTCTTCTTTATGTAGTTATCCAGAGACACAGCAACAAAATTTAGAGTGCAAGGGTATTTGAGTTAGAAGAGAAGGAGGTCCAGGTAAGAAGTGATAAAGTATGGGTAAAGAATAGTACACAGAAGTCAATAATTTATCAGCCACACACACACACACACACACACACACACACACACACACACACCCCCCTACCTTTCCATTCTATAAGAGTTACTATAATTGAAAAGGTTTAGGTTTATGAATGTGTACACACTAATGGCTAATCGGGTGAAGAATGATAGGTAAGAGAATGGTCCATAGGCAGCAGTAGAAAAAATGCAATTCTTATAATATTCAATATAAGCATTATATGCACTGGCAAATGTTTCCTTTTCTACCCCTCACTGTGTTAACACTGAACAAATGTAAACTGTATCATTTTATTTCCTCAACTATAAGATGAGAAGGTTAAAAGAATTCAACTTAAAGGTCCTGTCCAGCTCTAAACTTAGCAATTTGGAATTTCCTTGGAAATTTGTGAGAAATAAAATCATAATGAATCCCAGAACTTAATATTATAAATAATAATCAGATTATCATTATGGTTAAATAGTATTCCTGCAATTTAGGTGTATTCACAAACTGGTGGTAGTAATGTGTTTGTAACCGTGCAATTCAAGTAAAAAAAATAACTGAGTTGCATTTGATAAAGGGATGCATATATTTTGATAAAGGGATGACTTCATTTTATCAATGGATATATAACTCCACATTAAAGAAAGTCAGTCACATTCAAGAGCAAGGAACAACCTGGAACTGTTCTCACTGATTATCACATTTTGTTTTATCCAGTAAAAGTGGGTTGATGTCTAAATTTTGGCTGGGAGGATGTCCAAAATCTTTAATCTCACTTAATGTAAAATTGCCTGTGATTAACAGTTTGAAACATTTTATTTTCTGCCTTAGATACAGTCAGTCTATTAATTTAGAAATCTCCCAGATATTCCTTTAGGTATCTGCTTTGAATTCTGTCTTCTATATTAGGAAGCTAAGAAACCTCCAAATAGGCACATGATGAGTGAGGGTCTTATCTTTGAACATTGTTGCTTCCAGTCTTTGGGTTTCCATTAGGTTTCAAGAGTTCTAGAAAACATCCTCTTGAACTGCTTAGCTCTCTTCATGGTTCTTGAGGCCCCAGCTCTGGACCAGAGCCTCAATGCAGGCTGTCTCCCCACCTAAACCACTACAAACATTACCTTATCCTAGCCTCTAACCATGGAAACAAGCTAATGTTGGTCAAAGATCATTATTCTCACTTTGGAAAAATTTAACGCTTAATTTCCCGTCATATTGATCAAGAAAATAGTTTGGGGACTCTTCACACGTTATCCTCTGATTAAATTTTCTCTTTAATTCTTGTTCTTTCTCTGCTATTACTGCTTCTGTTTTCTTTATTTTTAAAACTTCACTCAGTATCACACCTCATCTCTCTTCTGTCTGCCCCAAAGCTATTTTCTCTAGAGAACACTATCAGTTTTTGTCTATTTCTCACAGCCATTAAATCTTATTACCTATAACTTTTCCCCTTACACCTACATTTTTCTTTCAAGTGAAATAAGATCTTTTATTTGAAAACTTCCCCGTTGTTTCAATTTTAAAATAACTGAGGATTTAGAATATCACAAAGATGATCATAAAGTAAGGTCTGTGTTAGGATTTTTCTATTTTAGATATTTGATTTCATAAGAATATTAAATTATATGCATATATTTTTAATTGTAGAGAGTGAGGAATATTTGTAAAATTAGATGCATTTTTTGCAATTTATAAAAAGAAATTTGAACATTGGAGTAAAGCACAGGTGGCATATTCAAATTAGCAGATATCTTTAATTTTAAAAAAGAAGAAAGAAATATTTATAAGAATTTCTTCAATTCATTTGATTCTCTTCCAGGCTACCAAATTAAACTATCCTGAATATCATCACATATCAATTTACAGAACTTTGCTTCTACAGCACGAAATTACTTCCTCCATTTCTTTGATATCCTGGTGTTGAATAATTCACTATGGCTTGTTGCTTCTAGCCCTATTCAAAAGTCTTTTCAAGTTCCAAAAAGGTTTTCTTAATTTTAGAAGGTCCATATGTTTAGCTTCTGTTAATAAGTGCTCTCTGGAGACATAGTTAAATGGATATGAAAAATCTGCCTGTGGATGAAGTATATTCTTTGACATATTTTTAAATGTCTGGGGAAAATAAAGATCAAAATTACAAATTACAAATTTTATTGTTTATATTTGAGTTTTACAAAATGATGTTATAGGATACATATAGATAGCAAAAGAGTTACTATAGTGAAGAAGATTAACATATCTATTATCTCGCATAATTACTTTTTTTGTGACAAGAGCAGCTAAATCTATTTGTTTAACAAAAATTCCAAACACAACGCAATTTTATTACCTTTAGTTCTCATGTTGTACATTGGATCTCTAGACTTGTTCATCCTACATATCTGCTTTTTGTATCCTTTGGTGTACATCTCCCCATGTTCTCCCTCTCTCCACCTATGGTAACCACTCTTTCATTTTCTATTTCTGTGTATTTGAGCTCTTTTTAAATGTTCCAAATTTTCAAGGTATATGTCATTGAAAGACTAGTAGAAAGCAATTTAGGAGATCTGTCTAAAAATAACACTGTGGCAATGTTCCTATATATTAAAATTTCAAGGGTTATGATAATTATTGTCATGGTTCATTGTATGTGCTAATTTCTTAAGAAAAGAAAAGCCTGTATCTCCACTGATGTCACAGCATGATAGTGGTTAGAAATAATTAACAGAAAAAGGCACCACTAAGTTTTTATTCTCTTAATGATGTGGATTTGGAACATTACATCTTTTAAGTGACCTCCTTCTCATTAAAAAAAAGTACCCAAACTCACTTTTATAAAAAGTCTTTAGTGGGATTGCTTAGAAACCTCAGCTAACCTATTTTGCCGATGAAGATTGGTCAGAATCTCTTCTCCAAGTAAAGTAAAATCATTTATACTGACTTGTCATAAACTGTGTTGAAAGCTTATTTTTAATAAAAATATAAGGTATAATAGTTAAGATGGTCTGTCATGTCATATGATTGATAGGAATGTCAAGGAAGAAAAGGAGATAGCCTAGGAGGAAATAAACACCAAGCTCCTTTTACTTATAGTAAGATAAATAGCCACAATTTTCATAGTAGAGAAAGGAAGGATTAATAAATTGTAGGACAAGTGGCTATTTATAAAGAGAAAATAATGTGAAGTCTTTGTATCACAGCATTAACCAAAAATACATTCCATATATATTGGAGCTAGTTGTAAATAATAAACCTCCAAACAGTCTAAATAAAAATATAAATGATTAGTTATAGAAAATCAATTTGAAGATGGACTTTTATTATTTATTTATTTGAATTTTTACCTTAGGTTCAGGGGTACATGTGCAGATTTGTTATATAGGTAAACTTGTGTCATGGGGGTTTGTTTTACTGATTATTTCATCACCCAAGTACTAAGCCTAGTATCCAACAGTATTTTTTCTGATCCTCTCCCTCCTCTCCGGGGGTAGACTTTTATAAGCATGCACAAGATAACACAGTTAAAGTAATAAACATTTGAAATTCTTACGTGATTCAAAGGAATACACTAAAATCTAAAAGGCACCATATAATCTAGATGGAAAAAAAGCACGGTCACCAATGTGACAGTCATTGACTACAAGATTCTTATAATCTTTAAGAAAAACATGACCCCAACTAGTAAATAAATAACATAATCAGAAAACTTCAGAAAGAAAATAATCCATCATGGCAAATGAGAGGCAGAACTAGACTGCAGCCCCAACTCTGATGGATGAAGCAGTGTGTGGAGGCTTATATCTTGAATTTTTGCCCCAGAACAACTGCAGGAATAAATCAGGAAACTCGAAAGGACCCACAGACCCTCTGAAGGAAGTGGATTGCTCCTGCAGGACCTGGAAGACACCCCAAATACCGTGTGTGCCCAAATGTGGAAGTGGGAAAGGGAGATCCTCCGCCCCTGAACACACATCCCCACTGGGGAAACTAAAGGCCTAGTTTGCAGGTGAAGATTCTGACCTTACCTGAAGCTGAGTCAATTTAGACAGCCAAGTGAAATACAGGGTTAGAGGAAGCAGCGGGAAAGGCCCTGGGAGCTTGCTGGGTCCCCAAGCAGGCCATCACTGCCTGGCACCATGGGGACCCTTCAGGAAGGAGGCCAGAGGCAGAGGGAAAGCACCACAGGGAAAAGGAAATCTCCAGCTGAAGTTTGTAACAATTTGAACTGGTCAAGAAGCCTCCTGATCAGAACTCAGGGGAGGGTGCAAATCCAGCGTGCAGACTCCACAGGCAGGGGAAGAACTAATGTCCTACTTTCTTTTGCGGCTAGGAGGCAGGTAGCCTGGGGCAAGTTCTCAGCCCTGCTTGCCCGCTGCCTGGAAACAGACTCAGTGCTGCTAGCAGGGGCATGGTGGGATTGAGACCGGCCCTTCAGATTGTGTGGAAGCTGGGTGAGGACTGTGACAGCAGGCTTTCCCCCACTTCCCTGACAATCTGCATGACTCAGCAGTGGCAGCCATAATCCTCCTACCTACATAACTCTATTAACCTGGAAACCTCACCCCCATCCCCCACAGCAGCCACAGTAAGACCTGCCCAAGGAGAGTCTGAACTCAGACATGCTTAGCCCTGCCCCCACCTGATGGTCTTTCCCTACCCACCCAGGTAACTGAACACAAAGGGTATATACTTTTGGGAGTTCTACGGCCCTGTCCACCACTGGTTCCTCTCCATACTGCCACAGATGATGCTCTCTGGAAAGTGCCACCTCCTGGCAGGAGGCCAAGCAGCATAAAGATAGAGCATTAAACCACCAAAGTTAAGAACGAGCATAGAGTCCATTTCACCCCCCTGACACCTCTACTGGAACAGGTGCTGGTATCCATAGTTGAGAGTCCCATAGATGGTTCACATCATAGAACTCCATGCAGACAACCCACAGTACTAGCCTGGAACCTGTGCCGACAACCCCCAGTACCAGCCAGGAGTGAGGTGACTAGACCCAGAAGAGAGATAACAATCACTACAGCTTGGCTCTCAGGAAGCCACATCCACTGGAAAAGGGGGAGAGTACTACATCAAGGGAACACCCCACGGGACAAAATAATCAGAACAACAACCTTCAGCCCTAGACCTTCCCTCTGACAGAGCCTACCCAAATGAGAAGGAACCAGAAAACCAACACTGGTAATATGACAAAACAAGGCTCTTTAACATGCCCCCGCAAAATCACACTAGCTCACCAGCAACGGACCCGAACCAAGAAGAATCCCTGATTTACCTGTAAAAGAATTCAGGAGGTTATTTATTAAGCTAATCAGGCAGGCACTAGAGACAGGTGAAGCCCAGTGAAAGGAAATCCAACAAATGATATGAGAAGTGAAGGGAGAAATATTCAATGAAATAAATAGCATAAATAAAAAAAATCAAAACTTCCGGAAGCATCGGATGCACTTATAGAAATGCAAAATGCCCTGGAAAGTCTCAGCAATAGAATTGAACAAGTAGAATAAAGAAATTCAGAGCTTGAAGATAAGGCGTTTGAATTAACCCAATCCAACAAAGACAAAGATAATAGAATAAGAAAATATAAGCAAAGCCTCCAAGAAGTCTGGGATTATGTTAAATGACCAAACCTAAAAATAATTAGCATTCCTGAGGGAGAAGATAAATCTAAACATTTGGGAAACATATTTGGGGGAATAATTGAGGAAAACTTCCCCAGCCTTGCTAGAAAACTAGACATACAAATACAAGAAGCACAAAGAACACCCTGGAAATTCATCACAAAAAGATCATTGCCTAGGCACATTGTCATCAGGTTATCTAAATGAAGATTATTAAAATGAAGGAAAGTATCTTAAAAACTGTGAGACAAAAGCACCAGGTAACCTATAAAGGAAAACCTATTAGATTAACAGCAGATTTCTAAGCAGAAATCCTACAAGCTAGAAGGGATTGGGGCCCAATCTTCAGCTTCTTCAAACAAAACAATTATCAGCCAAGAATTTTGTATCCAGTGAAACTAAGCTTCATATATGAAGGAAAGATCGTCTTTTTCAGAAAAACAAATGCTGAGAGAATCCACCACTACTAGCCACCACTACAAGAACTGCTAAAAGGAGCTCTAAATCTTGAAACAAATCCTGGAAACACATCAAAACAGAACCTCTTTAAAGCATAAATCTCACAGGACCTATAAAACAAAAATACAATTTAAAAAACCAAACAAAAAACCAAGGTACACAGGCAACAAATAGCATGATGAATGGAATGGTACCTCACATTTCAATACTAACATTGAATGTAAGTGGCCTAAATGCTCCACTTAAAAGATACAGAACTGCAGCATGGATAAGAATTCACCAACCAACTATCTGCTGCCTTTAAGACACTCATCTAACACATAAGTACCATTAAACTTAAAGGAAAGGGGTGGAAAAAGGCATTTCATGCAAATGGACACCAAAAGCAAGCTATTCTTGTATCAGACAAAACACATTTAAAGCTATTCTTGTATCAGACAAAACAAACTTTAAAGCAACAGCAGTTAAAAAAGACAAAGAGGGACATTATATAATGGTAAAAGGCCTTGTCCAACAGAAAAATATCACAGTCCTAAACATATATGGACTTAACACTAGAGCTTGCAAATTTATAAAACAATTACTAATAGCCCTAAGAAATGAGATATATAGTAACACAGTAATAGTGGGAGACTTCAATACTCCACTGACAGCACTAGACAGGTCATCAAGAAAGAAAGTCAACAAAGAAATAATGGATTTAAACTATACCTTGGAACAAATGGACTTAACAGATATATACAGAACATTCCATCCAACAACTGCAGAATACACATTCTATTCAACAGTGCATGGAACTTTCTCCAAGATAGACCATATCATAGGCCACAAACAAGCCTCAATAAATTTAAGAAAATTGAAATTATATCAAGCACTCTTTCAGACCACAGTGGAATAAAACTGGAAGTCAACTCCAAAAGGAACCTTCAAAACCATGCAAATACATGGAAATTGAATAACCTGGTCCTGAGTGACCACTGGGTCAAAAATGAAATCAAGACAGAAGTTAAAAAAATCTTTGAATTGAACGACAGTAGTGACACAACCTATCAAAACCTCTGGGATACAGCAAAGGCAGTGGTAATAGGAAAGTTCATAGTCCTAAAGGCCTACATCAAAAAGATGGTAAGAGCACAAACTGACAATCTAACGTCACACCTCAAGGAACTAGAGAAACAAGAACAAACCAAACCCAAACTTAGCAGAAGAAAGGAAATAACAAAAATCAGAGCAGAACTAAATGAATTTGAAACAAAAAATTACAAAAGATAAATGAAACAAAAAGCTGGTTATTTGAAAAGATAAATCAAATTGATAGACCATTAGCAAGATTAACCAAGAAGAGAAGAGAGAGAATCCAAATAAGCTCAATAAGAAATGAAATGGGAGATATTAAAACTGACACCACAGAAATACGAAAGATCTTTCAAGGTTACTATAAACACCTTTACGTGCATAAAGTAGAAAACCTAGAAGAGATGGATACATTCCTGCAAAGATACAACCCTCCTAGCTTAAAGCAGGAAGAATTAGCTACCCTAAACAGACCAATAACAAGCAGTGATATTGAAATAATAATGTAAAAATTACCAACAAAAAAGTCCAGGACCAGATGGATTCACAGCAGATTTCTACCCGACACTCAAATAATTGGTACCAATCCTGTTGACACTATTTCATAAGATAAAGAGGGAATCCTCCCTACATCATTCTATGAAGCCAGTATCACCCTAATACCCAAATCAGGAAAGGACATAACCAAAAAAGAAAACTACAGACCCACATCCCTGATGCACATAGATGCTAAGATCATCAACAAAATACTAGCTAACCGAATCTAACAACATATCAAAAAGATAATCCACCATGATCAAATGGGTTTCATACCAGGGATGCAGGGATAGTTTAACATATACAAGTCAATAAATGTGATACACCACATAAACAGAATTAAAAACCAAAATCACATGATCATCTCAATAGATGCAGTAAAAGCATTTGACAAATCCAGCACCTCTTTATGATTAAAACTCTCAACAAAACTGGCACATACAGGACATACTTCAATTTAATAAAAGTCATGTATGACAAACCCAGAGCCAACATAATACTGAATGGGGAAAAGTTGAAAGCATTCCCTCTTAGAACTGGAACAAGACAAGGATGCCCACTCTCACCACTCCTCTTCAACATAGTACTGGAAGTCCTAGCCAGAGCGATCAGACAAGAGAAAGAAATAAAGAACATCCAAATCATTAAAGAGGAAGTCAAACTGTCACTGTTTGCTGATGGTATGATTGTTTACCTTGAGAACCCTAAAGACTTCTCCAGAAAGTTCCTAGAACTGATAAAAGAATTCAGCAAAGTTTCCAGATACAAAACTAATGTCCACAAATCAGTAGCTCTTCTGTATACCAACAGCGACCAAGCTGAAAATCAAATCAAGAACACAACCCCTTTTACAATAGCTGCAAAAACATAGTTATGAATATACCTAACCGAGGAGGTGAAAGACCTCTACAAGGAAAACTACAAAATACTGCTGAAAGAAATCATAGATGATACACACAAATGAAAACATATTCCATGCTCATGGATGGGTAGAATCAATATTGTGAAAACAACCATACTGCTAAAAGCAATCTATAAATTCAATGCAATTTCCATCAAAATACCACCATCATTCTTCACAGAATTAGAAAAAACAATGATAAAATTCATATGGAACCAGAAAAGAGCCCACATAGCCCAAGCAAGACTAAGCAAAAAGAACAAATCTGGAGGCATCACATTACCTGATTTCAAACTATACTATAAGGCCATAGTCACCAAGACAGCATGGTACCGGTATAAAATAGGCACATAGACCAATGGGACAGAATACAGAATCTAGAAATAAACCCAGATACTTACAGCTAACTGATCTTTGACAAAGCAAACAAAAACATAAAGTGGGGAAAGGACACCCTATTCAACAAATGGTGCTGGGATAATTGGCAAGCCACATTTAGGAGAATGAAATTGGATCCTTATCTCTCACCTTATACAAAAATCAATTCAAGATGGATTAAGGACTTAAATCTAGGACCTGAAACTCTATAAAATCTAGAAGATAACATTGGAAAACCCCTTCTAGACATTGGCTTCGGCAAGGATT
This sequence comes from Homo sapiens, assembly GCF_000001405.40. Lineage (NCBI taxonomy): Eukaryota > Metazoa > Chordata > Mammalia > Primates > Hominidae > Homo > Homo sapiens. The sequence goes on along the minus strand of NC_000006.12, from coordinate 72,901,411 downwards.
TCATGACCAAGAAGCCAAAAGCAAATGCAATAAAAACAGAGATAAATAGCGGGGACTTAATTAAAAGAGCTTTTGCATGACAAAAGGAACAGTAAGCAGAATAAACTGACAATCCACAGAACGGAAGAAAATCTTCACAATCTATATATGTGACAAAGGACTAATATCCAGAATCTACAACAAACTCAAATAAATCAGCAAGAAAAATAAATCCCATCAAAAAATGGGCTAAGGGAAGGGGAACATCACACACCAGGCCCTGTTGTGGGGTCGGGGGAGGGGGGAGGGGGGAGGGACAGCGTTAGGAGATATACCTAAGGTAAATGATGAGTTAATGGGTGCAGCACACCAACATGGCACACGTATACATATGTAACAAACCTGCATGTTGTGCACATGTACCCTAGAACTTAAAGCATAATTAAAAAAATGGGCTAAGGACATGAATAGACAATTCTCAAAAGAAGATATACAAATGGCCAACAAACATATGAACAAATGCTCAAAATCGCTAATAATCAGGGGATGCAAATCAAAACCACCATGTGATACCACCTTATTCCTGCAAGAATGGCCATAAAAAAATAAAAAAAACAGTAGGTGTTGGCGTGGATGCAGTGATGAGGGAACACTTCTACACTGCTGGTGAGAATATAAACTAGTACAACACTATGGAAAGCAGTGTGGATATTCCTTAAAGAACTAAAAGCAGAACTACTATTTGATCCAGCAACCCCACTACTGGGTATCTACCCAGTGAAAAAGGAGTCATTATGCGAAAAAGATACTTGCACATGCATGTTTATAGCAGCACAATTCGCAACTGCAAAATTGTGGAACCAACCCAAATGCCCATCAATCAACAGGGAATAAAGAAACTGTGGTATATATATAAATATATATATATATGATGGAGTATATATATATATATGATGGAATATATATAAAATAAATCATATATATGATATATATATCATATATATACCACAGTTTATATATATATATTTCATCATATATATACCACAGTTTCTTTTTATATATATAAAGTTTCTTTATATATATAGGATGAGATATATATATATATGAGATGGGATATATATATATGTACTCAGACATAAGAAGGAATGAATTCACGGCATTCACAGTGATCTGGATGAGATTGGAGGCTATTATTCTAAGTGAAGTAACTCAGGAATGGAAAACCAATCATCATATGTTCTCACTGATATGTGGGAGCAAAGCTATGAGGACACAAATGCATAAGAATGGTGCAATAGGCCAGGCGCAGTGGCTGACGCCTGTAATCCCAGCAGTTTGGGAGGCCAAGGCGGGTGGATCACGAGGTCAGGGGTTCGAGACCAGCTTGACCAACATGGTGAAACCCCATCTCTACTAAAAATACAAAAGGTAGCAGGGCGTGGTGGTGCACACCCAGATACTCAGGAGACTGAGGCAGGAGAATCACTTGAACCTGGGAGGCAGAGGTTGCAGTGAGCTGAGATCATGCCACTGCACTCCAGCCTGGGTGACAGAGTGAGACTCTGTCTCAGAAAAAAAAAAAGAGAAAGAATGATACAGTGGACTTTGGGGACTTGGGGTGAAGGGTGGGAAGGGGGTGAGGGATAAAAGACTACACAGAGGGTGAAGTGTATACTGCTCTGGTGATGGGTACACCAAAATCTCAGAAATCACCACTAAAGAACTCATTCATGTAATCAAACACCACCTGTACCCCTATAATCTATGGAAAAATAAAAAAAGAAAAGACGAAAACGTCAAAGAAAGAGAAAATATGGGTAAATATGTTTGACCTAATAAGTAAACCAAAGTAAATTAAGAAAAATATATTTTATTATCAAAATAATTAAATTTGAGATAAAAATTTTACACAGTGCAGAATGTGTGTATAAATCTATTTTCAAGTAGTTTGGAAATATGTATCATGCACCTCAAAACTACTCATATTGTTTGACCCCATAATCGCACTCTCATAATTCTATCATTAGTAAACGATCTGAGAGAAGGAAAAAGCCAATGCACAGCAATATTTGAGAGAAAAAGAATCTCAAATGTAACAAGAAAGGATGATGGTTGCTGGGAAATATTGGTACATGTACAAGTTGGAATAGTATATGGTTATTAGAAATGAATTTTGAGAAAAACATGGAATATCAGGAGAAAATCTTTTTGTTAAAATGTAAATGAAATATCAGGCCATGAAATTATCTGTTTAATAATGTCTCAGTCTTCTACAGAGCAAAAGAAACTATCATCAGAGTGCGGGCAACCTACATAATGGGAAAAAATTTTTGCAATCTACCCATCTGACAAAGGTCTAATATACAGAATTTATAAGGAACTTAAACAAATTCACAAGAAAAAAACAAAGAACCCTATCAAAAACTGGGCAAAGGACATGAACAGACAGTTCTCAAAAGAAGGCATTTATGCGGCCAACAAACATATGAAGAAAAGCTCAACATCACTGATCATTAGAGAAATGCAGATCACAACCACATGAGATACCATCTCATACCAGTCAGAATGGTGATTATTTAAAAAAATCAAGAAACAACAGATGCTGGAGAAGCTGTGGAGAAATAGGAACCCTTTTACACTGTTGGTGGGAGTATAAATTAGTTCAACCATTATGGAATACAGTGTGGCAATTCCTCAAGGATCTAGAACCAGAAATAACATTTGACCCAGCAATCCCATTACTGGGTATATACCCAAAGAAATATAAATCATTCTATTATAAAGATACATGCACACTTACGTTTATTGCAGCACTATTCACAATAGCTAAGACATGGAACCAGCCCAAATGTTCATCAATTATAGACTGGACAAAAAAATGTGGTACACATATACCATGGAATACTATGCAGCCATAAAAAGGAATGAGATCATGTCCTTTGCAGAGACATAGATGAAGCTGGAAGCCATCATTCTCAGCAAACTAACACAGGAACAGAAAACCAAACACCACATGTTCTCACTCCTAAGTGGGAGTTGAACAATGAGAACACAGGGACACAGAGAGGGGAACAACACACTCTGGGGCCTATAGCCGGGGGTGGGGAGTGGCGAGGGGAGGAAGAGCATCAGGACAAAAAGCTAATGCATGCAGGGCTTAAAACCTCACTGACGGGTTGATAGATGCAGCAAACCACCATGGCACACATATACCTATGTAACAAACCTGAATGTTCTGCACATGTATCCTGGAACTTAAAGTAAAATTAAAAAAAAAATCTCATTACACAAACGTTTCCCCCTCATGTATACAGACATTTTCCCCTCAGGTGCCATTGTTCATTAACAGATAGAAAATGTATTTTGCCTGAATATTAATTAAACAGCAAACTTTTAGTACTTGAAGTTCTACATCTGTCATGGAAGATGAACAAAATATTCAAGAAAACCATTCCTGCCTTGGTCTGTTTTGGTAGTATGAACAGGACTGACAGGATTTGGGAAGTGTAGAGAGAATAGATACTACCTCATTTTTTAGAAGAAGCACAGTATCAATTATAAGACAAAAATATTTTCTAGGGAGTTCACTTACTCTTAAAATTAGTTTCAGAAATATTTCCCTTCCACTGGCCCCCATCCCCAACAAAGCCATGATTTTAGGCTGTGGTCCTCCCTTCCTTACTTCTAGGGCCTGTCCTAATGGAGCCACAGCTTGCGTACTCCCTCTCCTCCTTTTTGCCTTTTCTTTCGCTATTTCTTCTCTTGGTTCTATTTTTGTTTGTTCGTTTGTTTGTTTACCAAGTATTTTCATATGTGTTATCTTAGTTAACCAAGAAAAAGTTAAGAAAAGTTTCATCTCTGAGTGACCCTCATTTTTTTGCTTGTCTTCTTGAGAGGGAGTCTGACTCTGTTGCCCATGCTGGAATGCGGTGGTACAATCTCGGCTCCCCGCAACAGCTGTCTCCCAGGTTCAAGCGATCCTCCTGCTTCAGCCTCCCAAGAAGCTGGGATTACAAGCGTGTGCCACCATGCCCGGCTAATTTTTTTGTACTTTTAGTAGAGGTGGGGTTTCACCATATTGGCAGGCTGGTCTCAAACTCCTGACCTCAAGTGATCTACCCGCCTCGGCCTCCCAAAGTGCTGGGATTACAGACGTAAGCCACCTTGCCCTGCTAGACCCTCATTTTTTAATAAATTTTTTTTCCAATAATTTCCATCACAGAAGCCATGTAATTCCAATTTTTTCCCCCATTATCCTGGGCCCCAAAGTGGTCCAATCTGCACTTTTACCTTCTTTCTCCTTCTATGCCTGGAGTACTCTGCTCTTCCCATCGTTACCCAAATACGTTCTGTTTTCTATGTTGGGGCTCTTCTTCTTGCTTTTCATGTTGCTCGGAATGACCTCCTAAGATGACTATAATATGAGAACATGGTAGATAAGAATTTACTACAAGAAAAAAACAAAAAACCAACCAACCAACCAACCAACCAACAAACAAACAAAAAACCAGGACTCAGAATTCCCTAGTAAGAGAACACCAAAGGAGACCTCTTTTGGAGTGGTTTCAACAATACTTGCATTTTCTATGAGTTTTTGAGAGATGGCTCTGTGACCACCACACAGCAAAGGTACCAGTGACTACAGGGTGGCAGGGAGTCCTACCAATTCTAGGAGCGGCACTTTTTCCAACTTGGAAGACTTCAGAGAATTCTGCATACTCTAAACCTCTGTTGACCATAATTTATCATCCAAATAAGTATACTGAGACTGGGAGTGGGTGTTATTAAAATTTATACTGGGACAAGCAAAAAGCAGTACAGTTATGGACGAGTTTTTAGTGCTTCTTACTGTGTATTGTTAGAAATATAAAATTTCCAATATCTGACCTTCTGACTCTGAATCTCCGCAATTACAGCATGGAATCTGCATTTTACATAAACTCTTCAGTTTCTTGGTAATTGAAATTCGAGACCCACTACAAGTAGGTATTTTTTTTTTTTACAAGTAGATATTACTTTTTGTTTTTCTTCAATAATCTTCCTCTAAACATTTAATGGAGATGATCATTAATACAATTTACTAGGTAAATAATCCACATAGGGTACTTTTAAGGTACAGTCAACATGCAAAGTTAAAACTTGCTTTTTGTCTGCCATTTCCAACGTGCTTTTATATCTACTATGGCTACTCAATTAAAGACTTGGTTTAAATACTGTTAAATAACTATAGAAGTATTATTTTCAAGTATTTTTCAAGGAAAGTATATGACATTTCAACTACATTGTGACCTCCTTTACAAAGGCTCATTGGGTACTTTATTATAATTTGTACATAACTTTGTTATAATTTAATAGACTTGCTAAGAAATAAACTTTTGGAACTCAATCCATTGTCTATTTTGAGACTATTAAGTTTTGTGACTTAGGCACATTGTTTTAAAATAAAAAAAATCCTTCTACAGTGTCCAACTATCTTATAATTTGTCCAATCCATCTAGTAAAGATCTCACTGAAATTTCTAGTAAGTAACTTCATTTTCTGGAATAGACACAAAGCCTTTCTGATCTGTAATACTTTATAAATCCCTTGAATTTATATTACTTTGGATGTAAGAGAAAAGCCTCTAAAGTCCTTTTTCCATTCTTTAAAAAGACTAACACTTTTAATATACATAAACATTAAATAAATGCATTAGGCCTATTATGGGTAAGTTTTATATATATGTTGAATATATATAGTATATATATATAATATATGTTGACTCTAAATAATATATATGTTGAATATATATTATACATATTCCTCAGTGGTTCAACAACTCAGAAATTGAGTTCATTACACTGTACACGGTAATGACTAATTCAAAGTGTTACTTAACGTTCCTCCTAACCCTGGTTCTCCTTGGTTTTGTTTTTTCTTAAAGAATCCATATAACTGCACCCTTTCTTCTTTTCCTTCAAAAAGTCCTATTTTAAAAAATCGTGTTCTCCATGGCATGTTTTTGAATTGTTAATCAGATGTTTTGGGGAGCATTCTTGTCATTTCACAGCCCTTCTGTAGTTGAAGTAGCATATTGGGTAGTGGTTCCTAACTGGGAGGAGCACACGAATCACCTATGGAGTTTTTTTTCTTTTTTTTTTTTTTGAGACCGAGTCTCGCTCTGTCACCCAGGCTGGTGTGCAGTGGTGCGATCTCTGCTCACTGCAAGCTCCGCCTCCTGGGTTCACGCCATTCTCCTGCCTCAGCCTCCCAAGTAGCTGGGACTACAGGCGCCCGCCACCACGCCCAGCTAATTTTTTTTTTTTTTTTTTTTTTTTTAGTAGAGATGGGGTTTCACCGTGTTAGCCAGGATGGTCTCGATCTCCTGACCTCGTGATCCGCCCATCTCGGCCTCCCAAAGTCTGGGATTACTGGGGCTCCACCTTAAACCTACTGAATCAGAACGTGTGGAGCTGAGGCTTGTGTGTGTGTGTGCACACGTGCTCATGGACACTCCCAGCTAATAATTACTGCACTCAAATCCTTGTCTGACCACATAATAGTTGTGTGGCTATGTTATTTACTTCCTATGAGATCAATTGCTACTCTAAAATATGGGAGTTATCATACAGGACTCAAAAAGTGATTTTTGGTAATCAAAGTAAGACAACCAACATAGAGTGCCAAATTTCCCTCTATGTAAGGCAAATTTTCTTATTTAGCCTCTAAAAGGAATAATTTTATATGAATAATGTTCATTATACAATCTTTTTATGCTAGTTTTCAGTTAATCAGGCAGAGCTGACAGTCTCCATGAGGAATCATAAAAATAATCAACCTTATCCCAGAAGAATTGTCAACCAAGACAAAAGCCAGAGGGAAATTAATTTTCTTCACCTCTTAGTATTTGATCTACAAAGAAATTTGTTTTGTGACTTTTCTTGCTTTTAGAATAGAAACTTGAGACATAACCTCTTGGAAAAATTTGCATATTATTTCTAACAAAGATGTTATGACCTTCTATCAGAGCTCAATGCCACTCAAGTTGCCATACAAGAACTAAGTTCCTGTAGAGGTACAGTGACAGCTGTTGGGCTGAATGCCGGCAGAGAAATGAGAAAACATCAAGGTACTGGGTAATTCTGTTATTCATGGCTCTTTTCCAGATTACTTCCTCTTTAAATGAACCCACAAGAAGTGTAGAGGTGAGTATAAGCTATGTTTCCCAGGAAACGTTAAAGGTAAAATTTCAAGTGTCAGAATAATTGCTTTGACTCATTTGAGTCAATAGAGATGATAAATGTTAAAAGGGCCCAGAAAAGCTGCTCTTGCAGAATGGTTGTTTAGATTTCAGTGTTTGAGAACGTTTTTAGTTATCCTGAAGTCTACTATAAAGTTCTACACCAAATTATTTTCATTTTAATGTATAGGACAAACAAACTCTAATCATACTTTTAGGAGTGAGGGTGGTTCACAACACCCAATTATATACCTAATTATATAGTATTAGAACATCAGAAAGGATGAGAATCCCTGCTAGGAGCTGTGGGTTTAGGGTCCCAGGATAACCTGGGAAAGCTAAGCCTCCCTGGTATAGTTTCAATAAGCAGGAGCTTGGAGTAGAGGCAATATTTCTATTGTGATTGTACCAAGCACTGTGCCTGGCATAGAGTAGATGCTTAATTAAAGTTTATTAAATAAATGAATGTTCGTGGATTACTCACTTAAACTTAGTGAGCTGGCTTGATAATATCTGCCTGGGCAGCAAAAATGGTGTGGAAAAATAGGTCTAAATTCATTATTATTACCAGGAGAACAAATTCATATACAAAGGATATCATTTTTTCTTACCAAGTCAGTGTTTACCAAGGAAAGAAAACAGTACAATATTTAGTTTAACCAGATTTTAACATGGTGCCTGGCTCTCCCTAAAGCATTGCATTGCAGATTAGGCTGGGGAAGATGTGTGTCAAAATTTTCTCTCACGCTCCCTGCAAAAGCATCTCTTCCATTCTCCTGGTGGTTCCTACTCCCTTTCTGTTGAAGACAGCCAGGTTTCCTGCCCATTGTCACACACTTACAAACTGGCAGAAACATTCTGCGCTCCTCTTTTTGATAGCCTTATTTTACAAAGAAAAAAATATCTAGAATTAGTATTAAAAAAAAACCACAATAGCCTGATGCATACATCTCAATGCAGCCTGGGACAGAGAAGTCTCCAGTGTATCTATGGCTGCTCCTCAGCTTCCCATGTGCTCTGCTGGCCCACACTGCTTGCCAGCAGTCCTTACATCAAAAAGGTTGATTATGCATCCAGCTCTACCCTACTCTTCTGCTGGCAGCATGCTCACAAAGCTGTTTTATAATTTTTATTTTCATTTTTGGAGATGCACATGCATGGAAAAATTTTACACAATATGGAATGTTCTGGGGTAGGCAAATGGAAAATGAACATGGCCGCCTCTTCCCCCAGGATGTCCATATGTCTATTTTTTCCTACTATAACTTTACAGGGACTGTATTCATATGGTTCTGCTTTAAGAGCTTATATGACTGATAAACAATATAATTTGTTATGGGCAGTATACTTTTTTCTTGTTTAAACAGGAAAAAAAACCCAACTCTGATATTTTAATTCAGAGCAGAAGAGCTTCCGAAAACTGATACTTTCTGCTATGAATGTTCTGTTTCAAAATCTGGAACATCCAGGATATAAGATACATTGTCTTTTTTTTTTTTTAAGGTAGGTTCCATTCAAAGTACAAACTCATGATAAAAATTGCTGTAGCAGGAGTGTCGGTCTGCAAATTGCTTTTCAGATGAAGGAGCTTTGTTTCCTGTTGAATAATAGCTCCCAGGCATTTCTACTTATGATTGGTGGAGGAAATCCTCCTGTCATAGCACATTAGGGTTTGATACATTTGCTTGAAATCTCCGAATCTGCCAGAGAGGTACATCTGTAGTGAAGCCACCGGCATAGTTTGCTAGAGGGATCTGGGTGAACTTTCATCACAAATGTGAGTTAGCAATGTTCCTCCTCAAAACTAGAGAAGACCTATGTATGTCAAGGGCTCTGACCAATTGAGGCACTACAAATTATCTGATCAAACTTGACCTATTTTAGATCTACTAGAGCAGTCTAAGATAACCTAGAGCAGTAAGAGCCTAAGAACAGGAACTTTCAGTTGTGCATAAAGTGATGCTGCTGATGGAGATGAGTTCTTACCTTCCTGAAGGAAGGTTCTATGTTTTAATTAAAGTACTTAGAGATCCTAAAATGATGCTCTTTTAGCAAGCACCCAGTAAATGTTAATGGTTTTCCTTTTTGAGGGGAGAGAGAAATCTTTGTCCATCATTCTGTGATGGTGTATATATAGCTAATGCAAATGAGAGTAGCCTCTTACATGGGGATTAGGCTCTAAATCTAATGAGAAAGACATACCATTACACACAGTAAAAATGACCCTAAGTTTCCTTTAAATTGACCATAAAGTGTAGTATTCACAGTGTTGTTAACATAGCAATAATTACTATAATCCAAGATCTGAGAGCCTCTGAAAGCCTATATCCAAATGTGTGGACATTCAAGCCTTCCTGCCTAGATTACTATCAGATTTTTGAGGTAAATAGAGAATGGATGATAGGGGATTCTAGAATAGTCTTGCCTGATAATAGCGATTATATTTTTGTTTTAAAATTCAGCATCTAAAATCAGTATATGTTTATATATTTCTTTATTTTAGGAAGGATTAAACAAGATGGTAGAGTTGCACCTTAGGTGGCACTGAATTCTAACATCGGTGCATAAATTATGCAACTCCATTATTTTTGAGGCATTCATTACATGACTGTAGATTATGTAACCATTTTGGGGGGCATATGGAGCAGGCAATTTTAGTTATATGGTGTTTTCTTTAAGTCACTTTAATTTGTCACCTTTTTCTAGGCTTTTTAGCCATGGTTAATAGTGATAGTAATCAGGTAAGAGTATTAAAATCATAGGTGATCTGGGTATGAAGGATCCTTTATCCACATATCTTCATTCATATATTGATAATTCTCTAGAATATCTGAATTGACACTTTTTGAGTATGTTCATCCAACCATTTACACATCCAACCATTTACACATACTCAAGTGTAGAATTGAATAAATGAACATTTTCTGAAGACTTTCATGTTAGATTTTGTCAACTACTTTACTGAAATCTGAATTTAACTGTGCAATACTAGCATTATGGACATAGTAAATCTGTCAAACAAGGAATTAAAGTAAGAGTAATGTGATTTGTTATTGGTGAGCACAGACAGGATCCCAAGGACACTTGCTTTTCAAAGTACTCATATACCCACCTATTAAATCCATTCTGGAATATTGCTTTTGATCAATATGAAGCTTGTTGGCTCTTGAAATTGCCTAACATAGTAGAATCAACAATAAAATTTGTCTGTCTCTAGTCTTCCAGCACCTTTCCCATTTCCCAAAATTCTTCCACAACAGTGGACAATAATTTGTTAATCTGATTTAGGAGTTTTGCAGATACTTGGATAGAGTTCATTCCATTCCAATTACTGGAACTCCCTTGGGAGGGCTACATGTTCTCTTTACAAGGGCCAGATGTTTGGTGTCAATCTTGATGTTCACAATTCTTTCTACTGTCTTCTGATATGATATGCTTATGTGATGTGGGGCTTTTGCAAAGCTTGTCACTGGGACCTCCACTTTACTTTTAGTTAAGACACAAAGGTTTTTATCTGATAATTTATGAAATACAAATCTATTTCGATCAAGAATAAGAACCTCGGCAAGATGGTTTTGATCCTGGTGTGTCCTACTATTCCATCCATTCTCAAATGGTGCCAGTGGTGGCACAATTCATGACCACTAGGCACACAACCTCCCATAGCAGCAGCCACTGCCACACACCACAACCCCACTGCTATTCTCAATGACTTGTTTTAATGCAACCTAATAACTTCCCCCACAAACAGCTCTTTCATGTATAGAGTTGCCACAGAAATGAAAAACCCTATATACAGTTTCAGTCATACCAGATGAGTAAGTTCTAGAGATCTGCTGTACAATATAGTACCTATAGTTAACAATATGGCATCGTACCCTTTAAAGTATGTTAAGAGGATAGAGCTCATGTTACTTGCTCTTATCACAAAGCAAAACAAAACCACAAAAGAACACAAGGTAATTTTGACAGGTGATGAATATGCTTAGTATGCTGATTATGGTGATGGTATCACAAATATGTACATATGTCCAAACCCATCAAAATGTATATATTAAATATATGCAATTTTAAATATATCAATTATGTTTCAACAGAGCTTTTCTAAAAAGAGAAACAAACAACCCTGCTTCAAAGCTAATCCTGCCCTCCTGGGCAGAGGGCACTGTGACTGCTCGCTGAGGGTAAATAGACATCTTCTTGGGAGGCTGGGCACCTTCCAAGCACCATTCAGCTCTGACTGAATTCAGTTCTCTCTGCCTTGTACCCTACATATTCATGGAGGTTTCTGCATATAGGGCTGCAAACAGCCACACTGCCCTTAGCAAATGTCCAAGAAGGCTTGGGGGCTTTTAAAAATTTATTATTGATACATAGTGGATGTACATGTTTTCTAGGTACATGCAATATTTTGATATATTCATATAATGTCTAATGATCAAATCAGAGTAATTCAGAAATCCATCAACTTAAAAATTTATCTTTTCTTTATGCAGGGGGGACTTATTTAAAAAATTGTAGCTTACCATTTGGTAATTGACTAAAATATTTCTGTGTTCTCTTCTTTGTGCCACTGAAACCTGATAGACTGATTTTGCTGCTGAATTGAGATAAAACTATAGTTTCTAGCATGGCGCTTGGCACATAGTAGATGCTGAGTCAAGGTGAGTTTGTTTCTCTTACCATGGCCTTGGTGGTACTGCTTCATTTTATACCTTCAATAATCAGAGATGGCAAGAAAGGAGGGTGGAAGGTGAAGGGAGAATGTAAGTCTTTACTTGAATACATTTCAGGCTATTCCTAATACACACTATAAATGCATCAGTTATATGCTGTTGAGTAGCTCTCTGATCAAAGCTTCCCAGTGGCTTCCGAGGCTCCAAGGTCCTATCTAATCTGCTTCCCCTCTGCCTCATTCTGTTCCAGCCACAGTGACTTCCTTGATGTTCTTCAACACACCAAGCACAATCACACTCCAGGGTCTTTAACTTTATTGTTGCTGCTGCCTGGAATACTGTTCATTCGATATTTGCATGGTTTTTTCCTTACTGCATTCAAGTCCTAGTTCAGATATTTCCTTAGCAAGGTTCCCTCATGACACCTAAAAATTGTAATCTTTTCTTTGCTCAGGCACTGTCCATCTCCCTTACTCTCTTTTATTTTTCCATAGTATTTACTAATCTTTAATGTCCTATATAACTTACTTATGTGGAATGTTTATTGTCTGTATCTTCCTATACATATACAAACACACAGAGACACAGACACATAGATGTACATACAGACTGTGGGCTCCATGAAGATAGGGAATTTTTTCTTCTGCGCACTGCTGTATCCCCAGTGCCTATAAAAGTATGCTTGGAAGTAGTAGTTTGCACAATAAATATTAAATGAATTAAAAAATGTGAATGAAGGACTACTCAGGAATGCAACATGGCAGAAAAGTAAGACACCCCTATATTTGGCCAAGTGATGGGTATTCACTAACACTTAGTGGAACTGGAAATTTATTATCTGGGCATTACAAAGAGCAGTAAGGCCCAGGTCATGTGGACTGACATTTGGTTTTACAGTCGTTGTCACTACTTTATGGTCCCCCAATTCTGAGACCAGAAACATGTATGGTTCATCGCAAATGCAGTCTGGATCCCTTCTAAGCCATTATGCTCAGCACCACCAGAATTACTGGTCTCAAAGTAAAATTTGACTATGACTCTTGTCCGCTTAAGGTTCTTCAGTGATTTTCTGCATTTTTCAAGATAAAGTCTAACAGTGCATAAAACTAGTATGCTAGTTCTTCATTTACTCCTCATTATTACAGGCCCTCTGTGCACAGCGTCATATTAAAGTACTTGCAGTTTCTCAAAAATGCTATGTTCTCTGCTTTTGTAAACTTGTTTCCTTTATCAATTCTACCCTATTTATTTTGCCAACTTCCGCATCTTTGAGTCCCAATACAGGTTTCATCATTTCCGAAAAACCTTCCTTGTACTGCCTAGGATGCATTAACTTACCTTCTACTTCTTAGCAGACGGGATCTGCTAGTTTCTTCTTGTAGTTCTGCCAAATTTTAACGTTTTACTTTATGTATTAACCGTCTTTATCTCTGACAATGTTTTTCATGGTCTTAAACTTTATTTCATCTGATTTTAAAGCTATATCAGCTCCCTTTGGTTTGTTTTCTTGGTAGTTATTTTTCTCACAATTTTATTTTTAATATTAATGTGTTATATTTTTAAGTGGGCTGCTTATAAACATAATATTGTTAGTTAAAATGTATTATCTGTCATTCTTTGTCTTTTAATTCAAGTATTTAGCCAATTTTCACTCACTTGGTTAACAGTATATTTGTGCTTTTAAAAATTTTCTCCTTTTCGTCTTTTCAAGCTAATTAGGTTTTTTTTCCTCTTCTTAGTTTTTCTGTCTGCTAGTTTTGGAATTGCAGTCTTGGACTCTATAATTTTAGTGCTTACTCTAATTCCTAATATGCATACATAACTCAATAAAGTTTAAATTTAATCAGTATATTTACCCACTTTTGGAATAATACAAGGACCTCTGAACACAACTTTAATCACCACCACTATCAACAACTGATATGCTGTTGTCTTGCTTTTTAATTGTATTATTTAATGTGCAAATTAAATATTATTTTCAATTATTTGTAGTCAACATTTGTTTAGATTTATCTATTCATCATACTTTCTTGTATCTCAGATCTTCTGATATGGTTTGGCTGTGTCCTCACCCAAATCTCATCTTGAATTGTAACTCCCACAATTCCCACGTGTCATGGTGGGAGGTGATTGAATTATGGGGGTGGGTCTTTCCTGTGCTGTTCTTGTGATGGTGAATAAGTCTCATGAGACCTGATGGTTTTCAAAATGGTGAGTTTCCCTGCACAAGTTCTCTCTTTGCCTGCTGCCATCCAAGTAAGATGTGACTTGCTTCTCCTTGCCATTCACCATGATTGTGAGGCCTTCCCAGCCATGTGGAACTGTAAGTCCACTAAACATCTTTTTCTTTCTAGTCTCAGGTATGTCTTTATCTGCAGCATAAAAATGGACTAATACATCTTCCTTTAAGAAAATTTTCCTTCTTTCTTAGAACATTTTTATTCTGATAATCCTCTTAAAATTTATTTGCAATTGTTTTACAGTAGTTTTTAACACTGTAACAATTAGCTTTTTCCATCTATTTGCTCATAATTACATAATAATACTCATCATTCTTTTTTGTCTTTAGATAAGACATCCTTTCTGGGGCAATTTGCCTTTTTATTGAAGTAGACCTTTTAGGAAAATACACATGTGAGGGTTTCTGGGTAATAAATTATTTAGTTCCAGTTTTTAATATTTATTTTTTGGAATGACCAAAAACAAAGTTGTTTTGCTTTTGTGCTTGAAAGACATACAATTACACCTGTCAGTAATTTTTCTCTCAGAACTTTAAAATAATTATTTCAGTCTTCTATATTCCGTTATTGCTAAGAATTGTCAGTCTAATTGTCATTCTTTCTTATGTTGTCTGCTTATTTTCTCTGGCTTCTAATGAGACTATTCTGTGTTCTACAGTTTGTCTATAGTGTGTATGGATTTCTTTTTATTACTCCACTTTGGAATAAATTTGGCTGCTTGAACTGGATAACTGCTGTTTCTCTTCAATTCTGGAAATTTCTTAATAATCATATTCTAAAATATTTCCTTTTCTTTATAATTCTGTATTCTTTCTGGAATTCTGATTAAATGTACCTTTTAACTTCTCTTTCATATTTTTCATCCTTTTCCCCTTTATATTGCATTCTGGGTAATTTCTTCATGTCTATATTTTACTTTACTAGTTCTCTCTTCAGTTGTGTCTAAGATGCTAATGTTTACTAAACAGGCACACACACATACATACACATAATAATTTCCATGAGTTATATTCATTCTTCTTTCAGGTATGATGCCTGTGTATCTCTAATGTTCCCTTGCTCCCCACTCATATTTATGGAATGCTCTTTTATTCATTGAAGATTTTACTTGTCTATTTTACATTCTGAAACTGCCTGACACACTATCTGCAATCTTTGATGGTCTGAGTCTGTCATTTGTTTCTTTTGCTGACCCTCACTCATGCTAGCTCATGCTCTTTGGGTATTCATTTGTTAGAATTCTTGGAGTCTTGGGGTAAAGGTTATTCTCCCAGATATGATTTTCTTTTGCTTATGTGAGGTGTGAACTTAGGTTTGGGGGAACACACAGATAATGTGAACTCAAGTTGACACTCATATAAGAGCTAGGAGATGTTTTTCCTCCCTCCAGTGAGATCCAAGGTTGAAATAGATTAATTTTTTTAGTCTCTCCCTTTCTGAGGTGGTTCCCTCACCCAATTTTATTATTTTTTTGCAGCAATTGCCCTTAAGCAGTTTTTGCTTTACTTGGGACCCTCTTACCAGCTAGAAGGCTCTGCTTCCTTTCCCTTGTGCATGTGTGATCTAAGCTCTCAGCCACTAGGCAATGGCAGAAGCACATGGCAGATGTCAACTATTTTCTCTCTGAATTCAAAATCGCTCTTTAATTCAGGCCTTTAAGGGGCTCTCTTATTTTTTTGTCAGCTCAACTATGTATTTTTGTAAGTGATGTTATAAAAAGGATTTTCAGAGTACATATTCCTTCATATTGTTAGAAAGGTAAGTCCTTCTCATAGTGCTTCAAATTTCCCATTTTATAATATTTAGTACATTCTTTTTAAAAATTTAAAATTCTTTTTAGAGAGAGTGTCTCACTATGTTGCCTAAGCTGGACTTGGAATCCTGGGCTCAAGTGATCCTCCTGCTTCAGCCTACCAAAGTACATTCTTTTGTAAATGTCGAATTTTTTATCTTTTTCAGTTGATTGTGTTCATCCTGAGGGCAGGAACAATTTCTTACCATGTCATAATTTATTTAGTCAAGAAATAATAAGTTTCTGTTATTTACTAATGCACTGATGTATGAAGCTGGCTGTATATATAAAGGTAGTCAAAATTGAAATCGTCCCTGCACTTATGAAGCTGACAAATTAAAAATAATACAAGCTAATTTTTGTTGAATCATTTCTTATTTAGCAAATTGTCTAGTTGTTCTGATACTTTATGCTTATTGTCTCATATTAATCTTCATAACTATCCTATGAATTTGCCATTATTAATATTTCATTTTAAAGATAGGGTAACTGAGGCTGAGAGAAGTGACTTGTGTGTAGGAAGAGTGGAGTATAATAATTATTATGATTAGTTAGCCATGACCTACATTTTAAAAATTTAAATTATCTTGCCAGGCAAGGTGGCTCACGCCTGTAATCCCAGCAATTTGGGAGGCCAAGGTGGATGAATCGCTTGAGCTCAGGAGTTCAGGACCAGCCTGGGAAACATGGTGAAACCCTGTCTCTACCTAAAATACAAAAAATTAGGCAAAAATGGTGGTGTGCATCTGTGGTCCCAGCTACTCAGGAGGCTGAGGTAAGAGGATTGATTAAGCCCAGGAGGCTGAAGTTGCAGTGAGCCAAGATTGTCTCACCGCTCTCCAGCCTGACTGACAAAGCAAGACTCTGTCTCAAAAAAAAAAAAAGTATTTTATTCTTTGAATTTTTATAATGATTTCTATTGCTATAGACTCAACACTATACATGGTTTCAGAGATTCACTTGAACACATCAAAAGGAAAGTGAGGATGTATCTCTGAGGACGGACCCTCTATGCATACACAATACTCTTTCTGATGCTATCTCTCATCTCTCACTGTTGCTTGTGAATGCTCTATTATGATGACTTCTTTCTTTCCCAAGTGTATTTGCTTCATATTGGACTTTTCCTTCTTTTTTCTTTATATTTCTTTTCCTAAACCCTTTAAAAGGTTTTGGCTCTGAATTTTCAAGAGTCTATAAAAACCAACAATGAATGCTTCAGGGATTTTTAATATAGCATGAGCTGTGAAAAGTAGTTTTTACCAGGATTTGTAGGCTCTGGGTTATATCCTAGATTGACAAGGGAGTATCTTCAGGCAAGAACATCATTCTAATCATGATGTAAAATTTTTTGGTCAAATAATTCAAACCTCAGTTGTTTGATATGTATCAGGTTTTTAAATTGAGTTATATCTTTGAAGATCTACTTGATGTGGCAGAGATTAATCTCATCATATAAATTCTGAGAAACTAAAGAAGACTATCATATATGTCCTTAAGAATATTGATTCTTACAAGCAATAACCATAATGATCACTATGTCATATAGAGTTGCATTTAATTGTATTAATGACATCCTTTCAGCAGCAACTTGTACTTATTCAATGGTACTTGTACTTCTTTGGCATTTGAAGTACCACCTCACTCTTCTTAATCTGCCTTATTTTAGGTTCCTACTTTTTGTATTCTTTGTTCTCTCTATTTCCTTATATTTTGTGGCAGCCCAGGTGGCCGCCTGGTCTCCTCTTATTCTTACTCATTGGCTGCTGTGTAATGAGCTTCAGCATAAGATTTTCCGGCAGGTAGCAATGGGAACTTTTCTGTTCAGTTCTTCTGCACCCCTGGCTCCTGTGTATATACAATGCTGTCTTTCTGATGTTATCTCTCACTGTTCCTTGCAAATGCTCTATTTTTTTGACTCCTGTCTTCCTGAGTCAGCTCCATCCCAAGTGTATTTGCTTCATGTTGGACTTCCTCTTCTTTTTATTTCTTTTCTTAAACCTTTTAAAAGTTTTTGGCTCTGAATTTCCAAGAGGAATCTATAAAAATCCAACAATGGATGTTTCAGGGATTTTTTTTAATAGAGCATGAGCTCAGCAGAAAAAGTAGTCTTATCAGGATTTTTCATGTTATAATTTCTCACTTTGTTTTACAAAGACAGCACACCCAGAAAACAACAACAACAACAACAACAACAACATTGTTCTTTTGAGAACAGGAGGCATCAACTACTACTCTACAAAGTAATGTTATTATAAATAAATAGATAGAAACAGTGTAAGAGGGAAAATCACGTTGTTAAACATTTTGAGAGTGCAGAGCATGGGTACTGTTCTTATTTTCAGTTGCTCTCATCAGACAATGATTACTTGACACCTCTTAAGAATAAAGCAAGAAGATTGGTGAACATAAGGTTCACAACTATTGGAAATCTCACAGAAGAGTGGGCTTCTGATGGATCTTAGGCCTGTGATTAATTACAGACCAACACATGCGTGAGTCATAACTTGTTAGTCACATTAAAATTATCTAAATCAAGTTGAAGATAAAATGGGATATTGATCTATTTTTCCCACATGAAAAAAAGTTGCTTCCAAAATTAAAGACCATAAAGCTCTTATGATGATGCACGCGTACACTCTTGTCAAACTTCCATGTATTCTTTGGAAAATCACCTCATAATCAGCACCAACCCAGCAGAATGCAGAGACATGAGTTAAACCGTTCCTAGAATGTATATGATGTGTGCTGATCAAAGGGAAGAAAATAAAAGCAATATGTCCATCCATGTACATAATGACTCCCAAACCCTCAAAAGTGAATTTTAAAATGTTGATTTTTAGAAAAATGAATACCCAAAAGTTAAAGAAAAGCAAAGTAAAAGGACCAAAATTTTGAGCATTTAAATCTGATTCTCTTAACTTTATACAATATCATGTCTTGGACTTTCCCTGAACACATCACCTGCTGATGGATTCTCTCACTCATTCCACTGCATTTAGGGACATTTTTATTTTTATTTTTATGGTATCTTATGTATTCAGAGGAAGTTTCCCCAAGATTTGCTTGTGCAAGTTCAGGCCTTTTATAAAGAGTATTTCCTAGTTGATGCCCGTACCCTGCTCTGCATTACTAACAATTATGCAAATGAATCTTAGAACCACCCACATCTACTTTTAACATGATGCTCTCTTTGTACAGCAGGACTAAAATTCAGAGATTAAATATATCTGTGATAGCACAGGTCTTTTAAAATTTAAATTGGGATATTTTGGCCTTTGAAGTGGCATCACATATTTTACAAAATTATTACTTAATGGGAAAGTATACTGTCTTTTTGCTTTCTTTATTCTGTTCATTTAAAAAATCAAGTGCATGGGCAAGTGTCCAGATAAATTTACTCATTTCCATCCTTTTATTTTTTTAATCAGTGAATAAACAATCAAAAATCCTAAAAATAATGACTGAATTGCAGAATCACCACTGAAAACAGTCTCAAAAGGTAATCTACATACAGCCGGGTGTGGTGGCTCACGCTTGTAATCCCAGCACTTTGGGAGGTCGAGGCGGGCAGATCACCTGATGTCAGGAGTTTGAGATAAGCTAGCCAACATGGCGAAACCCCATCTCTACTGAAAATACAAAAATTAGTTAAGCGTGGTGGCATGCATCTGCAATCCCAGCTACCTGGGAGGCTGAGGCAGGAAAATCACTTGAACCCAGGAGGTGGAGACTGCAGTGAGCCGAGATCATGCCACTGCACTCCAGCCTGGGCAACAGAGTGAGACAGTCTCAAAAATAAAATAAAATAAAATAAAAAAGTAATATAATCTATTCCCTGACTTTTATCCAAGGTAGCATTTTGCTTGTACTTTTACTTGTAACACTTTTAAAATTCTGCTTGAAATTATAGTTGGTCACATCCTCATTCATCTGCTTTAGTACACTGAAATCTCTTTGAAGAAATGTTGATAGATAATATCTTTGACTATCTTATCATGCTTGTCACATGATTGGTGTGCAATAATTGTTTATTAAGTGAAATCTAAAAAACATGGGTTTCTATCTGTTTTAAAAAACTCCAGAGAAAATAATCAGAGACATACTTGAAGAAGAAGTGAAAATGGGCTTAAAACCATTTATGGCCAAATTGAAATCCATTACCTCTAATTCTGTTCTTCATAGAGCTAAAGAACTAGTTGATGGTCTACCATTGAGGATTCTAAGGGATTGAACCTGCAGCTTGGATTAGTGCTCTGTGTTCATCAACTGATAGCTGTGTGGCCATGAGCAAGCCACTAAACTTTGCTAGGACTGATTTTCTTATCCCTAAGATAGTGATAATAAGAGTTTCCTTCCTCTATGGCTTTCCTAAGGTTTAAGTACAATACAAATATAAAATATTTAGCCCTGTTTCTGTAATGTAGTGACAATCACTCATTAAAAGTTGGCTATCATCATAATTACCATCATCATATCAGCACTGTCCAGTTGTATACAGAATCTTGTCGACATCTTTAATCCTCTCTGCTCCATCAATCTTGGATCAATCCAACTGTTCATGTTTTTGCTCTTGGTATTTGGCCTTAAGGGCTATCAATCCTACCACTTAACGCTGTACTGGACATTCTAGTAAAAGCAATAAGACAAGAAACTGAGTTTTAGCACGGTAGAGAAAAAAGTTGACATTATTTATATATAATATCCAAGATAATATAAAACCTAGTAAAGCTAATTAGGTAATTCAGCAAGGTTGCCAGGATATAAGACCAAAACATAAAAATCAGTAGTGTTACTCTGCAGCCACAATAGCAAAGTAGAAAATGAAATAGAATAATAAGACACTATTCACAGGGGCAACAAAAGGGTTAAGATTCTCAGGCATAAATATAACAGATACACACATATGTCTGTAACCTTCATTGTTACTCACAGAAGACCGGAATTTGGCCACACAAGTGCATGGATAGCAAGTGCTATGGTCTGAATAATTGTGTCCCCTTCAAATTCGTATGTCAAAACCTGAAGTCTCAAGGTAATGATATTTGGAGGTTGGGCCTTTAGGAGGTAATTATGTCATGGAGGTCAAGCCTCATGAATGGGACTAGTGCTCTTATAAAACAGGCATAAGGAGACCCCTCGCCCCTTCCACCATGTGAGGACATAGCTAGATGGTTTCATCTATGAGCCAGAAAGCAGGCGTTTGCCAGACACTGAATCTGCTGTCACCTTGATCTTGAACTTCCCAGAGTTTAAAACTGTGAGAAATAAATTTCTGTTGTTTATAAGCCACCTAGTTATATTATTTTGTCCCTTGAAAAGATGAAGACACAATATTTTTTGGAGATAAGTTCTTTCGAATTTTTCTATAAATTCTGTCATTTTCCAAACAAACCATAAACAGTTTTCCCTGGGGAAAGGGCAGACTGAAAAAGTGATTTGATTATCATATGGAGAGTAAAGATCCAAGATTAGACATAACAATTAAGAAAAAGAAATCAGGAAGTAGAGAGTTGTTCTACCAGATGTTATAAATAAGTAGTAATCAAGAATATTGGTGGCTACAGGGATAGAAGAAAAGCAGATCTGTGCAAAAGAATATTCAGCTTAGGAGGCTACTCGAGCATATATTGATCTTGGTATTAAAAACCAGCAAAGAAAATAGGAAAATGGACTAAACATGATATTGGAACAGTGGCCACTGGAAAGGAATACAAAATAAATTAGACTTTAAAAAAAATCACACACAAAAAAACCCCTCCAAATGATTTAAAGACCTGAATGTGAAAAAAGAACTTGAGACATCTCGAAAATTTAGGAGCATAACCTCATTACATTAGGGCAAGAAAGTATTTTTTGTATCATAAGACACAAAACACAAGACGATTAAACAAACTGTTAAATTGTCTATGTAGACACATACGTCTCTACAATAAAAGGTACCACAATGGTAGAAGTAAAGTGTCTAAGAGAAGATGTATATTAACATACATGGTAAATATTTAGAATATGAAACATCATTTAGGAAAAGAAAAAGACACAAAAACAGAAATGGGCAAGGATATGGACAAGAAATTCATTAAACAGAAATTCTACACAGGAAATAAAAACATGAAAAGATGCTCAATCTCATTTGTAATGAAGGGAGTGAAAAGTAAAACAATGAAGAGGAGTGATTTCTTATCAGAAGTGGCAAAAAATTAAAACATTTGACAGTATCAAGTATTGGTAAGAATAAGGAGAAATTGGAAATCTCATATCTCTCACCACTCTTGGAGGGAGTGCAAATTGTCAGCCCAGTTTGAAAGGTGATTTGTCAATATCTAGTAAAATTAAAAGTGAGCAGAACCTATAACCTAAAAATTATACTTCTGGATTTAGACCCCAGAGAAACTGGCAGATAGTGATAGAGACATACATAAGGATATTTGTTTACAGCATTGTCTCTTATAGTCAAAAATTATATATAACATAGAAAGAAATATAATGTTTCTTGAAAACATAATGCTTATCCAAAATATGACTATAACATTATGATTTATATAAAGAAAAAGACTCAGCGGCAGCTGAGAGGGATACACGATCTTAGCAAATCACATCTAATTATACAAAGGTTAGACATTCTCATAATTTAATCACATAATTTAATATAGCAACTAATAAAATGGCATATTCAGAATGGTGAAAGAACGATAGTCTGAAAGGGAAACAAATGAGAAAAGACATTTTATATTAGAACAAAAAAGTTTTTAACAAGCCTTAATAAAATCTAATTTAAAGGTAAAATGAACTTCATGAAGTTCACATGAACTTGAAAAAATATCTCTCCCAGCTCAGTCATTAAGTAGGCTGGGAAAATGTCACCATTTCTTTCTCATGAGTAACAATTTGACCTGCACCCCTAATGCCCAGATTTTGGTCTCTATATTCCATAAAAGTACCCAGCCAGGACTCCTTGAAGAGTAATTGATTCCCTGTCATGGGGTAGAGAAAACAAAGTTGTATTTGAACTATGTAATTGTTACCAGGAAGTGAGAATGCTTTCAAAGATGTCTGGGAATGGTTCTGTAAGGGGGGAAAAAAAGCCTCCTGGGGTTGTGACAATCAGAGTACCAAAAAAGAAAATGATAATCCTGTCAAAGGTCGTGAGTTCATAATGTTACACAAGCTGGGACAATGATAGAAGATATATGAAAGCAAAGGCATCTATGGATTTTCTTTTTCTTTTTCTTTTTGAGATGGAGTTTCACTCTTGTTGCCCAGGCTGGAGTGCAGTGGCGCAATCTCGGCTCACTGCAACCTCTGCCTCCCAGGTTCAGGCGATTCTCCTGCCTCAGCCTCCCAAGTAGCTGGGATTACAGGCATATGCCACCATGCCCCGCTAATTTTTTGTATTTAGTAGAGACGGGGTTTCACCATGTAGGTCAGGCTGGTCTGGAACTCCCGACCTCAAGTCATCCACCTGCCTCGGCCTCCCAAAGTGCTGGGATCACAGGCATGAGCCACTGTACCCGGCCTATGGATTTTTAATAACGTCTACAGAAGATACTTAACTGAAACTTAACTGTATTGTATTTTATTTGCCTCAGTTCCATCAGAAAAAGTCAGAAGGTAAAAATTCAAGGAGTCTGTGGTAAAAAGTTCTGTATGAGATCTGCGGCCAATGAACATATGAACAAAAGCTCATCATCACTGGCCGTTAGAGAAATGCAAATCAAAACAACAAGATACCATCTCATTCCAGTTAGAATGGCAATCATTAAAAAGTCAGGAAACAACAGATGCTGGAGAGGATGTGGAGAAATAGGAACGCTTTTACACTGTTGGTGGGAGTGTAAATTAGTTCAACTATTGTGGAAGACAGTGTGGCAATTCTTCAAGGATCTAGAACCAGAAATAACATTTGACCCAGCAATCCCATTACTGGGTATATACCCAAAGGATTATAAAACATTCTACTATAAAGATACATGCACATGTATGTTTATTGCAGCACTATTTACAATAGCAAAGACATGGAACCAACCCAAATGCCCATCAATGATAGACTGGATAAAAAAAAATGTGGTACATATACACCATGAGATACTATGCAGCCATAAAATAGAGTGAGATCTTGTCCTTTGCAGGGACATGGATGAAGCTGGAAGCTATTATCCTCAGCAAACTAACACAGGAACAGAAAACCAAATACTACATGTTCTCCTTCATAAGTGGGAGTTGAACAATGAGAACACATGGACACAGGGAAGGGAACAACACACACCAGGGCCTGTCGGGGGGGTCGGGGCAAGGAGAGGGATAGCATTAGGACAAATGCCTAATGCATGCGGGGCTTAAAACCTAGATGACAGGTTGATAGGTGCAGCAAAACACCATGGCACATGTATACCTATGTAACAAACCTGCACATTCTGTACATGTATCCCAGAAATTAAAGTAAAACAAAATTAAAAAAAAATGGGTGAGAGTGATAATTAAGGGATGCATACGGGACAGACCATGAAAAACCATTTCTCTGCAAAAGACTACTTGACACCGCAGCAGATGGTAGTGTGAGGAAGGTCCCATCCCAGTGATCACTGGCTCTGCCATGTAAGAAAGTACACTCAGGTTCCTGTGTTTTAGTCTCAAATCTCTCGCCATAATCCAAATCTGCAAACATACCAAGGTCCTAATTCTGTACTCTGTAAACTTGATCTCTAACTAAACAGCCAGTTTGAGATGGTTATTTTGCTTCTGTGATAAACAATTTTAACTCTTGATAGTATGACACATGATGGAGATGGAAAAAGACATGAAACAAATGCTTAGTATAATACTTTTGTATGAAATCCAAGTGTAATAATGATTTATATCTTTTTTGTTAATTTTAACTTGTGCTATCTGCTTTTTAAAGAGAGGCATTTAAAGGAATCTGACATAAAAGATGAGATTTTAATTGAAATACTTAAAAAGATTTACCTTAATTTTAAATCAATATTTAGATGCTCAAGGCAATCTGATTTATTAGAACTATCCACTTAGGCTTATTGTTTACAAGCAGTGTTTGAGTGCTTAGGAAGATTTTATTGTTTTTATGAGTATTTGAGAGTCTGCTTCCTGGGTGTTTGAAGTGCTAGAAACAGATATATCCAATTTGTGGTTTTCATTAAAAATGTTTAAGAGAGCTTGCTTAATTTTTCTTTAGATATTTTCAAATATATAGGGAATTTTAACCCTATTAAATGCATAAACCAATGGAATATTAATTCAAGAATAATTAAAGCTGATATATTAATTTATCCACGAAATTACTGGTTTTAAATTTGTAAATTTACTCTAAAATCTTATGAAAAACTAGGCTTTATAATTAAAACTCTTTTAAACAGGATAATAATTTAGAGACAAATAACTAACTATAAATGTTGTTTTCTGTATTAAAAAGACATCTCCCCTAAGATACCAAAAAGCCAATTGACTAGGTTAAGTGAAAAAGCAATTACAGAAAATATTATATCATGTGACATAATTTCTATAAAAAAGAAAAGTAACACAAACAACTCTATACATTATATATATGGGTTACCATGTAAACAGTAATAAAAATATAGAAATGTAAACTGAGGAAGGGAAGATAGCACATGAAATTTTACCTGAAATATTTTTCAAAACACTAAAATAATCATAACAAAAAATTAATATTTGTTTATTGATAGCAGGTACATTAGTGATGATAATATTATTCATTATATGTTAAATTTATTTCAATTAATATTTCTGATGCAAAAATTCAAATAAAAATACATGAAGAACCCAAGGGACCAATAGAAATAGTGAAATGGACATAGATTTGGGCTACTAAAAAATAGATTTACTGGGAAGATGATGATTGAGTAATTAAAATTACATAACAAAACATTTTCATTTAAAACAAAGCAAGAATGAAAGAAGTTTCTGCCAAGATGTTTCACACATTATGACTGATTAACAAACAGTGACAACTTGACATTTGTTGTGTTCTTTCGACAAAATAATGTGTATCTGAGAAAACTGGTAACTGGTGATGAAATATGTTGTTTCCAATAAAACCTGGAAATAAACAATTAGAGTCTGCACTGGAAACTCCAACATGGAGAAAAGTTTACTTGTGAAAATCTAAGTGAAATGAATGTTGATTTATTCCTGTGATACAAATGACATTCTTGGAGAATTCATATTATTGGATAAAATGCTCAATTAAATTGATCGCTATAGAGGAATAATGATGCATCTGAGAGATTCTGCATAAAACAAAGCCAAGGGATTGTGTGGCTGTGGCTGAGTTCACTGTGATGAGGTTGTCATAATGGACTTTCTGTAAAAGAGTTTTGAGCAATATTGTATTAACTACTTTAATCATCACTTTATGCATAAAACAAGGTTTTAAATGCCTTCAGGCTGCTTTTAAAAATGAAATCAATCTCCCCAGACAAATATAGTCCACCAGTTTAGACAATCAAAGGGAATATGCTGTAGGATTTTCAGGCAATTCCAGAACCACATCCCCAAAGTATTTTCATTAACGGTAACATTATTGGAAAAAATGTGTACAATGTTATTTAAAGAAAATAATAATTGGCTACAATATAAACCCTGCTATATGTTTTTGAGAAATGTGTTTTTCCATTTTGTACAGATGTAATCATTTTACGCTTTTGTGCTTACTTTTAAATACAAGTATTTCAGAGAAGTGTGTAACTCAATGAAGCACATGGGCTAGGGACCGAAATCTTGTTCTGCCCTTCAAGTAGAGTGTGACACTCAGTTTCTTGTGTGCTGTGAGGAATGAGGACAATGTTAGGTACCAAGCACAGTGCCAGGTTTATGGCAGGCACTCAGTAAAATGTAGCTGTTATTATTATTATTTATGGTATCATTATTTATTTGACAAAAGGCCTTTTGGCTCTTTTTCTTCTCATTAATTCTTCCCATTGGATTTGAGGAATAATAGGTTTTTCTGTTTTGGTCTTAGTTATTTCAGTGATTAAAGTGAAAATAAATTTTCCTGCAAAATCTCATTGTATGATTGTTAAACCATTTGCAATAAATATTTATGTAGATAGACCATCCAGGTCCCAAACTCTATTTATCCCCATTTCTACAACTTTGTTACCTTATCTGATCTAAGAAATTTAGTGCATATTTATCTCTTCTAGGTAGATGAATGAATTCACTTTGTAAAATTTTTCTAAGAAATTATACATAACCATGTCTAGCTTATCTAATTAGGTAAAATTATTCATAATGTATTTTCCAGAAAACTAAAACCCTGATATTCCTTTATTTTCCTACTCTCAATATGGCAAAGGACAAAAATATTTGTCCTTTCAGGTTTGAGAAGGGCATTCTCATTTAGCTTAAAAACTATGGTTTTTAATGCTTAAAGGATATCATAATTAAAACATTAAATATAATATCAGCTGGATTTTAGAAATATAAATATAAATAAAATACAAGTAAAGATATAAATCTTTACTTATATCTAAGTAAAGTGAGGAGCTTTAATCAAAAATACATTCCAGAGTTTATATATCACTGAGTGTAATGGTTTATACAGCCTTTTCTCAACTCGTAATTATCAACATACTTGCTGACTGTCATTAAAGTTTTGCAAAAGATATACGTTTATATGCACATAAGAGAAGAATTTTAAAATATAAGCATATATATTAAATTATTATCTTAGAATGTTTCTGGTCTGAGAAACTAGCTCATCTCATTTGTCTGGGAAACAAGAAAACAGTTTTTTCTAGATTATTTTTAATGTACGAAAAACACTACTCCTATTGAGATGCTCTGGAAATGTAATTAAATACTAAGATTGCCACTAACATGATTAAGGAGAAAGTACAGTTAGGCTCTTCTAAGCCAGTTAAAGCCATTGTGCCAGTTGCCTTACTCAGTAATAAATCACATCTGATATCTGGAAGCAGAAATATCATGTAAGCATTTCTGTTCTTTTCCTGTCCATAAAAGGTTGGAGGATTGTATTAGAGAAAG
Source organism: Homo sapiens (assembly GCF_000001405.40). Classification (NCBI taxonomy): domain Eukaryota; kingdom Metazoa; phylum Chordata; class Mammalia; order Primates; family Hominidae; genus Homo; species Homo sapiens. The sequence continues at coordinate 72,873,484 of NC_000006.12, read as the reverse complement.
ATTTTTGATGGGGTCAAATAAAATCTCACCCAGATTGTACAAGTACCTGCAGAACTGCTTTACTTACTGGGATTTGAGGTTGTTTTACAAAATTGATAGTATACTTCAGGAAGGGCACACCATATTGGCGACAGATGTAACACAGAACCTTAAACTATAATAATGGTTTTTAAATTACCCAAGGTGAAGAGCATGTCTCATTCCAATAAGTAAATACAAATAAAAACATTAAACTCAAATATCATATTCAATTGGTACATTTTATTTTAGCTTCAGCAATATTAATAACAGAGAGAAGAGGTGATTAGAAAAATTATCTGAATATAAAGTATTTATAGAGAATGAAAACAAAATCTCATTGATTGAAAAGAAAATGCAAGATATATTAATCCTAGGAAGGCTTAGATTTAAAAGAAAGGAGATTCTCTAAGTGTATAAAATGCTTTAGTGGGCCGCTACAAAAATGTGAGCACTCTCATTTCTGGACACTTTTAGAGCAGAAAAATCATGCATAGCTTTCTGATTTTTAGTAGAAGAGCTATCTGGAAAGTTCACAGGGATTGTTTAGGTTCTCCAATATCTGTATGAATGAATTCTCTATAAAAATAATTTAATGTAAAATACGGACATCAATTTCAAGGTTTTTTGGTTGACAGTATTCATAATTTGAATACTCTCCAGAGATGGGAGAGTATTGAACAATACTCTTCATTGAATAATGAAGTTGCTTTGAATGTAGATCCCCCTATTTTTGTACAATTCGCGAAATGAAAATTTTTCCTCGTTGTAAATCAGCAAAGTGTAGGCCTGTGCTGGATGGTCTGGGTTCAAATCCTGGCTCTAAGAATTACCAGTTGTGTGACCTTGGCTGAATTACTTAAGCACATTAGGGTATAAAATAGGAATAACGATACCTGCCTAACAGAGCTTTTGAGAGGTTTAAATGAAATAATCCATGTAAAGATCTTGAAACAATTTCTGGCATTTAGAAATTATTCAGCAAGTACCAGCCATGATTGCTATTTCAGAGCAGTAGGTCCTAACATTTTGTTTTTTGCTGAGACTCACAAGACAAACCACGTCCTCATGTGCAACACACCCTTGTTGGTCCATTTTCTACAGAGTAGACCTCCTTATGCTCTTATGACAAATATACTGGAAGGCAAATTAGCAAAAGTGACATTATAACAGAGATCACTATGATTGATTTAACTTAAAATTAGAATTTAAAAATGTCAGCAGGTTAATAACAACACATATTACATTAGGTCATGACTCAGACACATGCTAAAAGCACTTCTTTAGGAAGTAAAGGGAAGGGAGAGAGGTACATGTGAACATGTTTGGATAAAGCTATTACATAAAATCATTTTCTCTTCCATCTATTCATCCATCTGTCCATTTCAAAGACTGAAGAAACTCTGTCAAGAAACATGCATAATTTCCTGGACACCTAGGTTTGTTTATTTGTTTTGCTGCTCTTTCTTTCTTTGTTTTTGTTTCTTGTTCTTTAGGGAAGCCTCCTATCCTGGAAGAGGGAGGAAAGAGCAAAATTTTCTCCATTTCTCCCAGTTAGAACATTTATCTTTTCAACGATCTGTCTGAGGAAAAAATATGAGGTTACAGATGAATGCCTGCTCAATCTCAGATTTTGATAGATGGAGAGATGTATCCTTGGACTAATACTCAGAGGGGTGGGAGAAGGTGGGAGAGGTAACTTTATGTACAGAGTCAGAGTACATTACAAGGAACCTGGGGCAGTTTCTTTGATTTTAGTCTGGCTTTTATTATTCTGTAATTAGTGGATCAACATGTTGGCTTTTAGTTTACATTTAGGTTAAATATTGTTCTTTTTGGATTAATATGACAAGTATAATTTAGAATATTTTGGTTTAAGTTTGCTTGTTACAACTACAAGCGAGTTATTATACTCAAAGTAAAATAAATCTCTAACTTTAGTGAGTAGCTATTTCTTTAGTGATTGATTCCAAAGCACGTTTGTTTATTTAACAGATTAAATGATGAAAGAGTTGGCAGCCATATCATCACAGCATTTACTACATTAATATGTAAATGCATTACAAAGAGTAGAAAATAACAAGAGAAGGGAAAAACTAGCAATCTACTTCATTTGTTTCCCAGAATTTCCTACTAGGTTTTGCAGAATCAAAATCAGAATATGTCACATGGTGAACCAAAAAATTAAAAGTCAAACCATAACAGTGATATATATTTAAATGATCTCTTCTTCCAAACTAAAAAAAATAATTTAATGAAGAAGACCTCTTTTGGTTCAGTCTTCTATAAAATGAGGATGCTTGTTCTTTTCTCAAAAGCTCGTGGTGATAATATTGAGGCAGTGGGCAGAGTACGCAGGACTGGGGCATAGAGGATGCTCAACAGGGACTATTACTGTATGAAAAGCATCAGTCACTCCAATCCTGGACCTATGTGTGTGTATTCTCAGGGTATCTACCTGGAAGCTAAAAAACCTATTCTTTTCAAGATTTTAGTCCCAAATGGTTAAAACATGAAAGGAAAAATTTAACACAAGAAAACTGAAGCAGCAGAGAAATAACCATCATCCTCTTCTAGTGAATATTTGACTTTTAAAAGCCTATGTACCACATATATAGTATAAATTATAGTTATCATGATGACATACATAAGAAATCTGCATTACTGGATTATTAGTACACTGTATAATTAAAATTTCTACCTGGTTACATGTTAGGTATAGGGGCATTCAAATAAATAATATAGGCATTCAAATAAGTAATTTTTTAGAACAATCAGATTATAATAAAACAGTTTAAAAAATGAGTGGCTTTAAGTATTTGGATGCTATTTAATAAAGATGCCGAATTTATTGTATTTTTTTTAGCCAAGATTATAGGGCACATCAGTATGGAAGAGACATAAAATATGCCACCCGGCTGGGTGCAGTGGCTCACACTTGTAATTCCAGCACTTTCAGAGGCTGAGGCAGGCCGATCATTTGATCCCAGGAGTCCGAGAGCAGCCTGGACAACATGGCGAAACCCCATGTCTACAAAAAAATACAAAAATTAGCCTCAGCTACTCAAGAGGCTGAGGTGGGAAGATCATCTGAGCCTGGGAGGTTGAGGCTGCAGTGAGCTGCAGATCATGCCACTGCACTCCAGCCTAGGTGACAGAGAGAGAGCTTGTCTCCAAAACAAAACAAAACAAAACAAAAAACCCAAAAGACAAAAGACAAATACATCACCCAAGGAGCCAAGGAGCCAAGGAGCAGGGTTATTTATCCTGATGTCATTGCAGTCATGACAAAAATCCAGGTATCTGATTATACAATGTAATAATTATACCATGATTCTAAATTTTAACATTTTTAAATAATAGTCAAACAGAATAATAATCAAAACACCAGCACTTCAGAAATAGCTGTACTTTACAGTATGAGCATGTGCAGGTGAAATTTTGACAGGGCCATTTTAGTGGTGTGGACTTTTCAATGCAGCAATTTTGGCAAGGGAATATTTTGATATGCCTTAAAGAGCAAACCATTATATTTTTAACTTCTTTAAATACCAAGTTCTTTGCACAAAAATTATCCAAATTCTCTTTGACCCTCATCGCACCCTGGCTTTGTGGGCTGCCCTGAAGTTGTGGTGCACCCCATGTCCAGCTTTGACCCGACACTGGGCCTCGCTCCCCCTGTGGGGAATATCCTGAAGGAAGGCATAGGAGTGAAAACATCCCTTAGGCACATTACTCGAAAACACCACCCCCATTTTTTTTTGTCATTAAAAAGTACTTCTTTAACAAAGCAAAAGTTTCATCCTTTTCAATGTAAAAACATTTTTACATCTTGACGTGACTGAATATCAAAAAGGCTGTGTCAAAATGTTCTGTCTTTACAAAGGCGATGCTTGTCAAAGATGAGCGAGGAAGCCTACAGGGGAAAAGACACTCATGTATTTAACCAAAGTAAATGAGAAAATGGAAAAACTAAAGTTCAAAAAAGTCCATCTATTACTACAGAATCAGAATATGTAAGGGTTAGAACATACCTAAAGGACCATTTTGTCTAAATGCTAACCTAATATTTTCATTTTCCAAATCGCCTGGTTTCCTGCTCTCAAGTAAGTCAATGACCCTCGCCTGTAGTGTCCATCGGCCCCAAGCTCAGATCCCCACATGTCCGGGATAGAAGGAATTCCGGTTTGACAACTGGGGAGACAGCCTCATCACAAATCCTGCACTATAGGTAAGCACTAATTCTTATTGGGTGTTTTTCTCTTATCAGAGACTAAGTCTTGACCAGAAAGTGGCTCTTGACATTGTTTCTTTCTTTTTAATTTTTAAAAATTATTATGGGCACATATAATATGTGTATATATTTGTGGGGTACAGGTGATGTTTTGATACAGGCATACAATGTGTAATAATCAAATCAGGGTAATTGGGTATCCATTATCTCAAGCATTTATCATTTCTTTGTGTTAGGAACATTACAGTCCCACTCTTTTATAATAGTTATCTTTAAGTTTACAGTAAATTATTGTTCTGTTGTGCTGTGAAATACTAGACCTTATTCATTCTATCTCTATATTTTTGTACCCATTAACCATCCCCACTTTATCCCCAGTCCCTCAACCTTGTTTCTTGTACTTGAATCCCTATTTTCATTACCTTCCTTAGGAAGTGGGGGCTGCCTCACCTTCCGCAGATCTCCTCAGAACACCATCTCGTTATGGGAGCTCAGCTACCATGTAGACTGCCATCCATTTAGCTCTGTTCATAGAGCTTACTGGTTGCTCTCTTTCCCATGATTGTGCTCTACCTGACTGTCACCTTTGCCTGGTTCTTGATGCCAGCTGCAACTGCAGAGTCACCGGTTGCCAATCATAACACTCACTGAATGCAATATGGCAGTCTCCTGAATTCATTTCCTTCCATTGCAGCTAGGTCCACTCTTTGAACAACCACTGCCAGTGCCAGAATTGAGGCTCAGGTCTGGGCCACTCCCAGACTCCCTCTGGTTAATAGGCCTGTGTGTATCATGATTAGAATGAAATTTCTATTAAGTCGTCATCCAATTTCTTGGGGCTTAGAGACCCAAAAGGCCACTAGTTTTTGAGGAAGCTGATTTTATCTCATGAAAAGAAATGACTAATTAGAAATGTTTTAATTCTGTGAACATGAAATCAGAGTCTACATAACACACACAGTGCTTTTGGGCACATTACAAAAAGGCATCTCTTCTAAACAGATCAATTTTTTTAAAAGAAACTCTGCATACCACAGCCTAATCCAAGCCACAGTGCTTGGCCATAGGAGCATGGCAAAATTTCAGCCCACATTTACCTCCTTGTCTGGAAGTCCTGGTGGAGGACTCCCATGAAGTTACATGCAGTCCATGTAACTCTATGTGACTGACGGATTGGCCCTGGTCTGTTCCTTGGAATCTCAAATAACAGGTCTAAATTGCTTTTCCACCACAAGACTCTCCAATTATTATTATTATTATTAGTAGTAGTAGTAGTAGTAGTATTAGTATTATTAGTATTATTTTTAGAGTCTCACTCTTGCCCAGCCTGGAGTGCAGTGGCTGATCATACCTCTCTGAAGTCTTGTGTGTTGAGGCTCAAGCAATCCTCCTGCCTCGACCTTCCCAGTAGCTAGGACCACAGGCATGTCCCACTGTACTTGGTTAATTTTTTTTTTTTAAGAGAAGGGGTTTTGCCATGTTGCTCAGGCTGGTCTTTAACTCCTGTCCTCAAGTGACCCTCCCACCTCAGCCTCCCAAAGTGTTGGGATTACAGGCATGAGCCACCATACTCAGCCAGAATCTCCAGTTATTTGGAAACAGCTGCTCTATTACCTCTGCAATTTCTTTTCTTTGGGTTAAACATCTTGAGTTCCTTCAACTATACCTCTTTGTGAAGTTTTAAAAATCCCTTCTCCTTCTTGTTGGCTCTGTTTGGAATATGCTTCCATTTATCTGTATTTTTCTTCAAGTATGCCCTAAACACACACAGCACTAATGCAGGTTGGTTTCACCAATGTGGATTTATAATTCTCCTTGTTCTACAACATTCTGTGTTTCTTTTAAGGCACCTTAAGACCAAAGAAAGTTGTTAACAGGCTGGCAAGAGAGACTCTGAGCTTCAGGTATCAAGTATTCTAACTTAAATAATTCTCAAATTAAACAAAACCAAAGTATTTTCTTACAATTACTTTTTTAAAGAGGAGTATAAAGAAAACTGTGAGAAACTCTGAGAAAGCAAAAGCTAAGCAAATTTTTTGTGATATATTTAGTTAGATTACAATTCAGTAACTTATTTCCTTCCATAGAGCAAATGCTGATTCCCATACATAATTTCAAACTATCTTCCTTCAATTCTATGTATACACATATACTTATCACTGAACTATTAAACTAATAGGTGAGCCTCTCAAATATCCAATATATGCCTATATCAGTTGTGGCAGTGACAGAGCTTAATCAATTAAATTCATAAGGGCTTGACAGAAAAAAAAATTAAATACATTTTGCCAGCAAATAATTTGAGCTCATGCAGATAAAGGGGAGGTGGTTAAAATTAAGAAGTTCATGTAGTTTTCCAAATTAAAGGAGATATTCTAATTACATCTTTAATGGTGTTGAGAATGTTAATGACGGAGGTTATGAGGTTCAAGGTCCTTAGGCAATATGGTTAGATTAGGTCACAGTCTAAATTCTGAAACTGTTTTCATGCTTTTAAATTAACTAATTGTTGATGTGGATGTATAGCAGGGACTGAAATGAACTAAAGGGTTTGACTTAAGTGTGGTTTGGAGACAGATCTATGTGTCTAACTATAAACGCACAACTGTATCATCTCTTTTAGCTTGTTTGGATAAGCCTAAGATTCTTATAAAGGAGGATAAAGATGGAGATGGCTGGGCCAGATGCAGTCGCTCATGTCTGTAATCACAGTACTTTGGGAGGTGGAGGTGAGTGGATTGCTTGAGTTTAGGAGTTTGAGACCAGCCTGGGCAACATTGTGAAACCCCCATCTCTACTAAATACAAAAAATTAGCCAGGCATGGTGGTGTGCATCTGTAGTCCCAACTACTTAGGAAGCTGAGGTCAGAGGATCACCTGAGCCTGGGAGGTTGAGGCTGCAGTGGGCCGAGATCACACCGCTGCACTTCAGCCTGGGCAACCAGAGTGAGACCGTTTCAAAAAAAAAAAAAAAAAAAAAGGGAGATGGCGGAGGAAACTAGAATAAGCATGATGGGGAAATTCTGAGGGGACATAATAAAGTTGCAAACATGAAGACTCCAGAATCAGACAAACATGATTTCAACCTTGCCTCTGCTATTTTATATTATGTGACCTCTGGGCAAGTTATCTATTTTACTTTTACTTAAGTCTTAGTATTCCTGTTTAAAAAATGGGTTTAATAACAGCTATTTTGAAAGTACTGTGGGGTTAATTGAGATTACATAATGTAAAGCTCTCAAGATATAGTATATGTTCAATAAAATGTTTGTCTGTCTACCAGGCAAGTTGACACAGGCAGTATGGTTCCAGGAAGTGCTTATAAGGTTTAGATCTTTAATGGAGAATCCTTCTCTGCAGAAAAGCGCTGCTCCACAATAAAGATTCTGAGGACTTAAAAGCACTCTATAATCAGAGACTTAAATGGCTGCTACACACTGATAAAATGACTTGGATTCCTCCTGGATGAGGGGTACACATGAGTAGAAGACATTATTAGTAATCTTCAGTTGTCAGTTGTAAAGTATGCAGTCAGGAACTAAGCAAATGATATGCCCTAATTTCAACACACTGTTGGCTTTGGAATTAGGGCCAAGTTTTCGTGACATGTCTCCAGCTGGCGTCTCAGTGGTGCTGGTTTTCTGGATGGCAAAACATCCTGTTCAGGATCCCTTATGATCAAAAGAGCTCATCCTAGGGATTAGCCTGTCAAAGAGATAATGCACTGAATCTTACAGAGAGAAGAATGGTGACAGGACCATTATATGACCTGAGATAGGTTCGATATTCTGTAGTGAATCCACTAATTCTGCTTAGTTCCTTTAATTATGCTGGATAAAGGAGATTATATCTATGAGGTACTTGGTTTATGAATTTTCTGTATTTTGGCCCAGACTGCCTTTCAATATACATTTTCATGAGGACTTTTAGATATATCCACACTTGAATGAAATAGAGTCTATACGCAGAACATCAACAAGGAGAGTGATAATGCAAGAGTGTGGAAAGAACTTGAGATGCAGACCTGGAGGATTTTGGATTGAGGTCCTGATTTCCACATACAATTTCTAAGTATCATGGTAAAGTCACTTCACTCCTTTAGACTTCAAGTTCCTCATTTTCCAAGTGAGGATTATGATATCTAACTCCAAAGATGCAGTAAGGATTAAATGAAGAAATGTAACTGATGTAATGTAGGCCTTACAGGTAGAAGGTTCTCAACAAGTGTTTCCTGGATGAAAGACATGAACTATATTTAAAGCAATGTACAAATATTGACTCAGATGTGAAGAGCTCTGTAATTCTTACAATGCTAGTTTTCCCATATCCTTGAAATACATGTCAGTTTTTCTGACTGAAAGTAGCAAATGTTTAAACAAAAACAATCAAAACTAAAATTTTATTATTCAAAATTCACAAAAGTAAACAAATGAGAAAGAAGTCTAGTTAAACTTTCAAATTATGTGGAGTTTTTTTTTTAAGTTTGTAGCACTTATATTTCTAAATTAGTCAAGCCTAAAATTGTGCTAAGACTTTTAGGACCCTGTGTGTGTGTGTATGAAATTAAATTATGTAGTGATGTTATTATTGAGAGAAACTAGCATCTCCAAATAATTCTGCATGGCTTCATAAAATCAAATTCACTCAAGCTTTGGCTACTGCTAACATTTTAATATTTAATAAAAATATCAGAGTGTTTTGCCAATAACCAGGCTAATTCCACAGTGGGGGAAAATGAGATAAAGAAAAAACAAGTGGCTTAACTAAGGCCATGTACTGACCCAGATTTTCTCAGTGAACAAACATTGCTTCTGGGCAAAGAGTTTGCCGTTTTGGAACTGGCATTAAGTTAGGAAGGCTGCTAGGACAGTACTTAGTAATTTAGTTTTTGTAAACTCCTTGGCTTTGTGTCTTGAGTAGTACTAATGGCCCATTATTACTTTAATGATAATAAAAAGAAAAGTGGAAGGGTAGAGAGTCAGGTAGCATTGGAGGTAGTGTTCATGGGATATAGGCATGGCTGGCATGCATGCTGCATTTCAGGTAGGTGTAGAGTACAAGGGAAAGGGCATAGGAATAAAAAGCATAAGTAAAAGTAAAGCATATAAAAAATTGATACCTTAAGATACAAGAATTTATGACATGGGCAGCAGGGTACAGACTCAGACAGTTTCAATATTTGGTTATTGAGCTACTTGCCGCGGGGAGGCTGCAATCCCTCTGCAATGCCAATAAGAAGGGGATGTATATGGACTGAGGTACAAACTGCCTCTGCCATGGAGCCATTATTCCCCTGGTAGGGGAAAGGGGTGGTCAAAAGAAAATTCATACTTTTATTGTTTACTTCCAGTACACAAGACTTACAATTATTTGTGTAACATAAATTTAAATAATTGATGTTTTCAGCTGTAATTTTTGGATTACATTTCAAACAGTTCAAAATACATTTATTTTTTCTGATAAATAAAACACCCTTACACAACTTTTAAAAAAATTCTAAAAAATATCTGCTACAGAAATACCTATATCTGAAGGAAATTAATGCCTTACTTTATTGTCCAGGTAGAAACTGACCAATCTTGTTTGGGTCTACCTACTCCCCATTACCTATCATGAGCTATTTTTAAAAACTAGTTTTTATTATGTTTCAGAATGATTAGCTGACTTTCTTTGCAGTTTAGGGAAATTTTCCTTTCCCTAAGCCCTTTAGAGTCCTTTCAATAAAATGCACTGTGTGTAATGGCAAAAAATATTTCATGCAATCTTATGCAAAAACAGGAATCTGAAAATGGAAATCTTAGGAATGAGTTATTAAGAAAAGACATTTGGATCAAAGAAAAACGTATTTCTAAAGTGAGTGTGATTTATGGTGTTAGGATGGGACATCTTGCCTTCTGAGAAACAGACTTGCTTGACCCAGTTTGTGTTCAGCTATCTGGTAACTTGTTAAAAAGGATTAACATGTAAGGGTCTGGAAAAACTCTAGTCTCTAAGTGGCTATTTAGTATGGGCAGGAAAAGGCTGTTTTTTTCCTAGAAGCCTGGGGCCATACTTTTCCTATGTTCCCATCTAACACATTTAAGGCACACCTGTTGCTGAGAAATGCATCCTCTACACTTTACAGGGTACGTTTATACACACAGTAGCAACTGAGTCATTTAGTCTGCCATAAGCTGCTTCCAGTTTTTAGCCTATTTTCTCTGGAAAATAATACAATTTCTCTTTTTTGGCAACATTCCTATGAATAACAGTGCAAGGAGAAAAACAAACAATTATAAATTTTTAGATATTTAAAAGACATTGGTGGCCCGGTGCAGTGGTTTGTACCTATAATTCCTGCACTTTGGGATGATGAGGCAGAAGGATTGCTTGAGTCCAGGAGTTCAAGATGAATCTGGGCAACACAGTGAGACTTCATCTGTACAAAAAATTAAAAACTTAGCCAGGCATGGTGCTGAGTGCCTGTAGTCCCAGTTATTCGGGAGGGTGAGGTGGGAGGATTGCTTGAGCTCAGGAGGTTGAGGCTGCAATGAGCCAATATTGCACCACTGGACTCCAGCCTAGGTGACAGAGCGAGACCCTGTCTCAAAAATAAATAAATAAATAAAAAAGTAGGAAGACATTGGCTAGGTTTTTTCCCCTAGCCTAATGGACTCACTGGACAAAACTTGATTATAAGGGTGGTAGAATACTAGAATGAGCTTATGACATATTCTGTTAATTAGAAAAAATCTTTTGAAAGCAACTTACTGAGGGATTTAAAAAGTACTAAAAAAAGAGACAGCAGGAAAGCAGTGGCTTTGGAACACTACGGGAATCATAATGAGGAAGCAAGTTATTTGCTAGTGCCCCTCCCTCTTCAGCTCTTAGTGTATCTTTGGCAGATTGAAAACACTTAGTCAACTTCCTTTTTAAATACAGTAGACATGACATTTATGGCCTCCTCACTTACTCCTCCTTAGAGAATTTCCCCTCTCACTTTCCAAGAAGCAGTTCTATGGGCCCATGACAGGACCCTCCCCAGTTAGCCCAGCTACAGCTGACTGGATCCAGGTGACAACCAGCTTGTGCTAGACAGACAGGTCCCTCTCCAAGGAATTTGGAATTGGGGCAGAAGGACAGGAGTCAGTTAACTTGCCTGTGGGAGTTTGGTTTGAAAGTTCACATAGAGTCTGAGCCAGACTTAGCACCACTGCCAGCCAGAACCACATGTACTAAAGATTTAGTAGGGCCGGGAAGTCATGAGTAGGCTGAGAAAACTGGCAGAGGGCAGGAAAAAGGAGCAGACACAGTGAGAAGGGTAGAAAGAAAAAGCTAGAGACCTCAGGAGAGATGACTTACTCTAGTTGGTTTAAAGGAGTTTTTATACTTGACAGCTGGGGGTGGATCCAGGTTTTTTTTTTTTATTATACTTTAAGTTTTAGGGTACATGTGCACATTGTGCAGGTTAGTTACATATGTATCCAGGTTTTATGGGGCCCGAAACATATATCATTTTGGGAGCCTTCTCCAGAAGAAGAATTCAAAATTACAACAGACAATTTGGTACAGGGTCCCATGAAGCTCAAGTGAGAGGCCCTAAAGCTTAAGCTCCATTAATTTCCTTTTCTCTCTGTTTACAATCAAGTCATTTCTGAGGAAGATATCCAGACACACACTAAGGAGAATCTTTTGCAGAAGGTCAGGAGGAATCTGAACTGAATTTCCAAGGAAACTTTTTTCTGGAGACCTTTACTTAGGGACATTCTGGTGAATTCTTTCTTTGGCCATTTCATCTCTGGAAGCCTATGTGCTCCCGGGATTCTGAGGGTCACACTCACAACTCATTCTCTAATTCCATACACACCACACTGGTCTTTCTTCTACATATTTCAATTTTGTTACTGTCCCCTAGGAATTTGTTTGTGTTTAAATAATCCTTTAAAGGAATCTCTGAGGTTTATTTTCTGTATTTGGAATTTTGCTGCTTGGTCTGCATAGTTACAACCACCTGTTTTCTTCTTGAGTCATTATTAACAAAAAAGAAAATTCATGAGGCACATGCTGTTTCCCTGTTTGGCTGGACTTCTTCATTCTCATCACGTCCTTGAAGGGTTTCAAATTGCCTGGTGGCCACTCTTCTAATCCTATCAGTCTGGGAATATTTTAGAGGACTGGATAGCAATACTTACATTGCTATCTTAAAAAATATGAGCTCTCAACCCTAATATCCACAGAACACTTCAGATAAAGCTTCTAATATTGTATATATAATTACTAATGTCTATGAAATGGACAAAACATAACAATCAAAGGGAAAACTACTCAGAGTAGAGTCTGACTTCTTTTCCTTTCCCTTCCTCTATTCCCCTAAAACATACACACACACACACACACATACACACACACACACACATGCCTTAAAAGGACAGTGATGAGCCAGGAATACATTAAGACCAAGAATAAACAGAAATAAAGATCATAGGAGTTATATTCATACCTCAAAGTGTATGAAATACAGTAATGCTTTGGAAGGGGAAAGTATCTCTGGAACAGATTTTTACAAGGAAAATAGATACTATTGATTAAAGTTCTTGTAGTAGAAAATGAATACATTGATTCTCTAAAAGTCACTGACCTTGATAATTAAAAAAAGAAGAAAAATAATATACACTGTGCTGACTAATTTTTTGGTATGTTACTAAGTGTTTTCCACGAATTGTCTCACAGAATCCTCAGAACATTTCTATATCATTACTCCCATTATTTTACAGATGAGGAAACTGAAGCCTAGGAAAGATTAAGTAAGCCAAAGCCACACACTTAATAAAGGGTGAAGTCACGACTCCAATTCCTGTATTCTAGGGCTTTAAAATCTTTCCGCCACCAAGAAAGACTGAGCATGTTGAAAAGGTCCTGTTGAAATAACCGAATTGGAATAGAGTTTAAGTAGTTCAGAGGGTTAGGTATTTTTTACGGTCTGCTACCTTGCAGGTGAGACTTCAAAAGAAGACAAAATTAATTTAGAGTAGAAATGGAAATAGGGCTGGAGAAGTGTCATCGTGCTTGTGACACTTAGCATCAGGAGCCTCACATCATTTGTATTTTTATTCATACCATTTGTATTTGTTTCATTGGACCTGTCTCTCATCTCTTCACTGGGCCTTGGCTTTTCAGGAGAGGGCATTGTCTTCCCTTTGGGGTCCTGCCTAGTATCTTACATAAAGAAGAGATCAATAATCACTTTTTGAGGATGGAGACAACAAAAGGGGAAAAAGCTTTTTTTTTTTTGGTGAATAGGATTACATAATAATAAAGAAATGACAAAAGAAGAGGACAACCAGGTATTTAAAAATCAGGAACAGGTCAGGCACAGTGGCTCACACCTGTAATCCTAGCATTTTGGAAGGCCAAGGCAGGCAGATCACTTGAGCCCAGGAGTTAGAGACCAGCCTGAGAAACAGGGCAAAACCCTGTCTCTACTAAAAATACACACATGAAAAAATTATCCCGGAGTGGTGGTGCATGCCTGTAGTCCCAGCTATCTGGGAGGCTGAAATGGAAGGATCACCTGAGCCTGGGGAGGTCGAGGCTGCCATGAGCTGTGATTGCTCCACTGCACTTCAGCCTGGGCGACAGACAGAGTGAGACCCTGGCTCCAAAAGAAAAAAAAAGTCTGGAATAAGTGAGGGAAGCAGGCACAAGACACAAGAAAAAATACAGAGTTAAATTTGAGAAAAATAGAGAAATGGCATTTTAGGAGAAGCAAAGATAAAATCATATATTGGAAAAAGTGATGTATGATATAGGCAAATTGAAAAAAATACGAAAAATATGGGGAAAACAAGGGTACATTATTTGTCAACTATTTCTGCACATTGGAAGATGATTCATTAAATAACTTTTGCCACCCATGCTTAAAAAAATATAATTTCTATCAATAGATGTGTTCAATGCCATTGACTGGAATTTTTTCTCAAGGCATTATGGAATAGGCATATGTAGTTAAAAGGAAAAGTTTATTATTATAGAACTCTATTATAATAAAACTTCAAATATTATAATACAACTCTATTATAATAAAACTGTCTGTGTCATATCAGAGAGCCTTGGAGTTTTTGAAAGAGGAAGTTATATGCTCTTTGAGTATATAAAGCCTTTACATTTATATGGCATAAACAGGTCTAATCTGAATAAGGATGAAAACTAGAGAATATTCTTAAAAAACTTTTTATTTTGAAATATGTATAGACTCGTAAAAATTGCAAAACTAGCATCGAAAGCTTCTGTGTAGATTTCATCCAGCTTCTGCCATGGCAACATCTTACATAACTATAACACTTCATCAAAACCAAGAAACCAGCATTGACACAATGAAATTAACTAAACTATAGATATTAATTAAATTTCACCAGTTTTTATGCTCTTTTGAATGTGTGTGCATAATTTTATGAAATTTTATTACATGCATAGATTTATAACCACCACCACAATCAAGATACAGAACTGGAGAACATCTTGGAATGGAAGCGTTAGACAACAGAGAATGCTATATATAAGAAAGTTATTCTTAGAAAGACAAATAAACGGGATATAAAACCAGAATGTTTAAAATAAAATAATGGAAAAATTAAATATAAAGAAAAAATGTACTAAACTGAAAATATAAATATGAGGGTTGGAGAGCAACAATGTTAAAAAAAATCACATTTCGAAGGTTACTATTTTCAGAAAAATGTTTTCCAATATTTATATTGGAAAAATATAAATATATATAAATATGTATACATGTTCCACAATAGGAAAATGGTCTAATCCTCCAAAAATTTATATGTGTCAGCAAAACAGTCTCTTTTCTTGGAAAAAAGAGTATGAAGTGACAGAAACACAGGAACATCTGATCTCAGCGTGCAAATGCAAACGAACTTTTGAAATAAATTTCTATGGATGTAGAGACATGCCACACATATATTTTCATAGAAATATAGAAACAATTTTAAAGCATAGCTCAGCATCTGTGAAATTTTTCTCTATATTTATAAATGAATTTTTTCAAAGCAAAAATGTATTTTAAAGTTAAATGCCATGGGAAAAATTTAGAATAAGTTTATTCTAAGGTGTACTCCATATATAGTTCTACTAGCTATGATTCAGCTCAAATTCTGCTTTCTCTAATGACTTCTCGCAACCTCTTAAGCCCTATTTGTTCTCCTTTTTGTTCTACACCATTTTTCACTCAAATATATTTTTCTTACTCACTATTGAGGAATGCAAGTTCTATGAGGCAGAGTTATTTGTGCATTTTGCTTTCTCATGAATACCAAGAGTTTGCCCAATGCCCAGCACATAGTAGGCATTCAAGAAATGTTTACTGTGTAAATTAGTGAACATACTTTTATTCTTCAATTCAACTGTGAACTCTTTGAGAGTAGGGTCCATGCCATGCACTTGTGTCTCCTCTCTTGCATACGTATTGAGCTATCAGTAAATAACTGCTAATAATCAGTATGTGATGTAACATCTACTGAGAAAATTTCCAGTATTTCAGGTCACAAATCAACATACTGGGTCAACAAAGCTGCCATTGTTTTGTCTTCCCTGACTTGTAAATATGCAAAAAACACAAATTATTTCACTGGATAGATGCTCACTTACATTCTAAGGTCTTTTAGTTTTATGCTTAATCACAAAGACAGAATATCAAGGTCATTACTGAGGCAATTGAAAAGGCTTCATCCTGTAAACTTGTTTTGTATGTAAACTGCCCTTCCTGTAAAATATACCGACATTAGAAGCATATAGTCAGTCTTTGCACAGTAAAATGGGACCATGAAAATGCCTGAAAATTGAAACTGTGCAAAGTGATCTTAATAATCAATGGAAAAAATTATGATTGATCTGTGTCCTTTAAAATTTTTTAATATAAACATTAAAAATTCTCTCATTGCCAGTTATAAATGCCTAGGGAAATGAAAAAAAAGAATAAAATGAAGATTTGTTTAGTATACTGTAACTTAAAACATTAGAAACCTAGAGAATAAGTGCTTTATTTCTTTGAAAAAAGTTTATTAAGAATAGTTTGAATAGTCCTTTTTTTCTTCTAGTCATATATCTTTCTGTTGGGAAAGGCAGTCATGCACAGATTGTTGGCCCCTGCATGGCCGCATGAGTGCTATGGGCCTGTGATATTTCCCTAGTGGGAGTTAAGAGCCTTCACAGCCTGTGCTGGGCTTGCCACTTTGTGACAGAGTATCTTCCCCTATTCTGGGCCTGATATGTACTTCTTTGTTCTGCTTAAGCATGTGAGTCCATAACCCTCAGGCATATCCCCAGCATTCTGCATCTCCAGCCCCACGGGGGAGGGGCAGGGTCTGGGGTTCTTCTACCGTAGCACAACCTGGGGTGTGTGCAGCTACATCACCAGAGTTGGCCATGGAGTAGATCTGCTGGACATGGGGACCTCCACAATGCAACGGTCTAGATCCTGGGCACTTTCATCAATCAATTTTAATTAATGCACAAATATTTCTTTGTCATTAGATAATTTTTTAAAGAATTATTAGCCGTATTCAGTACCATATATTCAGATTTAACGTATTTTCTTATTCTGTAACTGTTGACAAATTTCCATCACTAGTCTAATATTTTTATAAGGATTCAATGGGGCAGAGGAGTCATAAAGGAAAGAGCTCATACCATATTTCCTTTGCCCAACTTGTCTACCCTGCTGGAAAGCATCTTTATTTAAATACACACACGTGTGTGTGTGTGTGTGTGTGTGTATATATGTGTGTGTGTGTGTGTGTGTATGTATACATACATATATATTGCTATCAAGGATTTGGTAAAATTATTGGCCTATTTTATTATTAAATTCTTATCAAATTATACATTTTCCAATTATGAAAAAAAAACTCTTATCTAAGAAACTAAAATTCATGTAGGGAATCTTTGAACCTTTTAAGGTAAGAGGCTTATGTCATTGTCAACTTCAAGATTACTGCAATGAAAAAATTGAGCAAAGAAATACATGCCAGGTAGGCTGTAATCTAAACCAGTTTTATGTGTGTTGATTTCTTAGAAGGACTCTTTCCAGAATGCTTGAAGAAAGATGGAAAAAGTCAATGATAGAAACAACAGAATTGCTAACAGAGCCAAAATAGAAATACCATTTGTATGCAGCTGTGCCTAATAAAGATATTTTAAAATGTTCATTCAAAATTTACACAGTAAGAGTGTATACTTTCCTCAATTCATAGGAAACAAAACTTCTCATTTTTGCTTCTTTTGAGAGGTATGGATGTGAATTACAATGGTTTTATACAGGATCCCATATTCAACTTCTTGGTTAATTAAGTCTTAAGATAAATTCAGATATACTGACAAATTTCAGGCAACAATTTTAGTTAAGATTTTCAGAAAATAGGCCTTTAGCTAAAATCTAATTTAAAATCTCTATACCGGAGGGTGAAATCTGCATGGTGAATTTTATATCTCAGCTGGTAGCACTCATTATTTCTACAGCATAATATGCTTCTGACTCATAGACCATTTACTTCCAAGCCCTTGGTTTCCATAATAGTGCTTTCTCCCCCAAGTCTAATATTAGCCAAAATTTCACGAGTGCCTTTCCAAACTACATTAAACCATATGAACATCATTTCCTTGGTGTCTTGTCAGTATAAATAAAAATACTTGACCAAACAATAAAATTTTTGTATTCTAGCTTTGTCTACAAATATAATGGACTGTGGTGTATAAAATTAAGATCTACTTACTTTTGCTTAAGTTATTTTTTGTGCATGTATGTATGCATACTGATATAGACAAAAACACAAAGTACCTTTCTTTATTTGTATTGCCATTTATTTTAATAATTCCTTCTTTTAACCTAGCATTTTAGTAAAATAATGTATTTAGTGTAACTAGATGATGAACTTTTTTTTTTTTAAGTATCTAGTTAATTTTAGCCAGGGCTTTCATGTTCCTTAGATATAAACGTTTAAATTTCAAATAGTTTTAATTTATCGTGTTTAAAATGCTAGAACTGGTTTAAAAAAATTTGGTCCACCATGGCATAGTTTCTTATCTTCCTATCCAAAGCCTGAACTAAATTTGAATGTTTAATACTGGTGAGGCTTGGTGAGAACATAATAATTTATATTGGGTGAGGCTTGGTGCTGTTTCTTTTCTAATGTGTGATAATTGATGATAAAACAATGGTCATTGATGAGTGAGTGCTTGTATAGCACTTCTTGTTCCACTAAATGAAGGGAAAGTATCATTATCCATGGTACAAAATGTCAATATCAAGAGCCATTTGCTCAGTGAGGCCAGGGACACTAGAAATGATAATTATGTCTTTCCTTCCACAAGGCTATGTAATTAGAATTGGAAAATTGTGAACTCATAAATGACACTTCTCAACCAGCGTTATAAAGTTAATCTGCTTGCTCTAATCTACGCACGCACACACACACACACACACACACACAAACCATGGTGTGTGTGTGTGTGTGTGTGTGTGTGTGTACAAAGAAAGAGAGAGGTTGTTACTAACTCCTTAACAAGTCATTTAGATATGATTTTTTCATGTTTTGACATTATAAAAAAGATGAATAGAAAGCACAATGCCTCAAAGGACTGAAGTATAATAAAAGAATCCTTTAACATATCCTCACACTTATTCTCTCTTTTAAGACTTAATGATAGACATCGTAAACTTTTTTGGATTATTTTTAAAAATTTCAGCAGAATTTCATAGTAATATTGAATTTTTTACATAAATGAACACATATTAATAGTAAAAAGAAATTTTTTTTCTAATAAAGCTACATAATCTGTTAACAGTTTTGCGATCACAGATAATACTCTGATCATCCCATATTTAATGCTGTCTAAGTAAAGTGTGATTATAATTATTTTATATGTACCATTAGTTGGCTAATTTGAAAGTTCAATACAACCAAATTTTAAAAAAAAATTTATTTATATTCATACATCTATTTCCCCCCTTTTCTAATGTTACTACTTTTCTACTAAGCAAACTAAAAGCATGCTTTTCTACTAAGTTGGAAAGATCTGCATTATATTTTCAGAGAAGAACTCATTTAAATCTCAAAGGTAATGTTGCATGCAGGTTCTTAAGCGTTCTCATGGTATATCCGTTTATTAGGTCATTGTAACCTCATTGCACAGATACTTCACTACAGAGTAGGGCACTGGCATGATTTGGTCTGTCATGGTCCCTGTTAGAAGTGGTTTACAAAAAATGGCATATTTATTCCACCTAGGAGGTGTGCAGAAAGTCATAAATATACCTTTAAGTTTCAGTGTGCATAATAATAATCCAACTATACATTTCTCTAAATGTTTATAAGAAACATGATAATTTGCTACAAAATAAAAATGAATGGAAATGGAACTGTAAAGACTTGGGCTATTGTTGGAAAGGGTACTACTGATGAATTACTTTGGTGTGTTACATTTATACTGAATCCTCTCCTTCCCCAGGGTTGCTTCACTTCCCTTCAGTGCCTGTTAAGCTTCATTCCTGCTGTTGGATGCAGGACAATCACTCAACATGGCTGCACATCAGCCAGGGCTGCCCCACAGAAGGGTGCAAAACAAAAATTATTTGCTGGCCTACATTCAAAAAGAGGTGGGCAGATTACTTGAGGCCAGGAGTTCGAGACCACTTTGGCCAACATGGCGAAATCCTGTCTCTAATAACAACACAAAAATTAGCCAGGCGTAGTGGCACGTGCCTGTAGTCCCAGCTTCTCGGGTGGTTGAGACAGGAGAATTGCTTGAAGCTGGGAGGCGACAGTTTCAGTGAGCTGCGATGGCACCACCGCAATCCAGCCTGGGCAACAGAAGGAGATACTGTCTCCCCCGCAGCCTCCCAAAAGGAAAGAAATGTTCAGTATTGTCTAGGATCCCACCTGAAGTTCAAATTTAGAAAGAGGGCTTAGAATCACAAAATCTCAAAGCACTTTTTACAGAATTTAAGAGAAATACATATGTCTTATTCAACTGTCTATTGGATAACTGTCTATTGGAAGAAGGGGACATAAGATGTACTTTCTTCGCTTTGACTAAAGTCTATCAGGAGGGAGGGATAAATTGATATAAAGGATCAACATAATTATTTACCTAAGAATTTTGCTAGGATAAATTGGTGGTGTGCTACTAATTATTTAATAATCAATTCTCCAGGAAAAATAAATGCTAATGCACAGCATTTGCCATTTTCCATGGTATAAATACTTCTGCTATTGTAAGCTTTAAAAAGAGATGTCACTGACTGTGAAGTTGGGAAGAAGTCTGTAATGGTAGCTCTCTATGATATAATATTTCATCATGTAGAGATAATATATAATCCCAAGAACATAGGCAATACAATAATTAGAGAGTGATGAGTCTGGAGTATTTATTGTTTTTAATGTAATTTATTTAATTATGTTTATATAATTGTTTGACGTGTGTGTTTAAAAATGGGCTCATAAAATTCCTAAAAAATTATTTTATCTTTTTTTTATTGAGGTAAAGTATACATATAAAATTTAACATCTTTACCATTAAGTGCCATTTATATATATATATATATATATTTCCCCTTCATCTCCTTCTCTCCACTGCCCTCTCTGGTCTCTGGTAACTACCAATCTACTCTCTATCTTCACGAGATCCACTTTTTTTTGCTCCGATATATGAGTGAGAGCATGTGATATTTGTCTTTCTGTGGCTGGCTTATTTCACTTAACATAATGGCCTCCAGTTCCATCCATGTTGTTGCAAATGACAGGATTTCATTATTTTTATGGCTGAATAATATTCCATTGTGTATATATACCAAATTAAAAAAAAATCCATTCATCCATTGATGGGCACATAGGTTGATTCTATATTTTGGCTACTGTGAATAATGCTGCAATAAACATGGAAGAGTAGATATATCTTTGATGTATTGATTTCCTTTCTAAAATCCAGAAAATTTAACATCCAGCTCTCACAAGCTTGTATGAGCAACTTCCAGCACATCACTGGGGTAGGTAGACATTCATGTTTATATAAATATCATGAAATATGTCCCATTTACTCATACTTAAATTGTTTGTGTTCTCTTTAATATTGCTAAAGAGTTCATTTTAAACACTGTTAGGAAGGCCACAGAGAACCTTGCTGTTTATTAATTAATTTTACTGAAGAAAAATGAGAAACAGAAAGGATAGTAACTACTAATAGTATGTGTATGTGTAGTTATATATGCAGTGAACTATCTCCATCTCTAGCTACCTATTTTTACATTATACGTATCTAGATTAATAAGGTGAAATTTATTGATATCAATCTACATATAACAAATTTATTGATATCTACATATAAAAATCTTGTTGTGGAAAAAGTATCTCAATTATTTTCAAGAAAAACAACTCTGTAAAATAAAATTTTACCAAACAAATAATAACTATTCTTAACTTTATTAATAAGTATAGGTAATTTCTTAAAGTATTAATTTGCCCCTAAAGTGTTTACAGAATAACTTAGATTTTATGTAAATGAATGTAGAGGGTGGAGAGAAGTTGATGGGACTCAAATCAGTTGAATATATATCACAGACTGAAAATGTCTAAAAGCTACTTTGGGTAAAATTTGTGTTTTGCCTTCTACATGCCTTCTTCAGAAAATGATCTTTTTGGTAAATTGCAAGCCATGACAATAATAGTTTAGGTATTAAAAAAACAAGTGGGAATAAAGCTTTACCCAGAAAACTATGACATTTAGATTGAAGGACCAATAGCTGGGCTTGCTTAGATAATGGGAGTCTTTGTTGAGCTGGTCCCAGATTAATAGCTGGAAATGAGCTCAGTTCCTGACTGATGAGTGCTAATTAATACAGATAACTGTTGACACACATTACAAGAGACACAAAATTGTATTTTGTAGAAAGTGTCGTTGAACTAATAATTTCAGATGTATGTTGACAAGTTAAACTAGTAGGGATTTTCAGCAGCTTACAAAATAAATTTGCAAGATGTTCACTGAGTCCATTAAAAAACCTTCATATGAATAGCTTTCTAATGTTTGAACTACTTGAAAAGGTTATAACAATACCATCCTTAATCTGATAATACATTGTTTTAATGTGATGATTTCTTAAATTATTTTGAAATTTGATAGAACTTGAGAAATTTCTCCCTTTTATTATATGTGAACCTACTTCTAAGCAGACTATTATTTTGAGGGTTTTAATATCCTTGCAAGAATCTTCCTGAACACGAGGAGTATCTGTTAGTCAAAAAGCAAGTTTTCTTTTTCTCTCACTCTTTTTATAAATGTATAATGAATCATCACCAAGATTTGAGGCACTCCATTCAAAAGAAATGAGAGATTAGGAGATATTTAGCCCATGTAAAATATAATTTGGTCATCATATCTTTGTCTTCCACTGGGCCAAGAGTCAGGGATACATATTAATAAAGCACACACCAGCTATCTCAAAATAACAGTCTTAGGCAAGTAGCATCCAACCAGGAAAACCTGGTTGTTTAGAGAAGCTCCAGCTATGGCTGTGACCTGGAAAGGCAGCATTCTTCCATGTTTACATAACAGGTTCATCTGAGGATTTCAAGTACTTCACAAACATTCACTTGTCAATTATCACAGCATCTCCAGGAACTAAGTAAGTGTGAAAGATTATTATTCCCACAGGAGATCCGGGGACAAGAGTCATACCAGAGATGTCTTTTCCAGGAGTTACAATGAAATTGACAGAGTGCTGCTGCTGTGTGTGTAGTAGGCGCTCAATAAAAATAATTTAATAGATCTGAATCTTAGAGCAAGAGCTAAAAAGCCATAGCTCTGCCTCTCTTTTACATAGAAAGCCGACTTTGAGCAACTCTGAAATGAATGCCATTATAGATCGTGCCAACTGTGCAAGCCATCTCAGATAAGTAAACTACTTTAGATTCAAACTCAAGTCCAGACTTTGACTCATATTTCATTTGTACTGGACAGCAATTCTGTTCTCCATGAAATTGGCTGATGTAAGACAGAGCCAGCCTTATATCTATTACCTGACAATGTGCCTTCCTAGAACTCATACAAACTTATTCTTCTAAATAAGCATTTTTTATCTTGGGTAAAAGAAGACCCTAATATTATAAAATTTCTTGTCTTAAAAATTCATAAATTGACTAAGTGTGCAAGGAGGAAACCAGCATAAGTTGACGTCTTCAAAAAACATTCTCTGTAGACCCAATATATTTAGATAAGGAATATATTTGATGCAGAAAAATGTTAAATAGTAGAATGTTTAAGATTTATTTTGGGGTGTGTATTATAAATTCCAACAAGTTGGTGACTCTGGGAGCCATTTATGAATTACTAGAAATAAATCCACCACTGAGTAGAGAGAGAAAAGATTCATGAGTAGAGAGTCAAGACCCGATAGGATCAAGACCTGACAGGATCAATGTTTCAAAGACTCTTTCATTGTTGATGAATCCTCTTGAAGAGGACCTCTCTCTCCATAAACATAGAGGGCTATGTGGAAAGAAACATTGATACATTGTTTAAGTTTTAAATTGCTGGAATTTTTTATTTCTGTCTGCTTGCCCCCTTTTCCCTGAATCTGTCTGATGGGCATGTAGTTCTTGCAGATCATCAAATTTTCACATGACAACATGAAACCACATGGCACCAGTTTATGACTCAACTGGACTTCTCAAACCTATTTAAAAACAGTGCCTTTTGAGGAATCAGAAATATCTTTCTATCATTAAAAATACAAAAAATAACAGATGTTGGCAAGGATGCAGAGAAAAGGGAATGCTTACATACTGTTGGTGGGAATGTAAATTAGTACAACCTCTATGGAAAACACTATGGAGATTTCTCAAAGAACTAAAAATAGAGCTAGCATTCAATCCAGCAATCCCACTACTTGGTATCTACCCAAAGGAAAAGAAATTGTGATAGCAAAAAGATACCTGCACTTGTATGTTTATTGCAACATTATTCACAATAAAATATATGTAATCAATTTAAATGTCCATCAAAGGATGACTGCATAAGGAAAATCTGGTGTGCATGTGCGTGTGCATATGTGTGTGTGTGTGTGTGTGTGTGTGTGTATGTGTACATACGCTACTCAGCCATTAAAAAGAACGAAATCATTTGCCACAACACAGATGGAACTGGAGGCTATTAAGTGAAGCAACTCAGAAACAGAAAGTCAAATATGGCATTATATTAGTCTGTTCTCATACTGTTAATAAAGACATACCTGAGACTGGGTCATTTATAAAGGAAGCGGGCTTATTTGACTCACAGTTTAGCATGGCTGAGGGGACCTTAAGAAACCTGCAATTATGGCAGAAGGGGAAGCAAACACGTCCTTCTTCACATGGCAGCAGCAAGGAGAAGTGCTGAGCAAAGCGGGAGAAGCCTTTTATAAGACCATTAGATCTCGTGAGAACTCACTCACTATCACAGAACAGCATGGGGGTAATCGCCCCCACGATTCAATAACCTCCCACAACATGGCTTCATAGTGGAGTGGAGTCATGTGGATATGTTTAATCTTGTCAATCAGATGTCTGAAGGCTGAAGTGATGTTTTTATAAGTTGTCTGTCATTTTTCTTTGGGTTAGATAGACTTTTAGGGATGGGTAAAGTTATTTGAGTTACAAAACTAGGTCAGGGTCCCCCTCTCTTCATTCCAAATTGCACAAGAAAACTTTAATTTTAATCTTGTTAACTAAATATATTTGTTATTAATGAACCAGCATTAGTCAGTGTTAATGTTGATCAATGTTACATTCTTGTCATGCGTAAACTTTATCACTATTAAGGGGAACAACACATACCTGGGCCTGTCGGGGGTAGGGGGATGAGGAGAGGGAGAGCATCAGGACAAACAGCTAATGCATGCAGGTCTTAAAACCCAAATGATGGGTTGATAGATGCAGCAAACCACCATGGCACACGTATACCTATGTAACAAACCTGCATGTTCTGCCCATGTATCCCGGAACTTTAAGTAAGAAAAAAAAAAATGGCTGTCCTGAGAGTTTATCATAAAGATATTTACATGAGGAGGTCACTGTTGGCCTTTCAAGTGCTTAGGAAATACCACAGCTCTGGTGTCCTTGCCTCCTGGGGACATGAACTAGACTAATTTCAGGTATTTCCTTTAAAATTGGATGCTTTTCATTGGGAGTTTTTTTTTTTAGCTTTTCTGGATGGAGATACAATGCCAGAAATTCAAGGGTCTCTTCAGATATTCATGGCTTGTGATATATTATTTTGATTATACCAGTAAATTTAATGTAATCTTCTAAGCTATTTGGCTTTCCCGATCTAAGGAAGGTGCTACCACTCTAAGTGTCAGAGATGGTTTGGTTTGGAAGTCTCCATGAAGAAGAGTGGGTGCAGAGGATAGAAGCTTTCCTCTATGTCTTAGTCTGCTTTTTCCTTCTCTGAAAGTTTCATTGTCTAATGCAAATACAAGTGGTTGGTCATATACATAATGGCAAGCTGCCATTAGCTAGTACTTTTCTGACAGCAAGCATTGAAATACAGGGGATGGAAGGATGATTGGAGGAGGAGCAAAGCTCATTGGGAGAGGAAATAGAGGCTCTGGGGAGATCTAACGGGGTTTTGAAAGACCAAGTTTTGACTTTTAAGCTTTGCCTAAGGCCAATTCTCAATTAAATCCTTTACTCTTCCACTTCTGGTAAATCGCTGTTGTCCACCCCCAATCACCACCACAACCATATAAAGACTCTGTTGGATGCAGTGGCTCACACCTGTAATCCCAGCACTTTGGGAGACCAAGGTGGACAGATCACCTGAGGCCAGGAGTTCGAGACCAGCCTGAACAACAAGGAGAAACCGTCTTTACTAAAAATACAAAATTAGCTGGGCGTGGTGGCACATGCCTGTAATCCAGCTACTCAGGAGGCTGAGGCAGGAGAATTGCTTGAACCCACAAGGCGGAGATTGCATGAGCTGAAACCGTGCCATTACACTCCAGCCTGGGCAATAAGAGTGAAACTCCATCTCAAAGAAAAAAAGAAAACAACAACTTTATTGGAGTGCAAGGGAATTTTTTTTTAATTTATTTTATTATTATTATTTTTTTAAGAGACAATGTCAACCTTACAACTTTCTAGGATAAAAAAAGCATCAGTAACTATCCACTTTACTTTCTATTTCAACCCATATATCCCCTAGCACAGAATGTGGAGCAAGGCAGAAGTTTCACATATGGACTTTAAAGGAATGAGGCCTGTTTTGGGGGTCTTTTTAAATAACTTATTTATCCAAATGAATAGGATCCTCATCAGATCTTCCAACTTAATGGATTACACATTTATAATAATGCCTTCATTACTCAAAACATTTTTGGAATTGATTAAAGTAAATTGCAATAGGACCTTTTAACTACTTTGACAATTGGCACATTTTCACCATTTGAGGATGAATTTGACACTTTTAACAGCCAAATGTCATTCAGAGCCAAGTTTGGGAAGGAAGGTACATAAGCAGTCAGGGCAGTCCTTTTTTTAGAAAGAGCCTTGCTCTGTTACCCAAGCTGAAGTGCAGTGGCACAATGGTGGCTCACTATAGCCTTGACCTCCTGGGCTCAAGTGACCCTTCTGCCTCAGCCTCCCAAGTAGCTGGGACTACAGGGCATGTGCTACCTTGCCTGGCTATTTTTTTTTTTTTTCCCCTGTAGAGATGAGGTCTCACTATGTTTCCTAGGCTGGTCTCAAACTCCTGAGGTCAAGCAATCCTCCCACCTCAATGTTGGGATTACAGGTGTGAGCCACTGTGCCAGGCCCCACTTCAATTTTAGAAGAAGAGTGGTGAGACTATGAAGCCATTAGGCTACATTGTGTAAGACAGTGGCTTATTAATTGATTCTAAAATCAGTTCCCAAGGATAGCTCCACAACTCTTTGAGAAATGGTGATGCCATTAGTATAGGATGAGAGTGTTCCAGGGGACCTATTCTGAAACTATATATATATGAAACAAATGTGATGTGTTTGTTTAGTTTTAAGTCTCATTTTTTGACACTATATTCTGTTGTTTGATGATTTCCTCTAAGCTGGAGTAGTTTGCATTCATTCTTGGGACACTTAACAATCGTTCACCCATTAACATACTGCTGATGTTAATAAGCAGAGTGGTTGAGTACAAACCCAATTTATGACACTTTGTATTGTGTCACCCTGAACAGGCTTCCTAACCTCTCTGACCCTCAGTCTCCTCATCTGAGTAGAAATGGCTATAACATTAGCAGTGGGGATTCAGTGAGTAAATGCATGCATTACCTGGTGCCCATGATAAGCATTCCATAAATGCAGCTGTCAAAAAAGTTTTACTGACAGCCCACTTTGTGCCTCTTAATCTGCTACCAACATTTCTAATTTGGGATTAAACTGAATCAAAATAATAACATAACGAAATTCAAATAAAAATAATAGTGAGATAAACACCACTTTAATATGCTTATTTATTTAAAATTACATGAATATAAAATCCTCTAAACACCTTCACAGATTTATCAAGGTAACTGCATCAGTGACCGTAACATGACTTTGTTATGACAACAGGAGCTAGATGACTGTTATTTTAAATTCATATATGCTCTGACTCTGAACATTCCCATGAATGCAACTGATGTTTTCATCTGAAAGTGTTTAAAATATAATAATCATTACCTTCATATAACAATATCTGATATCTGAGTTGTATAGAAATAGTCTGCATAAAACTCTGCTACCATTCTTTTGAAAATGTGACACATCTATGGAGGTTAAATAGCTTTTGGATCAAGGTATAAGTGAGATGGTGTTCTAAAAAGATCTCTTCTACTGTTTCTGATAGCTGAATCCATGGTGAGAATCCATATCTGACCCATGGGTTGGTGATGCTCTATCTTAGTGTTCATTAGGACAAGACTCTGGAGGTTTATTTTCTAGTGACAAATGACCAATGCTTACGGTCATTCTTTTTGCTAGTATTTGTTTACACACTCACTGTATACATACTCTGCAAATAAACAGTGCACCTGAATTTCTCAGAAAGTGGGCAATATTAGAAGTACCCTTCTATTAAAGAGGATGTTAAAGAATAATAAAGTCTTTTCATAAGATTTTCCAAACAATAGTTTTAGTTTAAGATTGATCCCATCCAAGGTATGATTTCCCAGTTATTTTGGCAGTTGCAATTATAGTTTCTTGGACTTAACTGCTTAATTAGGAGCCTTTGGAAAGTTTCACGTCAAGCTAAAAATATTTCTAATGTACACTTTCTGCTTACTCAAAGCTGCATGGAGCTATAATTTACGAAGGAAACTTGTTTCCTTAATTGTTGTGTCAGTCAGCAAAAGCACAGGGAGCAGGCACAGAATAATCCGTTTATATTTAGCTGTACCAGTGGCCACGAAATGTCACAACCTTCATGTAATTTAGGGAAAGGTTAGGGATGTCATTCCTATAGGACTGATTACTTTACAATTTGTTTTACTTTTTAAAATTGTGTACTTTGCAGGATTTTTATGGAGGCCTTTTATTTTCATTGGTATAATTTTGCTTTTATGCAATACTTGAAGGTGAAGACTTGAGTCAGGCTTACTAGTTGATCCTTAAGTTTGGGTATGCATTACAAAAGTTTAGATTAATAGAAAATAAAGGGTGATATGTACAGTTTGAATTATACAGGTTAGGGGTTTATCTTATAGTAATTCTACTATTTTATACTGTCTTAGGTTACTGAAGAATATGTTTCATTATAGAATGGATCTAGAGAATAACCTGAAGAGAACTGCACATTTTAAAGATGATTCTCCTATTTACCAAAGGTGACTACAGAAAAGGGGAAAAACAAAGAAAAGTAAATAAACAGGAACAATGCCTTGCATCTTTGTAGCACTCTCTGGCTTTCAAAGCTTTTTTACATCTATAACTTGAATCTTTCCAGAGAGAGCTTACAAGGTATGTCCTTATTTGATGAGCTCATTCCCTCCAAAAAGCACTGTGTCTTGCAGTGGTTACTAGCTTAATTTTTTTTATTATTATACTTTAAGTTCTGGGATATATGTGCAGAACACAGAACATGCAGGTTTGTTACATAGGTATACGTGTGCCGTGGTGGTTTCCTGCACCCATCAAACCGTCATCTACATTAGGTATTCCTCCTAATGCTATCCTTCCCATAGCCCCCAGCCCACTGACAGGCCCTGGTGTGTGATGTTCCCCTCCCTGTGTCCATGTGTTCTCATTGTTCAACTCCCACATACGAGTGAGAGCAAGTTTGCTGAGAATGATGGTTTCCAGCTTCATCCATGTCCCTGAAAGGACATGAACTCATTCTTTTTTATGCTGCATAGTATTCCATGGTGTATAAGTGCCACATTTTCTTTATCCAGTCTATCATTGATGGGCATTTGGGCTGGTTCCAAGTCTTTGCTATTGTGAACAGTGCTGCATATGTGTGGATGTGTCTTTATAGTAGAATGATTTATAATCCTTTGGGTATATACCCAGTAATGGGATTGCTGGGTCAAATGGTATTTCTGGTTCTAGATCCTTGAGGAATTTCCACACTGTCTTCTACCATGCTCATGGATAGGAAGAATCAATATCGTGAAAATGGCCATACTGCCCAAAGTAACTTATAGATTCAATGCTATCCCCATCAAGCTACCATTGGCTTTCTTCACAGAATTGGAAAAAACTACACTAAATTTCATATGGAACCAAAACAGAGCCCATATAGCCAAGACAATCCTAAGCAAAAAGAACAAAGCTGGAGGCATCATGCTACCTGACTTCAAACTACACTACAAGCCTATGGTAACCAAAACAGCATGGTACTGATACCAAAACAGATATATAGACCAACAGAACAGAACAGAGGCCTCAGAAATAATGCCACACATCTACAATCATCTGATCTTTGACAAACCTGACAAAAACAAGAAATGGGGAAAGGATTCCCTATTTAATGAACAGTTTTGGGAAGACTGGCTAGCCATATGCAGAAAACTGAAACTGAACCCCTTCCTTAAACCTTATACAAAAATTAACTCAAGATGGATTAAAGACTTAAATGTAAGACCTAAAACCATAAAAACCCTAGAGGAAAACCCAGGCAATACCATTCAGGACATAGGCATGGGCAAAGACTTCATGACTAAAATACCGAAAGCAATGGCAACGAAAGCCAATATTGACAAATGGGATCTAATTAAAAAGAGCTTCTGCACAGCAAAGAAACTATCATCAGAGCAAACAGGCAACCTACAGAATGGGAGAAAATTTTTGCAATCTATCCATCTAACAAAGGGCTAATATCCAGAATCTACAAATAACTTAAACAAATTTACAAGAAAAACACAAAGAGCCCCATCAAAAAGTGGGCAAAAGATATAAACAGACACTTCTCAAAAGAAGACATTTATACTGCCAACAAACATATGAAAAAAAGGTCAGCATCACTAGTCATTAGAGAAATGCAAATCAAAACTGCAATGAGATACCATCTCATGA
Source organism: Homo sapiens (assembly GCF_000001405.40). Classification (NCBI taxonomy): domain Eukaryota; kingdom Metazoa; phylum Chordata; class Mammalia; order Primates; family Hominidae; genus Homo; species Homo sapiens. Next base: position 72,842,684 of record NC_000006.12, on the reverse strand, counting down.
CAGTTAGAATGGCGATCATTAAAAAGTCAGGAAACAACAGATGCTGGAGAGGATGTGGAGAAATAGAAACACTTTTACACTGTTGGTAGGAGTGTAAATTAGTTCAGCCACTAGCTTAAATTTAAGAGTCAGATGGGTGTGAATTATAATCCCAGTTATGCCACTTCCACCAGTATGATCTTAGATAAACTACATTGTGACCTGAGAATCAGGTTCTTCTTCTGAAAAATGAGGATTACTATAACGGTTTTACAAATTGTCTGGCCAATACAAATGAGCACCATGTATGCATGCAGTATGCATTCAATGAATCATAGTTGTCAACTCTTCTTTTTATCATTCCTATTGCTGTCTAGCCCTACAGGCACAGTGAATACTTGCCAGCTATCGTAAAAAGACAGGGGCCAAAGTGCAATGGACAGTGGAGACGTAATGATTTATTAAGAGAGAAAGATGTTTCTCTCTCATTGTGGAAGTCATTTCAACAGATGATGCTTCCACATCCCATCGACTTCCAATGTTTTCATTAGAGTTGACCCTCCTCCACCAGAAACCTCTTTAGCCTGATCTCTCCTGAACCCTTGCTTCGTGATGTGTGTGAATGTCCAGTTAATAGAATTTACTAATCCTATTATATTTCTTATTTGTTCTATTCTTGAGTTAGTTTTGATTAAAGTTACTTTTATACTTTATGTGCATTAAGCAACAGACAATGTGATAGCAATTAAGGACCCCTTGACAACCAAGATTCATAGTCTTCTAAAAGTTATTTAACGTCATCATCTTTTTGGTACATGTTTTATGCTATAGTTGATTTGAATGTCAACATTCCTCAAATGTTTCTTAATAATTACAGTAATTAATCTGATATTGGTACAAGTCGACAGATGAGCTCCATATCTTTTAAGAAAATGCTGGGACTTTGTTTAATTAGGATTACATATCCAAATGAGAGAAAGAACATTTTCATGCTTATATGAAATATAAGGAATATATATAGGAATATATAAAGGAATAATCCGGTATAACATTGGCAGAAAAAGGGCTAAGAGATTATGGGGAATAGAAAGAGCATGTAAGAAATATGGCACTATACTCTTTAACAGTTCGTTTTAGGAGGAATATGCATGAGAAAGAATGTAGAAATTTAGAGGTATTTCTTTCAATATCCTAAGCATTTTTTTAAATTTATTTTCTAAATTATCCACTCCAGTTGTCATCAATATCCTAAGCATTTTGCAACAAAGGTCTGCATGGAGAGTGACATGCTATACCTATGACGTAATAAGGAAAGGAACAAGTCCATAATTACAGCAGTAAAACAAGTTGGAAGAATGGGATGCATGCAGTTCAAGAAGGTGTTTTCAAGCTAGGTAGAAGTTTTTGATTCAATATGTTAATAGGAGGCACATAGCTTGTCTTCACCATTAAGGGTTCATAGTCAAAATAGTGGTAATGCAAAACTAATAGAAATTATGATAGTTTTACAAGCAGTGAGCAATATGCAGTGTGGTTAGAAAGGGAGACTATGAAGAGGTGTAGGATTTAGCTTGCAGTCATGGCAGTGACTGAGGCAGTAGGTGAGATTTAAGTTGGACTTTCTTGGCAATTCTATATTACGTATTGTAATGAATTACTCAGAACATGGTGGTAAAGCTCCGTAGTTACTTGAGAGCAGAATTAATTCTCAATAGTCTGGATACTTTAGTGCTTTAAGTGAGCATCTCAGTGAAGGTGAGGACCAGGGGCAAATGTAAAACATAACCGTAGACTTCATGTAAAACAACCATCCATAAGCTTAACAGTATCAAAATAACTGTGTGTGCTGGTGCCATAATATGCATACATTATCAGAGCTGCTGCTCACAGAAGACTGTCCACTGCCTAGTCCGTGGATCATAAACTTCATACATTCCTATATTATTGCAAGGTGTTTCTGGCAAATAGTAAAATGTTTTTCTCTATAAAATCAGTATAGGAGTTTCCATTTGTAATCTTGAAGAGTAAGCTCCTAATTGAACCTCTTGCAAATAACAACTGGTCAAAATACAGAAAAACAACTAGCCGGGGGGCTTGGAGAGTGAACAAAAGTAGGAAGATTTTGAAGGGGAGTCAATACTTGGAGTAAGTGACTGGTATGGGTTGAGTTTCAGATCTTCACAGTTTTATACTGAGGGTAGCTGGAGCAACATGAGGAAAGAGCCACTGGAGAGTGAGCTGGGGAACTTCATAAAGGAGAGAGCCTGAGAAAGAGGACTCCAAGTTTTGTGTATAAATTCCGCTCAAGTCTCTTGCTATTCTTTTAAGTATGCAAGCACAGGACACAATAGAAGCATTATGAAAAACCATTATGGAGGATCTTTAAAATACTAAAAATAAAATTACCACATGAGCCAGGTATCCTACTTCTGGGTACATATCCAAAGGATTTGAAATCAGTATGTCAAAGAGAGACCTGCACTCCTATGTTCACTGCAGCATTACTCACAATTGTCAAGATATAGAAACAACCTAAGTATCCAGCAGTGAATGAATGGATAAAGAAAATGTGGTATATATACACAATGGAATGCTACTCAGCCTTAAAAAAAGATAATTCTGTTATTTGGATGAGTTAAACAGTCAAACTCATAAAAACACAGAGTAGATTGGTAGTTACCAGAGGTTGGGAGGGAAGGGAAATAGAGAGATATCGGTCGAAGGGAACAAAGTTTCAGTTAGACAGGAGAAATAAATTTTTGGCAGATGAGAATTCTACCACCGAACCACCCATGCACTGATATGAGAAATAAGTTTTTGAGATCTATGGCACAACATGGTGACTAGAGCTAATAATGTGTTGTATTATATATTTTGAGATTACTGAAAGTAAATTTCAAGTGTTCTCACCATAAAAAATTACGTGAGGTAATAGATATGTTAATTAGCTTACTTAATCATTCCATATTATATACATATATCAAAACATCATGTTGTACCCCATAAAAATATACATTTATAATTTGTCAATCAAAAACTTAAAATAAATAAAAAACAAAACAAAAGTACTCTGAATGGTGAACTGAGCTACCAATAACTGCAGGGGAGATGGTTCACAGTTTGAGTCTAACCAAGATAATTGTCTTTTAAAGCAAAAACATCAACAACCTTTAGAGTAATGTAATAGAATCCAGAGTCCCCACAACATAATCCCTGCAGTGTCCAGGATAGAATTCAAAATTATTTGACAAACAGCCAGGAAAACACGATCTACTTTTAAGGGAGAAATAACCAACAGATGCCAATCCAAAGATGACACAAATTTTGGAATTATAAGGCAAATATTTTAAAGCAGCTATTAGAATATGCTCAATATGATAAAACAAAAATGCTTGTAATGTATAAAATGATATGAAATCTCTTCAGAGAAAATAAAAATAATAACACCAGTATACCAAGACAATTTCCAAGCAAATGGAAGTAGTATCTGCAAGAAAGTGTATTTCTAAATAATTTTCACACAAGAACTGTATGGTTGTTAGTCAAATACACAGTCCAGAAAAATACCTAAAACCTACTGCTCTCGAAAGGCCATAAAATAGTTAAAATTAACCATGAAAAAAATCATTTTATATACTTGGACTCAGTCCTATGTAAAAAGTGAACTAAAACATTATTTGGCAATCCTAGGTGAGAACAAAAATATGCAAATTTCACACTCAGCTCCATATTCTTTTTTTTTTTTTTTTTTTTTTTGAGACGGAGTCTCGCTCTGTCGCCCAGGCTGGAGTGCAGTGGCGGGATCTCGGCTCACTGCAAGCTCCGCCTCCCGGGTTCACGCCATTCTCCTGCCTCAGCCTCCCGAGTAGCTGGGACTACAGGCGCCCGCTACCACGCCCGGCTAATTTTTTGTATTTTTAGTAGAGACGGGGTTTCACCGTGTTAGCCAGGATGGTCTCGATCTCCTGACCTCGTGATCCGCCCGCCTCGGCCTCCCAAAGTGCTGGGATTACAGGCGTGAGCCACCGCGCCCGGCCTCAGCTCCATATTCTAACAGACGTCTAGAGAATAAAATATATAATAACATTTATAAGGAGAATACCAACTATTTAAAATGGTGTGAAGTGAAATTTCTCACAAATTTGTGGTCTGTAACTATTTTAAGTGTTGGTGTTTCTTTAGGTTATATGATACAAAATATATAAACATAATTCATGAAAATTAAAGTGATATAATTTGAGAGCAGTGTTGTTAAGCTATGTTTTTAAGTTATGTTTTATATACATTAGACACAGCAAAGATGGTAGGGAATATCTGTGAGTGATTACTGAATCTCATTTACTGATTTCCTTTTACAAAATATTATTTTTTTCAGGGAGTATGGAGATCTATTTTATTCTACTTTGGGGACAACTTTCTAGCACACTGCACAAGAAGCAAAGGAAGTATTCAATCAATACTGGTGTCCATAGGAAAAGAGCTACTGAAGTCTCGGACATTGATATCCTATTTAGAGAGTTGGTGACAGAGGGTGGTGTTTGAAGAAACCGTGAAAGAGCTATCAAATAACCTGGTGTCGGGGCCTGTTGTGGGGTGGGGGGAGGGGGGAGGGATAGCATTAGGAGCTATACCTAATGTTAAATGAAGAGTTAGTGGGTGCAGCACACCAACATGACACATGTATACATATGTAACAAACCTGCACGTTGTGCACATGTACCCTAAAACTTAAAGTATAATAATAAAAAAAAGGATGAAGAATCCAAAAAAAAAATAACTTGGTGTCCATAACATATACTATCAGGTTTCTATTTAGCCAGATTAATTCAATGTATAGTGTACTTTCCAAATATTTAAGGTAAAAAACCTATAACATGTTTAAACATATATAACATGCTTCAACATATATATAACATGTATATATAACATGTTTAAACATATATATGTTTAACATATTACATCTTTAAAAAACATATAACATGACTTCTCTGATCTATTTTTCCATGATATATGAATATCTTATGCTGGCAAAAGGAAGCAGTATAGCAATGGAAACCCAGTATTACTGAGAAGAAAGTCCTTCATTTATGCCTTTTACATTTGATGGATTTTTGTGGCTAAATGAATACATACTCACCATTTCAATGTAATCATTACCATGTATATTTTCTCCAATGAGACTGAAAGGTCAATATTCACAACAATATTACAAGTTTCTCTGACATTCCACGTAACACCTAGTACAGGTGTTACATACAAAGGCAAGGTACTAGACAATGAAGAGCTCAGAATTAAGAAACAATTATCTGGATTCAGATCTGGACAAGTAACTTCAACTTTCCAAATAATAGTTTCTTCATATTTTAAGTAGGAATAATATTAACAGCTACCTCATGATGTTGTTGTGTGTTTTGTGTAGGATACAGCCAGTAAAGTATGTATATTAGAACCTGGAGCATATTAAGTGTTCAATAAATAGCAGTTGTTATGCTTATACTATTATTTTACTTCATCAAAAATTTGTTGAATGAATGAACAAATGAATAATGACGTAATTTTATTAATTTGAAAATTTGATGTAATAGTGGTCTCCAGGAGGTGCTAAGTGGTTCATTTGAAGGTTTATATAAAAGGTGAACTAGAATATTATTTAGCAATTCCACATGAGAACAGAAATATGCAAATTTTCCACCCAGTTCCATATTCTATCAGACTTGCAGGAAATACAATATATTAAGTTAAAAAGAGAACACCAGCTATGAATCTTATGGCTAGATGAATTCCAGTTATTTATCAGTATTTACAAATTGCTATGCATTATCAAAAGACAGAGGGTGGGACAGAGAATGGAAATAAAAGGATAAAACAGGCCCAGCTCTGCTCTCAAAATCTCACCACTTTCCTTTAGAAATTGAAACAATAAATTACCTTGTATAGACAGTGATCCCAGACATTGCAGAAAGCTGGAGATTATAAAATATATCAAAGTGTTTACATAAAAAATGAATGTAAGTTTGAGGCAAGAGGATTGCTGAAGCACAGGAATTCAAGACCAGCTTGGGCAAAACAGTGAGACCCTGTCTCTACAGAAAAAAAAAAATTAGCAGAGTGTGGTGGCGCACATGTGTAGTCCCAGCTACTTGGGAGGCTGAGGTGGGAGAATTGCTTGAGCTCAGGAATTTGAGCCTGCAGTGAGCTACAATCATGCCACTGTATGATGAGCCTGGGTGATTGAGTGACCCTGTCTCAAATATATATATATACACACACAGAGAGAGAGCACCAAATTTGTAAATTCTTCTCCAGTTTTGCTCTAATAAATACAATAAAAAATTTTAGATACTTATCTGAGGGTCACATAATCATCAGTTTATTCTCAGAAACCCCATTTTCTACTTTTCTATCTGCCATCTAATAAATATTTCTGTTCTTAAAATACAGGCTTTTTTGAATAAGTAATTTGCAGCTTGACTAGATAATCTAATGAAGCTCATCATTCTTCTCACTCTCTGATTAGATTCATCCACCAAAATCTTAACTTCTACTCAAAATTATATTATTAGTGAGGAAGCTAATGAGGGCAAAACAAACTGCAAAAATAACAAACAAAAATAACAAGAACACCACCAATGTGGTCAGTGGCATTCTGGTAAATGTTTAACAACTGGGTCTCAATAAAACAAAACAAAACCCTAATTTGTAGCATTTGCCAACTTCTGTGGCATAAATTCCCTGTCTATGGCTCATTTCAAGCTACCAGTGTGATGTGTGAATGTGGAACTGAGAAGCAGCACAGTGATATACTATTATATAGTCATTCCATTATGAAGACACAATAGATGTAAATAAACCAAAGAGTTACAATAGTAAAATGGAGTAAATAATTAGAAAGTGAGTACTGAGTGTAGCGTAATGGTTAAAGAGCTTGGGAGGTATATGGATTTGAAACAGAAATGTGCCACTTTCAGGTTTTACTGGACAAATTCCTTAATCTCTCTACACCTCAGTGTTCTTATCTGTATAATTATAAAACCTACTCCATGAAGTTGTTGCAAAGATAAAATGAGGAAATACATGTATGACACTTGGCACAATGTCTGAAACATAATAATAATTCACTCCATGTATTATAATAAATAACATGGTTGATAAATTTACTCTACTCATGATAAAAATAGTGAGTGAAATTTCATTGATGAAAAAATATATTCCTTATTTTGTGATCTAAGAATCACAAAATTTTAGTCAATTTTGCTTCCTAGACATCTGATGGTACTCTACTATTAGAAACTGAAAGGGAAAAATGGCCTCGACCAATATAATTGATGCAATATTTAATTAGCCAGATTATGAAGCAGAAAGTAATTCCATACATTCTGGAGTACATCTGCAGCAAGAGTAAATAGGTTTCTTCTTGGGTATTAATTCAGATTAATTGAGCGTGTAATGTTGATGAAAATCCTGAGGTTGCTTCTAAGATTGGCAGGAAAGACCACTTTAATATACGAGCAATAGCCACTATGGTTAGTGATGGGGAGGAAAGAAACCATTATACACATTGACCATCCTTGAGCTGGGTCTATGCTTACAGTGTCTGGAGAAAATTCATGTTGTACCCTGCTTGTAAAGAAAAAAAAGTTACCACTTGAACATATTCCTGAGTTTGGGGGTTTCACATACTTGAAATGGAGGTCGACTAAGTAAAACATTTATAAAATTTACTTTATAAATTTATACAATTTATGATCAAATTTAGAGCCAGAAAACAAACCTGGCTCAATTTCAGTTTTGTGGAGGAAGGGCAGCTGGAAAATGAAATAAAGTGCATGGGACCTGGAACCAAAAGAAAATCATTCCTGGCTGTTTTTCTACATTCCATCTGAGAGCCATACAACAAAAATAGCAGTGCTGGAATATTATCTGGGATACGTGTTAATGGAAGTTACACATGCATGTTAAGAAAGATTACAGGCCTTGCTTTGGTTTTCTAAGGAGTATAAGAATTCTATTTCCACGTAAAAGAAGGAAGGCCAACAGAGTCTTGCAGCAAAGGGCCAATCCTAAAGTTTCCTTGAGCAAAAAGGATAGAATTTAATTGTGCTTCAGTCTTCTTATCCAAGGGTAGCTTATGTTCAATAGAACTATTTTGGGTAAACCCTGACAAGTGTCAGACTACCTGTAATCAGGTCTTGCAAATTATCAAAATCAATTCCTATATTTTGCAAGCATCTTTCAGTGTATTATCTTTAGAGTCTCTACTCAAACAGTAAAATCATTTATTCTATATAGGCACATATTTCAGAGTCAGATGAATATCCATAATATCCAACACTAAACCTCTTACTGGAATGGGAATGAGAATTGCTTTTGAGCAGTACAGGTCTTGGCAAATTATCCTAATTTTAGAGTTGTTACTTTGCAGTCAATTCAGTTCTTTTTTTCTATATCCAAGCCCAATTTAATGAAAGTCTTTTTTTTCTTTTTTAAGTCTTAAAAATGCAGAAAAGTACAGAGAATAATATAACAAACACTCATGTATCCACCCCCAAAATTCACAAATGTTCACATTTTGTCATTTTGCTTCTTATGTATTCATTTGGATTTGTAAAAGAAATACATTTTTCATAAAGATGAGGTCTCCCTTTTCTTCCCCATCCTATTCCTCTACCTTCTTTACCAGATACAATTGCTATCCATAGTCCATTTATAGTATTGCATAATGTCTCTTACTAAATTTACACAAGTAGTATAACTTTATGTATTCTTTTGTATATTGCTTCTTTCATCCAACCTTATATTTTTGAGATCTATAGATATCAACAAATATAAAAATGTCATTGCTTTTCACTGTTGTATAGTTATTCCATCATATAAATATGTCATAATTTTTCTACTTTCCTATGGATGAACTTTCAGGTTTTTCTAAAATAAATACTGAAAAAAACCCATGCAACTTTTATCTTTAAATATTTGTTGTTTTCTCATATTTAATTTAAACATTAACTTAATTCCAGTGAAAACATTTTAGAAATCAACCAAGCAAAGAAGAAGCAAAATTTCTTTGATCTCACTATTTATAAAGTTAATTAATGTTAAAACTCTATCAATATTTTTGGTCTGGGGGCATTCTAAAGATACCCACACATATTTACAAAATGTCATCCCAGTAAAAATGCTACATTTTTCAGGTAAGAAATATTTCATGATTATTTTTGTGTCATTGACAAGGGAAGAAATCAGTATATCCGTGTGGGGTAATACACGTCACTTCAAAGTATACAATATGATAAAATATGAAGAGTTTGGTTTGGTGAAATGCTAAGCAAGCAATGCTGAATAATGTTGTTATGATGGTTCCAGAACTTTGGGGATGTGGCTAATAATTTAGCTTACTCTACCTCCCGAATAACCCTATGAGATGGGCACATTATCATCCTCACTTTATGGATGAGGAAACAGAGAAAGAGATGTTCTGGACAGAATAGCACAGAATTTCCTCCCTTAAGCACTGTCCTAAAATGCCACACAGAGAAGTTAAGTGGCCTGTCGAACAGTTCATGAATATTTAGATTCTTTCACATGTACTTATTGTTCCAATTTTATCACAATGAATCAACTAGACATCCCTTAAGGAATGTTGCAAAAATAAAATATTATTTCCACGTGCAGAAACATTTGGAAACTGTGCAATGAAGTACAAGCACAACACAGCCCATGTAGATCAATGCTGTCCATGGCAAGCAGGAAAGAAGGTTCAAAGGCAGACCTGGGCTGCTCAAGTACATGGGTATGCTGTTTACTTAACATATATGTCTGTGAACATCCAGAAGAGATATGAGCATGTGGGAGCCCTTTCCTCGTTTTCCTCCCAGTGGCTTTTACCATATATGTGTTCAGTTGGAATTACTTGAAAAATAAGATGAGTGTTTGCTTGGTTTTATAAAAAATAATCTGCTCCCAAATTGTCATTCTTGAATATTTAGTCTTTCTTCTACAGAGAAGTGTGCAGGAAGAATTAGAGACCCTTGTGGGAGAGCGTATTTGGTTCTGAAAGGATTTCTGCTTTCCATTTCTTGTAGGAGATAACCAAATTTAGGAGACAGTTTGCTTGACTAAACAAGACACTGAAGGGATTTTCTTTTGGCAAACACAGAGCAGTGTTTCTAACCTTGGCACTGTTGACATTTTGGGCCAGAGAATCCTTTGTTGTGGGGCTGTCCCGTGCATGACACGATGCTTAGTGGCTTCCCTGGCCTCTACCCAGGGATGCCAGTGGTATCACACCCTCTCCTTCTCATACTTAAAAAAAATATTGCCCTCAGTTGAGAACTACTGAGGGTATACAGAGTCAGCTAAAACAGGGAGGACAGTAAAAGCTAGGGCTCATCATTAAAATTTAGGTAAAAACAAAAAGGATTCTGCTCTCATTAATTTTCTTTCCTCTCATTCTTCCAAACATCTTATCCATTGCCACATCTCATCATTTCTCTTTCCTCTCACTCTTCCAAACATCTTATCCATTGCCACATCTCATCAATTCTCATCTCTCCATGAGCAATTCTCAAATATGCATCTTTAGTCCAGACTCTTTCCCAAATCCCAATTCTGTCTGTCTTTCCTGCTACCTGCTGGATATTTTCTGTGGACAACTTTTATCACCTGTAGGCAATTAATACTGCCTTCATCCTGATGTTCTGATTCCATTAAATGCTACACTATTCTACCAGACATCTAGGATTGACACCTTGGTTACCTTTGACCCCCTCCCTCTCTGTTAGCCCCCAACATCTCTGCCTTACAATTCATGTTTCCCAGCCTTTACATACTCCCTGAAATCAGGCCCACACACCTCACTAAAGCCCCACTCTAATGTTCTCTGTACTCCAGTTTAACCCTAGTAAAAGGGCTCTGCAACAATGTCCGTCTCTTAAAGACATTCTTTTTTTTTCTGTTAATTTTATTTTATTTTTTTTTTAAATTATACTTTAAGTTCTAGGGTACATGTGCACAATGTGCAGGTTTGTTACATATGTATACATGTGCCATGTTGGTGTGCTGCACCCACTAACTGGTCATTTACATTAGGTATATCTCCTACTGCTTTCCCTCCCCCCTCCCTGCATCCCACGACAGGCCCCGGTGTGTGATGTTCCGCTTCCTGTGTCCAAGTGTTCTCATTGGTCATTTCTCACCTATGAGTGAGAACATGCGATGTTTGTTTTTTTGTCCTTGCGATAGTCTGCTGAGAATGATGGTTTCCAGCTTCATCCAGCTCCCCAGAAAGGACATGAACTCATCCTTTTTTATGGCTGCATAGTATTCCATGGTGTATATGTGCTACATTTTCTTAATCCAGTCTATCATTGATGGACATTTGGGTTGGTTCCAAGTCTTTGCTATTGTGAATAGTTCCGCAATAAACATATGTGTGCATGTGTCTTTATAGCAGCATGATTTATAATCCTTTGGGTATATACCCAGTAATGGGATGGCTGGGTGAAATGGTATTTCTAGTTGTAGATCCTTGAGGAATCGCCACACTGTCTTCCACAATGGTAGAACTAGTTTACAGTCTCACCAACCGTGTAAAAATGTTCCTATTTCTCCACGTCCTCTCCAGCACCTGTTGTTTCCTGACTTTTTAATGATCGCCATTCTAACTGGTGTGAGATGGTATCTCATGGTTTTGATTTGCATTTCTCTGAAGGCCAGTGATGATAAGCATTTTTTTCATGTGTCTGTTGGCTGCATAAATGTCTTCTTTTGAGAAATGTCTGTTCATATCTTTTGCCCACTTTTTGGTGGGGTTGTTTTTTTCTTGTAAATTTGTTTGAGTTCTTTGTAGATTCTGGATATTAGCCCTTTGTCAGATGAGTAGATTGCAAAAATTTTCTCCTATTCTGTAGGTTGCCTGTTCACTCTGATGGTAGTTTCCTTGCTGTGCAGAAGCTCTTTAGTTTAATTAGATCACATTTGTCAATTTTGGCTTTTGTTGCCATTGCTTTTGGTGTTTTAGACATGAGATCCTTGCCCATGGCTATGTCCTGAACGGTATTGCCGAGGTTTTCTTCTAGGGTTTTTATGGTTTTTAGGTCTAACATTTAAGTCTTTAATCCATCTTGAATTAATTTTTGTATAAGGTGTAAGGAAGGGATCCAGTTTCAGCTTTCTACATATGGCTAGCCAGTTTTCCCAGCACCATTTATTAAATAGGGAATCCTTTCCCCATTCCTTGTTTTTGTCAGGTTTGTCAAAGATCAGATGGTTGTACATGTGTGGTATTATTTCTGAGGACTCTGTTCTGTTCCATTGGTCTATATCTCTGTTTTGGTACCAGTACCATGCTGTTTTGGTTACTGTAGCCTTGTAGTATAGTTTGAAGTTAGGTAGTGTGATGCCTCCAGCTTTGTTCTTTTGGCTTAGGATTGTCTTGGCAATGCAGGCTCTTTTTTGGTTCCATATGAACTTTAAAGTAGTTTTTTCCAATTCTGTGAAGAAAGTCATTGGTAGCTTGATGGGGATGGCATTGAATCTGTAAATTACCTTGGGCAGTATGGCCATTTTCACGATATTGATTCTTCCTATCCATGAGCATGGAATGTTCTTCCATTTGTTTGTGTCCTCTTTCATTTTGTTGAGCAGTGGTTTGTAGTTCTCCTTGAAGAGGTCCTTCACATCCCTTGTATGTTGGATTCCTAGGTATTTTATTCTCTTTGAAGCAATTGTGAATGGGAATTCACTCATGATTTGGCTCTCTGTTTGTCTGTTATTGGTGTGGCTCTCTTTACCTATCAATACAGAAATCTAAGGCCCCTCAGCCCACATTTGGAATTACCCACAACTTGTTTGCTACAAGTCTTTAGTTCCACTTTCCCACTACTCTCTTAGAAAAACGTTCTTTTTTATGTAAACTTGAAAATTTACTTTGTCTCAAACATCTATTCATTCCACCTTTTGTATGCTTGCCACCTCCTCCCTGAATGTTATTCTGATCCTTGGTCCAGAAACATTCCTTCTCCTAGAACCTCTATGGCATCTACTGAATTGTCCAAATAATACATGTGGCAAATTAATGCTGTAGCATTTTGGGCACATGTCTTATGAGTGTAAAACATCTTCGAGAGTTATTCGCACTGTGCCTTGCACATAGAATATATTAAGTATATATTGAATAAATGAATGAAAGAATTGAGAGAGACAGAGAGAGAGACCTTTAATACCATGGTAAAGTCATTTTTAAGCAGGAGAGAGAGAGAAGAGAAGAGGAGAGAGAGAGACACTTTCAACACTGTGGTAAAGTCATTTGTAAGCAGAACCAAAAATGCTCCTTTATAAGGTGTGAACAAAAATGCCTTGGGCCAAAAATATTTCTCATCTGTCTAATTGCTGCATTAAATTCCACTTTAAAAATAAATTCATTTTCTGTCTTGAGGTTTTCCAGATTTCAAGAACATACAGAAATGAGCACTACCTAGTTGATGAAGAGCATCTCCATAAGCGGTCCTGCTGCAGAACAGGACACATATTGGGGCTCTTGGAGCAGGGTATATATGAGAGCCTCTCTGGAGAGCCACAGTACTGTGGGAGGAGAAACAGGCAAGCAAAGGTGTGTGGGCCACACCACAGTCAAACTGGTTTATCATGAACGTGTCATATATCTATGCAGATGTATTTAGGTCTATATAAATATAAATATATCTATATATGTATACATACACATTATGTTTAATGTGTGTGTATATATGTAGATATGTACATAAATGTATTTTATTTTGTAGGTTGTATTAAAACAAAGACCACCACAACTAACATCTTACTGAATGGGGAAAAGCTGAAGGTTTTCCTCTAAGAACTAGAATAGGAAGGCTGCCCACTCTCACCACTTTTATTCAACATAGTACTGGAAGTACTAGCCAGAGCAATTAGACCAAACAAAATAAAGAGGCATCCACATTATAAAGGAGAAAAAGTCATTTTGACAAATAGAGGTAGGTAGTACAAAGATTTTTTTTAAAGAGGAAAAGAAGAAGTCAGATTGTCTCTGTAGGTGACGTGACCTTATGTAAAGAAAAATTAAAGGCTCTACCAAAAAACTCTTAGTACTGATAAACGAATTCAGTAAAGTTGCAGGATACAGAATTAATATACAAAAATGAGTAGCATTTCTGTACATGAATGAACTAACAAAAAGAAATCAAGAAGGCAATCTCATTTACAATAGCTACAAAAAAGTAAAATACCTAGCAATAAATTTAACCAAGAAGGTGAAAGTCCTCTATAAGGAACCCTACAAAACACTAATGAAAGGAATTGAAGAGGATACAAACAAATGGAAAGATCCTATGGTCATGGATTAGAAGAATTAATATTGTTGAAATGACAATTCTACCCAATGCAATCTACAGATTCAATGCAATTCCTATCAAAATACCAATGACATTATTCACAGAAATAGAAAAAAACACTTACAATTTGAATAGAGCCACAAAGGACTCTGAGTAGCCAAAGCAATCCTGAGCAAAAAGAACAAAGATGGTGGTACCACACTACCAGTCCTCAATATATACTACAAACCTGCAGGAACTACAACAGCATAGTACTAACATAAAAACAGACACACAGAAGAATGGAACAGAATAAAGAACCCAACAATTAATTCACATATCTACAGCCAACTGATTTTTAATAAAGGTTCCTAGAACACTCATTTGAGAAAGGACAGTCTTGTCAATAAATGCTGCTGGGAAAACTGGATATCCGTATGCAGAAGAATAAAACTAGACTTCCACCTCTTACCCTATATAAAAATCCACTCAAAATGGATCAAAGACCTAAATGTAGGACCTGAAATGATAAAATTACTAGGAGAAAACATATGAGAAACAGTTCAGGACATTGGACTGGGAAAATATTTTATGATCAAGACCTCGAAAGCACAGGAAACAAAAGCAAAAATAAACAACTGGGATTATATAAAACTAAAAAGCTTCTGCACAGCAAAGGAAACATCAACAGAGCAAAAAGACAACTTATAGAATGGAAGAAAATATTTGTAAGCTACTCATTCAATAGGGGATTAATATCTAGAATATACAAGGAACTCAAACATATCAACAGCAAAAACCCAAATAATATGAGTAAAAAATGGTCAAATTATCTGAACAGACATTTATAAAAGGAAGATATACAAATGGCCAACAAATGTATTTAAAAATGCTTGACATCACTAATCATCAGGAAAATGCAAATCAAAACCACAATGTGGTATCTTCTTACCCCAGTTAGGATGGCTATTATAAAAAAGACAAAAAATAACAAATGGTGGTGAGGGTGTGGAGAAAAGGGAACTGTATATTATACCTCTTGTTGGGAACATAAACTAGTACAGCCACTCTAGAGAACAGTATGGAGGTTTCTCATAAAACCACAAATAGAATGACTATATAATCCAGCAATGCCACTACTGGGAACTTATCCAAAGGAAAGAAAGTCATTGTATCAAAAAGACTTCTGCACCCCCATGTTTATTGCCACACTATTCACAATAGCCAAGATACAGCATCAACTGAGGTGTACCACAACAGATGAATGGATCAAGAAAATGTGGCATACATACACAATGGAATACTATTCAGCCATAAAAAGAATGAATTCCTATCATTCATAGCAACATAGATGGAACTGGAGGACATTACGTTATGTGAAATAAGCCAGGAACATAAAGTTAAACACCACATGTTCTCACCCATGTGCAGAAGCTAAAAAAAGTTGATCTCTTGGAAGTATAAAGTAGAACAGAGGAAACTGGAGGCTTGGGAGGGTAGGGGGAAGGGAGGGATAGGGAGAGATTTGTCAAAGGATATAAAAATTATGGCTAAATAGGAGGAATCAGTTATAATGTTTTATACCACTGTGGAAGGACTACAGTTAACAATAATGTATTATATTGTTTCAAATAGCTAGAAGAAATATACTGAATGTTTCTAACACAAGGAAATGATAAATATTAGAGATGATAGATATGCAAATTACCCTGTTCTGATCATTATACATTATATGGATTGAAACATCACTATCTATCACATGAAAATGTATAATTATTATTTGTCAAACAAACATTTTTTTAAAACCCAAGAACAATTAAAAAAAAGAAGATTATAGCAGGAACCTATAGGAGACATTAAACATAAGCATGAATATATTTAAGCAGGTAGCCATACAAGGGAGCTGAAATAAAAGACATTTTTCAATTAGAAATAGTACATATTTCTTCTATTCATTATTTCTTATGATTTTCCTGTAGCTTTTGATGTGAAAGACTGATAGAAAGACACTGACTTTCACTATTTCTAATCCACAAAAAATGACTGTTGTTTCTAAATTTAACTCATTATAATTATCTCTTTTCTCTCCATGGCATTAACAAGGCCTATCATGGGATCTAATGACTAATCTTGCAGGAAGGGTAACTGGTGACTAAAGTATTCCTCATGTCATATATGTGTATATGTATCTTTTGATGGTTAGAGTCGAATGAATTGGTATCTTTACCTTGCAAGTGTGTAGTTTTGCTTTTATACCCTGAATTGCTTTGTGCAAATTACAGTCTCCAGAGCTGAAGCTCCTTGCTGTGGATGAAGGGAAATGGTGGAAAAAGGGCCCCAGAATCAGAATGGCTTTTCCACCAGAGAAGTGTGATTGCTTGCAGGCACAACGCTTAAGGTTGACCCCCATGGAGGCAACTGTGATTGAACAACTGGGTTGGCCTTCTAGATCCCAAATATCCTTCCTATATTTAATCTGATTAAAGTTTTCTCTCTTCATTTAAACATAAAACATTCCATGACACTGATTTACTTCAATATATAAATGACTGGTTTCATTCATTCATCATTCATTCATTTGACAAATACAGTGCCTCCCATGTGCTAGTGTGGGTAGACAAACAGGACTGACTAACAACTATTGCTAGGTGGCTAAAGAATGGGCTGAGAGACTTCCCTTCCCCAGGCAAGTGAGCCTGCTCCCAAGCTCAGCTTCTCCAAGGCCCTCCAAGTTCCACATGTTGCATAGTATAGGTCCCACCTAAAGCCAAACTGTTATTCTAAGTCATGCTCTCTTCCTCTTGCAAATAAGACTTCTCACTGTCACCAAGGAAAAGGAGAGAACCTTCCCTGTGGACCACCAGCTAACTGTTCCTGTTCCCAGTTCCAGTCTGCACTCAGTGACTCATTCTGGCATTTTCTTATGCCTTCTACCAGTGGCACTGTTCTTGTTGCTGGGGAGATATGTATAAAACAAACAAAAATACTTACTTTCAAGGATCTTACATTCTGGTGGGGAAGCCAGACAACAAGTACAGTAAGTAAATAAATGAAATACAGTGCAGCACAACCCAAAGTAGTAAGTGCTGTGGAAAAAATAGAAATCAGGGAAGGGGAACAGAAAGTGTTGGGGATGGTGAGTGGATGTTGCTCTCTTTGCAAAGTAGATTTTTAGGGGTGAAGGGGGAAAAGACAGCCCAGTCTCCCAGCCTAAATGTTCGTTTTTTTGTTGTTGTTGTTGTTTTGTTTTGTTTTTTTCTCCCTAGCCTTCTTCTAGAGCAAAAGTCATCTGGCAGTTTCAGGACAGATGACATCATTACCCAGAGGTCCTCAAAGACAGTGAAGCTTGAAGAGATTTCTTCATGTGTCAAAATGGGAAGATTACTGTCTCTCCTGCCCACTTCTCTGGGTTGTTGTAAAGATCAAAGGAGAGAAGGGCTATAAAGGTGCTTTGAAAACAATGAAAGCTACACACTGAAAAGGCATTATTATCACAGAATTGTGTTAGAAATAAGTGGGATGACTATTTACGTATCCAAATTTTATAATCTATAGTATAAAGATGAGAGAGAGAGACACACACACACACACACACAGAGACAGAGAAAGAAAGAGAGAGAGACTAAATGTAGGTTTTGGCTTGGAATCATATATATCAAGCTGTTAGTTGGCTATATCCAGGTGATATGACACCTTTCTTCCCTATCAAATCTCCATTGCTGGCCAGCACAGCTTCACTCTTCTGAGGTTATTTTTCTCCTTATCATTAGGCTGCAAAGTACATGACCAATCCTAGGATGAAAATATTGATTTTACCATAATAAGTACATGTGCAAATTGAAAGGCAGGTTAATTTTGCAGGCTCTTAAATTACTCAGGCAATAGAAAATATCAATAAATGCCAAGTGAAAAACAGAAAAACTGATGAGAAAACTGATGAGCATCAGTTCTTAAAAGAACACATAATGAATGTTAAAATTATCAGATATTTTGATACAAGAAATAAAACCAACGATTTTCTAATTTAGGTATCATTTTTCCTCTCTTTTTTTAAAATAATTTTTTTCTTCATTATTTCACAGACCCCACCACCGCTGGAATTTACTACAGATCAAGAACTGGTAAAACTGAAGACCATTTATATTGCTCAATTGCTTCTAAAATAATAGGTATGGCACTTGTGATTAATTTATGATTCATAATCTTCAAATATTAGTAATTATTTAAAAAGGGAAACTAATTTTCTTAAACAATATGGAAGACAAACCTCTAATGTTTAATTTTATTCTTACTGGAATCTAGTAGTCCTGGATGAAAACAAGAAATATAGGAGAAAACATATAAAATGGTACTTATTAATATTAATAGAAACAGTTTGGAAACATTAAAATGAATCTAACAAAAACACATTAAAATATTTTACATATGTGTTTACTATGAAAGAAGGGTAATCTTACACAAATGTAGTGGATGAAGTAGATCAGACTAATAGATTTGAGGTTGGCTAGACTTCACCATATGAAATGTATTTGAATGTGTTGTCTGCACAATTCACACTATCCATATATATTTGGTTTACAAGCATAATTCGGAATTTTTTTTCACTCCAATGTTCTTTATTTCTGAGCTCCTGAGGTAGCATTTAGCTTGGACCATAAGTGCAACTTCGGGGGTGTCACAGAAGTAGGATGTGCAGGGAAGTGTGAAGCATCTGAAAGACTCAGAAAGGCCTGGGTCAGGAACCCGAGTGAGCCCCAGAGCCTGCCAACAACTTGCAGGTCTCCCTTCTGCAGCTGCTATTGGCTTATAGGCTTTTATAGGGAAAAGTGTTTATGTTCAAATACTAACGCTGAAAAAACACATAGGCATAGTAAGAAATGGTGTCACTGGGTAGAATTTTTTTCAGAAATGTGACATATTCTTACATGTGAAAATTCTAAGAGTTTCCTACAAATACTTGTATTTTTGTATTGGATGGAGTCTGGCAGTTTTAGGTCTCATCCATTTTTAATGATACATATAATCAGTGTAAAGAAGTCAGCAAACCACAATTTGGTATCTAGCCACCAAGATGTATTAAGACTATGTGGTAAATATTCTTTCATGAAAATTCCAAGTAACTGCTTGTTGTGATCTTAAAAAACAACTTTCTTGTCTTAATAAAAATATTAACATGTTTATTTTCAATGCAATATGTGAAAAGTATTACACGTAGTTTCAAATTTACAATTAAGTGGGGGTTGGGGAGGTCTCCCAAATAGAATCACATTCTAATCCCTGGAACCTATAAATATGTTGCCTTATATGGCAAAGGGACTTTGGAGAAGTGATTAAGACCCTTGGGGAGGGTTGATTATCCTATATGATCAAGGTGGGCCCAATGTGATCACAATGATCCTCGTAAAAAGGAAGCAGGAGGGTCCAAGTCAGAGGAGACAATGGAAGCAGGGATCTAAGTGACATGGGGTCATGAGTCAAGGAATACAGGTGGTTTGTGGAATGTGGAAAAAGAGGAAATGCATTCTCTCCTATAGCTTCCAGGAGGAATACAGCTCTGCATTCACCTTGATTTTATTCCCTATGACCTATTTTGGATTTCTGGCCTCCAGAACTATAAGATAATACATTTGTGTTGTTTTAAGCCACTAAGTTTGTAGTAATTTGTTTTAGCAGTAGTAGGAAAACTAAAAGAGCTTATAGATTGATTTGCTGTCCTATTCTCCATAAATGCTAGACCCTCAATAATAATGGACAGAAGATAAAACTTATTATTTAAGAAAAAAACAAAGAGACAGAAGCACCCAAAAGTTCCCGAAAGCACTAGGAAAGCATGCTTTATGGAAGCATCTTGTGGATGTCTCTATCTTTATACTTTGTGGTTTTTAGTCCCTGCTAACCATGTGCAGACCAATCTTATGAACAAAGCTCAGCAGATAACACATAAGGAATAGGGAGTACAAAAAAGTTCCAAAAAAACATGCACATCATTCTATGATTTTATCAGTTAGTAAATCCCTAAGTGTCTATTTTAAACATCTCTTATGTCTAGAGGTAAGTTTGCAGAACTGCAGTCGCCCAAATGACCACATACAGTGGCAGATGCTGACCAAGAAATGATAACATTTCCTCTGAGGAAAATTTAAATTGATGTTGCAGGGTGGGGTGGCCTGGGAGTTGCATTCTTAGGCAGTCATTTCAGGGATTTGATAGTCTCTGCAGCTGGTCACAGAAGGTACTAGAGATCCAGGCCCCTCCTGTTATATGCCAGAGATATTTTCAAAGATCCCTTGAGGGAAAAGAAAGGGCATTATGGAGCATGCTATGAGCCCTAGGTTATTAGGGAAAAGACTGACCAGGAAACTGACAGCCTTTCTGAGAGTCACAGAGAGGATGCACGAAGGATAAGATAGGGCCGTTCAGGGGCTGTGATCAGAGGCTAATGCAGAGATCGAACTCCTTGATCCTGGTTCATTAGGCAATAAGAAGCATGGCCAGGGACCTGGAGAGAAAAACTAGAAATCACTACATAGAGTTCTCTGAGGGCAGCTTTGGCAATGACACTAAGACACTGCAGTGAGAGGGTACTACAGACCCAGGCCCCAAGAAATGCAACAGAAGAGGAGTAAAATAGTCCAGGCAAGAAATAATTGTTTTTCAATAAAAGCAGAAGCAAAAGAGATAGAGGTATGATTTGAGAGACTTGTAATGTCAGAAATTACCAGAAGTAGAGAAAACTCTAATACATTAAAAAAAAAAACAAAACCAAACAAAAAATCTTGAAACTTCATGAGCAGCTGGCTAATCTGTCACAAATACTATTCAGAAGGAGAGAGAAACGGCTGTAGCATTTCATTTGTGATGGAATATTTAGCCCCAAATGTCTTCCATAGTAACAAGAACTAATATGTGAAATTCAATGAAAGACTATTTGGGAGGTAGACAAGTAAATTTGTTTCTTATTTATATGCATGCTGCAGCTGAGCTCAAGGAAAAAGGTAATATCTATAAGTGTCCACATGTTAGAGAGAAGAGAATTAGAACTCAGGATGGATCTCTTGTATTCCTTCTTTAGAATGACTCCTTAGGGGACAGTTGGAGTGTATGAAATAGGAATTTCATAGAAAGCTTCTTTTGTGGAGAGATTTCAGGTTGCTTAGAACATTAATGTTGGGTGACTAGGCCAAATATTCTACCACCATTTATAAAATACAGTTGCAACCCCTGACACACCTCTACCATCTGTCCCTTGTGGTTTACTGCTTTTATGTCTCTTTGTCTCAACATCCCCACATTGTCTTCCTCATTCCACCAGCTCTTGAAGCTACATAGTCGTTGGTGAGACCTATGTCTTTTATTTCTCTGCCCTTGCATCCATGTCACAACATGCTTTGCCATTATCCATATATCAGCTTCTTTTCTCCAGAAGCCCAGCCAAACTCCAGTGACACAGTTTGTACATGTACTCACAAAATGTTCCAGCAAGTACACGATGAACATACAAAACACTATTTGGAAAATGACAACTCTTATAATACTTCTGTAAAATCCTAAATTCATAAACACCGTATGTGTTGTTATGGCTTTGAGGCTTTACTGGTGATCAGAGGCAGGTCCTCACTACAGAGGGAAATGATACATTTCATTAATATCTTGAGGGTTGCCTGTCTTTTTCTGTGAGTCTGTCTTTGATGTGATGCCAAGGAGAGAAAAAAAAATGCTGCCACATTCTCTGAGCCTTTCACCCAGGCTTCCTCTGTCTTCCTGCTTTTACATATTTTATTCTCCTCACTATAGGAAAACAAGATACTCAAATACACTGCTTATTAAAGAACACACCTACTTTTTGGAATTCGTAGATAAACTTACAACCTATTAAATCAACTTACAAAAAAAAAAAGAAAGAAAGAAAGAAAGAAAAAGAAGGACCCAGGTAAAGGGTGACTAGATTTGTTAGTGTCCTCAATATTTCACCCTGCCTGCTTACCCTCATATTAAGGTAAGTGTTTAGGAGCACACACTTCGTCATCCTGACTCTCTGAGCTTGAATCCCAGTTCATAGTCTCACCAGTTGGATGACTCATCCAAGTGATTTAACCTCTTTGTCCCTCAGTTTCCCCAAATTTACAGCTGATGGTGATAGTATTTTGGACTTCAAATTGGAACCGTGAGGTCCTCTACTTGTTCAACCTGCATGTACACACACTATGACAAGAGAAGCTGACATATGTCTACAGAGAAAAATATAAACTGAGACACAATTCTTACTGCAGAGTGGAAGCATCTGTCCTTAATGGGCCTACACTGGTACAATGGATTCTAATGACCCAGATGTGAAGAGGGAGAAAAATGGAGGAGTAGTGTAATACCCAGATGGAAGGGACTTTAAAAGGGGATCTGTAAAGCAAAAGGCAGAGGAAGGAATGGGAGCAGAGAAGACCAGAGAGGAAGCTCAGAAAGTGTCAGGAGCAGAAACCAAATGTAGGGTTCTATTTCCAAGTCAACAGGCTGCCAAGGAAGTGGCAATAGGTGCTGTTGCAATAGGCAGACAAACAGGAAGCTTAGGTTACCTTCGGAGAAGCTCAAGAGGCACTGGGACAAAGCTGAGATGGCAAAACATGATAGGTGAGAAATTACTCCAGTGAGACATACCAAGAGGCATGATGGCTCATGCTAGCCTGTCGGCCAGAGCCCCTGGGACACTGGACTGGAAGCCAGGAGATAGGAGAAAGGAGTTTTTCCTGGAGCAAGGGCATGTATCTATAGGACCCCAACAGTTTTACCAACCATTCACATTAGATATTCCTGACTTGGATTGCTTATGGAATATCAGATAATTCTTACTTTTGAATACTCTTGGAAGAAACACTAAATAGTACTGATTTTAATAGTGATTTGTACAAAAAGGGCTTTAAATTATGAAATAATATGAATCAAGTTATGTAATATGATTCCATTTTAAATTCCTGGTATTTTCATTCATCGATATGTTGATTTTTTAGTAGCTTTATTGCTGGGCGACTATAGTTAATAATAACTTAATTCTTTATTTTATAATAACTTAAAGAATGTAGTTGGATTTCTTGTAACTCAAAGGATAAATGCTTGAGGGGATGGATACCCCATTCTCCATGATGTGCTTATCTCACATTGCATTCCTGTATCAAAACATCTCACATACACCATAAATTTATACACCTACGATGTACCCACACAAATTTTAAAAAATAATTAAAAAATTAAAATAAATAAAAATAAAATTGTCGAACTGTTAAGAAAACCAAAAAACAAACATTAATTCCCTACATCTAGTGCACATCTTACTAACTTTTAAGATTTTCAAATCATGAAATAACAAGATCAATAGTAGTAAGAATTTTCTACCTCATAATGAATGCACGCAGTCATTAACTCTTTTTTCAGAGCATGTAACATGTCTAACAAAGCATATGTATGTATCTGACTGAAGCATTACTGTGAAATAGAAAACAATGCCAATTTTATCTTGTTATTAAAAACACTAATTCTTTGTTAAAGAATTAATCAAAGATTATTTAAACAAATACTAAAAATTATTTAAAATATGAAAATGTTTTTAAAACTTAAAAATTTAAATTAAATATTTATTATTTTAAAATAATACATACTTTATAATTATTAAAGAATCATTTAGTAATTCTGTTATTAAAAGTTCCAAAATATCTCAAAAATAATTGTTAACACAAGGGTTAATAAAATAACTCATATGCTGTAATATTTATACTTCTGTAAAAGATAAATCAAATAAAACATTTCCAATTTAATTTATATTATATTTTAGTTAAATATTAAGGGCAATGTTTATGTAAATTTCAAATTACCTGATCTTAGCTTTTATAAAACCAATAATTAAGATTGTCACATAGGTACTACAAATACAACTGAAATGTATAGTACTCAGAAAAATACCCTTCCTTGCTGTTTTCTTCTTGCAGTATGCTTATTTTCTGTGAAAAATCGTTTTTAAAAATTCTAACAATTTCTTAACAATACACACAACTGTATTAATACAGACTCAGAAAATTTATTAAATCAGAGACGTATGGTTATAATCAAGAGAGAAAACAAGTTAACCTGTTAAAACCATGATGACATTAACATGATTTCTCAATGAAATTTCCTTTTTATTAATCAGCCTTTCTTCACATTTAATACAAGTTTAAATAAGTATGTGTGAATGCTTATTCACAACTTTTTCAAATTCTTATGATGTAAAAGGGCTAATTTTATTACTTTTAAGTTAAGGTTCATTCAAACTGAGCTTCGATTTTTTAAAAAATTAACTGATCAATATAAAATCTTTCATAGTGTTACATATCCTACTGATTTATGGAAGGGATTTTGCTTGATTTCTCTTTAAGCATTCATTTAATGGGGCTCTTGGACACCTTGGTCCTCAGTTTCTTTTTTTCTTTTTTTTGTGTGGGCCTCAGTTTCTTTTTTTCTTTTTTTGAGTCAGAGTCTTGCTCTCTCCCCCAGGCTGGAGTGCAATGGTGCAATCACGGCTCACTGCAACCTCTGCTTCCTGGGCTCAAGCGATCCTCCCACCTCAGCCTCCTGAGTAGCTGGGATTACAGGCACGCGCCACCACGCCCACCTA
Source organism: Homo sapiens (assembly GCF_000001405.40). Classification (NCBI taxonomy): domain Eukaryota; kingdom Metazoa; phylum Chordata; class Mammalia; order Primates; family Hominidae; genus Homo; species Homo sapiens. The sequence goes on along the minus strand of NC_000006.12, from coordinate 72,817,745 downwards.
ATTTTGGTACTTTTAGTAAAGACAGGGTTTCACCATAATGGTCAGGCTAGTTTCACAGTCTTGGCCTCAAGTGATCCACCCACCTCCGCCTCCCAAAGTGCTGGGATTACAGGCATGAGCAACTGAGCTCGGCCCTCAGTTTCTACAATTATAAAACAAGGCTATCAGGAAACCTTCCATGTCTTGCCCAGCTTTAATTGTGGTTCCATGATTGCACTGAGCGGTACTTTCTCAAGCTCATGTTCAATTTTAATACATTTTTCTGAAGTAGTATTCCTGCTTTTAAAATGCATTTTTGCTGCCTTTGTACTAGTGCTGTAGCATCATGTTTGTTTTACATTTTTAGAATCTAATTGTGAGTAATGCACATTAAAATATTTGGTTTAAGGCATTCAAAACGAACAAATCATGCTCAGTTTTCTCATATGAATTGAATCATTGTTGAACTAGGATAAATTTAGCCTTATCTCTACCATTTTTTAATTCAATATATAGTAGCAAATGTGAAGGTATGTTTATGCCATTTCTATTAGTGTTGATAATAATATTAACAACAATAACTACATTAATTTGTAGCATTTTAATGTGATTTTACTTTCCAGATGAACTCTTCCATATATCCCTTCTTGGTTGTAGAAGTAGGCAAATGTTCATTTTGTCTTCCTCAATATTTTACTCTTAGACAATTCTTACTCACATTGACAATAAATGTAACCTAGCAGTCCCTGGACAACACCCCAAACATCTTTCTGTATTTCTCAGGTCAGTGAAATAGTTGTACCTGACTCCTGTCTTTCATATGCAAGGCAGGTTTTAGGAGGACTGTTTCTCCCTACTCTTTGCTGAATGTACTACTGAGAGTCTAGTTTCCTTTTCCACCTTGAGGAGTGCTCTTGTGAAAAGATTACTCAGTCTACTTCTCTGATATTACTAAGACAATGGGAATGGAAAGACAATGAATAAAGAGATAAGGTAATTAATTCATCCTTGGGAAGACAGGCCACATCCATGGGTGACCACATGACTGGATTACAAAATGGCTCATACACTGTTGGAATTCTCGTGGCCATCTCTGAGCTGTTTGGCAGACCATGTTAATTGTTACGTTAATCTAGATATATGATGTGGATTTCATAAAATTGGAACATGTCAATTACATCCTTGATCCCATATTTTCCCACTTGTTTTGTGGTCTTGACCACCCACTGTTATTTTTCAATTTTACTCCTTTATGGGGCACTGGAAACTCTCTTTCAGTTTATAGCCTGTTGTAGTCTCCCCGTTCTTACAAAGTTACTTTAATTTTACTATTCTGTTAAGTTGTCAAGTGAAGTTTGTGACTTTTAAGCAAATAATAAAATTAAGATAATTCTAGGATGTCTTTGCTTTTGCTATCAACCATCTTGAGAAAATCTTCTATGCTCATTGCTTCTACTTGCTCACCACCTGTTCATGCCTTAATCTTTCACAGCATGCCTTTGACCCTTACTACTCTTCTACTTTCCTGAAAGGTCACCAGTTTTCTCTTAGTCATCAAATTCAGCATCTCTTCTCAGGTTCCATATTTATTTGCGACAATAAAATTCTTGTCTGGACTTTCCTTTCTGACACCTTCTCCCCCTATGACTTCTGCAGCTTTCCAAAGTGTTCACCTCATTTCTTGCCATTCACTGTTTGTGTGCTCTTGCTCTGCAAGTGGGGGTGTTCCTTAAGGAAATGGCCTTAAGCCTCTGTTCTCAGGCATTTTCTCCTTTGGTAATTCCAAGGCTTCAATTATTTTCTGTACATGAGTGATCTCTCCACTGAAAATCTCTCATGAGTTTTGGTGTTGAATGTCCTGCCAGCACCAACAACTTAATGTGCCCCAAGTTAAACTTGTCATCTTTCCATCAAGCCAGATCTTCTTTTGGGGCTGTCTGGCTCTGCTAGTGGCACCATCGTCTGTCACTTAGAGGTGCAAAATGAGTCATATCAATTTTATCTCATAAATAAATCCCTCTTGCACCAGTCTCATTTCTAAACTCACTGCCCAATAGTTAAGCTGTTGATCCATTTTAATGATGTGACTTCCTGACGCTTAAATCTGATCATGCTACTACTCTGATACAAGGTTTTCCTCGGATCCTCATTGCCTGCAGAATCACGTTCAAATATCTAAGCTTAGCTTTGAAAATCCTGATTGGTTTGGAACCAATCTACTCTTCAACTTCATTTCTCTCCACTTCCCTTTCGTCAAACTAAACTGCTCACAATGTTTCCTGAATCTTCTCACCTTGCTGCCTTTGCTCATGTCTTCTCCACCCACAAAGCCACATATTCTGCACATCTTGGAAGACCCAGTCAAGTGCTTGGTCTTCCACATCTTTCCTTCATCTCTCCTTGTTTATACCACATAGAACTTTACACCTGTCTTACGATACTTATAAAAATCTGATTTTAACCTTTTATTACATTTTCTCATTTGCTGTGTTCTAAGGATAAAAAGTGAGTGATTTGCAGTTTCTATGTGCCAGGCGTGTGTTAGGTTCTGAGGTTATAAAGTCCCCATCTACATGTTATGTATCACCCACCTGACTCTATAGGCTCCTTGAGAGTAAAAGCTGATTCTGCTTTGCATCTTCTAAAACCCCAAGCACTAGAACTCCATACATTCATATAGGACTTCAAAAAAAATTATCCCAAACTGAATCCCATATTTCCTGACCATGGTCCACTTCTCCACTCCCTTACCATGCCTCCCCTTGCCTGATATTTGCTCATTGTTTTCTGAATTCAGCTGATAAGATTCTATGCACAAATTCATATAAAATTAAGAATATTACACCAAACCGTTTCCTACTTAAAACTCCAAATAAGCATTATCTTCTGACAAATTGTCTCCTACTTAAAACTCTAAGTGAGGGTATTCTGCTTTAAAGGAAATGCATGCAAAAATAACCAAGAAAAGAATTAATTCTTCTTATGTCACTGTGGCCTGGATTGGTAGTGTCCTCATCAGCTTTGACAATTAACAAGATGATAAAGGGAAAGACTGAGACTATGTCTCTAGGCTTAGGTGCTTGACATGAGTAAACCACTGGATTTGAATTAAAAAATTAATTTACTGCCAAGGATTTGACACAGAAACAAAGAGCATAGCAGATACTAGTGGTAGAAGAAAGCCATACAGAATTTAAAGAGTTTAGTGGTGTGCAGTTAGAGTTGCAAAAGACATATGATGCAAAAATGCTTAACTTCCTGTGTCGGGCGTTGCTCTTTACAGGAGTGAGCTAGAGTATTTTATATTTTCTAAGTAATCTTCACAGGAATCTATGAGGTTGGTAATGATTTTATAACCCTCATTTTACAGATGAAGAAACAGGTGCTTGTTGAGCTTGAGTAATCTCCCTAAGGTTACACAATTAGTAAGTACCAGAGTGACGACTTGAAGCCAGGCAGCCTGGCTGCAGGTTGGATAGTGAGCCATTACATTGCACTGCGGTGGAGGAGCACCACCGAGCATGGCTAATTCATCCTATTCTCAGAGGCAGGCACTCATTTTCCAGGGTGGACAGGACCACCGCCTTGTCTTCTGCTTCCCACCCTTCCCTTTCCTTCTGTTCCTAGATTCAAAATGTTGTGCATCAGTGGCCTTGGGCCTGGCTCTGCACTGGGCCACGCTCTTGCTCTCATAGAAGTCCTGCTTGCCCTCTTTCCTCCTCTGATCCTGCCTGGCCCCATAGGCTCTGGGTGACAGTGACATGAACCAAATCTTTATACAGTCAGCAAGCCCAGAATAACCAACTCATAGTCCAGCCACTGCTCCTAAATGCCTGATCCAAGGAGTACAACAGGGTACAGTTGACTCTCCATATCCACAGAGTCAACCAACAAGAGGACAAGAATATTTGAAAAAATAATAACATTGCAACAAAAAAGTAATACAAATAAAAAATATAGTAAAACAACTATTTACATAGCAATTACATTATATTAGATATTATAAGTAATCTACAGATGATTTAAAGTATATGAGAGAATGTGCTTTGGCCATATACAATACTACACTATTTTATATCGGGGACTTAAGCACCTGCAGATTTTGGTATCCACAGGGGTCCTGAAACCAGTCCCTGGGGTCCTGGAATCAATACCTCTTGGACACCTAGGGACAACCATTTTAAAGCTTTCACTTTAAAAGGTGGTACATGAGGTGGGTGTGAGAGACAGTAATTTCTATTAATTGTGGGACGTAAAGGAAGAGGCCCATTTGGATTAAAAACAGTTAAGTTTCTATTCCCAGATGTGTGTAACATGCTAACAAACTGATGGAAAGCTTTGTAAACTCAAATTCCTCTTACGAAGCAATAAACTATACCTGAGTAGGCTTCAAAAGTAAATGTTTCCATTTAACAAAGAATACAGACTTTATGGAAAAAAATAAAAAATAAATGTTTCCCCAAGTGGCCTAACATATTCTTAGGGTACGACTTTCACTCTGGGAGAATTCTGGAAATAAGCCCCTGAAAAAAAGATATTTTAAAAGTTTTGTTTGGTTTAAATATATATTTCTCACTGTTCACTTTAGTCATAGGTAAATGATAAAAACAGATACAATGAACACAAAATCCAATAGATTAAACATCATAGTTCCTTATGAGTGAATAAACAGCATTTCTAGGTGGGGCATAACAAAGAAAAATTAAAACTAATGCATGTTCACCAGGAAAGCAATCTCACTTGGAATGTTTTCAAGGCAGTGTATACTATATTGTAATAGTATCTTATAAATTAATTATCAATAGATTATAAATCAATCAGGGAAATATGCATTTTTAATCCACGTAAATTAGAAAAATAGTGTTTCCATTTTAAAATGCCCCTCACTTGACCCAGTAATTGTTATGACAGTAGGTAGTAGGGTAAATCCTGACTTGCTGCTTATTTTGTAATTTGCTGTCACTTGTTCTTAAAGCCTTTGCAATGTTTCTTTACAGTGAGAAATTTAGCTTGGGTGCACTTAATGTGCCACTTACTATGGCTTCTAAGTGGAGCTAGCCTTTGGAGCCAGTCTAATCAACCTAGCTCCATTCTACACAAAGTTAATAAGCCTCTCTGACTCCATTTCTGGCCAGGAGTGACCTTCCTCATACAAAAGTGGCACTTAGCTCTTTCTCACTGATTTTTATCATGGCAATTCCGAGGTCCCCTGTGTACACAATTTTAGCAGTAAGTCCCATGTCAGTACACAGAGGTTTTGCCATTAAATCCATCCTAAAATTAAATGCTTTTTAGCAGAGTATAAATGATATTCCCTATGGGCTCCCTGTACAATATGATTTCATTCAATAAACATGATTGGAGCACCTACTACAGGTAGAGTGCTGGCCCACGCATTGTAGTGTCAGAGGCATTCAAACCAGAGTGGTTCCCTCTTGAATAAGGACTGCATAAAATGAGGATAAGATTTGCTGGGCTGCATTCCAAGGAGGTCAGGCATTCTTAGTCACAGGATGAGACAGGAGGTCGGCAGGACTAGTATCATAAGATACAGGTCATAAAGACCCTGCGGATAAAACAGGATGTAATAAAGAAGCCAGCCAAAACCCACCAAAACAAAGACGGCAATGAAAGTGACCTTTGGTCATCTTCACTGCTCATTATAAGCTAATTGTAATGCATTGGCATGCTAAAAGACACTCCAGCCCCATGACCGTTTACAAATACCATGGCAACGTCAGGAAGTCACCCTATATGGTCTAAAAAGGGGAGGAAACCTCAGTCCTGGGAATTGCCCACCTCTTTCCCCCAGAAATCTCATGACTACTCCACCCCTTGTTTAGCAGATAATCAAGAAATAACCCTATAAATAGCCAACCAGCAGCCCCTGGGACTGCTCTGCCTATGGAGTAGCCATTCTTTTGTTTATTTCTCAAAGAAACTTGCATTCCCTTTACTCTATGGACTCATCCCAAATTCTTTCTTGTGTGAGATTCAAGAACCCTCTTTAGGGGTCTGAACTGGGACCCTTTCCGGTAACAGAAGTCCAAGAATGAGAGACACCTGGAACTTGGCCTCCACAGGCTCTTAATCTACTGGGGCAGAAAGAATCATCCTTAAATAATTCAATACATGCCAATTGTGACACATGCTGTTACTGTGACAGAGCTATAGGAGTATAGAAGATTCATTCTGAGAGGAGTCTCTTACTCTTTTACGAAAACTACTGGTAGAATATAGCATTCTTTTTTAGTAGGAAAGAGATGCTTGCGTATATCATTTATGGTATACTTATCCACAAACAGAAAAATAATTATAATAAATTATGATTCTTTCCTAAGAGGGGATGTATAGAACTTGGGTAGCAGATGACATTCAAATGAACCTTCATAATTTACTCTCTAGAATTCAGAATTTATTAGACTTCCTTAGATTCAGGAAGCCTGAGCAGAGTAGTCTGGGAACAGGTAGAAAGAATAAAATCTCTCTCCACTATTTTTCTTTTCTACCAGAAATATGCTTTCAGAACTGACCATCAACACAATTTTCCTTCACTGCAAACCCAGCACAGGGAGTTATGGAAGCTCAATGCCAGTTAGTGGCAGCTTATTTTGCACGAAGGCTCTGACCCTGGCAACTCCCCACTCTCCTTTCATTTTGGAGCCACCAGGCGAGATCTGTGCTTGAGCAATGCCATGTGCAATGATGCCATGCATGAGTTTTAGGCAAGAAGACATTTTCCTGCCTTTTTATAAACACATGGAAATCAACCTCATCAGTTTATACAGCGAATACTCTGTACCAAGGAGAACCAGACACAGGGTATTCTTAGCATCTCCAGGTTAGGCAAAATAAAATGTTACCATGCTGTTTTAGAAAACAGACAGATTAAAAGATACTAACCCTCCATAGTTGTAGCTGGGGAAAATTGTTAATTCTTTATGTCAGAATGAAAAACACATGTCTATGTTTCAGAGTTTTTTTTCTGACTTCAACTTTAACCCCAAAGTAATGACTAAGCATGCCCAAAGAGGCACTTTATTTTTATAGCCATGTTCATGGAAAGCCAAAATGGCACCTGAATGACTTTTCCCCTCCTCTTACTCGCAGTCATAATTTCTAGTATTAACATTATAGTAGCTGGAAGTGTTTTCAAAAGCAAGCATTTCCTTTTTCATTTCCAATCACAGCAGAAGAAATAGAAAGTTTCCCTGCTAATGCTGGAGGGTGAGAAATTTTTATACTGTCATTACTCTGACAATGAGAAAGGAGAATAGATTTCTACTCTGGTCAGATAGCAGAAATCCTGGTTCTCCAATCCTCACAGGAAAGCTAGTCCCAGCAACATACCACATGAATTCTATGCAATAAAATGTCCTATTAGCTCTAGTGTTTAGATCTATATTTGTGTCCTTCACTTCTCACTTCTTCTCTCAATAGAATTCCTTTACTCAACATGTAAGAGAAAATTATTGGAAACAGGTGTAGTCTCCTAGAGTGAGTAACAAAGTTTACCAAATAATTCATAAAATCAACCAACATATTTTCCTGAGGAAGCATGCATAAATAATATGACATCATTGTTAAGGAGCATTTAAGGAAATGATAAACATGTTCAAGGGAAAAGCTATTCTCTGGGCGCTGATGTAACCGGAACATGGTTTAATAACATGTTAGCTTGAGCCCACTGTGTAGTAAACATTTACTACCCATAGTACATAATGAAGCAGTCGGGAGATGCCTTTTATCAGAGGCTATTTCTTAATCATTCAGGGCCCATTAAAAGTCACAACAGAAGCAAACAGAAACTGTGACATGTGCCTCTAAAAATACTGCTTATTGGCAACTGCTCCCTGGAAGAGGTATTTTGTGTTCATTGGATCCATTGGTGTGTGAGTGAAATTTTCCAGCAGTTCACAAAAATACACAGACCACATCGAGGGCACATCTGTGAACTTTAGAAAAATGTGAAAGTAAAGGGAAGCATTAGAAAGCAGTGCATCTTTGTTATCCAGAATGACTGTCACTAAATGCTCCTTTGTCTTGACATTTTTAGGACTGAATTGTAGAGAAGTGCCCTATGTGCAAATTTCCATCCAACACAGTCAGCATTCAGCCCACATGGATTGTAATTTTTACATGTGTTCTGTGTGCAAGGTTTTACCTAGTCAACATAGACATGACTCAAAAAATGTGGTGTCATTTTTTTTTTTTTGAGACGGAGTCTCACTCCATCACCCAGGCTGGAGTGCAGTGGCACGATCTCAGCTCACTGCAACCTCCACCTCCCTGGTTCAAGCAATTCCCCTGCCTCAGCCTCCTGAGTAGCTGGGATTACAGGCACATGCCACCACGCCTGGCTATTTTTTTTATTATTATACTTTAAGTTTTAGGGTACATGTGCACATTGTGCAGGTTAGTTACATATGTATACATGTGCCATGCTGGTGTGCTGCACCCACTAACTCGTCATCTAGCATTAGGTATATCTCCCAATGCTATCCCTCCCCCCTCCCCCCACCCCACAACAGTCCCCAGAGTGTGATGTTCCCCTTCCTGTGTCCATGTGATCTCATTGTTCAATTCCCACCTATGAGTGAGAATATGCGGTGTTTGGTTTTTTGTTCTTGCGATAGTTTACTGAGAATGATGGTTTCCAGTTTCATCCATGTCCCTACAAAGGACATGAACTCATCATTTTTTTATGGCTGCATAGTATTCCATGGTGTATATGTGCCACATTTTCTTAATCCAGTCTATCGTTGTTGGACATTTGGGTTGGTTCCAAGTCTTTGCTATTGTGAATAATGCTGCAATAAACATACGTGTGCATGTGTCTTTATAGCAGCATGATTTATAATCCTTTGGGTATATACCCAGTAATGGGATGGCTGGGTCAAGTGGTATTTCTAGTTCTAGATCCCTGAGGAATCACCACACTGACTTCCACAATGGTTGAACTAGTTTTTTTTTTGTATTTTTAGTAGAGACTGGGTTTCACTATGTTGGTCAGACTGGTCTCGAACCCCTGACCTCAGGCAATCCTCCCATCTTGGCCTCCCAAGTGCTAGGATTATAGGCATGAGCCACCGCGCCCGGCAGTGGTGTCACTTTTATAGTTATTCTTCATTCACCACCTGGCTTGGGAAAGGCTCCTTGAAAGTGCTGGGGCACTAGACACACAAATAAAAAGTAAAAAGGGCCTTTCTATTTATTTTAAATAGATACAGTGGATTATCAGGATGAGTAACATAAGACATAGGAGAAAATTAATAGCTAATAAAAACATGATGGGTTTTGACAATGGGTACCCTTGTACAGTGCTCTGTGCACCCTCTTGCACAGAACAACTCCTTGTATTCCGGTTTGGTTGATGTAGACACTTTAACTAAATATTCCAGACCATACAAAAATAAATCAACTTAGTCTCTGTTTCTTCATATTGCATCTCTCCATTTTTGCCATTCCCAAAGTGAATACTCCTTTTATGTATCCTCTCTTAAGTGTGCGTTTGATTGTTTGCAAAATATTCAAAATCGTAACAACTTCTTCTTTCTTAGATATTCCTAAGTATCACTCAAATCAGTCCGCTTCTCTCCATTTCCTTTGCCACTAGCCCAGATAAGGCCGCCATTGACTCTCTCCTTCAATTTCTGTCCCCATCCTGCCCCTAGTGAACTCCCCATGCTGCTGCCAGTGAAACACATTTGATCACATCTGTCTCCTCCTAACTCTTCTTTGGCAAGTGAATACTGTCAGGATGAAGTCCAAGTTATTTAACACTACCTACTTTCTTCTCACTTCCCTTTCTATAACATAGCCATACTGGACTTCCAGTTACCCCAAAACCATGTACTTTTGCTCTGTAGGGATTTGCGCTTGCAGCTTCCTCTGCCTGGAACACTTTTCCACATCCTGTGTCAACCTCTTGCACAGAGCAATTGATTATTATTTATTCTTTGGGTCTAGGCCAGGTGTGGAGGCGCACACTTTAGGAGGCCTAGGTGGGAGGATTGCTTGAGGTCAGGAGTTTAAGATCAGCCTGGGCAACATATTGAGACCCTGTCTCTACAAAATATTTTTAAAAAAAATTAGCCAGGGATAGTAGTGCATGCCTTTAGTCCTAGTTACTTAGGAGGCTGAGGCAAAGGATCCCTTGAGTTCAGGGGTTTGAGGCTGCAGTGAGCTGTGATTGGATCACCACACTCCAGCCTGGGTGATGGAGCAAAACTCTGTCACTAAAACAAATAATAATGATAATAATCATCAGGACAGGAGAGATCCTGATACTAAGTAGAGAAATAATTTCTAAACAGTAAAAGATGCTGTTGATTTTAGATGATAATTAAATGTATCATTTATAATTTAATAGAATTTAACCCTCTTGAAAGTAAAGATAATTATTGCATAAATCAATCAATTACTTTTGAAATAACTATTATATTGTTATTTTCATAATAAATACTAAGTAAACATGGTGAGGTTAAAAATAAAAATTTATTGAGTATTTACAATTAACTAAGCCCTATGGTATGACTATTATACAGATTAGCAAGATGTAGCTAATAATTGAACCCAGACATGATGCTATCAAAATTCACTGTTTCAATATTATTCTCTTGAATGATTAAATAAGTCAACTAAATTGTAGGGCTTCCTGACATCAAAATAAACAAATGCATAAACACATAAATGCATAAATAAATAAATAAATGGAAGAAAACACCTTACCACAGAGATTAAAAATTCTCATTGACAAATGTCCATGAGAAATGCAACATATACATAATAAATAGTAACAGAGACAAAGGCTGCTTATAAAACTGAATGTTTATTGTTTATAGAAAGAAGTTTTTCAAACTGTAAAGCTGTTTGTCGATCTTATTCTCATATGGGAGAAAAACGAAACTGAAAATTAATAAATAAAATTTGAAAGGAAGGCTTAATGAGCTTCAGTCCAGTGGTTTACCATGCAAGGAGCAAAAACGGGTTTGGCTTGAGGAAGTAGGAATGGGAACTCAGTACTGCAGTTACAAGCCAAATCAAAATATGGGAAATGCAGAAGACACATTTAATTCCTTAATAATAGGAATATTGGGCCAACATCTTGGAGTCTTGCAATTTTCAGATAATATTTTATTTCTCAGCAGGTCATATCAAGAGAACCTCTTGAGGTTGTGTAAGTATTATGATTCTCTGCTTATTGCCTTACTTCGTCTGTTGCTATTTTTTGTCTCTTCAGGTTTGATCCTTAAGGCTTTTGTTGAACTGACCCTAAGCACTTTATGTTATCTTTTTGAAGAAATATGTCTTCTAGATTTCCCATCTTTTGATTTGGCCTATAACTTCAGTACTGGGTTCCCATTCCTACTTCCTCAAGCCAATCCCATTTTTGCATTACTTAGATGGGACTGACCCCCTCATTGGGTAGAGCTTTTGTCACTTTTTGGATTTTTGCTTGTCTTATTTCTTGTGCCAAATGGCTTTAAAAATATTGTCTGGAATGATGCCTCTATTGTCTTCTATGATTATATATATCGTTAAGAAATTAATGCTGTATGGTGAGGATCCCAATCCACCCCAGGTAAAAGAGAAAACATTCTCACAAGCTTCAGTTTCTATCTAAGCACACAGGACTTGTTTAGCATCATGAAAGACCATCAAAGAAAGAGATAAAGTCAAAATCCAAGACATTTCTGGGCTCCACTTTCTTCAGGTCTCTGTCACCAGTTGCCTCTCAGCAGATTTCGGGCACCATGAAGTAAAGTACACTATGAAGCACTTTTATATGCCAACAGCAAACAATCTGAAAAAGAAATCATGGAAGTGATCCCATTTACAACAGCTACAAATAAAATAAAACACCTAGGAATTAACCAAAGAATTGAAAGAGTTCTACGATGAAAATTATAAAACACTGATAAAGGAAATTGAAGAGGAAACAATAAAACAGAAAGATATTCCATGTCCATAGGTGGGGAATCAATACTGTTAAAATATTCATGCTACTTAAAGCAGTCTACAGATTCAGTGCAATCCCTATCAAAATACTAATTACATTCTTCACAGAAATAGAAAGAACAATTCTAAAATTTATATGGAATCACAAAAGACCCAGAATAGCTGAAGTTATTCTGGGCAAAAAGAACAAAACTGGAGGAATCACATTAGCTGGCTTCAAATTGTACCACAGAGGTATAGTAACCCAAACAGCATGGTAATGGCATAAAAACAGACACATAGATCAATGGAACAGAATAGAGAACCCAGAAACAAATCCATATATCTATATATCTACAGTGAACTCATTTTTCAATAGAAGTGCCAAGAAGATATGTTAGGGAAAGGATAGTCTCTTCAATAAATGGTGCTGGGAAGCTTCCATATGCAGAAGAATGAAAATAGACCCCTGTCTCCTGCTATATGTGAAAATCAAATCAGAATCCGTTAAACGCTTAAGTCTAAGACCCCAAACTATGAAACTACTACAAGAAAACATTGGAGAGACTCTCCAGGACATTGGAGTGGGCAAAGATTTCTTCAGTAATATCTTACAAGTACAGGCAATCAAAGCAAAAATGGACAAATGGGATCACATCAAGTTAAAAAGCTTCTGCACAGCAAGGGAAACAATCAACAAAGTGAAGAGACAACCCACAGAATGGGAGAAAATATTTTCAAACTATCCATCTGACAAGGGATTAATAATCAGAATATGTAAGAAGCTCAGACAACTCTACAGAAAAAAATCCAATAATCTGATTTTAAAACGGGCAAAAATCTGAATGGACATTTCTCAAAAGAAGACATACAAATTGCAAACAGGTATATGAAAAAGGTGTTCAAATCACTGGTTATTAGAGAAATGCAAATCAAAACTATAATGAGATATTAACTCACTCCAGTTAAAATCACTTTTATCCAAAAGACAGGCAATAGCAAATGCTGGTGAGAATGTGGAATAAAGGGAAAAACCCTTGTATACTGTTAGTGGGAATACAAATCAGTACAATCACTATGGAGAACAGTTGGAGGTTCCTCAAAAAACTACAAATAGAGCTACCATATGATTCAGCAACCCATTGCTGGTATGGACCCAAAAGAAAGGAAATCAGTATACTGAAGAGATATCTGCACTCCCATGTTTATTGCACACTATTCATAACAGCCAAGATTTGGAAGCAATCTGTGTCCATTGTCAGATGAGTGGATAAATAGAACATGGCACACTATAGAGTACTACCGGGCTATAAAGAAGAGTGAGATTCTGTCATTTGCAACAACATAGATGGAACTAGAGTCATTATGTTAAATGAAATGAGCCAGGCACATAAAGACAAGCATCACAGGTTCTCACTTATTTGTGGGATCTAAAAATCAAAACAATTGAACTTAAGGAGATAGAGAATGGAACAATGGTTATTAGAGACTAGGGAAGGGCAGTGGAGGGGTGGGGGTAGTGGGGATGGTTAATGGGTACAAACATATAGTTAGATAGAATAAATAAAACCTATTATTTGATAGCACAACAGGGTGACTACAGTCAACAGTAATTTATTGGATATTTAAAAATAATGAAAGGAGTATAATTGGATTATTTTAACACAATGAATAAATGCTTGAGGTGATGTGATTATCATGCCTTGTATGCCCTATAAATGTAGCAACCAACTATGTACTCACAAAAATTTAACATTAAAAAGTATACTGTAAAGCATTTCTCAAAAAAGTCAGAATGGTGACATGTAAGTTTATATAAATGCACAAGTTTATATCAATCTATATTTATATATTCAAGCTTATATTCAAGAGTCTATGTTTTATAATTTGCTATGCTTTATTTTATCTCCTGAAATGCATCTATTTATAGCTATTAAGTTATTCAAAGGAAGATTATTGGGCTTATATTACTCACAAACAAAAGTATTATTTATAACAGTTTAGAAGAACCTATCTTAGGGGAATATCTGAAAAGCCACTTCAGGAAAATTAAAAAGATGAGGAAGATCATGATATTAAGTATTTAGTCAAAGAACCAACGAACTAAAAAGTATCTGACAGCAACAAGTAGGTCTAATACTTTCTAGGGTGATGATTTGTGAACATATTAGGAGTATTTTTTCTTTTTCTCAAAACTACATAACAATTAAAGTACTTATACAATGTCGCCAAACCTCCAGAGTTCTGAGAAGAAATCTGATAAAGACTAATTTATAGGACAGATCCAGTGCCTGTAGGGAATATTCTGGTGTGGACACATTGTGCAGAACTAGCTGGTATAAGCTCTACTTTTGGAAATGAAAACCATTAAGCATAAACTTTCAGAAAAGCCTGTGAGAACTAAGGTCCTTGGAGAAATTTATATGTTTGGCAATTCTCATACAAGACTTTGGGAGGCATGGCTCTTAGTAGTTAGCAATGAGGCAGTGAGGTGACTTTTCTCCCATTAACTATCTGTTCGCAGCCCAGATTTTTGTTGAGTCTATTATGCAGGTTTTTATATGCAAAAATTAAAATGGTGAGAATGAACGTGTACGTGGCATTGCATGCCCCTCTTCACTTCTGAAATTGTTTCTTTTAAAACAAGGAGAATCAGTGGGAATATAGGAACAAAGATTGTGTCTAAGACAATTATTGATTGTGGTTGGTCTGAGACTGAACTCCATGGTTGCCTCAAGAAACAAGTAAGGTTCTGATATTAGAGGCCTGAACAAATGTCCTGGTGCAATCTCTTAGAAAATCTTCCTGATTATCTCAGGAAACTTTAACAGTGATGCAGCCTAGGAGTTGATAGGGCTGTGGAAGAATCATAAGGAAATAGGGGCAGTCACGGCAATACAATGATGACGTTATAATTCCTTAAGTTCAATGCAGAGGTGCATGTTTATATGAGCACAGAGTTTACAAGAACAAGTTCTATGAGGCTGAGCTCTAGTAAGACCAGAATGCAGTGTAATTGTCTCGGCTGCAGTTGGGGTCAGGGCCGGGGGCTCTGAATTCAGGCCTCTGCTCTATTTTCAACTGGTGGTGAGACATGAGTTCTTGGACCTTAAGAGGATTCCTCTATGCAGACTACAGGGCTCTTTCTAAACCAACTACTTTGATTCAGAAATGTGCAAAAAGCTCATCTTCAGAATTATGTCTTACGATCTATGTTACCAAAATGAGACTATAACTAACACAAACAGAATTCTTTCTAAGTTAAAGTAACGATATGAGGTTGGGTTTTGCTTTGCCCACATGAGGGACAAAGCTGAGTCAATGGTTAACTTTATCTGCAGATTAAGTAAAAAGAGGATTGTTTATTTTGTTGTAAAAATGTTTGAGGGACCTAAAATTGCTCCCATTGTTTTGCTGCATAAAGAATGAGAGGTCAGTGATGGAAGATGAAATGAATGAAATGAAGTGAGAAGGGAAGTTTAGAGAAAAAAGAATAAAAAGAAACGAACAAAGCCTCCAAGAAATATGGGACTATGTGAAAAGACCAAATCTACGTCTGATTGGTGTACCTGAAAGTGATGCGGAGAATGGAACCAAGTTGGAAAACACTCTGCAGGATATTATCCAGGAGAACTTCCCCAATCTAGCAAGGCAGGCCAACATTCAGATTCAGGAAATACAGAGAACGCCACAAAGATACTCCTTGAGAAGAGCAACTCCAAGACACATAATTGTCAGATTCACCAAAGTTGAAATGAAGGAAAAAATGTTAAGGACAGCCAGAGAGAAAGGTCGGGTTACCCTCAAAGGGAAGCCCATCAGACTAACAGCGGATCTCTCGGCAGAAACCCTACAAGCCAGAAGAGAGTGGGGACCAATATTCAACATTCTTAAAGAAAAGAATTTCCAACCCAGAATTTCATATCCAGCCAAACTAAGCTTCATAAGTGAAGGAGAAATAAAATACTTTACAGACAAGCAAATGCTGAGAGATTTTGTCACCACCAGGCCTGCCCTAAAAGAGCTCCTGAAGGAAGCACTAAACATAGAAAGGAACAACCGGTACCAGCCACTGCAAAACCATGCCAAATTGTAAAGACCATCGAGGCTAGGAAGAAACTGCATCAACTAACGAGCAAAATAACCAGCTAACGTCATAATGACAGGATCAAATTCACACATAACAATATTAACTTTAAATGTAAATGGACTAAATGCTCCAATTAAAAGACACAGACTGGCAAATTGGATAAAGAGTCAAGACCCATCAGTGTGCTGTATTCAGGAAACCCATCTCACGTGCAGAGACACACATAGGCTCAAAATAAAAGGATGGAGGAAGATCTACCAAGCCAATGGAAAACAAAAAAAGGCAGGGGTTGCAATCCTAGTCTCTGATAAAACAGACTTTAAACCAACAAAGATCAAAAGAGACAAAGAAGGCCATTACATAATGGTAAAGGGATCAATTCAACAAGAAGAGCTAACTATCCTAAATATATATGCACCCAATACAGGAGCACCCAGATTCATAAAGCAAGTGCTGAGTGACCTACAAAGAGACTTAGACTCCCACACAATAATAATGGGAGACTTTAACACCCCACTGTCAACATTAGACAGATCAACGAGACAGAAAGTTAACAAGGATACCCAGGAATTGAACTCAGCTCTGCACCAAGCGGACCTAATAGACATCTCCAGAACTCTCCACCCCAAATCAACAGAATATACATTTTTTTCAGCACCACACCACACCTATCCCAAAATTGACCACATAGTTGGAAGTAAAGCTCTCCTCAGCAAATGTAAAAGAACAGAAATTATAACAAACTGTCTCTCAGACCACAGTGCAATCAAACTAGAACTCAGGATTAAGAAACTCACTCAAAACCACTCAACTACATGGAAACTGAACAACCTGCTCCTGAATGACTACTGGGTACATAACGAAATGAAGGCAGAAATAAAGATGTTCTTTGAAACCAATGAGAACAAAGATACAACATACCAGAATCTCTGGGACACATTCAAAGCAGTGTTTAGAGGGAAATTTATAGCACTAAATGCCCACAAGAGAAATCAGGAAAGATCCAAAATTGACACCCTAACATCACAATTAAAAGAACTAGAAAAGCAAGAGCAAACACATTCAAAAGCTAGCAGGAGGCAAGGAATAACTAAAATCAGAGCAGAACTGAAGGAAATAGAGACACAGAAAACCCTTCAAAAAATTAATGAATCCAGGAGCTGGTTTTTTGAAAGGATCAACAAAATTGATAGACCGCTAGCAAGACTAATAAAGAAGAAAAGAGAGAAGAATCAAATAGATGCAATAAAAACTGATAAAGGGGATATCACCACCGATCCCACAGAAATACAAACTACCATCAGAGAATACTACAAACACCTCTACGCAAATAAACTAGAAAATCTAGAAGAAATGGATAAATTCCTCGACACATACACCCTCCCAAGACTAAACCAGGAAGAAATTGAATCTCTGAATAGACCAATAACAGGCTCTGAAATTGTGGCAATAATAGCTTACCAACCAAAAAGAGTCTAGGACCAGATGGATTCACAGCCGAATTCTACCAGAGGTACAAGGAGGAACTGGTACCATTCCTTCTGAAACTATTCCTATCAATAAAAAGTGTGTGGCATTACCTTTGAAATTCAAATTGTAACTCAGACAGTCTGATATAGGAGTGGGAATAAAGGTAGGCTTTCTCTTATAATTATTAGTCTGGTTATCAAGAGTCAGATTTAAAGTACACAATAAGGTACTAGTAATCAAAGTAAATTTTTTTCCTCTGTCTGAATTATTCTAAATGGCCTTAAAATATAGTAAATAGAACATATGATATAATAAATAAAATTTAAAATATATTTTTTTCAAAGTAGCTTGATGCTTCTTCAGTATCATCTGGAGGGCTACACATTTAATTCTCTGTTACACTATTTGGAAGAGTTTTATGAGGTTGCTGTGAGAAATAATTAAAGTGCATAAAAAGCTCTTGGCCCAAGGTATGGCATGCAGAATGTGCTCAAGGAAGGCTGGTTATAATTCTCATTCAAGAACAGGACTGCAGGCAGTCCCACAGTTAAGGACTATGATGCCAAGAACCAGTTTCAGTGCCTCCATCGTATTCATTTCACATTCAAACTCTGGAACCTCCGTGTTTGATCTCAAAGAAATGTTACTAGACTGGACTGTAGAAAATACAGATTCTTTTTCTTGAGTTGAAATGGTATACAACCTAAGTCCACAAGTGTATTCTGTTGTTGAAGCTAGGTGTATAGTTATAAATTAAAATAAAGTTACTTGAAGAAGTGGGGGAAATCTTAAGCAGAACAGGAAACCAGAAGCCATGTATGAGGACAAGTTTTATGTGTCAGTTTGGCTAAATGGTAGTACCCAGTAATCAAATAATAATAGAGCTGTTGCAGTGAAGGCATTTTGTAGATGTGGTTAACATCTACAATCAGTTGACTTTAAGCAAAGGAGATTACCTTGACAGGGTGGATGGGCCTCATTCAATTGGCCAAAAGGACTAAAGAGCAAAACCAAGAGTTCCTTTAGAAATTCGGCAGCAGGACTACAGCATCAGCTCCTGCCTGAGTTTCCGGTCTGCTGGCCTGCCTACAGATTTCAGACTTCCCAGTCCCCACAGTTGTGTAAGCAAGCAAATTCCTTGAAAGCAATCTGTCTCTCTGTCTCTCTTCTCTCTCTGTCTCTCTATATAAATAAAATATCTTACTGGTTGTTTCTCTGGAGAACCCTGGCTGATACACCACTCTTTGCCATTTATATAACTAAATGTTTGTAAATTTAAAAACATATCCCACACATAATTATATGTCTTATATATGTATATAAATATACATATATATGCATTCATAAAAATTTAAAAATTAAGTGAACAGTCCTACATTAAATATACACAAATAGGGAAAATGGGATTGAAAATAGGAGATAGGGTAGACAAATACAATTTTTAAAATGAAGTATTATATAAAAAGGAAGCCAATCTCAGGACTATTAATGTCTGTGTACCATGAACTGGGGGCTTGATCAATCCCATTCTGTGCACCTAACTGAGAATATTCACATTTATGAATTATGTATTACACTAAGTGAAACCTAATGCTTGAAATGGAAATAACAGCTTAGTCTGTTTTGTGCTTCTGTAACAGAATACCTGAGACTGGGTGATTTATAAAAAATGGAGATGTAGTTTTTACAGTTCTGGAGGCTGGGAAGTCCAAGGGGCCTGTGTTTTGTGAGTGCTTTCTTGCTGCATTGTCCCATGGCAGAAGGCAGAAGAGGAGGAGAGCACATGCAAGTGAGAGAACCAAACTCGTTTGAATAACAAACCCACTCTTCTGATGACTAACTCACTTCTGTCATAACAACTTTAAACCATTTAAGAGCAGAGCCTTCATGACTGAATCACCTCATATTAGGCCCTCCCTCCCAACATTGTTGCGTTGGGGATTAACTTTCCAACACATAAACTTTGCAGGATACCTTCAAACCATAATACCAGCTTAAAAGATATTTCAAAGAAGTAGAGTAATTACATCCAAGGAAATATTGAGATAAGAAGTATCTGGACATACTCATGAACTTTCAAGCACATGTTACTAATATGAAGTATATTAATCTCTGAAGACCTAGCTACAATCTCATAGTGACTGTGTTCTGTTTTTTAAGTATTAGAGGATTTACACCCCAGTTCACTCATGGGTATCACAGAGTGCTTTAAATTGCTTCTTGTTTAGTATTTTATATCTTGCATACATTCTAGGCCATAAATTCCTTAAAAAGGTCAACAATTTTCACATTTATTTGTTTTTCCTCAGTGACTGGTTTAGCATCTTACACATGGTGATATTCATATTTGAGCCATTTAAGAATTAATTCATAACTAATAATGAATATAGAAGGTATAATTCTAGTTAAGAATTCATGAGTTTTTAATAATTATAAATAATATCCCAATGATTTAATATGTTGATTTTTTCCTGCTCAAAATACTGGCCAAAATTTGATCTTATTTTGTTGTTTATTCACATCATAAGTCTATGTTATAACTCATGCACTAAGCCACTATTCTATAAAAATCCAATAAAGTTTCTTAATTTGTAATGTATCCTACTTACACAATTAAAACCTCAATTGGCTAAACAGTATCACTATAATAACCTATTAAATATAACATTAACTTAATGGCTGAGCTCTGATAGCATGTTAGGGGTATTTGTCAATGTAACTATAACAAGCAGTATTTATACTAAACACTTTTTTTTTTTTTTTTGGCAGGGTCTTATTCTGTTGCCCAGGCTGGGGTGCAGTGGAGTGATCACTGCTCACTGCAACCTTGACCTCCTGGGCTCAGGTGGTTCTCCCACCTCAGCCTCCTGAATAGCTGGGATGACAGGTGCGTGCCAACATTCCCAGCTAATTTTTTCATATGTTTTGTAGAGATGGGTTTTTGCCATGTTCCCAGGCTGGGCTCAAGCAGTCTGCCTACCTCAGCCTCCCAAAGTGCTGGGACTACAGGCATGAGCCATCACACCTGGCCTATACTTAATATTTTGATAAATTAAAGAATTTTATAGTTCATGGGCATTGTGAGTTTTTATTTGATATGCTGTTCTAACGGGAATAGTGAATAAATTAGCTAGTTCAGATAAATTTAGGATTAAATAAAAATTTATTTATGTTCATGAAGCTTTGCTGATACTTGTCATAGTAATTCGATTGTCCTAAAAGAAATCAGAATTAATGTGTGTTGACAAAACGTAAAGGCAGTGAGTTCATAGAAGTTGCAATATTATATCTCTGCTCTGCATAGTTCATTTTCTTGTTTAAGCTAGGGACTCATCTGCCTGAGAATAATCTCATTATATTCATTGAACAGATTCACCATTAGATGTTCTTGCCCTTTAATCCCATTATAGTATCTATTTGTATTTCAATTTTGACCTTTGGAATTTTTTGTATCAGTATTTCTTGCAAAATTTAATATTACTGTCTTAATATCACAAATACAGCTAATTATGTTGAAACCTTAAATCAGCTTTCATGGGTCAGCAAAGATTCCTATCATTTTATAATTCCCATTTATGATGTGAATAACTCTGGAATGAAGAGTCTGGCCACTAGCACTGGATAGCATGCTATGTAGAGGGCCTTATAATGTTGGAGAGTGTTTTGCATTACTCTGTCCATATCCTTCGAATCTTATTCTCCTTAAGGACAGGGACAGTGCTATGGTCTGTGGCCTCATATCCAGGGAGCTTAGGACATTCACAGAGGTCATAGCCCTGGCCTTGGCCTTGGCCTCATTATCAGCTCTAATGAATTGAGGTAACCAGTTGCAGGCAAAAAAGAGCTCCTTTAGCTCTCTGTGGTCCTGGCTAGTTTTGAAATACAACACCTACATCATTGTCCAGGCTTGGGAGTGGGATTCCAGGCAGTCACATAATTTTCAAATGTAAACTCAAACTGACAATGACAAAATCTCAAATAATGGGAGATTATTAGTTTGGGTCAAATTTCTCTTCCTTTGTACAAAGGACTTGGCAATTACTTCAAAATATATTTAATATTTTGTAACTGCTTCCATAAATTATATTTAATAATGACTTGCCTATAATAGGCAAATATGAATATTCATATACTCATTGGTTATTAGAAACACAAATACATTTCTATTATAAATACTTCTCTATTTAGTGTGAGCTATTGGAATTTGGATTTGAGTGTGTGACTGTACATTTGGGGTTCACTTTGGATTTCTTTTAAAGGTGTACATTTTCTGAAAGGTGTATATTTATGAAGTGATTGTTTTTTCCTAGTAAACAGGGCACACCAGTTGTCCTTGTCTGTAATAATTAGGAGAAATAGTGAGCAGAGGAACATATATATATATATACAAAAAGAAGTTAGAATTACTTTTCAATGAACGTTTTAAACTGAGTAAAAAGTCATGATAATAATAGAGACTTTAGAAGTGATAACATAGCTGGGATGGGGAAAATCAGATTAAAACAATTTTTGTGTAAACTTTTGGTAATAATCCCTGTAGTTCACATCAGTGAGTGACTCCTAAAATATCTTTGGGATATACAACAAATGCTTTTAATACAATTCTGATTCATATGTTATATTACTCCCACCTAGTATTTTGCACTGCTATACAATAACCAGTTTTTGCAATTAGCAAGACTCAATTTAAAGATGAGTGAATTCTCAAAAGATATTTAAATTGATAATGTTCAACTACATAACTTACAAGATCTTTTTCAGTTTTGAAATTCAGTTATTCTCTAACTATGCATTCTTGCATCTCAAGAGGGATATGTACAAAATTAAAATTTATGTTACTATAATATATGCAATACAAATTTTTGCAATATCTGACTGCTCCCTCTTGGGTTGGGCCACTAGCAATTGGAGGGTATAGAATCTCATCTCCTGTGGTATCAGTGCATTTGGTTCAGGTTCTGATGGGGCTGACACCTCTCTGCTCCTATCTTAGAGACACATAACCTTGGCCTGGCAATCAGCATAATTCATGCCCCAGCCCACAGTATTTGCTTCATTGGCATGTGACCCAAGTTGGTTCAATAAGACACGCACTCCCCCCTTTTTTTAATTTTTGGAAAAAGAAAGTTTTGTTTTGCTCGGATTAGAATAATTTAGATATTATGCTTCTGTCCACCAACATGTCGGAAGCATCTACCTAGACAGAAGTCAATTCAGATGAGACAGAGCAGAGTCAAGAGATGGCAAGAGAGATAGACAACTTAACAAAATTCAATTCCTTGTATCTAGCTATGCCTGAAGCAAGCAATACCCTTGGACTTCTTAGTCAGGTGACCTAACATTTTGTTTTTTGCTTAAATCAGTTTTATTTGGGTTTCTGTAACTTGCAACCAAATGAAACTTAAGAAAAAGGTTTTCAAAATTCTAGTCATTTTCATTTTATTGCAGTGGTTGCAAAACGCCATCTTTTCAGCACAGGTACTCTCTCCTCTGAACTTGGTCTCTTGCTTTGTTTTATTTCTTCTTACAGCAATATTCGGGTCAATAAAAAAAGAGATGAACAGACATACACCCCTCATTAAGTGCTAACCTTTAGCTTTACCTGGGCATTTTTAAAAGAAAGCAATCTGTCCCTTATCTGAAATTATAATGTTTACATTTGCACCCCTGAAATGTTATATATAGTAAAATTAACCTCAAGGCTTAAAAATGCCATGATATCTGTGTATCGGAAAGGTCCTCTTTTATCAGTCTTTAAAAATGACAATTAGCCAACACTTGAAAAATGACAATTAGCCAACAAAGAAGTATTAGTAACCAATTCTGACACATTTCATTTTTCATACTGTACTTTAAAAAGTAATTTGGTGCCAGGTTTATGATTGCCATATCTCTCAGTTTTAGGATTTTTTTTTTTTTCTCTCTCCTCTTTGGTTCACTTTAAAGTTTTAAATTTTTCGTACTTTCTAAATGCCTGGGATTTGGCTCAGTGGAGATACCACATTTTGAGACAACCCCATAGCTAAAAGTGGATATAAACATATGTGTAGCATTTCAATGTTCATTTATCACTTTCGGATGTGTCCCGAAAGCTATAAATAGGAAGCATGAATGCACCAACGTGCACTGACATTCATATGCATGTGAATTTGTGTGCGCAGCTACTATGATTTTCTTCGAATTTTATGATAATACTTCTTTGTGAAAATTTCATTAACTACCATACATCAGGCTCTGAGACTGTCACTTATTTAACAGAACTTTTAAATAATTCTAACACTCCAGCAATGTCAAGAATATTCATATACTCATTTCCTCTCATTCTCTGATCTCCGAATGTCAAGCAGTCAGCTCCCAGTGTGGCACTCTGGGGCTACAGGATTCAAAGCACACATGGCATTTCTCAGCACTATGCACAAAAAATGAGATCATGCATTTGAAAGGCTGGGCACAGGGCCTGACACTCAATAAGAGCTGAAATCAAGGCCAATTCTCCCATCTCCGTTTCCTGCTTCTTTCTTCGCATTGAAGGGCACATGTGTGCGCAGGCACCACATCCCCCTTTTTCTTGGAGGAGTGATATATTTCAGAATTGTTCTTGATCTTATCTCACCTAACTCTCCTTTGATAATATAATTAAATGTCCCTCTAGTATTCTGAAAAGAAATTAATGAATAAAATAATTTGCCTAAATACAAAATGCCAACTCCCCCATAATATAAGGGGAAAAATAAGAAGAGGAATTCATGACAAAAATGTATTTCTATAGGTAAATGTTTGGGCATGATCTGCTTGATTACAAAATATAATTAAATTGTTGGATGGTGGCACCTAAATGCAGAATCCTCGCAACTGCAACTGCTGCAAATGTATAATAATATGGGCATGTTTTATTGGCAACTCAAATGCCACAAGCTGTGCTGCCATCAATGGTGTGATTTTTTTTTGAAATGGTGACCAATTCTTGGTAAAGTTCCGAACAAAACTAACCACAATATTCTCTTCATGTATATGGTAGCTGCATTTCTGCAAAATTCAGTGAGTATTAAGATTGTGCAAAAATACTTTGTGTTTATTTGCAAAATGGAGATAAGCTTAAGTTCAGATGATTACAAACAGGCTTTTTACCTACATAACTGTCCAGCAGGATACTCAAGGTGCAAATGCCCTACGCACTGTAGACAGATATGTATCTCCTATGTGCTCTCTTGCCATATAATGCCTGCTCAGACGTTGTAACAATCTGAAAATGTCTCACCCATAAAAAAACTCTCCCAGGAGGTGGGTAATTCTATTACATTCTATTCCCATGGAGACTTTTTAGAACAACATGTTTAATTTCAAACCACATCTTTAAAATATTTGCAACCCATGATAAAGTATTCCATATTCTTCCAAAAATTCCTCTGGTATTACTGTCTGCTGCAATGAAGACATCACAAGTGTTCCCATGCATCCCTAAATATGTATGGATAGATTCTGGGTTTTGAATTTGCTGAAATAGCCTTGAAATAGAGACATTAATTATGTGCTTAGTTGGAGACAATGTAATAAGGCTCCTTTGCCAAAGTAATTGGAACCCTGTAGCTACGCTTTCCTGGTTATTATACAGTAGCCACAAATTTTAAGGCATATAAAACACCAGAGGCAGGTTGAATTGTAACAGCAACTCAAAGTCAGTTGAAAAAAATTCTAAATTAAGACTGAAAAAACATGACCCATCGTCACTGAAATGCTCTGTTTTATGACTTTGTGATTACCAGAATATAGTCATTTTAAAGTCCAGACTTTCTTAAAGTTCCACTTTATCCAAGAGCTGATTTAACTGTAAAAGACCTATGAAAATATTGATTCCAAAATGCTGATACAAGAAGATGTCTCTATTATTGGCTTTATTGTGCTTCGAAGGGCAAGAGAATGGTATAGCAAGATCCTACCAAAGCAGAAAAAACAAGAAGCTTGAACTTAAAACCATGTTGGGAAGGTTCATGAATGGTGATGTCAAGAAATAAATGGGCATGGTAAAAGAGAAAGACTATGAGACACTGAAAAAAGAAGAGGACAAACAAATATTTAAACATTTTTGGAATATATTATGAGACAATGACTTTCTCCATAATTATAGACTCACAAATATATTTAACAATTTGATTTGCCACCATGGCTATGAAATGAAGCTCAAATCAAGATTTTACACTCATGGCATCCAAAGAAGTTTACTTTGTGGGAGTCTCAATATGTTTTCTTTCCATGAAAATATAGTGGCTGGCTGCTATGGCTTGATTGTGTCCCCCAAAGTTCATGTGTTGAAAACTTAATCTCCAATGCAATAGTGTTGACAGCAGCACCTTAGGAGTTGATTAAGTCATAGGGGCTCTGCCCTCACATGGATTAATGCTGTTATCAGAGAAGTGGCATCCTTATGAAGGATGAGTTTGGCCCCTTCCATCTCTCCTGCGGGCTCTCTTGGTACGTGATGCCTTCCAACATATTATGACAGAGAAAGAAAGCCCTCACTAGACATGGTCCTTCAATCTTGGGCTTCACAGCTTTCACAACTGTGAAACAATAAATTTCTGTTCTCTATACGTCACCCAGTCTCAAGTATTCTGTGACAGCAGCACAAAACAGGCTTAGACATTTTCTTTTGCTGCACATTAGTCTTTTGAAAACTAGTGGTTTCCAAATAGTTGAATTTACAAAAGTAATCCACCAACCAGGCATAGGCAGGAGTCATTTGATATGACATCCTGAACTAGAGATAAAGATGTAATGTACCTTTCTGGAAGTCAATATTTTTAATGTTTTCCCAAGTTCCATGTGTGTGCTTGGGGTGAGGGGGAGGGCATTGGGTAGGAGAAAAGGGAGTTAGAACACTTCAAAATATGATGTCAAGGGAATTTACCTATCCTGATTTCTGGATACTAGTCTAGCTGATGTTCACATTTTGTCATCATTCAGTGCGCACATGCACACACGTGTGGATATGCATGTGTGAGTACATGGACATACATTACAGCACACTTTGGCCTCTTTTCTATTGCTCTCATATGCATAGCTGCTGTCTCAGGCATTTAGCTCCTCCTGTGGCTGGCTCTTTCTCAGCTTTCAGATCTTACCTCAAATGCTGCTTCTCCCGAGAGGCCTCGCAGCTTCTCTACGGAAGAAGCCATTCTCATCCACTTTCCAAGACCACATCCTGTTTATTTTCTTCAGAGCACTTACAAAGATGCGATGATCTTGTTTATTGACTTATTGACTGTTTATTGATGATTTCCCCCCATGTGTGCCATTGTTACCTCCAGACCCAGGACCATTTCTGGCACATACTAAAAACAAACAAAACAAAACAAAACAACAAACAAACAAAAACCCTTTGTTGAATAAACAAACACTGAATATAATTCTTTGGACCTAAAAACTCTGTTTTTTTATCTTCAAGTTTAATACCGTGTACTTTATTCTTTTAATGTCCTTAATGTTCTAAATGACTTTATTTTTCCCTAATAGAAACATTTATCCAAGTTTTTCCTACATTTATTTATTTAGGGGATATCCATCCCCTTAAGCATTTATTCTTTGTGTTACAAACAATCTGATCATGTTATTTTAGTTATTTTTAAATGTACAATAAAATTATTTTTTACCATAGTCACCCTGTTGCACTAACAAACACTAGGTCTTATTCATTATTTCTAGTGATTTTTTTGTACCCATTAACCATCCCCACTTCTCTGTGAAGAACCGCACCCATCACTACCCTTTCCAGCCTCTGGTAACTATCCTTTTATTCTCTATCTCCATGAGTACAATTGTTTTACTTTTTAGTCCCTACAAATAAGTGAGAACATGCGAAGTTTGTCTTTCTGTGCCTGGCTATTTTTCTATATTTAATCTGTAGCTCAACTTGATGTCAAATTGAATTAGCTACTAAATTCATCTTCATTGCATTCTAGCTCAAGTGATGTTGGATATGGCTTCTCTGGGCTTTAGTGGCCTTATCATTTATATTGAGGAACTTTCACTACTTTGGGAGCTTATTTTGTGATTACAGTCATTCTATAGAGCACAAAAGAGCTGGACCAAGGAAGAATAAAGAAAAACTTGTTAGTATAACTTCTTAAGCATCAACAGCATTGCTTTAAGAAATTGTTAATATTTAAAACAACATTTTAATGAATTCTGGAGAGACATGCCCGTTTTGTCAAACATTTATCTTGACAAGTGGCGTCTAGTTCTAATTCTATTTGGACGCTGCAGGATCCCCTCATCTCAATACTATTCTTCTGTTCTCTCGCACTGGGCCCCATCCAAGTTAATTATAAAATGGTCCTTTGTGAAACGTAAGTGCATTTTGTTCACCACTCCTATCCAAGAGGTCCTTTCCACTCGGCCTCCAAAAGGAAAACAAAACAAAAATTATATTTTACAAATATAGGGTTCTATTTTTAGGAAGGGAAAAGAAAGGTGGGACTAAGTGTCCTATGTTTTGAGTTCCTTTCCTGACTTTGCCACTCACCAGCTGTGTGACCTAATACAAGTCTATTGATCTCTTTGTGTATCAGTTTCCTCATTTAAAATATATGAAATTTATAAATGATAATGTCTACCTCACAAAACATACCTAATGATGAATAAGTCACCACATCTAACACATGAAGTATACTTAATTCTTCTATCACTGATACTCTTTCTATAACAAGTTATATTTCCTTTCTCTATATAAGTTATATTTAAATTAACTGAAAAATATTCCTTACAGTGAAGTTTTTGTATGTATCAAGAAAACTGTATGTCCTAAAATTCTTGGTTTAGGATTAGCCTGAAACACTGGTCTGAGGTAAAACACCTGAGTTTCAGTTTCAGTTAAGCTGAAGGGCTTTGAGCCAATCGTTTCACCTCTGTACTTCATTTCATCTCATATGTTAAACATAGAGGGTGGATTAGCCAGGTGTGGTGGCGGGCTCCTGTGATCTCAGCTACTCAGGAGGCTGAGGCACAAGAATCCCTTGAACCTAGAGGCGGAGGTTGCAGTGAGCCAAGTTTATGCCACTGCCCTCCATCCTAGGCGACAGAGCAAGACTGTCTCAACACACACACACACACACACACATACACATGAACAAAAACCATGGAGGGTGGGTTTAGATTAGTAGCTCCCAACTTTGGCTACACATTGGTATCATCTGGAAGACTGAAAACAGATAATGCCTTTGGCTCCACCATCAGAAAGTATGGTTTGGACTGGGGCTTGGCATTGGTATTTAAAGGTTAAAAGTATCTCCTCTGGGATTTCTAATGTGAAGCTAGGGTCGAAAACTTTTAATCCTTCAATACCTACAGCTATTGAGAAACCAACAAATAAGAAAGGACAAGGTTTTTAGGATGGCCTATGTTTTTCCTAAGGATATAAAATATAAGACATGGGTTCAAATTAAGTAATATCCTACCTTAAAACTTAAAAAGCCTTTGAAGAAAAAATAAAATTTCATCTTATACAAAAAAAGACATGGACTACAAATGAATAGGTATATGATACTGTTATTGTAAAAATTCCATTATTAGTACCATGGCATCAAACTATAAGGTTAATATAGAATTATAGAATCCAGAATTATTTGAAAAATTGTTATAAACTATTTGTTCAAACAATAAAATATTTTTACCAAGTTCTCTTTAATAATACTGCTATCTGCTGTATAGTATAATAAATAAGACAGCAAACTATTTTTAACTATAAACAATTCAGGCCCTTTTAAGTGTGAAAGGATGCCTTAGCTAAACAGAAGGAAGAAGAATGAAACTTTCTATTTAGAAGCTGTTATGAGTCAGGCATTGGAGTAGGTGCTACTGTATTTGATAAGTCATCCGCATACTATTCTGTGAAGTATGTGTAACTCTTCCCATCTTACAGATATCCAAAGTCTTGTTAATACAGGCAAAGGGATCTTCCCATGGGGCTTTCCAGGGAAAGTAGCAGAGTCAGGATTTGAATCTGGACATTCTGGTTTGTTAGCACATTTTATAATAAATCATTATTTATAGTCTGTAAGCTCTAGAGCATTAAAATTCACTATACTCACAATACATAGTCTACAAAATTCCTCCTGTATTTTTTTCCCCACTTTTCTTCCCCACTCATTCATCCGTTCACTTATTCAGCTACCAATGAGCCCATCCACCAAACACTTAAGTGACTAGTTGATGTCAGGCTGGAAATGCAGATACCCAAGAAAAGCAGCAATTGGAATGTAAGTTGTCTAAGGCACGGGCACTGAGGCAACCAGGAAACATTTTGGAAAACAACAAAACAGAAAAATCAGATTGGTCTTAAGAAACCTATTAAAGCAGCACATAGTGACTCAGAACAGACATAAACAAAATCATGTTAGAGAGACAGATTGGCCCTCAGGCTGATAAGGCAGGATTAACTGGTGAATGCACAGGAAGAATGTGCCAATCAATAGAGGAGCTGATTAAGTTTGGAAATGTAGGAACATCAAGGTCACAGAGGTGAATAGGAACAGGGATGAGTGCTGACTCAGAAGAATGTGCCTTGGCATGCTGACTCAAGTGGCCTGTATGCTGACAGGCATGGACTGGGAGGACGGGTACTCAAGTTACTTTCTTGATTCTCTTTGTTCTGCATCCATGATTTCCACACAACCTTCTGGTTACTTTGGCTTCCTACATAGATTGGCTACAGCATTCAATTTTTTTTTTTTTTAAATACTGATACTTAGGCCTCACCAGAGACTAATTAAATCTGAATTACTTGAGAGTAGTGCTGAATAGTTGTACATCTCTAAAGCTCCTCAAGTGATTCACATACATAACATGGGTTTGGCAAACATTTTCTGTAATGGGCAAGATAGTAAATATTTTAGGCTTTGTGGGCCATATGGTCTCTGTTGTAACTATTCAACTTTGCTATTGCAGCACAAAAGCAGTTATAGATAATACTTAAATGAATGAGTATGGCTGTGTTCCAGTAAAACTTTATTTATAGACAATGACATTTGAATTTTGTACAATTTTCATCAAAAAATTTTATTCTTCTTTTGACTTCTTTCATTTTAAATGTAAAAATGCAAAAACCACTGTGAATTTGTGGCTGTACAAAAACAGGTGGGGGGCTGCATTTGTCTCACAGGTCAGGGTAGCCAAACCCTGGTCTGTGGAGATAATACAAATGCACAGACATGTTTCATCACAAATGAACCAGGATTCTCATTTCTTTTTTTTTTTTTTTTTTTTTTTTTGAGACAGAGTCTTGCTGTGTCGCCCAGGCTGGAGTACAGTGGCACAATCTCGGCTCACTGCAAGCTCGCCTCCTGGGTTCAGGCCATTCTCCTGCCTCAGCCTCCCGAGTAGCTGGGACTACAGGTGCCCGCCACCACGCCCGGCTAATTTTTTGTATTTTTAGTAGAGATGGGGTTTCACTGTGTTAGCCAGGATGGTCTCAATCTCCTGACCTCGTGATCCGCCCGCCTCTGCCTCCCAAAGTGCAGGGATTACAGGCGTGAGCCACCGCGCCCGGCCCAGGATTCTCATTTCTAATACACCGGTCTCTCAGATTTCTGTTGTGAGAGGCCAGTATTGCGAAGTAAATAAACTTTAGGACTTTGAATAAATCAAGTTTTTCTAAACCCGTGTGGCTGAGATCTAGACTCTGGGTAATGGAGAAATCACTGAGACAAATGACTTCATATGGAGAACTGACTAGAGAAGCCACTACCTTTCCTCAATGAGACTGCTTCCCCATTCCCAAATGATGTGAGCTGCATAAATTAGACATTTATTAGGCATAGTTAGCATGTTTATTTATTTATTTATTTACTTATTTATTTTACTTTAAGTTCTGGGGTGCATGTGTAGAACATGAAGTTTTGTTACAAATTTTTGCAATCTATCCTTCTGACAAAGGGCTAACATCCAGAATCTACAAAGAATTTAAGCACGTTTTATAATAAATCATTATTTATAGTCTGTAAGCTCTAGAGCAACATCGTCTGACATAGCAGCCACTCACCCATGTGGCTACTGACTACTTGAAATGTGGTTGGTTCAAATTGAGGTGTGCTATGTTAAAATACACACTGGATTTTGGAGGCAGTATGAAAAAAAGAGTATAACATATCTCACTAATAATTTTTATATGTCATAACAATTGTGTCAAAATAGTAATATTTTGCATATACTGGTTTAAATCAAATCTATTATTAAAATTAATTTTACCTGTTTATTTTTAAATGTAAATAACAGAAAACTTTAAATTACCTATGGGGCTCCTATTATATGTCTCTTGGGTAGTGCTACTCTAGACAGCAGAGGTTGAACTGTCCTAAACCCAGGGTTTATGGCAGAATTTGGAACATGGTGGCTTCTAAGTAATTGTTTATTGCGGGAATGGATGTAACTCTGTGATGTGTGCACCCAGGAGGTACAATAGACTCCAAGCAAGCGGTGATGATTTAGCTTCAACTTGAAGGCTAAATGTTAATCAGGTGCCAGAGAGGAAGGAAAAATGAGAAAAATACACAAATTCTGCCTGCTACTGTTCTTTTCTGTTTGTTTGTTTTGTTTTGTGTTTGTTTGTTTTTGTTTTTTTTTTTTGAGATGGAGTTTTGCTCTTGTTGCCCAGGCTGGAGTGCAATGGTGCGATCTTGGCTCACTGCAACCTCCACCTCCCAGGTTTAAGGGATTCTCCTGACTCAGCCTCCCGAGTATCTGGGATTACAGGCGCCCACCATCATGTCCAGCTAATTTTTTGCATTTTTAGTAGAGATGGGGTATCACTATGTTGGACAGGCTGGTCTCAAACTCCTGACCTCAGGCGATCCACCCGCCTCGGCCTCCCAAAGTGCTGGGATTACAGGTATGAGCCACTGTGCCTGACCCCTGCTCCTGTTCTTGACTAACTCCCTATCCTTGTCATGTTTTCCAGTTACAATCCCAGCTCCATGGTGTCTTCAACCTTTGCTACTAGAAGCTTTGCCCCAGACCAAAGGAGCATAGTCACAGTGCCAGGGAGACTCAGGCAGGCATGTGTTCCTCTAACATCCCAGGAGAAAAAATACTCTGTGTTAATTCTAAAATATTTTTTTTCTGTTTGTCTTCAACGATATAAGAGAAGAAATACTTCATGAGATGCTAAATGAAAGCCAAGCAAGTCTAAAGCACTTTAGTGTTGGTCAATCGCTTTTGGTTGGTGTTACCTTTATTGGCTGATGTTGCTGCCTCTGGCTGCATAATCTTTGATCATTTTTAAACTGCTGTTTAGCTTTTTGTAGTTTGGTGCTTAGATGTATTATTTTCCTTTGATTATGTGATAATTTGGGCTTGACTCATAATGGTTAATCCAGAATCCATTACCATCACTTTCTCTCTTCTGGGGTAATCTCTACCACGGAGGCTAGAATAGTGAATTCCCAAGCTCTGAGTCTCTCCTGCACATAAGGATTACCACATGACTCAGTTCTGGCCAAAGGGATATGGGTAGGAATTCCTCGAAGAAGATCTTTTCCCATAAAAAGGAAAAGCCTTGCTAGTAGCCTCTTGGTCACTTTGCCACTTGACTGGAATGCAGGTTGGAGGTGCAGCAATCATCTTGTGACCATGAGAGGACGAACATGAGGATGACACATTGAGAAAAGTAGGCCAGACAGAGCCCCAGTCCTGCAAGACCCTGTGGAGGCCTGACTTCCTTTAGATTTTATATTGTGTGGGGAAAATAAATCCTGACCTCATTAAGCCAATGTTAGTCTAATTTTCTATTACCTGCAGTGAATACATTACCTCATAGAGTAACTATTGTTTATAATATTATTATAATAAAAGTCTTCTCCCCTCCACAGCAGAAATCTCCCAATGACTGTGCTTCTCTTACATCTTTCATCCACTTATCTGGTTCTCTCTGCTCTCTCTCTTCTCTTCTCTTCTCTCTATCAGGTCTTGACTCATCAAGTTTGGAATCTAGGGAAGGTTTTACATATAGGAGAAATGCAATGCCCTGAACAGCAGTGGTGGTTTGGAAGCACAGTCAGTAACACATGCAGCTCCTTCACATCTTGATCATGCTCTCTCCAAAGGAAAGAGTGTCCATCACAGCACTTGGCTGAATGTGTACCCGACCCTTGGCCAGAAGGGTTGACGATTCGAGGAGGGATGAGATTGCCACCAGAGGTAATAGAGCCAGGAGAGGTGGTGTGGCAGCTCCTCATGTTGGAATGTGAATGTTACCTCCACATTTGGTAAGCCCTTGGGTATTAGAGAACATATTTCAGTTCTTTTTGGGCTACACGGCCTTTTGTGTTCTGTGGTAAACCCACACAAGCCTTGTCATCTCAGCAAAATCATCAGGCTCTAGTTAGAAAAGCATTCCTCCACACAGATAAGAAAAAGAAGCCTCCAATCCAAAAACAGCCAAGTCAACAAAGGAAAGTTGAAAAGATGCCCAGACTACAGCACAGAGACATATTAACTCAGAAAAAGAAAATGTCTTTTTCCCCTCAAGCTGTTTATTCAGAACTTTTTAATGTAACCAGGTGACATTGGGTAATGTTGATATAACTAGAGTTCCTTACTTTTCTTTCAACACAATGATATGCTCTGCCTTCTTTCTATAATTTCTTTATCTGGCAATATCGAGGATAAAAAAATACCTAGGATATTTTGGGTGAAATAAGCCTCTCTTGTTTCCTATATAAAGCCATGTGGAATCACAGGTAGAGAGAACAGGCAAAGACACATCCCACTGACAGGTAACTTTATCTGAATATTTGCTTGAATATGTCTTGCATATTGTGATTTAGTTACTTCATTTCAAAGTCTACACTATTTTTTTTCCAGCATGTTACTGTATTGCACATCATTACTATATTATAAGGTCATTTTCCATGGAGTTATGTATATACACGCAAATGTAGGATTTCAGAATGAATACTCTTATTGTGAAGCCTCTGAAAATGGTGCTTAGGAATTGGGCAATTTCCTTTACTGAGAGTCCAATTTACTTAGTATATTTTATAGGTCAGCTTTGAGAGTGTTCAGCTTACATAACCCCCTCCACCATCTCTCTCTACAGCTGCCTGAAGGACACAACTCTAGGAAATGCCCATTCATCCTCTCCCACTCATAACTGTTTTGTGCCCAACCTCTGAATGCCTCTTTCCTTTGTCTCTGAAGACTTGAAGCTAACTCCTTCCCGACATTACCAAAGATTTTCTCTCTAGGTCCCCTACCAGAGTCCCTGCTTCTACTGCTCTACTAAAAAACCTGTCTTCAGTTACCTACAGCTTCCACTACTCCTTCTTTCTCTGAATTCTTACTCCTTATAATTCCTGGGATATCTAGCTGTAGTCATTGATTCATTCATTGAAAAACATTTGATTAGCAACAGGAACCATTCTAGGCTCTGTAGATAATGCAGTGATAAGGCACGTAAGAGCCTACGAGTCTAGACAGACAAGAGGACAATGAATACATTAATAAATAAGAAAACCAGGTATTATGGTTTTATCATAACCTGGTGTTATGATAAAAAACCAGGTATTATGGTTTTATCATAACCTGGTGTTATGATAAAATAAAATGGAGGTTAGGAGACACAAAGGGACAAGGGGACTTTCTGAGCAGGAAACATTTCCATTGAAACTTGAATGTTACGAGTTTCTTCATCACTGAGCTTATGATCTGCGTTCTGTGTCCTAATATGATTAATTCATCAAAACAACAACCACAAACACTTTTCAGGAAGGAATTTTAAAAGGAAAATGGTGCATGCTTTGTGATACGGCATTTGTGTTTCTGGAGAATGGGATAATCATTTATTTCTTCATGCACATAGAACTTACAATACTCTCATTCATGGGGAAGCATGAAATGAACTGCGCTGTGTGGGACCACGGTATAGGGTGTGGAGAAGATGCTCTGCATAGAACTGCTCAAGTCATCATGTCTTTCTCTTTATCATCAGGATGTACCTGAAAGCTCTTGTGGGAGAGAGAGAGAGAGAGAGAGAGGGTGCATAAGATTGTCTCTGTGACTGAAGAGTCTGAATAGGTAACCCTAGAAAACCTCAAATGCATTTATGTCCAGCTTTCCTTTATGAAAAATGAATTGTAAGGAGAACCAATCCCAGGAGCATTTGTGAAGTAGGTAACAAATGTAAGTGACATGTCAAAAGAAAATGGTTGGCAGCAAAAGTGAAAAATGATGTAGGGTTAAAGTCAATACTATTGTTTTGGTCAAAATTAAAATGATTTTAACTCCTATTCATTGCATGTCAATTCTATTTGGCTAGCTCTAAAATTTCACAGTTCTATGTTGTCAAAACTCAGGGGTTTCAAATAAGATATAAAAAGACTCTCTTTGTGTTCAACTGCTTAACTGGCTTATCATGTACTTTGCAAACATCTCCTGATATTTCCAGTCTTGAATAAAAGCAGACTCTGTCAACCCCTAGGTCAGTACAAAAGTCAAGTTGAAAGCAGGCTTGAGTACTTTTATATAATACTTTTTTTCAAGCATAGAAATTGTTTTGGTTATAAAGTAGGTCTTCATGTTACTGCCAGGCTAGGGTTAAAAGATAATTCTGCTTTTGTAACCCAAAATACTTGAGTATGGGCAGCAACATCAACATGAAGATAAAACAAGATTTGCCCCAGGGAATCCAAATGAGATTAATCTATCAGGCAAATGACAGTGAAATGCAATAAAGACAAAGATGGCAGGCCCATGAGATCATCAACTATGAGTGATTTCTCCCTCAAAATCCACACAGTTATAAACATATAAGAATATATCCCTAGCTGGAAATATAACAAGAAAGGTGTATTAGTTTCCTAGGGCTGCCATAACTACCACAAAGTTGGTGGCTTAAGACAACAAATCTATTCTCTCACAATTATGGAAGCTAAAAGCCCCAAATTAAGGTGTCACCAAAGCCATGCTCCCTATGAAGACTCTAGGGACAAATTCTTCCTAGCCCCTTCCTAGCTTCTGGTGGGTCCTGGCAATCCTTGGCATTCTCTGGCTTGTGGCTGCATCATCCCAATCTCTGTCTTGGCCTTCATGTTCCTTTCTGTGTGTCCCCTCTTCTCACAAGGATACCAGTCATGGGATTTAGGGCCCACTCTCTTAGCAACCTCACTTTAACAACTAATTACATCCACAAAGACTCTATTTCCAAATAAGATCACATTCCGAGATTCTGCATAGACATGAATTTGGGTAGGGACACTATTTGAATGATTATTAGTGTCAGAAGATTTATGTTTAGATATAAACAAGAAAACTATGAAAAATAAGAAAACAGTGGAAAGAACACTGGCCTCAGAGCTAGAAACCTGGGGCTCATTCTTTCTTTTCTATGATTAAATTGCTGAATCTAAGAAAATCACTTACATAGTGCCTGATCCAGAGTAAGTGACAGCTTATAATTATTATAATTATTGATCTCCCTATTCTATATTCCACCCTGCCTGTTACCAACATGATCATGTTTGCAAAACTCAAATCTAATATCATTATTTAAAACCTTACATGTTATCCAGTTGATTACCAGATAAAGTTCTCAGTAGATAAAATACCCCTTATTATCTGATCTCATATCTCCCCCCAAGTCTTCCACTCCTCACCCAACAGTCACTCTATGTCCCAGATGCATTGAGCAAAACTGGGTTGCCTTCTCACACCTCCTTGTCCTTGCTCATACAGTCCCCAAGTCTGGGATGCTCCAGACTCCTTGTCCACCTGGTGAATATAAACTCAGACCTAGTCAGTGCTCAGATGCCAGCCCCCTGAGGCTTCCCTGAAGCTTTCATCAGAATGATGGGCTCCTGTTCTCTGCTCTTGGAGCATATCAATACCTCACATTTGCTTGTGATTATTTATTGGCATATCTTCTCTTGTGCATTAGGAGTTTTCTCAGGCTAAGCAAAATGTCTTATCAATTCTTAAAGCTCCAACTCCTTGGGAGGAAGTATAACATATGGAAAATAACATATGGCTTGGAGTCGGACAGGCCTCTGTTCTGCCTTTTTACCAGCTGTGCAAACTTGGAGAAGTTACTTAACCTGTAAATTGGGGTAATAAATGTACCTACCTACTGTGGTTTGTGGTAATGTTTGCAATGCATAATGCCAAGAACATAGTAAAGAATACTTAATAAATGCCTTTAACTAAATAGTGGTAGTTGAGTACAACTGAAAAATTATGCAAGACTATAGATTGTTGCTGATCCCAATTAAGAATCTCCCACTCATGGCTCAGCATGGTGGCTCATGCCTGTAATCCCAGCACTTTGGGATGCCCAGCTGGGAGGACAGCTTGAAACTAGGAGTTTGAGACCAGCCTGGGCAATAGAGGGAGACCCCATCTTTACACACACACACACACACACACACACACACACACACACACACACACACACACACACACACAGAAAATTAAATTAGCTGGGCATGGTGACTCGTGCCTGTGGTCCCAGCTACTAGGGAAGCTGAGGTGGTAGTATCCCTTGAGCCTGGGAGGTCCAAGCTGTAGTGAGCCATTCTTGTGCCACTGCACTCCAGCCTGGGTAACAGAATCACACCTCGTCTGAAAACAAAAAACAAAATGCCAAAAGAACCCTCCCGCTTAGTTTAATCTTCTTATTTTTTTCCTCGGTAATTCCTTTGCCTACTCTCCTCAGTCTTCATCCAAATACTCACTGCTCTCCTAGAACTCCACCTAACCTTATTCTCAGCAGATTACCTTACCTCTTACTAGGAAAAAAAAATGAATAAGTAAATAAATAACAGTCAAGTATGAACTCTTTCAACTCCCTTCTGTCCCACCACTCTCTCTGAGAGACATACACACATTCTCACAAACTTGTCTACATATTCATTTATGATGGCTTGCTTCCTTCCTTTCTGGGCCTGAAAAAGAAATATCCCTATCATCCTTTGACTGTTGAATGCCAGCCCCCATTCTGTGTGCCTATGACCCTGGCCTGGGCCTCTCCTTCTTCCTCCAGGACTCTGCCTCATAATGCCCTCTCTTGTCAACACCAGCTTTCTAGGGGGGCATCCTTCCCTGTAGCCTACAAATATACTAAGCATCTCATCCCAAATCAAACAGACAAGATCAAGAGTCTCCCACGGCTCTGCTCCTAAACTTTTTCTTGCCTTTCTCCTTCCAATTTCATCCACACTTTCAAAGAACAGTGTGGAAAAGCAGTCTCAACTTCTTCACTCACATACTCCTCAATCCACCTTACTGCAACTAAAGACAAGCACTACAGTGAAATCACTTCACTAAAGTTACCTTTGTCCTCTTCATTACCAAATTTAATGAATATCTTTACAAAAGCTATTTATAGTGGCACCTCTTCTATATTCAATACAATTGATCACTTTGTTTTGAAAACTATTTGAACTTCTGTGCTCTGGGATACAACTCTCTTCTAGTTTCTCTGATACATTTCTGACTGTGCTGTTGATTTTTTTAAAATTTTTTTCTCCAGTTTTATTGAGGTTGAATTGACAAATATAAATTGTATTTATTTACACTGCACAACATGATGTTTTCGTATACATACACATTGTGAAATTATTACCACAATCAAGCTAATTAACATATCTATCATCTCACATAGTTACCTTTTTTTTTGTGGTGGGAATATTTAAAATCTATTCTTTTAGCAGTTTTCAAGTATACAGTATATTCTTTTTTTTTTTTCTGTGACAGGGTCTTGCTGTGTCTCCCAGGCTGGAGTGCAGTGGCGTGATCTCTGCTCATTGCAGTCCCCTCCTCTGGGGGTCAAGCGACCCCCACCACCTCAGCTTCCCGAGTAGCTGGAACCACAGGTAAGTGCCACCATGCCCGGCTAATTTTTATATTTTTTGGTAGAGATGGGGTTTTGTCAGGTTACCCAGGCAGGTCTCAAACTCCTGAGCTCAAGTGATCTGCCTGTCTCCACTTCCCAAAGTACTGGGATTAGAGGCGTGAGCCACTGCGCCTGGCCTGTATACAGTACATGCTTATGTTACTGTAGTCATCATATTATGCAATAGATTTCTAAAACCTATAAATTCTTCATTGAATTTTCTACTAGAGAGCTGTACTTCAAGTGCTGGTGACCCTGTGACCTTCATCTTTGGCCTGACATTCTTCCCACTTTTCCACTTATGCTAGAGACTCTCCTTGAAAAATGGCATCCACGTTCATGTTTTTCTCTTACCGTGACCTTTGACTTTCAAATTGCATGCCTTCCTTGAGTTTCAGAGTTGATTATCCTACTGCCAACTGATTTTCTCTAACTGAATATTCTACAGGCATTTGAAGTTTAGCTTTTTTAACGGTGAACTGATTATATTTTCTCTTGATCCTCTTCATACATTCTCTTTTATAGGCAGCACAATCACCCACAGTCAAGGCCTAATGGAGGGTGTGTCGGGGCAGAGATTCAAGATGATGGCCTCTATGGGGTATACCTGAAATTTAGGGCAGGCTCTGTAGCCTAGGAGTAAAGACAAAAGCCTTGGAAGCAAATTATCTTGGCTCTTCAAAGAATCACCTCTGTGGTTCCTCTTGATTATATGTGTGTAGGGCAAGAAGGTACCTTTTGACCTAGGATAAGACCAAAAGGATATGAGTTTTGTTGTTGTTGTTTAAATGCTTATCGAAAACTGTTTCACTTGCTGATATTCAGAGCTGCTTCCTAGGGTGGAGGTGGAAAAATGTGTAAACGTAGCTCGGGGCTAATGTGTGCTTCTTGTGATTTGAAGTTCCAAAGATCTGTGGTATAGACTAGGAGTCTAGCTCAAGACTCCTCGGCCAACACCTTCAACCACCCACTCCACTTACCCCACCCCCATCCAACTAATCGCAAATCATTTTTCTTAAATATTTATTGACTCCACCTCCCCTGCTGCATATTTATCACCACTTTTCTAAACCAACTGTTTACCATCCGTCCTTTGAGTGCTATAGTAACCTCTTTGATAGGGTTCCCAGTAATGTCTTGTCCTTCTCGAATCTAACTTCCACTAAGCCATCTGAGTGGCCAAACTAAAATTCAAAACCTTGCAATAACTTTCTATTTCTTACATGATAAAGACTTAGCTCATTAAATGGCACAAAATCCTCTCCAGGATCTAGCATTGTTGGTTTCATCCATCTCAGCTCCCTGCTTACACTATTCTGCAGTTCCTGGAAGCTGGATGGAGCTCTTCACAACACATTATTTCCCTTTCCCTCTTTTACCTCTGGCTTATGTGATCTGTTTTGCTTGGAATGTCTGTTCCGGCCTCCTCATCAGTGTAAATCCCACCCATCTTCCAAAGGCTCAGGTGATGCCTGAGTTGTATCAAATGAACCTGTTCCTTCATTTCATGGCACCCTGGCCTCATGTCTGCTGGCTTGTTTCTACGCTGTACTGTATTCATCTATTTATTTTTCTGCCTCTCCCTGTCCCTGCCTCCTCCACCTGAAGGATAAATTCTCACTAATTTTTATATCTCTTGCACCTATCACAGTGCTTGAAACATAATAAATACTCTGTAAATGCTCACTCAACTGAATAAGTGAATTCCAGCTCTCCCACAAATTTATTATGACCTTGGGCAAGT
Source organism: Homo sapiens (assembly GCF_000001405.40). Classification (NCBI taxonomy): domain Eukaryota; kingdom Metazoa; phylum Chordata; class Mammalia; order Primates; family Hominidae; genus Homo; species Homo sapiens. Next base: position 72,776,648 of record NC_000006.12, on the reverse strand, counting down.
CTCAAATTCTCTGGCACTCAGTTATTTCATGTGAAGTTAAGGAGCTGAACTAATCTCTTAAATGTCCCTTTCAGTTCCAACATTCTATGATGCTTGTATTATATTTGTTGAAAGAGTGTAATGGAGTGAAAGTTAATTTTTAATAGTCCATAATTACTAACAAAAAAATTCCCTATTTCATCACTCATCTCTTCTGCATGAAGTTTGATATATAAAGAGTTGAACTTAAAATATCTCTAAGTAATTGTTCATAAAGCTCCTACCTTAATGTGTTGGAGTAAACAGAAGTAATTCACATTCATAAAGTTTAATGACTAGAAATCTATTTAAATTTGTAGAAAAAACAAAGAATAATTCCTACATTATAAATGGCTATTGGGTTATGCAACTATTCCTTGTTTTCTACCTATATATTCTGTTATTGTTAATAACTTGATGTTGGAGAGCACGCTTCCCAGTTGCGGTGTAACACAGTGCCTACTCTATGAATTGTTTATTATTTTAAATACACTTTTAATTTTGGAATAATTTTAGATTTACAGAAAACTTGCAAAGATAGTACAGAAAGTTCTAGTACATCCTGTACTAAGTTCCCCTATTGCTAACATATTACATTAGTAGGGTACCTGTGTCATAATTAATGAACCAATATTGATACATTATTAAAGTCCATACTTTATTCAGATTTCCTTAGTTTTTACCTCATATCATTTTTTCTGTTCTAGGATCCCATCCAGGATACTGCACTACATTTAGATTTCGTGTCTCCTAGGATATTCTTGGCTCTGACAAGTTCTCAGGCTTTCCTTGTTTTGGATGACCTTGACAGTTTTGAGGAGTACAGATGAGCTATTTTGTGGAATGTCCCTCAATGTGGGCATGTCTGATGTTACCATGATGGGACTGGGGTTATGGGTTTTGGGGAGGAAGACCACAGATGTAAAGTGCCATTCTCATCACATCATGCCAAGGCTGCATATTGTCAAATGACTTATGAGTGATGATGTCGACCGCAATCACCTGGCTGAGGTAACGTTTGCCAGCCTTCTCCACTGTAAAGTTATTTTTCTCCCCTCCTGTCCATATTGTGGAAGTCATTATGTGCAGCCTGCCCTTAAAAGGCAGAGGTATGTTCCAGCTCCATGGGGGTTATCTACATAAATTATTTGGAGCTTTCTGCATGGCAAATGTGTCTCTTCTCCTTCACTGATTAATTTATTCAATCACTTATTTGTATCAGTATAGGCTTATGAATTGTGGGTTATTTTTGAAACACCAAATTTACATTAAATAGAAATAAAAGGAGAACAAAATAAACATAAAGCAGGGAAAGGGACAAAGTGTGTTCATTTGCTTCTGGCTTCTTTCACTCAATATTTTTTGGGGGAGGTGGAGGTAAGGTGACATTCATCCATGTTGTTGCATATAGCTTTAGATTATTCTTATTGCTGTGTAGTATGAATGCATATTATGTAAATATATCACAGTGTCTTTCCATATGTATAGTTGTAGGTCATTCCCACTGCTGTATGCTATTCCTAGTGTGAATATAACACATGTATTTATGTTTCCTTCTGTTGCTGTGCATTGGATAGTTCCCAGGTTGTGACAATATGGATAGTGCCACTATGGACATTCAGGTATATGTCTTTTCATGAACATATGGACACATTTGTGTTGCTACCAAAGAATGAAATTGTTAGATCAAAGGACACCTATGATCACCTCAAGTAGATAATGCAGTTTTCCAAAGGAGTTGTACCCACTGACACAGTCACCAGCAGGGTACAAGTCCCATTTGTTCTGCATCCTTGACAACATTTGGAATTGCCAATCTTTTTCATCTGTGGATACACAGAAGTATGTCATTGACATTTTATTTTTTATTTTACTGATAACTAATTAAGCCGAGAACCTTTTCATGTTTATTGGCCATTTGATATTATCTTTTGTGAAACTTTCATAATTTCCTATTGTTTTTTGCTGTTGGATTGTCTTTGTTCTTATTAATCTGTAGGGTGTGTGTGTGTGTGTGTGTGTTTATATACTGGATATAAATTCTTTGTTGAATATATGTATTTTGAATATCTTCTTTCACCGTGTGGATTGCCTTTTCATAATCTTAACAGTGTCTTTTGATAAACACATTTTTAAATGTTAATGTAATCTAATATAGCACATCTTATTTTTTGGTTTCTACCCTTTGTTTTAGTTTAAGAAATCTTTGCTTACTTGAGCTTCAAAAAGATGTTCTAGAAAAGGGATTGGAAAACTATAGCCTGCAATCCAAACCCAGCCTGTCACCTGTTTTTATAAATAAAGTTTTATTGGAGTTCAGACAGGCTAATCTGCTTATATATTGTTTATGACTTATTTTGTGCTACCATGGAAGAGAGTTGAATAATTGCAACAGAGATTGTAGGATATGCAAAGCCTGAAATATTTAATATTGGGCACTTCAAGAAAAGTTTGCCAACCCCTATTTTAGAAGATTTTGTTTTTAACCTTTACACCTAGATTTGCAATTCATCTAGAATTGATTTTCATGTATGTTGTGATGAAAGAGTCAAGATTCATTTTTTTTTCCATAAGGCTATCCAATTGACCTTGCAGTTCTTGCTGGGGGAAAAAATTATTTTCCCACTGCACCACAGTGTCATCTTTGTCATAAATAAGATGACCAGTAAGCATGGGTCTGCTTCTGGAATCTCTATTCTGTTCCATTGATTTACTGCTATCTAACCTCTCACCAATACTACACTATCTTAAATGCTACAGTTCTATAATAGGTCTTATATTTTGTAATATAAATCCATCTGAAGACATTAGCTGTCCTTTACATTTCCATACACACTTTAGAAAGTTTGATATTGATTTTGCCAAATATTTTAATTGTTAGGGAAGTGAAAAAAAGATTTCCATTTAAAAAAATATATGTTTTCAGGTATGAAAAGAATGCTTCAAACTAAATATAAATTTAACTTTTAAAAACATTTAGACAAGTGAATAGCATCTATATAATATTACCTTTGTTTATTTATTTTTTAATTGTGCTTTAAGTTCTGGGATACATGTGCAGAACGTGTAGGTTTCTTACACAGGTATACACATGCCATGGTGGTTTGCTGCATCCATCAACCCATCATCTACATTAGGTATTTCTCCTAATGCTATCCCTCCCCTAGCTTCCCACCCCCTGACAGGCCCTGGTGTGTGATATTCCCCTCCCTGTGTCCATGTGTTCTCATCGCTCAACTCCCACATATGAGTGAGAACAAGTTTGCTGAGAATGATGGTTTCCAGCTTCATCCATGTCCCTGCACAGGACATGAACTCATCCTTTTTTATGGCTGCGTAGTATTCCATGGTGTATATGTGCCACATTTTCTTTATCCAGTCTATCACTGATGGGCATTTGGGTTGGTTCCATGTCTTTGCTATTGTAAATAGTGCTGCAATAAACATATGTGTGCATGTGTCTTTGTAGTAGAATGATTTATAATCCTTTGGGTATACACCCAGTAATTTGACCCAGTAATGGGATTGCTGGGTCAAATGGTATTTCTAGTTCTAGATCCTTTTGTTTATTGATATATTCAATATAGCGTTTTACAAGGGGCAACACTGATAAGCTAAAATCTAGATTATCCGTGACATGCAAACAAAAGCTGTCCTTAACAATATAGTTTAATTTTAAAATTTCCTGTTAGAGATCTATAAAGAACTATTGCAATTCAGGTGTGGTAGGTGTGCAGACATTATCCTTTCAATAAAAGCTCTTTGGTAGCTTCAGAGTTCTTAGGAGAAAGCTGTAGTTGAACATTTCTCAATGTTTGCAAGTGAGAAAGGGTGGTGCTGTTATTTTTTCTGAACATTGCAGTTCAGTGACATTTTTTAAAAGTAATGTTGTTTTCTTATCCAACAAGCAACAATTGACAGGTTGAGCAAGTAGGAATGCTGCACAGCCCTTCAATACATCTTGTGGGATTTAGTGAATTTTGAGCTAGCTTCGGCTGACATGTTAGATGCATAGCACTTTCCCTACATTCTCTCATTAGAACAACCCCAGATGGAGGCTGGTAAAGGATGGCCATTTCACAAGGTTAACACGTGTTAATGTTGTCAAAATACCTGTTTTTATTTTCACTTCTCTGAAGCTATTTATTTTACCAGAATAGAAAATAAATTTCTCTTCTTAGTGTATAAAGCCACTTGACAATTTATAATGAGTTATATATAAATATTATAACCTGCTGTCCACTCTCTAAAACTTGTTCATTATCATTCTTTTCAACAATTAGCTTTGAGAGTTTCCTCATGGCACTTTGTCATAAAATAGGCTATTAGAGGCTATTGCAATGGTTGATTATAAGTTCAGGTCTACATTGAAATTTTGTATGTGATCTTTTGCATCGATGTATTCTCTGTGTAAGTATTTTAAAAGATATGTAATAGCCTTAAAATTGTAACTGCACTAGAGAAAATGTAAGTCAAGATAGAGAATTTGCTAATTTAGGGCTAAATTTCATAGTGCAATATTTTTCATAAACTCAAAATAATAAAGACACTCAGTGAAAAGTCGGTATCATAAAATATATAAAGTAAGTTCTTAAGGCAAAAAATCAACTTTTTAGGGTTATGAATCATGTTAGAATTTGCTGAAAACCATAGACTATCTCCCCAGAGAAATAAACAAAAGCATGCTTTTTGCATATAATAGTCTAGGGCTTCACGAGGTCCTTGTTCCCTATACGTAAATAACCCAACCATAGATTGCATCCTCTAGTTCCTTGTATCTATCTCCCTAGCTTTTCAACTCACAAGAGCTACTACATAAATCTCTTATCAAAATCACAGAAGTCTTGTTTTAATGAGGCCTGAAAAAAAGTTCCTACTTAGAAATAACATTACCATCAGAAGCCATTTTTATTGCATATATTTAAGGTATAGAACATGATGTTATACACACACACACACACACACACACACACACACAGTGAAATGGTTACTATATTCAAATGTCTTAACATATCCATCATCTCACATAGTTACCCTTTATTGTGTGTGTGGGAAGAGCACCTAAATATGAAAAGGTGCTCTACATCACTAATCAGCAGGGAAATGCAAAGCAAAACCACAATGAACTATAACTTCATATCTGCTGGGATGGCTATTATCAAAAAGACAAGAAATAACAAGTGTTGGTGTGGAGAAAAGGGAATCCTTGTACACTATTGGCTTTTAAATTGCTGAAAAATACTTTGGTTGCCTAATAGGTTGAACATCCTCCCATTCTTCAAGTCCTTTATTCAAAAAATTAAGTTTAATTTAAGTCAAGATATATTTATTGTTATTTTCATAAGTTGGAATAAATGGATACCCTTCCATCTTGTCTGAGCCCTAAATGCCTACTTACTTTTTGAGACCTGCTGTTGTCACTGTCTGCCCCACACCCACCCATTCCCCTCTGCCTGGCCACAGTTAAATCTGCATGCACACAGCAAACCTGTTTCTCTCACTTTCATCCCCACTCACGCTCCAGAAGGCTGCCCACTCCTTTATCTGCTCCTTCACTATATGTGCAACAACTTCTTTCAGTGCACCAAATTTACTGGCATTCTTTGGTTATAATTCCCCGCCCCCTTCCCCCTTCTAGATCGAGGGTCCCTTGAGGGCTGAGAGAATTTCATATTTCTCTCTAAATGTGAAAGCCAATAGAGAGCTTGACACATTAGTGAGCAGTAAAATTTGTGGATGAATAAATAAATGAAGGAATCTTTTCTGCAGTGGTATATTTACTTTGATAAAACTTTTAGGGGCTAATATTACTAATTTATGATTGTATACACAATGGAATCCTTAAGTAGTTTTAGCTTTTCAGCTACAACTGAAAATGATAAAACTAAAATGATATTCGCATGCAAATACTAAATTAGTATTAATAACAGACTAGGAATTTAAATATTTAAAGTCCACAGGCAATACAGCACTCTAAAAGTATGGAAAATAAAATCGGTACACATATATGAATAATGTTTTCTTTCTCGAAATAATTATTGATTTCATACTAAATATTTTTGATTTATAAATGTGTGATTCAGGTCATCTTACAGATTCTGTTTTTAAAAACAAAACTGATTGTTCTGCAGATTATAATATTTACCGTCATTGTATTTTATATCTTTCAAAGATTATAATATTTTGTTTCATTATATTTTATTCTTGTCAAACCCCTGAAATAAATTTACTTGTCAAGCCATCACTGAAACATTTCACCATCATCTACCAATGCTTTATCATCTTTAACACAAAAGCAGAATATGTGAGATGTTTCCCAATGCTTACTGAGGTACCATGTCCATCATCTCAAGAGCTAGACCTACTTGGCCTTTGTCTCTTTCCTCTCTTCCCATTGCTCTCATTTTTGGATTATTGACAACAAAATAATTTCACCTGATATAACTGCCAACATTTTCTAGAATCCATTTCTCCCTAAAATAAATTTCAGTCAAATGAGCCATTAAAATCCATTTTAAAACCATATCTCCCATTTAAGCTTTCTCAACCTGTTGCTTGAGATGGTGTAGAGATGGCTTACTTGCTGTGGACTCTGTTTTTACAGGCTTCTGTTTCTTTTATTGAAAGTTTTAAAACTCAGATCTACTCTAGGCAAGCCCTGTCCAGGAGGGTGTGAGAGAAGGTAAAACACCTGTCAATACACTGCCTAAAAATAGTTCTTAGTCTGGCTGACTTCCCACTTCTATCAAATTAACAGCTGTTGAGTTCTTTGCATCTCCAAAGCCTGATGAACTTTTTATTCTACTTCCCCATCTTGAAACAAACCAAGAGAAAAGCCCAACATTTTAACTTCTTGTCCTTTATACAAAGCTTTGTTTTCAGACAAAGCTATGAAATAAGAAGTTTCAGAAGGTGTAGAATTGCATTTTAGTGGGTTTGTTTTTCCTTCTGTATGTCAGTAGCAGGCAGTCTGCAATGTCCAGAACTCAAGCTTATGAGGCAGTTCTGTGCATTTCTACAGGAAATTGTCAATAATCAGCCCAAAGTTTCTCAACCCTGGCTGCACATGGAATCAGCTACAGAGCTTTAAAAAAAAAAAATCTCTGCTCAGGTACCCCTCCAGATATTCTGATTTAATTGATCTGGGGTGGAGCTTAGACATCGATATTTTATTTTAGAAACTCCACCAGATGATTCTAAGGATTGAAAAATACAGATAGCCCTCATATTTTATGATGTATCTATGATTTTGTATTTGATCATGCTTAGATTTATTTTGATACTTTATTCTATCAAACAATCCAAACATAGCTGTTACCTTAAAAGTATGTATTTTTATTAAGCATACAGCATTAAACATTATATCACATTACTTTCAAAAATTCAAAATTCCTTTTGAAAAGGTGAACAAAACAATATATATGCATTTGTTCTCTATTCATGTATTGGTATGGCATGATATTTCTGTTTTAGAGTCAAAATTATTTAACTCTGTTCTCTTCTGGAGGCTTATCCTTTTCTGATCATTGCATACGTGGAAATAGGAAAAGCAAAGTATCTGAGGAAAGGAGAGTACTACTTGAGGACTTCCGGGCTAGGGCCAAAGATTGGGAGACTCACTATTTGCAGAGTGGCTATTTTTCCATATGATGAAATGCTTCCCTCTCCTCCACTGCAAGAATTGTTGGCTAAAGCCTTACAGATAGCTCCAATTGTGAAGTGGGCAGTGAAATATTTTTAAATGTAAACCATGTTGGATGATCCCAGATTGGGACACGATGAAAGGGAAACAAAAATTGGGTTTTACAATGAAAATAAATTTTTTTACAATGAAAATAAATTTAATACATTAATGCACACGCACACACACACACAGTGGTTTTAAAAATAAGGTAACTATAAAGAAGCCCATTAATTCTCATGAAGTAGATTGTGATATGATAACTGGGGCCACTTATTTTTACCTACTCAGTCTTCCACTTTCCTCCAATTACGTTGAATGAAGGGCCCCATCTCTATCTAAGTTTCATCCGTTTTCCATGTGGACTCATTCTCTCTCAGAGACTTCAATAATTATCCTCTATCTCCCATTTGTACCATCAATTTCTCTTTCTATACTAAAACAGTCACATCAAAAAGCAAAACTGCTCTAAAACAAAGAAAATAAATAACAAAAGTCAACTTTAACCCATTTCCTATCCCATATTCTGTTTGTCTTCAAAGCAAAATTTCTTGAAGAAGCTATCAGAAGTTATCTTCCCTTCCTCACCTTTTCTCTCCTCCATCCATTCCAGTTCGACTTCCCTCCTCAACTCCACCAAGAAGGCTCTCCACCAATTGTTTCCAGGCCACCAAACTCAATAGTCAGTCATCTGGTCTCCTTGTATTCAGCCTCTTTTTAGGTTTCAGCTGACGGTTCCCTCTAAAAGAAATCCTGTACCTTTTAGTAGTCACTGCCCAATTCCTCTTAACTATCTCTGACACATCCCTGCCTCTCACACCACATTTTATTTACCCATTCATTAGTTCATGGACATTTAGGGGCATTTCTACTTTTAGGCTATTATGAACAATGCTTCTATGAACATTAATGTTCAAGTTTTTGTGTGGACATATGTTTTCATTTCTCTTGGATATATGTCTATTAGTGGAATTGCTGGGTCATATGGTAACATTAAATTTAAGCCTTTGAGAAGCTGCCAGTCTGTTTGACTGTTTTCCAAAATTACTGCACCATTTTACATTCCTACCAGCATGTATGAGGGTTCCAGTATTTCCATATCTTCCTCCACATATCATTATCTGCCTTTTTTACTATAGCCATCCTAATTGGGGTGAAGTGGTATCTCATTGTGCTTTTGTTTTGCATTTCACTGATGGCTAACAGTATCAAACATCTTTTCATGTATTACTTGCCATCTGCGTATCTTTTTTGGAGAAACATCTACTTAGATCCTTCACTCATTTGTTAAAATGAAATGTCTTTATACTATTGAGTTGTAAGACTTTCTAATATATTCTGGTTATTATAATCTTATCGGATATGCAATTTGCAAATATTTTCTCCCATTCTGTGGGTTCTCTTTTCACTTTCTTTATGGTGTCTTTTGAAGCACAAAAATTTTTTAACTTTGATGAAATCAAATTTATCTAATTTTTTCTTCTATTGCTGGGTTTTTGGTGTCATATTTAATAATTCTTTCTCAAAACCAAGATTATAATGATTTACTCCTGTGTTTTCTTCTAAGAGCTTTACAGTTTCAGCTCTTACATTTAGGTCTTGATCCATTTTGACTTAATTTTTGTGTATAATGTGAGGTAAGGGTCCAATTTCATTCTTTTTCATGTGGCTATCCAGTTACCCTAACACCATTAACTGATTTCACTCTTGATTTTAAATGTCTATTATGCATTAACAAGTTCATTTGCATTTCTAACAGGTACATTAAATTTAACATACCAAAAGACAACTCTTCATTCCTTTCCTACAAACTTATTGTTGCTCCTTCTCCAGTCTCTCCCAACTCAGTGAATTATACCTATCCACTCGGTTGTTGAAAACAAATTTAGCTATGATTGTTCCTTACCCTGACCCATCAGCAAGTTCTCTTATCTCTATCTTCAAAGCACATTTTAAATTCATTCTCCTCATCTCCTCTTTTCTACCTACCTTCATTTTCTAGGTGATTTCATTTAGTTACATAGCTTAAATACCATCTTTATGCTGTGATGACACACATATATATCTCTAAGTTCATCTTCTACTCTAAACTCTAGCTTTATATATACAACTTTCTACTAGCAAACTCCACAATAGGCATCTCTAACTTAACATGCCCAAATGCAAACATTTGATCCCCAACCTTCCCTTATTGCCCCCAACATACCATATTTTTCCCTCTCATCTCCAGCAAATGGTGCCACCATTTGCTCAATTGTTCAGGACAAAAGCCTTGGAATTTTCTTGGCTCTTTACTCTCATATCCAACATAGAAAGTGTTAGCAAATCCTGCAGGCTCTACCTTCAGATTGTATCTGGAAAATGAACAATTCTTACTACTTCCACTGCTACCAACCTAGGCCAATCCACCATCATCTTTTGCCTGGTTTAGTCCAATAGTCTCCAAATAGGTTCTTCTGCTTCCTTTCTAGTACCGCCATATCCATTATCTTTTTTTCCCACAGTAGCTGGAGTGATTATTTTAAAATACAGATCAGATCAAGTCACTTCCTTTTTCAAAGCCTTCCGATGACTTCCAGTGAATTTAGAACAAAATTCAAAGGCCGTGTTATGGTCTACCCAGCCTTGCATGATTTAGCTTTTAGCTGGCCTCCAGATCTAAACTCTTGCCATTTGTCTCCTACCGAACTGTGCTCCAGCCATAGTGCTGTTATCCCAACTCCTCAAGCACACTCCCATCCTAGGGTCTTCTTGCTATCTCTCTGTCTGAGTCCCTTTTGTCCCAGACAACTGCAATGCTTGCTCCCTCTCTTCATTTAGGTATGAGCAGAAGTCTTCCCTGACCATCCTATCTAAAATTAGACCCATCACTCTTAATTCCCCTTGATTGTCTATATCCTCTACTGAATATAAGCCACATAAAGGCAGTTTCTTTGCTTTTGACCCTTGGTGCATGCCTGATATCTAGAGAGGACTTGGCACACAGTAGATCATTAGTTAATATTTGTTGAAGGCATAAACAGATGAATGAATTAATGTCTTTGTTACTGTCATCCTAGTTGAAGCCACTAGGTCTCTTCTGTAATAATCTCCTAGCAGGTCTCCCAGTTTCCACTCTTGTTTCCTACCTACAGTCTAATCACCATAGAGCATTATGTTTTATATACATACAAATCAGATCAAGTCATTCTTCTGCCTAAAAAGCCACAGTGGTAACTCATCAGGCTTATAATATAATCTAAACAGCTTACCTGTGATATAGGAAGGTTGATATCAGCTGCCTCCTGCCTATTTCTCAGTACATGAATCCACACGTCTGCCTTATTGGTATGTTTCAGCCATACTGATCCTCAAGACCCTCTACATCATTTCTGTCTTAGGACCTTTTTTGATAATATCTGGTCCCTCTTCACAGAACACTCTTATTTCAGTCTTCAAAGTGTTGGCTTATTTTTGATCATTAAGACTTCTGCTTAAATATCACCATGGACTTTCCTGACCACCCAGTGTAAAGTAGACGTTGGTCATTTTGACTCATTGCTCTGTTTTAGCTTTCTGCATGGTCCTTATCTTGATCTGAGATTCTTATTTATTGATTATTGCTTGTATTTCTTCTCCCTCCACCCTGCCCACTGTTCCCCCACAACCAGAATATAAACTCAAGGGATCATGCTGGCAAGAATGTACAGAAAAGGGAACACTTGTACACTGTTGGTGGGAATGTAAATTAGTACAACCACTATGGAAAACAATTCGAAGGATTCTCAAAAAACTAAAAATTGAGCTACCATATGATCCAGAAATCCCACTGCTAGGTGTATACCCAAATGAAATGAAATCAATATATTGAAGAGATATCTGCATTCCTATGTTGTTGCAGCACTGTTTACAACAGCTAAGATTTGGAAGCAACCTAAGTGTTCATCAACAGATGAATGAATAAAGAAAATGCGGTACATATACACAATACAGTATTATTCAGCCATAAAAATGAATGAGATCCAGTCATTTGCAATAACATGGATGGAACTGGAGATCATTATGTGAAGTGAAATAAGCCAGGCACAGAAAGACAAACATTGCATGTTCTCACTCACTTGTTTGGGATCTAAAAATCAAAATAATTGAACTCATGGACATGGAGACTAGAAGGATGGTTACTAAGAGGCTTGCAAGGGTAGTGGGGTGCTGGGGGCAGGGGGAAGTAGGAATGGTTAATGGGTACAAAAAATAGAGAGAATGAATAAGACCTACTATTTGATAGCACAAAAGGATGACTATAGTAAATAATAACAACTGTACATTTTAAAATAACTTTTTAAAGAGTATAACTGGATTGTTTGCAACCCAATGGATAAATGCTTGAGGGGATGGATGTCCCATTCTTCGTGACGTGCTTATTTCACATTGCATGCCTGTATCAAACATCTCATGTACCCCGTAAATATATACACATACTACTTACCCACAAAAATTAAAAATAGAAGAAAAATAAAAAAGGGATCAGGGATTGTGCTTTCCTTGTTCAAAACAGTATTCCTAGCACTTCCCATAGTAGCCAGCACATAGCAGATACTTAATATTTATTTGTCACACCAAATAGTTTATATTCTTTTGTCACCAATTTCTACCTAGTGGGTTAGGGGAATATATTTTGATAAAGTCTCATACAGTTTGTTTGTTGGTTGGTTGGTTTTTATTTTTGTTTTTGTTGTTCCAAATGAGTACAATTTAGAATCGAGCCTAATTTTACAATTAAACTAACAGAGTGTTTTTTTTCATTATTAGATGTCACATATGAACATTTCCCAGTGTTCTAAGTATGACCTTGGCAAATGCAGCCTTTCTAGTGACTTGGCTATGTAGATTTTCTTTCCTTATTCTTGGTAGCTATTATCAAAATAATGATTATAAGACCTTATACTTGCACAGTAACTTAGAGGTACTGAATCATTTTACAAAAGAGAGTACTGGATCTGATCAAAAAAAGTTGTTTTCATTAGTGTTCTATATTGAAATGGAGACAAAAGTGAAAAGGGATTACATACTTTCTCAAGGATACAGGACAACAAAATGGTGGAATCAGAATTCAACCCAGGTTTTTTCTCCCCGAGAAGTCCTGTTTCTTTCCACAACAGCTCATGTTTACCCCTCAAGGGACTACTTGGAAAACATTACTTTGTTCTTTCATGTGTCTTCCTCTTTAGGCTTTCCCTTTCCTTACTTGCCAAACCCTTAACTAGAATATTATGGAATTCAGAGAAAGCCCTGGCTGGAGGCCTCCTTTAGGACAGAAATTACAATAGAAGCCTCAGTCTTGAAATGAACACCTTTGTACTCATAACATAACATTTTCAAATACTAAGGTATTAGAATTGTAAGAATTTACATTCTAAGCATTCAGATATTAAGAATCTTAAGACAATAAAGGGCACCAAGCATGACTTGTAATTGACATTTTATACACTTATGTAAAAGAAGGATTTATGGAGAAACACTGGAAATTTGCAAACTTTTGGGAAATAATATGACAGGAGATGAGTCTATGTGTGGGAGAAAGACGAAAAATAGGTTCTTGAACCTGTAATTTTAACTCCCACACTGTTTCTTTTAAATGTCTACACAGATAGTGTTTATAATAACTCAGCCCTTTAAGGCCAACACATCCTGCCTGTGGGGCTATTAAGCCTGTTTAAAAAATAATTAATGTAAGGCTTGTTAATACCATTCAATATGCTATGGAAGTGACACACCCAGGACCCAGAGTGCTAGCATTTTTTCAGAAAAATAAATATAAAGATATATCTTTATATGAAAGTGAATTTTTATGTTTGTAATAAATAAGTGATGCATTATATGATTCACAGTTTACCCCTAGGTAAACTAAAATCTACCATTTATGGAACAAATTTTTATTTATGAAAACATCCGATTCTGGATAATAGCTTATCAATATAATTGTATAGGTTTCAGTGTGCATGTGTGTGCTTACTACAAGCATTACTAAAATGGCTCAGTGCTGCCCAATTACTATTATATCTTGGGAAGATAAGACTAAATATTTAAATAAGATATAAGTGACAATGATAGGCCAATTTAGTAAATAAAGAGAAAATCTAACTAAAATTGATGATTGTAATATACTTAAATAATTCATGAGATACAGCAGTAAATGTTAGTTATTCAAACAGCAGCAAACAATATATAAGTATTACTTACTCATTTAATCACAACACACTATCATCCTCTTCTCATCTGGACAATAGGCTGTGTTTATTCTAGTACCTAGGAAACACTGCCCAAGCTAAATCAGCTTTCTGGCAGATTACAACAGTATCACATTTTTGGCCATACTACACCACCTTTTCGTCCTGATGTTTTCAAAATCCTTCAGTGTCAAGCATTGTTTAACCATTGTGAAAGCTGATGCCTGGTTAAAATGATACACGATCCACCTCATATAATTAACTCTGCTGTCTTCGATCAAAAAGTGTGTAAGATCTAAACTTAAAACGTATTCTATTTTTTTTTTTAAGTATTCTAAAGTCATTGGCTAGTTGGATGGCAAAGCTGTGTTTAAAACCCAGGCCTGAGTAATTCCCAAACCTACGCTTTTTACACTGGGACCTCCCTCCTCCCTTTTCACCTCCCTTTAGTCTCACAAAACTAAAACCAACAATTTAAAATCTGTAAAGTTAACCACAAAAATGTTATTTCCTGACTGTGATACCCTTTCCTTTCCTTCCCCCCAGATATTTGACGTGATTTTTTGAATTTTTCCTATATGGAATGGTAGCACATATTTCAGATTTACCTGGCACTTCTACTGGAGTTCCCTCTGGGTATAGCGAATGTCTCTTGCAAGTGGGGCTCAGAGAAGGAAAATGTCTCCTGGATATACCCCTAACCCAGCTCTAGCGATAAGATCGCTGTCTGTGAGACCCACAGCTTTTTCTACACAGGCCTCTTAGCCACTACAACAGGAGAAGAAAACCAGATCCTTTCAGCACCAGGCCCTGGATGCTTCCAGATACTATCTAGGAATCTGGGGGACTTCTACGTATCAAAGGTTTGTTTCTAGCCACTACTCCTGCTATCTGGGACTAAGAATATCCTAAAATATGACTCCATGATGTGTTTGGTGAGCTGTAATATTTTAGGGCATTACGTTTCCTCCTCAATCTTTACTTAAAGATGTAAAATACTAAGCAAAAAAATATGCATATTGTAGTTACTGCAAAAACATCTTCTAGAACTATAAGTTAAATGACATTAACCACATGAAGAAATAAAACAAAATGACATATAAAGAATATTTATATTATTTCATAATTATAGAATAATTATAAAAATGGTGACTTTATAAACCTTTATGTTTATATTTATGATGATTAAATATGATTTACATGGAAGTGTTTAGTAGGTTATTAAGAACCATGTACATATGTTAATTATTACTTATAATATGGTTTAGAAAACGCATTATTAGAAAGAAGAAAAAGAATAAAATCAAAGAATAAAGCAATCAAAGTTTTTAAAATAACTATCAATTAATCATTTAACTAGTCATAATCTGAATCTACTGAAATATATGGAAAATACCTTTAGAATTCTATTGTATTCTTGCTTTTTGTAATCTTTAAAAAGATTTAAGTTCTTCTTATCTCTGTATTTGTAAACTGATAAACAGCTAATTATTTTGTTAAAATACTTTCCCCAAAGGTGTTATAATTCAAAAGAAAAGAAATAAGTTCATCATTCTTAGCTCTTAATATTTTTTGAAATTTTAATCTTCCAGCTGAAAGTGAAGAAAATGAAAATTCCTAAGGGTTAACTTCACAATGTCAAATTCTAGGCTGATCATACATCCTTTAATTCTTGGTGCCTCGGAATTGACACATACATCCAAATAAGACACCACCCAAAATGAGAAAATGTAAAAACAGATGACTGTTATCACAGATAAATATATGGGTAAAAATATCATGAAATCTGGCTGTGACCATGGACTCAAAGTAGGAATTTAAAAACTAGCTACAGAACATATAAGCACAGAATGTGAAAGAAGGTGGTACTTTTTTTTCTTAACTAACGCATTCCTTGCGAAAATTTTTTATTAAGTACAGACACTACTGTACTTTCTCTCCTTCAGATAAGTAGAACAGATAAGCAGGTGCCTTTAAGATTTGATTCATCAGTTTTGACAGTAAACACACTCCTACATTATAGAAAATGGGTAGAAGTCTTTTAACCAATAACCAGTGAAAAAATAATACCCGCCCCTTCTAGCCCAGAGGGTTTCCATGGGAATCCTGTCTATATTAGCTTTGGCAGAGACTTATGGCTATTTTTAGAGGTTTTGAAAGCAACTAAAAATGCCTTTCACTTTTATTCCAAAGCTGAACTGTATCTATGTTCATGAACCCCCTCACCCCATGCACAGGCTACGCACAAACAAGTGCACACGTGCACACACACACACACACACACACACACACACACGTACTCCTGAAAAAAACAATTCTATTAGCTTTAACTTGGGTCCAGTTCAAAATCAAAAGCCAAGCCACTGGCTCTCCTTTTCCACATTGTTCAGGTGCTGACAAGCCTGTCTTTTTATTAGCTCTAATTGCTCTTAAAACTTTACCCAGGAGACCTTGCTACACTGTCTGTTAGACCAAAATCTAAAATGCTAATGCTGCTCTTCTAACTAGAGCCTTTCTTGGTACAGCATGAATTACCAGACTTGATTTATTTATAAAAGTTACCAAGTATAGACAAAGTCCAGTAGTTGCATACCCTTGCTTTGAAGACAAAGCCTGTCATCTGGAAAGGGGACCCTTCTCCTTCGTATGGAATCATTTCTTCAGAGGAGCGTGCCATCCTGGGGAAGAAATGCTGAATGTTTCAGTACATTCTGCTCAGGATTGGCTGCACTTCTCCTTGTCCCTTCACCCTTTTAGTAAGGGTTGTCTCATTTGCACATCTTATCTATTTTCTTCCTTTTCTTCTTATCATACTTTTAAGCCTCACAGGCACTTCCATTTGAAAAATAGGCCAGAGCGTGTGTGTGAATGTGTGTGTGTGCATGCATGTGTATGTGAAGCATTATCCCTTTACTGATATTTGCACTTTTTTTACTTTAGCTATTTTAATGTGACTAGAAAATATTTAAAGTTTATTTTTCGTTAATGTCTAATACCATCTGAGGGTATTTTAGGTAGCTTTCCTTCTGGGAGGGAGCCATCTCTAAAACAGTGGCTCATTAACAGGGTGGCAATTTATATTTTCATCCAAATCATGGTATTTTGAGAAGAAAGGGGCACAACCTGAGACAGTGCCAGGTAAATTGGGAGGCATGGTCATCTACTCACAAGGAAACAGTCCTCCATTTACATACAGGCAAAACCTGAGTGATGCCTCTGCCAGATATAATTATTCCAAAACATGCCACAGCATGATCATTATTCTATTGGGAAGCTAAATAAAAATGGGAAGAGGCAGACCATTATTGTATGGCCCTCCTTTAACCTTAGCCAAGATCAGCTTGCACTGACCATTTTTTCTTCTACTGTAATATTTTTTTTCCCTTATAACTGGATGAGGAAAGAGACAGGAAGCCCTGGAGAAAAGGAAATTTGTTTCCTAAGATTCATGTCTTTTGACCTCAGACTTACAGCTCCAAAAATTTATGGATCAGAGTCTTTGAGTTTAGATCCCATCTCTTCACATTCCCAGAGAGGAATCTTAACGAAGTCATTCATCTCCAAAGCTTTTGGATTTAATGCCAACTCTGGATGTTGTGCAGTGGTTGCTCTGTGATAGACAGGCAGCTTCACCTGAAACAAGAAGTATCACGTGGTACCTTTGACTAGCTTTTGACTTCAAGGTTTTTTGTCCAGTAGAAAGTTCTCAAAAACCAAAGATCTTGTTTCCCTTTACTAAATGTGTAGTTTCAGTGGACTCTCTCATAAATATTTATGCTGAAATTTCTGGCCATTCTGGGTGATGTTAATAACCACTTCTTCCTAATATGGCTTTATTCCTTTAATCATATCTTTAAGTCAGCCAAGTTAGTAAGACCTCTGGACAGGACCTAGCAGGTCATGTCTCTTTCTTACAGACACATAACTTACTATTTTTGTTTCTACAATGGTAAACTAATGAAAATGTTAATCAACAAATATGCAACACAGAATGCACAGTCTAAATAAATGAGTGTATTCAAAGATGATTATAGGCACTGAATAAATATATTACAATTGCTGTAAATCTCATTTCTACCCCTTTGCTCATTTGTGTGCCTGTTCTCACCCGTTTCCTAGTTGGCAGCTGAGAGTATCAAAAGCTTCTTGCTATATTCTGGCTCTTAGCACAGGCTTTACCTCTCTACTCTCTTGGACTCTAGTTTGACCTAAGCTCTTAGTTAGGAGAATATTTACTCCTGATCCCCCACTTCTAGCATGAACTCTCCCTTGGATTATCTGCTGCTACAGATTGGTAAATTTATGCTTTTTCACATGAATTACTAAAATCGTCTAATAAAAATTTCTTAAAAGCCTGAAAATAAACAGAATAGAAAAAATAGTTCTAACATAGCATAGTGTTAAAGCGCATTAGATGAACAGCAAAATAGAAAGGTAATTATTGAAGGGAGAATGGAGGGCTGGGAAGATTTAAGTTAATTGCATGTGAAACTCCATGTTCTTAAGGAAAATAAGAAGAGCTATGATTTTGAGGCCATATGATCTTATGATATGTGTCATGTGGATGAGAAGAAGGGATTCTTTCTTATCTTCTGCTTGCAATGCCGTCCTCCTCCAATGATCTCCATCTTCAGTGTTCCCCTTCCCTGGCTGCCTGGGGGACCTCTGGGCATTCTGAATCCTGTCCATGCCTCCTGCAGCACTTAGACTGAGGCTCTGTATATCCCTTTACCAGACTGGAAACCACTTGGGAGCAGATACTATGCTACTGCAGCCACTGAAGTCTCTGCTTCATGCTTGGCAAATAAATATCTCTCACATCACTCTGACTCAAATACTAAACTCAAATTCCAAAAAGAGCTCATTGATATGTTTTGTAACTTCATAATTAATATCTTTAATTTTCTTCTGTTCTTAGAAATGAATTTAAATCCAGTACTATTTTCCCAACTACATTAATTTCATCACAGCGAGAAATTCTGAAAAGTAAAATAATAAAATCTTGTATATGAAGGACATAGAGATGGTCCCTGACTTAACCAGGGTTACGCTATGATTTTTTGACTTTATGACACCATGAAAATAATAAGCACACAGTAGAAACCATACTTCAAGTACCCATACGGCCATTCTGCTTTTCACTTTCAGTACGGCATTCAATAAATTCCATGAGATATTTAACATTTTATTGTAAAATAGGCTTTGTGTTAGATAATTTTGCCCAACTGTAGGTTAATGTTAAGTGTCTGAGCACTTTTAAGGTAGGCTAGGCTAAGCTATGATGTTTGGGAAGTTAAGCGTTTTAAATTCATTTTTGATTAATGATATTTTCAACTTACAATGACTTTATCTGGACATAACCCCATCATAAATGGAGGAGCATCTGTATACATTTTCCTTTAAAGATGCCTTAGATATACACTGATTAGGCAATGTTATATGAATAGCATTTTCCTGGGGTGCCTTGCCTTAGCTGGCAAACTGCATTATCACTCACTGCTGCTATGATTAGATCTGATTCACATTTCTTAAAGGTCTAACATATGAGCACACTATATGAAAAACTTAATTTGAATGCTCAATTACAGCCCATCGCATTTGTCTTTATATTAATCCATAGATAATGTTAAATTTCTTCACAATATTTGATCCTAGATAAATGAAGATGAAATTATTTCGTGGGCATCAACATTTCCTTTTATATTTGAAATGTTATATTACATTTCATTCATTTGGAAGGCAGCTTTCAATATGTAGATGATCACCTTAATTCTGATTTAATTATACTTAAGAATTTGTAGAGAATCCTAAAACTATGTCGTTTGTATGTAGTACAGATTCAAAGGAATTAAAGATGATTGTTTTTAATGCATTTACTTCGATCAAGTATGTGTATTTCATTTGTATATATATAAATAGGGAATGACAAATATGTTCCAGTGACAAATGTTCCATAAGTTGACTATTAATCTTATATATAATATTTATAGGAATAAAAACAAGTAAAAATGTAATAAATAGAAATTTAGGCTGATCACAAGGTTAATATCAGCAGATACCATCACCCCCAAATATCTCCCAATCTTTAGCCATGAAATTTATAGCAGCTTTTTCTGTTGCTGCTTTTTGAAAAATGATTTCAATACTTATGTAGAAATAGACCCTTTGGGGTTATGACAAATAATGTCTAAAAACAAAAACTCTACAACTTACTAATAGATGACACATATCCTTCCAACTAATTAACAATTAAGATCATATAAGATACCACAGAACTATAGAAGCTTCATTTTAAAATGTATGTAAAATAGAGTTCCCAAATGCTTTGAGCCATTTCAAATCCAAAATTTGTTTAAGATGCTGAAAAGAGGAGTTCCACTTTGGTAAATGTTGTAGAGAGATACAAGAGAACGTTGTTCCTGCTAACAATGACCAAAAGCCAGAAGATGTACAAAATTACTACTTTCCTTGAGCCCATTAGAGAGCTGAGGTTCAAGGCAGCCAAGTAAATTAAGTTCAAAGAGTGATATGCCCCTCAAGAGGGACATACAAAGTATTTAATCTTTGGCAAAGCATGGGAAAAATAGGTGGCCTCCCTACAAATGTGAGTAGGAAAAAATTAGCTAAAAGTTTCACAAATTTCTAAAAGACAAGTATGAACTATTATTAGTTTGAAATATCTAGGAACTCCACCCACAGGGAAGCCCACACTTATTTATAAACTTTTCCACAGGCCTGCGTGAGGTGCTTATGAGAAAGACTGGGAGCAGGAAACGAGAGAGAGGTCCCTGCTGTGGCAGAGGCATGCAGGAGGTGACTGCCTGCTGCTGGAGGACAGGCATGAAGCCAGCAGACCTATGCTATAAGAAAAGTTAAAGGAAGTCCTTAAGACAGAATGCATATGGTACCAGATGGAAATTGTGGGCTATGTAAAGAAATAAATAGCACTGAAAATGATAGAAATAAAGGTACATATAAAGGATATTTTTAAAAATTATTTTTAATCACCTTTAAAGATAATTGACCGTCTAAATCAAGCATAGTTACAATGTATTGTGAGGCTTATAAGTAGAAGTAAAATGTATGACAATAACACAAAGAATGGAAAGGAGTAAATGGAATATGTGCTGTGAGGTCCTGATACTACAGGTGAAATGATATAAATTACTTGAAGATAGACTGTGATAGCTTAAAGATATTTACTGTAAATACCAGCACAACTACTAAAAATATTTGAAAAGAGGAACAACTTATAGATCAGTAATGTAGATAAAAATGGAATCATAAAAATATTTAGTTAATCCACAGGTAGGAAAAGAAGGAAAAGGAACAAAGAACATATTACATCAATAGTAAACAACTAGCAATATGGTAAACTTAAGTTTACCATATTGATAATCACATTAAATGTAAATGCTCTAAAATATCAATAGACAGAAATTGTCAAATTAAATTAAAGGAAGTCCCAACTCTATAAATAAATGCACTTTATATGTGTTATAAATAAACACACTTTAAATATAAAGGCATAGGTTAAAAATTAAAGGATGAAAAAATATACCACACAAATGCTAATCAAAAGAAAGCTGGAGTGACTGTATTACTATCAGAAAAAGTAGACTTCAGAACAAGAAATATTACCAGGAATAGAGAGACATTACATAATAATAAAGAGGTCAATTCTTTAATAATATGTAAAAACCTGAATATATTTAACAACAGAACTTCATAATACAAGAAGCAAAAAACTAACAGACATGAATAAAATAAAATGTAATAAAAAGTAAAAAACTGAGAGAACTAAAAAAAAAGTGACAAACTCACAATTATAGTTGGACATTTCAACACTTTTCTTCCAGTAATCTATAGAATAAGTAGGTATAAAATTCAGTAAAGATATACAAAATTTGAACAACACTGTCAACCAACTTGACCTAATTGACATTTATACAACATTCTTCCCTATATTAAAAGGATAAACATTGTTTTCATGTGTACATTGAACATTCACCGAGATAGTCATATTCTGGGTCATAAAATAATAAATCTGAACAAATTTAAAATTTTTGAGATCCCATACAGCAACATTTCTTGAACTTGCACTATCAACATTGGGGCCTGATAATTCTTTGTTGTGTGGTGCTTTCCTATGCAATTTAGGATATTTGGCAGCATCCTTGGTCCCTGTCTGCTAGATGCCCGTAGAAAATCCTCTCTCTTCCCTCAAATGTGGCAACTAAATATTTCTCCAGACACTTCCCAATGTCGTTTGGGGAGCAAAACTGTCCCTAGTTGAGAAGCGCTGATATAAAATATGCTCTCAAACCACAACAAAACTTTAGTAAATCAAATCTAATGAAACACAAAAAAGATGATACATCATGACCAAGTGAGCTTATCCCAGAAATGCAAGTTTGGGTCAATATTCAGCATATTAACAACAACTATTACACAAATAAAAATCAACATGTCAATAGATATAAAAATAGCATTTGACAAAATTTAGCATCCATTAATGATAAAAACCCTCAGCAAACTTGGAATAGAAAGGAACTTCCTCAACCTGAAAAAAGGCACCTTAAGTTAACCTATAAGTAACATCACACTTAATGGTGAAAGAATGAGTGTTTTTACCTAAGACCAGGAATATGGCAAGAATGCTCTCATTATTCCTATTTAACATCATAATGAAGGTTCTAACCAACATAATAAAGTACAAAAAAGAAATCAAAATTATACATATTAGAAAGGAATAAATAAGACTGTCTTTTATTTGGAGACCACATGATTGTCTATGTAGAAAATCTCAAAGAATCTACACAAGTTTAAAAAGTACTACATACTAACAAAATTAAAAGGCAAGTCATAGACTTAGAGAAAATATATGTAAAACACCCATCTCATTAAATATAACTTCCATCCTGAATTCATAAAGAGCTCTTACAATTCAATAATGAAAAGCAAACAACCCATTTTTCTTTTAGAATTGGTCAAAATATTTTAAAAGGTGCATCACTTGAGCTATGAGTGGCAAACATCATGTGAAAAGATGTTCACCATCATTATTACAAAAATGCAAATTAGATTAAAACTATAAGATACTATTAGATGCCAAGTAGAATGGCTAAAATTTATAAACAATCACCAGCAAGTGTTGGTTTAGATGTTGAACTGAAACTCACGCATTACTGAAGAGAATGTAAAATGGTACAGCAACTTTGGAAAACATTTGGCATTTTCTTATAAAGTTGAATATACACTTACTATACAATCAAGGACTCCTTCTCCTATATATTTATCCAAGTAAAGTCCCTACACAAAGACCTATCTGAGACTGTTTATAGAAATTTCATTCATAATCACCAAACCAAATATCCAACAATTAATGAAAGAATAAACAAATTATCCTTTTATGGTATACCTGTAAAATGGGATCCAACTCAAAAATATAAGAAATAAGGGAATGATACACATAACAAAATGGATTCATCTTAAAAGCATTATGCCAAGTGAAAAAAAGCCAATCATAAAAAGCTACATACTGTATGATTCCTGTTATGTGACATTCTGGAAAAGGCCAAACTATAGAGCCAGAAATCAGATCAGTGACTGTCAGAAACTAGTACCAAGGGAAGAGAAATGGAGAAATTTTGGGGGTTATGGAAGCATTCTATAGCTTCATCATGGTGTTTGTTACATGAATGCACAGGTCTTCTTAGCAAGTAAAAACTTGCCTTACATTTTAATTATTAATTCATTAATAATATTCAAACATTGACAATGGGTATACAATATTTCCTGTCTCTTGGAAGTATTCTTTTAGAGTCTATCTAGAAGAACCTCGATCAATTCATTCTTCACTTCCTGTCCTTTGTTACTGTACATATCCACTATGCCCTGTTTCTAATAAAACCAAACATTTAATTTTATAGTATTAATACTTGTAGAAAATCAGAAACACAATATGATAGGTTATTAGGACAGAAATACAGCTTCAAAATAACTTAGTCTAGTCCCCTATTTTACATGGATTGGCTGTTCTCGTTTGTTAGCCTAAACTGTACACACTTTGGAATTTAGGCAATTCAGGAGACTGTGAAGATCCAAATTGTTTAATGGACTGTGGTTGTGAACATGTATGAATACAACTTGGAGACTCACAGAAATAATTGAAGATGATTGATTGCTCATATCAATGGGTGGGGCAGAGCCAGAGTGAAACTATGTTCTTTAGGACCCTGCTTTTCATTCCAAGCTTGTTTACCTTGAGATATAGTTGTTACCTAAAGAAAGCAGAAATCTGTACCTAGGCTGTTTTCTTTGCCTAAACTTCTCTCATTTCCATTAACTCATTAATTTCTACTTACCTTCAGGTATTAGCTTAAATGTCTGAGGTTGTTTTTCCTGCTTTGGAGATTAACTTCCTCCTCTTATACAACATCAACTCATCTGTACTTTATCTCCTTGCACATAGCATGACTTTAGTGAAGAAATTAGTTTGTAACTAACGTTTTGCACCTGTCTCCCAACTCAAATATAAGCTCCATATGAAAAAGGACAACGTCTTTCATGCTGTCCGCCCTTACACCCAGCACCTGATTTGGGGTCTCCTTCAAGACAGATGCTCAACAAATGTTTGACTTTTCACTGGGGGATTGCTGGGTCATGCTATGGAGATAGCTTACCCCCAACGTGAAGCAATGTATGGTAGTATAGCAAAAACCAAATCCAAACCCCAAACAAACAAAAGGCAAAAGATGTACATTTGAATCCTATCACCACCATTTACTTGCTAACTACTTGGTGAAATTTATATAAATATCTTGAGCATCACTTTCCTATCTTTAAAAATCACTTACTTACAGATGATTTGGGAAAATCTATATAAATATTTTCTGACCATCATTTATCATTAAAGTGATTCGAGTAATAATGAATGAATAAAGGTAGGTAATGCGCCTTACAGTATGCTCAGAACACAGTAGGTGGTCAAAATTATAGAATTGATACATTGCTTTTTGTACTAAATAAGAGTGATGCCTATATTAATCCTAATTATGCTGCTTTTTAATAATTTATTTTCATAAAAAAAGTCAATGGTAAAATGCACATTTCTGATTCCAGAATCAATTATTAAGATGAGCTATATTAAAGTGATGATATTTGACTGCTGTTGACTTTTGAAAATGGCAGTTTCAAGTGGTTCAAAGTATTTGATGATTTTTGTATTGTAAATGTGTATATTTACTTTACATTTCTCCTTTTTAATAATGAACATGAGTTTTACCTAATGACAAAAAATTATGTTTTTTTCTTGGTCCCTCGTGATCTAAAGACTCATCTCAGTGCTGTAGTACATCATTTAAGCTTTCTCAAATCTGGCTTCGACTTATGTTTTCATCTCTTATTTTCTTATATTTTTTTTTTTTCATTTTGAGTCCAAATCACACAGATGATTCATTACCTAAATTCATCCTGTACTTTCTTGAGTCCATGCCTTGGCTCACACTGTACCCTTTTCCTGAAATTGCCTTTCAGTATTTCAATAAAAAAATTGCCTATCCCCTAAAATCCAATTCAAATGCTACTTCTTACTCTCCTATGTGTCTCCCTCCCTACCAGCACTCTGGATAACCCTTCTTGTATTAAACCTAGTTTTGGATAGATTTTTCTCTTTAGCCAAATCATAGGCTTCTTAATGGTAGGAACCATATCTTAGCCATTTTTTTTTCATCCCAGTACCAGCTCTATCTGAGCAAACATCCAAAATAATAGATTTGGTCAACTGGCATATTCAGAAGATGTATCTTTTTTAATGACATAAATTGATGAAACTCATTAAGTATGTCAAAGGAATGGAAGTGGAAGGCTTGAGCAATAAAAATCCTTTTTAAGGTCACTATCATCTGGTATAAAAATTTATTTTGAACAAATTACACCCTGTTAGTACCATTGTAGCTTTGCTTATGAGGTACAAAATCAGTATGCATGACACATGAATTCAACATTTTTATTATATATCTATTTAATTATTCAAAGCATTTTTAACTTCAAATTAAGATATTTTAATGTATCAAATAGAACCATATTTGATCATATAGAATGACTTAAATTTTGAAATGTTAGTATTGTCACCTTTTTAATCAAGTGAACTTAAAAAGCATCATACAGTGGCCATGTGAAAAATCAACTGTCTTTTTAAAAGATCATTAATTTTCTACAGCTCAGTCTATAACCGACATCTAGCAACAGCTAGTTTTATTGTTTATAAAATTAATAAATCCAAAAGTACCTTGATAATTTATTAAGGGTTATCTTACCCAAGTAAACTTTAAGTAGTCCTGCATTTCCAAACCTATTAAAACAGGGTATTTCCTTTTCTGAAAACCAAATCTGAAAATGATACTGAAATTGATTTCTAGTAAATTTTACTTCTAAATAATTAACACTTAATTCTATCAGATTGTGCAGATTATTCATTCCTAGGCATTCTTTCACTCTGGATAGAGTTAGTACATTTGAACACACAAAGTACTCTTTTAGGAAATGCACTTGGGAGTTCCTTTCCAAGGTTTGCCAAAGACTCACATTGTGGCCAGATTATTTGCTTCTTTGTCTCATAAGTCTCCCCATTTACATAAAAAAATTACATTTTGCCATGTGTTATTTGGATAGCATTTTGATAACAAGATATACAGACCACGGTTTTATGAAATTTGAATTCCCTGTTACTTGCATTCCAATTAAAAATTATAAACAATGAAGTAATTACAGGTTTTAAAAAAGGTTTTTGCTTTTTCTTTTTGACATTGTTGTCATTGTAATTATAGCTTAACTCAAGACTGGTTTGTACTTCCTTGACAGGCCATGTTAATTTAAATGTTTGTTTTTAATTAGATAATGCTTCTGAAGAAATAAATGAAAAAGGTCCTATGAAAAGAAAAACCAAATGCCTCAGTGGCAGGTCAATAACAACCCTAAGTTGATTACATAAATGGAAATAAAAATATATTTTTTTAAATGTTGTCAGTGACTATTTAAGGTATGATTATTCCCTATGTGGGCTATTTGTGCCTTGTATTTTTCCATCCACCTACCTATGATTGGACTATTTCCCTGTCCCTTTTCTGTAGAGTGGAAGGCAGAGCATGGCAGGAGAGATAAAATGTAATGAAGTTCAAATCCTTCCCTTTGGCTACTTGTGAGCAGTTGGAGGAAGTAGTTCACAGTAACATTTAACAGCAGGTATTACCTGAATTAAAGTCTGAGAAATTTTTTTTTAATTTTTCCACATTATTCCAATAAACAGAGGTAGCTGAAAATTAAGTGACTAACCAATGACATCAAAAGCATATTTCTGACTGGTAATAATTCCTATCCTCAACCAACAAAATAGGCAGTAAGTAAAGATACCTCATAACCAGGTGGCTTTAAAATATAAACCAAAAATCACTCTAACTAGCTGGATAAATTGGTATTCTATTTGAACTTTTAACAGAATCTCAATCTAAATATCAGAGCAAGGATTCACCTTTAGCAAGGATTCAACTTTAAATGAAAATGTTTTGGGGTGTTGAGAATTCAAACTTCTCAGAATTGTAAGGTTCTATCATGGCAATGAGTGGTGAAAAGAAGTATGAGGAGGAAGAAAATAAATATGTAATTTAGAGTTTGTTCAGAATCCAAGAGTTAACTCCCCTCATTCAAGAAAGTTGAGTCATGGGCAAACCACAGGTGGTCAGGGAGTGGGTGAACCATGGCACATCTGTTTCTCATAAAACCAGACTGTGCCATTCTAGAGCCTTTACTTTTTCTGAATGAAACACATTCATGTGTGAACGTGTCAGAGCCAGTGCAGGAAAAACATTTGTTTTCTCTGGCACACTATGCACTTATGATTTGCCTAAATGCAATACTTGGGCTTTCTTGTTCTCCCAAAACATTTCCCACTTACATTCACTGAGTTTGCCTGGTACAGCACCAACAGGGGCAGGTTTGTCTCAGATACCATGCTGTCTATGATGAAAATCTGTTTAAATTCTCTTTAGGAACAACTGCCTGATTTAGTGAGATTTTTCACTCAAAGTAGTTATTAAACGCATTTTTCTTAGCATGGGCCTCATATCCCTTAATGAAGGTAGAAACAAAGCAAGAAACTCCTTAAATTATGGAAGAACAAGGTGTAGGAATTTACAGTCTTTTCTCAGTTATTATGGGTGAATTGAAAGTCATCTGTGGTTCTCAAATTTTGCTGTATATTCAAATCACTTGAGAATTTTGTTAACATGCAGATTCTGATTCATTAAGTCTGGGGTGGGACTCAAGATTCTCATTCATAACAGGCTGTGAAGTAATGCACCAATAGGCGGTTGTTTTATGGAATACTTTTTGAGTAAAAAGAACCCAGGGCACAGTTCTGTGACAGAAAGGCTACATACAACCAACAAGTTGATACTGAAGTCACTTTTGAGTTTAACCTTAGCTTGATTCCATCTCTTTCTCTAGTTTTTGTATTTGCATTTAAGAACAGGTTGGAATTAAAAAAACAAACAAACAAACAAACAACTATCACACATCAACTGTATAAAAGATCACAGACAGCAACTACTCTCCCAATCTCAACATCATTCCTCTTCCCTTTCCCCTTTCTGGTTGGTCTTACACAACCAAACCACACTTTATTCTTAACAAGCCATCTTACACTTTTCGGAGATGTATAGATTATACAACGAAAAAGACTGAAGATTTTCTGACGTAGGATTTTTCTAAGGAAATGATGTGAAATGAAAGTCCCACTGAACTACAGTTTGGGAGAGCTGAGTGTTTTCTTGCTTCATCTCTCACTACTTAAGGGAAAGCCTTTTCTTTATTTATAAACCTAGTAGGATCTTGCTTTACCAATTTAACAACCCTGTTGAAGGTGTTCAATGAGTTCTTACAGAGGACAGCATTTTGAGTACATTTTTTAAGCATTATAAAAATACAGTATAAGAATTATTTTAAGATATGATATGGACAATGGCAATTCATATGCTATGTAACTAACTAGACTGAATATCATTGAGGACAGGAATGTATGCTATGCTTCTATTTTTACAACCCTGTTTTTTCAGTCATTTATCCCCATGTTAGGTATAGTATTATAAAAAATATCAGATGATTAATGAATTGTCTGACTGAGAAAGAAAGAAAATTGTAGTATATAATGCTGACATTTGAACCTGCCTTTTAATTTGCCATCATGAAACAGAAGGTACTAAAACTAGCAGAGAAATTTTTATCCGATTTTGTGTCATGGGCCACTTTGGCAGTCCCATGAAGCCCGAGGAACTATTTTCAACAGAATTGTTTTAAAATGCATAAAATAAAAATATTCCAAGGAAAAATGAGTATATAGAAATAGTTATCAAAATATTAAAAGAATTCTTTATTAATGCATTAAATAAGGTATCACAGCAGGTCTAAGTAGCTAACATAATTCTGAAGAAGTGCTAAGTATAAATTATATTTGAGATATATTCAATACCTGTGATATAATTTAAAATTAATCTAGGATTTCTATTGATGCCATAACCCCTGAGGTTTGTGGCTTACATTAATAATTGAAGGAGATATCAAATATCAGTTAGAGTTAGGAAAAACAAATACATTTTTTTTCCTATCCAAATTCTGGACCTTAGGTTATCATCAACCCCTGAACTAGAACATAAATATAAGGATTATAATCCTTAAAATAACTCAAAATCCATATCTTGTATCATTCTAGGCAAGA
This sequence comes from Homo sapiens, assembly GCF_000001405.40. Taxonomy (NCBI): domain Eukaryota; kingdom Metazoa; phylum Chordata; class Mammalia; order Primates; family Hominidae; genus Homo; species Homo sapiens. Next base: position 72,746,971 of record NC_000006.12, on the reverse strand, counting down.
CTTAGAGTGTAACACATAATCTTTTGTTATTATAATTAAGAGTTTGCAGTTCTGCTAGATAGAATCAAAGAGCGTCATTATTTTCCGCAACTACTACATTAGTATCTATAATGTATGGTATACATTAGTTTAACACAAGAATGTAGCATAACATAAAAGGATGTTGTTAATGTTAATGTTCTTGATGTATTATCTGGTAGTGTTTGGTCTCAATTTATTATCCTCAATGAAATTTTCTAACTTTTTTCCTTATTCCTGTACTCAAAATTACATTAATGGTACTTTGAAAGAAAAGATGTTGCTATGAGATTTTGCTTAGAGTCAAAATAAAGCATTCAGCTAAATATATCCAATGTAGTTGTTGAAGCAAGAGGAAGAAAACAATTCTAAGTATCTTCTTTAGAAGTGATGCAAACCTTGTTTTGTTTCACTGTTGCTTCAGGTTTAGTTCAATGACTACTCCCATTAGTACCTGTCAGCAAATCCCTGACTCACCCTTGATCACTAGCCTGTCTACCCTGGTACATCTGAACTGCCTCCCAGTGCTTTCTGAAAGAAAGTAAAAGTTTAACAAGTTGCACGGAGAAAATCATGAGAAAGAGAAGACTGGGTATCAAGAAACCAGGTCTTGGGGCAGGTCAACAATAATGCAGACTTTTAAATAAGGTGGCAATCGGTAGCAAGGGGAATAATCTTGATGAAATTAGTAACTGGCATAAATTTCTGGGCTGGGAGGGGAAGTATCCCACAGAATAGAATGCTAAAAAATTACAAAAAAGTTTCAATAATGCCATTGTTGTGAGTTGATTTGTGTCTCCTATAAAGAAATGTTGAAGTCCTAAACTCTGGTATTTGTGAATGTGACCCTTTTTTTTTTTTTTTTTTTTTTTTTTTTTTTTTTTTTTTTGCAAATAGAGTCTTTGCGGATATAATTAAGATGTGATCACACTGGATTACAGTGGACCCTAATTTCAACCACTGATGTCCTTATAAGGAGAGAGAAATTTGGAGTTAGAGATACAGGGGAGACAGAGGGCAAAAAGCCATGTGATGACAGAGGCAGAGACCGGAGTGAGGCGGCTACACGCCAACACAGGTCAAGGATTGCTAGGAACCACTAGATGTTAGGAAGAGGCAAGGAAGGCTTCTTCCCTGGAGCCTTCAGAAAGAATATGACCTTCAGACACACCTTGACTTCAAACTTCTGGCATCAAGTACTGTGAGAGAGTACATTTCTGTTCTTTTGAACCACTCAGCTTGTGGTAATTTGATACGGCATCCAAAGGAAACAAATACGACCATCTCCTTTTAAGAAGGGTTAGAAGGGTTAGAAATTCACTATGACTAGCATCAGGGCAACAATCTTAATTCTTGTCTCAAAAAGCTGCTTTAATTTCAAACAAAAATATAAACTGAGTTTGAGGAAAGTATGGCTGCATTATTATTCCCATAAATGTAGGCTGAAGTTTAGGAAAAAGAATGAAAAGTTGCAAGTACTCTGATTCTAGCCTTGATTGCTGCCGTTACTGACAATCCTGAATGATTGGATGTGGCTCCTAGAAATTGCAAGGAGTGTGAAAGTTACATGTGTGCTCACTTAATTTAAACATTTAATCTTTTATTGATCTGATATTAAAGAGCTAAACCTGGCGAACCCAATTCAATCAATTAATAAATAGAGGTGGTAAAAGAAGTACGAAGGAGCCAATAATTTCCTAATTGATCTTTTCAGTTTTAAGGAGCAATTACATACATGGAAAAGAACACAATTTCCAAAATTCCTTTCATGGCTGGATTTTTAAATGGCAAAGCAATAAGACAAAGTGCAAGAAAAACAGAGACACAGAAGAGCTGAGTCATTAGATTAAAAGGTCCTGATATTTTAGGAAAAATAACATAAATGTAGTCATTAATAGCCTTGAAATAGTGTATTCCAGTAATAGCCTAGAAATCAGAATTTCTGTGTTGAATTATACTTCTCTGTATTATAGATCATCCTTCCCTGTCCATAAATCCATATCCATTCCAGGCTTCAATATCCAGTCCTTAACTCATGTTTCCCAAAAAACCTTCCCCATTCTAACTATAGGATTTCTCAGCAAATCTGTTGTACCTCTGTTGCCTTTCTTACCATTTTTTCTTTTTCTTTTTCTTTTTTTTTTTAGACGGAGTCTCGCTCTGTCACCAGTCTGGAGTGCAGTGGAACGATCTTGGCTCACTGCAACCTCTGCCTCCCGGGTTCAAGTGATTCTCCTGCCTCAGCCTCCCAAGCAGCTGGGACTACAGGCTCCCACCACCACACCCAGTTAATTTTTGTATTTTTAGTAGAGACAAGGTTTCACCATGTCGGCCAGGCTGGTCTCGAACTCCTGACCTCAGGTGATCCGCCCACCTTGGCCTCCCAAAGTACTGGGATTACAGGCATGAGCCACCGTGCCTGGCCCTCTTACCACTTTTTCTATTTCACTTTTGTATAGCTGTCTATTCCTACTGATAGAAACATCATAGTACATATATTGTGAAAAAAGTATTCTGATGTTTATTTATTTCAGATCAGAACATCTCCCCTTCTCAATAGATGAGAAGTAGATGGCAGTACACATCTATAATTCATAGTAGAAAGTTACATAACAGTCCTCCTTACCATTGCAAGGCAAAAATAATTTCTCCACTAAATTCACCACAGGATAAATAGATTGCAGTTTTAAATTTAAATACCTGTGATAGTCATTAGATCTCATCGTAGATATGCCTGTTCCCCTCTCCCTCTAGGCTCACGATAGAAATGCACTTCCCCACCTACTCTGAGCTTACCTGTGTGGCCATGTGACTTACTTTGGCCAACAGAGTGTGAGCAGAGGTATCATTTCTGGAAGAATGTTTTAAGTGCCAGTGCATGATTTACCAGTATCTTTTCCCTGACCTGGTGATTATGAAAACACATGCTAACATGGGGTTTCCGTTAGGCTGGGTCTCAAAGGGATCATAAGCTGAGCTCCTGTAGACATGAAGCATGAGGGAGAAATGAACTTCTGCCTATGGGCTAAGATTATATTCACTGAGAGTTGGGGCTTTGTTTTTCTTATGTTACTGCAGCAAAACCTACTCAGTCTACCATGAAAGATACAATAAAAAAATTCATGTCACATCTAATACTTTATTTTCACCTCAGTTAATACTACTCCAAAAAACAGGCAAGGTACAGATTAGAGTCCGCAGTTCGTCAAAGAGAAAGCTGAGACTCAGTGTCAGCAGACCTGGTAAGAATACAAACCAGAGGTTGAATCCAGTTCCAGCATTCTTTCCTTATAAGTTGTTTGTAATAGATACAAAGTGAATATAAGCATGGACCTAATAGTAAGGAGAGGATTTAGATTTTAAAAGGGTTTACTGCAGCATAATCTTGGTATGGTCACTACTAGGGACATTAATAAATTGGATTTGAAAAATTGTCATTACATTCTGTTGTCATCCATTATATTGTATAATATAAAATAAAAATAAAATGGGTTTGTGTTTACTACAAATTCATTTTGAAATTTAAATTACGAAGTTGCTTGGTAATGTTAGCTTAAATCTATTAAAATTCTATTAAAATCATTAAATTGTTTTGATGACTAAAATGAAAAATATTTAAAATACATAATGTATATTATAAAATATTTCATTAATTATATTTAATAATATTTTGATTCAGCACCAGTGAAGAAAAACTAAAGCCTATTTATTAATGCTGTTATTTATATAGTTAAAACTTCTACTTCTGTTCCATAGTTTGACCTTTAAATCTTCTAAGTATTTAATGGCTGCTGCTACATTACCTGAAGTCAAGAGTGCATTTTAGCTCAAAATACACCTAAAATGGTTAAAATGATCAAAGGTTTTTGAAGAATTTTTTGCAGAAGCTAGACTGACTAGCCTTTCACATGGACAATTTTAAACTAAAAACAATATTCACCCCTAAAAAGAGAGTTTTGTATTCCAGTTTTTATTATCTGTAATATTTTCAAAGAAGCAAGAATATTTCCGGTTTCTTTTAGTTACAGTATAAGGAACATGAAAATAAGCGGAAGCCCACACTCCTTCAGTCTGAAAGATATTGAATAGGCTTGGGGCAAATCAGACAGCTGCATTCTATTGGGTACATTATGTTCATTTCTGCATTTGGAGTTGACTCTCAGGGAAAATTTCAACTCAAGGGCATGGCCTAAAGGAATATCACTGCTGCTTGTTTCTGAACGACCCTGCAGTATCCAAACTCATCTTACCTGTCCATTAAAAATAGCAGGGTTTTTAATAAATATATCATTGAGGTCAGGTGCAACCGTTATTGCATTTTATATAAAGAGTATTAATAGATATTAGTAACAAATGCATGTCACTGCCACATCATGAAAACAGTTAACCAGATATCAGTCCATGAACTACCTGGAAATTTTGAACAGACCATGCTTAGAGAACTGTGGTTATTTATATCAGATGCTGAGAAGAAAACTGATCTCCTGGAGGACAGCTGATATAAATAGCAGTAGAAAGAGGAGCAGGGAAAGGAACAATTGTATATGTGAGCAGATCAAGTAGAACTTTTGCAACCCTTATGAACTTTGAAAACTATTTCCAAGATTGCATTACAAAAGCATCTATTACACAAGGAAAGTTTCACTGCATTAAGTTTAAGAGAAATACAAATTATGTGGCGATCCTTGAATTGCATGGCATTAAAAATTCAAATGACCTATTTACAATAAAGAATACTGAAGCTATCTTCTAACCAGGGCTCCACTGTGAGTCCACTCCTAGAGAGATTCTTAACCCTTCCCCCGACCACAAGTCACTCTAGAATACTTGATAACTAAGTATAGAATTCATCCCCAAGCGAATAAACCTTCAGTTGCTTCCAGTATTACTGTATGAAGGCAGTTGACAGCCAGTGGGAGATATAGGCTCAATGGCAGAGCATGAAGCGGATAGGTTGTTGGTAGTAGCATGACCAAGTTACTTAACCATCTGGTATTAAGTGACCCCTAAAACTTAAAACAGAAGATTATGTCCTTCAGACTTAGGGGACAATGGAGTTAGGTTTGTCTGCTTTTCTAGCAACTGCCAGGTTTCCTGTTCTTTTATAACATATTCTTAAGAAAAGACAGAAACTACCACCAGGAAGCATATTTGTTTGCCTGGGTTTTGTTTTTTTCTCATAGATCTGTAAGTGATCCTGAATCGTTCTTTTCTTAATTCATACATCAGCTAATGGGGTAAGCTATGTTTCCTCTCATTTTGTGGCTTTATAGTATATCAAGGCCACAATAACATCATCTAAGGTATGTCTTTCCTATTCTAATGCTCCAAAGTTTTGTTACTTAAAATGAAGATTATGGACCAGAAGCACCTGAATAACTTGGAAACTTGTTTGAAATGCAAATTTTTCTTTTCACCTCCTCCAACTCTCTAACCTACTACATCAGACCCTGCATCTTAGTAAGAGTCCCAGGTGATTCATATGCTCATGTAAGTTTGAGAAACACTGCCCTACGAGACATTGGGACCCCTACTCTCCCAGGTGAGAGAAAGTCTCTTCACCTTTGGGACTCTCTTACAGGCTGGCTCCCAAAGGTGACAGAAAGTCATGGGGTGCCATCTCTGCAAGTAAACCACAAAATCTTCCTGGCTATTCATTATTATTAGAAAAGCCACAGAAAAGGAAACATTGTATTCACTGATGTGACACTTTGACACCTTAACCATGGAGCTTCTTTTCAGAACATTTTCACTGGGCAATCTGACATTCAAGCTCATGCCAATCAAAGTTCAACTCGTTGCCTATTCAGCTTTTCTAAACATCCCAACTCCTGTATTTCGCCCTCAGGAAAAGGGCAAGACATCATTGACTTCACCTGAATTCTCATCTGCACTCTCTTCCCTAATTTATAGGTGACCAATGTCATCCTGACACTTTTAAGTTTTTCACCAGGAAAGAGCCCTCTAATGGTGTTACTTTGGCACCAAGGGTCATTACACTGCAAACACAGTGAACAACTCAGAACAATTCCTAGGTCTCCCTCCCAAAAGATGCTCAATCAGCATCAATAAAGTCGTAATTAGAGGGCAGGTAAAGGAGACTGGAGAAGGAGACAAGGGCTAACAGGACTTAAGGGCTTAGCAGCTGAAATCCTTAGGGATCTACCTATAGGGTTCAGGGCACAAAATGGCACCAGCAGCTTGCTGACACTTTCAGCACACAATCCAACTTCCTAGAATCTTTTCATCCATCTGCATAACTCTGCTTGGAGAAGTCTTCATTCACCCTATGATACCCTTGTCAGAATTTCATCTCCCTTATGGGCTGGGTGAATACAACTATATTGCTCAACTATATCCATTGCCTGTGATCTCTCCCCAGATCCTCCACAAACCCTGCCATAAAATTGCTATTTGGACTTAATCTTTCTTTGAGAATCTCATTTTAGCTTTCAATTTGGATAACCTCTGCAGACTGCTTCAGTCTCCAAATGTAACAGGTACTCATGGCAAATGTAACATCTGCAGAGAATTTTAGTTACTCACTAGCAGGGATGTTTCTCTCAAGACAAACTGAACCGGACAGCCACTCTGAGTTTCCGTTCTCTTCTCAAAATGACTCAGACTTGGTCTCCCTTCACATCATTCCCCCAGTTTGCTTTGCTAGTAGATCATATGTTCCCTGAGAACAGGTCCTCTGATTTGTCTCTTACTTCCAATGCTTTAAACTGGCAAATAAGAAGTACTTAGTAAATATTTTTGAACTGAAGATAGTTGAAAAAATGACAGTAGCTCTCTGCAATGTCACTATCCAGGGAAGACACTGAAACTTATTGAGAAGCCTAGGGGATTACTGTAATAAACACTTGGAAAAACAATTTCTCTGGTACCTCAGTTTGTTAGTGGCCAACACCTTGATTTCAACCAAGTGAGACCCTGAGCAGATAATCCAAGTAAGTCTTGCCTACAGTCCTGACCTCGAGAATCTGTGAGATAATAAATTTATGTGCCTCTGAGGCAGCAAGTTTATGGTATCTTGTTACCCAGAGATAGATAATTAATATAATAGCCTAAACTTACAGTGCTATAAATATTCTTAAAACACAATAATTAATTTTATTTTCTCATTTTATATATTTATAGTGCATGAAGCAGACTCTGAAAGACTTCAGGTCCTGGGACTATCGAATAGTCAGTAGAGCTGCTGTGGGAATTAACAGTTCCTCAGTCCTAAATCCTCAGCTGACTGAACAGACCGTCTGTAGGTCCACTGCCTTCTCTGATACAGAAACAGATTATTTAGGTGACTGTGATTTTCTTTAAATGTTGTATTTGTAAAAAGTGGTTTCTGTATTATCATTTCTAAGAAAGAATAGGTTTTAAAATGAAATTTAGTGAGGCGGCAAAGGCTCAGAGTTTCTGTTATGAAATGAAAAGGAAGTTCAGAAGCAATAGAGATGAAGCAGAGTAAAACCAAAATAAGCAGTTGGTGGAAAGGTCATTGATAGAACAGGATGTGGTAAAATTTAAGATTTTTTTCCATGTCTTCTGTGTTGGCCCCCATAGCATACCCCAGATAGTTGCTTCAGTCCTTTGGACATAGCATATCGTTAGACTTTCAGCAGAGCTACTCCATGGAATTACGTAGCTGATTTCTATAATTCCCCCACAATTATATCCTTTTTGCAATTCTCATATTAATTCATAATTCCTTTCTTTTATTTAAAATAAACTTCATTTTCAAGAGCACTTTTAGGTCCACAGCAAAATTGAGCAAAAGTATAGCGCTCCCATATACCCGGTGGCTCCACACAAGGTACAGCTTTCTCCACTATTGAGATCCCCCACCAAACTGGAACATTGGTTACAATCAACGAACCTACACTGACCCATCATTATCACCCAAAGTCCATGGTTTACATTAGGGTTCAATCTTGGTGTTGTACATTATATGGGTTTTGACAAATGTATAACATATTCACATAATAATAGTATCACATGGAGTAGTTTCATTGCCCTAAAAATCCTCCGGGTTCTGCCTCATCATCCCTCCTTCTCCCTAACCCCTGGCAACCACTGATGTTTTAACTATCCCTATAGTTTTGCTGTTTCCAGAATGTCATATAGTTGGAATCATACAGCATATAGCCTTTTCAGATTGGCTTCTTTCACTTAGTAATATGCATTGAACGTTCCTCCATGTCTTTTCACGATGTGATACCTTATTTTTTTTGCCCTGAATAATATTCCATTGTCTGAATGTGCCACAGTTCATTAACCCATTCACCTACTGAAGGACATCTTGGTTGCCCTAATTTCTTAAATTTTTTTTTCTATACTACCATGCAAATTCTTGTAATTGACCATGGAAAATAACGTCATAAATCAATACAACAGCAGAAAGAAATAAAGAAACATAAGATATTATAACGAATCTGTGAACTGAAAGTCTTACCAGTTTATTCGCATACTGTTTTAGATATACTAAAAAATAGTAAATGGACAAAGTTGAGAACCTAAAGTGTAATATAATATTTTAATATATTTATAGTAATTTAGAGAATAATTTTTTTTTACACACCAGAATATCTGGATTCTATAATGAAGTCTCTGGGAATTGAAAGCAGCCCAAGAACTTCTGGTGAATGAGGTCACAAGGGCCTGAGGCTGTTTTGAATCTGAGAAACGTGGAAAGTCAACATTTTGAGTCCTGTCTTGTCAACAGATTATTTTTGCCCTGTAAGGTATTACTTTTCAAAGTTTTTTCACCCAAACCATAAGTAACAAATTTTTTTTTTTGAAATGGAGTCTTGCTTTGTCGCCCAGGCTGGAGTGCAGTGGCATGCTCTCGGCTCACTGCAGGCTCCACCTCGTGGGTTCACGCCATTCTCCTGCCTCAGCCTCCTGAGTAGTTGGAACTACAGGCGCCCGCCACCACGCCCGGCTAATTTTTTGTATTTTTAGTAGAGATGGGGTTTCACCGTGTTAGCCAGGATGGTCTTGATCTCCTGACCTTGTGATCCACCCACCTCGGCCTCCCAAAGTGCTGGGATTAGAGGTGTGAGCCACTGCGCCCAGCCCCAAGTAACAAATTTTATATTCTTGCTCTCCTTTCCTCTCCTCTGTCCTTCTACCTCTCCACCTTGCACCTTCCCTGCAGATAAAACTGAGACAAGTTTCATGAAACAATACTTACCTATAAGTATTATGATAAAGTACAAATATAAGAAAGTCAATAGGGAATGTGATTTCATTAGCATTTAAATGTAAAAGGAAAAGTTTCCAAAATATATGATACAAAAGTAAACAAACAAAAACCAATATGTAGTTCTCTATCCACTAAATTGATATCAAGCCCTACTAATGAGCCAAAATTCGCAGGTAGAACACCACCCTCCAATGTCCACCCAAGCCTTCTCTCAGACACTCTCAGGAAATGCTTCTAACTGCACCAGGCTGGTGGCTTTCCAAGAGAAAAAAAAAAATCACCTGTGTTTTCTGGATAGAAGTCACACACCTTTATCCTTTGTATATTGTTGTCCCACCAGAGGCAGTGCAAGCTTTGTTTGATTGCTGATTAGACATATCATAACAATTACGTATTTTTTCTTCTTTCATTATAAATATTTTACTAACATTAAATAATATATATGATGAAAGTTATGATCAAACTGTTACTACTAAAATGAAGCCTGACCGGGCTTGGTGGCTAACACCTGTAATCCCAGAACTTTGGAAGGCCAAGGTGGGCAGATCACTTGAGGCCGGGAGTTCAAACCAGCTTGGCCAACATGGTGAAATCCCGCCTCTACTAAAAATATAGAAATTAGCCGGGCGTGATGGCAGATGCCTGTAATCCCAGCTACTTGGGAGGCTGAGGCAGGAGAATCACTTGAACCCGGGAGGAGGAGGTTGCAGTGAGCTGAGATCGCGCCACTGTTCCCCAGCCTGGGCGACGCAGTGAGTGAGACTCCATCTCAAAAAAAAGAGAAATCTTGTTTATATTCATCATACAGTTGACATTCTTTAAAAGCTCTATATTACAAATATGTTTACTGTCACATCAAATTTAAAGTATTTTTAAAAAGAAAATGATAATACTTTCACCTTTACATATTGCCTACGTAAATTTTTTCCTTTGAAATCTTTTTTTACGGCCGGGCGCGGTGGCTCACGCCTGTAATCCCAGCACTTTGGGAGGCCGAGGCGGGCGGATCACGAGGTCAGGAGATCGAGACCATCCCGGCTAAAACGGTGAAACCCCGTCTCTACTAAAAATACAAAAAATTAGCCGGGCGTGGTGGCGGGCGCCTGTAGTCCCAGCTACTTGGGAGGCTGAGGCAGGAGAATGGCGTGAACCCGGGAGGCGGAGCTTGCAGTGAGCCGAGATCCCGCCACTGCACTCCAGCCTGGGCGACAGAGCGAGACTCCGTCTCAAAAAAAAAAAAAAAGAAATCTTTTTTTACATGTAAGCATAATTTATATTATGTTAATTCTACACTTTCTCATTTTATATTACTTCATAAGCAGATTATCATATTTTTTCTTAGCAATTTATATTCATCTTTTTTTGTCAATGTAATCCACACTACTACTATTGAACCATAATTTACTCAATTATGCCCCTTATTATCGGACATTGAGATTGCTGCCACTTTTTAATATCATACATAACACTGCTAAAATTATTTGTACAGAACCATTTTTCTTGTTTTCTTGGGTTATACTCCTGGGAATAGAATTCAAGGGTCAAAGGGATGAGATATTTTAGAGCTTTTGATATGTTCTGACAAAAATTGTCAGTGTCACAAATCTTATGTTAAAAATTTGAATTGGGGAATCCGTGTGTGTGTGTGTGTGTGTGTGTGTATGTGTACACACATATGTGCATGAATCTTAAATTGTGAGTTTCATGTTTCTTAAAAAAGACTATTAACAAAAAAGAAACAAAAATAAAATAAATATCCAGTTTTGAAATTGCTACACTAGCTATACACATTCTGCCATAAAAATTTGTTTTTAAGTTTTTAGCTTAAAAAGATAAAAATAATATTGTCTAAGTAGTTTTTCAAATTTATTTTAAAATGCTAGAAAAATGTTAAATTTCTACTTGTTATATAAACAAAGCCTTTATACAAATTAGAAGAGAGATGAAAGCTTCTTCATTTTTCAAAGCATCTAAAATGACTACATTTATAAAATTCTTAAAAATAAAAACAATCCAATTTGTTTAATAGAAGACCCTTCTAACTACTAGTCACCAATAGTAATCTGAATTCTAAATCTAGAGGAATGACAAGTTGTGTTGTGCTTGAAACTCACTAATTCAAAACTTTAAGTTTTGAAAAAAATGAAAAATAGTTCTAAAAATTAAGATTTTTCTTTATTTAAAGATACATAGTCATTTTTTATGAAGATAGTTTAAAGACACTATATTTAGTGCATTATTAAGACATTAAAAATATTAGTAGTACTCTATTGTATACAAAAAGTATAACTCTTTTAAGAGAAACATTGGAAGCTGTTTATTATAACAATGGCTTCAACCTAGTCTTCAAAATATGTCATTTGAAAACATCTAAAATGCAAATAATGTCTTCAATGCTTTTCTTGAAAGAAATGGTAATTTTCATATTGGATTCTGCTGAAATAAAATACTTAATTCTGAAGGTGCAGCCTTGTCCATACATGTCCTGAACTGTATAATTCTTTCAGGAGAACCATCCTACAGATACTGCTAGTTTTAAGCTTAAATATAGGTTATAATAATCAATTGTCATTAGATATTTAGTCTAAGAAAAGAGTTTTTTTGATCACCAAGTTATCCAACAGCAAGCCTTGCATCTTGAATTTTTTTCCAGTATGTTAGATATTTGCTAAACTATCCACAAGTAGTCACTTGACTTCTCTTCTAACCAATGGCCTTCCTCTTGTGCCAATGTAGAAGGCTTAGAGACTGAGTTACAGAATTTGTAACTGTGCACAGTTAATTGACTGATATTAGAATTATCATGAAGTTGAAGTGAAATTGAAAATTAGATTAAAATAAAGAATCATAGAAGTAGAGTTAACAAGCAATCTAGTCTCTTGATTTTATAGCTGAGAAAATTGATCTCTGAAGAAGTTATTCTGTTACTACAGGGCCTAAACTGGGTAATCTTAAATTTTAAATAAAATTACTAAAATTATATGACAGAACCTAAAATTATTGTAGTTTGTGATATATAAATTGCAACATCATCCACCAGTTTTTCTGGGCTCTACTGCAATAAAAGTTTATATGCCTATGAAGTAGAATAATAGCTTGTAAGTAAAAAGGATTAATCTTAACTGGGTATCAAAAGGGGGATTTGAAACCACAGCACAAATAAAAGTCTCAAACATCAAATGAAATCAGCTATAACTTCAATGCTACATTTAAAAAAAATACTAGTCGAAACCCCGTCTCTACTAAAAATACAAAAATTAGCCAGGTGTGGTGGTGGGTGCCTGTAGTCCCAGCTACTCGGGAGGCTGAGGCAGGAGAATGGCGTGAACCCGGGAGGTGGAGCTTGCAGTGAGCCGAGATCATACCACTGCACTCCAGCCTGGGAGACAGAGCAAGACTCCGTCTCAAACAAACAAACAAACAAACAAACAAAAACTAGTTATTGAACATGTTTAAAAAATTTGTGTTAAGTCATTTTGGATCAAGCAATAACAATTTAACATTCAATTAAATAACATTTTTCAGTCTTGAACTTGAGAAGGAAATCACAGTATTACAAAGCTCCTCTGCAATCAAAGTTACAGCTCGCTTCTCACTTTGACTTTAATTAATTTTTAAATATCAACAAGATCTAATCTCAAGCCCATCCCACACAATTAACCATGTTGGTCTTTTGTCTTCATTCTCTTTCCAATGTAGCCACTTTATTGCCCAAACCAACAAGTCTCTTGTCCTTCCTTGTCCCTTATCCTCCCTTCACACCTATTTGGGAGAACTTCAACCCTGTGTAAATCAAACTGTTCTCAGCTACCTTATACCTGAATTACTGAGTAGAGCACTAATGGAGAAAATGACATAGCCACGTGGACTGGAGGAAGTACAAATTCCAAATCTTCAGCCTCATGGGGCTGCAGGACTGATGCAGGATCTGCTCCTAGGCAACTCATTCCTCAATTACCCATTAGAAACCATTAAGATGTACAGTTGCTGTCCTTGCTGTCCTCCCCAGCACTTAGGAGCCTCTTAGCCACACTTATCCAGGTTTTCTTTCTTCCTCTTACACTGGAGGTTCAAGGTTAATCCTTTCACGTATTCTCCAAATTCCTCTTGCTGCTAACTTCTCAGAAACTTGCTTCAGCATCTCCTCTCTTTCTTATACTGTCTGTCTCTCACCTTTGTATGGCTTTAAACTTGCTCATGACTCTTCCATTTTTAAAAAGATGGACATAAAGTCTAACTTCTCCCTAACTCAGTGAGCATCACTGCTTGAAAGTATTTTACATTTATCTTCCTTGGTGCTCATGCACTCCTCATCCTTATCTTTCTGCTAAAGCTACCTTGCGTTGTTCCTCAATGATCTTTTTATGGCTAAATCCAATAAGTATGGTGGCTCTTACTTTACTTGACATCTATAGTATTTGAAGTGTTTTTCTTTACTTCTACAGTGCTACTATTGCCTAGTTTCACTTCTCCTTGTTTTTGGTTCCTTCTCTGTCTCCTTTATTCACTCATCCTCCTGTTCCTAAATGTTGTATTATTCATAGTTCTGTCCTCCTTTCACCCTACCCTACTCACCGTGGCTTAGTCACAGCATGGCTTAAGGCTACCCTTAAACTTATTTCTTCAGCCCAGTTCTTTTCCTAAGTTCAAACCTTCTCTAGTCCCATGTGAATGTCCAACTAGCATCTTAACCCCATTTCACAGAAAACTGAACACACCTTATTTTTGCTACAAAATCTACTTTCCTTCCTGTTTTCACTTCTTTATGAAGAGTAATACTTTTCACATAGTTGTCCAGGACAGACACTGGAGCATCCTCCTCCTTTCTTTCCCCCATTTTCCCCACTTCCTGATTCAGTCCATGCCAAATACTGTAGTTTCTTTCCCCTTCTCCCGCCTTAAGGACTTGCAAGTCACTTGCCACTCTTTACTTTGTTTAAGCTCTCATCATTTCTTGTCTAATGTGCCTCTTTAGTACTCTTTTCTTTGAATCTTGCTGACCTCCAACCCATTCTCACTGTACCTCTATATTCATTTTTCTGAAATGCAAGTCTGAGCACACCACATCCCTGCTTCAAGTCCTCCAGTGATTCCTGCACTCAAGCATAATGGAAAAATCAAGTAGTTTGTCCCAAAGACCCTTTATGATCTAGTCCCAGTGGCTTCCTCTCCACTTTCATCTCTTCAGTCATTCCCAACTGAAGATAGACATAAGAGTGGGCAAAGCCCTTGAATAAACCGCACTCTCTTTCACTTGCTAGACTTCACACACTCTGTTCTTGCTGGGCAAGTTCTCTGCCCGTTGGCTCTTCTCTTTAGCTAACTAATTCTATCCTCCCACCACCTCCTCCCCTTCCCTCATATACATCCACACCCTCCCCTGCAACTGATCCTTTGGGACTCAGTGCAATTTCCACCTCCCCTCCCCTTCCTAATGCTACTCCCCTACTCAGGCTTCCTCAGGTTCCTGTAATATGTAGTCCCTCTTACCCTGAGCTCACCTCTGTCAGATCACTCCTCACTCCACACTAGAAGTATCTCTGTATCTATTTGCCTTCCACACTAGATTGCATATTACTCAAGGCAGGGACTATGTCTTAATCATCTTTGTGACCCCTGTACCAACTGTACTTGTTGGGGATTGTATTTTAACCCCTTACTGAGGTTCCAATTCCAAAGGAAAAAAGGGAACATGTGATTCAATTACTCTTGAACACATTTTCAAGCTCAAAAACTACAAAATCAAAGCAGCAATATCTAGCTCAGGTTTTTCTGAGCACTAGTTTGTCTTAAATTATTCTAAAACATGATAACTAATTGAACTGTACTCATTTTATTCACTTTCCTATTTTCTTCTTGGTATTTTCCTTCTCACTTCTCAACATGTTTGGAGGATATAATTTTTTGAAGGTTTGTTCCTCGTGGCAGGACTGGAAGTTGTCTCCCCAAAATCCATTCTCTCCTTGTTCCTTAGTAACAGAATCTCTATATTGTTGGGAGCAACCTCTTGTACACTTAAGGAGGAGATGAGTGACAGAGTGGGACTTCTTGGAAAGTATTAGAAGAGAACCGGCTTCACTTGAAGGTACACACATTTTTCCTAACTCCTCTTTTCTTTGTCCTCATGCCTGAAATGTGCATGTTGGTGAGAGCTTAAGCAGCCATCATGAACCATGAGGCAAACTTGGGGATGGAGATCACACACTAAACATAGTAATGAGGGAAAAAAAGAAGCCTGAATCACAGATGCGTTAGTTAGTCCCATAACAGTGTTGGAATGCCTATACCCATAACTCATTTACATGAGAGAAAAATAAACCTTTATTGTGTTGAAAGACACTGTTATTTGGGATAGCTTTTATATGGAGCCAAGCCTAATAAAAATTCTTGGATCCACTGCTTTTCTGCTTCTAAATGACAACTGCTCTGCCTTCTGAGTCCTTTCTATCTCCATTGTGCTTTGCCCATGTTGTGTGTGCCAGACAAATCTGGTGGCTTTCCTTGGATGGGATGACAAAAACTAGTTAGCACCTAATATGCTATCTCTACCCACCTGTCCTCTCATTTTCACTTAAAACTTTTATCTGCTTACTTATAACATCTATCTGTTTCTTCTAATCTGTGGGAATTTGGAGGTAGAGCCAGGGTTAAAACAGCTGGAGTCCTTCCTTTTTAGTATCACATATGCTAAGCCATAAATAGAATCAGAAATAGAAAAACACTTAATGAGAAATATGCAAGAACCATATGAAGAAAGCTTTTAAGATGCTTCTAAGGGACATAAAATACATAAATAGAAATGCGTACTATGTTCTTGGATAAGAAAATGTACCATAAAAACATTCATCCTTTCACAGCTAATTTGTAAATGTAATGGCACCCTGAATGTCAATACTTTTTTTTTTTCTCAGAACAAAATAAACTCATTCTAAAGTTTATATGGAAAAAGAAACAAACAAGAGCAGCCAGGAAAATTCTGAAAAAAGTGTAATGAAGAATGAGTAACTCTACCACATAAAACACCATAAAGCCTCAGTAATTAAAATGATATGAAGCTACTGCATGAATAGAGATGTAAATTTAAGAAGCAAAATATAAAGTTACAGACACAAAAAATAAATGAAATTTTGGTATATGATAAAAGTGGCATTTCATATGTGTATAGAAAAGATGAGCTATACAATAAATGGTGCTAAGACAACTGGGTGGCCATACAGAAAAAAGTTGAATCCCTATCTTACATTACACCAGAACAAATTCTGAAAGGATCAGAGAGTAATGTAACAAAATAAAATAACAAAAGTACTAGAATAAATGTACAGGAGAATTCTTTTTATAACCTCAAAGTGGTGGAAGGCCTTTCTATTTCCTAAAATTTAAAAGCCATAATAGAAAAACTAATAAATTAATCCATATTAAAGAAAACAAAAAAAAATCTAAATAGTTGTTTAAAATATAAGTAAAGTCAATAATACAAAAAATATTTACAATTCAATTAACCTAAAAAGGACTAATTTCCTTGGCATATATGCAGGTCCTACAGAATATTCACTTATCTTTTATTTATTTATTATTTCTTTCTTTATATAGTGACAGGGTCTTGCTCTGTCACCCAGGCTACAGTGCAGTGGTGTGATCATAGCTCACTGTAGCCTTGAAGTACTGAGCTCAAGTGATCGTTCCACCTCAGCCTTCTGAGTAGCTAGGAGTACAGGTTCACATCACCATGCATGGCTAACTCTTTAATTCTAGAGATGGGATTTTACTATGTGGCCCAAGATGGTCTCAAACTCCTGGCCTCAAAGGTTCCTCCCACCTCGGCCTCCCAAAATGCTGGGATTATAAGTGTGAGCCATTGTGCCTAGCCCTAATATCTACTGAAGGCAGTAGAAGCCAACAACCCAGTAAAATATAGGCCCAGTATAAGAAAGTAAATTTGTTTAGAAAAATGCAAAAACTTCTCTAATACCTGAAATAAGTTCTCTCTCATGCTTAAAAAGGAAAAGCAACTTCATTTTCACTTCATTGAGCAAATTCCAAAAGTTTGTTAACACACAGTGTTGACAAGATTGTAGATAAAGAAGCCCTCTTTATATTATTGGTGGGAGTAAGTACTGTTAGAAATTCTACTGAAGGCAATTCAGTAGTTTCTTTTAAAATTAAAAACTCATAAACCAGGCCAGCCATGGTGGCTCACGCCTGTAATCCCAGCAAGGAGGATCACCTGAGGTCAGGAGTTTGACCAGCCTGGCCAACATGGCGAAACCCTGTTTCTACTAAAAATGCAAAAATTAGCCAGGTGTGGTGGCACACGCCTGTAGTCCCAGATACTTGGGAGGCTGAGGCAGGAGAATCGCTTGAACCCAGGAGGCAGAGGTTGCCATGAGCTGAGATTGTGCCACTGCACTCCAGCCCGGGTGACAGAAAAACAAAACAAAACAAAACCTCCTAAACCCTTTGACTTTACATTTCCACTTTTATAATTTTTTTCTTACAAATATATTAACCCATGTGTGAAAAGACACACGTACAAGATTAGTCATTGCAACAATTATCTGTAATGGAAAAACACTGGAAACACCTCATTTGTCCTGTAATAAATAATGGTATGTCCATTAAATGGAATAATACATAGCTCTAAAAAATGAGGGCACTCTTAATGCACTGATATGGAAAAATCTATGATATATATTAAGTGAAAAAAAGAACATTGCGCAGTACTTATAGTATACTACTATTCTGTGTGTAAAAAAAGATAAGAAAAATAAAAATATATTGGGAAATACATGTTCACTTTATACATTTGCATACTTTTTGATGCTTGGGTCATTAAAATATGCTACCTAGGCAAAAACCTAAATAAGTATTTATTAGTAAGATAAAGAAAGAAAAGATCATATCACTGAGAACTTTAGAAATCTCAAGACCTGGGTAGTTATGTACCAGGAGATGTCATATTAATGAAGTACAGAAAATGTCAAAAATAAAAGGAAATTTTTTTCTTTGCTTGTCTTGAAGACCCTGATGGCTTCTGAATACATTCACCAAGGCAAGTGTTGATACAATCTCTTTTTCTCTCTAGCTAATTTCCAGGGAACAGAAGTAACACCTAATCAAAGAACATTACCTTCTTCCAGAATAGGAAGACCTGGCAATTTTCAGAATTGCTATGGACCAATCAATGACTGCTGTGTGCCTCTCATTGTCCCCCTTTTTGAATGGATTGTTCACAGGATAATCACAATGAATATTCTGTTCAAAAAGTGGACAATGAGAGGCACACAGACCAAAGTACTCCACTATTACATGTTGGGAGTGTGTGTTGGGGGGCATTAGATAACTTTTTTTTTAAATTAACAGGCCTCCAGATCAAGAAGAACTGCATCTGGAACAGGTATAAATAATAAGATCCTGGAATTTGAACTTGATTTCATACTTATGATTAAAAGTATGGGAATTTCCTAAAATTATATTTATATACAAAATGAGACAGAAGTAAGCTATTTTGTGTGTGGGTGGCATGCGAATAATTGTGATCTAGAAGGTGGAACATGGTATATTGCATTATTGTTTCTAATACTCTTTCCCATAGCTATACCATATGTTATATGACTTTGCATAACCTACCACTGGAATCAAAGGATATTTTCCTTCCTCACTGTTATTAGGCTTGGCCATGTGACTTTTGCTGACAAGTAGTATGTTAGCAGAAGTACACTAGCAGAGGATTAAAATGTTATTGCCAGGTTGGGCTTTGGTGCATTTACTCTGCCTTTTGCCATGAGAAGACCCTGCCTCATATAGCTCCTGGCCCAAGAAGAATGAAATAAAGGTGCAGTGGACATAGACCCAACCTGCAACTTAAGGCCATGGGAAGACTCTGCCTTACAGAGCTCTTGGTTCAAGAATAATGAAATCAAGGTGCAGTAGACCTAGACCCAACCTGCAACTGAGGCCAAGCCCAGCTGAAGGCAGCCTAGATCAGCCAAACCCCAGCTGACCCCACCCAAACTGAGAGGAAGAAATAAATACTTCCTGAATACCCCTCAGGTTTAGGTAATATATTATGCAGTATTATTGTGGCAACAGCTAACTAACACACCAATCCAGAAACCTGAGGCATTACTGAAGGAGTACCAGTTGCTAGCTATTGATTCTAAATTATTTTAGAGGCAATCATTGTAAATCACTGCTATATGTCTACAAAAGTGAAAAAAAAAATCCAGAAAAATTGTGAAATCAAAGTAGCTGCCCCTCAGAAAACAACAGGGATATTCTTTGAGAGGGATGGGCACTGAGTACATAAATGCCATCATTGAATTTTCATGTGAAAACATTTTTAATATGAAGAATAATGTTTAGATATTATAAGATGACAATCTTATACAAACTGGGAATCATACTTCAGAGATGGGCTTGACATTTTCTGCATTTTTAACTTCCTCATAAATCTTGATCAAGGTGTAAGGTAGGAATCTCTAGCCCAGGAGCTAGAAGTGACTATGCGAGAAGTTACTGCTCAGAACATTTCTCACTTTTTGTCCCTCTTGCCCCCATGGCAGGTCATATTGAGACCCTGCTGTGCTATGTGGGGTATATGGCTCATCACAGTTTAAAATTAATGGTTACATTTACTCAATTTCAAGAAAGTGTTTTCACATTTAAGGACTGAAATCCTTACTGAAGTATTATAGTAGTTAACCAACTGACTTATATTTCAACAACAAAAAAATCACTTCTCTGCATGTCACGACTAAGAGTGATCTGAGTGGTTTATCTTTAATAAGTAAGCCTCAAGATTGCTTGAGCCTAGGAGGTTAAGGCTGCAGTGAGCTTTGATCACGCCACTGCGCTGCAACCTGGGTGACACAGTGAGACCCCATCTCTAAAACAATTTGAAAAAAATTAAAAAATCATTAGAACTTAAGGCTTTCATCTGTTTTTGCTCCTGCTTTTTGTATCCTCTCTATTTTATTCCTCACTGTTCTTTCTTTCCTTTAACTACAGAACAGAATTAAAGAGAATATTAAATTTTTTCTGTATTCAACAACATTCATAATCTGTTCTCCATTCTTTTTTAATCATCTGATCATCTCCCCCTATTTGCCATGCCTGCACTGGCAGTCACCTTTCACAAGATTTTTTAAAGGTGCCCTGTTTACCTTGAACTTTAAAATTTATGAAAAGAAGCTGTTTGTTGTGAGAATATGGCAATATTAAAAAACAGATTTTTGGCTGGGCGTGGTGGCTTACGCCTGTAATCCTAGCACTTTGGGAGGCCGAGGCGGGCGGATCACGAGGTCAGGAGATCGAGGCCATCCTGGCTAACACAGTGAAACCCCATCTCTACTAAAAAAAATACAGGGAATTAGCCGGGCATGGTGGTGGGCACCTGTAGTCCCAGCTACTCAGGAGGCTGAGGCAGGAGAACTTCTTGAACCCGGGAGGTGGAGGTTGCAGTGAGCCGAGATCGCGCCACTGCACTCCAGCCTGGGCGACAGAGCCAGACTCCATCTCGAAAAAAAAAAAAAAAAAAATTTAAATTTAAAAAACAGATTTTTATCTATACTTTGTAAATACCTGGGTTTTTCTGATAAGTGTAAGGGCTCATGTTATTATTGTGAATTAATTTTTTTTTTTACCAAACATCAATTTTTTTCTTAGATAATGTGAGATGAGGATGTTTATACATAATAAATCCATTTAGTCTGCCTGTAAATTACTTTGGGATTAAGTCATTTCAGAAAACTGTGCTAAGAAAGCTATGACTGTGATGCATCCATTTTTGTTATAAACTATCTGATAAATGCATAACTGATTTTGTAGATTATTTTCACTATAAAATTCAAATATTCTAATCCAAAATGGAGGTTGTTACTAAGAATAAAAGACACTATCTTTGGTGATTAAACACAATCATTTTAAAAATGTTTAATTGACAAGTAATAATTATATATATTTATGGGAGAAAATGTGAAGTTTTGATATATTTTTACGCTGTGGAATGATTACATCAAGCTAATTAACAAAGCTGCCACCTCACATACTGACCATTTTTTTTGTGGTGAAAACATTTAAAATCTCATCCTTTAGCAAGTTTGAAACATACAATGCATTTTTATTATAGTCACCATTCTGCACAACAGACCACTAAAGCTTATTCCTCTTGCCTAATTAAAATTGTGTACTCTTTGATCAACATCTCCTCCTTCCCTTTCCATCTCCCTCCCTCAGCCTCTGGCAACCACTATTCTACTCTCTACTTCTGTGAGTTCAACCTTTAAAAATAATTCTTATAGAAATTCTCTTTTTCTACTACACTTCTTCAAGAAATGTCCTCCCACATATACTACTTTTAAATTAATCTGTGGAATTCCAAAACAACAATTAATATGATTAATCATTTTTGGGAAAACTTGTACAAGCATAGAAAAAATGATGACTACTTGATCTTCATTAAAGAAATTAAGAGTTTACAGATTTGGGGAATATATATATTAATAGTTAATATAACCCAATGTAATTTTGTCATCAACTAGATTATAATATAATTTCATACTGCATTAAAAAGTCTATTTGAAAGGATACCAAATTCTCTATTAAGATTTTTTTTATAGAAACCACATTTTGGGGAAAAACAGAGAAAAAATTCTAAGTAATAAATACATCCTCGCTTTAGTACATAAGAAATAAATTTTTAACGTAGTGTATTCTTTAAGATAGGTGGTTAATTTTATCTTGGGTGAACCAAGACATTATTAGAATTATGTTGAATTGTTTATATGGTTTCCCTTCTCTATGCAACCATGTTATGAAGTAATATATGACTTGTATTTCTGCACTGAAGCCTATGGTAAGTTAAACAATATATTTTCTATTTGACTTAAAATACCTCTTTTTAACTGAGAGAGACCCAGACAAACAGGCATTTTGTACAAGCATGAGTTGTTGCTTATTCATGAGTAAAACCACAGGTCGTCAAGTCTATAAAGTAATGTGGGCTTCATTCAGCTCTGACTTTTACTTCTCAGCCATGGCACTCATGCACAGTGGCCAAGGAGGGACACAAGGGGCATAAATCTCTCAAGAGAGCACATGTTTTATAGTTTTTTCAAACGAATCCTCCATTTCTCATATTAAATTCACATGTGGTGTGTGTGTGTAAGTTCATGGACAATTTCCAAGGCACTGGGCTACTAGAAAAAGTTTCTAGGGGGAGCTTACAACCACTGCAATTACCCCTTTTATGTTCTAGGAAGAATACAGAAAGAACGGACTATTCCACAGGTCAGAGGGGAAACTCCCAATTGCCTTTCAGGTAAATTTAATCCTGCAAGTTATTTATAAAATTACGTCTTTCTTTGGATAAAAGAAGCAAAAGAAAAAAGAAGAGGTAATTTTTCTTTCCTTTAAAAATATTAAATGACAAGGAGCATCTATTTAGTATATTCAAGTATACTTTTTTCTTCTTATAGGAATTGGCTTGATTTTCCCTTCCTTGCCTTTAACCACAAAAGTAGTATTACTACCAAGTTTTCCTAGCATTTTTGTATCACATTTCCTTGGTCATATGGAGCTATTTTATATGTCTTACATAAAAATAAGTAATTCCAAGACTCTCTAAAATAATTAGGGAACAAACCACAGAGAAAACATCTATATAAAATATATAAACATCTATAGAGATAACAGATTTACAAATAAGCCTGAGTTTCTAAATAAGAAAGCGTGTCAAAAGAAAGTCAATTACTTAAAAATCATATTACAACATTAGCAGACAATGGAAGTGCAGAAGATGTAACAGACCTTACTTTTAGCATAGTAGCTCATGAATTCTCATTTGAAAAATGAATTCAAACTAGCTACAATAGGAGAGTTCTCATCTGCACTAAAATAGCATGAAGGGTTGTAAAGGGAAGGTAATGATGAATGGCAATGTATTGAATCATAGATTTTTTTTTTGAAATCTTGCTCCAAAATTTTGAAAAATTTGAAAAATTTTGAAAAATTGCTCCAAAATCCAATGGATTTTAAAGTACTTAAGGTACCAAACTATTTATATGATCACCTGTGATGAAAGAAAGAAAGGAAGGAAAAAGGAAAAGAAAGAAGCAAAAAAAGTGAGGGGAGAATAGAGGTTCCTAGGCAGGCTTTATGTGTTTCTTGCATACATTCATAGCATGAGCATTGCTCCAACAGCAAACCCTGTCTGTGAGATTTATATCCTATAACGCATATGATAGCAAAGCATAACATTAAATATTAGATGTTTATCCAGTATTATTCCTCCTGTTTCTCATATTATTGCCATATATAAAGTAACAGGTATATCAAGATTCATAGTATAGAATAGAAACAAATAAAAAAGAAAATTAGATACCAATTACCGTTAATAAGTTAACACATACTAAATTTTTACTATGTGTTAGGTACTCTAAGACTTTAATCCTGAAATCTTACTTCATCCTGAAATAATTAAGAGTAAGTACCATTATTATTTCCATTTTAAATATAAATAAATCATGTTCTTTTCTTTCCACATTCCAGTAAATTGCAAAGCTAGAAGTGAAATAAAAGACTACCAAAATCAGGCTGGGCGTGGTGGCTCATGCCTGTAATCCCAGCACTTGGGGAGGTTGAGGTGGGAGGATTGCTTGAGCCCAGGGAGGATTGCTTGAGCTCAGCCTGGGCAGCAAGGTGAAACCCCATCTCTACAAAAGATACAGAAATTAGCTGGGTGTAGTAGCACACACCTGTAGTCCTAGCTGCTTGGGAAGCTGAGGCGGGAGGATCACCTGAACCCAGGAAGTCAAGGATGCAGTGAGCTGTGATCGTGCCACTACACTCCAGCCTGGGTGACAGAAAGAGACGTGTCTCAAAAAAAAAAAAAAAAAAAGTCAACCAAACCCTAATACTCCTTTCACTATACTACTTTGCTATTATTATTATTATTGTCATTATAATTATTATCATGCTTAATTTCATGGGATTAACAGGGAAACAGAAACATGAACATATTAATAAAATGTCAACAACATGGTCTGAATAGTCATGTTTATGACAATAATCCGAGCTATGCCGAAGGAACAATGCCTCCCATGATTGCCACATGTGTGAAGTCCTGACTCTGATTCAGCCACCATGTCAGTTCACTTCTAGGTGGAGCATCTCTAAACTTCACCATCTGATGCGATTTATACAAATGAAGACAATGAGATTTGGAGAGTCTAAGAAACTTCTCCAAGGTAGTTGTGGCAGAATCAGGATTTAAACCTGGGTGTTCTGATTTGAAAGATCTTGCATATAAACACTCCTAGACAGAGCTTTTCATAACTGGATGCACAATAAATTGCACAGATTCTGATTGACTTAGAACTTCAGAGAAGGGGAAATAACTCTTGGCTGGAAGGGCCAAGGACGGCTTTTAGGCAAGAGAAAGGTTTTATTCAGAACTTTGAAAAAGTCATAGAAGTAGTGGACAGAGTGGAGCAAAGGGACAGTATGCCTTGTATTATCTTATAGTTCTGGAGGTCAGAAGTCCAAAATCAGCCTCCCTGGGCTAAAGTCAAGGTACCAGCAGGGCTGGTTCCTTCTGAAGACTCTGAAAGGAGAATCAGTTTCCCTTCCTTTTTCAACTTCCTTAGCTCAGGATCCCTTCCTTGTATCACTCCAGTCTCTTGCTTCTGTCATCATGTATTAACTCTGATTCTCCTTCCTTCTCTTTTGAAGTCCCTTTTGATGACACTTGGCCCACCTGTATAATCCAGAATAATCTTCCCATCTCAAGATCTTTAATTTAGGCACATCTGCAAAGTTCCTTTGCCAAATAAGGTACCCTATTCCCAGACCCTGAGGACAAGCACATGGACATCTTTGGGGGCATATTTTCAGTGTACCATAAGGTAGGACAGCCATAAGGTTCACACAGCCTGATAGCCCTCCTTGGCCAATTGAAGACAAGTGAGAAAACAGGGAAGTAGCATGATTAAAGTAATATTTTTGGTCAAGTAATCTGGAGTTTCACTGGCAATTCATCTATAACAGTGGTTCTCAAAAATTAGTGTATAAAAACACATTTTGTGTTTGTTATAACACAGAGGTTCCTGGGCCTCTTCATCACTGGATCTGTGATGAAGATACAGTATTTATGAGTCTGTGGTGGAGTCCAGGAATCTTCTTCTTTAAACAATC
Organism: Homo sapiens; assembly: GCF_000001405.40. Taxonomy (NCBI): domain Eukaryota; kingdom Metazoa; phylum Chordata; class Mammalia; order Primates; family Hominidae; genus Homo; species Homo sapiens. Next base: position 72,721,554 of record NC_000006.12, on the reverse strand, counting down.
CCCACAGATGATTCTGATGCAAGTGGTCTAAGTCCAAGACCACAGTTTGGGAAATGCTGGGCTATGACATGTAAATGTCTTCATAAATCTACATTCACTCTTTCCCCAGTCTATGAGGGGAATGAGATCAGGACTTTAAAAAAAAAAGTGCAAATCAAAAGTGTATTTTAAGCTTGTTTACACACTAGTTTGTTTGTAAGATTTATCACAAACCTAAAATAATAACACTGCAACAAAATTCACTCTTTTAAGCATAAAGGAAAAAAAAAGTTACCTGTTTCAGATAAAGGGGAAGAAGACATCCAAGAACTGCACATCTCACTGACTGAATACTTACTATGTGCTGAGTACTGTTCTAAACACTATATAATATTAATTTTTAAAATCCTCACAGTAACCCTACATGTTGATGTTATAATCTCAGTTTTTACAGATCAGAAAGCTGAGGTGTAGATAAAATATGGAAATAATGGAAAATAGCTTTTCCATTATCACATAGGTAGGAAATGATAGAACCTCTATTTGGTTATTGTCTGTCTGGCTTCTAAATTCATACATTTTTGACTTTGCTGCTTTGTCTTCCAAGGAATGCTCACCTACAGGAGACTAACTACTCAAAAACTTAAATATAAAATCTACAATCATTTAATAGATATTCCTGATTCTTTTTAAGAAGAAGCAATAGGTATTGAGAGAGGGAAAAGCAATGGACTTAGAGCTAGAAGTTGAGATTTTCTTCTGATTTGGAGCCCACTATCTCTGGGACCTTGAACAAATCCCTTAATCTCCATGGTCTGCATTTTCTCAGACTGAAAATAAGAAGACGAGACAAACTAATCTGTAAAATATCTTATCATTCTACATTTCTAGGAGTTTTATGAATATAGTAATTATGACTCACATATCACTCCGCACTGATGATAGCATGGATTCCTCATAAAAGGAATTCTACATGTTAGCAGAAACCTCTTTGGCTGAAAAATGGCTAAGTAGGAAAGAAACTGCAGAAAATCACAAGGTCAAACCCCCATCTAGAATCTGTGGGAACAAGGGAAAAGAAAACAGCCTTTGCAATCACTTTTTCCAAAGACTCAGCAACACAAATAACATGATATAAGTGAGAACCACGGAGGAAGCAAAAATGCCCCTAGAACAGGCAACAATTAATTTGGTAGATTCAAAACTTAAAAAAATGCACTAATTCATAGAGAAGTCATTTCCTGGGAGTTTTGTCATCTGTCTTTTTAAGTATAATGTAAAAAAGCATTGTAATACCTGAGTATCCATTCCATGGCAGGTTAAAAGCAGCTAACTTGCCAGAAGGTTAAGTGGACTGTGCACTTATAGCAGTAAAAAGCAACGGAGATGATACTAAAACTACAAAAAGTTGATACACTGTGACTCAAAAGCACAGTGCCTGCAGTTCCTCAGAATGGGACAAAGGACACTGCCAGAGGCCACATGGTGGCATGATGATGAGCACTGCCTTGCATGCATGCCTAACAGATATGGCGGCGGGTCACCTGTCTAACATTGACTCAAATGTTTGCTGAGTCCCCACCAGAGTTTAGTGTACATATCAGGCATAGAAAGGATGAGGATGAAGGGAAATATGAGATTTTGCCAAATTATTCGATGACCTGAGACACTGGTGATAAACTCCAGCTCTGTGGTCTCAAGACAGGAGGCCCCAAGTCTGGGGTGTCAGTCCCTGAGTAAGTGCCTCAGGAGTGGTCTAGAGAACTGCCTGCATTAGAGGGTTCTAGAGCTGGTGCTGAGAGAGTGACACTGCACTGTCCAATCCCTGAGGAGTTGTTTGAGAAAGCAAAGGAGTTACCAGAGAGGCAAGAGAGGAACCTATGGGAGCTACCCACAAAGGGCTCACTGGGCCACCACTGCCAAGAATAGGTGCCACCTTCACAGAGAAGTATCTCTAAGCAAGAGGCCCCAAAATTAGGACTTTAAAAGTGCAAGGCTATGGAGTCACATAGACATGGCTTTGAATCCTGGCTTGGCTTGGCCATTTAGTATCCAGGTTTTTCATTAGCCAAATATCTATATCATCTCATTGTTAAGAGAATTAAATGGAATATTGCTGGTATATAGCTGAACTTTGGTTTTTAATTTTTTTTCCTGTTACTTCATCATTACTTAAGAACATTGGGATGTACTCAGAGAAACCCATGAGAGAGGGGCTTCTGAGCCTAGTTATCTTTGGAAACAGCAGGTAGAATGGAAACAGCAAGGGATGCCTAATGCAGAGAGATCTCTGCCTCTGTCTTCCACCTCAATGAGCATTGTCAGTCTTTCAAAATATGCCTCACAGTGAAGACAGAATACTTTTCCATCAGAAAAGTTGGTCTAAATATCTGAACGGGAATTCAGATTCCTGCTGGTTCAGGGCAAGATTAGAATTTTTCCATTTAGACTGCAGGTTCTAAGGAAGTAGAATTATATCTTATCTATTTATGCCCCACAGATCCCAACAAATAGGAGATTCTCAGTAAACAGTTATTGAATGAAGAAATAAATAAATGCTAAATATAAATACCTCTACCTCTCTCCATTTTTCCATTGACAGCATTTTATATCCATGTTTGAACTATTTCTTAGGAGTTATTTTTATAAAACAAAATTAAACTATCTTTACATTTCAATAAAAAAAGAGCAATTGATATACAATAGCAGGCTTAAAATGGAACCTATAATGGAAGCTGAGGAGAAACTATCATTTGTTTAGTCTCTCCTTGTCTAGGTACCCCAAATGCATGAAAGTATTTCAAATAAGACCATAAGATGGAGCAGAGGCTGGGTGCGGTGGCTCACGCCTCTAATCCCAGCACTTTGGGAGGCTGAGGTGGGCGGATCACGAGGTCAAGAGATTGAGACCATCCTGGCCAACATGGTGAAACCCCGTCTCTACTAAAAATATAAAAATTAGCCAGGCATGGTGGCACGTACCTGTAGTCCCAGCTACTCGGGAGGCTGAGGCAGGAGAATCACTTGAACCTGGGAGGCGGAGGTTGCAGTAAGTGGAGATCACACTACTGCACTCCAGTCTGGCGACAGAGCGAGACTCTGTCAAAAAAAAAAAAAAAAAAAAAAAAAAGAGCAGAAAGGAAGAATCTCAAGACCTGGCTTAGCTCCTCAATCTCCAATTGAAAACCAAGATAAAAGGAATGCAGCTGCTGCTTAATGCCACCAACTGCAGGTGGAAAACTGGCAAGCAGAACATGCAGACCAGCAAAGGGAGAGGCATACATCATAACATAATTAGCTATTCATACCTTCTTAGGATCAACTTAGAGGAACTTTCTTAGAAGATCATGGATTTCTAATGGAATTTAGAATCAGTAAATACTGACTGCCAAGGGAACCTCAGTTTCTCAGGAAAGTCACTCAAGGCAAATTTTTAGCAATACAGGGTAAACTCTTCACCCAAAGTCAATTTGTAAGAATGTAAATAATAAACCTCATGCATGAGGCATGTATGCTTTGGGGTGGCCATAGAGGGTGGGATCCTTGCCCTCTTAGACATATGCAGGTAATGACTGGCATATGATGTTTGGGAGAAAGAGTTGTGTGAGGTCATACCGTGGAAGACTCCAAGGCAGAAATCCAACTACTCTTGGTAGTACTGTACCGTAAAAGCTGAGTGAATATTCTACTAAACAAATGGTCCTTAATAAATAAATTTTTCAAACACCTCCTTAGTGCTAGGAATATTTTTCCTGCTTTTGGGAAATGCATTCATGGTACATAAACAAAAGTATTCACTCGATTTTTATTTCTGTGGCTTAGATGGATGATAACAAAAATCTACAGGCAGCCTCATGGAGAGCGATTCTAAACTAATGATTCAATTTATGTTGTGCCTATCACCCCTTAAATACGTGGTTAATGCTAAGATTGAGAGCCCCAAGGCCCTACATAAATGAATAAAGGCTTTATTAAAGACTGTACCAAAAATAAGTGTTCCCATACTGACAATACATGTGTTATTTTCTAAAATAACATCCAAGAATGTTCTCTCATGATATGTTATTTGGTAATTAATTCCTGTGAAATCTAGAGTGGTCACCCATTTCTCTTTTCAAAATATTTAAAAAATTTTTGACACATAATAATTGTACATATTTATGAAATACAGTATGTTTCAATACAAGTATATGTTGTATAATAATCAAATCAGAGTAATTAGCATATCCATCACCTTAAAATTTATCATTTCTTTATGGTGGGAACATAAAAATTCCCTTCTTCTAGCAATTTTGAGATATACAATAACTTACTGTTGATTGGCTCAACCATTCCTTTTAAGCAGGTCATTTACAACATGGGTGAAAGAAGACTAGGTGTTAGACATTCAAATTGTCTAGATTTGCTCAAACTAAATAACTGGCACTTCCTGCTGTGACACAGTTTATGAAGCTCATCAGATTATGCCAGTGAGATTCCACTACATGGGGATTATGACTCACATTTTGTCAATAATCAGAAACATGCTCACAAATGAATTTCAGCATCTTTGAGAATTATTATCACTCCCTCCATTAGAATGCAAACTCCATAGAAGCTCTGTTTTCCCCATCCCTGGAAGACTCTTTGGCATGGAGTAGGTGTTTAATAAACATTGTGTGGATCAAATGCATAACTGAATTTAAGTTGCTGCTTTGAGATGGCATTGAGGAAAGTGGTTAAAGATGAGAAAAAAGTTTATACGTCACTTTATGAATACACATCCCTGCAATCTGTTCTCTAAAGGGTGCTTTTGTGAAAACACAATCTTCTCTCTTATCTCACCAAAGTTGAATGCTTCTCTCAAATGTCAGAAAACCTAAATATGACAGTTCATGTCTGACATCCAACATCCACTTAATAGATAGTAATTAAACACCTACTATATATGGCCATATGTCACTAAACCAGTCTTACCTGTGTAAAAAGAAAAAATTCAATCTTCTGTACAAAATATGGTACCCAGGATTAATTGATAAAAAGTAAAGCTTCTCCTGAAACAATTAAAGGCCATGAAGAAGCCCCTAGAGCCGGGTTTCACCCACTGCTTTAGGTATTACAAAAGCCAAATGAATATTCAGCTAAGCAAATGAACTTAAAACCAGCAATTAAAACAAAAGCCTCCTTGATGCTAAGAATTTTTTCATGCTAATATGGTAATTCATTTATAAGGAAGCAGATAAAAAGTATGACCACACATACCATGCCTTACACATCCAAATAATTGCTTTCCTGTATGAAATAGTCACTTTGTGAAGTTATGCATTTATTCTCATGAACAGCCATTTAAATATTTCAGAATCAATTTTTACTTTTTTCAGAAGTATGTCCTATTCTTTTAAGTAAACTTAAGGGACAAATTTTATTTTGGGGGGCTGTGAAAAATCAGTTGGAATTCCTTATGATAAACAACATAAATAATCAAGATGAGCAATGACATTTGAGTTAAGAACAAGATGCAACTATAACATATTAGGAATTTTTATGTGGCTTCATAACTTGATTACAAAGGCAAATTGTGGAAGAGGAACTCTATAATATTATCACTGGCATAAGTAGAAAGCTTATTAGAGTGATTATTGTTAAGATCAACAGTAAAAAGTATAACATAAGTATCAATCACAAACATTTGAATTTTGATATACATAACAAAGGAAAATTATTATATGTAGATATTTCTTAAAAGATGAAAAATGGAGATTATATTATTCAGATTTTGTAAAATAATTATCCTAGTTAGTATCGGAATATCATTAGAATTTCATAGCATTGAATTTCTCTAATTATCATTAAAATACCATAGTATAAAACCAAATATTATCTTAAGATACTTTATAAGTGTCATGTTTTAAATGATTTTCCTTTTTAAAATTTAGAGGCATCCATATTTCTAGGTAAATTACATGTCCATCTTTTTTGTTTCAGTGAGCGACCAAGGAGGCTCACTATTTATGAAGGCATGAGCTGACTTCAGAAAACTTTAGAATTGGCTCCTTCTGCTCATTCCTGTATTTTCACCCTGTGCTTCGTGATCTTGTCTGAATTTCTGTACCAAGAAAGTCTTTGTAATAACCCAGGGCAAACATTTTTATTGAGAGCCTAAAGCATAACAAGGCTCTGTAACTGTGCCTAGCAGCCAAAGTTTGCAAGGTAAAACCCAGATTCCCTTAGGGATTTGGCCGAGGATTTGGGCTTGGTTATACTGTGAATGCACTCAGGTATGTAACCGTGGCCATTCTGTGTGCTACAAACGCTGAGTGAGTTCTTCAGTGATCTCACCAGCAGGTACAGGGACTGGAATTACTCCTCATCCTGCAATTACTTGCCTGAAATTGGCCAGGCTACGGATAAATAACACTCTCACTTACCTCTGTCAAATTAAATAAATATTCACTAATAAATAGTTTGCATGCACTTCTTTATAATACAACATTTAAACACCAATTTTGGTCCCAATTGAAAGACAATTTATGACAGGAACAAATACTATGTTATTTAGCTTAACTGTATAATTTTAGAATTCTTGCCTACATTAAAAAAATCTCATCCAGTTTACAAAAAACAATTGGCTCACAGAAGCTATATATTTATTTTTGTTTGCCCATTTCCTTTATTATCTCCTGTTAGAAACAATTTCTAGCATTAATTTGTTTATTCTAAATATGATGAGAAAAATCCATCAGATTTATTTTCCAGACTCGCTGGTGCCCATGAATATGATCTTCAAGATATTAAGAGGAAATCAAGTTTTTGCTATTTTTGAACTGCCTTGACATTAGCAGTTATCATTTAGAAACTGACAGAAATTAGCCAGTATATGAAGGAGTTCTGACATGTATCAGCTGACAATTAAACTGGTCAGATGGTCATCAGTGAAAGCACTTTAGCTATCAAACAATACCCAAGGTAACTATCCATACTCATGATAAAAAGATATTTTCATGTCCTTTTGTAACCCACACAATATTAAGCATGAATTATATAAGCAACTGTTCCTAAGCCATATCAGAGAGAAAAGGAAAAGCAGAGTATTTAACAATATTGCATGGGATGTGTTATAAAGGCTTTTTTTTTTCAGTTTAGTGGAGGATCCATTTCCATCTTGAACTCCAAAGATGGTATGAGCCTTTCTACCAAAAGGGTTATGACAAGCTCCTCCATTGCTACAGATCAGAGACAAGAACTTTACAAATAAAGAACAAAGCAGGTATTGCAGCATTGCACAATGATGGGCAATGCTTTAGAGAGCATAAAGTATGGAATCTAGGAAATTCTTACAAACATAGCAGTTGATATGAACTTAATACCTAAGATAGTTAATTAGGTAGAGATTAAGACTTAGTAAGAAGAGGCCTTCAACAACAAATGGACTCACTAGGAACATATGTCTCTATGTTGCTCAGAATCTGCTCCACAGCAGTTGTAATTGTTCTTACAGAGAAATAAATGAAGTCTGTGTAATGGGTAAGGACACATAGGTGAGCTAACATTTGAGTTGAGATTCAAAGAATGAATGGCATTTTATCTTGCACGTAGGGGAAAGGGAAACTCATTCCAGTTAGGGAAATGAGATGAAAAAGGCATAACTCCGGATGGAAGTGCATAACTCTCTCAACACAACACAGGATCCAGGTAGACTGTATTTAGGATTTTGGAAATGATACGGGATGAAGCTAGAAAGGCAAGAGAGTCTGCACTTAAAGGTCTGGGAATATCATCTTAAGTGGTTAAGTTTTACTCTACTGTAAAGGAGAAGCCTGAGAAGGGCAGTGACATAAGCCTGTCTAGTCTCCATGCCCCTCTCTAAGACAAAGAACCCTCTGTGGGCTTCAAGCACTTATTCCTTTAGCCTAGAATAGATGCATAAAAGGAACTTAACTGATGTTCTCTTGTTGGTTAATGAAGATTTGTATCAGTTTCTTATTTTAGCAAATCTTGGCTGACAATATGGAATATTGACTGGAGAAGAGAGAGGCCAGAGGCACCAGAACTATTAGGAGATCACTGCAACTGCTGGGAAAACGCAAATCATTCTATGAACCAAGATGATTTGGAAGGTGGATATGAAAAAAAATTGTAGAAGCCAAATTAATAGAATTTGGTGATTGGTTGGACTTCTGATGAAGGTAGAAAATTTTTGTAACTCAGATGAACAGGTTGATGGGATGGTGATGCTTCTCTCAAAGATAGGAAAAGCCTTTCAGAGGCGAACTTATGACGGCTGGGGAAGGGTGGTGCAGGAAGAAAAGGAAAGAGTCACGTTTGGGACGCCTGGAGTTCAAAATGCCTGTTTGGCTTTCATGTGGAAACATCCGAAATGGGGCTGGGGCTTAAAAGTCAGCCAGAGATGTTAGCAAGCCAAGATGTTTGCTTGGATTTCAAATGTGTAACCTGATATTAGGAATTGCATCTCTGACTAAGCTGCAAACCCAACCAGCATTTTTATATCTACCTCCTGCCGTGCGACTTTAAGCATGTATTCATTTATTTATTATGTACATATTACTGAGCACCTAAAATACATCAGGCACAGTTTTGGGTCTGGGAATGCAGCAAACAGGAGAGAGAAAGTTTTTGTTGCCACGTAGATTATCTTCCAAGGGAAGACTGACCAAAACTAAGTAACTAATAAACATCTATTTTTAGAAGGTATATACAGGTGGTGATATAAAATTGTTTTACTGCTCATCTGAATCTTAATTATGACTCAAATTATGTGGTTATGCATGAAGTTAATAAAGTTTTTCTTATGCAGAAGTATAAGGGAGTACAGAGTGAAGTAACAGGAGGAGGTAGTAAAGCAAAAAATTATTGAGCTTTCATCCAGAGAGGATACTCCAAGTGAGCTTGTCAAGAAAACCTATTGGTGTTCTATTAGTTGCTGACATTTTTCCCCAACTGTCATTATGGTCATAATTTAATACAAAGAATGATGATGTTATCGTATATCCACCCAGGCTGAGAATGTGTCAGAGATGTGCTTTCAAAGGTAGTTCCAAGCGGCTATTAACTGAGGTAAATCTTACACAAAATAAATTAAATCTTATTAGATTCAAAGATTGACAACAGTGACAAACAGATTTAAGTATTTTAAAGCTGGTCTTGCTTTTAGGATTCGGAAGTGTTCATTCATATGCTAGGCTTGCTGCTGCATGCTACTCACTTCAGAGTGTATATTCTCTTTCCTTCTTGAAGCGCCTTCTTCCCCTGGCTTCTTAAACCTTGGACTCTATGAATTTCTGTCTGTGACAATTCCTTTGCTATTTCTTTGTAAGTTCATTCTCTTCTTCCAAGCCTATAAATGTAGGTGTTCCCCAGGGTTTTATTCTAGATCTGTTTCTCATTTTATGTCAAACTCTTTCCTAGGTAATCTATCCATTCTTCATTCATTCATTCATTCCTAAAACAAACATGTATTCAGTACCTCCTGTATACCAGCACTGTTCCATGCATTTGAATACATCAGTGAACAAAACAGATAAAATCCCTGTCCACAGAGAACTGAAACTGTAGCATATTTTGATTACTACACATATGCTTTGACCTCCAAGTTTATATTTCCAGTCCATCTGTTCTCTGAGCTCCAGATTCATTCACTGACTGATTCTCCACTTGGATGTTTCAGAAGCATCTCAAATTCAGCATGGCCAAAATGGAACTGTCAAGTTGGGGATAAAATTGTGAGTCCAGTGTTTTCCACTTCTAAAATGGCACCAACTTCCTTCCATCTGAAAAACCCAGAAATGTAGAAGAAATCCTTGTCCCAACAAATTCATTCTTAAAGATCAATCCGCTTCTCTCCAACTCCACTGTCACCTTCCCAAATCTAGCGTAATTTATCACCTGGGACCTTTGGATAGGTCTCCCTGCACCTACACTTTCCCTACTCCAATTCTCCACAGTCAGATGATTTTAAAAATGCAGATCAAATCATGTCAGCCCTTTAGGATAAAGGCCAAAATCCTTCGCAGAGTCCACCAGACCTTGTATGATTTGGCTTCCCTCTACCTCTCTCATCTCCCCAGGCACCACTCTCATGTGTCATCTCTAGCTTCGGCTTTCTTTCAGATTCTCAAATGCACCAAGTGCTTTTCACATGTTGTTCCTTTATGCTTCTTTTCAAGGGGTTAACTCTTTTTTATCAGTCTGCTACTGCTGCCATAACAAAATGGCACAGACTGGGTAGCTTAAACAACAGAAATTTAATTTCTCACATTTCTGAAGGCTGGGAGTCCAAGATCATGGTGTTGGCAGGGTTGGTTTCTCCTGAGGCCTCTCTGCTTGGTTTGTAAATGGCTACTTCTTGCTGTGTACTCACATGGTCTTTTCTCTGTGTACATTTATTCTTAATGTCTCTTCTTCTGATAAGGAGGACACCAGTCCTATTGGATTAAGGCCCCACTCTTACAACCTCATTTTACCTTAGTTACTTCTTTAAAGTCCCTATTTCCAAACACAGTCACATGGGGAATTAATTTCCACATATTTGCTAATTTTCCATGATCCTTTCTCTTATTGATTTCTAGCTTCCTACTACTATGGTCAGAAAAGATATTCAATATGATTTGGATCTTAATTTTGATCTTGTTTTGTGGCCTAACCTAGTATCTGTTCTGCAGAATGCTCTGTGTATACTTCAGAAGAATGTATATCCTGTTGCTGTTGGGTAGAATGTTCTGTATATGTCTGTTAGGTCCATTTGGCCCAAAGTATAATTCAAGTCCAATGTTTCCTTATTGACTTTATGTCTGAATGATATGTCCAATGTTAAAAGTGGGGGTATTGATGTCCCCCACTATTATTTTGTTGCAGTCTATGTCTCCCTTCAAATCTCTTCATGTCTGCTTTACATATTTAGATGCTCCAATGTTGGGTGCATATGTATTTACAATTGCTACATTTTCTTAATGAACTGACGCTTTTATCACCACATAATAGCCTTCTTTGTCTCTTTTTACAGTTTTTGACCCAAAGTCTATTTTGTCTGAAATAAGTATAGCTACCCCTCTTCTCTTTTTATTTCCATTGGCATGTAATAATTTATCCCATTCCTGCACTTTCAGTCTGAGTGTATTTTAAGGTGAAATTAGTCTCTTGTAGGCAGCATACAGTTGGGTCTTGTTTTGTTTTGCTTTTTAAATTTTTTTAATCCAGTCATCCACTCTATGCCTTTTGATTGGATAATTTAATCCATTTACATTCAAAGTAATTACTGAATGGTAAGAACTTACCAATGCCAGCTTATTAATTGATTTCTGATTGCTACATTGAGAGTTAAATAAATTTTGTATTTTGGGGGGACACAATTCAGTTCTTAACAGAAGCTTCCCCTGATTCCCTTGGGTAGGCTTCCAGTTGTCCATTCTTTTAACATCTTGTATTTGTTACAGTGCACTTTCACCATTTGTAATAACAAGCACTGTTTGCCATGTAGAAGACCAGGCCTTTTCCTATCTCACTGACCTTATCTGTTACCATTCTTTCCCTCACTCACTCCATTCCTCTCTAAACATGTTATTTCAACCCCTCAAATTTTCTGTGCCCTTATATAGCTTTATTTTTCTTCATATCACCACCCACCATGATAATATTTACTTATTTGTTTATTTGCTTACTGTTTAATTTGTGCACCAGAATGTAAGATTCATGGGTTCAGGTACTATATTCCACAAATCTAGTACAGATTCATAACACAGGGAGCGCTCAATATACATTTTTTTAATAAATTAATGGGTGTATTTATTTGCATGGTTATTTGATTCTTACTGTTTTCTCCACCAGAGGGTAATCTCTGTAGTACAGGAAGAATGTCTGTTATGCTCACCAGTGACTTGGCACTTAAGATCTAGTGGCTAGCACATGGTGTGTTCTTAGTAAATATTTGTTAAATGAAATAAAAATAAAGCAAAAGTAGTGAAAGTTTATAGAAAACATCTTGAAACAATTTGCAGAACATGAAGAGAAGTTGTAGCCATTTCTAGTGATTTCACAATTCATTTTGACTTAGCAGGGGTATACCCTCAGTTTAAGCATCTCTTTTCTGGGCCAAATCTCTGTTAGGGGCCATAAAACCGCCATCAGAGTGTTATGTAAATTACAGGAGAAAAGAGAATGACAGAATTTATATTTCTAGAAATATTTCCTCTCCAAGGATCAAGTGTAACCCCAGACTGTTATTTTTTTGGATGGTCCTTTAGTTCACTAATGAATGGGATTCCAAGACCAAATTATTTGGATGTTTTGTATGGATTGAAATAAATGTCCTAAAAACAAGGCAATAAAAGCACACTTTGAGAATAACTTCTAGTTCAAACCAAGTATTATTAAGAAAGTAGATATATTTCCTATGCATGTTTCATTTTTAGAGAATCTTAAAAGGAAGGAAAACTGATCACTGGGCATGGTGCCTCATGCCTGTAATCCCAGCACCTTTGTGGGGCCAAGGTGGGTGGATCAGTTGAGGACAGGAGTTCAACAAAACTGATCAACATTATATTTAGATTATTTTGGAATTTGTCAAAAAGTAGAAGTAACTTAATAAAAACTATATATATCATATTTGCAAAGTTTTAGAGAATTGTGATCTTTCTCTTCCACCATATCATGGTAGGAACCTGATTACTTCCTGAAAAGTACTTGAGCCAAAAGAGTAGTTACACCTATTGCCATTTTGATTTGTTTTTCAACCTAGGGAAAAGTCTGAAAAAAAAAAGTATTTGTGGGCTGGGTGCAGTGGCTCACTTTTATAATTCCAGCACTTTAGAAGGCGAAGGGAGGTGGATCACTTGAGCTCAGGAGACCAGGCGGGGCAACATGGCCAGACACCGTCTCTACAAAAAATACAAAAATTAGCTGGGCAGGGTGGTGTGGGCTTATAGTCCCAGCTACTCAGGAGGCTGAGGTGGGAGGGTTGCTTGAGCCCATGAGGCAGAGGTTGTAGTGAGCTGTGGATTGCAGCACTGCACTCCAGCCTGGGCAACAGAGTGAGACCCTGTCCCCGCTGCCACCCAACCCAAAAATGTATTTGCTTAATAAGCTCAAATGTAGCTTTTTCTTCTCTTTGCAATAGAGTAAAATTCGAAGTGATTTCATGTCTTTAAGAACGTCTAAAAGAAGTTTCCCTTTTATACTTCAAAATTTTTTCCATAAATTTTCCCCACCCTCTTTTCCATTTCACATCTTAATACATATAATCAAATTTTTCCAAATATTTCTCCACCCTGTTTTCATTTCATATCTTAATACATGTAAAATATGTCTTAATGTGAAAAATTATTTGAAAAAAATAAAAGTCATGAAATTTTGTCATTTTGTTGCAATTAAAATTTAAATATCAACAAATACATTGGCGAAAACCCAAATAAAACAAAAACCTTATTGTAGGAGGTCATATGATTAAGAAAGTAAAGACTATTCAGAAGTACAGATCTAAGAGTAAATCTAGGAAGAGTAAAGAGAGCTACTATCAAGGATTAATGTGGTCCTACTCTGTTTTGCCCTGGATAGCTGGTGGAAACAAAATCTTTTTAATTCAGATTTCATCAAGACATTCTGGCTTGAGGCAGTGGCTCATGCCTGTAAACCCAACACTTTGGAAGCCAAGGTGGGAGGATTGTTTGAAGCCAGGAGTTCGAGATCAGCCTGCAAAATAAAAAAATTAGCCAGTTGTGGTGGCACCATATGTGGTCCCAGCTACTCAGAAGGCTGATGTAGGAGGGTCTCTTAAACCCAAGATTTAGAGGTTGCAGGGAGCTATGATTGCACCACTGCACTCCAGCCTGGGTGGCAGAGTAAGACTGTCTCAAAATAAAAGAAGTTCTGTGTCTGATGAATGGTTAAACATGTGCACATAAAATTTATAAGTGGGATCTAGTTTACATTCTGTCCTAAGTTAACTATTATCAGGTTAATATATAATTTAAGTTCCAGGAGATTCAAGGATCATGAAATAAATTGAATATTTAAGCATTTTATCTTGGCTATAATTTTTCTCAAGGCAATTTTTGGATAGTTTTCAATATTATGCATTTCAATTAACAAATATAAACTTTGTTTCATTCCCTACTGAATCCAGATATAAAGTATAACAACGTCATTTTTAAAATTCTGAAATAAACATATATGTACACACATATAAGGATAATGCCTGCAGGTGAGGACACAGGACACAATGATCACATACAGAACATCCCTATTATCAATACAAATTAGTACTGATTTATATTAATTATGCTAATATTAATTTGGGCTTTCTGCCTTGATATTTAAAAGAGTATTAATCAACACTGGTCTCTAGTAGGATAGGCAACATTCGTAAAATCCAGATTTGAAATTTAGTAATAAAAATTTTCAATACTTTTAAAAAGCAGGTGGCTTTGTGAATATGCACGCATAGCCAAAAGCATTTATGAAGTAGCTAATTGTCATTTCCAGTTGAAAACCTTGGCTGGTGCACATGCCTAAATGGGTATACACATATACACACACTCATAGTTTGTATGATCATGTTAGCTAAACATCTTTGTCCCTGATATAAAAACCAAGAAACAGTTAAGATAATGAATTTTCCTTAAAAGTATAATACTGGTAGAATGATTATGTTGCTATATGTGTCTTCATGTTTATATATATGAATGAGCATGGAAAATTATTACATGTGGTTCTAAGTATTGTTCTTTTGACAAGAGGGAATAGTAAAGATGATACTTTTTAATCACAGATGGTGTGGATTACTATAGAAAACTATTTTGTTCTTTTTATGAACATTTGCAGTAGTCACAGTCTCCTTTTCGGTTAAATTATGCTTTTGTTTTCATTCAGATATGTAGAAGGCACCTTGATGCTTTCAAGGAAGGCCTCTATGACATCAGTTTAGGTTGCTGTATTAGGAACTGACTAAGGTAAAGAACCTATCACTTAAAGTAGTTAATATTTTGTCATTCACTTAAGCCAATATCGAGAAGTGATTTGGGCATGGGAATAATAAGAAACAAATAGTTCCAGATTGATATTCTTAAGCTGATTAAAAATATGTAAATATATACATTCACATATGGACTCAGATTATTCAGTTATAAAATTATGCATATATATGAACATATTATTCACATAAGAAATACTTTAGTACCCACCACAGGGCCATAAGCAAAGCAAGGCATCTTTTAAATTTTAATTGTAACAAGATATTTTATAAAATATTAAATATAAAATATTAAATTTATCAGAATCCTTCATCTTACACAGAAAACATCCTTTCCACTTCAGAATTTGTACTCAAAGCATGTTAATGTTTCTGCTTTAATAAAATAAGAAATAATGATGGCTAGATTTACAGTGGTAGATAAGATGCTTCTGTTTTGATCCATTCAATAATTCATGATAAAAAGAAAAGACATAACTATACCTTGAGTGACATTTTAACCAAATTTCATTTTTATAGTGCTTAATATTTCTGACTTTTGCTGCCTCATTTAATCAAAATTCCAAAATAATCAGCTCTGCAGCAAAGATTTGTCCAATATTTATTGCAAAATCAATTTATGCAAACATAATACTACATTTTAATAGTTTGTTATTTTTTCTTTCGTTTAAATGTTCACACACACACACAAATCTCATTTCTTTTTGGTAAGAAGCAATACCCAAAAAAATAAATTTTTCTATCTTATACTACACTTCTTATTCTGATAATTTATTTCAGGGAATTTGAGCCTGTCAACATTATAACAATACAACAAATTACCTCCCAGATTAAAGTAATAAGGGTATAAAATCTGACAGCTCTTTTGTGTTAAAAATTAGGTCTGATAATTGCTTTGAAATTTTCTTTCCTACCTTATTTTTTAAAGGGACCACAAAATCCTACAGGGGAAGAGATTACATTTTACAAATTTTGATTTATTGTATTAGCTGTGCTTTAGCAAAACAACAACAACAAAAAAAAAAACAAAAACAACAACAAAAAACAAAAAAAAAATTTGGACAGTAAAACCTCTAGGCATTTTTAAGAATAGTTGCATCAAAATGCTTCAACATGTCAATCTGCACCTACTTAAAGTTTCCTGTTTTAAGAAAGCATGAAGCTTTCACAAAGAAGCAACTTGTATTTCTTTCACTCTATAGAGACAATTCTAACATCTATATCTTGGCAAAGTATATCTGTATTATTCATACATGTCAAACATTGAAAAAAGAATAAATGAATTCAATACAAAGACATATTCTAGCTTTATTTTCTGCGGTTTAACCTATTGATAACTGACAGACACGCAGTGAATTCTAATGATCCAGGATATCAGTTCTCACAACTAGACTATATAGACTGAAGTGAATAAGCAGTTATTTAGTACGCCCCATGGTGGAAGTATCCAGAATGTCACCACCTCCCTATGTGGTTAAGGGGAATGATGTGTTTGGGATTTGCACTGAACACCAAGGAAAGCATATCAGATGGAAAAATAGATTGAGCAAAGGCAGAGAGGCAGAAAAGAATAAAAATTATTGGAGAAACACTGACTAGTTCAGTTTATTCGGAGCAAAGACACCATGAAAGAATCATATTAGAAATAATTTGAAAGGTGGGCTAAGCTATTGTGTAGTCAGTGGTGTGCCTCCACATTTCTGAACTGAGGGGGGCATAACAAAATTTACAAAGTTAACATTTTCTCTGTAAACAACTTATACATTTAATGCAATAGCATTATAATTATCTTTTAAATGTAATAAACTTAGTGGGGTAGGGAAAGACATAGCATGTTGTTTGCTGTATCACCAAATCAAAAGATTTGCAATAGGATTAAGATACATAAAGATCAGATAGTAACATTCCATGTTTTAAAAGGTAATTCTAAGCAAAGAGGAAACTTTATATTTACATGAATGGAAGTAACTTTTTTTTTTATCATTTATAACAATTAATATCCCCTTTTTCTTAGGAAAGAACCCATCAAATTATAGAATTTCTATAGGCATATGTCATTCTACATGTGATTTTATTTTTTGCAAAATATTTCATATATCATGCTAAGCAAAGACAGCCATTACTGCAGTTGCCTAAATTAACTTACTGAGTACCTCTGCATGCAGTCCTGCAGGGTTCTCACCAGGTAATTTCCAAGAAATTGGGAAAAAAAAACCCAGAGTAATTAATAAAGACAAAGAGAGCATGCACATTGTGAATGTATTATTTAAAGGTTTAAATAATAAACCTGCAAATATTTCAGCTTGCTTTTGGAGGTTTTAGAAAATAATTTTCAAAAATGAATTTAACATGATTTTACTGTTACTCCATAAACAGAGGGAGGAATATTTCTCTAAAGATTTATAATTACACACATAAAAGAGAGGAAAATAGGAAATGACCTTGCCCAAAGCCTGATTTTTGATAATAAAATCATATCTGAAAGTCTGAAGTTCAACCCTAGAACAGAAACTGTTGTTAAAAATTCCAAAACAAAATTAACACCTACGTTAAATGCAGTTGTCAGTATTAAGAAAGAACTAAGCTAGGACTCATTTTTATTTTCGTAGAAAAGTATGGTTTTGCCAAATGTTTTAAGGCACACAAAGTATAGCACAAAATATTAGTATTTAAAAGCAGCCACAAGTAAACTATTTAATGAATTTTCCCTTTCTAAAAATCTCATTTTAAGAGAAAATCTCTTGGAATGAGTAGTTTTACAAATTTCACAGGAACAGCAAATATATCAAATGTCTTCATCCTAGGTAATTACTTTCTTTGCAGGGCCATATACATTCTTGCAATCTAGCTCAAAATTGAAGCACATATCACAAATAGAATTCGATAAATGGAAAATGTTTTTTTAAAAAATCAGACCATATGAAGGAATACTTAAAAATACTGACATACGTCTACACCACCTAAACTTGCTACTTTATAGACTGAACTGGGGTTCTTTGCAAATGCTTGTTTACAGGAATTTATGTCTGTGTACCTTGGTTCTGGCCAAATAAAACATTTTTTAAGAAATGGTTTAACTAACTATTTTCAGCCTTTCAAATTTTGTTGGATTACTATGACATTGTTCCAATCCCTCAGAAATTAACACTACTGGAGGAGACAGACACTTAACTACAAAACAAAAACAAAAACAAAACAAACAAACCAGCCATAGAAGTGCAGTAATTCAGATATGCCAGGACGTGGGCTCATTGACAAAGGTCATTCAACAAATGTCTGGAGGAGGTGATATGGGAGCTGAGTCTAAAAGGAGAAGTTAGAGTAAGAGGAAAGAGAATGAACATAAAGAGCAGCATGGGCAAAGATAAGATGCTGGGAAGGGCAGGACGCTGCAAGAAGTTCAGAGTTGCTGGAGTGGAGTTGAGAATCTCAAGGGCAGAGTAGATGACAAATAACCACCACTTCTGCACACAAGGAGTATAGTCTGCTCTAATAAAAGCTTGTCTGCTATAGGCTGGTTGTGAGGAGCCACTGCGGGGGTCTAGCAGTGGGGTGACAGAAACAGATCTGCATCCTAAATAGACTGCCTTGTGGCTGCGCAGAGGACAGAAGGCAGTGGGACAATCCACATAGGAGACTGAATAAGAGAGAGTTGAACAGGGATTGAGGCAGGTCAGTGATGGCAGGATGGAGAGGAAGATAAAGATTAGTAAAGTCCCTTTAAAAGTAATCAAGACTGATTCTAAGGAAGGAAAAAGGCTGAACATGCAGAATGATAATAAATATGAATGATTTCTTTTTATCTGAATCTGCCAAAAGTGTACCTGTACGAAGTGAAATCATACCGTAAAGTGGCCATTTTTTTAAATCAATTGCAATGAAGTCTAGGGAAATGTAAACTACTTGGCAATTAGAACCCATATCTGTATCTGAATATTCTGTGTGAATGGGTCACATGCTGAAGACATGGGAGAACATCACAACTTATCTGATGCTTCACAGTCCTCAGGGCTAAGTCTTAAAGCATTTCCACAGAGAGTGGAACAAAACAAAGGGAGCTTTTGTTCCTTAAAAACACATCTTTCTCTACTTCGATCATAGCTATTTATTCCAACATTCCAGGCACTTAATACTTTTTTATCACTTGCAAAAAATTACCTGTTTCCTAAACCTTTTCATACTCCTTAAGAAAAAAAAACCTTGTATTTCCTTAATCTTGGCCAATAACTCAGGAATGTTCATATTTATTTCCCTTGAGCCACATGAATTGGTGATTGTGTATTTGGTTCCTACTGTTATCTCAGCAGCCCTTCACATTGCTACACAAATGTTAGTATTTTATCTTTGCTCAACCTCACACTCATAATGTATCCTTATTGAAAACTCATTTGTTTGTAAATGTTAATTTATTCTGGAAGGGTATTCTGGGACAATATTACAAATTAAGAAGATGGGCTAAGAAAATAATTTGTATTTGCTTTGAATTATTCTGTAATTCTATTGTGCTGTGGAAAGAATGTAACAATTTAGTTGAGCATTCTCTCTAATAATGATGTATGAAGATGTAACATGGAGTTTATTTAAATACCTCAAAAAACAGCCCACAAAATTAAAAAAAATATTAGCTGGGCATGGTGGCTCACACCTGTAATGCCAGCACTTTGGGAGGCCGAGGCTGGCAGATTGCTTGATCCCAGGAGCTGGAGACCAGCCTGGGCAACATGGCAAAACCCTGTCTCTACAGAAAATACAAAAATTAGGCAGGCTTCATGGTGCACATCAAGCTTCTTGGCAGGATCACTTGAGCCCCAGAGATGGGGGTTGCAGTGAGCTGAGATCGCACCATTGCACTCCAGCCTCGGTGACAGAGTGAGACTCTGTCTCAAAAAATTAAAAATAAAAATAAATTAGCCAGGCTTGGTGGAGGTGGGAGAATTGCTTGAGCTCAGGAGTTTGAGGCAGTGAGTTATGATGGTGCCACTGCACTTCAGCCTGGGCAACAGAATGAGACCCCCAACTCTAAACAAAACAAAACAAAACAAAAATCAAAAAAAGAACCGCCCCCACAAGTCTCTATTTCTTTTCTCCATATGCATGGATTACAAAATAACTCTTAGCTATAGAATTTGTAATACTATCTATTTATAAAATTAACAAATTTGTTATTCATTCTTTGACAACATTTTATTTGCAAAACCGATATCATAAAATTTGCTTCTTGCTCTTCAGAAGTTAAAAAAATTGTCTAAAGCAGTATTTTTGAGGTTAAACCAAGTGGAGTTTGTTTCAGAGGGTCTGAAGTTGGGGTAAAAAGCCTTAAACGTTATGTAAGTTTCAGTTAACTGCTGCACAACTACAGTAAAACAATTTGGCTGATTGTTTTGTTAAATTCTCATGAATATGAAGCTTTAATTAAACATCCTTTTACCTTGAACTGGTATTTAACAAATAGCCTTCTACACAAAGTACACCAAAATACAATTTATTAATCTTTCAGAGGATCATTTTAGTAATTCAAGCTACTAGAAATTTCCCCTCATATCTCTGGTATTAAAGTCCCATCTGGAAATTTTGTTGCAGTTGTTGCTGTTGCATGTCTACAATGAACTTAGTAAACAGCAATGTAGTCGCATGTCAGAAGAGTGAAAACTATGTGAATTGCTCTTAAAATTACAGGGTATCTGATGATTCTAGGTAATATTAATACTTCTTTTTTATCTGGTCAATTAAGGCAGAAAGAAAACCTCCACAGAGGCTTAGCTGAGGGATGGGTTTGCTCAGCCATTCTGGGCCTGTCACCTGGCCTCCATGATGGATGGAATGGAAGAGGCTGTGCTGGGAATGTGCCGGTGCTAGGTCTCTGCTTTGTGTAAGGTTGCTGGAGAACTGGTTGCAGCTCCACCATTGCTTTCCCTCTCAAGAAAGCATATAAGATCATGGCGGAGTGAATGGGTTGCTATTTTAGGAATAATCTTGTATCTGCTAGAATTTAGGTTTAAAAAGTCATTTCTAAACTTTAGATTTTTATTGTACTATTTTACTAGTTTGAAAAAAGTTACTTGTGGCACCTCAAGCAATTTTCACTGTGGTTTAGAACCACAGAACTGGATATTGTGTTTTAAGAGTAGACACTCCACCAAAACCTAATCAATCTTAACAAAATAAAAAAGGAATGGGAGAAAGTTGAATGGGCCTGAGCCAGAATAGTGATGGTAGGGATGGAATTATTCATGGCAGAAATTGTTTGAAGAATTCAGAATACCTTAAACTAAGATAGATTAGATAGATAGATAGATAGATAGATAGATAGATAGATAGATAGATATAGATATATAGATTGGCCATTTATCTCTTTGAATGAAGATAAAAGACTGGACCCTAAAACCAAACAGAACCGAATTTGTATCCCAGCTTTGTTAGTTATGAGTTATGTGAGCTTCCTGCCCATTTAAGAGTTGGGATAACAATAATGCCTAAACATAATAATAACATGACAAAACATATAACTTTTTTGATGGTCAAAGCAGCTGATTTTAATATTTTACATTTATTGAGTGCTTACTCTATAATGTTTTAAGTGCTTTCTATACATTTCATTTAATCCTCAAACAAGCCTTTGAAATGGGTCTAGTTCTTATCCTTATTTTACAGATGAAGAAGGAACAATAAGGAACAATTAATTATGTGTGAAAAGTAAGGTGTGTTGCATGGAAAGCTTGACGCCCGAAACATAGATTCAATAAATGTTAACTGTTTTGCTCACAGAAGTTTAATTTAACAGTCTAAGTAATGAACAGTACTCCAAAATAAGAGTACTTAAGTCTGAACTGTATTATGCTACATTTTCAAATTAACCAAAGTTCAAATTAGCCGTTTCATCCCAACATGAACTAAACTAAGTGGCTAAGAACAAAAATTTATGTTGTTAAAGTATTCTTATATTAAATAAATCTTTAGATCATCAAATTATAAATTCTTGAGATTAGCAGAGCCATCATTTGTCCTTTAATTGTGATATTTATATAGCTTCTAATAGAGTGGGGAAATTGGCAATCTTCTAATTAACTTGATATAAGCAGCCAAGTAGGATAATGTAACTCTCCTGGTAAGAAAAAACATTAGACTTAAATAATTCATTCTGGAGGTCAAGAGAGGAGCCAAGAGAGGTCTTACTCAGCTGATACAAATAAAAAATATTTAAATTCCTTTTTGGTCATTGGAGCAATTTGTGAATCTCTAAATGACAGTTTGTCAGCATTTAACCACTGATCTCATCTTTAGTCACTGTTAATTTGAACCTGAGCAGTCGTCTGATCAACAGTATTTCATACCACAAAGCAGACTACAGAAAAATATTTTCACTTCCCTTTCCATAAAAGCTATTCCCTAAAAGAGAATCTGGATCTAAAATTTAGAAGGTCCCACCTGATTTCAGCTCTAATAGCTGATTCAGATTTTTAACCATTCATGTACCATCTTACCCTTAGTTTTTCCAAAGTGCCATCCTTATCTATAAGATTCAGCCAAAACAGTGTTAGAATGGGTACCTTCTGGCACTTCCAACAAGAAATCAATATAATCTCTAATTACGAGACTGTGTTACGGTTAACTCTATTCTGCCTTTTAAAGTATAATAAATCCTTAAGAAAACTTAAGTCGGCTGGGCATGGTGACTTACACCTGTAATCCCAGCACTGTCGGACGCCAAGGCAGGATGACAGCTTGAGGCAATAAGTTTGAGACCAGCCTGGGCAACACAGCAAGACCCCATCTCTACAACAATAAAAATAAAAAAATAGCCAGGCATGGAAGTGCATGCCTGCAGTCCTAGCTACTCAGGATGCTGAGACAGGAGGATTGCCTGAGCCCAGGTTGCAGTGAGTTATGATCATGCCACTGCACTCCAGCACTACTGCCTGGGCAACAGAGTGATATCTTATCTCTCCAAAAAAAAAAAAAAAAAAAAAAGAAGAAGAAGAAAAAAACACAGATTTACTTCCAAATTATCATGGAACATTTATTCTCTTTTCCCTATTTAAAAACCTTTCAACATGTTCATATAATGACCAGAAAATCCCCCCATAATTGCAACATTCAAACAAACAAACAAAACAAGCCAGGTGCGGTGGCTCACACCTGTAATCCCAGCATTTTGGGAGGCCGAAGCAGGTGGATCATCTGAGGTTGGGAGTTCGAGACCAGCCTGACCAATATGGAGAAACCCCATCTCTACTCAAAACACAAAATTAGCCAGGCGTGGTGGCACACGCCTGTAATCCCACCTACTCAGGAGGCTGAGGCAGGAGAGTCGCTTGAGCCTGGGAGGCGGAGGTTACCGGTGAGCCAAGATCACGCCATTGCACTCCAACCTGGGCAACAAGAGTGAAACTCTGTCTCAAAAAGAAAAAAAAAAGTCTAAATACATTCATTTTTACTGGTGCTTTACCTATTTGGGTTTTAAAATAAAGAATAACTTTATTCTGAAGCTACTGACTTGATTACTTGAGTAGAAATCAATTACAAACATCAACGGACACACTTTTATTATTTATTTGTTTATTTTTGTAGAGAAAGGGTCTCACTATGCTGCCCAGGCTGGTATTGAACTAGTGGACTCAAGTAATCCTCCCACCTCAGCCTCCCAAAGTACTGGGATTACAGGCATGAGCCACCGTCCCCAGTTGATACACTTTGAAAAGGTATTTTGTTTAACCAAGAACTTCCTTAGTAAAAATTGTATATGTTTAAGGTATATAAATTGATATTTAGATCTATGTATACATTGTGAAATAATCGCCATAATCAAGCTAATTAACATATCCATTTACCAATTACACCTCAATAAAGCTGAAAAAAGGAACCCTTTTAATAAAACAATATAACAGGTGAAATAGTTAAAAATGTAAACATCCACATAAAACTGCAGTAACTAAACTCATGTCCTAAGTAATTTATTTTATTGTAATTCTCTTGACTTTCATTACCAAATATTTCTTCATCACTCCTGCCTTGCTTATTTTTCACAGAAACCTAAGGAATTATATCCTAATTTCTTCTAAATTTTCTCATTCTGAAATTCATCTTGGATTACAGTTTGTTTTACCACCATCAGCTGCTTTCACTGTATATAGTTTAAGGTTTAAATCTAGAATTTAAGGTTTAAATCTAGGAATAAATCTAGAATTTGCATACCAGATTTCAGAGAAGAAGCTGCTTGAAATAAAGTTGTGACCCACCATGAGTTATTGTGTCCTATAACTTCTATATGGCCCTTTCCTCTTCCCTTGCATCCCACTTGCTCCTTCCACAGTTCAATTGGTACCCAGAAGTGCATAATTGGTAAGATTAGGATAAATGAACATGGGGAATGACCAGTAAAAACAACCATCCTATCTGAGCTACAAAATCAATCCTCACTGAAGTACCGTTTCACAGGGAAAAGATCGCTCAATGATTCTTGAGGAGAATGAAATCACAAAACT
The DNA here is from genome assembly GCF_000001405.40 of Homo sapiens. Taxonomy (NCBI): domain Eukaryota; kingdom Metazoa; phylum Chordata; class Mammalia; order Primates; family Hominidae; genus Homo; species Homo sapiens. The sequence goes on along the minus strand of NC_000006.12, from coordinate 72,697,134 downwards.
AAACTCTATTTGACTTTAATGAACATCTGATTTATAGCTTAACAGTTTTACAGAATGAGTTAAAAGAATTTTACCTCAACTTCACGGTGATGAACATGACAAGATATGAAATTAAAGAATGATACCGCGATTGACCTCAAATAAATATCAGACTTTGTAAGGGGTAGCAGTAAACTGATTATCTTCATCTTTGATAGAGTTTTATCACTAGAGCTACTAATATGTGGCACTGAAGTGTCAACCATTATTTAGTGCTAAAATTACTACTATCACTATATATATTTCTTCTTTATGCAAGATATGTATTCTTGAAGCTTTGAAAAAATAAATTTCATATAGTAAGCCATATTTAAGATACTGGGAGTGTTCCTATGCAAAGGTGTTTCCAATTATAAATCCAAGTATGCCTCTATTTAAAAAAATCCCCAGCTTACTATATATTTTTAAGTCTATGTTTTAATATGCAAGATTTTCTTAAAGCAGATAACCTATAAATAACACTAATTTATGGAGTTCTTTGATTGTGGCCCACTAAGAGATAAAGAGTTGCCACTCAGCATCACACAAAAATGTTGGAGAAAAATTGCAAAATAGATCTTGCCCATTTATTAACCTGCATCTTTTTTGAAAATGTCTTATTATTCTTCTGTAATTATCTCATGCAAGCCTAATACACTCATTTAAAAAGGAAACAGATTGTGTAAAAATTATGATGAATAGGAGAAAACATCTTGCTTCATAAAGTGCCTAATATTAAAAATTTTTTCACACCCGTATTTTATCAAGTATTGTTTGTAGATTTATATGTGGTTAATAGTTTGACAATTTTTCTGATTACCATAATTCATTTTATTAAAATGCTATTTTCACTGCTGTATAATATTCCACTGTTTGCCCATGTTACTAATGAGGGCCTCTTAAATTACTTCCAGGTTTTCATGATTAAAACCATTGCTGCGAACAACCTTTTAGATATCTTTGTGCACATGTGTAAGAGTTTCTCATGCGGAGAAGTGAAATTGCTGGGTCACAGGATATACATTCTCCCAAATTTACTTGTTTTTTCCAAATTGGTCTACTAGATATTTGTACCTTCTTACCAGCAATTTAATAGCCACATTCTCTTCTCATGTTAAAATAAACTAAAACTGCATGCATCAATATGGCTGAATCTCTCAAAACATTACTTTTGGCTCACTTTTAAAAAAATTGTTACCTTTTCTTTATTTTTTATTTTTTAGAGACAGAGACTTGCTATGTTGCCCAGGCTGGCCTTGAGCTTCTGGGCACAAGCTATCCTCCCATCTTAGCTTCCTGAATAGCTGGGATTAGATACATGAGCCACCTCGCCCAGCTCTTGAAAACCTTATTTTTGAATGAAACAATTTAAGTACAAGTTTAAATCTTCCCAAAACAAGTGTATGTGTGTATATGTGTATGTTTGCACATATATATTTATATAAAATCATACATAATATTTATAATCCAATATACGTAATATTATATATTATAAACACAGTCATGCATAGCTAAATGGCATGTATATGTTCTGAGAAGTGTTGTTACATGATTTTTGTCATTGTGTGAACATTTAAAGATAATAACATTCAGAGAGGAAAAGAGGTGAATGGGATGGAGAGGTGGGGTTTCAGCAACCTCTGTAAGCTTTGTTTTGTTGTAAGAAAATTTGAAGGAAATGTGACAAGATGGTGGAACCATTTTATATAAGAGGAAAGTACGGGAATATTTATTGTTTTCTGTACTTTTCAGTAAGCTTAAAAAATCATAAAGAAAAAATAGAAATAAAAATGTTATTGAGTTTAGGTAAAAACTAAGGTCCTTTTGAAACAGCATTGAAGTCATGAAATATAGACACACAATGCTATGTTTTACAACAACGGTCATTTATGTGTACAAATATCTTGACGGCAGTTGTCCTAGAATATATATAGAGAGGTATATGTACAATGCAGCACTAACCGTAATAGCAAAGACATAGAATTGACCTAGGTGCCCATCATTGGTGGACTGGATAAAGAAAATGTGGTATATGTATATATATCATGGAATGCTACACAGCCATAAAAATGAATGAAACCATATCCTTTGCAGCAATATAGATGCAGCTGGAGGCCATTATCCTAAGTGAATTAACTCAGAAATAAAAAACCAATACCACAAAAGCTCTCCGTGAGACTTATAAGTGGGAGCTAAACATTGGGTACTGATGGCCATAAAGATGGCATCAACAGTCATAGGGAACTAATAGAGCGGGGAAAGGTTTTAAAACTGTTGGGTACTATGCTCAGTACCTGGGTGGTGGAATTATTTGCATCCCAAACTTCAGCATCATGCAATATACTCATGTAACAAAGTCACATATGTATGTCCTGCATCTAAAAGAAAAGTTGAAATTATTTTAAAAAAAGGTGTAGTTCCAGTATCGTGACAATAACACATTTCTTGAGGTAGTCTGTCCAGGTATTCTTACCTTGGGTCCTCACTGCCATTCTATGAAGTAGTCAGGGTGGCACAACCACCTTTATCTTATAGATGAGGAAATTCTGGCTCAGTGAGCTTCATTGACTTGCCCACCATCAGCTATAGAGTTTATATGGGCCCAGGTCAACACTAGAGGCCAGAACTCCTACCCAGGCCAATGTTTTTTCTCCTAACTCTGTCACATAACCCCTCTGCATCTCTCAATCCATGAGAAGAAAGGACAGGCACAAAGTAAGGATGCATCTCTTACATATCAAGCCTTCAGACCAAAATAACAGAAACCATCCATTATCTAGCTAGTTTATCTGCAGACCAAGTCTTCCTGCCCAGCCACAGGGGGGCACAACTTTATGCAAGGCCTCTCTGAGGGCCCCTTCTAAGGGTCACAGATGTTGTATATTTCTTGTGCTGCTATTCCTCACAGAAATGATAAATTGTGAAATATGGAAGAGAGTAATTACTAGAAAAAAAAGGATCCATATTTTACATGATCAAAAAATGTATAATTTCTTACTACATTCTCAGTGACCCTGTAGCTTAAAACAGGGTGGGCTGGAATGGGACTGTCCTAGTTTTTACTTGACAGAAGACAGCTGGCATTCATGTGTAATGGCCCATAGGAAAAAATTAAATCTAAAACTTTAAGTTAATCAGTGTTCTCCAAAATTCAGTGAAAAATAAATAAAAGAGAAATATGGGATTCTGACACCTTCAGAAACTAAACATCTGAAGCTGTAAATTTCTTTCTTTACTCTAGCAGTTCTACTTTCAAAACTGTGAGCCAACTGTGAAATAACTGGTTTTGGGAAGAATTAAAAGATAAGTCTTAGAAACAGCTAATATAAGTGTCTCTCTCCAAATTAAATCAGTGGGGTGCTAGTTTTAATGCCTCTTCTTATTAGCTCATAATTAGGATTCTGTATAAGCAATTACAATATTCACCTCTCCGGAATAGTTTTAGGTGGAGTTTTGACCTATGGTGGTACAATTTAAACAACCAGTAATAGCTAGTCCTACAATTCTATGATTAGGGCTTCCTTTACTGGGCCCTAACATTTATTTCATTTTCCTGCAATCTTACCCTTTTTTTCCTCCAGAGAAAAACTTTTACTCCCTTGCCCTGCTAAAGAATCCTGAATCCCATCACTAACAGCTTTGTTATGTTTTGTTTTCTAACAAAGAAGACCTTATGAAGTGAACCTACCAGCGCTAAGGTTCAAATGGCCTAATTGCCAAATCCACTTTTTCAAGTCTCATCCTACAGCCCTAACAGGATTTGGCACTCCTTATCAACTCTTCTCTCTTAAAATCTCTCCACATCTTGCTCCCAAACACACTCTCCTGATTATCTTCTAACTCTCTAAACACTCCTTCCAAGTCTCGTGTGCACGTTTCTCCTCTTTTTCATATTCATATATGCTTTTAATGATTCCTTCCTTCTTCCTGCTTGTCTTCTTATTCCACATGCTTCCTTTGGGTTCTCCCACCCATTTCCTATGGCTTTAATTATTATCTATAAGTTAGTAACACATAAATCTATACTTCAAAGTTAGTCTTTTTCCTGAAAACTTAAGCCCAATCCATTCTCTATATTGCTATTAGAAATATTCTTTTTAAAAAATAATCCATTTCCCAACAATTTACAGAAAATAAATTATAAAAATAATTCCACCTCCTCATTCCTTTTTGAAAAATGTGATGGCTCCTTTGCCTGGAGGACAAAGTCCAAATTTCTTGGTGTTGCATACAAAACCTTCTACAGTATGTCTTTACATACTTTTCCAGTCTCATAAATCCTACACCATATTACAGCAGGGCCTCACTAGCCCTCCTTCATTACTTTGTCTCTTTGCTACATTGACCATATTTCTATGATCAAGAGCATCAGTACATAAGGTCTGATAAGCAAACTTCTACCAGGGTAAAAGGACTCACTTGGAGTCTAGACTGTCCTGAGAAATCTGGAACATAAAGTTGACACTTTTCCTGCAGAGCCCATTCCTAGCTGTGCCTACAGAGTTTCATTTTGTTCTTCATCACCTTAGAAAATTTCAAAATGTTCACACTTACAAGAAATGTATTTGCAGAGTCTCATATTAAAAAACCCACTGATTCCTCTAGCTGAGTTATCTTCCTTAACCAACAAATTAATTCTAGAAGTGTAGAGGAAGGAAAGAGACATTCAAATACATGCAATGAAACAGATCAGTTGCATGAACCTTGATAATCATGGAAGGAATGCTGCTGCAGGCAGATGTTTCTCGCACAACCTGCAAACTCCAAACCATCCTGCAAGCTAAATGTGACTTACTCAGTGAATGTTTCTCACTCTGTGCTCCTATAGCATCAAATTTATGCCTTGATTATAGCTTACAGTGTACTCATCTGTAATTACTTGATTTTATGTCCATCTTCCCAGTCTGTGGGCTTCTTGTAGACAGGCAAAACACCTGGCATCGAGCAGATGCTCATAAAGGAGTAATGAACTCACCCTTTAGAAACAGCATTGCCTAGGATACAATGAAGTTTTTAAAAACCTTTCTGAAATCACAGCAATGAATACATTAAGTGCAATTTGGTCGAAGAAATTATGAACACTGTTATAACACATTCTATATGAAGACTCTCTCATTAAACCAACATGTTCATAAAACAATCTGTACTGACATGGAGTTAGAGATAACTGACCCTGCACACTACAAGTTGTCCAAATAGCATAAAGCAATTCTACTGACACAAAATATTTATGCTTGAAAATCCAAGCCTAAAAAGTTGACAAATATTTCTATCACAGTCTCACCTCCATTTTGTCAAAATCCACTAAGAACTAATGACATGAATTCATATTACAAAAGAAAGTCTTGCCCCAGTGAACAATGTTAATTTTCCAGCTATGAAAGGTGGAAATGCAGAGTGCCCAGGAGATAAGGACATCTGTCCAAAATGCCAGGCAGTTACCAAAAAAGTGATTATAGTAATTCTTTTTCTTATTTTCCCATCTCTAATATTCCTGTTTCTATTCCTTTCTTGATATTTCACATTTGTACAACTTTCTTCTCTACAATTTAGCTCTTTATTTAGCTCACAAAGTAGGCATTATACTAAGGAGATAGAGTATTCGTCTTCGGCGTCAGTACCAGTTGCCCTTAGCAACCACTACTTCAAGGGAAACCTTATTTTCATCTGCTAACTCAAAATACGACTAAAGGGTCAACCGCAGAGCAATTGTAAAGGGCAGGTATTAAACTGACAAATTGCTCAATGTAAGACCCTCTTTCATTTGAATTATTCCAGTGGCATTGGGTGTTTTGTTCACAAATATTTCATAAGTCATAGGGTTTATAAATCGGTTTTTAAATGATACTTATGAAAAATAGAACTATACATTCCAACTTGAGATCTCTTTATTATTGAGGCTATGGAGAGGAATCACATAATTAACACAAGTCTAATGCAAACAAAGATAAGTGAAGGGAATATTCTTTTCAAATATATTATGCCAAATACTCTGAAACTATAACTCCTTTTGAATTTACTGATTTTTGAGTTCAAGTTTCCAAAAACCTATGCTAAGAAGAAAAGCCAGTTTGCTCTCTATTACTAGTTTAAGCTAATAAACACAGTGGTTAAGAGGCTAATAATTCTGAATATTTTGAATTGTTTTCTGATATATAACAATTCTTTAGGAAATATTAAGGAAAACATAAGACATAAAGGATAAATATAATTTTCATTATTTTTATAATTCTTAAAGGACATCTATATATAATTTATATATGGTATTCTAAATGAAATTATACTTTAGCATCTTTCCTATGAAGAATGGAAAAAAAACTGCAAAAGAACACATACAGTTTCACTATTGTTGTGGCTTAAGAAATAAAAAGTATTGTACTATTAGGCTTTTTTTTTTTTTTCTTGGTAACAGATTTCAGGAGGCATGGGCTGCCCCATTAGAGTTCTGTATGCAGTTGGGGGAACAGATGTTGACAGCAGCAGCAGCCTTTATGTTGACACTTCACAGGCTTTGCCTCTTCTACTGTAAATCTTTTGTAGATTTACAAATAACTGGGAACACCAATGTTTTACATTAAGTAAACTTGATTCAATAGTAGGTGTCAAGAAATTTTACCAATCTTCTGTCCACAACCCTAAATAGGAAACAAACTTTCCTTTCATGAAACACACAATTCAGTGAGGGAGATGAGGCAAAGAGAAGAGTGGGAACCAAAGAACAGAGATTCAGAAGCAGGTAAAAAAAATTTAGGAAGAGTAACTTGAAAATATGATGATGATGAAATTATATTAATAAACATAGGACAGCAACTATGTTTGATTGTAACAAATTAATTCTGTGGAAACAGCATGTTTTCTTTTTCTTTTCTTTTTTGTTTTTTTGGAGACGGGATCACGGCTCACTGCAACCTCTGGCTTCTGGGTTCAGGCGATTCTCTTGCCTCAGCCTCCTGAGTAGCTAGGACTAGAGCATCCGCCATCATACCCAGCTAATTTTTATATTTTTAGTAGAGACGGGGTTTCACCATGTTAGCCAGGCTGGTCTCCAACTCCTGGTCTCAAGTGATCCACCCACCTCAGCTCCCAAAGTGCTGGAATTATAGACGTAAGCAACCGCGCCTGGCCATTTTCATGCTTTTGTAAGCCACTCTAGCTAAATCTGGAAATTCAAGTTACAAATTCAATCTTGTACTCTTTAAGTAACTCTTAAATAACTAAATAACTCTCGAAACAGAAGAAAAATCAGTTACCCAATCAGATTACTGTCAACTTACTATGGGTTTTTGTTTTGTTTTTCACTTTCCTGTTGCACTGAGGTTGAAAAAAAAAAAAACGCTTGTTTTCAACTAGAAAAACTAAATATAGCTAAGTTATTTTAAAACTGCATGCAATGTCACTGAATTGTAATGCATTTCAGGTATGTAAATTTTACCACAGTATCAATAATTTTAAAACTTTTACCATTTGCCTAATACTTTGTGGGTATAAGTATATATAATCTTCCAATTTTTAGTTAAACACAAATTCTCAGCTACTACAAAGTCTGCCACCTCTGAAACTTTCTAAAGGGACTGAAATGTTCCATTGTGGGTCTCTCACAAATGTGTTTTACTCTGTTAGCGAGGCTGCCGTTTGGGATTCCCCATCTGCCAGATGCTCCTTAATTTTTCTGGGTTGATGCTGTCTCATCTAGTCCCCCTTGGACAAATGACCACTTTGGATGAGTTAGGGATGTTGCTTGAGATCGAAGAATGCTTCTTTTTGGTGGAGATTTTCTGTTTTGTTTTTTCTGTGTGAAGGCTAGCTATGTCCCAGGGGAATTAGACTCATGACTTAAAGTCCCTTAGTCACTGCCCCCTTGTCTCTGCTCTTACTCATTCTGTTCCGCCATTGACGCTTGAAAGCACCACAGGTTTGTAGAGCTATGGGAGTAGCTGCATGGTTTTTGTTTTCTAACCAGGACTCCAAAGGGTTATATCTGGTAAGTTCATTTACTTTAAACCTCAAAATTAACTGCAAATAGGCCATCAGTAAATTCCCAACTGCAAGAACTTTGAATGAGTAATGAACATTTAATGACTTAAGGTTACATTTTTAATAGTCAAAACTCTTTAATTATTTTTATAGCTATAATGTTTTTCTCACTCTAAAGAATTGTTTTTACTTTAACATGTGCTCTGTTTTGACATGAAATATTTCTTGAGGTAATAAGCTTTTACCAAGCTTATATTTTTGGGCAATTCAGTTACAATGAGAAAAAAACACACCAAAAGACCAAAAATTTTAAAAACTCACTTTTCTTGCAATCATAGACATTTTGCATTATTATAGAACATTCAAACAAGTTAGGTGGATAATTATTGTCTATAGATAAATACGATGCAATTTTAATAAGAATTTGAAGAATGACATTAAATGCTGTCTGAAACCTTTTGTATTTTTTTAATGTATGACCATACTCCGTATATACTTAGATAACTTATCCAGAAACCTCAACTGTATTGAACATTGCTGAGAGAAATCAACAATAATTTTAACAGATATGATGACAGTAAAAATTGATTGCATATCTTTTTGCACTAAAACTTTTATATTTATTTACAAGCGGGAACTCCATTCTGCCACAGAGACCCTGTAAATTCTCCTTTTAGGTATACTGTAATTTGGACCAGTTTCTTCATCTGGTTTCCCAAAGCATAAACAAGAAGAAGCTGCAAATGAAGAAGGATAAAGATAAAGAAATGCTGGAAGTAAACTTGGATCTTAGTCTAGACTTAGACAATGGGAAAGAAAGAAACTCTCTTAAAAGAGTGAACCTTAAGAACCTAGTAACCTGGGAAATCTTGAAGAGCCCCTGAAGTTGCTGTGTTGTACAAAAGAAGATGTTCTGAATGCTATTTCTGAAACTTCAAATAAAGTGTAAACTCTGCTCAGTATAAAGTGTAAACTCTGCTCAGTATAGTTAGATTAAGAAAGCAATGTAACATGCATTTAGAACACTTTAAAAAGTGATCAGTATTGGGAGGCCGAGGCAGGTGGATCACAAGGTCAAGAAATTGAGACCACCCTGGCCAATATGGTGAAACCCCGTCTCTACTAAAAATACAAAAATTAGCTGGGCATGGTGATGCGCACCTGTAGTCCCAGCTACTTGGGAGGCTGAGGCAGAAGAATCGCTTGAACCTGGGAGGCGGAGGTTGCAATGAGCCGACATCACGCCACTGCACTCCAGCCTGGGCGACAGAGAGAGACTCACTCCATGTCAAAAAAAAAAAAAAAAAGGGATCAATAAAAAGACTAGCATTTTGCAAACTGGAGCTCTTATGGGTTCTTTTCACTTCTTAGGAAAAATATTTCATTTCTTTTTCCTAGAAAAAGCCAAATAAATGAAACATCATTCTACAGTTTGAGACACAATGCTTATAATATAAACAGAAGTAAAATGTGACTCAGGACTTTCCTAAACTTACTTTACATCCATCATTTGCCTAGCACTTCAAGTATGCTTTCACTTTTTATCTCCTTAAATCCCCATAATGTTCTTCCCAGTCCAAATCAGATGGCTTTTTTCTGAACTTCTTGGAGCACTGTAAATATGGTCACATGTATTGTCATTGTCGACTTACTGTCTGTTTCCACTAGCCATGTGCTCCTTGAAGGCAGGGCCTACGGTTCTCTTTGTCTCTCTTGTCCTCAGGATAGTGTTTGGAGCATGGTAGACACTCAATATTTGCTGAACAGATTAAATAGAAGTATAGGTCATGATCTCTCTGCTAAGGAGTTCACAGCTTTTCTGGGGAAGGTAGATAAGACATATACAATAGACATAACATCCTAAGAAAGATGATTTTCCACTCAAATATATGGTCCAGACAATCAATGTCAGTGGAAACAGAGCAGAGAGCAATCAATATTGGCTTAAGTATTCAGTAACGCTTCATATACAGCCTTGGAGGATCTTGGTATTGATGCTACTTCTGGCTGCTCAAGGTAACTCATCTTCACTATATAAATGTAATTTATAGATTCTGTAAATTAAATACAAGAGTTACACAATTAACTGATAAGTTAAGAACTGTCCTAAAATATATTTACTTACACACACACATTCTAAATCTGAATTATCCAGATTATGTTTACAGTGACAAAAATCAGTAGATAATCATATAGAATCATATAATTTAGCCCTTTTATGACTTTTTGAGATATGTTCCCTTATTTGATAGATTAACCTATTTTTTTCTGAAGAAATAAACAGATACAGAACACCTGAGTAACATTAAAAGAAGGAACAAAACAATAAAATCAAACAAAGATATTGGATTCTTATCTCATAACCTGTACCACAGTAGTCCCAGATGTATCAAAGACTTAAAAGTAAAAAAAAAAAAAAAAAAAACAACCCATAAAGATTCTCAAACTAAAGATGGGCAGTGAAGTAATTTATAATTTCATCTTACAGATGCAATAGAAGACAAATTTTTAAAAAGTTATTATGAAAAATAAAAACACCCTTAACAAAAGTCAAGACACAAGACAAACTGGCAAAAGTATTTACAGCTTATATCAAAGAAAAATGACAATTTTCACATACACATAAGAAAAGGATCATCAATCCAACAGAAAAGTGGGTAGACTGTGAATACCTACTTCTTAGAAAAATAAAGTGCTAATAGTGCTAAAGTGCTAAATGATGAACATATGAAATGTTCATCAGCCTCATATATTAACAAAAGAAATGTAAATTGAAACTATACTGAGCTATCATTTTGACCTATCAGCTCGAGGGAACATCACAAAATTTGATAATACAGTTTGTTGGCAAGGTTCAAAGTCTTACTCTTTCTTATATTGGAAACGGGTAGGACCCTATGTGAAGCAATAGCAAATCTGCCAAAATTTTACACAGTTTGACCCAGTCATGTTATGAGCTGAATTTTCAACATATTAAAGTTCATATGTTGAAGCTCTAATCCCCAATGTGATATTATTAGGAGGTGAGACATTTGGGAGGTAAATCAGGTTTCGATGAGGTCATGAAGATGAAGCCCCATAAGGGGGTCAACATCCTTGAAAAAGAAGAGATACCACAGCTCTCTCTCTAAACATGCACAAAGAAGAGGTCACATGATCACGCGGCTAGGTGGCAACTATCTGCAAGCTAAGAAGAGGACCCTCACTAAGAATTGAATCTGTTGGCATCTTGATCTAGGACTTTCCTGCTCTAGAACTGTGAGAAATAAATGTCTATTGTTTAAGCCACTCAGCAATGGTATTTTCTTAGAGGAGCCCAAGATACATTTCTAGGAAGTTATCCTCTTGATATACTAACATACAAGTAAAATGACATTCATATAAGCATTTTCCTTGAAATATGATAGACAATATTAGAAATAATTGAAGGCAGTTAAATAAATTAGTTCACATCCATTTGATGGAATTCTGTATACTATGAAAATGAGTAAGGCAGTATTGTATAAACTGCTAAGGCATAATATACAGTGTGTATGATATGATAACATTTATGAAAAAAACAAAAACTTACATCCATAGTGATAATGCATACAACATCTCTGAAGGATATAAAAAATGCAAGGATAGTAGTTGACTCTGGAGTAAGAAATTGGTTGTCAGGGGGCCAGGAACGGGATGGAAGAATTCTCACTGTTAACCACCATATATCTTTTGATTTTGTATTATATGCATGTATATCCAGCTCAAAAGAAAAGGAACAAAACCAGTGTATGTTGGAATGCATATAGTTTTGTTAACTAAAAACTGAGCTTCAATTCAAAACAATATGTTTCTCTTGACTGAGGGATTTACTCTAAGCAAACCTCTTAGTGAGTAGCCAGAAACTTTTTGTATCACAGACAGAAACCATTGAATTAGGACCTCAGCTCTTTGGGTCCAGGCTTTCAATACAGGTTACTAAAATAGATAAAATAGAACTTACAAACCAAATCAGAGTTTGCCTGGATTCATTCAATCATTCTGCACAACACATAGCCCTACACCCTCTCTCTTCATCTCATTTTAAGGGCCCTTTTCTCTTTCTTGTTCAGTGTGCTTATTTGTGCTTGTTTTGTTTTTGGCCTGAAGTACAAACAAACAATATAGAGGGAGGGACAATGGTGTAGGCCAAGAAATGCAGCCCAGTGGAATGTTTCTTAAGAATTATATAGAGGAGAGATGGAGCAATGCCTAGGGGCCTCAGAAATACACAGACAGACACACACGCATACACACACACAGAAATACACACATACACACACACAGACACAAATGCATACACACACATTCTTTATCATATGCCAGCATTATTAATTCATATTAACAAATGTAACATTTTGTTATTTCATAAATTAATATGTCAATATTTGGAAGGTTTTCATAACTAGTGAACTAAAACTTTCCAAATGACAATGCATAGCATTACACAGATAACATATGCAAAGGCCCATTCCAAGTGCATGAAAACAACACTTTTTCTTGCATTATAATTTTTGATTGACAGACCATTGTACCTATTTTGGAGATACAGTGTGATATTTTGATACATGTATACAATGTGTAATAATCAATATCAAGGCCTGATACTAATGCCCAGGTGGCAGAGGCAAGTCTATCTCAAAGACACTGATGAAAGATTTTTGGAAACTTTTACTGTCTGCCTCTGTGGATGGAGATTTCCAGGCAAAATAGTTAAGAAATAGTTTCTTGGGAAGAAACCACAATACTTTGTCGGTGTAGGCTCTCACTCTACTACATGGATGTGCCTTAAAATTGGCAAGCAGCTAGGATCTTTTCTGTAGGTATCCTCCAGTGTCAGGGAAGCGTGGGATGCCATTGCTGCCAGTGCACACAAAAGCCTCAGGATCTGACTAAGGAAGGATCTTGAATGAATAAGGACCTTGGTGACTATGGATGGTGGAACCCATACTCATTCGGAATTGGAAGGCTAAGAGAATCATGTCGGGCTTTTTGTTTTTGCTTTATAGAGACCAGGTGATCATGCCATGTGCATAATAGGTAATGATTATACATACATGAACAGAGTTTTCTTGTAGGTTTTGAAATCAAAAGACCTGTGTGTTGATATTGACCATGTGGGTTGGTAAGCTAAGTCTCAGTTTCATTATTACTAAAATGAAGATACCGATGGCTTTCTCACAGGTTAAGACTTTCCATGAGGACAGAAAATGATGTGAAAACATAAAAGAAAAACTAGCTGTTAGCAGCAATTATAAAATTATAAGCTCCAGACAATGTAAACCTAAACATTTTGACATAATTACTTTATTCATCATAACTTGGTAAGTTGGTAAGCAGTTACACAAATGGCATTTTTTTTTTTTTACCACACCAAACATACAAACCCAGGCATTCCTAAGAGACATCTAAACCATATACAATTAAGACCAGCTGGGCAAGAGAAAAAGTATATGTGGGCCAGGCGCAGTAGCTCACGCCTGTAATCCCAGCCCTTTGGGAGGCCGAGGCAGGTGGATCATGAGTTCAGGAAATCAAGACCATCCTGGCTAACATGGTGAAACCCCGTCTCTTCTAAAAATACAAAAAATTAGCCGGGTGTGGTGGCACATACCTGTAGTCCCAGCTACTCGGAAGGCTGAGGCAGGAGAATGGCGTGAACCCGGGAGGCAGAGCTTACAGTGAGCCGAGATTGCGCCACTGCACTCCAGCCTGGGCGACAGAGCGAGACTCTGTCTCAAAAAAAAAAAAAAAAAAAAAAGTATATGTGGCTAACAAGCACTTGCTTCAAGCTCCCACCAAAGACCAGAATCCAAGAGTAAGTGAGAATGTGTGTGCTGATTTCTCCCTCCTCTGACCACAGGTACCTGAAAATGGGGGATTCTGAGAGCCTCAGAAAGTCTGACAGCAAAGGCTTGGCTTTGGGGTTCAGACACACTTTAGCTTGAGAACTAGTTTTAACACTTAGCATTTGTGTGAACTTGAGTTAATTACCCATAATTTCTCCACTTAACAAAATTGTGGTAAAACAGGTGAAGCAGTAAGGACGCCATCTTCCATCCTCTGCATCCAGGCCAAGGAAGACACACTGAGTTAAAAAATCACGTATGGCTGAGGGCAGAGCCATCCTTAAAGAAGCTGTCCTCTCCAGAGAAGGTAGTGAGACATTTCTAAGTGGGGCAGCGATCAGCTCCTCTTTTCAACATAAAAACGTAAAGAGGCTCCTGGAGGAGCCTTTCTCCTCTTTCTTTGGTAAGTGTGAAAAAATCAGCAGATTAGGTCTTTCCCTTCCACAACCCTTTCATCCTCGCCACCCTGGCCTTGACCAATTAAAGACTCATTGGAGCTCCTAAGCACCTCTCCATCCCAGTCCCACCCTTGTTCCTAATGGTAAAATAGAAGATACCAGGAATAATCTATTTTCATTATGAATCAATTTAAAGAGCTTACTTTCATGATTCTTCATAGAGATAGAAAATTTATTAAGAGTAAAGTAGGGGTATAAGAGGAGTACTTTGAGGGCTGGATTCCTGAGACAGGGAAAGAGGCCATGGCAGAGAACTTGGACAGCTAAGAGTGGGTTGAAGCACTTGATGTCTGAGCACTGAAGGGAAGGTCAGAAAAGCAGAATGAAAGGAAGCAAGGAAGACATAAGTGTGGGGCCAAAGGAAAAAAAAGGTACAAATCCTTTTTGTAAACTGAAAATAAGGAGAGAATCAGAGGATAGTAGAGCTGGAAGAAATTTAGAATATTATCACTTCCAGTACCTTCAGAAACAAACACCTTTAAGGGTCAGGCAGGGAGTGTTAATCAGGGAAGTTGGCTGGTTGTGATACAATAGATATTGGAGAAGACCGTGGAGAACTAGAGCAAGCATTTTGTTCCTAAAAACAATATAGAGCGTTTTTTGTTTTGTTTTGTTTTTTTAATACTGTGCTGGCCAAAGAACATAACCATGTGAGGAATTGTCCAATCCCTGTAATGTTACAGATGGGACTGCCAAGCATTAAAATATCTAAGGAAGTATTTTATGAAGTGGCTTTGGACAGAGATAACTCTACTGAGGCTCTTTTCTCCACATACTTGAAAGCTGGGACCATGGATCTGAAGGATCTCACAAGAAGGAGGTCACTCCAGGAAATCCTCAAGTCCTGGGGAACTCCAGGATTTTTCCAGTTCCCCCTCAGGGAAGAACTCATTTGATTCTCCAAGGCAACCCAGGAGCAAATCTAGGATAGGGCTAGAGAATCCTCAAGGGAAAATTTAAATAATTTAGACTGACTCCATATTCTATAAGTCAGAAAGGGGCACTGAAGATATTGAAAGGGAATGGTTCACAGGTTTATCCCATGAAAACTCTATCACATCTTCTGAATGTCCTGGGATCACAGCATGATGATGATAAGCTGTGGGGATAAGCTTAAAGGGGCAACTGTGAAGGCGCAAGATCCGGAACAAAAGCTGGCAAAACAGGTTTACTTAGGGCATGCATGCAGAGGCTGCATCTTTTGGGCCACATAAGTCATATTATCATCAATATTATGGATTTGAAGCATCTATGGTTTTAATGTCAAACATTAATTATCCATCCTTGACTAGTTCAAAGAGAGAGACTTTGGATCTGGGTTTGAATTTCAGTTCTGTTACTTATTAGCTAGCTGACACAAGGAAAAGTCACTTCATTCTTCAGTGGCATACTTCTCTTGCCTGTAAAATAGAGATAATAAAACTTATCCAGGAGGGTTGTGATGCTAAGAGGTAACGTGTAGATGCAAAGAGCCCAACAGAGAATAATTACTCAATGAATAAAAGCTATTATTATCTCTTATCATCATTGTTATTGTTATCATAATAGTAGTTACAAACTAGCATCATCACACAGCAAGCCCCCGTTGCTTTATTCTCACATACACAGAAAGCCCCCATTGCTTTCTTCTCACGTCCTCAATGTTGTAACTTCCAAACATGCAGGATCTGCGTGCTCTATAAGAGAGCTCCAATAAATGCACAGCTCACTCAACTTGTGTCCTGGTTTACAGAAGTAAGTAACAGGAGAAGCAGGGCTTTCATAGCCCTTCCACACTTTTTTACTCAAGTGCTTTGGTATACAATTAGTAAGCAGTGTTTCCAGCAGCTTCTGATTTGCAGTAAGTAATTGCAGTCTAGTGCTCTTTCTTCTGTTGCCACTTGCTAAACACCCACTTAAAAGTATCAGATCACAAAACTCCCTACAAATTGAAATTTATGTTTCCTTTTGGGTTATTTAGGACTAATCCAACAAAGCCAATGAGGAAACATAATGCTAATTTATACTTTTAGTTTCATAGCACTACCTTGGTTATTTTTATACTTAATTGAAAGGGGATATTTCCTCTTATATTTTTGTAAATGTGGATTTTGGGGGGAGTTCTAGACAATGAATTTACACTAGCAAATGCTAGGCAAAGTAATGAGAAGCAAAATTAACTTACTGAAGCATTTTAACGAGTAAAAAAATGGTTATCTATTGCCTAAATAAGTCAAGGTTTTTCTTTCTGAAGGTATCTTCATTTCATTGGCTGTGATTTTGTTTAATTTGAGAGAGAAGGCAAGAGTGTTATCATTCTCCAGTTGGAAACTAGCATGGATGGTATTCCTGCTCCTACTCTTCAGAATTTTAGTATAAACAAAATAAGCTGATCCAAACACACATTAACTGATTGGTGGATAAACAAACTGTGGTATATCCACACAACTGAATATTATTTAGCAGTAAAAAGAAATGAAATATTCATACATGCTACACCATGAATGTACCTTGAAAACATTAAGTGAAAGAAAAGGCACAAAGGGCCACATATTACATGATTCCATTTATACCAAATGTCCAGAATAGGCAAATACATAGAGATAAAAAATGGATAGAAGGTTACCTAGGAAAGGGGTGGTGGTAGGGGATGGAGAGTACTGCTTATGGACAAGGAGGCTTCTTTTTTAGAATAATAAAAATATTTCGGAATCCCATAGTGATAATGGTTGTTTAGCTCTGTGGATATCCTAAAACCCACTGAATTTTATACTTTTTAAAATTTTTTTTATTTTTGAGATGGAGCCTTGCTCTGTCACCCAGCCCAGGCTGGAGTGCAGTGGCACGATCTTGGCTCACTGCAACCTCTGTCTCCTGTGTTCAAGCTATTCTCCTGCCTCAGCCTCCCGAGTAGCTGGGATTGCAGGCATGCACTACTACATCCAGCTAATTTTTGTAATTTTAGTAGAGACAGGGTTTCATCATGTTGCCCAGGCTGGTCTCGAACTCCTGACCTAGGGCGATCTGCCCACCTCAGCCTCCCAAAGTGGGGATTACAGACGTGAGCCACCATGCCTGGCTGACTTTCATACTTTATTATTTTTATTTTATTATTATTATACTTTAAGTTTTAGGGTGCATGTGTACAATGTGCAGGTTAGTTACATGTGTATACATGTGCCATGCTGGTGTGCTGCACCCATTAACTCATCATTTAGCATTAGGTATATCTCCTAAAACTATCCCTCTCCCCTCCCCCCACCCCACAACAGTCCCCAGAGTGTGATGTTCCCCTTCCTGTGTCCATGTGTTCTCATTGTTCAATTCCCACCTATGAGTGAGAATATGCGGTGTTTGGTTTTTTGTTCTTGCGATACTTTACTGAGAATGATGATTTCCAATTTCATCCATGTCCATGCAAAGGACATGAACTCATCATTTTTTATGGCTGTATAGTATTCCATGGTGTATATGTGCCACATTTTCTTAATCCAGTCTATCTTTGTTGGACATTTGGGTTGGTTCCAAGTCTTTGCTATTGTGAATAGTGTCGCAATAAACATACGTGTGCATGTGTCTTTATAGCAGCATGATTTATAGTCCTTTGGGTATATACCCTGTAATGGGATGGCTGACTTTCATACTTTAAAAGAGTGAATTGTATGGTAGCTGAATTAAAATTCAATTTTCTACCTAGAAAATTCTTGCCTGTCATCATCATCATTTCCCAAAACAAACATTCTCTGCAAGTTTACCTTGTGAGGTTCAGTGAATTCTTGAGTGACACTGCATTAGCAAAACAAGTTTTGAAGTCCTTGTTTATAAATCTCAACTTGGTTTCCATAGTTTCATAAACAAAATACTCTGCCAATTTTATATTTTGAAAAAATTGCTTTGAAGATTCTTTCATTTTATTGGCTTTTCTAATAAGATAAAAGAAGTGCTTCATGTCTTTTATTTTTATTTTAGTTTTTGGAAAGAAGTTGAGTCAAAACGGGATTAAGAATTCTATTGTATGGCTTCTTGAAAGCAGCAGAAAATCAAATATGGAACATACCCAAAGTGGGAAAGAAATAATTACTTAATTCAGCACATTAATAAAAAAGATCTTACAAATTAAATGTTGTTCCAAAGACATCTTAAACACCTACTACAGCATCATACACATTTATTGAGAAAATGCCAAGTTTTATATTATGGTATTCTAGCAACTCAATGCAATAAAAATTTCCAGAAAAACAAATGGAATAATGTAATTTTTATAAAAAATACGATACATATGACCAGTGTTACTTTTTTTTATTTTTTTGTTATGCATTTGGAAATGCCACTAATGCAAGGTTTTATTTAATAATTGAATAATAATGTAGGGTAATGTGGTGTTGAAGAGAACAAGCCCTGGGGTCTATCTGATTTGAATCCTGATTCCTCTATTTATGGCCTGGAGAAAGTTTCTTGATCTTTCTAGGCTTCAATTTTCTCCATCTGTAAAATGAGGATATGGTGTAGGGTTGTGAGAATTCAATGTAATAATGCACTTAAAGTGTTTAATATGATGTTTGGCACATGGTGAGCTGAAAGCATTATTATTATCATCATCTTTTTCTTAGCATTGCTTAATGTCCTTTTATAGGATTATTTCTTCTCCTAGCAATACTTCTGAGAGAGTCAATAGATTTCAGCTAGAGAAGCAAGGTCACAAACCAATTCAGCCCTACAGTGAGATACTTTTCATTTGTTTCTCTCAAAATATTCAAGTTGTAATTCCAAGAAACCATTCATCCTTTATGCTAACAGGCCTCTAACCACAATTTAATAAAATTTCTTTTTTTCCATAAACAAAGCCAAACATAATATCTTGTTCATCTGATTATAAGCAGAATAGCTGCTATCTGAACACTGCTGTATCACAGACAATAATGGCAGTAATTACTAGCCACCGCACCCCCAATCACCTAAGACATGTGGTATCCATCAGTGTAACAAAAAATGAAAAGAGGCAAACAAGTCTGCTCACTCAACTTTGTATGTTGATATTTGATTTATAGTTCAATAGAGTTACATCTATTCTATAAGTAATTCCTAGGTACTTAGTATGTTTTGAACATGGTGGATGCCTAGAATAAATTTCTCATTCAGTTGAATTCCTTAGTATTGTGTTAGGTGTCACAGATACAAACTAAAGTTAAACTTTACCTTACCTAAAGCTTAAAACCTTATTCTGAGGCATATTGTATTCAGAATTAAAAATAGTCAAGTTCTTCAATTACAAGATAAGATTTAGTAAAGGCAAGGCAAGCATGAGTAAAATGTTAATACCAGATACATTTATTCTCTGTGACAGCAGACACTGATAACATTTCAAGGTAAATTTAAATAACTTAGAAAAGTTCATGGTATGGCCAACTGTGATGATAATCTTTACTGCAAGATCCCTGGGGCAAAAAGTTATTTTATGTCATTCTAATATAAGTACTCCCATTTCTGAGGTTCCCAAATTGTCTAGAAACTATCCCATCTGCACCATTCCCTAAAGATAATCAATCTCACCAGGTGATCTTAAACCCAAAGGCTGGTGCTGGTGTTTCTGGAGGACAGTATCTGAAAAGCCCAGAGTTTCTTACCCCAGTAACTGATGTAGCTGATGTGAGTAAGTCCTGGCTTGCCTGACCACATGTCAACACGGAGGAGCAGGGTAGTAGAGGCTTCAGAGAGTAGTACGCCATGCGGTTTTGGTTGACCCACTGAGAGGGAAACAAGGTAAACTGAGACTATAATTACTGAACTAATTTGCTTTGGTGGCCTAAGAAGATAAGTCTTCAAAAAAATTCAAAACTTGTTATAGAAACATACATACATACATATACCCCAAATCAAACCAAAAACAAAGCTGAAAAAAGTACTAACTAAAAATATCAATTATACCTAAGAATTAAAGACTCCTGTTATCCAAAAACACTGCTTTGGAGTTATGCCAGCAAGCACCCTTAACATTTGGTCCTATGTTACAGCAGCCTTTTTTGAAGGAAAATACAATGAAGAATCTTGACACATTGATTTCAACTCCACATAAAAATATTTTTAATCAGCATTTTATATGCCCAGATTTTAAAGAAAATGTCAAATGTATGGAAAAAAGCAAAAATAGATATAAACAAGGAGAAGTGACAGCATTTTTAAAAAGCAATGTTGGTCAATTAATGCAACCACGACAATCTAAAGGGATGAATAGTAAAATTTCATACTAATTACCAGAATCTTGTTTTCTAACATTTCCATACAGAAATATTTATGTTCTTTCTCAATTTAGGATGCTTACTCCAGAAATTCACTTCAAAAACTGGGAACAGAGACACCAATCTGCTTCTTCTCAGACTTACCATACAACGGAAACATCTTCTCCCTCCTGTGTCAGCCCTGAGCATATTCTGACTCAGTAAAATTGAGGTTATAATAGAGTAAAATACTTTATGATGGAAATTTTATTCTGCTGCTTTGTGACATAAAAAATTTAAATAATCCAAGAAAAAGGGAGAGAAAGACAAAATTTTCCATTCTTTCAGATACATTACATTCCCACACACTTCTCCCATTCCTAGCTCACATGCTGATGTGCATGCTGATGTGTCTTTGTGTTCAAGATAAGAGTAGAGAATACCCAGTCTTTTTCATGAAGTACGAAATAGGATGTGCAGTAGATCAAGTCAGGTTAGTTACCTCCCATTATCCAAAAACACTGCTTTTGTAACCTCAAAAGTCCAAAGGTCTTTGCAAGAGTTAATGAAATTAAATCCTATAATAATTGTATCTCCAAAGATACAGTGCTCTGAATTTACTTAAACAGTTACATAGGAGCAATAACCAGTTTCAAAATCAATATAAGATTCAGAATGGATATATTTAAAAACAAAAGAAAGAGACTGTCTAGTAAACTAGGTTAAAATGTTCAGTGATTTACTCCCTCAATTCTAAAATGGATCAATTTTTCTAAGCCAATGCTCCCATCTCATAAATCACTGGAAAATCCTTCTAAATATTAATGGTATAAGGCTACAGGAATATAAAACCCTAAGGCTTAGTTTAAAAGAATCTAGAGTGAAATAAGGGCCATGAATTCCACAAAAACAAAGTTTCACTGGGAGTCATTCTGGAAAACTGTCACACATACCTTCAGAAAGCTGGTATGAGAAGCATGCCAAGAAAGTTCAGTTATTATCTCACTGGCAGTTATCGCTATTGTCCAGTCACTCAATCTTAACTACTGATGGTTAATCTCAGATTGTTTGTCTGGTAAGATGCAAGACTGCAAGACAAAGTAGGGGCAGACACCAGGGGCAGAACTGAAAATTGAAATCAGTGGGCCCTAGGCAAAGACTGGTTTTCCACAATAGAATTCAGAAGCACAATGTTTTAATTTAAATATTACTTCAATTCCAAGATAAATTAGAACAATTTAAACCTCTTTCTCTAATTTTCCCTGGGAATTAAAATTTCCTTTACAATAGATGACAATTTTGCAGTTCCTTAGAAGTCCCTTGGATAGAAAGTATAATTAACTTGATAACAAATATGTTCATGACTACTAAGCCTTATGTGTCCTCAAGACAGCTTTGGATACTCAGTTTTGAAAACTGAGTGGTCCCCAGGTACCAATATATAAGTCTTTTGGGAAATACAACCAGAGAAAATTTTTTTGTTTGTTTTATGGTTGGTTGGTTTTGTTTGCCTCAAAAAGACCTGAGCAAAGCAAAAAATAACTACTGAATTTTTTAAAGACTGAACTACAGTGCCTTACGTAATGAAAAATCTAAAGTGCAACTTAGCAAATAACTTTCTACAAAGCAGTCTTTATGTAATAACTACATTACTTAAAGTAAGAGATCTATAGCATCCATGCAGTTAGGCCCACACACATACTTATTCACTGAATAATAAAATAGAACTATTCTCTGAAGTGGAAGATCAAAATTAGTTGATAGCAAAGCCTTAGTTAGATGATCAAAGATAATTTGCCACACTTACTCCCACTTTCTTTGTTTTTAAACTTTATTTATTTATTTATTTATTTAGAGACAGGATCTCACCCTGTCACTCAGGCTGGAATGCAGTGACGCGATCTCAGCTCACTGCAACCTCTGCCTCCCAGGTTCAAGCAATTCTCGTGCCTCAGCCTCCCGAGTGGCTGGGGCTACAGGCACATGCTACAGCAACTGGCTAATTTTTGTATTTTTAGTAGAGACGGGGTTTCACCACGTTGGCCAGGCTGGTCACGAGCCCTGAGCTCAAGTGATCTGCCTGCCTCGGCCTCCCAAAGTGCTGGGATTACACGTGTGAGCCGCCATACCCGGTCTCTTTTTTTTAACTTAAAAATATTTTTTTAATTTTAAATTTTTATTTCAACAGTTTTAGGGGTACAGTAAGTTCTTTAGTGGTGATTTCTGAGGTTTTGTTGTACCTGTCACCTGAGCAATGTGCACTGTACACAATATATAGCCCACTTTCTTAAGGATCTCCATTTAGCATCTCTTGAATCCATTCTGCAATTAATCTAGTTAAGAAATTTAACTCTAAGTATTACCAAGGCTTTGGAAAAATGGGAAATAATTTCTCCAAAAAAAAAAATCAAAACATTGGATGATGGACAGATAGATAGACAGATAGGCAGACATACAGATAGATATTTTCTTCTCCTGTTTCCAAAAAGGATCCACAGTGACACTTACTATTCACGGTACAGTCTCAATTTTTAAGTCTTTAAGGCTAGAAATGTAGCTTATAAGACAATTTTTTATTATAATATAACAAATAATGAAGCAATGCTTTTAGAGTAACGTATTATACTAATACTGGTTGAAATTCTAGAAATAAAAAAGTTGATTCACGTTATCCTCTCCATACAGTTGAAGTGGAGAACTTCTAGTTTGAGAACATTTGGTTCAATTTAATCTGAATAAAACGGCTTTGTCACTGCTACCAAAGCATAGAAAATAACTTCTATTGTCCAATCTGGTGACCCTCTCAAGTAATGGACCAAAGTAAAGGTATCAGATAGTTGAAGATGTGAACATAGTGATTAACCAGCTAACTAACTCTTTGAAAGCAGAGGATAAAGGATAACAATGCCAATTTCCACAGTCCAAAGGAAGAGTGGGGTGTACCCTTTACTAAACCTAAAATATTCCCACTCCACGTCCTCCTTCCTTGCCTTACCTCTTCGCCTCCTCCACTCCTCCCCATGGGTCACTGCCTTTGCCTGTCTGAATCCCTACACTCCAGACTCCTTCCCTTTGCCCCTCTCTTCCTAGTCTACCTCTTTTTTCTTGTCTTCTTTCACATCTCAATCACTTTAAATGAAAATAACCTTGGAAAGAAGTATGTTCTGTTGTTTAC
Source organism: Homo sapiens (assembly GCF_000001405.40). Lineage (NCBI taxonomy): Eukaryota > Metazoa > Chordata > Mammalia > Primates > Hominidae > Homo > Homo sapiens. The sequence goes on along the minus strand of NC_000006.12, from coordinate 72,673,448 downwards.
TATACTCAGTAAACAATATTGTTTCCAATATTTTAAAATAAAAATTGGACATTTTACTTTCCAAGGAAAAGTAAAGTGTATTTCAAGGAAGAAAATACACTTGATGCATTATATATTTAGGGTGTGTCTTTCAACTGCTTGCTTCTTCTTCTGTAAGTAAACAATTATGACCAGGAAAATAAGAAGTTCCCTTGCCCACTAACCCAACACCCTAGATCCATACGGAGGCACAGAGCACAAAGCTGAAGGGGTGGGAGCCCTGAGTCTATGGAGTTAACAGTCCTTGACTCCAGGCAAGACTGGAGGTTAGCTATCCCCAGGCAATGGGACAGCTGTCACAAATGGGATTCCACAGCCTCCCCAGAGGCCAATTCTACTTTGTAGTAACCTCACTACTGGAAAGTTATTTGGTTTAGTTAGCCTAAATAACTCATGCTGAACTCTCCTAGTCTGGTCATCAGTATTAGCTCACTGGAGTAGTTTTCAAGTGCTTTAAGACAATTATTGGATTACCTACTAGCCTTCTCTTTCTCATGCATAATCACTACAAATCACTCAAATCTTTTCACAAGTGCTTTTTATCATTCCTATCATTTTTTATGCTAACTCTGATACTTCTAGATTTTTCCTATCATCTTTAGTTATGAAATGAAAGTGATAAATATTAGAAAATTACCACTATTATAGTAATGAAATAATGAGTGAAATCAATACTTTACAAAGTCCTTTCTTGGGCATGACGTCTTCTGATTCTGACAATTTTGTAAGGTAGGTACGGCAGGGGATAAAGCTTCCATTTTCCTCAGATGAGGAAATTGAAGCCCCAGGAGGTTGTCACTTTCCAAAGCATATATAGCCAGAAAGTGCCAAAGACTGTATCGGAAACTAGGACTTCTGACACCAAAACTTATATACTTTTATTTTTAAAAACACTAGGCTGTCTACTTATGTCTATGAAATAATCTTAGTGGATCTTAGTGTGTCTTTTTAACTTTCTTCTATTAAAAAATGCTTACTCTATGTTTATATACATATAAAATTTTCTGGTGAAGGCTGGGCGCAGTGGCTCACCCCTGTAATCCCATCACTTTGGGAGGCAGAGATGCGTGGATCACTCGAGGTCAGGAGTTTGAGACAAGTCTGCCCAACATGGCGAAACTCCGTCTCTACAAAAATTACAAAAATTAGCCAGGCGTGGTCCTGGACTTGGGAGGCTGAGGCATGAGGATACCTTGAACTTGGGAGGCAGAGGTTGCAATGAGCTGAGATCATGTCACTGCACTCCAGCCAGGGTGATAGAGTAGACTCTGTCTCAAAAAAAAAAAAAAAATTAGGCCAGGCGTCGTGGCTCATGCCTGTAATCCCAGCACTTTGGGAGGCCGAGGCGGGCGGATCATGAGGTCAGAAGATTGAGACCATCCTGGCTAACACGGTGAAACCCTGTCTCTACTAAAAATACAAAAAATTAGCCAGGCGTGGTGGCGGGTGCCTGTAGTCCTGGCTACTTGGGAGGCTGAGGCAGGAGAATGGTGTGAACCTGGGAGGTGGAGCTCGCAGTGAGCCGAGATCGTGCCACTGCACTCCAGCCTGGGTGACAGAGCGAGACTCCATCTCAAAAAAGAAAAAAAAAAATTTCTGGTGATATATATGTGTATATTTATGTATATCTATGTGTATACATATACCACCAAAAAATATTTCCTGCCAAGAATCTGCATGCCCATGTACTCTGCTATCATGAACTAGGTTGCAAGGAAGCCTGTTGTCATGGTTACATTTTTGATAATCCTAATACTTTGTCATGTATAAAGATGAAAGTATTACATTCTGTATAAAATTGGTGCTTTTTCTTAAATAAATAATATTAGAAAATTTAAGCCCAAGAGGCAGCACAAGTTTAAAGTGATGAATAAAAATGTGTTCATTGTCATTATCTTGTCTCTCTAGAAAACAAGACTCAAGTAAAAACCACAAAGGTATGTGGTTTGGAATAAAGTTTATGAAAACCTCAGTAGTTGCAATTACTGAGACTTTATCAAAATGCTAGTAGCATAACTATGAGAAATCCTTCTGGCTATTCTGACAATAAACACATCTACGCCTTCCACACAGCCCTATAAGCCCTCACTGTAGACTCCCCATGAAACTCATCAGTATCCCTATTCCTTTCTCCTGAGCAAGTGACTCATTCAGTTTTCCCAAAGTAAAGGCTGTCTACTCTTATTAACTTAATGTTGTATCCCCTCAAAATCCCTCAAATCTGAGAGCTCCAAAAGAAAAGGGAGAAGGCCTGAGAGAACGCTTTCATCTTCTTAGTGAATACTAAACAATCGTGAACTGAATGTTGGTAGAAATACGGGCGTTAAAGGTCATTTGGATGAGGACCCAGATGGAAATGAGCAGCAGGTTATAAAAACTTGGAGAAAAGGTGATCCTTGTTATAAGGTGGCAAAGAACTTGCCTGAATTGTGCTCTAGTGTTTTGAATATTGAATATCCAACCCCCAATATAACTATTTAGAGATAGGGCCTTTGAAGACCCTACCGGGTCTACAGGATCTGACCTATAGGATCAGAACCCCACTCTTATGTCCTTGTTTATGTCTTATGTCCTTACCTATTGAGGTAAGTAAGGTTAAACAAGAATGTAAGAGTTGGGCTCTGATCCTATAAGATTCATGTCCTTATAAGAAGAGACACGAGAGATCTCATACTGTCTCTCTCCACCACAGGAGCACACAGCAAGAAGGTGTCTGTCTACAGCCAGGAAGAAAGCCAAGAACCGAACTGGCTGGCACCTCACTCTGGGACTTCTAGCATCCAGAACTGTGAGAAAATAAATTCATGTCGTTTAAGTTACTTATTCTGTTGTTTAATACCACTATGGCATTTTATTATGGCAGCCTGAACTGATTATGACAGATTTTGGGATTAAGAAGTGGGGTAAAGCTGTAAAAAAGTACCTAAAAACAAAAAAAACAAAAACCCTAAAAGTTCTAAAGTGGTTTTGGAACTCAGTGATGGGTAGAGGCTGCAAGAGCTGGAGGTACATGCTAGAAAAAGCTAAGATTGCCATTAAGAGAGCATAGGTAGAAATATGAACATTAAAGGCAACACTGGTGAAAGCTCACAAAGAAAAGAGGAGAGCTGGAGAGAAGGCTTTCATCTTCTTAGTGAATACATACATAATTATAAACTGAATGTTAGCAAAAATATGGACGTTAAAGGTCATTCTGATGAGGGCCCAGATGGAAATGAGGAACAGCTGATTAAAACTTAGAGGAAAGTTGATCCTTGTTATAAAGTGGCAAAGACCTTGCCTGAATTGTCCTTTAGTGTTTTGTAGAAAGCAGGAATTGTGAGCAATAAAACTGGACACTCAGCAGAGTATTAAACGTGTAGCTTTGGTTCTCACTGCTTATAGTCAAATTCAAGAGGAAAGAGATGAATGGAAGAAGGAACTGTTAAGTATAAAGGAACCAGAACTGAGAGATTTGGAAATTTCTCAGCCCATCCACATTCCAAAAAAAAAAAAAAAAGGAAAGAAAGTTTGTTTTGAAGAGAACACTAAGCAACTAAGCATTAAGGGTATGGCTGAACAACTGCTTGATAGAGAGCATAGGTGCAATTCATGAATGTAATCAGCCATCTCAGCACAGCCAGGAGTAGGATTACACCAGCAGAGACTCTGCCAGTTTGAAAAATAGGGGAGACAGAAAATGGGATGGAATAACAGAAGGCTGTCGAACTTCTTGGGTTCTACAGGACCAGACCATAGAGCTCTTTGTCTATGAACACGAACTAGTCTTCAAAGAAAGGGAAGAATGACTCTGAAAGCAATTCAGAGATGATCAGAACTGCCACTCCCACCACAGGCCCAAGGGGAGGGGAAGACAGGTGGGTAAGGCTCTTTCCTGCTTGGTTTCAGAGAGTGGAGCTGCCTCAGAGACCCACAAGGTGGGGCCACCCTGCAGAGCTGTGGCAGTGATGCTGCCAACCCCAGGCCTGGAAAGTCAATGAGGATTATTCAAGGCAAAGAGGATTATTCAAGCCAAAGACAATTATTCTCCAACCTTAAGATTGAATGGAAATTTGCCTTGCTAAGTTTGACTTGTTCGGGATCCATCACCCCTTCATTCCTTCCGATTTTTCCCTTTTGTGATGGGAACGTCTATCCTATAACTGTCTCATCATTGTATTTTGGAAGCCCATTAGCTTGTCGGGTTTCACAGGTTCACAGCTGGAGAGGAATTTTGCCTCATGATGAATCATACCTTGAGTCTCATCCATCTGACTTAAATAATATTTAGATGAGATTTTAGAATTTAGACTTTAGAGTTGATGCTTGATGCATTAAGACTTTTGGGGCGATAGGATGGAATGAATGCATTTTGCACTAAAAAAGGACATACATTTTGGGGGGCCAGGGGTGGAATGTCACAGACTAAATGTGTGTGTCCCTCCATAATTCATACATTGAAGTCCATATCCCCAATAAGTATATTTGAAAACAGGGCCTGTATGAAGGTAATTAAGGTTAAAGAAGGTCTTTAGGGCCTGGCCATAATCCAATAGGACTAATGTCCTTCTAAGAAGGCTGGAAGTTTCAGATCTTGGTGCTGGCTGATGTGGTTACTGAGGAGGCCCTCTTTCTGGTTTGTAGGTGGCTGCCTTCTTGCCATGTTCTCACATGGTGGGGAGAGAGCACATGAGCTCCCAGAAAGAGGGCCTCCCCAGTAACCACATCAGCCAGCACCAAGATCTGAAACTTCCAGCCTCCAGAACTGTGAGGTTTCCATTGTTTAAGCCATCCAGTCTATGGAATTTTGTTATGGCAGCCTGACCTGACCAAGACATCTACTAATGAATCACCTGGAGTAACCAAGTTCTGGTTACACCTGGAGTAATCAAGTTCTAGTTCATGTTATGCTCACAAAAAAACTTTTCTAAATCTACCACCTCACCCAAAACACACACACACACACAGAGTCCCAACAGGAGGTCATTTCTGTCCTCTTTGTGCCAACTCTCATATAGCTACCTTAATTTATTTCATTGCTCTCACCAAACTGTAAATTGTTTGAAGGCAGAAATTCCGTTTTCTCATCATTGTATCCTCTGCAATGCTTAACACAGAGTTGATGCTCAGTAATTATGTTTAGTCAATGCAGTTGAATTATATTGATTTGGGCTGTCAACTTTCCTTTTTTAAGAAATAACTTTTAAAATTTTGAACTTATTAAGAATTATAGAAAAAGAGGCAAAAATTGTACACCCTGTACTATCGTGTATAGGAGAGTTTCTATACACTTTCCCCAGCCTTCCCAATATCAACTTCTTATATAATCATAGTACATTTATCAAAACCAAGGAATTAATATTATTATAGTATTAACTAACTACAAATTTTATTTGAATTTCAAGGTTTTTTCAATAAAGTCCTTATTCTGTTCCAAGATCCAAACCAAGATCCCACATTGTAATTGTTCGTCATATCTCCTTAATCTCCTCCAGTGTGTGATAGTCTCTTGGTCTTTCCTTGCCTTTCATGACCTTGAAATTTTTGAAGATTATTGGTCAGTTATTTTGTAAAATGTTTCTCAGCTTGCACTCATCTGATATTTTCTCATTAGATTAAGATTATGCATTGTTAACATGAATACCATCATATAGGGATACATCATTTCAATATGCCCTATTACTATTACATTAGGAAACATAATATGGATATATTTTATTACTGTTGATATTAACCTCAACCATTTGATATACATGTATCCTGTTACTGTTGACATTAACCGAATCATCAACTGGTACCTGCTTGATTTTTTCACTGTAAAGTGACTATCTTTTTCTTCGTAATTAATAAATATCTTGGGTGAAATACTTTGAGACAATATAAATATCCTATGTCTCCTTCATCTCTTATCCACTTATTTTAATACCCACGGGTAGATCTTGCTATCAATAACTATTTCTATAATATTTATCTAATGGTGATTTTCAATTTTCTTATTCCTGAACTGTCAGCTTTCAAAACAAAAAAAGGCAAAGGCCTGAATTCCCCTGGATAGGGCAATGCAGGGTGAAGTCGGGATACGAATCTGAGTGATCAACACAAGTACAATAGGAGGCTTAATGGTGCCTAACTCTAGAGCAGAGACAGAGGTGAGGCTTAAGTCATCTTTGGTGGCTGCCTTAATTTAATAGATCAAGCCCATTCCACTCCCCTTGCTTGATGAGATCCAATTTTTGAGCTGAGCTAGCCTAAAGATTTGTTGTAAAGGCAACTGAAAACAGATGTGAGGACAGAGTGGTAGGAGAGTAGCAGCAGACACCAGACATTTCTTATCAGAAGCTGTTTCTCACATCTTCTTTGAAAAAAAAAAATATTTCATTTATTTCCTAATGAATATTTGCTAAAGTTATAGTAGCACACATCTTTTAAAAGTTGTTCAATTGATTTCTTTGCTAATTTATCATGACCAGTATTTTAGGAATGTTTATTGTAGTATATCTATAAACAATGGAACATGTAATTGTAAAAGATGGAAACCATAACCTACTAATTGCACATTTAGTTGGAACCCTAGGAGTTAGTTCACCATTATATCATGAATATACTTAATAAGTTTCTTACTGGACTTTACACTTTATTGTGAATTTTATGATAATGCACTCTCAAGGTTTTTAAGTGTAAACGTTCATAATAAAATACTAGCATTTTACTTTAGTACATTATTAACATATTTCTCAAAACTTCATGTTAACATTCAATAAATAAATCTGTATTTCAGATCACTTTAGAGTAAATTTTGTAAGTATTTTGAATAATTTCATTACAAATTAGCCATTAGGTATAATTTCAATACATTAAGTCATTTAAAAAGAAATTAAATAATTTTTTAAAGGCACAGATGAGATTCAAACTTACGAATCTAAATTGATTCAAAACAGAGTTTAAAGTAAACCACTTAGCCTATTAAATTTGGCGAAAAATATTAAATGCTCTTTCATTTTTAAGTCATTCAGTTTTACGATAGTGATATTGATTAATCGATAATGTCATGATTTTGGGATAAGATGTGACTTCTCCACAAATCAATATGTAAATTTATTCCAGTTGTTATTTTCCTTTTATACACCACTAAAATGAATACAAGTTTAGAGACTTTTTAAATTATAACATTAAAGTCCTTTTTAATATCGTGATGTATATCTCTCTTTATTTATCATTATTTACCTCTGAAAAATGAATGATATTTAACTTTACCTTTTAATGTGTGGAAATAACCTCCTCAAATCTTTTAAGATTGACGTCTTCTACTCTTACAGATACAGTGCAATTATACGGAGAAGCTATGAAATTACTCCTATTTTACTCCCACAGCTGAACCCGTTTATAGAACTCCTGGTTTAGAATTGTTTCCTATTATTCTGATTACGGAAACAAATATGAGGTCATGAGAAGCCAAGAGTAGTGAGTAAGGTGGGTAACAGGTTTGGGGTAATTTTATTCATGACCAGAAGCCAAATAATGACTAAAATTCCTATGTAGTTCATTAAGAGATTCTGAGTCAATTCCAAAGAGGTTAAGAAATAGCCACCCTGTAATATAATATAGCAGTGGTGTGGCCTCCTAAGGCTATTACCTCAAAGACAACAGAGTGTGCGTTATATAACTTCTGGCACCCTATAATCACCCTCATGCGGCAACTCTTTATGATCTGTGCCAACGAGGGTAAACAAGTGGAAATTTGAAAACAGAGACTATCCATGAAAAATATAGTTATATGGAAAGAAAGGAAGTAGTCTGGTTGCTTTGGGCAGAGACTGTGCTTCTAATGCCCCCATGTGAGTCCTGATTTGGGAAGTTGTTTCTTATGTAATGGCCAATCTATAACGTGAATAATCCATACAGAACTAGTTAGAAGTTTACCAGGATGCTTTTGATTTTCTTTTCAGAAATTCTTGGCAAATCTTGGGTGGATTTAAATGATGACAATAGATTTAGACTCTGGTACTTACTTTTAAAACGCCATATTACACAAATGGGTTTTATCCTCAACTCACAGTCTTAAAACTGAGATTTTTTTTTTTTTTTTTTTGACAGGGTATTACTCTGTCGTCCAGGCTGGAGGTGGCATGATCTTGGCTCACTGCAGCCTCTGTCTCCCAGGTTCAAGTGATTTTCTTGCCTCAGACTACTGAGTAGCTGGGACTACAGGCGTGCACCACCATGCCTGGCTAATTTTTGTATTTTTAGCAGAGACAGGGTTTCACCACGTTGGCCAGGCTGGTCTCCAACTCTGAACCTCAAGTGATACACCTACCGTGGCCTCCCAAAGTGCTGGGATTACAGGCGTGAGACACCACACCCAGGCAGTTACATAATTTTGAAGGCTTTATTTTATTCTCAAAAACAATGCTTTTACGCAAAAATATATTTGTACTTGTAAACTACAGTCTGCCTACGTAGTTGATAAAATGTCTATGTAGCTAATTACTTTGTTATCGGGAATTCAATAGGGGAGATTTATGAGATTAATGACAATTACATTTAATGGTAAAAATGACAGTAACAGTTTTGAATAATGTCCTATTTCTTTTGTATTTATTTAACTCACATTATCCCAATGAAATTCCTTTGAGTGATGGCCTTACCTCGAGTCATTTGATGATATTACTTTCTCAAACTGTCATTTCATGAGCTCAGTTTATTTTCCCTGCTTCTCTTATATAGCTTTTGTGTTTTTTGTTTGTTTGTTTGTTTGTTTGTTTGTTTGTTTTTCTTGAGACAGAGTCTTGCTCTGTTGCCCAGGCTGGAGTGCAGTGGGTACGATCTCAGCTCATTGCAAGCTCTGCCTCCCAGGTTCAAGGGACTCTCCTGCCTCAGCCTCCTGAGTAGCTGGGATTTCAGACATGTGCCACCATACCCAGTTAATTTTTGTTTTTTCTAGTAGAGACAGGGCTTTACCATGTTGGCCAGGCTGGTTTCAAACTCCTGACCTCAAGTGACCTGCCTGCCTCAGCCTCCCAACGTGCTGGGATTACAGGGATGAGCCACCGCACCCGGCCTGATTTCCAAATAATATTTACTAAAATTATATTTCATTAATACAAACTGTGTTGTTAGAATACATTTTGTTATTTGTCAAGGAACCCGACGTTTTGAGAGATTTCAGGAATAAATTTAACTGTGTGAACTTTTCCTTTTTTGTATTAACTTTAGACTCCAACTCTCACTCCTTTCTTGCACTTCCCTATCACATAGGATTCATTATCTACATCCCCTCCTAACACTTTCTGTTCACTCCTGTATTCCATGTCCACTAGCACTTTGGAATAATGTTTAAAGTCCTTTTGAAGTCAGTAGCTTTTACAGGTAAATGTGCAAAGTATTTAGGAAATTGTAACAGGTTGAAGAGGGAGGAAGGAAACAAGGTCATGAGTTAGAATTAGAAACTCTGGGGAGTAGGGTGATGGTCCAGAGAAGTATTTCCAAACAAAATCTGAAACTGGATGGTCTGAAAATAGGTAGCCAAAGTGAGTACAGATAATATACTTGAAGATTTAAAGCGGAGGACACACTGTCAACACACATATAAAGAATGGTTGAGAACACTAGAAGTACTTTTTTTTTTAAAGAATATATTTTGTGTTTCACACCATAAAATTTGAAAAAGAAGTGCCTTTGAAAGAGTCTTATTTTGGAATTGAAGAATGCATTTTAAAAGCTCCAAACTTTAATGGGAAAGCACTATACTTAGGTCATGTTCCTAAACTTTAATTTCCTTTTTTGGGAACTTGTATTTGGGATCTTTTGGACATAGCATAAATTATGCCAATTTCAGATTTATTCTCGACTTACAGCTTTATACTTATAACCAAAATCTGAATATTACTTTTTAAAAAACTTCATTTAATTTTAGAGAAGTGTGACTTCCTAAGAACTAATTTTAAGCAGCAATTAAGGTAACCAGGTTGATACCTAAATTTTTGGTGTACTCACTCTTAGGAAGACTAGTTTAGTCTCAGTCAACCTTGTAGGGGGCAAAATACCAAATATGATTACCAAATATAATTATAATTGCAGTATTTAATGCTTTACATCCTTGACAGACCTTAATAAAATGAAACTTTAGGCCTCCTTAGAAACACGATTTTTTAAAATTATATTTAAGTTCTGGGATACATGTGCAGAACGTGCAGGTTTGTTACATAGGTATACACGTGCCATGGTGGTTTGCTGCACCCATCACCTACATTAGGTATTTCTACTAATGCTATCCCTTCCCTAGCCCCCAACCCCCTGACAGTCCCCGGTGTGTAATGTTCCCCTCCCTATGTCCACGTGTTCTCATTGTTCTACTCCCACTTACAAGAGAGAACATGCAGTGTTCGGTTTTCTGTTCTTGAGAAACAGGATTATTTTAATTCTCAAGCAAATACTATTGTATCAGGAATGAGTTTTCTGGAAGACCTTTAAAATATTTTATCTTGGAAGGTTTTTAAAAGAGCAACATACACTCACTGATATGCATAGAAAGTAGTATCAGTGAGTATAAGCAATAAATGCGGTTTATTTATTAATCAGCAATTATTCTAGATCATTATATTTGTATGATGCATATTTGTAGCTCTCAAAATAGCCTTGTTTTTCTCTTACTAATAATTAGGGCAGCTTAAACAAAACAAAACAGTAACACAACAAAGCAATCTCCTAAAAAGATGAACAGTGATTTAGTTCTTAAGTTGGCCACAATATTGTATTTGCTAAACAATGTCAGGAGCCTTTCTAAAGGGAAAAGAAAAATATTACTTAGGTATTGTAAAAAAAAAAAAGTTATTTCCAAGTTAACCTGAGTTTTTGATGTTTTACTTGCTTTAGTTTAGCTATTTGTGAATATTATTTAATTTTTAATTTCTTTTTTGTCTCTCATGGGCATGGTGTAATGATATCTGTCTAGTAGCTGATTCACATCTGCTTTTCAATAAAAACATTCCAGACAAAAGTTATTTATGTTATCATATCATCACCACATTTCTGATTGGCTAGAGAGAATTAAAAAGAAACAAGCCACAGATATTTTACTATACAAGGAAAGTACAAAATTTTATTTATTTTTCCTCTTATTCCTAGGACATAAAATACCTATTTTTCATGGCTAGTACTTTTGATCATTAAAAATATTAAGGATAAATTGTGACTGAAGTAAATGTGCTTACATGGCAATAGAATTTATTCTCCTCAGCTGCACCAAAAAATAAGGTTTAAGATATAAATGTGCTGAGAGGAAAAGAAGTAATAATAAAGATTGCTTTCTAAATAGGGAAACAGTTATGCATCAGATGAGGAAAGAAATAAGAAGAAAGATTATGCCAAAAAGAGGTTTAGGAGAAGGAAGAAAATATGAACCAAGCACTGCATGAAAAAAGATGGGTTGTATGGGAAAGCATGAGCACTGCGCCACCTCTATCACATAAGTTCATTTTGAATGTGACACTCTATTGGGTGCTGTGATGGCTAAACATAAATAAATAATTTGGAAACAGTCCAGTTTTTCATTTAAAGAAGCTTATTCTAGCCCATTGATGAGATGCTGTAAATGCAGAAAAATGGTCCATTATGCACCATTGTATGCTAAATGCTTTACATATATGAACCCATGAAGAACAAGCATAGGGAGATTAAATAAACTGACCAAATAACAAGCCAACGAAACTAGTTAAGTCACAGGCAGCCTTTAAATACCAATCTTCATGTCTCTAAATCTCATCTAATCACTACACTCTAGTGATACATATTGGGTGTGTGTCATGGAAAATGCAGGGCAATAGTAAAAACATTTCCAAGCCTACATCAATACTAAAAAAGTCAGGCTGAATAAATGGAAAACATATGGTAAGAAACTTACTCCTATGGGGAAAAAAAATCTTCTATGTATTCTCAATTATGTTACAGTAATTGGAGAATATTATGGATGGTGGGTTAACATATTTTTCTAGAGTACCTCCTGTACCTCAAGGAAGGCATTCACTTTTTATTAATTGTATAATTGTGAAACAGTCATCATGCTAAGTAAGCTGATAAGCCTGCATGATAGGACTAAAGAAAAACTATGGAGATAGTTTTAGAAATACTTTAAGATAGAAACTCATGTCAATATTATGTTGTACTCCATTTGGTAAATTCTCAATGTGTTATTATAACTTACATATAAATAATAATTACATAGAATATTACATTTCTAAGAAAATAAGTATTAAATAACACATTAGTGGCTCAGTTCTCGACAAGAGGGTTAAATATCTATATATATATAAAATGAGTTTCCTTTGGAAAATGATTTAGACATGAATATCTGAAATATTGGAAAATAATAAATATTTTAAAACTGGGTAGTGGATGAAATTTATATTTGTTTAAACTTTATGAAAAAAAGTATGATTTTAAAAATTTTGTCACCTACACACGAGACCTCTATAAATTTTAAAAGAGTACTTTTTATTATATGCCAATATTTAGGTTATAATAACTTTGGTTCCGGCCATCATTACTAGTCTGATAAAACACAGTACCACTTCACAACTGAACAAATTCTTCTTTATCTACAATTACATTCATTTTAGTACCTGTTAGTTCTCATGAAGAACAGAATTTATTAATGCAATTTTCTGAAAACAGCATTTATTACTTATACTCACTTATTGCCTGAATGAGCAACGATTTTAAAAGGACAAATTATGATTAAAAGTCAAAATAGGACATCAATAGTAGAATTTTAATGAGGAGTGAAGTGCAAGATAAACTTTAAAACTTAGTAGGAGTTGCTCCGGGACACTGAAATGCTGCTGGGACCATCAATGTCAAGAGAAATATTTGGTATTTACTCAGTGTACTGCTAACTACTTCTTAAGAAACAGGATGCTAAGAAACTTCATTACAAAGCTGTCCTTCAAAATATGGCACATGTTATTGTTGGCCTTTTCATTGATAAAAAGGGATTATCAGACAGACTTTGAGTATACCATGTTAAGAGGTTAAACAGTTACAAAGAAAGGAGAGAACGTTGAGCTTAGTTTTTTCATGTCCGCGCTCTAGAATCTGACAGCTTAAGCTCAAAGATAGCTCTGCCACCTCATAATTTAAGTGATCTTGAGAAATTGTTCAATCTTTCTATAGCTCAGTTTCTCATGCGTAAAATAGGAATAATAAGAGGTTGTGGTGGGGATAAAATGAGAATTGGCTTGTACTATTTTAGCACAGGCTCCGCTACACAGTAAGTGATCAACACACATTAGCTTATACTATTATTAATAATATTCATAACACTTCAGTAATACTGCATAAACATCCTCAACAGAGGAAATATATGACCTGGCTTAGGTTTTAAAAGGTTTGCCCTGGCTTCAGTGTTGAAAACAGCCCACAAGGGACAAGAACGGAAGTAGGAAACTCCGTAAGCAGCCACTGCAGAAACTACTAAGATGAAAGTGGAGAAGGTGGTTAGAAGTGGAACAGCTATAGAGATATCATGAAGGATTATTTTATCAATTGGACATGGCATTTTCGAAAAGAAAAAAATGGACAAGATAATTCAAAATTTTGCTTTTTATGGGGGACCGAGGGGATGTTATGTTCTAAATGTATCCCTCCAAATTTATATATTGACAATCCGTCTCCTAAGTGATAATACCAAGTGGCAAGGCCTTTTGGAGGTAATTAAGTCATGAGGGCAAAGCCCTCAAGAAAAGATTCAGTGACCTTATGAAAGAGGTTGAAAGGAGCACCCTAATCCCTTTTTTGCCCTTCCATTCCTTCTTCCACGTGAGGACACAGCATTAGTTCCCTTCAGAGGACGCTGTAACAAGGCACCATCTTGGAAGCAAAGAGTAGCCCTCACCAGACACCAAATTTGCTGGTGTTCTGATCTTGGACTTCCCAGCTTCCAGAAATCTGAGAAATAAATTTGTATTATTTATAAATTATCCAGTCTATGGTATTTTGTTATGACAGCACGAATGAACTAAGATAGATGGTTGTTTGTTTGCCTTTTTGTTGGGTTGTTTTTGTCTGAGTGGCTAGAAAAATGGAGTTGGGTGTGGCAAGATACATAGATGAGGATGATTATACAGGAGCAAGTTTGGAATGAGGGGATGAGGACAAACAGGAAGTTGGCTTTGTGCATATTCAGGCAGAAATGTCTATAGCCATCCTTGGAAATATTAATAAGACAGTTGGATAAACAAGAGGAGAGATATGGGTGGAAATTTAAAAGTGGATTACTATTGATTAAATTATATTGTGCAGAATAAGGCTCAAATGAGAGATGGAAAGTTGCAAGAAGGCAATCTTAAATGTAGGTAAACTAATCTTTCCCATTAATGGAGACGTTTAAAAAATCCTTACAATATCCGCCTAACTGCTAAGCTGTATGTATAGCACACTTTGGAAATGTCTGGATTCTAAATATGCTTAGAAATCTCACATTAATTTTTAAAGCCATGAACAACTGTAAAAAAATTCATGATTCTAAGAAATGTGTATCATGAAATATATTTGGGTAGGCTGGGCGAGGTGGCTCATGCCTGTAATCCCAGCACTTTGGAAGGCTGAGGCAGGTGGATTACCTGAGTTCAGGAGTTCGAGATCAGCCTGGTTAACATGGTGAAACCCCGTCTCTACGAAAAATACAAAAGTTACCGGGCATGGTGGCACATGCCTATAATCCCAGCTACTTGGGAGGCTGAGTCAGGAGAATTGCTTGAGCCCGAGAGACGGAGGTTGCAGTAAGGTGAGATCGTGCCACTGCACTCCAGCCTGGCTGACAGAGCAAGACCCTGTCTCAAAAAAAAAAAAAAAAAAAATATATATATATATATATATCCTTTAATCCCAGCACTTTGGGAGGCTGAGGCAGGTGGATCACTTGAGGTCAGGAGTTTGGGACCAGCCTGGCCAACATGATGAAACCCCATCTCTACAAAAAATATAAAAATTAGCTGGGCATGGTGGTGGGCGCCTGTAATCCCAGCTACTTGGGAGGCTGAGGCAAGAGAATCGCTTGAATCTGGGAGGCAGAGGTTGCAGTGAGCCAAGACCATGCCACTGCACTCCAGCCTGGGTGACAGAGCAAGACCCCGTCTCAAAAAAATAAATAAAAAATAAATAAAATTAAATTCTTTACACATCACCAAAAATGAAGTAATTAACTATTTAACTTGACATACATAAATATCTAATTTGTAGAACAAACCCATTTTATTTTCAAAGGGTCTTCCTGGGCATTTATTCTCTCAAAACAGACATTTTGGAATTCAGACTGAATCTTTATCAATGTTCTAAGCCCAAAAGGGAAGGATTTCAAGAGTTTCAGGAGAACTTCTTGGGCTGCCCATCATACTTCCTGGCCTGCAGATGCCCAGAATACAAAACATAGCTATGACTCACTTGAATCTAAGTTGTGGATAAAAATGCAAATATTTCAGAAGTCTGGTAATCATTTACATCTTAATGTGGCCTCAATGCATCAGATTCTGTGGACCTTCCCAAGAAAAGTGAGGTTGGAGAAGTCACAAAGTACGAATAACAAGTGAGAATAGGTAGATTTGGGAATATCAAAGATAAACTAATGTTGCTTTATAGGCTGCATTAAATTCTCTTATAAAATTGTAACAATTATACAAGTTCGACAAATATAAAAGCTGTAACTATAACATAGCATAGCATCATTTGCAAATAAGCTATAGATTTCTATCTACAAAGGCTTTAGTTTGAGGAAAAAAATTTTATAGTCTTGGCACATTATGCAACTCTGAGTAAACTTCTGAGCATCTCCCAGGAACCACTGCAGGTGAACAAGACCCTGTTTCTTTCCTTAGGCACTTACAGTCTATGAGGCAAACTTCAAAACCTTCAGAAGTAAAATAAATAACCTCTTGCGGTCTGAGAAAGTGCACTATAATACTTAAATATATTTCATTGAAAAAGTATCTATTTGTCAACTGGGTGAATTAATCAGGGGATGAATTTTTATAGAGGATGAGAAAAAATTGTGATTCTCTTACATATGGAAAATCATATCCACATTTCTAAATCTTACAATTTAAAAAATATGATTTAATTACTAGTATTTGTGTAGAGGCTAAAACAAATTTGTGAAATGTGAGTGGTCTCCCATGCCATCATTTTAATTTTATTTTCTATCTTATTTTATTTCCATTTATTTTAGTTTTAGAGGCAGGGTCTTGCTCTGCCATTCAGGCTGGAGTGCAGTGGTGCAATCATAATTCACCATAACCTCAAGCTCCTGGGCTCAAACTATCCTCTTGCCTCAATCTCTTGAGTAGCTACGACTATAGACATTCACCACCACGCCCAACTAATGTTTTCTATTTTTTATTTTTGCAGAGATGGAGTCTCACTGTGCTGCTCAGATTGGTCTCAAACTCCTGGCTTCAAGTGATCCTCCCACCTTGGCCTCCCAAACCATAATTTTATTAGGCTTTAAAATGTACCTTGATTCACAGGGTTTGGGTTATTAATAAAATAATTTGTTAAATGGTGTTGTACAATAAAATCTTGAAGCACCTAGGGACAGAGTCTAATGCATCCCAGATGCAATGGTCAATGGCAGTGATTAGTTCCAGGCCAAAAGTGTCAGAGCCAGAGATAAGATGCTCTCAGTGGACATAAATTTGTGTGGTGGAGAAACCCTCATAGAGCATAAATATCAGGAAGTTGAGTCTATGATGTTTATTGGATTCATAAATGAAGAAAACTAAATTTGCTTTTATTAGGTAAAAGGGAGATAAAAGCAAGACTAAGAATAATCAGTTGAGAAAGATTTTTGTTTTCCAGTTACTTGTGTTAAATGTTTTATTATAATTAAATGCATTTTAATATTGCAAAGATATAATAGATGAATAGACAATGTGATAAGAATAACTGAAATTATTTTTGCTCAGAGATTATTGTCTTTACTATGTGGGAAACTGAGCTTCATGAAAATTAAATAAAGCAATACATTTTCAAATATACCAATTGCTCCTGATGGAATACTAGGTAGAGATGCATTTGAGGACTGATCCTAGAGGCCAAACATGCAACGTTCAAGTTACAGTGGGTGAGGAGAGCTGCTGCCTTTTTAAAGTAATTAAGAAGACTTTCTAAAACTCCTGGGGCAACCAGTTCATAACACCATACTGTTTTGTGTGGTCCTGGGTCCCCAGTGAAATTTGGCTGCATGAGCGTCCAGGACAAGTAGAGTAGAAACAGCAACAAATTTTAATTATGCATCCACTTTGGTGGCCTTGTAAAGAAGAGAAGACACCATTAATACAGACAAAAGTGGTACTCTGCAGCTGAGAATCACCTGTGCCAATAAGGTTACTCTCAGATCTGTGCCAAATATCTGAGGGCAAATGGAAATTTAAAATACTATACAGATGTAAACTTTGGATGTATGGAATGTTCCTGAATATCTGCATCTTGGAAGACCCATATATAGATTCTTTCATTTTCATTCCATGCTGGTTCAGACTTTCATTAACTGCTAAACTATAACAATAAGTTCCCAGCCAGTTTCTCCAATTGCCATTTGTCTTCATTCCAGAATATACTATGCATTGGTGTCAAATCAGTCTTCTAAATTGCTGCTCCAGTAATGTTATTCCCCTACTCAAAATCCATTAATGGCTCTTCATTGCCTATTGAATCAATCCGAATTTCCTCATGATAGCACTCACAGTATGTCCCGACATATTCCTCTCTATCCAAATCTCCTATCAGTCTTCCACTTTTATGTCCCTTTTTCTTCAGTCAACAGGACAATAATTTCCTAGGAACACCACACACCAAGCTTGTCTCCATGTCTTTGCCCATGTTGTTCCTCATCCGGAGCCTGGCATTACTCTCATTTCTTACTCCCCGTTCCTCTCTAATTCCACTTTCTCTAGGAATTTCTTCTTGCTCTCTCTCAACCAGATGCTCTGTCTCTCCTTGGAATCTTCATAGCCATTTGGATGTCTCACTGTGATGGACAGATTCTCCTTTATATCATTTATATAACTGTCTCCTTAATTTGAAGACTGTGAGCTTGTGGTCTGTAGCACCTAACATAGTGCTAAAAAATGGGAAGTCAATACATATTTGCTGATTTGAACTGATCTAGCAGCATTTCAAGTATCCTTTGGTGACTAAGTTTTGTGTTATACAGATTATATGTCCATTACGATTTATTGTGGAGGATTTTTCTCTGTTTTTTTTTTTTCCATTTTGTTTGCACATAGCTACTGAAACAAGAATCCAAGGCTTGTTTTTTCTTTTCTGAGAGAAAGAAAGAAAAACAGAAAGAAAGAAAGAAAGAAAGAAAGAAAGAAAGAAAGAAAGAAAGAAAGAAAGAAAGAAAGAAAGAAAGACAGACAGACCTTGGCTATTAAACATGGAAACAAAAAGAAGGTAAGCAGTGTTTATTGGAAATATGTCTGGTTTACTACATGTTGTGCAGAAAATTACAGAACTAAGCATTTAAAAATGTTCAAGCATACTTAATTACAATTTAGTCAAAAGTACAGTTTTCTTTGTTCATTGAACAATTCCTTCAATACCTTTATTTTAATGAAAATAATATCACACTAGAATAAGTAGATGTATGTAATCATTTTCATGTGTAAATAGGTAAAAAGCCAAGAATAATCTATCTTTATCTTCATTTTCTGTTACTGAAACATATAAGAATGATCTTAAGCTCTAGAAAGCATTCAATTTATATAAAAGTGATTCTTCTGGAAATCACAATGTCTTAAAGTTGTCTTCTCCCCTCGTGCAGCACTCTCTTGATATGTCTTCAGCCTCTAGTCTTGTGTCATTGGGGACTTTTCTTTTCTCCTCTCCTATTTGTAATCACTAACCAACACTTCATGCCTAGTACATTGTTCCTTATTTCTAACTTTCACTCAGAAAACCGACTCACAAATTTATGTATTTCCATCCTTGGTTTACTGTACCTTGGTTACTGTACCAATGCACAGTATCTAGCACATAGTATCGGCCCACAGTAAATATCTCTTGGAAAACTAAATGAACAATGTTAAAGTTCTGGTCCAATTCATGAGATGACTACAGTCCATCTTCACTACAATTACTTTCTATCACTTTAAATCCAATATATTCCCAAACACAACTTAGTATCACCTCTTCATTCCCAAACCCCCAACACTCTTCCAGTTCCCTCCCCCAACTCCAGTTTCCTTCTATTCCAATTCTGATACCATATGGTCTCAAACACAATGATGTCATTTCTCTGTATTTCCCTTCTGTTTTCCCCTATCTAAAATGATGATCATTTCTATTTTTATGTTCCTATTGTCTTATTCTGGGTTATAGTCATAGCATGTACTCAATCACAGTATCAAGTATTCATTATGTGCTTACATTATGGTAGACACTAGGTTAAGTCCTGTACATAGGTATTATTTTTATTTATTTTCAAAGTAACTCAATGAGAAGATGCTATTATTTATATTTTACAGATGAGTAAACAGTTTTTCTAATATTTATTGAGTACAAAGATATGTAATTTGATATGAAACTATCTGATATCCAAATATGTATGTGTCCATAACAGAGTAAAATACATAATACCTTATCTTAATTTTTCTCCTAGAACAGTTTCTCTAATAAATATTTAAAAATAGTTGTCTTGAAAAATATTAAAATGTTACTTTACTTTGATAAATGAGTATCCTTAGCAAGAGAATTAACTATTTTTATATCCACATTTAACAACATGAATTAGTATTTAGCACACATTTGGACTGACAAAATAACATGCTATATTTGCAAAGATGTTATTCAGAGATTGGCATTCATGCAGTAATTTCAAATAAATATTTTTAATGAACGGTATAATGACCACAACTATACAATAATGTCATTGGTAAAAATCACCAAAATATAGTAAGAATTTTAAAAGGCATTTTTAGCTTCCTCTTTTGGGTATCAACCATTATCTTCTCTCTGAATAATACTGAAAGAAAATTTACATCTATGCAACAAATTTCACAATTAGAAATGGAGATAAAATTACATAAGCAGACACTAATGGAAAATCTATTAAAACAAAGGAGGATCTTTAAAGCCAAAACTTGAAGCACTCAGGAAAGAAAGAATCATTGAGTGTATCTAAGACAAGCAGTAAATGGCATGCTCCACTGATTCTGACAACCTGCAGGTTGATTATGAAACACCATCACAAAGGCTTCAAGACATGGAAAAATTCAGAAAATGTGGCAAGTGAAACATATTATAACGAAAATCCAAGGGAGAGGTCTCTTTTTTAAAAAAAAATGAAAGCCACTCTTATGGAATAAACAAACTATAGTAAGCAATTGCTACCATAATTCTTACAATCTCTGAATACCTGTGATTGTCTGTGAATAAATGGTACCAACTGAAATAGGGAATTCATCACAGAATGCTGTAAACAGCATTTGGGTGCACGGCTTTATATACGTATATATAAATTCACATAATCCTCAGTGTGATATAGTTCTAACCACTCTCATTTTCTAGATGGGAAAACTGGGGCCTGAAGTTTCCTTGTCTAAGATCATACTTAGAGCCTCTTGTGAGGCTGAATTGAACTCAGTCCTTTGACTAGGATTGGGTGTTCTTTCCTCACTAGCACAGTGCCTCTCCTCAGGGTTGAAACAGGATACAGGAATACAGCTCTTTTGACATTCACAAGTATGCCTTCTACCTCTCCAAAAGCCCACGAGAAATCCCACTGGCAACGGTGAGGAGAGAAAAAGGCTGTGATATGGATCAGAAAAAGTCTTACAGATCCAAGGATATTCAGGTTAGATAAGAAAGGGAACAGTACAAAGCCAGAGTGACCCCCAGTTCAATCCTGCTCAATTCTAGGGAATTACCACCAAGCAATTCTGGCTTTTTGTGGGAGAAGGAAAGGGGAGGGAGGAAAAAGAGGGAGGAGAAAAGGTAAAGAGGGAGGGGGAAAAACCAGGAGAAAAGAAGAGGGAGAGAAAAATGAGAGTGGGACTCAAAATTGGAGAGAATGATTCAGAGGAATTAATATCTCACTCTAAGGAAGCACATAATTAAAATTTCTTCATCTTCTGAAACATCTAACTAAAAAAGACACAGGCTAGAAAGCCTCTTTCTCTCACTTTTTTTTTTTTTTTTTGCTTCTGCCTCAAGCACTTTTAAAGTTGCCTACACATTACAGAATGTTTTGCTTGATTTCCTTTCAATGTCCCGGAGAATATTTGGAATGTTTCTTAATTTACATATGATGTGGTGTTATTTAGATATAGATCCCATGAAAGATAAAAATTTTTTAAAGTGAGTGTAAGTGTGAGCATTGAGACAGGAGAAGGAGGTAATTAAAAGAGATAAATAAAGCTTATAAAAGCCGCTTCTTACCCTAACCACCGTCATCAAAAAAGAAATCTGTAATTCATGAATAAAATATAATCTGAGTTTTACAACAGCATTATAAAGATTCTTTTTGAGTATAAGTTTTAAAAGTGTTATTGTGTTATAAAATTTAATGGGAAATTTTTCTTTCCCTTAAAAATAAACCCAAATACCACAGACATTTCCCAAAAATTCCAGCTGTCTGCTTGCTCTCCTTGAGTTATTCTATTTTCCTCCATTAGTAGTTTAAAGGTGTACTCTTTGATATGTAATATCATTTTAAGGAGTTCAACAGAATTAAGATTGTTCCAGTATACTCAGCCGTTTATTTTCACAAAATTGAGGTACACATTGCAAAATTAGAGTGTTTTCATTGGAAAACTTTCATTACTAGTTAAAAACTGTCATCTCAACGAAATAATAGACTTCTAAATCGAAGGAGATTTTTGTCCAACAATTTAACAAGTATACTAGTGTATGCATGAATGTGAAATTTTGGAAGGGCCAGGCATAGAAGGAAATAATTTCTAATTTGTCATAAAGTCCAAGAGTATTTCTAGTAAAAATATTTTTACAATTCTACCACACCCCATGTATTGCATTTTTTCTGCTATGTTGTTTTTTCCACTGAAGGAGTCATAGCCCAAGTACATTTCTTTGTAATTACAGAGTATCTATCTATGCATCCATCTGTCCATCCTTTCATTCACTCAGTTCAACTAAAAGAGTCTTCATTTTGTATCTACCAGCTGTCTGGACCTGTTAGGCACTAGGGAAAAGAGATGGATAAAGTACTGCTCCTACACTTAGGGACTTCACAGATGAGATTAAAAGGTAATCAGGTAATTATAATACCATAAGGGGGTAGCTATGTTAAATATATGAACAAATATATAAGAACAAGATAGGAAGAAGGCAGAAATCTCCCCTCATACTTTACCTCCACACAGAAGGTACAATTTATCATTTACAAAACAGTTTACAAAATATTATCTCCTGCATTTGGCCTCTGTTCCTATTCCTTCCCACCTGCCCTCTTAAAATAGGCTGACCCTTTGCAACCTTAATCGACCCAATTTAAACACGACCCCCTCTGACCATCCTCTCCTCCATGGATTAGTTACTGCACATTTCATTCTCATGGCATCTCTAGGTTGATGCACACTGTTTTTCCTGAGTGTTCTCCCTTTAGACTAAAACCACGTGAAGGCTAGGAATATTTCTTTCTTCTTTGTATCACCAGTGCTAACCATGTAAATGTGTGAGGAATGACAAAAAGGAAGAAAATACTTACAAGTAAACAAGACCCTATACTAATACATTTCACTGTGCCCTTCCATATACATATATCCTACCCACTCCCCCACTACTAAGAACTATTCTTTTCTTTCTTGTAAAAAGGTATGCATTTAAAATAGTTTCGCTTTTAAATGGATTTTTCCCCAGAGGGCAAACCACTCATTTACTCTCCTGGCAGAGGAAAACAGTAAAGTGTCAAGATGTCTAAGCCAGTTTGAAAATATTTTGGAATTTCTGTGTTTTTCCCCTTCTTTTTTACATAGCTATATAAATGTGCACCTATTCTGAAAGTCAGCTTGAAGCACACATTTCAAGGTATTTGAAATAGTTTTCTTTCCGTTTTTCTTTTTGCATTTCATTTGACTAAGCAGTTGTCTAAAATGTGATATAACCAGAATGTACCTATTTATATTGGTTACTTCAAAATGCATGTCTATGAGTCACTGTTTTTATACACTTTAGCTAGTCAGCCAGTTCAAAGAAAAGAAAATAGGGGAAATTATTAGAATAACAATTACTAGTTGAATGACCTAATACAGATTAAATTATAAGAAACAAGACAGGAAAAGGAAACTTAGTTTATATCTCACATAAGTGCATTTTAATTATTCCATCAAACCAATAACTATATAAACATAATTTCAGAAAAATGGAAGGTTGAGTTTAACATTATAAAACAGTCATTAGCTGTGTAAATAATGAGTAAAAATATGTAATGGTCAGAAAAAACATAGCACTTGCAATGAGAGACTGTTTGTATTAAATATATTTGGATGTGTCAGTTGCTGCAATATTTATTCAAGGAACCAAGCTTCTGGGATTTCATTTCTATTTGCCACCAGGTGAATAAAATGTGTTAAGTTCATGTTGTCTGTGACCTTTTACTAAAAATGTTATTCCTTAGTCATATTCTGCATTGGTGGTCAGGGTTGGATGCCAAGAATTTGCTTGTCATCTGACTGAGTTTCCTTTTCACGTGTAATGCTTCATCTGAATTACACCATCCTAAATGATTGTACAAGCTGAAGAATTTTCTATGTCCAGTAGTTTTATTCTTTAAAGAAGCATTCAAGAACCATTACAAAACAAATAAAGCAAAGATAGATTCTGTATATTCTGGTCATTTGTGTGCCAAGATTGATGGTGGTTAGTAGAGTATGTAAATCAATGAATTTAGGAAGTCTCACTGAGTTGTACAAACTCTTTACTGGGTCCGTAGCTCCATTTTCAGAGTCCTGTGTGTTTTCACAGAAACTGCACCATTAGTTATCTTCACTGGAGGATTTGACCAAATTTATCTAAGGTAATGTGCCTATACACGAGTTTCCTAACTAAGGTTCTTAAACCCCTTGGTTTATGAACTTGTGGAAATTTATGTAATCATGCATATGTGCACATACACGTGCATGTCTGTTTAAGGACATGCTTCACAGGTTTTTAAAATACGTAGAGATTCTGAAAGAGGCTGTGATCCAAAACTGTTTAGAACCTTAGCTTCGCATCAACAGTATTGGCCAGGGACTCCTGACATATTTGCCACCAGTGTTCTTAGAAGCCCTCTACTGCTGTCCATAGATGCACAGTTGCACATCTGCGAGCAGGACAAAGCCTGTGCTCAAACACAGCCATCTCCAGGCTTCGTGCATTTGTTTGGTCACATGAAGTGGTACCCTGACTCTATCAAAAGCTAATTTCACTCATTTGAGTAATACGACTAAGCACACAATAAAACTGAGGATCTCTGAACTAAAACTGGGTCCTGACCCGTATCATCCAGTTTGGTAGATTAACTGAACATAACCACCTTGAGTATAACCAGCCACATGTCCCTTCTTTGGAATGTGTCTCCACATAAACACACGTAGGCTTTTCTTTTTTTTTCTTCTGAGATATTTCAAACAGAAGACCTCTGAGAATTAAAAAAAAAAAAAAAATGAAGGCCCATGTATTCATCTCCCATTTTGCTATATTTCTGCAGGCTTAGGTTTTAAAAAAATTTAAATATTCACATACAGTAGAAACTCCTGCATATGCCTCCTTAATATCATTTTCCTCTCTTTTTCCCCCTCCATATTTAAAAGCTATCCTAGTATCTACCAAGTCTAAACATTAAAAAAAAATCTATACAACATATGTATGCTGGTCTAAGTAATATAAAAGTATTGGTTGCCATGTTTTAAAATATTGCATAGTTCGTCTCACACTATAAAAATGTTTTTGCACCTTTATTTTTGGCTCAACATTAGGCTTTAGATATATCAATATAGATTCATGTAGCTCTAATTCATTCCTTTCAATTACTGTATGGTATTTTCCTATACAATGACACTGCCAGTTATTTACTCATTATTATCCTTATGGACATTTTCATTTTTTTCTATTACCAATGATGTTGCAATGGGCATTCTATCTCTTGTGCCCACTGCACGATGTTCCATGATGGCTTCCCTGGTCTTGATGGCAAGAAGTGATCCTCAGTTCTTGTGTACAGTGCTACTGTTCTTCCAACGTCAAAGGCTCAGCCTCATCCATCTCAATAGCCATGGTGAATGGCCTTATGTTCTTTATGTTTTAGTACATAATGTGACTGCTATAAATAATT
The DNA here is from genome assembly GCF_000001405.40 of Homo sapiens. Classification (NCBI taxonomy): domain Eukaryota; kingdom Metazoa; phylum Chordata; class Mammalia; order Primates; family Hominidae; genus Homo; species Homo sapiens. The sequence continues at coordinate 72,648,106 of NC_000006.12, read as the reverse complement.
ATCAAACTTAATTACCATAGGTTTCTCTGTGTGGTAGTCATCAGTGTATCTGTCTCAACTTTCATACAAGATTGTACATGTTCCCTGGGAGTGGGTTTGTTACATACATGTTCTAATCCATCAAGCTGTCTTGCACTTCTTTATACTTAATAGGTCTTCAATATTTACTGAGTGGCTGAACAAATGAAATAAAAGGGAAATCTTATTTAATTTCATGATGTATGAGATATCTTAACAGTCAACATTACATTCTACTACATGAAGTGACTTTTCTACCCAAATTAGCTTATTCATGCTTATCGTCAATACTGTGATCTAATGGGGGAGTCATTCCCATAGGAACTTACAAATAAGAGAAATAAATTTGCCTCATTATGGCGCAATACATAATGATCTGTTTTGGTCCCTCTCTTTTGATTGCAAAAAGAGCTCCTTGCTGTCCATAGATGGGGGTCCTGGAGGTCAGGGGCATTACATGCATGTGTCTGTGAACTGAACAGCTATCAGAAACCTAGGGAAGTTGAGGAACAAGCTAATCTCTGCCTCAGGGCCATATGCCAGATGATCAGTCTCTCAGTCTCTGTCTCTGCCTCTCTCTTTCTTTCTCTCATCTTATGGCATCTCTTTTTTTTTTTCTTTTTTTTTCGTTTTGTTTTGTTTTGTTTTTTCTGGGTTGTTGTACAGCCTTCTGTCTCCTGACCAGGTTTCTCTTCTTAATGCATGGTTTCTTCTTCCTCACAACTTTACCTTACACTCTCTCTCTCTTGCCATGACTCTGACTCCAACTAATGGCATTCTTTCAATTCAACTCTACTGATGATTGACTCACCATGTCCATTTTTTTCATCCCATTTCTCCATAAGTCACCTGCCTACACGGCAAGGACACATGATAGAAAGTATAGTTTTCTGGCCTAGGCCAGATAGTAAACATTTTCAGCTTTTTCAGCTGTAGATCACTGTTGTTACCACTCAACTCTATTGTTGTAATGTAAGAATAGTCACAGACAGTAAATGAATGAATATGCATAATGGTGTTTCAATAAAACTTTATTTATTATTTATAATGGACCCCAGATTTACAAGACGTGATTAGAGTCTGTTCTGTGCCTATGTTTACCAAGCACCTCTCAATAATGGGTTAGTTTTGCATATGGCTCTGCCTACAGGAAATGGATAGGATAGTTATGTGAATTTGAGGATTCTAATTCATTTGAGAGTTTTATAGGGTTAGTAAGAAGAACTTCAAATATGACTAAAGTGTATAAATAATGATGATTCATATCTCAGTGCTCATAGACATGGCCGGATGGTGATTTGTAAATGAGATGATGTACCTAAGCTGTGCACTTGCCCTTGGGCAGCACCCTGCAATGTATGCTTATGGGCAAATGACATTAAACCAATCACAGAGAAATTGACCCCAGGCCAGAAGGCACCCTTAAACTCAAACAAGGCTGGATTGGCAGAACATATATCAGCCATACACAGGGTTTGATCAGAAAAGGTCCCTTTAGTTTTACTGAAAGCTTCTGTCTACCCATGCAACAGTAAACTATGTAGACCAATAGATAACCATATGCTTTTTTTTCCCCCAAATCCATGTGGTTTTTCAGACATAAGATCAGCAATAACTACAATCTGTTCCACTTGTGGATAACTGTCATATTTGGTAAGGAAAATAAACATATAAGAAATTTTAGTATTTTTATTTTTAGAGGTCCATACATTTACAAAATTTATTTTTAAAATAAACTCATCATTTGCTGCTAAAGTTATTCTTTATAAGCCTGTTGACTTTTTTTTATCAAATGAAGATGTATTTTTCACAGTTTCATTATATATGTATATATATATGTGTATATGTATACAAACATATTTAAAAGACAATATTCTCAATATTTGAGAAGATGTAGTATGATGGATGGGATCCTGCTGTCAGAAACCCAATTATACAGAGATTTGAATTATTTCAGATTACAGATTAACAATGGACATAGGGTGATAGTCCATGGGATACCATTAATATGAATGTATTCCATCTATAATTGGGCATGCCTTATACATCATTTTCTTGATTTACTGTCAGTCAGCTTGGCTTCAGCTTGCAATTAACTAGGGGCACAGTACATCACATGAAGTACCTGGGGGGAAGTGGAAATCTCTACATTCATTAAGAAAAAATGCCTTTCAGGGAGGTAAGTAGTTACATTCTCTTCAGGCTTTTCTTTCATTAAAGGACTCACCATGACATATGCAAAGAAAGAAACAAACAAAAATTAAAACCTTTTCCAATCTTCTAAATTACAAGTTAAAAATAGCAAGATTTCAAACTCATTCAAGAAGCCAAGCATGATAAGGACAAACCACAACTGAATGCTCTTGAGTCTGGACATCCTGAGGAAGGTGAGATCCAAGAACTCTGAGTGGGCCCAGCGCAAAGCCAGTGAGGACCAAACCCAGAGACTCACTACCTCTTCCCTTCCTCTCCTTTCTATGAGGGAGATGCAGGTAGACTAAAAACGGGAATTCAACCTGAAGAGAATTTCCATACCATATGTCATATGCTGACTTAATACTTATTGTTATATTATTAATATTATTCATTTCCTACTTATTAAACTTCCATTCTGGCAACCTGCAATAAGAATGTAAGTAAGAGTATTTGGTGGGGTTTTTTATTGATTTGTTTTGTGTGTATGTGTGTTTTTTTTTTTTCCTTGAGACAAGGTCTTGCTGTATCACCCAGGCTGGAGTGCAGTGGCATCATCATTGTTCACTGCAGCTGCAAACTCCTGAGCTCAGGTGATCCTCCCTCCACAGCCTCCCAAGTAGCTAGGACTAGGGCATGCACCCACCATACGCAGCTACTATGTTTTTTTTGTTTTTTTTTGTTTTTTTTTGGTGACAAGGTCTCACTATATAGCCCAGATTGATCTTAAAATCCAGGCTCCAACACAATCCACTCACCTCAGCCTCTCACAGTGCTAAGATTACAGGCATGAGCCACTGTGCATGACCCCTAAGTAAGAGTATTTGACAGACAAAAGGTACCCAAAGTCCAGGCCATCCCAGCATGCTGGGATATGGGGTAATATTATGTGACACAAATTACCCTGAGAACTCATGTTCTAAGTGTCATACTTAGCATTTGTAAAATACTCCTAATTTGCAAAATTATGTAGACCAACTTTTCCAGGAGCCTGATTCAGAGAATATTCACTATGAGCAATTTGGCTCAAATAAAACCTTGTCCCTAGAGTTCTTCAGAAAATGCACTGGCTTGCTGAGAGAATGACGATGATAGTGATGGTGGGAGAAAAGGAGGAGACAGAGAATAAGAAGGACTACGGGATGCACACAGTAAAAAAGTCATGTAGGGCAAAGAGGGTTATGATAAAAGGTGCACCTTGTCTCATTCCTTCCCCACAGCCCTATTCGCTAAAGATAACTTTCATCTAGTAGTTTAATCCTTCCAGAAACTTTCCATTTATATACATGCATACATGCTGTCTATGTATTGCTGATCCTCATTATTTGTGGATTTCATATTTGAGAATTTATCTACTCAAAATTGATTTGTAACCTCTAAGTTAATACAGCACTTTTGAGGTCATTTGCAGACATGTGCAGACCAGCCAAAAATTTGAACCTCTCCTCTCACATATGTTCCCAGCTAACACTGAACCAGACTGAAGGGTGATCTAGCATTCCTAAGCACAGGAAGGCTGTGATGTGCCTTACGGAGAAAATATGTGTAAGATAAACAACATTCAGGTATGACTTACAAACTGTGAGTTCAGTGTTAATGAATCAACAATATATATTAAATAATGTATCTTTAAACAGAAACACACATAAAATAAGGTTATGTATTGATCCATTGATGAAAATGTTATGACCAAAGGCTCATAGGACCTAACCCTGTATTTCCACTAGGAGCAATGAGTCGGTATTTGCTAATTCAGTATTTGCAGTGACCTTATGGAACAGAATGAGAACAACCTACTATGTGTGTATTTTTTAATTTACAAAGTGTATACCTGTTATGTGCTGTACATACTGGTTTATACCTTGTGTGTTTTTTTTTCATTTTAGAAATCATGCTATACCATGTCATACATATCCACCTCATTCTTTTCAAAGGATGCAGTATTCCCTTGGACAGTTTTGCCATCATTGATTTAACTAGATGCTAATAACATAGTTTTATGTTTTTTCTAGACTTTTAAAATTAGAAAACAATGTTTCAGGGAACATTCTTATGCTTACATCTTTGCAAACTATCTAAATTAAAGAAATCTCTAAATTAAAGAAAATTCTGGTTTCTGTGACAAATACATAACAGCTGTGGCTGTCTTTAGGAGACATCAAAAAGTTTAACAGATTGATAGGTTTGAGTATCCCTTATCTGAAATGCTTGTGACCAGAAGTGTTTTGGCCTCTCCAGGTTTTTTTTGAAAATTTGAAATATTTGCAGACACTTACTGTTTGAGCATCCCTAATCCAAAATCCAAAATCTGAAATGCTCCGATGAGCATTTCCTTTGAGAATCATGCCAGCACTCAAAAAGTTACATATTTTGGAGTATTTTGGATTTCAGACTTTTGGATTAAGGATACTCAATCTGTACTACATAGGGTGCAGACTTGTCCTGTGAATTTAATGTGGCTGAACAGCAGCACCACACTGAGGATGTTTAGCACACATCAAATAATTAGACTTCCTTTGGTATGTGAAGTCAGGGTTAAATAACTGCAGGGTGCCTTTAACTGAGGATCAATGGAAAATGCTCTGTGTTTGTGTACAAATCTCCATGACCAAAGGAGGCCTTTTTTAAAATAACTTTTAAGTTCAGGGGTACATGTGCAGGTTTGTTATTTAGGTAAACTCTTGTCACAGGGGTTTGTTGTACAGATTTATTTTGTTACCCAGGTACTAAGCCTAGGACCCAATAGTTATTTTTTCTGTTCCTCTCCCTCCTCCCAACTTCCACCCTCAAGTAGACTCCAGTGTCTGTTGTTCCCTTCTTTGCATCCACGTGTTTTCATCATTTAGCTCCCACTTATAAGTGAGAACATGCAATATTTGGTTTTCTATTATTGTGTTAGTTTGCTAAGGTTGATGGCCTCCAGGTCCATCCATGTTCCTGCAAAGGATATAAGCTCATTCTTTTTTATGTCTGTGTAGTAGTCCATAGAATACATGTACCACATTTTCTTTATCCAGTCTACCACTGATGGGCATTTAGTTTGACTCCATGTCTTTGCTATTGTCAATAGTGTTACAATGAACATACGTGTACATGTGTCTTTATGGCAGAACCATTTATATTCCTTTGGGTACATATCCAGTAATGGGATTTCTGGGTTGAATGGCAGCTCTATGTTTAGTTCTTTGAGAAATCATCATACTGCTTTCCACAATGATTGCACTAATTTACACTCCCACCAACAGGTTATGAGAGTTCCCTTTTCTCCACAACATTGCCAGCATCTGTTATTTTTAGACATTTTAACAATAGCCATTCTGACTGGTGTGAGATGGTATCTCATTGTGGTTTTGATTTGCATTTCTCTAATGATCAGTGACATTTAGCATTTTTTTCATATGTTTGTTGGCCACATATATATTTTCTTTTGAAAAGTATCTGTTTGCTGGACTTAATGCCTGGGTGATAGGGTTGATCTGTGCAGCAAACCACTGTGGCACACGTTTACCTATGTAACAAACCTGCACATCCTGCACATGTACCCCAGAACTTAAAATAAAAGTTGATAAATAAATAAATAAGAATTTAAAAAGAAAAGTGTCTGTTCATATCCCTTGCTCATTTTAAAAAACAAAACAAAATGTTTAATGGGCAAAGGATATGTGTGTTTGTTTTTTACTCGCAAAATGTTTGTTTTTCACTTGTAAATTTGGGAGGCCTTTTTAACACGCTCTTTATCTAGTAGGGCCAAGCTAACCCTCTTCCCTAGGACAAATAGCAATAGCCATGTATAATAACAAGGGGAATTAAGCCTCTACTGCCTTACATCCCCCTTCCCTTCCCCAAGCTGTGTTTGGGTAATAAACGAAGTAGCTCTGAATCAGGACCATCAGCGTGGAGGTTAAGAAAACTGAGAGAAAAGATTGTAGATATTCAAAAATTGTGAGAGTAATGAGGCGTAGAGAATTGTTCATAAAAATAAAGGAGAACCCTTCATTTTCTCCAGTCACCTCTCTGTCTCAAAAGTGTCTCAGATAAATAGGAAATGCCTGAAGAAGCACACACAGTACACTTCAACCTCTCAGTGCACGTACATGACCCAGGCAGAAAATGGTCAATTATTGGCCAACAATTTTAGATACCAAAATTCTTTTCTCCTTCATAATTCATTCATGAAACCATCACCTTTCTAATGATAATATTAACAATTAAAAAGTATATTAATATAGACAAATATGAGGAGGGAGAACCAAATTCACATTAATTTTAACCATTTTCTCTCTCTCACACACACACACACAAAATAGTGTGCTTGCAAAGCTGAAGATATGCCTTACCTCTCAAGCAGGGCAGGATTTTCAAGAGTTAGGGTCAAATCCAGCTGCTCCTACTTACGTCTGTCTTGGTTCAGGCTCTTTGGGGCATATAAACAGAGTGGTAGGCCTGTTTAACATGGCAGATTTAAAGACTGCACAGATGTTTCTGCTTATTTGAATGTCTGGATGAATACATTTGCCTTGCCCTAATGAATTTACCAAGTGTAATGAAATTGTGTGTGAAATAATAAATGTATTTTTGTGTGTGTGTGTGATGCTGATGATGATTTTGGATTCCTCATGTAACATTTATACATACTCTTTCCCACTCCCACTTGCTTGATTTCAGGAAATATTTCTCACATTTTCATATCTGGAAAGAAACCACAGTGCTGCAACTGAATGGGCTAAATACTAATTTGTTTCTTACTTGATCTATTCACTTATTAGATCCTTTAAAGAACAAGTCAATATATGGTTTAACTCCAAGAAAAACACCGTCTTCAGAATTTAACTTCCTTAGAAGAAAGAAAAGTCATGGAAATTACTATCTTTTGCCAGCTATTAGAAGTTTATAAAAGGGAAAAATATTTTCCCTGTTAGCACTACAATGCTTATTTAAAGAATATTCTTCATGGAACAGTTGAACAAACAATAGTATTTAAAATGAATGTCAATATTCATTTATTAAGAATTATAGAGTACCTTTGGTAGAGGAAGGTAAGTAAGGAAGGTCACAGATCTACAACTGAAGTCATTTCTATACAGGATTGACCACCAATGCTGGCTCCAATAGTACTTGATCCTGAGGAAGCTACTTAACATTTTTGCAGGCTGTTTTCCCATCTAAAAAAGATAGCACTAGAGTTGGTCACCAAAGGTCCTTCCAGCTCTCTAATCCTATTACTTAAATGTGTCAAAGCAGTAGTTCCTGCTTTAAGAGTGTGTTTTTATCTATACACTCAAAAATAAAGAGATTATAAAATATGGCTTGATTTCTGAAGAAAAATCTTTTTGTTCAAGCTCACAGAACTTGTACACACAACAGGAAATATCTGGCTCTATAATCTTGGCACCAAATACAATGTTGTTGTTAAATAAGTGTTATGCTAATTCACTTATTCACTTATTTATTCGTTGAACACATGTTTTTTCACATGTGTCTATTATTGCAGCATTTCCTCCTCTGAAGAGGCTATAGACTATATATGGTTACAAAGTATAAAAATTACTTTTTTTTTTTTTGCCCAGCAATTATATAAGGAGCTTTAACACTTTGTCTCCTTATTTCCACATTTATCAGATGGTTGGTGCTTGGAGGGGTTTACGATTTGCCCAAGGTCAAGGTCACACATGTTCAGTGTGTGTGACTTCTAGAAAATTTCTCATTCCCTTTACTTTGGCTACAAAGTTGCCAGCCTTGGGTTAGGGCTCCATCTGCTTTTTAAAATTTACCCTGCACACTACTGTTAGAGAAATTCTCACAATCTCACACACCAGGTAGCCTTCTACGTGATCATGCCTGAACTCTATCAGGGCCTTTGCAGTTGTCAAGACATCGCGTTATTTATCTCTTAATGTTGCCTTATCATAGCTCCCAATGTTGCCATTCCAAACTTTTTTTTTAACCAACCTAAACTTTTATTTACCATAACTCCAGGATCTTGTTATTCTCAATTACTTTAATCTTTCCACTTCTCAGGGAAGGGGGTTCCTGAGGCTTTTTTATTTGTACAGACCTCCAGCTGCTTGGAGAAATAAAAGTTTAGCTTTACTTTGTTGATTCCTAATCTACCATTCTCCCTCTCTCTTTACCCATTTATTTATCAATTATGCACCCTAATCTGTCTCCCTTCTCCCCTGCAAGCACCGTTTGGTGCATTATCTCAAGCTCTTTAGAACTGCTTTGCACTTATCAGCATCTCTCTTAGAGACTGCAAGATTGCTTTCCAACCAGATATCCCTGGTTTCATTCGAGGCTCTCTAAATATCACCCTCTCTTCTGGAGTCCCCATCCTAGTTATACAGTGATACTTTCAGGGACACCCCTCACCCTGCATGGTCCCTTTTGAAAAACTGATTGCTATGTCTGCACACCACCTAGTTGCTGGGTTGTTCTGGCCTTTTTTTCCAGGACATCATGTTTCCTGTGAAATTGGATGTCCTCCTAACACATGGCACTGCACATGCTGTCCACTCCTAGATGGCAAAGTTTTCTTCTAGGTTCTGGCCCCTCGCCTTCTATCCTGGCTTTCTACATCATCACACATTTTCACTTCTTTTCTTTGTAATACTTTTATCCCATTGCAATCCTTTGAGAGACAGTCTTCCTGTGGATGTTGTATTTTCCTAGTTTTTCTCTTCTTTGTCCCTTTTGCAAATCTTTCTCTTCTCATTTCCCAAGATGCCAGTATTCCCTAAATCTTTTTCCATACACTCTTCTCCAAGGACCTTATTTCTTCTCCATCACTCTACATTGGTAACTGATGATCCCCTGTCTTTCCCAAAGCCCAAACAGGCCACATGTCTACTTGTGCTTGTTCTTTACCTAAAACAGAATTGAGTAACTTCTGCGTGGTCACAGTCACACTTGCTTGGAACCAAGAACATTTTGATTCTTTCATCTCTTTTGCCAACCAGAAGCCAATGGAGAGCTAAGAACTCCAGTCCTCCCTTTGAATTTTCTCCTATTCTCCGTTTCTGCACATTCCCAGGGCTGACACTGCAGTCCAGGTCCTTGTCATGCTGCACTGCCGCTCCACTACCAGATGCTTACTGTAGAGCAACCACTAACTTTACATGTCACCCTTGAAACAAGTACAAAAACATAACAGATTTATTGTGAATAGCTCTTTTAAATATATTATCATGTGCTCCAGAAATCTATACTAAGATTGCAGTGTGGAAAGGGAATTTGAATCAACAAGAAACCAAAAAAAAAATAGGTATTTGCCTTTAACCTGTTTTGGAGAAAAAAAGTACAATCCTTCATGATGACAATTTTAAATTATGATAGCTACCCTTCAATTAGAGGAATATTCTGTCTTCTCCAGTACAACGTGATGGTTTGATTATTCTTATTTATGGTTGTCTAGGCTACCTCACTTAGCGCCATCTATAAATGTATTTTTATTATCCACTTCCTGCCCTGAAGCCTGGAAGAAAACTCCATACCCACTAGCTCTGGAAAACAGCTCTCAGCAGCATGACCCAACTAGTTTAGGAAATGTAATTGTAAAGTAGCTCATCAAGTCCAATACTAGATGTAAAAGATCTGGAACCATGTAAGGCAATCTTTCCTGCTAGAGATACTGTGAAACTCTAACTTCCAATTTCAGAGGAATAACTGGAGCCATTCTACTGAGTGAAAGGAATAATGGGCTACTGAAGCATGGCCCAACCAAACTGGTAGCCTGAACTACTGTATAGGAGTCCACACGATTGGCACAAATATGATGACTACATAGTTTTCTTTCCTATTATGCTTCCTGTCCTACCTTTGGAAGGATTGCAGGACGATCTCAGTGCACAACTAAAGTAGGACCTACATAACTAGGGTAGCTGCTTCGTTTGGGAAGATCCTAACCCATCTCATTTTGTTTATTCCTTGATGGATCTGAAGCTAAGGGAACTTACCCGGGTTTCTTCTAGAGAAAAATACTTGAAGGCAAATTTGAATGTTCGAGCTTGTTAAAACTGTTTCCCCAAAACAAACTGTAATTTCTTCTATGTCAAGGACTAGATGAATAAGAGTAGGTGCTCCTTGGGTTCAGGATCCTATCTTGAAGGTTCTAAGTGAGTTCCCAAATGTCATTTGGATTGCCAATCAATTTCTCTGCCTTTTCCATTTGACATACCAAAACAGAACTATAGAATTTTATCATCAGGCATGATAAATTTAAAACTAGTTTAATCTCACTTTGCAATTCTTTAATCTGACTGCTGATCTAGGTCTGAAATCCATTTGAAGTATGTAGTCTTTAAAAGATGGATAAAAAGCACTTTAGAGATTGCAATGAACACACATTTCTAACACTTTTTGACCTTAGCTGCACTGGGAAGTACCACTCTTAGTTGAAGAAAAAAGCCATTTTCCACATGACTGGAGAAAGTTGAACAAATGGAAGAAGTGTTTCCAAAGTGTTCCAATAACACAATATGCAGTGGGCACTCACTCATTCAATATTTGAGTGTCCACTGCATATTGTGTTCTTGGAAGGCTAGGTATAATATTTTCCTTTCATGTAATAGAATTAAGTGAACAATATTAGAAGCTTAAAGTGTATACTGAAAATAAACAGACACTTCATTTTGTTAAAAAAAAACACAACTTTTGGTTTATACTGTTGTTCTTAACCCATTTAGGGAGAAAAAAATAACATCTCCAAACAAAGTATTATGAAACAGCATTGGTTTCTTTCTTATTTTTTAAAATACTTTGGAGCAAATTAAACATACTCAGAATGTTTTATTAACTAGAACATTTAGTTTAACTAGTTTAATTACTACTGTTTAGAAATTACTATGATGAGTGGGAACTCCTGTGTTGGTCTCAGTGTGGGAATGCCCTGAGCAGAACGCCCACTTGCACAGGCAGCTGAACGCCGAGCTCCAAAGTTTCCCAAGGGGTCAAGAGAACTGGCAATCAGCAGTTCTGTACATGGTGATCCTGGAGTTTACCTTGTAAATCCCTTCAAAAGGAGCAATAGCTAAATGCCACTGGAGAAAGGCCAAACTTTGCTTTTATCCTAAGTCAATTCAGAGAGATGGTTTTTGAGGCTCAGTAAACAGTAAATGAATATCTTTCTAGATGAAAATTTCTTGAGGGAATATGCTATGTCTTATTTATGTTAAGCCCTATAGTTCCTACTCTAGGGTCTTACACTTAGCAAGAGGTCAGGTTATTAAACAAACATTGAAGAATTATATCCTAATTTTACAAACCAGAAAGCTGAGAAATGTAGCCAATGACTCAAAACACGGGGAGAAGAATCTAAATTCTCAACTCCATTCAATCCTCCTAGATTCATTCAGGTGTGAGAGAAAACAGGTTTAGAGAAATAGAAGCCTTAAACTTGTTTTTCATTCTAGAAAAGGTTATGAGAATCGCTTTCACAAGGTCTATGCTTTGGAAACATTTTCAACCAGAAAAAAATGCAGGTGGTTTTCTATCTCCTATGTACTCCTATGATACATTTGCATTTTGAGACCATGCTTTAACCTCTCAATAAAACAGAAAAAGTACAGCTCTGTGATGCCAGATTATAGATCTATTCTTGGCTCACTGAGTAAAGAAACTCCTAATGATTATAACAGCCACTGGGGTAAATATTTTTAACTGATATTTAACTATGTTACAAATATATTTGGACTTCTTTATTGTGCATTTTTATATAATAATTCCACATGGCATAAAAACTAATTTCTAATTTATTTCTTAACTATATACTTCCAAAGTATATAGTCAACTTTCAAAGTAGTCAACTTCCAAAACAGAAGGTAAAAACTTTTAAAATTATTCACTGAATATCTGACTATTCCCAAATTTCAGAAATAATATATAGATATTAGAAAACTTCAGCGATTTTAAGGCTTCACTCCTTATTTTCTAAGAAATTTGAGCATAACTAAAACCCTAAGAAAAATAGGGTTCTCCCCTTATATTTCTAAAATCCACATTTTCTAGAAGTCTCTATTAATTACCATAGAGCAATATGTAAATTAGGTACCCAGTCTACGTAGGCAGTACACTCTTAGAGCATGTAATTAGAAATTCAATGCATCTCTTAAGAACAGACAGCTTTCAGAGGAAAAGAAAGCAACATTTTGTACAAAGAAATGGGGAGAAACACCATTCCAGAAAGGTAGAAGCACAGAGAGAAAGGAAAAAAAAAAAAAAAAAAAAAAAACTAGGAGCAATTTAACTGGAAGAAAAATACAATAAGACCAAGGGGAAAGGGAAAGTAAGAAACATCCAGGGAAAATGTAAATGTGGAAGGGGAGAGAGAAAAGCATGGAAGCTGAATGAAATGTATTCACACTAGTGTAAAGAAAATGAGTATTTATTATTTTAAAGAGAAGAAAAAAATCAAAAAATCAGTTTGGAGTAAACATGTTCTATATTCAGCCATTATGAGACTTAAACAAAGCAATGATGCTATTTTGTAGTGAATCTTAGGTATTCCATGATGACTGTATAAATTGGGAATTTAATGTTTATAGGAAATTACATTAAGAAATTATTATTCAGGGCCAAGCACAGCAGCTCATTCCTATAATCCCAGCACTTTGTGAGGCCAAGGCGGGAGGATTGCTTGAGCCCAGGAGTTCAAAACCAGCCTGAGCAACATAGTGAGACCCTGTCTCTACAAATAATAAAAAAAAAATTAGCTGGGCATGGTGGTCTGTGCCTGTGGTCTCAGCTACTCAAGAGGCTGAGGTGGGAGAATTGCTTGAGTGTGGGTGATGGAGGCTGCAGTGAGCTGTGATTGTACAACTGCACTCTAGCCTGGGTGACAGAGACTCTGTCTCAAAAAAAAAAAAAAGGGTGAGGGGAACAAATTATTATTCAGATAATCAATATAAGTTGCTACGCAATACGAACTAGTAGAATTTAAGGAAATTCCTGTTTGGAAATATAAAGTTAAAACATTCAAATAGTTCCACTAGTGGTAATAAGCTAGGTGAATTTTGATTAAAAATAAAGAATGAAGGCCGGGCGCAGTGGCTCACGCCTGTAATCCCAGCACTTTGGGAGGCTGAGGCAGGTGGATCACCTGAGGTCAGGAGTTCGAGACCAGCCTGGTCAACATAACAAAACCCCATCTCTACTAAAAATACAAAAATATTAGCCAGGCGTGGTGGCGGGAGCCTATAATCCCAGCTACTCGGGAGGCTGAGGCAGGAGAATTGCTTGAACCTGGGAGGTGGAGGTTGCAGTGAGCCGAAATCACACCACTGCACTCCAGCCTGGGCAACAGAGTGACTCTCTGTCTCTAAAACAAACAAACAAACAAAAGCAAACAAACAAAACCAAAAGAATGAAAACCTGGGCATAATGCCCTATATAGGATACAAAAAAAGAGGGTACTTTGGTTTCTTTACATACACAAACTATTTGCAAAGAATTAGATAAAAACCAAATTAGAATACAATGTAATAATGTAATTAAGGAATAAAATACATAATCCAAATAATAAAGGCTATGGGAGGTGCATAATGATAAGAAAATAAGCTAGCACGTCAGAAAAATATTTAAAGAAAAATTAGAACTTAAGCTGGTTAGAATGTGAAGGCAGAGAAACAAACATGCTTAGTACAAAGTTAAAAGTAATTCCTTGATTCTAGGTAATAAGGCATTTTAACTATAATTCATTTATTCAACAAACATTTATTGTGCATACACTATTTTGCTGAGAGCTATACTAGACCCCAAAGTAGTTTTTATAATTACTCTACCCATCTGATATGAGGAGCCCTGGGCCCACACGTACCATCCACAATCAAGATTATAGCAGCCTAAGCTCTTTAGTTTAATTAGGTCCCACTTGTCAATTCTTGGTTTTGCTTCAGTTGCTTTTGGGGACTTAGTCAAAAATTCTTTGCCAAGGCTGATGTTGAGAAAACTATTTCTTAGGTTCTCTTCTAGGATTTTTCTAGTTTGAGGTCTTATATTTAAATCTTTAATCCATCTTGAGATAATTTTTGTATATGGTGAAAGGTAGGGGTCCAGTTTAATTCTTCTGCATATGGCTAGCCAGTTATCCCAGCACCATTTATTGAACTGGGGAGCCCTCTCCCCATTACTTGTTTTTGTTGGCCTTATTGAAGATCAGATCGTAAGTGTGCCACTTTATTTCTGAATTTTCTATTCTGTTCCATTGATCTATGTGTCTGTTTTTGTATGAGTACCACACTGTTTTGTTTGGTATAGCCTTATAGTTTGAAGTCAGATAGTGATGCCTCCAGCTTTGTTCTTTTTGCTTAGGATTGCTTTGGCTATTCGGGTTCTTTTTTGGTTCCATATGAATGTTAGAATAGTTTTATCTAATTCTGTGAAGAATGGCATTGTAGTTTGACAGGAATAACATTGAATCTGTAAATTGCTTTGGGCAGTGTGGCCATGTTAACAATATTGATTCTTCCAATCCATGAGCATGGAATGTTTTTCCATTTATTTGTGTCGTCTCCGATTTATAAACAGACAACTTACAAAATGGGAGAAAATATTCACAATCTATGCATCTGACAAAGCTCTAATATCCGAAGTCTATGAACTTAAACAAATCAACAAGCAAAAAACAACCCCATTAAAAAGTGGGCAAAGAACATGAACAGACACTTCTCAAAAGAAGACATACGAGTGGCCCCCAAGCATATGAAAAAATGCTCATCATCACTAATCCTCAGAGAAGTTCAAATCAAAACCACAATGAGATACCACCTCATACCATCAGAATGATTATTATTAAAAAGCCAAAAAACAACAGATGCTGGTGAGACTGCAGAGAAAAGGGACCACCTATACACTGTTAGTGGGAATGTAAATTAGTTGAGTCACTGTGGAAAGCAATTTGGAGATTTCTCAAATAAATTAAAACAGAACTACCATTTCACCCAGCAATCCCATTACTGGGTATATACCCAAAGGAAATAGATCATCATACCAAAAAGACACACACACTCATATGTTCATTGCCATGCTACTCACAATAGCAAGGACATGGAATCAACCTAGGTGCCCATCAATGGTGGTTTGGATAAAAAAAAAAAATGGTACATATACACCATAGAATTCTATGCAGCCATAAAAAAGAATGAAATCATGTCCTTTGCCGCAACATGGATGTAGCTGGAAGCGATAATCCTAAGTGAATTAATGTAAGAAAAGAAAACCAAGTACCACATATTCTCACTTAGAAGTGTGAAGATAAATACTAAGCACATAAAGATGTAAACATGGGAACAATATACACTTGGGACTACTAGAAGCGGGAGGAAGAGAAGAGCCATGGGTTGAAAAACTAACAATTGGGTACTATGCTCACTACCTGGATGCAATATACCCATGTAACAAACCTGCACAAGTACCCCCGTCTCTAAAATAAAAGTTGATTTTTTAAAAAAAGAAAAAAAAACTGGCCAGGCGCGGTGGCTCACGCCTGTAATCCCAGCACTTTGGGAGGCTGAGGCGGGCGGATCACGAGGTCAGGAGATGGAGACCATCCTGGCTAACACGGTGAAACCCCGTCTCTACTAAAAATACAAAAACAAAATTAGCCAGGGGTGGTCGCGGGCGCCTGTAGTCCCTGCTACTTGGGAGGCTGAGGCGGGAGAATGGTGTGAACCCAGGAGGCGGAGCTTGCAGTGAGCGGGGATCGCGCCACCGAACTCCAGCCTGGGCAATAGAGTGAGACTCCGTCTCAAAAAAAAAAAAAAAAAGAAAGAAAGAAAGAAAAAATCTAAAACTCTAACAGGCAAAGTAAAGGAAATAAAATATAGTGGCTAAGCATGTGTGGCTCTCAGCCAACCTGCCTTGGTTCAAAGCCCTGTTCTGCCATTAACTCAGAAGCTGACTTTGGACAGGTTACTAAACCTCCCCCTACTTTGGTATTCTGGTTTGCTGAAAGGAAGATGATAACACTAATATTACTTATTAGGGTTATTCGGAGGAATAAAAGAATTAATGTGCATAAAGAATTTAGAACAATGTCCAGCACATAATCATTAAAATGACTATTATTTGTGATAAAAAAACTTCTTCTCTATAACTTTATTCTCTCTTGATTTTCCTTTTAGCCTTGTATTTCCTTGTAGCTAGTGTCCAATCTCCCTTTTATTCTTGCCAAACTAAGTGAACATATGGCCTAAATATGCTGTTTCCTCTCCTCACTTCTGATTCATTTCTCAGCTAACAGCAATCTGCCTCTGCCCTCACTGCTTCACTGAAGGTTAACACTGATGAGTTTATAACATCACTGAAGAATTCCACATTGCCAGATCCAATGGTAATTTCTGATGGATCTTTATCTTACTAAACCACTCTCTACATTTCAGAATTGGTTACTTTTATTTTTTTTTGAAACTCTCTCAATACCCTTTGTTTCCACAACCCTGACCATCTTTTTGTCTAGTGTTTCCTTATAGCCTCCTGTCTACTCCATTTCATTCCTTGTTTCCTTTGCTTATCAATTAAATGTTGGTATTCTCCAGATTTCCATCCTTGACCTCCTACCCTTTATCTTTATTTGCCTTCCTCGTGATTATAACTCCTGTCTGTATTTTATGTCTTTTAAATCATCATCCAAGAGCTGCTGTACATTTATAGTTGGAATTCCCACAGGCACCAAAAGCTCAGCATTTCCAAAGCTAAACTCATTTTATCACCCCTGCAATTCGCCAACCTGTTGTTCCACCTCTATTGATTTCAGTTAATAGCACCACTATTTACCCAAGCACCCAATCCAATAATCTGGAAATAACAAATCTGTATCTCTTAATCTTCCACATTCAATCATTCACTAATACATTTCAACTCTATTGTCACACCTTTCCCCCATCCTTCCTACCACTGCCCCAGTCTAAGTCCTAATTATCTCTTGCTTAAGTTGGAACAACAGTTTTAAAATTTATCCTCTACCTCCAGTTTTGTCTCCCTCAAGCCATCACTGATAGAGCTAGTAGAATCACCAATCTAAAATGGAAATCCAATGACATTATTATTTGCCTAAATCCTATCTTCCTCAAAGATTGCCCATCACATATAGGATAAAATCCTAGACCTTTATCATATAAATACAGCCTTCCAGCACATTGTCTCTATTTTTCCCTCTAGTTTCAGCGAGAGCCACCATGCTAACTGTTAATATGTATATATTAAACATTATGTACACATATACTATACATATAACACCTTGAAGTAATATTTTATTTCTATTTTATAGATTAAGAAACTGGTACTGATATTTTATAGATTAAGAAACTGGTACCTGTATAGGAAAAGTAAAGTTGATCATTAAATCTAAATCTGTCATATTCTCCAATGGATTTCTTTGAGGTCAGGTCCACATCGTTCCTTTCTTTGAACCACCAGCATCTAGCACATTACCTGGCATACATAATGGCTGTTAAGCAAATGTTAAACTAAATTGACTGTTCAAAAAGAGAAATGATGGATTATAACATTATAATTAGATTATCCAGCCACTGACTGAAGAAGGAATAGGGATTCTAGAATTACCTCACAGGTACAATAAATGAGAACAATGACCACTATGACTGAGTTTGTAAAAGGTGTATATCTCTTCATCATGTAAAAATTTAATTATCTTTCAAATTAAGAGATAAGCTCTATATTATCAAGAGTAAATTTAATGTTCTTTTTATTTCTAAATTGCATTTTATTCAAGTGTTTTTTACTTTTAGAGGATCAAAACAAAGGGAAATAGAAATATTTACACTAACACAAATTCTCTGCTAAAAGATAACAGTATGTATGTGCTTATGTTGCATGTGTATTTGTATGAGTATGAAATATATATGCACAATACACAAATGTATATGATGAAAAACTTCAAGCTATTTTTAAGTTTAGAAATTGATGACTTTAATAACATTTGGGAAGCTCACTCTTCAGACACACTGATTGCAAAGGATTAAAAGATCACCTGAAACTCTGAGACCATCAAAGAATTTCTTTAATTATGAAAAAAAGTGCAGATGTGTGGCCAATCTTTCTCCCAGGTTGCAACCAAATAAAACTTCAAATAACGCACTCATAAATGGCTGAAGAAAAAGGAAATTAAAATGAAAACACATACATATTAAAGATAACTATGAGCTGTGACTGTTCAACAATTGGGCTTCAAGTAGTTTCACACCATTGGGCTAGGATAAAACATGCTCTGCTGGCATTTTCATCTGCCAAAATAGCCATTTGCAATTAAAAATTAAAACTGGCGCTACTTCTTTGCAAGCAATTTTCAGAAGGCTGCTGGCTATCTTTCTTGTTTATAGTGTTTTTTTGTATCAGTCCTTCGTTTCATTTTGAAATACCCTTTTCATTTCTTTCCTTTTAGGCTATCATATTCCCAGTACTAATATTGTAACACTTTTCAACATTTCTAATTGTAATATGGTCTTCAAGTACAATAGCATTGTTTAGATTTCTAAAGACTGATTAGAAGAGTATGAAACATTTTATATATCAGCACAGTATAAAGCAGTATAACTTCTACAAGGCCTCTGTAGACTTAAGAGAAATCAGTGATTTTTTAAAGGAATGCAGGAGCAAAAAGAATATGTAAACATCAGTCTCTACAGACATAAACTTAATTCAGAATAGAATATATATGTAGGTAGTAAAGTAATTCATTAGGTCTAATTGAGTCTGACACATAGAATGGCCAACAGAGTAAAATTCCATCTGCCACAAGGGAACTAATAGTGTATTTTGGAGATCTGGGGTGTCAGTAAATGAATCAGTATGTATGCATGGAGCATCTTTTATGTGACAGGCAGTGTTCTGGGTGCTGGTGATATAATAATAAGACAGAAACCCCTGCCTTTAAAGAATTGGGGTTGAGGGGAGAGACAAGCAATAAACAGATCCTCCTCCAAGCAGAGGAGGAGTGATGTGTTCTGTTAAGTCTTTAGGAAGATCACTTTGGGCCAGGTGTGGTGGCTCATGCCTGTAATCCCAGCACTTTGGGAGGCTGAGGTGGGCAGACCACTTGAGGTCAGGAGAATGAGACCAGCCTGGCCAACATAGCGAAACCCCATCTCTACTAAAAATACAAAAACAATTAGCCAGGTATGGTGGCGCACGTCTGTAATCCCAGCTACTCAGGAGGCTGAGGCAGCAAAATCGCTTGAACTTGGGAAGCTGAGGTTGGAGTGAGCTGAGATCACACCACTGCACTCCAGCCTGGGCAACGGAGTGAGGCTCCATCTCAAACTAACAAAAAGAAAGAAAGAAAGATAACTTTGGCTACTATGTAGCACAGAGACCTTGGGGATTTAGGAATTAAGTTAAAGCAACTAGTTAAGAGGCAACCCTCAAGCTCAGAGAAGAGGAAAGGAAATGATAAAAGGATCAGATTGCTTCTTATTCCAAATACTCTTTCTCTTTAATGATAGCATTTTAGACTCTCTACAGTATCCTCCACCATCTCGGATCACAGACACGATTGTGCCCATATCACAGATGAAGATTTGGAGACCCAGATGTGTGAAATGACTTACAGAATTAATTAGTGGCAAAGCTACAAGCAAAGCACTAATCTCCTACTTCTAGTCCCATATCTTTTTTCTTTTAAATGAATCGTCAGTATCTTACGTCTAAGAAAACTGAAAAGACTTGGTAGTTCTTTCAGCTTCGGCTCACCCTGAAGCTCCTCTGTGGAAGGCTTATAAGAAAAATTATTTACTTACTCAGTTAAGCATGCATTTATGGAGGGTCTACTAGACACAAGGCACCTTGTTAGGCACTTAATATTTAGAAATAAGTAGAAATTTCACTGTATGGAAGCTTGCTGTCATGTGGGAGAGACAGACCAAGTAGCCCACGATGACAGTACAATGGGGGAAGCACCATTATAATGACATTGGTAGAGTGCCATGGAACCTGAAAGAAGGGGCACCTAACTCATCCTGGCAGAGGGAAGGGAACTGTTTGGAAATATGCCCAAGAGGAAGTGATCTTTGAACTGTACTTTGAAGAAACATTAGGAGTTTAATAGCAAGGGTGCAAGATGTGGGGAGAAGCCAAGAGAACAGCATGAGCAAACACATGGTGGTGAGACACAGGGTGGAGCAGTGCAGTAAGGGTGGGGCTTAGAGTGCATATTAGAGGGGAGTAGCTATATAGTAGTCTATGCCCTGAGGGTCTTGTGTGAACTCTTCCAAGGAATCTGGAGTCTAACCTACACTACTGGGTCCATTTTCCCAAGTCTTAACCACTCCTCAGTCCACTTGAATCATATTTATGACTCTTAGCACTCCACTGAAGCTGCAGCAGCAAAGGCCACCAGTGGCCTCCTTCATAAGAAATCCAATGAAATCTTACCTAACTTTTCTAGTCCTTTCTGCAGCATTGGAAACTGCTGGCCATAACCTTTTTTCCGTATGCATCTTCCTTTGCTTTCATGAAAATAAGATCTCCCAGGCTTTCCCTCGGCCTTTGGGTTGCTGTAAAGCTTTTCCCAGGTTCTTCCATTGGCTCTTACTTTTTCATCCACTGCTTGGTGTTGGTGTTCCCCAGTCTCTAGCCTCCACTATGCCCTCACTCACTCTATATATTCTTTGGACTATCTCATTTTTTCTACTTATTGCTTTAATTACCACAAAACTGACAGAGGCTTTCAAAGCTAAATATCTGGTTACATATTTAGATTAAACTCCAGATTTGTAAATGATTCCATTCATTCAAAAATATTTTATTGAGTGTTATCTATGTGCCAGAAACAGTTCTGGTTGCTGATCTAACGTGGTTGGAAATAGACTGTGCCTTGTTCACTGCTATGTTCCCACCACTTAAAATCTCCACCTGAATGACTCAAAAAGCCCAACATGTTCAAATCCGAACCCATTATATTCACCAGAATATGTGCCCTTCACTCTTTGTCCCATATATTAGTGAATGGCACTTCCATTCCTCAAATCAACCAAGTCAGAATCATCTTCCTCATACCACATGTCAGACTGGTGAAAACAATCTGCAAATTTTATCTCCTTAACATTTCTTTGGTTAAACTCCTCCTTCTCATCTCCACAGTTACTGCCTTAGTTCCTTAGGCAATCATCTCTCACCTTTCTAGTATGATCCACAGCATATAGTCGATAGTCAACAGACATTTCACAGAATAAGTTTATGAATAAATGAATGCAACAATGAATGGAAAATTCTCACAATTGGTATCATCTCCTTATAGGCCATATTGACTCCATTTTGCACTCCAATTTATTTGCTGAACTAATGAAAGGCAGATCTTTCCAAAATTTATATCTGATTATATCATTCCCCTGATTATCACCATTCAATGACCACTACTGCCTACAGGATAAATACAAGATTCTATGGTCAGCATCAGAATCTATCCAACAGATTGGTGATTTGCCTTTTGCTCTACCACCCTTTCTTGTGGCTTTCCTCACCCTGAAAATACTTAACAGTACCTAGAATTACTGTGCTGATTCACAACTCCATATCTTTACTCAAGCTGTTTTCTCTGTCAAGATTGTTCATTCCCTCCTGCTATGCCCACCTGAAAATTAACTACTCATTTGTGGAAACTCAGCTTACACCTCACTTCCCCTTTGAAGCCTGTGCTGACTTTTCTGCCCGGGCTTCACTTCTTTTTCTTTTCTCATGTCACTTTGTAACCTCTCTCTCTAAGCACACCAATAACATTGTTTCACACTTGTTCACAGGCTTGTAGTAGTCCCTTGCTGGCGTCTTTTCCTTCCTCCAGAGTGGAGGCCTTTGCCTTGTTAATTTGGGAATTAGCACATATTACACACTCTAATAATTGTAGATGGATACATAGATGAAGGAGTAGATGATAAGAGTCATGGAAATATTTTAGGCAAGGGGATGATATGATAAGATTTGCATTTTACGAACAATACTATGATGTTAGAGCAGAGAGAAGGCTGAGAACAGAAACCAGATGATCAGGCAGGAGAATATTACAAATCATCTAATGGAGAGGTAAGAAACAGAATGGAATAGAAGTGGTAAAGAAGAAAAGGGAATGTATTTGAAAAATACCTATAAAGTAAACAAACAATAGTTAATGACCTTTTGCCTGACCAGAAGGAGTAAGTATGAGAAAAAGGATGACTTCAGAGCTCCTAGCTTGGGTGACTTCTTCTTGTCTCCTTGTTTAATATCTATAATTCACATCCATAGCATTAAGTCAGGCAAAGATACATTAGGCAAAGTGATCAATTACATGTATCTGCAACACCGTTTCCCATGTAACTTCTCAGAACCACATTTGCTGCATCAACGCAAATTTATATATGAAGCCTCATCCTGTGTCCCCCTACTACCCTCATTATTCTTCAAAATTTTCCTTAAACAAGGAGGAATTAAAAAGGGACAAACAACATTCAGGGAAATGAGCCACCTCATGTTTGAATAGCACACTAATAAAATGAAGAAAAGTTGAAGATAGGAAATATGGCTGTCAGGTAAATCCTAAAGAATAGTAAGGGCAAGGATCTCCTAATCTCCACTAATTTATAAAGTTTAAGGGAAAATATTTGAAGTAGGTCATCCCTTGCTCTGTCCAGCCATCCTATCAATAGGCTAGGATATGTACTCTTGAAAAGACATTTTATAACCCTAAAATACCATTATAATAATTATTTTTGCATAAATAATAGAAATTTATATTTACCTCAAGCATAACTTTAAACATGCTTTTCTTGTTTCTTGGCAGTGAAAACACTGGTTGACCAAGTAAATTCACCCCTGAAGTACCTCATTAATCACGGTGCACTTGTTCTTGGCAAGAACCTTAATATGCTACAAATACTGTTATTAAAATAAGATTTGGGGATTCCCAAGCTGGCAGGGAATTAGTTAGTTACACCTCTCTCGAAATTATTTTATTGGGGTCTAGTTAAACTTACAGCATAAAGCAACTTCGATAAATGAATGTAATGTGTAAAGTCTGGCTATTCTAAAGCTCATTTAAAATCACAAGCAGCAACTGCCAAAGATGGCCTCTTTCCTCAGGGTCTGCTTAGTTGTGCACAATCCTCCCAAAAGATGATACTATCCATTCCCTCTTTGTGCTAATGTGGATATAGCACCCCTATCTAATTGCTGAGGCATTGCAGTTTCAGACTCTAAAATGTATAATCAAAACTTCACATTTGCTACATCTATTAAGTACACAATTTATTTCCTGTCTACTACTAAAGATACTGCTAGACTGATAAAGCCTGGTAGACAGAGAAGTATCCAACCTTGAACCTTTGGAAAAATCATTTATTAATGTTTTAAAATTCTGTAAGCCCATACAAACCTGTTAACACCAACACATGGAAAAGAAAATGTTGTGTTGCAAGTTCTCATTCATGTTCAAGAACAAGTTAGGAGATGCAAAGTATGTGCACCAACCAAGGCTTTCTTTAACTCTCTCTGAATATACAATGCATAATATAAAAAAAAGAAAGGCTAGAAATGTTTTGAGCATACTGTTGTAAAGAAAAAATCATAACCTATACAGTATATATATTTGCTACCAAATTGAGCATTATAATTGCTAAATTATTTTAGTATATTCTGACAGGTCAAAATAATTTACCAGGCTTATTAAGTAATATGTTTAATTACATATCAGGTCAGAGGAGATTAACGAGAAAAGTGTCAGTTGCATTTCTCTATCATTATCCTAACCACATTTAAATAAATGTGAATTTTACATAAAAGTTATACTTTTTGATGTAATGATGATGCAACACAACCGTTCTCCTTGTGTGCATTGTAAAACGGAAAGTTGGCTGGAATATTCTGCCTAATGCTACATGTTCACGTCAATCTGGGACTGTAAAATTTTCCAGACACCAGAGCCCCACAGATTGTAGACTCCACCAATTTCCTGACTCCTATGTGGTTGAATTCCAGGTTCACCTAGTTACAAAACCAGCCCTTCTTCCATGTTATTTCAAAACACGTTTCTGGTGTTGATGCTAATTCTGCATCCCAGGAGAGAGCTATGTATGGATGACATAACTTATTTCTAAAAGAAACCTAGTCCGTGTGCTCAAAACTTATTTTACTAGGAAACAAGGAATGTATCAGCGAGTATCTGCAACTTTCTCTACTGGTCTTCTAAGGTTGATGTCTTTATATTTCATCTTAACAAAAAAGAAGCAGAAATAATAATACTAAAAAAAGAGGAAGCAAAAGGAGAAGAGGAAGAAAAAAAGAATTAGACACGAGGTAACATTATAAAAACAACCTTAAAATGCCCAGATAAACGTAACTCTAATAGGAGACTGAATGAATGGACTTTGTGGGAAAAACAGTAGTAAACTTTAAAGCCACTGAAAGGTTTTAAATGCCTAAGGGAAAAATAAACATTTGCTTCCAATCATTTTCTCATTAAGCATTCTCTGCTAGATGGAGAAGGCTTACTACACACACACACACACACACACACACACACACACACTCTTTGACTCCGCGCCACAAACGGGGACTTAACCCACTGCCCGATCTCTGTCAGAGGCGACCCATTTGCGCTTCTGCTATCGCACCTCCGCCCGCGTTCCTGCGCCCCAGGTTCCCCGCTGCCTCCCCGCCCCCTGCAGCGCGGGAGCGTTGCTTCGCCTGGCCTGCTGGCCTCCTCTAGACCTTGGCCACCTTCTCCGTGGCAGGAAGGGCTACATGCACTGACAGATTTTCCGTTGGTGGTGGCTGGGTGGTGGCGAGGCGTGTTTCCGGGCGCGCTTAAAACCTAGCAGCTCTCTCCAAGTAGCAGCTTCCCCTACTCCGCCCCTAGGACTGAGGACCTAGCCCTCGATGCCCCCTCACTTCTCCCCGTCCTACCCCGCCATCACCTCCTAACCTCTCCAGTATACTCTCAAGCCTCACACGGGCGCCTGTCCTCCCTTTGCATTCCCTAGCTCCCGGGCGCCCCGTTCGGTTGAAGTTTACGTATCTTGGGACCTAATTGCTCCCAATTATCCGCGCAGCCTAAGTCCCGCGTCTGCCTGGCTCTCGCCCCGGGAGCCTGAAGCTACCGGGCAGTTCATTGGGTGTCCTCGGGGAAAAGGTTCAAGCTGTAGAGATGAGAGAAGTGGGGCTGGGGGAGGGGAGAGGCTCCAGAAGGAAGACCACGAACACGTGCGAAGAAATAAAAGCCACCACGTGTGCACGCGCGCGGGGGCCCAAGGGCGCGAGCGCGGAGCACGCCCCAGGGGGCCAGGGACAGTGGTCCCCTGCAGCGGGCATAGCAGGGGGCGCGGGTACTCACACGAAAGCGTGGTAGATGAACGCCCAGCCGCGGGGTCTCTCCAGCACGTTGTACAGGTAGTTCTGCACCCGCCGGTACTTGACGTTGCGCCGGCAGCTCTGGCTACTCGTGTAAGAGAGCGGCTTCCCCAGCAGGCTCATCCGGGCCCCCTGCTTGCCCCGGCGGCTCTCCCTCAGGCCACCGCCGCCGCCACCGAGCGTGGCCGCGCGGGTGCCCAGCAGTAGCAGGCCGTCGCCCCTGGCGGCTGCCGAGTTCAGCAGCACCCTGCCCCGGCCGGACTCCACATCCTTCATGCCGCTGCCCAAGCGCCCCCCGCCCGCCGCCGCCGCCGCTGCGCCGCTCTTCACCCAGAGCCCGGCGGCGCCGCCCTCCTCTCCTCCCGCGTGGTGGCGGGGCATGGCATCACCACGGGCACCGCGAGGGGGCCGCCAGCGCCTGCGGCGGGGGCAGCGGCCTCATGTGCGCCGGCGGGTTTCAAGGAGGAAGCCGGCGGCCGACGGGGCGCCCGCCAGCCAGAGACCTCTGAGCCGGGGGCGGGGAAGCAGGCAGCCAGCAAACCGCCCGGGCTTCGGGGCGGGAAAGGAGGGGCTGCAGAGGAGGCCGAGGAGTCCCAATTTCTAACAGCCTTTAGCTTCGAATTCTAAATCCGGACCTGTTTGGGGCGTCACTTTGAGAGGGTTTCTCTTGCTCCCTCATTCCCGCGACTACCACTCCCTCCTTCCCAAACTGCCCCCGGGGATAGAGTGGGGGAGTGCGGGGCGCTCCGAGGCGCGCTCCCACGCGCGCACACCCAGCCCCAGGCTTCCCCTTCCCTCTCTCCACTCCCCACGCCCTGCAGCGAAACGGCCCCAGAAGCCCCTCTCCGAGGCGCGAGTTCGGTTTGGTTCTGGCAGGGGCTTTGCAGCTGTCCGGAAGGTGAAGTCAGCCTTGTGTCCTGAGGAGAAACTGGAGATGCAGGTCGCTGTGCCCTCCCGCTGCTACGTCGCTGCGCCGGATCCTGCCATCCTTCCGCAAGGGGTGAGAGCGGGAACAGCCCTGCCCTGCCTTCCAGGTATTATCTAGCCTGGAGGCTGGAGCGCAAGGTAACGCTCCGGGAAGTGGCACTCGGGTCCCCGCACACGGGCGAGTCCTCAGCAGTTCAGTGGACAGACCCGCAGGACGCGGCTGCCAAGTCCGCGAGGCAAGGACCAGGCATCTTCCCGCGCCTCACTCCAGCCTGCGGACTGTGACTTTCCATCCCAGTATCAGACAAGCTCGCGAGTAACTGAACATCCTTTCCAGTCCATGGGTGGGGTGTGGAAAGGGCGTAAAACTCCAAAGTGGCTCCTCCGCGGTGAGCGAGCTGCCCCGGGGCTCTGCCTGACTGCAGCGCGAAGCCTGGGAGAACAAACCCAGTTCCCTCCGTCAAGAAATTTCCATTTAAGTCCGAGAAAGTCATATGATTGAGAAGTTCAGCAGCGGCGGCGAGGACCCAGTGTCTGGGAAAGAACACCTGGAGGATGGGGTGTCCAGGACGCCGGCTTTTCGGGGTTCCGACCCCACCCACCTTATGTTGTAACATACAAGCTTAGAGACCTGTTGCAAGGAACAACTGACTGGGTCTTCCACCACCCCTGGCACCCGGGTGGCCCAAAGCCTATGCGCCCTTGGCGGAGAGAGAGGCCACGGTGCCACTGGCCGCAGCCTCTGGCCTTCAGAAACAGTGTATTACAAAGAAAAGGCAGTTTAAATCTCACATTCAGCATAGGGAAAACTGAAGGGTGCCAGGCTCGGGGACTTCTTCCAACAGAGTGGCTCTTCCCCAAATATGAAAGAAAATCATCAAATTAAATTGAAGGCAAAACTAAGCTTCCACCACAAAGACATAGCAGATAGTTGCAAGGTGGATTCCTTCGGGCCTTTTCCTTTCCTAAGGCTAAAACAATGCTAAGACAAAAGTCTTCTTGCAGCTGTCTCCGCCCCTCCGAGATAAATACTTTCCCAATTCTCCCCCACCCTGTACACACACCCACGCCCGCGGCAGCTGATTTCTGTCTTCTGCAATAGCTCGATTTAAATGCTTTGCTTTTACTCTTTATTATCACTATTATTTGTGTGAAGCCCTCTCGCCTGCTCCTGGTCACCAGCAGGAGCCTGCTTCCCTCCCTCCTTCCCCCCAAGCCTCTGGGCAGCAGAAGCTAGCTGGGAGCTCTGTGCAGCTGGCGGCGACGCCATGTGACTGTGAGCCGAGCACCATCACCCAGAGTCACTCTCTAGCTTTCCCCTAATACACTTCACACCCACGCACTGTGGAGGTGCGAGAGAGGTTGCTCCGTGCGGTGCTATTCGAGGCAGATGCAGAGAGCGCCCTGGAGTAAGCTCTCCAATCCTAGAGCTGCGCGGGACCCTGACTGAAGGCGGAGGGGGCGGGAGGGGGTGCTGTTGCTATATTTAGACTCCCTATGGAGTTTCTGTGCAGGGACTTTCAGGGTGAAAGATCTAGAGACTTAAAATGACTCGTGTGCCCGCTTTAAACGTCAAAATCTTGGCCTTTCTGCAAGCAGTAAAATGAAAACCACTTCCTCTTAACTTAGCTGTTTTCCTTGTTGCAGACTGCTACTTTCGCTGGGTAGGTAAAGTCACTTCCATCTCTCTGGCGCGGCTGGGCCCCGCGTGCAGGCAAGAAGTCTCAGGAAGGCAGGACACAGGGACACGTTTCCCTGGAAGACAGCCAGCTGTTTAATTTCTAAGTGATGCTTTTCTGGGGATGCAGCATTAGTTCTAGTGAAACTGTATTATTGATTAAGCAAATGCCATTTAAGCTTAATTAAAAAATAAAAAAGACCCGGTTACTGGTAGCCGTTTTGAGCTGCTGAGAAGGACCTTTCACTTATGTCTTCTAGAGTAACCGCCATTTGGATACACAGCCCAGAAAAAGAGGGCCTGCTCAAGTTTTCGCGGGTAGTGTGAGAGTTACTAGGAATCCAACAACCTGGCTTCCTAGTTCACTGTTCCTTCCACCAATCAATCTGCATCTCCAGCAGAGAATGGATAAAATAGCAAACAGTTCTGGGGTTTTGTATCAATCTCTGACTGCAACCATTGGGAAAGACTGGCTTAGCTGAAGTTCTAACCTTCCTACCTTTCAATGCCCAGAAAGAAAAAGCCAAGTGAGTCTGTGCCAACCTCTCCTACAAGAGCCTCTGTTTGCACCTTGCTTTATTTGCTACCTGCTAACTTCCCTCAAAAGACGGGAATTAACTTTGGAGAAAATAAGGTGTTTGCGATTAAGCTTTGTTGTTGTTCCTTTGAATACAGACGTTGCTAGGAAACTGCCTTTTATTAGTTCGTTTTGCTGAAATATTAAAATTCAAATTTAGAAAAGAGGATAGGCATACTGAGCAGTGAGTAAAACAGTGTATATTCTATGCATTATAATTACATTAGAGCATTATGAAGAGGTAAAGGCAAATGTTAACTGCTAGTGTAAAGTATGTGAGTTGATTGGCCCTCCCCATCTTTTGAGATGTGTTTGCTTTTACTCATTCATTCTCTTAAGATGCTTGCCTGAAATTTATGACCTTGGAAACATTTTCTGAAGTCTACATGGATATGGTTTCAACTGAACATAGTTTCTAGAGATATTTTATTTTAGTGTGTTTCTTTTTCTTTTTTGGAGATGGGGTCTTGCTGTTTTGCCCAGGCTGGTCTCCAACTCCTGAACTCAAGCAATTCTTCCACCTCAGCCTCTCAAAGTGCTGGGATTACAGGCGTGAGCCACTGCTCCTGGCCTCAGTGTGTTTTCTATCCCATTGTATTATTCTTCTGAAAGGTACTCTGAAATAATAATATTTGAAATTCTATACATGAGCTAGAGATGCACAAAAAAAAGACTTTCAATGCTCATAAGAGGGGCAGAATAACTGGATCTGGACGAGTTTCACAAAGCATCAATGACTCACTCTCCCACTTTCCTTCTTCTTCATGCCTACCCATTTTCTCATTTGCGCCTATCTCCTACTACAAGATACGCTCTTTAGTAGCCACTCTTTAGTGATATGGGTGCATATTGATCCATTGTGAAATTCCTGGGCTAATCAGACAGGGAATGATAAATAGAATTCTTAAACCCTATAATAAAAAGGAAATGCATGTGACATGAGTCTGCTTGGGAAAATAATGAAGGGGCAAATATAAAACTTAAAAAGTAGAAAATAATCAACAAAAAGAAAATGCACTAATGGAGAAATGGAAATTCATGATTGGCTGCTGTTTAATGATGTGCACAGGGCTCAGCAATTTGCCTTGTAAGCTTAGGGGTAGAACTGAAGTCTCCAGACTCCTGAATAGGAGTCCCTTTAAGCTACCACCCTTCTCCTTAGCTTTTATTTCCTTCCAATCAGGCCATAACCAAACCAATAAGCATAACAGCTATATTGCATTTCATAGATATCATAACCATTGGTTCAGTAAACATATTTATCTCCTGCTATTATTTTAAATGTATCAGCATAATATACCATTTGTTTTGATCAGTCATCAACAATTCTTATCTCTAAGAGTTATGATACAAACTTCTCACGCTCTTTCTTCAACAAGCAGAAATTAATCAGAG
The DNA here is from genome assembly GCF_000001405.40 of Homo sapiens. Lineage (NCBI taxonomy): Eukaryota > Metazoa > Chordata > Mammalia > Primates > Hominidae > Homo > Homo sapiens. The sequence goes on along the minus strand of NC_000006.12, from coordinate 72,617,993 downwards.
AACCCAGGACAACGTCAGAGATCATATGAGCCTCACCAGACTGCATGAGAGTCATAACACAGTAGGAGTCCCAGGCCTACCTCACATGGCAAATGGGACAGTGTTCTTCAGAACAACCTCTGCCCCAGGGATGCAGAAAGGAGGTGGGTGTGAATGAGTGTGGCTGTAAGGAGAGGCTGGTAGAGAAATAGTGCGGAAAGGGCTCAACAAGTTCTCACCATTTTTATTCCAGCAGCTAACAAAATTACTGTTTCTAGGAATTACTGAAATATTGTGCTGATCACAATTGTTGAAGCAAAATAATAGCAAATACTTATCATGTGTTTTGTATGTGTTAGGCACTGTGGTTTACAGTAATTATTTCAGGCCGGATGTGGTAGCTCATGCCTGTAATCCCAGCACTTTGGGAGGCCAAAGTGGGTGGATCACTTGAGATCAGGAGTTCAAGACCATCCTGGCCAACACAGTGAAACCCCGTCTCTACTAAAAAATAGAAAAATTAGCTGGGCATGGTGGCAGGTGCCTGTAATCCCAGCTACTCAGGAGGCTGAGGCATGAGAATCGCTTGAACCTGGGAAGTGGAGGTTGTAGTGAGCCAAGATGGTGCCACTGCACTCTAGCCTGGGCAACAGAGGGTGAGACTGTGTCTCAAAATAAAATAAAATAAAACAAAATAAATTTCACTTAATTGTGACAATAGTTTCATAAGTAGGCACTACAATCATATCCAATTTATAGGGGCAGAAACTGAGGTGTAGACAAGTTAATTTTTTTTTAAACTAAAAATTAGCTGAGGCAGGGCAAAAACAGAACCAAAACTAGATTTTTAACTACTAATCTATATCAGCTTTTGAATAAAAAATACTTAGCCTATTATTTTGTATTAATAATCTTAATGGGTTTTGTTACAAATGAAAAGTACTGGAAAGTTTCTATTGGTTATCTTGGAGGAGGATTTGAGGTTTTATTCTAAACACAGAAATAGCTTCAATATTTCTCTTCACTTTTCCTGTGGAAGTAGGAGTTTCCCTGCATAGACACTCTTCTGTGCTGAAATTTTAAAAATAGTCCCAAGTCTCATAGTATCAATTTCTTGAAATTGTATTTACATTTTGATCTTTTTCTTAATGCTATTCTCAGCTTTATTTATAAAACCCTGTTAATCGTATTTGGCCATACCTGATTTCATTTTTTCTGACATGTTAATATGTCAGCACTGCTCTCTATCTGTTAGCCAACTATTTAAACATATCTCTCTGGGAATAATAGAGTTAGTTGAACTTTTTAAGATCCATATATTTAGAAACTATGTGAAGAGGTTGCCACAGAAGGCAAACATCTCTTTTAAGCTAGTGTACCGGAAAATTCTGTTACTAGTCTGTGCCCCCTAGTGGTACTGACATTTTACCATTGTTTTTTAAAAGGAAATTAAGAAAGCTTCTTTTACGAAGTTCTCAAAACTTATTACTCTCTTCAACAAGTAATCTTCAACTATCAGGTGTCAGCTACCTGGAGTGGTGCAATGATGAAAGACAGTCCTGATTCTTATTATGTTCATAGACTAGTAGGGTAGATGGATAAATGAGCAAGTAATTATAACATGGTGATGAGTTCACACAGGTTTGCACAGAATGTTATAGAAGCTACAGAGGTTCCTAAAGAATGTAATAGCTGAGCTAAGTCTTGAGGAATAACTAGACTTTGGTGAAGACATGAGGGATAACTCAAAGAGAAAACATTTGAGAAGATGTGACGGAGTCTTGCTCTGTCGCCCAGGCTGGAGTGCAGGCACAATCTCAGCTCACTGCAACCTCCACCTCCCAGGTTCAAGTGATTCTCCTGCTTCAGCCCCCCGAGTAGCTGGGACTACAGGCATACGCCACCACGCCCAGCTAATTTTTGTACTTTTATTGAAAACAGGGTTTCACTATGTTGGCCAGTCTGGTGTTGAACTCCTCACCTCAAATGATCTGCCCACCTTGGCCTCCCAAAGCGTTGGAGTTACAGACGTGAGCCACCGCGCCCAGCTGGAGAAGATGTGAAATTTTGAGAGCTGACCATACTTTGAGAATAATAAGTAGTTGGATTCTACTGAAGCCCAGTGGCTTTTGGAGGTGTAGCAATAAGCAGGAGGCAGCAGAAGTAAGACAAGGGCTGTATGACAAAGTCTTGGCAAGAACTTTGAATTTTATCCTGATGTGAGTGGGGAGAGCCACTGAAGAACGTGAAGCCAGAAACACTACATGTTACTACTTCTACTTTCAGAAAAGGCTTAATATGGATTATACACCTACAAGTGGCACACACTGTTCCAAGTGGAGACTCAAAGATGATAACGATACAGTGTTTATGCTATAGGTTTGTGAAGCTACCAATCCATGGACAGATGTTAAACCTAACTTCCAATTTCAGGTACAAATATCTGAGTAAATGATGGTATCATTTACTCAATCAGTAAAGGTCAAAGAGAAGGCAGTCTGAAGAAGGGAAAGGTGTTCAATTTTGCATTGAGTTTGACATACCTGTTGAGACAGCTCAGTGGAGATATCCAGTTGATGCTTGGATATATGGACTTACAGCTCAGGGGGAGCTAGAAATTGAAATTTGAGAATCATCAACCTATATTTATAATGGGTGAAATCAATAAGTCGGAATCAAATTACCTGGGGAAGCATGCAGATTTGTTTAAAAAGGAAGAGGCCTGAGAACCCAACCCTGGTAAGCATGACCATTCAGGATAAGAGAGAAGGAGCAAGTAGGGAAAGAGACTGAAATAAAGAAACCTGAGTAACCACTGAGGACCACTGCTACAATAGAGAAAAAGGAACTTCATTAGGGAAATGCCTGAAAGCGAATAAGGTAAGGATTTTGGATTTAGCAACAAAGAGGTCATTTGAAGAAGTTGTTTTTATTTTTATTTCCTTGCAGAATTGTAGAAATAGAAATCAAATCAGAGTGAGCAGAGAAACAATTTGAAGATAAGGGAATGGAGATAATTATTTTAAAGTGGGAGAAGCAAGCAGAAGATTTAGGTTTGAAGAAGGCACTATACAAAATAATGTTGATTCACTTGAGACTTGAGTGGCTGTTACAGCCACTCTCACAGGTCCCGAGGCTGAGCCTGCACAGGTGTTTCGACAACTAAGCTGCAATTTTGACAGACACTATTTCACTGTCAATTGTGCGGCCTGCAACAACTTGGACATCTTTTATTGATTTTATTGAGTACTTTAATAACATTTTAATAAAAGCCATTATATTTTATTTCTAACATTTCAAAAAATTCTATTTAATAAGTATGCATTTTTCGTGTTTAGTTTTACCAAGAAGGAAAATGCATGCTAGATAAACTACATTTTTGTTTGATTTTATTTGTAATCAAGGCTGAGGAACTGACCAGATCAGAAAAAGAAAGTCAATACCTGCTAAGTATTCAACACAGTTTTCAACAGTGCTACTGAAAGCTACAGGAGATACCAAGAGTCCCTCAGACAGGTCAGGGATTGGCAAGAGTGGGGTCATCAAGTTTCTGGAGTTTCAATAAGATATTTGCTTTTTTCTTATATATACATATTAGCTTTCTGCATAAAATTATATTAACAGAAACGCTATTAAAGTTGTTTTTGAAAAACAACTGAACTACAGAATGGTCCTGTTTGTTGGAGTATTTAGAATACTTTCAGGCCAGGCGCGGTGGCTCATGCCTGTAATCCCAGCACTTTGGGAGGCCAAGGCGGGCAGATGACCAGGTCAGGAGATCGAGACCATCCTGGCTAACACGGTGAAACCCCATCTCTACTAAAAACACAAAAAATTAGCCGGGCTCAGTGGCGGGCGCCTGTAGTCCTAGCTGAGGAAGGAGAATGGCATGAACCTGGGAGGCGGAGCTTGCAGTGAGCCAAGATCCTGCCACTGCAGTCCAGCCCAGGAGACAGAGCGAGACTCCGTCTCAGAAAAAAAAAAAAAAAAAAAAAAAAAAGAATACTTCCTGCCTCTTTTTGAGTCATGGCTCAGTTACAAAATGACAAGGCTCATGGTCCACTAAGACAAAAGGAGGAGGCCAGTGGTAGCCAGAGGTGGTGGGCCTGAGTTTTTGGCTATCCTGGGTCTGCAGCAGTGACTGGATTCTCTGGATTATAAAAAGCATTAGGATTTAAACAGTACAAAGTGTGGGCCTTGTATAGGAATCATGAAAGTAAAAAGAGTTAATTGGAGCAAGAGGCAAATGTCCTAAAAAAGAAAGGGAATGTGAGATTGCAATCAAGTTGAATTTTACCACTCTGGTGTAAAATTTTGTTGATACATAATACAGGGACTGTGACATAAAGGGAGTATTACCTGGCATGTTTTCAAGTTTCTGGTTTCCTTTTTGCATGTTATTTTGTATCTAAGACTGAAGTTTTTTTGTTTTTTTTTTTTTTTAAAAGAGAGAGACACAAAGTTGAAATTGTTTTAAGGAAGAAGATATATTCTGTTGTGAATAGGAAGATTAAAAATGAGAAAGAAGGCAGGGTGCGGTGGCTCACACCTGTAATCCCAGCACTTTGGGAGGCTGAGGCGGGCAGATCACGAGGTCAGGAGATCGAGACCATCCTGGCTAACATGGTGAAACCCTGTCTCTACTAAAAATACAAAAAAATTAGCTGGGTGAGGTGGCAGGCACCTGTAGTCCCAGCTACTTGGGAGCCTGAGGCCAGAGAATGGCGTGAACCCAGGAGGCAGAGCTTGCAGTGAGTCGAGATCAGGCCACTGCACTCCAGCCTGGGCAACAGAGCAAGACTCCGTCTCAAAAAAAAAAAAAAAAAAAAAAAAAGAAAGAAGCAGGGGGCCACAAACCCAATATTAGTTTTGATGACAAAAATCGAAAAATCGAAAGTGGAGCAATAAATACTAATACATATTTAAATATATTTTAAAATATGCTAAGGATTTGGAGTCATAAAGAAACTTATGAATTGTGGGATCCTGATTCCTGGCTGATTACCAAATCTCACTAAGTCTTTGTTTCTTTCATGTTTAAAGTGAGGATAATAATATCCTTATCACAGGACTTTTGGGGTAGCTAAAATAGTTTATGTAAAGGTCTTATCTTAGTGCTGACACATAATAAGTACTCAGTAAATGTTAACTACTACTAATATTTATGTATAACAAGATTTAGCTTGGGTTCCATTTGTGATTTAGCCTGCAATTTGAAATAATAGCTGATTAATTCTCTGAAACATTAGCTTCCATAATTGTTAATATTTAGCTGAAATTTAGCAGATACAAAAAAAAAAGTAATGTAAACTTGTAAAAAAAAATGGATTATATGAATAAAGCTTGAGATAACCCAGAAGAGAAACTTTAAGTTTTGCAGATGATCTCGTTCAGGTGACTATTTGTGAAGTTTAAAAGCAGATGAAAGCAACTATGTCTCATAGTGTACCAGGCTATGCAGTCATAGATGTATATTTTATTAAGGGCTACTAGATACAACTAAACAAAGTAAACCTTAATGTATAGAGTTTTGCATATCATTCTACTTTTAACAGCAATATTCAAATGGTAATGGATATTTAATCCTTTCATTCTAAAATATCTGTGATATTTCAGATGTCTGGTGAGAGCTGTTGAATTCATTATTCTAGAATATCTGTGAATTTATGATTCTAAAGTTTTTCTGAACGGCAGAGGTCTGAGAATTTGATGAAAGCCTTCAAAAAAGTTTTAAAAAACGTATAATTTTGCATACAATTACAACTTTTGAGGCTCACAGACTCTTGGAAATAATTTTTAAAAACCTAGCTAATCAATCCCAGATTATGGGCCCTTGGGCTGTAATTCTTAAAGGAATGAGTTGTTTTTTTAAACTTTTTGAGATGGAGTCTCATTCTGTTGCCCAGGCTGGAGTGCAGTGGTGCAATCTTGGCTCACTGCAACCTCCACGTTTCAAGCGATTCTCCTGCCTCAGCCTCCTGAGTAGCTGGGACTACAGGCACGCACCACCAAACCCGGCTAATTTTTGTATTTTAGAGACAGCGTTTCACTATATCAGCCGGGCTGGTCTCAAACTCCTGACCTCGTGATCTGCCTACCTCAGCCTCCCAAAGTGCTGGGATTACAGGCATGAACCACCACGCCCAGCCAAAGGAATGAATTTTACAAAGATTCTCTTGAGGATATCTTCAGGATGACTTATATGGGATATATGGGAAAATTTGGAATAGCTAGAACTTCCTCGACCTCCCTGGTAATCTGCATTATTTCTCATGATTTGGTTGGGAGTACCTTGATGACACTTCTATCAGGGAGGTACTAGGACAGCAAGGTTTGTGGTCACTATAAAGCCCTTGAACTGAGATTTTGGATCTTTGTTATAGGTCTTTCTGTTAGAAAACAGCCTTGAACTCTCATTACATTTTTCATATGGTTATATTATGGGATCACATTTACTCAGAATAATGGTGTTTCTATTCCAAATTAATCTTCCAGAGTTTGGATACTTTTTATTTTTTATTTTTTATTTTAGAGACAGGGTCTCAGGGTCTCACTCTGTTGCACAATTTGGAGTGCAGTGCTGTGATCATAGCTCACTGCAGCCTTGAACTCCTGGTCTCAAGCAATCTTCCCACCTCAGCCTCCTGAGTAGCTGGGACTACAGTGTCAAGCCACCACATCTAGCTTTTTTTTTTTCCTTCATTTTTTGTAGAATCGGCATCTCACTATGTTGCCCAGGCTTGTCTTGAACTCCTCCTCCCTTGGCCTCCCAAAATTCTGGGATTACAGGTGTGAGCCATGGCACCTGGCAGAGTTTGAATATTTTAAAGCCAAGAGCATGCATGTATGTGTAGTTTAGTGAGTGCATATATAAACACATATATATGTATTAATATAATTGCAATCTAAGCTTTAAAATATTGCCCACTAAAGCATACAAACTGCCATGAATCTACTCATGCAGTACAAGGGAAGACTATGAGTACAGCCAGAACCTCAATTCTGGAAAATATACTAAAGTCATCTCTATGCTTAAGGCTTTATCTCTGCCGCCTAACAGTACACTATCATGGGATATACTCATTTTTGTTTCAGTCATCTCTCAGGAATTGAAGTCTTGACCCATATCTTAAAATGGTGACTAGGGTCCTGTTACAGGTTTACCTACTTCCACAATGTCAATTGCCTGCCTGCCTACCTACTGAACCTCTGGATGTCATCTTGGCTCCAGCATTTCTGTGTTATACACATTGAATAACCTGCTAGTGCATAATTCTACAAAAAAGAATACACTCTTCTGCCTAGCAGACTATTTCCTGCCCACACCTGATGCTGAGGCCATTCTCCCCAGCCCTTGCCTGGACCCCTTGCCTGGGCTGTCAGTGTTCAGTTCTGCAGTGGCTAGCTGGGTCATGACTAATCATGCTTGAGTTTAGACCAAACCCCTATCTCATTCCCTTAATGAGAATTGTTTTAATTTATCCATTCCTCAATCCAACCTACAACTGCTGAGTTCCTACCACCTATGTTAAAACTGTAGAACAAACATTATCCCTACCTAATTCATGCCATAGTTTACTGTATTTTTTCGAAAGATTTAAAATATTTTTAGAGCAGACTTAAATACATAACATGGAATGATAGAAAGATTACCTAAAACTTGACAACCCCAAACCAACTAATATGTTTTATAAACATTTATTCATCTGGAGCTACTTCTTTACAACAGCGGTAATTTTGCCCCGCAGATGATATTTGCAATGTCCGGTGGTGTTTCTGGTTGGCTTAGTACATAGTATGGGGGAGGGTGTGGGAAACTGTTGCTACTGGCATCCAGGTTGTAGAGGCCGGGGATGCTGCTAAACATTCTACAACTTACAGGATAGCTCCCCACAAAAAAGGAATTATCCTGCCCAAAACGTCAATATTGCCAAAGTTGAGAAACCCTGCTTTAAACAAACTTTTTAGGTCAGCCTTTGAAGGTATTGAGGTGGGAAGTGTTGCTTGCTGCCATTTGGTGATATTTGTTGGTCTACGTACCATTTATTTCTATATTTAGAATTTTAGTTTTTATAATACACCTGGGGAAATGATGCTAGATGTTCATATGGAAAACATTTTTCCACTTAAAGTAAAATCTTTCAATGTATACAAAACCAGGGAAAGTCAACAGGTAAGTAAGCATGTCAGACTTTGCAATATTCTAGAAGGTTAAAATAATAACAGTATTTTTGTATACCTAAAAATGAACATAACTTCCTGCTTCTACTATAGGATAGAAATGAAAGAGGCAGCAAAAAATCCAGAGAACAAATAAATGGCTAATTGGTTCAGGGTTTTGAGGGCTCTTCTGAGACTTTTTTTCTTGATTGCATTGGAATATAGATGCCTCAAATGACACTATAGGTTTATTATAATTTTATCTAATTCCATATAAATTTATACAAGGGCTCTTTAGATTAAGGTGGTAATAAAATATCAATTAGCAAATTAAAATAACTAGAGTTCATAGATGCCTATTCACCACTTCATTAGAGGCATTTTATGAGAGATTCAAGCATGAACATTTGGTCTGAGTGTCATTTTAATGCAAGTGTTTCCATTGTGGTTTGCTGCATCATATTTGAGAAATGTAATAAAAATACACATTCATAACCTTAGAAGAGCTGTATCAAACTGACATTTTTTTACTTCAGTTAGTAATATACGAATGTACTATATCGTATAGTAATATACGAATGTACTATATCGTATAGTAATATACGAATGTACTATATCATATAGTAATATATGAATGTACTATAGCAGCTAACAATTTTCTTGTATAACAATGGTCTCTGGTTAGAAGGAAATCTGTTAGAATTTGAAGATAATAAAAGGCCAGAAGTGGCTTAATGAATTTTCTTATTGAATAAATTTACCTCTCTTTTGGAAAAGCTTGTTTTTAATCTGCTAAATCAAAAATAGGTTTTCCATAGGTAGTATTTATTTTTTATGTATATACATATTCATATTCAATTTGGTTGTAAGCTCATGGGTACATAAATCCTCAAAACATTGCATTTATTTCCATCTTCACTGATCTACTGGGGTCCTTAAGTTTCTTTGTTCTGGAAAAGAAAGTCATTCCTTTAAGAAAAATAACGCTACTCTTCAAGTTTGAATTATGAAAGTACTCCTATTTCCTTAATACTCCTGGAACGATGTTCTAATTTTTTGTCTTAAAAAATGATTAAACTTGTGCAAAATTGTTTTCTGTTTTGAATTATACTGACAAAATCAGAGATTTTACACGGATTAACCTAAATCCCAATAACCCTATTTAACATACAAGTAAATCTGGATGCAGTGTTTAGTCTCTCAGTTCCCCAGTTTTCTCATTTTCAAAATGAGAGACAATAATGTGTTATGGTATAATAGATGCCAGTGCCTTGCACTTATTAGTTGCTCTGTAAATGTTAAATAACACTTATGGATGGCTTCCAGCTTTGTTATGGAGAAAACAAGAAAAGTATTAGGAGAAAAAATTAAGAGTCACAACATATTGGAATGTTTATTTATTTTAAGATATCTTCTTGTAAAGGAACATAACTGGCAAATCCAACATCACTCAGACTATGAGTTATCATGTTTTTAGTAGTTCCGAAGCTAAGTTATATTAAAGTAAATATACAGAAACATACATGTACATGAATCTGAATAAACTCAGCCTCCCTCTCCCATTCTATTTTTTTTTAAACTTTTTGTTCTGATTTTCTCCATCACACAACCCTCATATATTTAACAGAGCTGTTGAATTTTAGAGTTTGAATGGAGTTTAAATTTCTTTCAACCAATGCAGAAATTCTAAAATAGTTCCAAGTTTTAAATTTTAACTCTTGATGGAAAAAAAAAGTCAATATACACTCTCCTACATGCTTTTCTGAAGAACTGCATTTAATCCTGCCACAACTATATGACATGGGCATTACTACTCTCCCCATTTTTAAGATGTGGAGATAAGCTCAGAAACATTAAGAGATTGCTCAGTATCACACAAGCAGTAACCAAAAAGTGGGGATATGAACAGGATATGAAAAATCGCTGACTCCAGAAACTGTGATCTTAACCACAAAACCATATATCTCTCCAAATTAGAAAATGCTTTTAGGAATAGAGGGTTGTCTATTTAGAAATTTTATTAACAGCCACATATAAGAGAAGAAGATATATCTGCAAAGGCCCATAAACACTGATCATTCTGGCTTCAAACACAGGAGAGAAGAACAGAGTCACTTCCCTAACTGAACCTGGTATTTCTAGGTGTACAGATACCCCTTTCCTGGAGATTCTGAATCCTAACATTACAATTGTATCTTAAGAATGTGGGCCGGGTGCGGTGGCTCACGCCTGTAATCCCAGCACTTTGGGAGGCCAAGGCGGGCGGATCACGAGGTCAGGAGATCGAGACCATCCTGGCTAACACTGTGAAAGCCCGTCTCTACTAAATAGAGAAAAGAATTAACCGGGCGTAGTGGTGGGCGCCTGTAGTCCTGGCTACTCGGAAGGCTGAGGCAGGAGAATGGCGTGAACCCGGGAGGCGGAGCTTGCAGTGAGCCGAGATTGCGCCACTGCACTCCAGCCTGGGAGACAGCGAGACTCCGTCTCAAAAAAAAAAAAAAAAAAAAAAAAAGAATGTGTTCAGCTGCTAATAGAGACCCCCTCCCCAAAACACTGGTTTAAGTAAGGCCTATTTGTTTCAAGCAGAGAAGACTTGAGTCAAGAGTCAGGCAGGCAAGCCTCCACAAGGACGTAAGGCCTAACTTTTTCCATTTGCCACTTTCACCTGCTTAGCATGTGTCATTCATCCTTACGGTCACAACAGTGGCAGCTATGTTTCCAAACATTATGTATGAAATTCCAGGTGAGAATAAGGGAAAAGCTCAAGGGAAAAATGGACTTTGCTTGTTATTCAGAAAGGGTGTCCTCCTGATGAATCTCTACCTGCAGCTTATTGGCCAGAACCATCTCATGACCAACCACAACTGCAAGTAAGGTAAGGAAAGTGAACTATTTTAGTTGAATATATTGGAAATAATTGAGAACCATGTAAACAAATGGGGAACAGACAGACAACCAGCAACGTCTACCATAGGCCACCTCCTTGATTACCCAAGTGACATACCTTAAATTCACAGATACAGAAGGTTGAATGTAAAAGGATAGAAAAAGACATGGTCATGCCAGTATCAGACAACATAGATTTTAAGGCTGAAAGCATTACTAGAGATTAAAGAGGCATTTCATAATGATAGAAGTTTCAACTCACCAGGATAATACAGCAATTCTAAATTTGTATGGATGAAATAATATGGGTTCAAAATATATAAAGCATACACTGGACTACAAGAAGGATTTGACAAATTAACAATTACAGTGGAAGACTTAACATATCTTTCTTAGAAATAGAACAGTTGCTAATCATTAAGGTTTTCATCTCTTTCTTGTAGCAATTTCCTGAAAACAGAAAGTTAAGTCTACTACACACAAATATTCTGAAAATTTGGTAGCATTTGCTCTAACATTCCAACCTCAGCTGGCACATTGTCTATACCCCAGATCTAGCATGCAACTACCTGCCTATAGTGTCTATCAAGAGTCACTGGCTTCCCAGGCTGTAAATGACTGGGCCCTTTTTTCCTTGTAGTGCTCCTGGCATTGACTTTCGTTTTGGTTTTGGTTCTCAGATGAGAACAACAGTAGCTGGCTCTGATTAATTAAATTAAAAGGAGTTTATTTGGAGAGTATTGAGTTGCACACATTATTGAGGCAAGGGTTAGAGAACCAGGCCCAAAGCTAAGCATTTAGGAACAATGTACCAAACCATGCAAAAGTGGTCTGATAATATTGATGCCACAGTGAACATCCTATTTGCTGGAACTTTTCTTTATTGTACTGCAATTTCCAACAGCATGATATCTCCTTTAGCTAGTAGTTGGTCTTAAAACCAATACTGCTCCATAAAGCCAACCAAATGGAAGCTGAGTTTTTGCTACCTCCTAAGTTACTCATTTCCAATTCAAAGTCTTAAGTGGGACCATTCTATTTTTCCTGCCTTTATCTTGGTGCTCTGGCACTGTTAGAGCCTGGAATTACTCAAACAAAGCAAGAACACTCAAAAGCAACTGACAAGTCGGAAAACATGACCAATGTCCCCTACACATAGAAATATTCCTTATGCTTGTCCCCTTGAAAGAGTTCAAGTTCCACAGATTGTGATTTCGAGGTGTAAGGACAGAATCATATTCAATGTCATCAGTCTGTTGGAATTGTGACCACAAAGTTAGCATTTATATAAAAATTAATACACAGATTTAAAAATTACACCTTTTATTTCTGGGGCAATTACTTTTGGGCAATGTCAGAGTATGATTTGTTGCAAGCAACAAATAAGCAAGCAATCAACTACACAAGCCTCAAACAAATAAAAAGATTTAACAGGGAATTTGATGACATTACGTAGTCTCTATCTTTGGGGAAGGGTTACAAGAATCTGAATTTTATTTAATCTCCTTTCCAGGACAAGCAGAAATCATTATATGGTATTGCTGATAGGGTTCACAGGCTATGTAGATGATTTTTTTGAAGGACTCTCATGGATTCCGATGCAACAAAAACTGAAACAACCCAAACACATACATGTGTATATATATGTGTTTTTGCAAGTGCATATACACACGCTAATTGACATAATAAGGACTGTTTCTGGGATTGTGGAAGAAGATGCACTCTGATTCAGCCTCCCTCAGAGGTCAAAAACGAATATGAAATAATTCTGACAGGCAAGTGGAACTATCCCCCTGAACATAATTGCCAACATTCAGATGAACTTAAACCTTAATTTTCGTAGGGCAGTGGCAGATAGTAACGAGAGACAAAATTACTCAAGGTAGGGTCTCATAGGTGATTCTCTCGGGTCTCATAGGTGTTTCTCCTGGCATAGAACTCCAAGGAGCTGAATAAAGAGGGCTAATAGAAAACAGATTACAAAATAACTAGTTGTATTAAAACTTAGCATTAGATTTATGGGAACTAAAGTTTTCTTAATAATTTAATAGGTCAGTACATAAGCATTGCAGATTGAATTCATATCATCTGGGTAGTTCAAAGAGGCTATTAATACTGTTTTAGTTTAGAAGTGTACCAGGTTGGTAGCATCCTCAGGAACTTAAAAGAAGGAAATGAAAACAAGCCACCCAATAGCAAGCCAGGCCTCAAGGAATACTTGCAGAGAAAGTTCTAGTAAATGGAAGTTAATTGCCAAAATCACAAGCACCCAAGGAAACACAGCAATATGAATGAGCACCAGCAGAGTAAACAAATAAATAATTCAAACTAGCAAAACATTTAGATATTAGATTTATCAGTCACACTATAAAATGGCAACACTTAGCATTTTTAACATATATAGGCTTCAAAAGAGAGGATTAAAATACACCAAGGTGCTATAAAATTAACAAGCAACAAGCAGACTTTAAAAAGAACAAAGTAAAAATTTCAGAAAGGAAAAAATATTGAAATATAAATAATGGTTAGGTATGATGGATGATTAAATATGTCATGAGAAGATTAGTGAACTAGATGATGGATCTGAAGAATTTATTCAGAAAGTAACACAATCAGAAAAAGAGGAAATATGACAGAAAAGAGTTAGGTAGAACAGAGTAAAAAATTCTAATCTAATTTTAAAAGTTGGAGTTCTAGAAATAGAGGAATATGAATGAGGTAGAGGCAATATTTGAAAAAAAATTGAGAAATTTGATGATGTGATGAAAAAAGCAATCTATAAAGTGGTGAACCTAAAACAGAATAAATAAAAATAAATGAACATCTCACTTATGTAATTTAAACTATGGAATGCTATAGATTAGCTGAAAAATCTTTAACAACTACAGCAATCAAAATAGATTAAAGACTTAAATCAAAGACCCAAAACTATGAAAATACTAGAAGAAAACATTGGGGAATGCTTCAGGATATTGGTTTGAGCAAATATTTTATTGGTAAGATTTGAAAAGCACAGACAACAAAAGCAGAAATGGCATCACATCCTCTGCACAGCAAAGGAAACAATCAACAAAGTGAAGAGATATGAGAGAAAATATTTGCCAACTATCCAATTGACAATGGATTAATAAACAGAATATGTAAGGAACATAACTCTACAGCAAAATCAAATGACCCAATTAAATAATGGGCAAAATATCTGAATAGCCATTTCTTAAAAGAAGACCTACAAATGGCCAACAGGTATATAAAAAATGCTCAACATCACTAATCATCAGGGAAATGAAAATCAAAACCATGATGAGATAATATTTCACTCCAGTTAGAATGGCTTTTATCAAAAAGATAAAATATAACAAACGCTGGCAAAGATAAAGAGAAAGAAGAACACTCATATCCCATTATTAGTGGGAATGTAAATTAGTACAGCCACTATGCCAAAACAGTATGGAGGTTCCTCAAAAACCTCAAAATGAAACTACCTATGATCCAGCAATCCCTCTACTGGTTATACCTCAAAGAAAGAAAGGGAATCAGTATAGAGAAGAGATATCTGCACCCCTGTGTTTATTGCAACACTATTCACAATAGTCAAGATATGGAATCAGGAGGTAGAGCAAGATGGCAGAATAGAAAGCTCTGCCAATTGTACCTTCCACAAGGACACCAATTTAACAACTATCTACAGAAAAAAAAGCACTTAGTAAGAACCAAAGATCAGGTGAGCACTCACCGTACCTGCTTTTAACTTCATGTCACTCAAAGAGGCACTGAAGAGGTAGGAAAAACAGTCTTGACTTGTGGACCCCACCTCTTCCCATCCCCTGGCAGCAGAGGCATGGTGCAGAGAGCATTTCTGTGCACTGGCAAGAGGGAGAGTGCAGTAATTGTGAGGCACTGAACTCAACACTACCTGTTACAGCAGAAAGCAAAACTGGACCAAACTCAGCTGACACCAGCCCACAGAGAGAGCATTAAACCAGCCCTAGCCAGAGGGGAACTGCCAATCCCAGTGGTCCAAACCTGAGTTCCCACAAACCTCGCTACCGTGGCTGAAGGTATTCTGGGGCCCTAAATAAACTTGAAAGGCAATCTAGGCCACAAGAACTGCAACTTCTATGCAAGTCCTAGTGCTGAACTGAGCCCAGAGCCAGTGGACTGGGGGTACTTACTGAGTTACCAGCAGGGATGGCTAATGGAGTGCTGGCATCACTCCTCCCCTAACCCCAGGCTGCACAGCTCACAGCTCCAAAAGAGGCCCCTTCCTTCTGCTTGAGGAGAGGAAAGGTAAAAATGGGAAGGACTTTGTCTTGCATCTTGGATACCAGCTCTGCTACAGTAGGATAGGGTGCCTGTAAGAGTAGTGAAGCCCCCTTTCCAGGCCCAAGCTCATGGATGACATTTCTACACACACCCTGGGCCAGAATGGAACATGTTGCCTTAAAGGGAAGAAACAAGTCATGGCAGGATTCATTACCTGCTAACTGAAGAGGCTTTGGGCCCTGAATAGCCAGCAATGATACCCAGGTACTACGTTGAGGGCATTGGGTGAAACTCTGAGACTTGCTGGCTTTAGGTGAGACTCAGCACATTTCCAACTATGGTTGCTATGGGGTTACACTCTTCTATGTGAGAAAAGTGGAGGGTAAAGTAAAAGGGACTTTGTCTTGCACAGCCACATGGGGGTAGAGCACCAAGTGAGCTTTTGAGGTCCCCAATTCCAGGACATGGCTCTTGGATGTCATTTCTGGGTCTGTCTTGGGACAGAAGGAAGCCCACTGCTCTGAAGCATAAGTCCTAGCCCGGACAGCATTTACCACAAGCTGACTGAAGAGTCATGGGACTTAAGAGAACATCAACCATAGTCTGGCAGTACACCCCATGGGCCTGTGGTGGCAACGGCCATGGGCAAGGCTCCTCTGCCTTCAGAAAGGAGAGGGAAGAGTGGGAAGGACTTTGTCTTGTGATTTGTGTGCTAGATTAACAGCAGTACAAATAGAGTATCAGGTAGAGTTCTAAGGTTTTTGACTCTAGTTCCTGGTTCCCAGACAGCACCTCTGGACCTGCTCAGGGCCTGGGGGAACTCACTGCCCTGAAGAAAAAGACACAGGACTGGCTGGCTTTGCCATCTGCTGATTGTAGAAACCCAGGGTCTTGAACAAACATAGCCAGTAGCCAGGGAGTGGTTACAGTAGGCCTTGGGTGAGACCCAGTGCCATTCTGGCTTCAGGTCTGACCCAGCATAGTCCTAGTGGTGGTGGCCACAGTGGTGTGTGTGTCACTTCACCCCCAGCTTTATGTGGCTCAAAACAGAGACAGAGATCCTGTTTGTTTGCCTAGCTAGAGAAATCAGAGAAAAGAAAGAAAGAAAGGGCATTCAAATTAGAATGAAAGAAGTCAAATTATCATTGTTACTTGTTTGCAGGTGATACAATCTTATGTTTGGAAAAACCTAAAGAATCCACCAAAAAACTGTTAGAACTGATAAACAAATTCAGTAAAGTTTCCAGGTACAAAATCAGCATACAGAAATCAGTAGCATTTCTATATGTGAAGAGTGAACAATCTGAAGAAGAAATAAAAAAAAAATCCCATTATAGAGCTCTTTCACTTCTTTGGCTAATTCCTAGGTATTTAATTTTATGTGTGTACAAGACCCACATATAAGAGGAAAAAATCTAATAATCCAATCAAAACACAGGCAAAACATTTGAATAGACATTTCTCAAAAGAAGACATACAAATGGTAGACAGGCATATGAAGAAGTGTTCAACATCATTGATCCTCAGATATACACAAACCAAAACTACAATGAGACATTATCTCATGCCAGTTAAAATGGCTTATATTCAAAAGACAGACAAGGCTGGGCACAGTGGCTCATGCCTGTGATCCCAGCACTTTGGGAGGCCAAGGCAGGTGGATCACTTGAGCTTACAGGTTCAAGACCAGCCTAGGCAGCCCTGCCTCTACAAAAAAAAAAAAAAAAAAAAAAAATTCAACAATTAGTCAGGCATGGTGGTGTCTGCATATAGTCCCAGCTACTTGGGAGACTGAGGTAGGAGGATGGCTTGAGCCCAAGAGGTGGAGGTTGCAGTGAGCAAAGATTATACTGCTGCACTCCGGCCTGAATGCTAGAGCCAGACTTTGTCTCAAAACAAACACCAAAAGACAGACAATAACAAGTGCCGGTGAGGAAGTGGAGAAAGGGGAACCCTTGTACACTGTTAGTGGGAATCTAAATTAGTACAACCACTATGGAGAACAGTTTGGATGTTCCTCAGAAATCTAAAACTAGAGCTGCCATTTGATCCAGGAATCCCACTGCTGGCTACATATCCAAAATAAAGGAAATTAGTATATCAAAGAGATATCTCCATTCCCATTTTTGTTGCAGCCCTTTTCATATTAGCCAAGATATGAAAGCAACCTGTGTCCAACAGATGAATGGAGAAAGAAAACGTGGTACATATAAGCAATGGAGTACTATTCAACCATAAAGAATGAGATCTTGTCATTTGCAGCCACATGAATGGAATGGAGGTCATCATGTTAAGTCAAACAAGCCAGGCACTGAAAGACAAACTTTATACATTCTCTCTTATTTGTGGGAATCTACAAATCAAAACAATTGAACTCATGGGGATAGAGAGTAAAAGAATACTTACAGGAGACCGGGAAGGGTAATGGAGGGTGTTGGGGAAGTGAAGATGGTGAATGGATACAAAAAATAGTTGGAAAGAGTGAATAAGACCTACTATTTGCTAGCACAACAGGGTGACTATAGTTAATAATAATTTAACTGTACATTTTCAGATAATTTAAAGAATATAATTGGATTTTTTTGTAACACAAAGGATAAATCCTTGAGAGGACAGATATCCCATTTTCCATGATGTGATTATTATGCATTGCATTCCTGCATCAAAACATCTTAGGTACCCAATAAATATATACACCTAGTGTGTATATATATAGTGCCCACAAAAATTAAAAATAAATAATTGAAATATTGGAATTAACCTAAGTGTCCATCAGTGGATGAATGGATACAGAAAATGTGGTACAAAGAAAAGATAAATGTTTGAGGTGATGGATATCCCAATTACCCTGATTTGATCTTTACACATTGTATACAGGTATCAAAATATTACACGTACCCTCAAAATATATTGAAGAGGCTTCATTGTCTGGAGTAACATCCGAGGTTTGTTGTCTCACGACCATGGAGATCAAAGATGTGGACACAAAAAGAGTGAGGTTAAGAGTGAGAATTTTCCGGCGCCTGCCCCTCAGACATAATTTTGAATTAAAGAAAATATTTTATCAGAAGATGGCCACTGCCCAGTTGCAGAGGACTTCCATGACTGCACTGGTATTTCTCAATAAGATACCACCTGAACACCAGTCTTTGGTGTTAGTGAAGAGTTTCCTCACAGTTTCAGTATCCTGTATCATGTATTTGAGAGGAATATTTCCAGCATGTGCTTATGGAACCAGATATCTAGATGATCTTTGTGTCAAAATACTGAGAGAAGATAAAAATTGCCCAGGATCTACACAGTTAGTGAAATGGATACTAGGATGTTACGATGCTTTACAGAAAAAAATATCTAAGCATGGCTGTTCTAGCTATATACACAAACCCAGAAGATCCTCAGACAATTTCAGAATGTTACCAATTCAAATTCAAATACACCAATAATGGACCACTTATGGACTTCATAAGTGAAAGCCAAAGCAATGAGTCTAGCATGTTATGTACTGACACCGAGAAAGCAAGCACTCTCCTAATTCGCAAGATTTATACCCTAATGCAAAATCTGGGGCCTTTACCTAATGTTTGTTTGAGCATGAAACGTTTTTACTATGATGAAGTTACACCCCCAGATTACCAGCCTCCTGGTTTTAAGGATGGTGATTGTGAAGGAGTTATATTTGAAGGGGAACTTATGTATTTAAATGTGGGCGAAGTCTCAACACCTTTTCCCACCTTCAAAGTAAAAGTGACCACTGAGAGAGAACGAATGGAAAATATTTATTCAACTATACTATCACTAAAACAAATAAAAACACAACTTCACAAAATCCTGAGGGACAAAGATGCAGAAGATGACCAGGCGCATTATACAAGTGATGATTTGGACATTGAAACTAAAATGGAAGAGCAGGAAAAAAAAAACCCCTCGATTTTCTGAACTCGGAGAACCAAGTTTAGTTTGGGAGGATGATGAAATTGTGAGGTATAAAAAAAGTTCAGATCTTTCCATTTCTCATTCTCAGGTTGAGCAGTTAGTCAATAAAACATCGGAACTTGATATGTCTGAAAGCAAAACAAGAAGTGGAAAGTCTTTCAGAATAATGGCAAATGGAAATCAACCAGTAACATCTTCCAAAGAAATTCGGAAGAGAAGTCAACATGAATCTGGGAGAATAGTGCTCCATCACTCGCATTCTTCTAGTCAAGAGTCAGTACCAAAAAGGAGAAAGTTTAGTGAACCAAAGGAACATATATAAAAATTATTTTTCTTCTGTATGTTTGCAAAGTTTTTCTCAACATTTAAACTGAAGGACACTATATTATATTTCCCTAACTCTGAAAACGTATATGTAGTTTAAAGCAGTTTGTACACTAAAATTAAGTTCTTGGCTGACTGTCATACTGTGTTCCTTAATCTTGAAATGAATCCAGCAGAACTTTTGAATAAAAGCAAAAGTACACATGTTTGAAAAAAAAAAAGAGTGTGAATTTAATAGATGAAAAAAAGAGAATATCTCTCTGCTACAGAGAGGGGTCCCAGAAAAATGGGTTGCAGATCTGTGATGAAATGCAGGTGTTTTTATAGATGAACTAGTCGGGAGGCGGTGTCTGATTTGCATAGGGCATGAAAAACATAGGACCTGGGGTGCCATCTACATAGGGCGTGAATCTCTGGCAGCCCCACCCCAATCTTTTATTGTGCAGATGGGTTCTCTGCCTGAGCTTGTCCATGTTGCCCATTTCTTTCTTACTGTGTATGTGCTAAAAAAGTGGGGAGGTGGAACCCCCATGGTGGACATGGCTGGCCCCCAGGTAGCCCATTTCTTTTTGTGCAGCTGCTAGCATCCCTCCATGCAAGCTTCCAGCTTCCTTATCTATGTTTGCAGCTTGATCTTTCAGGCTGCTTTTTGTTAGAGAAAAAAAAAAAAAAGGCCGTGGCTCATGCCTGTAATCCCAGCACTTTGGGAGGCCAAGGCAGGCAGACCACCTGAGGTCAAGAGTTTGAGACCAGCCTGACCAACATGGAGAAACCCCGTCTCTACTAAAAATACAAAATTAGCTGGGTGTGGTGGCACATGCCTGTATTCCCAGCTACTCAGGAGGCTGAGGCAGAAGAATCGCTTGAACCTGGGAGGCAGAGCTTGCAGTGAGCCGAGATTGCTCCCCATTGCACTCCAGCCTGGGCAACAAGAGCGAAACTCCATCTCAAAAAAAGAAAAAAAAAAATTGAACCACTTTTTGTTAGAAGAGGAGCTCTGCTGAGGACTATTTTACCCTCACTATCTGCCTAAATAATTTTTCTATCTCTTGTATCAATATCATTTAAAAATTTAATGACAAAGAAAATGTGGTACATACAAATAAGGGAATATTATTCAGCCTCAAAAATAATTACAATGAAATCCTGTCATTGCAGCAACATAAATAGTAGAGGTCATTATATTACATGAAATAAGCAGGCACAGAAAGACATATACTGCATGTTCTCACTTATGTGGAAGCTAAAAAAAGTGGATCTTGTGGAGGTAAAGTTGATTCGTGGTTACCAGAGGCTGAGAAAGATAGGAGGGAGGTTGGGGGAAGAAGGAAAACTGCTAAATGGATATAAAAATACAGTTAAAGATAGAAGAAGTAAGATCTAGTGTTCAAAAGTACAGTAGGATGATTACAGTTAACAATAATTTGTCATATAGTTGAAAACTACTGATAGAGAGGAATTGGAATGTTCCCAACACAAAGAAAGGGTCAATTTTGGGGGTTATGGATGTCCCAGTTGCCTTGGTGATTACACATTTTATACATGTATCAAAATATCACATGTACCCTAAAATTATATACTTCTATTATGTATTGGGAAAAAAATTACCAGAGAAAAAGGAACTATATTTTGATTGACAATTGATTTCTCAGCAACAATAATGGAAGCCAGGAAACAGTGGAGTATTTTCAATGTGATGAGAGAAAATGCCTGTCAGTGTAGGATTATATACTTAGCAAAAATAATTTTGAAGAATAAAAAATAATGTTATTGTCAGGTGAGGAAAAGGTGAGAAATTTCACAACCAAAAGACACTCTCTTAAAAAATTCAAAAGATATACTCAAGGAAAATAAAACCAATTCCACATGGAAAATACAAAAAGGATTAAAGGACAAAGAAAGTGGTAAATATATGGATAAATATAAACAACACTGAGTGCCTAAAACAATACTTTTTGGGGGGTTTAAAATAAGGTAAGCTGTGGTATTCAATAATTACATATAAGTTAGAAAGGAATGATCAGACTTAAAATTTAATAAAATCATTATTTAAAGGAGTACATTCAGATTTTTATAAGTTAAGTATACAGGCTGAAAATGTTAAGGTAACCAATAAAACATAGAAATAGTATATGTAACTTTCAAATCTGTGGAGGAAAACATGAGTGAGGAAAATATCTATTCAATATTTAAGAAGACAACCCAAAACAACAAATTAGAAAAAGAAACAGATAAAGAGGGACAAATAGCACAAAAATAGGATAGTAGAAATAAATCCAAATAAATACCCCTCTCTTCTCAACTCTCAACATTTAGATATTTGCAGTAATGACTTGCAAATGTTTTATTAAAAATTTACTACTGGTTGATGCAAAAGTAATTTCAGTTTCTGCCATTACTTTCAGTAGCAAAAACCACAATTAATTTTGCAGTGATCTAATATCTGAAACGAAAACTATGATATATACATGAATGCACCAGCAAAATGTCAAGTTGTGTGTATGTTCAGGAAGGAGGTTTTATAGTTCTTGCTGAATATCTTAGCTCTTATACGGATAACGTCTTATTTCTAACTAATGTGATTTTCCTTGGGTTTAGCTTCTTTGTTTGTGTCTGTCAGTTATCTGAAGGCACTTAACACCTAGATCCAATTTAAATAGTATCCCTACCATTTTAAACATATGATTTCTTTGTTTGGTTACATAACAATACACATTTATTATTGAGCATAGAAAGTCAAGGAAATTTGCATCCATTACAAAATACACTAGACACAACAGAGTCAACATACGGCCCATTAAACAAAGCCATTAAATCATTTCAAAAGTTGTGATTTAATTGCTTTACATAATGCAGAAGTCTTTGGTAGCTTGTTATATGAATGTAAGAATGTTTCATTGATATTTGGGGAAATTAATCTGCATTTTTGTATTGTTACTATTACATATCCTAATTTTACCTGCAGGAATATAAAAATATAATTAATGATCCAGTTAAAATGATCCAGTAAAAGACAAGAATTTTCAGTCTTGATTAAAAAATGAAAGACCTACCTAAACCTTCAGGAAACAATTTGAACATGGATGACTGGAGCAAAGCTGGGAAAATGTTCATCAAAAAATAAACGGCTTCTTTTGAGAAGTGTCTGTTTCATGTCCTTTGCCTATTTTTAAATTTTTTTTTGGTTGTTGATTTGTTTAAATTCATTATAGATTCTGGATATTAGACCTTTATTGAATGCATAGTTTGCAAATATATTTAGTATACTCTGTTGATAGTTTCTTTTGCTGTGCAGAAGCTCTTTAGTTTAATTAAGTTCTACTTGTCAATTTTTGCCTTTGCTGTAATTGCTTTTGGAGACTTAGCCAAAAATTCTTTGCCAAGGTCAATATCAACTTATATGCCCATCAATAATGAACTGGATTTTTTAAATGTGGTACTTATACACTATGGAGTACTATGCAGCCATAAAAAGGAATAAAATAATGTCCTTTGTAGCAACATGGAATAGCTGGAGGCCTTAATCCTAAGTGAATTAACTCAGGAGCAGAAAATCAAATGCTACACATTCTCACTTATAAGTGGGAGCTGAACACTGAGCACACATGGACATAAACTTGGGAACAATAGACACGTGGGTCTACTAGAGGGAAGAGCATGAAAGGGGCATGGGTTTAAAAACTACCTATTGGGTGTCATGCTCACTACCTGGGTGATGGGATCTGTACCCCAAACCTCAGCATCATGCAATATACCCATGTAACAAACCTGCACATGTACCTTGTATATCTAAAATATAAGTTGAGGCCAGGAGTGGTGGCTCACACCTGTAATCCCAAGGCAGGCAGATTACTTGAGGCTAAAAGTTCAAGGCCAGCCTGGCCAACATGGCAAAACCCTGGCTCTACTAAAAATACAAAAATTAGCCAGGCATGATGGTGCACGCCTGTAATTCAGCTACACGGGAGGCTGAGGCACGAGAATTACTTGAACCAGGGAGGTGGAGGTTGCAGTGAGCCAAGATCGCACCACTGCACCACAGCCTGGGCGACAGAGTGAAACGAGACCCTGTCTCAAAAAAGTTAAAAAAAATCGAAATAAGAAAAAGAATGGTATAACCATATAATTATGTAAATACAGATAAAATATATTTTAGGGCCAAAAACATTTATAGAGATGAAAGAGTAATTGCAAAGTGGAGAAAAGTTCCAATTTACTGGTGAGACTAAAGATTTCTGATTTGTATACATCTATTGAACACAGTTTTTTATGTATGTGTGCATGTATGAAATGAAAAGGATGAAAAGACGAATACACGATAAGACTGGGAGATTTTAACACGTTTGTCTAGTAATTGCAAGATTAGACATGTAAAGTCAGTGAGAGCACAGAATATTCGAATAACACAATTAAAAATTTAACCTAATGAATCAACTGCAAAATATCCCTTCCATTCAAGGACACTTAGAACTTTTACAAAATTAACCACATATTGTGCCATAAAACAGGGTTCGCCAAACTTCAAATGACTGGAGTCAGGCAGAAGAAATTCCATGACCACAGTATAATTAAGTCAGAAGTAATAAACAAAAAGATTAGGGAAAATTCACACTTTTAGAAGTTAAATATTTCTAAAAAAAACACATACATCAAAGAAGAAATTATAACAAAACTTAGGAAGCACTGGAAACTGAATGATAATACAAATGCTGCATATCAAACTTACGTGATAATGCTAAAGCAGTTATTAGAAAGAAACAGAAAGCTTCAAATTATTACATTAGAAAATTTTAAAAGCCTCATAATGAATGAGTTTAAGAAATTACTAACAGAAAAAAATCCTGAATTCATCCCCCAAAATAGAATATGAAAGGAAAATAGACATATAAAATAGAAAAATCAAACGAAAGAAAATAGAAAAATGGAAGATGGAAAATCAAATGAAAAGAAAACAGAGAGAATAAACAACGCCAAAAATTATTGGAAATGACTGTCAAAATTCACAAACAGACTGTGCAAAGGAGGAAAGAGTGAAAAATACTATTACCAGTGGAGGGGTGGGGAACATAACTAGGCAGTCTGTGTAATTTAAGTTATTGTTCAGATATTATACCAATACGTTTAAAGTGTTAGGTACAAAAGACAAATTTCTATAATACTATAAATCAAACTAACTTAAGTAGAAATAGGTATGGGGGGTAAGCCCAAATTGAGTTGTCACTATTAAAAAAAAAAAATCAGTAGTTGAAAGTCTTCCTTCTCATATACTGTTCCAAAAAAGCTTCTACTATTTTATTCATGAAGTCCAGCAAACATTCAATAGATGAATTAATTCCAGTCCTACCCAAACTATCCTCAACTATAAAAATAGAGGAAATATCAGCAAACTAATACAGGAACAGAAAACCATACACCTCATGTTCTCACTCATAAGTGGGAGTTGAAAAATGAGAACAAATGGACACAGAGAGGAGAACGACCCACATTGTTGTAGGGTGTGGGGTGAGGGGAGGGAACTTAGAGGATGGGTCAATAGGTGCAGCTAACCACCATGGCACATGTACACCTATGTAACAAATCTCCATGTTCTGCACATATATCCCATATTTTTTTAAGAAGAAATAAAGAGAAGAAAGAAATCTCGAGAAACTCGTTTTCGAAGACCCTTTAATATTGTGAAGGTTAAAAAAAATAGAGGAAATAGTAATGACCTATTCCTAGCTCATCTTACGAGGCTTTCATTACCTTGGTTCTGAAACTTATGAGGACAATATATAACAAAAATTACTGTCCAGACTAACTTGTGAACATACATGTTAACATCTTAAAGAAAAGATCAGCATTGTTTAAAAGTAATAAACATTCTGGCAAATGTGTGTTCATTTGGGAATATAAGGTCGTTTAACAGAAAACAAGTTTCAGTAATATACCACATTAACAAATTTAGGAGAAATATATAATTATCTAAATGGGTACAGATAAATAATTTAATAAAATTAAACCTTTGTATGTGTTAAATCTCTTATCAAACCAAGATTTGAAAGTAAAAAAGTCCCTATTTAAAGATGTTCAAAACCCCAGAGACTACCTAATGATAAAACTTGGAAAACATTCTTTTTAAGATAAGACAAAAACAGCGGTTCCTGCTGCCACCACTTCTAGTCGGGCATTTGTCAGGGCAGCAAGGGAAGCTAAAAGATCTATGAAATTTAGGGGGGAAAAATAAAACTCTTATTTATCATAGATGGTATGATTTTTTAAAATCTAGAAACCTCTAAAGAATAATTGAGTACATTTATCAAGACTGCCAGACACATGAATTAATAAAAAACTTTAGCCACACTTCTATATATTAGCAACAAAGAGAAAATGGAATCAAACAAATATAACCTTTCACATAACATTAAAAAATTAAGAATCAATTACCAAAAATAGGCAAGACATTAATGAGAAAAATTATCAAACTTAACAGAAAAGTATTAGGTAAGACCAAGACCTAAATAAGTGGAGAGACACACCATGTTTATGATTGAAAAATACGATATTATAAAGGTATCAGTTGTCTTTTCCATTTATCTATGAATTCAGTGCAATTCTAGTAAAAGTTCTGACACATTTTCTTTTTTGTTTGCTTGTCTTTTATTTTATGATGAACTTAACAAACTGATTCTAAAATTTATACTGAAGAGCAAAGAGCCCTAAGTAGCCCAGAAACCCCTGAAAAGAATAAAGGTGTCTTATTCAGATAAATTGTAAGGGATAATTATAACACTACAGTAACTAAGCCAGTCAACAAAATAGAAGAGTGCCCTGAAACAGAATAAAACATATATAAACTCACTTGATGATGTGTTGACATTTTATATTAATGACGATTAAGGGACTAAAACAGAAAAGGTATTGGAACAATTATGGAGAAAAATAAAATTGGACCTAAACCCAAACATAAAAATAATTTTCAACTGCTGTAATGATGGAGAATATCGTTATGCCTACAGCACAGAGAAGGCTTTTAAAGGAAGATCCCCCCAAAATATATCAATGAGCATATTAAAATAAAGAACTTCTGCTCAAAATATTCATAAAGTAAATAAAAAGTGAAACTAAATTTAGAAGATATCTGGAATACATATAACCGACAAAGCATTAGAGTCTAGAATATATAAAGAAACCACAAAATTACAAGTAAAAGACAAACAATCCAATAGAATGGGCCAAAAAGAATAAAAGGAAAACAAAATCTGAAGAGTCATTTCACTTGAAACAGAAAATATATAAAATATTCAATATCGTTAAGATTAAGGGGAATGGAAATTAAGACTACAAAGAGAAGCTAACTCATATTTGCCAGACTGGCAAAAGTACTAAAATCTGAGAACATCATATTTTGCCTGGTATACAGAACCAGCTGCCCACTATGTGTTCTTGGTGGAAATGTAAATTTGAACCATCATTTCAAAAACATTTGATGTTTTCCATTTGAGCAGAGGATGCATCAATCTTATGATTTAGCAATTCTACTTTTGTCTATATATTCCTCAAATCACATGCATATGGATACCAAAAAATATGTGTAAGAATGTCTTTAGAAGCACTGTCTGTTAACAGCAAAACCTGGAAACAACCCAATAGTAGACTGAATAAATAAAATGTGGGATATTCCTACAATGAAACAGTAAATAGCAGTAAAATGAATGAATTATAACCACATACAACATGAATGAATCTTATAATAGGAGCAATGAAGCCAAATTCAAGAAGATTTTGCTATACTTGATAATTTCGTTTAAATACAGTACTAAACCATGCAGAAATAAACAATATAGTGTTTGCATATACAAACATATTTGGTAGCTATTTAAAGAAAACATATTTAGTAACAAAGGAATGATACAGAAATTCCAGTTACTTGGAATGGTAGGGAGGGCCAGGAAATAGGATAGGATTGGTGAACAGCATTTATGAGATTTGCAAAGTGATAGTAATATTGTGTTTCTTAAACTGGGTTGTAGGTAAACATGTGTTTTTTTAAGGGTTGCATTGCTATTTTTGTACTTTACATATATTTTATAAGTATTTTTGTATCTACTCAATATTTAATGAAAATAATTGAAAAAAACTATCTTCAGTAAGTGCTGGAGGGAAAACTCATATTCAAAATGTGATAACTAAGAGAAACTTTTATTAGTTCATTTCCTATAAGATATTCCATAGGCTCTCAGAGTAGATCTGATTCTGAATAAGTTAACCCATCTGTAATTTCTAAAATGTCTTTTTGGTACAGGAGAAGCCATTTTTTGGTGAGGGGAGAAGAGAAAAACAGCATCATAATGACAGCTCACCAATCTTTACTATTCTTGACCTTCTAAGATTGCTGTATGTACAGGGTTAAGATATCTTAAAGTACAGCTTGATGTGAGAGAATTTGCAGTCTGTTCACAGATGATCTTTTTCTTGCAGACAGTGTTCGATGGGACTTATAGATATCCTGAATCATCTTTTGTCTTCATTGAAATTACAGTTCTTTTGATATGAAAATATCTTACTGTTTTTCCGTCAGTACTACTAACCACCTAAATTGATGTTTTATTTACAGGGTAGTAAATAAGAACATGTTTGTCAAATATATACTCTTGTTATTTTCCCCTCAGCTTTTTGGGGGTGTCTTTATCTTTTCTTATTAGTGCTATCTTAATTGTTCCTTCTTCAAGCAGCTTATAATTTATAACTCTTTGCTTAAGGCATAATTGCTGACCAAGGGCCTCATTTCAGATCCACTTATCTATTGCTTTTTGAAGTTGTTACTGCCTTATAGAGGCCTGTCTTCAGTTGATTATAGATCAGTGCATGAGCTTTCTTGTGTAGGACTCTGCTCGCACTCTCTTACCTTCCTAGACTCCATTTAGTGACTTTTCCAGAGCTCAGCACGCTAGTGAAGACACATTGAATGTAACACTACCCATTATCATCTTTCCTTTTAGCTAATTTGAAAGCACAGTTTTAAAACTAAAGAAAAAAAACCCGATAGATTATTTTAAATTCAACTGCCTTAGAAACATTCAGTAGTAAATGAACTTATGTGATTAATATGGAAAATAAATCTGTTCTCCTTCACCCCAAGCTGCATTCTGTGTTTTAGTTGTATTTGTGCCAAGAAGTTTTGGCAATCTGTACATCTTTTTTTTTAAGCCTCAAAAGTAAATAACAAAACACAGACTCCATGGTTGTGTGGCTGATTTTACAGAGTATTATGGTGTGGATAGCTTTGATAAAATTCTCCCAAATTTTCCTATTCTCACAAGTACATCTTCAGAGTCCTTCCTCAACCTGTGTGTGGTGTGGGGGTGTGTGCATGTGTAATTTCTAAATTCATACTATTTTACATGATTCAAACTTTAAAATAATACAGAATAATGTATGGTGGGCCCACAACATCCTGAAATAACAACTTAAAAAGCTAGATAAAATGTTTCAAAGATTTCTGAAAAGCGTAAGTGAGCTAACAAGATAGTAAAAAATTACCTGGCTAAATCTAGGATAAACTAAAAATTCAGAGACTTATGTCCCAAACTAAAACTTGCTTTTGCCCAGAGGGTATTTATCTATTGAAAGAAACAACTGTGAAACTGAACTGTGGTTTTGGCAGCATCCTGATACAAGGGAACACACTTCCAAAATCAGTTTCTACCTAACTGCAGAGTCTGAAAAGAGCTATATCCTCAGAATAAGCATGAACCAGAAGTAAAGAAGCCCTTGCTTGAAAACAGACAATAGAGATCCATAAAAATTCAGATACTGAAATTAACAGACATATTATAAAACAACTTATGCTTACAAGCTAAAAATATATATCAACAAAACGAGCTTAAGAAACAGAAAGTTAAGCCGGGCACGGTGGCTGACGCCTGTAATTCCAGCACTTTGGAAGGCCGAGGCAGGCAGATTGCTTGAGGTCAGGAGTTCAAGACTAGGCTGGGTAACCTGGTAAAACCCCATCTCTACTAAAAGTACAAAAATTAGCCAGTGGTCATGGTGCGTGCCTGTAGTCCCAGCTACACGGTAGGCTGAGGCACAACAATCGCTTGTACCCTGGAAGCGGAGGTTGAAGTGAGCTGAGATCGCACCACTGCACTACAGCCTTGGGGGACAGAGGGAGATCCTGTCAGAAAAAAAAAAAAAAAAAAAAAAAGAAAGAAAAGAAAAGAAACAGAAAGTTATTTTAAAAGTGTTACTGATTTTAAGACAATCAAACCAATCTTCTCATCCTGAAACTGTTACTAAAATTAAGAACTCAGTGGAAAGATTAAACAACGGACTAGATTAAAAAGAAAATTAGTGAGCTGGAAGATAGGTTAGAATAAACTTTTCAGATTGCAGCATGAAGGGGACAAAAAGATAGGAAGTGCAAAAGACATGCTAAAAGACACAGAACATGTCTTATAGACATGTTCTTAGTATCTAAACTAATATGGGAAGATCTAAAATAATATGAGTAGAAATTGATCTTTATAGTTTGTCCCCTTAGAGCCAGGAGACTGTAGTAGGGAGATGGATGTAGTTATAAAAGGGCAAAATGGAGGATATTTGTGGTATTGGAAGTATTCTTTATCTTGATTTAGGTAGTAGACACACAAACTTATACGTGTAATAAAATTGTGTATAACTAAACACACGCATGCACACAAATAAGTACAAGTAAAACTAGAGAAATCTGAATAATATTGGTAGATTGTATAAATGCTGGCTGTGGCATTATACGATAGTTTTACAAAATTTTAACATTGAGAAAAATAGGAAAGTGTACACAAAATATCTCCGCATTCTTTCTTTCTTTCTTATTATTTTAAAAGACAGACTCTCACTCTGTGGCCCAGGCTGCAGGGCAGTGGCACGATTATGGCTCACTGCAGCCTCAAGCTGTCCCCCTGCCTCAGATTCCTGAGTAGCTAGGACTACAGGCATGTGCCACCACGCCTGGCTAATAGTTTTTATTATTATTATTATTTGTAGAGAAGGGGTCACACTATATTGCCCAGATCAGTCTTGAACTCCTGGGCTCAAGACAGCCTCCCACCTCAGCCTCCCAAAGTGTTGGCACCACTGCACCCAGTCTCTGCATTATTTCTTTCTTTCTTTTATTTATTTATTTATTTATTTGTTTATTTTTTGAGACAGAGTCTCGCTCTGTTGCCAGGCTAGAGTGCAGTGGCGCGATCTCAGCTCACTGCAACCTCCATCTCCCAGGTTCAAGTGATTCTGCTGCCTCAGCCTCCTAAGTAGCCGGACTACAGACGTGTGCCACCATGCCCAGCTAATTTTTGTATTTTTAGTAGAGACGGGGTTTCACCATGTTGGCCAAGATGGTCTTGATTTCTTGACCTTGTGATAATGTCTGCCTTGGCCTCCCAAAGTGCTGGGATTACAGGCATGAGCCACTGCGCCTGGCCTGTATTATTTCTTATAACTACATTTGAATCAATAATTCTCTCAATAAAATTTGAATTAAAAAATATACAAACATGTAGATGCACAATAGCAAAAATGCAAAATGCCTAAGCAAAGAAAACATGTTAAATACAACAGAAAAATAAAGATGGACTGCCTCCAAAAGAACAGCAGTTTGATAACTTCATAATGCCAACTAAGGATGCTAGGAGTCAGTAGAATACTAGCTTCGAAGTTTTAAGATAGGTAGCCAGTGAAGTTATTATCCAAAGTGAAGGTAAAATAAAGGCATCTTCAGATACACAGAAAAATAAGAGTGTTCACCACCTTCAAAACCGCACTAAAATGTAACCCTAAAGGATTTACGTAATAAGAATAAAATGACCCTACATGGAAGATGTGAGATGCATGAAGGAATAAAAAGCAAAATGATACACATATTACATATTAGTTTGTAAAATATGACAAGTTAGCATATATCCTTACCAGATATCAAGACTTAGTAACATTAACACAATATAGAATAACTAAGGCTGCCCAGTGGGACAGCAGAGGGCACCTAGAAACAGTCATGCATTTGTGAGCATTGAATTAAGCAGTGTAGAGCAGTGGAAAAGGACTTTTTTTTTTTTTCTTTTTTGAGACAGATTCTCAATCTGTCACCCAGGCTGGAGTGCAGTAGTGTGATCTCGGCTCACTGCAACCTCTGCCTCCTGGGTTCAAGAGCTTCTCCTGCCTTAGCCTCCCGAGTAGCTGGGACTACAGGCATGCGCCACCACACCCAGCTAATTTTTGTATTTTTAGTAGAGATGGGGTTTCACCATGTTGGCCGGGATGGTCTCAATCTCTTGACCTCGTGATCCACCCGCCTTGGCCTCCCAAAGTGCTGGGATGACAGGCGTGAACCACTGTGCACTGCCGCAAACCTCATTGGGAAATATATTCATGATATTTGGGAAAAAAAATATTTCTGAAATAAAACATAAAAAGCACTAACCACAAAGGAAAAGATCAATAAACATGCTTATGTTAGAAGTAAGAATTTTGGGCCAGGTGTGGTGGCTCACTGTAATCTCAGTGCTTTGGGAGGCTGAGGCAGGAGAATCACTTGAAACCAGGAGTTTGAGAACAGGCTGGACAACATAGCGAGATCCTGACTCTACAAAAAAATCTTTTTAAAAAAGTAAGTAAGAATTTTGTTCATCCAATGGTGCTATAAAATTACTAAAAGACAAGCCAGAGTAGAAGACATTTGCTAACAAAGACTCATATTCATAACATGCAATGAATGCCTACAAATCAATAAAAAGAGAAAATTTAACAGAAAAAAATGGGCAAAATAACATGAATAGGCATTTGCCCAAAAAGGTGTCAGAAAGGCCAATAAACCTTTAAAAATGTTTTTAACTTTTTTACAGTTAAGGAAATATTACTTATAGTCTTAATGAGATAACAGTACTACCCCCCACTGCCTACCACCAGATTAGCAAAATTTAAATTAACAATACACGATACTGAGAAAAACAACTCAATTTTGAAATAGAATATTTTTATAGATACTTCAACAAATATAGCTAAATGGCAAATAAATATATGAAAACGTGTTCGGCATCACTGCATTAGCACAATATAGATTAAGATTATAACAAAATAGAACTACACATCTATTTGAATGAATCAAATTGAAATCATTGACCATACCAAATGTTGGTAAGGTTATGGAAGAACTAGACCTCTTATACGCTGCCAGTAGTAATGTAATTTTTTTTTCTTTAGACTCCCTTAAATGTGATTTGAGTCTGGAATATATTTGTTTCCTAGTTTCACTAAAAATGTAGATTTCAGGTTTTGTTTTGTTCTTGTCGCTTTTCTGTATTTTCCCATAGGAAAAGGGGAAAATGGTGACTTTCATGGCCATGTTCATGCTGGAAGCATTCTTTATATTTTTAGGCACATTAATTCATTATTTTGAAAAGTTGATTAGAGGTGCCTTTTTAATACTAAACTTTATGAGATTATATTGGGTTGGGTAGTGCTTTATAACATAACAAAACAGAAAATATTTTCATACACTGTACCACTTCTTTTGCCATGAAAATTAATCTGATCTAGTTTAGTCAACAAAATAGAGTGAATATTACAATCAGAAAATTGAATTGAAAAGGAAATAAAAACAGTTATGCTGTCCTAAAGTTATAATCACTATAATCAACAGATGAAAAAATATGTTATGGTCGCACCCAGGGAAGTTTAAATTTTAGGCATCAAAGCACGAATCCAAGAAAGTCTTGGGAATGCCTCGCCACTTTTCTGCAGATAGATATTAGACAGATTATACTTGATAAAGCACTAAAAAAGGCTCTCTGAGAAAAAATTGTTTCTTCATACCTAGCACTGGTTGGTGTCAAAGCTTTTGATCAACTGTAATCAGTTGGCTTTTAGAAACAATGACTGATATTTTCTTTAAAGAGTTCTGTCAATCTAAGTATTTTTGTAATATATTTGTTATTAGCTTGCAGCACTTTTAATCATGTTTTTTCCTTGCAGTATTTTACTATAATGCCTCTAGTTTCTTTATCATTTTGCAACTATGATCTGTTTTATACATAATTAAACACCTTTTGCATTACCACATAGTCTGCTTCATTTCCAAAATTGAAGAAATGGCTTGTGTAGTTGTTAGGAAGTGATGATTTTAAAACACTACAAGGAATAAGATTCTTTAATATATTAATTATCTGCCAGATGAGAATGGTCTGTAGACAGGGTAAAAGAAAGGCATAATTCTCTGGAATGCAAAGAAAAACTAGCTCAAGAGATTGTTACAGAATAAGAGTTACCAGCAGACAGTTTAAGAGATAAAGACTGGGGCAGTCCTCTTTGGGCATTATACTTACATATTTTAGGTAATAAATCAGACTATTAAGGATTAAACTATATAATTATTGCCACAAAGCATGTCAACAAGCTTATTATAGCAAATGAGAAAATCTCGTTGAAATTACCAAGCTTCTTGCAAGTGAAGCCCCTTGCAAGTGATCCAAAGAACCGTACACCAGGTCAGGTGAGAATTGGAACAGCATCTGCTGAAAAATGGAGTAGCCACATTCTTCCTTGAATCTTAAGTATTAGAGTAAGGGGACAGATTAGAACCAGAATAGACACATGAGCTTGGTCATAACTGACAGCCATCCTAACACACACCAGGTCTTAGAATGATAAATGCTTTATCAGGAAAAGAAAAACTAACTAAGGAAGTAATAAAAGGGATATAGTTCTATCATCAGTATCAGTCTATGGAAGAGTTACAGTCCATGTGTCCAAATGGTGTTTGCTGGTTAAGGAGTCATAGAGTTGCATACTTGGATACTAGTTTCCTTATTCTTCAAAATAAGGTAATCACAAGCAGTCTTTTCTCTCCATTTAAATAGTACTTAGCTATCACATAAAAAATCTTATCCTCAATGATCAAGTTGGCTTCATCCCTGGGATGCAAAGCTGGTTCAACATATTCAAATGAATAAACGTAATCCAACACATAAACAGAATCAGTGACAAAAACCACATGATTATCTCAATAGATGCAGAAAAGGCCTTTGATAAAATTCAACACCGCTTCATGCTAAAAACTCTCAATAAACTAGGTATTGATGGAACGTATCTCAAAATAATAAGAGCTATTTATGACAAACCCACAGCCAATATCATACTGAATGGGCAAAAGCTGGAAGCATTCCCTTTGAAAACCGGCACAGGACAGGGATGCCCTCTCTCACCACTCCTATTTAATACAGTATTGGATGTTCTGACCAGGGAAATCAGGCAAGAGAAAAGAAATAAAGGGTATTCAAATAGGAAAAGAGGAAGTCAAATTGTCTCTGTTTGCAGATGACATGGTTGTATATTTAGAAAACCCCATCATCTCAGCACAAAACTCCTTAAGCAGATAAGCAACTTCAGCAAAATCTCAGGATACAAAATCAATGTGCAAAAAGCACAGGCATTCCTATACACCAATAACAGACAAATGGAGAGCCAAATCATGAGTGAAATCCCATTCACAATTGCTACAAAGAGAATAAAATACCTAGGAATACAACTTACAAGGGATGTGAAGGACCTCTTCAAGCAGAACTACAAACCACTGCCCAAGGAAATAAGAGAAGACACAAACAAATGGAAAAACATTCCATGCTCATGGATAGGAAGAATCAATATCGTGAAAATGGCCATACTGCCCAAAGTAATTTATAGATTCAATGCTATCCCCATCAAGCTACCATTGATGTTCTTCACAGAATTAGAAAAAACTACTTTAAATTTCATGTGGAACCAAAAAAGAGCCCATATAGCTAAGACAGTCCTAAGTGAAAAGAGCAAATCTGGAGGCCTCATGCTACCTGACTTCAAATTATATTACAAGGCTACAGTAACCAAAACAGCATGGTACTGGTACTAAAACAGATACATAGACCAGAACAGAGGCCTCAGAAATAACACCACATGTATACAACCATCTGAACTTTGACAAACCTGACAAAAACAAGAAATGGGGAAAGGATTCCCTATTTAATAAATGGTGTTGGGAAAACTGGCTAGCCATATGCAGAAAACTGAAACTGGATCCCCTCCTTATATCTTACACAAAAATTAACTCAAGATGGATTAAAGACTTAAATGTGAAACCTAAAACCATAAAAATCCTAGAAGAAAACCTAGGCAATACCATTCAAGACATAGGCATGGGCAAAGACTTCATGACTAAAACACCAAAAGCAATGGCAACAAAAGGCAAAATTGACAAATGGGATCCAATTAAACTAGAGAGCTCCTGCACAGCAAAAGAAACTATCATCAGAGTGAACAGGCAAGCTACAGAATGGGAGAAAATGTTTGCAATCTATCCATCTGACAAAGGGCTATATCCAGAGTCTATAAATAACTTAAACAAATTTACAAGGAAAAAACAAACCCATAAAAAAGTGGACGGAGGATATAAACAGACACTTCTCAAAAGAAGACATTTATGCAGCCAACAAACATATGAAGACAAGCTCATCATCACTGGTCATTAGAAAAATGTGAATCCAAACCAAATGAGATAACATCTCATGCCAGTTAGAATGGCTATCATTAAAAAGTCAGGAAACAACAGATGCTGGAGAGAATGTGGAGAAATAGGAATACTTATACACTGTTGGTGGGGATGTAAATTAGTTCAACCATTGTGGAAGACAGTGTGGTGATTCCTCAAGGATCTAAAACCAGAAATACCATTTGACCCAGCAATCCCATTACTGGGTATATACCCAAAGGATTATAAATCATTCTATTATAAAGACACATGCACACGTATGTTTACTGCGTCACTGTTCACAATAGCAGAGACTTGGATCCAACCCAAATGCCCATCAATGATAGACTGGGTAAAGAAAATGTGGCACATATACAACATGGAATACTATGCAGCCATAAAAAGGAATGAGTTCACGTCCTTTGCAGGAACGTGGATGAAGCTGGAAACCATCATTCTCAGCAAACTAACACAAGAACAGAAAGCCAAACACTGCATGTTCTTACTCATAAGTAGGAGTTGAACAATGAGAACACATGGACACAGGGAGGGGAACATCACACACCGGGGCCTATCGGTTGGTGGGGGGCTAGGGGAGGGGTAACATTAGGAGAAATACCTAATGTAGATGACGGGTTGATGGGTGCAGCAAACCACCATGGCACGTGTATACCTATGTAACAAACCTGCACATTCTGCACTTGTACCCCAGAACTTAAAGTATAATACAAAAGAAAGAAAGAGAGAGAGAGAGAGGAAGGAAGGAAGAAAGGAAGGAAGGAAGGATGGAAGGAGGGAAGGAAGGAAGGAAGGAAGGAAGGAGGGAAGAAAGGAAATAGTAGTTAGCTATCAAAATGTATCTTTGGAAATACTCTTCAGGATAATGGTTCATCTGGTTTTTAGTTGTTTTATATCTGTCCTATTTATTTACTAGCTTTTTTAAATCAAAAAGAAGCCCTTTAATTAAAAAAGCAATATGAATGTCTCCCGATAGACTTTATTAGTGGCATTATATTATTTTTGCTGCTTCCAAATGCAATAGATTTATAGTTTGTTTAAGGAGCAAGCTGAAAGATAATAATAGCTTGACTGTAGAAGAGCTATAGCTAATGCTAAATTACGTATCAGATGAAATTATTACACATAGACATTTTATACAGGAAATGGAATACATTAAAGATATAATTTTAGTGTAAGAATTACAAAACTAATTGTTATTAACTATTTCTAAGATAGTTTCCAAAGTGTTTTTTATGTCAGAATGCTTTAATAGTGTGTTTTCTTTCCACACATGGACTGCCATTTGATAAATATGATGTCAGCTCTTTCTATTTCGTAAGCTCCTATTAACTAGAGTAGTTCCCCCTACAGTAGCCGGAAGCATGCAGCAGATGGCACTAAGAACATTTAGCAAAGCAGCCAAGAAGAGGTCTTCCTTAATTGCTCCACAAGGTCAGAAAATTGTCTGAAAAATGAGATACACTAACGGAATCCGGCCCTCCCAAGATAAGTTACACAATGGAATTTGTAAGTTCCACACCCTCTACTTTCCACTCGGGAGAAGAATTTACAATATTCAAAATAAACATATAGATAATGTCATGTTGAGCTTCTTTCAGGAATTAGGACTGTAATACTTCCCAAAATGGGAGCTATCACAGCTATTGTTTTTTATTTTTAATTTAGAGCACTCCATTATTTTAACTTTGGAAGTACAAGGTACAATGTGCTTAAATTTGTATTTTAAGAAAAGGAATGGTTCATACAAAAGATAGCAAAGCAAATAACTGATTGTTTTCACGGTGTGACACATATGCTTTCAACCTGTTATGTCCTTCTTTGTATTTCTACCAAAGTGGTGCAATAGCAAGTTTGTCACAGTTATGTTCTCACTTTCTATCTTGTGGTTTTCTTTAGCAAACTGGTATTTGTTGCAGGATTGGATTGTTTAATTATTATATCTCTAAATACCTAATAATATATGACTAAACCACAGAAAAAGACTGAACTAACCTAATGTATGCAACGGAAAAGAAAAACCAAGCAAATTTATAAGTCAGTGTTCTGCCTTCAAAAATAATTTCTGTAATTTCATTTGCATCCACACTGCAAATTTACATCATTTTTTTTGTCTATAGGTAACTTTTATATAAACTTTTGTTTGCATCAACAGCACATATTTGTATCAAAACCATAAGGTGCAATGAGTATTGAAGTGTATTTCTTATACAATGGGAAAACAACTTTTATAGTTCTTCTCTTTCAGTAACTGAAACTTTACTTAAAGAAAATCAATTCATTAGAGGATAGGAATCAACAAAACCTGAGAAATTTTGGTAAGCCTGCATCATGCAACAATCTTCTGTCTCTATGAATGATCCGTGGTCACAGTGCTCTTTGTTGTTTCACATGGCCTCCCTGTACTGTCATACATACATTCTAAAACTAACAGTTATAGAATCTTGTGTTTTTGCTGTCATTATTTGAACATTTTACAAATACATTCTATATACAACACAAAAGAAAATAAATATAACTCCTGCTTTAAAGTAGAGATATTAAAGAGTTCTTGTCCAACTTTTTAAGATGAGAAATATTCCCTCCAGGATGATTGTATAGAGACAGGAAGGAATCATTAGAGATCGTGAGAGATCCATCTATCAAATTAAAACAAAAATGAAATACTGAGCTGTGAATTTAATACACATTATTTCTTGAAGAATTCGCATCTTCAAGGACAGATTTTAATAATTTCTGCTAATTCTAACATGCTCCACATGCATGAGTACATCAGGAGACCACCAGCTTTTCAAAAATACACTATGTACTATTTCCAGCAGTGTTTCTTAGAAGAGAAGAAATAACACTATGGCGTAGCAAACTTCACTGTTACATTACTGTCAATATTTACCAGGATGAAAGAAAGATGCTGTCGGTTAACTTAGGATTTGTCAATAGAATATCTTTTTTTATTATGAAAGGGCTTAATCATATAGTGAAGAGTTTTCCAAGTCCTGTTCTATAGAACATTGTTGTGTCTCACGATGTTAATAGGTGTCCTATTAGCAATAACTTATCAACACCTTTCTTTTTAAATGCATTTTCCAAAAATGCACCAACAATGTAAAAATGAAGAGTTTAAAATATTTTCATATTTGTTTTTGTTATTGTGCTAAAATCTGACTTTAAGAAAAATCCCCAAGAGTTTTCTTAGAAAGGAAAATTCCTAAGGAAGTAAAAAGAGAAAGCACTAACGTGTGCCATTTAATCAGTGTGCTAAGGCATAAGCAGCATTTATTAATACCTGGGTGCTGGATGAGAGACACAGACCATCCGCTCATGTTGCATCGTCTGGTTTTATACCTTGAGCACACAATAGTGATATTTTTAATGTTTAAGATATATCAAACATTCATTCACAGATTAGTGAATTTCTGTTAGGGCTCTGTCAATACATAATAATTTTAAAATTGTTTTGACATCAAATACATTTCACATGTGTAAATCTGGAAAGCAATTTTAAATAACAAAGTCTGCAAACTAGAAAAAGAGAAACATGAATTAAAATTTTTTCGTATCTTATAAGTAGTAGGTATGTATGTGTATGTATACTAATGCCATTCTTTTCTTTTCCTTTTTCTTTCTTTTTTTTGAGATGGAGTCTTGCTCTGTTGCCCAGGCTGAAATGCAGTGTTTTGATCTTGGCTCACTGCAACCTCCACCTCCCTGGTTCAAGCAACTCCCCTGCCTCAGCCTCCTGAATAGCTGGAATTAAAGGCGTGTGCCACCATGGCCCGACTAATTTTTGTATTTTTAGTAGAGATGGGGTTTCACCATGTTGGCCAGGCTGGTCTCAAACTCCTGACCTCAAGTGATCTGCCCACCTTGGCTTTCTAAAATGCTGGGATTACAGGCATGAGCCACTGGGCCCAATCCATTAAAGCCATTATTTTCAATTTTGCTGCAGTTGATTTGCTAACATGTCCAATTCTTAAGTACTAGTCTACAGAGAAAATCAGGCATTACTTAAAAGATGTTCTAAAGTTAATATTTTTTTTTTTTGTAGAGCAGTTTTAGGTTAACAGAAAAATAAGTGGAAAGTACAGAAAATTCCTTTATACTTCTTGTCACCACAACATGCACAGCCTCTCCCACTGTCAACATTCCACATTACAGTGGTACATTTGGTACAGTTGATCAACCTACATTGACACACCATTATCACCCAGAGTCCATAGTATATATTAGCATTTGCCCTTGGTGTTGTACATTCCATGGGTTTGGACAAATATATAATGTATCCACTGTTTTAGTATTATATAGAGTAGTTTTGATGCAGGGCAGGCAAGCCCCAAAGTGGACTTAGCCTGTGAGGATTCTTGGCTTCACCAAGGAAATAATTCAAGGGCAGTCAATGGTAGGGTAGAAGAAAACAGCTTTACTGAAGCAGCAATGTTACAGCTTCGGCAATGTTACAGCTCTTTGAGGGCTCCTATGGAGCAGGACTACCTCATAGGCTGAGTATGGTGGCTCAGGGCAGTTTTGCAGTCATATTTACACTTACTTTTAATTACATGTAGATTAAGGGATGGTCTATGCAGAAACTTCTAAGAAAGAGGTAACTTTTGGGTCATTGGGTCATTGCCATGGAAAGGAGCGGTTACTCCTGGGTGTTGCCATAGCACACTGGTAAGTGTGCCTTATGGAAAACTGCTTCCACCCCATCCCTGCTTTAGCTAGTCCTCAATTTTGTCTGGTGTCTGAGCCCCACCTCCAGATTTGAGTGTCACCTCTTACCTCAGCTTTACTGCCCTAAAAATCCTCTTGTGCTCTGCCTATTCATTCCTCCCTCCTGCCTAACCCCTGGAAACCACTAATCTTTTCATTGTCCCCATAATTTTGCCTTTTTCAGGCTATCATATAGTTGGGATCTTCATTATGTAGCCCTTTTAGCTTCTTTCACTTAGTAATATGCATTTAGGTTTCATCATGTATTTCATGGTTTGATAACTCATTTATTTTTAGCACTGAATAATATTCCATTGTTTGGATGTAGCAGTTTATCATTCACTGGCTGAAGTAAATCTTGATTGCTTTCAAGTTTTGGCAATTATGACTATAGCTTCTATAAATATCCACGTGCATGTTTTTGTGTGGACATACGTTTTTAGTTCATTTCTGCAAAGGTGAAGGATATTATGGTAAGAGTATGTTTAGTTTTATAAGATGCTGCCAAACTATCTTCCAAAGTACCATTTTGCATTTCTACCAGCAATGAGTGAGAATTCCTGTTGCTCCACATACTCACCAGTATTTGGTATTATTAATGTTTAGGATTTTGGCCATTCTAATAAGTGTTAGCTACCACACGGCTGTTTTGATTTGCAATTCCCTAATTACATATTATGTTGAACATTTATGCATATGCTTATTTGTCTTCTGTATAGCTGGCAAAATATCTGTTCATATTTTGCTCATTTTAAAAATCAGGTTGTTCATTCTCTTATTGTTGACTTTTAAGAGTTCTTTTTATACTTTGGATAACAGTCCTTTATCAGATATATTCTTTGCAAACATTTTCTGCTAGTCTGTGGTTTGTCTTCTCATGCTCTTGGAATTGTTATCCATGGAGCAGAAGTTTATAATTTTAATTCAGTCCAATTTCTGAATTATTTCTTTCATGAATTGTGCCTTTGGTGTTGCATCTCAAAAGACTCATTGCTATTCTCAAGATCACTAGAGTTTCTCTTATGTTATTTTCTTTCTTTTTTTTTTATTAGACTTTAAGTTTTAGGGTACATGTGCACATTGTGCAGGTTAGTTACATATGTATACATGTGCCATGCTGGTGCGCTGCACCCACTAACTCGTCATCTAGCATTAGGTATATCTCCCAATGCTATCCCTCCCCCCTCCCCCCACCCCACAACAGTCCCCAGAGTGTGATGTTCCCCTTCCTGTGTCCATGTGATCTCACTGTTCAATTCCCACCTATGAGTGAGAATATGCGGTGTTTGGTTTTTTGTTCTTGCGATAGTTTACTGAGAATGATGGTTTCCAATTTCAT
Source organism: Homo sapiens (assembly GCF_000001405.40). NCBI lineage: Eukaryota > Metazoa > Chordata > Mammalia > Primates > Hominidae > Homo > Homo sapiens. The sequence continues at coordinate 72,575,862 of NC_000006.12, read as the reverse complement.
CCATGTCCCTACAAAGGACATGAACTCATCATTTTTTATGGCTGCATAGTATTCCATGGTGTATATGTGCCACATTTTCTTAATCCAGTCTATCATTGTTGGACATTTGGGTTGATTCCAAGTCTTTGCTATTGTGAATAATGCCGCAATAAACATACGTGTGCATGTGTCTTTATAGCAGCATGATTTATAGTCATTTGGGTATATACCCAGTAATGGGATGGCTGGGTCAAATGGTATTTCTAGTTCTAGATCCCTGAGGAATCGCCACACTGACTTCCACAATGGTTGAACTAGTTTACAGTCCCACCAACAGTGTAAGAGTGTTCCTATTTCTCCACATCCTCTCCAGCACCTGTTGTTTCCTGACTTTTTAATGATTGCCATTCTAACTGGTGTGAGATGATATCTCATAGTGGTTTTGATTTGCATTTCTCTGATGGCCAGTGATGATGAGCATTTTTTCATGTATTTTTTGGCTGCATAAATGTCTTCTTTTGAGAAGTGTCTGTTCATGTCCTTCGCCCACTTTTTGATGGGGTTGTTTGTTTTTTTCTTGTAAATTTGTTTGAGTTCATTGTAGATTCTGGATATTAGCCCTTTGTCAGATGAGTAGGTTGAGAAAATTTTCTCCCATGTTGTAGGTTGCCTGTTCACTCTGATGGTAGTTTCTTTTGCTGTGCAGAAGCTCTTTAGTTTAATTAGATCCCATTTGTCAATTTTGTCTTTTGTTGCCATTGCTTTTGGTGTTTTGGACATGAAGTCCTTGCCCACGCCTATGTCCTGAATGGTAAGGCCTAGGTTTTCTTCTAGGGTTTTTATGGTTTTAGGTCTAACGTTTAAATCTTTAATCCATCTTGAATTGATTTTTGTATAAGGTGTAAGGAAGGGATCCAGTTTCAGCTTTCTACATATGGCTAGCCAGTTTTCCCAGCACCATTTATTAAATAGGGAATCCTTTCCCCATTGCTTGTTTTTCTCAGGTTTGTCAAAGATCAGATAGTTGTAGGTATGCGGCGTTATTTCTGAGGGCTCTGTTCTGTTCCATTGATCTATATCTCTGTTTTGGTACCAGTACCATGCTGTTTTGGTTACTGTAGCCTTGTAGTATAGTTTGAAGTCAGGTAGTGTGATGCCTCCAGCTTTGTTCTTTTGGCTTAGGATTGACTTGGCGATGCGGGCTCTTTTTTGGTTCCATATGAACTTTAAAGTAGTTTTTTCCAATTCTGTGAAGAAAGTCATTGGTAGCTTGATGGGGATGGCATTGAATCTGTAAATTACCTTGGGCAGTATGGCCATTTTCACGATATTGATTCTTCCTACCCATGAGCATGGAATGTTCTTCCATTTCTTTGTATCCTCTTTTATTTCCTTGAGCAGGGGTTTGTAGTTCTCCTTGAAGAGGTCCTTCACATCCCTTGTAAGTTGGATTCCTAGGTATTTTATTCTCTTTGAAGCAATTGTGAATGGGAGTTCACTCATGATTTGGCTCTCTGTTTGTCTGTTGTTGGTGTATAAGAATGCTTGTGATTTTTGTACATTGATTTTGTATCCTGAGACTTTGCTGAAGTTGCTTATCAGCTTAAGGAGATTTTGGGCTGAGACGATGGGGTTTTCTAGATAAACAATCATGTCATCTGCAAACAGGGACAATTTGACTTCCTCTTTTCCTAATTGAATACCCTTTATTTCCTTCTCCTGCCTGATTGCCCTGGCCAGAACTTCCAACACTATGTTGAATAGGAGCGGTGAGAGAGGACATCCCTGTCTTGTGCCAGTTTTCAAAGGGAATGCTTCCAGTTTTTGCCCATTCAGTATGATATTGGCTGTGGGTTTGTCATAGATAGCTCTTATTATTTTGAGATACGTCCCATCAATACCTAATTTATTGAGAGTTTTTAGCATGAAGGGTTGTTGAATTTTGTCAAAGGCTTTTTCTGCATCTATTGAGATAATCATGTGGTTTTTGTCTTTGGCTCTGTTTATATGCTGGATTACATTTATTGATTTGCGTATATTGAACCAGCCTTGCATCCCAGGGATGAAGCCCACTTGATCATGGTGGATAAGCTTTTTGATGTGCTGCTGGATTTGGTTTGCCAGTATTTTATTGAGGATTTTTGCATCAATGTTCATCAAGGATATTGGTCTAAAATTCTCTTTTTTGGTTGTGTCTCTGCCCGGCTTTGGTATCAGAATGATGCTGGCCTCATAAAATGAGTTAGGGAGGATTCCCTCTTTTTCTATTGATTGGAATAGTTTCAGAAGGAATGGTACCAGTTCCTCCTTGTACCTCTGGTAGAATTCGGCTGTGAATCCATCTGGTCCTGGACTCTTTTTGGTTGGTAAGCTATTGATTATTGCCACAATTTCAGCTCCTGTTATTGGTCTATTCAGAGATTCAACTTCTTCCTGGTTTAGTCTTGGGAGAGTGTATGTGTCGAGGAATGTATCCATTTCTTCTAGATTTTCTAGTTTATTTGCGTAGAGGTGTTTGTAGTATTCTCTGATGGTACTTTGTATTTCTGTGGGATCGGTGGTGATATCCCCTTTATCATTTTTTATTGTGTCTATTTGATTCTTCTCTCTTTTTTTCTTTATTAGTCTTGCTAGCGGTCTATCAATTTTGTTGATACTTTCAAAAAACCAGCTCCTGGATTCATTGAGTTTTTGAAGGGTTTTTTGTGTCTCTATTTCCTTCAGTTCTGCTCTGATTTTAGTTATTCCTTGCCTTCTGCTAGCTTTTGAATGTGTTTGCTCTTGCTTTTCTAGTTCTTTCAATTGTGATGTTAGGGTGTCAACTTTGGATCTTTCCTGCTTTCTCTTGTGGGCATTTAGTGCTATAAATTTCCCTCTACACACTGCGTGGAATGCGTCCCAGAGATTCTGGTATGTTGTGTCTTTGTTCTCGTTGGTTTCAAAGAACATCTTTATTTCTGCCTTCATTTCGTTATGTACCCAGTAGTCATTCAGGAGCAGGTTGTTCAGTTTCCATGTAGTTGAGCGGCTTTGAGTGAGATTCTTAATCTTGAGTTCTAGTTTGATTGCACTGTGGTCTGAGAGATAGTTTGTTATAATTTCTGTTCTTTTACATTTGCTGAGGAGAACTTTACTTCCAACTATGTGGTCAATTTTGGAATAGGTGTGGTGTGGTGCTGAAAAAAATGTATATTCTGTTGATTTGGGGTGGAGAGTTCTGTAGATGTCTATTAGGTCCGCTTGGTGCAGAGTTGAGTTCAATTCCTGGGTATCCTTGTTGACTTTCTGTCTCGTTGATCTGTCTAATGTTGACAGTGGGGTGTTAAAGTCTCCCATTATTAATGTGTGGGAGTCTAAGTCTCTTTGTAGGTCACTCAGGACTTGCTTTATGAATCTGGGTGCTCCTGTATTGGGTGCATATATATTTAGGATAGTTAGTTCCTCTTGTTGAATTGATCCCTTTACCATTATGTAATGGCCTTCTTTGTCTCTTTTGATCTTTGTTGGTTTAAAGTCTGTTTTATCAGAGACTAGGATTGCAACCCCTGCCTTTTTTTGTTTTCCATTTGCTTGGTAGATCTTCCTCCATCCTTTTATTTTGAGCCTATGTGTGTCTCTGCACGTGAGATGGGTTTCCTGAATAAAGCTCACTGATGGGTCTTGACTCTTTATCCAACTTGGCAGTCTGTGTCTTTTAATTGGAGAATTTAGTCCATTTACATTTAAAGTTAATATTGTTATGTGTGAATTTGATCCTGTCATTATGATGTTAGCTGGTGATTTTGCTCATTAGTTGATGCAGTTTCTTCCTAGCCTCGATGGTCTTTACATTTTGGCATGATTTTGCAGCGGCTGGTGCTGGTTGTTCCTTTCCATGTTTAGCGCTTCCTTCAGGAGCTCTTTTAGGGCAGGCCTGGTGGTGACAAAATCTCTCAGCATTTGCTTGTCTGTAAAGTATTTTATTTCTCCTTCACTTATGAAGCTTAGTTTGGCTGGATATGAAATTCTGGGTTGGAAATTCTTTTCTTTAAGAATGTTGAATATTGGCCCCCACTCTCTTCTGGCTTGTAGGGTTTCTGCCGAGAGATCCGCTGTTAGTCTGATGGGCTTCCCTTTGAGGGTAACCCGACCTTTCTCTCTGGCTGTCCTTAACATTTTTTCCTTCATTTCAACTTTGGTGAATCTGACAATTATGTGTCTTGGAGTTGCTCTTCTCAAGGAGTATCTTTGTGGCGTTCTCTGTATTTCCTGAATCTGAACGTTGGCCTGCCTTGCTAGACTGGGGAAGTTCTCCTGGATAATATCCTACAGAGTGTTTTCCAACTTGGTTCCATTCTCCGCATCACTTTCAGGTACACCAATCAGACGTAGATTTGGTCTTTTCACATAGTCCCATATTTCTTGGAGGCTTTGCTCATTTCTTTTTATTCTTTTTTCTCTAAACTTCCCTTCTCGCTTCATTTCATTCATTTCATCTTCCATTGCTGATACCCTTTCTTCCAGTTGATCGCATCGGCTCCTGAGGCTTCTGCATTCTTCACGTACTTCTCGAGCCTTGGTTTTCAGCTCCATCAGCTCCTTTAAGCACTTCTCTGTATTGGTTATTCTAGTTATACATTCTTCTAAATTTTTTTCAGTTTTCAACTTCTTTGCCTTTGGTTTGGATGTCCTCCCGTAGCTCAGAGTAATTTGATCATCTGAAGCCTTCTTCTCTCAGCTCGTCAAAGTCATTCTCCATCCAGCTTTGTTCCGTTGCTGGTGAGGAACTGCGTTCCTTTGGAGGAGGAGAGGCGCTCTGCGTTTTAGAGTTTTCAGTTTTTCTGTTCTGTTTTTTCCCCATCTTTGTGGTTTTATCTACTTTTGGTATTTGATGATGGTGATGTACAGATGGGTTTTCGGTGTGGATGTCCTTTCTGTTTGTTAGTTTTCCTTCTAACAGACAGGACCCTCAGCTGCAGGTCTGTTGGAATACCCTGCAGTGTGAGGTGTCAGTGTGCCCCTGCTGGGGGGTGCCTCCCAGTTAGGCTGCTCAGGGGTCAGGGGTCAGGGACCCACTTGAGGAGGCAGTCTGCCGGTTGTCAGATCTACAGCTGTGTGCTGGGAGAACCACTGCTCTCTTCAAAGCTGTCAGACAGGGACATTTAAGTCTGCAGAGGTTACTGCTGTCTTTTTGTTTGTCTGTGCCCTGCCCCCAGAGGTGGAGCCTACAGAGGCAGGCAGGCCTCCTTGAGCTGTGGTGGGCTCCACCCAGTTTGAGCTTCCTGGCTGCTTTGTTTACCTAATCAAGCCTGGGCAATGGCGGGCGCCCCTCCCCCAGCCTGGCTGCCGCCTTGCAGTTTGATCTCAGACTGCTGTGCTAGCAATCAGGGAGACTCCGTGGGCGTAGGACCCTCCAAGCCAGGTGTGGGATATAGTCTCGTGGTGCGCCGTTTTTTAAGCCGGTCTGAAAAGCACAATATTCGGGTCGGAGTGACCCGATTTTCCAGGTGCGTCCGTCACCCCTTTCTTTGACTCAGAAAGGGAACTCCCTGACCCCTTGCGCTTCCCAGGTGAGGCAATGCCTCGCCCTGCTTCGGCTCGCACACGGTGCGCGCACCCACTGGCCTGCGCCCACTGTCTGGCACTCCCTAGTGAGATGAACCCGGTACCTCAGATGGAAATGCAGAAATCACCCGTCTTCTGCGTCGCTCATGCTGGGAGCTGTAGACCGGAGCTGTTCCTATTCGGCCATCTTGGCTCCTCCCTGTCTCTTATGTTATTTTCTAGCAGTTTTGTGTTTTACATTTAGGCCTATGATACATTTTGCGTCAATTTTTGTAAAGAGTATAAGATCTGTTTCTAGGTTCTTTTTGTTGTTGTTGTTTTGCATGTGGATCTCCAGTTGTTCCAGCATAATTTGTCTTTTCTGTTTTGTATTGCTTTGGCTTCTGGTCAAAGATCAGTTGACTATATATGTGCGGATGTATTTTGGGGCTATTTTGTTCTGTTAATCTGCAGGTCTTTTACCAATAACACACAATCTTGATTACTGTAGGTTTATAGTAACTCTTGAAGTCAGGTAGTATTAGTTCTTTGACTAGATTTATAATGATTTCATTTTTGGGGGTGATAATGTAAATGGTAATCTGTTTTTAATTTCAGATACCATTTGTTCATTGCTCTTATTTTGGAAAATAATTGACTTTTGTATATTAAGCTTGTGTCTTGCAACATTGCTATAATTGCTTATTAGTTCCAGGTGTTTTTTGATGTTATTGACATTTTCTGATTTTCTACATCAATACTCAGATGATCTGTGAACAAAGACGGTTTTATTTCTTCCTTCCTAATCTGTATATTTTTAATTTCCTTTTCTTATTGCATTAACTAGGACTTCCAGTCCAATGTTGAGAGCAGTGGTAAGAGGGGACATCCTTGCCTTGTTTCTGAATTTAGTGGGAAAGCTCTGAGTTTCTCACCATTAAGTATGATTTTTGCTATAGGGTTTTTGTAGACGTTCTTTACCAAGCTAAGGAAGTTCCTTCTAGTCCTAGTTTACTGAGAGTTTTTTCTTTTTTTTTTAATCATAAATGGGTGTTGGATTTTGTCAAATACTTTTTCGGCATCTATTGTTATGATCATGTGATTTTTCTTCTTTAGTTTATTGATATGATGGATTTTATTGTCAAATGTTGAATCCACCTTGAATACTTGGGATAAATTTCACTTGGTTGGGGTGTATAATTCATTGTACACATTGTTAGATTCAATTTGATATTTTCTTGAGGATTTTTGCATCTATGTTCATGAAAGATATTGAGCTATAGCTTTCTTTCCTTGTAATGCCCTTGTCTGCTTTTTGGTATTAGGGTAATGCTGGCCTGATGGAGTGAATTAGGAAATATTACCTCTACTTTTCTCTTCTAGAAGAGGTTGTAGAAAATTGGTATAATCTCTTTTTTAGATGTTTGGTAGAATTAACCAGTGAACCCATTTGGGCCTGGTGCTTTCTGTTTTGGAGAGTTGTTAATTATTGATTCAGTTTCTTTACTAGATAGAGCCCTATTCAGGTTGTCTGTTTTTTCTTATGTGAGTTTTGTTAGAATCTATGTTTCAAGGAATTGGTTCATTTCATCTAGATTATTTAATTTGTGGGCATGGAGGAATTATAATATTCCTTTTTATCCTTTTAACCTCTATGGGATCTATAATGATGTCCATTTTTTTCATTTCTGACAGTAATTTGTGTCTTCTTTTGTTCCTAGTCTTGCTAGAGGCTTATCAACTTTATTGGTCCTTTCAAGGTAAAAATGCTGGCAAAACAAAAAAAAATAAAACAGGAAAAAAACTTATTGATCATTTTAAAAAAACAGCTTTTTGTTTTGTTAACTTTTTCTATTGACTTCTTGTTTTGAATTTCATTAATTTCTGTTCTAATTATTATTATTATTTTTTCCTTCTGCTTATTTTGGATTTAACTTGCTCTTCCTTTCCTATTTTCCTAATAAGAAAGCTTAGATTATTGATTTTATCTTTTTTCTTTCCTAATTCATGCATTCATTGCTATCAACTTCCCTGTAAGCATTATTTTCACTGTATCCCACAAGGTTTTGCAAGTTGTATTTTTATTTTTGTTTGGTTCAATTATTTTAAAGTTTCTCTTAAGATTTCATCTTTGACCTACTTGCTATTTAGAAGTAAGTTGTTCAATCTCCAAGTATTTGGGATTTTCCAGGTACCTTTCTTTTATTGATTTTTAGTTTAATTCCATTGTGGTCTGAGAGCAAATGTTGTATGATTTATATTTTTTTTATTTTTATAGGTGCAGGGAATACAAATGCACTTTTGTTACATGGATATATTACATAGTGGTGAAGTCTGGGCTTTTAGTGTATCCATCGCCTGAATGGTGAACATTGTACCCAATACGTAATGTTTCATCTCTCCCTCCCTACTTACCATCCCCCATTTTGGAGGCCCCAGTGTCTATTATTCCCCTCTGTATGTCTGTGTGTACCCATTGTTTAGCTTCCACTTATAAATTTCTATATTTTTAAATTTGTTGAGATTTACTTTATAGTCTGGAACATGGTCTATTTTGGTGCTGTTGAGCTCAACTATTTCATTACTGATTTTCTGCATGCTGGATCTGTTCATTTCTGATAAAGAATTACTAAAGTCTCCAACTGTAATAACGAATTCATATTTCTCCTTGCAGTTTTTACATCATATATTTAGATTCTCTGCTGTTAGGTGCATACACATTAAAGATGTCTTTTTGGAATATTAACCCCTTTTTCATTATGTAACGCTTATCTTTGTCCCTGATAATTTTCCTTGCTCTGAAGTCTGCTCCGTATGAAATTAATACAGCTGCTTCTACTTTGATTAGTGTTATCATGGTATATCTTTCTCCACCCCTTTACTTTTATTTAAGTGGATTTCTTGTAAACAACATATAATTGGGCCTTACGTTTTGACCTGCTCTGGCAATCTCTGTCTTTTAATTAGTATATTTATATTTAGATAATTGATATTTAAAGTAAATATTAATGTAGTTTGATTAATTTTGATCGTATGTGGTACTATTTTCTATTTTTTACCCTTGGTCTTTGTTCTTTTATAGATTTTTTAAGTTGCCAAGTAGAACACTTTCTATAATGTTATACTTTTAAAATGTTGTTGGAATGCATTATGTTATAAGCTTTTTAGAATATTTCTGCATGGTGAAATTTTAGATGCCATAGGAAATTTTGATTTAATATGCAGTCTATTTAAATTTCCCCTAATAAGAATGTATAATAATAATTTTGAAAAAAAATAATTCCTGGAATTTCAGGTAAGGATATTTTATCTGAAATAGTATCAGTTTCTCCTCCAGATATCTCAACAAATAGAATATTTTGGAATTCTTTGAAAAGCAAATGATGTTACCTTTCAAGCTCCCTATTTGAGCAGCTCCCCCTAAGGAACAGAATTAAAATGAAAATAAACTAATTTTTTATCTGTTTTTAACATGAGACTTAATTAGGTCTTTTAAAGTAGAGTAAAATTTATGGTAATTTAACTTCAGGAATTTTGTTTCCATTAGAATTTATCAGAAATCACCATCTACTTAAAAGTCATTAGTCTTCAGAATGATGGATGATACATTTTGTTCCACCTTTCATGTACTGGTTGTTAGAATTTACTTTTAGAAATTCAAAACCAGTTTTTATTTTAATTTGGAATGTGTTTTGTAGGTTCATTTAAATTTTAGTATTTAGAAAAGGTGGAGAAGCAAGTTGCTTCCCTAACTTCTTCTACTTGTTTAAGTATTAACCTGTTCTAGTAGTCTGATTGCATTGTTTCTGAATTTACATGAAACTCTGTTTGGTAATTGAGTGACCTTTTCTCTCTAAATCAGAAGAGCTAAGATATATCTTTTTTGAAATGGTTATTTTATTTGCTTTGACTTTCTTTTCTTAGCATTCCTCCAAAAATCCTTATGTATGTAAACAGTTTTATTAGAGTAAGTGGCAAAATCCCCAACAATTTTTACAAAATAAGTTTTACAAAAGATAATTAAGGATTGTAATATTTTTCCATACCTGCCAAGTGAGAATAGTCAAATTGCTGCCACTAATGGCATTGGCCTCACATGACTTTAATTATCATGAATTACTCAGCTTTCACCTTTCATTTATTTTAGAACCATAAGCTGAATTTTGAATTAACTTATTTTTGTGTCTTGAGAATATTAGAAGTGGAACAAAAACCATAATACCATTATTGTCGTAGTGTTGAGTAGTTAATGATTTTTTAAAGACTAAAGATATCTTTTGTCTGGGCATGGTGGCTCACACCTGTATCCCAGCAGTTTGGGAGGCCGAGGCTGGCAGACCACTGGAGGTCAGGAGTTGAACACCAGCATGACCAACATGGTGAAATCCCATATTTACTAAAAATACCAAAATTAGCTGGGTGTGGTGGAACACGCCTGTAATTCTAGCTACTTGGGGGGCTGAGGCAGGAGAATCGCTTGAACCTGGGAGGCGGAGGTTGCAGTGAGCCGAGATAGCGCCATTGCATCCAGCCTGGGAGACAAAAGCAAAAAACTCTATCAAAAAAAAAAAAAAAAAAGGCCGGGCGCGGTGGCTCACGCCTGTAATCCCAGCACTTTGGGAGGCCAAGGTGGGCAGATCACGAGGTCAGGAGATCGAGACCATCCAGGCTAACATGGTGAAATCCTGTCTCTACTAAACATACAAAAAAAAAAAAAATTAGCCGGGCGTGGTGGTGGGCGCCTGTAGTCCCAGCTACTCAGGAGGCTGAGGCAGGAGAATGGCGTGAACTCAGGAGGCGGAGCTTGCAGTGAGCCGAGATGGCACCGCTGGGCGACAGAGCGAGACTCCGTCTCAAAAAAAAAAAAAAAAAAAAAAAATCTTCTACTGATTTTCTAGAGAAAAAAAAGAAAAATGCAATGATTGTTGAATTCAAGAATTCAATGAATTAAAAGACAATTTACTGATATTTTATAATCTGCTGTGCATGGTCCTTGAACAACAAGATATCAAGAGCAAATATGGGTTCTAAAACAGCATTCAAAATGTGATGCTCCAGGAGGGCTCTTAAATGCCTGTCACTTTCACTGTGGCATTTCTATTAAAAATCGAACAGAATATCTGACCATACTTTTCCATCCCTAGTGGCTCTCCAAACGGCAACTGACCTTGCTGACCAGTAAGTTTCTCAGTATTTGTTTTCCAAAAGCATTGTATTTTAAAGCTGGTTTTTACATTTTTCAGTTTGATAAGGATGAGCAAGCTATGGTTTCTACCCCCAAGAAGCTTACATGCTATCAAGGGAAAGAGATGCATATGGAACTAACCAAAGATAATAAAGTAAATACTATGCTATTTGTGGAAACGCCAGAGAGGAAGCTAGTAATTCTTCTGAAAGGGTTAGAAAACTTTACAGATGAGATGTGATTAAAGTTTGTCCTCAACCATTCCATATATTCCACAGAAAAGATATCAGAGAAAGGTGTGGGGAAATTAAAGGGACAATCTCACACAAAAAAACTTTGAACTTACAAAATCATGTACTTTGAGTGAGAGGGACCCTCTAGTATGGTTGTTAGGAAATCAAGAAAGATACACATCATTGGAGGAAAGGAAGCTATAACTTAAGACACTAAGGTAGAAGGGCTCATTCTCTTCTCTTTCTACTCCATTACCTTCTAAAGAGTTTAGAAATAATCAAAGAATATAAAGATGCTTGTAATCTAGCTACTATTTCAATATTTACTATATACAAGGCATAATGCAAATTTATTTGCACAGGATTTCTCAACTGATTCTGTCAACAACTCTTACAATTAGGCATTATAGTTTCCATTTTATAACCAGGAAAAACCTAATGTTAATAAAAGTTAAGTAAACTTCCTGGTATCACATAACTAATAGGTGGTATAACAGAGAATCAAATCAGTGTTTTCTGACTCCAAAGTTTATTTGTGTTCTTAGTCACTACATCACACTATATCCATTGTACAAGAAATGTGCTGTAAGAAACATTAAGAAACCTAGACGGATCTGGTCCCTAACTTCCAGGAGGATGTCCCTAGAATGGGGATTTAGCCTGAAGGATGAATATCTGCAGAGACTGAGTTCAGAGCACTCACATTGTTGCCATTTTTTAAATTGATGGAGGTCTCCAAATAACCTCTATTTCCTCAGAGAACACTATGAATTTATCAATCTCAGTGTTCGGTCTCACAAACTGGAGGCATATCACTCCTCATATCTTCTAATTAGAGCCATAGGATAATCTTCTGATAATCCATTTCCTTGGCGTGTGACTGCAAAATCCTAACCTATACACATGGAAACCAATACTATTGGTTTTACCCTTAAAATTCCACTGATTTAATTATTTTATTGTTTTTAATGTTTGAACTCTATAACAAACTAGAAATTCTCCACTGTTGGTAAATGCGGATAGCATTGATGGGAAAATATGAGACAAAGGGTGGAGACTGGAGACTTAATTTCATGTGATTATTCCTGCTAGATAACCAAAAAGAGAAGTTGTGATGGCAGTTCAGGGTATTTCTGTCTGCACTGGCATTTCTGTGGCCCACAAGCTATAGGGAAAAAACTGTCTGGCAGACTCCTTGGTAGTCAATGAAATTGTCTGTGGGTCATAGAAGGCCACGTGGGCACTGGCCAAATACCTGACTGCTAGGACTGACCAGGGATAGTGTACAGGTAGTTCTGGTTTCTTCCTAAAACTATTACTCAGGAATAAACTGGAGCGCATCAGTCAGTCACATTGATCACAAGACTTTTTAATTTTAGAGTTTGCTTCCATTTTGAAAGAACAGGTAAAATTCATTTCTTGATTTTGTATAAACGTACCTATTACATACTTAATTGAATAACTTATTGAATATTCTTAGCAGTAAATTACCCATGAAACTAAAGTGTTTTCCCTATTAATTATCTATAAAATGATTAATATTGAAAAAGGCAATAAATAGATTTCATCTGACTCAAATTTTTCTATCACAAATTAGACTATAAACCATCTTATTTAAAGTTCCCAGTTTAGAGCTTTGTTTGAAATGGGAAATGAAAAATTAAAGTATCTTAGAGAATCTCTGTGTTCATAGAAAGTTTCAGCAAGTCTTACACAGAGCACAGTAAAAATGATATTTTATGTTAAACTCATAAAGCAAAAAGGAATAATCTGTTGACTATTATTAGGTCAAGTATGCACAGTATACATATAAATTTGTAAGCAAAAGGAAATTGTAACCGAAATTGATTTAATAATTTAGCACTGAGGAAATGATTTTCATATAATAAAGTTAACATATTCAGTAATAGAATGACTATATTTGCAAATCTCCTAATTGGATTTTTGTCTTAATATAAATTGCAAAGCACTTGTACTTTATTATAAATGAAATGGTGCACTCATCTATATAATTATCCATGTAATCCATATAATTATTACTTAATATTGAGCATGCACCTCCTGGGTTTGTAACTGATAAATTTGGACTTTAATTATTGAGCCAGATACTTAATTTATATAACTTTAAATTATTACTCATTCATAACTCTAGTAAAAGTAACCAAAGGGGTGCTATAATATTTTTGTGTTCTGATATATTAGAGAAAAAATTTTAAGATGAACATTTTAGTAATAGACAATATAAATTATCAAAAAAGTGTCACTAAAGAAAATAGCTTACCTGTTATTATCACTATCATCACAAATATTGTAACTATTAAGAATGCTATAAAATTTTAAATAACTAATAATATAGTGATTTCTTTCAGTGTATTTTCACCTTATGTAGTAAAATTAATGAACATTAATTTATCTTAAAATTGGAACATATAACTGACAATTTGTCTCTATTGAAGTCAGCATATTTTTAAAAATGTGATCTCAGAAATGAGAAAAAAAGTGGAAAAATATATCAGCTATATATAACTAAGTAATTGGGAAAAAATTATATTTCTTAAATATTTGAAGTGGAAAAAAATCCTGAATATTGTATTCTAGCTATAGTTAGCAGCACAAAGAGACAGAATAAGGAAACAGCAAACCAACCATGATTGCAAGCAATTTTTCCTTTGCTTTTGGTCCCAATAGAATAATTGTGTATAGAAGAACCTGGAAACAGGCAAAGGACCTGGCAGGATACACTTCTCCTAATTTCTGTTTCTTTAACATTCTATTAAAATAATACTCTTAGTAAACTTTTGCTTTGACATCAACAGGACAAACGCCTTGAGGCTTTAGAGGTGTGCCTGGAAGACATGGTGGGTTTATTTCACTCTCAGGAACTGAAGAGTAAGTGATCACCATGCCCCCTACACAATGCATAAAAGAACAGGTCCTGCATAAAATAGAAGACCCATGGCTCCTGGGTTTTAACTCCCAAGGTCCAGGCACCCTTGGTCCACAATGAATCAAGTGGAAATATTTGGGATAGGCATCTGGATATGTAGAACTGAGGCCCAAGACAGAGACTTGGCTGGGGATAGGAATGTGGAGTTTGTTCTTCTTAGCAGGTAGTTGATAATGTGCAGTGGGTGAGATAACTCTGCAGGAATGCGATTGTGTTGAATGAGAAAGGTAGCAGGTGAATATGGAATCCTGGGGAAAACCTGAGAAATACTTAAATTACTGAGATGGGCCAAGGAAGAAAATCCAGTGAGAAGCACAGGATGGTTCCATAGGTAAGTTATTTTACAAAATGAGTTATAGTTTCAAGAATGATTCTCTAATTAGTGTCAAATAATGCAGGAAGATATAATATTAAAAGGACTGTGGATTTGTCAGGATGGAGCTAATTGGCAGTCTTAGCAGCATGTTGTAGTCTAAGTGGATGTGATACTGGTACGCTGTGGGATGTCCTCAAATGCCAGTGGGACCTCGATTACAGCCAATGTCCAGTCTCTTGACATCATTGCAAGAAAGAATTCAAGGATGAGTCAGAAAATAGTGGAAGTATGGAGATTTATTGCAAAGCTAAAGTACATACTCGGGAGACGGTAATATGGGTGTACTCAAGAAAGAGTCATGCAATAGAGTTTGGGGTTTCTAGATTTATGGATTTCTATAACCAGGGGGTGGACTCTTCATGAAATTCCTGGAAAAAAATGGAGATTTCTCAGAACTGTGGTGACACTCAATTTTACCCCATGTGGCTATTCTTGGAACTGTCGTGGCACTGGCGGGTGTGTGATTTAGTTTTGTCAATGAGTAGATAATGAGGTCTTAGGAGGAACCTAGCTCAAATCCAAAGCCGTGTTGGGTCCAGTCAGTCTTAGCCAGCTCAGTCCACACCCTGTTTTTCAGGGTCTTATCAGTCCTTAGCTTCTGTAGCTGTTTCAACAGTTTGCTTTCACTTAGTCATGTGCAATTGCTGCCTGGAATTTTCTATTCTGCGACCACCCTGTATAATTCCTGCCTCAGATGGTGAGTGTGGAAGCCAGACTGTTATTTTCTAAGGTGAATTAGAGGTGAGGAAGCAGTGAAAAGCCAGTTTGGTCTCTGCTGGTATTGATTTATGCTATTATTTCTGCCACACAAATGGTAGGAGGAGAAACAGAATAGCCTAGCGCAATAGTTTACAACATTAGCTGCATATTACAGTCACCCTGAGAAAGGTTAATTTTATTTTTTACATTTTTATACAAATGCCTGCTTCCCCTCTCTCCCCAAACCCACCAAACCAATTAAATCTTAATCTCCAGGAAAAGGACTCAGATATTGATGTTTTCAGTAGAACTCCAGGTGATTTTAATATTTAGCTAGATTTGAGGACCACTGGATTAATTATATAAGACTATGGGTTTTGTAATCAGCTTTAGATTAAATGTCAACTCAGCTTCTGCTGACTGTGTGACTTCTCTGAGGCTCAATTTCTTTACCAAGTAAGGATAATAACAGTATCTTCTCCACTTGATTTCAGGAAGAATTAAATGATGTAAAGTATGTGAAACACTTGGCATGGCCCTGTCTATTATTGGTTGTTGTTGTTACTGTTTATACTATTAAATCAGACAACTGATCACCCTAGTTCTCCAGCTCTTTGGAACATATCTCTGTGTGTGTGTGTGTGTGTGTGTGTGTGTGTGTGTGTGTTTGTGTGTGTGTATGATATATATTATCTCTATGGTGACCACATAGACCATATATATATGTGTATATATGTGTGTGTGTGTATATATATATGTGTGTGTGTATATATATATATATACACACACAGATCTCTATGGTGACCACATAGTAATAAAGAGGTGCGGAGAGTTAAGTTCTGCCATTCTTTCCACCTCTTGTACTTTATGTCATCTGCTCAACAACTCTGCTACTACTTATGCCTGGTAATTGACTCTTGCCCCTGTATTAGCTATATCAAAAGTTTCCTGCTTCATTCTTGTTTGCTGCAGTTTTACATACGCTTCTTGGGCCTTTGGTTTCTAAAATCAACCATAGAATTTTATTATTCTTTCATAGAACTTAATAAGATCTCTCAAGCTACTGCTCATTTTCAACTGAATTAAAGTCATTTGTGGCAATGCCTTATTATGCTACTAGACTATACATGCTATATTTCTTGCTATGGCAGACTGCCAATAGACACTAAAAAATGTCTGCTGGATGGTAGTACGTGCATAGACTTTGGTTTCTTGCCTGGCATTCTACCCTTGGACATTACCCTGGCTACCATCGTCAAAGCAAAAATTGCACTGCAGAAAGTTAAACAGGCAAGGAAGATTTTATTCAGGACAATTGCAATATTGGAAGAGAGACCCCAATTTGAAGTAAATTCTACTAAAACTAAAAGCTGGAGAGTTTTTAAATACTGGAGTGAGCTAGTGGAAAAATGCCGGAGGACGTTTAGAGGAGGACGATCAATGGGATGTGTTGAGCACATTGAGTTATTTATTTCTGAATTTGCAAATGTTCTTCTCTGTGATTATGCCATCTGTGTTTGCTAATTGGTGCCCAAAAAAGTTAGTCTCCTTCCCCACCTCTAAGACTGGGAGACAGCAGCACTATTTTTCTTGGTAATTACCTTTCAGAGGAATAGCTCCCAGGTCCTTGAGAAAGACATTAGTGGGTTGTTAAACTGGCAAGAGGCTGGGAGAAAATATACATCTCAAAGAAGCAGAGAAAGAATGTACAATTGAAAGTTTTCTAAAGTAAATGCTCTAAGAAAAGGGAAGTCAGGGCCTAGAATCAGGAAGAAGCCTGTCTAAAGGTTAGTTAAGCTGGGGAGAACATTAAGGCTGTCTTGGTCACCATATTTGATTTTTCTTTGTTTTAATATTTTTCTCAACTTCAGTATCTCTAGACTGTCTTGATTCTTGTTTTTGCTCTGCCTGTGTTCTGGTTTAAGTCAAAAGTTTATTGAAATAATAATTTTTTTAAATCTTAAAAAACGTATTAATTGGAAACAGTAAATAAATTGAAACACACACACACACACATACACACACATCTTTAGATTTGGAATTAATCCTAAAATTAATCTAATGTAAGTCTATGTTAAATATTTGAGTCTCCTTTATAGCATTTTGCCTTAGTTTAATTATCTCCAAGGAAGAATAACTATTAGGTAATTCTTCCTTTCTTTGGCCATATCCTCACCATCACAAACAACAATGTGCAAATTGAATCATTTCCTCACTCACATGAGGGATCATAAAGTGTTTGTACACACTATTGAGATGTCATCTTCCCCTCCCTGCCATGTCTTCTCTTCCTTGGCTTAGATTCCCACTATTTCATATAGTATGTTGATTCGAGGAAACTTCTTATCCCGGGTTGTTTTCTTCAACATCTTCTATAAGATATGGCACTCAAAAGTGAATACAAAATTTCCCTAGTACAAGCAGACCAGTTCAAAGTCGAGAATAATCACTTCACTCCTTCTAAACACTCTATTTCTATTAATGCAGAGACCAAATTCCCTTTTGGTAACTGGTATTTATTTGTTTTCACATATACATTTTTACTACAGTTTACTCCTATTAAATATATTTTCTTTGGCTTGGTCTACCATTGCAGCTTGTCAACACCATTTGGGATAATGCTTATATTCTACATTGTATTAACTAATTTTTCCATTTTTCTCTAATCTGCTACATTGATAAAGATTACTTTAACTTCATCACCTGAATCTGACAAGAGCCCTGAATCCCACCCACGCACCAATAAATCAGCATCTTCAGGACATGGTCATTTAAGAAGTTATAAATTTACCTCATTGTGGCTAAATCTTCATTTATTTTATATATCCATATCCTAAGATAATTTCAAATGTGTGGATAAAGCATCAATTCAAGAAATCTTTATTATTTCTGATTGTTTTTATAAACCTAACTAAAATACATAGTATCCTAGTATGTACGAAAAACATTCCATTTTGAAATGTATCCAAGCCTACTTCTTAAACTTATAATTCCTCTGGGAAAATTGGTTATTAATTATTTTTGAGAAAAGACAAAATTTTCATTCTTACATTCATGAACAGCCAAGAAACAGAAGGGCCAGGTGTCCTTTGCTTGACTTCTTTGGCAGTGTTGTTGCCTTCTCTGCTTTCAAATCAATTAGAAAAATATTTAAGGCATAAATCTTATCTAATTTCCTATATAATTGTGTTCAAATGTGAATTTTTCACAACTTAAATTTTTTTCTGAATTGTCATTCTATGGATTTGGTAGAATAATAAAATTTATGTATGATTTGTTTGAAATTTTTATTATGTAATATTTTCTGCATATAAAACTATGCAAGATATAAGTTATGATGGCTAGTAATAAAATGCACATCCATGACTGAATTTAAAAACTAGAATATCATCAATACCATTGTGCTTTTCCTTATTGCAATCCACTGCCTTCCTTCTGGGAGGTAACTTCTATACTAAATTTTGTGTTCAGCTTTTCCTTCCTTTAATAAAGACTATTGTAACATATGTGAGTATCCCTAAGCAATATATTTAGCGTGTTTGTTGGTATAATTCATTTTTCAAATACAAGGTAGGCATCAGAAATGCTTACCTAGTGCTCAAATGATAGTAGAACCCCATGAGAGCCAAAATGGAGATTTATGTGCTTGGTTCCTCTTAGAAGACCAACTGGCGGCACATTTGACAATCTGCTTCTGTTTGGATCAACCATTGGATTCAGAGATGCTTTTGAAAACTATATTAAGGACCATTTTTCCTATACTACCCACTTGCCAAAGTACTTCTTTACTTTTCCTTTATGAAAAGTTACATGCAGTCTATGTAATAATTAAGCTGATATTAATAGCATATTAAAAAATTAAAGCATATTTAACTTAAATTTTGATATAACCATGATTTTGACCATTCTACCTGATGGTATAGACATGTACACTCAGAGTTGAAGAATAATTACACTATTTATTTATAAGTGATTAAGTTAACTAAAGTGTAAGTGCTAAATTTCAGATACCCAGACCATGATTAGTTGAGGTCCTTTTGTTTAGATCTTGCAAAGTCCTGTCTCCCTTTCTATAAGATCTTTATTCTCCCTGATTGTCTAGCTTTCTGCTCATGTATTTATTGATTCGTTTCTCTCCTACTTTCTTGACATCTGTCTTTCCTTAAGCCACTATTGTTTGGCATCTGCCTTCATGTTATGTCTGTCTTTACAAGTCTCTCATTCCTACTTTGTCCAGGATGCAAAATGAATTTAAATTCTGGGTGTTAGGAGTCCAGATTGAAGGCTTATGAAGAAACTCTGGCCAGATCTAAAATAAGTTGTGTGATCACAAGGAGAGAGTTGCAAAAACTTCAAGGATAGGGTGACAGATACAGAGATAGACAAGGAGGAAGTGAGATGTGGAAACAGGTGGGGGTAAATCTTTATTACAAGATTAAGAAATGGGAAGAAAATTAATTTTAAATTTAAAGGAAATCTATACTAACCACTTTCACAAAAGAAATTTCAGCCATTTGATTTGCTTGCAATCTGCACTGAGGCCCTCTGTTTCTGGATGATTGAAACTCAAGTTTAGTTTGCTTTTTTGAAAAAAAATCATAGATTGTTTGTTGTGGCTTGCTCATGAATAAGATTGCCAGGTTCTATTTATATAGAGTTTTGTCCCGCTTGTAAATGTAAATAATTGGTGATTTTGTTTGCAACTTCTTATTTTGTTTTTATTAATTTTGTATAATTTATGCACTCATGGCAGCCCTTCAAGTAGACTATAAAACTCTTGCTTGGCAGGATAGGACTCTGGCACTAAGCAGTTCATCAAAATTAAACTCTTAAATATTAAATAAACATTCAGGAAAAGGTGATTGCCGAGTCAGTCAGGAATAAAGTGCAGGAGTGGTGTTTCTCTATCACAAATTTATTACTTAACTTTCACTTTCAGCTGCCATGATTTCCATCATCTTAAATTGAACAGAATTCTATGTAGACTTTTTTTTTTTTGTCTCAGCTTTGAGCTCTTTTATGCAGTGAAGTATACCAAAGACAAGGAGTAACGAGGAGCATCCCAGGGGGAAGCTTTTGGTGTCATTGATTTCTTTGGGAATTTGAGGAGAACTAGGGCTCCATAAAAACATACAATTTGCAATTCTATGAAAACAACTTAGGAAGAATTTTCACATGTGGCTACATTCAACATCTACTATCTCTAGCCAGGGAATCTCTAGTCAGCTGAGATTGGGAGTAGCTGCCCTGGGCTCCGCAGGGAACTGATTATGGGTCCGAAAGACTCCCCATATACAGAGCTATGAATCTTCTAAATATGAGGAAAAGTGATAGTCATAGGGAGTCCCCTAAGTTGATGCCTCTCAAACTTTAATATATTTGCAACTTGCTTTGGGATTTTGATAAAATGCAGATTTCTAGGCCCCCCACTCCAAAGACACTGATATTGTATGTCTGGGGTGGGGCCTGAGAAGCTGCCTTTCTAGCAAGCTCTCAGGTGTTGCTACTTTGCAGTTTTCAGGACCATACATTGGAGAGAACCGCCCTGAGTGGTCAATCACACTATGATTAATTCAATCAGGAAACTTGAATGCCTTCTATGAATATCCATGACCAAAGAATGGGCCTCTGGAGGGCTGCTTGCCGACTGAAGAGAGGGAGAAAGGACACACCTGCCTAGCCAGTAAAACAACAGAATCAACTCTAGAAATCAGTGTAGTGGTAGATGACCCACTAAAATCACCTTTCTGGCCACGAACCAGCATCATGAGTTAAGAGGTAGGCAGTGTTTATAACCCAGAACGGGAAAGTTCTCTTAAAGGACTCTTGCACGACCAAAGCCAATTAAAGAGGTCTAGGGGGGGCACTGTTGTCATGGGTAGTGAATTACCAAATATTTCAGTCCAGGCATGCAGAAAACCTTACAATGTAGAGTTGTGATCCAGACCTAGACTTTGGGGTGAGGCAGCCTGCAGTAGAATCCCTGCACTGCCAATTCTCAGCTGCGTTCCTTAGCAAGTTACTTAACCTTTCTGGGCTTCAGTTTTTTCCATATAAAAATAGAGATATTAATAATATCTTCTTCCCAGGGTTGTTGTGAAACTACTATCAAAGCACTCACCACCATGCCTGACACTTAGGAAGTGCTCAATAAAGGTTTTTATTATGCCTCCAGCAAGATAAATTTTTCCTTTGATGATATCTAGTGACTTCATCAGAATAAAGACTTTCTTATACATTTTAGTGTGACATATGCAAAAAGAATCACACAGGAGCTGGAGATATTTTTTAAAGTTATTTTGATCACAGTGTATAAATTCTCATCTTAAGAGTAGTTCAGCTACTATTTTCATGATAATAACAAAGCAGCAGCTAAAGCTAAAGCTATCTTGGGCTATTTCCTCTAAATTTGCCTTCTAACATGGGAAGAATTTTATCTCACAAATTAGCAAATTCTAGCAAAGCCAGAATGTTGGTCATTTCTGATATCATGACTCTTGTGTATCTTTTCTGGCACATCCCAAAACCATCAGATTGATTCCGAGTTCTCAAAATACATATTGTGTTTATTCATTCATTATTCATTCATTCCTTTCATTCTTTGGTGTTCACAGTCTATTCCTATTGCCATGGGGATAACTATTCAATGACAACTACCTTTTTACTTCATTTTAGTCATTTCCGTTGTGTCAGGTTTATTCTGGCTTTGATGATGAATGGAAAGGGAAAAAGAAACTTATTAAATAAAGTGACTTTTTTTTCCGCTCAATTTGCTTTTGCATCTCTTATGTGTGTCTCAAATTTAGCAAGTGAAACATTTGTCCCAATGGATTATCTGAAATGCATCGTTGGCTGTCAGACACATGATTGATTTTAAATATATGCCTGAGTTCTTTCTATTAGACTAAACCCTTAGGACAGCAAAACACTCTTGCTGTAAAAATGCTTTCCTGTCATTGTCAGGTACACCTGTCATCTTTGACTTAACCCTTGTATTGTAAACAAGAAGCTGCTGGCAAGAGATCATAAACAAAACCAATTTCTGTGTCTCTATTTTCCAGAAGTCTCTCCAGGGAAGTTATCTCTCTAAGACATCATTCCATTTCATCCTTTCTTGGTTCTTGGCTCTTTTTATTCCTCTTTCTGCATGCCATATTCACTTTTCCTGTATGCATTTTGAATCAGTCTCTGTGCCTCTCTGGTTACTGTGGCTCAGCAATGAGTCATGGAAACTACTCAAGACTTGTCTCCTTCTATTTATCCTACCAGCCGTATCCTGTTATTTGTCTGCCTTTCAGCTGCCCTTGTGTAACGAGATGCCTTTTTACTTGCCTTCTTCAGTGTTATTCATCTCGTTTAAATTTTCCATCTCTGAGTTGCCAGCCCCCAACACCATTTTAAATTTTAAATATTTTCATTAATTTTTCAAAAAAGTTATAATTTGGCTGAATAACAGTGTCTCTTTGTATTACCAACTATGAAATAGTACAATGTGCAAAATTTAATTAGTTCCAATTAATGTTTTAAACCCAAATGAGCCTATGTTCATTCTCATCTACTTACTGTGGCAGAGGGATACAGCAGAGTATTTGTGCAAAAGCTTTATTCCATTTCTCTTCATGACCTTGCTATTTTTATAATTTTGAAGAGTCCAGTTATATCCAATATGTCGGACTGATTTTCCAATAAGTTACATGTAATGACACTGGAATGTCATCTATGTGCCAGTTCAATTGTGCCACGGGTTGGAAAACTGTGTGCCAAATCCAACCTGACAGCTGTTTCTGTAAATAAGCTTTCATTGCAACATAGCCACACCCACCTATGTATACACTATCTGTGGCTGCTTTCACATGACAAAGGAAGAGTTGAATAGTTGTGACAGAGACTACACGACCTAAAACACCTAAAATATTTGCTTTCTGGCCATTTTAGAAAATGTTTTCCTAGCAGTGGACCACCCGGTAAACCAAGTCTGGTAAATTTCCATGTCAGGTCTTGAGGTAAAGTTTATAGAATGGTTACTAACTGAATATCTCTCCCCTCCAAATATATAAAAATCATCTGTTAACTCATACAAAGACCAGATTATCTTTAGAGATAGTCCAAGGTATTTGCATATAACTAGAGTTGCCAGGTAAAATACAGAGTGCCCGGCCGGGTGTGGTGGCTTACGCCTGTAATCCTAGCACACTGAGAGGCCAAGGAGGGCAGACTGCCTGAGCTCAGAAGTTCGAGACCAGCCTGGGCAACATGGTGAAAACCTGTTTCTACTAAAAATACAAAAATTTAGGTGGGCATGGTGGTGCACACCTGTAGTCCTAGCTACTAGGGAGGCTGAAGCATGAACCTGAGAGGCGGAGGCTGCAGTGAGCCGAGATCATGCCTCTTCACTCCAGTTTGGGCAACAGAGCAAGACTCTGCCTCAAAAAGGAAAAAAAAACGCCGGGCTCGGTGGCTCACACCTGTAATCCCAGCACTTTGGGAGGCCAAGGCTGGCAGATCAGATCACCTGAGGTCGGGAGTTCGAGACCAGCCTGACCAATATGGAGAAGCCCTGCCTTTACTAAAAATAATAATAATAATAATAATAATAATAATTAGCCAGGTGTGGTGGCACATGCCTATAATCCCAGCTACTCAGGAGGCTAAGGCAGGAGAATTGCATGAACCCAGGAGGCGGAGGTTGCTGTGAGCCAAGATCATGCCATTGCACTCCAGCCTAGGCAACAAGAGCAAAACTCCATCTCAGTAAAACAAAAAACAAACAAACAAACAAAAAGCACAAAACACAGAATGCCCAGTTATGACTAAAATTCAGATAAATGACAAAGAATTTTCTAGTATAACTGTGTCCCACATATTACATGGGACATACTTATACTAAAAAATTCTTTATTTATCTGAAATTCAAATGTTATGGGCATCTTGCTCTTTTATTTGCTAAATCCAGCAACTTTGCATATAAAGGAATGAAAAGAAGAAAACCTGAAGAGAAATTGAAGCAACATCTACAGGGCACTGTGTGAAGTTTTTAGTTTATTAGCACCTTTGAGAATATTATCTGATAATATTCCAGAATTCTGCCATTGATATTCATGTTTTGAATCAATAATAGGAGACTTCAGTCTTTATACCCAGGTGTTTTGTGTACACAGGTGGTCTGCTTTCCAACGTAGGAATGCATGCTATTTACTAACGGCTTGAATTTTCCAATCGTATCTCAGGTTGCAGGGGGAAGAGGACTTTTCAGTACAAGATAAAGGGGAATTACACAGTAGAATTTTATAGGTTTGAGTTAGTCACAGGATGAGGGCAAATATAGAAAGTTTACAAAAATGAGTGATGGGGGAATTGGCAAGAGTCCACTTGTTCTGATACTGCTCTATCTGTAAGGATAGAGTTAGGAATTTAATTGTAATTAGGAAGCATTGAGTGATGCCAGATATTAACTAAGAGAAAGCAAGGTTTTTTAAACCAAAAAATAAAATACAAAACAATTCTATATTAGAGGCAAATTTTTTCTTAGGGGATATTCTGAAATATTTAACAAACTGTTGTGATGGCTATCCTTCTCACACCCATTTACTTTTCTAATTTTACTGTGTAAGAAAACACTTTTGGCCTGGCGCGATGGCTCATGCCTGTAATCCCAGCACTTTGGGAGGCCGAGGCGGGCGGAACATGGTGAAACCCCGTCTCTATTAAAAATACAAAAAATTAGCCAGGCGTGGTGGCGGGCACCTGTAGTCTTAGCTACTCTGGAGGCTGAGGCAGGAGAATGGCATGAACCTGGGAGGCGGAGCTTGCAGTGAGCCGAGATGGTGCCACTGCACTCCAGCCTGGGCCATAGAGTCAGACTCTGTCTCAAAAAAAAATAAAAATAAAAATAAAAGAAAGAAAAGAAAAGAAAATACTTTTACACTGCTTATGTTGGTCAGTACATTTGTCCCAGTTAAACTCATTACTACTTTGCTGAATGACTTAAAGTCAGTATCTGTATCTTTTGCTTGTCAACTTCTCATCTGCAGAAGCTGAATTAGAAGATTTCCAAGATTTTTTCTAGATCTAACACTCTACTTCTATTTCATGCCTATGCACATTAAATTAGACTGTGATATCAAGGAATAATGGCAATAGAATATACTATATGAAGATATAAAACTAGTGAATTATGTTAGTCGCATTTTCTGTTCTTTTTCACATTGAAAAGTTATTTACAATATGTCCAAAATATCAAAATAGTCCAACTGTAAAAGTGGATACTAGCCCCAAATTTGCTAAACACGACAGCATCAGAAGCTGGTTGCAATAGATGAGATTGATTGCCATCAAATTATTACAGATTTGTTTAAATTAGATGAAGCACTGATTTAATATCCTAGATTTGTCTATTTCTAGCATATGTTAATGAAATATTTGTATGTCTGGAATTCTGCTGCTGTCTTTCCTGTAAAGATTTTAGTTTCCTGGTAGTTTGTAAAAATCCAGAAATCATTTTAATTGATAGTAAATGTTCCATTACATGTGCCTGGTTTGGTAATAGCTGCAATAGAAAGAAAATCTGTCTTTGGTAAGGTTTGTGATATAGTAATATATAAATTAGATGGAAAAAATACTTGTAAGATTATGGTAAAAATTGAGGGGAAAAGAATTGATTCTTACTATGTGTAATCAAAAAAATAATAATGCTGAGTACAGTGGCTCATGCCTGTAATCCCAGCACTTTGGGAGGCTGAGGCGGGTGGATCACTTGTGGTCAGGAGTTTGAGACCAGCCCGGCCAACATGGTGAAACCCTGTCTCTACTAAAACTATAAAAGTTAGCTTGGCATGGTGGCGGGCACTGGTAATCCCAGCTACTCAAGAGACTGAGGTAGGAGAATCACTTGACCCTGGGAGGTAGAGATTGCAGTGAGCTGAGATCGCACCACTGCACTCCAGCCTGGGCAACAGAGTAACTTCTCAAAAAAAATTTATCATATTAGGTCTTGAGATAATACAACTAGAATTGAAGAAATGATAATATTGTGTTGTTTAAGCATTTTAAAAATACAAACCTCAGAAAGAAAAAAAGGGTGTACAAATATGGTAACAGTAACTTACACCTATTCAAATACTATTTTAAAACTAATTTTTATTTACACAGCTAGTATATGAAGGTATTCTCCTTGTACAAAATCAAAATATTATAAATGAGACTAACATTGCCTTTGCCCACCACTCTAATTCTTCTTTCTTCACCTCCTCCTTGGAGGTTAGTACTGTCACTGGCTTTGCATGTGTTCAGATAATTTTTAATGTATTTTTGCACAGAGATTTGATTTTTTGCTGTATTTCATATTTGATAACAAGTTCAGCCTGCTGTGTTTGTGAAAACAATGCTGCTTATGAATGATCTTTTGCATTTGGCTTAATCATCAAAGTGAAGAAAGCTACACAGGTAGCATTTGATGAGTCATTTCAGGGGGCAAGGTGTATGTGTATGTGTGTGTGTACACATGTGTGTGCATATATTTGTTGTGTGTATATATATACATATATTATATATAATACATATACACATATATACATATATTATATATAATACATATATACACATATATATACATATATTATATATAATACATATATACACATATATATACATATATTATATATAATACATATATACACATATATACATATATAATACATATATACACATATATACATATATATAATACATATATACATATATATTATATATATATATTTAGTTAAAAATGTTCACAAGCCACTTTGCACCTCAGTTTCCTCATCTGCAACCAGGAGTGTGATAATTTGAAACGTTACCTGCAATGTTTCATTCTTGCACTGCTATGAAGACATACCTGAGACTGGGTAATTTATGAAGAAAAGAGGTTTAATTGACCCACAGTTCCATACGCTGTACAGGAAACATGGCTGGGGAGACCTTAGGAAACTTACAATTATGGTGGAAGGGGAAGCATGTATGGTCTTCTCATGGCCAGGAGGAGAGAGAGTGAAGGGGGAGGTGCTACACACTTTCAAACAACCAGATCTCTTGAGAACTCAATCAGGAGAACAAGGGGGGAAGGGGGAAGTCTGCCCCCATTATTCAATCACCTCCCACCAGGCCCTTCCTCCAACACTGGGAATTACATTTCGACATGAAATTTGGGTGGGGACATACAGCCAAACCATATCCATTACAAAGCTTTTGTCCAGTTCTTAATTTCTATTATTTTTATTGCTAATAAAATTGTTATTAGCAATTAAAAGAAATAATCTCTGTTATTTTCATTGCTAATGAAATTGAAAAGATGAATATATTGAAGGATTTCTGCCACCACCACCACATGATCCTGCTGTTTTTAGTTATAGCTTTTGTTTATGCGACCCAATATTGTTTGCAAAAGCTGGATACATACCCCTTTGCTCAAAGTAGATTCAACTTAGTCCTGGTTCCCACACAGCAGGAGGGAAGATCCAGTAATATTAGTCTTTCATAGCATCTCCAGATTATTCCTTAAGAGTTTTGTCCAATTCACTTGGAGGTAATCTAAATAGATTCATACTCCTACATTTGTTCTGGGTATGATTATAATCCCCTAATCACACCAAATTTGGTGAACAATGCTGGTAACTTGTATATGACATTCCACGACCTCTTATTTCAGAGCCACAAATTAAGATTAGCTTCTATACACCTTTCCCTGATATCTCACTCTCTTTTTTTTTTCTCAAATTCACTGCCACCCTTACTAAATCATCAATAACTAGGGTTCTAAGTTTGTGTTTTCTACATTTATGTGAAGATGAATTTTAATCAGTTAGTTTTCCTTCTCTATCGAATAGACAATTGTCTTATTATCTGGGCACCAGTGTACATTTATAAACTCTGTATCCCGGCCCTACATCTATAGCATTAGTATTTAGTTGTTATTTTCTTAAATCCTTCAAGTGTCCCTCCTTAGCCAGATTTGCTGTTACTTTTCATATCAAATGAAGGCTGATGAAGAAGAGAGGTTAGGCAGACTGAAGCGAAGGATTCATGCAGAGAGCTGAACACAGGAAAACAATGCGCAAGAGTTTGCTATTGTCTTCAAACGCGTAGGACCAATGCAAAAGTGAACAACAATAACCTTCCTGAAGACATATACGTTTATGATTTCAGAGTCCAGTGTAAGTTATCTTTGGAGCATTGTAACCCCTTTATAATTAGTCATTATTAGCAATCTTGAGCCATGGAATTGCCAATTAATCTGAGGTTTCCAAAGTAGGTCTGAATAATATTCTGTAATAAAAATAACATTCATATGTAGTTGCTACATTCTCTGTCAGTTGCTGGTTGGATAAGATATCTTATTCCTAGTTTTACAGGTATGCGTATCTCATTTGCTTCAGCCAGCTTCTCTGCCAATCTTATCACCAGTGATTTCCAGTTAAAATTTCATCACACTTAGATGATTGGAAAGTGGTATAGATATGTGAGGAAAAGTTTCAACTTCAGAGGCACAAACATTCTTTAATTATTACCAGAAAAATCTCCAGAGGGAACACACTCAAAAACATCTATGAAATGTTTTAAGCTACAGAGAATTTAATGTGTCCATCTTGGATTTAATTTGATACTAATTGATGATCTTTTGGTTTGTCAAAAGACCAAGTTAGCATGGCGTCCTTCGAGGCTGAGGTTGCGAAATATATTGCTATATGAGTCTTACTCTAAACTAGTGTTGTTTTAATTAAATCAGCAATCCCTTTAGGGTTAAAACAGACAATGCAAAGCATATTAGTTTATGACTTTTTAAGAGCTAGTAATGCTCCTAGAGGTTTGTGGCACTACACAGCTCAGATATTTTTATGGTAATTTCTTTCAGATTTTAGGCAAGCAAGTTCAAGTACTTTCTAGAGAACTAGTGCTGGTCTTAGTTCTCTAGGGTGCTAAGAAATGATGTTTGTCTCTAATCTCTGTGCCCAGATGGTGAAAAATACTGTGATTAAGGTGTGTTGAGGAGAGTTGCAGCTAAAATGATTTTTATAGTGCTAATTTTCTCAGTTTCTTAGGTGCAAAGAAGTACTTTTGCATCAGTACCACTCTAATATTGATATTTTCTTTTTGATAAGCAAAACTATGCGTACTGCCTGCAGTACATTGTGTTAGTGACAAATAAGCATGAAATTCTCTGTTTACCTGAGGTCGGTAAGATCCTAACCAGTTTTCTTGTCTCTCTAGGTGGGCTTAAGATTGAGTCCACTGGTCAATGTCTATTCTGCTTTCAAGTGGCTATGCTTTTAAAATAATATCTGTGAAACTGCAAAATACTATTATTTAATACATATACATTCTCTTCACTTTAGATTAAGACTATCCTATAAATTTGGAATACATCTTCTCTGATACTGCGTAAGTTTAGAGCCATGCCATTGCCTAATATCAAGTTATAATTTTCCGTACAAAATTGATGGAAAGTTTAATAATACAGTGATATGCAAATTATATTAAAAATCTCACACCCATACACAAAGGTTGAGTTGTGGAAAAAGCCAATTGGACAGTAGATTTGCCAATATTTCCCTTAAGGCTTTCTCTTTTATATTAAGAAATTTTATTGATCAAATAAGTGTTCTTTAATAATTTATTCTTCCCTTTCTATGTATTTAAAATGCAATGTAAACATAATTTGTACACATTCTTGCATGGATTAGGGGCTCTGTTCTTTATTTTCTCTTAAAATTCAGTATCAACACCTTAGTTCCAAAGGCTAAAAACATAAAGGGCCAAATGTAAATATTTTCAGCTTTGTTAGAACTACAGGCATACTTTGGAGATGTTGTGGATTTGATTCCAGACCACCTTAACAAAGCAAATATCTCTATAAAGTAAGTCATACAAATGTTTGGGTTTCCTAGCACATATACAATTATGTTTACACTATACTGTAGTGTATTTGGTATGCAATAGCATTATGTTAAAAATGTACATATTATAATTTAAAAATACTTTATTGCTAAAAAATGTTAATGATTGCTTGAGCCTTCAACGAGTCATAATCTTTTTGCTGGTGGAGGGTTTTGCCTCAATGATGATGGCTACTGACTGATCAAGGGTGGCTGCTGAAGGTTGGGGTGGCTATGGCAATTTCTTAAAATAAGACAATGAAGCTTGCCTCGTCAATTGACTCTTTCTTTTACGAAAATATTATCTGTAGTGTGTGATGCTATTTGATAGCATTTTGCCCATAGTAGAACTTCTTTCAAAATTGAAGTCAGTCCTCTCAAACCCTGCCACTGCTTTATCAACTAAGTTTACATACTTTTCTAAATCTTGTGTTGCCATTTAACAATGCTGACAGTATCTTTACCAGTAGTAGATTCCATCTCAAGAAACTACTTTCTTTGCTCATCCATGAGAAGCAACTCCTCATCTGTTCAAGTTTTATCAGGGGATTGCAGCAATTCAGTCACATCTTTAGGCTCCATTTCTAATTCTAATTCTTTTGCTATTTCCACCAGATCCGTAGTTACTTTCTCTAGTGAAGTCTTCAACTCCTCAAAGTTATCCATGAGGGTTAGGTTAACTTCTTCCAAACTCCTATTATTGATGGTTTTTTGACCTCCTCTCATGAATTACTAATATTCTAAAGCATTTATCATGATGAATTCTTTCCAGAAGCTTTGAAATTTATTTTGCCCAGATCCATGAGAGGAATAACTACCTATGGTAACTATAGCCTTACAAAATATATTTCTGAAGTAATAAGACTTAAATGTAGAAATTGCTACTCGATCCATGGGCTGCAGAATGAATATTGTGTTATAAGCCATTAAAATAACATTTATCTCCTTGTATATCTTTATCAGAGCTCTTGAGTAACCAGGCGCATTGTCAATGACCAGTAATATGTTGAAAGAAATCTTTTCTTCTGAGAAGTAGATCTCAACAATGGGTTTAAAATATACAGGAAACCATGCTGTAGACAGAAGTGGCATCATCCAGGCTATGTTCAATTTATAGAGCGCCAGAAGAATAGATTTAACATAATTTTAAAAAGTCTTAAAATTTTCAGAATGGTAAATGAACATTGGCTGCGATTTAGAGTCACTAACTGCATGAGCCCCTAACAAGAGAATCAGCCTTTCCCTTGAAGCTTTGAAACAAGGCATTGACTTTCCTCTCCAGTTATGGAAATCCTATGTGGCACTTTCTTCCAACAAAAGACTATTTTTTCTACCTTGAAAATCTATTGTTTAGTGTAGCCACTTTCATTAATTATCTTAGCTGGATCTTCTGGATAACTTGCTGCAGCTTCTACATGAGCACTTACTGTTTCACTTTGCAATTTTAGGTTGTGGAGATGGCTTCTTCAACTTCATGAACCAGTCTCTGCCAGCTTCCAACTTTTCTTCTCTAGTTTTTCTCATCTCTCTTGGCCTTCATAGAATAGAAGAGAGTTAGGGCCTTGTTACACCATCAAGAAAATAGAAGGCTTGGACAACATTAAATACCAACCAGACAGATACAGAACACTACACTCAAAAACAGCAGAATACACATTTTTCTGAAGTGCACATGGAACATTCTGTAAGATTCATTATAAGTTTGGCTATGACTTTTGTTAAATTTAAAAGAATGAAAGTCATGCAAAGTATATTCTCTGACTACCATAGAATAAAATTAGAAATCATTAACAGAAGAAAATTTTAGAAGTGAACAAAGATGTAGAAATCAAACCTCACATTCCTAAATAACCAATGGGTCACATAAGAAATCAGAAGGGAAATTGGAAAATAGTTTGAGATGAATGAAAATGAAAACACATCATACCAAAACTTAAGAGATGTGGCAAAAGCAATATGAATAGTAAATTTATAGTTGTAAATTGTCAATATTAAAAGAAAAAAAGAAATCAGCAATTTAACTTTCTCTGTAAAACTAGGAAAAGGAGCAAATTAATTAAATCAAGTCAAAGGAAAAACATAATAAAAATTATAATGAAAATAAATAAAATTGGGAATAGAAAAACAATAGAAAAGTCAGTAAAATCAAGAGAGGAGGGACATCACAAGATGGTTGACTGGAAGTTCCTAGCACTTTTTCCCCTCACAAAGATAGCCAGAAAAACAAATAAACAACTACATTTTAACAAAAATAATGAAGGCGGAGTGTCAGAGTTAATCAGACAAGTGATAGAAACCCTGGTGTGCAAAGCTATTCAGGATGGCCATATAAAGAATGGAAGGAAAGGCCAAAGCTACACTACTTCATCCCACAACTGGGATACAGGAGAAACTTGTCCCTCAGGTAAGGAGGTAAGCAAGAAGATCTCAGCATCTCCCATCAACACCCTGGACACCTACAGACCTCACCACTGGGGTCCCCTGCAATTCTCATGGGGACTAAGCCTATTTGACAGAGCTGCCTGGAGTCCACATAGTTGTGCTCTGCTCAGAGAAGGAATTAACATTCTGCCCTATCCTCTGTGCCACATATTGCTACTGTATTACACCATCTTGAACTGGAACTATGCTTGGCATGTGTCTTGTTCCAGGAGCAAGTAGCCACAGTTACCCTTCATCCCTGAGGCTAAGCCATCACTGAACCACCATCAACTGTGACCCAACATCCCCAACGAGAGCTGTGAGCAGCTGTTACAACCTTACCCATAGGACCAAATGGAGGTAGAGCTGCTCCACCTACCCCTTCCCCTCCCACCTCAAACCAGAGCTGAAGCAATACCCTGCACCTTGAAAAACAGTACTTTGGCCACTAAGAACAGTCATGCCTCCCTAATGCCCAAGTTGAAGTAGCACCCTGCATTTTAAAAAATGATGCCTTGTCTACCTAGAGCAGTCACACATTCCAGTATCTACATTGAAGCAGTGCCCTGCAACTCAGATAAATGGTACCTGGGTTGCTCAGAAAAAATCATGCTTCCAGCTATGAGCTAAAGTAGCACATTGCCCTGCTGGGGAATTGGTGCCCTGGCCCAGCTGGGCTGCTGCTCATTCCAGGGATGAGCTGACATAGTACACTGCATTCCAGGAGAACAGAGCACTGGTTGATTTGAGAGACCCCACCCTACAGGCCAAACTACTAAACTCTAATATTCTGCTTCCCTTGAGCTGGACTAGCCCTCTAGAGTCTTTGCTGCTGAAATATCGCTGTTCTTGGGGAGTGGGGTTATTGCTATACTGTTTTCTGTTCTTCTCCACCAGGGCCCAAACAACATCTGTGCTCTGCCAGTCTGGAGTACTTGCTACCACTGTGTCTGGATTCACAGAGTCTGGGATACTGCCAAGCCCCACCATCACAGGGTCAAGGGTCACTACTGCACAATGTCTCAATTCTCGGGACCTGAATTGCCATTAAGATGTATTGGCTCAAGTTTCTGAATTGCAACTTTACCCTACCTTCTAGGACCAATCCTCCAGAGCACTTCTTTTCCCCTAGAGTTGGGCCGATGCTGTGCCCTGACTTTCATGGGTAGAATCATAGCTACAGCCTGGTCCCTTGGCCCAAGCAGCTAGGAAATATCTCAGAGTCACAGATCCTGGCTTTGTAGGCAGCCTGCATTCAACCGTGCCACAGAACATAAACCTATACCCTAAGACCAAGCTGTCGTAATAAGTTTGTGAGATTCTGAGCCTAGGACCTTGACCCCACAGTTGCTTCAAACACCTGAACTCTACAGCCTAGACTACTGAGACATTCACAGTTTATTGCTGATGTTGAACACAGCTGAAGAAGCTACATGGAGACTGTAACACTGCACTTATCTGGAAACACCGTCTCTACATCCTTCTCAACTGGCACACTAAAACCCAACTGGAGGTGAAATTCTTTCTCTATGAAAGCCACTCTAGAAACTATGGAAGAGGTCATTGCCCCACCAGATACACAGACGTCAATGCAGGCACACAAAAAACTGCAAAAACCAAATAAAATGTGACACCACCAAAGAAACATAATTCTCTAGTAAGAGATCCCAATGAAATTGAAATCAATAAATTACCAGAAAAGGACTTCAAAATAATTGATTTTAAGGAAACTCAATGAGATACAATGGAACAGACAGATAATTTAGCAAAACCAGGAAATAATTCACAATATGAATGATAAGTAAAACAAAGAGATAGAAACCATGAAAAAAGAATCAAACTGAAATCCTGCAGTTTAAACTAAAGAACCTCTGCATAGCAAAAGAACTTATGCACAGCAAAATAAACTATCAACAGAGTAAACAGACAACCTACAAAATGGGAGAAAATATTTACAAACTATCAATCCAATAAAGGTCTAATATCTAGAATCTATAAGGAATTTAAACAAATCAACAAACAAAAAACAAATAACCCAAGTAAAAAGTGGGCAAAAGACATGAACGGACACTTCTCAAAATAACATATATAGGCAGCTAGCAGACATGAAAATCATCACTAATCATCATCACTAATCATCATTGAAGTACAAATCAGAGCCACAGTGAGATACCACTCCATAGTAGTCAGGATAACTATTAAAAAGTCAAAAACAACATATGTGGTCAAGGCTGCAGAGGAAATGAAACACATACACTCTTAGTGGAAATGTAATTGCACTAACTGTAAAAAGCAGTTTGAAGCTTTTTCAAAGAACTTCAAACAGAGCTACCATTTGACCCAGCAATCGCATTACAGGGTATGTATCCAAAAGAAAATAAATTGTTCTACCAGAGAAACATATGCACTTATACATTTAGCAGCACTATTCACAATAGCAAAGACATGAATCAACATAAGTGCCCATCAGTTGTTAAAGGTAAAGAAAATGTGATACCTATACACCATGGAATACTACAGAGCAATAAAACATGGAATCATGTCTTTTGCAGTAACATGGATGCAACTGGAGGCCATTATCCTAAGTGAATTAGTGTAGGAACAGAAAAGCAAATACCACTTGTTCTCACTTATAAGTGGGAGCTAAACATTGGGTACTCATGTACATAAAGGCAGCAACAATAGACACTTGGAACTAACAGAGGCAGGGTGAAAGGGGGCAAGGGTTGAAAAATAACTATTGGATACTATACTCACTTCCTGGGTTACAAAATCATATACCAAACCTCAGCATCATGCAATATGCCCATGTAACAAGCCTGCGTATGTATCCTCTGAGTGTAAAATAAAAGTTGAAATTATTTAAAAAAAGAATTCAATGAATGAAAGAGAAAATACAATAGAAAGCAGCAACAGCAGACTTTATCAAACAGAACAAAGAATCATTGGAATTGCTGATAGATTGTTTGTAATTACTGATACAAAAGAAAAAATAAATAAAAATGGAAAAGAGTAAAGAAAGCCTACAAGACTTATGAGACATTATTAAGGTAACAAATATTCATATTATGGGAGTTCCAGAAGGGAAAAACAAGAGAGGAAGTATAGAATACCTATTTAATAAAATGATAGTTGAAAACTTTTCAAGTCTTGTGGGGGTGGGGGGGTGGGGGCGGGGCAGGGAGGTGGAATGTGGACATCCAGATCCAGGAAGATCAAAGGTCCCCAAATAAATTCAACCTAAAAAATCCTCCTCCAAAGTACATTATAGTAAATTGTCAAAAGTCAAAGACAAAGACAGAAAACAGAATTCTAAATACAGCAAAAGTATCAAGTCACTACAAGGTAATCCCAATTAGACTAAAAGCAGATTTCTCCACAGTAATCTTTTAGATTAACAGAGAATAGAAAGAAACATTCAAAGCACTGAAAGAAAAATAATTGCCAACAAAGAATACCATACCAAGCAAATCTATCATCCAGAAATGAGGGAGAATTAGAGTCTTTCACAGTCAAGCAAAAACTGAGGAAGTTTAGCAACACTGCACGGCTCCTAGAAGAAATGCTCAAGGAAGCCCTACATCTGGAAGCAAAGAGATAATAATCACTATCATGAAAACTCACAAATGTATAATACTCATTGTCAGAGCTGATACACAAAGGATAAAAATAAAAAGATCAAACCTTATAATAAGAAAACCACACATAAGTGAGATTGTCTTTCTATGCATCAGGACATTGGTCTGGACAATGATTTCATGAAGAAAACCTCAAAAACACTGAAAACAAAAGCTAAGATTGACAAATGAGATTAGAGCAAACTGAAAAGCTGTTGTACAATATGGGAAATAATCAGCAGAGTGAAGAGACAACATGAAAAATGGAAGAAAATATTTTCAACTATTTATCTGACAAGGAATTAATATCCAGAACATACTAAGTACTCAAACAGCTCAACAGCAAAAATACAAATAATCCAATTTAAAAATGGGCAAATGAGTTTAATAGATATCTTTTTAAAAAAGAGATACAGATGGCCAACAGGTATATGAAAAAATGTTCAACATCAGTAAGCATGAGGGATACAAATCAAAACCAAAATGAGATATCATCTCATCTCAGGATGGCTACTATGAAAAGACAAAAAATAACAAATGCAGGCAAGGATGCAGAGAAAGAGGAATGCATACATTTTTGGTGGGAATGTAAATTAGTGCAGCCATTATGGAAAACAATATGGAATGTTTGTACAAAACTAAAAACAGAAGTAACATATGACCCATCAGTTCCACTACTGGATATATATTCAGAGGAAAGGAAATCTGTATGTGAAGAAATATCTCTAATCCATATTTATTGCAGTACTATTCAAAACAGCCAAGATATGGGCTGGGCGTGGTGGCTCATGCCTGTAATCCCAGCACTTTAAGAGGTCAAGGTGGGTGGATCACCTGAGGTCAGGAGTTTGAGACCAGCCTGGCCAACATGGAGAAACACTATCTGTACTAAAAATACAAAAATTAGCTGGGTGTGATGGCACACACCTGTAATCCCAGCTACTCGGGAGGCTGAGGCACAAGAATCGCTTGAACCTGGGAGGCAGAGGTTGCAGTGAGCCAAGATCACACCACTGCACTCCAGCCTGAGCAACAGAGTGAGACTGTCTCAAAGAAAACAAAAACAAAAACAAAATAGCCAAGATATGGAATTGACCTAAGTGTCCATCAATAGATAATGGATAAAGAAAATGTATTATATATAACCAATAGAATACTCTTTAGCCATAAAAACCTGGAATTTTGTCATCAAAGCATCATGAGCTTGGAGGACATTATTTAGCTGAAATAAACCGGGCACAGAAAGATAAATACTTCAACTTGTCACTCATATGTGGAAGCTAAAATGGTTGTTCTCCTAGACGTAGAAATTATTAGGTTGGGGCAAAAGTAATTGCGTTTTTGCCATTGAAAGCAATGGCAAAAACCACAATTACTTTTATACCAACCTAATAGAATAGTGATTGCTAGAGGCATGGACAGCTATGGGGTATAGGGGGAGTAACCAAAAATTAACTAATGGACACAAAATTATAGCTAGATCAGAGGAAAAATTTCTAGGGCTCTATAGCACTATAAGGTGATTATACTCAACAATATTTTATTTTCAAATAGAAAAGCAGATTTGGAGTATTGTGAACACAAAGGAATGATAAATGTTTTAGGTGATGAATAAGCTAATTACTCTGATTTGATCATTATACATTGAATACATGTACTGAAATATCATACTGTACTTTATAGATATTTGCAATTCTTATGTGTCAATTAAAAATAATAATGAAAGCAAAAAAACAGAAAAAAGATATAAAGACACTTCACCAAAGAAGATATGTATGTGGCCAATAAGCACATGAAAAGATGCTCAGAATCACTAATTACTAGGGAAATGTAAATTAAAGCTAAATTGAGATATCACTCTACAACCACTAGAATAACTAAAGTTAAAAAGACTGACATTTCTAATTGGTGGTGATGATATGGAGGAGCTCAAATTCTCATTCAGTGCTGTTGGGCATGCAAAATGGTATAGCTACTTTGTAAAACAGTATGGCAGTATCTTACAAAGTTAAGCATACATGCTATGGTTTGAAAGTGTGTCCCTTCCAAAATTCATGTTTAAACTATAATCTCCATTGTGGTTGTACAAAGAGGTGGGGTCTTTTGAGAAGAGATTAAGTCATAAGGGATCTACCCTCATGAATGAATTAGTGCCTTATAAAGGGGCTGGAGGAGACTAGCGTAGGCCCTTTTTTGTCCTTCTGTTTCTTCCACCATATGAGCACACAGCATTTGGCCTCTTCAGAGGATGCGGCAAGAAGGCACAATCTTGGAAGGAGAGTCTGGGTTTCTCGCCGGATATCAAACTTGCTGATACATTGATCTTGGACTTCCTAGCCTCCAGAACTATGAGAAATAAATTTCTGTTCCTTATGTTTTTAAAAATCAATGAAACCAAAACTTGTTTATTTGAAAAGATCAACAAAAGTAACACACCTTTAGCTAGGATAACAAAAAAGGGAGAAGAATAAATTATAAAACCAAAAATAAAATCAGGGACATTACTAACAATCTTCCAGATATAAAAGGGATAAGTGAATATTATACTATGAACAATTATATGCCAGCAAATTAGATACACTCAATGAAATGAGCAAATTTCCACAAACTATCAAAAGAAAGAGGAAATCTGAATAAACTCTAACAAGTGAAAAATATTGAATTAGTAATAAACAAGCTTCTCACAAAGAAAACCCCAGGTCCAGCTGACTTTATTGGCATACCTCCAGTCTTGGATGATTTTGTCCCTTAGCAGGTTACATTTCTACCTCTGCCTACCTTAAATGCTACCCTACCATCTAAGCTCTTCATGCCCATTTGCATTGCCAGTGCCTACAAGCCAGCATTCCCCAACCCTGAGAGGGCCTCCAACCACTCTGAACTGCCTTTCTGGGCTGTCAAAATTGTCTGTTAAGGTACCAATTACTGTTTCTCTTAGTGTTATGATACATAATTCTGTAATACATAGGTTTTTACTGTCCTATTTTTCCAACAAACATTATGATTTTCAATGTGCAATTCTGCAAAGCATGAGTTTTTTTTCGGAACACATATTGTATTATAGCAACATTCCTCTATCTATTTCTTAGGGGTTTTGTAAAGGTTAAGTTACTAAATGTACAGCGCCAGAAGCATCTCTAGTACATAATAAGTAATCATTTAAACAATTGGTGTTATTAAGGATAATTTTTTTCTAATGTGTTTTTTTGGCTTTGTGTTTTCTGCAATTAAATATGTTACTCCAAAATTATAGACACATATAATTTAGTAGCATTTGCTTTTGTGAAATCAATGAATGTCCAAAATTTGATTTAAGGTAAGTTTATTACAAATAAGACACAAGTGGAAGCCTAGACAGATTTGTGATTAACTGAGAGACTTGTGTGAAAAAGATAGGATGCAAAGTCAGAAGTGATAATTATCCCAAAATGAACTCTGACATCTAGGCCTGAAATTGGCAAGTTGAAGACAGCATAAATTTTAGACACCATCATAAAGAGAAAATGTTTTCCTTGTAGAAGAGGAGATACAGTTTTAAAAATATAAAAATCATAGGAACAATTAGTGTCCCATTAACAAACATACCAAGAGTTTCATGATAAGCTATGGTGGTTATACAGAAACTTTCTGCAGCTTTTGGAAAACTTAATAACATTTTCAGGAGTAGAGAGAATGTACTCTATAGACATCTGCATATTTGGCATTAGATGAAATGAAGAGGTATCAAAAGACTTCACATCTGCCATACTGAAGAACAATGCTTGGTCCTACTGACTGATGTTCAAATGTGTTGATCTCAAAGGAGAAATGATAAACTGAGAAGTACTCTGTGATCATCACAAACCCTCCAGGCATAAAAGATTTGTAAAAAAGATTAGGCACACAGCAATATACAAAACGTACAATCAAAGGTATAGATAATTCTACCACTATGCAGATTCAAGTCAGGGCAGAAATAGAACAGAAAGATGCCTAAGATCAGGCACCCATCTGCACTCTTACCATCAACCCAAGCAGTGCAAATCCAATGCTGGATTCAGAGTATCTATAGTTATCTTATACAACAATGTTAAAAACCATGTGAAAAAAGTCTATATAGCCACAGTGAGACAAACATAATTGTTACTAAAGACAGTATGCAAGCTCATACTCATAGAGAACTGCGGTGGGTCCCAGTAGTTCTTTGTCAAGGGCTGAGACCAAGTATTCAGAGACCTTCTTGCTTACAATCCCAGGTGGAAACTGGAGAATTGTGGGCCATATTTTGATCGCTTAGTAGCATTATCTGCTCAGTTACACTAGAGTGCCTCATTTTATGCCTCTCTTCTACCATTTTTTCCCACTCTACACCACCTAATCTTGAGGACGCTGAAGGCAGAGATATTGGTGCTTTTTTTTGGAAAAAAATTCTGAATTCAATTTTGTTTTTTCAATTTACTTACACAAGGGGGCTTTGGTTTTGCCCAGCACTTATTTTTTTTTACCTCCACTCTCTGAGAAAGAATCTGAAGGTGCCCAGCTCTCTTTCTGGAATCGCGTGCTTTAAAAACAAAACAAAGAGAATAGAGAGGAAGATAGAGCTGGAGAGATAAGAAGAAAAGTAGATGGTCGCTAAGATCAAGAGGCAGGCCAGGACTGGGAAAAGAGAGGTGCAAGAAAAGAATTCAAGGAATTTGGAGAGACAGATTGGAGTAGTGCAGCAAGGTGTGAGGGAAGGAGCAGGAGATATGTGGGATCTAAATAAACTACTCAAACTCTACATATTGGCCTTCTCTTCACTGTTTTAGAGAAATTTGAGTAAAAACCTTGCATAAAAATAAAAATTAAAGAAATCTTGCTTACTGTTTTGAGTTTTCTTTGATCAAAACATTGTTTGAGATTGAGCCATATGGATCCTGGTGTTTATAAGCTGGCAGACAGGCATCAGATAGGAGATGTGAATTTTGTTAGTAGTCAGTGAAAGCAATTTAGTCTTATATCCAAATGTCTTTTCAGTAATGGCTCTCCATTTTCATAACCTCTAGGTTTCTTTATGTCCCTATCTTTATTTCAGTTAGATTATTACAAAAATTCTTCCTCTATCTTTTTGTGAAATTCATCTTTGGTCTTTGGAGGTTTTGCAATTTAATGTTCAGATTTTCTTACTTAACATCTCAGTAGAACTAAAGATAAGATGACAACACTATTTCAGCAGATCCCCTGAGATGCCTTTGTGTCTGCCCTGATAGCTCTCTTGGAAGAAACTTTAGACTGATTTGGCTGAACTTTGAGCAGCAGAGTATTTAGGGCTTTTAACATGGAAGACAGCCTTTTTCCAAGGATGGTCTTTAGGTTGTAGAAAAAAAGTTGGAGTTAAAAAATCCATTCTTATTGAACTATTGCTTTGATAATTTCACTAAGCAGTAAGAAGTTGCTTCTGCCAGAACATACATAGCTAAAAGCTGCAAAGAAATACCCAGAGTATAGGAGTCATCTTATCTAGGTCTTGTCCCTGGTGATGCTTTTTGAGAAATAGTGCAGGCTGTCATTAAAGAAGGAGGTTCTTTCTTTTATCTTTCACTTGACAGAACCTCACATCTCATGGAGCAGAAGCTGAGATGTTAAGCCTGAGAAAATGCTACAGTCTAGGAAGCACAAGTTCAATTCCTCTGCTCAGAAAAGTTCTCTTTCCTGACTCCTCCTTTGTTTCCATACACAAAAACAGCTTCTTAGCCTCACTTTTCAAGGTTTTAGAGGTAATACAGAGATTTCTAAACTATTAGAAAAAGAGCTTCTTTCTCAAATATTTTATTTGGATTTGATTATGATGGATCACTCTCAATATAAAATAAAAAAGGCAAGAAAATAAAATGAGGAAAAACACTGAAAGGCTTTGAGTTCATCTATTATTTGTTTTATCACTCAGCAAACATTAACTGAGAGTCTACTAGGTGTTAGGTCATTGAGTGTTTTGCTGGGTACTACAGATACAGCTATGAAAAGGATATAGCCTCTGTTCTCAAGAAATATATAGCTAGTGAAGATTCAAGTAAATAAGCTATTATAGTGTGTACCACATACTGTAAACCTTAAGAACAGGGTACTGAGGGATCACAATAAGAGACATCTAACTGAGTCAGGATGGGGGAGTGTGACAATATTCAGGAAAGTACTAACTTTCAGGAATGAAGTGCAGCTTAGGAATGTATTGGTGCTGGGGATAGTATGATAATCTGAGATGTCTGCTGTGTATATTACTGACTAGTCAGATCTTAGCATAGTTTATCATTGCAGTGAATTTTATATTACATTTCTGGATCTCTCTCTTCACCCCCTCCCATATTTATTTAAATAAAAATTTTTATCCATTCAATATTTATTAAATATCTCTTATGTGCAGGCACTATCCTAGCATATTAGTGGTTCGGCAGTGAAAAGGGCAATTGTGATTTTTTTGGGACACACGTAGTCTAGAAGGACCTAAAACCAGATCATGCAAATAAGTGAAGCCAGCAAAGTGTACTACAATAGGGAATGGTGAAGACTTATTAAACCTGACAATACCTCCTCTCTCTAAAGGCATTAAAGCTCATATTATTAAGCAACACTGTGGGGGCAAAGTAAACATATTTGCAGACCAGGAATAACTCAAAGGATGCCAACTGGAGACTTCTGAAAGATTAAGAGATGTTGTTACTTCACACTTAAAATACAGAAGGAAAGGTTCTGCCACACAGCTTCTAGAGGAAATTTGAGTCACACAGTAGAACACTGGGGTAGACGGGAGATGTGGTTTCTGAGGTCCATAGAGACATAACATAAGCCAGCACTTCTATGCTGGCTGTGGAACTTCATTGTTAAGTGTAAAGAAGGTGTCACTGTGCTGCTGCCTCTTTCCACTTTTTTTCTTTCTTTCTTTCTTTCTTTCTTTCTTTCTTTCTTTCTTTCTTTCTTTCTTTCTTTCTTTTTCTTTCTTTCTTTCTTTTTTTCTTTCTCTTTCTTTCTTCTCCTTGCTTCCCTCCCTCCCTCCCTCCCTTCCTTCCTTCCTTCTTTCTCTTTCTTTCTCTTTCTCTTTCTCTCTCTTTCTCTCTTTCTTTTGAGATGGAGTCTTGCTCTGTCACCCACACTGGAGTGCAATGGCGTGATCTCGGTTCACTGCAACCTCCGCCTCCAGGGTTCAAGTGATTCTCCTACCTCAGCCCCCTGAGTAGCTGGGACTGCAGGCGTCCGCCACCACTCCTGGCTAATTTTTGTAATTTTAGTAGAGATGAGGAGTCACCATGTTGGCCAGACTGGTCTTGAACTCCTGACCTCAGATGATCCACCCGCCTCAGCCTTCCAAAGTGCTGCGATTACAGGTGAGAGCCACTGTGCCCAGCCCCATTTCTCACCTCTTTCCAGTTATCTGGTAATATTATATCCCTGGGTGGCTGAATCAACTTCAATTTTTCATTCCCCTAATTTAGGTTTCTAATGAAAGAAATGAATTTAAAAGACATGAAAAACAATTATGATTATGATGTTGATGAGCTGCATAAAGTAATAAAAAATAATCTCTAGATAGAAGCATGAGGAGAACCAGCCATTTCAAATTTTTAGGTCAATTCTGAAGAAGAATTATTCTTAGCTCCCTTCAATAGAGAGGAGGCAAAACCCCTAAAATGTGAGGGGAGGAATGATGGATGAATCTCTGAGGGGTCCAAATTCACCCCAGAGCAATGCCAAGAAGAAGTAGCCCTTTGATGAGGCAGCCTCAGGGCAAAGTCCAAGTCCTACCCAAGATCAGTGACCCAGACAGTGAGACAAGAACAAGCTGACCATAACTCATGGAAGATAGTCTCACATTCATGTGGCCATGTGTTAGCAGTGTAGCATATAGAGATGAGGGAGCCACAGGGAGTGGCAGGGTCCTGTTTTAGGGACTCAGAATGGGTCTCTCTGTATTGCCCACCTTGGCCACTGTGAGAGGCAGAAACAGCACTGATAGAGAGGAAAGAAGCCACAAGGCTAGAAGCAAAGGTGGGGACCTTTCCTAAATTATGGTTTTGGCAAAAGAGGTTAGCAGGGTCAACAGCAAGATGGGGTACCATTGTGAGCCACCATGTGTGAGTCACTCTACAAGTGAGGGAGGGATGACATGACACTGATTTATGCCATTGATGTGGCATTACTGCCACCCCTT
This sequence comes from Homo sapiens, assembly GCF_000001405.40. Classification (NCBI taxonomy): domain Eukaryota; kingdom Metazoa; phylum Chordata; class Mammalia; order Primates; family Hominidae; genus Homo; species Homo sapiens. Next base: position 72,531,815 of record NC_000006.12, on the reverse strand, counting down.
GCTTAGGGATGGCAATCTGGGAAACATTGGTTACATATTCTGCCCTCTATAAAATTCATATCAAAAAGAAAAATGCAGTAATAATTGGAGAGTGAGCACTGTCCTCCGCTTTTAGAGAGTCTTCTGGCAACTCTTCTACCCTTGATGTCAGAGAAGCATTACCCAGCCTGGGCATATATTCCCCATTCCATCTGGTAGTGATAGACTCCAAATGCCTCCCACTTGTGAAGAGGAAAGAGCCAATAAAAGTTTTAATGAGTAATTGATTTAATAGAGCATCTTGAAAAGTAGCCACATGTTCTATTAGAAAAATTATTATGATACATTTGCACAAAAGTAACATTTTGGGTGAATATATAAAGCTTAAAATCAATGAAACAATCATCGCATACAGTACTACCAAAGAATAAACTTTCTTTAAAAATACCTAGACATAAGGTCAAATTTTATATAATAATGCTTTTGGGAGGTAGAGTTATTGGTGTATGTTCGTGTTTAGATTTTTAAAACCAAACTTTTGGGCAGCTTATAGTCAGAATGTAGACTTTCAAGGAAGGAAAATTCCTTATGCCAGTTACAATATCAGCATTTTGTTAAATAAAAGTGATATTAAATAAACACACATTTACTTTCCCTGTCGTAACAAAAGCACCAATGGTAATTCAACATTTGCTTCCATATCTTGTTCATTCTGCTCAGAATGCACTCCGGTGAATTTTTCTGTTTCTTTGCAAAACTGATCACAATGTATGGAATATTTGAAGACTAGCATCAAAATTTATAAGGAAGACTTGTCAGAACAAGTGATAACATCATCTAGCCTTCAGGTCCTGTTGAAAATTCTTAAGTGTTGACTAAAACAAAGTGTATCTACGATTTCTTCTATGATTGAACAAGGATAACTATAAACTGCCTTGAGAACATCTTTTTTCATATATTTTAATAGTCTCTATTATTGCATACTAACTTAACTCTGACTTGCTGTGCTTCTTCTCTTAGCAGATCCCTCAGATTTGACACTTACAAGTTGAGTAATTACCCAGTACGTGTATTGACAGATCAACAGTCTCAAACAAGCAATGAACAAACTTGCTACATATGTTCATCTCATCACAGATGCTTTCCCTCTCCTTCTGGTTTTTAAGTGCACCAAATATTAATAAATGCACTTGTGAAGGTTCTTAGATATGTCTCTAAGATAATCTGACCTTTTACAAAAATTTATCTTTACTAGGTTTACAGAATCTTTACATAGGCAAATCTTTTGTAATCAAGAATTCCTGAGGGTGGCATAGAACTAGAAACACAGATTGCTAAAGGTGGCAAAGCAAAATGATTGATTGGCATGGTTTAGATTCAACCAATTATACTGAAAGGCATATAGCCAAATAATGGCTATTTAGGAAATTTATAATCCAGGCCAAGACTGCAGTTCTGTGGAATGCTGACTAAGATAATGCCGGGCCTGCATATCTGGCAAATTATCAGCCAAATCCATTGTGATCAAGAGTAAGGCCAATTTTATTAGAGTCCATTTAGACCTGCTAAAAACTGATGAGTAACATAAAAACCGAAAGCTTTTCCTTCATTTGAAATAGGGAAATGATTTTCAACCAATAATCTTCCAGATAGATGCTGACTTCCTCTGAGAAACTTAATGAACTCATTTCACTGAACAGTATCAAACCACTATATGCAGAACATTGTGGATGCAATAAATGTAACATCCGTCTTGAGGAAAATGATTTATGGTGAGAAATGACAATAGTTGTTGGTTGTAAAAGTTCTAAGCTTTGAAGCTGGAGATCTAAGTTTGGAGACTTCAACTAGAGACCCTAGGTCAAGTCTCATATTTATCAGTTCAGTGATGTGGGCAAACATTTAACTTCCCTGAACTTATGTTGGGGGCTATTGTTACCAGCCCTGTCTGATGCACAAGTTTTTGTGATGGTCAGACAGAAAATCACATTATTGGAGATGTTAGTTTGTCTTCCCATGTGGTTGATTGAATGATGAATTGGCAGCATTGCCCTAGAATCACTTAACTAGACCATGCTGGTTCTTGTCCAGTGGTGCTTTTACTTACTGGCTTAAGGTTTCCTCGGTGATGCTTGACTTATTTTCTCTTCTGTTCTTTCCTTATGTAGTTCAAGATTATATGTAATGGAGGCAGTACAGTATGAGGAGGTATGAGGAAAGCCCTGAGGTTTAGAGTCAGAGGGTCTAGCTTTAACTAAGTGACGAAGATAACGAGAATGAGGATGATGAAGAATAAACTAACCTTTCTGAAGTGCTTACACACATTCAGGACTATCTAAGTCTCATACATCTTGTTAATTCTTCACATCAAAATAGTAACAACCCCATTTTATGAATGAGAAAACTGAAATTTAAAATATTTACATGACTTACCAAATTAACTAGAATTATAAATACTTAGTAATTTGAAGCTGTATCATCTTATTCTAGAATCTTTGCTATTAACTGTTGCCTTCCAGCAAAATGAGGAGAATAATCAACTTGGAGTGGCTGCGAATGTGAAAATGTGCAGTGTTACTGTCAAACACATCTAATGGTTAATTTCAGACTCACTGAGCCTCCAGAAACAAACCTAACTTAGCCTCCACAAACAACATTTTAGGGTAATAAAAGTTGTGAAAATCTTCTCCCTACTTCTCTTTGGAATCCCTACTAAATTTGAATTTGAAGAAAAGATAGTTCATGATAACCTAAGAAGAACTTCCAACTATATTACACACTAGGATAGAGGCGAAGCTGTGCTCTCTCATTACCAATACTAGAACAACCATAAAGAAGAGTTTTAGAAGACAAGGGTTGTCACACTCCTGATCAGTGACCAGGTTTTTTCTTAAAACAAAAACAAAAACAGGGATAATGGCATACCATGGAAGCTCTTGGTCATGAAATCTTTTCTGCAAATCCTCATACAAAAGAATGGCTACACATCTGTCAGAGTTTAGCTTTGGCTTAAGCCTATAAAGTTAAAAGTTTAAGATGACTTTTCAAAGTCCCTTCTTTTTTTTTTTTTTTTTTTTTTGAGGCAGAATCTCACTCTGTGACCCAGGCTGGAATGCAGTCGTGCAGTCTTGGCTAACTGCAACCTCCACCTCCCGGATTCAAGTGATCCTCCCCACCTCAGCCTCTCAAGTATCAGGGATTATAGGCATGGGCCATGATGCCCAGCTAATTTTTGTATTTTTAGTAGGGATAGGGTTTCACCATGTTGGCCAGGTTGGTTTGGAACTCCTGACCTCAAGTGATTTGCCCGCCTTGGCCTCCCAAAGTGTTGGGATTACAGGCATGAGCCACCATGCCTGGCCTCAAAGTCCCTTCTAAATCCTGATTACACTGTGATAGTATACATTTTTAATAATAATTTTTCTTTAACAAACTACTTGATGCTAACCCTCAAAAACAAGACCTTTCATTGTTAAACTTGCTAGGACTGCCATAAAAGTTTTGGAGACTAATAAAGTTTTTCCTGAAATTTCTTGTGAGCAATCAGAAAATGTGCATATATGTTTACATATATATGAACTACTTTAACTTCAATTAAATTGGGTGAAAACATTCAAAATTTAGCAAATTGTTATTTGGAAACAGATGTTGTTATGACAGTTTTAAAAAGTTGATTACATTTCAATGTGAGGCTGGGATGCAGCTTCAGCTGCAGTGCCTGAGATCTTCTATAGTGAATGTTGACATTCAGGGCTGGTTGTTACAATGTCTTCGTTATATTGATGCTATCACTATAGTTTTTGTGGATAATTACTTTTTGAGTATTGCTTTTGAATGTTTTATGACATTTTGTTCTCAATAGGATGTTTAAGCGTATATGAAAACTAAACTTTGGGATAAAAGCTCTTCATTAACCAGGCAGAGAACAGAGCTGGTCATACATATATAATCTATTAAGTAGATAAAATTATGTATTTAATTCTAACTAGGCAAGGTAAACAGGGCTGATCACTCATACATAAAATAAAAATAAAGATAGTAATCAATTCTACTTTGGGCAAGTCACCTACACACAGGTCAGCTTTTCCAGCTTCACAGAGGTTATGGTTTCACAGCTGGCTTTGCATGTCAGTGGAGAAATATGGCGATTTGCTTAACATGATGTAAAATATTCAATATCTACTTCATTGGTTTAGGACATTGACAGCCTTTGCTAAAATGTGAATGTTATTTGGTGTGTTGATATATTAATTACAATGTTGGCTTAGTAAAATAGTTACCTTTTAAAAGGATGTTAAACATGAGCTGTATGTTCTTGGTTTGGATGTGTGTGGGATAAAGAAAGGTCTAGAGCATGAGATAGTGCCTGGTGTTGAAGGACTTGGGTTGAACACCATGGTAGAAAGATGATGGTTGAGATGAGGATACCCATTCACGTTCTTGCACATGGGGTAGATGTTAGCAGAGATACAATACAGAGTTGAAATGTCTTGAGACTACACTTTATCTCCTTTGCCTGGAATAAGTCAGTGCCTTTAAGTATAAACACATTGTATGAACGCTTTCTCCACTCAGGGTGCTGCTTCCATGTTATTTATAGTCAGTCCTCATAATGAATCAACATCATTCTCTCTAAATCTTGGACTATCAATTCTAACTTTACCCTTTCAGGCCACACAAAATTTGGTTTGGGGTTGAACACACCTAGCATTTCTTTTCTTTTACAGAGTACGGGGTAGCTGAGATGATATATGTGCAGGATATACTATGCAAAGGGCCTTGGGACAAACAAGAATCCTTAAATGTATCCATCCTACAACTCATAAATAGTAACTATCTTAATTGTATCCACCATTGTGTAGGTCAGTATGTCCTTGAATACATGGGGGAAATGGTGTTTCTGTAAAAAGTTGGTAAACTGCTGATAGATTTTTCTATATCTTCCCAAGTTACAGAAAATAGCAGGGAGGGATAGTTATTTATGAAAGTCAGGCTGGAATAGATGGGCCAGAGTGGCCCTGCCCAGAAGAGAATGGGAAATATCACTGGATTTATGGCAATCTGAGTGGATTTTTGTAGAGACATATCAAAAGACCTGTCTTTCATTCTGTTCTATTCAATAGTATAAATAAGTGGGCTTAGAAAAATATGTCAAAGACATGTCAGTCAAGTTCAGAGATTAAAAATTAAGGAACAATAATTAATATTATGGATAAAGAAACAGAAATTGAGAATGACAGTAAAGAGCATTCGATGCTGGGATAACTGTTACATAAAGACTTTTAAGAGATCTAAATGTAAAGTTATATGTTCTGGTTCAGAAGTTAAATTGTACAATTCCAGGGTACAGAATATTTGGCTTAGCTGATTGTGAGTTCAATGAATAAAAAGCAGATGTGTCTGCCAAGAAAGCTCCTGTGGTTTAGCCTGGGTTTATAGAAAGTGTCTAAGTGGTCTTGCTGGATTTTGTGTTGATTAGACATTACCAGGAAGCATCTGTTCAATGATAGCTGAGATTCCTAAAGGATGTCCAGAGGGAGATGTTTGGAATAGCTAGCTGTCTAGAAACCATATCACATGGTTGGAGAAATGGGATGTTTAACTTATAGAATGTAGATCTGAAGGGGGATACATGATGGGTGGTCTTTTAGTATGTGGGTTTTACACAGAAGATGGATTCAATTTCTTCTGTGTGACTTAGGAAAGCAAAGCTAGAACCAATGGGTCCAATGTTAAGGAGGAAGACATCGGCTTATTCTGAGGAATGATTGCAGATAATGTGGGGGCAGCATCCTGGTCAGGGCAACAGTTCCTTGTGGTTGTATTTAAAGGCAGTGAGTTATTACAGGAAAGCCAGACATCCAAGGCAAAAGGCAGTCTGGAAATAGTGTTTTCCATTGCTAGAGGTGCTGAGGAATTGGCTGGAAGATCAGTTTTCAGGAGTGTGGTTATATCTAGGAGTTGTTTAAAGCCCTCCCACCCTGAATTTCTGTGAAGTTCATCAAGGGGAAAGTCTGAAAAACAGGTAATTGCTAGATTCTTTTTAAATGGAAAGAATAAATATTCCTTTCATGTAATGTGTTCGTATGATCATTCTTCTCCCAATTTTGATCTACTTAGTAACAATAATCCCTTGTGTAAACATGATTTTCTTTGATGTTTGCAATGCACAATTATACTTCCCTAAATATAAAGAGCCATTTTAGCATTTGGAAAAACTCCTGCAGTTTTCTGTACCAGAGTACTGGGCTCTTCCCATACCATCTAAAAGTTATTTGACTCTTTGTAGCTATCCTCAACCTGGAACAAAGTTTTGAAAGGTGCATCATAAGAATAAAGTTACTTTACAAATGAGAAAAAGAATCTGCATAGTATACATTTTGTGACAATGGCTTAATTTCTATGAACAGAATTTCATTAGAGGTTGAAAGGCCTCACCATCTGGCACGACGAAACAATTTTAGAACTCTCTATCCTTGGAGAAAACAAGGAAAAAACTGTGGGAGTGATATTTCTTTCTGACAAGGGAATAAGAACCAAAAGATGAAGACAAAAAATGCTTCTTGGAAATTAAGAGAACCGAATAAGTGAGAAACACTCAGTGAGGCACAAAGTGAAATAAGAGGAAATAATTCCAGAGCCTGAAAAACATTTAAGCCAGGAGATAGTACTTTCTCATCGTAGTTTTCAACATTCTCTTCCAAGAGGGATATATTTTGAGTCCAAAGATTGTCTGGTTCTTATGAAATATGATTGCTTAGTTGAGCAAAGTGATCATAAGATCTCTATGTAAAGTGGAAGAAAAGCTTTGGTTTTAGGAGTCTTATCTGAAATGTACTAAATGTCACTCTAACTTAAAGGCTATTAGTAATCAATTCCTCTAAGAAGTCATATTTCACAATGTTCTTCTGTCAAATATCCTGGTTTCCTGGTTGCTAACAGCTTCCTCTTCATAATTGTCAGTATGACTTTCTCAAGAGGCTAAAGAGAGTGCAAAGAAAAATACTGTATATGGGAACTCTAGATTCTCTTTTATAAATGGTTTCTAGTGGCTATTAATATAGTCACATCCTTCCAATCACACAGCACCTAGTTCAGTTCTCAGCATACATGGACACTCTCAACATGTCTTTGGTGACCAACTCTTAGGAAGATAAAAGCCAGGACAACTTGTTCACATTCAGTTTTGCCTCAAAATAAAGTCTTTGATTGAGTTCATTGGGAAAAATGTGTTTAGTAGGCAGTGCAGCCAAAGATAAAACTAACTTATTACCTGGGAAGATTGAACATGGGTGTTTTGTTTTGTTTTGTTTTGTTTCACTGCTTTAACATGAATCACTGTGCTCGACTTTGAACTGGTAAGTCCCTTGAGACTAGTGGCTTTCTTAGAACGATCACTTAGGTATCAAAGGTCTTCCTTTGTTAACTCGGGTAGGTGACTATGTCTCCTCGGAGACACTAAAGCTCAATGATGAAGAGAATGCATCTTCTGGGCTTTAGGGGTTTGACATCTGCTGTGCCAGCAGGAGCAGGTGGGTGGCAGCCACCTAAAAGCTCCCTGGGCTCTTTATCCTCTTAGGCGATGTGATGATTAATATCAGGTGTCAGCTTGACTGAATTGAGGGATGCCTAGACGGTTGGTGAAGTACTGTTTCTGGGTGTGTCTGTGAGGGTGTTGCCAGGGGAGACTGACATTTGAGTCAGCAGACTGGTAGAGGAAGATTCACCCTCAGTGTGGGTGGGTGCCATCCAATAGCTGCCAGGGCCACTAGAACAGAGCAGGCAAAAAAGAGAGGATAAGCAACTTGCTGAGACTTCTTGCTCTGTTTCCCTCTTTACGAGCGGGACTCTTGCTTCCTCTCTTCCTGCCCTTGGACATCAGACTCCAGGTTCTTTGGTCTTTGGACTCTGGGACTTCACCAGAGGCCTCCTGTAGGCTCTCGGGCCTTGGTCTCAGACTGAGGGCTGCACTGTCAGCTTTCCTAGTTTTGAGGCTTTTGGACTTGGACTGACCTGCGCTATAGGCTTCTCTCTTTCCCAGCTTGCAGATGGTCTATTGTGGGACTTTGCCTCGTGACTGTGTAAACCAGTTCTCCCCAGTAAACTATCTTATACATATACATATACATATACATATACATATACATATACATATACATATACATATATTTTATTGGTTCTGTCCCTCTGGAGAACCCAAATGCAGGTGAGAATTAGAAATGGTCATTGGACGGATTTCTTTTTGTGTCTGCATAAGATCTTAGATTTTGGGACATTTCAGGGAGTAGAGGCCATTAGCTTAGATTGGAAAGATACTGGGCTTCCTGCCGAATTCAGCAAGGAGGCAATTGAGTTGGTGTACATTTGCTTTGGAGCTATCAAAGAGGTGTGAAGATACTGGCTTCTTAATACTGCATACATTTCTTGTGCGAGAAGAAGGAGGATCGATTTAAAAATGCTAACTGATGACAACGGCCCTCTTTACTCTCCTCCACCAGATGGGATATGGAGAGAAGGAGTAACTATTTTTTTTTTTAAAGGCCCAAAGTTTATTAATTCTTCTCCCACCCCTCCCCATGCCCTTGCTGGGATGCTGGCAGGAGTCACTAGGCCTCTGAGCATCTCAGAAGCTGCCCTCGTGCTCCAGAAGGTCCTCATCTTCTTGCTCATGGAAAAGATACAGCAGTCATGGCTGGCGTCAATTACCTTCTAGTGTGTGCAGCCTCCCCTGGCAGTGCTGGCATCAGGCCCAGAAGTGTGAGAAACACTCCTTCTGGGCATTCAGGTGGGACACCTGCCTCTGATACAGTTTCAACTTCTGGGGCAAGCAGAACATGCACCCGGCCCTCTGGTGGCTGATCACTGCAGCCCTTGCCTCATTTGTGCTGGTTGGTGACGCTGGAGCTGGAGGTCGCCACCTTGCTTGTCAGAACCACATTGTAGCATTTGCATTCCCTACGCAGCAGCATGGCCTCAGGACAGCCCTCCCTCACCCAGGATGGGCTTCCAGATGTGCAGGACTGGCTTGGCAGCTATGGTCCCAAGAAGCACTTAAGTGCAGATCCTCATACTTCTGGCAGGCAGCCAGGCTTTTGGCAGAAATGGTGGTGATCACCTAGGGGACTTGGTGGCTCAGGGTGAGTGCACCCCCACGACATTGTTTTCTCATCTTCTCAGTCAGTTCCACTTGGGCCTGTTAGCTGTTGGTAGTAATGTTTGTTTTGTTTTTTTAAATTCATTATGAGATTTATTTATATTTCACCCGTCAAAAGCCAAAATATAACAAATTTCACTTTCCAGAAAGTTGTCTTATACATGAAGTGCATTCAATACAAGAAAATAAATCAAGTTTCTCTGACCACCGGTGAGATGGATAAGCTTTAATCAGTACCCTCAAATCAAAATTTTCTCAGATTTCTTCCCAAACATCCACAGAAATAGTCTCAACCCAGGAAGGTTTGAGATAACTTTTTCCAGAAACTACAATGAAAAAGACAACCTTAACGTCTGGGTTAGAAAAAGGTAATGTCCCAAACAGGCCCACTCTTCTGTAGGGAGAGGACAACAGCAGCAGTGTGCAGACTGCAGGCCCAAATCACTTTTGCCATTTGCAACCTCAGCTACTGACTGGAAGAATGTTCATATTCAGATTAAAGATGTTTCTAATTAAAAATGGAGCCTAATTCCATATTTCTTTTGATGCATATTCCTTTTGGTGAGTTGTAGATGGTGTTCTGTCTCAGTTCTTCCAGGTTCCAGGCTCTCTTTTTATCAGTATTTTATGCCCAAATATCCTTGGGAATAGATTATAGAGAGAATCTATTATGATCTGAAATAGATTATAGAGAGAATGTATTATAACTTATAATAGATTATAGAGAGAATAGAGAATGTTCCTGATGACTTAATTCTGGCCCCAACACCATTGTCTGTATTATTGTGCAATAATAACCTATCTTCAGGAGCCCCTGGATGACTAAATGCACCCCTTACCTCTGTTGCTGTTACCTCCACTGATAAAGACAGGTGATTCTGGGTTGAGTTTTATGGGTGGTCTAAAGGCATGCGTCTTCACAAGCACTGGGGTGAGTAGTGGTTTTATATTCAGAAACACTGACAAATTCCAGAGAAAGCCAAAAATCCAAAACCTAAGTAGTGAAATCATGGGTAACTTGAGGATGTCAGGAAGGGTAATCAGAGAATGGGAATCATATCTGCGGGGCAGCGTTAGCTGAGTTACTCTCCAACAGTTTGGACATATATCTATATACATGTGTTTGTGTGTGTGTGTGTGTGTGTGTGTTCACATGTGTGTGTGTTTATCAACTTAAGAAGTGTCTGGTGATACTGAGATGTTTGATTGTATATAAGAGAGCTAATTACAAGGTTTTTGTTTAAGGATGGGATCATAGACCAGTAAACGTTATAATGGGGATTCTGAAATGTTTGGATTTGTTGGTCTTTTCTCTAGGGTAGTTTAGCTTCTCCTGAGGATTGCTCTCTCTCCTGACTGAGGGATATAATATTGGCACACATCCTCTGGGGATCTGAGAAGCACGCAGGGGAAGGGGACTGGGCATGACATTTCATTTAACGAACTTGAGCATCCTCAGATTTTGGTATCTATGGGCGTCCTGAACTGAATCCCCAACAGACACTGACGGATGATTCTACTTATCTTGCCAATTATAAGATCATATTGTTGGATGCTTTTAATTTATTTTATTGTTCTCTAAAATATAATGTTATTTTAAAATAAGCAAATTAATTTTAAATAGCCAAGTATTTTTAAGAAATTTAAAATTCATAATTTGGCAGTCATATCCCTTTACAATTACCTTAATCTGATTATCATTTTTAAATGACTGATATTTAAGCATGATAGTTACTTGCCTGGACCCTCCTTTTCTGTGGACCTTGTAATGGAAAACAACCCAAAATGAATAGGAAGCCCGGCAAGCAATGGCAGTACAAATTCTCAGACGCGTTGCTGTGCTTGATATTTCTTGATCAAATTCTTTATTGTGGATAAATTAAACTAAACTAAAATATATAACATATACAACACTTCCATAAAAATAAATCTGTTTAATCTGATAGCACACATTAGGTTTTTGTCGTAATTTAATTTTTGAAGTACAATTAAGGATGTTTTCTGCCTGGTGCCATGGCTCACGCCTTATCTCAAGACTTTGGGAGGCTGAGGCGGGTGGATCACTTGAGATCAGGAGTTCGAGACCAGCCTGACCAACATGGTAAAACCCCCATCTTTAATAAAAATACAAAAAAATTAGCCTGGCATGGTGGCGCACGTCTGTAATCCCAGCTACTGAGGAGGCTGAGACATAAGAATCGCTTGAACCCAGGAGGCAGAGGTTGCAGTTAGCCGAGATCGCGCCACTGCACTCCAGCCTGGGTAACAGAGCAAGACTCTGTCTCAAAAAAAAAAAATTGTTTTATAGTGACTCCCATGTGCTACTTTGCTCTTGGATTGGTAAGGCAAATTTACTTCTCAAGAATTCTGCATACAGTTTTTGTTGTTGTTCACCTTTGAAATATAGAGAGATGTTGGATTCCCCAGCAAGTCAGCAAAACAAAAGAGTTCTAGGATAATGACAGCATGAGTGTTGGTGCTGAGAAATCCCTTCTTTGAGTTATCATGAAAAGAAATAAATAGTGAAAAATATGTTTCTGGTAGAAACTAAAGATACAAATCAATTATATTCTCAAATCTATCAGTACCTTCTTTCTCCATGCATTGGGAGCATTATGATGCAATAATGTAAAGCAATTGCCAGGGTGGATATCACAGTTATCCCCAACAATTCCTTTATTTATCTCAGGATGGAAAATGGAACCCTGAAATCCAGGTAATGGACCAATCACAGTTATTCACATGGATTTATTTCCCTTTCATCTGAGCTTAACTACATTTTAATGCAAAATATCATTAGATATAAAAAAGAACAAGTACCGATTCATGCATCCTGCAATATGAAATAAAATTTCCTCCCCAGTGACTGGTAGAACCTGAAGAAATAGTATATACCGGACTGGAATGGTAGTAGCTGACCCAGAGATAAATTTTTTGTATACAAGCAGTTGTTTGCTAAATGGACTGGCATGAAACATTCTACTCAAATGGGGTCAAATGAGACCAATTTTATTATCTTTCTTGGGAACCTAAAATGGGTAAGTAAAACATATGTCAAAAATTATTTTTTCCTGTTTCTTTTTACTTTTTAAATGGATTACTAGAAAATTCACAATGATACGTATCAACCCCCAAATGAAATCCTATTATATGTTAGTAGATAGTATTTATTATTTACTTATTATTTCGTAGAGAAAAGAAAGCTCATTCAATGATTGATTATTAAATAGTTTAATAATTAGTAATTACTCTCTAATAGATTTTTCAGTAAATAAGGCCAGTGTAGTCCCACTCTCACTATCTTGAACGTAAAATAATTAAATGTTTATATGAACAGCTATTTCAAGGGAGGATGTTCAAATGAACACAGAGAAAGATTTATGGCATCACAAAAATGGAGGTACCTGGTTGAACCTCAAGCTGGTGCTAACAGTCCTCCAAAATGTTATAGCATCCTGGAGCAGCAACTGCAAGAATAAAAACAGGGAAGCCACACCAAAAGAATCCAGGCAGATTAGAAGCAGAAAAGCAGAAGGCAGATTGTCAAGGTAGTCATAATTGCTGTATAATGTAGTCAATCCTTTGCATAGAGCCAAATGCACATGCAGAGATTAAAACTGTAATGTGCACCTAGAAATGAACAGCCTACCACACACAAAATAGAGAATATAGTCAGGACAAGCAAAGAGATTATCCTCTTAGCCACACTAAGTGTCATCACTAGTTTCTCAGTGAGGAAGATTTAGAGACAGATAGCTCAAACCAATATATATTCAAAAAAAGATTATTACATGTACATATATAGAACACATTGCATATAGTAATCCTTACAGTAGAGAGTTCAAATAGTCTGAAGGCATTAATTGGCTTCATGTATTTTTGAGTTAAACAGTACTTCTGGGTATATTGCATGGAGCTACCTGAAATGGTACATCTTTTCTCATTATTATAGTCAAGATCCTAGTACACCGAATGGAAACAACCAGTAATCATCTTCCTCTTAGGGAATTCTGTCTTATGGAGGCTTATTTCATAGGGCAGTGTTACATTTTCACTGGAACGAATGATCAGCTTTTTGAGACAGGTCTCATTTATGAGAAAATCTAAAGAATATAAATTCCCTAAAATCAAATTTAATGAAAATACATGGAACATGTATTACAAAAAGTATAATGATTTACTAAAAAATATAAAAGAAAACTTGAATCAATGGAGTGGCATAACCAATTCTGAGGGGAGATTAGAATATCTTTAAAGTGAAAAATTACAGAATTAATTTAAATTTTAAAAACATTTATATTCAAATTTCAATCAGCTGTGTTTTCAACTCTGAAAAACAATTTTAATGTTCTCTGGAAAAATTAATACATGTTTTAAAATTCTAACTTATAATAATGATATAGTTGTTACAATTATCATTCCTTTTTCAAAGATGAAAAAATTGAGATCCAAATAAGTTAAGTAATTTGTTAAGGTCACACAGCTAGTAAGTAATAGATATCTCAGAAAACCTATCTCACAGCCCATGCTCTCTTTTAGGGGAATGGTCACTTAATGACTATTTTATGATCCAGAGCCTTCTCAGGGCATTATAAACATCTCTAACAATTCTTTCTGCCATGTGTTCAATTAAGGCACTTTTGTAGGAGAACTTTTTAATAGTCTGAGTATTCAAAGCTGTTAAGAAATTACCTTCATCAAAATTTAAAACTTTTTCTCTTGAGGCTCTATTAAGAGAATGAAAATCAAGCCACAGACTAAAAGAAAATATTTGCAAACCATATACCTGACAAAAGACTTGTGTCCAGAAAATACAAAGGACCATCTGAACTCAACAGTAAAAGAAAAAGAAAACAACTAAATAAACTGATTAGAAAATCAGGGTGGATGGAATGGCTCATGCTTGTAATCCCATCACTTTGGGAGGCCGAGGTAGGAAGATCACCTGAGGCTATGAGTTCAAGATCAGCCTGCACAATATTGCAATACCCTGTGTACAAAAAATAAAAAAATTAGCTAGGCATGGTGGCATGTGCCTCTAGTCCCAGTTACTTGGGAGGATGAGGCGAGAGAATTGCTTGAGCCGAGGAGTTCAAAGCTGCAGTCAGCTATGATCACGCTACTGCACTCCAGCCTGTATGACAGAACGAGATCCTAACTCAAAAAAAAAAAAAAAAAAAAAAAGGGAAAACTGGCAAACAACCTGATGAAGTGTTTCATCAAAGAGGATATACAGATGGCAAATAAGTACATAAAAAGATGTGTTACATCACTAGCAATTAGGAAAATGCAATTTAAAACCATAACAAGAGAAATTCACTCTATCCTGGGAATTAGATGGAGTAGATGCACTTCTCTCTATTGCCTCTGCTAAGGAAACTTAATACCTCAGACATCATATATTGAACAAACATTGGAAGAATTTGAAAAGTGGAGGAAAGAAGGCAAACTAGTAGGCACCTTGGGACCTGAAGAATGACACGGTGGTGACTTCCCTGGATTTTCTTTTTGCTTCATATCCCTTAATGTGTGGTAGAAAATCAGGAACCTGGAAACTCCAATGGGTCTGGACCAAATAAATAAGTAAAAAGCCCTAAGAAAGGCCTTATATCTCAAGTCAAATAACAAGAAAAGGGTCAGCTTAGTAAGAGAAAAAAATCTTTTAGACAATAACATTTCTCCCTATACTAGCAAAACACTGGACAAAACTGTGACTGTCTCCACACTCCTAATAGCAAAGAAAGACTGGGGAGACAAAACTTCCATGCCTGTGAAGTTGCAACATATTGCCCCCTTCATCACTGTGGTTGAATCTATGAAAATGGAGTGGGACGTGAGAACTTTTATTCCCTCCCTAAGACCCAACCTCATCCTGACAGTGTCAGTGGAGGTTATGTCCAAAGCAAAATTGAGACATTATCCCCACTCCAAGTCAGAATGGTGTCAGTAGAGGAAGAGAGTGGAGCCCGAACTCCCACATTCGCTTAGGAAAAGAGCCTCTCCTGGGGCATCAACTGCAGCTAAGTGCACAACCTGTACTTTCACTGCCACATGGCAGTAATAAGGTAGTGTCCTCTTTTCCTACTGGCGCAATGTCAGAGGAGGCCTGCTAAGGCAAATAATTTAAATAAGATCCAGAGTCTCATAACATAATAGCCAAAATGTCCAGATATAATATTAAATTACTTATCATACAAAGACAGAAAAATTTTGCGTTGAATGAGAAAAGACAATCACAGATAATAATGCCAAGATTAAATAGATGTGGGAATTACATGACAAAGATTTTAAAGCAGCCATTATAAAAATCTTTCAATAAGTTTGAAGCATTTGAAGAAAATGGAAAGTACCAGCAAATCAATAGAAAGACTCTGCAAAAAGAAAGAATTAATGAAAAGAAAAAAATATATATAAAGGAATGAACTAGAAATTTTAGACCTGAAAAATATAAGAACTGAAATTTAGAAAGTCAATGGATAGGCTTATCAGTATAAAGAAGATGACAGAGGAAAGAACTTGAACTTAAACATAGGACAATGGTAATAAAACAATGGAGATTACTCAACTTGAAAAACAGAGAAAATAGACTGAAAACAATAAACAAAGTCTTAGGGATCTGTGGAAACTCTAATTCAAGATTTATGCTAACAGAGTCCCAGAAGGAGAGAAGAAAGAGAGGTGTGGTTGAAAAAGTATTCAAAAAATGGGTAAAATTTCCCCAAATTTGGCAAAGGACATAAACCTATAGGCTTGAGAAGCTGAGAAAATGTCAAACAGGAAAAAATCAAAGGACTGTATGGCAAGACACATCATAATGATATTTCTGGAAACTGAAGACAAAGAGAAAAATCTTAGAAAACACCAGGAGAGAGAAAAAAATCTTATCAACAAGGGGAAAACAATTGAGATGACAGTGAAATTCTCATCAGAAACCACGAGGCTGGAAAAAAGTGGAACAATATTTTTCCATTGCCAAAAGAAAAAATTATTAGCCCAGATTTCTATAGTCAGTGAAAAAAACCTTTGAGAGTGAAGGAGAAATCAGGATATTTTATGATAAAAAAAACTAAGAGAATTTATTGCCAGCAGACCTAATTTTAAAGGATGATTTAATGATTTATTTTCCTAAACAGGAAGATAAATTATTTATTTTCCTAAACAGGAAGAGATGATTGAAAAAAAAAGGTTTTAGAGCAAAGAAAAATAGAAAGTGCAAAATCAAATGTACTTTCCTTTCCCTCTTAATTTTTGGAAATTGTATTTGATAGTTGAAGAAAAACTATACTGTTGTACGTTTATAAAGTACATAGAGAAAATATTTAAGACAAATATATTATAAATGGAGTACAATAAAGGAAGATGAAGTTTCTGTTCTTTACTTGAACTGGTAAAATGATAATACCAATAGACTGACACATTATATACGCATAATCTACTACCTACAAGAACCACTAAAAAAACTATACAAATAAATACACTAAAAAAAACTCAACCTCAAGATAAATCAAAATGGAATTCTAAAAAATATTCAAAGTAACCCTCAAGAAGTCAAGAAAAAAGAGAAACAGAAAAATAACAACAAGAACACAGAAACCAAAATGTCAGGCTGAAGCACTGAAAATTTAATCATCACATTAAATGTAAATGATATAAGTAGAGCAATTAAAAGATGGAGATTGGCAGAATGGATTAAAAACCATAACTATGTGTTGTCTACAAGAAAATAACTTCAAATATAACAATATAGATAAACTGAAAGTAAAAGGACAGAAAAATATATCATGCAAACATCAATTAAAATAAAGCAGAAATGGCTATATTAAAATCATATAAAGTATACTTCATAACAAAATGTTTACCAGGGACAGAGACAATCATTAGTGATAAAGGAATCAGTCTACCAAAAAGATATAGCAATTTTAAATGTGGATGCACCATAAAACAGAGCTGTAAAATATGTGAAGCAAAAAATGATAGAACTGAAAGGAAAAATAGGCAAATTCACAATTATGATTAGAGACTTCAGCCCTTTTTTCAACAGTTGATAGACCAAATACAGAGAAAATTAGTAATCATATAAAGTCAACACCACCACCAAACAACAGAATATAATTGGCATTTATAGGACACTCCTTTCAACAACAGCAGAGTTCACATCCCTTCCAGAATTCATAGAACATTCATCACAAAACATCATGTATCTGGCATCTGTAAAACAAATTTTGCCTAATTTAAAAGAATTGAAATCATACAGAATGTGTTCTCTGGTCATAATAGAATCAAAACAGCAATGCGTAACATAAATATAACAGAAAAAATTCTAGACTCTTGGAAACTAAGCAATGCATTTCTAAATAATTAGTGGGTCAAAAAGGAAGTCTCAGCCGGGTGAGGTGGCTCACGCCTGTTATCCAGCACTTTGGGAGGCCGAGGTAGGTGGATCACCTGAGGTCAGGAGTTCGAGACCAGCCTGGCCAACATGGCAAAACCCTGTCTCTACTAAAAATGCAAAAATTAGCCGGGCGAGTTGGCGTGCACCTGTAATCCCAGCTACTCAGGAGGCTGGGGCAGGAGAGTCCCTTGAACCTGGGAGGTGGAGGTTGCAGTGAGCCAAGATGGGACCACTGCACTCCAGCCTGGGTGACAAAGTGAAACTCCATCTCAAAAAAATGGAAGTCCCAAAGAAAACAAAATACATTAAATTGAATGAAAATGAAAAAACAATATATCAAAATTTGTGGGATGTAACTAAAGCAACACTGAGAAGAAAATTTCTACTACTAAATGCTTATATTAGAAAAAAAGAAAAGTCTCAAATCAATCATCTCATATTTAGAAACTAGAAAAAGGACAAAATAAACTAAGAGCAAGCATAAGGAGGAAATAATAAAACTAGAGCAAAATTCCAAGAAATTAAAAGCAGAAAACAATTGAATAAACCAACAAAACAGAAAGTCAATTCTTTGAAAAGAATAATACAATTAACAAGCCTCTAGCGACACAGACAAACAAATATAGAATCAAGACACAAGTTACCAATATCATGAGTAAAACAGGGAATATCACTTCAGACCCTGAAGACACTGAAGTGTACAAAACCACAATGAGATCTCACTGCACACCTAACAGAAAGGCTAAAATGAAATATAGAGATAATACCAAATCTTGCCAAGGATGCAGAGAAACTGATTGCTCGTATATCGCTGGTAGGAAAGGAAAATGGCACAGCTACTTTGGAAAATAGTTTGGCAGTTCCTTACAAAACTAAACAGGCATATGTGTTATAATGTAATCATTGCACTCTTGAACATTTATATCAGAGAAACAAAAAGTATGGCCAGGCGCGGTGGCTCACGCCTGTAATCTCAGCACTTTGGGAGGCCGAGGCGTGTGCATCATGAGGTCAGGAGATAGAGACCATCTTGGCTAACACCGTGAAACTCCTTCTCTACTAAAAATACAAGAAAATTAGCCGGGCGTGGTGGCGGGTGCCTGTAGTCCCAGCTACTCTGGAGGCTGAGGCAGGAGAATGGAGTGAACCTGGGAGGCGGAGCTTTCAGTGGGCCGAGATCACGCCACTGCACTCCAGCCTGGGCGACAGAGCAAGACTCCGTCTCAACAACAACAACAACAACAACAAAATTATGTTGACACAAAACCTGTAAACTAATGTTCATAGCAGTTTCATTTGTTTGTAATAGCTGAAAACTTGAAACAACTCAACTGTCTTAACAAATGGTTAAAATAATGGTGTCACCTCCCTGTTACAAACGCATGTGTTGTTATACACAAGTGGGATATATCTCAAGGGAATAGTGCTGTGTATAAAAACCCAATCTGACTGATTTTCTTTCTTTCTTTTCTTTTTTCTTTTTGATTTTTTTTTGTTTTTTGTTTTTTGTTTGTTTGTTGAGACGGCGTCTTGCTCTGTCGCCAGGCTGGAGGGCAGTGGCGCAATCTCAGCTCAGTGCAACTTCCGCCTCCCGGGTTCGAGCAATTCTCCTGCCTCAGCCTCCTGAGTAGCTGGGACTACAGGCGCGTGCCACCACGCCCAGCCAGTTTCTCTATTTTTAGTGGAGACGGGGTTTCACCATGTTAGCCAGGATGATCTCCATCTCCTGATCTCGTAATCCGCCCACCTCGGCCTCCCAAAGTGCTGGGATTACAGGCATGAGCCACCGCGCCCGGCCTGAGTGATTTTATTTATGTAACATCATTGAATAGAGATGGAGTATAAATTCATGCTTGTGTGTGTTGAGGGGGTAGTCACGGAGGGGTGAAGAAGGTGGATATGGCTAGAGAGAGGCCGCATGAGGGAGCTTCGTAGTGGAACAGTCTGTGTCTTGATTGTCATGATGATTACACAAATCTACACATGTGATAAAATTCTATAGAACTATACACACATGCACATACACATACACACAGGGATGCAAACCTGGCAAAAACTAAATATACTTTATAGATTGCACCAATGTCAGTTTTCTAGATTTGATATTATACTAGAGTTTTGCAAGATGTAACCACTGGGGCAATTTGCATGAAGAGTACACAGGATAAACCTACATAATTTTTTGTGACATCCTGTGTATCCATTATTTGAAAATAATTTTATAAAAAAGACTTTGGTAGATAGAATGTGGAAGCTCTGCTTGCTAGACATCATCTGTTTGGGGGATATATAATATCAATAGCAAACAGTTATCAAGCACTAACTATATGTCAGGCACTGTGTTATGAGATATACATGTAGTTTCTTACATAATACCAACATTTTCAAGGTAGATAGGATTTTAATACATTCTCAGATGATAAAATAGAAGCCCAAAAGAGGTTAAATTAGCTTCCTATATTTTCACAAGTAATACCGTGCTGTATTTTACAGGGTAAGATGGAAATTGAAGTGCTTTCTGGGATAGTGGGAACGCCTGCCTGCTTCTATAAATATATCTTTCTCTTATCATTGATGCTGATGTTTCCTATATCAGAAGTAAGATCTTTCAATTTCTTATTAGAAATGCATCTGATTCCATGATGGAAGGAAAAGGGACACCCTACAGAAGGAAAATGGAGAAGATAAGGGTATAAGGCTATCCAGGACATATTAGATCCACTTTGTGACCTAGACAATAAATGTTCTAGTCTCAACTGAAGGGTAGGACTTTTCTGAAAACAAATCTTGCATACTTAAAATTTCTCTCAACATTGGCCTTAATCTCGATATGTAAAATTATAGTGTAGGAAATTTGATCAAAATCAGTCCAGACATTTGAAAGTTAGCAGGAAACAAACACAGGTAAAGCACTAAAAGTTCCAATCGATTTCACCATGTTCAATCAATGTTTTTTAATGCCCAATTCAGTGGGCAGCCTTCTTTTAAACATCCATATAAACCAAGAATGACTAAAAAAGCATTTGATTTTACCACATACTGTTAGCTGAAAATTAACCACAGAGAGGCAGAAGACAGAATATTCAATAGCAAATTATTTCTCTTTTCCATATAAAATAGGTCTCTTCATATGGATCACGTAAAAAAAGAAAGCTCTCTGTAATTTAGATATTAAGAGCTTAAGCACATTTTTTGTTTGATTTATAATGAGTCCAATTTTCCAACTAATGATTCCTTTCTTGGATTAGAGTGATTTTGCGATTGAGCTTCAAAAGCAATTATATAGCTGGAATCATTAATTTAATATACTTCACTAACTTAAATACTAACAATTTCATTTCTGATCTTAAAATGCTAATTTTTAAATCTTATAATAATGAAGCCTTTATTTTTTTATTCCAAAATTGGGTGGATAAATCTCAAACCCAGGTGTCAAGAGTAATTCCTCTCCTGATCCTGCCTTTTTTGGTAAATTCTATTTGTTCTTTCAACAACACGTTATCCAAAATTTATTAAGTGCCAGGTATTATGTTAAGTGCTGGAACACATCAAGTTGTATTACATGAAATTGTTGTTATATGACCTGACCATTTTTAAGCCTAAAAAGAATAATGTTATACTATTCAATCTAACAGAAATAAAAATGTAGGTTGTTCCATGAAAACTTCACAATCTGATAGAAGAAACTTACAAATAAACAAAATGATAACTTGGAGAGATTCTGAAAGATGTCCTGAGAAAGTGCTCATGCTGATTCTGGGGAGATGTAAGAGGAACCAAGTGGAGAAGGCATATAGGAAAGAAGATCTTTTCTATTAGAAGCAAAGTGTTCACAGAGAAATTCAGACTCTAGATGACAAAAATTATGAGTCTTGACTGAAGAGAAGGATCAAACCACAAAGCCTTTTATGTGATGAGATTTTTTTTTATGGCAATTGAGAAACATTAGGGAATATTTGCATTTTAAGAAGGTCACTCTAGCAGCCTTATGTGTGTTGGGGTGTTGGGGGAGGTATACAGGAGTTAGGACTGGAGCCAGGGGAGTGCAGAATAACTTCTGCACTCAGAAGTTAGTGCATCACTGTAGGCAAGAGTACAGAAAAGCAATAGCATTAGAAATGGTTAGAAGCAGCCAATGCAAGGGAAATAAGAGTGACATTATTATACTGGCCTCATGTAGAATGAATCAGTGGGAGAAATTCAGATAGAGAGTTTTTGTTTGAGTAATGGTATGAAAAACTGAGACAGAAAATATAGAAGAGTCAGGTCAGGGTGGAGGCAAGGAGGAATGTAATAAATCCAGTTTCACACAATCAAGTGAACATATATGTTTGGGATTTGACATTGGGCTTTGAGACCACACATCTGAACTGGAAATACAGATGACAGAGTCAACAGAATACACATGGTAGTTCAGCTCATAGGAATGCATGGGGTTACTCAGGAGAAGAGTGGAGTGAATAGCCAAAGGCCAAGGAAACAGTGCTGGCAACACCAACAACTGAAAGGTGGGACAAAGGAGGGAATCCCAGAAAAGAGGAGGGATGCAGAGTGATGGGAAGGAAGCTAGAGTGTTTGCTGTGAAGGAAGCCAAAAGAAGAGAGAATTTAAGGAGAGGAGAATAATTAAGAAGATCAAATAGCATGGGAAGGTTGAATAATAAAGACAGAAGGGTATCCAGTGGCTTTTGCTACTAGGAAACCATTTGTGACCTCAGTGGAGAGTAATTTTTATGAAGACTTGGGGATAGAAATAGATTGCAGAGGGTTTAGGAGTAAATTTTAAAAAGTGAGCAAGTGGAGGCAGCATGTGCAGGCTACTTAAAAGCAAACCGAAACACCATCACCAGATGTGTCTTTGTATCTTTATCATAAAAATAATATACGGTCATGGGGAGGGGGAATTCAGGTGTTAAAAAAGCACTTGTAATTCCAGAGAAAAAATACGAGTAATATTTAAGTTGTAGTATACAATCCTCTAGAATTTTTCTATGCATTAAAACATATATATATATAGAGAGATATATAGTATACATGCACACACATAGACATACACACACACTCAGTATACTTACTGGCAAATCATTATCTTGTAAACTGCTTTTATTACTTAAGATATTATGGGCGTGTCAACAAATAGTCTTAGAAGACATTTATCAGGCTCTGTGGATGGGCCTTGATTTATTTAACCATTACATATGATTGGACATATTAATTACCTCATACAGAACTACATGCTCATCCTCTGTCCTTCTGCTCTTATCTGCCTTGTTCTTCTTAAAACCTGAGGCACAGCTGCTATCTGGAGATTTTCCTTCACCTACCAGTTTGGGAAGATTGTTTTCCTGATTCTTTATTTGTCTGATTTTCTTTTAATCCTATTGACTCATCTGGTAGAACTTTTGCATACAGAGTTGTAAGCCAAAAATAATGCTCTCTCACAACTCCTATGACATTCATTATCTTCCAGTATCCACTGTTGCAGAAAAACAAACAAACAAACAAATAGGAGAATCTCATGCCTAGAATTCTCTCTTTTGTACATATCATGACTTTTACTTTTCAAAAGATTTAAAACCCTTATCTATGTATTTGTGCTCCAAAATTTCAGAATTGAGGAATCCAGATGTGACCTATTTTAATTAATTGTTCTTGAGATTCAGTAGCCTCTTTCAATTTAAAGAGTCAAATCTTTTAACCCTGGAGATTTACCTTCAATTAGTTATTTGATAATTTCTCTCATCTATTTTTACATACTTGATCTTTAGAAATTCTATTCTGTTAGTTAGACGTTTGAACCTCTTGAATTGTTTCTCTATTCTAATATTTTCTATTACATCTTCAGTTCCTTTGTGGGTTTCTTTTTCCGTATTTTTTGGTAGCAATACATTTCATATGCAAGAGCTCCTTTGAATTCTCTGGTTTTTCCTTTTGTAGCTTCCTATTTTTGTTTTGTGGATACATTTTCTTCATGGTCCCTGAAGATGACAATTAGATATTTTGTTGTTTTCTTTTTTTGAGATAGAGTCTCCCTCTCTCGCCTAGGCTAGAGTGCAGTGGCACGATCTCAGCTCACGGCAACCTCTTCCTCCCAGGTCCAGGCAATTCTCATGCCTCAGCTTCCTGAGTAGCTGGGATTACAGGCATGCACCACCAAACCCAGCGATTTTTTTTTTTATTTTGTATTTTTAGTAGAGACTGGGTTTCACCTTGTTGGCCAGGCTGGTCTCGAACTCCTGACGTCAAATGATACACTCGCCTGGGCCTCCCAAAGTGCTAGGATTAGAGGCATGAGCCACCACGCCCAGCCATTTTCTTTCTTTAAAATAGTTTTTATGTTAGTTTACTTTGATCACTTTGTTATGTTGAAGGATTTCTGAAGGTTTTTAGTACATCTTGATTATTTTTTTACAAAAAAAGTTGGCAAAAAAAAAATCTTGGTATTTCTAAATATGTAGACTGTGCTAATTGATAGGCAAGTGTTTCTTTAGATTAATGAGTGGGAAGAGACCAAGGGAACTCTACATTCAAGTTTCTCTTAAACTTCTTTAGAAAAGTCCCCTCCTGCTTGGTGGACAGAAGCCTGCTTTCCAGTGTGCTTTTCTTGGAGGTTGGAAAGATCTATGTGTGGGGGGTAGTGAACTGTTCCAAATACAGACATTCTATTATCCCTCCTGTTTTTATTCCCATGTCTAACTTTGCCCTCAATCGAATCTAGCATATTTCAGTCTCAAGTATTGCCTACAATTGTCATTACAGGTGAATTTAAACTATAAGCCTTTCTGTACACTAGGCTGGAGGTTTCCTCTGACCTTATTCACAATTTATCACTTTCAACCTCTTTTATATGTTTCATAAATTTGCTAAAATCTCTAATCTGTTGATGACCCATCTCCTTTTATTTTTCTAAACAGTGGGTTTGACTCTATGTCCCCACCCAAGTGTAATCTCGAATTGTAATCCCCATAATCCCCATGTATTAAGGGCGGGACCTGGTGGAGGGTGATAGGATCACGGGGGCAATTTCCTCCATGCTGTTCTCATGACAGTGAGTGAGTTCTCACAAGATCTGATGGTTTTATAAGCATCTGGCGTTTTCCCAGCTTGCACTTCTCTCTCCTGCCACCATGTGAAGAAGGATGTGTTTGCTTCGCCTTCGCCTTCTGCCATGATTGTAAGTTTCCTGAGGCTTCCCCAACAATGTGGAACTTTGAGTCAACAAACCTCTTTCTGGCTGGGCACGGTGGCTCACACCTGTAATCCCAGCACTTTGGGAGGCTGAGGCAGGCAGATCATCTGAGGCCAGGAGTTCAAGACCAGCCTGGAAATATGATGAAACCCTGTCTCTACTAAAAATACCAAAAGAAAAAAATTATCTGGGTGTGGGGGCATACACCTGTAGTCCCAGCTACTCAGGAGGCTGAAGCAGGAGAATTGCTTAAACCCAGGAGGCGGAGGTTGCAGTGAGCCAAGATTGTCCCACTGTACTCCAGCCTGGGTGACAGAGCGAGATGCCATCTGTAAATAAATAAATAAATAAATAAATACGTTAACCTCTTTCCTTTATAAATTACCTAGTCTCGGGTATTTCTTTATAGCAGTGTGAGAATGGACTAATAGAGTTGGGTTCATAAAATGTTAATGGGGATCTTTGATTGACGATGTAGTATAATGTATTTTTAATCAAATGTTTCCTTAAGTGCAGGTTAACTCTGTCCCTCTAGTTTATGAACTCCATAAAGGTAGGGAAGTGAACGTTTTCACTGCTGTATCCCTAATGCCTATCGTAGTGTCTAGTAAAGTCTAGCAGTGTAGTTGCTGAAAGAGCAATTAGGACTTGTGAGAACATCACAGGGGAATAAAACAAAAACAAAAATAAAGCCTTTAAATTTTAATCTAGCTGGATTAAATTTTAAAATATTAAGAAGAGATACAATCTTACATAAAATTAACATAATTTATTTTTATTTATTGATAATCTACCTTAGCTATCTGTTTTGGAACAATGAAAACAGTGATACTGGAGCAAGAAAAAGTGGTAAATAATATGGCTTGTTCTATGATGGTCTGCCCTTTAAAATGTATATTTACTGTGTGTATGTGGGTGCACACACACATATACACATGCATGCACGCATGATATCACTTTTATTAATTTTTTCTGAGTCTCCTGTATTCATTAGTCTTTGGACTTGTTAATTACAATTTTTGCCAACTGAAGTGCTTAAGTAAGGCAATGCTTATGGTTGATGAGGAGTAACTGTATATCACACAGATATCACAGTTACCATCTGCCTGGATCCCAAGTGTTTACACAAGGTAAGATAGATTAGCAGTTCAGTTAATTAAATCACGGCTTCTGGAGTGTTGGATACCTAGTTCCTACTGCTCATTCTCATTAGTTCACTCATCCATTCATCAAATAACTATGAAATGCCTACCATTTAAAAACCAAATGAGGTAGGATTTGAGTGTATTCAACCAGGTAAACAGCTATATAAAAACAGTGAAGGCAAAGCAACACATAATTTTGTAACAAAGAACGCAACCTCCTGAGGCACCTAGCAGCTGGTATAACAGCAATGGGCATGAGGAAAGAGAAATTGAGAAGTATTGTGGTTTGGGCTACGTGCTAACTGAGGCATCAGTCCTGGGGAACAGAGGTTCAGAAGCAGGGTAGACATATAGACTACCAGAAGATGTGGCTCAGCATGTCTGGACAAGAGCAAGTTAATTGCATGGACCAACATAGGGTTGCCACAAGGATCCAAATAACTCTTCTTAACTAAGCCAGAATTTATTTTAAACTTGTCTTTCCTGGAGGTGATGGTATTGGTGGACCAAGCTGCAAGGAACTGGAGAAGGCAGAGCAAAGAAAATAATACAATGGCTAGCATAGAGGGTTGCAAATTGTGTTGAATAACAGAAATGGCATCTTTGGACTATGTTCTTAATTTAAAAGGGGGTTTCACCTATTTCTTATTATTTCTGATGCCTGGAACTTTTCTTAGTAATTTTGATCTTGGATAGCTAGAGAAAAGAAGTGAGGATAAATTCAAGCTTGGCTCAAAGATTGCTAGAAATATTAACTACAGATTTTCACTAGCAATGAGAAAGGTGGTAATATGATAGCTCAAGCTAAGGTTGAAGGAATAAACTCTGACAAGGACAGCTTCTACAAGTTAAACATTCCTCCACATTATGGGTTATGGGCTAGCATGAGAACAGCGAGAAGCATTTAGTACAGAATTTAAGGTGGCACTCACTCTCAGAGTCTGCAAATGCCATCCTACTCTCTTGCAAGACCCTGAGAGTGAGTGACTCCTTAAATTTTCTGTATTTGGCCTCTCACTAGCCTTAACCTAGCTCTGGCCCTACCACATTAAAATCTTTTTTAGACAATCTACCCATTTCAAGCCTCATTCCCTCACCACCTCAACCCATCCCTCAAAATAAGTAGTAAAAGAGTTACCAAGAGAAATGAGGGACACCTGCCTGAACATGAGACCTTCACTCTCAATCTAAAAAGATTTGTCCTTAGGTATCTAGTTTGGTGATTTTATCTTCTTTTAAGCTCTTGGAATCCTGTAACGAAACTGCACATGCCTATTAGCCATTTTTGGTGGCTTATGTGAGGATAGAGAACATACTTAAGCAAGTTGCATTTGACATGAAGTTGGCAGGGATAGTGAATAGATTTCATGCCAGAATCAAGATTTTAAAAGATCTCGACAGGCTGCAATGATGGGCCAAATATAGTAAGATGAAACTTAACAGGGATAAATGTCTGTACTTTGGTCAAAGTTCCAACTAAATAAACACAGAATGAGAGAGATGCAGTTGAAAGGTAACTCTTATGAAAGACTTGAAGGTTTCAGCTTGAACTGTTTCAATAAGTCAATCATGCAGTGTGTTTAACCTAAAACTAAATGTAATTTTAGGCATTATTGACGGAAGTCACTCATCTAAAATGAGGAAGATGATAACTCTGCTCTATTCAAATAGAGTTACCCCTCTATCAAGGGGAGTGAATATTTCTTTTGTTTAGAAAAATGTATTAGTGGTTTCCTTGCAAATGAGATATGTGGACTTATTTAGGAGGGAGAATGTTATGCAAGGGAAATTTCAGAATGAGAAAAAGTAGGAATTTTCTGGAAGAAATGTCTCTGTAGGTGGAGGTAGGGGTCTAGCACCACAGTGGTAGGTTTGAGAGTAAGGAGAGGAAAGGCTATGAGATTCCCCTTTCTTGCTGGGGAAAGTTTGTGAGTTTTCAGAACTGCTATTTAATAGTAGATTGTTTTCTGTTCTGAAATATAATTTCCCTCAAGTCTCTAAATTTTCATTGTAAGTCATTTGCATACAACAGGTTTGTGTTTGGTAGAATAGCCACAGTAAGTAAGGCTACATAGAGATATCAAAAATGGAGCATGAGTCGGGGATTTGGAGCAAGAATAAAAAGCAAGCAGAAGAACGTGAAAAGACTGGACTGGCTTAGCCTCCCAGCCTACATCTTTCTCCCATGCTGGATGCTTCCTGCCCTCGAACATTGGACTCCAGTTTCTTCAACTTAGGGACTTGGATTGGCTTCCTTGCTCCTCAGCTTGCAGAGAGTCTATTGTGGGATGTTGTGATCGTGTGAGTTAACACTCCTTAATAAACTCCCATAGATATGTATTTCTGTCCTATTAGTTCTGTCCCTCTAGAGAACTCTGACTAATACAATCACCATGAAGAAAAATTGCAGAGGAGCAAAACTTCTGTCCAGGGCCCCATCTATGAAGCTATAATTCAGGGAAGAAATAACTGTGGTCTGAACTGTGGTCCCACTAAGGCAGTGGGAAAGGGAGAGAAATATATATTTATATTTAATATATATATGGATTTGATAAATAATAAGGAAGTTTAAAAAGATCTTGTTTGCTGCTTTGCCTCTAGATTGATGGTGATGCACTTCACTGAGGGAGGAATAAGCGAGAGCACCAAGCCTGGTGGAAGGAACTTGAGAGAGGATGGGATTTGGTGATGAGTTTGGTTTTGTACTTGCTCATTTTGATATACCCAAGGGATACAAGTATTTATGTGGTTTTTAGGCAGTGGGCCATTCAGGTCTGTGCTTGGGAGTGATATCTGGATCCAACAGAGATTTGAGACCATCAGGACATGGGTGATGATCAAGACTTTGAAAAGGTGATTCAGGAAGATTGTGTAATGGAGGATGAGATGGGACATGAGAGCAGAACCCAGAGGAACATCAATATTTTAGGGACGATCAGAGGGAAAAGCATTTATGAATACTACTAAGAAGCGATTCCTAAAGAGGTAAAAGGAAGATAACAAAAACTTGTCACAGAGTCAAGTGAAATAAGAGTTTCCAGGAGACAAAGGCTAAGAATATCTAAGGAAACAGCAAGAAAGAACTAATAAGTGTCCTCACAGTGAAATACCAAAAAAAGAGATGAGTGATAGTAATGGTTAAAGCAGTTTTATCTAAGTGTAAGGGAGTGTTTATCATATAGGGAAAGTTTCTGAAAAGAGAGTTGTCCAAGAAGGAAATACAGGAATGTTCTCCCTATGACTAGGTATATTCAAGTACTGCTACTTGATAAGGTTTTTACATAATAAAAATTCAAACCTGAGATTTTTTTCTTAATTAAAAAATATAATAGAAATTTATAATATGAAGTTTATAATTATTACTGTGACTTCACCCTAAAGTAAACAGACATAAAAGTTAAGGAAATATTGTGAAAGAGCTGTATTCTAAATGAAACAGGGATATTCCTGATTGCTAATGTAATAAAATATTTATATAAATACATTTATGAAACAATTTAAAGCGTGGAGAAAAGTTGCAAAAAGGGAATGAAGAACTTTTTCCTCTGAGTTTGAGTAAGAGGATTATGTGATACTGCATCAACCCAGAATACTTTAATGAGTATTCTTTTCTTTTCTTTCTTTTTTTTTTTTTTTTTTTCTTTGAGGTGCAGTCTTACTCTGTCGCCCAGGCTGGAGTGCAGCAGCACACACTATCTTGGCTCACTGCACCCTGTGCCTCCTGGGTTCAAGCGGTTCTCATGTCTCAGGCCTCCGGATTAATTGAGACTACAGGCATGCAGCATGCCTGGCTAATTTGTATGTTTAGTTGAGATAGGGTTTCACCATGTTAGCCAGGCTGGTCTCAAATTCCTGACCTCAAGTGATCTGCCACCCTCAACCTCCCAAAGTGCTGGGATTACAGGCGTGAGCCACCACGCCTGGCCTAATGAGTATTTCTTATAACTGAAGACTTTATCTTACATTACTGTAAACCATCAATATCAGTAAATTCATATAAATATATGACTCTCATGTAACTTCAGACTCCATTTACATTTTATCAATTATTCAAATAACAAAAGGATCCAGTTCAGAATCAAATGTTGCATTTAGTTGTCATGTCTCTTTATTCTCCTTCAATTTGGAACAGATCCTAAATCTTTCCTTGACTTCATGATCTCGACACTTTTGAAGATAAAAAGGTCAGCTATTTTGTAGAATGTCCCTCAATTTTAGTTTTTTTGTGTGTTTCCTCATAATTAAATTCCATATATGCATTTTATTTCTTACAGGAGTACCGTAAAAGTTATATTGCATTTTCCTCATTGCATTTATCACCCAGTACCTGATTTGAATTGTCCTATTACTGGTAATATTAATGTTGATTACTTGTTTAAAGTAGTGCCTGCCAGGATTCTCCACTGGAAAGCTATTACTTTTCCCTTTGGAATGAAAGAATAATGGGGATGTATTCTGAGATTATGTAAATGTCCCATCTCTCATCGAACTTTCAATTAATTAGCTTATATTAACATATAATATACTAACTTATATTAATTAGCAGCTAACATATTAACTTATAATTAATTAACATATTAATTAACAAACTTATACTTAGCCCATGAGTATGGGCTGATGGATTCTTATTTTATTTGATGTTGTAATTTATTGATGTTGTTGTTATAATTTATTTTGATGTTCAAGTTGTCCTGGATTTGGCCAGTGGGAGCTTCTTTAAGCTGCTTCCTATGCTGTTAGACATGTCCTCATTATTCTTTCAGCACTCTTTATGGCATAACAAAATGTTCCAGACTCATCTTGTACTTTCCCTGCCCAGCCTTGGATTCAGCTATTTCAACAAGAAGCCCTAATTTTTTTCAAGAGAGAATAGCATTTAGTAACCAAGATCTGGGTGCTAGGTATTTTAAACATAGACACACAAGCACACACTGTGATAGTTCGTTTTTGGTGTCAACTTGACTAGGACAGGAGGTACCCAGATATTTGGTCAGACATTATTCTGGGCATGTCCATGAGGCTGTTTCTGGATGACAGTAACATTTGTATCTACAGACTGAGTAACGCAGATTGTCCCCTGCCCCCACTGTGAGTGGGCCTCATCTAATCAGTTGAAGGCCTGAATAGAATCAAAAGGCTGACCCTCCCATAAGTAAAGGGAACATTTTCCTGCCTGATGGCTAAAAAGCTGGGGTTTTTTCCTGCCTTCAATCTCTAAGTGAAACATCAACTCTTCTTGGATTTCAAGCCCGCTGGCCTTTGGACTGGGGTGGCACCATTGGTTTTCCTGAATCTCCATCTTTCTGATTGCAGATCGTGGGACTTGTTATCCTCCATAATCACATGAATGGATTCTTACTGATAAATCTTATTGCTTATGTTTCTCTGGAGAACCCTGACTACTATACACACACACATATTATACTCTAGAGTTATTTCTATATCTATCTAAATATGTTGAAAAACATGAGTTCACACTTACATTTCCAATTTCAATGCAGTACCACAGATTCATCCTAGTTTTTTTTTTCTATTCCCTGTTTGTACTTCCCTTCTCTGACCATGAAAAACCTGACTCCTATTTTCTTTCTTTCTTTCTTTCTTTCTTTCTTTCTTTCTTTCTTTCTTTCTTTCTTTCTTTCTTTCTTTCTTTCTTTCTTTTTCTTTCTTTTTCTTTCTTTCTTTCTTTTTCTTTCTTTTTTCTTTCTTTCTTTTTCTCTTTCTTTCTTTCTCTTTCTTTCTTTCTTTCTTTCTTTCTTTCTTTCTTTCTTTCTTTCTTTCTTTCTTTCTTTCTTTCTTCCTTCCTTCCTTCCTTCCTTCCTTCCTTCCTTCCTTCCTTCCTTTCTTCCTTTCTTTCTTTCTTTTAGACAGAGTCTCGCTCTGTCGCTTAGACTGGATTGCAGTGACGCAATCTCGGCTCACAGCAAACTTCGCCTCCCAGGTTCAAGCAATTCTCCAGCCTCAGCCTCCTGTGCAGCTGAGAATACAGGCACCTGCCACCACACCCAGCTAATTTTTGTATTTTTTAGTAGAGACGGGGTTTCACCATGTTGGCCAGGCTGGTCTCGAACTCCTGACCTCAGGTAATCTGCCCGCCTTGGCCTCCCAGAGTGCTGAGATTACAGGCATGAGACACTGCGCCCCTCCCCTATTTTCTTGTTATCTATTTTCTTACTTGATCAGACCCCCTGTATGTAACTGAGCATTGATCTCTGCTGCCACCCTTTGTCTCACTGCACCGACATCCTTCTTGCTCCGCCGGGGTCTGACGCCACTTGCCAGGCCATCATCACCACTGTCCCCTGAGCAGTCCCCTATGTCCCCCACTGTAGCTACCACCTTCTGCATCACCCTTACTTTAGGCACCAGCATCCTGCACTGGACAGCTGCCACTGCAATTCTCCATAGACCCCGCAGCCCTGACCGTGTGGACACTGCTTACCTGGCTTGTTCTCCCCATTCTGTGTGGGGCTGTCCTTCTATGCAAAACCTCCTCATCTCTTTGTTTGTTTGTTTGTTTGTTTTTTACTCCATCAAACAGTATGGAAAATTTACAGCAAATACTTTGGACGTTTCCTCGTTTAAACAATTCTCTAATTCATCAAATACATTTAGAAAAGTACCTATATAAATAAGTATATTTAACAGCCTCCCTCTTCTATGTACTATTCCCAAGCTTTCAGTTTTAGTGTCACCACTAAATGTAGGAAGGAAACTCATGGCCTTGAAACACGTCAAAAGGACCCCATATTCTACTTGAGCAATGGCATTCTATGTCCCACTTATACAAGTTGTGTATTCAAATTTAGGATTCATGACAGCTGTGCTACTATACTTAGAAGGAGGGCAGGGATAGAAATTTAATTTTGACAAATTTCTCATCACAGCTTAAGTCTTGTTTTGAAAAATGAATTATTTAAAAACAAAACACTTATTTATATAAGTGTGCTTTTCAAAATCTCAATTTAAAGTATTCACAACTTTAGTTGTGAAGGCATATATCATGATAAATATCCTTATTTTTGGTATAGTTCCTGTAACCAATTTTTTTGAGATAAATGTTTTTATAGCAAAACATTGGCAAAATCTTTTTGTCTTTCTGAATTTTTTGCTCTTTCGTTTAGAGAAACCATGAAGAGTTTCTTCGTTATTGGGCACTGAAATGCTGACATATGACATGTAATATTTGTTACTTTCCATGAGGCAACATAAAAGTTGGCAGATATGTGTTCCTTGAAATTAAGGAAGAATCATGGCAAGTTTCCTTGCCAAACACCGTGGTTATAGGAGAATTATGTGTGATTTATTCAGTGATAGAGTTGTCCAGAAATAGAAAAAAAAAGAAATAATATTCTGGCATGATTCTTTGTATATGTATTGAATTTATTCCTATCACTAGCTTTATTTCCAAAAAAAAATCCTGTAATCATATTTTATGCTATTTTATTTAAAAAGAAATAAAGAAACACACCGAATAGAAATAGGGTGCTATTGGAGAGTTTTAACTCTTTTACAATAGGAAATATGGATTCAATGTCTAGACTCGACGTAAAAGACTGCAAATGGGAATTGGTCAATTCAGCGATTGCAAATCTTGCTTCAGAGTCATTCAGCCTGCTTCCAGTGATTTCAATGTGTGTGAAATATGTCAAAAATTGTCACAAGAAATTTATTATTATTAAGAAAATAACGGTGGAGTTAGCAGTGATAATAGCATATTTAGGAAATTGATGAGTTTTGAGTAGCTCTAAAAATTAGCAAAATTGCTTATTTAATTTTCACGTACAGGCTTAATTATTTACAGAAATTGTGTGAATGAAAACCAAATATGGTAGAGATACTAAAGCAGTATTTCCCAAAATGAGCCATAAAATATTTTTTGTGGTTTCAACCAACATCTAAAAAATAAAATAGTTGTAGAAAAATATCAGAAGGCATCATATGCAGGAAGGGTGAGGATTGTCTTTGTAAAATCTTTATGTATTTCCATTATTATACATGATTGGATGTTGGAGAATTATGACACAAAATGTATTTTTACTATTTTGGTTGTGTAAAAAAATACTTGAAAATTATTCTGTTTGAGGAGTCCTATGAAGAGTTTTTTTTTCACTGACCTATTAATATTCTAAACTCAAGCTTTAATTTGGTCTTCTTAGTGTGTGAGTGTGTATGTGGTTGCGTATTTCTCCTACACTTGATAAAACAGCACATGCTAAATATTAATCATTTTTAAGTATCATAATTATGTTTGTGGAATACTTATTATATATCATGTTCCGTGGTAGATTCCAGGGATAAAAAGATAATCTGTGCTCCAGAAAGTTTACTTGAGTGGGATAATGAGAAATTAACAAATGATTGCAGGAAGCTGATCTGAGTGTCCCTAGGCATAGATCAACAAAGAGTAATGGCAGGAGTACACGTGGGCTTGATGCTTAAAATCCTATGCAGAGAAATAACATTAGAGCTGAATCTTGAAGGAGGAGAGTCACAGTAGAGGGAGGCAGAAAGAAGAGCAAATGCATAGGAGTGAACACTTTATGTAACTGCAGACAAAAGGTGACTGGCAACTGGAGTCGGAGGGTGGAGGGTTGGGGGTGGTATGGTATAGCTGAATGGTTAAAAAGTATTCCTACGAGTCCTGTTTGCTATACTGATGTGCTATGCTTTTATCCTGAAAGCAATGAGGAATCATCCTCCTTGAGATTTTCAGGTACAGCAGCATCATGATTTGATCAGTCTT
The DNA here is from genome assembly GCF_000001405.40 of Homo sapiens. Taxonomy (NCBI): domain Eukaryota; kingdom Metazoa; phylum Chordata; class Mammalia; order Primates; family Hominidae; genus Homo; species Homo sapiens. The sequence goes on along the minus strand of NC_000006.12, from coordinate 72,497,211 downwards.
CCTAATAAGATTGCTTGGATTGGAAGGATGGATTGGCAAGTGGCTCCCAATTAGAGGAAGGAAAACCCAGTGTGAACTTAGAGATAACAAGGGTGTGAATTAAAACCCTAACAGTGAAGATGAGGGAAAAAAAAAAACCCTAAAATTGGAGGCAGAAGAAGGATAAATTTGCAAGAGTCATAAAAGGAAGAAGAGTAGGATTTGTGATGGGGTTGTAAGGGCAGGAAGACATCAATGTAGGCATAGAGTAAAACAATGAATTGTTCAGCTAAATAAGTACATTTTCAAGGTTAACCTTGACCAAAATAGTGAATAGAAGTAAGAAATAGATTTGGGGAAGTCAGATTGCTAACTTACTTTCAGATATGTAGATTTGTGTCATTGGAGGACCCTCCATGGAGATATTTCACAGGGGCTCAGATAGAATTAGACTGTCAAAAATATTTGTTAATGAATATATGAACAGTTGGATGGGACTGTCAAAGGCTCAGAAGTGGCATCAGTGATTTGGGCTTCACTGATTTGGAATAAGAGAAAATCACCTACAATGGGAGTAGGGAACACCAGTATTGAAGGAAGTAGGGAATAAAAGTAGAGGCAGAAATAAAAATTTTCAAAGCACGTAATCAGTCCAACATTATTTTAGTCTACATTTAAATTTTTAATTCAGGACATAGCATTTTCTTAAGAAAAAATATCCACATAGCATGTTATGTCAGATCAGCTAACTTTACTGACTCGTAAACTACTCCAAATCATGTCAATGTGAGGATTTTGTAAGTGGATATCTGTAAACTATGATATGATTCAGAAAAATTCCAAACACAGAGGGACCCTAAATTGTTGCATCTTTTTACATTTTGAAAGTATCTATGAGTTCAGTCAAGAACAAAGAGACTTGAATTTACAGGACTGAAAATTTAGGTTAACAGCCAAAAGACATTTCCAGTAACCAGAAAGCTATAGGGTATGAGCACTATTGTTCCTTAAGTATTTATTTATCATTATAAATAAAGTTATGTGGTTGTCAAAGAATGGCGATATTTATTGAGTCTCATTAGGAAGACTGAAGCAGATTATGGGACCTCGCAGAAAGTACACTGGAAAAAGAACCAACTTGCTGGCATTTATGACTCTCAAAACTTGATGAGAACTAATGTCTTTTAAATTTTAATCTGTCCAATCTGTTAAATATTTCCTCTCCGATAGTGCCACTCTAGAGCAAGCCATCATCATATCATCCTCTCTCACCTCGACCAACTATTAGCTTCCTAACTGTTCTCATCATTTTTACACTAGATCTCCACTAGATTGGCCAGAGTGATTTTTTAAAATGCAAACCTGATTATGTCACCTTTTGCTAAAGGATATTTTAATTTAGATTTTAAGATAGACTTTAGGATGAAGACTGAAATTCCTACAGTCTACAAGCCTGCATGACCTGGCCCCCTCATAATTCCCTCATTTTGCTCTCTGTTCCATGGTTCCGTGTGGGAGACTATCAAAGCCTTCAGTGTATGGGTGTAGCCCAGACTTTCATCCTTCTGTTATGCTCAGCTCAAAGGCAATTTCCCTAAGCCTCCAGTTGAGCCAGACAGGCTCTGAGACAATGGAACAGGGACACTGAAAGCTTCCTTTATAAAACAAAGAGTATTTGGTACTGATGAATGTATTTGTGTAACAACACGATTAATGTATGTTGGCTTCACTGGACTGGAAAAAGCATGTGGTCATCCCTGTATCCCAACAGCTAGCACAATGCTAGGAATAAGCGGGTGAGTGGTCAATGACACTTGGAATGAATGAAGGGCTTGTGAAGGAATCAGTGAAGTTGAGATGCAGTTGTGTCTGCTTGAAAAAGCAGAGAATTCTTTACAGAATGAGGCCTAAATTAATCTATTTCACAGAGATACAGTAATGTGAATATGTCTTTCTGGCTGTCCTGTTTTATGGAGGAAATGGTGATGAACAGCATACCCAGAAAATATCTTTATTAGACAGTTTTAGGATTACATAATCTCTATAGTCCTTTTCAGCCATAAAATTAGTACTTAATATAATATTAAATATGAACGTATTATTATACACTACTTGAAGTGTTTCTATCTAGTAATATGCTTTCCCCCCTGTATCCTCTATTCTTTGTAGGGCATTTTTTTTTCAACTTTTATTTTAGATACAGGAGATACATATGCAGGTTTGTTACATGGGTATAATTCTGAGGTTTTTGGGTATGGATCCTATCACCCAAGTATTGAGCATAGTACTCAACATGTAATTTTTCAATCCATTTCCCTCTTTCTCCTTCCCCCATTCTAGTAGTCCCAAATCTCTATTATTTCCATGTATACGTCCATGTGTGCTCAGGGTTTAGCTTCCACTTATAATTCAGAACATATGGTATTTGGTTTTCTATTCCTGTGTTAATTCACTTAGGATTATGGCATCAAGCTGCAACCATGTTGCTGCAAATAACATAATTTTATGTCTTCTTGATGGCTGTATATTATTGCATGGTGTATACGTATCATATTTTCTATATCCAGTCCACCATGATGGGCATCTGGGTTGATTCCATGTCTTTGCTATTGTGAATAGAGTGATAATGAACATACAAATGCATATGTCTTTTTGGTATAATGATTTATTTTCCTTTGGGTATATACCTAGTAGTAGGATTGCTGGGTTGAATGGTAGCTCTGTTTTATGTTCTTTGAGAAATCTCCAAACTGCTTTCCACAGTGGCTGAACTACTTTACATTCCAACCAAAAGTGTATAAGAGTTCCCTTTTCTCCACACCTTATATACCTTCTTTTGGGAAGTGTCTGTTCATGTCCTTTGCCCATTTTTTAATGGGGCTATTTTTTTATGTTATAAATAATAGGTTTAATTATATAGAAAACATATATAATTTAAAAATAGGATAATTTATCACAGTGCCTTGTTATAGAAGCAATTTATAATAGTTAATTTCTTTTTATGGTTATTATTATACTTTAGGTTTTAGGGTACATGAGCACAACGTGCAGGTTTGCTACGTATGTATACATGTGCCATGTTGGTGTGCTGCACCCATTAACTCCTCATTTAGCATTAGGTATATCTCCTAATGCTATCCTTCCCCCTTCCCCCAACCCCACAACAGTCCCCGGTGTGTGATGTTCCCCTTCCTGTGTCCATGTGTTCTCATTGTTCAATTCCCACCTATGAGTGAGAACATGCGGTGTTTGGTTTTTTGTCCTTGCGATAGTTTGCTGAGAATGATGGTTTCCAGTTTCATCCATGTCCCTAAAAAGGACATGAACTCATTATTTTTTATGGCTGCATAGTATTCCATGGTGTATATGTACCACATTTTCTTAATCCAGTCTATCATTGTTGGACATTTGGGTTGGTTCCAAGTCTTTGCTATTGTGAATAGTGTCGCAATAAACATACGTGTTCATGCGTCTTTATAGCACCATGATTTATAATCCTTTGGGTATATACCCAGTAATGGAATGGCTGGGTCAAATGGTATTTCTAGTTCTAGATCCCGGAGGAATTGCCACACTGACTTCCACAATGGTTGAACTAGATTACAGTCCCACCAACGGTGTAAAAGTGTTCCTGTTTCTCCACATCCTCTCCAGCACCTGTTGTTTCCTGACTTTTTAACGATTGCCATCCTAACTGGTGTGAGATGGTATCTCATTGTGGTTTTGATTTGCATTTCTCTGATGGCCAGTGATGATGAACATTTCTTCATGTGTCTGTTGGCTGCATAAATGTCTTCTTTTGAGAAGTGTCTGTTCATATCCTTTGCCCACTTTTTGATGGTGTTGTTTGTTTTTTCTTGTAAATTTGTTGGAGTTCATTGTAGATTCTGGATATTAGCCCTTTGTCGGATGAGTAGGTTGCAAAAATTTTCTCCCATTCTGTAGGTTGCCTGTTCACTCTGATGGTAGTTTCTTTTGCTGTGCAGAAGCTCTTTAGTTTAATTAGATCCCATTTGTCAATTTTGGCTTTTATTGCCATTGCTTTTAGTGTTTTAGACATGAAGTCCTCGCCCATGCCTATGTCCTGAATGGTATTGCCTAGGTTTTCTTCTAGGGTTTTTATGGTTTCAGGTCTAACATGTAAGTCTTTAATCTATCTCGAATTAATTTTTGTATAAGGTGTAAGGAAGGGATCCAGTTTCAGCTTTCTACATATGGCTAGCCAGTTTTCCCAGCACCATTTATTAAACAGGGAATCCTTTCCCCATTTCTTGTTTTTATCAGGTTTGTCAAAGATCAGATGGTTGTAGAAACACGGCATTATTTCTGAGGGCTGTGTTCTGTTCCATTGGTCTATATCTCTGTTTTGGTACCAGTACCATGCTGTTTTGGTTACTGTAACCTTGTAGTATAGTTTGAAATCAGGTAGCGTGATGCCTCCAGCTTTGTTCTTTTGGCTTAGGATTGACTTGGCAATGCGGGCTCTTTTTTGGTTCCATATGAACTTCACTGATCCCACAGAAATACAAACTACCATCAGAGAATACTATAAACACCTCTACGCAAATAAACTAGAAAATCTAGAAGAAATGGATAAATTCCTCAACACATACAACCTCCCAAGACTAAACAAGGAAGAAGTTGAATCTCTGAATAGACCAATAACAGGCTCTGAAATTGAAGCAATAATTAATAGCTTACCAACCAAAAAACATCCAGGACCAGATGGATTCACAGCCAAATTCTACCAGAGGTACAAGGAGGAGCTGGTACCATTCCTTCTGAAACTCTTCCAATCAATAGAAAAAGAGGGAATCCTCCCTAACTCATTTTATGAGGCCAGCATCATCCTGATACCAAAGCCTGGCAGAGACACAACAAAAAAAGAGAATTTTAGACCAATATCCCTGATGAACATTGATGCAAAAATCCTCAATAAAATACTGGCAAACCGAATCCAGCAGCACAGCGAAAAGCTTATCCACCATGATCAAGTGGGCTTCATCCCTGGGATGCAAGGGGCTGGTTCAACATACGCAAATCAATAAACGTAATCCAGCACATAAACAGAACCAAAGACAAAAACCATATGATTATCTCAATAGATGCAGAAAAGGCCTTTGACAAAATTCAACAACCTTCATGCTAAAAACTCTCAATAAATTAGGTATTGATGGGACGTATCTCAAAATAATAACAGCTATTTATCACAAACCCACAGCCAATATCATAATGGGCAAAAACTGGAAGAATTCCCTTTGAAAACTGGCACAAGACAGGGATGCCCTCTCTCACCACTGCTATTCAACATAGTGTTGGAAGTTCTGGCCAGGGCAATCAGGCAGGAGAAGGAAATAGAGGGTATTCAATTAGGAAAAGAGGAAGTCAAATTGTCTCTGTTTGCAGATGACATGATTGTATATCTAGAAAACCCCATCATCTCAGCCCCAAATCTCCTTAAGCTAATAGGCAACTTCAGCAAAGTCTCAGGATACAAAATCAATGTGCAAAAATCACAACCATTCTTATACACCAATAACAGACAAACAGAGAGCCAAATCATGAGTGAACTCCCATTCACAATTGCTTCAAAGCGAATAAAATACTTAGGAATCCAACTTACAAGGGACGTGAAGGACCTCTTCAAGGAGAACTACAAACCACTGCTCAATGAAATAAAAGAGGATACAAACAAATGGAAGAACATTCCATGCTCATGGGTAGGAAGAATCAATATCGTGAAAATGGCCATACTGCCCAAGGTAATTTATAGATTCAATGCCATCGCCAACAAGCTACCAATGACTTCCTTCACAGAATTGGAAAAAAACTATGTTTTTGTGCATTTAATAGAAGAAATTAAATGCAGTACCATATAATGCCTTCATGGTAGGGAGGAAAGAGTTTAATGACTATGCTTGCATAAATGCACTTATAAATTATACTAATATTTTTGACTCAAGCTGAATAAAATAAATTTTGAATTCTGAATTAAATTTGCAAGTGATTGTGCATTGCAATATGAAGAACCCACTTAAGGAGTGGTTAATGCTGAATTCAATACAGTCAATCATTTTATTAATAATTTATTATATTAGTATTGCTTATTAGATCTATGAAGGTGTACCTATAGCTATAACTTTTTTAACATCTTTGACATGTAAAGCATAATACTGCATGAAGCTGTGTCTGATGAGCTGGTTGTAATGGGTTCCAGGAGGGTAAAGTAGTGAACGTTGTGGTTTCTGTCCTCAAAAATTGGCCAAAGGGTTCAGTTTTAGTTTATGGTTCCATTCCTCCCCATTCTTTTTCCCTTTAGTCTGGGTGGGCCTGCATCCCAAGCATTAAGGATGAAATATGCAACTAAGGTCCAAGTCTAAGAGTGCATTGTAGTCTTGTAGTCACCTGGCCACAGTAATTGATTGAGGGCTGACAATGACACAATCAGAGCCAATCAGACATAATGAAAGTTTCAGATGGCAACATTGAGGCAGAGGTAGGACCTCTTTGTATTAGACTTGAGATTGGAGGGATATGAGGCTGCAGGTGCTACAGACATATTTCTTCATGAAAGAAAACTCACATAAGGCACCAACTCAGAGGAAAAATCTTAACAATGTCTACTGCCCTCTGCACCAATCCACATCTGCAGTTATATCCACACCCTCAACTTTCTCAGTCATATGAACCATATTTCTTTTAATTATTTTGTTTTTTGAGTGATTCTATTTGAATTGATTCTTGATTACATACAATTCACAGTGCTAATGTAGGTTCATTTGAGAGTTTCTAGATGGAACTAAATTTATACCATGCAGAAGTGAAAATATTCATCAATTCAGTAGACCTTTAATATTTGTAAGGTGCTCCTTACACCTTCTTCATTCTCAGTTTGGAAGATTTCTTTAATTTTAAGAATGACTTCTTTGGAAATCATTTTCCCAAGAAACAATGGGTTTTTTTTCACCTCACTAGAGTTATAGGTGTGTACAATATGAGTCAATTTTACTTAGAGAATTGTCCACTTCAATGCATTCAACTGGACCAAATAATTTATTCTCACATATTATTAGCCTTGAAGAGTCCACAGTTCATCACTGTATTTAAACAAATTATGAATTACTGTGAATCTACATGGTTGCTTTAAGGCATCAGAACTGCAACCTAAATACCTCAAATACCAAGGAGAATTAGAAATAGTTTGATGTATGCTTGTTTATGCACGTTCAGAATATAGACGTAAAGCATTGCCAGTCTTGGTATACATTATGCCTAATCAAATTTACAGTGAGTAAGTTGAAGATATATTTTTAAAATATAAGCAAAATTTAAACATGTAAGAAGATACACCCCCTTGCTTTGGGTGGGGGAAAATGAATTTAATCTAGAAGATGAAAGACTACAATTCGATTTAATCTAGCTAGATATCTGGAGCTAAGGGGATCTGGTTGCAATGTGGAAGCAATGTGGAAGTGTTAGGAGGGAAAGATGGATTTCAATTGCCTTTTTAAAATGAGAAATGATTACTAACTGGGAACTGTCTGCTCTGAAGGAAATTATCTTCCTGAACAGATGAACTCCTCTAGGGTAATTACTACTAAGATTAAGGTCCAGCTTTCTACAAGGAGTCTGACCTTGTAAATGTTCCCTGTTTATTAGTAGATAGGGTTTGCAGGGACTTAAAACCCTTCCATTGAGGACACCCTCATTCTCCAAACAGCAAGAGGCAAATGCTAACTCTCATTAGCCTATCTTGCATTGCAGCATTTAATTTCCATAAGGGAAGAGAAAAGTTTCCACTCAAGGGCAAAAACAAGAAGTTTGTGTTACAAGAGTAACAAAGGTAAATGTTCTCAAACAGTTGCTCATCTGTCTGTATACTACAGAACTTGTATTTTCACACCAATAAACAGATACAAAGGATAAACTGTCCTGCACAGAATTTCTTGAGCATCAACTCACACCAAAGAACTGTTCAGTTCAGTGAAGCAGCCAGGACCTATTCTGGGAGTTATTTCTAATCTTACCTTTTCCTGGTGCCAAGACACTACTGACACAAAACAGGGGTGGAGGGGGCAAGTAGGGAAATCACGGATCACGTAATTAAGAAATTTTATTAAATATATTATTCTCCTTGGTGTATTTACTTCATTTTTTCCCCTAATTTAACTTTCTCCCTTAAGCATCACTAGGGGAGGAGATGAAACCCTACGTAGAACATTAGGTGTTAGTTGTTTCGTAACTAAAGAAATAGATTTCAGTGATTAGCATGTTTTATTTTTTGTCCCCTACTTTAAAAAATTCACTCAAGCTCTCATTTCATGTTTTTCCAGAGCGTAAATATTTAGACACCAATATTTTCATTAGTAACAATAATGAAAACACTGTCATTTATATTTTGTTTTATATATGACAACTTTGTCAGAAGCCAGTTATTTTCCATAACAGTTATTTGAGGTGGGTTAGCAAAAGAAATTCTTACGCTGAGTTTTAGCCATATGAGGAATCATTCTGGTTATTTTTATTTTCATTTGAAGTATTTAATTATAAAATTGAATTGTGAAGAAGGTGTCATCTTGATGCTATTTATAAAAGATCAGTCTCTTCCACTCAAGGAAATTTTACTCAAGTGAAGAGAAAATAAATGCACTCACATGTATATTCAGGGCTGTTAATAATTACTTTCTAGTCTGGAAGAAATTGTGTGTATGAATAACAAAACTAAATTGGAAAGTTTTTTAAATATAATTTTTCAAAACCTGGATGATAAATAAGAAGAGATACTTGTTAGTATTAAATTTTTGCTTTATTTTATTTTCTGATTCATATATACTCAACTAAGCTTTCTGATCTTCTCCCTATTAAGAATTTAGTGATTTACAATGTTTACAAAGATGTAACTGAAAGGGACGCTATGTTCTTTTTGTAATCTGAGAAATCCTGTTGAATAATGGTGTGTTCTAATTTATTTGTTTACAAATAAGATGTTCAAGTACAAATGTTAAGTATTCTGTTTAATAATTTAAAATGCTCTTTCAGATATAGCTGGAAGGTGCATCTCTGCAGAAAATTATTTTTCCTAATGCTTCACATCCTTCTGGTGGTATGGATATTTATAAAGTGTGTGTGTGTGTGTGTGTATACAAACATGCATATACACATATCTATATATAAATATATATCTATACATATATAACATTTTTTATATATATATATATATATATATATATATAGTTTGAGGTACAGATGTATGTTATTCAGTAGTTGCTCCCAAACTTTTAAATTCCAACCCTGTTAATATAAATATTTCCTCTCCCCTACCTCCTTGATAGCTGAAATCTATATATTCATTAAGAAGTGAGAAAAGCCACATAGTATTGACCTGTGTGTCAAATACCTTTATCCTTTACTTTTCACAACATAATCTAAATACATATAAATAGCTATTGTCTGTTAGGTGTGTGAAATGCACTGTGCCATTTACTTAGCTCACTGAAAATGTTATTTGTACACATGGAGTCACTGTCTAATTGAGATAGTTGTCAATGCCCACTGAGGTCCATGGCCTACAGCTTGGAAACAACTATTGAGCAGGGATAGTCGAGCAATTTTTTTGAGGGCCATTTGTAATGACTCCCAAGAGATTTTATAACATAAAAAAGTATAAACTCTTAAAACAAATGAGAACTCTGTATTGTCTTTTATATTGCTAAGAATATATTCCTCAGAATGTCAATTACTGTAAAAAATTGAGATGTTTTTCCTTCTGCACCGTGACTCCCATGCCATTTCATCAAAAGCATGAGTAGGGAGTTATTCTTGGAGTTCATAATGGCTGAATTGGAACAGATAGAAATGCTGGGGTGAAATGGGGAGAAGTAAGGTTGAGGCATGGGGAGAAGGATAGGTGAGGCAAAGTCAATACAGATTCTTTGGTGTTCCTGATTTGTAAGCTTGTATTCATTGATACAGAGTTCACAAGGTGCTGGTCATCTTCTAGGGGCTGAAATAACATAAATATCTAGTTATTAACAGAAAAAATAAGAACTTCTCATCTAATTATTTTTCTAGGAACAGAGTGACCTCCTGTTTCTACCTTCTGCTTTCTTTATGTATCTATCCCTATGCTGATTTTCCTATAGTTCTTATGAACTAACCATTTCTCCTTAATTCAGTCGTACAACACAGCCTAATGCTCTGTTCTTCCAGTGGGCTTTACTGATATCTTGATACCAAGTCATTTGGTACAAAGTGAGCACAGCATTCTTTATTATGCTTAATTTATAGTCAGGAATCCAGGTTTCACAATGCAATAGGATTATGCCTTCTTTCATGCTCTATTTTTAATAGATAAGTTACAATTTTGAAAATCTATTGATAAACCAATCTGGCTTACTAGAATTGACAAGTGCCTATGTTAACTAAGATCCAGCAATCCCTCTCCTACGTATAAATGCTAGAGAAATTATTGCATGTATGTAACCAGGAAGAGGCAAATGAACGTTCATAATTTGTAACACACACACCAAAAAAACCAGAAATAATCTGCAAGTGCATTAACATTAGAATGGATAAATAAATTATGGTATATTGATACCATGGCATACTATTCATCAGTGACACAATACAAACAGTTACACACTCTACATGGATAAATCTTAAAGGAATAGCAGAGAATAAAAACAGGAAATCTGGCTCACGCCTGTAATCCCAGCACTTTGGGAGGCCGAGGCGGGCGGATCACGAGGTCAGGAGTTCGAGACCATCCTGGCTAACACGGTGAAACTCCGTCTCTACTAAAAATACAAAAAATTAGCCAGGCGTGATGGCGGGCGCCTGTAGTCCCAGCTACTCAGGAGGCTGAGGCAGGAGAATGGCGTGAACCCGGGAGTCGGAGCTTGCAGTGAGTGAGCCGAGATCGCAACCATGCACTCCAGCTACTCAGGAGGCTGAGGCAGGAGAATGGCGTGAACCCGGGAGTCGGAGCTTGCAGTGAGTGAGCCGAGATCGCAACCCTGCACTCCAGCCTGGGCGACAGAGCAAGACGCCGTCTAAACAAAACAAAACAAAACAAAACAAAACAAAAAAACAGGAAATCATAGAAGAATTCATATAGTATGATTATTCCATTTATATACAGCTTGAAGACAGGCAAAACTAAACACTACATTGTTGGTATATATATGAATGGCAAAACTATACAGAAAAGTGACAGAATAATTAATACAAAAGTCATATTAGAGGTCAACCCAGGAGGATGGTAGGGGGATGTGATCTGAGAAAGGCACACCAGGGAATTCAAAGATGCTGCTAATATTCTACACCTTAAGATGAATGATGTGTACACATTGTTCATATACGTACAATACTCCTGTGCATATAATTCATAATTTTCAAAAAGAAATTGTAAGAGGCCACACAATAGTACAGTTTGTGATACCTCCACCAACCAATAACTTTGAAAATAGATAGGGACTCTTCTACTTCCTATCCAAATTTTTATACATGGGGAAGGATTTTGTGGGTTTAACATAGGTTCTGCTGTTTTGAGTCTGCTTTTTAGACATTTTAAAAGTTCCCTTTCCCAGAAACCATTATACTGTCTCATACTAATTCCTAAATGTGCACAGGGGGTCAACTTGTACGGAGTGAGGCTGGAACCCATCAACGTTTATCTCACAAGCTGTGTGAAACCAATGATACTTCCCAAATCAAAACTCAACATGAGGCTCAAGTTCAGAGATTTCTAGCCATGTCTTTCTTTTTTTAATGAAAAATAAAGTCAGGGTGGAAGAAGTCTGAGAGTTTGATTCTTGCACGTTTGAGAATTACCTCAGGCCATGAAAACTCATAGTATATTTTAAAAAGAAAGAAATTTGTAAAGTGCTCTAGTTCCACCTCCTAATTTTACAGAGGAGAAAATTGAGGCTAAGAGAAATTAAATCAGCTATAAAAGTAACTTCAGCGAGTAGTGGAAGTCCAGCATCAAACTCAGCTCTCCTTTTAATCTAGTGCCTGGCATTGTAGTGGAGTGGTTAAGCTTGAGTGGTTAAGCTTGAGTGGTTGAGTCAGAGAGACCTGAGTTCAGATTCTAGCTTTTCCGCTTACTAATTATGCACCTTGGGCAAATTAAGTTACTTAACCTCCAAGTCTTAAAATGAAGATAATAATAATTCTTATTACATAAGGATTATATAAGAATTCAATTAGATCATATATAATATGATAATTTATACAATGCTTGGCTCTCAGTAAGTACTGGATAAATGGTATCTGCTATTACTATGAGCAAAAAAATTATGAAAACAAAAATCAATTTGTAATCAATTCTGAAACTGGTATTTGTTCTTAAATGTTCTGTAAAGTGTGTAAAAAAAACTGTTCACCTTTCCCAATTATAAGGAAATAAACTTTTAACGTTTCCTTCTAGAATGTTATTTTATGTTACCTACAGTTAAATCAGACAAACCTGGAGTTCTTATCTTGCTCTACATTTATTAGCCTGTTAACTTTCCTGAGCTTCGGTATAGAGGAATTGTGTGAAAATTAAATAAATGATTGATAAGAGAATGCTTGAGACTTTACACAAGCACAAGTATTTTCTTATTTTTATATCTATCTTTATAAATCACTCTTCAGTTACAATCAAAAGAAGGGGAAAATTGTCCTGGTTCCAGAAATGAGAAAAATTCTCAGGGCACAATTGTCCTATTAGTGGAGAGAGGAACTTGAAATCTACAGAGCACAATAAAAATATTAATATTATGATTTCTAGTCTCATGTGTGCCTGTATCATTTTAACCCCTTATTTGCAAGAAAAAAGTTCTTGTCAATTTATTGAGTGATATTTTCCTCTGAGGAAAAAGGAGATTTCTAGTCAACATTCATTTACTACAATGTACAAAATAAATACCCTTAGCCATTTGAGCAATGTTTTAAATTCAATCACAAAAATGAAAGGTAGATCACAACGTAAGTGTTTGACCTACACATAGATACACATATTTATATCAGTAAATGTATTTTAGTTAAGATATACTAACTGTAATCCTCCTTTAGAGGTTTATGTTAACAGAGCATGTACTAAATATTTTAAAATTAAACATCAATATTGAGTCATATTTGAAACTATAAGGAATACTGTGGTCCTATAATTGTCATACAATGAAATTCAATTTGATGAAACACCTTCGATTGCAAAGACCCACAAAATCATAACATGCCAGAGATGGAAGAAATCTTAGAAATCGTCTGACCAAAACCTTAATTTTTCAAGTGAGTAAGCTGAAAACTCCCAAAAGCAAAATGAACTATGCGAGTCACACAGTAAGTTGGTAGAAGAGTCAGGATTATACTTGGGACCTAATATTCTGTCTATGTGGCTTCCAACAGCATCCAAGGCCCATGGTGGGAATTATGCCATGGAAAGTCTTTCCAAAGATTGCTCTTTATATCTGAACATTTCTTTTCAAGTTGGGGATTGTGCAAGGAATGGATAAAAAAGAAGAATAAGAATTGATATCAGACATGAGATAGGTTGCAACTATTAAAGTGGCTCTGGTCACATAATTTTCCCCTACTTTTATCCCTATAAAATTTTTATAATAGTGAACTTATTAGGAGAACCACCATCTTTAGTTACACTTTCAGGGGTGACTCCAAATACTTGTGGTTTGGGGATATGAAGAAAATGAATGAAATGGATCAATTGTTGGGTGCTGGAGGTTTGAGACTGGAAAGACATATGTAACTACAAAGTAGAAGATATAAGATTAACAACAACGGCTGTATTAACATACACCTATTGAACCTATTAACCACCCTAACATTCTCCCCAATCCCCTCTACCCTTCCCAGCAGGTGATAACCATCCTTTATTCTCTATCTCCATTTGTTCAATCGTTTTGATTTTTAGATCCCACAAATAAGTGAGAACATGCGATGTTTGTCTTTCTGTGCCTGGCTAATTTCACTTCACATAATGACCTCCAGTTTCATCCATGTTGTTGCAAATGAGAGGATCTCAATCTTTTGTGGCTGAATAGCACTCCACTGTGTATAAATACCACATTTTCTTTACCCATTCATATGTTGACGTACCCATAAAAATTAAAATTAAAGTAATTACACCTATTATTTTACCCATACACCTATTGAGTATCTGTTATGTGTAAGCCAGGCATTATAAGTACTTGTAATGGAAAGATGAATAAGAAAATAGCGTATTTAACTAGCATGGTAGTGCATTCAACTCAAGGAACTTAAAGGCTCCTATGATGTAAAAAAAGAGGGGCAGCTGGCTTTAGACATTTCTCTCTCTGGGACTCATGTAATACTTTCAGAATTCTTTCTTTTTTCTCTCCGTCTATAATTTTAGCTTCTCTTTGCAACCTTGCCTCATTATCTCAGACTTTTCTGTAAACAGAGACCATTAAGTCACATCCTTATAATATCTGACCTAAAAGGTAAGAAATGAATTCTTTTTTTTTTTTTTTACCAGAATCATATATAAAAGTCCCAGCAATTTGTTATGATTGGCTCTGATTGGATCACATGGCCAAAGTTTACACAAATAACAGAAGTCAGGAGAGTAGGATATTAATAGCAGAAGTCAGAATAATAGGATATTATGATTTTTGCATCTCTAACATGAGTGAGCAGAAAATACCTAGATGACCAGGTCTGTGAGAGGCAAATAATTTGAGTGGTAGAGACAGTTTTCCGAAGGAGTTGAAAGATCACATTCTTAAATGTGGGAGTGGATACTGAGAATATAAAAACACAAAATTTAACAAATTATCCCCACATTTTAAATCTGTATCAAAGAACTCACCATTGAATACAGGCCAACAGATGGTGACAACATAATGTTACAGATGTCACAGGGGATATGCCTAAAATGTGTCAGGCATGCAAGGATAGAGCAGCCACTAATTTTTCCCAGGAGAGGGAAAATATTGATACAATCTGATATGAATCTTTAAGGATAAGTATGATTTTGTCCCAAAAAGAAGGTACAAGAGAAGAGGTAACATATTCCAGGTGAAGGCAGGAGACAATGATAAATTTATATTGCCTTAGGGATGACTATTTAATGGGCAATCCTTAGAGACAGAAAGTGGACTTAGTGGTTGCCAGGGCCTTGGAGTGAAGGGGGAATAGGGAGTGACTGCTAATGGATAAATGGTTTATTTTTATTTATTTAATAAATTATTTATATGGTAGTGATGGTTGCATAATTTTGTGATTATACTAAAAGCACAGTTAATACTTTATTGTTCACTAGTTTTGTTTTTTTAGTTTTTATGAATACAAAATAGTTATATATATTTATGTGGTGCATGTGATATTTTGATCCAATAGCACAACGTGTAATGATGAAATTTTGATAATTGGTATATCCATCACCTTAAACATTGATCCTTTCTTTATGTTGAGAACACTTTCAAACATCTTCTAGATATTTTAAAGTGTAAAATAAATTATTGTTGACTCTAGTTGCCCTATAGTGCTATCAAACACTAGAAATTATTTCTTCTATCTAACTATATTTTTGTAGCCAGTAACCAGTTTCTCTTCATACCTCCCTCCCAACTACTCTCCCCAGCCTCTGGTAACTAGCCATCAATCTACTCACTATCTCCTTGAAATCAACATTTTTAGCTCCCACATGAGAGTAAGAACATGTAATATTTATCTTTCTGTGCCTGATTTATTTCACTTAACAAATGTCTCCCAGTTTAATTACTGTTGCTGCAAATAACAGGATTTTATTCTTTTTGATGGCTGAATAATATTCTATTTGGTATATATACTGCATTTTCTTTACCCGTTCATCCATTGATGGACACTTAGGTTGATTTCATATCTTGGCTATTGTGAATAGTACTGCAATAAAGATGAGAGTGCAGACATTCCTTCTATATAAGGATTTAATTTCTTTTGAATATATAGCTAGCAATGGGATTGCTGGATTATGTGGTAGTTCCATTTTCACTTTTAAAAGAAATCTCCATACTGTTCTCCATAGTGGTTGTACTAATTTGCATTCCTACCAACAGTGTACAAGCATTCTCTTTTCTCACATCCCTGCATCTCTGCCAGTTTGTCTTTTTTAAAATAACTATTTTAGCTAGGGTAACATAATATCTCACTGTGGTTTTGATTTTCATTTCCCTGATTATTAGTGATATGCATTTTTTAATATACTTGTTGGCCATTTGTATGTCTTCTTTTGAGGTATGTCTATTTAAATATTTTGCTCATTTTAAAAATTGAATTATTTGTTTTTTTTGCTAGTGAGTTTTTTGAGTTCCTTAGGTATTCTGGTTATTAATTCCTTGTTGGATAAATACTTTGCAAATATTTTTTCCCATTGTGCAGGTTGTCTCTTGACTTTGTTGATTGTTTCCTTTGCTGTGCACAAACTTTTTAGCTTGATGTAATCCCATTTCAATTTTTGTTAGTGTTGCCTATGCTTTGAGGTCTTCTTCAATAAATCTTTGCCCAGACCATTGTCGTGAAGCATTTCCCACGTTTTCTTCTAGTAGTTTATAGTTTAGGGTATTCACTCAAGTCTTTAGTCTATTTTTAGTCAATTTTTTTCTTTTTCTTTTTTACTTTAGACAGAGTCTCACTCTGTCACCCAGGCTGGAGTGCAGTGGCATGATCTCGGCCTCCTCCCAGTTTCAAGTGATTCTCGTGCTTCGGCCTGCAAAGGAGCTAGGATTATAGGCGTGTGCCACCATGCCCAGCTAATTTTTGTATTTTTAAGTAGAGATGGGGGTTTGCCATGTTGGCGTGGCTGATCTTGAACTCCTGACCTCAAGTGATCTGTCTGCCTCAGCCTCCCAAAGTGCTGGCCTTACAGGTGCGAGCCACCCCACCCAGCCTATTTTTAGTTGATTTTTGTATATGGTGGAAGGTAGGGGTCTAGTTTTATTCTTCTGCATATCCAATTTTCCCAACTGTTTATTGAAGAGACTGTCCCTTCTCCAATTTTATTCTTAGCACCTTAGGAGAAAATGAGTTTGCTGTAAATGCATGGATTTATTTCTGGGTTCTCTATTCTGTACAACTGGTCTGTGTATCTGTTTTTATGCTTGTATATGCTTTTTTGGTTGCTACAACGTTGTAGTGTGTGTATGTATACACACACGCACACATATATATGTTTGTGTGTGTATATATATTTTTTTAAGAGACTAAGAGATTTTTTAATGTATGTATTTAAGAAGAGATTTAATATATATATGAGACTGAGTTTAAATATATATTTTTAAGAAGAGAATATATATACACACATATACATATATATTTTATATATTTTATATGTATATAGTTATATGTATATATTTATATGTATATATTTTATACGTATATATGTGTATATATATTTATATACATATATATATTTTAAGAGACTGAGTCTCACTCAGTTGCCCAAGTTGGAGTGCAGTGGAGCCATCACAGTTCACTGTAACCTCAAACTCCTGGACTCAAGGCAATATATAATATCAACATAGACATCTGTCCAACACAGTTATAAAATATAATTTTTATTTTTTTAAGTGGGAAAAAAGGGCACACAAAGGCAAAAGAAGCTAAGGTCTATGAATGTTATCGTGGGCCTTGCTTACTGAAATGGTGGCTTGACAATAGTTGTGGCAATATTTAGCCTTCACAGAACTGTGCCTGAGAAATTTCCCTGTAGTTTATCTTCGTGAGAATAAAAGCATTTTCCCATTCACAAATTTAGTATTTTTTCCATACATCTCACTGTGTCTCTTTGAAGACTGACAATTTATTATTCTTCATAAAAAATGAGGGTTCTAATCTCAAGCACAACATGCTTCTGCTTCATTCTGGTACAAAATCAGCACATGCGAGCAAAGCAAGGCCTGGAGCTGTGGCCTCATTCCTGCTTCCGCGCCTCATTCCTGCTTCCGCGCCTCATTCCTGCTTCCGCGCCTCATTCCTGCTTCCGCGCCTCATTCCTGCTTCCGCGCCTCATTCCTGCTTCCGTGCCTCATTCCTGCTTTCGCGCTTCATTCCTGCTTCTGCACCACAGCAGGAGGGAAATCTTACTACTAGTTTGTTTGAGGCACTATATCCCTCCGCTGTCATTGATCAACATGTCTCTTTCCCCGAGAAAATGATAAAATTAAGTCTGCTAAGCATCAAGCGAAGCACTTTATTCTAAATCAGGTACCAAATACAAAAGGGAAGAGATAAATTTCTAAAAGGACAATGCTTTCCTCTTAATAAGCAAGCATCATTAACACCTTTCAGCTCAAGGGCCGCGGTTTTAATTTCATATTTAATTCCCTTCTCTTAAAGCAGTTGTTTTCTGTCATATCTGTAAAATCAGATTTTTCTTTCTTCTTCCCTCTCCAAGCCCTATGTATCTTACCTTGTTTATTTGTGCTATTATCTGAACTCTCACAGAATATAAGAAATGTCACTAAAGAAGCCAAGAGAATGAGTCCTAGGCCTAGCCTGGGGTTGTGGGAAAGCCCAGTCTAGGGATTACAAGTGACATTCAAGCCAGTTTTTGAAGAATGAATGGAAGATACTCTAGGACTTAGGCCTTCATCTACAACCCAGTGGGTAAAGAAGCTGTGCATGTTTAACAAATAGAAGCTGAGTGTTCTGTAGACAGAGTAGTAATAACAATATCTAACTTTTAAGGGTTGTCATAAAGATTAGAGAAAATGTACTACAAGCCCTTAGCAGAGGGCCTGGAATATAGCAGGTGCTCAAGAAAAAAGAATTATCACTAACATCAGTAGCATTGGCATCAGGCACAAAGAGCCTGTCTAGCCAAAATCACTTGCATGTGTAATTTGTAAGATTTCATAAGTTGCCTCTCAATTTACAAACTGATCGCATGTAGATATCTTACATATAATTATCTCATTTCCTTAAACTCTGTGGGGACCAGTATTTCAATCCCTGCTTTTAAAACTAAGAAAACCAAGATTTGAAGCATTTAAGTAACTTGTCCAAAACCGCATGGGCCCCTTTATTCCAAATCCTGTGTGATGTTGCTTCCAAGTTAGCTGATAGTTTTTAAATACCTGCTTAGCATGCATTATACATTGCATAACAGTTGTCAAAACAGTTACCCATTTGCACCATCTGCTACTTTTCAATTGATTAGTTGAAGAGATTTTGTTATGACTCTCTTTCAATATTTTTATATCCTGTTTCCAGAGAGATACTTTAATTCTTGGCCGTCAACACAGTATTGAACATTTTGCTAACATGGTAGATTCTAGCTAAGTTGTATTTAGAGTTTATAATGCAATGGAATGAGGGTTAACTTTTAAAAATCTCTACTTTAAGTTTCTAAAATTAAATTGATATACCTTCTAATTCTCTGTACTCTTACATTTCTTATAATGCTCCCATTAGGTACAGAATCTTCTTCACTAGTCACTGAACTTACTGTTAATACTTTACTTTTGTGTTAGACACAAATGATGAGCTCAGTACTTTTCATCGATTGCCAACTTCTAGCACTTACTTCATCTCCTATTATTGCTTTCTTTCTCATCTTCATTACATTTTAGGTGGTGATTGTCAATTTTCTAACATTGCTAAAACGGTTAGTCGTTCACACAATGAAGCAACAGCTTTAAGTGAAAGATCTAACTTAGCATGTGAGTGGAAAATTAAGACGTTGAGGTGTTACACTTGAAGAAAAGTTAACCAACAACTAAAAGTGAATTACTAAATTATAGTATGTTGGTTGTTCAATTACTGGAAGCTACTGTGAAAATTAGAGTAAGCCCTCACAATAATGTTAGAATCAACACTGGGGAAGTGTAAATGTGAAAATCATGTTGATCAGATTAAACCTATCCAGTTCATTAAAAACAATATACTTGTTTTATCAAAAGGAAAATACCTTTTTTTCAATACTCAGGAAATAAGCTGTATGCAAAGATGCAAGATAGCTAGAAAAGTCTGAGTGAGTCTTGGTGCAGCTGCTCCAATTCAATGAACTGAAGGAATAAATTAAGCGATCAAATCAAAACTGATAGAGCCACAAGGCTGAGGTAGTGAAACAGCCAAGGGCTATGCCAAGGAAGCCAAGCAAAAATATGACGCTGGCCCCAAAGTCACAGTTGTCCCTGAAAGCTGTGTGTTCTGATTCTGTAATGCCAGCTGTATTGCACAGAGACATTGTACAGACATCTGGGGGGCTGAGTCCTGATGTAAAGAACCAGTCCTTTGACTTAAAAGGGAAAATATGAATCCTAGTGATGTATATTAAAATATACTCAAATTGGTAGGTCTGCCGGGCTCTGGGAGCCGAAGTGAGGCTCTGTGACATGTCGGAGGACAGCAGATGACTCCCTCAGAGCTCTGCGTCTCCTTCCACAGCAGTGGCAGTTTTATTTGCTCATTTGATTTGTACTGTGATGCCAGTAAATATCTCAAGCTGCCATGGAAGCCTAAAACCATTTAGATTGGTTCTGTTTTCTTGGTCTGTAGGGAATCGCAAATAAAATCAGATACTTCTTCCTCCTCTTCTGTTTATTACCACGGGGGGCTGTATATTGAGCTATGATTGTTAATTAGTTGCTGTCTGAATGGAAATATCATGGATTTGTCAGAGGAATGCCTTGAAAGGGGCACTGGAAACACTAGTCATTCGTGTTGGAATGGATGTGAGGTACCAGATTGGAGGACTAACACAGTAAACATACTGTGGCTGTGACCCTTATTCTCTGGGAGGGACATTAAGGTCATCAGTCATGGTTAAAGCAAGGCATTTTCAGGTTGAGGTATTAGCCATACTCTCCCATGTTTCAAATATGCATTGTATTCTTTTTCTCTGAAATTTTTCCTATTCTGGTTCATTTAAGGTAGCCTTTTCTCTGCCTCCTTCTCCTGCAAAGAACAGTTCCCATTATTTTCTAAGGTAGTTCTTTAGCTAACATGCATTTATCCATTGCCTGAATCACTATAAATAGTTCGGTTTTACACGCCTGCCAGAATGAAACGCAAACAGGCACACATTCTGTAACTCGGTATATTTTCTCAAGCCTTGCAGGGATTTCAGGACCACACTGTGTTCTTTCATGTATTATTTCACTTACTCACCCATATTTTTCTGCATAATTCAAAATCACATACTTTCAGGTACCCGTGTGAGAATTCTGGCATTACTGTCACAAACCAAAACCTTCTTAATGGAAACTTTTGCTCTCTGTTAGATAAATATAATTTTAAAAAACTGTTTGGCTTTTAAAAAGTGACTCTTGATTTCATGTTCCAGGAATGCTGTAAATCAGGGTTCACCAAAATTTTTCTGTAAAGGGCCAGATAGTGAATATTTTCACCTTTGTGGATCATATGGTCTCTGTTCCAGTTACTCAACTCTGGTGTTGTACTCAAAGGCAGCTACATAAATGAATGAGCATGACTCTGTTCCAATAATACTTTAGTTATGGAAACTGAAATTTGAATTTCATATTGTTTTCACTTATGACAACATATTATTCTTCTTTTGCTATTTTCCCAACCATTTAAAGATGTAAAAATTATTCATAGCTAGTAGGCCTCACACAAATAGGCAACAGAACAAATTTGGTCCATGGGCTATCGTTGTTGACCCTTGTTATACATTTAAGTCTTTTTTTTTATTATTATACTTTAAGTTTTAGGGTACATGTGCACAATGTGCAGGTTAGTTACATATGTATACATGTGCCATGCTGGTGTGCTGCACCCATTAACTCGTCATTTAGCATTAGGTGTATCTCCTAATGCTATCCCTCCCCCCTCCCCCCACCCCACAACAGTCCCCAGAATGTGATGTTCCCCTTCCTGTGTCCATGTGTTCTCACTGTTCAATTCCCATCTATGAGAGAGAACATGCAGTGTTTGGTTTTTTGTCCTTGTGATAGTTTACTGAGAATGATGATTTCCAATTTCATCCATGTCCCTACAAAGGACATGAACTCATCACTTTTTATGGCTGCATAGTATTCCATGGTGTATATGTGCCACATTTTCTTAATCCAGTCTATCATTGTTGGGCATTTGGGTTGGTTCCAAGTCTTTGCTATTGTGAATAGTGCCGCAGTAAACATACGTGTTCATGTGTCTTTATAGCAGCATGATTTATAGTCTTTTGGGTATATATCCAGTAATGGGATGGCTGGGTCAAATGGTATTTCTAGTTCTAGATCCCTGAGGAATCGCCACACTGACTTCCACAATGGTTGAACTAGTTTACAGTCCCACCAACGGTGTAAAAGTGTTCCTATTTCTCCACATCCTCTCCAGCACCTGTTGTTTCCTAACTTTTTAATGATTGCCATTCTAACTGGTGTGAGATGGTATCTCATTGTGGTTTTGATTTGCATTTCTCTGATGACCAGTGATGATGAGCATTTTTTCATGTGTCTTTTGGCTGCATAAATGTCTTCTTTTGAGAAGTGTCTGTTCATATGCTTCGCCCACTTTTTGATGGAGTTGTTTGTTTTTTCTTGTAAATTTGTTGGAGTTCATTGTAGATTCTGGATATTAGCCCTTTGTCAGATGAGTAGGTTGCGAAAATTTTCTCCCATTTTGTAGGCTGCCTGTTCACTCTGATGGTAGTTTCTTTTGCTGTGCAGAAGCTCTTTAGTTTAATTAGATCCCATTTGTCAATTTTGGCTTTTGTTGCCATTGCTTTTAGTGTTTTAGACATGAAGTCCTTGCCCATGCTTATGTCCTGAATGATATTGCCTAGGTTTTCTTCTAGGGTTTTTATGGTTTTAGGTCTAACATTTAAGTCTTTAATCCATCTTGAATTAATTTTTGTATGAGGTGTAAGGAAGGGATCCAGTTTCAGCTTTCTACATACAGCTAGCCAGTTTTCCCAGCACCATTTATTAAACAGGGAATCTTTTCCCCATTGCTTGTTTTTCTCAGGTGTGTCAAAGATCAGATGGTTGTAGATGTGTTGTATTATTTCTGAGGGCTCTGTTCTGTTCCATTGTTCTATATCTCTGTTTTGGTACCAGTACCATGCTGTTTTGGTTACTGTAGCCTTGTAGTGTAGTTTGAAGTCAGGTAGTGTGATGCCTCCAGCTTTGTTCTTTTGGCTTAGGATTGACTTGGCGATGTGGGCTCTTTTTTGGTTCCATATGAACTTTAAAGTAGTTTTTTCCAATTCTGTGAAGAAAGTCATTGGTAGCTTGATGGGGATGGCATTGAATCTATAAATTACCTTGGGCAGTATGGCCATTTTCATGATATTGATTCTTCCTACCCATGAGCATGGAATGTTCTTCCATTTGTTTGTATCCTCTTTTACTTCATTGAGCAGTGGTTTGTAGTTCTCCTTGAAGAGGTCCTTCACGTCCCTTGTAAGTTGGATTCCTAAGTATTTTATTCTCTTTGAAGCAATTGTGAATGGGAGTTCACTCATGATTTGGCTCTCTGTTTGTCTGTTATTGGTGTATAAGAATGCTTGTGATTTTTGTACATTGATTTTTTATCCTGAGACTTTGCTGAAGTTGCTTATCAGCTTAAGGAGATTTTGGGATGAGACAATGGGGTTTTCTAGATGTACAATCATGTCATCTGCAAACAGGGACAATTTGACTTCCTCTTTTCCTAATTGAATACCCTTTATCTCCTTCTCCTGCCTAATTGCCTTGGCCAGGACTTCCAACACTATGTTGAATAGGAGTGGTGAGAGAGGGCATCCCTGTCTTGTGCCAGTTTTCAAAGGGAATGCTTCCAGTTTTTGCCCATTCAGTATGATATTGGCTGTGGGTTTGTCATAGATAGCTCTTATTACTTTGAGATACGTCCCATCAATACCTAATTTATTGAGAGTTTTTAGCATGAAGGTTGTTGAATTTTGTCGAAGGCCTTTTCTGCATCTATTGAGATAATCATGTGGTTTTTGTCTTTGGTTCTGTTTATATGCTGGATTACATTTCTTGATTTGCGTATATTGAACCAGCCTTGCATCCCAGGGATGAAGCCCACTTGATCATGGTGGATAAGCTTTTTGATGTGCTGCTGGATTCAGTTTGCCAGTATTTTATTGAGGATTTTTGCCTCAATGTTCATCAAGGATATTGGTCTAAAATTCTCTTTTTTGGTTGTGTCTCTGCCAGGCTTTGGTATCAGGATGATGCTGGCCTCATAAAATGAGTTAGGGAGGATTCCCTCTTTTTCTATTGTTTGGAATAGTTTCAGAAGGAATGGTACCAGTTCCTCCTTGTACCTCTGGTAGAATTCGGCTGTGAATCCATCTGGTCCTGGACTCTTTTTGGTTGGTAAGCTATTGATTATTGCCACAATTTCAGATCCTGTTATTGGGTCTATTCAGAGATTCAACTTCTTCCTGGTTTAGTCTTGGGAGAGTGTATGTGTCGAGGAATTTATCCATTTCTTCTAGATTTTCTAGTTTATTTGCATAGAGGTGTTTGTAGTAGTCTCTGATGGTACTTTGTATTTCTGTGGGATTGGTGGTGATATCCCCTTTATCATTTTTTATTGCACCTATTTGATTCTTCTCTCTTTTTTTCTTTATTAGTCTTGCTAGCGGTCTATCAATTTTGTTGATCCTTTCAGAAAACCAGCTCCTGGATTCATTAATTTTTTGAAGGGTTTTTTTGGTCTCTATTTCCTTCAGTTCTGCTCTGATTTTAGTTATTTCTTGCCTTCTGCTAGCTTTTGAATGTGTTTGCTCTTGCTTTTCTAGTTCTTTTAATTGTGATGTTAGGGTGTCACTTTTGGATCTTTCCTGCTTTCTCTTGTGGGCATTTAGTGCTATAAATTTCCCTCTAAACACTGCTTTGAATGTGTCCCAGAGATTCTGGTATGTTGTGTCTTTGTTCTCGTTGGTTTCAAAGAACATCTTTATTTCTGCCTTCCTTTTGTTATGTACCCAGTAGTCATTCAGGAGCAGGTTGTTCAGTTTCCATGTAGTTGAGCGGTTTTGAGTGAGTTTCTTAAGCCTGAGTTCTAGTTTGATTGCACTGTGGTCTGAGAGACAGTTTGTTATAATTTCTATTCTTTTACATTTGCTGAGGAGAGCTTTACTTCCAACTGTGTGGTCAATTTTGGAATAGGTTTGGTGTTGTGCTGAAAAAAATGTATATTCTGTTGATTTGGGGTGGAGAGTTCTGTAGATGTCTATTAGGTCTGCTTGGTGCAGAGCTGAGTTCAATTCCTGGGTATCCTTGTTAACTTTCTGTCTCGTTGATCTGTCTAATGTTGACAGTGAGGTGTTCAAGCCTCCCATTATTATTGTATGGGAGTCTAAGTCTCTTTGTAGGTCACTCAGGACTTGCTTTATGAATCTGGGTGCTCCTGTATTGGGTGCATATATATTTAGGATAGTTAGCTCTTCTTGTTGAATTGATCCCTTTACCATTATGTAATGGCCTTCTTTGTCTCTTTTAATCTTTGTTGGTTTAAAGTCTGTTTTATCAGAGACTAGGATTGCAACCCCTGCCTTTTTTTGTTTTCCATTTGCTTGGTAGATCTTCCTCCATCCTTTTATTTTGAGCCTATGTGTGTCTCTGCACATGAGATGGGTTTCCTGAATACAGCACACTGATGGGTCTTGACTCTTTATCCAATTTGCCAGTCTGTGTTTTAATTGGAGCATTTAGTCCATTTACATTTAAAGTTAGTATTGTTATGTGTGAATTTGATCCTGTCATTATGATGTCAGCTGGTTATTTTCTCGTTAGTTGATGCAGTTTCCTCCTAATCTCGATGGTCTTTACATTTTTGCATGATTTTGCAGTGGCTAGTACCGGTTGATCCTTTCCATGTTTAGTGCTTCCTTCCGGAGCTCTTGTAGGGCAGGCCTGGTGGTGACAAAATCTCTCAGCATTTGCTTGTCTGTAAAGTATTTTATTTCTCCTTCACTTATGAAGCTTAGTTTGGCTGGATATGAAATTCTGGGTTGAAAATTCTTTTCTTTAAGAATGTTGAATATTGGCCCCCAGTCTCTTCTGCTTGTTGAGTTTCTGCCGAGAGATCCACTGTTAGTCTGATGGGCTTCCCTTTGTGGGTAACCCGACCTTTCTGTCTGGCTGCCCTTAACATTTTTTCCTTCATTTCAACTTTGGTGAATCTGACAATTATGTGTCTTGGAGTTGCTCTTCTCAAGGAGTATCTTTGTGATGTTCTCTGTATTTCCTGAATCTGAATGTTGGCCTGTCTTGCTAGATTGGTGAAGTTCTCCTGGATAATATCCTACAGAGTGTTTTCCAACTTGGTTCCATTCTCCCCGTCACTTTCAGGTACACCAATCAGACGCAGATTTGGTCTTTTCACATAGTCCCATATTTCTTGGAGGCTTTGTTCATTTCTTTTTATTCTTTTTTCTCTAAACTTCCCTTCTCACTTCATTTCATTCATTTCATCTTCCATCACTGATACCCTTTCTTCCAGTTGATCGCATTGGCTCCTGAGGCTTCTGCATTCTTCACATAGTTCTTGAGCCTTGGCTTTCAGCTCCATCAGCTCCTTTAAGCACTTCTCTGTATTGGTTATTCTAGTTATACATTCGTCTAAATTTTTTTCAAAGTTTTCAACTTCTTTGCCTTTGGTTTGAATTTCCTCCTGTAGCTCGGAGTAGTTTGATCATCTGAAGCCTTCTTCTCTCAACTCGTCAAAGTCATTCTCCGTCCAGCTTTGTTCCATTGCTGGTGAGGAACTGCGTTCCTTTGGAGGAGGAGAGGCGCTCTGCTTTTTAGAGTTTCCAGTTTTTCTGCTCTGTTTTTTCCTCATCTTTGTGGTTTTATCTACTTTTGGTATTTGATGATGGTGATGTACAGATGGGTTTTTGGTGTGGATGTCCTTTCTGTTTGTTAGTTTTCCTTCTAACAGATAGGACCCTCAGCTGCAGGTCTGTTGGAGTTTGCTAGAGGTCCATTCCAGACCCTGTTTGCCTGGGTATCAGCAGCGGTGTCTGTAGAACCGCGGATTTTCATGATCCGCGAATGCTGCTGTCTGATCGTTCCTCTGGAAGTTTTGTCTCAGAGGAGTACCCGGCCGTGTGAGGTGTCAGTCTGCCCCTACTGGGGGTTGCCTCCCAGTTAGGCTGCTCGGGGGTCAGGGGTCAGGGACCCACTTGAGGAGGCAGTCTGCCCGTTCTCAGATCTCCAGCTGCATGCTGGGAGAACCACTGCTCTCCTCAAAGCTGTCAGACAGGGACATTTAAGTCTGCAGAGGTTACTGCTGTCTTTTTGTTTGTCTGTGCCCTGCCCCCAGAGGTGGAGCCTACAGAGGCAGGCAGGCCTCCTTGAGCTGTGGTGGGCTCCACCCAGTTGGAGCTTCCCAGCTGCTTTGTTTACCTAAGCAAGCCTACGCAATGGTGGTCGCCCCTCTCCCAGCCTCGCTGCCGCCTTGCAGTTTGATCTTAGACTGCTATGCTAGCAGTCAGCGAGACTCCGTGGGCGTCAGACCCTCTGAGCCAGGTGCAGGATATAATCTCCTGGTGCGCCATTTCCTAAGCCCGTCTGAAAAGCGCAGTATTTGGGTGGGAGTGGCCCGATTTTCCAGGTGCCGTCTGTCACCCCTTTCCTTGACCAGGAAAGGGAACTCCCTGACCTCTTGCGCTTCCCGAGTGAGGCAATGCCTCGCCCTGCTTCGGCTGGCTCATGGTGCGCTGCACCCACTGTCCTGCGCCCACTGTCTGGCACTCCCTAGTGAGATGAACCCAGTACCTCAGATGGAAATGCAGAAATCACCCGTCTTCTGGGTTGCTCATGCTGGGAGCTGTAGACCGGAGCTGTTCCTATTCGGCCATCTTGGCTCCTCCCTTTAAGTTTTTTTAACTAGACAAAAGCTATGATACACAATGACACTAGTGGTGCAACACTGTAGCTACATGGAAAAAATATTCATTTGCTATGAAAAAGCTGGAAGATCACCAATAAATATCTGAGGATTAACAGCAGAATATCAAGAAACTACTTTTAATACTTTCAACCTCTTGCACTATACAAATGTTCTATGCAATTGCTTGAATTAGTCATCAGTGAACTTTTATGGATTATAACCAGTAACTTTATTGTGGTGCAGAGGTTTTGGAATTAAACTTCTGAATATATGTAAAACCCTGATAATTCATTAAGAAGGGAAAACTTTGTCAATAAATCAACTACTTCTACCTTCCTGCATCCCCACTTCCAAAACTTTGGTTTTAAGGGAAGAGATTCTTTATTTTAATGATGGCATCTCTCCTCTGACTTAGCTATATCATGAATCCATAAGGGAGACACAGCAGCTCAATATAAGATTGATAGCTTGATTACAGCGTGATTAGCCTAATTGTTCCTGTGACTAATAGTATGCATTTGATTTGCAATTTTTCAGCTGGGATCACAGTTTATGGCCAACAGGCATATTTCTAGATTACAAGGGATAACAATTTTGAAAACTGCCACAATATAGTTCAAGATAATAATACCTAAAAAATAAGGCCATACTGAATCAAAGAAGAACAATTCATGATGGTTATATAAACAATAAAACCATCTGGAGAAAACAGACTCCTTAAACCAAGACAGTTTGTTTCTAGACAGGGTTTATTTAACCTTATGTAATTTATACAACACAACATTCATCTTTGCTCTATTCCCAATAAGCAAAGAAATTGGAGCTAAGCGGGCATATACATTTCCTGAATATTCATGGCCCATTAGTGATCATTATCATTGGGTGTCATGAGGCAATTGCAGACAAACTGTGTGTCTATCTGCACTTGCTTTCAACTTTGGAATAAATGATTATCAATTTCTTCACTCTCGTTTCTCTACTTTAAGGCTATTAATTATTTCTTAAGCTCATAGCTTTTATATTTTCCTTAAAACTCAAGTCTGATCGTATTATTCGTTTGCTCAAAAAATTCAACAACCAATCACTTAAATAAAGTTCAAACATCTTAGCCACTTGTTCAAGTGTCTCAATAATTTGACTTTTCCAATTAACCACCTTTAATTTTTGCAGTAGTTTTTACTTACCATTCTTTCACAATTATTAAGTCACTCTTCCACAAACTAACCCTCCATCCCATTGCCTCCATGTCTTTTATCCACTTGGTTACATTAGGGCTACTTGCAATACCCTTGCCTTTCATAGCTGTCTGTCCACATGCTATTCATCTTTCAAGGCCCAAGTCAAAGCTCAACTCTTCCAATAATTCTTCCTAAAAACTCAAAGTTTTCTTTATGCTTTTCTTCCCTCAGATAACCATGGTTATTTACAGATTGCCTTGGAATTGAAGGCATCATTTATATATGTCTCCATTTTCTTCTAGGCTCTAAGACAATGGAAAATTATATGAGAACAAGGGGTCATGATTTCTAGAGTGTGGAAGGAACCATCATTTCAGAATCCACTGTCATCCTTGAAGAAGTCAGGCCCTCATTCAAGATCATTTGTTATCAGAGACTGCTGAAGAGAAGTACATGGTACCTTGAAGTGGTTTTAATTAAATCAAGAAACTTTATGAGGCAGTGGGGTAGAAACTTGGCAGAAAACTCCTGTAATTATAAAACTTCCAGCTATTTTCTATGTACAAGAGCTAAAGACTGAACATCTCTTTGCTTCAGATTTTTTTTATTTTTGGTAAAATATTGCAATCCTTTATGCGTGCAGGGGGTTGGGGCGGTTGAGTCACTTTATTTTGGTTAGGCATAGGTGAGGGCAAGCCCTCTGCTGAAATGGAGATTGCAGTGACTTTCTGGCTCTGAGGAGAAAAACATTTTCATTGGAGAGAAATGAATCACATTAGGGAGAAACTATTTTCAAGGGAGTTAAATCTGAGCTGATGGGAAAGATAAACAGTGTGGGAGAGCACACCATTCTTCACACCTCTTCAGATAACCCAGATTACTCTGACAATACAAAGACTGGCAGCTTTGGAAACCCTGAGACACACTATTTTGGTGTTTACAGTGGTGTTCTCACAATGGTCAATCAACAATGTCTGTGGATCTGCAAGCAGATTTATAGCCAAAGAGAATGGACAATAGGAGCTGGAGCTGAAAAGCAAGATGGAAGGCACTGAATATGGATGGCAAGCTGCCAGACTAGTTTTGGTTTTATGCCCAGCTTCCTTTTGGAGGCTCTAACCCTTAGCTATTAGATGCTCTGAAGAGGCTGACATTGTGCTATCAGGAAAAATGACATTTGGGTCTTAAGAACTGATGTGAAATTATTTTGTAGATGTATGCCACAACATACAGTTATTTAATAAGTTTTAGTTAATAAAATTTTGCCAAATCTAATTTGAATTTTGAAGGACCAGAATTCTTATTTCAGTGTAATTGCCTTATATAAGAAACTTTCCATCTACCACAGTCAAACAGACTATTGACCCATCTATTAGTTTTAAGCTTAAAAACAAATACACCAACCATCCAAGAATACAAACTTTGGCAATTTTGACATTTAGGAAGTAAACATTACACTCTACTTAATCTTAAAGTTTGCACAAAGTGTTCTTAGTACTAGGAAGGGAAGTGTCATAATGACTACTTGTGATATGTGTATTTATTGATATGTGTATTTGTACTCTACCTTCATACCACCTGCAAACATAAAGATTTGTAAGTGAGTCTGTGAGTGAGTCTGTGAGTGAGCTAGTGTGTGTTTGGTCATCAGTACAGCCAGCCCTCATCTTCTACCTCAAGTTTAGACCTGTACTTTTGAGGAACAAGCATCTGTTTAATTCCCAACATAGGTGAGATAGTGTGGGCTGCACAGTATATCCTTCCACCACAGAAGCTGCCAAGGAGATGACGCCACGAGCCTAGTTCCCCACCTGCAACACCATATTTGTTTTTTGAAATTTTGGTCCCACCAGATGCATTCGAATTTCAATTCAATTTTAATTATTTAAAAATTCTAACCCTCTACTCACTCTCCCTACACGTATACACACATGCACACAAACCAAGACAAACTTACTGGTCATGCAGTGTTTTGTTTTAGAAGAGACAATTACCTAAAATATCACTAATTTTCAAGGCTCCTAGATGCATTTTTATTTCCATTTTTTTCTGCCTCTAGGCACCTAATAATAAGATAAAGAAATATGTCAGCCAGACCTATTCATCTATCCCACTATGCCTTTAATTTTAATTTTAATTAGAATCAGTTTAGGCTGTGTGTGTGTCTTCCCTCTAATCTTCTTTCCTTGTTTTTATTTCAACCATTCATCTTAGGGAAACCATATATGTTTCTTTTTGACAGGATATTTACACTATGAATATTCTCTTCACATTTTTTTTTTTAAATAGACAGTCTCTTGCTCTGTTACCTAGGCTGGAGTGCAGGGGCAGGATCATTTTGAGAACAAATTTTTTATCCAGTTACCTCTGTTGTAGTCTCATTGGTTATTTTTTAAAAGGGTGGTTCTGGGGGATGGGAGAAGAGAAGCATAAGAACAATGCTGATTTTTATGATTTTTTGATCTCTTGTTTTCTGTTTGTTGAAAATACCAGTTTTGCTTTAAGGGATAGGTAAGAAGAGAAGAAAGTCTGTGTTTTCCCAGATGGGTTGGTTAATAAGAATTTTGTTTTCTAGCAAAGGAAAAAGCAGCTTTAGGGCTTTACTGGTGTGTAAGGATGTCTAAATTGCCTTCTGCAGCAAGGAGGCTGTGCAGCGTTTAGCTGCTCTGGTGGGTGGCCTTCGTCTATAGTAGGTGGCTTATTGCTGGAGTTAGAGCAGCCACATTCCTTATCCTCCTCTCCTTGGCCAGATATTTCTTGATGAGGTCATTAAGTAAGCAGATTCACTGATAGAGTTTTAGGTCCAACCACTTTCCAAATGCTAATTTGGATGACAAGTTGTGAAGAACACAGTGGCATTTTCAGTGTGGGTCACTTTTGTTCCCTAGGACTCAAGCTGCTGTTAGAAATGTTGTGCTTATGAGGAGTGCTGACACATGGGGGATGGAGAAATATGCCAGCAAATCCTTTGGCTTGCTCCCTCAGGTGCATGAGTCATGGTGGTTCAAGGGAGGAGAGCCTGCATTCTCGTGGTGCTCCTGTAGCACTCCAGCAGTGCCCTTGGCCTTGACCAGAAGCTTCTGGAGACCTGGGGCTAAATAACATCTCAGTGCTTCCTAGCTTGGCTCCCATAAGTCAGTTTGAAGGCATAATGAAGACTAATGCTAGTGCTACTATAAGAGAATGAATTAAGATGGAGAAAATAAGCAGTTTTCCCTCAATGTCTAGTATGTGTCAGTACCATGTGCTTTTAAGTAGAGCCATTCCTATAAAGCAGAGGCATTCCCAGAGGATTTGACCTAAGATTGTAATTTGGATTTAGAAATAGGAGTAAGACCAAACTTGTTAGAGAGGCTTGTTTATTGTAGCAAAGATCGGGGAAAGACATACTGATTTCAAAGTCATAAATGAGAGACAGAAAATTGTGGAAGTGGAGAAAAATCATCTTGTTGATTACAGCAAGATAGGAGAGATCACTTGATTGGGACGATAGAGAAAAGCTCTTAGGAGATGCTGGAAAGTATGAATTAAACTCTCAAAATAAAAATTGATAGAGAAAGAGGAGATTTTATCTATAATTAACAAACTATTTTATTCAGAGTGACTGAAACAAATAATTAAATATTACTAATGAATGACATTAGGGACGTATGTTAACCACTGCTTTGCCACCTCTGCCCAGGCAGAGGTGTTTTGGTTTAGAGGCCTTAGTGGTTGTTTTGGAGATTTGAGTTTCATGTTTATTTATAAAACCACAGGGGTAGTGCTGTGCTGTGAATGTCCAATACACTAGCAGCCAGTTTCCCAAGTGAGTTCCATGCTTCTAACAGAATCCAGATGTTTTCAATTCTTCATGTTACCAGAGATTCAGGTTTGATCAATAAAGAAGTTACCAATAAGCCTATTGAGAACACATTGTCCGAACAGTATTATTGTTTTCATGGTAAAACTTCTGAGGCTTGATGGACTATTCTAGGATAAAAGGGAGAGGAAAAATAATAAGTGTAATTTGGATACACTCAACTCCAAGCAGAAGCATAATTATTT
This sequence comes from Homo sapiens, assembly GCF_000001405.40. NCBI lineage: Eukaryota > Metazoa > Chordata > Mammalia > Primates > Hominidae > Homo > Homo sapiens. The sequence goes on along the minus strand of NC_000006.12, from coordinate 72,464,188 downwards.
TATCTTATTTGTGATGAGGAGCATGTGATGGGAATTGATTTCATGGTTTTCCATGGGGTTCAAAATAGAAAAATAAACATATGCACATTCATTAGAATAATTATCTGGTGGTACTGTTAATGATCTTTATTTAGCACATGGAAATAGAATTTTAGACCTGCAAATATAAGTCAGAATTCTAGAACATAAGAGCTTAAAGAGAACTTTGGGATAATTTAACCACACTGAAGTCCAGGGAAGTCAACTGACACTTAGGTTCACATAGCTAGCAGAGAAACAGCCCAGACTTGTTGAAGGATATGTTTAGAGCCCATTGTACACAGATTATGAATTAGCAAGTCTTTTTCTCCTCTTCATTTTCATTGATTGTATCTGATGTAAAGGGAATGATCAGGAAGCATTAAGACAAAATGAGTAAAGTGAAAAGCTGTGCATGTTGCTTAGTCTATTTGTGGCACTTATGTACGGTTTGGTGTGAAAAGAGGTTGAAACTGGTATCTAAATTGAAATCTTTCTCTATCCACTGCAAATAATAAGTAGTTGATTATGTAACCACTGTGGAAGATTGTATTTTCCAAAGTTGGGAGTAGCAATATCTCTCATCCCATGGTTTACGATGTGACCTTACCACTCCCCTCATCCAGAGGTAGAGTCTATTTTCCTACCTCCTCTACTCCTCACCCTCGACCGCTGTCCCTGCCCTGCCTACACTTGGGTGGTCCTTTGTGACTCCTGGGTAAAAATGATGTATAACTTTGGAGGCTAGGGTCACACAGGGCGATACTGATTTCACCTCTATTTTGGGATGCTTGCCTTTGGGATCCAGTCACTATGCTGCAAGGGAAGCCCAGGACACCTAGAGATGCCACTGACAGGTGTTCTAGCTGGAAACTCCAGCTGAGGTGCCATCAAACAGCTGTGTGTGTGAAAAATCATGTAAAATAACTCTAGCAGCCACTATCATCTGAGTGCAGCTGCTCCTGTGACCCTGGACAAGAATTGCCTAGACAAGCCCCATTTCCCTGCCAAACAATGAGAAATAATAACACATGACTGAGGTTATTTTAATTATTAAGGTTTTGAGTTGGTTTGTTAGAAAGCAATAGATAAGGAGAATACTACTCCTATAAACAGGAAAGAAGAAAGGTAGGTAAAAGCAAGTTATTATTATTCTTTAAAAGACAAAAATTAATTTGGAATCAATCAGACTCACATTCTACAGTACAAAGCAAATTGATTTCAAAGAAAATGTGAACTATTATCAAAGCTCATAAGGCTCTAGCAAAACCCATAGATAAGAGAACATATAATGGAGTGGGGGCGGGGGGTCAACAAGATTTTCTAAGCTTGAAATGGGAAATTATGTAAACTCAACATTATTGTACATACATATTTCTATTTGCTTAAAAAAATAGGCAAGATGACCTTACGCATCTTTTCCACCTCTAACTTCCACCATTCTATCTTCATCATGTGGGTGTTCAGTTTGCTGAAAAAGCCAGATTTCAGAACAGCTTTCTTTCAGAAATGATGTTTTTAAAGTTAAGGAAAAAAAGCTTGCCACACTGTAGAAGTGGCAGCTATAAAAATAGACATGAAAATAAATTGAAAATTCATAACAATTGTGCTGAAAAAGACGCACTGGGAATTGAATTACAAAGTAAAATGAATAAAGTGGGCTTTTGATTAAATGAGTGCACCAAAGTATTTACAGTATGATAATATGTTGGAAACAGCTAGAGATACTGCAGAATAAATGAAGAAAACACTATGAGTATAGTGCTAGGAAAGCACCATCTCAAAGCATAAGGCAAGGGTCAGAGAGCTGGGTTAATTCTATGCTTTAACAGAAAGAACACTCAAAATTATGCCTAGAAAATGCAGAAAAAATGGGAACACAATATGTCAAAAAAGTTTTGTACTAATAGGAGGATACTAAGGTAGAAAACCAAGGGATTTGGACCAGGTTGTGTAAGATAAAAGTACATTCCTTTCCTCTGCATGCATCCTACCCCCGCTGTCCTCAGACACATATCAACACCATACGTTTTTAAAGAGCAAAAGTGACTCCATGTTCCTCACTTACATCTGCACAGATGGCGACAATTATTCATCAGTTTCCTAACAATTTCTCTTCACTTTCTAAGTAAAGGTTGGAGACCTTAGTTGGACTGCAGTTCTAATAAGATTTAGGATTTCATTGATGTTCCTCTACTAGTAACTATTTTTGGCTAGCTTAGCATCTACTCAGTGCGGCAAAGTATACAGAGGTCTAAAGCCTATAAGCAACTTCTACATCATTAAGGAGACAGAATTAAATTAACAAAGAATAATGAGTGCTGGAAAAGTCTACACCATGTTAATGGACAGAATGCACTGGATAGGAAATTTGAAATTTGGGTGAGAAATGACAGACTGAGAGAGGAAGTCATTCTTGACAAGTGCCATGCTTTATACCTGGTACGTAGTAGGTGCTTTAGAAATATTTATTGAAAAATTAAGCAAGTAAGGCAAAACATGTGAAAAGGGGACTTAAAACTGTGTTAGGGAGTAGTCCAGCCTGGCTAGAGAAGTGAAGGCAAGGTTTAATGTCAAGGAAAAACCAGATAAAGGAGGCCTGGAAGGAAGGTGATGCGTTCATTTTCTATGGTAGAAAAATGGAAATCAATAAAACTGCCTGGTACTCAAGAGAGATTACTCTGACAGCAGAATATGATATGGATCAGAAAGAGAAACTAAGTGAGGTAGCATCAATTTCAGTTCTTTTCTGCCTTGGCAGGCTTGTTGCAAATGTTTGCACTTTGTGCTTAGCTGAGGAAAACAACCTCAAAGCAAGATGTGTGTTGTGGAGGGGAGAGTGAGGCTGCTGCAAGAATGTTAGGATGCACAGCTGGAACTGGCTTTGTGGTTACTCAATGTGGCTGGGGAATGCTGACGTGTAGGCAATTCATTTTGAACTAAGACTTCTAGAAAAATCTCATGAGAAGGCATATGAAATATAGCCTTAGAACTCAAAGGATGAACTACACTGGAGCTACTGCAGCACAGTTACAAGGAGTATACCCTCTTTACATCATGATGAGTACCAAGAACCAGGCTTTCTTGTCAGAAAAGAAAGGCAACCATATACCTATATTTACCTTAGACATGAGGAACACACCTTACTTAAAAAAATAAACAAGAAAAACCTTTGGTAGGATAATTCCTACATTAAATTTTTTGCATCTTGGTTGATTCATTAAATGTCTGTTATGGGGGATAAGAATCTATATATGTCATTTCACTGGAAATGCAGCAATGTATATTTGTAAGGATTTGAGATAGACTGCTTGGGTTTGAATCTACCACTTACTAGTCCCATGACTTTAGGCAAGCTATTTAACCTCTCTGTTCCTCCATTTCCTTATCTGAAAATGAGGTAATTCTAGAAGCTTCCATATAGGGTTATTAGGAGGATTAAATGTTATTAATTACATATGAAGTGCTTAGATTAGCATATAACTCCTAGGTGGTGATAAACAAATATCGGCTATTATTATTATATTAACTTTGTATTTTCTATGTCTTTTTCCTAAGGAAGAAACTATTACTGTCAATTTTTCTATGGTAGAAAACATAAATGGCTGATACTAAGTAACACAGTGAATTATTTGATGGCATTCAGAAAGTTCTCCCTTCTCAAACTCTTCTGGTAAAGAGAGCCATATTTTTACTTTTCTGGAACAATGCTTAAAAAATACACTTACTGAGTTGAACAAAACAGAATCATAAATATATTAGTTACATTTTGCTTTTCCTGTCTGAGAAAGCCTGAAAAATACATTTTGCTTTCCATCTGAAAGGACATCTAAAAGGAACCAGACCATACAATGACACCGAGATGTTTGTACCTGAAGTAAAATGAATCATAGCAGAAAAGGATAATGTCTGACAGGAGGCTTTAGATATTGTTTTGATTATCCAGTTATTTTCCATGTAAAAGCCACTTGTGTCTTGGAGTGGACCCTGTCATCTGAAAAGCACTTCATCTTGTTGTATTTTCAAAGATTTAAATGGAAGCTGTTGCTTTTGGGAAGCAGCCATAAGGAGAGACTTGGCTATGTTTAAAAGCTTCAATCCATTTGTCTCCTATTATCAGTGGGTCCCTCCCTTGTGTTACAGGTTTGGCTTCCTCCAGAAGCTAATACTAATCTGATAATCATGGAAATATAAAGTCTTCAAGCATTGTATGCACACAGTGTGCCAAGCATATTGTACCATCACATACAAGAATACTGACATGTAACTCTCAACAGCAACCTTGCAATGTTGGTATGATTTTTCCAAACTCACAGAAGAAGAAACAGAGCTACAGGGGTTAAGTCCCTCGTTCAAAGTCACACAGCTGTAAAGTGAAGGAATAAGAATATTATTATCTCAATTATTATCACCAGCTTCACTGGATATTGTTCAAGCCCTTTCATTTAAACTAATACAAAATTTAATATAAAACCGAACCACAGATTTCAGGGAGTCCAACCTAAACTTGGGCAACATAAAACAAGATTCAAAAGACTTGTTATATCACTACCTTTTGTGCTGCCTGGGTATCGATGAGTGTTGTGTGAATTGGTCTTAGGCATTTTTAGTTATATAGTAAATTCACTGAAAATTCAGTCTTGAGGGCGGGAGTCCCATTTTCTTTTCGTTAACGCAGCACTCCCATTGTTTTGATGCCACTGTATAATAGGTACGTTATTAATACAAAATGAAATAATCTTTCCTGTGAAAGATTCTTAGGCTGTAAGGTGAAAAGTGAAACTGGCTCTATTTGCAATAGTGTTAAACTATAAATGAATTCCAAAGTTAAAAAAAAGATGATCTTATATATTACCCTTTGATGCTTTTTATTGACATTTGAAATTCTAAAAATATGCTGTCTCTTGGTTCATGGGGAAAAAAAATGGACATAACCATATAGCTGTGACCCTCTCAAGTGAGAGGCTCAGTTGACCAAGTTGAAAAAATTATGTGCAGACACAATTGACTCCTTCTTTTCCACGTCGCCAACAACTGCTTTAAAGACTCTAGAAGTACACATAGCATAGGAAGAATGAGGGAGAGTTCCAATTATTAAGGTAACTTAGTTTTTTTGCTTTGATAGTATTATATGGCATCAGGATATATTTGTTATTTAAGTCTTTTTTACTTATATAACTAACTGCAGAATTCAGTCTTTTCATGTACACACTGATATTCATAAAAATTGCCCATACATTGGCCATAAAGCATGGCTTAATATATTTAAAGAATTAAAGTATTACAAGCTCTGTTTTCTGACCACAAAGCAATTATATTAGGAATGAAAAACAACCATAAAACCAGGAAATAGCAATATATTTGAAAATTAAGAAATAATAATCTATTATAGCGTATGGCTCAAAGAGAAAATCATAATGGATTACACAATATTTCAAACTGAATGATAATGAAAATAATACATTTCATAACTTATGCTGCTAAATCATCTAGAGGGTATTAAAACATTTTGTTGTTATATATTCTTATCATGTATAACATGATGTTTTGAAATATGTAAATATTATGGAATGACCAAATCAAGCTAATTAAAATATGCATTATCTCACACATTTAGCGTATTTTGTGGTAAAAACATTGGACTTACTACGTTGTATCATTCCTAAAAATAAATTGTAAATCTGTCATAAATCTATGTGTAAAAATTGAAACTATAAAGATTTTACAAAATAATATAGGATGAGATCTTCATGACCTAAGAGTAGGGAATAATTTTTTAAATAGGACACAAACCCCACTAACCTTAAATAAAAGATTAATAAATTTAACATCATTAAATTTAAGAATATCTGATCATCAAGACACAATTGAAAGGCAACCTAGAGAGATAAAATATATATACAACACATATAATTGACTATCAGTATACCTAGAATACATTGACTCAAAATCAATTAAAAACAAAGAAAAAAACTGGACAGAAGTCACAAAAGAGGAAATCCAGATGACCAATAAATGTCCCAATCTTATTAGCCATCAGATAAGTGTAAAAAAATTCCATAATGAGGTACCACTATGCACCTAGTATATTGGCAAACTTTAAGAAGTCTCATAATCCTAGGGGTTGGTGCAATGTAATGGGAGTATATGTCCATTGTTGGTGGAAGTGTGAATTGGTAAAACAATTTTGAACAAATGTTTAAGAGCTAATTATATTGCTAGAAATTCATGATCAGCAATTTTGGTCTCAGACATAAATTCTAGAGAAATGCATGCTTATGTGTGACATACCTATTCAAGAATATTCATAGCAGCACTGTTGGTAATAAACCAACCCTGGAAATAATCTCAATAACCATCAACAGTAGAACAGTAGAAAAACAGTATATTTTTCATTGTATAAATAAGAGAATGAATTGCATATTCACACAACAACATTAATGAATTTTAGTGGTATAATATTGAGGAAAGGAGATAACAGAATGCATGATTCCATTTACAAAAATTTAAAAATAGACAACATCAAACAACATTGGTTAGGATTATAATGTGATAGTAATACTTCAGAGAAAAATCAATAAAGTGATTATAATAAAATTCAGAATGGTGGATCCCACTGGGGTGGGAAGGACAGGGAAGAAACGGGAATTTCTGAGATACTGGTGACATATTTTTTGATCTGAGAGGAGTTTACAGAGTTTTTTTTTTGGCTTTGTCATTAAATAAGCTGATAATTTATTTGTGTTTTAGATATTATTTAGGCATATTTATTCATTACACTATAAAATTGTTTTATTCATGATGAATGAAATGGAATAAAATTAAACTTTATCTGAAATAAATATAAATTAAGGAAAGAATGTTCGTTATACCTTTTAAAATGAGAATCACAAACTAAAAACTTTTGCACAGCGAAGGAAATGATCAACAGAATGAAGAAATAATATATAGCATGGGAGAAAATATTTGCAAACTATGCATCTGACAAAGGGTTAACATCCAGAATGTAAAAGGAACTCAAATAACTTACTAGCAATAAAACAAATAAGCCCATTGAAAATGGGCAAATTACTTAAATAGAGAATAGATATATGAAAAAATGTTCAACATCACTAGTCAGGGAAATGCAATTTAAAACCACATTGAGCTATCATCTCACACCTAACAGAATGGCTATTACTACAAAAACAAAATTAAATGCTGGCATTGATGTGGAAAAATGGGAACACATACATTGTTGGGAATGTAAATTAGTACAGCCATTATTAAAAACACTATGGGGGTTCCTCAAAATATTAAAAATAGAATTACTGTATGATCCAGCAATCCTACCACTGAGCATATATCCAAAGGAAATGAAATCAGTATGTCAAAGAGATAACTTGACTCCCATGTTTATTGCAGCACTCTTCATTAATAGCCAAGATATGGAATCAACCTAAGTGTCAATCAACAGATGAATAGATAACATAATAATTAGCCATAAAAAAGAATTAAATCTTGTCATTTGTGGCAGCATGAATGAACCCAGAGGACATTATGTTAAGTGAAATAAGCCAGGCACAGGAAGACAAACACAGCATGATCTCACTCATTTGCAAAATTTAGAAAAGCTGATCTTATAGAAGCATGGACTAGAATATTGTTTACCAAAGGCTGGGGAGAAAAATGGCCAACAGAGACAAAATTACAGATAGAAGGAATAAGTTCTGGTTTTCAATTGCACAGTAAGGTGATTATAGTCAACAATATTGTATTGCATATTTCAAAATAACTAGAAGAGAGAATTTTCATTGTTCCCAAAACAAAGAAATGATAAATGCTTGAAGTGATGGACAAGTAAATTATCCTGATCTGGTTATTTACTATGTATACATGTATTGAAACATCATACTGTACTCTGTATGTACAATTATTAGGTGTAAATTAAAAATAAACTTTAAAAGTTTGAAGCTAAAATAAGAACCAGTGATTCTATATATTTTTTTATTTTGAGATGGAATCTCGCTCTGTCGCCCAGCCTGGAGTGCAATGGCGTGATCTTGGCTCACTGAAAACTCCGCATCCTGGGTTCAAGTGATTCTCCTGCCTCAGCCTCCCAAGTAGCCAGGCTTACAGGTGCCCGCCATCACGCCCAGCTAATTTTTGTATTTTTAGTAAAGATGGAGCTTCCCCATGTTGGCTTGGCTGGTCTCGAACTCCTGACCTTGTGATCTGCCCGCCTCGGCCTTCCAAAGTGCTGGGATTACAGGGGTGAGCCACCACACCTGGCCTTACTTTGCCAATTTTTAATAGAACTTTGCAATTTATAAAAATGCTATTTAGTGTCCTATGGGGAAAAAAATTCATTTAGCACTCACAGTATAGCTTTGCTGAATGTCTGTGGTTTGGTCAGATAAGTGAAATAAAATATTTTATTCAGCTGAACTTAAATTTTGATGTTAAGAACTTAGCTTTTTCAGTTAGTGCCTAGACAAATGATTAGGAAAAACAACAACAACAAAAAGAGATGCACTATCAAATACTTAAGAAAACAGGTTCATTGGCATTCACTTAATAACTCATAGTGCCATAAAAAGTGAATCACTTCAGCTAGAATTCTTTTTTTTTTTTTTTTTTTTGAGACAGAGTCTCACTCTGTCCCCAGGCTGGAGTGCAGTGGCGCAATCTTGGCTCACTGCATCCTCCACCTCCCAGGTTCAAGCAATTCTCTGCCTCAGCCTCCTGAGTAGCTGGGATTACAGGCACCCACCATCACGCCCGGCTAATTTTTGTATTTTTCGTAGAGACAGGGTTTCACCATCTTGGCCAGGCTGGCCTTGAACTCCTGACCTCGTGATCCACCTGCTTCTGCCTCCCAAAGAGCTGGGACCACAGGCATGAGTGAGCCACCATGCTTCTAGCTATTCTATCACTCAGCTAGCATTCTTATTCTTCCTAGATATGTAATAAAGCAGAATAAAGAACAACTCACTAGTGGAATTTGTTAATGTTTGTTTATCAATTTATGTATTCGAAAATTATTTATTGAGTGAATTCTATGTATTCTGTACTGTTCTAAGTGCTGTGGTTAGAGCTATGGATAAAACAGTCAAAAACCCAGTCACTCCTGGAGTTTCCATTCTTGTTTGGAAAAGAGGTAATCAACAAATAACTAAAATCATGTCAGGCAATGATAAGTACTACGAGGACAAAGCAGTATGGAGGGGCAAACTCAGAGTGAGGATGCAAATTCAGGTAAGATGGACTGCTGAATGCTGGTCTTCGTGCAGTCAGTTTGTTGGTTTGCTGGGTGGGTGGAGGAAATTCCTGAGAAAGCAAATGAATTTCCCAATGCTGAGGAAGTCCTTTGGAGTATGGAAGATTGGGCGCTATTCAGGTTTGGGGCAGTACAAAATCTGCTTATGCAGAACATTTCTATTAGAGTCTCAAATAAACCTGAAGATATAATGAAGTAATTCACGTTCCCGTTTTCAATTTAGACTTTCCATAAACTAATTTCAAATCAGAGGTTGTGGGTCTCATTTATATATTCACATAAAGTCATGAGCTTTTTATTTGCTAAGGAAAGTAGCTTAGAAGTAGTATATAACTCAGAAGTGAACTAAAAACTTTTTTGTCCTAACTCTTACTGTTGAGATTATTTCCAAATAATGTATTTTTCTTATTCCTGACTGAAAAAGAACAATAAACTGAGATAATTAAATGTTTTATAGGGGTTTGAGATCGTCATGTGATGTAACATGATTTTTCATTTTATTTTTTTAATTTTAGAATTTGGGAATACATGTGCTTGTTTGTTACATGGATATTACATGTGAAAGAGAGGGGGTTGGGGTTCTAGAGTACCCATCACCTGAATATTGAACATTGTACCCGATAGATAATTTTTCAACTCTCATCCTTATCTCAGCAGAGCTCTTCCCTTTTGGAGCCCCCATAGTCTATTATCTCCATTTTCCCCCTAATCCCCATGTTGATCAAATATTCTCTCCATTTTTATGTCCAAGTGTACATGTTGTTTAGCTCCCACTTGTAAGTAAGAACATATAATATTTGATTTTCTGCTTCTGAGTTAGCTCACCTAGGCTAATGTCTTCCAGCTCCTTCCATGTTGCTGCAAAGAACATAATCTCATTCTTTTTTATGGTTGCATAATATTCCATAGCGTGTGTGTGTGTGTGTGTGTGTGTGTGTGTGTGTGTGTGTGTGTGTGTATCACATTTTCTTTATTCAGTCAACTGCTGGTGGACACTTAGGTTGGTTCCATGACTTCGCTATTGTGAATAGTGCTCCAATAAGCATGTGAGTTCATGTGTCTTTTTGATAAAACTATTTATTTTCCTTTGGGGAGATATCCAGTAATGCGATTGCTGGGTCAAATGGTAGCTGTGTTTTAAGTTGTTTGAGAAATTTCCAAACTGCTTTCTACAATTGCTGAAATAGTTTACATCCCCACCAACAGTGTATAGTTCTCCTTGTAGAGATCTTTCTCCTCCTTGGTTAAATGTATTCCTAGGTATCTTACTGTAGCTATTGTAAGTGTTATTGAGTTATTAACTTTGTTCTCAGCTTGAACATTATTCACGTATAAAAATGCTACTGATTTTTGTACATTGTTTTTGTATCCTGAGACTTTACTAAAGTTGCTTATCAATTCTGGCAGTCTTCTAGAAGAGTCTTTAGGATTTTCTAGGTATATGGTCATGTTGTCAGTGAACAGAGATAGTTTGACTTCTTCTTTTCCAATTTGGATGCTTTTTATTTCTTTCTCTTGTCTGGCTGCTCTGGATAGGACTTCCAGTACTATGCTGAATTGGAATGGTGAGAGCGGACATCCTTTTCTTGTTCCAGTTCTTAGCAGAAATGCTTTCAACTTTTTCCCATTCAGTATAATGTTGGATGTGTGTTTGTCATAGATGACTTTTCTAATTTTCAGGTATGTTCCTTTGATACCTAGATTGTTGAGGATTTTTTAATAAAGGGATGTTGAATTTCATACAGTCATTTTTCTACATCAATTGATATGATCATATAGTTTTTGTTCTTAATTCTATTTATGTGGTGAATCAGATTTACTGATTTGCATATGTTGAACAATCCTTGCATCCCTGGAATAAAGCCCACTTGCTTATGGCTTATGGTGAATTACCTTTTTGATGCACTATTGGAGTCAGTTTGCTAGTATTTTTTTTTTTTGGAAAATTTTTTCATCTATATTAACCAGGGATATTGTCCTGTAGTTTTCTTTTTTTTGTTGTGTTCTTGCCTGATTTTGGTATGAAGGTGATACTAGATCCATAGAATGAAAGTAGAATTGACCTAGTTCCTTAGTTGCCTCTCAAAAATTGCCATCACATTTTGTTTTGTCCTACTGAGTTCATCTGGATACAGGAGAGTGATAATGCAAAAGAAAGTAGTTATAATTCGTAGTGAATATTATCTGTTGTGTGACTTTGAAAGACATCAGGAGTTTCTTTAGTTAAACAAAATTTTCTAAACATTTGAAACTGAGTGGGACTGGGACTGATCAAAGCTACAAATGGAAACCAAAAAGGCTCTTCTGAACTAGATTATGGGAAGCGTTCTATTGGGAAGCTGAGAGTTGTACAGATTGTGCACTGTACATCAATGACTCAAGAAGGTACCCAGTTTCTCTCCTTTCTGCTCTCCATGGGTCCCATTGCTTCCCTGATGAATCCCAGCATGATCTCTTAAACAATCCAATTAATGTTAGTTCTTACTTGCTACTTTATTTCCTCCACGTGAGAGAAGCGCATACTGTCTGCTTCTAGTCAGCCATCTTGAGCTGGAACCACACCATTGTTTTAAATAGCATTCAATAATCTTTATCTTTTGATGTGATAGTGCAGTAAGCTGAATATGTACCAGGTTCAGAATTTCCTCTGAAATGTGTCAAGATGATCTTTTTTAAATGTGCCTCTTTCTCCTAAAACTGGAATACAGCAAATAAAACTAGACAAGAAAATGAATATAAGTATTTTCAAAATCTGATTGAGTAAAGATTATTTGTAGTTCCAAAGTTGAGGCTAACGTGTGGGGCCTAGAGGTAATGCACATACATGTTTAAAAATTTTTTAGATTTCATTTCCTTTTTAAGAAATATTCAGATTAATATCTCGATATCTTTGTTGGATACTTCTATAGCTTAACTGGAAGTCTAAGCTAAACTAAATTCCTTTAGATGAAATTAAATCACATTTCTACTTCTTTAGTACTTAATGAAGACTTATCTTATACAACCACAGAGAAATAATTTCAGTAATTGAATACATTCTTGAATTTATTAAACTGACTAATCTCTATTTTTTTAGTTGCCTCTCAAAAATTGCCATCGCGTTTTGTTTTGTCCTCCTTAGCTGCTGAGTTCATACTGGATATAGGAGAGCGATAGTGCAAAAGAGAAATGGTTACTATTCTTAGTGAATATTATGTGTTGTGTGATTTTGAAAGGCATCGGGAGTTTCTTTAGTTAAATTAAATTTCCTAAACATTCGAGACTGAGTAGTGCTGGAACTGATCAAAGCTACAAATGGAAACCAAAAAGGCTCTTCTGAACTAGATTATGGGAAGCGTTCTATTGGGAAGCTGAGAGTTGTCAGACTGTACACTGTACATCTGTTGGGCACTATTAACCTTGTACATAGCCGCTTTGACTTGATGAGAAAATACTACAATCATTGGGCCAAGAAAGAAAAAAAGAAGGACATTGAGAAAGAAAGGAACCAAATAGCTACAGCTCTCAGTATAAGAACATATTTCTCAGCATTGAGGATGTTCCCTGGGATATAAGAATAATGGAGACTATGCAAGCCTGGGGAACTGAAAAGATCTGCTTATGCAAAGCAGTTCCATTTGAGCACACATGAGCAGGTGGTTTTTGCATAAACTGCTACAGTCTCTGGATGGCTTTTCCACTTTGGCTCCCTATGGATGGGTTCTATGGGACCATCTTCTCATACTCCAATACCTCAGAACAGCTCCTTAGTCTTTGGAAAGAGATGTCTATGGAGAGAATAAATCTTTACTCATGGCTTCTGTCAACATACTGGGAGATGAACAATTGCAAGTTCTTCAATTAATATGTAACCAAGAACCTGGAAATGTATCAGCATGGAATTCAAGATTGTACTGTTAATTGAAGTCTTGCATTTTGCTCATACCTACAAATTAAAACTCTTCAATTAAGGCATTTGAGGATAATAGAGAACAAAATCCAACTGAAAGGAAAGAGATGTTTTCCTCAGCCATAGCATTAGACATATTACAATATTTGGACAACGGATTTGGCTCTAAGATTTTTGTTGTTGTTGTTTTTGTTTGTTTGGTTTTTTGTTGTTTTGCTTTTTGTTTGTTTGTTTGAGACGGAGTCTCACTCTCTCGCCAGGCTGGAGTGCAGTGGGGCAATCTCGGCTCACTGCAACCTCCACCTCCCAGGTTCATGCCTCAGCCTCCCAAGTGGCTGGGACTACATGCGCCCGCCACCACGCCTGGCTAATTTTTTGTATTTTTAGTAGAGACTGGGTTTCACCATGTTGGCCAGGATGGTCTTGACCCCTTTACTTCGTGATCCATCCGCCTCGGCCTCCCAAAGTGCTGGAGTTACAGGCGTGAGCTACTGCGCCCGGCCGGCTCTAAGCTTTCTTATAGCTGGGAGTGACAGTGGGGTTCTGGAGTTTTTGGTTCCTGACAACAGAAAACATACAAATTTATTTGTAGCAAAAAATAATTCCTAAATTGAAATGGTAGCAAGAATCTATCATGTATGGTGGCATCATAGATCCTAACTGGGTCTAAAAAAATCTCATTCTATCCATGTGAAAACTGGTGCTTAGAGAAATTAATTAATAATGAATCAAAATATTTGCACCTATTCTTGGTTACTTCTCTGTGGGGGATTTCTAAAGATGTTTGTAACAAGGAGAAAACACCGATTTGCTAATAAGGTAACCAGAATTTTGGAGTGACTTTATGAACTAGATAGTCAAATATCCTTGATTCCCCAGATGAAGAAACTGAGACCCATAGAAGTTGAAACAAGAAAAGACCAGAAGTTAATAGAAGAGGTAAGAAGAGTAATAGAATTGTGAAAAGGGCTTTTCCATTTAGCACAATTCTGGGAGACTGAACTCCAAACACAAATCTCTCTTGACATACCCCTAAAATCCTCTAAATGTACCCAATCAAAATGGTTAGTGCTGGGCATGTTGGCTCATGCCTGTAATCCCAGCACTTTGGGAGGCTGAGGTGGGAGGATTGCTTGAAGCCAGGAGTTTTATACCAGCCTGGGCAACAAAATGAGACACAATCTCTACAAAAAAAAAAAAAAAAAAAAAAAAAAAAATTACCCAGGCATGGTTGCAAAGCACCTGCAGTCCCTGCTTCTTGGGAGGCTGAGGCAAGAAGATTGCTTGAGTCCAGATGTTAGAGGCTGCAGTAAGCTATGATCATGCCACTATACTTTATCTTGGGTGACAGAGTGAGAATATATCTGAAAAAAATAGTATGTTGTTTTTTTTAAATATATGTATATAAAATAGAAAGCAATTAATTATTAAGCACATTACCACCACATTTAAGTGGTCAATAAGATATTTGCTATCAAAATGTGAAATTCTTAAAACAGGCCATTACACAGAGCAATAACATATAAGGACTAGAGATCTGAGGAGACCACCTTTGTGGGAGGAGAAAGCTACAAATAGAGAATAAGTATCACTTAGAATGAGATTGAGAGCAAATGACAGTCTCCAATTAAAGCCTTCATTAGAATAATCGAATTTGATATTCACGTAACTATCACCATGTGGCTGCAAATCTGCAGGTATAAGAGAGAGGGAGTGTCAGAAGGGACTGAATAAGGATAATTGCACTAATTGTTTTCAAGTAATGCAAGCAAGGGAGAGATAGTCAAGAGCCAGAATTAGAGGGAGAACAAGAGATGGGAGCAAGATGGAGACTATAGAAATGGGTTAGATTTTATTGATTTAAATAAAGGTCCATTGAGAAAATAAGGATGCTATCCTCTTTGGCTGGTGAGTATTTCATGCAATTAAAAAACAAAACAAAACCAAAAAAAAAAAAAAGTCACCTAAATAAGAACACTGAGCAACCAAGACCTTACTGCCTCATGAAAATGAGAGAGCTATTGGCTGAAATAAGATTGATTTCTCCTGGATCTTGTCTTACCCAGAAGCCTTTGATTTTCTTCAGTTTTTAACAAACACTCTAATTCTCCTTGAAAAAAACATTTAAACACCATAATTTTTATGAATGGGGAGAAATGGAAGAATCTCAGATTAATACAAGCTGAGTAAATCTTTTTACAGTGCTGATTTAAAACTCCTTTTCTGATGAGTCTCATTCCCAAACTCACACATTAATGCCTTAATCTCAGGGTGGCAACAAGCAGAAAGGTTGACCAAATGTCCTGATGTTGCCCTTTCCTCAGACTTACCTGAGAAAATGTACCTAAGGAAT
Organism: Homo sapiens; assembly: GCF_000001405.40. Taxonomy (NCBI): domain Eukaryota; kingdom Metazoa; phylum Chordata; class Mammalia; order Primates; family Hominidae; genus Homo; species Homo sapiens. The sequence continues at coordinate 72,448,669 of NC_000006.12, read as the reverse complement.
GGTACCTTACCTGAGAATCTGAGCTTGGCCTGGCCCCACAGCTCACAATTCCCTTCTTACGGTCCCTCATACCAGAAGGAGGGGTCATTGGAAATTCAGAGTACGAAAGGAGCAAAGAGATTTGCTGAGTGAAATCAGGGGAAAATATTTTTTACAGAGGGTGTGTATTAGTCTGTTCTTGTGCTGCTAATAAAGACATACCTGAGACTGGATAATTTATAAAGGAAAGAAATTTAATGAACTCACAGTTCCACATGGTTGGGGAGGCCCCACAATCATGGCAGAAAGCGAAGGAAGAGCAAAGGCACATCTTATGTGGTGGCAGATGAGAAAGCATGTGCAGAGGAACTCCCATTTATCAAACCATCAGATCTCATGAGACTTATTCACTATCACGAGAACAGCATGGGAAAGACTCACCCACATGATTCAATTACCTCCCACTGGGTCCCTCCCATGACTCGTGGGGATTACTACAATTCAAGATGAGATTTGGGTGGGGACACAGAGTCAGACCATATCAGGGAGTTTGTGTATATTATAAAGTCATGAGACCGACATTCTTTATGATCACTTGATACATCTTTGAATGAGTATATATGTATTCTGATAAATCCACTTAGAAGAAAAATATTTATCTGGTGAGGCAAGTAGGTTAAAGAAAAATATTCTCAGCACTTTAGTATAAAAGAATTGATTATTGACAATGACTAGTTAAAGTTATTGCTCTTCAAACAATTTTATTTCCTTATAAATGTGGGCCTATGAAAGAAACATGTTTAGTGTTACAACTGCAGGGTCAAAATCAGCAATTTGAGTTTGGTTGTCATTCAAACAAAAACTTGGAGGACTTTTTATTGTGAATCTACAATCAGGGAAGAACCAGAGGATGAAAAATTTAGTGCAGGTTAGGTAAGTTCACACATTTTAGAGTCCAGTTTGTCTTGTACAAAGTTGGGGTGCAAGTGCAAACTGAGACTACGAGTGCTATGTGAGGTGAACACATAAGAAAGCAGAAAATATATTTTTAAAAGCAAAATTGCCGACTATTCTATGCCTCTTACCTATTCTTGCAAGAGATAAATCTGCATGAGCAAAAGATGGGAGCAGACTCTGTCTGCATTAATTGCTCAAAAAATAGATTTAGAGGCCCTAATTTAAAGAAATTTTAGACATCTGAATTCTATGGGCCTAATGAAGATTTTCCTTCACCACCTGATTTGTATGAGCAAGAAATTTGGAAGGAATTAATGATAAACAGTTGTCCTATGGCTATTTGCGAATAACAGAAACGTACTCATATGAAGTTATTAAACAAAAAATGAAGAGGTAATTAGTCATCAGGATATAAGGAACACAAGGAGACCTTGGTAAACTAGAACCAAGAACAGAAAAGCCTTCAGGAGGCAGATCCCTTTATCAGTAAATCTTGCTTCTGGGCCACATGGTTACTCATTTCCACTTCTCTTTGTGGGTCACCTTTATTATCTTGTCTTTACTGATTGACCTTTATTCTCCACGTGCACCCTTGCCACCCCTAACTGGTTTTTGCCTCCCTAATTGGCCCATATATTTAGGGGCAATGGGCAAAAGTTTGGGTTATGGAATTTAAACAAAATTTTCAGGGTTGTTTGGCTAGGGTGGGTGAGCTATTCGCAGTAGGCTGGGGAGGCCATCAAAATATGTGGACCCCAGAGTAGATTAGGTTACTGCATCACATTGTCATCAGCTAGCTACCATGATGCCTTGTTTTTTCAAGTTAACTATACTTTAGAAAATGTTATATTGATTGTCATTCATAGTTTGTTAAGGAAAATATTTCACCCATGTATATAAAAAAGGTATATTTAAAGTTAATGGTCAGAATTATAACACTTATTATATATAAATGCTTATCTGAGAATAGTGCATCTGATTTCTATGGTTTTGCATTTCAGTACTGGAACAAATAATCGACTGCTGTGACAGAGCTAGCCAAAGGATGATTTCCCTTCCACAATGTGAAATTGTTTCTAGGAAGGAGCTGTCCAGCAAGGGACTGACTATCCCAGGAGCCTTGCATCTAGGTGAGACTGTATCCTAGTTCTTGCCACTGCTGAAACACAGTGCTACTCTTAAAGCCACTTGTTAAAGATGACAGAGCCACTGTCAGCCTGGTCCCCTGAGTGCCTACATGGACCAGGGGCATTAAGAAAAGAATTTTGCTCAAGAAAATAACTTTACCATATTTTCAAAATTTATTATCTTCTAAAGCTAAGAATGAGTCTTAACATACAAGTAAACTTGGGAAAGTGAGAATTTGTTCTAAAATTGTATTAAAGTATAAAATCACTGTTATTTAAAGTTTGGTCTGAAAATCACATGAGGACTGTTTGATGCTGGCCAGTGAGGGATAAGGAGGTTGCCCTGGAATGTAAATCAACTATATCACTAAGCACACTGTTTAGTTCAGCTGTCATTTTTTTTTAATAGGAAGACTATTTACTGAAGGAAACAGAGTGTTGATTTACATTCTGACATACACACCTGAGTCTGTCATGGACTAGTACTTTGAGTAGCCTTGCTATAAATGACCCATATTAGAACTTCTATTGAAAGCAAGTTTATTTTATTCTTTAAACCAACATAACATATGGACATACTAAAAAAAATGAATAGCATATAAAGAACGCATAGACTGAAAAGAAAAATGTTTCTTTTCTCAGAACACTCATACACTGTTGGTGGGAATGTAAATTAGTTCTGCCACTGTGGAAAGTAGTTTGGAGATTTCTCAAAGAACTAAGAATAGAACTACCATTTGACCCAGCAATTTCATTACTGGATATATATCCAAGGAAAATAAGTCATTCTACTAAAAAGACACATGCACCTGTATGTTCACTGTAGCACTATTCACAATAGCAAACGCATGGAATCAACCTAGGTGCCCATTGATGGTGGACTAGAAAAAGAAAATGTGGTACATATATATCTCATGGAATGCTACATAGCCATAAAAAGAATGAAATCATGTCATTTGCAGCGACATGAATGCAGCTGGAGGACATTATCCTAAGTGAACTTAGGAACAGAACACCAAATACGGCATGTTCTCACTTATAAGGGGGAATTAAACACTGGGTACACACAGACATAAAGATGGGAACAATAGACACTGGGGGCACAAGCGAGTGGTGAGAGGAAAGGGAAGGCAAGCTCTGAGAAACTACCATTGGGTACTGTGCTCACTACCTGGATGATGGGTTCAATTACACCCCAAACCTCAGCATACGCAATACAGCCTTGCCTGTGTTGTACCCACTGAATCTAAAAGAAAAGTTGAGAAGAAAGAAAAAAGCTTCCTTTCTCCTCTATCTCACAGGCCACTCAAGTTCTTCTCCCCAAATTAATCACTGTAACCAATTTGTTGTGTATCCGGAAAATATTATGGGTATAACTGCATATATAAGTTTACACTTATAAAATGTACACAAACAGAATTACAGTATGCACACTGTTTGGTGCCTTGCTTTTTCATTCAATAATATGTCTTAGAAATATTTATATATTAGCAAATATAGACATATTTCATTCTCTTTGAGGACTGTATAGTATAGGTATTGCATTGTGTATGTGTATCATAATGTAAGTAACTAGCCAGTCTCTGTTTGTGGATGTATACCATGTTTCTAGTTTTTTAATATTACAAACAATATTGCAATGAATAGAATTATACATAGAGAAAATTGTTTACTTTTGAGAGTATGTAACATGGAATCTCTATGTCAAAAGGAATGTACATATGAAATGTTTACAGATGTTGCCAAATTTCCCTTCAAAACGGTGGTGCCTATATATTCCTTTCCAAATGAATATAAGAATACCTTTTTTCTACCTCCACATGGAAGCTATTATTTAATGGTAACACTTAGCCAAGCTGATAAGTGAATAAAGTTACTTAAATTTGCAGTGTTTAATTTATGAGTGTGGGTGAGCTTTCTTCCCTAAATAATTATATCACAGAAGTCCAGCTCAGGTAAACAAATTACAGGCAGAACACCCAAGGAAGTGAACAGAGAACTGAAAAGCCATTGGGACATAAAGGTTCTCATTTCTGTTTCTCTCTGCATATTTGCATGCTTTCTCTCTCTGTCTCTCTCTCTCTCTCTCTCTCTCTAACATTTTTTTCTTCTGCTGAACAGGGACATGCCAGAGATGATGATGCTCCACAGCACCAGAGTTCAAGCAAAACAGAATGGTTGATATTTTTATGTCACATTCCTGAAGTGAGAAACTGATTGGTCCAGTTGGTCTATGGTAAAACACAGTATCATGAACATGGACATAGAGTCTGTCACCCTGCCCACTGTGGCTTCAGGAGTAAGAGAAAGAGCGTGAGTGGTGGATTACAAATATACTTGAAAGGCCATCTATTGCAGGGATTTCTTGCAATAGTTGTACATAATATTGACTCATCACCTAGAATTGTTCTGCCTCTTATATATATTTTTTAATTTTTTAAATTATTTAAATTTTTTGTGGGTACATAGTAAGTGTATGTATTTATGGGGTATATGAGATGTTTTGATACAGGCATGCAATGTGAAATAAGCACATCATGAAGAATGGGGTATCTATTCCCTCAAGCATTTATCCTTTGAGTTATAAACAATCCAATTACATTCTTTAGATTATTTTAAAATATGTAATTACATTATTATTTACTATGATCACTCTATTGTGCTATCAAATAGTCTTATTCAATATTTCTATTTTTGTGCCCATTAACCATCCCCACCTTCCGCCAACCCCTCACTGGCGCTTATATGGTAATCTTCAGTATTTCATCCTATCACAGCCCGTCTCCCTAGCTTTTTTCACTTCCTAACTAACTACCACTACAAATATGCTCTTCAAATGTAATATATGCTCTTCATATATTATTTGACACTTCTCCTTCCTCCTTCTTCATTATTTTCTTCTACCACACTTCTTGTTCAAACCTACAAATTGTCACTTCCATGGTCTAAAAATTATACATGACAACAGCGAGTGGATTCAATCATCATCTTTCTTTGCTATACAACAGACTCTGAGCACTACCAGAAAATGTTCTTAAAGCAAATGGATTGTTCAGAGGATGAAGGTTTTAAAACTTTTATATTTTATGTTCGACAAGATGACGCTGTGCCTTACCCTTATTCATGATCTTTTCTCAAGCCAAAAACTTTTAGCCTCTTCTTGAATCTCTGACTCTAGGAAACCACCACTTTGTTACAGGGTGATCTCTCTTAAACATAAACCCACTCGTATCCTTTCTTCGGCTTAAAATAACTAAGAACTCATTTCTACACTAATTCACCAAGTCAAAAGTCCTCAGCATTTTGTACAAGGCCCTTCATGGAGTGTCTCCTACTTACCTCCTGACATGATACATCTCCATATGCACCTCCTATTTCAGCCAAACAAGTCACTGAGAGATCTCAGGAAGCACTAGTCTCTCTCACCGTACTCTGTCTTTGCACTTCACATTTCATCGTTTTTGAATGTCATCTCTTCCATCCTGTGTGTGATGGGCTCCTCCTCACCCCCTCTATACGGTCCACGTGTAACCTACTCCGAGAAGCCTTGCTGCCTCCCTTCCACTCCCAGACCACACTTACCCTATTAGAGTTAAGTTATTTCTCTTTTCTTCCACCTAGAGCTTCCTTTATTTATTTCTCTACTCCCTCTCTAGTCCCCATCCTACAACTATGCACCCTAGAGTGGAGAATTTACATCTCAAAACCTGAAAAATAACAATTATCCCAATAATACTCAGCAAATGTTTATAGAATGAATGGACAGATGGGCTTATAATATGAAGAACAGGACATTCAGTTTAGTTAATTGGGGGCGTTGGAGACAAGTCGGGGTGCCTATTACTCAGTATGTAATATTCTGCTCTCTGGTTTGGTAATTTCACTAAAATCAATAACCTAAACTCAACAACAAAAAGTCGTAGCCTGCTTCAAAGAGAGGAACAACCTTTCCTCAAGTTTGCTATTTCAACAATAATTTAAGAAAATCATCTTTTTACTACCTGTAGGTGTCACATGGGACTAACATTGTGGTCTGTACCTTTTGCCTTCCTTCATTCCCAGTAAGGAAATAAAGGAGATATGCTGACATTTTGATAGAGTGGAAATCAATACCTATATTTCCAGCATTACCTACGGAGACAGAGAGTTTTCCAGGCTGGCAGGCTTTACTGCAACCTCTGAAGGTGTTAACATGTTAAGAGAAAGACTATGTGGACCAGAGGAAGCAGAACCTTACAGAAGCAAAGGGAAAAAGGCAGATACAAAGGAGATCGCAGGTCTGTGTTTCACAAGCACCTGGGATGTTTGTTTGAAATGTTGATGACTGGCCCCACCTCCATCCTAGTAAATCAGAATCTCTGGGAATAGAGTCCACAAATTTGAATTTTAGCAAGCTTCTTGGATCTTTTTTCAGCCCATTAACTTGTGGAAATATTAATTCAGATGTGACTTTCCCCAGAGCTGCAGGGGGAAGGGCCTCACTGTGGAGATGAGCATGTCAGACTGAGTAAACCCTGATGCCCTTTAAACTATCAGATCACAAGTCTTACTTTCCATGTTTTGATTTCATATTTACAGCATACTCTCTGACAATTTAGTTTCCATGCAGCTCAACCTACTGGAGGAAATTGTGCAGGTAAAGCTCATATGGATTTTGATCCTTTTTACGATCCTTTTTATGACGTTTTCATTGCAAATTTACCAATTATCAATGGTTGTTCCATTTAATAATGTCTCATTAGCTTTTTTCCTGTGAATTGAAACTCCAAGTCTGATCAATTAGCTAATAATTCTTGAGCTATATTGAGCTTGTGAACATGCAGGGTTGGAGATGGACCTTGGATTACCACTGTGTGTGTCTTTCTTATGGAGCATTCCTGGCCTCCTGCTGACATCTTTTCTACCCCACTTCCAACTGTCTCATCTTCCTCAAATGCTTATAATGAATTTGTAGTGGCTTTATCTGAAGAAATCAATACTCATAAAACATCTACCCATGTTGTACTATTTTATAGAGTCGGGTTAAAAAATGATGCTCCTTAATAAATTCAAAGACAGAATCTACCTTCTATCTTTCCTGTAGGGGTAAGGCCCAGCTCTGAAAGAATAATGTTTAACTAGTGGTGATTTTGCCTGGTGATTTTAACCAGGAGACATTTGACAATGTCTGGTGATACTTTTGGTCCTCACAACAGCAAGATGCTATTGGCATCTAGTGGAAGAGGCCAGGGATGCTGCTGAACATCTTAAAATGCACAAGACATCTCCCTACAAAAAAATTATTGGAATTATTGGGTACAGTGGTAGAAGAGACTCCTCTGTACCTTCTGCTCGAATTTTATACTTCTCTAAAAAGTGAAATCTATTAAAAATTATCTAGCCCCAAATGTCAATAGTACCAAGGTTGAGAAACCCTGTCCTGAAGGAAGCCATGAGAGTTCTTTACTAATTCTGAACCTACTTTCAATTTTTATGACAATGCTAGCTATTGTAAAGGAGAACAATTTTGTATACATATGCTTCCAAAGTGAGTTCAAATGTACATTTCTTTTTTTTCAAATCAGAAGATGATGCTATACTTTAGTAACATATGCTGCACAACATCACCCTCAAGATGAAGCCATTTAGCTATACCACAAATATGAGCCATGCTGAGGTGAGAATGAAATTCACTTTTAAATGAACATACTTATGCCAACAGAGGTAAACTAAATTAGAAGTATGCGATGAGAAATTTGGTCTCAGAATTTGGCTATGAGGGATGACCTACTTTGTGGGGGGTGGGGGGGCTCATTTTTGATTTCCAGAATCTGTGTGTTTCCCTCATTGCATGAGTCTTCCATACCCACACATCTTGTGGGCCATATGGTGCTCTTTTGGAATGACTTTCATTTGATTTTCTCCTTTTCAGAGATTTTTTTTTTTTAAATTTTCACTCTGTCAGAAAGCACAGAGGTCCTTGAGGAAGGGTCTTTTGTCAAAATGCTCTTCTTAGTAGTAGTGACCTTTGATGATTCCACTAGGATTCTTAGCAGAATAATATATCTTCTGAAAAAAAAAGCAAAAAACAAACAGACAAAAAAACCAGAAGTATAGCCTACTGGTGAAGCTTAGAGAAGCATTTTATATAACTTGTTTGGAGGAAGGAAGGAACCCACTCTTCATTTGGGGTTAGGACTTCATTAGTTTCCTCATGGGGAAAATTCACAGATTTCTTTTAGGCAGGGGTTGTGTGATGGGGAAAATGGGCAAGCACAGAGGTGAGTTAGGGGTTAAGGATGGGAGAATACAAACGTCACTTACTGGGGAGTTACTCACTGCAAACCTCAGGGCCATGGAAGAAAGGCACTTGACAAAATCACGTGTGACCTGAGATGTTCAGCAGTGAGGAAGATGAGAGAAAATGGCTCACTACTTCTTACAAGGACCAACCCAAATACGGGGGGACTTCAAAAAATACATGGAAAAATGGAATTAAAAGACAAAAATTGCCAACTTTATTTTTCAACATAAGCCCCATCAAGTTCGGGACACTTCTGAAAGCTATGATACCAGTCATTTAGTCCATCCTTAAAGAAATGAGAGTTGGGAATGTAGCCATGTCAATGCCATCTTTTTTTACATTAGTAACTGAAGAAAAATGGTGCCCTTTAAAGATTAGTTAAATATTAGGAAACAAAAGAAGTTAGCAGAATTTAAATCAAGACTGTAAGGTGAAAGCCTAACGATTTTCCATCAAAACTTTCACAAAATTGCCCTTGTTTGATGAAAGGAATGAGCAAGAGCATTGTCATGGAGGAGGCAGACTCTCTGGTGAAGCTTTCCCAGGTGTTTTTCTTCTAAAACTTTGGCTAACTTCCTTCAAACACACTCATAATAAGCAGATGTTATTGTTTTTGCGTCCCACCCCCTGCTCCTGGAAAGTCAACACACAAAATGCCTTGAGCATCCCCAAAACTGCCGTGATCTTTGTTCTTGATTAATCCACTTTTGCTTTGACTGGACCTCTTCCACCTCTTGGTAGCCATTGCTTTGATTGTGCTTGTCTTTGGGATCATACTAGTAAAGCCTTGTCTATCTCCTGTTACAATTCTTCAAAGAAATGCTTCAGGATCTTGATCCTACTTGTTTAAAATTTCAATTGAAAACTCTGATCTTGTCTGTAGCTCAAGTGGGCACAACATTTTTGGCACTTACCAAGTGGAAAGTTTGCTCTGCTTTAATTTTTAGTTCACAGCTGTGTAAGCTGAATAAGTTAAGATGCCTATGGTGTTGGGCTACTGTTTCTGCTGTTAATTGCTGGTCCTTTTCAATTGGGACACAAACAAGATGAGTGTTTCCTTGCAAGTATGTGTGGATGGTATGGCACTGTGAGCTTCATCTTCAACAATATCTCATTCCCTCTTGAAATGAGTTATTCACTTGTAAACTGCTGATTTATTTGGGACATTTTCCCCATAAACTTTCATAAAGCATTATTTATTTCATCATTCTTCCACGCAAGTTTTACCATAAATTGATGTTCATTCTTGCTTTAATTTTAGCAGAGTTCATGTTGCTCTGATTGGGGCTCTCTTGAAACTCATATCTTATCCTTCTTAGTGGCTCAAATTAGATGCTGTTGAGGCATGTTATAAAAAGTTAGTACAAGTATATTTTGGTGCAAAAAATTTAAAATCCATGCATTTTTTCAGAATATATATTTGTTTTCTGTAAACTTTTAAACTATCTATTAGTATTGAAAATGCCAACAGGACAGCAGGAGAGACTCACGATTAATTAAATACAATTAAGGAGTGGAACTTACTGTACCAAAACAGAACCTGCTCACTTCCCAGAAAGCCTGCCCAGACTTTTAGTTTTCCATCCATTGGTCTTCTTTAAATGTAATTTTTCAGCTTCAGTGTAACACTCATTTGCAGATGAAGCTGGGCTGAAGCACTCTGTTTTCTTCTGGCAGGATAACACCTCTGTGTGGTCTGTTACATTTGTTGTCTGCTTAAGACCTTTCCACCATTGTATCTGCTTACAATTGGTGAAACTCCTGTTTGGTAAGTTGCTTCTCAGTAGAAATGCAATCATAGCCATTATCTGTAGGATGGCACCTTCTCTACTGTTTAGTGTTTTGGATTAGTGGAAGAGCTTTCCCAGTTGATAGTTTGCTATCACCTACTCAAAGCCAGGCAGCCTTTTAGCCAATTTCAACATGCTGCTGCAGGCAAAGAGACACAAATCTGAAATCCAGGAAAATTAAGAAGCCATTTAAAATCTCTTCTACAATGGCTCACACCAGTGTCAAAAAGGGTTTACATTCATATCACTGAGAAAATAACTTTAAAACCTCTTTTCCCCTATCTCTCTGATTCTTTATTCAGGCATACAAGCTGTTGGGAAATTTCTCTTCTCTATCCTCCAAAACTCTATAAACCCAGTCCATGTTAGGTTGAGTACCTCCTACCATCTTTCTGGATCTTTTAAGCTGTCCATCAAATGCTGTTCTTCCGTTCTAATCTAGATTGGTCTAGCTTTCAAAGCATTTTTCAGTTTTCCTTTCTATCCATTACATGAACAACAAAACTGTCACGTGCCAGGCAATGAGAATTTGCTACTTTTGAAAGTTATTTCAAAGATAAAAGCTTAGCAAATCCATACTTTCCCCGCAAAATCACATGAACGTGCTCACAGTGACAAGGCACCCTGCACTCTGTTCTTTTTGAGGAGAAAATGACAATTAATTCTCATGTCAAATTGTTAAAAGTATGTCTACACAGGATTAATATTTTGGTGGCCCAGAGCAGAAAAATGCATTTTAGCAAATCGCCTAGAAAGAGTGATTCCATTCTATGAATAGGTTCTTGAAGTTCTTATTGGTACTGACTGTCAAAGCTGTAGAGTTTCTTTCTTTCTTGATGTCTTAATGTAACTAATTTCTAGACAGAAAGGAAGGCATGTCCAGGCTTCTCTCAAAAAGGATCATCTTGTTAATTCTTTCATGAATTAATCCTGTGGGTGATTAGCAATTCAGGAGCAGGTGTTCAGTTGAGCCTCTGGAGGACCTATGCCCTTTTCAACTCAGAGGAAGTCCTAGACTGGCTAGGATTTTAGAGATAATGGCAGAACCAAGGGCTGAAAGCCTATGATGGGAGGCATTCTGTCTCACCAACTGGTGAGAAGAACAGAGTGCCTTGCTACTATTTGTGTGTGTGTATGTTTGTGTGCCTGTGTCATGTGTGTATGTGTGTGTGTGTGTGTGTGTGTGTGTGTGTGTGTGTGTGTGTGTATTTTGTAAAGTACAGCTTTGCTTACCCTTTTTTTTGGATGGAGTTTTGCTTCTGTTGCCCAGGCTAGAGTGCAAATGCGCGATCTAGGCTCACTCTAATCTCTGTTTCCCGGGCTTGAGTGATTCTCCTGCCTCAGTCTCCCCAGTAGCTAGAATTATAGGCGTGCATCACCACACCTGGCTATTCTTTGTATTTTTAGTAGAGACGGGGTTTCAGCATGTTGACCAGGCTGGTCTCAAACTCCTGACCTCAGGTGATTCGCCTGCTTCAGCCTCCCAAAGTGTTGGGATTACAGGTGTGAGCCACTGTGCCTGGCCTGCTTACCCTTATTATTAAAATCACAAAATTTTAAAGTGCTAAATTAAATGATACATTTAGTACTGTAGGAGTTCAGGTATCTGGGAGATAAAAGCAAGTTGTGTTAGTTCTGGAGACAAATCAGGCCTTGAATGAGACAGGGAGAAGAACTAAAGACCTAATCATAATCTCTTTTTTACATACTTTCAATTTTTAAAATTTGAATAAAAGTATGCAAATATTAAAAATGGGCCAGGCGCAGTGGCTCACACTTGTAATCCCAGCACTTTGGGAGGCCTAGGTGGGCAGATCACGAGGTTAGGAGGACTTCGAGACCAGCCTGGCCAACACAGTGAAATCCCGTCTCTACTAAAAATTCAAAAATTAGTTGGGAATGGTGGCAGACGCCTGTAATCCCAGCTACTCAGGAGGCTGAGGCAGGAGAATCGCTTGAACCTGGCAGACAGGGGTTGTAGTAAGCCGAGATCATGCCACTGCACTCCAGCCTGGGCGACAGAGCTAGACTCTGTCTCAAAAAAAAAAAAAAACAGTTTATCTTTTCTGCATTTTTATGAATCTTCTATAACTGGTATATAATTTATCTTACAATGGGAGAATAAAATCTAAATTATACTTAAAACAACATAGTGATTGAGAGCTGAAGCTAGGCTCTGTAGCCAGGTTGCCTGTATTCAAATCCTGGTCCACTATTCAGGCTGCTACACCTCAGGCAAGTTGCCAGTCTTCTTTTTGGCTCAGTTTTTCTATCAACTGTGGGTACTAACAGTACTTCTCTCCTGGGGTTATTGTGGGTGATAAATAAATTAATACATCTAAAATACTTGGAGAAGTGTCTGACCTAAAGATCATCCTCAGTACACATTAGGCAAGGAGGAAGATAAGAGCAGGAAGAGGAGGAGGAAGATTCTATTCCTCTAAAATCCTAGCACTAACAGCCCAATGAATGAAAGCTTTTTCCTCTTAATGCCTATTTTGGCAGCTAACTGATAAATTGTATTGAAAGAAATCAAGACTGCAATTTCTAGCTCTATTTAATAGATAATAGATCTATTTACTAGATTTATCAAGATAATTTATAATTATCAGGTCATGCAAATTTTATGTTTATTAGTGTTCATAGAGATTTTAATAAGGATTGAAAAATTAAAGCTTAAATAAAACTTACAGTCCCATATATTTACAATAAAGTCATATCATTTCATAGATTTTCTTGCTGAACTATGTGTTTTTCTTTCCCATAAATGTATTACGGACACTTGAAGATTAAGGTAGACCCTGGCTGCTATTTCAGAATCAACCTATCAATTAAACTGAACCAGGAACAATTTTTTTACAATTATAATTCATCTTTTATTTTTATATTTATTTTAGTAGTATTTATTTCTGTATTCCAATTATAAAGGGAATATTGAACATTTAGCATCACAGGTTGTTAATAATCAAAAGAAGTAAAGGAATGGCCTCCAGAAACAATTTATAGATGTTCATTAAAGAGAATTTGGAAGCTATTGAAAAGAACAACTGTAATCCCATCACAGATAGATATTCTTTTAATATTTTGGTATGTTATTTTCCACTAATTTTTTTCCTGAAAAGTGACTCTAATATTTTGATAATTTATCAGTAGATTCTTTAATATTTTGAACATTTTGTTATAAAGTATAATCATCTGTAAATATAAACAGTAGTTAACCCTTTCTGACTGCAAACACACCAGCAAAGTGTTTTGTTTGTTTGTTTGTTTTGCTGTGGGTGCTTAAGCGTTGTGACACTTAATAGGCTAGTGTCCCTTTTAACACTTAAAAGGGACACATAACTGAAATAGTGACTTGGTGTATGTAAAATCCACCTGCTCTTACGAATAGTTTCTAGAGGTTATCCCTTCCCTCCCTTCCCTCCCTCCCTTCCTTCCTTCCTGCCTTCCTTCCTGCCTTCCTTCCCGCCTTCCTTCCTGCCTTCCTTTCCTTTCTTCCTTGCTTGCTTCTTTTTCTTTCATTCATTCTTTCTCCTTCACCTCTTACCCCAGGTCATTTGAAAAAGTACAATATTCTTAGGTGGCAACTTTTTGGGGGTTTTAAGAATTTGTTTTTATCACGAACATAAAATATTAGCACTAAATTAGCAGATACTTTTTCTGTTGACAAATAAGATGACTCACTGTTCTAACACTGAATAGGTCTGTTCCTCACAAAATAGTAGGCCTTCCATTAGACTTATATTTAAATTTAAAAATTTATCTTATTTACTTATTGTGCTATTGTCCACGTATTGAACATAACTTTAACAATCAAACATATGAGTTATAAAAATTAGTGTATAATATTTATTAATAGGGCACTTCAATTAAACAGTATTCTTCTTACTCCACTCCTAAAAAATTAAAAGCATTCTGAATTACATTCATATTATTCTCAATTGCCATTTAGGATTGTTGGTTTCCCACATTTCTTTAAAAATCAAAGAATTATTTCTGGAATTATATCATACAGCTCTACCACCTGCTGGTCATAAACAGTGTAATTATGCACAGTTCTTCCTGTCACTGATGCACACTCTTTGACAATTTTAATAACTGGCTCTGTTATCGTCTCTCTTCCAACTCCTGCCATAACCTTGGAGAAATTTAATTTCCAAAGGAAATAAACCATCCCATCTGTAGATGAAGCTCAGTTTCATGATCATTTTAAACCAAATTGTCTTTATCTTGTTTTCAATCAATATTTCTCTGTTAAGTTAGAAATGATAACTTTGTTATTCTCCTCTACAACCACACCCTTCTCTTCCTCTACTCGGTCAATTACTTCCATTAAATTTTCCCTTTAATTAGCTGAGATCTCTAGGTCTTTGGTTGCTGTCTTTAATTCCAATTGATAAATTCTTTACTGGCTTTTCTTCTTCCCTTAGCGGCTTAAATACTATGGTCAAACCATTTCTACTAGTCTTTCGTAATGACTCAAAGTCTTGTCTACTTGTGTTTCTGTCCTGTCTGATATGTGAAGCCACACTTCTGCATTAATCATCTACCTTTTCTCTTCCCGCATGAAGAGTTGGGAAGCCTGCTAAAGATTAAATAGAAGTCTCAAAACTTTTCAGATTGGAATTTGTACAAATGTATGCTTTCCAACGTCAGCTGAGCCTTTCAATTCCTTGTTCTTGGAAAGATTACTTTCCCACATCCCACCACTCTTTTCAACTCAACACCTACTTCAACTCAAGTCCCTTACCCCATCCTTCTTGGCAGATGGCCTTGTCTCCTACCTCCCAGTGAAGAGAAACTAACAAGCTCCCTCATCTTCCTTCTTCCTTATTTACCCCTTCACAAGAACAGGTGTTTTCTTTCTAAAACTAATCCTTTTAAAACACTCCTGGTTTCTCTAAAGATTTGTCATCAATTCTTTTATCTTTTCACTTCTTAAATAAATGTGTCTTCCCCCACTAGTAAATATAATCATGTCAATTTCTTCTATGCTGTTATTAAAGTCTATAATTTATGCTTTCTCTGATTTTCTATTTTTTCCAGACTTACTATATATTGCTTTTGTTACCAGATACAAAACAAAACAATGTAATGTAATGTACTCTCTCTCTCTGGACAAACTTCTTGAAAGAATAATGCTATTCTGTACTCACTATTTCTATTTTCTCACCTCTGATTTGTTCAGTCCCATCCTACTAGCTCTCTGTCACATGATGCCAGCCCATTGCTCACATAGTCACCAATAATTTTCTAAATAACAGATATAATAACACCTCCTTCTCCTTTTTCTTACTTGTCCTCCTCATGTCATGAGTCACTGCTTACAGTTCCAGGGTTTGCTTCTTCTCTTACTCTACATGGTCTCCCTGGGTGATAGCATCCACATCCATGGCTTTCAGGGATGCAGTCACACTAATGACATCCAGGGATGGTGTCTCTCTTGAACTCCCATATCAGATCTCAAGTCTCCATTGAGTATCTCCTCCTGGGTGTATTGCGCAGGCATCAGGTATCTCAAATACAAAAGGTCCAGAAGAGAACTAATCTCTGCCCCCTCCAACCTTCTCTTCCGTCTTTGTTTTCTACCTTGATGACTCGTATTGGCATTACCTTATTCTCCAAGCTACAAGAGTCATTCTGGTTTACGTCATTTGCTTCCCATGTCCAATTATTGACCACATTATGTTGCTTTTGAGTAACAAATATATGTAGCATATTTTCTAGACCATTTCCCCTAAATCTTGACTGTTCTATATTGGCACAGAACAATTGCTTTCCAACTCTCTTTGGTAATTGGCTGCTCGATTCACAGAAGTCATTAACAACTCCAATAGACAGAACTCTTAACGGCCATGTCTTGGTTAGCAGCCTATCACCTAAACATGAATGATTGATCCAAGCTGGGAAAAGCAGATTCTTTTTCCTGGAGATGGGAGTTATTAATTTTTGGAATACAGGGACAAGAGTTGGTAGAACTGAGACACATTAATGACATCTTTCTAAGTAGACTGTCCATGACTTCTGTAGCTCCCATGGTTCTGTCTGCAGTCTTAGTTATTTAATAATTTATTCAGCTAAATGAGATAACCCAACACTTTGCAACAAATTCCTTTTCTTTGTTAAATTTCATCCATTTGTTCCTGCTGCTTGAAACCAAAACATCCTGAACTATACCCGAAGTTTTCTAACATTGCCATTGGAGTTATCTTTCTGAAATAAAAGGTGGATTTTATTTCCTTCCTTAAATTATTTAAGAGGGACTCAATTGCCTAGTGTATAAACCCAATTTCCATAGCTAAGCATAAAAGGACCTTCACAATCTGGGTTCTTCCTTCCTAGTGTTATCTTCCAATACTTCTCTGTGTGTAGTAGGAATTCCGGTCCCATTGCTTGTAATTATGGGATCTTTGGTGTGCTTCAGGCAGTTGAGCCTCGCCCGTGCCTCCCTCTTGGCTTAGTTTCGTGTGCCTCCTTTCCTTTGTGACGCATCCCCTCACTCAGCTCTTCTGACACCCTTAGGCACAGTCGGCATCCTCTTCTACTCTGCTCCTACGGTACCTCCTATTTACTTCTGCAAGTGTTTACAATGCTGCAGTGTAAATACTGGCTTATAAGCCTGTTATCCTATTAAACCGGAAGCTCCTTGATGATGAAGACTCTTGGGGCATGTCTGGCCAAGGAGACCAGGTGCTTCTGGAAGCACCATCATGGGAGGGAGAATGATAGAATGTAGGGGACCATTAGAAAATTGAGGAAGCATAGTGTTTTTTTCAGACTCTCAGACAGCTTCCATAATGAGGTACACCCTGAGAGAAGAGTATATTATGACCTCATTAATGGAAATAAAATAAAAGGACAGAGATGTTTGAATTGAAACGAAAGTGGGACCTTTCTCATTTAGAGATACAAGATTGACAAAACAGAAGAAAACCTCTGTCCATGTCAGCTTGGGGACAGCAAAAATGCAAGAGCCTGTGGCATTAGGATGGGGGATGTGAGAAGGACTGGGATGGCAGCTTAGGGACACATGGGAGACCTAACAGCAATGTCTGAATAACAATGGCCAAGTCCCACTGATTTAGCGACTAGACACCAAAAGATCTTCACTGTTACTGGGCCTTGTTCATAACCATAACCATTGCTGAATTGGCTAAGGATAAGATCCAAATATCCCACAGATGATTTGAAAACAATGATAATAGTTGTTTGGACTTGACTTCTGTTGTGTAAATGTTGCAAGAGGTTGGTCAAGAATATTGAACAGATGAGTTGGGTGAGGTGGTCTGAGTACATGTGAGTGTGAGCCTATGACTAAAGAGTCAAGGAACAGAATACGCTCAACAGAGGTGAATGAAAATGTAAACCTGGCAATTGTCAAAATTTTGGACAGCCTTAAAACTTTTAAGATGTTGTCACTTTAATATGCCCTTAGGTTTCTACATTTCTACATCTTTCTTTCTTTCTTTCTTTCTTTCTTTCTTTCTTTTTTTTTTTTTTGGACAGGGTCTCACTGTCTCCCAGGCTGGAGTGCAGTGGTGCAATCATAGCTCACTACAGCCTCGACCTCCTGGGCTCAACTGATCCTCCCACCTCAGCTACTTGAGTAACTAGGACTACAGTGTGTGCCACCATGCCCAACTAATTTTTTTTTCATTTTTACTTTTTCTAGAGAGGGGTCTCACTATATTGCCCAGGCTGGTCTCAAACTCTTGGGCACAAGCCTTGGCCTCCCAAAGTGTTGGGATTACAGGTGTGAGCCACCATACCCAACCAGCCTCTACTTTTTTAAAAAAATTACTATCCGTTAAGTAAACAGTGATGATGAAGTAAAATAAAGTTTTGCCAAAGCTTTAGGTATTAAATCTGTTTTAAAAACTCACTTAACTATGAAATTTTACTTTGTTTTTATTTATTTTTTAATTTCCTGGGTATTTTTCTGTTCTGGCCAACTATCTTTGCTTTTTTGGCTTAGGCCAGTGTTTTCTGCTTTAATATAGTTATTATAACCACCATTTTAATGTTCCTGTGATGTTGCAAATGAAAACCCCAAGTCACTTTTATCTTGTGAAAATCATGTGCTAGATTTATTGATGAAAAGGAAAGTGCTTTTATGAGTCCAGTATAGATGCACTCCAGTTATTTAGCATCATAATACTTACTAACTGTGAATATGGTTTTGGCAGAACACACTGTCACCTTTAGGAACATTTCAGTAGGGGCTGGTGGTTATGTGATTGGCGTTATTTTCTCCATGATTACATTTATCAAAAATGAATACATTAAAATTAAACAATCATAATGTTTACCATTACTCTATTACATAAAAGGTAAAATTAGATTTCTGATCATTTATTTTCCCACAATCTGGGTAGTAAATAGAAAAATATTGGTGCATTTTCCACTTCGCACTTATTCCAAAATTGACCATATAGTTGGAAGTAAAGCCCTCCTCAGCAAATGTAAAAGAACAGAAATTATAACAAACTGTCTCTCAGACCACAGTGCAATCAAAAACTAGAACTCAGGATTAAGAAACTCACTCAAAACCACTCAACTACATGGAAACTGAACAACCTGCTCCTGAATGACTCCTGGGTACATAACGAAATGAACGCAGAAATAAAGATGTTCTTTGAAACCAATGAGAACAAAGACACAACATACCAGAATCTCTGGGACACATTTAAAGCAGTGTGTAGAGGGAAATTTATAGCACTAAATGCCCACAAGAGAAAGCAGGAAAGATCTAAAATTGACACCCTAACATCACAATTAAAAGAACTAGAGAAGCAAGAGCAAACACATTCAAAAGCTAGCAGAAGGCAAGAAATAACTAAGATCAGGGCAGAACTGAAGGAGATAGAGACAAAAAAAACCCTTCAAAAAATCAATGAATCCAGGAGCTGGTTTTCAACAAAGATCAACAAAATTGATAGACTGCTAGGAAGACTAATAAAGAAGAAAAGAGAGAAGAATCAAATAGACACAATAAAAAATGATAAAGGGGTTATCACCACCAATCCCACAGAAATACAAACTACCATCAGAGAATACTATAAGCACCTCTACGCAAATAAACTAGAAAATCTAGAAGAAACGGATAAATTCCTCAACACATACACCCTCCCAAGAATAAACCAGGAAGAAGTTGAATCTCTGAATAGACCAATAACAGGCTCTGAAATTGAGGCAATAATTAATAGCCTACCAACAAAAAAGTCCAGGACCAGATGGATTCACAGCCGAATTCTACCAGAGGTACAAGGAGGAGCAGGTACCATTCCTTCTGAAACTATTCCAATCAGTAGAAAAAGAGGGAATCTTCCCTAACTCATTGTATGAGGCCAGCATCATCCTGATACCAAAGCCTGGCAGAGACAAAACAAAAAAAAAGAATTTTAGACCAATATCCCTGATGAACATTGATGCAAAAATCCTCAATAAAATACTGGCAAACTGAATCCAGCAGCACATCAAAAAGCTTATCCACCATGATCAAGTGGGCCTCATCCCTGGGATGCAAGGTGGTTCAACATATGCAAATCAATAAACGTAATCCAGCATATAAACAGAACCAAAGACAAAAACCACATGATTATCTCAATAGATGCAGAAAAGGCCTTTGACAAAATTCAACAGCCCTTCATGTTAAAAACTCTCAATAAATTCGGTATTGATGGACGCATCTCAAAATAATAAGAGCTATTTATGACAAACCCACAGCAAATATCATACTGAATGGGCAAAAACTGGAAGCATTCCCTTTGAAAATGGGCACAAGACAGGGATGGCCTCTCTCACCACTCCTATTCAACATAGTGTTCGAAGTTCTGGCCAAGGCAATCAGGCAGGAGAAAGAAATAAAGGGTATTCAATTAGGAAAGGAGGAAGTCAAATTGTCCCTGTTTACAGATGACGTGATTGTACATTTAGAAAACCCCTTTGTCTCAGCCCCAAATCTCCTTAAGGTGATAAGCAACTTCAGCAAAGTTTCAGGATACAAAATCAATGTGCAAAAATCAAAAGCATTCTTATACACCAATAACAGACAAATAGAGAGACAAATCATGAGTGAACTCCCATTCACAATTGCTTCAAAGAGAATAAAATACCTAGGAATCCAACTTACAAGGGATGTGAAGGACCTCTTCAAGGAGAACTACAAACCATTGCTCAATGAAATAAAAGAGGACTCAAACAAATGGAAGAACATTCCATGCTCATGGATAGGAAGAATCAATATCATGAAAATGGCCATACTGCCCAAGGTAATTTATAGATTCAATGCCATTCCCATCAAGCTACTAAAGACTTTCTTCACAGAACTGGAAAAAACTACTTTAAAGTTCATATGGAACCAAAAAAAGATCCCACATTGCCAAGTCAATCCTAAGCCAAAAGAACAAAGCTGGAGGCATCACACTACCTGACTTCAAACTATACTACAAGGCTACAGTAACCAAAACAGCATGGTACTGGTACCAAAACAGAGATATAGATCAATGGAACAGAACTGAGCCCTCAGAAATAATACCACACATCTACAACCATCTGATCTTTGACAAACCTGACAAAAACAAGAAATGGGGAAAGGATTCCCTATTTAATAAATGGTGCTGGGAAAACTGGCTAGCCATATGTAGAAAGCTGAAACAGGGTCCCTTCCCTACACCTTATACAAAAATTAATTGAAGATGGATTAAAGACTTAAATGTTAGACCTAAAATCATAAAAACCCTAGAAGAAAACCTAGGCAATACCATTCAGGACATAGGCATGGGCAAGGACTTCATGTCTAAAACACTAAAAGCAATGACAACAAAAGCCAAAATTGACAAATGGGATCTAATTAAACTAAAGAACTTCTGCACAGCAAAAGAAATTACCATCAGAGTGAACAGGCAACCTACAGAATGGGAGAAAATGTTTGCAATCTACTCATCTGACAAAGGGCTAATATCCAGAATCTACAAAGAACTCAAACAAATTTACAAGAAAAATACAAACAACCCCATCAAAAATTGGGTGAAGGATATGAACAGACACTTCTCAAAAGAAGACATTTATGCAGCCAACAGACACATGAAAAAGTTCTTATCATCACTGGCCTTCAGAGAAATGCAAATCAAAACCACAATGAGATACCATCTCACACCAGTTAGAATGGCGATCATTAAATCATGCTGCTATAAAGACACATGCACACGTATGTTTATTGTGGCACTATTCACAATAGCAAAGACTTGGAACCAACCCAAATGTCCAACAATGATAGACTGGATTAAGAAAATGTGGTACATACACACCATGGAATGCTATGCAGCCATAAAAAATGATGAGTTCATGTCCTTTGTAGGGACATGGATGAAGCTGGAAACCATCATTCTCAGTAAACTATTGCAAGGACAAAAATCCAAACACCACATGTTCTCACTCGTAGGTTGGAATTGAACAATGAGAACACATGGACACAGGAAGGGGAACATCACACACTGGGGCCTGTTGTGGGGTCGGGGGGAGCGGGGAGGGATAACATTAGGAGATATACCTAATGTTAAATGACGAGTTAATGGGTGCAGCACACCAACATGGCACATGTATACATATGTAGCAAACCTGCATATTGTGCACATGTACCCTAAAACTTAAAGTATAATAAAAACAAAACAAAACAAAAAAAGTAAGGAAACAACAGGTGCTGGAGAGGATGTGGAGAAATAGGAACAGTTTTACACTGTTGGTGGGACTATAAACTAGTTCAACCATTGTGTAAGACAGTGTGGTGATTCCTCAAGGATCTAGAACTAGAAATACCATTTGACCCAGCCATCCCATTACTAGGTATATACCCAAAGGATTATAAATCATGCTGCTATAAAGACACACGCACATGTATGTTCATTGCGGCACTATTCACAATAGCAAAGACTTGGAACCAACCCAAATGTCCATCAATGATAGACTGGATTAAGAAAATGTGGCACATATACACCATGGAATATTATGCAGCCATAAAAAATGATGAGTTCATGTCCTTTGTAGGGACATGGATGAAGCCAGAAACTATCATTCTCAGCAAACTATTGTAAGGACAGAAAACCAAACACCGCATGTTCTCACTCATAGGTGGGAACTGAACAATGAGAACGCTTGGACACAGGAAGGGGAACATCACACACAAGGGCCTGTTGTGGGGTGAGGGGAGAGGGGAGGGTTAGCATTAGGAGATATACCTAATGTAAATGACTAGTTAATGGGTGCAGTACACCAACATGGCACATGTATACATATGTAATAAGCCTTCATGTTGTGCACATGTACCCTAGAACTTAAAGTGTAATAATAAAAAAAAGAAAAATATTGGTGCATTTTAATATAGCAAGTTTACTGGATCAGATTTCTAGCTAATTCTTTGTCTGTTGGAAACCTGTACCTAGTAGAAGTTAAAATGATTTAAATGCATTATAACCAGATTGTAGGAAGTGCGTGGAAGTCATAAGAAAAGCCAATACTCTGTGATTTCAATAGCAACAGAGATCAGGTACCTACTGAGGAAATGAAACATGAACTCCACGAAGACACGGACTATTCTGCAGAATATGCTCACCCTCATCAGGACTAGATTTAGATCCAATAACTTGTCCTTAGTGCCTTCCAGAAGCCCTGCTGGCCTTCCCATCGGCAGGCACTTTTGCCTCCATCCCAATTCCTAAGTCCTCAATTTCCCTGGAATATCGAAATACTAGCTTTTCCCCACAGTCCAATTCAGTCCTGTCTCAACTGTGATGGACTAGCCTCTCAATTTCGCTTCCATCTGGATTACTTCACTAATTGGTGAATTGTGTGTAACTAGCTCTTAAGGATATACAACGCAACATTGCTTAGTACTGTGGCATGTGTCTACATCTTTATTCTCTATGTAGGTTGTGAACTTTGGGGAGCAGGCATCATGTTTCATACTTTTGTAGTGTCCACTCCAAGAAAATTCTGAGCATATGTTCAGCACATTCTTATTACTTAAGTCACAGTTTCCCACAGGCTTGCTAAAGGGGAGGGAAGAACATACTGAGGAGATGACCTGGACTTACTAATTGAAATCTCCCTGCAGAATGGGCTGTTAATTGCTCATGCAATTCATTTGTCAACACTTGAATTCATACGAATTTTCAGGGAATTAAGGAGAAATGGTAAGTGGAAGTAGTGGTGGAGAATCAGCAGAAAAGAATTCTGTGTGGACTTCCATTAATTCTGGTTACTTTTCCTTATGAAAGTTCTGCCTGTCCCTAAATATGATTTATAAGCTGCTAGGTACTCACTGGTATATGAAAGCATAGCTTCTTCCGACAGCTGACTACCAGTGCATTAAATTTGCAATATGTTTCTATTTTTCCTTTTTTTTGGCCGAAGCAAATAGCTGTTATTGTCTCTATTTCCTGTAACTGTTATTGCTACCATTAATCTCTCCAATGAGTTTAACAGAGAGGCATAAATCTACCCCTAATACCAGATAAGAAAGGCACTCAAAGAAATATACAGATACTTAAACAAAAAATAATGCAATGTTAAGCTGAGCTATATTCTTTAGTTAAATCTTTTTTTTATATTTATTTTTTAAATCTCTAAGATAACCGAACATCGTAAGGGCTAAAGTAGTTATATTATTCAGATAAATTTAAAAATTCAAACATATAAATGGATGTTACAATGAGCATATTCAGAAATGATATGGTCAATATATATAAAGCAGTAGACCTGGAAGAAATGGCTGATGAATATTATTTGGGAATATGTCATAGCATGCCCACAATCTGCAAGCTGTCACATGTGGATACACCGACTTTTGTCTGCCATCCTCAAGCTAGTTTCTTCTCCTCCAGCTTGTTTGAGCAGTGAATGGACTTTTGTTTGAGAAGAAACAAATGTGTATTATTTCATCTGAGAGTAACTAGTTACATTTTCAAAAAACAGATCCTGACTTATACCACTTTGAGAGACTGGTATATATGTGGAAAGGTTTAAAGAAGTAAATAAACTAATACTGATGGTAATTCTAGGCTATCAAAATTAATTTTATGTTATTTAACATGTATTAAGCACTTGGTTTATGCCAGACATTGACAAAATGCTTTTACAGGCATTCATACATTTACATAACAAATATTTGATGGGTGCCCACCATATGCCAGGAATTATTTTATTTCTTTCTCATGATAACTCCACAAAATAAGAGCTATTCTTATGCACATTTTCTGATAAGAAAACTGAGATTTTCAAGCTTGATGAAATTACTCATGGTAAAATAATTAGAAAGTGGCAGAGCCAGAATTCTGTATCCAGAGCCCAAGCTCTTAAATCAGATGCTATATTGCCTCATATAATGCATCAAACCTGGAATTATGATGATAAACTGCAGTGCATAAGTTTGTTCTTATATATGGGAAGAGCAAGGAGATAAGTGAGAGCTACGCAAAGAGAAATGAGAATCAAGTCATTCCTCTTTACAAATTATACCTTTTCGCCGTATTTAGATAAAATTTTCAGAGTTTCATTTGTTTTGTTTACTTATTTTTTTCTCATTCTACCTTAACTCATGATGTGCTGGTAAGTTTTTAACAACTATTTTTTGGAATAAAAATCCCTGATTTATAACATTTGCCAGTTTCTGTGGTGTAAGTAATCACACCATGGGTGATTTCATGCTATTAATGTGAGTTGGGAGGGATATGGATATTCAGATTAACGAAGCCTAAAAGATCAACACAAGATTAATGAAAGATTAAGGAAGCCCAAGCAAGATCAATACAAAGAAGGAATACTCCAAGGCACATTATAATCAATTAGTCACAAGTCAAAGACAAAGAGAGACTCTTGAAAACAGCAATAGACAAGAGACTTGTCACATGTAAGGAAACCCTTATAAGCCTATCAGAAATTTTTCAACAGAAACCTTGCTAGCCAGGAGAGAGTAGGGATGATATGTTCAAAGGGCAGAAAAAAAGTAATGCCAACCAACAAGACTATGCCTGGCAAAGCTGTACTCAGAAATGAAGAGCTAAAGACATGCCCAGGCAGACAAATGTTGGGGAGGTCATTACCACTGGACATACCTTACAAGAAATGATAAAGGTTCTTCATGTTGGAATGAAAGCATGCTAATTAACAACATGAAGACATATGAAATTTAAAAACCCAATGGTAAAGGTAAATATATGGTCAAAATCAGAATGCTCTAATACTGTAACGGTAGTGTGTAAGTCACATATTTCTAACATAAAAGTCAAAAGACAAAGCTATTAAAAGTAATCATAACCACAATAATTTGTTAGGGGAACAATATAAAAAGATGTGAATTACGACATAAAAACATAAAATATGCAGGGGGAGCAAAAATGTAAAGGTTTTGTATGTGATCATAATTGTTATTAGCTTAAAATAATCTGTTATAACCATAAAAATAACCTGATATAACTATAAATGTTCTATGTAAGCCTCACAGGAAGAGACGTACACCAACAGCTCTTATAAACTGGCTTCAGCATGTCACACTGTTTATAACCTGCCACAATGGAGCATTCACTTAGTAGTTGAAAAAGTGATAAATTCCAGAAGAAAACTGTTTTGAGGGTTGAGAGATTTGGAATCTATGCTATTTTTTGTTCATTGAGCTCATTCCTAAAAAAAATCTAGAGAAATGAAGCAATTCTCCCTCGTAGATTTTATGGTATTCCATTAAAAACCTAGGAAGGCCTGAATAGTTTCTCAGGTTGTGAGCTGATTCCAAAGTTTTCAAGTTGAAAGCAATGAGTTTATCCAACTGAATATCCAGAAGGGAGAGCTACACCTCTGACATTGGTGCTGGATAATTTGCTGAATTAATTCTCCAGTGGGACAATTAGAGCCTTTAACATCTATCGTTAGGGAGGAACAACTCATGAAAATAGGGAATAAAATTTTCCTAGAAATTCATCTATGAAAAGGTATAATTTATAATATATATTCAGTGTTCCCAGTGAGAGCTGATCCTGGGAAAAGTGCCATGCCACTGCTGGCCTCAGTGTTCTGGCACAGCACTGTTCTGCTGGAAGAAACTGCTCTCTGCAGAAACTTTTATCTCTCTGCGCTTAGACTTCCAGAACACTCAGCCAGCCAGGAGAAGGTGTAGGCACAAGAAGCATGGATACCCTGAGGTGATGCCTGTGGGTAGAGGAGGTAATCCCTGAGCTATGTGAAACTCACCCAGGCTCCATCCCCTAACTATAATAAAAATCCAAAGTACTTGCTCTTCTCTTGACTCAAGCCATTCCAGAAGAGCTTGAATACCTGCCATATTCTCCCTAGAGTTTCATTATATGAGTAATATTCATACCCTCTGGGTGCATGTATAACACCATCAGTCCTGATACCCAAAATGATATTGAGTGGGGAATTGATCCTTCCCTAACAGGGCACCCACAGAACACTAAAAATAAGACTGTTTATGTCATCTAAAAGAGACCAGAAAACCTATGGAATTTGTACAATCACATGAGGGAGAATCCTAGGCTTTCTTATTGGCTTCCGGGTGAGGTAAAAGGGGAAGGAAGAAGCGTGGGGCCTGAAAGCTGCCAGTGATTAAACATCAAAATGAAGTCATCACATTTAGGTATTAAAATAGTCAAGTATACTTGTGCTCCAAATTTTTAATATGTAGAATATCAGGGTAGTGTGCTGGGTGATAAGGACATGGAAGTTCATTATACTATTCTATTTTCGTATGTTCGAAAATTTCTATAAGTTTTTAAAAACCCGAGTCCAGTCTTGCTATGATTTGGTTTGTCTCTGCCAAAGATCATGCTGAAATTTGATCTCCAATGTGGAAGTGTTGGGAGGTGGGGCCTAGTGGGAGGTATTTGGGTTATTGGGCAGATCTCTTATGAGTAGATTAATGGCCTCCTGTGGGGGCAAGTGAGTTCTTCCTCTTGCAGGAATGGATTATTTCCTGACAGCAGGTTGTTAAAAAGAGTCTGGCTTCCTCAGTTCCAATCTTTTCCTTCCTCCCACCATGTCATCTCTTTGCACATGCCAGCTCCCCTTCCACTTTCTGCCATGAGTTTAAGCAGCATGGGGCCCTCACCAGATGCAGCTGCCTGATCTTGAATTTTCCAGTTGTCAGAATCACGAGCTAAAGAAATCTCTTTTCTTGTAAACTCCCAAGTCTCAGGTATTCTGTTATAGCAACATAAAAAGGATGAAGATAAATCTAACATAAAAACTTCAATTTCTCATGCAAGTGAAGCTTCTCTCTTTTTGACAATATGAGCCTAATTCAAGCTCAAAACCTGTAGTAGAGATTGGACACATGATCAGATGATCAGTTTCTTTTCCATTTTCACAAATTTCTCAATTCCTCTTATCTCTGTGTTGTGTCTGAATGCTCCAGGGTTGTGTTGAAAGCTGGGAAGAGAAGGAAGGAAATGAGAAAGTTGTTATCTAGCAGTGGTTGCCCTCATGGTTGTGAGAGGTACCGAAATACTGAGTTTGGGGGCATTTACTTTTATGGTTTCATACTGACTTTCTGAATCCTTCCACTCGAGACTTGCTGCAGCCCTAATTCTTATGTGAAGTAATTCAATCTCTGATCGGCCATGTATAACCACCCCCTGCCCACCTTCATTTCCTCTAACTGGATACCTCTATTATCTTTCCACCAAAGATGCCTCACTCATGGAAGGAAGCCCTCTAGAGCAGAGCTATATCAATGTAATTCAAGACCAGTGATTTTGAATGCATCCATCAGCTCAAGGGATACCCACAATGGGAGTGATGCTTCCTCATACTGTGAGCACTCTTTATTTTCTCTGCCTTGAGGTAATCTGTGGTCTACCTCCATCCTTCCCACTTAACCAGGGGAGAGTCAGATTCTAGACCTTCTGTGGCCACACCCAGCAGTGACGTGATCAGTAAGAACTGGGAGGCCGTGGGGCCTTCAGGTTGCTGCAGCTTGCAAAAATCCCTAGGGAACGGGTAGTCAGTCTCCCCAGTCTTGGCAAGTGCCTGTTCACTTCAGAAGGGGCCCCTGAGGTGCTTTTCTTACTAAGCTTGTTGCAGGGGGCAATGTGGGGCAGCCCTCTTTTGTTACCTCAAAGGGTGATACTCCATACTCTGGAAATCTCACCAGAGAAAAATTTCAACTCTCAATCTTCCCGCAGCCAATTTCCTCTGTTTGTAAATACCCTAGATGAAGAGTGTTGGTTTAAAGGTGACCAAACTGTGTTTTGGCTTACCCCTCAGCAAGGTTTTCCTAGCTGCTCTGGCATCTCCTTTTAGACTGTGCAGATAATTAACACCCTTCCTTATCAGCTTTGGAGCCTCTGCCAAAATTCTAAAACAACAGGGAATTCACACTTAGCTCTTCTTGCATTTGGAATCATTTTAAGGCAATGTTACTCGTGACATTTCAGGAAAAAATGCAAATATATTACAAAGTGTTGTTGGTTGTTATGTAAAACCTCTTAGGAGGCAATAAAAATATATTTTGGGTGATAAACAACAAACATGATAGGTACCTAGCAATGATTGACATGGAATATTATGGGAAAAGGCTCATAATTTGCATCTAAAAATTACTAGACTCGTGATTTTAAAGACCAAGGGCCAAAGAAATGAATGGGAGTTGGGGAAAAGGTGACCTGTTACTACTCCACCTAAATTACCTAGAAAAATCTGTGTTTTGTTGAATCGTGATACAGAGCACACTGTTTTTCATACCAAATACAGAAATTGAGGCCAGAGATAAAATGATTAGAGGGGAAGATGCCAGTGCATAGCACTTAACAATGTCCAAACAGAAAATGCAGAACCAGGGAAAGGCCTGGAGTTGCTTAGTGACAAGAGATGAAACTGAGAAATGGACCCACTTGATGTCATTCTTATTTTAAAAGGCTTTTACATCAGTTTACATATAGCTCCTATCTTGTATTGATTAAGACAAATAGCATTTTATAAAATGGTTGTTTAGAAATTTCATTTTATAGGTGTGTATGTGTATGTGTGTGTGTGTGTGTGTGTGTGTATATATATATATATATATATATATATATATATATATATATATATTCTTAAGTTCTACCTTTCAGCCATGAGTCTAAAACCACTTGGCTGTAGGGTTGGCAGAGGTTCTTTTCAGTGCCATCTGGATGGGGATGTTCAGTTGACTCTGGAGATCACAGGATGAGGTGGAGCGTGTGCATTCCCTTCACCCTCCTGGTGATGTGTTAGAAGGTACTTGGCACAAAGGATGGATTTACATGGAAGTGAAAATATAAGATGAGAAATGAGAGACCCTTAAAGACCAGCTCTTCGCTTTCAGACTCTGCTCAACAGAGCGTGCAGGGGCTGCTCCAGGGACCCAGGCAGGGGAGCGCCTGCAGTGGGAGTGTTTTCACCCACTCAATCGCCGAAGTCAGTCCATGTATTTAAAAAAATCTCTTTTTCATGTTCATCTTCTTATTTGCAAATAATAATAATAATAATGATAGTAGTAATATTAGTAATCATGATGTTTAATACCCCAATATGGTTCAACTCTCCCACGTCCTAGGTGAGGAGAGCTGTTCTGGGTGGGTAAATGACTCGGCCAAGCTTGTGGCAGGGCCCAGATAGGGATCCAGGCCTCTTGACCACCCTCAGACCATGGGCAGTTCTGCGGACTCGGCTCCTCCCCAGGGATCCTGCTGCCCTGAACACCCGCCTTCCATTCCTCTTGCAATGCAGAGACCCACAAGAGCTGCACCCTCTGAGGCGAGCAGGCGGCTGTGTTAGTCATTCTTCCTTCATGCTGTCTTAATCCCTCTGAATGTCAGCAAAAGCCAGGAATAAGCAACAGAGTCACTTCCAAACTAATCTCTCCCATGTGCTCTCTTTTTTGCCTTGCTTCCTTTGTGGATCTGTCACTGAATAATTCTCCTGAGCCTGCTCAGATTACACTGAATCCCTGTGCCTGTATCAAGGAAAAACAAGAGAGCAAAGCTACCTCTGTGCACATGGATATGTGGCTTTGGCGTTTTGACATTACACAAATGGATTCAAATTGAGATCTTTCCAGTTGAGGAGTGAACTCCAGAGGTGGAGAAGAGGGAATTGTAAAACAGTTCAGGATTCTTCTATTTCACTTACTAGGTCTTTATATAGAAATCAATACAACATGTGTGCCAATCAAATGAGATAATGTCTGTGAACAGTTTGAACCATTTATTAACTCTAATGGGCAAACAAAAACGAGTCTCTAAGACACTAGTGGGGGTGGTACTGGGCTTCATGATAAATGGGTTCTAGTGCTGGCTCTGTCACCAGTGAGGAGCTTAAAAGGTTATTTTACCTGTCTAGACCTAGTTACTTCCTCTATAAAATGAGTAGTTCCTTCCAGCTTTAACATTTTAGGATTCACTCACATTTCAGGAGTTAAAATGAATTTCTGGCACTACTATTTTGGAAGGTTGATTTTGACCTAAGCATATGCAATGCTAAATATAATGCTTTAACTGCATTTCTGTCTCTGTTTATGGCTTCTTTTTCTAAGCCAAGATAAGCCTGTTTGGTTCAAAGCTAGACAGCCCGAGTGTGCTGAGCACGTTCAGACTGTACTGCTTATAATTGCAGCCTTTCTGGAATTGTCTATGGAAAGCAGCAAGAATCTCAAGCAGGGCTGTCGTCTTAATAACTGGATAACTGCAAAGGTAGAGGTTTCATTAACTGAGTAAAATGAATGAATATTTGAGCTGAAGTATCTCTATTTACACAGATCCCATCAGCTACAGAACATTTGGGAGGAAAGGAAATTCAGCTGGATAAACACCATAGAATAAAAGTTAACAGGCTCTGGAACTGTGGCTTTCTTTTTTTCTTTTTTTTTAATTAAACTACACACTGTATTTACATTTCACCAGTTATACAACTAATGTATTTTTCTGTCCCCAGGTGCAACTCAGGATCTCACATTGCCTTTAGTTGTCACTTCTCTTTGTTCTCTTTTAATCTGTGACAGGCCTTCAATCTTTCCTTGTCTTTCATGACCTTGAAAGTTTTGGAGAGTGCGCATCAGTTATTATATTATTTTCTATTGCTGCATAAAACTACCAAAAATTTAGAGGCTGAAAACAACACAAATTTAGTATCTCACAGCTTTCATGGAACTGTGGCTTTCAAGAAGCTATTAGGAGGAAGTAGGTCATCCCTAGACTGGATAATTGTGTTCTGTGGATGTTATCAAGATGTCCAATTAAAATGAACACTGACGCAGCATCCACAAGACCATGGTCTTATGACAGCCGAAAAACACAGTAACTGGAGAACTGTTACTGCCACAAATGCCTGTTAAACAATAAGGTCCGGGAAAGCTGATCTGAAGAGGACAGAGAGCCTTGGCAGCAAATACTACAAATTGGCAATCAGGAGGCTCCCACCCTTCAGAGAACCTGCTGATTGGCTCTAACTGTGGTCTCCAGCAACTGGTGGTTGTGAAGTAACTACAACATATGCCTCCTGGGCTGTCAAATGACTTGAGGATAGCTTCTCCAGGCCATAGAGAGTCTTCTACCTATAAAGACATGTCAGCATATTTACAGAATTAGAAAAGCCACCAAGAAATAGAAAGTGCAGACCTCATCCTTAAAATGTTGTTATTTAATCATGAGTTTAATGGAAAGAATACACATTTCTCTCCTCTCTTTATCCCTGACGAGCTAGTGGCCATGGGCAGCGGAGGGGTGGGGAGAGTGTGGCTAGGTAAGGAGACCCAAAGGCATCCCAACCTGTCTTAAAAAGGGAAGAAAAACTGAAATGTTTTTGTGAATTTTAGTTGACAAGCAGAGAGTAAGAACCTCTGTATGGTTCTTTGTAGTTTTCAAACTATCCTTCACTTTTACTACCTTCTTTAACAGTTGTGGCAATGACGTCAAATGACTTATGCAAACCTCACAATGGATTGTTGGCAGGTTGTGATGAGAATGTCAACTGACCAGACAGAATCCTTTCTTCTCTTGGGTAACATCTTCCCAGCTTCTTTAACCTTTTAAAGGAGGTGGTTTTGCAATGATATTCAAATTATGCTTAAATTTGGGCAGCTCCTTAGGCTTTTAAGTGAAACACTTTATATAATGAAAATAACACCTATAATGAGCATGATAGTATTGATAGTAAAGATGATGGTGATAATTCATTAGGCATTATGTGTTGGGAGCTGTACTATGCACATTTGCAAATATTGTTTTAAAATTCTTACAATTTTTCCTTCTAAGAAAATAATATTAACTTGCCTCAACTTGGAGATGAGGGATCTGAAGAACAAAGTATTTTCATTCCTTGCAAAAGGCTACAAAGCTAGTAATTTCTGGAGCTTGGATTTGACCCCCAGCATACCTTTTCTCTGTTATTGTGCTGTTAACATTATGCACACATCTTAGGTCCCAGCTGAATCCCATCCAACCTGTTATCTTACCTTATGCCTTTTCACCAAGGACAGTTCTATCATTGCAAGGGGCTTGTGTCCTTCAACTCTGGGGAACACCATATGCAGGGCTCTACATGATTCATTAGAAGGCTCTGAGATAGCCTGGCATGATGGCTAAGAACACTGCTTTGCAATCAGATAGACCTGGATGCAAATACTGGCTCCTTAACTGACTAGTTGTGATACCTGCAAAGTCACTTACTTAACCTTTCTGGGATACACTGTCTTTTCCTGTAAGTGTGGGCAATGCTACGTACCTTACAGCTTTAGCAGGAATACGAAAGTTAGATGCAATAACTATGTAAACTACTGGCGATTAGTATGTCTTTCATATAATGATTGTGTTGTTTCTGCTTCATTGAGGTTTTCTGAAAAAGTCATTGTTGTGTCTGCTCAACCTTCACTCAGCCTACACTAAGGGCAGGCAATTCACTCAAATAATTATTGAGGACCTGCTATGTTAGATACTGTGCCAGGCACTTGTAATAGAGCAATAAACATAATCTTTGACTTTAAGCAAATTACTTGACTGGTAAAAGGAGTAGATCCCTCTCCACCCCCCGACAAATTGTAGTAGAATGTGATAATAAAGACTTGAATATTGTACTATGGGAACACAGAGGAATAGCTGATGTTACCTGGGAGGCAGTCAAGAAAAGTTCACAGATGCGCAGTGAGCAAGATCAACAAATGCCACATACAAATCCTGTCCCCCCTCTAAGAAAAGATGGCAAGACAGCATTTCTCTGCTGTCCTTAATCAGTGGTGTGCCAACATACGGCAAGGATGTGATCTGAGGCTGACCTAGTCATTACATTCCCAGGTTTGCCTAAAAGAGGATGATAAAACTCCTGTGCCCAGCTAAGGCAATGGCTCCCCATAGAGCACATAAGTTTGAGCTGGAGATTTCTAAGTCCTATTTATTGCTCCTGAGAAGGCTACTTCTTCATTGCTAAGAGTTTCTATCCAAATGAACTCTGTTGGAGAAGATGGATGTGATTCCTTCTAGTAGCCATTATTTACTTTTGCTCTGGTCACTGAAAATACGTATTTCTTATATAAAATGCTGCTCTCAGCTCCACCAATCAACCAAGAACCCAGACAGTCTCAATCTCTTCTGTAGCAGTTTCCTTGGCAACCAGGACCCAGCCAGGGAGCTCGCCAACCCACAGTGGGACCAAGTGAAACCCTGCAGCACTGTCAGGCACTCTCTGCTTTTAAATAGTAAGCGACCACACAAATGCCAACCCAGCTGCCATCATTCTCTATTTGTAAAGCACCTTCCATCTGGGCACCTCAAAGCGGAATGCTTTCACAACAGGGGTCTTACCTGATTGAGATGAATGTTATCATTATTCACATTGTTCCTATAAGGAATCAGGGGTGAGAAAAATCAAAGGATTCTCCAATGGGCTCTTTTGTCTTTCTTATCTTTTAATATTTTCCCTTTCCTTTTTTTTTTTTTAAACCAATGTTTCTGGCACGCCCTTGCAGTTACTTTTTCAGTTGTCTTGGAAAATGCCACATTAAAAGGCCAGAGTCAAGATCACAGTACTTACTCTTCCTCAATCAGGGCAGCCCCATTGATCTTTCATAGTCATAAAAGGTGAACCCAACTGATGTCTAAGTCAGGCACTGCTCCTGAGGTTCATAATCTGGTTTGCTGGGGAAGGAGGGTGGATTGTCAGCAAAGGAGGACCACATACTGGGTAAAAGTGCCTTCTTTCTCTCCCTGTGCCAACCACTGCTCACACCTGATGCTTCCTATGGAGCTAATTATGAGAAAAATATTTAGGACTCCCATTTTAGTGAATAAAACTTACCAAACGAGATTATTTAGAGCAGGGCTTCTCAAACTTTAGTATCTCTATGAATCACTCGGGGATTTTGTTAAACAGCAGAGTCTGATTCAGTCAGTTCGGGGCGGGACCTGAGGGTCTGTATTTCCGACAAGCTCCCAGCTGTTGCTGGTGCTACTGGTCAGAGGACTGGACTTTGAGTCGCACGGGATCAGGTTCAGTGTTTGTTGTTTACACATACTCACACACGCCTGTATGTGCTGCAGAAGTGGACGAGAAAGAAAAGCACACCTTTCATTCTTAGAGGGTTTTATATATTTAAAAACACTTTGATAGACATTTCTCTTAGGCAAGCAGGGTAGGTAGCATTATCACAGTTTTTTCTGCCCAATGGTATATAGTTATATAATCTCATTAACTATGAGGTTATAGATCCAATTGCTCATACCTGTTCACCACAAAAGACTAATTGAATTAGAATATGTTTGTATTATAGTATTTTTGTTAATATTATGGTATTTGTACACAAATTAGAGTGTCGTTATTAGATTGTTATTAATCACACACATTTTGAAATGCTGTAAATCCTAGTGGGTTCAAGTTACTAGGGAGTTATTTCACAGATTCCACAGAGGGGTTCAAAGAGACATCTCTGGGGAGAGAGGGTGCCTTTGCCAATGATGCATCTCTAGAAGCTCCCACATTCATAGTCAGGTGAACTTTGCTGCTTTGTCCTGATGTTTACTGGCTTTTCTCCACATTGATTGAAATTCCATAATCATGGTGAGAATAATTAGAGTGGTGTCAAGGAATCTCCTACCTCCCACCTGTAGTGGGTTGAATGATGACCCCCATCCCAAAATAAAAGTCCACTCAGAACATCTGAATGTGATCTTATTTGGAAGAAAGGTCACTGCAGATATAATTAAGGTAAGGATATTGAGATGAGAAGGCCTTGACTTAGGGTGGGCCCCAAGTCCAATGACAAACGTCCTTATAAGAGATCAAAAAAGAAGAGAGGGGGCACCTGGAGGCCATGTGAGGATGGAGGTAGAGACTGCAGTTCTACTGCCACAAGTCAAGGAGTGCCAGTAGGCTCCAGGAGCTGGGAGTGGGCAGGAAGCATTCTTCCCTGAGGCCTTTGGAGGGAGTGTGGGTCTGCTGTCACCTTGATTTCAGATTTCTGGCCTCCAGAACGGTAAAATAAGTTCTTGTTTTAAAAAGAAGTTCTTGTCGTTTTAAGCCACAAGCTTTGGGTACTTTGTTGTGGCAGCCCCCGGAAAGAGTGCGCAGCCCCTTACGCACCTTCCAGTGGTGGCTCATGGTCCAGCCTTGAGAAGTTCTCTCCCTGCTGCTCATGCCTCCTCTCTGCCCCCCTGTCCCGGGTACTTGGCCTTGGCGTGGCCTGTCCACACATGGCTGTGCTTGAGCATGGTGGCATTGGTCCCAGGGACAGGGCAACTTTATTCCATAAGTGGAAACGACAGAGATTCTCTGACCACACACACCTGGGGACTGGAAATGAACCTATAATCTCAAGGGAGGTGAGTCAAAACTCAGAATTCATTCACCAAAACAAAACCTCTTGATTGATTCTTGGTGGAGATAAAGATGAAAAAGATTTGAGTATGCATATAATTATAAAATACTTATACTGTATTCTCAAGCAGATATTTTTACACCATATAAAAGGCAGTTGCCCCACAAGATTAGTCCTTAACCTTAAGGTTTAGTCAGTCCTAGTTAAATTTTCCCTACTGAAGGCTAGCGCATCAGCATTGACTCTCAAAAGATCCCTCTGCATTCAGCGTCTTCTCGGACCTGCACGAAGCACTGCTGCCATCTTGTGGCTGAGATGCGCCACTACACCCGCTTATTTTATGAGGTTCTAGCTCTCACCAACAGAGGGCAGGGTTGAGGCCCCTGCCTGCAGACAAACCCTTGTTCATAATTTTGAGCCAAATGCTAGTGTGGCAGAGTGAGATTTCTTTTTAAACTAAATTTTGAGAAGAACCAGGTAATACAACTGCTATTTGCCTGTTAATAAAGCAGGGGAAATTCACAAATATTTCACAGCCTCCTAGGAGGTGAGAACATGCCACTAGATACACTATTTTGAATTTCCTATTTTCCTACTTCCTATCCATCTGATGCCCTAATGGCAGCTAACAGGGAGGAGTCCAGCGTGGGAAGGTGAGGAGGGTTGGGATTGCAGGAGGCCAGGTGATACCCTGACACTGGGCTTCCTGTTACCTTTGGAACTGAGAGGCAATCCAACCCTAAAGTGGTAGAACTTTGTTTAACTCTCCAACAACTAGGGTTCTGATAGCCTGATTTCCTAGGAAAGAGGATTTATGTAGCTCAGAGTTATATTTGGTTTGTGGTTGCTATTAGAGTAAAAGAATCAGGCCTGGTGTGGTGCCTCACACCTGTAATCGCAGCCCTTTGGGAGGGCAAGGCAGGAAGACTGCTTGAGGCCAGGAGTTTGAGACCAGGCTGGCCCACATAGTCCGACCCCCATCTCTAAAAAAAACTTAAAAACTAGCCATGTGTGGTGGTGCATGCCTTTTGTTCCGGCTACCGAGGAGGCTGAGGCTGAGCCTAGAAGTTTGGGGCTTCAGTAAGCCATGATTGTACCACTGCATTCTAGCTTGGGTGACGGAGCGAGATATTGTCTCAAAAAAAAAAAAAAAAAAAAAAAAAGAGAGAGAGAGGGAGAGAATCTATCTTTCTTAGTCTCCATCTATCTTTTCACAAAAGTGAAATTTGCCTGACTGACCCGCATCAACATCCCCCTTCACCTACCCCCAATAAAATCGTCAAACAGAGCAAAGCTCAGAGCAAGAGTGAAGGTTCTGGGGCCTTCCCATTTGTCCTGCCTCCTTCCTCTTCCATCATTGTCTAAAGAAAGGCTCAAAGAATGTTTCTTAATTCTTTATAATTGGAAAGCTTTCATCAAGAGTGTTTTAAAGAAAAAGAAGTGCATTTCTGGAGCATTACTCTAGGGTCACCAACTTATCAATTTTAATCGATGAATCAGAGATCTAGACTGAAAAATCATGAGTGTTTTTGCTGGTTTTACTTAGTAGATAGAAAGGCCAGTGGAAAGTGTGGCCCGTCACAAGGCTCTGCTTTCCAGGCCTGGGCATTCAATCTTTCTGTGCAAACTGAGCTCCTCCAACCCCTGCATCACTTGGAGGTGGGACCGGCTTCATAGGCCTGGGTCCTGGGCAGTCACACCAGCCCTCGCACTCAGGAGGCCTGCTCTTGGCTTCACGCTCTGCTGTTGCTATCTTGAAAATCTTAAGAATTTTTTAACATGCGGGCTCAGATTTTTATTTTGTACTAGACCTCGTAAATGACATAATAGGTCCTGCCTGGGAGTGTGTTAGAGATGCATTATCTGAGGCCTCATCTTGGACTTCTAAAATTGAATGTGTATTTTAACAGGATCCCAAGGTAAATGGTTGCAACTTTAAAATTTGAGCACTGATCTTAGCTGCCTATGAAGTTGTGGTGGCAGAACGCAGATGAGTGAGCAGGGGGTGAGTCCTTGGCAGAGAATGCAGGGGAAGATCTGCCTTCTCCTCTTCAGAATGGAAGAATCAAAAAGCAGAGAGCCTGGGGGTGGGGGGCACTTGGGAGATGATGAAATTCAGGGAGAGAGAGGAGAGTAAGTGGAAATTGTTTTACAGTACAGGAACCAGCTCTCATAAACCATTTCCTTTATAACTTGGTGACCTGTCATAAATTTTTGAAAAACTTAGTTCTAACATTGGAGCACAAAAGTGAAATTGAACCATGACTGACCACTGTTTCTCTGGCTTTAGGATATAGCCTGACCATTGTTGAGCTATTGCTCTACTATGGAATGAGACAGGATTCCCCATTGATCCAAGTTGCCCTTTATCCCTCCACTGTTTCTAGACATTTTCCCCTCTGTTACCCTTCTAGCTCTCAAATCTCCAACCCTTCCAAACTCAACATGCACACTTTGCTTTATGTCATCGGGGGGTTACACATTTACAAAAGAACATCTTGGAAAATACTTTTACTTCAGCCTGTAGCTGCTTTCAGAAGGATAAGAAAACCCCAAGGAAAAGGGGACTCCAATAGTTTAACTGCCAGAAATACAGGTGGTGGATTTATAAAGTCAAAATTAATTTGTAATTTTAAAATTTACTGTTGCTATGATTTAGAAAAAAAACCTTCAAATAGGAGTGTTTTTTTTTTTAATTTGTGTGTCATAGAGCACTTCATATTGGTTACTTGCAATTTTATTGAGCCCAATTATTATACTTCCAGTGTAGAAGTCTCCACCTTAGTGTACATGGTTGAGAAATCAAACAATATATTTGATATAATACCGTGTTAGGTCATTCTTGCATTCCTATAAAGAAATACCTGAGACTGGGTAATTTATAAAGAAAAGACACTTAATTGGCTCACGGTTCGGCAGACTGTACAGGCAGCATGGTGCAGGCATCTGCTTGCTTCTTGGGAGGACTCAGGGAGCTTTTACTCATGGTGGGAGGCAAAGTGGGAGCTGGTACTTCGTATGGGGAAAACAGGAGCAAGGGCAGGGGGAGGTGCCCCACACTTTTAAAGGACCAGATCTCCTGAGAACTCACTCTTTGTGGTGGGGACGTCACTAAGCCAGGAGGGATCCATCCCCATGACCCAAGCAGCTCCCTGCAGGCCCCACCTCCTACACTGGGGATTACATCTCAACATGAGATTTGGAGGGGACATCCAAACTATGTCAGATGGTGAAATTAGACCAAAGAAAAGCAGAAGCCACACAAAACAAAAGTGTTGTTTTTAGAATACAAGCTAGCATGAAAGAAAATCCTGGCTAGGGGCAACAAAATCATAGACTTTATTTTGATTCTCAACTGAAGAAATAGCTATGGATCCCTTTAGCATTATAACTAGCTGTTTTGGGAGTTGGAGGTGAAACTTTGGGATTTATGAAAAGGAGATTGAGTTTTTGTAGACTGAACAGCAGTGATCCAGAACAATGTGGAGTCCTCAGTTTCTGTGTTGTGCATTCATTCTACCATCTTGTGTTTGTGTACAGTCCCTGTGCCATACACTAAGCTACTTGTTTATGTCATTATTTTTAACTTGAATTATTTCAAAGGGATTTACAAAGAGTTTCAAGAAGCTGTTTCATAATAACATTATTGGAATAAATCATAAAAAGAAAAAATACATACTAGCTGTGAATTCTTTTATGATTGATGTGAGAGTATAATTGTTTTACAAAGTCCTGGAGAGACAGGGTAAATTAAACTCGTATAATGGGTTATTATACTATTCCTGCAATAGTCCCAGGCAGGAGTTCAGGAAGTCTGTGAACTAAAAGAGAAAAAAGTGCATCTTTTCTTTTTTCTAATCTCTAATTGTAATTTAAAATTTCTTTCATTTATCACTGTAGGTAAGAAACCACAATAGCATAGTAGTACCTGTGACCTTGCTGTCAGTACAGAATCACACATATTCATAATATCAACTAGTATTTATGCTCATCACAGCTTCAAAAACACTGTAGTTATTGGACCTGTCACTAGATTTCTTTTAATACCTCAGTAAAGAAGTCATATGTATTGCTAGATGACAAATTTTTGTTTTATTTTGTTTTTTGAGACAGGGTCTCACTGTCACTCAGACTGGAGTGCAGTGGTGTGACAAAGGCTCACTGCAGCCTCTCCCTCCCAGGCTCAATCAATCTGCAAGCCTCAGCCTCTCAAGTAGCTAGGACTACAGGTGTGTGCCATCGTGCCTGGCTTTTTTTAAAATTTTTATTTATTTATTTTTTTTGTAGAGATGGGTTTTTGCCATATTGCCCAGGCTGGTCTCTCAAAACTCCTGGGCTCAAGTATCCGCGCGCTTCAGCCTCCCTAAGTGTTGGGATTACAGGTGTGAGCCACCACGCCAGACCAAAAATTTGTTGTTAAAATGTTTTTAACTCTTTCAATATAATTGGCTTCATTTTCCTCCTATGTACTTTTTAAAGGAGTTTAACTTCATTATTCTGAGAAGGAGTCTATAGGTATCACCAGGCACCAAAGGGAACCAAAGCATATGAAAAGTTAAGTGCCCTATGGTAGAAGCAATCCCACTCCTCGGTATATACCCAAGGGAAAAGAATTCATTCTATCAAAACAGACACATCCACCCATATGTTCATTGCAGCACTATTCAAAATAGCAAGGACAATGGAATCAACCTAAGTGCCCAACAGCAGTGGATTGGATAAAGAAAATGTGGTACATATACACCATGATGGAATACTATGCAGCCATAAAACAGAATGAAATCATGCTCTTTGCAGCAATATGGATGGAGCTGGAAGCCATTATCCTAAGTGACCTAAGGCAAGAACAGAAAACCAAATACTGCATGTTCTCGCTTATAAGTGGGAACTAAACACTGAATACACATGAACATAAAGATGGGAACAATAGACACTGAGATCACTAGTGAGGGGAGGGAGGGGCCATGGGCTGAAAAGCCATTTGTTGGGTGCTATGTTTACAGCCTGGGTAATGAGATTGCTGACACCTCAAGCCTCAGTGTCATGCAGTTTATCCATGTAATAAACCTGCACATGTACCCTTTAACTTGTAATAAAAGTTGGAATAAAAAAAGAAACATGAGAAGCCTCTAAAATTACACTTGATCCCATTCCATACTTTTTAACAGACTGAAAATGCCTGTTCTATGATAAAAATAAAGAATAGTATATTTTGTCTTAAAAAAGAACTCTATAGTAGAAGAAAACACAACCACTCAGTAGAAAAAAATTCTTTTTGCAGACACTAAATAATAAAATGTAAAACAATCATACAAAAATATTTGCAAAAAGTATTCAGTGACATACTGGAAAAAATAGTTGACAGAAACGCATAGCCAATGCAAGAAGCATCTTTAATAAACACTCAATGAAAACCAAAGGCAAAACATTAGGAAAAAACATGAATTTAGGGTGGAGTGAACATGATGGCAGGAACAAGCTAGAGTGATGTAGGCGTGTGGTTTCTGATGATTTTATGTATTGATAGAACTTGGAAAATGCAGAGGAATGAATAGATAAGATAACACACATAATCAGAAAAGCCGCAGTTGCATGTTGCGGGACATAAATAGGGAAAGGAGTGATAGAATTAAAGTACATGCAAAGGAGGATGAAAGAGATGATCCAGCATCTGAAGAGAGAACCTAGACTGACTATACAGAAAAGGAGAAAGAAAAAGGTGGTAATTTCAGTGAAACGACTCAGTTCCTCTGCTCCTGGAGAAATTGGGGAGAATTCAGTGATATGGGAGCAGATTTGCAGGTAGAGAATAGGTTGGGAACCTTGCATTGCAGAAGGCAGTTAGAGAACCTTGAGAGGCTGAGAATTTCTGGAACAGAAAGATTGTGAGGCTTGCTAATGAAATCATCCAGGAAATGGCACTGAAAATGGTGGTTAGAAAGCACATTTTCTAAAGCTAGACTCGTTCTGTTGGGCTGGGTCAGAGAGGGTGTTCTCTGTCTGCTTCTAAGAGGTGGTGCTCACTAAATGCAAAGGTTGGTCTAGAAAAGGAAGGAACAACCAGCCCTACTGAAGATGCACAGAATGGCCTGAAGACAAAGATGCACAGAATGGCCTGAAGACAGCATTATGTGATATGGGCTATTGAAATTAGCACTCCTATCACCTGAACAGACGACAAATCCTCCTCTGTTTTTATCTACCAGTACTGGAAAGGGACATTGTATCAGTGGTGGTGGATCAGATAAATGATCAGGAAATGAAGGCCAGATTTGTCCAAGAGTTTTGTGTTCATATGAAGTCTTCACAAGGTTAACTTAGACTTCACAAAGTTAGGTTTATGCATAATGGTTATAGGTGCTAACATTTATTAAGCCACTTACTATGAATTCAGGTTTTGTCCTAAAAATGTAATATTTACTATTTACTTTAATCCTCAAAATAATTGTATGAGGTAGGTGTTATTATTATTCCATTTAACAGATATGTTTTAGTGTATTTTATGTTAGCCGTATGTCTTCCT
Source organism: Homo sapiens (assembly GCF_000001405.40). Lineage (NCBI taxonomy): Eukaryota > Metazoa > Chordata > Mammalia > Primates > Hominidae > Homo > Homo sapiens. Next base: position 72,406,182 of record NC_000006.12, on the reverse strand, counting down.
GCGTGCTATAGATATAATTATAATGCCATATTCCTCAAAATGTCAGTCTGGAGTCTTAGAAATATTTAAGGCACCAGATGAGTGGCTCCATAATTTGGAAGAGAGGAGAAGATGAGTGTCATCAGAGTGAGTGTGGTTGGATGTGGCCAATCTTGAGAATTTTTGTCCCACCTTTCCTAGGTCTTGAGAGAAGAGAAAAAATGGATCTAGAGCAGACACAACTTTCCCAACATGTCCTTCTCTAAGGCAGAAGCATTCTCTTTTTTCTAGTAGCATCCATATTGCCTTGGGAGAACTACCCTAACTTTTCTATGTGGTTTGGGTGCAACTGCCTGGATTTCCTAGATCCAGGGCTGGACTCTTGACACAAGCCTGTCTATCAAGGTATTTCATTTTTCTGGTCAGAGATATTTGTTCAGCATTAGGCATGGATCAAGATGATCCAAAGGAGATTCTGCTGGGATGATGGGACAATTGTGGGTTTTTTTAATCCAACTAATACATTTACATTTACAAAAACCAATTGACCACCAAGTATGTGATAAGATAGGTATATACTTTAATTAAAGGAGTTCTGTGGTAAGAGCTATAGAGCAGCAGTCACCAACCTTTTTGGCACCAGCGGCTGGTTTTGTGGAAGACAGTTTTTTCCATAGACCCAGGGGGAGAATGGCTTCAGGATGATTCAAGTGCGTTACATTTATTGTGCACTTTATTTCTATTATGACATTATAATATGTAATGAAATAATTATATAACTCACCATAATGTAGAATCAGTGAAGCCCTGAGCTTGTTTTCCTGCAACTAGATGGTCCCATCTAGGGGTGATGGGAGACAGTGACAGATCATCAGGCATTAGAATCTCATAAGGAGCACGCTACCTAGACCCCTCCCATGTACAGTTCATAACAGGGTTCACACACCTATGAGAATCTATTGCTGCTGCCAACTGACAGGAGGCAGAGCTCACTTGCCTGGCTCACCTCTGGCTGTGTGGCCCAGTTCCTAACAGGCCACAGACCAGTACCAGTCCGTGGCCCAGGGATTGGAGACCCCTGTTTTATTGGGTCTGACAACCTAGACTGGGGTTATTAATGAGCAGCAGGTGGGGTAATCGGAGGAGGCAGGGTAGACAAAACTACTTTTGAAAATTTAAAGAATAATTCTTTGTTCTATCTCCTTTACTCAAACTGTTCCTGAAGTCTGCATATTATGTATTCATGAAGTTTGATAGTGCAAATGGTGAGTGGTCAGGGGAGGGGGGAGAGAGAGCAGGGAGAGGGAGAGGGAGGAAGAGAGAGAGAGAGAGAGACAGAGAGAGAGAGAGAGAGGCTTACAAAGAGGTTTCAGGGAATGGAGAAGAGCCCACCTGCCTCCTTTTCCTATCCCCCACCCCCATCGTAAGGCAGAGTCGTTCAGGCAACTTGTGGGAGACCAAGCTGGCCAGGAGCTGCCTCGTCACAGAGAAATAGCTTAGGATTTTTTCTCACCTCGTGAACTCTTCATTCTTTAATATGTAGCTTAACTGTCAGCAGTTAGTAGAGGACAAAGAGCACTTAGCATGGCAGGATCCCGAGTTGGTCAGACTTTGGTTCATCTCTCAGCATATGTGACCTTAGCTTGTTGCTTCACTTGTCTAAGCTACAGAGCCTCCTATGAGAAATAGGGGTCCTATACTTACCTCATAGGACTGTTGTGAGGGAGTAAATATAATCCCATAGCCTTTGTATACAAATCAAATACAGTAAGTCCTAACTTGGACTAACTTAATCACCTGATCTTGGAAACTGTGATTTTAAGTGAAACAATGTACAGCAGGTCCTCGATAACATTGACAGAGGAAAAAAAAAAGTTTTTTTAATATGTCATTTTACTTAAAGTCACAGTTTCTCAGAACTTAATGACATTGAGGATTTACTGTATGCTATCATAATTATTTCTTTATATATATATAATGATCTCTTTCAATACACAGGGAGCTACTTTAATACAGGGCTACTTTATATTCTAAGTACTTAATACCTAGTACTTAACAAAATTCTTAATAATGTTGGTTAAGTATAATCAGATAATATATTATCTGGGATACATATGGGGCTGGGATTTCAAGAAATAAGTTGTCAGAGTCAGCAAGAAACCATGAAGACTTAGCAAAATTGCCTTTCCTCAGGTTCCTTCCTCCCATGACTGTAGGCTCTGAAATCCCAACACCGGGTAGCTTTATATGGTTTGAAGCAAGATTACTGCTCTTCTCCTTCTGTCTAGACAATAATTCTGAAGCCCACTCTCATCACCTGTTTCAGTGGCAGACTTTTCTCCTGGCCTCACCCAGCTCTGAGCTTTCTTAATGCACGCGCATCAAACAGCTTTAAATCTGACTGTTTTAAATTGAACTGACCAGTTGTTTTTGCCTCTTACTGACCCAGCCTAACAGATAATCTTGTGTCTTGTAGACCAAACAAATGGATGATTTAATAGGGTAAAATTCAGTCAACTGTTTAAAAACTATAAATAACTGATGCATTCATGTCTCCAAACTCTTTATTGCCTCAAATTTTATGTTGATGTAACTGTGTTTACTTTGCTTTACAAGTTAAAGCCAGCGTGGTCTATAAAAAGTTAAGAGCTCTTAGAAAGACAAGACTAGATCACAAAAGTTATTTTACTACAATGCAAGATGAAAGTAGTGCTTACCAAGTGTTTCATGAGAGGCGATGATTATTAAATACATGAGCACACTTTCAGGTAAGAAAAAATAATAAAATAACCTAAAAAGTTAATAATGTCTCTTTGAATATATTATTTTGGATATCTATCTATATTTGAAGATACTTTTATTATCTAAGATTCTATTAAAGATAATTCAGTGTAAATGTAGTGCTTATTTTTTGTTAAATTGGTCTCCTCTAAACCAAAGTTATATAAATTAGTCATGGGTTCAGAAGAAAAAGATGGAAAGAGGAAATATACTATGACGAGAGACGCAGGAATCAATTTTTTGATATGTCACGTAACTTGAAATAATTTGGCAATTGGACAATAGAGTTGTCTCTTTTATTAGCACATTCAAACAGCAGCAGAAAACAACCTTCCATTTGATTCTTACTGAGATTTATTATTTTTAATAATGCCACTTTTCAGAAGTATAGTCATGTGCTCACTTAGACAGGCTGACGAAGTGAAAACTTGTATGTGATGCAAAGTACCCTTTGGGCCATCGATTAAGACATAATATAGTGCAGTGACAAGTCAAGTCAAATGCCCGCAGCAGACAACAAACCCCAGCCTCCCCTTCCCATGGCCTGGCTCCCATTTTGCACCATAGAACCCACAATGGAAATCTGGCAAGACATAGAACACATATGGCTACTGACTGACATGAAAAGTAAATTTTATTAAACATGTTTACATACATGAATTGGAATTTCATTTAAAAGCACAGGGGAGTGTTAAGACAAGTGGTCAAAATAGAAAGATACTACCCAATTATAATCAGTTGATTGTTGGCCACTAAGACAGAACGGAATCTAGTAGAAGTGCACCAATGCTTCAGTTCCTCCTACTCAGCATGGTGAGCAGTGGTCAATCTGTGCCCTGTGGAATGATGGGCAGATAATTCTGGCATGTGTAAATAATAATAAATAATTCACTTGGTGCAGGCAGTATGTCTATGAATTAAAACCTAGTGTGTACACAGTGTCTACATGTGTTACAGCCCCACAGTAGGAATCTACACCAAAATATTTATTAGAAGGAATTTGGTCCGTACTACATCACGTTTTCCGGAGGGTAAAAAATAAAGTCCATCTATAGACATTTCACCACAGACCCAGAGACTGAGTCTGGCTAAAACCTGCAAAATGTCTATAACAAAAGTGGATGGCTTAGATTTCTTGGTTATTTCGGTATAGTAATTAACAAGCAAACTGTACAAGTACATGCAACATACAAGCTGGCCTATGTGGAACTAACATACATTATTAAATAACCTTTTGTTTCTTTTCTTTTTAAAATTTTTTTTTTTTACAAAATGTGCATGCAGCTCTGAACAGTTCCAAGTCATGCTGCTCTATTTGTGTAATCACAAAAGTGGAGTGACTCATAAAAGGAGGGAGAACATATCAATGCACCTGCAGAGACTGCAGTTTGTAGCACATGTACAGAATGTCACAAGGGAAATTCAAGGCCAAGAGAAACTAAATGAAAATGCAAATTGAAAGTTCATTTTGTTTATTTTCCCCCCAAAAAGTAAGATACTTTGCATTAAAAAATCAAGCTTTGTGCTTGCATCAATCTCAAAGAAATGTAAACTAAAATTCAATAAAAACAATAGTTTAGTGCAGAATATTTCAACTGGAATTTCCAGTGGAATATTGAACAGCTCATACCATGCTCTTTCCAGGGCAGATGGATGTGTCTACACTGAGGTATGGCTGAGAAGCCTGGGCATAGCTCAAAGTGTCTTAGGCTCAAATCCATTCCTAGTCACCATTTTTGGGAAGTCAAAGTATGGTTTATACACATGAGCATTTTTTTAATATCAGGAAGAAAAAGGCATTACAAGGAGTGTTTTCAAAGTACAATTATGCAGTTAGTTTTAGTCCCCAGCATTAGTTGCAGATTGACTTCTTTAAAAGTCTTCCATGCAAAACAATGGAAACCATAAATTAATTTTCTAGAATGCAAACAGATAGGCTCTTCATTAAAAAAGTACTTCTGTGATTATTTATTTTGGAAGATAACTTTTTGTCTCTTGGGTATCCACACATAAGACTTTAAATAATTATAAAATGAAAGCTAGTGAAACCCTTCCTTGGCTTCACCTTATGTAGCTGTTTAACACTTTGGGGAGATGCTACAGAGACTACTTCAGCCCTTTTTTTTGGTGCTTTTGGAAAAAAGAAGGGAAGAATCTCTGTTAGCATCATGAGGCCTGTCATGACACAGCCAAAAAAAAACTAGTGGAAATAACAGATGTGGTGAAAACAAAACAAAAACTCAAGAAACGAAAACCAACAAACAACACACAAATAAACAAAACACACAAAAGAACAAAACAACTCAAACATCAGGGAAATAACACTGCTTGTGGTCTGTGCAGAAATGTGTAGAATACAACTTTTCACAGAGTGAGAGTTTCCAGTTTGTTCAATTTGGTGTGTGTGTGTGTGCATGTGTGTGTGTACGTGTATGCGTGGATTTAAAGTTTCCTCTTTTTCTATTTGTTAGAAGCATCAGTGACTCTCACCAGCATGTTGATTCTTCCTGTAAATTTGATAGATTGCCTTGTTCTGTCATATGAAGCCATGTTTTAAATAACAATTGGGACATATTATTGAAAAACTACTACAGGCAAAACACAAGTTGATTGTCTGTCTCCAACAATGCTTTCGATCATGAAATATCTGGTTCAGATTATTATCCTGAAAAGTAGAGTTTTATTGGAATGACTCTGGTATGAGTTCACTATGATCGAATACAGGGAGGCCCAGTTGAACTTTCCAGAGATGACTGGGAAGCCCGCCGGGTGAGGGGAGTGAGTGTGGGATCCACCAGTGAGGACGGTGGGAACAATTTGTACCATCCGATCACCATGCTGGACAGGTCGAGTTCTTCCAACAAGATCTGAGCCACACCCATAAAGCATTTGTGGTCCATTCTGCCATAGTCTCCCCAGACAATCACCTGCAGAGATAGAGAAATGCAACATTACCTGGACTTCTCTCTGCTTCACATTCGAAGGGCTCAAAGCAACTATGCTGTAAAAGTGGGCCAGTCAGTGAAGCAGAGGAAAAGAATAATGAATACAACTATCACCAAGGAGAAGGCACAGATAAGAAGATACACTAACCTTAAGGTGCTCATAGACACTTCACAATAATTTTAGTCTGATGGAATGAAGGATTGTGTGTTCCTAGTCAATGAGGAGTATTAGCTACATAAGCCATGTTAAAGAAATAAATACATAAGAGTATTTTTATATGAATGCAACACCTTTCTTGTGTAACTACTATCTAATTAGCGATGTACAGGACCATAAAAATCTAAAAATTAAAATTTGTGCAATTTAGGAGGGCAAGATGAGCAATCCAACTCAGTATACCATGGAATGTATGTACCAGAAAGTATGTACAAAGAATGAGAGTATTCATTTGATTTCTTTCGTATTATGGTCTTTTTAGTGAAGGGGTAGGTCAAAAAATAATTGTGAGCTGGTACCTTTTGAGGACTTGCCTGCCAATTTTGATTTAGATGATTAATATTTCAATTAGATCATTAAAAATTACCACAATCTAGGTCAACTTCTATTGGCTACTAGTGTCAGACAAGCCTTCCATTTCACATACTCCCAGGTTCTATTTTCTAATACTTCAGTCGTCTGTAAAGGTTCTCAACTGAACTCATTCACCTGTTTTACACAAGCAGAGTTGGTGGTGAATCATGTCTTTAAAATTTACTGAGTAATTTTGTGAAATTACTTTACCTCTTGAATCTCAGACATAATCTTTAAAATGGGGATAATGATACTTATTGCACATGTTAGTTACAAAATTTAAATAATGTATATAAGCACCTAGAAATGCATCTGGTACTCCACCAGGGCTCAATATTTGCTGGTGTCTGCACACTTCTCTTTTCCTCTCCCTCTTCCTCTTTGTACCCCATGTTTGGTATATAGCAATGCTCAACCAACTATTATTAACATTGTTTTGTTTGCTATATCTGTATCTATCTATCATCTATCTATCTAGTGAGGACATATCTCTATCTATCTATTTATCATCTATCTATCTAGTGAGGAGTGAGGAGGGCTGGGAACAGGGCAAAGCTAGAAGGAGAGGATAGAGAGAGAAAAGACAAGAAGAGAGAGAGATAAAATAAAATTGTTCTCTATTAGACCCACCAAATATTTTTGATATTATATATTATTTATATTATAAACTAACCATTTGAATTTTGTCTACTCAAGAATATTATCCTACATTTATCTTTACCAAATTTTATTCTCTTTGTGTTTGACCATCTCTTCGATGTATGGGTAAAACAGACATTTCAATGTAAAAAGCCAAACAAACTATTACTGACCTGAAGAACTTTACCCTGTGGACTTTCATCAAAAACCAGAGACTGCTGATACAAAGGATCAAGGGTTTTTCGTGCAATTCTTGTCTTCTTCTTGGCTATACAGGCCCCATTTTCCAAAAGATATACTTTGACATATGGAGCTAAACAAAGGTATATTAACATATAAGAAATTATTCCTTAAATTCAACTATTTTTTTAATTAGAGAATTCCCTATTAGAGAATTAGAGATGCTTACTGAAAGTTTCCCATTGACTGTTTAAATTACTTAAAATTTCCATTGCTCCATAAATTCTGTTCCTTAAATCTATATGTTACCATTACTGCCATTTTCCTCATTTTGACTCAATGTATACAAAGTTATTTGAAGACTTTGACTTACTTGGGTTACAATGCAGGTTTATATCTTAAAGCTCATTGTTACCTTTTTATGATTAGAACTATATTCTTTTTTTCTTTTGCCTTTCTAAGTGTGCAAAAAGAAAATAATTGACACAAGCTAAGAAACGACCATAACTAAACTTTAAAAAAAATATTATAACATACTTCCTAACACCTTCTGAAAGAATAACTGTGCAAGGAAAACCCAAATCCGTTTTAATAACATCAAAGAACACAGAAACACTGCTTTTTTAATCAATCAGATGATGCAAAACAGAGCATATGAAATTCAAATGCAGCAAATGTTTTTATTTGTTTGCCTATTAAATAGTCCCTTCACCAAATTCAGGAATACTTCTCCTTACCAGGTGTAGATTTGGAACCAGGCTTTTGTGTGAGGCTTCGTGCTCTAATGACTTCCACTTCTAATTGGCCCTTTTTGTCCTCCATTCCTATTTGTATATCACCTGCAAATGGAAAGGAGCAAGATGTGTTTCAGCTTCTTTGCAGTTATGTGCAGTTAAAACAAAAAGGAGAGCCCGTAACAGACTACAGATTTTTATCTTCATGATTTTGATAAGAAACTAATATTTAGACCCCTCACTCCACAATCCACTTTTCTTTCTCAGTTTCCAAATCAAATTTGGAAACCATTCTCTTATTTTTTCTGGTATTAATACCTCTTATGAGATTTGCAAATTAGTTAATAAATGACTATAACAACACTAAAGTATTTCTATAATTCTTGTACTTAATAAGATTTCTTACTCTTATTTCATCCAGTATATAATAAAAAATTGTAACCATATGTATTTTCATTATCCAGAGAAAGCCACCATTAATATTTGGTGAATATCCTAGCATTCTTATACTTCTATCAATCTCTCTGCCTGTCTGTCTATCTATCTATTTATCTATCTATCAGCAATCATGATCATACACCATCATTTTATTGACTGTATGGACTACTGCATGGACATGTCATTACCTATTAAATCAGACTCCTATTGATGGAAATAAAGGTTATTTACATAAACTATTTTATAGTGCAGTGTATGTAAATAGGGTTATAATGAACAGTTTTATAAGAATTCTTGTACGCATTCTTGTATCAGTTATTTTTTGAACATCAAATTCCAAGATTTTAAATTTTCATATCTAATAGTATGGACATCCAAAAATTCCATGCATACTGCCAACTCCTCCAGAAAGGTTGTTCCAGTTTGCACTATCACCAGAAATATAGCTCTTCCTGCTTCCCACACTCTAACATTGGTATTAGCAATATGTCTAATATCAGTATCAAAAAAATGCTTAATTTTTGCCAATCTGGTTAAAACGATATTTTAATTTGCATTTCTTTGATTATTAAGGAGCACTATGTAGCCCATGTATAGTTTGATACAAAATTAGATTAGCAACTAGAATGAGTCCCTTCCTTTTTATTTCATGAAAATATTTGTTTCATAATTTTCATGTCTCTTGAGTTCATATTTATTAGAACTCATCTGTGAAAATATCTGGGTGTATTCTCCCCATTTTTTGGTAAGTAGAATGTTAAATACTGGTAGTTATAGTTCTACTCAGGTTTTTTCAGCTTTCTATTTACTCTTAAATTCTTTGTGGTAGGTTATATTTTTTAACAACTGTCCATCTTAAATAAATTTCCAAATTTTAAGCTTTATTTATTTATTTATTTATTTGAGACAGAGGCTTGCTCTGTCGTCCAGGTTGGAGTGCAGTGGTGTGATCTTGGCTCACTGTAACCTCCATCTCCTGGGCTGAAGCGATTCTCCTGCCTCAGTCTCCTGAGTAGCTGGGACTACAGGCATGTGCCACCATGCCTGGCTATATTTTGTATTTTTAGTGGAGACAGGGTTTTGCCATGTTGGTCAGGCTGGTCTCAAACTCCTGACCTCCGGTGATCTGCCTGCCTTGGCCTCCCAAAGTGCTGGGATTACAGGTGTGAGCCACCGTGTCCAGCCTAAGCATTTGTATAAGTGGTATCATTCAGCAATTTTCCTTCTTCACTTAGTAATATTTTCTTAGATATCCATCCAAGTTGATGTGTTGAGATCTAGGACATTCCCTTTAATTTCTCTATAATATTCCATTACATGAATGTCATATTTATTTATCTACTCTCCAATTAGGGGTCTTGGTTTTCCTATTTGGTGCTGCTACAAAAAAATGCTGCAAAGAGTTTCTTGAGGATATGTAAATTAGAAGTTGTATTGCTGGGTCACAGCACATCTACATTTTTATTTTTACTAGATGCTGCCATATTATTCCAATTGGTGACTGCACCAAATTATGCTTCTAATAGTAGTGTATCAGAATGCATATTTCTGAATGTCTTTGCTACTTATATTAAAAGATTTAAACAATTTGGACAATCTGATGTGCAAATACACAAATACACACACACATACACACGTGTGTTTTGTAGAAACGTTAACAGATAAGTAAACTCCACTCTATTTTCAGTCTGATAATTTTCTATCATAAATTAAAACTGAATTTTATCAAACATTTTTTTGGATACTTAAGATGGTCATTTTTTCTTTTTTATTACAGCAATGTGATCAATTATATTAGTTTTCAAATATTAAACCAACCATGTGTTCATGAAAAAAAAATCCCATTTGGTTGTGATAATATTATTTTTAGCATTGCTGAATTTGCTTTTCTTGGGGTTCATGAGGGTCTCTGGAAAGTATGACTATATTTATTTTCAGTTCTGAAAATTTTTCAATTATATATATAATTTTTATTGTTACATTTTATTGTCTATTTTCCATTTTACTTTTTATTTATTGATACATAATATGTACATAATATATGTACATATTTTTGAGGTATGTGTGATAATTTAATACATTCATATACTTTGTTATGATCAAATCAGTGTAATTGGGATATCATTACCTTAAATATTTGTTTTTTCTTTTATGCTAGAAACATGTGAATAATTCTCACTCAACCATTATATTTTCAATGGCTTCTGGCCTATACTCCTTTCCCTATTCTGGGACTAATTAGACATATATTAGACCTCACTTTTCTGCTCGGTCTTATAACTTCTTATTCATATTTTCCATTATTTTATGTGTCCAATTAATTCTGGATACTTTCTTATGGCTCTGTCCTCCAATTAACCATTAACCAATTCTCTCCTCAACTCTGTCTAAACTGCTGGTAACTCATCCATTGAATTCTTAAGTTTAGTTTATTTTTCAATTCTATAATTTCTACTGGGCTCTTAAAGATTTGAGTTTTCTGATGAAATTCTCCATCATGTTTTTTATTTTAGGTAATCTTCTTTTTCTTCTTCATGACTTGAGATGATGTCCTGAAATTGCATGAAGAAGCTTTTCCTTGTTTGTTTGTTTTGTACAGATTGTTCAGTTCACCACTCAGTGTGCTCTTTCAATCTCTCAGGTTTTATGTTTTTCTTAAAACAGTTCAGGCATCATTATTTTTCTCCAAAAACTGTCTCTCTATTCTCTTTTTAGGCTCCTATTAGAGTAAGTTTGAGCTTTTTGGTTTATTCTTCCTACATCCTGAATTCTCCTCTCTTACAAAAGATTTTTTTAAATTTATATAAGCCATGTTATTGGTGGTATTCTATAGTTCTTGTAGCTAATTATATCTTAAGCTTTGTTCAGTATACTATTTAGCTCATCCAGAGTTTTAAATTTTAAGTCACTATATTTCCCATTCTCTAACTTTCTTTCTTAAAAATATATACTTCCTTTTTGTTTAATAATCTCTTGGTGTTTTTCTCTGTGGATTATATGATACTTTATCTCTGAAAATTTCTAAGTTATTTTTACTTAGTTGAATCATTTCCATTTTCTCAGGCATGGATTCTCTTTATTTGTCTGGTCAGTTGATCAACTTTGTTGTTCTAGACATTCATTAGTTTTATAATTCTGTTTTAGACCTCAGTTCCTAGAAGTCTTTTGTTCTCTTTTTGTCCTTTTAATGTTTCTTAAAGATTTCTTTTTAAATCACACACATATCCCCAATTGTTCTATAAAACCTGTTATGTTTATGCATAACTAACTTCTACCTGTCTCTCAACTTCTTGTCTTCCAAAAATTATTGCTTCCAAAATTTTCAATATTTTTATCTGATTTACTTTCTGGAATTTGCCTCCTTATTTCTAAGCACTATACTTATATTTTCCTTTTTGCAGTTTTAGATATTATTATTGACTTCAATTTTGATCTCTTTCACTGCCTTCCTACCCCTACTACATACTTGACAATTTCTGTCATCCCATTCTCCCAATATTAATATTTATATTATTTTGACTATGTAACCTTATGCATAACTTTGTGAACTAGAATATTATAACTACTTCTTATTTCTTAGACAGACCTTCTTTTTCCCTACACTTAATTAGTATCTTTTAAAAAAGCATTTGCTTACATTTTTATGAAGACCTCACTAGTTCAAATCTTAGTTTCTCCTGGTTGTTTATCTCTTCCATAAAAATCAAACCCATTAGGTATTCTATAGATTTTATCTCATGAAGTCTGACATGACCCAATTTGAACGCTGCTTTGAAACCTAGCTGCAGCTATCTTTAGTTCTTCCTTTGCTATCATCCTGGGTATCCCAATCATATTTACCTTGTGAGGAAGCATTTGTTTTTTGGTTCCATCTTTTTTTTTTTTTTTTTTAGTTCATAATTTTGAAAAGTCGTTTAGTTCGTTTGGTCAAAGTAAATCTTCAAGTAGCTTTCTGAGAAATGTTAGAAATGAGGAAAATGATTTGAGGCCTTGCTTGGGGCCGAGTATGTACCTACTGTAGCCTCAAAATTACTTGATAGTTTGGCTGGCTTTTGTATTCTAGGTTGGAAATCTCTTGTTCCTCCGAATTCTGAAGGTAATGCTAACAGTCTTCTGGCTTCCAGTATATTGAAGAATCCAATGAAAATACGAAGAGCTCAATGAGAATCTGATTTTTTTTTTTTTCTTGGAGACGGAGTCTCGCTCTGTCGCCCAGGCTGGAGTGCAGTGCCCTGATCTGGGCTCACTGCAAGCTCCACTTCCCGGGTTCACGCCATTCTCCTGCCTCAGCCTCCCGAGTAGCTGGGACTACAGGTGCCCACCACTATGCCCGGCTAATTTTTTTTGTATTTTTAGTAGAGACGGGGGTTTCACCGTGTTAGCCAGGATGGTCTCGGTCTCCTGACCTCGTGATCCGCCTGTCTCGGCCTCCCAAAGTGCTGGGATTACAGGCGTGAGCCACAGCGCCCGGCAAGAATCTGATTTTTGATAGTTTTTTTGTAAAATTATTTTTCCTCTTAGGAAGCTTGCATGATTTTCTATCAAGCCTCAGTATTGTGAAATTCCACTATGTTGTGTCTTCAAGCTGATCTATTTTCATGCATTTTGCTGAAGTTCTTTCCCACTGCAAGATTACAGACAGATTAACTTAAGTGTTCTCCAGTACTTTTTAGTGTTTTTCTCCACCTTCCCTTTTCTTTTTTATAGTTGAGTCTAAAATACTAACTTTTTTGGTAAGTTGTGTAGGCGTGAGGGAATTCCATTAATTTTTTCACACAGGTAAATAGTTATGTTACTATACTTTACTGAACAGTCTTTTTTTTTTTTTTTCCATGCTGTGAAATGCCACCCATGTCCTACATTTACATCTATTATATCAGGGTTTCTGGTAATTCAAATATTTATAGCTAATTTTACTTCTTTTTTCATAACATCTCAAATTAGAAAAATGCACTTGAAATTAGAATAGTTGTTTGCAAACAGTAACTCTGTAGCTAAAATGTTGCTTCTCACTTGTATTGCTATTACACAATTTTAAATATTTTAAATGACTTTGTCAAACACAAAACATCAATTTTCTTGTAGAAAAAAAAAATGATTCTTACCCATTGCAGGGGTGGCAAGGGTTTGGCGGCCAACAAGCTGGGCTGGTCCCAATCCATCAAGAAAATCACTGAATTGACTGTCAGCTCCCAGTCGCACTCCAGGAAATATTAAACTATCAGCAAAAGGATAAAAACCAAAGGAAAAAACCCATGAAATCTTCTAGAATTCTTTTCACTAGTTTCCACTTGACTAATTATGATCATGAAACATAAATATTACTTAGACAATCTGTTTTTTTAATTGATTCTTTGCATTGCCTTTGAGCCAAGCATATGAGGCTTAACATTGACTGAGGAAAGGTGTAAACTCTCAATTTAACACCTAATGCTCTATTCAAGAGGGCTCAGTTATAGTTTTTAATATACCAAGTTCCAAATCCTTATATAAATGTGTTGCTGACAAAAAAACATAAGATGCGAATTTTTATATCATAAACTTCACACAGATACTTGCTCATGAACATTAGGTAACATTCATGCTAAATTTTTAAAGTGGCCAATAATTTCTTGAATAAATGTTATAACATAGTTCAAGTTCTTATTTATAAACATTTAATTGATTCAAAGATGAATTATTTGAGACTTTTATTTGGTTCCAATGGAAATTAATTGGTTAAAAAATCTGTATTTCTTCCTATAATACAACTTCCTGATAGCCCCAGGATGTAAGCTGCACAAGGGCAGTGCCTGTTCTCTTCTTGTTGACTGATGTAGTTATCACTGGGTAATGACAACTATGCTCATTATGTGATAGGCATTCAATAAGCATTTTTTGAATGAGCATATTTCTATAGAGACTTACTCTTTCCATTGTGCTTTCACATCTATTATTTCTTTTAACCAAGGAAATTAAATGGGACACAGATTATAATCCCATCCAGAGACCATGAAAATAAATCCAAGAGATTAAATGGTTTATGATGGAGGCAAATTTTATTTGTTACTTTTTTATATCAGAAAATGATGTGTTCAAGTCTCATTTGTATATTACTTTATGCTACTTCATCAAATATGGGTATTTTGTCAGTAAGTTTATCTCTGTAACTTTCATACCTGCTGATTTTTGTTCTTATATTCCTTACTGGAAACATGCATAACAAGCCAATCATTTGACCAACTAAACAGAGACCAACTAGTTTCAGGAATGGGAAGGAATATCACAAACAGTAACTTGGCATAATTCTGTTAAATTTTCTAAACAATATAGAAAAATTCCAGTAAAGACAAGAAATTAGAAATATCAAATTGGTATATGAGTAATGTGAATGGTAATGAACAAATAATTATGGAAAATTTATATGTGGTGAATCTCCATGTAATCCAAAACAACACATTAATTACTTATTTGTAAGATCCACTACCTCAATAAAAATTCAATTTTACCAGAAATATTCTCAAGCATAGGAAGAAGCAGGTTTTGTGCAGGATCCATATGAAATGGTAAAAAAAAAAAAAAAAGAAAAAGAATCGAAAAGAGTAAATTTTTAAAAATCGTATTCTATTTTTTCAGAATTAACTAAAACATTTTAGTCAGAAAAATAATGAAGCTGATAGACCCTGGATTATTTCCTAAGGTAAAAATGAGTCAGCAATGTTTTAAAAACAAGAAAATGTAACTTACATATATGACAGTGTTAGACTTAGAAAAGCTTAGGGTCCAAAATAGCTTGGAGAAAATTAAGAAAATGGGAAATCAGTTCCTTACTTATAAATTTTAACTTGGACTTTGGTGACAGGGACAGACTATGAGTTTCCCATATGAAAGAGTCCATTACCTGTGGCATTTGTACACTAAACATCCAGTAAGGAACTAGTCTGGGCTTTCCTAGATGCAAGAAATCAATTTGTTCATGTGGACTCAGAATTTCTTCACCCTTTGAAAGGTATGAATGACCAGGTGTAGAGGTGTGTCCATGTGTACTTACTTATAAGCCATCAGGGTGGTTTAAAATGGATGGTTGAACTTCTGATTAAATAGAGAAGCTGCACAGTAACACTCAGTGGCTTTGTTATCTTACTGATTAGTACACAATTCCTGGTTCCACAGCCATGCAGACGTGCTGACAGCACTTACTTGCCCTCAGAGCTGTAACTGTTGATGCTGCCATCAGTAGACTCTCGGCTCGGCTGCCTTACCATCTTTCTCATTTCAGCTGCCATGCCTGTTTCTGTGCTTCTCTGGATGGTACTTTTTAACTTTTTGTGGCCCGACTCTGACAGGAGAGAGTAAAAGAAACTCTAAGTTTTATTTAGACAGTTTACTCCTGAATATCAATTGATCCTGCAAATACAATAGTTAATTTTACACATAATTACAAATTTAATCAGAAAAATAGTAACCTAAGGGAGTACTTTGCTTGATTCAGGCTCCTTGCCAAAGTATGCTTGGCTAAGGGGAGTACCACTGGATGCTATGCCATGGCCACAGTTTCAGTGACTGCCTAAATCTCAATCAGCCAAAATGAAATCATTGTATTATTGATGGTGACAACTTCAATGAAAATCTGAATTTGGCACCCAACTGTTCTGTGGAAAGATAATGGTGAACAATCTAATAGGTTTCTCCTAATACGGAATTCACTAAATGTGTATGAATAGTCCCAAAGGACAGGTCGTGTTCTTTTAAGGAGAAGGTGCATTTGGAACCCAGTTTGAAAAATACCACAGTTTTACTGTCACGTATCAGCAATCCTCATGAAGAGAAACTAGTATTTTAATTGATGATTTTTGCAGCACTTTAACATACACTATATAATATTTATACTTATTTCTACTCCATATAGATTATGGAGTTAGGTGTAACAGGTTTTATCTTAATTCAAAGACTACACAGCTACCTCATGGCCTTTTGACTCAGCTGCATGAGTTCTGACTGGCAGTTTGGGGTGTACACCTCCATTTGTACTGGGAATTACATACATTTGCATTTCAGTTCTTGATAAGCTCAGAGGAATTTTCTTGAGCCACTTTGAAATGCACTAACCAGCATTCTATTCATAGCATGGAAATAAATTCTAAAATATTTACTTGCTTACATGTATAAGCAGTATCAATAGGTTAGGAAAACTGTTAGACTTTATTCCATCTATACGTCCTATATAAATTTCTGGTTTTCGCTTTAGTTTCTGTATAGTATCATATAATACCCATTAATAATATATGAAAAATGCTCTATATACATAATTACATACATAACTACTATATAAACACATTAACTTTTCAATCCACATAAAACCTTTACAAAGCAGGTACCTAAATACACTCTTAGATAAGCCATTTGAAACACTGCATTTTTTCCCTCTCATTTTTGGTCACTGGATTCCTTTTGTAAATTGTCTAATCAAAGATATAATAGGTTATGCTATATGAACTTAATGCTGATCCTTCCTACACATTTAGTATGTTCATTAAAATTTTTATTTTTTATTGTTCTTAACCTTTTTATTGCTATTTTTGCTTACAAAGACAATATATGTATATTACAAAATATTTAAATGTTACAGAAATTGCCAACATTGAATGCCCCCTATAATTTCACCACTCAAGGAAGACAATGGTTAGTAATTTGGGAACTATTTTTTCTTTATACCTATACAAGCTTCTTCACTTGGCTACTGTGATCCACATTCTCCGTTTTTCCTTCTTTGACATTGGTTGTTACTTCCCAGTCTCTTCTGCTGGATTTTTCCTCTTTGAGATTTTTAGAAATAGACAATCCCTAGACCTCAGGCCTCAGACCTTTTGCTTTCTTCTACACTTACTTCCTAGGTGATCTCTAACATAGCTTTAACATAGCTAACAAAGCCACCTATGCCCTTGTGCCTCCCAAATATACATCAAGGTCTTAACCTTTCCCATAAATGCTGAAGTCATTAATCCAATTGCCTAGTAGCTCCATTTACAGATCTGATAGGCACTTCAACATTAACATATCCAAGACAGAACTCTTCCCCACCTCCACCACACTACCACCTCCCACTACTAAATCCTCCTCCCACAGTAAATGGTACTACAATTCACTTGGGTGATAAGGCCTAAATCCTTGTAATCATCTTTGATTCCTCTAACACACCCCACACCCAATCCATCAGCGAATCCTCTTGGCTTTGCCTTCAAAATGCATCACAAGTCTGGTCATTCTTCTTCCTCTCCACAGCTCCAACCCTATGTCCAGACACTATCATCACTCAAAAGAGCAGTGCCATACCCGTACAGCTAGTGTCACTGCTTCTATTCCTTTCCTCCTCAGAATATTCTTGACATAACAGCCATGGTGAGTCTTTAAAAATGTAAATCTGAATATATCATTCCCCTGCTCAAGATCTTATAATGATTAATCACCAAAGTAAAATGAAAATCCAAAATTGTTATCGTGGCCCAGGAAATGCCATATCATCTGGTCCTTGGACACCTCACATCTCATCTTCTGCCCCTCATTCCATATGATCAATGCTCTCCAGTCACACTGTCTTCCCTGCATTTCCTCAAGCCTGCAAGCATGCTGCTTCTGGGCCTTTTTTACTTCTGTTTGTCTCTTCTGACTTTCTTGCCTTGCTCCTTATTCAGATTTCTGCTTCAAGACAGGCTGTCTCCTCAGGGAGGCTTTGTATAGTATCCCTTTGCTGTGCTTTATTTTTCTTCACAGCACTGCTTCATCTGCCATTAAACCTTTATCTGTTTGTGGTCTGTTTTCCAATTAGAATTTAATTTCTATGTGAGCAGGGTCATTGTGAGTATTGTTCACTGTTATTCCTCGTATCTAGAACAGGGGTATAAACTGTTGATAGTGAAATCACACCACATATACTAATGTGCAATTTTCACATTCCATTTAATATAATGTAACACAAACAGGTATATATTTATTCTTTTTAAAGATTGCACTATTCCACTTTATGACTATGTGGTTCATCATTAAACCATCTCTTTATTGATGGGCTATTGGATATTTCCAGTTGTTATAGGAGAGCTTCTACAGAATGAATTACTAGAAGTTGAAATGCTACTGAAAGGGTAGGAATCTGTTTAATTTAAATAGCTATTTCTAAATTCCCCTTTAGAAACATTGTAGTGATTTATACTCCTACCAAGAGTCACATGGATGTTCCCACTTACCTACCTATGGCTCAAGAATTCTCTTCCTATCCCCTTTTTGGACTCTGTCTTGTCCACTTGACTTGTCATTGTGGAACGTGCACACTTACCGAAGGCAGGGACTTCATCTATGGCCATTGTAAATGCTGTTTAGTTTAGTTTTGGTATTTATTCATTTATATGTTGATTCCTTTCTAGAGGTAATTCATTTGTGAAGTCACTATGGTAGAGCAGTGGCCACTCATGGCCACATACTGGCCAGATCTCACTTAAAGGACAGGGGTAAGCCCCAGGGGTATATTACCAAAGTATTGAGCCAAGATGAATTACAAGTGTTTATCCAAGACAGCATGAGATAATAAAATCTGCATAGAACACCAGTTATTGAAAATCACGAGGATCATGGCTAGAGAAATTGCAGGAACATTAAATCTAAACGGTGAGGTGCTGCTGAAAACTGGAGGAGAAACAGTTAAGAGGATCAACAATATGGCGGGTTCAGGTTAGAGTGTTAGTTCATTCTGTTTTTTGTTCATTCATCTATCCTACAAATATTTATGGAGCATCTATTATGTGTCATACACTGCTCGAGGTGCTGGAGATATATGGATGGATGAGAAATTTCCTGCTTTAAAGGAGCGTAGATTCTAGTTTGCGTGTGTATACAAGAAAGACAGTGAATAGGCCGAGCGCAGTGGCTCACACCTGTAATCCCAGCACCTTGGGAGGCCGAGGCGGGTGGATCACGAGGTCAGGAGATCGAGACCATCCTGGCTAACATGGTGAAACCCTGTCTCTACTAAAAATACAAAAAAATTAGCCAGGTGTGGTGGCGGGCGCCTGTAGTCCCAGCTACTCGGGAGGCTCAGGCAGGAGAATGGCGTGAAGCTGGAAGGCGGAGCTTGCAGTGAGCAGAGATTGGGCCATTGCACTCCAGCCTGGGCAACTGATCAAGACTCCATCTCAAAAAAAAAAAAAAAAAAAAGAAAGACAGTGAAACGAAGATACAATATCGCTGATAGGGAAAAAATTAGGCAGGATGAGAGGGGTAGAGAGTGATGAGGTAGAGCGGGAATTATTTTGTTTGAAAAGGAGCCAGGGTCTGATTAAGCAGGGCAGGGGGAAGTGACGACACAAGCTATGAGGAAAGAGGGAAGCAGTACACTGCGGGGATCAGTCCTGCTGACGGGAGGCTGTGAGTAATGGTGGCTGTGGCAGAGGGGAAGGGGAGGGCTGCAGTCTTGCAAGTAGTGCACAGGTCCCCAGGCTTCCTCTCCAGTCTTTGTAATGTCGATGTTGACTCCAACCCAGAGGCTCTGTCACCAGTGATCTCAGGCTCTGTGTGTTGCTGGCAGTCCAGATGACGGTGAAGTGCAGACTGTCAATAACTGACTTATCTTGCATTATCTAACACAGGTTTCACATGATTGTTGTTCATTACATATTTGGTGACAAATGAAAATGAAAACTGAAAAGAAAAACTTTAAAAGTGAATAATCTTTATTCATTTGTATATTTTAGTTGGGATATCAAGTTTTCTTAAAGAAAGGTATATCTACAGGGTGTCTCAAAATTCTTACAGCAGTTTTAAACTTTAATAGCTTCCACGGTGTAAAGGACACAAATGCTTGAAAAATATCATTTGAGGGGCTAGTTATTGAATTTTCTTTTATATTTACTTGATTTTGTGAATTTGAATATTTTTAATATTAAAGTTTTTGTTTTAGTCCTGCTGAATGAAGATGGCAGATGAACTGACATCTAACTGTTGTCTTATTCATATAAATAAATATTCATGAAAAGAGCTTCAATTGATTAAGCAATATAAAGGTCCAGGCAGAAGCTCAATAAACAGTTCTAGTTTTAAATTTGCCTTGTTTAAATTCATAAGGGTCCCAATATTAATTTGGAATGTGAGGATTAGAAGAAACATTGTTTTATAGATGTGGAAACTGTAAATCTGGAGAAACAGAATTCATGCAACAAATTCGTTCGGCCCTTACTCTGGGTCCAGTCTTTTCCAGATGCTGGTAATACAGCAATGAGCACAACAGACAAAATCCCTGCCCCAATGGAGGTTACATTCTAGTGGATATAATGACTTGCTTAACATCACATTAGTTAGCAGCAAAAGCTGAATTAGAAACCTGTCTTTCTAAATCTTAGTCTTGCAATCATTCCATTATACAACATTTTAGGAAAATGTAAAGTCTGGTCTTATTTATTTTGCAAATAGAACAATGGTTATCTACACAGGTATTTTTATGTATACATTCACATATGGCTTTACAAGTTAGTTTGTAAAAGTTTGTTAAAAAGCACATATATTCTATACAAGCACAAATGTATAATTATCTGCATCTATGTACATATACTGTAATTATAACAAATATGTGTTACATCTATGTAATATGTTTAATGTCAATATAGTCCATTAAAATATATACAATATTAGAAAATGCTTTTATGCTTTTAGGAATGCCATCGTTATTAATTATTTGTATCCATTGAAGAATCATTAACCTTATAAAGACATAAAGTCTACTACAAATTATGACATGAAACCTTTGATTTGTGAACACCATCTGAAGTATTCTATTAAGAATAAAAAAGATTAGAAAAGTAGTGCATTTTAATATTCTCTAGTCACATGAAAAATTACTAAAATCCAAAATGTCTGGGGGCAATATTTCACCCGTGTTCCGGAAGGGCAAACTTTCTCTCAAAGAGTATTCCAAAAGATGTCATATTTACAGGTGAACTCTTTCTCTCTTTGCTTATTTAGAGATATGTGTTATATTTAGAAACATCCACTGACTTATTAATTCATTCTATAAATACTCATTAATCACCAAGAACCTATGATACAGGCATTGTTCTAGGTGTTTCAGATACAACAGTAATAAGATAGAATAGGGAATACAGTAAACATGTATTTTTAAGTTAGGACCATGAGAAACAGGTCAAGGCTAGAAAGATAGAGAGATAGAATATATTGACATGCAGATACAATTAAAATCTATGCTGGTAAATATAAGAACTTGGGGAGGAAATACACATAAAGAGTAAAGAGAATGGAGCTTGGAATATTCCCACAGTTAGAGGTACAGAAGAAAATCAGGACTGTCAAGGAGGCTGAATAGGAGGACCTTTTAAGGTGGGGGAAAAGCAGTAAGTGCAATGGTACAGAAATCAGAAGAAGTAAGTGTGTCAAGAACTAAAAAAATAATGTTGATTACTACTTAAGAGGTTTAGTAAGAAAAAAATATAGACGTGACCACAGTGCTTGGCTTCATGGAGATAACTGACTGAGAGGAGTAGATTCAGTGAAGCAGTAAGATTAGGTGCCTGAAAGGAGTGGCCAGTCAGAAGAGGGAATGAGAGGTGAGTAAATAGAGACAGCTCCTATGACTATTTTGTAAAGGTTTGTTGTGATTGAGAGGTAGTATTTGGAAAGTCACACAGTATTAGGGGAGGTTGTCCTTTTCTTTAAGATGTGTGGTAGTAGAGCTTGTTTCTATGTAGATTGGAATAATTAGATGAACAGGGAAAAACACATTGTTAGACTTAACATTATCGGCTGGAGAGATGTATAAAGATAGATAACATCAGATAAATCATCTTCCAATCAAAGCAGTCTCTGAGGCCAAAGCAGTCTCTGATGGAACTGGATACACTATCCAACTCCATCAATTAATTGGAAAAATCAATAAAAGAGTATCACCTGATTAAGCAATTTAGGTCCAAAATAAATGCAATAATGGTTTGTTAACTCACAAAAACAAAGTATCAAGTAAGTATAACCTTTTTGGTTATTCTGAAATAATATATTTTTTTTATTTTTGAGGTGACAAATTCAGTTATTTTGTAAAAATTAATTTTTTTTTTAAGAGACAGGGTCTTGCTAGGTCTCAGTAACAAGATCACAGTAAGCTATGATTATGCCATCACTAGGCTGGAGTGCAGTGGTGTGATCACAGCTTACTGTTACCTTAAACTCCTGGGCTCAAGCGATCCTCTCCTCTCAGCCTTCTGAACAGCCAGGACTACAGGCACATGCCACCACACCTGACTAATTGTTTTAGTTTTTTTTTTTTTTTTTTTTTTTAGAGATGGGGTCTTGCTATGTTGCCCAGGCTGGTCTTCAACCCCTGGCCTCAAGTGATCCTCCCATCTCAGCTTCCCAAAGTGCTGGGATTACAGGCATGAGCCACTGTGCCTGGCCAAAATTCAGTTGTTTTTTTCTTTCTTTTTGTGGAACCGCAGTGAGAACTTGAAAATTCAGTTTAAAAAAAATTGTTGTGGTTAGTATATTATACTTGTTCATTTTGTCCTTTAGTCATTCAACAAACTATTTCCTTAGTGCTTTGTGCCCCAATACTGTATATGTAAGTGTGAAAAGGAAAGAAACCCATCAACCATTTCATAGTCTAGAAGGAGACATAGACAAGTAAAAGTCTCATTGTGATGTGGTATAAGTGCTGTGCAGTGGGTTTATTTTATATGTATTTAACTTTATGTATTTATGTTATGTAAATTCAATGATATGAAGAGAAGAAGAGAAGGGGAGAGAATAATTCAAGCAGTGAGTGTGAGTCGCAGCTTGCAATGCCACTTAATGAGCATGTAAACTGGAGAGATCATGAGCTGAGAAATGCAAATCTTCTTCTTTGTTTCAGTTCCTCAAGATAATTCTTGTGTTTATGAAGATTTCTAAAAAAAGGCTGCCTAAAAGCAAGCCAATGGCTTTATCTGGATTTAAACAAAACAGCACCAATGTAGTCAAACTGTGTAAAAGCAGACAGTATTGGACTTATTGAGAGACTGTAGATTGCTATTTAAGAGATTTTCACAGGAAATTTTAACTCTGTGTAGAGGTAGAGGACGGATGGAGGCAGGGTGGAAGGGAATTGTATAGTTGTATTTCAAGCCAGGAGAGCAGCATAGGTAAAGGTCCTGAAGAGAAAGAGTATGGTCCCTCGAGTTAACTACATTTCCTGAATCACCAGAGTTAATTTAATGGTGATTGAAGATAGTGAGGTGTGAAGCCAGAGAAGTAAACACTGGAGGGTCTTTTATCTAAGGCCCTCAGGGTGCACAGTGACATATCATTTGAACTGATGTTGTAGTGTTATTAATGCTATCCTTAATAATCTCAAGGTCCTGGTCTTCCTTATACAATTTTACCCATATACAATTGTGTGTAGTTTGTATTACATGCAATATAATATAGTAATATTGTCATCTATCTCCAACAATTATTATTTAAAAGAAAATATGCAGCAGCTCTCCTTTGTTGATGTCAGATGCTTCCAATGTGTGGTAACCATATAGTTGGAATTTTTTATTAGTCTTCCCTAATAGTGCCATCATTTTCTTTAGTATTTAAGCAAATAAACACAAATGTTCCTTTTGTGTTGTGCCAAGGTTTTTGAATATATTTTATCCTAAGCCAGATAAGTACAACTTGTAAAAATTTCATAGGTTGGAGGATTATTTTTAGAAAATGGCACAAGGTTCTTTGGCTTTCATTGTTTTCCTCATTTTCTCTCACTTATTCTCCAGGTTAATCCTATCAGTCATAAACTCCACTATTTTCCTTCCATTTTCCCATTTTCCAAAGATATTTCTAATGAAAGAATACAGTGGTCAAGAAACTAAAAACAGTATCATTCTGAGTATTTTTGTGAGATAGATGGAATCATTCTTTTGATGATATTTTCCTTCAAGAGAATATTTCAAATCTTTCCTAGTGATGTACTTATCCACTTTTATTGCATTTCCCTAACCCAAAAGATATAAAATGTTTTATTTTGTTACAATGTACTTTAAGTTATTTACAGATACTACTTCAGAAAAGGATTCATCTGTTCGAACATTGACCTTTATTTTTATTTTCAGCTCTTCCATGGCTAATAGCTATTCTTTCATTAAAAACCTGGTATTGCTATGATTGACTATAAAGCCTTGCCTGTCAGATCTACTTAAATCACTCAGTTACACTTACATTTTCAGCAAAATGTTAGCTAACATAACTTTGTTTTTTCCATTCGCTGAGCTATTGAAAGTATAAACAATAGCAAGTTCAACATGGCTTTTCGTATGTTTTAAATAATCTTCATATTAAACTTAATAAGGCTGCCCAAAAATATTTAAGTAAAGAGATTTGTATACACTGAAACATACCATCTGTACTACCTCTTATTTTGGCTAAAGCCAGATAAGAGAGCGGGAAACATCCAAATGCTGAACTTCTCACTCGTGTAAATTGTTTGATTTCACAGCTTCAATGTTTCCAAAGTATTTCTAGTGTTAGGAGCTAAATTATGTCCCTCTAAAACACATGTTGAAGCCCTAACCACTGTACCTCAGAATGTGACTGTAGTTGTAGAAAAGGCCTTTTAAAGCAGTGATTAAGTTAGAACGAGATCATTAAAGTTGACCCTAATCCAATTTGACTGGTGTTCTTATAAGAGCTGGAGATCAGGCCTCACAGAGACACCAGGGGCCACCGGCACAAGAGGGACCACCCTAGGAAGACGCAACAAAATGGTGGCCAACAGCAAGCCAAGGAGAGAGCCTCAGAAGAAACCAAACCTGCTGACACATCGATCATGAGCTTTTGACCTCTCGAATGTTAAGAAAATAAATATCTGCTCTTTAAGCCATCCAGTCTATGGCATTTTGTTACAGCAGCCCTAGTAAATAAACACATTTAGGGAGTGGATTTTATTATTTTATCATGTTATTTAATAATTGTGATGATTGAGATACTTTAAGCATGTGGGGATAAATAATCACCTAAATTGTCTGAGGATGAGATTAAGCCCCAAATACTGGAATGGACTTGTTTTTCAGGTTGCCTTAAATAAGAAGTGGTCCGAAGGCCAGGCATGGTGGCTTATGCCTGTAATCCCAGCACTTTGGAAGGCCGACGTGGGAGGATTGCTTGAGTCTGGGAGTTCAAGACCAGTCTGGGCAACACAGAGAGACCCTATCTCAATTTTAAAAAAAAGTAATCTGAAGTATTACACGAGTATACTGAAATCATTTATTAACAACTCTTGACAACAGGAAGATAAAGGCTCAGATTTTATTTGCTCAGTAGTAGTAAAAATAGCACATTTACTTCACATTCGTTTTCTTTACTCTTCTTTGGTCTAAGTTAATACCTCAGATGAAGCTGGATTTCATTTACTAAGCATAAACCTAGAATATCTCCTTACTGTCTACCACCCTGACTATAATAATAAAGTAATACTTCAGGTTGAAGCCTAGAAAGAAGCAAATGCTTTATTGCATTGTTTCATATACATATATATTATACTTTAAGTTCTAGGGTACATGTACACAACATGCAGGTTTGTTACATATGTATACATGTGCCATGTTGGTGTGCTGCACCCATTAACTCATCATTTACATTAGGTATTCCTCCTAATGCTATCCCTCCCCCATCCTTCCACCCCACGACAAACCCCGGTGTGTGACGTTCCCCACCCTGTGTCCAAGTGTTCCCATTGTTCAATTCCCACCTATGAGTGAGAACATGCGGTGTTTGGTTTTCTATCCTTGCGATAGTTTGCTTAGAATGATGGTTTCCAGCTTCATCCATGTCCCTACAAAGGACATGAACTCATCCTTTTATATGGCTGCAAGTATTCCATGGTGTATATGTGCCATATTTTCTTAATCCAGTCTATCATTGATGGGCATTTGGGTTGGTTCCAAGTCTTTGCTATTGTGAATATATATTTTTAAAAACTTTTATTTAAACTCAAGGTTTTGGGGAATCTTTCCTCCTATCCAATCTCAACAGGCAGACTAATATTCCAAGTGGAGCCTGGACCAGAAGTGGTTTGAGGGGCAACTCTGGACTCAGAATGCCTGGATTCAAGTACCAGCTCTACCACTTACTAGTTCTGTGCCTGCAGGCAGCCTACTGAGCCTTTTACACCTTAGTTTCCTCATCTATGAAATGGGGGAATCAAAATACCTAGCTCATAGGGTTGAGTATTAAACGAGATAATTCATGTAAAGCACTCAGGAAAGTGCCTGGAACCTATTTAAAGTTATCTATTGTTACAGAATAAGATCTCAAAGTATTCTGCACAGATTACATCTTCAAGTAGAATAATGCCAATTCTCCTTGCTCCATTCAAAGCACATGTTCTTTCCGGGCCTCACATTTAATTCCAAATGCTATTTAGAATGCCGTAAAATTAAGCTGCAACATGTCACAGATAATTACATGTGCCCCCAATATCTATTCATTCTCACCATTTGTTTTACTGGTAAACTTCCTATCTTCTAAGTTAAGGACTGACCACATTTCCCTTCCCTCCTCTGCTCTTGAAGGCATGGGGACATGATGGTGGGAGCTAGAGCAGCTACTTTGGGTCTAGGATAGGAGAATTTGATGAAGCTGGCGAAGCCTAGTCCTCTGACATAAAGGAGTCGCCATAACAGCCCAGACTGGGATGACCACTGGGACTATTATGTAAGAGTCTTGATTAAACACTATCTGTGTGTGCCTTGTTACAGCACCCTATCGTGTACCACAGAAGATAATATTCTAAATCAAACCCAGTGTGGATTTTTGAAATAATAAAATTAGTTTTAGGAATAATAAAGAATACTCTCAGTTCTGTAGCTTCAGATAGAACATTTTAGTCCTCTACAGTTTCATGTCTGGAAGAATAAGGCTCCTCTTCTAATAAGAGAGTTAATGGAAATTTTTCTTCCCCACAAAGTCTCAGAGAATATTGGGTTAGAGGGGAAGATTCTAGCAATAAACACCGTTTATTAAATACCCTCATGGCACCCCACAGGGTACAATAAACAGAGGTGTCCTTTTCTTTTTCTTTTCTTGTCTTTTGAGACGGCGTCTCACTCTGTCGCCCAGGCTGGAGTGAAGTGGCATGATCTCGGCTCACTGCAACCTCCATCCCCCAGGTTTAAGCGATTCTTCTGCCTCAGCCTCCTGAATAGCTGGGATTATAGGCACCTGCCACCACGCCTGGCTAATTACTATTATTATTATTATTTTAGTAGAGACAGAATTTTGCCATGTTGGCCAGGCTGGTCGTGAACTCCTGACCTCAGGTGATCCACCCGCCTTGGCCTCCCAAAGTGCTGGGATTACAGGCATAAGCCACTACACCTGCCCTGAGGTGTCCTTTTCTAATAGTTTAATATTCTGAAACAAACACACATGTATGAAGTTCTTAATTATTGTGTGGAAATGACTGTACTGCACAAGTTATAGATAGAAGAGAGGGTTTTAGGTCACAAAGAAAATTAAGAAAAAGTGTTTTCTATATTCTGTAAAATGGAATAGATTCTCTGTACTTCTTACCACATTCCACAAAATAAATTAGATGGATTTTCATCAAAATTGGGGTGGTTTGATTTAGAATAGAAGCTATGCAGTATTGTGAAATTCCTGTTGGGAGACCCAGCAGGGCAACTTAAAGAGATAGGCAGCAATTCTTGAGAAAACCTGAAACAGAAGTACAATTGATCTAGGAGAGATGTGGCATATGTAATTAGTTATCACTAAAGAAGCCCCCACACTGAAAATCAAAATCACAGCATCAGGTACTCTAAATGGTAGGGTGATAAGGGATAATTGGGCAGTTTCCTGTTGGGGGACTCAATGTACCTTGAAACAACAGCAGAGCAGGTATTTATTTATTCTTGAGTGCTTATGATTTTCCCAATTCACAATGGAGAGGCAGACAGCATGTGTAAGTATACTTTTGTAAGGATGGGTGAGGTAAACACTTAGAACAACTTACACGACCATTACTGAGAAGTCAACATTAATATCGTTCATATGAAGTAGTTAAATGTTACAAGGAAAGAATAAAATAAGTTTGATGATCTCCTAAAGGCAAAGTTTGTGTAAAGAGGAATTTTGATTCCTTTACATCTTTTAGTTGTATACATTGATCATATCAGGATTGGCCATGATTTCCTAAGAACAAGATGAATATATGTCTGTATATATAAAATAAAAATTCACAAAGATGGAATCAGTGAGTTAGTTAATCAATACAGGCAGTTTATAAGAATATATTATGTTCAAGACACTATGAAAAGATAGTATCAGTTTGGCCTTCAAACCTCTGCTTGGGGCCCTACTCTGTTCTTGCTTTCAAGGGTCTTGCTCTGCCCTCTTCTTATCTTACCTCTTCACATAGCATATAGCCTTCCCTGTCCCATAGACCAAGAGGGGGCCAAGAGGATGTGCCCACCCAGAGTCCATGCCCACTCAGAGCCCATGTTCCCTTCTGAACTAACCTTCAGATCCATGGAATCCTAGAATTTCCTGCCTCAATGGCCCTGCATCCAATCCCAGAGCTAGCCCAGATGTCTTTCTAGGGTTTACTCTCCTGAGGATGGATAGTATCAGCAGTGTGCACACCCTAAATTCCAAGTGGCAGTGGACACAGCTTGAACACGTGCGCAAGGACACTCAAGGTACAGGACGGAGCCAAGGTTTGGGAACAGAAGAAGGTGGGTGACAGGTTTCAGCAGGAGGTGGGGTAAGCCAAGCCCAAGCACAGAACTCTGGAGAGCCTGAGAATTCTAAATTGAAATGTGACCTCCTTGGTCATTAAAAAGATATTTTTGTCAAGGAAGGAGACTAAAAGACCTTTTATTTGGCATTTTGTTAGTTTGGTTTATAACTTTTAAATGGCATATATGAATGTGTACTTCCATTTATTGCTCAGGGCCTCCAGTAAGCCTAGAATCTCTCAAGCGTAAAACTGTCCCATGCTTCGTAAACAATGAATCCTTTATTTTGATCCATTTGAAGGAACTATCATTAGAACAAGTCTGTTGCATAATTTTGTTTGGAGTTTTGGTCAGACTCTGAAAAACCTGTGATAAATTTCTGTGATTAAAAACCCAGGGAAATCTTATATGAGTAGCAAAATCTGATTCTCTTTTTTTTTTTTTTTGAGACAGAGTCTCTCTCTGTCACCCAGGCTGGAGTGCAATGATGTGATTTTGGCTCACTGCAACCTCTGCCTCCTGGGCTCTAGTCATCCTTCCACCTTAGTCTCCCAAGGAGCTGGGACTACAGGCATGCAACACTACGCCCAGCTAATTTTTGTATGATTTTGTAGAGACAGGGTTTCATCATGTTGCCCAGGCTGGTCTTGAGCTCCCGATATCTGCCTGCCTCGGCCTCCCCCAGTGCTGGGATTACAGGAATGAGCCACGGAGCCCAGCCCTTCTTCTTTTTTATAGAGTTTTTTTCTCTCCTTAGTTCAGAAGACTTGGGGGCCTACAAGGAAAGGAGCAGATGTGGAAGAGTAACAGCTCTTACTGGAGACTCAATTCTCACATTAACACACCGGGGACTGGGAAAATCTATAGACCCAGACAAAATATTCCTCATGGAAGTGAGGCAGGATGACAGCAGGGTAGTCAGAGGTTTAGGGTAGCAAAACTTACACTTCACAGACTAAAACAAGGGTATGCTAGCACATATTGTAATGACTGGTTTACGATCCTCACATAATTGGGTGAATATTTCTCTATACATTTTTAATAGAATGTGAAAGCATTATTTACAAAGATTTGATTTAAGAAGAGATTAAAAGAAAATTGGGGTGCTAGGGTCAGTCCCTCCAAAACTTATTGGAAATCATATAGTCTTTTTTCTAACTTCAGAATTTTCATGAAAAAGTAAATTCAGATGTACCAGAAACCATCTCTTTTCTCTTGCATTTATAAAACCAAGAGGCAAGAATGTGGTCAGAGATATTTACCACTGCTAACTTAAAAATATTCCATTTCCATTTTATTAAAAGGGAAATTTGGAATTTTATTGGCAGATAATTCAGTAGGCAAAGATTACAAACATTTTCACCAGTAAGCTCCCAAGGAGCAAGCCAGCAAAAACTGCAGAGATCCCCTACAGGCCATATCTTAGTTACAAAGCAATCCAAATCCAATCCAGGTTTGGGTCCCTTGTGTACCCAAACCTTGCCCCACTCCCTCCAGAAGTACCTGCATACAACTCTAGGAGATTCTGTCATCATAGAAAAAGCAAATTCAACTGTGAAAAGCAATAACTACTCAAGGTAGCTGCACTCTCCCAAAATATTATCATCTAGAAATGTTTCACTCTGTTTAGTTATATCATAATTGGAGGCTTATTTGGATTTATGATAACTAACTACATGTGGCTGGTACAAGTTAGTTCATCAGTGTAATTTCTAACATCCAGCTGACATACCTATTCTAGAGGAAATGTAATGAAAACTTAAAAAAAAAGTTATATATTTACTGAGTGATCAGAAAGGTAATTTATGCTTTTAGAGGAGAAAAAAAGTATCAAGATTATTTAGTAGGTATAGAACGAGTTATTAGTAAATACAGGAGAAATTCTGTAAAATGTAAGAAGAGAGATAAAAATCAATTAATTAGAGAGGCCAAGAGAAAATCAGAAACGCTAAACTTGATGAGGCAAAGAGCTCATGAGAGTGAGGGTGGCCATCAGCACAATGTGATTCTGACTGGCTAGTCCTTTTAAAGCAGGGGTCCCCAACCTCAGGGTCATGGACTGGTACCAGTCTGTGGCCTGTTGGGAAGCAGGCTGCACAGCAGGAGGTGAGTAGTGGGCGAAGCTTCATCTGTATTTACAGCTGCTCCCCATTGTTTGCATTACTGCCTGAGCTCCGCCTCCTGACAGCTCAGAGGCAGCGTTAGATTCTCATAAGAGAATGAACCCTATTGTGAACTGTGCATCTGAGGCATCTAGGTTGTGCATTCTTTTTGAGAATCTAATACCTGATCTGTCACTCTCTCCCATCACCCCCAGATGGGACTGTTTAGTTGTAGGAAAACAAGCTCAGGGCTCCCACTGATTCTACATTATGGTGAGTTGTATAATTATTTCATTATATATTGCAATGTAATAATAATAGAAATAAAGGGCATAATAAAAGTAATGCACTTTAATCATCCTGAAATCATCCTCCCCCTTTACCCCCTGGTCCATGGAAAAATTGTCTTCCACAAAACTGGTCCCTGGTTTTGTGCCAAAAAGGTTGCTGACTGCTGTTTTAACGCAAAATACTCTGACCACTTCATTTCAGACTGGCACTGAGATCTACTCTAGCTCAAAGTATGGATATGACAAGAGAGAAAATAGGCAAATAATGTAAATTGTGCTAATTTGAGGCCTGGCCACACAGGCCTTGGTAGTAATTTGAGGGCAGGTTGTGTGACACCAATGAAGAATCATTCCATGACTGGGAAGAATATAACTTATGCATAAAAACTTAATTAGAGCCTGTGTGCCCTAAGGGTTTTGGGAAACTGCTGACTGGTTGCTTTTCCACTGACTGTGGTTAGAATAGGTACTAAATAACAAAACATAGTTGCGTATCTGAAGACCAAAAGAAAACTCTTAGGACATAAAAAGAAATGGTTTGGTGGTGAGAATTGGTACAATGAAGTATTAAAAACATTAGGTCTTTAGGGCCAGGCGCAGTGGCTCACGCCTGTAATCCCAGCACTATGGGAGGCCGAGGCGGGCGGATCACGAGGTCAAGAGATCGAGACCATCCTGGCCAACACGCTGAAACCCCATGTCTACTAAAAATACAAAAATTAGCTGGGTGTGGTGGTGCGTACTTGTAGTCACAGCTACTTGGGAGGCTGAGGCAGAAGAATCACTTGAACCTGGGAGGCAGAGGTTGCAGTGAGCCAAGATCCCGCCACTGCACTCCAGCCTGGTGACAGAGTGAGACTTCAACTCAAAAAAATAAAAATAAAAAATAAATAATAAAATTAGGTCTTTAGTTTTCATCTCACTACTCATCTTTTAAAAATTAGATGAACATGAACTTGAAATATGCAATACAATAAAAAGTATACTGGTGAAGAAAAAATCTGGTGGATTAAGGTTTACCAATCTTCAGAACTGCATTACTGTATCTTAAGGAATTGACTAAATTACTTCAAGTACAGTATTTAATGATTCTGTGGGAGAAAAAAAAATGTGCCTAAGCAGATGTCTAAGCTTTAATGAATGAAAATGTTAACAAAATGTGAGATAAGAATGATAACGTATTACTGACTCTAATTTAATTTGACATCCTTAGCAGAATCAATTACTTTCTGCCTCTCTTCTTTCCAGTTTGCTTATTACTCTCAAGGCATTGTCCTAAATTGACTATAAACAATGACAATCCTGATAATTTGAGGAGTAGGAGGTGTGTTCAGTGTTAATCACACACAAAAATGTTTGATTCTGGTTCAGCCACACTTCAATAAGTGGGAATGAATGAACATGGCCATGAATGTGGAATTGATAACTCTTCCTGAGAAGGAAAACACTGTAATTCACAAGGTAAAAACAAACCTGATACTTTTTCATTAGAGCAGGAGTATATTTATAAGAATATTAAATACTGGCTTATGCAATACTAAAGCAGTACTAAAAATAAGCACTGAGCTGAAAACCCTGAAATTCAAATTATCGGTGGGTTAAATTGATCCATTTTAGAATAGAACAGATCAGAAACTTAGCATTGAAACCTTAAAAATAAATGACGGAATCCAAAGTCTGATCAAAGAATCCAAGGTGCAGTAAGGTTAAACCCTTAGCCTGTGGTTACTTAGCTCCTTACCAACACAATGAAAATTAGAGCCTTAATTTTTCCACTTCTAAGTCTTTGACCTTTACTGTAGATAAAACTTTAATTTTAATTTTGTTTAAAAAAGAATTGTCTTATTATGAAAGCAGTGGACTGTGTCCTTTATTCCCAGGATTGTTTGTTTCAGAAATCACACACATTGTTACACTCCATTTGTTCACACTCTTAACAGGCCAAGTCCAACCTCCAGTGACTTTAGCATCTCCCTGCTTCAATAAATTGTTATGTAACAGGTCATGCAACCTGGCGGCAGCCATATATAGTTTCCCAACAATGAATAGCAAACCAATCGCTGAAGATTAGACACAGTCCAGAGAAACCACTTTTAGTTCTTTCCGATGTTCTTAGAAACAGGGAGATTTTGTTTGCAAACCTAATTCTTAAGTATGCTCCTTCAAATTGCCCCTACAAAGGTACAAAAGGGAGAAAAGTACTGTATGTCCCTGTTTACTCTAAATTCTTGGTAAATTGATTTTGGCTGTATTTCTCTGTACAATAAGTTCACATTTTTTGGAAAGAAAATAAGCAGTCAAGTTCTAAATCAATCTCAGGAAAAAAGAGCATTTTTGTAGATTTTAATGTTTCACCTACCATTTGCTAAGTTAAACACATAAAAAAATCTTTAAAACATTAAAAAGATGGAACCCTAGAAAGCATGGCAAAAATAATTATCTCAGGAGTACATTAACAATTTTGATGAGAAATGATGGGTAATTTTGTAAAGGTTAAATGCCATGGAAATATATATCTTCAATCTCAATTGTTGAATGAGATACTTTTACCTTTTATTTTCCTTTCAAGAAACCACACACAATATAATATTGACATGAAAATTCATGATTCTCACCAACACATGTTTATGGCCTGTCCAACACAGATTATGAGGTCTGATTCTGATCCAGAAATTTCAAACAGGCTTCTAGAACCACAGGCCTAGAATCCTTGGCCCAGGTATTTTAGATTCTTGTTTTGAAACAGCCTTTAAGATTGCTGCCTTTATTCTAATACTCCACATTCTGACTTGCTGTGAGCCCAAGATGATCTAGACTGTTTCCTGGTTAGACTGCAACCCAGAGTAGAATAATTATATTCATAAAGAATTCCACTATTTGATAAATATTTTCAGTTTTTTGGATGAGGAAACCAAGGATGAGAGAGGTTAAATTATTTTGCTGAGATCATCGCCAGTAAATGGCAGAATTAGAACTCACATTCAGGGCTTCTAGCTCCAAGTTACCAAAAGCTTTGCCCCTTAAAAGGCACCAGGTGAACTATGGCTAAGGGGCTCGTCTATCTACACAGGGACTGGTTGGGTCCTGCCCATTGCCTCTTAACTTCCTCTTGAATGCTGGCCAGCACTTCAGGACGTGACCTAACAAACTACATTTCTGTCTTCCTAACTCTGGCCTTCAACTGATTCCTGATTCCTTCTACCTTTCTGGTGTCCTTGGGAGAGAAGTTAGTCAACTTTTCAGGGTATACTTCACACTTCAACTACATATGCAAATAAACATAAAACTGTAAAATTCAAATATGGACAAAGTTTCAAGTCTTAATTAAAGTTGTCTCTTTTAAGTAGAGCACTTTAAAGTAGTGCTCTACTAGAAAGAAAAACAGGATGACAGTTTGCTTACACATCTTAGCATCTGCAGAAATCATGTTTCTCCAGGAGAGTACTGTTATTTTACCAGAGTAATAATCCACGAATTTTTTTCAAAGACATATTTTGACTTACTAGCGCTTGTAATTAATCCTATGATAGCATATGGCTGGGGGGATGTCACACATAGGTGAAATATCAATTAAATAAATTTGCATAAGAACCACCCATAATAGACCCTCCAGACCACACATGTGCACACACAGCACACATACACACATACATACACATACAGACACAGACACACAGAGATATGAGAGAAAAGGAATAGCTTTCATTGTTATAAATGCTTTAAATGCTTTTGATCAGAGTTGACAAATATAATTTTAAAATTTCAAGTTTTTCATATAAAAAATCTCATATTTTTAGGAGAAGGCAGATTTTCTCATATCCGTTTGTCTTTAACTTTCATGGGAAGACAAATTTCTCCCATACTTCCTCCCAACTACATTCTTCTCTACATCAAACCTCTCCTCCTTTTCTGTACTGGGAGAAGGTATCCCTCCTCTTCCTCTGCAGCATTCCTATCATATAGTTCCTTTCCTCCCTTTTCTTCTCTACTTTATTCTCTTTATTTGTACTCTTTAAGCCCCAGTACTCCCCAAATTTCTTTTTTCACAAGCTGCTTATAAATATTTATGTCTGCTTTCTAAATGCTATCCATACATGTACAAATATTCATACCTTCACTCCCCAAATATATATGCAGCACTTAAATGGTATTGTTATAAGCACTGTAGATTAAAAATTAAAAGACACTTACAACCTGGTGGGGGAGGAAGGAAACCACATAAGCAATTCTATTTCAGTAGAATCAGAAGTAAAAAATATTCCTAAGTGAGAGATGAGACAGGGGATCAAGTTAGCATCTCTCCTGGGGTAAGTTAAAGAACTTCCTGCTGAGGAGGAGATACTTGAACTATAATTTGAAAGTTAAATATAACTTGCTAGACAGATGAGAAAGGCAAAGGGCATTCATGACTGTGGGGGCAAAGGTCCCGAATGGTCTTTTCACTAAGTAATCATAACAGTTGTACCTCTAATTCATTATTATCTACTGTGTCTTGAAATACCTGAGATTTGGAAACCCTTTTAACAATCTTACTTAAATTGTACTTTCAAAGTTCACAATAAAACCACTAGCCTCTTCTCAGGTCAAATTTTCTCTGAAACTTTGGTAGCAAGGACCCCAAATACAGGTGGAAAACAGGGGAACCAATGCTGTGTTCCCTGCCCCACTGGAAATCTTGGAAAACCAGGGAGAAAGTGTAGCAAACAGAGGAACAACTATGACTATGTGCTATTTTAGTTCTTTTCTTAGCTCTTTAATCTTTTTCCCTTTAACTCTTCTTTCTTCTGCCCCTTAAAAATGGTTTCTTCCAAGAATTAATCTTTGATGCAGAAGTTCTACAGCCTTCTCTGAGGATCTCCTTAACTCTCTGAAGATCTTCTTAACTCTTCAGGTGGATAACTCCCAGGGTGGTATCTCTAATCTCCATAGCTTTCATGAGTTGCAAATCATAATTTCCAATAGACTTCTGGCTGCTTTCGCCTAGCAATCCTACCAGCATCTTAGTGTTTACAATACTTTGGGGTTTTCTGATGTGTCAACTTGGCCAGGCTACTGTTGCCAGTTAATTGGGGGTTTCAATCAAATGCAAATTTGGGTGTTGCTGTGAAGGTATTTTGTAGCTGTGAATACAGTCTACAATCACTTGACTTTAAGTAAGGGAGATTATTTCAGATAATTTGAGTGTGCCTAATTCAATCAGTGGAAAGCCCTTAAGAGCAGAGTCCAGGCTTCCCTGACAGAAGAAAATCTACCTGCAGACTGCAGCTTTAGCCGGTGCCTGAGAGCTCTAGTGTACCCTTCTCTCATGACCTGCCCTAGAGACTTGCCTAGCCACTTCTCACAGTCATATAAGGCAGTTTCTTGTAACACATCTTTTAATATACATGTCCTACAGATTCTGCTTCACTGGGTAGAATCTGACTGAGATATACAGACCCAACCGGCCTCCTATGAACTTCCCATTTCTGGTAAAGGCACTGCTCTCTATCACTCACTATCCTCTCACTATCAAAACATGACTGTTAATCTTAACTGCCTTATCTCCTCTACCTGTTCCTCCCTTCTTATTTCAATTGGTCTTCCCATATTGAGATTCTTATCATTTCAATTGGCTTGGTACAACCATAACAGCTTAATTTTCATAGAGATGGCATATTGATCTCTTGTTCAAATTTTACTGGTTCTCTCCTAGTCTACCATAACATTTACTGTGCTCCCATACTAGATTCACACCACCTTTGCCATATTTACCTCTTCCTACTCCCTGACAGCAACCCTCTGCTCCAACCAAGCTGGTTACATCCTGTTTCCTCTGTATGAGCTGACATGTTCTGCCTCCAAGCTTTTCCTTATCCCATTTACTTGGGATGTCCCTTCCTGTGTTTCCCCTACCAATCCTTTAAGATTGCCTCAAAACATCTTCCCAACAACCAAGTGTGACCACCCTAAGCTGTAGTGATACTGCTCTCTGAACTCCTATATTATTTTCCCTGTAAATAAATAATTGACCATGAACTACTCTATGAAAACAGATTAATGCAATAAACTTTAAATAAAATCTTTCCCTTTTATCTAACTTGTCATCTGAATTTATATGCTTCTAAATCTCTCCCCTCAACACACTCCTGCCAGAGTGCTTTGTGAAGACTCGTGCTTACCGCATCTTCATTGAGTGAGCTGGTGACTGAATTTTAGTAACTAAAACTTATAACATTAACTGTGTATGTATCTTCAAAGAAGCCCAAAGTGGAGGCCGAGGCGGGTGGATCACAAGGTCAGGAGATCGAGACCATCCTGGCTAACACGGTGAAATCCCTTCTCTACTAAAAATAGAAAAAAAAAAAATTATCTGGGCGTGGTAGTCCCAGCTACTCGGGAGGCTGAGGCAGGAGAATGGCGTGAACCTGTGAGGCGGAGCTTACAGTGAGCCGAGATTGCGCCACTGCACTCCAGCCTGGGTGACAGAGCGAGACTCTGTCTCAAAAAAAAAAAAAAAAAAAAAAAAAAATCAGACAACACTGATTCTGTACTGTTGGTCTTACACCAAGTTTATAACATAAGGGGGAAAAAAGAAACTTTTTTACTTAGGTAGAAAAATAATTTCTTGCTGCCTATAAATATTATAACAAGCACAGATAAGAAATAAGAGGACATTTTATGCAGTTGGTTAAGCATAATGATGGCATAAAACCAAATAGATGTTAAGATTCCTTTTAAGACAAATGAATGAAACTAAATTGGAATTATGGGAGGCAAAAATATAAATTACAAATGTATTAAAGCCATCCTAAGTACATTTA
Source organism: Homo sapiens (assembly GCF_000001405.40). Classification (NCBI taxonomy): domain Eukaryota; kingdom Metazoa; phylum Chordata; class Mammalia; order Primates; family Hominidae; genus Homo; species Homo sapiens. Next base: position 72,368,000 of record NC_000006.12, on the reverse strand, counting down.
TACCTTTATTCCACGGATAAGCCCTGCTTCTGAAGGTAATTATTAAATAAAATTGAAATTAGGAATTAATTTAATACAAGTATTACTCAGAATATAAAAAAATATATAAATAAAACACAAGCAACATGTAGATGACTCTTCTTGGATAATCTATGAAACCCTTCATTTGCAAAAGTATTCTCCATCATATTTTGATTGACAGTTCTTTTAGAAAGAAGTAAGAAAGGAAGTTACTGATAAATATGGATAGTACTGCACAGATTATATGTTTAGTCTTTGGAGAACAGCACTGTTTTTGAATATATATATGTATGTAAGACTGTCCTTTTCAAACTCTAGTGGTGACAACTGTACACTTTCAATTTCAGCCAGGCTGTTTGTGACATCAGAGTATCAGTGAATAAGAAAATGATTCTAGAAATAAATTATGAGGTTATACTTCTACCCACACTTTTTCTGAAAGCACAAAATAAATCTATTTTTGAAATTTCATCAAATTATTAACACATATGTTTCCTTTGGATCTAAAAGCTGACATTTCCCTGGTCCTTGCCTGAAAATAACAAAATAAAAGGCAAAATTTAGGAAGCCTAAATAGAAAATGTGACTGATAATTTCAAAATGCAAAGTAAATATACTTCTGAATTTCCAAAAGAAATGCTCATATATTTGCACTGAATTGTACCTAGAAGGGCTATATTGTATACAGTATAGCTGACAAATTTTAAATAAGAATAAAGTTGTTTTAAAGAAAAATATAACTTTATGATACCGTTAAGATTTATGTTTTGGTAGTAATGAGTTTAAGGACTGCTCAACTTCAAATCCAGCTTTAAAATCCTGTAAGTCTAGCTTTAAAGTTAATCATATTTGGATATTACAATGCTATAAATAAATCTACTGTTGCAACATCATTTTTTAATTATTTCGTCCACTGCATAATTTTTATGTTTTTTCATTTTCATTTAATTATTTGCAATCTGAAGTATAACACTACCTTTGAAAACTGTTAAACAACACTGAAAGCTTCAGACAAATATAGAAATTTGGCTTTTGGCTAGGTTTTATGAAAAGTTATAAATAAACAAACTCCCCTTATAACTTAGTAAATACATATAAGGAACATAGACTTACCTTGTCTATCTTGAAAAAATTAAGTATCAGCATTAAATTGTTCTCTGGGGAAAACTGAATGCCAAAGAAGCTTTGACCTGGTTTAAATAACTTGTGCGGTGGCTGGCTGGAATATCTGTCTGAGCTGCCTGTGAACTGTCTTCTCTGTCTCTCTCCCATTCTCTCTCCTCCTCCCTCACCCTCCGACACTCTCTCCTTCTCATGCATATACAGAATATAATTAAATTGCTTCTGTCAAGAGTGCTTCTTTCCTATAGCTTATTGTAAGACCATGAAGTGTAACATCACTAAGCAAATTTGCCATGTGTCATAAATTTGAAAACTGCTAAAGGGCCACAATTTGAAAACTGCCACAGTCACAACATTTTAAACAAACTATGTAACAAAGACATTTAAATCAAATGAAATGAAAATATGTTGCCTACTTTATTGAATATAATATAGCTTCTCCAATTAGGTAAGAAATCTCAGAGAAGTAAAGCTCAGGGCTAATACGTGATTTCCAGGATAAGTTTGTTTAAAAGGTTTTTACACAATTAAGGGGAAGGTTCTATATCGATCTCTTGTGTTGTACTCACTTGGCACTTGTAATACACATTTAATACACTTAAGCTGTCAAAATTATCACTTTCAATATATACTTATTAAACACTGATAGGTTTCAGCTGCTTTCCCTGTGTCGTTTCACGTCCCACCCTACTGCCACGAGAAAAACACTAGAACACTGGAAATAGAAAAACTTAGAAAAAAAAGGTTCTAACTTCTGTTGAGCACTTTTTACATACCATGCCTTATGCTTAGAGCTTTACACACATTTCCATTAACCCTTATCATAATTCTCTGGTATTGGTATTGCTATGTTTTACATGCATGAGAGGTTCAGAGAGTTAAGAAGTAGTAAGTGTCACAGCTACCACCACAAGTGAAAACAAAACCCTCCAAAACACAACCAAATTCTAAGGCCCGTCTTCTTCAAACGTGTGTAAGCTCTTTAAGCTCTTTTTATAACATCATGTTCATGGAAGGAATATGGAAACAACAGGATTTTACCGTAAGAGCATATTTCTGTGTGGCTCCTCCTCACCTCCATAATGGCACTAAGGAATTAAAAACATTAGAGTCTAGAGTGTTCTGTTTTTCCTCTTTTTCCCTCCAGGGCTGTGTCAACAGCATGAAGGAGTAAAAGTCAGCAAGAGTGATCATTTTTCATGGTTAACCAGGATAATCCTGGTTTATGCCTGTTCTAGCATATTACTAATGGTGGCCCTCTTTTACTTACAAAGATATTCCAGTTTGGATGCTAAATTATATAGTCAATAGACATATAAGTGGTAGAGCAATACAAGTTAAACTAAACCTGCCTCAAAACTGCAAGTGATATTTTGGAATTTTGACAGGACTGGTATTAAAATTGAAATGGCAAGGGATGAAGTCTATGTAATTCAAAAGTTTAGCCTACTGGTACCTTGGTAAACAATGTATCTGCCTCTCAGAACTTGGAGTATTTATCTGGGTTTATAGAAGGCTGCCATATCCATGTGGAATGCCATGGTTGGGTGCCCTGAATAAAGGTGGAATATAAACAGTGTTAAAATCCTGCCAGAGGACCCCAGCAGGGAAGAGAAGGCACAGAGAAAGAACGTAAAAGAATGGCTTCCTCAAGCACATACTGCAAATTTGAACAAATCAGAAATGAAATAACCTCATAGAACTTGTGGTTGGGCAAAGAGCACTTTTGTGCCTTAGAGCCCCTCACTGGCTGGGCACCTCTGTGCAAAGACCAAACCACACAATTAGGTGGAGACTCTGGGTAGAAAACTACGGGAGCAGATGCTATTGGTATCCTGGCTATGCCCCGTAGACATTCACTGTTCCTGTATGCAAGGATGCTGTCTTACTGGAAGCACCTCCAACCCTCTGCTGAGGGTTCCTTCCAATTGTGTAGTCAGCTGTGAGCATAAGGAAAGCAGGCCTGAAGAAGTCAGTGACTCTGCAAGCAGTCCCATAGCCAAGGACAAATGAGAGATGTTGGATAAATCCTACAATTTCCTCACGCTCAGAGGAAACACTTCTCATAGTCTCCCATAGAACCCCAATTGCCTACAGCAGAAATCTGATAATTAAACACCGTATTTTGACTTCCTTTCCCTGTCTCATTTCCCCACAATCAATACTCGTGCTTCCCGGGGATCAACTCTCAAATAAACTACTTGCACTCAAATCTTTGTTTCAGGGTCTGTTTTTAGGGGAGCCTGACCAACACAGTTGCCAAAGAGAAGCTTACTCTACTTTGTAAGGCTGGAGGACTATGTGGTTTAGCCAATATTTGAGAAAGATAAGAGAATTTTTCATGAATTAGTCAATTGATTAGTATTTTATAAAGATTAGAATGACATAACTTTTATTTGCCACAGACTATAAACGATTCACATTTCACAGGTAGCATGCGGGGACTGCACATAGAGTACAGCCTCCTTCAGATACTCATGCTCTATGGAATAATTTTTATATGGCTATCCATCTTGACTATTTTTAAAGGTGTAATTAGATCTTGATCAACAGAGAAATGTATCCCAGTGATACATTTCCTCGTTATAATGTGTCAGAAGGGGCAGTAAGCTTTTACAAAACAGTGTAAAAAGCTGGATAAAGATATGCAAAAACCACAGAGAAAACAAGTGATGTCACTGGCAATATTAGGGCAGAAAAACAGGAAAGCCAGAATAGAGTTATTTTAATAGAAGTAAAAGAGAGGGCTTGGCCTATTGCCAGGCTTGAAAAGGCAAAAGGAAAGGCCCAGAGTGGAGGAGTTGGTGCCAGGTGACTCATCTCAAGACACCTCATGTTCCATGGAATCTGGTGAGGAAGGCATGGTGCCTCTGGGATCAGCAGTCTTGGAGTGTTTAAGCCCACAGGAACGGGAAGCTGTGTGGGATGAGGTTGCCTTTCCTCCCCCACACTACCACCAAGTACTAAATCAAATAATCTTTAAAATCAGTTAAAGAAATCTTGGTGTGATTTGAGAAGGAGCTTTTTAATACCCGAATTATCCCTTTAACCAGTTGGTTGATGCCTGAAATGCCTGTATTTAGGGAAACTGTTTTCATTATACAATTTGAAATAAAATGCAAACCCCTGGTTAAAGAAACAAGCCAAATGAATCTCAGCACAAAAGCAGTCAATGAGGTATGCTTTCAATCTTTTTTGTATGTTTCCAGTAGTGCTTAATAAATAATATTTTTTAAAAAAGAGTCATTGTCAATGAAAAGGCATGCATATCAGAATTCTTTTTAGAAGCTAATTAACTTGTCTTTATATATTTCAACTCCAAATATTTCTCTTCATCCTAACTCATTTTCTTAAATCCACTCTTGCCATTTCCTCTTGCCCCAGCCCCATTCTCCAAACAGGAAAATCTTTAAATCTGCGAATCAAATTATGCACTATCTTTGCTCAAAACCCTTCAATGGCATTCTACTGCACTTTAGATGAAACCAAAATTGCAAACATGGTCACAAAGCCTTACTGGAGCTGGCCCTAACTTGCTCTTAAGAATGTTTTTGCGCCACTTTTTCCCTTTCTCCCTATACTCTACTTTTTTGACCTTTTTTTACTTCCTTAAAATTACTTTCACCTTTTCCATCATAGGTCATTATCTATAATATTCCTTTTGTATGAGGTCCTCTTCTTTCCCTTGCACTACTCCCTTCTGCCTTGCACACCCTTTCTAATCCCTCAGGTCCTGAAGTAGCAGACTTCATTGCCACCAGTCTAGGTTAAGTCCCCGTGTAGGACACTCACAGGGCCCTATACCTCTTCATAACATTTAATGCATTTGAGATGACCATCCTGTTTCTGTTTTCTTGTTACATTATAAGATCCATGAGGGTAAGGACCATGTCTGTCCTGCTTATTACTGTATTCTCTAAGCCCAGCATAGTGCCTGGCATGTACCAGATTTTTAATAAATATATTTTGAATGAACAAATGAGGAGGGACTTGATCCAAGGTCTTCTGGTCCCAAATTCTATATTCTCTGTGCTACAACTCCCAGAACACATGGAATTGAACAACTGAACTATAGGGAAAATGACATAAATAAATGAATAAAGATGAAGAGATGGTTAGAAATCAAACTTTGAAGACAAAATTTTGACAAGAGTTCTACCTATTTATTTTTAATTTAGTCAAAAGATATAGAAGTGCTGAATGAAGCATTTTATCATGCAGTTGTTTTATCTACTATATGGGTATATTAAACAACTGGGGATAAAATTAGTTGGGATTAAGTGAGATGCAGTTTGCTTTTTTTTAAATTTGTATTTTGTTGTCTTCCCCCCTCATTACACATAAGTATACATTTTAGTGTCTAATTTTGTATTCATAATTTTATTTCTTCATTTTCTTCAAGAGGGCTTTCCACAAAATTCCGACCCTGTAAAACCTAAATCTGTCTCTGGTAAGTAAAATAATCTCCTCCATACCATGATGTCCCGACTTGGAGCAAGGGAACCATGGAGCCAGTCCAGTAATAAATATGGTAATACTCATTTTAAAATTTCTTTATGCTTTATCCTTAAAGAAAACTTAAGTGGTTGATTAGCAGACTTGTACTACTTCATCCTAAATTAAATTGGTAAGAAAACAATATGTTTAGTTTCTACTATTCAGAAACTGTGACCTAGGGAAAGATTGGTATGAAAAAAAAATCCCTTTCCCTTTCTCAGTGTATATAGTACAACTCTTTGTTACATTTAAACTATATCCATGGATATCAGTGTGCTTTGGAATCCTCTGCTAGCATTAAAGATGGAAATAAAACCATTAATTTGGGCGAAAAAATTACAATACAATACAATACAATACAATACAATACAATACAATACAATACAATACAGTAATGGTCCTCCAAAGATGTTCATGTCCTAATGTTTACAACCTATGAACATGTTATGCTATGTTACATGGCAATGGGGAATTGTGCTGGCAGATGGAATTAAGCTTGCCAAACAGTTAAAGTTATCCTGGATTATCTGAGTGAAGGCAGTATAATCACAAGAGTCTTTATAAGAGGAAGAGGGAGGCAGAAGTGATGTGAGAAAGACTTCATTAGCATTGCTGGCTTTGATGATAAAAGAAGCCAAGGAATGTGGGCAGCCACTAGAGGCTAGGAAGGCAAGAAAATAAGTTCTCTCTTAGAGCCTCCAGAAGTAATAATTTGGTGCAAAAGCAATCGCGGTATTTATAATTACTCTTAATTAATTAAGGGTGATAATTGCAAAAAACACACTTACTTTTGTGCCAAGCTCATAACACAGCCTTGACTGTGTTGTTGAAATACTTTGAAAATACTTGAAATACTTGAAAATACTTTGACCCATTTTAGACTTCTGACCCCTGGAATAAGATATAAAATTTGTGATTTTTGTTAATTTATTAAGCAGCAATAAGAAAGTAATAGCAGCCGGTGCAGTGGCTCACACCTGTAATCCCAGCACTTTGGGAGGCCGAGGCGGGTGGATCACTTGAAGTCAGGAGTTCGAGACCAGCCTGGCCAACATGGTGAAACCCCGTCTCTACTAAAAATACAAAAAAAAGCAGGGCGTGGCGGCATGTGCCTGTAATCCCAGCTACTTGGGAGGCTGAGGCAGGAGTATTGCTTGAACCGGAGACGGTGGTTGCAGTGAGCTGAGTCGTGCCACTGTACTCCAGCCTGGGCAACAGAGTGAGAATCTGTCTCAAAAAAAAAAAAAAAAAAAAAAAAAAAAAAGAAAGAAAGACCCGTTCCTACAGAAGATTACTCAAAAAGTTATCACTTTACAAAAGGAACCTCCCTAAATTTCTCTTTTATTTATAAGAAGATCTCATGATCTCATGATCCAAATCCTGAGAATAATATGAAGGTTTCCAAATAACTTTTAAAAAAAAAAAAACCTACCACTTAAACAGAGGATTTCTAAGGCTAGGAAACATATCCACTATACCCATTATTATGTTCTCACCTATGGAAAATAGAGTTGTTTGTAATTAGAATGCATTTAGTCAAATATTTATTAAGTATTAAAGAACTACGCACAAAAAATAAAACGCCGTCTTTTTTCCTATCTTTTTTAGATAGCTGGACTGTAGCCACAGTTTTATATATATAGTAAAAAAAATATAGTATACATATATAGTATAGAATATATTAAATATATAAATATAGTATGCATATACACACATATACATGTAGATATGTATTTCCCTTTTATTAAGACTCTTTGCAAATCTAGATTTAAATCCAAATGCTAGCACTGATACGACTTTTGGTAAGTTATTTAAGTTTCTTTTTAAGTAAAGTGGAAATTGCTCAGTTTCCTGGGAGGAATGGAAATGATAGATTTATCCATTGAATAACAGTGTACTGTAGACCCTTTGGCATTTTCTCACAAATACAGATTCCAAGTAATAACATTTCCATATATGTTTGAAAGCAGATGCTAACAGAAAGACTATTGTACAGAAAGACACAGTGCTCTGGTCAGAAGGTATGTGATAAATAGATTAATTTTATGAAAATAGAAACTTGTAATTAGCATTAACTATGATTATTCAGAGGGTGTTTATAGTCTATTATTTGATACAAATCAAAATACTACAAAAGCTAGATGCTACTTCTTGCTTTTCAAGGTATGGTGAGGAAGGGATGAAATGCAGGAGTCACTCAGTGAGTAAGCAGAAACTAGTCTCTGCTTGGCAGTTTGAGATGGCTATACAATTTGAATTTGGAGGGTGAACAAAACTCTGACTTGTAAATTTTTCTGTTTTAGCCCAATCACTCCAATTAAGGCAAATAAACTTATCTGATAAATTTTATACAACTTGTGTTAGAAATCTATGAAAACTATTGCATTTTAAGTCTCCATGTTAAGGTCTCTGTAGTTAAAAGAGTACACGATGCTGTCAGAGAGTTGGGTAAAACAAGTATTTTATATGGTGGGTTGTTGTCATGATTTTGGACAATAATTCTTTAGATATCTGCTCATGGGAAGAAATCACTTTAAAACATAATAACGTATTTTGAAACTCAAACTTGGGATGCACTTTGTGATTTATGTGTTGTGTTATTTCTCTCACATGACCCTTGAAGGGAGATTTTCAACTGGAAAGGAACCCTTGCTATTTTACACATTTAGTTAAAAGAAATGCACATCAAAATATAGTAGTCAATTAATTTTCTTGTACTAGGGACGTTTTGATGACTCTATGGGTGCTATATGTTAATTTAATGAGCTTTGCTATTTATATTATAGTGTGAAATGGTCAATATTAAGGCAGGTCATTGAAGACGTGCCTAACTGGCTTTGTGATATTTGGAAAGGTCAGTCTCTGGATTAAAGAAAAAAAAAAAGCAAATTGCTTTTAGGGAAACAGCCTGTTGCATGGCAAGAGCGATTCTATCTTGAAGTGAAGCCACCCTAATAACCAATGTTTGACTCCCACATGTAAAGGTGTTCTCAGTAACATCTTTAAACAATGCCTGCAGCATAGATAATCATGAAGATGTTTATCTAATCTCCCCAGTGGTCATTTGGTAAGAAAGTCTGAAGATGTGACCAGCACATTAAAAGCTTGCTATATAAAGAATTCTTTCTGGAGATTGGTGCAAGGATCCACCATCTTGCAGCCACCTGAGACATCACTTCTGTTTGTAAGTCCCTAGTTAATAATTCTTTCTGATAAACTGTATTTGTTAGCCTCTTTCTTTGGCCTCTCAGCTCTGTTGGCCTTTGGTGGTAGGTTTGCATTTACTTGCTCAACACAGAACATTGCTTTCTAATGATGTAAGTTAAAAGTAAAGATGAAGCCTAGAGAACACAATAAATAGGAGATTAAAGAATGACCCTTAGGTGGCCTCTTTGAGGTTTAAGATGTCTCATCTGATCTGATATTTATGGCTAAGGCTCTGTTATGCCCTCTGAGGGCAGTCAGTGTATTATCTGAAGACCTACCTATGGACTTAGGTAGCACCTAGGTAGTTAGCTGGAGCCTGATGTGTCAGATCACTGTACCACTAAACTTCCCACATCTATTCTTTCCCTCTTTCTCTCCTGTAACAATGCAAAAGGTGTCTTTCCTCTTGCTGGATGTGATCCCTCCTGCCTTCAATCAATAGACAAGGCTCTATTGATTAATTCTCTCATCTTTTTATCTTAAAATCTTCCTTTCAATAGAATATAAGTATTTCAAAACCCATGCTTTTCCTTGACAAACTTAACTGCCTCCCCTTCTTTGTTCATATCTCAGAGAACAATTTTTAAACAAATGTCTTCTTTCTCTGTCCCCACGTAATCTCTGGAAAGTGTAATATTTTGCAAACACAAATTCTGTTGAATTTATCAAAGCAGTCTTTGCTAACCAGTAATTCTGGAATCTCAGCAGCCACTTCAAAATATTTGTTCCAGTTCTCATACAAATGAGAACTTTACTTTGTATTAGAAAAATACTCACTAAAAAAAAGAGAAAAGTACTCACTTAAAAAAAGAGAAAAATACTCATTGAAATGTTTCAGAAATAATGATCTTAAAAACAGAATTGTAAAGATTTCTCTATCACTTTCATTATCTACCTTGACTCCTGGCCATAGTCTTTAATTATATTTTGTTGGATTATATTTTACAGTACCTATGCTTCTAATCTATCAGCACCTTTTTTTTTTCTTTCTGTTCTTTACTTACTTCTATGAGCAGCAAAAGGGAAAAAATAATTTCATATATAAATCCAGTAATTGTTTTGGGACTCTACTGTGCTGTACAGACAAGGTGGTGATACTGTTTAAAATGAATTGTTTCCTAACGGGCACCAGCTGTGTTTGAAATCAATGTATAATGTGTGAAAGTTATAGTTGCATAAAAGTGAAATGTAAAGACGTTGAGCATCACTCAGAAACTGCTATTTTTTGATGTCTCAATCTCTATGAAGAACCAGACCTAATATATGTTTATCTTTAGAGAAAATTAAAAAGTTAGGTGATACTTTTAGCATTGTCAATTACCAATAATGCAAATTTCAGAAAATTTCAGAGTGGAATTATGACTGAGATACGGTTATGAGCAAGTTTGGTTCCAAGCTTACAGAAGTGCTAAATGTTGAATATCATATGTATGTAAAAATCAAGTAAAGAAGGATTTGATTAAAGTCACTGTTGTGAAAAACAAGTTACAGAACCATAGACTGAAGAGCTTGGAAGTATTAGAGACCCTGTAGAATCCAATGCCATGAACCTGCTGCAAAGAAAACTGGCTGAAAAGGTGAAAAGAAAATTGCCAAAGTCATATAGCTAGCCTCTGGCAGAGAGGCACCTGAAATCCAGGTCTGTTGACTCTCAGTACGGTACATATTCTAATACAAGTAAACATAAATACAGAACAATCCCCTAAGTCTATTTGTTACACCTTAGAATATTCTACCCATAAAATATTCCTATCCCAGGATGAGAGGCTGGTGCAGTTCATGTATGTGCACCACTCAGCAGCAGAACTGATCCTTCATCTGAGTAAAGAGATGGTGGATTGCAGGATGCCCTTGGGCTGCTATGAGAACATTTCAGCCCAAAGTGCTGGTCCCACTCACCCTCCAACTGAACCTAGTTGAGGATTAAACATCAAAGCCACCCCAAACCTGCAAGGTTAATGGGAAATATTTTCTCTAGAGGCTCCATGGAAAATAATCTTTATTCTCTGGCCCACAGGCTAAACTGAACTCAATACAAATTACTGAATAGCTTAGACAAATTTTGGTGCCAGGTAAAAAGAAGTTTGATATCTGTGGTATTTAGCTGTGCTTTATCCTGTAGTCACAGATCCTATAGCTGCAATAAAAAATCTTTGCTGTTCACCCACAGATATGTATGTCTGGCTTTAAAATTTTGAATTATATTCATAGGAGGAATTAAGCAGTGTTTCAGAGGATATTTGAAGCTCAAAGATAAAGGTAGAATTTAGAGAAGAATGCTCTTTTATACTAAAATATTTTGGAAAATTTTTTATAGTAAACATTAGTATATGATAAGCAGAAGGCTAAAGTCTCATTTTATTTTATTTTATTTTTTATTATTATTATTTTTTGAGACGGAGTTTTGCTCTTGTCACCCAGGCTGGAGTATAGTGGCGTAATCTTGGCTCACTGCAACCTCTGCCTCTGGGGTTCAAGCGATTCTCCTGCCTCAGCCTCCTGAGTAGCTGGGATTACAGGTACCTGCCACCACACCCAGCTAATTTTTTGTATTTTTAGTAGAGATGGGGTTTCATCATGTTAGCCAGACTGGTCTTGAACTCCTGACCTCAGGTGATCCACCTGCCTCGGACTCCCAAAGTGCAGGTATTACAGGTGTAAGCCACCGTGCCTGGACACATCTCATTATTTTTTAGATAAAATTGAAGACTTAAAAGAATATTCCTCTTTTAGCTGCTGTTTGAGGCTATGCCCTGTCTTTCTGGAGATATGCACTACTTCCCTTTGCCATTAGAGGCCTTTCAGTGGAAGAGTTTAAGAAACACAGAACATCATTTTTTTTTTTTTTAAACTTACCTTGGCAGTACATTTCCAAATTCCAAAAAGCAAGCCATAGAATTTCAAGTCTTCTTGAAGCTTAGTGATTTGGAGTTAAAGTAGTTTTTAGTTCATACGTTCCAAAGATAGGAAATAATTATGTTCTAAAGATACCGTTAAGGTCAGTTGTCAGCATAAAGTGGACATAATTTAGAGATTGTTGTGTCAACTGACTGGATATATAATGTTAACCTGTGTTTGGGGTATCACAGGAAAGCTTAATATAGTAGACTGGAATCACCTTCCAGATTATGTGGAAGAATTACGTCAATGATGATATACAATATTCTTTGTACTTTTTGAGATGTCTAAGCCAAATAAGTATCTAGAACGCAACAACAGAATCTTCTGAGAACAGTGGGAGTCGTTATGTGTAATCACAGAAACGTCAAAAGTGTATTTTATCAGCAAATCTGATTATTATGCTCATTATGATATTTTTGTTATTGTTGGGGGAGGAAGGAAAGATGGTTATAAATGACAGGTATCGAATTAGACATGTCAGAAGACTTCATAGGGAGCTCAACGATTCATTTAACCAAGCAATAAACCACTGGGAAACTAGATGGGAGACATGTATGTTTATTAAAATATCATGCAGAATAGGAGGTGGAAATATCCAACATCTCGAACTGGCAGTCTCTAACCTGATAACATAACTGCTGCACAATTTTTCAGTGTAAAAAATCAGCTGCTTGTTCTAAAGGTGTTTTCACCCATCTTTATGCATACAAAAGAGGAATAATAACACAATTCGCCTTTTGGATATAAGGAAAAAAGGAACAATCAAGGAACAATAATTTTAATAATTTAAAAATCTTTACAACCCCAAATATATTGTAATGCTATTATTTTCCAGGTTATTTTTGCTCTAACAACAGTATGTAAATACATATATTTTCTTGTTTTGAGAAGTTAAGATTTAGTTGTAATACAAGTAAATCCTCTAAATAAACTATTTTTTAAGGGTATGATAAATTGTAATACTTACAGGGATTTTTATGTAAGTAGTGAAAGATGAAGTTTAGAGACAATATAAAAGTTTAGAGACAATATAAAATCAACTATGGATTGACTAGAAGATAGTTGTATGTCCCTTTAACCCGTATTTTCATTTTGTCAAAAATTATTAAGTGACACAACTGTTGTTTAAAAACAGAAAATAAAACTTTAGTTAAGTATACAAAATGCATGTATTCACTCTCCTTTCTAAGATATTGTCTACCTTATTGGTTGATAGCATTTTCGGTGCACTATTACAACACATAACAGTTCTCCCCACACCAATTTGGCTATATAGGTCTATGAACATTCCTCGCGTTTAATATTTAAACATGCCACTGAGCACAAAAAAAAGAATTAAAAAAGTAAAATCTAACATTGGCAGTTGGGTTTTATGTATAAAGTAGCAACAGGGCAGACCTCAGGTGATGTTTAGACTTACTTCTTGGCCTAGACTTATGTTAACAGAACCCCAAAAGGTCTAAAGCACTAAAGAGGTTTGCCAACTACACTTAGATGTGGGTAGATGTTCTATGGGTTTACAAATACAAGGTGAATAAAACTGAATATACCCATCAGAATCTTTATATTCTACATAGCAAAACAGTACTAGGAAAAATTAGAAATAAATCAAGTCTCCTATAGTTAATCAACAGCAACTCTCTCACTTAAAAAGTAACACTGGGCATAGCATACAGAGCATCTAAGAAACAAAATGTATGCAATTCCAAATTTTAGATATTACACATTTTACTTCTTTTTGTTAAAGATGTGCTCTGTAATCATTACAATTATTTTAACTACAGCAAATACATGAGTAGGTTAAAAATTGGTATCTCATATATCCCATAAATATATATACCTTTTATGTACATACAAAAATTAAAAAAAATTGGGCTTAGTGTTAGAAGTAAATTTAATAAAATAGAGTTCTAGCTTAAGAGCTAGAATTTTCCATAGTGAGAAAACTGTCCCCATGGAGTAGCTAAGAAGACAGAATATGTAGGCGCAAAGCCTGGGTTTTATTTATTTGTTTGTTTGTTTATTTATTTATTGAGACGGAGTCTCACTCTGTTGCCCAGGCTGGAGTGGAGTGGCATGATGTCAGCACACTGCAACCTCTGCCTCCCAGGTTCAAGTGATCCTCCTGCCTCAGTCTCCCTAGTAGCTGGGATTGCAGGCACGTGCCACCACGCCCGGCTAATTTTTGTATTTGCAGTAGAGACGGGGTTTTACCATGTTGGCCAGGATGGTCTCTAACTCCTGACCTCAGGTGATTCACCTTCCTCGGCCTCCCAAATTGCTGGGATTACAGGTGTGAGCCACCGTGCCCGGCCAAAGCCTGGGTTTTAATACTAGCTCTGCCAACCCCCAGTTACTTAATCTCTATACCTTAATTTCCTTACTGTATACAGGAAAAATGTTAGCAGAACCTATTCCATTGGCTTGTTTTAAAGATTAAATAGTGTTGATAAAACAACCTGGAAGAGTAAATGATATATAAATGTACATGCCTGTTATTTGTAGACATAAACAAGCCAGAAGTAGTAACTGAGTATCAGAGGTGAGAGAGAAGAGAGAGAAAAAGAGCAAAATAATGTGTGCTTTGTGACGTGACCACTTCCCAATCACCTTCCCTCCAATCCCCCCATGACTAACAGTTTCTTCATCAAAGTCTATTAAACTCATAAAGCCTGGACATGAACAAACGTTTTTTGTTCTGTTTTGTTTTATAAAGCAAGGAAATGGCTAAGCTTTATGCAGTCTATGTTGTATTGAACAGGGGAACCTGGACTCTAAGAGTCAAAAGAGGCCAGGAAATTTTAAAACTGACGAATGAATAGAAATTGTGGGGTCAGTTTTGGATTCTGACAGGCTTTGAAACTCGGATAAAGGGGCTCTCAAATTACATTGTCAGTGCACAAATTTTACAGTAACATAAGAAAGCACCAGTATTTTCAGACTTTACTTTAGAACAGAATTTAAACTCAGCCGGACGTGGTGGCTCATGCCTGTAATCCCAGCACTTTGGGAGGCTGAGGCTGGTGGATCACCCGAGGTCAGGAGTTCGAGACCAGCCTGACCAACATGGTGAAACCCCGTCTCTACTAAAAATAAAAAAACTAGCTGAGCGTGGTAGTGGGTGCCTGTAATCCCAGCTACTCAGGAGGCAGGAGAATCACTTGAACCCGGGAGACGGAAGTTGCAGTGAGCCGAGATCTCGCCATTGCACTCCAGCCTGGGCAACAAGATTGACACTCCATCTCAAAAAAAAAAAAAAAAAAAAAAAAGAAAAAAGAATGTAAACTCTCAAATGACTTAATTATTTATAATGAAAGCCTTTTCAAGTTGTGTGTGTGACAGTCAGTTAGTGGTTTCTCCCCTTTCCAGTTACAGAATTCATAGTAAGTGGTTGCTAAGTCAGGGATTTTATTTCTCGGGTCCCATCCCCAGCATCTAGGCTTGGCCATGTGATTAACTGTCATTAATAGAGCATTAATAGGAATGATGTGTGATGCTTCTAGAACAAGGCTTTTAGTAGTCAGATATATGTTCTCCATTTCCCTTTTATACTTTTGCGATATGGATTCAAATGACAAAAATGCATAACATGTAAAGAACCTGGGCACCTGAACCACTGCACAGAGGAGAGTTGACTGCCTGCCATGAGCATCTGCCTCAAATTATTAAATTAACAATAAATAGAATTTTACTAAATGTGAGCCTTTATACTTTTAGGGTAAATTTTTATAAAAACTAGAATTACGTTAGCTAATATATCAAATTACTTGAGGATGATATAATAGTATGATGGCTAAGAATAAATTCTACCACACAAATACTGTGCCTATCAGTTATTAGCTATGTGATCCTGGGCAAATTAATCTTTCTGAGTTTTAGTTTCCTTATCTAAATAAAATGATGATAATAATGGTACCTGTTTTAGAGTGCTAGAATTGTGCCAGTATGACTCATTGTATGTACCTGATAAACCCAGTCTTCATTAATATCTACAATTAGGCTTATCCCTGTGGATGAGTGAATTAGCTAAATAAGCAGAACAAATGAATCCAGTTTTCTTGTAAGTATACAGAAACATTCTGAACAGTTTAAGATAGTCTACCAAGAAGCTGGCATGGTTGTACAGTAAAACGTTTGCAGAGTCAGAAGGTTCACTGACAGTGCCACCTCCTCGGCCAACTTCAATGACATGCCCCATTTAGAGCACAGACTCTGTAGCCCAACTGCTGGATTCCAATTCCAGCTCTGCCCTTACTATGTGAACTCAGGCATGTTACATACCTCTCTGTGTTTCAATTTCCTCATAAGTAAATGGGACTAATAAAGTGAGGCATATCACTGAAGATGAAAAATAGTGGTGTGCTTCAGCTTAGTCTTAGGGTATAAAATTATATAGATATACATGTTATAATTTTCTCCTTGTAAAAAAATGAAGTCCAAATTAAATATTTTTCTGGTTATAAATGACAAAATGCTCACCATCGACACTGAAGATTCTGGATATTTACAGGCAATTATACATTTAACTAGTATATAATAGCATTTTAAACATACTGAAGGCATGTGGTGTAGTGGTTAAGGACTGAGGCTATAGGCACAGACTAAAATTCTAATTATTTCTTTGCCACTTACTAGCTGTGTGACAATGGTTAAGTGACTTAACTTCTCTCAGCTTCTGTGTTTTCCTTGAAGAATCCAGCCAATTGTCAGGGTCCTGTGTCACAGTCTCTTGTATCAATGTCATAGGGTTGCTGACAGGGTTAAATGTGACAATACACATTATAAGCCTTACAAAGGACCAGTTTACATAATATGGGCTGAACAACTCTTAGCCATTCTTATTAGTAATTATTAGGCACTTGATCAATATCTGTGGAATGAATGAAATAAATGTTTGACATCACCTAAACATGACTGTCAGTGATGAGTGAAAATAAAAACAGTAGCCATTTAAGTTCAGTGGAAATGATTGCTGGTTTCAGGCAGTGCTGACCTAAAAATTTAATGGTGGGAACAAAGGTAAAGCTTAAAACAGAGCTAATGGCATTTTTTTTTTTTACATCTTGGGGAGGTGAGTAGGATACAACTAAGAATAAATAAGATAAATGCAATATGATATGTTACTAAAAACAAATTCTCTAAAAAATTACATTTCATATACCATGTATATAAATATGAAATGTTTATGCTCCTTTAAAATTGTATTTAATTCTCACAATTATTTTTTAGATGAGAAGAAAGTGAATTATTAAGAATATATTAAAATTTATGGAAACTTTGAGGAATAAAAAGCAGATATTTATATTCTACTTTAAAAGTCACTTTCTTCCAGACGCTTTCCTTAGTTAATGCATTCCTAATCTTTCCCAATCTGATCAGCCTTTTATTTTAAAAGCTTTCAATAATTTTGCACTCTGAGCTGGTGAGCATGAAAGGGCTTTGTAAAAGCTAAAGTTCTATAAAGAAAGAATCTCTCTTTGCCTGTTGATATACTACTTAGTAAATGAGCTTGTAAATAACTCCAGGGCAAGATAAATGCTTTTACTTCTTATGTACCATAAAGAGTGCTCAGTGCCAAATTCTAAAGGGCATAGGATATTTTCAAACGCTTCAGCCAAAGGGTATGCAATGGGTAACAACTATGAAAATATAAAAGCAGAACAAAAGAATAGACAACTGGCATTACTTTAAATAATGTCACTAAGCCATTTACAGAGTAAAAAGCTGCCTGCTGTATTGTGCTATCTGGGCCAGTGAATCTAGGACATGCTGAATATGAAAAGAAAAGCACAGACAGAGGCCTCTAGAAGACATGCTGTTGCCTCCAGTGCCATCAGCAGAAAGGAGACAACAGAACTCACTTATTACAGAGCCACTTTGATTTAGGCACCAAGGGACTCATCATTGAAGCTACAAACCTCTCAGAAATTAAAGTCAATACTTGCAATTGCACTGAGAGCAAATTCAAGCAGCTCTGGAAAAAATATGCTTTATTATCATGGTCAACACATTTACTGCAACATCAAAATATCTGAATTTAGTCTTTTTTCCTTCCTTTTTTCTGTGTACAAAAATTAGATTTTTAAAATTCTGTGATTTATTAAATATTTTTCCCACAAAAATATACTTTTCAAACTGTGATTTGAAAGAGAATAAAGAATGATCCATGAGAAGACAGAATTATTAAGCATTATAGAAAGCCAAAGAACTGAAGTGAGAGTAAATTTTTACTTCAAAGGTAAATTTTTCCTACTATTTTCCTTGCTATTCACAACAATCTTCTCAATAAGTCTCCAAAACCTATGACAATTAGTATGTTTTCTTCTTTGATTAGCCGAAGATCACAGAATCCTACACTAGTTATAAATCTCTATAAATTTTATGTAATATTTTCTTAAAATGATTCTTCTGTTTTATTTTTCCTTTTTAAAAACAATTGAATAATAGGTTGAGTGTACTTCCCAAGGTAGAAACTATAAACAGGAACTAGTATTTTCAGCAGCAGGTTAAGTTACCTAAAGATGATTAACTTTGTTTTGGCTTTATTTTTCCTGTGGGTTTCTAATCAACCCTTTCCGGTAAGTTTCTAATCAATATCCTTTCCTTTAAAGAATCCTTCCTCATTAGAGTATTTACATCCATTTTCAGTTTCCATAATGCAGGTAGACAGGTCAAATATTCATTCTTACAATTTCAAATTCAGAGTGATAAAAATATTAATATATATGTTAATTTTTATATTTCCCAACTAATATACTTTTACATCATTACATCACTAGATATAGCAGTGTTTCAATGCAACTATATGCCTATTTATAAATGTAACTTTAGTTATTACAAATAAGTTTTAATCTCTTTCAGTTGAAACTTTCCTAAATGTAGTATAATTATTTACTATTTGATTACTTGTCAGAATCTTCATAGTTTCAAATTAAGAGAAAAATAAGTATGGTATTTCCATTTACAAAAACATCCTATGGCACTGACTTTGAATCTGGAACACAGAATGTTTTTTACCTCCTTGTAGACCTAGAACATAAAGTCTGTTAAGCTTCACTAAAACTATGACTAATCATTGGGTGTACCACATTTTTCGGTTGTAAGAAAATAATCTTTACAGTATAAATGATTTTGTAATGAGTATCACAATGTACTGCTTCAATATCAGAGGTTTGTTTCCCAAGTAAGAATTCACTAGCTTACTTGAAAAGCAGTTACAGTAGATCCTTTGTTCACAAGCCTCCTCTGGCCCTATGCCCAACAAAAGAAAGATTCCCAAAAAATCTGGGCATTTTTGCTTAAATACTTAAGTATTTTCATAAGGTTAATAAACCTTTTATAAATGATATAAAAGGATGTTGTAAATTAATATCTTTATCAATCATTATTATTTCTCATAAATGTACATTTTTATCTTTCAATAATTTTCTAATAAAATATTACTTTATTTGACATTTACTGTAATGGTAAAGTAGTTAAATCAGCACCAATTCTGGAGGTTCCACAAAGGGGAGAGGGCAGTAAAGGGAGTGAGTGCTGAAAAAAAGTACCTATCGGGTACAGTGTTTACTATTTGGGTGATGGGTACACTAGAAGCCCAAACCTCACCATTAGGCAATTTATCCATGTAACAAACCTGCAAATGTACCCTCTGAATCTATTAAAAAATCAAAATCTTAAAATGATAATTATTTATTCTTGCTTATAAAAGAGTTAATATTTAAAAGCAATAAGGTAGAATTAACTGGTTAAATCTATCGAGAGCAATGTTCAGGTGCTTTTGAAGTGATATATAAGCAAAGAAGAGAAAGAAAGGAAAAGGGAGGTTGCAAAGTAATAGACAAATCACTTCTACAGTCGTCCGACAGTAAACGTTGGGGATTGACTCCAGGATGACCACCATGTATACCAAAATCAAAGCTATCCCTCCGCATATGCAGGTTTCTATAATATTTCCCATGAATACTTTATTTTGGATTTGCATTTGTTTGACAAAAAAATTTGTGTATAAGCGGGCCTGCGAAGCTCAAACTGCATTGTTTAAGAGTCAACTGTACTTGTTACAACTTAAAAAACATGTTTTTATTTCCTAAGAATAACAAACCAAACATAGAAGAAAAATTTACCCACTAAGAAGAGCTTGCTTGTCACAATGTTAAATGAAATATTATACCATGATTTGATCAATTAATTACCATTTGAGCATTATGTTTTGACTAAGCAAACATCACATTCACCTATCTAACAGACGTTTATCAAGATTCTTCTGCATTAAATGCACTGTTGTGAAAGACCAGAAAAAACCTGTTGCGTGGTCATTACCCTTGATTTACTTCGGAGTTCATTTTGTGACATGAATTCTACAGATGTAAACAGCACCACATGAGAACTCCCTAAAAGTCTTATAGGACTTAAAAAAATTACTTTCGGTCCTGGTAGGAAGTTGATATTTGGGTAGGGCTTGAATGAAGAGAAAGATTTTGACAGACAAACTGACAGATTAAGAATTTTCTGGGTAGAGCACCTGTAGAGAGGTACAAAGAAAGAAGCTTTAAGTTGTGTTCTGTGAACCCCAGGAAGATAGGTCTGATGCATAGAAAGAAATGAAGTTACACATTTAAGAGATGGAACATAAATAAGAATCATTTGCTCATGTCAAATAAAAGTGGACATTTTTTACTATTTTTCTGTTACATACATCACATTGGTTTCACATGTGCACAATATCTGTGGCCTACACCATAAGTTAAATTATTAAAATAAGTTCATATCTATAAACTTTCTGTGATCTACTAAGAACAGTTTGGGGAAATCGAATAGACAGAATTCAGACTGCAGTGAGGGGGACTGAGTGGCCTCAGAAAGAAAGGGAATACAGAAAACTCTTCCAAAAGTTTCTTTCATTCCAGAAAACTTTTCTGTATGTGGTACAGGCTTTGTGCTACATACTGGGATACAATCACTGAAATCACAGACTTGGTCCTTGAGCCCCCAACTGGGAAAATTAGGGTTGAGTGACGTGCTTTTACTACTTTATGTAAACAGCTAAGCCAGGTATCAATTTTAGGGCAAAGTTGAAGATATAAAGAGTCTTATCTATGGGGGCATAAGTCTTCGTTCTGAGAATCACTGTGTCTAACAAGAGATATCAATAGACGTATGGTATAAATGTAAACATGACAGGTATATGGAAAAAAATAAAGTCATGGAAGTAGGGTAAATTAACTCCTGACTCTGAGAAGCAGAGAACAATGATAGAAATGATTATTGTTCACTAATACCTTCTTCTGCATTGCAGGCACTAAGTTGTTGGCCTACAGCAGACCTTAAGGAATGTTCTCCTTAAAGGACTAGACAGTAAATATTTATAACTTTGTGGATTAAGCGGTCTCTGACTTTGTAGCACACAAGTAGCCATAGACAACATGTAAATGAATGAAGATGGCTGTATTTCAATAAAACTATGTTTATTGACATAAAAATTTGATTTCTCAGAATTTTCACATATCACAAAATATTATTCTCATTTTTATTTTTTTAAACCATTTAAAAAACATAAAAATATTTATTCTCTCATGGGCCCTAAAAACCAGACTCTAAGCCAGACTTTGGTGACCTCTAACCTAATAGAGTGAAGGCTGAGTAACAGAGCAGAAGGGAGGGAACTGGCAAAAAGAAAACTTGGATTTCTGTCTGGCAGATTATGCCTAATTTGGGATGAACATACTTCTGGGAGTTCATAAACATCTTTCATGTTTGTTTACACAGTGGCGTATGTGAACAAGTGCAATTTACTGAGGCTAGGACTAACAGATTTCACCAGATCCTCAAAGGTGGACTTGACTTGAGGAACTTTGAGAAATACTGACTTAGAAGAACTCAAGCGTTAGATCTTAAGATTCTATTCTTGTATTCTATTAACTACATGTAATGAACAGATAAAAATATTAGCTGGATTAATCTAACTCTGACTGCTATTCATGAACGATGTCACTGATACCTTTTCTTTATCTACTTACCCTTGTATTTGGTTCCCCAGAATTATTAAAACTGCTAATTATTATTACTGATCCCTTGTCAGGTACTTTGCTAAATTGTTTAAAACATTTATTTAATCTCCACAACAGTCTTCTGAGGTAGGTACCATTTATGGTTCCATATTATAGTTGCGAAAATGGAGGGTCAAAAAGGACCTTTAACTTTTTGTTTTCTGCAGGAGCCTCTTCTAGATCCTCTTTACTTGTATTTTATACTTCTTTCCTAAGTAACTTCATTGATTTCAATTGCCAGTTCTATGTTGTTGATCCTCAAATTGCCTAAAACACATTTCCTATGATGGTCCCAAGCTCAACACTGCCAGAATTGGCAAATGTGGTCCTTTCCCAACAACCACCCTCTTAGTAAATGGTAACATCACGTAACCTTATCTCTAATATTCCTCTTCTCCCTATTGCCCAAATGCTCAGATACAAAAGACTGTTTATTCTAAGACATAATTCTAAGCTCCTTCCAGTTCCACCCTAGTACAAGCATCCCGTGATGGTGTACTAAGTGGTCTTAAATACACATTTTTTAAAGTGAAAAAAGGCAAGATTATAAAACAAAATTAAATATTATAAATCTATGCTTGTTTAAAAAATCTCTATCAAAAAGGTATCTCTCTGTGTGAACATACAGTTGGAACGGAATTATAGTAAAGTGGTTGAGAACATAAGCTCTACTTCAAGTTTTAAGAGTTGTGATACCTCAGACAAGTCATGGAACCTGTAAAATGCAAATAATAAGAGTATTTCATGGCTGTTTTTTGTGAATTGAAGGAATTAACACATGTAAAAAATTAAAACACTGGTTGGCATGTAATAATTGCTCACTAAATCACAACTATTATTGCTAATGGTTTTATCAATATTAATAATACAAATGCATAGAAAAATTATCCAATAATAAACTATCATTTTCACACTGACTTTGCAATTAGTGGTGATACCACAGGAGTTTTATATATCTTCTTTTTGCCTTTCTGTATTTAAAATGTGAAAATCAATCAACAAAAATCTCTATGAAAAAACACTCTGAATTAAATAAGGATGTATTAAAATTGGTCATCTTAAAAATAATCAGACACATTTCTTGTTACATCTTTAGCTGCCTGAAATGTTTTGTGACACCTATTTTGAAACTGATCTCATGCTTAACAATCATCTTAGTATAGTTAAAAATATCAACATGTGTAATTATTTTAGTGCTAAGTGTTGTGCTTTGAAGGCACTTAATAAATTTAGTTTCCTTCCCTCCTCCAAACCCTGAAATACAAATTAATTATAAAAATTAATTCCACTGAAATCAATAATTTTTTCTGCCAAGCCAACCTAAAAGTATATCTATATCTTAGCCAAACGTAAAATTTATATTTCAGAGCAAGGAAAAGAACAAACATAGACCAGCTGGAGTATGTTTGAAAATACTAATCCTTATTAGGGCATCTCTTTAGAAGATGAGTTACTTTAGCTGAATTGAATCTCTATTAACAGTAGTGAATTCCTAAGGCAGACAGCAACAGTAAATAAAAGAACCCATGCTTACATTCATTTGATGGTTTCGCCAACTTGAGAATCATTTCTGGTACCATGATTTTGTGTTCAGGAAACAAAGAACATGAAATATTACATTCTTCAGAATGTTTTTCTTGTGCCATTAAATGAATCAAGTAAATGAGGCAATAAGGCACAAATAAGGAATTTAGATTTCAGCAATATTTTGATCCACTGTAGCTTTCAGTTTCTGAAACTTTGGAAGGGCCTACATACTTTGTAAGAATTTTTGGCTTATATTGTTAATAATCAACAGAGCCAAGAAAACATTTCTTAGAATGTTCAAAGACACCACCTTAGCCTTCCTTCCCTGCAGCTATAACATTATTTTTCTAAGAGAAAAGGCAGAGAGTCTTCACAAAGCCATACCAGACTTAAAATTACCAGAGAACATTTTGGTAAACTGTATTGGTTAGAAGGAGAAAAATAAGTCCTAGGGCAAATGTCATCCATTTTCCCAAGGTAAATAAAGTAGGCTCTCCAGGAAGGTGCTCATTTGATTTATTTCATGACTTGCATTACCTGTGTGACTTTTGGGTAATAAAACTGGAAAAAATTAACAGAAGGAGATTTAATATTTTTCACATTTGTTGGCATAATTATTGTCTAAGGACCATAAGAATTTT
Organism: Homo sapiens; assembly: GCF_000001405.40. NCBI lineage: Eukaryota > Metazoa > Chordata > Mammalia > Primates > Hominidae > Homo > Homo sapiens. The sequence continues at coordinate 72,344,035 of NC_000006.12, read as the reverse complement.
AAAATAATACCTTGAACTCATTGTAAATTAGCTTATTCAAGCACTATCCCTTTAGATGTGAGTTACAGTTATATCAGTGTATATTATTCATTTCTTGACAGTAGAACAAGGAAAATTTTGATAGTTTCTATATATGATTTCATCTTGAGAAGTTAGTGATACACCTTGGAAATTCATAAACACTTATTAACCCATTTTGAAATCTAACATCTATAAATCTACCTAAAACACCTTAGAATACTTATATTATTGCCTGTATAATCTTGTAGAATAGTGAACTCCATATGGTTTTGAACTCCACTATGGACCTCCTGAAGTCTTTCATTCCCTTGATTATAATGAAAGAATTATTTAATTTCCTAGAAATAAATTGCCAAAGCAAAAAAAATAAAAAGCCATTTAGAGCCATATTAAGAAAAAGAATGAGCCAGGTGTGGTGACTCATGCCAGTAATCCCAGGACTTTGGGAGGCTGAGGCAGGAAGATCATTTGAGGCCAGGAGTTCAAGACCACACACACAAAAAAAAAAAAAAAAAAAAAAAAGAAGAAGAAGAAGAAAGAAAAGAAAGGAGTAAGATTTTCTTATTTCCTTGAGAAGACACAATATTAATAGATAAGAATGAAAGAGCAGAGCTTCAATTTTCTCCAATAATAATAATAATAATATGCATGCTAAAAAGAGTCAAACTAAACAGTAAATAGCAGCCCAAGACAGGTGAATCATTAAATGGGCTTAAGAATCTAGACTTAACCAGATATTTTCTCTAAGTCTTAAAGAATGTGGCAATATATTCTCAAAGAATCTTATGGTCATTTCAGACACCTTGGCAAGGACACTGGAGATGCACAAAGGCAGGGGATGACAATCTTGAAAGACAAAAGAATAGCTAATGTGAACCAGATACCTGCAAGGGAGGCCTTGATCCCTGATAAATGTTTTTTTAAAGTTACTTTCCACATGACTTGCATTATCCAAACTTAGCTGGATAAGTGCTGCTCAGCAGGATTTTATTCATACCAATTAATTTCTTACAACATTGCTCACCCTATATCCTCACTCTCTCCATTTGTTAATACCTCATTTGCACTGAGAAGATCAAGCAGCCTCTGACTCAAGCTCCTTCAGCTTTCAATATCCCCATTGCAATATTCCTTTGTATTTCAGCCATTTCCTCTTTTCTGTCATACTCAAGGAAAAAAATCAACCTTCTCTGTCTCCAAGAATAAACTTGTGTTCTTGAATTATCGCCTCTGTTCTCTGGAACTCTGCACAATTAAAATTATTCGTATCATCTTTCAGTCTCTCCATCTAGAGGTGTTATATCCACTCTTCACCTGGAAAAATGATCAGATTCCTTTGTTCTGAAACATGCATGCCCACACACACACACACACACACACACACACACCCATCTTACTCTTACTACTCCCTCAATTACAGAGTCTGGTACAAGAAAAGTGCTAATAAATGTTGGTAGAATCAAAGAAAAAAGGACTGCTACATTTGATCTCTTTCCTTCCTAATGCTAAGCTCCCTGAAGAAAAGTTCATAAGAGTTACCTCCATTTATCCATCTTGCCAGCCCCAGCACCATGCATGTGAACAGATTTTAGGGATGGTGAAGGCAGCCTCACTCTAACCCATTGTAGACCTTTTAGCCCTATCCCCTTGGGCTCCCACCCAGAGTACATCCTGTTCTAGCCTTTCCCACCCATGACAAGAACTGCGTGCTAAATCTAATTGTGGAGGGGAATTAAGATAGAGATGAATGAGATGGTCAGAGAGAAGGAGCTGAAATGAATGACAAAATGGAGAGTGGAGTGGGCAGCAAGTTGACAGTGAAGTCAGAGAGCTCTATTTAGGAATTCAGAAAAACAAACTGTTCAAATAATTGGGGACAACATATAGAGTTAGAGGGTCTTAAACAGGGTCTTGAAGGAAAGGATCTGCACAGGGGAGAAATAAACTTTGATAGTGGAAAAATATTGGAAAGGTACAGAATACCTATTACTAAAGAAGCATACAAGTGATTTTTAACACATTCATAGCACATCATAATTGACAACTGTTTGAAAATTGTGAAAGAGTCCTGCAATATTTTCCATAATTAGAATATAAACATCAACATCTTGTCAGTATTTGGAGAAAAGATATTATGCTAACAAAGTATTCTCAGCTGTTAATGATATAATAAATAATTTTACTAAATGGTTAGAACAAATCATCTACCAATTCTGTATGTGCCCTCATCCTAGGGACTTAGATCCTTGACCAATTTGTCTCCCCACTACCTTTGATAACATACATAAATAGAACTAGATTTTATTATTTCGGGCATTTTACTTTATGTTTTTTCACTTTGTTGCTTGGTTCATGTGTATTTCAGGTGTGAATGATTTCCTTCCAGTGTAAATGATACTTCTATTTTTGAAACACCCACTGTGCCTGGGATAGTACTGCAGATACAGTTACCCAATAGTACAAGTTAAAGTAAATTGAGTAATTTCTAGTTTATAAAGCTGATATTTTACATTTATAGATGTCTTCTTCATAAAATTTAAAAGTTCTATTAGAAATCATAGTCTCAGTTGTACGGAGCTTATTTGATTTGAGATCTGTCCTGAGATGAGGTAACCACTGGAATTAGAGAAGTATTTCATATAGTTTTAGATTCCACACAGATTTCTTTCTCATATCCCAGGAAACTAAGCACCATTTTCAACATTTAATCAATGGCCAGGGCAATCAGGCAGGAGAAGGGAATAAAGGGCATTCAGTTAGGAAAAGAGGAAGTCAAATTGTCCCTGTTTGCAGATGACATGATTGTATACCTAGAAAACCCCGTCGTCTCAGCCCAAAATCTCCTTAAGCTGTAAACAACTTCAGCAAAGTCTCAGGATACAAAATCAATGTGCAAAAACCACAAGAATTCTTATACACCAATAACAGACAAACAGAGAGCCAAATCATGAGTGAACTCCCATTCACAATTGCTTCAAAGAGAATAAAATACCTAGGAATCCAACTTACAAGGGATGTGAAGGACCTCTTCAAGGAGAACTACAAACCACTGCTCAACGAAATAAAAGAGGATACAAACAAATGGAAGAACATTCCATGCTCATGGATAGGAAGAATCAATATCGTGAAAATGGCCATACTGCCCAAGGTAATTTATACATTCAATGCCATCCCCATCAAGCTACCAACGACTTTCTTCACAGAATTGGAAAAAACTACTTTAAAGTTCATATGGAACCAAAAAAGAGCCCGCATTGCCAAGTCAACCCTAAGCCAAAAGAACAAAGCTGGAGGCATCATGCTACCTGACTTCAAACTATACTACAAGGCTACAAAAACGAAAATAGCATGGTACTGGTACCAAAACAGAGATATAGACCAATGGAACAGAACAGAGCCCTCGCATAATGCCGCATATCTACAACTATCTGATCTTTGACAAACCTGACAAAAACAAGAAATGGGGAAAGGATTCCCTATTTAATAAATGGTGCTGGGAAAACTGGCTAGCCATATGTAGAAAGCTGAAACTGGATCCCTTCCTTATACCTTATATAAAAATTAATTCAAGATGGATTAAAGACTTAAATGTTAGACCTAAAACCATAAAAACCCTAGAAGAAAACCTAGGCAATACCATTCAGGACATAGGCATGGGCAAGGACTTCATGTCTAAAACACCAAAAGCAATGGCAACAAAAGCCAAAATTGACAAATGGGATCTAATTAAACTAAAGAGCTTCTGCACAGCAAAAGAAACTACCATCAGAGTGAACAGGCAACCTACAGAATGGGAGAAAATTTTGCAACCTACTCATCTGACAAAGGGCTAATATCCAGAATCTACAATGAACTCAAACAAATTTACAAGAAAAAAACAAACAACCCCATCAACAAGTGGGCGAAGGATATGAACAGACACTTCTCAAAAGAAGACATTTATGCAGCCAAAAACCACATGAAAAAATGCTCATCATCACTGGCCATCAGAGAAATGCAAATCAAAACCACAATCAGATACCATCTCAAACCAGTTAGAATGGTGATCATTAAAAAGTCAGGAAACAACAGGTGCTGGAGAGGATGTGGAGAAATAGGAACACTTTTACACTGTTGGTGGGACTGTAAACTAGTTCAACCATTGTGGAAGTCAGTGTGGCAATTCCTCAGGGATCTAGAACTAGAAATACCATTTGACCCAGCCATCCCATTACTGGGTATATACCCAAAGGACTATAAATCATGCTGCTATAAAGACACATGCACACGTACGTTTATTGCGGCACTATTCACAATAGCAAAGACTTGGAACCAACCCAAATGTCCAACAATGATAGACTGGATGAAGAAAATGTGGCACATATACACCATGGAATACTATGCAGCCATAAAAAATGATGAGTTCATGTCCTTTGTAGGGACATGGATGAAGCTGGAAAGCATCATTCTCAGCAAACTATTGCAAGGACAAAAAAACCAAACACTGCATGTTCTCACTCACAGCTGGGAATTGAACAATGAGAACACATGGACAAAGGAAGGGGAACATCACACACTGGGGACTGTTGTGGGGTGGGGGGATAGGGGAGGGATAGCATTAGGAGATATACCTAATGCTAAATGACGAGTTAATGGGTGCAGCACACCAACATGGCACATGTATACATATGTAACAAACCTGCACGTTGTGCACATGTGCCCTAAAACTTAAAGTATAATTTTAAAAAAAGATATAAATAATTCAGAAAATGAAAAAAAAGTACTCTTCCCTCAGTTGTGCAAAGTCCTTCCTTGTGTACTTATCCTGATTTATTTGTGTTTTTATGCTCAGGCTTTACCTCTTCAAGAAAGCCTCTTGGAATGATTCTCGTCCTTTCCTGTGCTTCCGTTCTACCACTCTGACACTTGTATTTAATATAATTGTCTTTTCTGAGCTGAAATATTTATATGTGATTTGCTCTATGATACTGTGATATCCTTGAGAGCAGGAACAGTATGCCATTCATCCCTTCATCCCTAGCTCTTATCCCAGTGCCTTGGCATGATGCCTAGCATGTACTAACCACATAGATGTTCAATAAATGCTTGAACTTATTTCAAAATCTCAAATGTGCTTGCACTCACTTTCTCTCTCTCTCTCTCTCTCTCTCTCTCTCTCTCTCTCTTCACAAGTTGGTTAAAAGCATGGGTTTGGCACCAGGTAGCCTGGGTTTAAATTCAGGCCCAATCAGTTATGAGACCTTGGGCAAATTACCCAATCCCTCTAAGTCTCAGTGTCTTCAACTTTAAAATGGGAATAGTATGTCTTGTGTGTTTTGGCTGCATAAATGTCTTATTTTGAGAAGTGTCTGTTCATATCCTTCGCCCACTTTTTGATGGGGTTGTTTTTTTCTTGTAAATTTGTTTAAGTTCATTGTAGATGCTGGATATTAGCCCTTTGTCAGATGAGTAGGTGGCAAAAATTTTCTCCCATTCTGTAGGTTGCCTGTTCACTCTGATGGTGGTTTCTTTTGCTGTGCAGAAGCTCTTCAGTTTAATTAGATCCCATTTGTCAATTTTGGCTTTTGTTGCCATTGCTTTTGGTGTTTTAGACATGAAGTCCTTGCCCATGCCTATGTCCTGAATGGCATTGCCTAGGTTTTCTTAAGACACATGAAAAAATGCTCACCATCACTGGCCATCAGAGAAATGCAAATCAAAACCACAGTCAGATACCATCTTACACCAGTTAAAATGGTGATCATTAAAAAGTCAGGAAACAACAGGTGCTGGAGAGGATGTGGAGAAATAGGAACACTTTTACACTGTTGGTGGGACTGTAAACTAGTTCAACCATTGTGGAAGTCAGTGTGGCGATTCCTCAGGGATCTAGAACTAGAAATACCATTTGACCCAGCCATCCCATTACTGGGTATATACCCAAAGGACTATAAATCATGCTGCTATAAAGACACATACACACGTATGTTTATTGCGGCACTATTCACAATAGCAAAGACTTGGAACCAACCTAAATGTCCAACAATGATAGATTGGATTAAGGAAATGTGGCACATATACACCATGGAATACTATGCAGCCATAAAAAACGATGAGTTCTTATCCTTTGTATGGACATGGATGAAGCTGGAAACCATCATTCTCAGCAAACTATCACAAGGACAAAAAACCAAACACTGCATGTTCTCACTCATAGGTGGGAATTGAACAATGAGAACACGTGGACAAAGGAAGGGGAACATCACACACCAGGGCCTGTTGTGGGGTGGGGGGAGGGGGGAGGGATAGCATTAGGAGATATACCTAATGCTAAATGACGAGTTAATGGGTGCAGCACACCAACATGGCACATGTATACATATGTAACAAACCTGCACATTGTGCACATGTACCCTAAAACTTAAAGTATAATTTAAAAAATAAATAAAATGAAATAAAAAAGAAAAAAATGGGAATAATAACATTTCATAAGTTTCTTGTGACCAATGAAGGAGTGAAATTGTATACACTCACACAAACATAACTTAAGAGAGCATGGAAAAAGCTCTAGAAATGTAGACATATTACTTTTATCCACTTAGAAACATGAATACTTATCATTCTTATGATACTGATTAGTATAATTTCAAAAGTGTATTTAGAAATGACTTTGCACAGATTTGTAGAACCTTCCCAATAATGCCTTCATTTTCAAGTGAGGAGAAGATATAGGATATTATATGGAATATTATACAGTTAGTATTGAGTGAGGGGAGACAATTCCTTACATTACACAGGCTGGGCCACTAAAATCAACAGAGATTAAAAACTTTACATTTTAAAACCCAACCTGCAGTTTACCTGGAGGTTCATTCAATTCCAAAATATTTCTGGCTTGGGGACATTTTCTTAAAATTTACCATTCTTTACTACGTCATACCCTTTCTATCTATATTGAAAGTAAGGGCTGAAAATTAAGAGAATCCGAAGTTATTTTAAGAGAGAAATCTAAGAGGGGCTTTCTTATGGGAGATTAAAATTAAGTAATATTTCATAGGGGAAGAGGAATCCAGAAATACAGATCTCATGGTCAATGCAGAATCTGAAGCAATAAAAGCTAACATTTCTTAGAATAATTCTGAATTTTGTTAAATCTCTGTAGGAGAGATGAAAGATAATTAAATGAATGGGAAAAATCACTAGGGGAAGTCCTAAGAAAGAGAAATATCAGGCTATGCACTAAAACAAAGAGGAGTGATAATTGAGGGTTATCAACATTTGTCACTTGCTTTAGAAAGATCAAGAAGATTGAAATCTAAGGATAGGCTATCAAATGAAAGGTAAAATTATTATGTAGAAAGAGAAGCATAAAATTTTACACATAGAAAGTTCACAGGAGGACATCCCATTCAACCCATCATTATATAAGAAAACTGAGTTGTAGAGAGAAGTCAAAGTTCATTCGTTGAGTCACTTTGGAACAGAACTACATATTTTGGTATCTTGGCTTCATAATCCCATTTCCTTTTTCCACCTGTACACTGGAATCCAGTCTCTGAAAAGAGGATATTCCATGAAGTTATTAACAATACATCTTCTGGGAAGGAAGATGTTATTTGAAGTCAACATCTGACCATAACTGAGATAAAACATAAATGAAAAAAGCAAAGAGGCTAAGTGTTTTGATGACCATAATTTGAACCCATTACTTATTAATACAAAGATGAGCCACAAGTATAGTTTTTATGCAAAATTACTGCTGTGTTTTATAAGAAAACTATGCTCAAGTAATGAATGATAGGGTACTAACTAGCTAGAGGGGAAAAGAGGGTAAAGAGGGAGAAGAGAGAGAAAAAGACAGACTGGAAAGTTGAGGGAAGAAGTAAAACCAACTTGTAAACTTACAATCTCTCACATAGGAAACACTGGTTTCCTTCAAGGACATCAAATAACGTTTCCATTTCATTTAAGTATTTTGAAGTCTGGTGGTCAAAACCTTCTCCACCACCTCATGCTGTAAAGAATTACTTCAATACCAATAAAATCTATCCATCTGACAAAGGGCTAATAACCAGAATCTAGAAAGAACTTAAACAAATTTACAAGAGAAGAACAACCCCATCATAAAATGGGCAAAGAATATGAACAAACACTTCTCAAGAGAAGACATTTAATGTGGCCAACAAACGTATGAAAAAAAAGCTCATCATCACTGGTCATTAGAGAAATGCAAATCAAAACCACAATGAGATACCATCTCACACCATTTAGAATGGCAATCATTATAAAGTCAGGAAACAACAGATGCTTGAGAGGATGTGGAGAAATGGGAACACTTTTACACTGTTGGTGGGAATGTAAATTAGTTCAACCATTGTGGAAGACAGTGTGGCGATTCCTCAAGCATCTAGAACCAGAAATACCATTTGACCCAGCAATCCCATTACTGGGTATATATCCAAAGGATTATAAATCATTCTACTATAAAGACACATGCACATGTATGTTTATTCCAACACCGTTCACAATAGCAAAGACTTGGAACCAACCCAAATGCCCATCAATGAGACTAGGTAAAGAAAATGTGGCACACATACACAATGGAATACTATGCAGCCATAAAAAAGGATGAAGCCCTTTGCAGGGACATGGATGAAGCTGGAAACCACCATTCTCAGCAAACTAACACAAGAACAGAAAACCAAACACTAAATGTTCTCACTTATAGGTGGGAGTTAAACAATGAGAACACATGGACACAGGGAAGGGAACATCACACACCGGGGCCTGTCAGCAGGTGGGGGCCTAGGGGAGGGATAGCAGAAATATCTCCTAGGAGGCCTAGGAGAAATATCTAATGTAGGTGTGGGTTGATGGGTGCAGCAAACCATCACGGCACGTGTATACCTATGTAACAAACCTGCACTTTCTGCGCATGTATCCCAGAGCTTAAAGTGTAATTTAAAAAACAAACAAACAAAACACCAAAAACCAGGAAGCACCACCATAAAAAATTTAAACAAAAGAAACAACACAAATGAAAAATGCCTCTTATACTTACTGTAAAGGAACTTGACTCTAAAGAAGACAAATAATTCTCCTTCATAACAAATAGAACAGCTCATCTGATTGGAAGGGCAAAGATGCAGATCTATCACAGGGATGCTAGCTATTCTAAGTTCATTCTAATCCTGTAATTTTAAGACATGACTCAAATTTCCTACTTCTAATTTATTTGCCAATATATCCAGTAGAATGAATAATTTAAAATAGGTACTTTCCAGAATGCTGAGTGAGATATAAAAAGGATTTTGTGAAAGCTTTTTGGTATAAGTAAATTTTGTGATAAGGCTCTTGCTATTAAGGAACAGAAAATGGAACCAATGTTGGTTTTAAGAGAAAAAACAGTTGCTGGCTATTTAAATTGCTTCAATATTTCACTTACCTTTGATTTTACATAGTATTGAGCATAGTAATGAATAATCTAATCTGTCTGGCCAATTTTATATAATTTTAAGCAGTGTTTTGTTATATTTTACAATACAAAAATAGCCACTCTCCCTTTTGTATTTGCTTTTTAAATATATACCTTTAGGACATTAAGCTTTTAAATTTATAAGCAGCAGAAAATATCTGAAACACATATTTGTATTAAAACATTACTCCTTGCATAAAACCACTGACCCATTTTTCTAAAGTAAAAATCACTGCTGGGTTTTTACTTACATTGAAACTATAGCAAGTACAGTTCAATTATTATATTTATACAGTACCTTGAAGAGTATATGTCACGTTGCACAACTGACCTTCTTTTCTATAAAAAGTATAGATATAGCCAAAAATAAGTAATTGAATTATGGAACATTTTGAAAAAGAGAACCCTGTTGCTTTCGTTGCATGTAAATAAATTTGGATGTTTAATACTTCTTTGCATTTCCTTGCATATTTGCAAATATGACCTTAATTTTTTTAATTAAAAAATCTGTCCACTTTACAGATTTAAAAGTGATACCTTGTGAAGAGAGCTGTACAGAAAAAATAAACCCATAAATTTAGCAGATTTTCAGAGACAGAAAAATAAATTTTCTTTTCAAAGAAGAACCAAATATGCCACAATTCCATCACAAGCCATAGCATGAAGATCAAGTTTTTCTCTCCATAAAAGAATTGAGTTGTTTAGGTTGAATTCACATCACTCACCTGTTTGACTAAGCTGGGATGTGCTTCTACTCCTTCGAGACACTATGGCAACCACTTTGGCACTAAGGCTGGATCTCCGTTTCTTTCCACCTGCTCCAACTGTACCCACAGCTGTGTCTGACTGGCTGCCGTCATTATGCTCCAGTGTGTACATCTCTCCACTGACACTGGTGCTCTTCATGATGGATCTTCCTGAAGTCCCCATCCGTCTGCCTTGCATTTTGGGGGTAAATGAACTATATTTACAAAGTAAAAACATATATGCATCCATAAATTACAGGTCAGCATCACTGAAATTCTAAATCTAATTTATTTTGAAATAATCCAGACACATTTTTAGGGAGAAAATGCAGTTGAGTAGTGGATCTATACCTACAAATACTTTAGTATCACACCACCACCTGCAAAGTATTTATTACTAGACATGGCTTAAAACAATGCCATTTCAACATGGAATAATTTAGAATCTTTTTAAAGATTGTAAAAATAAGTGCAACAAATGCCATGCATGGGGAGATGAATGTTACTGACCAATTTTGTAAACAGTATAGTTACTATGTTACCAGAGAAAAACTAAAATATTTCAATTATTAAGAAAAGTTCATATATATTCCAGAGAGAAAAATATTTTTAAAAACGTACACTCTTTAAATGTGCCACATAACAAGGCTTAAGAAATGAAAACAGTATTTGTTCTAATTTCCCTTTGGGATTCTAACTAACACATCTTGCTTAATGAGTCTAAGACTGCAAAGAAAGCAAAAACTAAAACTAAAACAACAACAACAAAATGCTTTTGGATTAAGTTTTCCCTCCTCCTTCCTTGTCCCCTCATGCTCCACTTCCTCCACACAAACTTCTTCATCTCATTTCCTTCTTTCAGTGCCTCACACTCGCATGATGTAGGCTGATTTCTTTTTATTTTTTTCTTTCCTATCAAAACTTGTCTATGTTACCAGCTTGTACCAGTTTACCTGAATAGATTCCTTCTCTCCCCAAAGAATATATTATTGTTAATTATTTTATGCAGCATAGAAAGTTAGCTGGGAAAAACTCCTTTCTACTAGCCAAAGTAAACTACGTCTGAGAGTTGAGGAGAGGTAGGGCAAGCAAGCAGGGAGCATGGATGTTAGGATTCTTTTTTTTTTTTTTTATACTTTAAGTTTTAGGGTACATGTGCACAATGTGCAGGTTAGTTACATATGTATACATGTGCCATGCTGGTGTGCTGCACCCATTAACTCATCATTTAGCATTAGGTATATCTCCTAATGCTATCCCTCCCCCCTCCCCCCACCCCACAACAGTCCCCAGAGTGTGATGTTCCCCTTCCTGTGTCCATGTGTTCTCATTGTTCAATTCCCATCTATGAGTGAGAACATGTGGTGTTTGGTTTTTTGTCCTTGCGATAGTTTACTGAGAATGATGTTAGGATTCTTACAACCTTTTAAATTACAATGCATATGCAGCTTTATTATCCATCTAGACCAGTACATTTCTGTCTAATAAAAACCTGGTTTGATACACCTAAAATGACCCTCTTAATTTTATGTTTCCTCAAAATATTTGCAAAAACTAATTATATGACCCTTATTACCATTTTGATCTTCTTCATTTTCTACTTCTTGTTTTGAACTACAAAATACACACTAGCTGATATAGCATCTTTAACAGTGAGGACATTTAATATGTGAGTCAGAAAAAATCCTAATATGATTATAAATTATAAAACAGAAAGTGTTGGGATTATGTAACAAGTTTGTTGTCATATATATAATGAGAGAGAAATTGGTATGAGGTGAGTTCATAAAGGTGGGAGAGCAAGATCAGCAAGGAGAGTTTATAAGCTACGGAAAAGAGGTAAGACTGGTCCTTAGGATCCTTCATGGATTGTGAATTGAAAATTGAGACCTCTACTTGATGAGGACAATTTGTAATTTTTAATACTTAGCTGCATTACTTGAACTTGTCCACATCAAAATTCTGATAATAATAAATGATTCTTATTCTTTCAACTTATTCCAGTCAGTTTTTCATTAACTCAAAATTTTAAGTCATTTGCAAATCTGATAATTTTGCTATGCATTTTATGTACATTTTTTGAGACACAAATGAGAGTATTATTATGTATGATCAATCCCAAACTGTTTCCTGTGGGATTTATATTCCCAACTCCAGGAGACTTTCTTTCCTGATAAGTATTATGGTCAATTTCTTCTGTGTCTTCACCAACATATTTGAATGCATTATCTAATACGCCACCCATCCTTAAGGCTACTCTATCTGCTTTTCTTTACTATTTTACTTGCAGAATTCTGCTGGAGAATCTACAGAAATGTCAGGATTTGGTCAATTTCATAGTTACAATGTCCATGCTCAATCGAATGCCTACAACAGAGAAAGCAGTGGTTTCTCATCTCTCATCAATTATTTTAGCCCACTCTCCACAATGGTTATTGAAAACTTCTCTTCTGATGATTTTCTAACCTTTAAAGGAAAGTATGAATTAATTAACATGTACCCTTTTTTCTTCCCATTATTTCCATAAAGATGGAATTCTATTACAGCTTGAAATTTCCATCTCTAATATCAGTCACAAAAAAACACCATTGTGAAATTCTGGGCAATGTTCTTTAGTTTATAAAGAAGTTTAAGAGTATAGGGAAATGTCTACTATCATATTTTATTATTAAAATTTAAGATGAACTGGGAAGATTCAAAAGTTTATTTCACGGGTATCCAATTTTAGCAGTGAAATATTCTACAATTTTGACAAATAAAAGTTCTGGAAAAAATAGAAAAATATGTATAACAAGTGTTATCATTGGGAGGGGGTTAAGTTATATGAAAAATGATTGGCTGAATAAAATATGAGTTTTTTTTTCTCAAAAAATATATGTCCAGATGCTTAAAAGCATTCTTTTATGAGGACCTGTGTAGCTTCCTAAACAGTCTATAATATTATAATATTCAATGAAAAACATTTAAGGTATTTTCATTTCTTCTAACTGAGGAGGCAGTTCATAGAATCTAATCAGTCAGATTAATCTAATCAATCTGAAGATTACAGCACAAATATGCTTTCTACTGCCCCATTTCTTACCTTTCATTTGTTCTGCTTCTGTTTCTTGAAAAATTATTCCTATCGCTTATACATATCTGAATCTTTTAAGACACATCTTAAGGTTTTCTGCTTTATAAAGCTACTCAGTCTCTCTAGCTTCATGACTGTTGTCTCCTGGTCCTTTGTTTTACATTTTGTACTGGTTATATTGGGATTCTGATATTTCATAACAGCATGCACTTTATGCACCACTAAAACTGCTACAGCCCCCTTCCCATTGCTGAATGAATAGATTTATGAGTAGGAAGTGAAAAAAAGTGATCAGTATAGAAATATACTGTGCTATAACCCATCTTTAAAAGTCAAACAAAATCCCTTTCCTTTTGATCCCCCCCTTCTTGTAGACTTTTTGCTGAAAAATCTCAAGTAGTTATTTATATATCCTCTCCTATTTTTTTCTGAAGTAATTTGAATCAGGCTTTGTCCCTAACATTTCACTAAAACTGTCTTTTATCAGTCGCTAATAACTCCACACAGCAAATCCTGTCACTTACCAGTCTTTATCCTTTTGACCTCTCAATATGTCATGCATTTGTCAAAGAATTTGATTCCCTTGTCTTGAAATACTTTATTCTAATGGATTTTCCAAACTTGTGCCTCACTGGCAGGACCTTGATCCTCTTTTATCACTAAATGTAGGAGCTCCTCAATGCCCAGCCCTTTGGCCTATATTCTTCTACATGAACTGAACTCCACAGATGTCTCACCTGGTTCCAAGCATTATGTAGTATCTATATGCTGCAGATCCCAATTGTTTTCCTGCACCTTGTACTCAGCCCTGGACTCCAGATTTATATATCCAGCTGTCAACTGACGTATCTGCTTGGATATATCTAATAAGGCTCTCAAACATAAAGTGTTCAACCCTCAAAAAACCTGCTCCCTCTCCAATCTTCCATATCACATTATAGGCACCCATCTACCCAACTGCTCAGAGTAAGAACAAAATATCCAATCTTGGAAGTAAGACAAACCCAACCAACCAACCAAATTGGTTTTCTGGCCACTTTTCTTGAGCATTCCCTAACATGCTTGTGCATTGGCTAACAAGAGCACCTAAGGGTCATTTGACTCTCTACAGAAGTGTAAAATTTTGACTTAGTATTTACTCTTATAATTGTAGTCCAAACATTTTATATTCTTTGTAAAGTTAGATGTTAATTTGAAAAAAAAAAACTAATAAAGGGCATATGATTACTATCTGGCTCTAGAGTGGATAACTGGTAAGTCATAGTTTCATTGACTTAGAATACATTATCCAGTTTTGAATCTAACTTAGTAATCTAATTTTAGTATTCCATTTTCCCCAATAACTATATGTACATGTACAAAATTACAAGGGTTTCTTGGATCATCTTTGGAAACAGCTTGTTATACTGTCGGTTTTCTCACTAATTAATTAAAGCTCCAACATTTGCTATTTTTCTGGTGATTAGTGTTTTAATTTGGAGAATTATGTTCTGATAGTACTGGAAGTCCCACCAAAGACACTTAAATGAACTCCCTACTTAAGCCAATTAGCTGTGTTGTCCAAGCAGGGCATTTCATGGGCTCTATAAGCCCAAGGATGCCTTTTCCTGGCTTCTAGATTTAACCTCAAGAGGCAACAGCACAGTCTTCTTTCTGTTTTCTTTTTTTCTGACTCTGGTTTTCTATGCATGTTTTTGTTTTGTTTTGTTTTGTTTTGTTTCTTTCTGGTTCCAGTTCTTGGCAAGACTGACTCTGATTCTGCATTGCTTATGACTAATAATACTTTCCCAACTAGTGGCAGTAACAATAGGGAATCTACCTATGGGTGAAATCTGTCAGACGGCTGGCCAGCAGATTTCAGTGTCAGGAATACATTGAAAGCTGGGTG
The DNA here is from genome assembly GCF_000001405.40 of Homo sapiens. Lineage (NCBI taxonomy): Eukaryota > Metazoa > Chordata > Mammalia > Primates > Hominidae > Homo > Homo sapiens. The sequence goes on along the minus strand of NC_000006.12, from coordinate 72,328,853 downwards.
GCAGATGACAGAAAATCTAGTTTGGTAGAATTTTTGCAAGTATTTTTTTTTGAATGCTACTAAAAACTCACATCACTCAAGAAATATATTGTGCATACTGAAAGAAGAAAAACCCTTTAAAATATAGGCTTAGATTACTACGTTAATTTTAACCCTATAGCTGTGTGGTAACACTGAACCTGCTAGTTCTGTTTGCTAAAAAAAAATATTTTTAATTGGTGACAAAAACATTCTTACTTTGTGTATACCATAGGGATAGTTGTCCAAGTAGCAAATATTAGATCCCAAGGTATTTTGTTTTTATACTTTTGTTTTAAAAATAAGTTTTAATTTTTGATTTCATGGGTACATAGTAGCTATATATATTTATGGGGTACATAAGATTTTTTGGGGGGAGTTCTTTTTTTATTACACTTTAGGTTCTGAGATACATGTGCAGAACATGAAGGTTTGTTACATAGGTATATACGTGCCATGGTGGTTTGCTGCACCCATCAAACCCATCATCTACATTAGGTATTTCTCCTAATGCTATCCCTCCCATAGCCCCCTACCCCCTGACAGGCCTTGGTGTGTGATATTCCCCTCCCTGTGTTGTCATTGTTCAACTCCCACTTATGAGTGAGAACATGTGGTGTTTGATTTTCTGTTCCTGTGTTAGTTTGCTGAGAATGATGATTTCCAGCTTCATCCATGTCCCTGCAAAGGACATGAATTCACCCTTTTATGGCTGCATAGTATTCCATGGTGTATATGTGCCACATGTTCTTTATCCAGTCTATCACTGATTGGCATTTGGGTTGGTTCCAAGTCTTTGCTATTGTGAATATTGCTGTAATAAACATACTTGTGCATGTGTCTTTATAGTAGAATGGTATTTTACATTTAATAGAACTTCTGTTCTGATTGATCTGTACAGGTGAGTACTTACCTAATTCTAGCATAGAGAATTAAAGAATCCCAGAGAAGAAAGAAACTGAACTTCTAATACTTTAAAAATGCTACCATTTTAAGAAAATTCCCTTTTCAAAAAATTGCTAACTCAGTAGAATCAAAGTGAATTCTTGAAGATAGCAAAGTAGTTTGATAATTTTGGCTTAACAGCAGGTTTATGAAAACCACAATGATATTCTACTTTAAATGTACTAGGATGGCTATAATAAAAAATAGACAATAACAAAGGTTGACTAGAATTAGGAGAAACTGGAGCCGTCAACATTGCTGATGGGGATGTAAAGTGATGCAGCTGCTTTAGAAAATATGATGGCACTTTAAATACAGGTAAACTAGAGCTACCATATGATCCAGCAATTCCATTCCTAAGTATATACTCAAGAGAATCGAAAATATATATCCACACAAACATATATGAACTATTCATATCAAAATTATTCGCAAAAGTCAAAAAGTGGATGGAAACAAAACAAATGCCCATCAACTGATGAATAGAGAAACAAAATGTGTTAAATCCATACAATGAAATATTATCAACCATAAAAAGAAATGAATTTTGGGGACCTCATACTGATAGGTATGGAAAATGAGATCTGGTGGTAATAACACTTTGGTCCACATTATAAATTACACATATGATTTGGTATGAAATAATTAAGCATTAAATGGAAAAGGTGATAAAGTGTCTATACGCATTCAGCCAAATCAAAGATGCCATCAGTATTAAGACACATCATTATTTTATGTATTTTTTTTTGGTGGCTTAAAACAACACAAATTTATTATCTTTCAGTTCTGGAGGTCAGAAGCCCTAAAATCAAGGTGTCAGCTGGGCTATGTTTCATCTGGAGGCTTTAGGGGAGAATATGTTTCTTTGCCTTTTCTAGTTTATGTAGGCTGCCCAAATTCCTTAACTGATGGCCCCTTCCTCTGTCATCAAAGGGAACAATGGCTGGTTGCATACATGTGGAATCACTGTGACCTCTGCTTCTATTGTCATATCTCTGTCTTTGACTGACTCTGCTCCCTCCTTTTTTCACTTATAAGCACTCCTGTTACTACACTGGGCCCACTGGATAACCTTGTACAAGCTCCCTACTTTAAATTCAGACAATAGCAACCTTAATTCCATCTGACACCCCAATTCCCCATTTTTCTGAGGATTATGATATAGGAACCCTTTGTCGGGGGCACATTGTTCTGCCTATCAGACCAAGTAATTCTGGAATGGGGGTATGGAGTCTCTCTCCTAAGAAAGAAAAATGCTAATTAAACGATGACATGCCATCAATTGTAGAATATGTACTGATTGTATAGATGGTAAAATACAAACAAGTAATGTGGATAAAATCAATTAAATTATGGTAACAGACAAACAAGAAACCAATTTAAACAAGAATTTTTAAAAATAATAAAATAACATTAAAGCATCAGAAGCTTACTTTCCCAAACATAGACTGTTACTTATAGATACAGAAGTGATGGGTAATGTAAGACAATCAAATCTGTACCTTCATTTGCCAGACTTTGGCCCATTATTACAATGTAAGGAGGCTGACACAACGTTTTGGAAGAGGATAAAAAACAGAAGTCCTAAAACACCTTCTTTCAGAAAGCAAGAATGTTTTCAGAAGACACGAGGGGCTATGTCAGGATAGTTCCCACTCTTCATGACAAACTTAGCTTAAAAACAATTACAATCAATTTACATACATTCAATCCACTAAAAGAACCTAGAAGTCTACCATAATTCTATTGTAAGCCTTAAGAAGGAACAAGTAGTATAAAGAATAATAATGCATATAAGTTCACAATGATGTTTACAAAAATTTTAAAAGTTAAATAACAAAAATTATATGAGCCCTACACTTACATCTGGATCAATACACAAGTTACTAACCACAAACAGTAGATCAATATTGTTGATCAATATTAAGAAGCCATCTCCAGGCATCCATCCTATAATTTTCAGTGGTCATAACACAGGGACTGGTGATTAATAATCAAGGTGGCATTAAATACCTCCTAAAGGTGTCTGGTGGACCTATTTTGATAATAAGAATCAGAACTAAAAAATGAACTCAAGTTAGATCACTATTTATATTCAATCTCTTCAAGTAAGCTGGACCTTAAGAAGTAATGATCTCTGTAATTTTTATTAAATCTCATTCCCACACACATACATGTGTTGAGTTTTATGTGAAGCTATAAGTAGTCTTCAGTGTTGAGGGCTTATGCACATTTTGTTAGTTTATTCCTAGGTCTTAGATTTATTTCTAGGTATTTTATATTTCTGACTATATTACATTGATGGCATTTTGTAAATTTCATTTCCTAAGGTTTGTTTGTTGCTAGTACATAAAAATAAAATTCCTTTTCATACGTTAACCTTATACCCAGTGACTCTGCAAAATTCATTAATTCTAATAGTTATTATATATATATATTTATATAGACTTCTAGGTTCTTTTAGTGGATTGAATATATGTAAATGGACTGTAATTGTTTTTAAGCTAAGTTTGTCATGAAGAGAAATATTTTATATATTTCCTATATGCATAATCACATAAACTGTAAATAATGATCTATGAATTCATCCATCATTTATCATCCCTCTCTCTATCTGGATTCAATTTGCTAAAATTTTGTTTGGGGTCTCTCTATTTTAATGAGAGATTTTGTCCTATTTTTTCTATCTTGTAATGTCCTTACCAAATGCATCAAGGAAAGGCTGCCATCACCGAGTTTCAAAATGTTCCTTAGGAAAAAATTGTGGAAGATAAGAGTATTTATTCTTTAAATATTTGTAATTATCAGGATCTACCTGGGTCAGGATATTTCTTGGTGAAAAGGTTGAAAACAATTACAGAATCATTTAAGAAACTAAATATATAACTCTTCAGCTTTTTAGTTTATTCTTATGTCATTTTTAGTAAGTTGTACTTTTCAGAAAATTTGTATATTTCATGTAAGTCAGGGTTAGGAAAATTTATTTTGTAAAGGGCCAGATAGTAAATATTTCATACTGACTCTGTTGCAACTACTCGACTCTGTTGCAACCACTCAATTGTTGTGGCGGGAAAACAGCCATAGACGATATATTAGGAAATGGGCATAGATGTGTTCCAGTAAACCTTTATTCACAATAATAGGCAGTGGGCCAGATTTAGCCTGCTGGCCATAGTTTGCTCACTGTGATCTGAATTGAAAAACTTACTATCGTAAGTTGTTTACAATATCATTTATATATCTATAATATGTATTATTGTCCCCTTTCATTCTATGATATTGGTAATTTTTACTGAGTACATTTACTTTTGATGCAATTATTGATACAGATGTAGTTCCATCCACCACTTTCTGTTTATTTGTAGTCATCCCATCTGTTTGTTGTTTTACTTCTCCTTTTGCCTAATTAGGTATTTTTATTATTCCACATTTTTTCAACTATTAGCATCTGAGTTGTGCATTCTTCTATTATGCTATTAGTGACTACCCTAAAGATTAAAATATGCACTTTGACTTACTTAAATCCTCAAGTTAGACATTTTAACCAATTTCAAAATAATGCAAGATCTGTACAATAACTTACTTCCATTTACTCCCCTCCCACCTTTCACTCAGGTATTTTATATATTTTTCACGTCTACATATGTTTTAACTACCACAAGATGTTGTTTTTATCATTATGAACTCTTTCCAATGTTCTTCATTCTTCCTCAAGGCTAGTGCTTCCAACTGGAGATACTTTTCTTCAACATGAACTCCCATTAGTATTTTTTGTAGTGCTGGTCACCTCATGATGAATTCTCTTTGTTCTCTATCTATCTATCTATCTATCTATCTATCTATCTATCTATCTATCTATCTATGCATGCATGCACTCATTTATTTATTTCCTGAAAGATATTTCTGGGTAATATTTACTAAGCATAAAATTGTAAGTTGGACATTTTTGTTTTTTCCTTTCAGAGTTCTTTCTTTTGGCCATTCCATCAAATTTGGGGTCTCATAATATGTGCTGAAATTTCAGCTAGTCATATCTTTGCTTCTCCAAAGATATTATCTCTTTTTTCCCCTGAGATTCTTTTAAGAAATGTTTTCCTTTAGTTTTCTGTACTTTGATTACAATAATGCTGATTTTTTTCTCTCTTACATATATTATTGGGTATGTAAAGATTTCAGATTTGTAATTTGATGTCTTTTATCAGTCCTGGAAAATTGTCGGTCTGTAATTCAGTATTCAAGTGTTGCTTCTGTCATTTCCTCTCCTTCTGGGACTCTATATACATTAGAATTTTTCATCATGTTCAACTTGTTTATATTCTCCTCCAATTTCTGTCTCTTCTCTCTGTACATCAACTCCTATACTTTCTACTGACTAGTTCATTAATCCTTGGTTTTACTGTTTCTCATATGTCATTAAACCCACTATTACTTTTTTTTAATTTTTAAATTATAATTTAATTTTTTAAAATGGATTCCAGGTCTCTGTTAAATAATCCATCCTCCTTTGATTTCTTTAACATATTAATCACAGATATTTTAAAGTCTCTCTCTATTTGATAACTCTTGTTAGTGTTTAGCCAGGTAGTCCTTTTTCTCGTTGTTAAACATGACTCATAAATTTTAATCAGATGTAAAACTGTGTGGATGAAACCCTGTGGAGGCTCTGTATGATATTATTTTCCTCCAAAATAGGTAAAATTCTCATTTGATTGACAGAAAGATTTCGTCTTGTTCTTGTACAGAGTTTGGGTTTAAAGATTTGCTATTATTCACAGAGTGTAATGCTTATTTCTAGAGTTTGGCCCTTCTGAGATATTTAAAAGAAATCAAAAGTGTTTGTCATACCCCTCTAACTATGGGAACTTGAAGTCCAATCCATCTCCCCAGCACTGGCAGCTGCTGGAATTTGTGCTTGGCTCTTTGGCCTTCCAGCTGCTGCTTTTTGTTTGCTTTCCTGGAAACTTCCCTGTGCATAGACAGGTCACTGGTCAACGTATGAAGGAATTCTATAGCAAAATTTGAAGCCTTCCACCCTCACAATTTCCAGTTTCTCTGTCAGTTCCTGAATTGTGAAATTTATTTTCTCAGCCTAGTAAGTAAGAACACTGCTCTCTGCTTACGGCTCTATTATCCTATGTCACCAAATTGGAAAGTAACTTCAGAGGAAACTAGGATGAACTTACCACTTACCTTGTGTTTTCCCCTCCTTTCAAAAATTGAAACTACTCAAATTTCTGCCTGCTTTGTTGCTCTCAAAGGCCTTCCAATAGTTTTTGCTGTTGTTGTTCATTATTTGTTCTTGTTCATTATTTGTTCTTGTTCAGCTTTTATAGTTTTATATGTGGAGAAGTTAGTCTGATATAAACTATACTGTCATGCCTGGGGAACTGTGACCATGTAATATTATTGCTTATTTTTGAATAAGGGTAGAATTAGACCAGTTATGTTGTTATCAAAATGTTCATAGGATTTCATAATGAAGACATACGTTAAAATCATGCTATACCAGTTTATTTGTAAATTATACTGAATAGCTTTTGCCACATTGATTCCTATATACAGTCCCCCAATACCCTGCTTCTGCCACAGAATGGCAGACCTGAGATGGTCCTCTTCTGAGTCCATGTAGTCTGCTACTATGAGGTATAAAATACTGTTTCAAGGTGCTCCAGGGCTAAAACTTCCCCTAGCTCTTACATATTCTAGAAGGGAATTTTTCATTGGACTTTTTAAGGCTGTGACATTTATTTTAGAGAGCTTCACATTCTGTTCAATAGCTGAACAAGTAAGCAACTATTTTTGGCATTTCCTCTCATTTTGGTTCAGATTTCACTGAATTTGAAAATTGCTTTCTATAGCTTATTATTTACAGATGTGGTTAAATCCTAGTTTCATGTTAGATGGAGTTTTTAGTCTTTTTAGTCTTCTTATAAAATTGAGGTGAGTAAACACATCTGTTCTCTGTAACTTTAAATCTGTGATCATGAGTTCTCTTTGAGAAGTAAAATGAGTAGGCCTTGATGACTCATTTGAACATGCATTCCCATTGGGAGTGATACTGTCCCCAGAAGGGGATAACTGATTCTTGGTGAAGGTAGAGGGAACAAAAAAATCTTAGATAATACAATGGTTAGTGGTCCTCCAAAGGCCTGCAGTATATAAATAGTATGTCTCTAGTATTAAAATTTCATGTAAGGAGGGCAATTAGGAAAGGAACACCTAAAAGATCCCTTAGGGGAGTGATAATAAAAAGGATTGAGAAATATTGAATTAGGAAGAGGACTGGGGAGAGGTAAAAATCTGGGTGGCTTCCAGTTCTTTGATTTGGGAACTGGGTGGATAATGGTGTAAAAAGCATATAATTATTCTGTTAAAATACTAAACAAGCCGATAATGTTTTCATACTTGTTCTAATAAATGTTGTTTTACAAGTAACCAGTTAAGAATACATCTGCTCATGTATTTCTAATCTATTGTAAATGCAACACATACAAAAACAAATGCATACTTAAACAAAAGCTGATATACATACTCAGTGAATACCAAAACATGAGAAAACAATTACTTACATCATGTATGGACCATAAAACTATATAAATGAGTCACAAATAATAAAGTCATAAAATTAAAGATGAATACACACAAATGCTGCCTTGATATATCTGTTGTAGTTTACAAAGTAACAAATAATACAACTAATTTGTTGTATTAGTGATTCAGAAAGCTTTGAAAATATTTCCACTAATTATAAGGAAATAGCATATATGCCATCTTGAGGATACATCAAGGTCTATGCTTTCTTTATTCATTATGCTGCATAAGTAGTACGTATACAGTTAGCAAATATCAATCAATCCGCACTTGGTTATCATGTCTATGCTTTAAGAGAGTCTAGCTGAAATCAAGGTAATCATATGTTAAAATGAGTAAAGAAACAAAGCTTTAAATGATGACTTTCTAAATGAATAAAAAAGATAAAGTAAAAATATACTTTAAAAATTTTACTATATTGCTTTAAATTGAACATATATCAAGAGTAGTATAAAAAAGCATAGTATAAAGTCTATTAACTGTACAAGCTGAAGTAATGAGCTTGGAAATAATATATATTTCCCTGGACAATCTATATAATGCTATTTAAAGCTAAAATGCTAAAAAACAATAATAAGTATTTATCTCATATACCAAGTGTATAATAAACATAATATATAGTAGAAAAACAGACCAACTAAGACCAATATAGAACATTCTAGTAGTTTTCTTTTTCTTTGGAATTTGTTTTTTCTTAGTGTATTATACTGAAGTTTCACTATACATTGCATAATCCTTCAGCCAAATTATGGTACTATCTGAATTTTAAAAACAGGTAATAACTAGAGAAGTAGAACCACATCTCATATTTTAATTTTCTCCTTGGAAGTAATAGCACTAGAATTTACTGTGCCATATATTTTGGTTTACAATATGTTTTTAAAGCAGCAGTGCCTGGCTTCCTTTTTAAAAATAAACTACTTCACAGACTTCTGTTGTACTAAACAAATACTAGTAGAACTGCTTTAGTTGAAGTTGCTGAAGTCCTGCAGTCTAGGAATTCTCCTCCCCGTTTAGTTTTTCTCCTGCTCCTTGGACAACTTTCTCCTGTCTATCAGGCAATTCTTGGAGACAATAAGGTTCATTAGAACACCAACAGTCCATGGGCATAACTTTGAAAAACACTCGAATAAAACTGAACTCTTCAAGTGTCAAATCCAACTGTTAAATTCATCCAACTCACCATGAAGCACTGTGAAGTGGATAAGTTAAATATTAGTAATCAAAATTCGAATTTTAAATGCCGTTGCACTATATTATGTGTTAGCCGTCTCTCAGAAGACATTCAAGGATGACTTAAAAGTATAAAGTAACTTATCTAATACTTCATACCATGTATGCAGTAACTGAGTTATAAAGCAAAATGCTATATTTTCAAAGTATTCTGATATACACTATTTCATTTTATTCTCAAACAGTCTGGTAAGGTAGGAGTGGCAGGTATGATTCACATTTTTCAGATGAATATACATTTAATATTATTATTACACTTGTATGAAAATCCACTAAAAACATAGATCTAGGAATCATGTGTTTTGTTTTATACTAGATAGTGTACGGCACCTGCGTATAAGATGTACCCAATAAATGACTGGTGAATAAGTAAATGAATAAATCTATGACTAAGTGAAAAAAAATCAAGGTCTAAAGAAGTTGTACACTTGTTGAATGAAGCTCTCAATATTGGTTAGTAGAAGTACTGAGCCATAGCTGACAGAACCAAAGATTCACATCTGAGTCAAAAGCAGTCTTTAAGGGCAGGCTGGTAGTCTTCACATTGTCCTGGCATAGGAACTCTGATCACAAGATGCTGTTTATTCAGCAATCACTAACCATTCCCTTAACTTCAGGCTCACTTCATTCTTCTCCCTTATATTCAATATCCTCTGAGACTTCAGAATCTCTTTCTCAGTTTGAGCTGTATCAACCTTTACCTCCCACATTAGTTCTTCATTCTCCTCCTTCCATTACACCTCATGACTGAAATGGTCCTGTCTCTGCTGGCACTCTCTTCTTTCCTGAAAGTTTTCCAGTTCTTGGCTCCCTTCACCATCTCCTTCTATGTTCCTGATTGTTATTTTTCTTAAGCCCCTTAGATATTACTTCCAGTTTAACATCCAACTCTGCTTGCTCTGCCTTGGCATTTGCCCTCTAACTTGGGATAAAGTCTCTAGGGCCATGATCCTTCTTACTTTTCACACCTACATGTTTTTTCTTATTTATTAATTATTTTTAAATATTATCCTTTTCAAGTAAGCAAATTTAAAAAAAAATTTTAAAAAATGGTAACACATCAAATATGAACTATTTCTGGCAGTATGGTAGATGATATATTCTGATTCTAAAAAATCCTTTCACTTCCAAATGCCTAGTAATTATGATGGGAAAATTACAACAAATGCCTGTTAAAATACCAACTTGAGGTCACAAGAAAGAAAGGCATATGTCCTTAGCCAAAAACCAAACGAGAACTAAAACAGGTCGGTAAGTGAATGATGAATCTTTGGAAACCTTTCAGGTCTAGTGAGGAGTTAGAACTGAAATCCTCATGAGTCAAGACCCTTAAAGAACAACAAGGAAAAACGTGTGTCTCAGTCTAAGCTCTCACAGACCCTCACTGGTGGCTTTCTAATGCACTTTTCTCAGAGAGGAGAATGATCCAGAATGAAGGTCTAAGATGCACGAAAAATGGTTAGCAAAGAAACTAGAATACATATGGTTTAATATAAGGCATTTAAAAAAATAACATGCAATAAGGGGAAAATGAACCAATCTATAATTAAAACATTGTACAAGAATATGCAAATGGGGGAGGGATAGTAGCACAGCGAAGCATATGACAGTCATTTTTTTTCCTAGGAGAAAGTAGAGGTAATTATTAATTTTAAATTGACTACTTAACAAAATTTATATACTTGAGAAACTAGTCAGTAAAAATCACAGAAACTGCATAATTTCCAGTGTAATGGAGGGGGGAAATGAAAGAAAAATAATTCAATTAAAAACCGATCAGGAAAGAGAAAAAATAGAATAAGAAAAATTAAAAGCATACACCAATATAGAAGTAATTCCAAGTCTATAAGAATCAAAATAAATGCAAATTGATAAGCTAGCCAATTAAATGATAGAGATTGTGTGGTCAGAAAAAAATTAAACCTAGCTATTTGCTGTTTATGTGAGTATAACACATTGGTCATAGAAAAGTTGACACAAAAAGATGTGAACAGTGAATAGTTAGATTGAACACTAACTGAAAATAGCTTGTGTTATCATGTAAGAAAAACTGACTTTAAAACAAAATAATATTATAAGGAATAAAGAGATTTATTACATAATGATAAAAGGTTAAATCGCCAGAAAGACAAAATAATTCTGAACTTGAACCTAATTAAGTAATCTCATATAAGAAAAAATGGACAGAATAATAAAGAAGTTGACAAATCCTCTTCATAGATCTTAACTGAGCATTTTCAGTAAATACCAAATCGAATAGGCAAAAGAGTAGTAAAGCAATTGAAGTTCGGAACAGTGTAGATAATAAGCTTCATGTATTGGATATATAGATAACTCTAACTCAAGATTTTCATATGCATCACAAAAATCCAAGGATTACTTTTGAATTTTATCCTGTATTGCCTTACTGAATTGAAGAACTATTGTGAAATAAGGGGCATTTGAAATTATTTTCTATAACACTTTTCAAACATAACTGTAATATCAAGATTGACATTCCAGAATATATTAACTTCTATATTTGTTATCACAACTTAAAATATAAAATAATTTAATCTATATTGTTTTAAAATCCTCAAATAAATAGAAGAACATTCCTTTCAGTATATGCTTACTGATTATTATGCCTACTGACATCAAATGCCAAATTTTACTAAATGTATAGTTGTGGACCCTGCAAAGCTCCAGGCCAAGGGCAACTTCTGGGCGGTCGACATAAGCCTGATCCCAGCAGAGTCGCTATGGTGGCAGAACACAGCCCTGTGCAGGTGCTGGCAGAACTGGGGTGCATGTGGAGCCTTCACCAAGGACCTGCGGCCCTACTTGCTGCGAGATGCTCCCAGTCCCCTGCTGCCACCCCGTGAGGGCTTCAGCATCAAGTCCCTGCTAGGGGACTCTGGGGAGGGGGCACCCTGGTCGGGACTGGTGCCACAGAGCAGCCCAGCTCCTTCAGGCATGGGGAGCAGTGGGGAGGAGGTGGTGCCCACCCCACCCCTGCCCTCCTCTGAGAGGCCTCTGTGGCCTCTCTGCCCTCTTCCCAGCCCCATAAGAATGGAGGGGGAGGCTTCCCAGCAGGGAGCCACTGGGCCCTCGACCCTCTCCACAGAGCCTAGGGCCTGGTCTCTCCACTCTACTGCAGGACACCTCAGTTCTTGGGTGGCTGTCCAGTGGGGGACACAGGGCCTCCCCCTGGGGGCAGCTGCCCACCTCCTACTTGCCTATCTACACTCCCAATGTGGTAATGCCCTTGGCACCACCACCCACCTACTGTCCCCAGTGTCTACCGTCAACTGGCCCTGCCTACTAGGGAGTGGCCTCTGAAACCAGAGGGCCCCCAGGCTGCTCTGGGATCTAGACACCCTCTTCCAGGAGGTGCCACCCAATAAAAGCATCTATGACATTTGGGTCAGCCATGCTTGGGACCTGGTGGCTCCTGCTCCAGGCTGGTTGCTCTCTTGGTGCAGCCTGTGAGGCTCCTAAGGCAGGGGCTCCTCCTCCCTCCACCTCCCATCCCCAGCTTCTTGATAGGGAGCCAAGGCCAGGAGGGTGTCTGCAACCACAGCAGCCTCAAAACACCAGGTAGCAGCCTTGCTGAGCATCCACGGTATTTATTGGACTACCCCACGCGTGGTTGTGGCCAGCTGGGCATGACCCTGATCCTGGTCATGCCTCTGTTTCCCCTATACCCAGAGGCAAGGCTGGAGGAGCAGGGCTGAGCCTGGAATAGCCCTTCCTTGTCTCCTCTTCTCTGTCCACCACCCATCCATCTGTCACCAGGTATCACCTCCCCTCCTGTGCTCCAAGCTGGGGGAGGGAGAGCCTAATGGTAGATCCAGCCTGAAGTCCTGCCCTCTCTCATCTGTCTGGGAAGGAGGTAGCACCTTTTTTGGGAAAAAGGTTAGGGAGTAGACTGGACCCTACATGGTCATGGTGGTGGGGAAGATAACAGGAATTTACAATGTTTTTTTTTGTTTTGTTTGTTTTAAAAAGAAGATAATAAAGTCCTTACACATGATAGGAACAAAAAACTTTGCTGCTTATTATTACAACTTATATGTAAATATATTCTATCATTATAATTAATTAGCTGAGTAAACAACTATAGAAATTATGCAGATGTTAGTTGCTAAAAAATAAAGAAGAAACAGTAATATATTAAGAAAAATTATTCCTCATAGTGTTACCTATAAGGGCAGGGAATATTTACATCTGAAGAGCCTGCAATGCTTGTTCACAGGACTTTGATGCTTTTATGCTGATGTCATTTTATTCTTTATCATTCCAAACTATCACCTCTCAGGTTTTTACCACAGGATTGACGAGGGAAGCAAAATAACTCCATGTGTTTGTGTGTCTCTGTGTGTGTGTGTGTGTGTACTGCTGCATGTGTGTCTATGAGAATATGTAGACAGAAGAATGCATATGAAGGGATAACTAGTCTACGAATGTCAGAAGAGAAGACGTGTCACATCTTATTTTTTCTCTCTATTCTTCCTAATTATTCTAAGAGCAAATATGTACCGCATATGACAAATCACTGACATACAGTATGAGATTACAAGAAAAGTAGCTCTTTATGTTAGCTTAAGGGGAAACTTGTTTAACTATTAGCTGTAGTGCTTAAATTTACATAATCCACTTACATAAAATAAACTCTCAGTTTATATGGGTTTTAAACTACAAAGAAGGGAAAGGAAGCTGAAAACAAAAAAGTGCTTAGAGAAAATAGATTTATCACTAAGAAGTTTATTTATACTCTTTTTAGGTCCACCCCTCTTCTCACCATCTTCACTAAATATGAAAATTCATACGAAGCAATGAAGCAAAAAAATCCTCTATCTTTTGCTTCTTGTCATGATATGGTTATAGTCCATGCTGATTTGTTGAGTTGCCATGTTCTCCACAAAGTAACACTGGTTCCAATACACTACTAACATGTAGTTTTCCCCATTCTCCTTGTATAAAATCATAGTCTCTTGTCATTGTTTTCCTATTCTTTCTAAAAGAAATCACATAGCCAAATTTTATAGGAAGATAAATTTTTGAAGAATCCTACTTCTGAAATTTTAGGAGAATGAAAATGAACTCACAAGTTATTCTATGCAATTGGTTAGTAATACAAATTCTATTCACTAGTACTACTTTAAAGCATAGGGCTCAAGGTACTTGGCTCTACAGTGAATACAAACAAAAATTACTTCAAATTGTTTTCAGTGAATAAGGTAAAAAAAAAGTCCTTGGTTACATCCTATTTATTACATTCTTTGGTAATTCAACAGTTTAAAAAACATTCTATCTTATTAAGAATTCAATAAAAAGGAATCTATAAGAATACTTCTTACCCCTTGATCTTAGCTTAATATGGCTACATTCTTGAGCTCTTATAATTCTTCCTTAAATTTTAAAGAACTTTATATTCTTTTAGAGTCAGATGCTGAGAACACCAAAAGTAAAGATAAAAGATTTTCTACTAATATCTTTATCAGTTGAAATTGCTCATGTTAGATTATCAGAGTATGAAATTGTTAAATAACAGCAGGATGATTACTTTTAATTTGCTTCAACAAACAAGAGAGAATTTTCAAAATTCAATTCATTGTACATCATCAAAATGTGCACTAACATCAGCCTTTCAGAGTATTGGAAAAGTGTTTGTTCATATTTTTAACACTTATATTTATTGGACCTCTCATCAACACCAAAATTCCTTAAATTGTAATAAATTTTTAGGTTACACGACTATAACTATATGAAACTTTGACTTCTGAAAACTAGTAAAGAACTAATACAAAATATGTTTTGTCCATAATCAATCTGCTTTAGTTTAGATAGCACTTGGATGTCTGGGGTCTTTTCCCTTTCAGCAGGGTATTTGTCTTTTAAGAATACAAAAGCACTACTGGTGACTTAAACAAAATTGACGCAAATGCCTTTCAACTCATAACGTAACTAGGGATGTCTATTTTGTTAACACATCCACTACACCCACATACACACACACACCCATGTTGATTTATTTATGTAGCTGTCACACTATAATGACATTGTTGAGTAGTTGCCACAAAGACTGTTCTGCAAAGCCTGAAATATTTACTGTCTGTCCCTTTAAAGAATACACTTTCTGATGTTGGACTAAAGGAAGGGAATTTAATCATATTAGAGGAAACTACTACAAATGTGACTCAGAGTGATCTCTAAAATTGTGACTAGGGTTATAAGCTGTATCTGATAGTAGTCAATACTAAACATTCTGTTGGCAATACTACATAGTAGTCGATAAATACTTAACCCACTGTGACCTAAACTGTATTATAGAAAAAATATTCAGGAAGCTAGTTGTATTTTTATATCACAGATAAAGATCCAGTTTATATAAACAGTATTGCCAACTCACCTGATTCTACCCCTGGGGCGCTCAGATTGCTCTGACATAAAGCTTGTGCTGCTGAGGCGTGAGGCACTGCTGGTTCGGGAAATGGCGGAAACATCACTGACATCACTATCTGATGATTTGGCAGAGACGTTATCACAGCTTCTGTACTGATCTTTATGTATGTTATACTAAAGATTAAAAACAAGAAAGTGTGAGCTCCATCATTAGACAATGGAAAAAACATAGATGGTGAGATGAATGACTACTTAGCCCACACCAAATAAAGGTGTACCTTCATAAGAGTAGCTGTAATATCTAAAATAATCCAAATACTACCATATGATTTCCAATATAAAAACATTATCCTTTGAGTGGTAAGAGATGGCTTATGAAGACTGAAATATAAATTAAACACAATCATTAAATGCCTGATTGGAAAAGTCATTAAATTATTTGTACATATTTAGAACCTCAAAAGTGTATTATTCATTTTTTTTCTAGTACATACGCTTCTCTTTTTTGTTTTCATTTTCATTCTTGTCCATTTTATTCACCTTCTACTCTAGTCAAAGTATAGGCTGAGCATTCCTAATCAAAAAATTCAAAATCTGAAGTGCTCCAAAATCCAAAACTTTTTGAGCACTGACATGATGTGTAAAAGAAATGCTCAGTGGAACATTTTGGATTTTCAGATTAGGATGCTCAACTGGAAAATATATAATGTATATAGAAAAAATATACCAAAATATGAAAAAATCCAAAATATGAAACACCTCTGGTCCCAAGCATTTTGGGTAAGGGATACTTGACCTGTATAGACTGCTTCCACCTGTATATAGTTTTTGATACTTTCTAAAACTAGTCAATTTAGTTAAATACTTTCTAAGACATTATAGTGTCTCTAACATTTCTTAAAAATATATAACTTTTCAAAAACAAGGGCTGATATAAACTGAGCAAAGAGGCAGTGACTGGTCTTTAGCTTTCTACTATGGCT
This sequence comes from Homo sapiens, assembly GCF_000001405.40. NCBI lineage: Eukaryota > Metazoa > Chordata > Mammalia > Primates > Hominidae > Homo > Homo sapiens. Next base: position 72,312,696 of record NC_000006.12, on the reverse strand, counting down.
TCATTAGACAGTTTCAGATTTAACCTACTAACTTAGAATCAAAAGTAGAATACTGGATCCTTATTAAAATTTCATTGTACATTATATCTTTTATTCAAAGATGCCTTTAAATTTGTCTCTGATATTCATTTCCTAAAATTTTAGGAATCATCAAATAAAAGATTAAAATATGCAAAGCTGTCAAAGCAGTTAAGCTACTCTTATTTCTACTTCACTGTCTTATTGTGATGAACCACACAGTGAATAGCTTATATATTACATATTATTTTTATATATGTTATAATTGTAATAAATAGGTTACATAACTATAAATAACTGAAAGATACCTAAAATGTGAGTAGTTTTCTTAGATACTGGAAGGTAAGATACTATAACTTCTTCTGTAAAACAAAATAACATATGGGTGTTTGTTTCTTAGCAAGCAATTTAATTTTAGATTTATGAGAAATAAAGTATGAAATATCAAATGTTTATTAAACCTGTAGAAAAAGTCATCTATCCTTTGTGATGTTCCATGTCAGAGGAATTTTAATGAATTTGAACTGTCTTGCTAAAACATACTAAATTAACTGATGCTACAACCTGGATTTATAGGTACTAAAAAGAAGATTAGACAATAACACTTAAAAATTACCCTAGAGAAAGGTCTCATGTTTATTTAATAATTTCTTACATGAGAGTAGTTTAGGACTGAAACATTAAATGTGAGTTCTGTTCTTGTTTTTGGAGACAGATTCTCCCTCTGTTGCCCAGGCTGGAGTGCAGTGGCGCGATCCTGGCTCACTCCAACCTTAGCCTCCCAGATTTAAGCAATTCTCCTGCCTCAGCCTCCCAAGTAGCTGGGACTACAGGCGCACGGTGCCACACCTGGCTAGTTTTTTGTATTTTAGTAGAGACGGGGTTTCACCGTGTTACCCAGGCTGGTCTTAAACTCCTGACCTCAGACAATCCACCCACCTCGGCCTCCCTAAATGTGATTTTTATTTCTTTACCTCTCATGTGTATGTGTTGATAAAAGAATTTCATATCAGGCATGAAAATAATTCCCAACATATAGGATATATATACAATTAGTTTTCCCAAGGATTTTTCATAATTGTGTGATTTATCTCTCAAAGTCATATGCCAAATTAGAATTCAAAGGAAATTCATATGTTATTATATCTAAACTGAGCTATTAATATTTATATGATTTCATGTTTGATCTAAAATTAATGTGATTTAAGACAATGTACTGAAAGCAATGTGACAATATGGTTTACCAGCAAATTCAGTTATATTTAATAACATGATTCTGACTAACACAATTCATTTTAATCAGATCTGTTTTCAATTTACAGAGTATATGTGCTAAAAACTCAATTATGTTCAAAGAGTAGAACCTGAATTTAACACTGTTGCTGCGTTACAAACACAACTCCTGTATTATTGGTTTTTTGAAACACTGTGCTAAAAGAGAGATGCTATGTAATTATTGTCTCCAAATGTATTGGGATGATACCTTGCCCATGACAGAATATGAAATAATCCCTGTTTTGGGTGTTAGCATTGTGCTGATACCCAGAGCAAATGCTCCCCTTATTTGATATTTGACAATATTAAGCAGTGTACACTAAAGCATAAAGGTATGTGAATGTATATGAAAATATTTTTCCAACAAAAATATTTTTAGTTGGAAATAAGCCAAAAGATGGCTTTACTTAAGCCATCTTTTCTTCAACCTTTTTGTATACAGACCTTTGTTATTCCAGAAAGTGGACAAAAAGGGATTTCAAAAATTATGTCATAATACATTTTTTATATTGAGATAAAGAATAATCTATCATTCTGATATGATATCACAGTTTTATTCACATTGATTATTTGAAGAAAGTGAAATACTTTTATATTCACTTTTAACTAATATGTTAACATTTTAATCACTGAATTTCATCAGGCATGATCTGTTAAATTTTGAATGTAACAATTTAATATTTTAATGGAAATACATAAAATATATTTTGAGGAACATAATTCCTCAGAAGGAATTTCTACCGATCCTACAGAGGGCAAATAAGTCATTGATGTGAGAGAAATAATTAAACACTACTATTTTTAGAAGTAAGTAATAATAAACACTCTTCAGCTACCTACAAAACCCATCACATCACTCTCGGTTGCTGTTCCTGGGTTACATAAACACAAACATAAACATTCTTTAAATTGTGAGTACCTAAATGTGAATTCACCTCTAATTATGAATTTCACTTCATCATTAAGGTATGCCACTCTGTATACCACCAATAAAAAAAAAATAGAATGGTGACACATTTCAAGGATACCTAAACAGCATTGTTGTGCTTTTTCAAAAGCAAAGTTAGTCCTAATTCCTTACTCAGGATGGATGTTAGGGTCATTTAGTCTTCTAAAAGACATACTAGGTTTCAAGAAGCATCTCAGGAATTACAGTTGTCTGACAATGTTTTGCCCTGAAAAAAAGTCCAGTTCTACTAGTGGTTGGTTAAAAGTATTTGAGAATAGTTAACTAACTTTGGCTTGGCATAAATTTCAACTAATGTTCATTGCTTCGTCCAAAATGTCAAATGGATTAAGATACTAAAAAAGAGTCAATAACAGAATAAAGTTCAAAATTTAATGAATATAAAATTTGTGCCAATACTGGCTCTTAATTATAGCCATAAAAATAGATCTTTATAAAATAGTTATAAAATACTTGATGTAGAATAAAAATGAAAAAGATAATTTCTCAAGTATATGCAAAAGGCTTGAATTAACAAAAATGGCTACTGAAAACAAAAAAATTCTATTGTATGTGTTAGTATATAATATAAATATTAGAGATGTGGAGAGTATTTTATCTTCTACTTGACATATAAGAAAAGGCTAATCATTTGTTTTATTTTATATAATTTCCTATCCTATATTCTTACAAGTTTTTAAAGCTACCATATCTTTGATCTCATATTTAGTTATTACAATTTTATTTAACATAGTAGTATCTATTCAGTAAGAGCCATAGTACTATATCTGAAAGTAATAGGTTTTAAAATAGTCAAATGCAAAGAGAGAGAGGAAAAGAAAAAGGGTGCCTATGCAAAGGAGGGAGGAAAGATAGAATATGCTAATCTAATTTTTAGGTAAATTGAAAGCCACATGGAGACCTTTGAATCAATCTAGAGTAATGTGTTCATTTCAATGATGTAAGTAGAACAAAGTCATACCCTAAGTCCCAAATCCATTGTTATAGGCCTCTTCACTATACAGAGAGGCTCTACTAATTTTAACACAAATTTTAATTAATTACCTCTTTCATTCTGAGCCCCAGTTGTCATAAATTTGGTAAATAAGTGAGCTGGAGTAGAAGATTTTGAGTTATTTTCAAGTTTTTAAGTTATGAGTCAGAGAATTTGGAGTCTGCACACCTACCTTTGGTTTACTATGACTACTAGTGGTGGTTTAGACTTCTGAGTACTTCATTTTGTCGATTTTTTGGATCGACTAATTAATGATCAGAATCCCAGCTCAGGATGATCCAGAAAGGCTTTCAGTATTTTACCCTGATTCTTTACTCGCCTCTTTCTTGTTTCCTATACTGGCTCTACCTCTCCTTGCTGTTCTATTTGACCTCATCTTTTGAAATAAAGCTAAGAAACTGATAAAAATTTCCAGCTTAAAAGGAGCATTTCCAGTTTAAAGAAACTTTCAAATAACTGCATCCAACTGTAGAGGGAAAACAAAACCCCAAATTACCCTGCCTTCTAATTCTCACTGCATTTGTAGTAAGAAAACAAAAACGATGATGATATCTATGAAGACAGATAAGTAGGCTGATTAGGTGATAATACCATAAATAACAAGTTGCAGACAAGATAAACCTGTATGGAGCTGAAATAGGCAATACTACGGGACATCAGGTTATTTTGCTTACCATTTTTTTGGTAAGACTCTTAGGGAGTTGAGCATCACTGAATCACAGTGACCCTCCACACTGTCTCATTTGGAAGCCCTTCTGCATCTAACCTAACATGTAAAGTGACAGACTGTATCAAACACACATGACTCTATGGTAGTCTTGGTGATAAATCGTATTTTGTAGCCACCTCTTTTTATTTTATTTTTTTATTAGTCACAGAATATCTGGAAAGATAATGAACCACTTACACTGCTTAAAAATAAGTAGGTTTTTCTAGGTCCATATTTCAAGCTAATAATATTAATTTAGTGTAGTTTTATTTACTTTTGATTTCTAATAGCTTATTACCTCCCAAAGAGTTTGTTGATATTAAATTACAACAAAGGTCAACCTATAATGGCTGCTGCTACTTTTGTAGTATTCTATAAAGAAAAAAAGCTTTTAAATAAACCAGATAATATATTTAAAATTACTTCATGAAGAACAAAAATCTATGCTATTTTATTTAAAATTATCAGATATTAGCAGTTTATAAACTCCTTGGTGTTTCCTTAGAAAATATTATTGAAATAAAAATTAAATGCTTATTAGCACTTGAAATTGTGTAAATTTCAGCTTCTAGAAGTTTGAAATCAGTTACTTTTCTTACTAAAGACAGAGCTGTAAGAAATCTCAAATCACATAATTTTTATCATTCACAAATATCAATAGTCAAATATCAATCCAAAGTTGTACTTAAGACTATAAATATATACCTTAATATCTTAAATGGAATATTTAAATAATGTTCAAGCAACAAAATGGCTTCATATATCTTGCTTATTTATGTGAATTTGACTAATGCTAATCAATCATTAAGTGATTTTAATATCAAATATTTACATATTTTTAGAAAAAAATCAAATCCAAGTTAATATTTCAATGAAGTTATATCACACGAAAATATCAAGAGGAAAGAGTTTTTTGTTTTTTTGGCTTTGGTAGAAATTATGATGCAGGACTATCATTTAATGATACCTTTTCTTTTTTTGTTTTTTTAGATGGAGTCTTGCTCTGTCACCCAGGCTGGTGTGCAGTGGTGCGATCTCGGCTCACTGCAACTTCCGCCTCCCAGGTTCAAGGGATTCTCCTACCTCAGCCTCCCAAGTAGCTGGGATTACAGGCGCACGCCCGGCTAATTTTTGTATTTTTTAGTAGAGATGGGGTTTAACCATGTTGGCTGGTCTTGAACTTCTGACCTTAGGTGATGTGCCTGCCTTGGCCTCCCAAACTGCTGGGATTACAGGTGTGAGCTACCATGCCCGGCCCAAATGATAACTTCTCTTATATAATTCGGTGCTTTCTAATCCTGCCTGGTACACACACTACACATTTTTAAAAGGGAAACTATTTGTTGGATACTACTAATTTTACCTTGGAATATTGCTCGCGATCAAGTTCTTGACTAGAACCAGACCCTGTTGTCTGCTTAAATCGATGCACTTTCATTTTCATCTGTCTTGTTCGCTCCTCCACTACTAAGCTTGCTGCAAAAACACATAATGGAAGCCTATTAAAACATGTGAAGAACCTTTCAGGAACTGAATGGTTTAAGATTTCAATGCTTTTGAAATGACTTCAATTAAATAAAATTTAGAAATAACACATGATTAATAAATTAAACAAAAATGCAGAATATACAGTACTAGCAACTGTTAATCTAAAGATGAACATGATTCAAATTACACAGAATGGGGAACGTAAATGTTAGTAACAAAATATACTCTATTTCTTGATTTTATATGAAATATTTTCAATTTCCTTCATAAATGATTATGCGAAACCAAATTTAATTGTAAGAATGTTTTCAATTTAAACAACTGTTTGTTGCATGTACATATATAGAGAAAACAAGTATGCATACTTAGCACATCGCACTATATGCACATGCTTACATGCATGCACACACCCACTTAACACCCTCAGCTAACAGTAGTCACCTAAAAATTGTTTTAATTAATAAGTATCTACTTTATTGAGGCATTCTTATAAATCTTTAATTTCTGTCCGTGGCTTCTCATGACTATTTCCCAGTCCTTAAAACTGACTTACTAAAAGATTAGCTCACTATTCCTTATGGCTATATCCGGACCACATAAATGAAATTCGTAAGTTTGAAAATGAATACATGACTTTCAGCCCTTTAATTTATAATATGTAAAGAATACTTTTAAGCTTTTATTAATCTCCTAAGTAGCAGAGGAGGGCAAGAATTGCAGCCTTTGATAAAGTATGAATTGTTCTAAGTTAGAATCCACCATCAGCAACATCACTTCAAAACCTTGCCTTTAAATTTTGCATTTTTACAAATGAAGGAGAAAGAAACAGCTAAGGTACAGTCATGTGTAGGGTAAACGACTCAAAAGCTTATACCTATGTTGTATGAGACTTATGTTTACTTTATACAACATTTGCCAACTTCCCAGACAACTCAACTTCTGCAACAAGTATTCAGATTTTTAAGTTGTAGGGCTGTGTGTGTGTGTGTGTGAGCATGCGTGTGTGTGTGTATGGAAAATTGCTTATTGGTCACTGATGTAGTGGGAACTTCTGCCAAGAGACTAATGGTTTACAAGTTAATGGAAATGTTGATATGTTTGATTGACTTGGCTGCTGATTTTATCTCTTACAAGGAGTTCATAAAGATATTTGCTGACAATTTTTTTTCCATTGCAATGACTAAATGTGGCCTATCATCCTTGATTATAAAACGCCAACACACACTTTAAAAAAAGAAATCAGTCTGTAACTTTTATTGTGTTCAAGTGCAGACCAATAGCCCAAGAGATAATAAAATTTGGAATTTGTGGCTAAGTGTTTTAATCATACTTTTATCAGTAAATTATAAAATGTTTCACTTTGTTTAAATTCAGCAAATTAGATAACCAATCTCAAATCCCTAACAACCCTTAGTTATGCAAACTAAGCAATGATACACCCCTGCTTTAATAATGTTGACTTCAGAGATAATAAATGGTGACTATTATTACCATTACAGGATAGTTCAATGGAGAGCTTGAGCAATGTGGTTCAGAAATTCATTACTTGGCAACATATAAGGAGTTAAAAGGAGTATTATACAGTAAAATGCTATGTAAGAGTAATTAGAAACTGAGACAGTTATTGAAAAATGTGAGTTATATTTACAAAAGACATATGCAATATAGAAAATGTGAAAATATCTGTTCTCTGTCTTTTGCCTATGGTGTGAGTACTTCTGGGTACACGCTCAATCATTTGCTTTGAGTTCTGAGTAAGTCAAATGGACTGCAAATTTAGTTCTGCTCTATAATTAAAGCTTAAAGCAACTCAAAACAATCTCAATTTGTAATAAAAACAGACTTAAATGGTGTTAGCTTAACTATTCTCATAAAATGATATTAACTTTATTTAAAAATATGTTGACATTGATTAGCCCACAGCTTTGCAAGCTTCACTTTTAGTGCCACGTAATTTTCAGGGTAGATGGTTACTTAGACACGGATAATTATATCCCAATAGCTACTGGCCAGAAGCAGTCTGACACAGATCTAGGGACTGAACCTTGCTAGGACAACACTTCATTTCTCTAAACATTAATAGGATTACTTAGCTTATGCTATAGCTGCATTTAAATCTTTATTTGCAAAATGTAAAACTAAATCATAAAAAGACTGGTAATACAACTAACATGAATCTAAAAATGGTTCTAAATGATTTCATTTTACCTCCCTCAAATCATTACTATACTATATTTACTCCCAATGAAGTTAAAACTGACCTTATTTAATCTGTGAAAGGAAAAAAAAATCTCCAAATTAACATTATGATTCAAAATGATGAGTAGACTCCCCTGACTCTCAATCAAAGATGTAGTTGCTATGCTATCCTCACTCTTGCTCTCGGATTCCAACAAAACCAAAATGCTAATAGCTTATCATTATTTACTCGTAGCAAAAAGCCAAATAATTACATAATATCACACACTTTTTTTAGTACTTTTCATTATTTCCCAATGACATGTGCCTTAGTGCATATTCTGAAATAACTGTTTATACAAGTTATTGTGCTTCAGTAAAAGTTTTTTCATAATCGCTGAAAAACCTTCAGTGTAAATGTGGAAATTCTTTAACTTTGCTAAAGATTTTACCATGTTTATTTTTCAACTATATATCTAGAATAAAATGACATTATTTCTGTATTGCAGATGTGTCAAGCCAAATATTAAGACAAATTTATAAAATAAGACAATTACCACAAATTTGAACCAGAAGGCACGATTCCAATAAGTTATATGATTTATATGGAGAATAGTAGTAATGATTAAAAGTTAATTGAATTCTTGAAATGTGACTGTCTCTCTAGTATCTTAGTATAAGTAAAATTAACTGTAACTCAGACAGCTCAAATATCTTCCTTTAAAAAAAGATTACTGTCATTTAAAATTTTTATATTATTTTAACAATTTTAAACCCAAGAGCAAAACTAAAATAGTAAATAAAGTATTTTCCAATTACCCCACAAATCCTAGCATTACATTCACATTTTAGGAACATTCTGAATGTTAATAGTATTGTAAACTAACTAAATCATTAAAATGCCAGTTGCTATTTCTTTATAGAAAATTTAAAACTGGGAGGCCCTGTGGTTTTTATTTTTAAAAATTTCATAAATGCCACATAATCAAGAGCTAAATAATAACTTTCATTTTTTACAAGAAATGTAATTATCATGCAATTTCATTTAGTCTTTTAATGAAAATTTAGCTTATGTATAATAAAGTCGAAAGATAAAGATATTTACTATAGACTATATTTCAGCATTAATTATAGATTTTGTGATTATAGATCAAAATGTATGTATCTTAGTTCCTCAGATGTAATATTACAATTTTATAAAAATGGGGTTGAAGGGTTGAAATATTTCACTATAAGGTACCAACTGAATTATGTGCCTTATGTTTTAAAAAAATGGTACTTTCAAAAAGCACTTATTAGTTTACAAAAATGTATTTATTGAACAAGATCCATTTTATTTATTCCAACTTTATATACATTGTTCTTTCCAAACTATGGCTTTTTTAATATTAATCTATGTATGTCACAAATCAATTCAATGTTAAAATTAAGAAAGTATAAAACTGGAACTTATTTTTAAGAGTTAAATGAAAACCATATCTGTGAAATAATTTCTTGTCTTCTAAAGCTCAACAAGAAGGAATCTGACTGGAGTATGCAAGATAAGAAAAATAAATATAATTTACAAAGTACTGTAATTATTACAATTTTCAAATGTAAAGTATTAGTATTAAAAATAAAGATATTAAAATAACTACTCTTTTCACATTCTTTGCTAAGGATTCCTAATTTAGTGTTATCAATGATCTTTAATAAATCTATGAAGAAACTAAAATCATTTTATAATCTTGTTTGTCCTATATGCATTTTTCTAGATCTATCCCTTTCATATTATTAAAAGGCCTATGACTTTAAAAAACCCTCAAAAATCCTTAATAAATCTTCCCTAATCCATCATTTAAAATTTTCTATAATATAACCTCCTTCAAAGAGATAAAGTAATTTTCTAGGAAACCTCTTTGACTTATCACATATTTGTAATTTGCTTTAAAATATTGTAAACATTATAGTTATACATAGTTTAGAACGCTTATAATTTAAACTTGCAGTAATATATTTAAAATATTCATAAATTTAATTTATATAAAAATAAATTTGTTTGGATCTCAAAATTCCTTAAATCTTTCACATTTCTCTCTATGCACCTTGAAATTAAAATGAATTTGAAATTTCAGACGTTTGTGTTTATAGGCAAAAAATAATTTATATTGATATATTGTTAAACCTCCTAATATTTTCAAGCATTAGATGAAATATGACTGTAAAAGGACAGAAATAAGTAGAACTTTTATATTATTAAATATATTAATGTAAAAATTATTTTTTAACAAGGTCAGCTCATATATGTATCAAAGTTGACACACAATAACACCTGGACAGGATATTTAAGCCTGTCTAGTTAACTATGATGTGCTATCATATTTTGTGAATGAAAAAACTAGCATCTCTGCTTCCTTGTTGTATAGCAACACAATGAGAGCTCCATGATAGTGCAGTCCCATTCTTGTTCCAGTACATCTCTCAGGAAGAGCAGTGATAAATGACCGCTTATTTGGAAGTTGTCAGGTAGACAGAAGAATATAAATGACACACCTCCTATGCTTCAGTTATTGACTGCAGTGGAAAAAAAAAGCTGAGATTAACAAGAAAAGATGAAAAAGGTTTAGCTAATTGAATCAGTATAGACTATACCAAGACTGAATAGGAAGATCAGATCTGATACATTAAATATCAGAAATATTTAATGTATAAACTATATCTTAAAATATATCAAGAAAGATGGTTTATTTGAAAATTCAAAAATACAATACTAGTCTCTGCCCACAGTTTTTTAGACTTTAGAGAAATAGGAATTGTTTATATGGATAAGCATTCTGCATATACCTGGAATCAATGTGGCAAAATAGTAAGAACCTAGGAATGGGAATTACTAGGCATAGATTACAGTCCTAGATCCATCACCATTCATCAGTTCCTCAATGTTCCTTTGATCAATTCCTGATATATCCCTCCATTACAGAATTTTTATCTGTAAAAAGAAGAGACTGCTCAGAGAACCTTCCAGCAGTTGTAGTCTATGATTCTATAGTATTTCAATAGGGTATTGTTAAAATACTTTTCTTATATTTGCAAAAATAGGAATCTCAATGACTTTGTCTCTTGCTTTATTACCTAATTTCCAGATTTTAAAATTTTCCAATTGACTATAGGTATCACGAGGAAAAAAATTCACCAGTTGTATTTTACACCACTATTTTCTATCATGTTATTTTCCCAATTTAAAAAACATCTGTTCAGGATTGATTCCAGGAACCCACCCACCACATGTACCAAAATTCACGGATGCTCAAGTTTCTTATATAAAATGGCATAGTATTTGTATATAACCTAAGCACCTCATCTCATATACTTTCATCTCTAGGTTACTTATAAGAGCTAATACAAGGAAAATGTCATGTAAATAGTGCCTATATGCATTTTTCTAAATCTATCCCTTTCGTATTATTAAATGGCTTACAACTTAAAAAAATCTCATGAATCTGTTATACTGTATTGTTTATAGAATAATGACAAGAAAAAAAAGTGTGTACATATTCAGTACAGATGCTACCAATCATTTTCCCCCCAAACATTTTTGATCCATGGTTGGTTAAAGCCACCATTGTGGAACCCATGGATACTGTGGGCCAACTGCAATGTTTTATTTTCATGTTGATCCTTATTTTTGGAGTCATGCAAACATAGTGAGAGACTTTGATGTAGTGCATATCCAACTTCTACATCTTCACACACATATATATTATACATAAAGATTAAATTTTAAAATATTTTGACTACATAGAAATGCCCTAGTTCTGGCACACTTTCTTGGAATAAAATGACCCCTTTCAACTTGTAAGTGTAAAAATGTTCCAAGTAGTTTCCCATTTTCCCTTATAACATCCTTTTCTCTTGGATGTTAAGGATTATGCTACAGTAATATAAACAATAAAAGAACATCTATCCAGCATCTACCAATAAAATAAACATTTACCCATCATCTACCAATAAAGCATACATCTACCAGCATGAGAAACAGAAAATGCAATAAGTGAGTAACACATAAGTGAAAATACCACATTGCCTTACGGACTTTTAAAGCAAAGTACCTATGTTTAGATAAGTGAAATTTAACATTGGCATAGGTGAAAGAGGCAATTTGTATATATAATCACTTAAGTCTCACTGCAGCCAAAACCACAAGACCATCTCCTGTTTTAGCACACCTATTCCCATTGAACTATCTAAAACGAAGCTCAGGATGTCCAACTCCAGACATAATTTCTCAATGTAAAACTGCCAATTCTCAGAGTGTCACTGAAAATACTAGTCATTGGCAAGTAAGAAAGTCAGGCTCTTATAAAAGAATTTGTTATATATCTTGTCCTTTAGGGTTATACAAAGTTAAACAATTTTTAAAAGCATGTTTAGGTTTTGAGAGGGAACACTATCTCCCATAAGATGCACTTCAAATACAATTTTTACAAAAAGCAACCTGTGTAATTAAGCCTTCTTTGGGGGATAACAAAACCAATCACTGAGGAAGCCATGTTATTTATACCAAGTGATCTCTAAAATGTTTAGCCATAATTTCTCATTACTCCAATAATACTAATGGATACAGAATCTATCCTGAAAGACTTGATTGGCACAATTCTGCTAAATTTAAATTTGATTTTTGAAAGTCTTTTCCTGTGTTTTACAATATTTGGGGAACATATACAACTTTAGAGAAAATACATCAAAGAGCCTGTCCATGGTTAGACATTTGTTTTCCTCAATTAGGTCTCTCTTGCAAGTTGTGTCTTGGTTAACATGTGTTAAATCCTTTGAAGCTTTAAAAGCCTATGACACTATAAATAAACACATCTGAATCACCAAATGGGAAAACAGGGTCAAAAGCATTACTTCTGAATTTTTCTAATCAATCTGCTTAACCCTCTGGGATCCTGAAGTTTAAAGAGAAGGCTACAATGACAATATATTTATGAGATTGTGCCAAAAAAAGAGATGGATAAATTACTTTTCCTAATGGAGCTCTAAATATTTATGAGTAAATATTCATTAAGATTCATAATAAGTGTTCAGGAGAAGCAATGCCCAGGAATATTAAGAAACTTGTATTTTTGAAATCTTAACACACAATAACAGAAAATGATTCACCTGGACTAATATGCATCTACTACTACTAATAAAAATGTAAATAAAACTGAGACCTTTGCTACTTAATGACAGTTAAAAGAATGCTGATTCTGAAAAACACAAAAATTGGTTTACTTATTTTAAAAAGAGTACATAATTTGTTCTTATAGTGTTTCACAACCACAGTACGCTATTGAAATGTGCTTAATTTTTATTTATACAACTGTACAAAAAATGCTAAAATTAATGTTTTTCGCTTCTTTACTTGAATTCCACTAAAGTAAAGTTAATGCTCATAAGTTTCATGGAAAATATAGTTTGCATAACTTAGCATTCAAACTGTTCTTGCTGACATTTAAAGAAGGAAAACACAGTTAACTTACTTGAGAACTTATTAAAGAAACCTGGTACTTAAAAAAAATATAGTTGACTAGAGACAATCCTAATGATCTAGTTACAATCTCTATGATCTAGTTACAATAATTATCACATATTTTATTAGTGAAACAGAAAAGCAAAAAGCACCAAAATGCTATTTACTTTGTTCCTATAAATAATAATTTACTTACTTTAATTGCCTTTCATTCTCCATGTGTATAAATTACACACTATTATGATTAAGGAAATTCATATTTGTAGAAGAGATAATATGATGTGTTTTGTTATGATTCAAAATTGCTTCCAAGAGCCAAAAACTTAATGCACTTAAAAAATAGTATCTAAAGGCATATAAATCATAAATTTATTACGACAATAACATTTTTCTCACCTTGAAGTCATTTAATTTCTGGTTCAGTTTTGATCTTCTTATATCATTATTTCGATGCCCCCAAACTACATTCATGGGCTCTTTAAAACTGTCCAAGAAATGTAGCAGAGAGGGAAAAATTGGCTTACTTTTAGAATGAATAATTTAAAATAGGCCTATAAAGCAGTTTGTGAAGACTAAAATGATATGGTCTTTCAGCTTTCAACATAAAAGAGGGAGTTAAAATGTAAACAAAGTACTATGAACATTTATAGTCCCTTGGTTAACTTTTCAAGCCAAAGGATGTGTTATCTTTGTTAGCTTTGTTAACTTTCAAGCCAAAGGATTTGTTATCTGTATGGCAATTGGAGGAGCAGGCCAGATGTAGAAGGTTTAACTGAATGCTGCAAAATTGGGTCAATAGGGAAAGGGAGGAGAAACTAAGTGGGCTTCTCCAAAATCCCAGTGCTGAGTGGTGATTGTTACAGGAACGTGGTGTGGAGCACAGAACATGGGCTGTGGATTCAAAATCTGGTTCTGCCTCACAGCAGCTTTTTTACCTTTGGCATTCAACTTAACCTCTTTCACTCTATTTCAATAAAACAGGGGTGAAAAAAGCCTTCCTTGCAGTTGTAAATGTGTTACTATAATTACGTGGTGATGCATGCAAAGCAGTTACTCAGTAAATGCTGTCTGAATGTTGAAGAGTCTACAGAGCAAAGTGGATGAGAACAAGTTCCCTGGAGGGGGATCTGTGTCTCGTTTCCTATTCTATCATTTACAAAATGAAATACTGACTGATAAGGGGCCAAGTTTTTAACCTAACTTTTAGCTTTTCGGCGGGAAAATAAAGATACTAATAGTTAGGTCTCAAGTTGTTGTGAAAATATAATGAGATAAATATGTAACACTTTTAGTAGAGTCACTGACATATAGTAAGTGCTCAATATAGCCTATCTACCATTAGTAATGCTTTGAGTATTTTACACTTCTCTTTATGTGACTTTAAAAACATATGCTGTAAAATTAATAGACTGGTTCCCTATAGGGTAACCAACCATCCTCGTTTGCTTAGAACTGTCCCAGTTTCAGCACTGAAAGTCTTGCATCTTGGGAAAACCCTCAGTCCCTGACAAACTGGAACCACTGGTTGTCCTACAAGTTCATCTACAGTTAATAAAAAATAAACCCTAATGAACCCCTTGGCTTGTGTACTGGTCTTCATTTATCCGGGATGTACTCACAATAACCTGAATTCTCTAATAAGATAGATCCCAGCAAAGACAAACTTCAGCTCACAGAAGTAGGATTTCTATGCTGTGAACTTTTCCTTTCTTTTGGGTTACGTGAGCTTAAAATACGATTTTAATGAAATTTCTTGACCTTGCTTCTATTCTTTCAAAGTTTTGAGAGCCACGTTCAGTGGCTAAACTGTGTTATCTTAAATCCCTAAGGAGAGGCGCAGCATTCTTTTTCTGACCTATACCTTCCTGGACGCATTTTGGGATGTGCTTCTTTGGTTATTTCTAAAAATGTGGTCTATTCTGTGAGGCATTTCTACATCCTGTTTCCAAGGAACGCTTGGAGGGGTGATGACACCTCTCAGCCAGGACACACTGACTGTATAAAAACAAACTGACATGTTCTGCACAGAGGCCCTAAATGTGCATATTTCATGCAGACTTTAGGTTATACTTATGGATTTTGTTTTGTTTTATTTAGCTAGGTACAGCTTTTGCCTAGTAATATATATGGAAAGGGCTCTAAATGAAGAATTATTACATTTTTCTTTCTTTTGGATAAAGGAATTAGATCATGGCCCATTTCTAATATGAATCTAATACTTTTAGCCCACTAAAATTTATCTTGCAAATCCAACTACATTCTTCTGACCTAAGTAAAGTACATTGGTCATTCTTGTACTACTGAATCTAATGTTGTGTTTTCAATATCTGACATAAAAATGCAGCAAGATGGCTAGAAATCTATGCAAAATCTATGGCCAAAACATCTTGATCTCACTGAATTTTTTAATTTTTTAATTAATATATGTATTGCCTAATATATCAGACACTATGCCAGAATAATATATATATGTATAGTGCCTGAATATAAATATTGTTAAATACATTTTTATAAATACAGATCAAATATGTAATTGAAACTGTTCTCTTTGTAATACCGAGATACATAATGCATAACTAAATATGCTAAGGGTGAGAAATAATATATTTGGTATTTGTACTTACTAAAATAGGATACACCAACATGTAGAGGAAAAGGTCGAAAGTAAAAAGATCTGGGTTTGTAGTCTACTACTGACAAGCAGTTTGGGCAAATGTCATAATCTCTCTGAACTTGTGTCCTTATTCCTAAAATAGGAATGATGTTACTTTCAGAACTAGCTTTGAGTTAATTTGTTGTTACTATGGGCAACAAATTAATTCAATCAGTCCACTTTCAAATATTGAGAAAATGTACTTTTATTAAATTATACAGAATTATATAATTATTAAATATAATTAACCTTATCACATTAAGCTGAAAACTCATGTTCAAATAGTTAATTATCAGGCCAACAGCAACTCTGAACAGAAAATGGTGTGGGCAGCATATGACTGTAGGGGGAAGCCTGCAACCTATTTGAAATTCAAGTGCAAAGACCAAAAATGCTGAATGGTTTTCTTCTCCCATGACTCTCAGAAAGATAAAATTAATGGGTATTTTAACAGTATTGAGGCAAACAGAAGTAACATTTAGGCAGCAGCTTCTCAGATGTATGACTGCAGCCAGGGCCAGAACATTCACTAAGGTTACCACTATCTGGAAAGTAAAATCCAGAGATTTTCTACTTTTACCAGGTATTACCCTGAATAGAATTAAATCTTTTATCTATGAGAGCAGGGAAATGCAAACAAACAGAAACAAAGAAAATGTCATTTTCCTAGGAGAATTGTTTTCTAGTTGTCAGTATAGATAAATAAATTTTTAAAAAAACATTAATTTTAAATAAAATTTTTAAAAAACATTAATTTTAAAGTAATCTTCTCTTCTTTGATGTGAACATAGAATATGAAATAATTAATATCAAATACACTACAAAATCATTTGAGGAAAATAGCTACCTGTTAATTTTGCTCATTATTTCAATAAATACAGTTATATAACTCTTGTATATTATATTTTTAAAAGTAACAATATTAAATGGTTAAAAAGTTATGTTAATATTTACCTTTTGTGGAAGAGTTATATTTTTCTTGTTCTTCAATGAATTAAATGCACATAATGATGGAAACAAAAGAAAGAAATCAGCAAATTTATAGTTAGACATGGAAATGTGAATTAACACAATGGCATGAATAATTAAAATGCATAACATATAATGTGACATGATAAATTGCAATGAAAAACCATGAGTTCCCAAATATGGTACTAAAATTAATCAAAGAAAGAATGAATACAGCAATTTAAAGATTTAAAATGAAACAAAAACATTGGGAAATTAGTATGTTTGGCATTTGAAAAATATATTCTGTATTATTTTTTCTTTCCTTTTAAGAGCTGTATAAAATTTCAGTACCAATTTTATTAAAACATCTTAACTTGAATCCATTGTGATTTTTTTTGGAAAAGCATTTAAAAGCATACTTAATTTTCATAACAAAAATTTTTATCATTTCAAAAATGAAAGTTCATGTGATAAAGGCTCATATGATAAAATGAAATTTATTTTTTTATCTGATAAGCAAAAAATAAATTCCATTTTTACACTTTGTTTGCACCACGGAAACTATTCTGTAACATTTTCCACATGAAAGAAAATTCTAATTTAAGTAATCCTTTTTTCTTCTGAAATTAATTAGATTAAAATACCCCAAAGTAAAATTAGTTGTTTTGTAGAGACTATACTTCTTAGACATTTTATAAGGCTTTATATCCACCTCTTTGTTTTGTATCATTTACAGAGGACTAATGGCCTGTTTCTGTATTTCTGAAGAGGAATATCATTGGAGTTTTAGATAGGTGATATAATAATGGAAGATATAAAACATAATTAACACATCATTTACTGTTAGTTTGTGAATCATCTCTAAATCCTTCTTTAAAAGATCCAGTTGAGCACAAAAAAGTTACTGGTTGGCTTCAGAAATCCATTTTTATACAACCAATTAAGTTATCTTCAGCCTTACTCTACATAAGGGATATGCTGGGATATTGTGTTGAAATATAACCAGAAAAATTTTGTGGAAGTCTTTGCTTTCAATTATCACATACCATTAGAGTTACTTAAATTATAAGGCTACTGTTTCAAGTACTCTACCGCAAAAATCTGTATTGTGATCACCTCTTTGTTTTTCCCCTAAATCTACTTCAACATAATCTGGCTCTATGTAGCAAATAGGCTAGCATTCTCAATTTTTAAAATGAACTTTAAAACACCTTTTCAAAAATTGATTAAACATGTGTTTCCAAATGATATGTTAGCCTTTAAGAGATACTGCCTTTATGGTATAAATAGAGAGTGGTATATTTGATTTATAAGAAAAAAAATACTTCCAGTGAAACAGTCAAATTGTCCTGGCATACATTCCAAAATCAGTAATGTAGATAACTGTACCCAGAAACGGTATATTAATAAAATTATTTTATAAGTGCCTCAAGAAGGTGTATCAGTATCTAGTAATCTAAACCATTTGAAATATTTGTTCTTACCAATCAGCTGCTTATCAAATTATTTCTAAACAGAAAATCACCCTTTGTTAAACATTTTTAAAAAATGGGAAGGAAGTCAAGTGCAGTAGGGGCTTAACCAATTGTAATAGACTGTGGTCAGCATTAATCTTCATGGGAGATGGAACTAAAGTTTAACAAGTAATTTCAAAATAATAAAATGGCATAATTCTACAGCCTTAAGAACAACAATGAAATCAATCTTAAATAGAACATGCTAAATCCTATCTAACTCATAAATCAAATTAAAATTTACTTTTTTAAACATATTTTAGGACAAACAAAGCTGTCATGTGGACTGTTCATTTTGAAATAGAACCATAAAAAGATGATGGCAGACGGTATAATCATTTACCAAAAGTCCTAAAGCACATATTTATATCATAAAAAACACCAACCAGGTCTCTTTTATTTATAGAACATTTATATATATAGATATATAAAATACATGCTTGTTGTCACATTTCTTAAAAGCTGTATGTATATAACTCTAAAGATCATATATTTCAGGAAACTCAAATAACCAAAATGTTTATTAGTGTATTTGTCATATTAAATATCAAAGTAACTCCACCAATGTAGTCATTCCCTTCTTCCCACCTCAATTCAATCCTTACAAATTGATGATTTCTCTGAAAGACAACTGTGAATATGAATATCATAAACAGTAACATTTATATTAACAATAGAACATGAGCTTTTTTAAAAAACCAAAATCCAACATACAATACAACTTATTTTGTGGAAGGAATTCTTATTTCTACAGAAATAATGTAATCAGAATCTCACTATAGGAGAGTTATATGCAGTACCCTTATATGCTTTTGAACCCATAAAATGTTTTATTTGCAACTGAAGGAAATGCAAAGAATTTTAGGAGCACATGACTTTTAGAATATCAATCTTTAGCAAAATATGATCGGTAAGACCGAGTTTGTAACTAAACACCCACATTTGTAGTTCTTTCAGTTGTGCAACAGGAGCTCATGAATAGATAATTTAAATAAACACCAACTTTTGCTTTAAAAAATAAATTTTAAAACAATTTCATCTGGGTTATTGCCAGATTAATTATGAATAATTTTAAAATGTTCCCAGAGAGGAGAGGAAAAATGTTAAACATGTCAATGAATAATTCCAATGAATTAACTGCGATTTTAAAAAAGAAAGTCAGAGTTTCACAATGCATCATATTTTCATGATTCACTAAATGAATACCATTTTAGCAACCCTGAAAACTAAAGCATGGAGTATCAATAGAATGTATTTTAAAAAATATAAACTCAGAGTTTATCACACCAGTGTTACTCTATTAATAAGTTGATACCTTTAAAAATCTACACTAAGTTTTCCATAATCAAGTATTCTGCATGGCAATCTATGCCACATCAGTCTTTGAAACAATGCATTTACCTTCTGAGATCTTTGACATATCTGTGATACATTCAGTAAATCACTTGAATTAAGTGAGAAAAACATGTACCCCCGTACCCTCAATATAAAATGAAATGCAAGTTTTCCATCAGCAACAATAACACTGCTGAAAAAAATATTCAAAGTGTTAACCTTTCAGTTGTTTCATAGGGATAAAGGTTTTTAATAAATATCTTAAAAGTAATTCTACTACATTTATATTACAATCCCAAAGTAGAAATTATTTTAGTAAATTGCTTACCAAATTCCTGATTAAAAACATGTGATAAAAAATAATGATAACAAGTCATGTCATCTACTAAGATATGTGATAGCACTTTGGGTCACATGAAGAATACTATTTTAACGTAGTGTCTAAATCATCTAGCTCAGGTAGTTTAGAAAATTTAGTTTCTACTAAAATCAGACCGTATACATTCTCTCTCTCTTTCTCTTTCTTTGTTGCTCAGAAAATGAAATAATATATGCATAAAATAAGGAAATCTTTAAGCAATATGAACTGCTGAAGACACTAAAACATGTGTTCTGTCATTTTTTTCATCATCAAACTTAAAATATAGGCTACTGCTAATCAAGTTAAATTAAAAAATTTGTAAAGGATTCAGTATGATTAAGTGTTTAATTTTTAAAAAATCTTTTAAAAGATAAAATATTCTTTTAACACATAAAATGCCATATTGCAATGAGATTTTTAAATTTTATTTTTTTCCTTTGTCACTTTGGAATAAGATGTTTCTAGCCCTAAATCCCTTCTGTTAAATGACCATCTAAAATTCAATCATCCAGCAAAACTCACTCAGCAAAAACTGAGTGCATGCCATGAACCACTGTCACTAGGTGTTGGGGATAAAACTGTAAGAAAATCAAATTTTTAGGATGCAGCAAACTACATATAATCAAAATACTATTCATTTAATAAAAGGGGTATAAATAGAGGAGGTTCTCAAATCCAAGATTTTTGGACAATGATCTCTCTTTATCGGATACCTTGTTCTATACTGCCGCTTCTCACTGGCACTTGTGGGAGCTGTCTTCCCCTGCGACTGCTGAACGATGTGTCTGCTGGAGGAGATTGTGTTGGACTTCTCTGTCGGTGCATTCTGCAGGCAAAAAGCAAAGCGGGCATGAAACAATGAAATTCCAATGTGGTCTGACAAAAATCTTTCCTCCTTTCTGTTACGATTAAAATAGACATAAACCCCCTCACTGGGCCAATGGGAGCAGAATCAAACACTTTTTATGATATGTGTAAATGGAATATTACAAAAAGGGGTTAAATGAGATAGGGCAATGTGCACCACACACAGTTCTACATAATGAATTCTTAAACTGAGCAGAATCCAATTCACTTCTTTTCATTAACTTTCTATTAAGTTGTTCTACCTGGGCAAGTTATTCAGTTTTGGCAGTACTGAACCAAATACATCTAATTACAGCCTCTGGATCTTAACAATATGGATAAATGAGGCAAGAAAGGCTGTTGCCTAAACTGCTACTCTTAAATTGATATTGACTATAGAATTATTTATAACTGATAAGAATTCTAGCTGCAGACTTTTATAAATTACCACTCACTTGTACTTTATTTCTAAATAGGAACAAATTTGAAAGATATTTAAAATAATCCTGGACATATGTTATGAAATACACTGGTGCTAGCATTAAAATTACAAATAAAAGTTTGAGAAGTGTGCCGATATATTACTACTGCCCAGGATTAAGCGGACTTCCATCTGTTGGCATTTAAACACTTTTCAAACTGAAGAACTTTAAAACACTCTTAACACTTTACTGAACACATATAAAAGATTTTTAAAATTTCCTCTTATGCTTTTTAAAGTAAGCACACATTTAACTCCAGGTAATTTATCATAAAAATTTCACATAATTAAAAAAATTATATATGAATATGCCACAAACAGATGAAAGGACATAACACAGCCAAATTTAATTTTCAATGAGAGCTAATTGGCAGAAACTATAGTATACCACCAGCACAGTGAAGATAGATGCAAGTAATAGAGGATGTGAGAGAGATTTAAGTGTCACAAAGAAAGGATTAAAAGTTATGGTGTCAAAATGAGTGAAAGCTTCAAGTGCTCAGGAAGGTACAACACCACACCAACACCCGGAGGCAGGACATGAATGCTGAGGGGGACACTGAATAGCGACCTTGTCAGAAGCGGAGAAGGTGGCGCCGACCCTCCAGGGACAAGGTGGTGCATAGAACACAGTGTTCTGATACTAGAGTGCTCACTCGACCTTGAGCGAGCAGGATGTTTTCCCCTAATGACTGGCTGATCAGTTGCTCTTGGGGCTGCGTGTCCCCTTCTAGAAAGACATGTTGGGAGAACCCTAAAACATTAGGGCCAAAAAAGATCTTCAGTCAGCAGGTTCACATTAACTTTGATACCAACACATTTGTCCAAGGAAAACCTGGTTACTCGTACATGACAGTAATTTCAAAGAAGAGAACCCATCACGCAATTATTGAAATGGAATTCAAATCAAACTGACAAGTTATTATTGCAAATGTGAACGCCATGTGGTTTTTAAAGACTAATTGGTGTTGCTCTAATGTAATAAACCTCTTGTATGTTCCACCAACAGCAGAGACTCCTGTCTGTTTGTTTTGTTTTGTTTTGTTTTGTTTTATAGAGCTGTATCTCAAGTGCTTACAACACAGCTGCACAGATAGCAAGAGCTCAATAAAGGTATGTTGCTTGAATGAGTGACTGTAATTAGGATGATGAATACAGGAAAGCTTCAAGTGCTTGCCTTCAAGAAGAAATACTGTAGGCCTCTATATTTTTACAATGTTCATAATTTTACTCTGTAATAAGCAAGACTATGCCAAAAACAACGAAAGAAGCCTGCCTTTTGAGGTTAATCTAAGTAGACAAAAATTAAAACAATATAAGGTGGAGAATGCTCCATTAATTATACATCTGATTAAATATAAATGGCTGAAATATGGATAAAAACATGTTCTCTCAGATATAACAATACCTGAAAATGTATGTGTCCATATTTTGACAACTATATTACTATGGCGTTTAAAATTATTATAAAGCCAATTAATGAATTAAAAATAAACAACTGATGTTTATATAGATGTACTTATTTTTTTAATGCATGCTTTTGCCTTTTTCATTGATTTTGGTATTTATTTTAAATAAAATGCATGATTAAAACACCTAGCAGGTATTATTTTGACAGAAAGAATAAAATGATACCTCATCCCTTTTTAAAGCAATACTGTAAAATTCACTTAGTGACTAAAAATGTGTGAGAATAAAGAATACATATTTATCACCAAAAGCACATAAAGGAGTGTCATTCAACTTCTATTCAGATTGGCAATTTTTCTTTTAAGTAAAATGATTTTTATAGCTATAATGATTTTGATTCTGAGTATCTTATTCATTCAAGAACAACAAAACAGGAAAATGTCAGGTTGAAGATAACAAAAAGATGTTCAGCTTAGGTCTTTAATAAAGGCGTATTTTACTTTCTTGAGCTATAAATTAATGCTTTATCACGTCATAATTCAAACGCTGAAACCTGGGCTGTTACCTCAATTTCCAAATTAAAATAAAAAGTAACTCATAGGGTTCTATATATTAAAACTGTTTATTCCAAATTGGCTTTTCACATTAACTCAACTACATAGAATGAATTTCTATGGGATAGAGTAAATGATCAAGTCCTTTCCAGTGATGAGAGTTTTATCTATTACTCTTTAAAAGTCATTATCATGACAATAAACTTCAATCTTTGTTCAAGATACTCTTTCTAAACGTGGCTCGCAAATGGAATTATACAGTTTTCACCTTAGTACTGAGAAATTTCACGGATATTACAATTTCACTTAAATCTTGCTCCATTCCTTAAAGCAATTCACAAGCACTAAAAGAAAAACTCAAATGTGACTTGAAATGTAAAAAATTTCGGTGAACTTTCTGTGGCATCAAACTAAATGGCAAAAGTATAAAAAGCAATTTCAGGAGCAAATAAATGGCTTCCTGGGTGAATATTCACAGCTCAACCACATATAGTGTTCCATCTCCTGAGCCACAAGGCTTGCAGTGTCTGAAAATAGCCTGTAATGTTTGAGGTTAATCGTTTAGCACAATATATGTTTTTTTTCTTTGACATGAAAAGTCCCTCAATAATAAAAGAGTTCCTGCCCCCAGCCACTCTGTAACAAGCATGAGATCACAGACCAAAGGAGAAGCGTAGAAAGCCACTTTGCCAGAGGAAGAAAGGAATGTGGTAGCAATGCTGAATTATGAAGGGGAAGCTGGGTAGAGGAAAAATGCAGAGCTTAGAGAGAGAAGAGCAAGGTTTTGCAGAGGAGAGATGATAGAACCAAGTATAGTTTGTTTTTAGGCAAGAGGAAAGGACAATTAATCAAGAAATTCTGAGGTACAGAGTGTAAAGTTGAAAGAATCCAGGCTGTTGTGCCCTGATCTTTTCAATGAAATGGGATGTGCTAAGAATGTAAGGATGTAAGAAGAATGATAGAGATTTAGAACAACCTGTTAGAGAATGAAACAGGGAGTGTAGGATGGATAAATAACATAACAGTAACAGCTATTCCTTACTGAGCATCAATATAGGGTCATCTATTCATGCCAAGAACTGAAAGTGTTTGTGCGCATATGCAGGCATGCATGTATTCATGCATATATGTATCTATAGGTTTATACATACAAGTATATACATATGTACCTTTTTGTATTCTCACACACTAAGAAGCGTTATTACTACTATTTTATTTAATTTTATTTATTTTATTTTATTTTATTATGACTGAGGGTCATAGAGTGACCTGGAGAAAGATAAACAGCTAAAATGTGGTAGAGGCAGGATCCACACAGGTCTGTCCAGCTCCAATGCTTGCTCTCTTTTCTGTCTAGTGAGATAGGATTGTTTGTGTATCATGAGAAAAAAGTGGTAATTTCACATCTCAGGATGTACCATGAATCTTTTAACACAAACCATATGTCCAAGTATCAAATTATTTGGCAGGACTTAACAGAACTGTGTTTGAGAGTTTGTGGAATCAAAATATATGGACAATGGTATTTAACAAATACCTACTCTATTATGTATATTTACAGCTCCTCATTTTTAAAAAATGAGGTTTGCGGCCGCGCGTGGTGGCTCATGCCACTATGGGAGGCTGAGGCGGGTGGATCATAAGGTCAGGAGTTCAAGAGCAGCCTGACCAACATGGTGAAACCCCGTCTCTACTAAAAATACAAAAATTAGCCGGGCGTATAGCACGCACCTGTAATCCAGCTACTCAGGAGGCTGAGGCAGGAGAATCACTTGAACCCAGGAGGCAGAGGCTGCAGTGAGCCAACATCGTGTGACCACACTCCAGCCTGGGTGACAGAGCAAGACTCCATCTCCAAAAAAAAAAAAAAAAGTTTGCAGAGCAAAAGTTTAATTCAAACTTATGTATGCCTGACCCTAAGTTTACCATCTTCAAGTATGTATCTAAACATTTACCACTAAGTTCAATCCATGCCTACTCTCCTTCATCTAAGACTAGAGTTTTGATTTACACTTAAGTAAAACATACTTCTCAATAAAAATTTGCGTCTTTAGTCAGACATTTTTGTTGCTGCAAATGGACTTGCAGTAAATTGCTTCTACCAAAGCCTAAAAACAATGTAGTTCTGTTGTTTTTGTTTTTAAACAACTTGTTAAAGAATGGACATGTATGTGGTATTTAAGGTCAAATTTTCAAAGTGGTTCCTACTGTGCTGGTCCGTTACAGGCCTGCACAGGCTCTTTTGCAATAACACACCATAAAATGCATATGTAAGCAATTCTAAATAGTAGTCCAAATAAAGAAATAAAGCATCCCCAAGTTAGAATGTAGAGTGTAGTTTCTACAGGAAGAAAAGTCACTAGAATGGAATGCAGAAATGATGGGCAGCAGTTCTCAAGGGTGAATTCACATGAAGATGAAAAGCTAGACTTTTATCTTATCAAGAAGCTTCCAAAGAAAATATGATACATTTCTTTAAGTGGCTTGACACAAAAAATATAAATCAGTTCTACTTGTCTCCTAATGACAACTGGTCATCATCTCTTTCAAAATATATTCTTAAAAGGCTATCTGTCATGAGGTTACATTTGTTGAGGGCAATAAAAGGCCTTTAAAATTATGATCATTAAACAGCAAATTTCGCCAGAAACCAGTGCAAAACTGTGTAGTATGACTCCTTTTGGGAAGTTATCAACTCTCAAAGGCCAGGAGTCAGTGTCCAAAGCATTTATACTGTGTCTTCGGTTCACGTGTAGCTAGATGTAAATTCAAGGTATCTTCTTAACAGCTCTTATTCAGAGCTAACATAAATTAGAAAACCCAGGCCAGTTCTTCTTTTGTAACCTGCTATTCAACAATTCACAAAGAAACTAGGCATGTAGTTTACACTCTAATAAAAATCAATGAAAAGCTTTAATTATAATCAAACACATCTAAAAGGTTACAGCTTTCTACTTTAAACTATAAGCAAAGGAAAGGCAAGAGTACTATGAATATGATTCATAAGTGTCATATATTTGAAAATGAAAGTCAATCAAATCCTTGCTATTCTGATTGGAGGATTTGTGTTTATCCACAGATTACATTTCAGAGTTGCAAAGGCAGATGCCTCAATATCATTAATCTGGAGTTAAGCACCTCCAGCTGACACTGGCATCATCTATCATTTTCTAAAATAGTATCTTATTGCCAAAAAAACTTGTTCACTGATGTATCCTTAATATATAACTACACACAGTAGTCACTCAACTAGCAATTTTTTTTTTTTTTTGAGATGGAGTTTTGCTCTTCTTGCCCAGGCTGGAGTGCAATGGCGCAATCTCGGCTCACCGCAACCTCCACCTCCTAGGTTCAAGCAATTCTCCTGCCTCAGCCTCCCGAGTAGCTGGGATTACAGGCATGTGCCACCAGGCCCAGCTACTTTTGTATTTTTAGTAGAGATGGGGTTTCTCCATGTTGGTCAGGTTAGTCTCAAACTCCCGACCTCAGATGATCTGCCCGCCTTGGCCTCCCAAAGTGCTGGTATTACAGGTGTGAGCCACCATGACCAGACTCAACTAGTATTTTTAAAAAATGAATGAAAGAATACTGAATAGAATTAAAAGAATACAACTTCAAGGAAAAGGTTTAATCATGTCAAAATAATTGAAATTGTGTAGAGGGGGCTGAAAATGATGGTTGAAGATTGAAAATTTATCTAAGAAATTATAGTTATTTACAATGATGGTAAAGAAACTGCAGTTAACTGAGCTGGGATTAAAGAATGTGAAAATACAAACATTGTTTCATCAAAGGCTATCTATCTATCGATTGATCAATTTCCTTCCTCAAAGTCCAACTCTTTGTACTACTCAACACTTTTCATGAGTCCCCTGTATCCTTATTCCATTGTGAATCAAGTTCCCTAAATAGTCAATTTCTCCATGGACCACTGTCCAGAAATAAATTTCATCTCCCTTTTACATACCACATCCCTTGATATGTCTCACACCTACTCATTTTTCAGATCTCAACTCAGTGTTAACATCCTCTGGAAAGCTTTTCTTTTTTGCTACTTGCTATTTTATTACTTGAACTTAGCACATAGTTGGTATATATCTGTTAACTGAATGAATCACTGAATTGTACAAATTCTATCTCTACTAGGCCTATTGAGATAGCCTGGCTGATGCCTTGCATCTACCCCTAGATCCTTTGATCTACCTTCCAAAAATCAGTCAAAGTGATCTATAATTTTGGAACTCAAAACTGATCCTCTGCCTCCCATGTTTAAAGCACATCTGTGGCTCACAGATCAATAAAGAAGTTGAAATTCTTTAGCATGGTATTAACATGGCATAGTGATGTCATTCATTTAACCTCTCAGAATTTCTCCAATTTTATTTTCAGGCCTCTTTTCTATCCACTGAATCCTGTTCTCCATCCCAAAACTGGTACCATTTCCCCAAACTCAAGATAGTATTTCCAATCTCAGTGTTTTCTCACGTTGTCCCCTCTCAGAATACTCCACTCTTCACACATACTTTTATGTATCTGGATTTAGCTCAAGGGACATCTGTTTATGAAGCATTTCCTAATTTCATCCTTACTGCACAACTTTTCTTGTGTTCATACTGTACCTGTGCATGCCTCTATAATGAAAGCTATGATACTTGAATATACTCATTCATTTACATCTGTGTCCCTTTACATGCTCTCAGTCATTGTTGGATAAATGAATGGGTGAATGAATATATGTTAGTTGCAATTCTTAGGTCTTTTAACACTATGTTAAAAAAAAAAGTGTCAATATGTTGTACCTAAAAATACTTAAAACCTTTGTGGAATTGGACAAATTGCAAACAAAAGGTTAGTAATCCCTTATAATTTTACATTAACTCAATGTATATCCTTGGTTATAATATACCAGTAGAATATTAGAATATATATTTGTAGAAAAGTGATTTTTTTAAAAGATGGCATTATTTAGATAAATAAGACAGTCAATAATTTGCATATTCCAGGCACTACATTCATTGGTAACATTTAAAAGATATCAGAAACAAAATATTAATGTCCTAATATGTATATAGGAATGAGTATGGATTTAATCCTTATTAGTAATCAGAATGATCACTAAGAGAAATACATAATTATTTTTTAAACCCTAAGATTTAAGAACCGCCTTGAAATTATCCTTCTCTTACTTCTTCAATGAGATCATTTCCATTTAGGGGTAGGTTTAGTTACATGAATGCCTTTAAACATCACAATTTGTGTTTAAGAACTGATCATGTAAAATGAGAGTGACAGCACCCCTAAATATATTCCTAAAATGGAAGATGTCAGCACACCACAACACCAAGCCTACCTTTCTGCATCAGAGGCAGTGCCTTTCCTAGTCTGTTTTTGGATGCTAGATCTTTCAGACTTTCTGGAGTGCCTGTGGAATGAAATGTTAAACACAAAATATATGATGAATAAAGCTACATTAACATCATACAATGATAAACACAATAGACATGAAAAATGGCAACTATATTACCTAAATGATTTTGTCAGTCAGTACTTTTCAAAACTAAATAAACAAATAAATGAATGAATGAATGAATAAAATGAAAACCAGAATTGGTGCCAAGTGGAAGACACAAGTTGCCCAATAGAAGACACGAGAAGCTGACATTTCATTAGTCTAGACAAGTACGTCTACAACAATGATCTAATATGAACCCCTACTGAGCAACTCGGCCTCTGCTGATGAGCAAACAAATGCAATGGTGAAGTGTAATAATGATAAATGTGATGATGGTAATAGTTTAGGTGCTGAAAGGCTTCAAAGGGGTGAAATGCCCCCTACTTTTACAAGTTGAAACTTGGTGCTACAAAGATTTTTTTTGATTTGTCCCCCACAAATTGTGAAGAAAAGAGAAGAAAAATGCTACAGTTAAAGATGTTTTATATAAATGAAAGTATTTATATAAAGTATTAAAATCATTTTAAAATTTTTCATAAAGATGCTTTTATAAATTACATAGCATTTTTAAAAGCACACAGCATTTTAATCACATTACAAATCATATTCCCCAGTTTATTCTACTTTTTAAAAGTACATATGTGCACTGAACACTTGAAATGCATTTTTCCCACAGAAATAATTTTTCTATAAAAAGTTTGCTTCCCCACAGCAGCTTACATATGTCTAATTAGCCTAAAATGTCTTCAGTACCATATATTTGAAATAAGTAATGTAAAATATTGTGGTCAAGAAGCTCACACTTATTACAAAAAAAAAGAGAGAAACCCTAGGAATGTGTATTTAATATTAATTATCTACAAATTAAGCTTATTTTTCTTTACTGATATCCCTTTCTCCCAACAATGTTGAGAAAAATATCTGTCTTTACTTATTAATGTGTGACATCCTAATTAAGTATCTAGTATATACCAAGTTCTGCTAGGCACTAGGAACACATATCAAGGTACAAGCCTTCACAGGCTGTTACAGAGTTCTGGGACTGCTCATCTCTCCCAATCTCTTCCGCTTTCGCCAGAAATTGTGTTCACACTCTCTTGCCCCTTCAATTCAGGGTTTCAGCTGTGTGTTTTCAGACTCATGTTAATCTGACATACCACTTTTAAGATAAAAAAGGAAGAAATAGAGGAGTGAGACATCATATTCCCTTACCAGTTGGAAAAGAGCGTACTCAATATATTGAGGGATAACTATGTCAGGCACTGAGGGGGATATGAACTTACTTAAACTCCATGAAAATCCTTTAAGAATGTGTCATTTCCATTTTATAGGTGAAGAAACAGGCTCAGGGAAAGGCTACTCAGTTAGAAAGTGGCAAAGCTAGGATTAAAATCTAAGTTTATCTGGCTCCTAAGCTGTTTCTGTTCTATACTATACAGCAAAGAGAGTGGAAGAGAGAGATTCTGGCACATGCCTTATGTGTGTATCTGTTCTGGAAGGAAGAAATGAAACCATGAAATCAGGTGCTGGGATATCACTAACAGATGACTCTCTCTCTCTGACATTAAGGTTCTTATTTACTTTATTGCTTCTGTGGTCAGGAGAGGGGATCATGGGTGGTAGGGGGGCAGAGATTCCATGATTGATTTCATGGCTGAAATCAATGAGACATGGTTGTTGGGAATGGAATCTTGTTCCTGAAGCACAGGGAAGAAGGCATAAGCATAGTGGGAAGATGAGAAGTAAGGGGAGAAGAAAGGATTAGTAATTAGATCTGCAGGCTCAGGAGGTATTGGAGCTCAAAATAAAAATAGTTATGGGAAATTTATGCTTGGTCCCCACAGTGCTCAAGGCAACTGACTGGAAGATCAAATGCTCCTTTTCTCATCTTCAGCACAAGTAGAGCAGATGAGAGTGGAGAGATTCAGGAAGACCCACAAAACTTACTGTCATTAAAATTTCCACTCATTCATTCATTCATCCAACAAACACTTGTGCATGTATATATACTAGGCACTGTTCTAGGTGGTTGGAATATGTCTGTGGAAAAAAAAACACAATTCTCTCTACCTTCAAGAAATGTACACTTTGTTGATACAAGACAAAAAATAAACAACAAAAAGTAGCTCAAACAAGTACATTATGTAGTATGGGAAAAGGTGATACATGTCAACAACAAAAGTAAACCAGGGTAAGAAGGTGGGAGTTTAGGGGCAGGAGCATATTGCAATTTTAAGTAGGGTGGTTGGAAAGGACTTATTGAAATGGTGACATTTTAGCAAAGATGTAAAGTGAAGGAGATAGCCATGTATATTGTTAGAGAAAAAGTATCTCAGGAAAAGGGAAGAAATAATAGGAAATAATAAGAAGGCAGGGGTCAAGAGAGATGATTCAGATGAAAAATTTTGCAGGAGAAGGCAGAGAAATTGTGTAGAATCTGGTGGACCCTTGAATAAAACTTCTGCACAATCAAAGGGCTATTGGCATCTTTTTGAAATAGCCTGCTTTTCTTCTGATCCCTGGCAACTTCTATTAATTTCTAGACCCAAGTGATATTTCATTTCCTCTGTGAAACTTTCAAACTCTTCCTCCTCTTTTCATCTCCTAAAATGTAATGGATTCATATATTAGATTATCACAGTAATCAATGATTGTTGTAACAGTGATTATGATATTAATAATATATAACATTTACTGAGAGCTTTCTCTGTGATAGCATGTTCACTTTATCTGCATTATCTCATATAATCTTCTTTCCAATCCAGAGGTAGGTACTACTCTTTTATCCTTTTTAAGAATAAGAAAATTGAGAGTTAGAGAACACTTTGTTCTCGCTTACATGGTCATTCAACATCTAGCCAGGAGGTGAACTGAGAGTCCATAATCTGAACAACAGTAATCATGTTGTATCTCTGGCATAAATGGCTAAAATAATGAACTGGGTGTAATCTCAGCTCTGTTCTGGCTAGCCAGGCGATTTTGGTGAAATTACTTAATGTCTCTGTGCTTCAGTTTTCTTTTACCTAAAAAGTGGCAATAATACCACTACCACTGCACACACACACAGGTTTTGCTAATTTTAAATATTTCAGTAGTACTCAGTATTGTAGTATTTGTAGTATTACACAGAACTAGAATTGACTATGTTTTTTGCATTACTTGGAATTAGCAAGTGGTGCTATGAAAATATTGCTTTAAATATTTGTTTCTTGAAGGCAAAGGGTTTTCTTACTCATCTATAAAAATATAAAACTTAGAGCCAGTGCTCTATAACTGGATAACAAATATTCATGCAAAGGCTCATAATCTAACCTTTTAATTTTTGTTTTCATTTTTAACCCTCTTATTGAGGATGCCCCTTTTTTCTCTTCAAATAGCAATGAAATTTACCTCCATTAAAGATTCTTCTAAAGATAACTACAAAGGATATGTCTTTATAATTCTTCTAACCCCTTAAAAGAATACGTAAATTAAGTTAAAATGATATGCACTTAATTGCAATAATTTTCTGTAAAGGAGCAGAGAATAAAATAGAAAATTCTAATGTTATTTTCTATTTTGAATCCAAATTATAGCCAAAATATTGTATATTTTAACACAGCCATGTCTTAGAATAAATTGGATTGAGATATATAAAATAGGAAAGGTTAGAACAATCCACCTATATTCATGTACCATACTACTGAAACTATTAATTGTGTAATCACAAAATAGATCATACTAAAATGAATTACTTTCTACCTTATACCACTTTAAGTTCCCTGTGGTCAGGAATTGTGTCTGTTTGGATTATCAGTGTAATATCAACACCTAGCATATGGTAGTTGCTCAATAATTATTTGTTGAATGGATAGTTTAAAAGGTAATATTTTGAGTATTATCATTAAATTTGAAAGCCCAAAAATTACAATAAAAAAGAACTAACTAGGGCTATAAAATCTAGTTTGCCTCAAATGAAATAAATTTAAAAATAAAACTGCATAATTTTCTGGCCTTCAGCAAAATATAAAATACTTAAATACAACATGACCTTTGGTTTACTGAATAATACATAATGAACTGTCAGTCATTATCCAGGGCCTAATGGATGTTTTAACATGATGCAACAAGGCAGTATAGACTCAATTTTAGAGTCTATAGGACATTAAAATTCAGCTATCCCATGTATAACCAGTTAAGTTTAGAGATGAGGAAACTTAGTCCACAAAAGTTTAAGTGTCTCATCCAAGCTATGATAGACCTTAATAAGTTGATGAGGATAACACCATCACACCCCTATGTGCTTAAGTTCTCTGCTGACTCTGCCACATGTTCATTTTGAATGATTAGATGTTTATTTGAGAGATCCCTGGGCACGAGTGAACAAGACAACACTGTTTCAGTGTTTTCATTATGTCTTATTTTTAGTTTAAACATGCTTTTTTGTTCTGGCATAAATTTTTTATCTTTACAATATTATTCATAAAGAATATTTACTTGGTTTTAAACATGCAAGAATCAGAAATCTTGAGTTTTTCTCCCTTTATTCACAACTTAATAGTTGTGTGATTTTTGGCCTTATGCTTTCTAGTTCACAATGTACTAAAGAAATTCTTTTAAAGCTATAAAAGTACATTCAACTGTAAGGTATAAAAGCAATTATTTTATTATTAAATCAAAGCTAGAGTAAAAATCAGAAAATGGGATGTTTCTACTTAAACCCCAATTCTTTTGAAGTTCCATTTTCTGTGATTATTTCCTTTCTATTAATTTAGTGTGAAGATTTATAAAATGAACTGATGAAAAACAGAGGTAATTGTTAAAATCTATGTGTTTTCTTTTCCTTTTCAATAACTAATTTCAGTTAGGGTAACTCTCTAAAGACGTTGGTAAATAAAGCTTTTCTGAAGGCATTAAAATTTTATTAAAGGATAAAATACTAAAATTTTATTAAAGGACAAAATTAATAAAATCATAATTATTTAAGACTATTTTATAACAATGAAAACATAGTCTGTTCTGCCTTGGAAATACTGTAACAAAAGTCTACTACATAATGTTTTCACTTAATTAGAGCTAACACTGATATCATAAGAATATGTCTATATTTTGGCTTACTACTTACATGGCTTATACTGTCTTAATGTGCAAAGCAAATCTCTATCACCCTATTTACTCATTAAGTTTGGGAAGGAAAAATTAAATTTGAATAGAATCAACCTAAATAAGAGATGTTCCTATGCAGTGAAGATGGATGCATGCAATTAAGATACATTTACCTTCCTGTATATTATTGATATTTATGTATACGACTGTAGCTATTAAATAGACTCACCATATTTTAGTTCATGGATACACTTTGTTCATTCAAAGAAAGAGTATTTTTGAAAAGCACAGATAATAAAGGATATTATAGAACAAAAAGAAATAATAAGTAATGTACTGTATTTATTTATAAGTGGTTCTACACTAACTTTGAAAATATGTGGCAACTGCCATGAATCCTGGAAGCAAAAAGTTTGTGATTTGTTTGTCCCAGAATATTTTCAAAGGAGAAATAAGATTAATTCATTTTAAATCAAAAGAAATCACTTGATACTCTTGGTTGAGGATTCTTATAGACAAGTAGCTGCTACCAACTAATAGGTATAGGAAACTACACAAATTTGGTTATCTGCAAAAGAAACTAGAGCCACTTTAGCAGAACAACTCAGGAATTAAACATAGTGGGATGCTTTACTTAATTGAAAAATTTAAAGTTCTGGAAATAAGATTATTTAACCAAATATTTTTGGTATTTGAGTCATGCACTACTAAATTGTACCCTTAAAAATCATATATAGATAGATAGATAGATAGATAGATAGATAGATAGATAGATAGATTAAAAACCATTCTCAATCAAAATATTGAAGATAGTAACTGCAGTGATTTGTAAAGCCAGTGACATGTTAAAATATACCTCAAAATGTACCCAATGAAAATATTGCATTTTCTTGAATAAAACATTTACCAAAATAGTTTAAAGTTTTATTTAATAATAACTTACACTAGCCTTTCATTCTTAAAGACGATTGATTAAACTGTAAGCACTAAACTCAGAACTCTGATGCTTCAGGGCCATATTAAAATATATTTTTTCTAAATGGCTACTTACAAATTTTGGTTAATTTCAAGCTACAACTCAATCTACATTTAATTTACACTCATATAATTACGTATATATAGGTTCATTAGCATTTTCATGTATTAAAATAGTGTTATTTCTAAAGAGATGCTTTGTTATTGGAATGATGATTTTTTAAGGGTCAACATTTTTAGAAATAAAACTACAAGGAAATTTTCACTACAATTTTAAAATCGAAAACATCCCCTGGGATTCCAAATTTATGTATTTTTTCTTCATCAATGTTTTAAATTTCCTCAATTTCTAGAAAATATTCTTTTTTTTTTTTTGAGACAGAGTCTGGCTCTGTCGCCTAGGCTGGAGTGCAGTGGCGCGATGTCGGCTCACTGCAAGCTCCGCCTCCCGGGTTCACGCCATTCTCCTGCCTGAGCCTCCCGAATAGCTGGGACTACAGGCGCCTGCCACCGCGCCCAGCTAATTTTTTTGTATTTTTAGCAGAGACGGGGTTTCACTGTGTTAGCCAGGATGGTCTCGATCTCCTGACCTCATGATCCGCCCGCCTCGGCCTCCCAAAGTGCTGGGATTACAGGCGTGAGCCACCTCGCCCGGCCTCTAGAAAATATTCTTAGATAAAAGTACCTTCATGTTAATTCCAAATAAATCTATGGTATCACTTGAGAAAAACTGAGAATGCTTACTGTTAAATTATGGAGAAATGGTTCTCTAAAAATTGTGTGTCTGTGTACACATATATGCTGTGGGAAACAAGAGGGCAACTAAAAGCTTTTCAATTTATTTGAATGTACTGGATAACTCTCTTAAGGAATAATTTACGTTCTGCATTACAATGTTATTTTCAAAATAATCAACTATGGCCCTGATAGAAGATATCCAAAGTTGAATTGTATAAATTGTCATTAACTTTAGAATATTTTCCTGGCTACCAGTGTCCAACAATAAAAGTCACCTAACGCTGAAATTCTTATGAACATTCACTATATCCAAATCTGATGCCATATTTACTTCATTTAGAAATTGGTAGAAACTTCTGAATGAGTAAATAAAGCTGATGAGAAATGAAATGCCAACGTTCATTACGATTTGCCAAGTGGTTGACATATAACCTATGAATGTAGCATTAGTGGACATAATTTATCTCTCATTTTATACGTACATATTTGTCTTATATTTTAATAAAATTGTATTGTAAATAATTCTCTATTCTCTATAGTAATAAATAATAGTATCAAGAGATGTAAAGTGTATTTATTTTGGTCGAACATAGGACTTATCTATAAATATGTTATCATAAAAAAGCAAAATATGTATTCAAAATTATGTATTTAATAATAATTTATTTTAATAATCTTATCTAAAAGGATCATTTCTGGTCCCAAAATCTACTCTTATAGTTACATATACTATCGAGACAATCAAATGGAATAATTCATATACCACTAAATTAAGCTAATAACATCTCGTGTATGTAAGAACTGAAAGTATTATTTGAATTTCCATTTTGCTTAATCAATGCCCAGATAAACTTACATTTATATTCATTACAAAGATCATCATGTTTAATTTTCCTATACTCAATCAATACAGAAGATGAAATCTACTATTTTATTTGTTTTGGAATACATACAAAGGTTTTCTAGAATTATCTTTTCTTTTTTTCTTTTCTTGGGGATCGGAGGGGGCAGGTTCTCACTCTGTTGCCCAGGCTGGAATGCAGTAGTATGACCATGGCTCACTACAACCTTGACCTCCTGGGCTCACAGACTGTGTGTGCACCTCACCCTTCTGAGTAGCTGGGACTACAGGCATGTGCCACCACACCCAGCTAATTTTGAAACTGTTTGCAGAGATGCAGTCTCACTGTGGTGCCCAGGCTGATCTCAAACTCCTGGGCTCAAGTAATCCTCCCCACTTGGCCCTGGCATCTCAAAGTGCTGGGATTGCAAGTGTGAGCTACCATGCCTGGCACAGAAGTATTTTTTCTAAAAGAAAATTCTAAGTTCCCTGATGGCCAGGACTTTGTCTGTCTTAATCACTGTTGTGACCTAGCCATTTGGATAGGGTGCATAGTAGGGGTACAATAAGTTTTTATTGAATAAATGAGTAGCAATATAGATATAAATTTTTATTGAATTTACACAATTATTTTATATTCTTTTTTGAGAAGACTCTACATTTGTAATACTTTTTAGATTGGTTACTAGTTTTTCTAGTCCCAGAATTTCTATCCTAGAAATCAGACAGTAGCAGAAAGAATTATATTTAATTTCCAAATATGTAAATGTAAACCATATTGAGGCAAGTATCTTAGAGATTAAAAGATGCTAAAATGTTCCTGAAACCTTCATAAAATATCAGTTTGTAGTCTTTTCCAGTATTTGTAAAACAACCTTAATTTTTTTCTTGGTGACAATGTTTCCTTTTTCTTTCAAGCTAAAATCCTGAGGATATCTTGATTGTTTACAAATACATAAAATAAATTGTGTCACGGTTAACTAGGGCTTAAATTACTCTGCCGTACGCACACACACTAAAAAAAATCTGTACATTTACATGACTAATTATGCTGCTTCTGAGATACCACGTCTACTTATCTGCTGAATAAATATTACCAATGCGTTGGCTGAATTTCTGCTTGAACCAGAAGAGAAGCATCTCAAACACCCAAAAACCTTTGTGACCAGTCAGGAAAACACATTTAAAGATAAAGCATATATATATATATATATATATATATATATATATATATATATATATATATATATATATATACCATAAAATAGGAAAACTGGGTCAACTTCACACTGAGAAGAATAACAAAGTAATGGAAAATATATGTTGTGGCACTTCTGACATATCAGCATAAAGTGGATTCAAAGCACTGATGCTATTTTTAAAAACCTACCTTGGGGACTGACCCCTTAGCCCTGGACAATATTGTGTTTAACAATACAATATTTATAAAATATATAAAAACCAGGTATTTTACTTAATAAGACAGACATTATTTAATATAATCAAAGCCTAAACTTCATTGTTAACAAGTGTACACAGCAGCAAAACAAGACAACTGAGATAAAACCATCAACCAATATAACAAATAGGCTCTGTGACAGATTTTAATATACTCTAAAGCACCTGAGAATTTTTATTTACTTGTCAACAAAAACAGTATTTAAATTTGTTTCCAGAAATTCAAAACACAATCAAATGCTCTTCAAAACAGAACATCCTTTCAATGGATCCTGACTTCACTGGGTTTAAACTCTGCCATTTGTATGCTATCCTCATTTCAGTAAATATTCTGAGGTGCTTTACCAGAGTTGGCTACATCTAACATATCTGGCTCTGGCTCCTGGAATAAAGTACATCATATTCAACTTTTCTCTTGGTTATCCTTCAGTTGGTGGCCTATAAGCTTCTAGAAGCCACTTGTCT
Source organism: Homo sapiens (assembly GCF_000001405.40). Taxonomy (NCBI): domain Eukaryota; kingdom Metazoa; phylum Chordata; class Mammalia; order Primates; family Hominidae; genus Homo; species Homo sapiens. The sequence continues at coordinate 72,274,454 of NC_000006.12, read as the reverse complement.
GTGAGGAGGAGTTGACTAGTACCTGTCATTCTCCGGAGACGCATGCTGGATTTGAATCCTGGGACTAGGAGGTCGTCTCCTATCTAGGGAGGGGGACCATCTACCCCTGTTTGCCCAGTGAACAAGACAGGAAAAAACAGGACATTTAGTAACTCCTAAAATAAAAGAATACATGGAACAAGAGGACTGGAAAAGCACCCCATAAAGGCAAAGTGTAGATTCTTTGCTCCATAATTTAAAATCTTCACTGTTATAAGCCTTGGAAAGATAAGTTACAATACTTTAAGAACATAAAACCTATAATCTTATAAGTGAATAAAGAAACAATTTATTCGGGAAGATGTTTGGAATCCGCCTATTAAGTGTAGTTTTTTTCTTCCAAAATGTGCTTCTATGTGCATATTTAATCTATAAATATACAAATATTAATGTAACTTTAAGTTCTTAAAGATGCATCTTTAGGAATATGGCTTATGTTTGAATAAATAGGTTTAATAAGCTACCAATGATTTTGTGATACCAGGCCTTGAAATTACTGGGTAGAGTTGCAAAGGTGGGGATGTGTGAATTTAATACAAAGTAAGGAGCACAGTTAAGTAGAAGAAATAAAAGTGTTCTTCAGTGTTGAAACCGTGACATGAAGAAATAATTCATGGGAAAACTACAAGTGAATTCTTAAGTTTTCTTGTCAAAAACCACAGGGCTAATTACTGAACTTTAAAAGCTGTAAGTAAACGATACTGATAAATAAAAGCAAAGAACATAGATACATGAAATGATAAATTAGCATTAATTTTTTTTAGTTTCACTGGTTTTTATTTGCAAAAGTATGTCAATTAAATGGATGCTTTTTAGCTCAGCATTTACAATACTTTTCTTGCGATTAACAGTAAACACAAGTTAGAAAACTGTTTCATTCCTTTGTTAAGCTACCTTTAGATTCTGTCTGTGCACAGACACAAATTTCAAACATCTAGTTAAAACTGAGGAAATAAGACACTGAATGGGTCAGAATTAAAATTTTTTATTTATTATATATGAAAATTCTAACAGGATATTTTTCTCTAGATATTGGCTTTCTTGTATGAAAGAAGGAATAACTGGATAGTCTTAAAGGACTCATTTAGGTATAAGATTTTATAATTATCCAAAGGAGTCTAGTCCTACCATTTCAAAAAGAAAGTTTTCTTTTTGAAAACTTGCCAGATATAACTTGGTTTACTGAATATTTTAGACCATCTGGCCAAACATAGCAAAGGGCTTCTGTCACTCAGGATATGCGAGGTCATCAGATACTCAATTCTGAAATTCTCTGGAAGCCTTTGTTTAATCTATCTTAAATAGACAAACTTGGCATGATTCAAGTCAGGCTTTGAAGAAGCCATGAAGCAAGTGAAAATACTGAATAGCAGATTTTGAGCAGAAGATAAAAATGTGTGGAACATACTCTTAAAGGTGATAAATGTTGATGAAATAACATTTTGCATTAACTTTATTTAATTTTTAAAAATTATTTAAAGGATTGGTCAATCCAATCTGAATGTTTTAAAAAGTTTCTTTTCACTGTACTGGCTTTTGTTTATAGATAAAATGAAGAAATAGTTGTAAAATAATTGGAAAAGAATTACGACGACAGCATTTTCTACATTAAGGTATATACTCAGTTGTGTTAAAACTTTTGGTGTTATTTGGAAACATAAATATAGACTTAGTATTTTTCTGTGAAGTAACAATATTAACTGGACAGAATTATGAATAACCTTGCTTCCTAGGGCAAAATTCCAGTCCTTGTGCTTATTTAAACATAAAAGTAAAGAAAAAGCAAGTAAAAATGGCATAATTATGAAACATGCAGTGAAAGCTGTGGAGGAGAAAGATGTACATTTAGAAACAAGCAATTGTGAATGCAAGCGATTAAAAGGTAATTTTAAACGAATATTTGGTTTAATACACGTATATTTGTACACTTAGAGTCCTTCTGAATATGCTGATATGTAGTACCAATATAATAAATCTGTTTGCTTTTTCCCACATACAGTGGATACAACGAGAGCAGGATCAATTTATATCCAAGCTTTTGTCCTAAGAAAAGATGTCACTTAAGTTTTAATAACACATCTTTGTAAGTTTTAAATATACTAGCATATTTTATATGCTTTCTATAATAGGTGCTACTTCTGGTTTTTTTCCCTATTACAAGGAATGACCAAAATTAGAATCTTTATCTCTCTTCCCAACTCTGGTTATTGAGAAATATACATAGCTTCAACTTTCATTTCTATTTTCATTTTACAAGCTAATATGGCAGGCTACGTTGGAGATTTTAATCATAAAGTTGAACTAAACCGGTCCTTTCTTGATTTGTATTTCCAAACCAGCCTACCTAAAAGTTCATTGCTTAGTTACTTAGTAAATTATTCATACTTTAGTATCAGGTATTCTAAATTCATTAATTGAGGAACATCTATTTCTTGGGAGCCCACTCCTTTCACTGTGATCAGAAGAAAAGAAGAAAGATCACTCTGGAGGCTACAGGATTGAATAAAAAGGCTGTGAACTCCCTGCAGAAGGAAATACAGTGAGGCTTTTTTGTTTTTTGATAATTGCATCCATTATGCATAGCACAGAATAAACAAATATTTGTGAATGTTTAAGTAAATAATGACATAAGGCTATTGGCTTTGGGGATAAAGAATAATGAGAACCTTAACCAAGAAATAGACAGTGCTATTGACATAAGGGGATTGAGAATTGATAGGCCTCAGAAAGCAATTAAATGATACTTATGTTGCAGCTCTTCCCTCTCCCCCAGGCATTGATAAACTTTAAAACAAATGTATATGTGTATTATTAATACCTGTACTTGCATATACACACGTCTTTCAATGGTGCATATCTCTTGGCAGAACATGGCTAAGAAGCTTAACTATCTAAAAAAGGCATTAAATAAAAATGTAAGTCATTAATTCCATAAATAGCACAAATTAAAAATATGAGGTATTACAACATTAGAAACCAAAACAAATGAGATAACTGATTATACACATATATATTTTTATTGTGTTTTCAATTAATAACTTTAGTCCTTAAAATTTTTTCCCTATTATTTTAAACTAAATTTCACTTATTTTAATTAACATATATATATATATATATATATATATATATTTTTTTTTTTTTTTTTTCCTTGAGATGGAGTCTTGCTCTGTCACCCAGGCTGGAGTGCAGTGGCACCATCTTGGCTCACTGCAACCTCTGCTCCCCGGGTTCAAGCGATTCTCCTGCCTCAGCCTCCCTAGTAGCTGGGACCACAGGTGCACACCGCCACGCCTGGCTACTTTTTGTATTTTTCATAGAGACGGGGTTTCACCATGTTGGTCAGGCTGGTCTCAAATTCCTGACCTAGTGATCTGCCCGCCTCAGCCTCCCAAAGTGCTGGGATTACAGGCATGAGCCACCACGGCAGTACTTCTACTTTGAAACAAGATCTATGATACATATTTCAATTTGATATATAACTATTGATTTTTAGGTAGGAACCTCCTTTCCCTTAAGTCTCATGTTTCCATTTTGAGGGAAATTCATTCAAGTAAGCCTTTCCTCATTGCACCCCAAGGAAGAAAGAGTGGCTTATATGATAGGTGACCATGGTAAAGAATTGGGCACAGGAAACTTAGCCCTTTCTGGATTCCTTTTTCCAAATTATGATGCCTGCAAACAGCACAACAAACAAACTTGTAAAGCAGTGATGAGATCTGAGGCCTGACCCTGTAGCAGAAGTTTGTGTGGCTCAGTGAATCTGGCTGATTCTGGGATTAGTTATTAGCCATCTTGCAGACTCAAAGCCACAGCTTTCAATTCTGTTCAAAGTACTTATATTGAAAATTAAATCTCCCATCTTTCTAGTACCTGGGTCTAACTCACAGCTCAATCCAACTTTGAAGTGAAAAGTAGAAGGTGTTTTTTAAGCCCCTAAACTCCCCAAATGAACGATTTACCAAGTAAAAAATACATCATGTTGTCACTATAGATGGAAAAGAGAAATAGGATATTATCCCTGCCCTCAATTAGAAATTATAACATTAAAAACCAAACAAAATGAGATAACTGATTACACACATATGTATTTTTATTGTCTGTTCTAATTATTCATTTTAGTCCTTAAATATTTTTCCCCCAATATTGTTTTAAACTAAATTTAACTTATTTTAATTAATACACATAGTTATACTCTGAAACAAGACCTATGATATCTATTTCAATTCAATTTATAGCTGTTGATTTTTAGCCAAGAACTTCCTTTCCCTTAAGGCTAGTGTGTGTGTTTCTTCCACTATATGGTGATATCGTGGAAGAATATCACAATATAGTGGAAGACACAAACATACTACAGTACTAAATAAAATACAATGTATTTTAATAGAAGTATATAAAATTAGGTGGGCCCAGAAAAGATAGTAAATAATTCTGACTGGCAAAAGAAAAGGAAGTATGTGCGTGTGTTGGTGGCGGGACTGAGGACAGGGGAGGAGGTTAAGAAGGGTTTTACAAAGATATGGTATTTAACCTGTATTTTTGAACAGTGAGCAGAATTTTTAATCAGACAACAAAGGAAGAAGAATATTTTAATTTTAATAGGAAGAAAATGAGATATAAGTTAATAAAGACTATTAGAACTTAAGAAAATTAATGGGAGCAGGAGTGTCACTGGAACTGGAGAAGGGCTATCTATTAATATATTCAAGGTGAGGGACCTGTTCCGAAGGAATTGATTGAATTTATTGTGACTGAATTTGTGACGGAGCAGGAAGAGAAGTAGTTGCAGATTGTGTGGCTGGTTATATGTCAAAACCATAAAATGAGAGAAAAATTTAGAAAGAGGAAGGATTTTGCTGTAAAGGGACTGAAGTGGGGATAATGAAGTTGATTTAGACATCATCATTTAGAAATTTAGGCCTGACAGGGTCTGGTCAATCATAGTGGAGGGTTGTCTTCATATGTATTGGAGTGGGAACCTTTTATAGAAATAAAATTTAAGGAACAGTACAGTATGGGTGGGGCAAAAGAAGAAAACTGGAGGTGGAGCTAGGGAAATACCTATCTTTATAGGACAGCGGAGTAAGACAAGCCTTCAAAGCAGACATCATAACAGAGGTTTAAGAAAATCTGTAGAGGTACTTAATGGAAGAGAGATTCAAGTGACAGGGTGGGTAATGTAAAATGTTGCAAGATGTTGCTGAACAACTAGGGAGCCAATGTAAACCACAGAAGAACTTCAGTACAGCTACAGATTACAGGAATTACTGGAAGGTAAAAAATGCAGGCGGTAAGTTTAAACTACCCTTTCATAAGCCTTCATCAAGGATATGATTGCTCTGAAAGGCCAAGGAAGAAGGTAAACCATCCAAGAAAAGTAAGTTTTCTCTAGTGGCTCTAAAAATCATTGCTTCTGAACATGTAAGTAACAATTTGTTTGAAAACCTAGAAAAGCAAAGGTTAATAGCAGGCCTGTAACTCACTCCTTGCCAATCAGGGAAGCAAGGGAAATGGGAAGATATAAATGATAAATTATTTCTTATTACAAATAAACCTCAAATATATTGATTTAAGAAGCATAACTGAATTGGAATAATTCACTGAATTATGGTAACCCATAAGCATGTTTTCCATCTGTGTAATCAACAGAACATGAAATGGAGGTGCTCCTAAACTAAAACGGTTTCCTTTCCAAACTGCTTTTTACATGCATTATTCAAAACTCATCTGTTAAAGTAGGCCAAACTATGTAACAAGGGAGAAACGATAGGTGTATCTGATGGTTTTCAATTCCTTCAGGAAAAGAATGCTGCTCTTTTATCTTCTGAATCATTAGAAAAGTATTATATTGAGTACTGAGTGTGCTTTGACAATTTCACCCTTTATCTTAACAGAAAACTTGTGTTAAAGGTTAGGAGTTAAGTTGGTATAAAGGCATGTAAATGTTAATCAAAATCGTTTGACCATACATAGTTGACAAATTTGTAGAAATAATGTTCATCTCTTAAGAATATAAAATTAAGTTTTTAAAACATTTGCTCTAACATTTTATCTACTATGTATATATTAGGCATTAATACAATAATCCCTGCGGTAAATTAGAAAAATTAAGTAGCCTCGAAAACCCTCTAAGCCTCCCTTCTCATACTCTCCGCATACTGTCTAGGGGCTTTAGATGCACTCTCCAAAGATAACAAAGTCACCACTCTTGATATTGTTATCTTCTGCTTCAAAGCTGCTTCATAGGCGTGTTCACAAAGGGTACTTGTAGTCTCTATCCTCCAAACCAATAAGCATCTACAGCTTCTGTAATTACTTGATGAAACCTTATCTAAGTTTTATTTTACATTACATAAAATAATTGTTTATTTTACATTACATAAAATAATTGCTGTTCTTCTTGGCAATAAAGTGATCCCAATAAACTTAGGATCACTGATAATACCAAGACTTGTTTCATTGAGTTTTTAAATGAAAAATTCCTTTTTATTCAATATGTAGAGTGAATATATGTTTTCAATATTTTTTCTTCTTTTATTCAAGGTAAATACACCCACTTGGACTTTACAACAATCTGTACAATAACTGTCCCTAGATTATTTGCCTGCTGGTTGACCTGCTTTAAGGGTATTATCTGACAGATTAAATTTGCCAACATGGAGATTTATAAACTCTGTGGCTTCAGTGTCACAAGGGAACATATGCTAGACAGGCTCACCATAAGAATAGACCTGCACTGTCCAGTACAGGAGCCACAAACCACATGAAGCCAATGAGCACCGTAATGTGGTTAGTCCAAAGTGGGAGTGGTGCAAGTACAAACTATCTTTAGTATCTATGGCTTATTATGCTGTAAAAAAGGGAGTGCAAAATATCTAATAGTTTGTATAATAATGACATGTGAAAATTATATTTTGAATATACAGGGTTAAAAATTAAAATTAACTTAATCCTTTTAGTATGGCTACTACGAAATATTAAAGTATCAGCTTGCATTATGTTTCTATCAGATGGCACTGATATGGGTAATATTAAAAATGTCAGGCTGCTATGGTCAGAAGATTCCACTAACTTGAGAATTTCTATCCTTGTTTTACTACTAACCAGAAACATATAAGAAAATAATAACTAAACATATTTTAAAATTTTCTTGCTACTCTTGAAATTATTTGGGGAAGGGGTTATATTTGACTAAAGAGAATGATAAAACAATTCCAATTATGATTTTAGAGACTCTATAGTCCTTTCAACTAAAATTTATATTACAAAAGTAAAGGGATACAAGACAGAAATTAAATTTCACTTTTTTCTATTACACAGTTTACAAATGTAAAAGAATACACAATTTAAAAGTAAATTCTTAAGGCACTAAAACAAGGTATATACACACGTGTACCTATTGTTCAATTCCAGAAATAAATATCTCATAAATAAATGAATAGACTCAGATTAGAAAGTTACCTAAAGAAAAGCTTTAAGTAGCCTACTAAGAAGGAGGAGCGGGTTACATTAGTACAACTAAATATTTTTCTTCAGGATTTGTAAAGAGGTAGTATGCAAATGTCTTCTGAATGACTTCTAATTAAAAAGAGATAGCCATTATAAACAAGACTATCAATTATAACTAAGTCTATTAAAATTATAACTAAGTCTATTAAAAGAGTTCCATCACAGTGGAAAAATTAGATGCTTACAGCTAGGAGATAGTGTAACACAACATCAATGAATATATCAGAATTTATTAATTAAAGTTTTAAGCAAAATTGTCTGTGTACATATATATGTATTTCTTTTTGTTAGGCATCAGGAAATTTATGAATAACATCATTTTTTGTTGTCAAAGTATAATTTAAGGTAAAACATTATATCAAAGAGTAGATTGATTAAAAATGAATGTAGATATACAAAGGAAGTATTCTATTTAAAAATACTTCCTGTTATGAGTTTATAGAAGATTGTTGTTAAACCTATAAATACTATTTATCAGTGGTACTAAGAGGAAAGTGATCCTCCCCTTCGGATAATTCACTGGACCTTATAACATTATCAGCATACTGAAGGTTTCCTGAATAGTCAATAAAATGACTGAACAGCAACAAAAGGGGAAAAGCAGCAGCCAGAAGCAGTTACAAATTACACCACGCCATTTGCAACAACATTCATAGAAATATGTGTATGTGTACCCTTGGGTTTATCCACATACGCATATCTCTAAATAGACATGTATAATAAGGGAAGGGGAAATGTAGACAGTTAGCAAAGTATACATGAATGAATAAACCTGTAAGGCTGTCATGAAACAAAACAAAGTGACTGAAAAAAATCACTAGTACAAATGATAAGAAATTAAGAAAGTCTTTATTTTATACCTTTCTCGTTCTGGTGAATGCAAACTAGTATCTGGTCTCAAGCAGTTGGTACTAGCACTCCTAGCCCTGTCAAGAAAGGGCTGCAGTTCACTAGTGCCAGTGCATTGCATCCAGTGGTAGAAGAGAAAGACAGAGAAAACAAAGAAAGGAAGACCATGTTAGAGAGTAAAGCATAAAATAATGTCCCCTTTACACAAAATGTAGAATCACTGGGATTCAGTTCATAAGGGTGTGAGAGAGTTGACAGAATGACAGTGTAAAATTTTGTTTAGAAAATGAAGCTAAACAAAGATTATGCTTAAATTGCTTTGCATAATTTTTAAAAGTGTCTCAGACTGAAAAATGAGACTAAATCACACCTACTTATGAAAAAAACTGGATACAGAAAGCACTAAAACAAAATGCCTAAAATTTCATTACCAGGAACAGATGCCACACCAAAACAAAATGAAGGACATCAGAGGAGAAATAATTTTACAACTCAACTTTTTTGGTTCACAACAATAAACAAGGGAAACGGAAGATATCACTTCCAAATGTTCTTACCTAACCAGTATTTCATCAGTAAATCTCAATACTGTTGAGTTAAAGCATTCATGATGAAGGGAAATGTCCTGTCTAGTCACTGATTTGGTCTTAGTATGTGCAGGCAGAATTGAGCTCCACAAATTAAAATTACACAAAAATAAAATAAAATAAATTATAATTAAAATCAACAAGTACAACAATATACAAATGACAAAGCAACTAGAATTCTGACATTTGAGTTAGTAGATGTCATTCAGAGAATTATTCTAGTACTAAGTTTTATAGTTAAAACGATTTTAGATATCATTAATTTAATGTCTCTCACTGTATAATTATTTCAAAAGAATATTTTATTAGAATGTAAATTTCCTATTTAATATTTTATTAGAATGTGAATTTTCTATTTTTAGTAGGCAAGGGATTAGGAATTACTTTATAACTGGGTGGGACTCACTGTTAGGGCTCTTACCTGTAAATATTCCAGTGAGAACTGCTCTGTAATAAAGGCATCTTGGGAGGTAATGTTTTATAGTGCCTAACAAGATGTCTGGAACGTAGCAACACAAACACGCAGGAAACAGAAAAATATATATGAAACCAATTTTATTAAGATATTCAGAAAGTAGGAGGCCTATAAAGCTATATAGATAAATCTTTGGTCATTTTTTTCTCAAAAGAACCACAATAACTATTTGAAGGGAAGACTACAATTATTAAAATATGAAATCATAGACACTTGACTTCATAAAATACTCAAAATTATTATTTAATTATCTGAATTAGAAAAATACCTGCTAACCAAACTCTATGAATTATCATTGATCAATATGTAAATGTGCTACTTAATCTCTGATTTAATATTATGCCTACTTCTACGAAAGTAAACTCATAGCTAAAAGTAAAAATCAACTAATTTATATAATTTTAGAGTTACAATATGACTAAAAGAATTTTAATGTTCTAAAACAAAACAAAGTGTTGACTAGCATTCCAGGGACAAAGCTGGTCATAGTACCAGACTGCAGCAAAAAAAAAGGAAACAGAAAAAGGCCAAGAAGTGATTGCAAAGGAGCAAGCTCTTTCTACTTATCAGCTTCTGTCTGGATCCAGACCCAACCACAGGAAATTTTCCTTTGGAAGTAGGGTAAGATAGGCATTAGATGCAAACCAGAATATGGATTTTGAATTGGCAGAAAATTGGCCCAACGGCATCTGATTCCTTTAAAATCTGTGAGGGTTTCTGGACTGTCTATGCCATGAAGGACAAACTAGGTCCAGCCATATTTTTTTTGATAATTTAATAATGTTCTATAAATTTAATTACTAATTATGAAAATCCATCATCTATCTCAGCTAGCAGTAAAGCATAATCAAGAGGGAAGGGAATAAACATTTATCAAAGGCTTCCTAAACATCAAACACCTCACTGGTTTAATCATGTTTATATTAATGATCAAATCAAAGGAAATCCCTTAAAACTTCAATTAAAAAATGAACTAAAATGCCATTTTCTTTTCTTTTCTTTTTTGAGACAGAGTCTCACTCTTGTTATCTAGGCTGGAGTGCAATGGTGTGATCTTGGCTCACTGCAACCTCTGCCTCCTGGGTTCAAGCAAATCTCCTCTCTCAGCCTCCCAAGTAGCTGGGATTACAAGCACCTGCCACCATGCCCACCTAATTTGTGTGTGTGTGTGTGTGTGTGTGTGTGTGTGTGTGTTTTAGTAGAGACGGGGTTTCACCATGTTGGCCACACTGGTCTCAAACTCCTGACCTCAAGTGATCTGCCCGCTTCAGCTTCCTCCTTATTAAGTACAAGTTGAGGACAAATTTTACTGAAACTAAGGATTTAGCCTCCTTTCTAGACAGTCGACTCTTCTTTTCAACTCCTAACCTCAGGCAAATATCTTTAGTAATAGGTTGCTATAAAACTTTTCTAAGCATTGCTTCAAAAGTGATTTTTTTTTCAAGAATGGGATCAACATAGAATGGGAAACAGCTAGAAAATAGCACAAAATTTATAGTCTGAATGTTCAAGTTCCTGCCTTGGCTTTGCCACTTATTGGCTGTGACCTGGGTAATTCGATTAAGTCTCCAAGCCTGTTTCTACATCCACAAAATGTGGGAAATAACTTCCACTTAACAGGGGTGTGTGGTAACATGTACACAATATTTAGGACACAGTAGGATACAGTAAGGCAACTATAGCATTTTCTCTATACTACCACTTCCTCGAGACACGTTTTACTAAAAAAAGGTTGGGAAATTAAACAATTTGGGAGAAAAGAAACTAAACATACAGATTTCTTTAGAACATGACTTTAATATGCTGTGTGTATTAAATTTCAAGGTAGACACTTTCAGTTGCAAAGTTTCCAAAATGTATTTGACTCACAAAAACTCTTATTGGTGAAACATCTCATAGGACAAGTTTTCATATTTTTGGAAAAACTAGTTAAACAGAAGATATCAAATAGATCTGATTTTGAATCCTTACTCTATTAGTCGTAAAATAAACTTTCGTAGCTTTTTTCCTCATCTCTAAAATCAGGATAATAATATTCATAACATATAATTATTGTCAGGAAATTGACAAAGTACATTAAATATTTAACACTGTGCTTGTTATTAAATAAATGTTATTTTCCTTATGTTTACTAGAGACTAGTAAATCCTCAGATTTTATTTTTATAAGTCCTAAGTGAACATGGTATGATGTATTTTGAAAGCTTTAGATTTTAGCCATGGATAGTTATAGAAATAATAAGTGTCCATAGTTTATATGAAACCAAACTATATTATTGATATATCCATATAAAGTTGTGGTTATTTATATGTACACATTTTGACATTCATTTTTATACAGATATAAATTAATGTTTTTATAAATACATGAATATAAACACAGAAGAGATTATATATACATACATGCACGTATTTTTGAACTCATGTTGTCTCTATCTCCATACTTTTAGCATTACACATTAGAGAATGAAAGACAGGAAGGAGAAAAGACACTGGTGACATATGTTTCGCACTGACACATTTGGCTAGCTCAGCTTCCTTCCACTCCCTATCTTATTGTCGTAGTACCTGTCCACAGGATGTTATCTGCCTCGCTGAATACTCATTTATTTTTAAATTGTATACATACAAATATGATTATTTGCTTAAATCAGGAAATGCAAAGTCAACATACAGAGACTATTAAATAGGACTTGTGGAGCTCAGAATTATTAGCAAAGCACCAATCTTAAGTATAAGATTATATAAAATGATGCAACTATTATATAATATTATATAAGTATATAATATTTTACAAGTACAAAATAAGGGAAAGAAAAATATTTTTAGTTATTATATTTAGACCACTGGTGTGAGTATCCTAGAAATATTCACACACTGAGTGCCAGGCACACACTAAGTAGCTTAAAATATAAGGATTTTTTTTGTGTTTGTTTTGTGTGCATGTTTTTTATTTCTTTTGAAGCTTTAGTCACATCAAGAGGAGTGTGAGAAAACTTTCAGAATTAGTAAATAAACCATTATTTTAAGAAACTGTTTGTCAAGAACAAGTAATAATAAACCTGGATAGTTCATGCTTTGACCTTCAGTAGGTTTTTACAATATGCATGATTTTACATTTTTTTCTCAGCAAGCAGAACTAATATTTCCTCGATTTTTTCCTGTGGCACTCCAAGCAAACATGGCAGTAGTTATGAGTAGTATAACTTCAGACTGTAAAAAGTTCAAACAATTTTTATTAGCCCAATTTTGTTTGCATTATTGGGCAGAACTACATATTACACACAGACATAATAAATCATGCATTTGTCTTTGCATCCCAAGTACTGCGGTAATACCTCTTTCTTTCTCTTTCCTCTTGCTTTTTATTGGCTAAAATATTTGAGTTCGATTATTTTGTGTTAGTTTGTTTCACTGACTTACTACTTCCTTAACTTCTATATTCATTTCAAATATACATTAAGTATTTATAGAATATGTTCCATGAGTAATCTGTAAGAAGTTTTACTTGGATATGAAATTAAAGATGTAATGAGATTAACATAAAGCATCAGGCTCTAAGCTCCAATTTAGAAGCAAAAATTATATCTTTTGTCGCTTCTAAAGAGGCATTCATACTGTTATATGCCTTTGTGGGAAAGTTTGTACTGCAGCATTTCTGACAACTGGTGGGCTAGGATAGTTAAGATCAGGTTGAATATCTTCACTTTTCATCAAGAAAGAAGCTGAAGCTCAGCCATTAAAAGTGAACTGTTAAAGATTTTATCAAAAGCAAACAGAATATAAACAACAATAAATTCTAAAAGGAAATTAAAAAAGGCTAAAACAGAGCAAACTTACAATTATGAAACAATGACACTGCCATACACAGATTAGACCTCTTGTGACTAGACAGGAATATGTGTGGGAAAGTTGGGGGCACTCACAGTGAGCATTTAGAATTTTAATTGCAGAAACTGGTTCCTCAGTTTTAGGAACGCAAACAGTCCCAGAGAGGCCCACTAGTCTCTGGATTTTTGAATCTACAGATGGCAAAGCAGTCAGCCTGAATCGGAACTGAAATATATTTGGAACCTTTTCCATAACCTCAATATAAAACAAAACAAATTTCAAATACTTGGGAAATTTATTTGACTTGCTTGTAATAATACCACTAAGGGAGAGACGGAAGAATAATAGAATGGAAAGAGAGTCATCACACACAGTCACCATTACCAAATCCCTGTATTTACCTGGTAGTATGTAGGCATTCTGCACTTCGTCCTCGTTTTGCTCTGGGCAGCATAAGAAGCTCACTGCACAGACAGGATGGGTGGTGAGTGAAACAGATAAATTATGAGACATGGGTTATGCCAATGGTATGCCAATGAAAACATGAAAAGGGAAGAAACCAGATTGTCTGCACTAGCATATTTGCTTGAGAGGTTAAACAAAAATAAACATAAAAGCATTTAAAAAATTTAAACAATAAAGTACAAATATTATGGTTGAAGTCCTAGCTGTTGCTGATTTGCCATTGTATTTCAAAATGATTTTATAGAATATTAAAACAAAACAAAATTAAATATTCCTCAAATAAGATATAGGACTCTGTTTCCAATTATAGACAACTGAGTATTTTTTTAATACTATAAATTTGGCCTGATACTAATGGGAATTCTGAACATTTTTATAACTTTATAACAAATTAAAGCGTGATAGTTTTCTTGGCTTTTATAGCCACTGAAAATGCAATACCATATTATGTTTCTTATTAACCAACTAACAATATAATTGATTAGAATTTTTATTTTACAATTAATACTTTATCTATATCCAAATTAATTTCACTATATTGACTGCCCTGGTCAAGTAGCCCTGTGTTTTCCCTCCTCACCTAAATTCATGGTGGCCCAAATGAATGTTGATAAAATAGCCCTCATTCAACTCAAGCTGAGATGTCTGGAATCCTATTCCTCAGAGCAGCTCTTCATCCTAGTACCTATTGTGACTCCATTCTTGAAGGTCACAACGCTACTTTCCACAGTAGGATGGCAATTAGGTAGGTTAAGAAGTTCTACTTTGTGTCCTTGACTCCATGGCGAAAAATTATTTAGCACCACTATCATGACCCTTCTCCTCACTGAAAGTTTCTCCATTTTAAAAAGCCAGAAGAGAATATTCAACAAGGTGGGTATTATAAAACCTTAAATCAGATCCTGAGCTTATAATCAGGCTAATTGTACAGGTATATGGTTACTTCAAGAAGAAAGTCTGTGGGCACGCAGAGCAACAGATTCATAATGTAGACTTATAGTAATTATTTCCGTGAAATATTAGTTCACAAATGCAGAATTAAATCTAAGCACATATCCCCATAAGAACCCATCTCAATAATTGTATTCTATAGACATTTTCTAGAAAGAGATTTTATGAAAAGAAGTATATAACAGAAACATTATTATTGAAGTTCTCATAGAAACTCTGCAATTAACTTTCAAATGGCATGTATCCACAATGTTTTAAATTATATAAATAACATAATTTTTATGATTACTTCATACCTCAAATATTGTGACCCACAATAAATAAAATATTTGAAAACTCCTTATGCAGACTCCCTTCTATAATTTAGGTCAATATCTAAGTCAACAAGCTGTACCTTTAAAGCTGTCTAAGCATAAATTCTGATTTTGTAAAAGAAATTGGATAATTATAACAATATAATATTAGCCAAATATTTCCTAGAGTTACATTTCTATTACAATATGTTAACAGTTGTTGCTTGAGAGCAGCTCATTTTTGAGTGATAAATACTTTTACTCTCTAATGTGCTATGCCACAATATCTGTATATATTAAAACAGAACAAAAAATTCATAACGTTGAGATCATAATTTTGACAAATACCTGTCTTGTTCTGATAAATACTGACTATCCACATCTCTGGTTCTATGATCAACTGGACTTCGGGAGGCATCATGGTGTCTGGTTGGAGAACGTGACCTTCTTGTTGGATGAATTTCATCTAAACTCCTAAAATGATTACAAAATTCTTATGTGTCAAATTGTATCATCTTCCCAAAACAGGCAGACAGACTAAAGTGAAGGAACTGAGAGTAATATGCAAATAAACACTGAAAAGTATTTGCATCATAATCAAAACCTACTTATCAATGAGTTAAGGGTATTTGTTTTCTATGAGTTTTTGCCTGTGGCTGCATTTCTCCAACCTTCTTTCATACTTCTATCAAAATCAATTTTTATCGGCATAATTAATTACAATTTCAGGAGTGTATATCAGAGTAAAATGAAGTAGAGCACTATATGTTTTATTTATGTTTCCAAGCATTTAAAGTGCTTCAAAGAGACAATCCTAAATCTCTTCAAAGTCCATTCTGTCTCTTAACCTTATCCTCTTCGCCACTTCTCTCCACAATTCTGATTTGTTACCATTTTTTTCTAACAAGAAAGAAAACTAGCAAAGAGAATACAAGACAATTATTCAAAAACTATTCCTGGGACATAAACAACTTCTGCTCCCTGGGAAATTTCTTCAGATTAAACAACAGACTGCCACATAGGTTGGATAAAGAATAAAAAAAATTTTGCCTACAATTAATTCTGAAAAAAATAATTTGACCAAACTATTTTTTCATTTCAGTTAGTTTTGCAGCAATTT
Organism: Homo sapiens; assembly: GCF_000001405.40. NCBI lineage: Eukaryota > Metazoa > Chordata > Mammalia > Primates > Hominidae > Homo > Homo sapiens. Next base: position 72,258,339 of record NC_000006.12, on the reverse strand, counting down.
ACACTGCATTATAATAAAAATGTACTGTCAGGGACACTGAGCCCATTTCAAAGCCTACCTCTGTAATGGCACATTTGGTAAACGTGAACGCGGCTTTCCCTGATCATTGCCGCGATGAGGAGATACTGAACGTGAGCGGTGATGAGTTGTTCTTTGCTGTTCTGGCACAGTTAATGTTGTAGATTTACTTTCTCTAGCACTAGACCTATAGCCTACTGGCAAAAGTACACACAGAAAAAATTTAGTCAGTATTCTTCTATAATGCAAACATTAACACAGGAATATAAAATTATTCTAAAGCAGCCATTGATCTATGAAGAATAAATGTCATGCAATCGGTATTAATAGCCTTATCTTCAAAAATATTAAGTATACCTACACAGAGTGTAACATATACATGCATTGAAACAGGTTACAGTTTTGCTCAAAGGAACCATGGAGATAATAATATGAATATGACAGTTGATGCCTCAGACATTACGATGAGTTGGGATACTGTTTCAATTTAAATAATGAACGAGTTCGTGACTTAGCAACACAAATGAAGTGCTTGACATGAAACTATAGTTAATATACAAGTCAATGCTTAGAAGTTTGGAGTCTCTTTAAATTTAAATAAATTCTTCATTTCGATTTTTATTCTAGAGAATAAATTATTTTAGTTGGATTGCAGGTGGCCTCTTTAATAAGAAAACAAATATATTGTTCCAGTTTTAATTAACAAAGAAGAGTAGCAGATCTTCACCATTATACTCATTGTGAATTTTGCAAACCACAAATAATACTGCAATTTTCAAATGTAGTATATGACTGAAGATGACTATCACAATAATGTAGAGAAAATGCACCCTTCTGAAGAACCAATCGCCAAATCTGCCTTACACATCTGAAACTACTCCATAATTATTTTAATTAGCATAACTAAGATAATATAGTTAACATATTGCAATTTAAAATAAATTATAACAGTCACTTTTTCCCTGAAGTAAAAAGGTTTATATTGTCTGCGATTTAGTTAAGATAAGACAGTAATCTCAAAACCAAAAGAAGAGTTTAGAGTTTAAAATTTTTTCACAAGGGTAACTGTTTTTTATTATCATAAGGAAAATAAAAAAATTATGTGGCCAAAGTAAAAAAAAAAACTATATTTACAACTACATAAAACATACATAAACCATAAATATGTTAAATTTAACTGGGAAGCTAAAACTGTTGTTCATTTTTTACTTGACAACTCTCACATTATCTCAAAAATATGTTATGAAACATCATGATTAAAGGCAGGCTAATAGTCCCTAGCAGTTTATATATTGTGAATCCATGATCTTATGCCGAATTTTAAGGGACTTCAAACATTTCATTAAGTGTACTTTGACAATATTCAGACTAAAGAAATACAAACATTTTGTCACTCTATAAAAACATGTTTAATATTCATAAATGGTATAATTTATAATTTGAAATACTTTAATTTTTTCTTATCAAAATATCAACTAAGCTATTGAGTTTTGTATAAAAAGTCTGTTATTCAGATGTAATATTATATTGTAATTTTAAGACTAGAAATTATAATATTAAGGCTAGAAAGAGACCAACTAAGTTAACATGTAGTGAATACACTATTAATACATAGCTCATTGTAAAAAAAAAAGGGTGACTATTTATAAAGACAATTAATCCATAGTCTGAATTACTTAAACATTTTTAATTGCTATCTGGTATCAATTACACAATAATTATGGAAGGCCAATATTGACTTATGAGCCCTATTTCGAGATTTAAGTGAGTATTCAAGGTATATAAATAGATTTTGTATAATTAATTATTACAGAATAAATTTTAGAGAATTTTGGCATCTTGCTGTAAAAGGTATATAATTGTTTCCTGGATTCTTTGTGGTTATATAGAAATTAATGCCTCTTTTATCCTTTTAAGAAGGGACTTTAAGGAAACAAGTGAAATCTTGAAACTTTTAACATATTAACAACTTTTAATGTAACTTAGAAAGTTCTGAATTCAAAAAGTATACTGACGGCAATGTGTACTATTTTGGTGACTCAAAGTCATTTTGAATATAACATATGCTATAATATTCAAAGTTTTAACATTTGACTCTATAGTGAATGACCTTAAATAAATATACATTTATAGTTCTTTGCATTTTACAAAGAAAAAGTTCTTTGCTTTTTACATTTATAGTTGCTTTTTACAAAAAATTTGATTTTCTTCACATTATGTTTACGTTATTGTTGACAACATGCACTCTATCTTCAGAACCATGACTGGGATTAAATTTTTTTTTTTTTTTTTTTTTTCAGATGGAGTCTCGCTCTGTCACCCAGGCTGGATGACCTTGGCTCACTGCAACCTCTGCCTCTCGTGTTGAAGTGATTCTCCTGCCTCAGCCTCCTGAATAGATAGGATTACAGGCGTGCGCCACCAGGCCCAGCTAATTTTTGTACTTTTAGTAGAGATGAAATTTCACCACATTGGGCAGGCTGGTCTCGAACTCCTGACTTTGTGATCTGCCCACCTTGGCCTCCCAAAGTGCTGGGATTACAGGCGTGAGCCACCGTGCCCGGCTGGGATGAAACTATTTTATGGTAATCCCAGTGTTTTAGTTGACTCAGGGTTAGAGATTAGAGAATTTTTTTCTCATTTTCTGGTTGAAGTTGCTAGATTCCTCACCTCAGATGAGGGCATTCTGTATATGGTTATTTTTATTCTTCTTAACTAGCTAAAATTATTTACTTTAAATAACAATAAGGCTATAACTACAAAGTTAATAAAATGTGGCTCTGGCAGTCTCAACTGCTGAAAACCTGCTACATTTCCCTAACTGGAAAAAGATAGTAAACACATCAAATAAAAACAGAGAATTTCGTGTTCTAGAAAAGCCAAGGCATTAGGAAGTTTAAGTTTTGGCTGTAGTAGAACATTTTGTACAGAGCTTTTGAGCTTCTCTAGATAATAAACAACCAGGAACTTCCTTGAGTACATTAAACATATATAGAAGACGACTTCCATATCTAAACAAATTTTTTCTTCATATTGGATGCTAGGAAACGTAGACGCAAATTTGTAACCAACATCTAAAAGTACATAAGAATGCACTGTGCTAACTTATCACCTCACTTTATTTTAGCTTCTTGCCCTTATTTTACTGACTCATTTTTCCTCTTCATTTAAAATGTATTGCATGTTACTATGTGACTAGTTATATTTGCCATACAAATACTACCACATAATTACAATGGATCAATGAAGAGTATATCTGAAAATATTAATGAATTACATGCTCTCCTTTAATTTATGAGGAGATCTTTGAAACATAAAATATTACTTATCAGTTTTATAAGTTACTAGTCATATTCTATTAAAGTTTGACTCATTACATTTTTAAATGCTAAATAAAAATGAACAATATTATTTGAAAAATATTGCTTTGTATGATAACAGAGATTATGCATGTTTGCAAACACTTTGAGGGACATGGTATATTTCAGTATGGAATATAAGTATATTTAGAATTCAGTGCTCCTTGGTGGTACTCAAGCACTAATCCCATCTCTAGTGGATTCCATAACTCACTTTGACTTCTCACAAGGCGTTATCCATGTTGCTCTCTCAGAGAAAGAGGAAGAAACTCATCATTTGTGCAAGCATTTATTTAATTGGCCATTTATTTATTCATCATTTACTTCCCTGTCTCATAACTAAAAATATGAAATTTCAGGTGAATGAAATTTGGGAACCACTCACCGAAGCAAATTCTATTTAGATAAATTGGTAATGACAACATTAAGGCTGACTAATAGTTAAGATTCCTGTTAGAGGTGATGATTTTTCTACCAGGTATAATCTAATTCCTATTTGAATATCCCAAATGAATTTAAATTTATAATCACTTTACTCTTTGAATTTCATGACAAACTAATATGATGTTACATTTTGTGTGAACCTTTCTGTTGAGAATGTGTGTAATTACTATGGCCTTCTAAGAAATAAAAACAGAGAGCAAAAGTGAATTTCTCTCCAGTATGATCTAAATCTCTCACTGATACACTGACATCAAAGGTTAATATATAAGTATATAGATTTTCACAGCACTAGATTTATAATAATAAATTTAACAATATTTTCTACTTTCACACAGTGATTAAATACTACATTTTTGGCCAGGCATGGTGGCTCACACCTGTAATCCCAGCACTTTGGGAGGCCGAGGTGGGCGGATCATGAGGTCAAGAGAACAAGACCATCCTGGCCAACACGGTGAAATCCAGTCTCTACTAAAAATATAAAAATTAGCTGTACATGGTGGTGCACACCTGTAGTCCCAGCTACTCAGGAGGCTGAGGCAGGAGAATCACTCGAACCTGGGAGGTGGAGGGTGCAGTGAGCTGAGATTGTGCCACTGTACTCCAGCCTAGCAGCAGAGTGAGACTCCGTCTCAAATAAATAAATAAATAAATAAATACCATATATTCTCTGAATTATAGGGAACAAATGAAACCTGATTTTAGAGAACTCTCCATAATTTTCTCCCAGTTTTAATAGTTGTATGCATCTCTCCAAACTGTGAAGTTAGTATCGTAGAATCTACCAATTTGAGCAAAACCATTGCCCTCAAATTAAGTACACTGCCATCTGAGAAATTATGTAAATAAAGGGCATATATATCAAGGGCATATATATATATACTGTCTTTAAAAACTGCCTTTAAAATTCATATTTATACATTTTAAGACTGTCTCTTTCATTTCTTCTTATTTGCATATTTACTTCTCCTCTCATTAGTAAATTTTTAAAAAGTATAGAATTAGTGCCAAGAAAGTAAGTCTTTACCACTTGATTTTACACTTTTCTGACAGAAGTCAGATGAGAAACATTTAAACCCTACAACATCACAAAAGTTTTACTAACTTACACAATGACAAAGAGATGTTCACTTCAAATTAATACTTAATCTTTCTTAAACATATTATTGTATTAAAACATATACACACATTCTAGGTATAATCAGTGGGAACACATCACAAAAGCTTTAAAAGTTACAGCCATGCCACATGCAATTTTAAACCCCGCCATGCACCTTTCTCAGTATATTCCATGGAGGGCTACATTATTTTCAGAAATGGTGGAAGGAAAATCATAGAAATGCAAATATAAAACACAGAAAAATGGAATTTTTATTTAATAACCCCATCTTTTCAAAATAAAATTCGTATTTTCACTTACGCTCAGAGCATTGTGAAATAATGATTTGTTTCACTAGTTAGACATGTTTCTACGGAAGAACCTCACTATGGGAATGCTAATTAGTAGAGACTAGTCCATTTAAAACTTTCTTAATAATTTGAAATGTAAGTCACCATGGAATAATATAATACTGATTTCTCTGTGCTATAAATCTTCAGTTTAGTATCCTAAAGAGGTCCGGAAGCTGACAGAGAAAACAAGCAAAGCAGCACAGTGAAGCAGGGTCATGCTCCTCACCCACGCACCTGGAGGAACTACGCCAATACCATCATCAACCTCATAATCTGAGATGTCACTATCACTGATTCGCTGAGATCCTGCACAACAGTAAGGCAAAGAGATACTTCTGTGTCTGGTTGGTTTATGAAACGTAAAGAGCACTGTCAAACTTTTTTTAAAAAGTGAATTGCATTATTACTGAAAACTTATGAAGACTAATACAGTAAACACTGAGCTAATTTTAAAAGAAATGTTTGTTCTCTAAGGATAACATTTTATCAGTATTTTTTTCCTCATTACACCAAAGACATATAGAAACAAGGGGACTTCACAGAATAAGATTTTCAGATTAATTCTTTAATTAAAATATTATACTAAAAGCCTTCAGCACAGTATATACAGTACATTGTTTTCTACACAATTAAGTGCTTTCCTCTGCAGTTCAGAGAGAATAGGGCTGAGTGGAAAGGTTCAGAGACATTTCTTGGCTGGAGCTCTATTCAGCCTATATTAATGAAAAAACATCAGGGCCCTTTATAAAATATTTATGTTTAGCTCCCCAAATTAGTCATTATACTTCATTAAACATTAACTTTGAGGAAATTACTGATCAGGGAAGCATCAACATGAAATATTTAATTATGTGAGAAAAATAATTTAGTTCCAGATTACCAAAATGAGGCTTCTTTCAGCTGTTAACTTAGAAATGTAGTTATGACACAAAAATTACTCAATAAGTACAGAAAAAAATAGCTTTTCCCAATCACTAGATGAATAGCAATAAACATACCTTCTAATATTTTAAACAACATTTCTTATGAATAACTATTAAAATATCTATGAACTGGCTGGGCATGGTGGCTCACACCTGTAATCCCAGCACTTTGGGAGGCCGAGCCGGATGGATCACAAGGTCAGGAGTTCAAGATCAGGCTGGCCAAAATGGTGAAACCCCATCTCTACTAAATATACAAAAATAAATTAGCCAGGCATGGTGGCGCACTTCTGTAATCCTAGCTACTCCAGTGGCTGAGGCAGGAGAATTGCTTAAACCCGGGAGGTGCAGGTTGCAGTGAGCCGAGATCACGCCAATGCACTCCAGCCTGGGCAACAGAGTGAGACTCTCTCTCGGTGGGGGGAGAAAAAATCTTTGAACTATAAAGTTATTAAGACTTCACAGGTGGCAACTCACCAGTGATGACAGAAATTATTCCATCAGTCAATAACCAACAGCTCAATTGGCCCTGTGCAAGAATTTTAATTCAGAGGTTTTTGGCTTGCAGCTCTGCAATTACTCTGCTATGCTATCTACATTATTTTCATTGTGAAAATGTAGAAACAGTTTTGCCAAGTTGCTTCATAAAGATGAACAATTTTCCAGTATTTTGATCTCTAATAAAACATTTAAAAAAAACATCTTGAATTATTAATCACTAATTAGATCATTACAGCATAATTACTTTGTGGCAACTAAAAGGACCTTAACCTACTTTGTAGCTTTTTGCTAGAGCTTTCTCCATGAATATGTCGCCTTGGCATGAAAGGTGATGGCTGAGGCAGAGGTAGTGAAGACTCATCATGTGTCTGAAGTTTATACCAATGCGGTTCATCATCTAAAAGCGCTGTCTCCAATTCTATGAGGATCTGAGAGGGTAATTCTCAAATTAAATCAAGTACCTTTATCAAAACATAATGTAATAGTAATCATAATAAATATCACAAAACTTTATTAACTATTTGACTTGAGTTTTTAAAATATACATCACCTCTCCAAGAAATTCACTTTCTTCTTCTTGCACTCTTGGTTGGTCCCACACAGTTATTTCTAACATTCGTTCTCTAAAATCTCTACGATGTACATGTGAATAGACAAAAGTTTGATTCCATTTTGGTTCTAGTATTTTCTTTACTGTTTTGGTCCTCCTTTTACTTTTATCACTGAAAAATAAGTATGTTTTGTAAATGAAAAAGCAAGTACATGCTGCCATCTACTGTAGTTACATGTAAAACTGCCATTGATATTTATATTATTTTAACTAATAACTCATGGAAAGTCTATAAAAAGATAATAGAGTTTAATAATATTCTAACTTCAGTTACAATATAAGCAGTATTGTAATTATAGGGACACATACAAAGGTACATTCTAAATGATGTGTCGCTATCAAAGACTAATATACCTATAAACAAGGTAATAGATTTTTTTAATTGACAGATTATTTTCAAATATTTCCAACACAATTTCCAACACTTGAGGGACTTCTTTTTTCAGAGATAATGTACTTTTATCTCCTCAGAATTATCTATTATATTTTTTAAAAACATCCCAAAAGAGAAAATTCTACCTTTTCTATTAGTACAGATTTTAAGATTTTTTTTTTCTAAAATTATTCACTACCTTCTATCTGGAAGAAAATACATTTTTACATAGGGATTTCGAGGACGTCCATCTACTCTAGCAGGTAGATCTGTTGCTTGCAGAACATTTACAATCAGCTGGTGTCCCACTTTATCATACCACAACTTCACCTAGGAGCAATGAGGAAAGGAATTATTTGTAAAAATCATGAGGCATTACAATTTTACATAAAACAAAATTCAAGTTATATTTAAATGAGGAAATTTTGAATTACAATATAATGCAATTACAGATATTTCTAAAAACACACCAATTTGAAAGCATAAACACACAGAACTTTACTTTTCTCTTTGAGTACTTTAAACATAACCTACAACTGGCAGGCCTTCAGTGTTACTGTATATTCTCACATATCATTTTATAAAATAAAACTAATAATAATTTTTCCAAAAAACTAAGGGAAGAGGGAGACATAAAATCATTATTATTGTTCTTAAATGTTAAAAATAAGAGTTTGAAGATTATATGTGTCTAAATTATTATAGCGTGACTAAATGCTTTCTCTGGTGTCACAGGTAGTTAAAATTAAAAAAAACAAGAGTTTGGATATTAGGAATAAGAAATACAAAGAATTAGAAGAGATCATAAAACATATTTACTGTGGGCCTATTTTATACAGGCACCGTTTAGTATTTCCTGGTATTTTTTCTCACTTATTTTTTTATTTTTTAGAGACATGGTCTCACTCTGTCACAGGCTGGAATGCAGTGGCATGATCATAGCTCACTGCAGCCTCAAACTGCTGGAACCAACAATTCTCCCAGTTCAGCCTCCCAGGTAGATGGAACCACAGGTGTACATCATCATGTCTGGCCAGTTTTTTAAATTTTTTGTGGAATCGGGGGTCTTGCTATGTTGCCAGGCTAGTCTTGAACTCTTCAGTCTCTCAAAGTGCTGGGATTAAAGGTGTGAGCCACTGCACCAAGCCGTCATTTAATTTTTAGAATTAAACTATTACAGGTTATTTTTCATGAGAGAAGGAGGAAAAAACTAAGGATACAATACACAAATGACATCTTCAAACTACAAGAAGGCCAAATGATATTTCTATTAACCAAGATTTCATGACAGTAGACCAAAGAATAATGGGGAAGTAACGTACTAAAATCCTATTGTCAAACTCACAAGAATTGGAATTTTATCAGTCATTATTACAGTATCTGCCCTGGCAGTGGTGATGACACTTTAACAATGTTAACTTTAATTTTTTTCCTTTAATTTAGAAGTTACTTTTCATTTTATGTTTAAGTAAGCATATGCTGTTAATAGGTATATGTTAGAACATATTTGAGAGTCATTAAAACAAAATAAACTAATTTAACATAGGATTAGCTTTTCATGGTAAGGAACAGATTAAGAATTCAAACCTGGATCTGTGTAAATCCATTTCTCTGATTCCCAATTGATACCTAAGATGGGGTTTCACAGAACCAGAATGGGTTTCCATCCTCTTTCAAAATATGTGGAGAATATGAGAGATTTACACATACACTGAAGAAAAAGATGGCCGGCAGATAAACCCAAAGGGTATTACAAAGATATTCAATATACTAAAAATAAAAGTTAAAACCATAAAAGCCCTTGAGCAATAAGCTTACATATATCTTCTCTGTCTCATTAAAATCAAGAGAAAACCACAAAGGCAAACCACAGAAATCCACACATTATCAGAGGAGCAAAAGGTCATTATTTGTGTAACAATTTGAAACAAATAGTTTGAAGTCCTTAAATTATAATATCAACATCACATTTTCCATCATAATCTACAAATATATGGTTCTTCATTATCCTTAACCCTAGTTTCTTCACTCCAGGTTTCCCCAGATCACATAATAAGGCAATAGTGAGAAAATGGTAGCTTTTTCAGAGAGCTTTCAGTGGCAACGAAGAGTTTTGCCAAATGCCTTAGGAAGTTAAAAAGAATATTCCAAATTTAGGCTCTTCAGGCTCTAGGCTCATAAGGTTATTACATAAATGGGGTATGAACTCCTAATATTATGTGTAAACAATTATTTACCTTAGAAACTTTTACATAGCACACAAAAAATATGAACTCTTTATTTACTTATGTTACCATTCATCAATTAATGTTCAGAGTATCTGGCACACTGCAAGCACTCAGTAAGTATTTCTGAATAAATATGTGAATAAAGGAATAATAAAAAATGCATGAAAAACTAATGAAGTAGATTATGGTGTTAAATGACTATGTATTTATTGCAGGCTTCAAGGAAAGGCGAACATATTTAAAGACAGACTCAGACAGTGTATGCAAATACTAACAGCCTCCAACATGTACAAAAAATACATACAGAAAGTTGCCCTGGTAAGACTTGTGGGGCATCTTTTAGAGCTCCAGGACTTGTTGGAGAAATAACAGAAATGGAAGGCCTTTCCATCTTCTGAGATTCAAAGGAACTTGAACCTAAAATGAGAAAAAAAAGTAAGTAATATTTGTAAGTGTAGGAAATATTTTTAATAAAATGTTAAATGCATCCTTTATTTGTATAAAACCATAATTACTATCACTGATAACAGAACCTACTTTTAATGGGATAGATTGTCTTTAGTTGTCTATTTAAAAAATATTAAGAATGATATAACGAAGTATTATGCTTATTTCAACTGGAAAGAATTGATCTACATTTCTGGAGTGCATGGTATTGCACAGGCTCTTGCATGACTTCACATATGGGTAAAGGTCTGCTTCAGAGATAAGGAAGATAGTGCCTGTTAACACTAATTATCTTGGCTAATGGATCATCTATTATAAACTGTCCTTACTGAGAAATTAAAATGAATGCATACATAATATAATTTATAAGCCACATCTAAGCCAAGACTTTGCCACTGTTTTAAAATCAGATATACCATCTATCTTAGGTTTTTTTTTTTTTTTTTTTTGAGACAGAGTTTCGCTCTTGTTGCCCAGGCTGGAGTGCAATGGCATGATCTTGGCTCACCGCAACCTCCACCTCGCAGGTTCAAGCAATTCTTCTGCCTCAGCCTCCTGAGTAGCTGGGATTACAGGCATGCACCAACACGTCCGGCTAATTTTGTATTTTTAGTAGAGACGGGGTTTCTCCATGTTGAGGCTGGTCTCGAACTCCTGACCTCAGGTGATCCGCCCACCTCGGCCTCCCCATCTATCTTAGTTTTGATCTTATAAATGAGTATCCTGAACCTCTGAAAATGCTGCTTCAAGTAATTCACCACTAGTGATTTGTTTCAACTTCACATGGAGGAGGCTGGGTCTCCTCTCAGCCACTTGGTGGAGTTCTTCACTGTTCCAAGTATACCCTGACACAGAGAGCAATACAGAGTGTTTATAGAAGGCTATTGATCCAGCAAGTACAACCTTGAACTCACCACCATTCAAACTTAGCCAATGCTTCATTGAGAAATACTGTTTATGAAGCATTGCCTGAGTATGTGCAATCCGCACATTTTTTTCTATAAGTACAAATTAATTCTCATGTCATCCTTTTGTGCCCTCCGAAAACATTTAGTGATAAAAAACAGCTATATAAAATTGTTACTATGTGTCTTTTCCCAGGTATATTTAAAATACATTTTCCTTAAGTCTCAGAACAGGAACACTGTTATTTCTAATAATGCTTGTTTGTAATATTATGGCAATCAGTGTATTTTTTAATCATATCAATAATATAAATTATGCAATTAGTCCCACTTCCCTCTTTGTATTGGTCACCAGAAAGCTCAAAGCCAAAACTGGGTCCACCTCTAGCAGAACATGATGGTATGCATTTTATATGATAACCTAGTGTCTGTTTCCTTGTTTATCCTACTTTCATATTTTCTTCTCCCTTCTAATCACTATCACTGGTTTTCCCCTAAATCACCTTTTATTTTCTATTTCTTTAACTTGGGTTCTGTAAGAACACCTGGGGAATCAAGCCCAAGTATTAACTTAATTCCCATCCATTGCAAAGTAAATATTTGGGTCACTTCTGCATTATCATTGAAAACTTAATTGTCTATATTTTATTGCACACAATATCATCTTCTGTCATACAGAAACGACTTAAATTCCCATATAGATAATTCTTTCAACCCTCTGGTTTCACAATCTCTTGACCTATTATGTTTAATGAAGTTTACTCCACCCATTCACTTCCAAAATCAATCCACACACTTTGTTATTCAGTAATACAATTATTTGTTAAAGTGTCTACCTAGTTTCTTCACTAGGCTGCTCTTGAGACTGAGCTGCTTAGCAATCAAACTGAATAATCCAGTATCACAATAAATGTTAATGTAACTAGAACTATTCCTGATATATTAAGCTCTGTAAGGGTCCTGACTGTTATGATGCTGAAGAGTATTCCCAGTAAAGATTTTTTTTTTAATCACATAAAAAAGTAGAGGAAGAAAAATCCTGAAGTAGGACTTCTTTGGATTTCCAGTTATTGCCATCATTGCCAACATCTAGTACCAATGGAGACATCTTTAGTATAGTAACCCCAATTCATTATATCAAATAACTAAAGAAAATTAGAAATCTTTACTTTCAATTAGTTCAATACTTTTATAATAACAAAGAAACCTTATACTCACTGGACTCCAGTGGAGGGTGGGAGCTCTCAGGAATCCGGGGAATGTCACTAAAAGAAACAGGATATGGTGAAAATCCCATTAGTTAAATGACCCTGCCTGAGGCAATCATAGCCCATTATACGTGATGTGAAAAATCCTGCTGGGTCTTTACAGGTGTGGAAATGAATAGGAGTTACTATTAAGGCAACTACTAATGTGCATGAATGTCAAACACCACACAAAAAAAACTGCAATAAAAAAGTTTTTACATATTTAAGAGCAAAACTTTAACATGACAACAATCAGACTAATATTGTGGTTAAAATCACCACAATATTTTTACTACCAAAACAGCAGGTTTTGGAAATAAAAAATGTTAAAGGTAATACTTTCCTTCAATTATAGGAAATCAAAATGACACAAATTTTACACATCAGTAATATGCTTTACAAACACATCTGAAAGAGTTTACCAAGTGAAAGGGATGGGAACATCTCAATAATAAAATGATGTGGTGAATATCATGGGCAAAGTTAAATGAAAAGGATGAGTTGCTTTGGAAAGTAAAAATGGTTCAAGCTTGCAACAAAAAAGCCAAATTATTTTATATATGTGAATATATAATATATATACACATATATACCCTTTATAGAGATTCATATCTCTATACTGAAGTTAGCTAAATATATGACTATTTACCATATGGTTAGAAAGTGACTTGTGAGACCACCCATTCCTGCCACACTGACAAATTACTCTGAAGAAATATATGTACTATAATCTCAACTTAATCCATTACCCACTATGACCTTAAGAACCCTAGATCACCTTGGTTTAGGTATTATACTGCATAGGACTATTTTACTTCTCATTTTCCAAAGACGTTTTAATATCAATTTAAGATTAACAATATGCAAATATTAACATGACATATTAAAGCAGACTGGAGTTAGCTAGTCCCAACAAAATTATAAGCATATTTTTTAAGAATTTCTAACCACCTACCTTATGAGCTGACTTCACTTTTTCTTTTCACTTTTGGGGGGAATGAAAACAAAAAGAGTTTTCCCTGTTTGTTCTCTGCAGTTGTCATTTTGACTATTTTGTGCAAAGTAATTCTCATAACCAACTATAATTTATACTTCCTAAAAATGACAATCTGGCCTATGCTGTGTATTTTATAAATTTTATTATATATTTTTGTATGACTATACATTTATATAAAATCATTTGAATGAATTAAAAGACTAATTTACAATACCCAAAACACAGAAAAAACTATATATTCTGCTACTTTCTTCTAAATTAATGCAAGCAAATAAAATTAAATTGTAAAAAAATCCAGGAACAATTTTTAGATAGTATGACTTCTTAAAAAATCAGCCTCATAGTCCATTATGAAATCAGAATTTGAAGTTCTAAAGCCAGGTACAAACTTTGGAATTTACATGCCTGTGAAAAAAGAATGGTGGCAAAGTTGTTGAAAATATGTTAAAGTGACTTTTAGTTAAAATTTATTTATGTTAATTGCTTCAGCAATATTTTCAGGCATAAATTTCCACTGGATGTTTACATATCCAGTGGAATTCTTTATTAGTTCTATTTACCAGTTAGGTAGTAGAGTAGTTTTAATAACAATTAAAAGCATAAAGGTCAAGGATATTGTATTTGGTGGGTTCACAAAAAAAGTCAATACCTCAAGATGGCTGATGCCTCTTAGTGTGTACTGATCAATGTGCTTGTAAGTTATATTTAGAATGATTCCTGAAATCACTATGCCACTACATTATGAATAAATATTTTCTTTTTCCTTTAATTATAGTTGTTAAACAGGACTACATTAAATATTATTATTAAAACATAGCTTTCCAGCCTGGGTAACAGAACAAGACCATGTCTTTAAAAAAAAAAAAAGCAGCTAAAATTATTTTTCTAGGATTCCAATAATGTATTCACTAGAAAGAAAGTTGATACTACCTTTGATTCTGATTCAATTATAATCTTTGTATTCCATGTCCTTTGAATTCTATAATCTTTAAATTATAATTTTTGTATTCCATGTTCCTTTCAATTCTATAATCTATAATAGTTTAGAATTTGGCTGTGCAGATGATTACTTCTTAATTAATTTTCATAAAAAGTAAAAATAATGTTATTCCAGTCTACTTTAATTGTCTGTTACTTTTTTAAGTCACCATGAATCAATTCTGTTTTTGCTGTTTACTTTTAAACCACTATATATTTGAAAGTATTTGGCAAGTGCACAATGCTTGATTCTAAACTTTAGCTTTCATACTTTTGATTCATTTTCCAATTTACTTACCTCTTTTCCAGCCTTATATTTACCTCAGCACTAGAACATATGTCATGTAAAACTAGCATAAATTGTAGTATTGTTATTTTAAAAATCTACATGGAAATGTACAACACTTTTGCAAATGTCTTCAGTGTTCACTCTTAATAATAACCAGTTAAAATTGGTTAAAAGCTTGCCTTTATTTTAGAGTTTTATATATTAATATTATTTGATATATGATCATACATTTTCATTCTTTGAGAATTATGATAATTATATCTTCTTGTATGTTTTGCATTGACATATATTCATGAGGCCGATACAAATTAAAGGTTAGCATTTTTTCAACATAAAAAGCCTTGAAATAATGGCTGTATTAAATTTTGGAGAATAGGGAAAAAAAGAATCATTTCCAAGAACACATTCAAACATTAAGCCAAGTATAATAAAACAGTTCAAAATGCCCTTAAAAATTATAGACTGGCAAAATGAATATTTATTTTGGACCATGTGGGTTTGCCAGAAAAAGGCAACGATATGGGGAAATCTATATACATACATAGAAAATATCCCACTGGCTATAGATAATTAAATTGTACTGAAAATTGAGGTTTTAAAAATATCATTATGACCAATTAAAATGTTAAAATATTTAATACTTCTTGCTTGATTTTAAATAAAAGTTGAAATTACTCATGGTTAAAGAGACAGAAAAAATATTTTATTCTTTCGTAGAATAATAAAAAGTTCATGTAGACATATGAAATCATTAATATTTTAAATATCACAAGAAGAGGAGTTTGTTAGTGCCTCTCTTAAAGGAAATACTACTTATTAAATTAGAATTACTTAAATATATCTGCCATTAAAAGAAAATATTTTACTTTATATTTCACTTGCAAAAAGTACATATTGATATTTTTTGATATTACAATTGTTAAAGTGTGGAGCTTCTAAAATGTAGTGAAGTAAACTCAGTATTCCAGTTAAAAAATTAAGAAATTTTTAGTAATCTAAAAATGTATGCCCATAATTGATGCAAAAACTATCCATGTTAACATGTACTGTATGAATGTATAAAATTCTTTTTAAAACCCTACTAATACATGTAATTTACTAAACTTAAGAAGTAAGTTTTTTTAGCCTTACCCAATAGGCCTTGAAACAATAATTTCAACTTGAGGTTCTGATTTTGATTCTAAAATAATGTTGTAAACTTCTTCATTTGTAGCTCCCGGCAGGGGTTTACCATTCCATTCTAGAACTTCATCCCCTTGAATTTAAAAAAAAGGGTATTTTTTTACCTTATATATTCTGTTTATTTTTCGTATCTTTTCTCTTTTTTAACAAAGAAATGCAAAACATATACAAATAGTTTAATTGTCTAGGCTCTGCTTTCAAAAGCAAATTGATTGCCATATAATGTCAGCTAAATGGTTCTTCTAAACACTTTTTCTTTTCTTTTGTTTTTCTTTTTTTCCCCCAGAATATTACTGGTGACTGGAAACAGTACAATACAAAACTACCTTTATCTTTTGAGATATACCAGAAATCATATAAAAATAATCTCATGCTATGGGATGGAATTAGCACAGCCTATTTGGAAACATTAAAAAATAATAATTAGCAGCATGCCCTCCATATAATAAATGTAGGCGGCTCTATTTTTGAAAGATTCTTATTAAACTGTGCATAAATCCTGTTTTATTTTTGGAAGAAAGAGCAATTAATATTTGTTAGCATGAATTTCCCAATTACAAGTCATGCTTCAGTGTCTTCACCAGATGCACAACAGAATAAAAATGCATGAAAGGATTTGAATTCACACCCATCAGTTAACGCAGGTAGCTATGGCAAAATTACAAAGCAAGCAGATGTAAAACTGTTGCATGACAGTCAACCCACTTCCAGATGTTCAAAACACATATGTACTATACATAATCTATATTGTGAACATTAAAGTACAATTAGAACACACTTTAAAATAACCAAACATTAATACAGTACATAGTTGTTAAATATTCTAAGATTAATCAAGGGGAGTTAAAAGATGTTGCATTAAAAAAATACAGGCTAACAACTTACAGTTGTTATTTTAACTAGGGTTTTCACACCATAGGTCACGTGAAAAAAAGTATTTATTTTCATAAATATTTAAGAAGTTGTAGGTACCAAACGGTTCTCTGCCTTAGACTCTTCACTTCAAAATGGTAGTCTCAGCTGAAATATTTCAACCTCGATGCACTGAGGTGTCTTAATTTGTTGATGCTCATGCTTATTTTGTTGTTCTCAGTGTCTAGAACATTTTATGAGCAAAGTAAATTTGTGTTGAAATACTGGATCAATATCATCAGTATACATTTTATAGCCAAGTATAAGCATAAAATCTTTTCAATGTATACCTAGAATTTTTTAAATAAAAGTAGGAAAATTGCTTTGCTAGTATTACTTTAAAGTAATTATTTTTTCCAATTGTTTGCTCACTGAAGAGTAAAAAGTAAATATGCAAAAAGTACATGATGCTGCTTTGGTTTGGTAAAATACTATGGTAATCACCAATTCTTTTTTTTGAGATGGAGTTTCACTCCTGTTGCCCAGGCTAGAGTGCAGTGGCGCAATCTCGGCTCACTGCAACCTCCGCCTCCCAGGTTCAAGCGATCCTCCTGCCTCAGCCTCCTGAGTAGCTAGGATTACAAGCATGCACCACCACGCCCAGCTAATTTTTGTATTTTTAGTAGAGACGGGGTTTCACCATGTTGGCCAGGCTGGCCAGGTCTCCTGAACTCCTAAACTCAGGTGATGCACCCACCTCAGCCTCCCAAAGTGCTGGGATTACAGGTGTGAGTCACCGTGCCCGGCCACCAATTCTAATAGACTGCCCTAAGCTGTTACCTAGAAAAGCTTTTCAAATAGGCAATGAATATACTTCACTGTAAAAAAAAAAAAAAAAAAAAAAGAAAAAAGAAATATAATAATTACAAATTTATAATATATTAAGAGTGCTTTCAAAATATTTTGACCAAGAAACAAAGTTGACATCATGATCCTGTACACATATAATATGAACATGTATATATGTGCGTGTGTATATATATTCATATTATATGAGTACATACATATATATATACACTAAAAAACATTTATGAAACAATACTTACCCTGATTTTTCTATTCTATTATGTTCTACTTCAATTTTTTAAAGTGGTAGATGCAAACGATTAAATTGATTTTACTACCCAATAATGAGCTGCAACCAGCAGTTTGCAAAAGCACTGCATTTTAAAACTCTCCTTTTTATAAGCGGCAACCTGGACGCATAACTTTTAATATCAAATTAAGTTAATACATACGTTTATTTACAGATTAATAATTCCTAAACCATAATGCTTTTTTTACATTATTTATGTATGGATAATCAAGCAGGGATGTAGACAATGAGGGTACAAAGATGAAAATGACATTTTATCTGTCTTTAAATTTGGTCATGAAGAAATGATAAAGAAACAACTCTAATAAAATATTTTATATGCAACAATAGAAGTTCATTTGAGGACCAGAAATAGAGTCAAGTGGTGCCAGGGACATAGTAGTTAGTTATTGTTCCAGGTGAGATATTAGGAACCACTTCAGAATTAAGGCAACTTCAGATGAATTGTGAAGGATGGAAAGGCCTTCAACAGGAGTGGTAGAAAACTAGGTAGACAAGAGGC
Source organism: Homo sapiens (assembly GCF_000001405.40). Taxonomy (NCBI): domain Eukaryota; kingdom Metazoa; phylum Chordata; class Mammalia; order Primates; family Hominidae; genus Homo; species Homo sapiens. The sequence goes on along the minus strand of NC_000006.12, from coordinate 72,239,876 downwards.
ATTGACCACATCTTCTAGGTGGGAAACAGCCTGACAGGAACCTACAGGTGGACCAACATCCTGGACAGCTGAAAGTGTTAGTAGAGGACAAGGCTACAGAGCTTTGACTTGAACAAATGATAACTAGGAAACACCGAAGGATCTTCATAATAAACAGAGTGTCAGTGTCATTTTTGTGTTTTAGAAGGTTAAATGAAGTAGCAGTAGAGTGCACAGACTTAAAGCGGGGCAGGACTGGATAAAGATATTGCAAGATTAAAACAAGATTGCAAATGTTAAATAAAAGTCACATTGATTGCACCGTAGTTTTATAGGCTAAGGATGTTTATATGCAAATAATTCTATTTGCATAAATGCAAATATTTAGTCAGTTCCTAAATTATAATGTAAATCAAATAGGATATATGATTGAGTCTGCAAAATCACTTCACTTTCTTCGAATACATAAATTGCTTAGAATGAAAAGTACACTTGTCTGTTTTATAGTTCTTTAAGTTGAGCTTTTAACATTTCAGATTTAAGTTTCTCAGGCTCTTGGCTCATAAGGGTGTTAAATGAAATGAATCACTAACAGATATTTTATATAGAACACCCCTCTTCTTTTACTTCCTAAGTAACTTCCTATTAAAACATAATAATGTGTTTATAATGTGTATATAATGTTTATAATGTGGTCTGCAAACTCAGGTTTCTGTAGTTAAAGTTATTTTACATTAGCCAACAAGGGATTCTCAGACTTTCTGAGGCTTATTTTTGAGTCATTAGACAAACACACACTCAGTTTACTGACAGAGTCAACCCTGATTGAGTTATTTTCCTACTGAATCATAACTGGTCCTTCATAAGAAATAACAGTGTAACATATCTCTATACATATTCAAAGTTGTATAGCAAATGGAGAAAAATCCGATTAGAGTTTTCTTCCTATACACCTGCACAGCAAGTCCTTGTCAAATTAAAAAAAAAATGAAAATGATTTTGAACTGATATCCTGGTAAACAAATATACTGAAAAGTCTTTAAGAGTCCTAGAATATTTTGCCAAAGTTTTCAAGAATCACAAACTTAAGGTTTAAAAGTTAAGAATATCACCTGGAAATGTACTCTTTGTGTTATGGGTTATTAATCTTTAATTCTACAGCTCAGCCAACTCTGTTTCCTTTATAGTTGTCTGGCAAATACATAAACAGCCATCTAACCAAAAGATTTCTACTAAGCTCTGCAGTCAAGTCAACTGGAAGAAATATTTTAATGTGATTTTAACAAAAATGAAAAGCAAACAATTTACCAAAAATGGATTTTAAAATGTGTTACTATTTAATATATGATACATTTACATATATTAAATAATTTCATTGTGTCATGTTCAGTTATAGGGCAACAAAAATAAATTTCTAAATACCAAGAATTAGCACATCTACATGAGTCACTTTTAAATTTACTAATATTTTATTATACAATCTGTATAAGAAATGTGATTATGATTATGCTTTATAAAAAACACTGCCCCTGAATAAGTGTTTTAGGACCACTCTGAAAAAAATTTGGTAATTACTGTAGCTTAAAATATAAACTAAATAACTAAATAGTGATATAAGATTTTTTTCTCAAAGATAAATTGTTTTAGATTTCAAGTTTTGTAGCATTATGACATCATCTACAAAGATGAGTAATTCTTCTATATTTTACATCTATTTATTTTTATAAAAAGAAGATTCCTACCCTTACTCTCCAGATTGCTGCTGATGTAGAGTTACTTATTATTGCAATTGGTAAATATTTATATCAGGAAATAAGTCTTTATTCGTGCATTAAAATTTAGTGACTTAATTGATATATACATACATACATGTATGTATGTATGTATATATAAAACTAACCCCAAATTGAAAACCACCAATTCATGTTCATGCATGGAGAACACACTGTTTAAATATTAAAAAAAGAAACTTTACCTGCTCTTAGGTGTCCAACTACATCTGCTAGGCTACCCTTCTTTACTTTGGTGATGAAAGCACCAAGTCGTCCTAAGTCAGTCATTTTTCCTCCAACAACCTGGATAATTACAAATTTATAAGTTTCCAAGACTCATACTAAAACATAAGCTTATTAGTTTGAGGAATTAATCCTACATTCTTTTATGATACACTTGAAATTGCATGTAGAAACATTAATGAAGTGAAGCACTTTTTTTTTTTTTTTGAGATGGGATCTTGCTCTGTCACCCAGGATGGAATGCAGTGGCATGATCACAGCTCACTGCAGCCTCGACCTCCCAGGCTCAAGTGATCCTTTAACTTTGGCCTACCAAGTAGCCTAGACCACAGGCATACACCACCACGCCCAGCTAATTTTTAAAATTATTTGTAGAGACAAGGTCTTGCCATGTTGCCCAGACTGATCTTGAACTCCCGGGCTCAAGCAGTCCTCCTGCCTCGGCCTCCCAAAGTGTTGAGATTACAGGTGTGAGCCACCAGGGCTTCACCTACATTTTTGATTAAAGTAGCTGGGAGCACAGTTTTGAAAACAAAACATCTCATATTTGAGATGACTATGTGTCCTAAGGAAGTTTGTGTACTGATTTCTTTCTTTCTCTTTTCTTTCTTTCCCTTCCTCCCTCCCTCCCTTCCTTCCTTCCTTTTTTTTTTCTCTCTCTCTCTCTTTCTATTTTTGAGACAAGGCCTCACTCTGTCACCCACAGAGGAGTGTGTTGATGTGATCATAGATGGCTGCAGCCGTGAACTCCCAGGCTCAAGTGTTGCTCCCACCTCAGGCTCCCAAATAGCTGGGACTACAGGCATGTGCAGACACTACAGTCAGATAATTTTTTAATTTTAATTTTGTAGAGAAGGGGTCTCGCTATGTTGACCAGGCTGGTTCCTAACTCCTGGGCTCAAGTGACCCTCTCACCTTTGCCTTCCAAAGTGTTGAGATTAAAGGCATGAGCCACTGCACCCAGGCTGTAGTGATTTCTTAAAAGCAAGCTTGTCCAACCCGCTGTCAGTGGGCCACAAGTGGCCCAGGATGACTTTGAATGTGGCCCAATAGAAATTTGTTAACTTCCTTAAAACATTGCTTTTTTTTTTTTTTTTTTAGCTCATCAGCTATTGTTAGTGTTGATGTACTTTAAGTGTGACCCAAGACAATTTTTCTTCTTCCAATGTTGCTCAGGGAAGCTAAAAGATTAAATAGCCCTGTCTTAAAGTGACCTAACAATAAAAGGGCACCATAAATAATGCATATACATAGAAGACAGGTGCCAGGTCTTCCCTACTTAGTATCAAACAGCAAGTGTTTGACACTGTTTACATTAAAATTCATTTTTCTTTATCATCCAAATTCATGTGTACCAGTTGAATTATTATTTCTACATGAAGATAATATCCCATTGTCAAGATCAGTTCTTGATCAGATCTTAATCTCTTTTGTATATGTGTAGTAAAATGTAGGTCTATGACTATAAAGACTGTAGATTCAAAGCAAGAAAATGACACCTTTGGGAAGCAATTTACCATTGTGCAAAGCTTAATAGCCTAAATGCATCTCTGCAGCTGACCATCTCATCTGAAACATGTATCTATGCCCATAAGACTATCAAAGTCTGAGTTTTATTATAGAATATTTTAAAATCTATGTTTAAGTTCTTCCAATGCAGGGGCTCAAATATATATAATTTAAAATGAAGAGAATATCACCAAAAGTTGAGATTCATCCACAATTCTTAGTGGCATACCCATTAGTGGAGGTAATCAGAATTATTTCATAGCAGGAGTAATTAATGGTAATAATCAATAAGACAGCACTATTAAGTACATTAATTTTTAAAAAATTCTTACAAAACTATTGTAATTAGAAAGTGATCCCTTTAATGATGTTTATGTTGCTGCTTAAGTTACAACAAAAGTCCACATTACCTATGCTACTTTCCATTTAAATCTTTTTAATGCAAAAAATCATCCTGAACTTTATAGTCAGAATACATTAGTTTCCCTAAATTTTATTCAATTTTCCTAACATATCTATATGCTATATCAATAAAATTATATAAAATATTTAAATGACATTTAAAAATCATTGCCAGAAACTCCGATGAATGCAGACCATACTGTAATTCACCCTTTAAGAAACATTTTAAACCAGCATACTTACTTTCAGACCCAGCAATGCACCTGAGTCTTTGGGCATGGTTGTTCTCTTGTTAAGAATAACACGTCCAATTAATCGGTCCCCCTCTTTAGATGGTTGCCACGTTACAGGATGCTGTTAAAACATGAATGAGTTTAAAAAGTAATATATACAGAATGTAATGCATTCAGCTATAAAAAGAATGAAGTCTTGTCATTAGAGGTAACATGGATAGAACTGCAGAACATTATGTTAAGTGAAATAAGCCAGGAACATGTTAGTTCCCGCATGAAAGTTAAACACTGCATGTTCTCACTCACATGTGGAAGCTAAAAAAACGTTGATGTTGTAGTAGTACAAAGTAAAATAGAGGATAATAGAGGCTGGGAAGGTAGGGAGAAGGAAAGGGTAGGGAGAGATTTGTTAAAGAATATACAATTACAGCTATACAGGAGGAATAAGTTCTGGTGTTCTATAGCATTATAGGATGACTATAGTTAATAATATATAGTTTCCAAAAGCTAGAAGGAGGACATTGAATGTTCCCAATACAAAGAAATGATAAATGTTTGAGATGATGGATATGCTAATTACCCTGATGTGATCACTATACATTATAGGTACTGACACATCACTATGCACTGCATAAATATGTACAATTATTGTGTCAATTAAAAAATAAAATAAAAGAGAATAGGAACAACTGGCAGAGTAACTTAGAAATCATTATTGAAAAATATTTTCATTTATAATATCAACCTAAAAATATTTTAAAATCCTAAGGAATTGATGAACAAACTGGGCATATCCAGACAAAAATATTATTCAGTGATAAAAACAAACATAAAAGCATTATCAAACCACAAAAAGACAGGGAAGAACCTTAAATGCATATTGCTAAGTGAAAGAAGCAAATCTGAACAAGCTATAAACTGTATGATTCTAACCATGTGACATTCTGGAAAAGGAAAAACTATAGAAACTAAATGATCAGTGGCTGTCAGGGACTTAGTGGGGAAGAAAGGAGAGAGGGATGAATAAGTGGTGCCAGGGATTTTTAGATCAGTGAAACTATTCTGTGTGATACTGTAATGGTGGACGCATGACATTATAAATGTGTTAAAAACCACAGAATGTATAACATGAAGAATGTACCCTAATGTACACTATGGACTTTAGTCAATAATAATAATACATCAATATTGGCTCATCAGTTGTAACAAATGGACCACACTAATGCAAGATGTTAATAACAAGGTAAACAGGTGGAAAGGGGTGGAGTAAGGAAGTGTATGGGAATTCTGTACTTTCTCCTCAATTTTTCTGTAAACTTAAAACTGCTCGAAAAAGGCCTATTAAATTTTTTAAAAATAAACAACTTGCTTTCTTTCCTATAGACACAAGTTATTGGTTGCAGCATGATGCAATTTCTTCAGTTAAAAGACACTCTAGAGGAAATTATTTCAGTGGACTCCATCCTTGGCTTATAAAAATTTTCATTTAGAACTATATTTCATTTGTAGCAGAAATTTATACTAAAAGTTTCTTAAAGTGGTTGGCAAATAAGTATACATTTTTAAATAGTTCTAAAATGGAATTAATTAAAATTTAAAAATATATCTGCTTACATAAAAAAACTGATTCTGTATGTTGACTTGTTAATGTCAATATCCATAACCAAACATCTCAATCTTACTTATAGTAATTATTTAATAATTGTTTTTTACTTAATTTAAAATTTGTTATAATTATCCAGTAATAACTTTTTTTCTTCAAAATTGTACTATCTTAAATGAAATCAATATTTGCCCTTACCAAATGAATAATAGAGCAGATATCACATATCAGACAAAGGACAATTAACGAGCACACATATTCCCTAAACTCCAAACACACTTTCCAGAAAACTTACCGAACTAATAGGTGATGTCTCCCGGCTGTGCCACGTGGCAGGATCCAACCAGTAATAATCCAAATCACCTGTGCAATACAAAAAGAATGAAAAGTGTAATGGTATTAAAGAGAAGAGTGTATCACTTTAAGCTTTACTTCTTCGATCTATAAAGAGTTTTAATATCATAAGCTTGAGCGTGTACATCGCAGAATGATGCACACCTGTGTTGCAAAGGTTGTGACTTGAATCACTGGAATGAACGTATGCTACAAATGCACTTCATACAATGAATGACTACCTTTTTCTCTCATAAATCAGTCTGGAAACATATAAATGTACAGAAAAAAAAAAAACAGGGTTAATCTGCCCCTCCTAGCCTTAAAGGACAGTCCATACCCAGCCACAACCTGCTATCTAGTGATGCTGGCTAAAATTTTATTCATTGACATGAGGTAAGTACTAAAATATAGTGTCTCTCTTTATACTTTCTGAACTAAATAATATCTTTCAAAATTATTATCTGATCTTTATCTTCTCTCATCAACTAAAAAACATAACATACATTTTTTGGGACACAGTGATGAGTAAATAAATATGAAAAATAACTTTTTCCAAAAGACTGGCTACAAATGACAGAGTACTCAAAAGTTCTAACTTTGTAAATATGTGTTTATGAACCTTTATTTTTGATCTTTTGGCTTAACAATATAATGCTAAAGAAGGCATCTGAGAAAAACTGAAAAAACTTCAATGGAAAGTATCAGTGCTTTCAGTATTTGTATAGGATGAAAGGCCGGAGAAAAATTGGGTAACCTACATGAGAAGAGATATTAGGGAAAGCAGGGGAATAATTCCCTTTTAAATTTTCAACATCAGATTAACTCAATAAAATTTTTCTCTGCATAGATCTTGAAAGAGAAAAACATAAAGTGAGTAAAGCATGCTAGTTAATAATGAGCTATCAACTGTTGGGAAAATATGCTTGGTTGATGCCTGTAAAGATCATAGGTAAAGAATTGTATGTACATGACAGGCACTGCAGATACAGGCACTATAAACAAAATGCTACATGAAATAATTTTTAATAATATTTAAAATATTCAGGCACTTCAATTCCATACACTTCAATCCATACACTTCAATTTTTTAGGAACTGCTTCCCTTTTCCTTAAACGTTATTTATACAGGTACTACAATAAACATTTTTCAAATGTTCATGTAGATTACAGTAGTATATTCTATGCAGGGGTTAATATTAGAAATTTCATTAGAAAAAACTATATTCTGTTAAAATTTACTTCACATAGATTCCATATCTCTCTCCAAATCACATACTTTAAAAATGTATACATGGTTTGATGCCAAAAAAGATAAATCTCTATACTCCTACTGGGCCACCTCAGTTAATGGAATATTAGGAAGTCAGAAAAGAACTTTTCTTCTCTTTCATATTTACTATTTGTAAAAGTTCACGACTATTCTTAAAGTAGCTCTCTCTTTAGTATTATGACAGCTTGTTCTGAAAGAAAAACTATATTAATAAAATTGAAATTACTACTAACACAAATGTTATAATTCAAAAGGTAATTATTGCAATTTGTAAAACTCTATCCTATAATTTCATATACTTAGTAAAAATGCCTAATGACTTCCTGAATGCTGATTCATTTTGAAATTCTGTGAAAATTAATAGAAACACTGAGATATTTGAAGAGAAAGAAAATTATATTTCCCCCAAAAAGAAAAATTGATCATTAATTCAAAAGCTACCTTAAAAAGTCTTTGAAGTTTAAAAAAATGACAAAAATTCTTTCTACTTTAAACACTTCAAGAAAACAAAAGTTTATTGTATCCCTCAATAACCTGACTTAGGTCTTGAAAACTACTCCTCAGGATTCTTCTCTGGTTCATGCCCCAATTTCTCATATGGCGGTTCAACCCCTTGTTTCGCTCATATTATCCTAAGTAAATCTATTAATATTATAAATCAAATATGAGTAAAACATGGAGTTGAACCACCATATGAGATACATATATTCGTGAATATTCGATCTGCAAAAAACTGTTCTTATAGGCAAAGGACCAAAAGCTGATGTTTCTGGGTAAGATTCAATGGTGATACTCAACACACTTTATTATGAAAACAGTGCTATCAAGCAGTGCTATTCTATGATATATAAGCTTTGCAGAATAATGATGCTGAATGAAGAATCTAATTTAATTGCTTTGGTACTGGATAAATATTACACATAGTCTGTCAGATGATTCCAGTGAGGAGCCAGGACTCATACAGTATCCCGTAATAAAATGGATGCTACAGATATTGCAGCTTAAACAAATTTTATTTTTTCCAACTTTGGCCATACACAGTTTTGTAGCTATCTACTAAATATTGCTAACAAATGTAAATGTAAAAAACACATTCATTATTTTAGCATACAATATTTGTATATATTTTAGTATACAATTATACTTCCTTCATATTCTGAATGGCTAATAGTTTTCTTATCACTAATTTCATCATTACCCATTAAAATATAACACTTTTGCTTAAAGACTTACAAAAAATAAAATCTAAAATCTAAATACTTAGTTGTAAACTACCTTTGTTTCTTCTATCCCTCTAATTACTGTTTGAAAGATATTACTGAACTTTGAAGCACTCTTAATTTGTCTTTATAACTAAGATTTCACTATTATTAACGGAATAAGCAACACTCAACAAAACATGCTCCTAAAATATTCAGAGTCTAATATTTCATTAACACAAAACATTTTCCTTGATCACTTTTCTAATAGTTGATTAAAGATATTGGCTGCCAGGTGGCATAGCTGCAAAATGATAAATTCATGGTATTTGCTTATGGAGTCAATACAAAAGCACCTTGGTCCTCACAGTCAATAAAACGTCCTAGGAACTAATTCACTATTACCATTAATTTAGAATCAGGAAATACGTCAGCTGCTTGTGTCTATGGAAATGTCTCAAGTTCATAACTAGCCAAGTTCAATGAAGTGTTATAATTTTGAGCATTATATTTTGTGAGCGATTTTAAAATTTTTATACTATCCCTTGTGAAAAAGTAGGTTATTAAACTTAATAAACACCCAACTATCAGTGCAGAAATAAAAGTCAGCTAAATTACACATACATTTTCTCTAAAGAGAACCAGTGTTTCCTAAACCCAGGTCATTATGATTAGAGTATGTAACAAGGCATAAACATGTAACTCTATCTCTATAATTTAGAATTGTGTATCATGATGTCTAGTGTTAAAGCGCAATGGATTTCAATAAGATCGATCAATGCCAATTAAACAAAAATCCCTTCAAAATAATATACAGGCACGATTGAGCATGTGTATGTTAAAAATATAAAAAAACCATTCCTCTAATTTCATATATTAAATATCTATTTAGCAATTTACATGACAGCTCTACTTGACCAAGTGGAATGTGTACCTAATGTGCAGGTAGTAAAGGAAAGCTTATCTGTCCCAAAGCCTTGAAGTATTAGAAAATTTGAACTTCTTGACTATCTCTAGAAGTAATATGCAGCATATTTTTAACATCATTATAATGAATAATAGTAAAAGATGGAATTCAAACCAATTCTAAGATTGGCTCACAGCAACACAGCAATGAATAGCAATTTCAAATACATACATGTGGTCACCTTCAAAAAGAGATTGTTCTTTCTAGATATTAATAGAATAGATTTTCATTCAAAAAAATGTAAACTTCACAGACCAAAAATCACAATTATCCTTCCCAGGTATTTCCTGAACCTCTTAAAATATTTTCCTCTTTTACTTTTTTGAGTCCTCTATAGCAGGATGTGAGTTGGAACTGAATGAAGCATTGTACAAAATATGTTTATTGAATGTTTTTATGCACTGCATACACAAAAAGCCAACTGAGTTCTAAGAATAGGTTTTTAAGTTGAGACAAGGTAAGATATTGACACGTGGACACATACCATGGTCAGCATACGTGAGTTAAATACTGTTTTAGTTACACTGTGATATTAAAAATATAAACATTTTAATATTTTACAGGGATATTCATTTGGGAAACAGTCTCATACACAAGAGTTAAAATCTGAAGTCTAAGAACTAAGATAAACTCTTAACTCTGGATTAATATACTGAAAATATATTTTGAAATGTTTCTTCATATTTTAGAAGTCTATTTAAGATGTTTCCATGCCTGCAATGGAAAAGTGTGCTTCCACTTACCCTAAATTATACATAATAGAGGAGCTAACTTTGGGATAAATAAGCAATAATTTGCTATACAGCAAAGTCCTAGAAAGTCTAATTTCACCTAACTACAGGTCAGGGATAAGAAATAAATATTATTTAATAGGGCTTATTATCTAGGCATTACAATAAAATGCGAAGACATACTTGTTAAATTTAATCATTAATCATACAATCTATAAAATATTAAAGTGTATTTTATAAATAAATCTATGTGTACTGTTGCAAAATTTACATAAATTATCTTTCACAACTGAATTACTGTCATTCATGATTGAATTATTGTCAAAGTGCCTAGTATAGTGAAAATACTGGTCCTCAAATACTTTCTGTTAATTTTATTCTAAATTCAGGCCAATATTCACTCCCTAAACATATCTGAAGGCAAACACTGCATAAAATTAGGTAATACAGATTTTTGTCCCTTGAGCTCAAGGCCCAAAGCAGGGCTAGAGGCCTCTTCAGACCACTGGGCTTCAGCAAGAACTTCTTTAACAATTTTAAGTAACTTAAAATCAAATTTCTGGTTTTGGTTCCAGGACCAAAAAAAAAAGGTATAAATCCTTGGGAGAGTTGCATATTATCTCTAGCCATTAGGAGTTTGTTAGCGCTATTGTTTTCTAAATGCATGTTAGAAATTTCAGTTTGGATGGCAGCTATGTTTACCACCAAAGATACTCAACATAAATAACAATCAAAGAAATACAAATCAAAACCACAATGAGAAAGCACCTCATACCTGTTAGGATGGCCTATTATAAAAATTTAAAAAGAAGTCAGTGTTGATGAGAATGTGGAGAAATTTTGGAACCTTTCTACATGGCTGATGGGAATGTAATCAGTACAGTCACTATGGAAAACAGTATAAACTTTCCTCAAAGAATTAAAAATAGAACTACCATATGGTCTAGCAATACCACTTCTTATCCAAAGGAATTGAGATCAGAATCTCAAAGATATATCTGCATTCCCATGTTCACTGCAGCACTATTCACTATAGCCAAGAGGTTGAAACAATGTTCACTGACAAATGAATAAAGAAAACGTGGTATAAACATACAACACAGTATTACTAAGCCTTGAAAAAGAAGGAAATCCTGCCATTTTTGACAACATGGATGAAACTTCAGAACATTGTGCTAAGTGAAATAAGCCAGATAAGAAGGAAAATATTATATGAGGAACATAATGAGGAGTATAAGTAGTATTATATGAGGAATCTAAAATAGTCAAATTCATGGAAACAGAGAATAGAGTGGTGGTTGCTAGCAGATGGGGAACAGGGGAAACGGGGAGGTATAAGTCAAAAGGTACAAAGTTTCAGTAATACAAGATGAATAAACCCTAGAGATTTACTGTATAGAATTGTGTCTAGAGTTAACAATACTGTGTGTCATACTTAAAAATTTGCTAAGAAGGTAAATCTTAACGTTAAGTGTTCTTATTACAAAAAAGATAATAATAAACAGGGTGGAAGTTTTGGAGGTGACGGATATGTTTATGGCACAGAATGTGGTGCTAGTTTTATGAGTGTATATTTCTCTCCAAACTCATTAAGTTGTATACAATAAATATGCACAGTTTTTTCTATGTCAAATATACCTCAGTGAAGTGGTTTTTAAAAAAAGAAAAATATTTCCCTTTTAAAAGTTCCCCTTTGTTCATAATTGCACTCTGCTTCCATCCTAAAACCAAGAACATCCCCTGTGTCTTTCTCTCTGATATGTAACTTTGATAATTCAGGTAAACTGAAGTATTATTAAGTTGATTCATGTAAATGCATCAATTATTATTTATTAAGTTATTGGTGTGACAAAGATATTTGTATTCAGAAAATATTCGTACTCAATGAAACCTCCGGAGTTGAACTACCCCAGAGAGTGATTAAATATTTGTTTGAAGCCCTGTGGTGCCATCCTTATGTTTTATAATTTTAGGACACAGGCAAGGAAACTCAGTAGCTGGTCCAGGAAAGGGAAACTTTATTAACATATTTGGTAGAGGCAGTACTTTTTCTGGTTGTGTGTATAGTTTGTTGAATTTGAGAGCAAAGTTTTGGGATGCAAACACCACCATGACACAACTCTACAAAGCAGTTATATGGAACTCAGAATCAAAATTTCTGGCTGAATCATGAGCTCAGTCATTCGACTCAGAAGGTAACTAACTCTCATAGAACCCCTCTTTCTTCTGAGGGTAGAATGAGATAATGTGCACGAAACTGCATTATAACTATAGAGCACCACAGAAATCCACATTGTCAGAGTATAAAAATGTATACTAAAAACATTTTGCATTTTTATATAATTATAAGCATTTCTGTCAATTCTAATAGCACGTACAAACTAAGAAAAATATATTTTTCTACCCAGCAGTTTACTTATTTGAAATCTTGAGTAATCAACAAAACTTCATTATGTTTTAATTTCTCCATCAACATTATATGCTAATATTTATAATCATATTCATATAACACTTATAAAATCAGCGATTATGCAGTAAAAAGAACTTTGTACTCCGAGTTGGAGACTTGTGACTAATCCTAAATCTGCCATATTAGGTGCATTCTCTTGATAATATCTCCTCATCTCTATTAACCTTGTCCTCTTTTACAAAATAAGAATAGTGCCTTTCCTCACAAACACTTCATGAGGATTAACTGAGATATGTCAGTATTGTGAATTGTAAAGGAGTTTAGAAATAGAGCTTAATGTCTCATTACACAATTGAGATGAAGAATATGAAATCGTGGTGTTAGAGATCAGACTTACAGTTAATTAGTGATTGTAACCAAAATAGATGTAATATCTGTAATCTTTGCAAAACATGCTTTGAAATGGGCTTAGAAAAATGCTGAAGTCCTGTTGTTTGTAAAAATTATTAATTGGCCAGATTGTTCAAGATATCCCTAACAATGTTTCCTTGAAGACAGCTTGTATTATACCTTAAAAATTATTTAGTAGACATTAGATGTAAAATATATTTTAATATTTATTTTCTAATAGGTTGTAAGCTTCCTAACTTCCGGTAATTCATTTTTTTAGTTTATATTCCTTTAAAAATTATCTAAACAATAGCAGGATTGATGGTAGTAAGAAAATAACTATTGTAATTTTAAACATGAAATACCGTAGATAATGGGGCTTTGAGAAAACAGAAAACATTGTGGGTTTGCTTTGAAAAGGGTAATCGATATTGAGAAATTAAAAGAAATTGGAGACAGTAAACATCAGTCATCAGATTAATTCTTCCTAGTTTTAAAAGTTATGTACATTTATATAAATTTAGATTTTGAGATCACATGAAGCTTTGGGGTCCAGAAACATTCCCAAAACACCATGATGTTCAATGCCATCTTTCTTACCTCTACATTGGCCTGGTGCTATAATGCCTTAGATAAATTTTATAAATTAAAATTCCGGAAAACTTGAACAACAAACACACAAACACATACACACACATGCATGCGCACACAACTTAGTGCCTTAGGATTATAAAATAAGAATGTGGTCATGGTCTTCAAGAAATCTAGACCATACTGTATTATCTGTATTAAATGACAATGAAAATGTATCTGAAGAAAAGTCTTCAAGGTCATTGATAATGGCCAAAATGCTTTCCACACAAAACAGTTTGGAGAAGAATAAATTTCATGTGTAAATATGACCTGAGGCCTAATAACTGAGAAATTTCCCTCCCAGGATCTAAATATAGAATAGTAAGATAACCTGGATAACAAATCACAAAATTGACAATCTTAGGGATACTTGTTTTGTTTCAACACAATGACTCTTCATAAATAAGAATTTGGGAAGTGCTGTACAGCAGAAGGAAATATTTTACTGCAACTTTCCAACTGACCAGGCTTCCACATTGACACTGAGTATTCCATTCACGTGGGAGAACAGGTTGTCAAGTGCAAAGTCTCGGAATAACCAGCCAGGAAACCCTGTGGAAAAAATTGGGGTTTATTTGTTTTCATTGTTTGGGGACTGGATGTTAACCATAGGTTTAAGAAATTGTTGTGCTGGGCAAGTTCACAGCAAAGACATTACAAGAACAAACTCTACATATAAATATCTTTGATAAAGGAAAATATTAGTCCTTATCCAGACCCAGGCAATACTAGCAAAACAGCATTAAGTTGAAATAATATTCTGAATGTCAAATCAATTTTTACCTGCCTCTATATCCCAAAGACAAGGAAATAAAAAATGTAAAGATGGATACATGCTTTTAGTGATATAAATGAAAATAGTAAAATGATAATAAAGATGAATTTTAAGGATATGTAGAACAAAACAGAAGTAATTATGTGGGACTGATACTTCTTATTTTAAAATATACTATTAATCTACAAAAAAGTAGAAAAGTTTATACTGTAGCAAATAGTGGGTAATATAAACAAGTTTTGACACCAGAGATCCCTCAAGTGACTATGAATAGTTTGTTTTTGCCTTTCTTTTCTGTTTTATTCTACTTATTTTTTGGTTTGTTTGTCTTTGTTTTTATTTTGGCTATGCAAACAAATAATTTATAGATACATTAAAGGACTTTATTTTTAAGTTGGAAATTCTTTGACTGGCAGTGGAAAATCACCAGACACAGAAGTTTGGAGAACATTTTATTTTATGCCTTCGCATTGTTGTTGAGAAAACTTCTAGATAGCCATATTAATAAAACTCCAAAACTACAGCTATAGGAAATCAGGTTGCAAAACATTGCAGTCACTGGTCTAAATCTCTGACTCAATGAAAAACTGGTCAAGCTTTATAAAGTCATGTTCTTTCAACTGTACTCCAACTCCATGTGACAGAAGTAAATAACTGAAATAAGATAAACCACAAAAAAATGAGGATAAAGAAGCAATATCAACAAATCCATATAGATTGTATATACATGTTTCATTAAAAAGCAAACTACGTTAATGTCGGTCAAAGACTAACTTATTGACTCAAGAAAGGAATTATCTTCCAGGGGTCCTAAATATTTGACTGAATAAACCGTTTTAAATCTATATTTCCAATATAATTATTTAAAAATATCTTCATGTTGGAACTGTTACTTTAAAAAATAAGTAAGCCTCACTGACCTAGACTAAAATTGTTCAACACTGGTTTCTTGGCTTTGTCACAGATGCAAGAGAATCCAATTCCCAGATTTACTGGCTGTTTAAATATATGACTTCACAATAACTAGCTGCATGGAACTACCTGCAAGTACACTTTAGAGAGTTTATCCTTGAAGATACTGCCCTACAAATTTTTGAAATGTTTAACACAAAGCAACAATATATACAGAAGTCTTTGTGAGGGCTATGTGGTAAATCAATTTATATTTTCTAAAACAAAACTACGAATTAATTCCCACCATCAAACAACCATGCACCTGGAACACACTATATTTCTAGACAGTCCCTCTCCCCTCACTGCACCTACAGTTCCTTTCATTGTACTGTCCTTTATCATTACTATATCAGGTTGTTTACTATATGGATCATGGTGACGATGATTCTCATATGGATCATGCTGCTTCTGCTCCTGCTGATAATCTCCTCTATGAAATAACAGAAAAGAAACTTTCTTTTGGTGTTGGTATCAGGAATAATTAGTGTGCACTTACGCAACTGGCTTTTTTTTTTTTTTTTTTGAGACGGAGTCTCGCTCTGTCACCCAGGCTGGAGTGCAGTGGCGCGATCTCGGCTCACTGCAAACTCCACCTCCCAGGTTTACGCCATTCACCTGCCTCAGCCTCCCGAGTAACTGGGACTACAGGTGCCCACCACCACGCCTGGCTAATTTTTTTGTATTTTTAGTATAGACAGAGTTTCACCGTGTTAGCCAGGATGGTCTCGATTTCCTGACCTCGTGATCCACCCACCTCAGCCTCCCAAAGTGCTGGGATTACAGGTGTGAGCCACCGCACCTGGCCTGCAACTGGCTTATTTTGTATTAAAGATGTTGTGCATTTGTAATGAATTACACTTTTTTGTGTTGGGATATTTGTGATTAAATATGCAGCCTAATTTTTACCCTTATTTCCCCTTACTGATCTTTTCTATGTATTTTAAATTTATTTCACTTGGCTACATTTTTACATTTTCGCAGCTACTGTAAATCACTTTTGATATTAAAATAGGCTTTAAAATGATATTAACATAGCAATTAAAATCTTACTAAATGATATGTACACAATATAATTTAGTATATTTATTGTAACTCTATTTTCATTAAAATGCAGTTTTCCCTCCTTCAAACTCAAAATAACTTTGATTCAACAGAAAACAACAAAATGGAACTGATGTGCAGGTATTACTTTACAGTAAATAGCAAGTTATCTTAATTTATTTGAGAGTCTTGCCAAAGGATGGGAAGTAAGTGAAAAGGTCTTCTCATCTGGCAAAAAGCAATAGAACAAAATCTGAGCTCCTAGACTTTATTCCTAGAAAAACACACCAGCACCTCGCTCATAACTTTATAGCCACAATAATACAAGAGTTTCTTTGGTATTCAACCCCACAAAACCATTAAAGATGCACACTGTAAATGGGAAAATGGTTTGTTCAAACAAGCACATTGACAGCAATAATTATTAACAAGAAAGTGGGCAGGGAAACCTAAACAAACAAATACACAAAAACAAACAAATCAGCTAAGAGTCTATGTGCCCTCAACACTGTGATACTGTGTGTAGCTCTATGAACATAATTGTGTTAAGGAGTGCATGAACAGTTATATATGAAAACAACTGGATTAAAGGGCAAAACATTGATGTTAAAACAATATCCATTAGGCAACAACTAAAAATATTACAGCATGTAAATTTTTATAAAAACAAGGATGAAATCCCTTTATAGCCCTCCTAATTAAAAACAAAGGTTGGTAAATTATAATTCTGATGAGATAAACTTTAATTAAAACAATGTAAACAAATAGCAATAATCATAACAATAAGCTGGTTGGCAAATATCTGGCACATCGAAAAACTCAGCTGTAAATAAGAAGAGATCAGAAGCTAAGTTTTTACAATTAAGTCATTATTTATCAACGCAACAAAAAGCAGAAACATACAGCAACTGTTTATTAAATATTGCTTCAGATTAATCATGAATTTAATTTAAAGATTAAATGCACTGTAAATAATAACTCTTATCCCTTTGCATATTCTATTTCCTGATATTTTTTGAATGCAGTACAAAAAAATGGAAAAGATCAAGTGCTCTTTGCATAATACTCCCCACACAGAGTAGCTGAATTGTCTTTTAAAGATTCTTAAATCAATGTCTTTTAAGAAAGAGCAAACCAAGTGAACAAAACTATCTTTTTAGAGAATTATGTAACTGAATTAAATTGTGAAATTAAGAGACATTAGGTCAAAAAAATAAAATTGCAAACCATTAGCACTGATAAACTATTCAATAACACTAAATCTGAAAATTAAAATTACCATTTGAAAGATTACATTTATAAAAAATTAAATTGAATATTATTTCAGTAATGTTAAAAAGTCAATTTTTCATATTTTATAATTTTTTATAAATCCATAACAAAACGTTCCCAATTGAGACATAAGGTGACATCACTCACAAAGACAGTAAATATGTTTAACTCAGTTCTGTCAATAAAAATGTGCACATTGAAGACTGACCTAATAATATCACCAATCTTAACAATATAAAATCATTCTATTTCACCTAATTTCCGTAAAAACCAACCCAAATGCTAGCTAAAATATCTTATTGATCACAGCAGGATTGAGCTGGAGAAATATAGAATCCATGAGAAATACCAAATTATAGTAATTATAATAATCTCAGTATTAAGAAAAAATATCATAGCTTAATTTTATCTTTTATAAAACAAGGCATTATGTTATATACAGGTATACTATAAATAAAACTAAAGTCTGATCTCCATTTCAAAATAAAAGAGCCAGTCAATAGCACCTCCTAAACTCAACCTCAGTTTCTTTTTAACTGGCAAGACCATAAGTAGCATTTAGCTTATAAATAAAATGTTTATTATTCACGTTTGAAATATATTTGTAAATAATTTGTGATAATTGTTGCAACTGTATTCTAATGGCTTAGTTTTCAAATGAGAAACTCATTACTACCCTAGGCTAGCCATTTTGCATTATTTACAGTTGAAAGGGACTAAAAACACTGAAAAACATCTTATTGGCCTTTATAATTTCCATTATTACCAAGAAGTTCTATGGTTCTATTTGTTTCTCAAAGTGATGTACTAATAGTTTTAATGAGAAAAAAAAAATCACACACACACACACACACACACACACACACTCACCCCAGATCTTTGGGCCTACCATAATCTCTGACATAATTATCACTGTATCACATTTTAGATCGCACATATGGATGTGTACTTAGTTCACAAGTATGCAAACTGTATCCATTGCAATTTAGCTTTGTTAAACCATCCAGGAAATCTGTGGAGAATAAAGATATTACGTTTAAAGACTCTATATAGCAAACTCAAAGGGGACAGCTTCAAGCAAAAACTTCAGAAAGACTATTCTTGTTACAAACCACATGTTTCTTACCAATACTCAAAGGGTCTTTCAGATTAAATAGATGTTTTAGAGCCCCTTATTCTGTGCTTAATTTTTCCATCACTTTTATGTCTTAATTGAATAGCTCTGATTACAGTAAAATCTCATAATAACAAACCTTACATAGAGATCTCTATAACTAAATGTCTGCCTAAAACAAAACTAGCCTCTGAAATCAAGAAATCACAACGTATTTGTCAAAGAAGCCTATTGTCAAGAGAAACCTAGTCTCTGTCAAGCCATTCTAAACAGAAACAAGCTCAATGAATTTGCAGTCATTCCTAATGTTTTTGCTTATGCCAATGATCTGTCTAATCATCACATATTTATCTTTTGGAGATTTAAGCTTTGGGTGTATTTGTTTATGATATAAAATGGCAGAGCCAATGAAAACACCAACTAGTAACTAAGGTTTTTTATTGTTGTTGTTTTGTTTTTTTAGCAAGAGCAATTTGAAGCTGGTCTTGAGTTTATCCACTAACCATAGATGAGAAGTGGTGTACCTTTGTGTAGGCAGGACTTTTTCTACCACTGAATGTCAAGTACTTCTTTGTTGTGACTTTTAAGGAAAGGATTATAAACCTGAGTTATGCAAGTCCTTTTACATGGTCCATAATTACATTTAGGGGATCCACACACTCTTTTAAATTGCAAGTAAAATTTTGTGTGCAAAAGTATTTTTTCCCTCAAGAGTCCATTGCTTCCTTTATTTCTCAAAGGCCTCTGATCTCTCTCCAAGTTAAGAACAAATGGTTAAAGGGACTAAAGGAATGAGTGACCCTGAGTAGGGTATTATGATATGGACTTGTTGCTTTACCTTTAGCTCCCAGAATTATCCTCTCTTGCAGGTCCTCAGCCTCAGCAGTATGCTTTCATGAAGATCACTATTTAAGCCAGGCACTTAGGAAATCAAAAAACCATACTCAGAGAAAATGAGCTTTGTGAGTACATATAGAGAGCAAGGGAACTCACCTCAAAAAGCACTTTCATGACCTAGCAACACTCCAATGAATTATATTTTTCAAAAGCCTTTAATATAGAATAGGCAAGAGAAATATCACACACAAATGTACTAACATCTCTTCTCTGATGAATACCTTAGACAATTTCAGATATATGCTAAATAGGAAAATATAGAAAATATAATAACAAACTTTATATAATCTAAATAAGTGATTACAGAACATAATCCTGAAATAAAAGTAAAAAAAAAATTAAGTGGATAAAAAAGTTGTTGCAATTTGAACCTACTCAGAAGAACAAGTTTCAAGGGCTAAGCATTCTCTAGAGAGAAAAACCACAAACATTGCAGGGCTAACAGCCTCTTGTAACAAAAACAAACAAAAAAAAACCCTCAAAGCTATTTATAAGCCTAAAATATAAGACAGATATTATAGTATTGAAATACATTTGTTAAAACTCACCAGTCATTATATCAATATACCCCCTTTTCTGAAGTCAGTTTTGAAATTTGTTCAATGTTTACAGTTCATCATAAGAATTTATTTCCCAGATATTCAAGACTCATAGAAGTCACGTAAAACCTTCTCTAAAACTTATTTAAATTAACTACGCAATCAAGATTTTTGGTTACACTTCTGCAAGTAATTGACCCACTCATAATATAATTATGATGATTCCCTTCTTAAAGACAAAAGATTGGCCTACGTGAAGCAGGTTATATAATATCTGAAACCATTTCATTAGCCTACAACTTACAGGCATGATGATAAGTATTTAAAAGTTTTCTTGACAATTATCATAGTATCAAATAATTACAAATTCCTTCATTAATGTATCTTCTTTGATAAATTGACATGCTTCTTCCCAATCTCCCTAGCCTTAGAAAATTGAGAATGGCAAGCATTTGTTTTACTTATTAAAAGTGTTTACAGATGACCTGGGGAAGGATAGGGGAGAATATATATTTGCTGTTCATTGAGATTAATTTTTGTTTTTGTTTTCCAAATGACTTCTTCATTTCTCTAACAGAACCCTCCTTGCCAGGAACATTCACAGGTAATACTTCAAAATGAAAATATCTATTCTCCTTGAAGATCTTCCTAACTATGCACTAATAAACAGCAGCACCCCATAAAATCAGGAAGTTGGAAGAGACTTGAGCAGACAAACTTCTATGGAATTCATAATCACTTTACTAATAAAGTTATTGCCCTCATAAATATATGTGTAGAGACTATAATTCAGACTGGTTCCTCAGAACTAGACAGAGAAATCAATCACATTGTTTCTCTTTTTCTTTCGTCTCTCATGTACATATATCTGGGAACATGAACCATCATTGCCTCAGCCTTCCTCTCATAATGGTGGGTGTCTACTATTAAGAAGAAACAGCAAGTATAAACATCAACAGAAGATTCATGATCATTATAAACTGGCAATTATTAGCCACTCTGTAAGCACATTGTTCAATTTACAATAAAATCCTTCCATCCTCACTAAAAAATATATTTAATTAGGCTAGACTCACAAACATTAACTAGTATTTGGTAGGCAGCAATCTGATTCATATTTTTGCCAGTGGAAGGTGGCTACTTTTCCATTTGCCTCTGACCCTTTGGATTTTGAGCTTGCCTTCAGCACAAAGTAGACCTCTTGAAAAACATTTGCTGAGAAAAGAAGGCAGGAGCTCTCTTCAGCTGCCCTCAGCAATACACACTGAACCTGAGGGGGAGCAAGTGAGCAGTGAGGACAGCCCTTGTCCCTGGCCGACTTTCAGAGAGCCCCAGTGCCTCTCTGCGTCCAGGTCCTCATCAGGCTGCAGCACAACTGTGATGCCTCTTTCCTCTCCCAAGGAGTGCAGTCTTAATAGTAGGTGCCCTTGGGACACCTCAAACTTACTCAATGCCTATTTGGCAAAATAGTTACAATGAAGCCAATTAAAAAAAAAAAAAGCAAAAAAACCGCTGTATTTACCTCTTGTATTAGGAAAACTGCATACCTTTGAACATTTAATAATTGTGTCTTTTTTCTACATGAAAATCATCAATAGATGATCTTGAGCATCTGAAAAAATGTTTTGCCATTCCTACAGAGAATAACAGGAGAGTCTTTTTCCAAACTGGCAGAAGGGAAACAAGGGCCAGAAGGGGTTAGTCACTAGTTACTCTTTTAACCCAAGGTCACACACCCAAATCTCTGATGCAAAAGATTACACTTCTCTTTCCTTCTTTGTGTCTTGGGCTCTCTGTTCCCCTCATCTGAACAGTTTCCCCTTTAGTCCACAGCTTAACATCACCGAAAACACAGGCATTTCCACGAATGTGTTCTATAATCAGGACTGTCAATTAGGAGAAACCAAACCTGGTCAGCATTTTTTCTAAACACTTGAAAAGAACAATCTATATATACTTAAATCTTTGTATTTTCAAGAAGATTAAGCTCTGACATTTTCTAATTTTAGTGAAAGTCACTAAATAGGGAAAGCAAACTCTTTGATCCATCAGAGAAGAAAAATGTATCTTTCTGAATTAATTGTATATTATCTATATATCTCAAGTTAAGACTTAAATGTAATACTAAAATGTATATAATTTAATGTGTACTTCAGATAAACATTTAAATCATAAAAATAACTTTATGTAATACAAGTAATCATTATTGCATCCTAAAATTACATATTTATATAAAGCAAAACATCCTTATTCTCTACTGATAGAATCTAAATGAAACATTTTAGTATCTTACTCTTTTGGATAATTAAACAATAAATTACATTAACTTTACATTTATCCATAGATTAATATAATTTAGTTTACCTGTTCCTGAGTGCAATGTATGAAGTAGTAGAAACTGCAGAAACCCAGCAAACATAACAGCAGCATCGGAGTGGTTAACTAAATGCCACTGGCATCAAATCATTAAATTTCAGCTAGCAATGGCAGCAAATGCACAACACAATTAAAAAATCCACCAAAATACAACATTTTAAATAAAATTCCCTGTGGTCCTTGCATTCTAAATCAAAGCCAAAAAAGCCTGCAGTGTCCAACATTATACAACAGTGACACTAAACAAGGCCATAAGTGCTGCTGTCATCAAAACAGATCTCTGCAGTGAACAGATTCTCATTGATTACAGCATTAATCTATAGTGCTCTGTGCTGTACTAAAGTGGCTCCCAGTGTAGCATACACTAAAGCTCTTTTAGCTCCTCAATTAACCATTTCCTAAAACAATGCACAGAAGCTGCTACCTTCCTGAAGCCAGAGAGATGAAACGTTGTGGTCCTTAAAGCTAACACAGAAGAAAAGACTCAGGCAAATGTTCAGGAGCTCATCTTGTTCCCACTGACACTCACTGGGATACCCATGGATTAAGATGACAAGGTTGAGCAGATGCCTGTCAGACCACAGAAAACTCACCTGAAATGATTTGGTCCCATTATCAATCACTGGCAATGGTCCTGCCAAGCCCTGTGTAACAGATCATTTCCTCTGCAGTTTCCCTAACTGAGGAATCTTACTCAGCTCAATGACAACTGGCACCAGAAAGCATAAACCAAGAGTATACACAATTGATTGTTGGGAACACAGGCAAAAGTGCTTCTTCAGGCTTTTCTGGTACGGCCAGCCTAGTGCTAACGGTGGCTCATCTCCAGAGGGCAAAAGGACAACCTCAAACAGGTTTTGCCAGAGAGCTGGGGACAGGAGAAGGTGGCTCGTATTTCTGATATTTTTAAAGATGCATATTTTTGAGGACTGTAGATGCATAATTCATAATACAATAGATTTTTTTTTTCTCACTGAGACACAGAATAATTATCCTCTCATTGGGTCACCTACATTTTACTTCATCCACCCATATTTTGTGTTACAGAACAACAGCAACAGTAACAACAAAATTAGTTGATTTGAAATTATGTTACTATCTCAATTACATTTTTATTGTAGTACAACATTCAGATCCCAGAAACAGCAATGAATAATGATACACTTCTCTAATCATCTAGGGATTATTTGCTGAAAAATCAAGGTGGACTGCTTCTACTTTGTTTTAGAAAATGAAATGGCCAAATGAGGATAGAGAGAAAATTAGGAACATCTTTCATTTATTTAAAACAAATGGTGCTGTGTTTACTTAAATTACATGTACTTGTCAAAAATAATTATCTCATGAGAAAAAAAATTAAAACTGAGCCATGGATCATCTCATTACCAAAAACAACTGCAAAATATCAGCCTTAAATGAAATGACTAATTTGAACAATTTTTCTCTCTTAAAAGAACATATTTACGGTCTCACTCAGAATCTGTTTGCTTTTTTTTCTTTTCCCAAACTTCCGCCTATGCTTAAAGCTGGCTGTAGTCAAAACCTGACCAAGTTATTGTTGGGAAAAGCAAAAGGGAAATAAACATCAATTGAATGCTTATTAAGTGCCAAATATTATACTGTCTATTAATTTTATTTAGTTAATTTATTTCTCATAGGCATATGGAAAAATCAACAACACTTATCCCATATTAGAGATGGGGTTTAGAAAACCTAATTAAATTGCCCGAAGTCCATGATTTATAAGTAGCAGAGTTGGGATTTGAACTTGGTTTTGTCTGTTTTGAAAGCCATGTATGAGCTTTTCACTACACCATAGTAGTTAGGAGTTACTGCAATTATTTTGTTGAATTACTTCAAAGTTATGTCAGTTTTTGTGAAAGTACTCGTGACTTGTTGGAGGTGCAGCGGGGGGCCTATAATGATATACTTTTATTTCCCATGTTTTGAGGTGGTGAAGATTTTCCGGAGCAGCTATTGGGGCTGAAGTCTTATACTTGCTGAACTTAAGTTGCTTCCATTATGATATGGTCATTAAGAAGACATACAGATGGCATGGTCTAGAGATAGATCTGCTGGTCCAGCAAGTATACAGAAGAGAACCAATAGAAAGGGAGTCAAAACTTTCAACAACCAATATACTCATTTTGTCTGGTTGAAATCGCTACCATATAATGTTCTTTGACTAGAATTTAAGAATGCATGAATCAGGCTGGGAGCAGTGGCTCACGCCTATAATACCAACACTTTGGGAGGCCGAGGCGGGTGGATCACCGGAGGTCAGGAGTTTGAAACAGCCTGGCCAACATGGTGAAACCCCATCTCTACTAAAAATACAAAAAATTAGCTGCGTGTGGTGGTGGGTGCCTGTAATCCCAGCTACTTGGGAGGCTGAGGCAGGAGAATCGCTTGAACCCAGGAGACAGAGGTTGCAACGAGCCAAGATCGCACCATTGCACGCCAGCCTGGGTGACAGAGCAAGATTCCATCTCCCAAAAAAAAAAAGAATGCATGAATCATATAAGCCTATGTAGGCTCAAGTCAACTGAAATAAAACATTTTAATACACTGCATGTGTCTATTGTTGTGCTTGAGTTTTGAGATTTAAAAAAATATTTATTTCTCTATTCCTATTTCTTTTCTCTTGTTTATTATCCAGTATGGGCTTACTTCAAATTATAAAGTCATTTTGAATGTCATTAATCTAATATTTGTCCCTCATTCCATCTCATGAATTTATATTAATTTAGTATAATTACCGTGAGTTCCCCAAAGTGCCTTGATATAAGAAAATTTATCAAATAGTAACAAATTGCATTTCTAACAGAAAATACTTAATAAATCCAAACAGGGTTTATCAAGTATTTTCTGTTAGAAAAGCAATTTTTTACCAAACCCTGTTTGGATTTATTAAGTATTTTCTGTTAGAAATGCAATTTGTTACCAAACCCTGTTTGGTTTATTAAGTATTTTCTGTTAGAAATGCAATTTAATAAACTAAACAGGGTTTATTAATCAAAATGGTATTCATGGATTTCAAAATTACAGAATCAAAGCAGAGAATCAATATTAGAAGAGATTAATGTTGACCTTATTCTAAAATATCCTTACTTATTTCTGGGTACCACATACTATGAGCTTTCATGCATAGTAGTAAGTGTTATTCACTGGAGCCACTGTCTAGGTAAAAGTAGAAAAAATCCTTCTATTTTCATTTTTTAAATTCCAAAATTTATGTTAACAATATTTACTCATTTAAAATATTTCTACAACTCTTCCATCTTGAGCTATATATATCCTTCTTCTGGGTTATATATTTCACAGCCTCATACTTAGTTGTGATTCCACAGCTATATCAAAGACCAGAAAACTGATTTCCCTTGGGAGAGAATACATAAAACCTAACATCAAATGCAATTTTGAGCTTGCTTCATATATTCCATTTGACCTTGTGCTATTGTAGTTTAGGTCAAGGCCTGCATTTGTGAAAAGGTTTTGGTACTTTCGCAAGAACCCAGGAACCATTATTTTAAAAAAGTGACACAAACTTCCTATTTTTGCATTGACATTCCACTAATGATTACTGCAATTTGTCATGTATTTCTCATTCTTTGTATGAGATAGTAAAGCATGGAACACATTTACAGAAAAAAAAACCCATGCACAATTAGGTAGCCTGCTATTTTTTTTTAATTATTTTCACAGAACATTGATTTTCTAATCTTCAAATCTCCCTTGATGTGGCTATTACACAGGAATCAATCATAAACATAATTAATCATCTTAAAATCTTTAGAGCTATATTATAAACCCTACAATCTCATTTCAGAGTAACAGATTAAAGATAAAGTTGGTAACTGGAAACTTTATTCAATTAAGAACACTGTGCACCTGACACACAGAGAATAGAAATATTTTGACTGGAAAATAGATACAGAGGGAGTGTTAAATATAGATTTAGGTACAACTGGGACAAAATGAAGTGGGATTACCATTATCTATTGCTTACCAGCAACTGCTCGTCGAGCTTCAATTGTTCCCTCTTCGGAATCAACAGACCTCACTTCTTCCCACCCTTCTGAAGAGACATGAATCCCAGGTGCACACATGACAGCAAACTTGGAAATAAATCCAGCTTGAGAGATTTAAGCCTTGCTGTTTAAACCACTCTCTGCTGCTCAAGATCTTATCTAAGAAGAGTGTGAAGCGCCTCCTTCATCACTCTGCTTATATCATTGAACAACAGGACCAGCAGAAAATGGAAACTGAAATAAAACATTGGTGTGAGAACAAGAAAGTCTCCTTGCATGACTGACTCAGGTCACTGCAGGCACTGTGCAGTTACCCAAAGGACTGCTTGGATAAAATACTGTAGACAAGCTTCGGTGGGCCTGGTGGTGTGGGGACTGGTAGCATTTACTGAGGAGAAGCATATTGGCATCTCTGTTGGGTTTTAACCAGATCCACAGGATTCAGGAAATAAGCTCTCTGCCAGATGACACTATGCTCCTAGCCATTCCTTCTGTTTACTTATCGCCCAAATTACTCTAACTAGTGTCCTTTGTCGTGCTGTGAGCTTATTTGTGGAGAAGGCTAAATAAAGGATTTTTATGACAATGAAATGGCCATTGGCCCATAGAATGATTTCTTAACCTAACTCTTCTGCTTTTGTTCAGTACCATTAAAATTAATTAAATGGGAGCACTTATTATTATATCTTTGATTTATGAAGAAATACACTTTTGTTTCTTCTTGAAATATTTGAACTTAGGCTGTATTTTTAACTGTTACATATTCTTTAAATAGTACTTACCTCTTATTACATAAACTTTTTAAGGTAGCTTCCCTCTTCCTATTATTTTTCTATCAGATGCAAATACATATATATGTGAATATATTATATATTATATATAGATTCCTATTATATGTGACATGCTACAAAACTAATACACATTTCTGAAATATGAAGAGCTGTACCTTCTGATAAATGAGATGCATATTCCTAATTTATGAAAAAAATTATATATTTTTATCTACCTTAACTGTAGTCTTTTCACTAAAACAAACAAACTAAAAATTTCACATGTAATTTTAATGTAAGCATATTTTCCTGCAGGTAGTTATTATTGTTTTGGATTTCAATACAGAAAATGTTGTAAATAGCAAAAATAACACAATCACCTTGCATTTGCCTATATTTCATACTTCCTAAATAATATTCATATGCTTCAAAATGAATCTGAGAGGTAACAAAGATGGATAGCATTAACAAGAGAATCAACCATGTAGAGAAACAGACATGGAGTATTACCAAGACTGGTTTATCCTGGAAATGAAATTCCTAAGTCACTAACCTAAGGCTTCTACTTCACCAAACATTCATTTTCAAATTAAACTTTGGTACTAATATGACAGCCAGAAAGTACAGATAAAAACCTATTACAATCAAATGCCAATATTTTTAATGTTGAAATATTGATCACATATAATATCTTAGAAATTCCTTTTTATTCCTCCATAGTCCTATTAATTCCATATGCAAAATTAATCTGACTTTCAAATCACAAATCTCCTACAAGTATCCTTTGAAGTAATAATCAATAATGTATTGATTTTCTAAGTTCCATACACCACCAGCGTATTAAGGACAGTACTGAAGTACTATATGAAAAATGTATATATTATTTCCAAACTCTTCCAAAGTACTTTCAAAAGCTGAAAAACATCTCTACTAATCTACAGCTGACTCACTTATGTAATATCCTGTTGCTCACAATTATATCTTGTAAAAAATGTAAACTTCCATATAGACAAATATGCTAATCATTTTAAATAATGAGAATGTCTACATAATTTACTTTGATAGGATGTAAATCTAGCATCTCATTCTTTATGGGACTACAGAATGAAGACTGCCCAGGTAGAACTAACACATTACTACTGAGTTTACTGGCTAACTCTGCTGTGTGAGCCCTGCTATATTGTATTAATGTATTGGCACTTAAGAAACAATAGCAGGACAAACTCTGGACAGAAGAGGGCAAATATATTGTCTTTTAATCTGTACATGTGGAAACTCCAGATCCTTTTAGTAATACCAAGATTCTTAATCTTTACAACCAGTAGTAGAATATAATATTTATGAAAGGTTATGGCATAAAAACATGTTCAGGTTCACGATACCTCCTCTGAGAGGTTTTCATTGACTAAACCCAATGCACATTAATCTTTTTATTGTTTAGCACTTCCCTTTAGGTCTTCAAGGGACAGTCGGCCTTGCATAATATTTCATTCTGTTATTTCTTCCAATTTTCACTGATCCCTGCATGCATGCATTCAGAACTTCTTTCATCAAACAAAAATTCTGAGTATCAACTATACTAAGCACTGGAGTAAAAGAAAAAATACATAGAACAGGTCTGTGCCTCAAAGGTTTATTGCTATTATTATTCCCATGTTACAGATGAGGAAACCGAGGCTTAGGTATGATAAATGACATATCAAGTCAGTGGCAACACCAGAATTTGAATTCAACAAAAGCAATAATAATCAAAGCTAATATCACTTTAGATTACCACTTCCTTAAATTTGGGGACTCTCACTTAATATCTGGTTCAAGGCTGTGTTCTTGGCAGTTTGTGATTGAGGCAAATAAATCCGCACTAAGTAGAACATACATTTTGCTGTTGGCTAAGATCCTCCATGAGAATATAGTATAGCTCTGCCATGTCTTGATCTCACAACACCAGTTTACAGAGATGTTAGCAGATGGTTTAAAATAAAAGGGCCCCAATCACATGTATTCAGGACACACTGCATATTCTATTCTTTTCTAGAAAAATAACAAGGCACGTTACCAGAAAAGGTGGTCAGAAGTCCTGCATTGAGGACATTTTTAGCTAAAGTTAGCACTGGCTAAACTTACTTGAGCATAAACAATATTTTTGGAAATATTTACTAAGCCTGCTATTTTGCAGAAATAGTTGGAAAAATGCTTGCATTATCAATACTGTGTATTCTGATTTTTGTTAAGCTATCCTAAGGAACAAGAAAGAGAAGTATTGGATCCCATTTCATAGATTAAGAGTTGATGTTTAGGACCATGTTGTTCCTTTGGGTAGTTTCTGTAATAAAAGGGACTCATGTCTTGTTCTGTCACTGGGATATCTGTGATTCAGCTACCACAAACTATCAGCTCAGCTCTCCTTTTCCTGACCCAGATGGACAGCTTCTGTACCAAAGTTCCATTTATTCAACTCTACATAATCATATGGAGGCAAATGTTTTTTGTTTTATGTTTCTTTCCCTTTTTTTTTTTTTTTTTTTTTTTTGAGACAGAGTCTCACTCTGTCGCCCAGACTGGAGTGCAGTGGCGTGATCTCAGCTCACCGCAAGCTCCGCCTCCCGGGTTCATGCCATTCTCCTGCCTCAGCCTCCCGAGTAGCTGGGACTACAGGCGCCTGCCACCACATCCAGCTAATTTTTTGTATTTTTAGTAGAGACAGGGTTTCATCGTGTTAGCCAGGATGGTCTCAATCTCCTAACCTCGTGATCCATCCGCCTTGGCCTTCCAAAGTGCTGGGATTACAGGCATGAGCCACCGTGCCCGGCCTGTGTTTATTTCTTTTGCTGAAACTTAAAATATTTCAAGACAAAGTCCAACTGACATAGCCCAGTAAATTCCGATTGCATACAGCTAAAAACAGAATAAATCAATATTCAAGACACAATTTGTGGAGTAACAATAACAAGATAGAAGGCAAAATTAGTTTCGAAGACATAAGAATTCTCAAAATGTTAGGATGTGGGAAATTAATATATTTAGTTCAATTTCTTCCAGGATTGAGAACCTCTTTCATAATTACAATTTCCTGAGTTATAAGGCTTCAATGCCTCTTATATCACTATTTACAGGCTTCCCACAAGGGTGATTTGGACATTAGAAGCAACTCCGGTTATAAAATGCCTAACTGGAAAAATTTAAAAGGTTAAAAAAGATTCAAAGTATTTGACGCTATCTATCAAGGGGGCTCTGGATCCCAAATTGCTCTGAAATTCAAATTCAAATTAAGTTACAGGTATGTAAATTATTGTTTTCAAAGTGTAGTAATGATGCCATTTATAATATAAATGAATATGAGTATCCAATGAATTCTATTCTTTGTTTTACAGTGTGTTAAAGGAAAAGCATGTTTAAAAGAGATCTTCAATGAGAACTGGTCTGTATCATTTGCTTTGATTTGTGATGTCTTCTAAGCTACAGAGCCCTAAAGCTTCCAGACCCTGACCCAACCATATGGAGTAATTGAGGCAATTACTGGATATGGAATAAAGGGGATCAGAATAGCAAACATGTCAAAATGTCAGACAGTGCCAGGATGTGAGCCAGGGTTGAGTAGGGAATTTTTCAGAGATAATATTTTTAAGATATTTGGAGAGAAGACGTTTGGGTAGGAAAGGAACATCAAGAAAGATATAAAAGGTAAGTTTGTAGTGTGCCTAATTAATAAACCTGATTCACCTACTACCATGGAATGTCTCTCCTCCAATTTTTAACTTCTGACTGATCTTACACATTACCTACAGGAGACCTTTTGAGTGCTTTTCATGGTGATTAGATATTTAAAGGATAATCAGAAGTTGACAATTTCAGCCTCAAGCTTGGCACAAATGTTTTAGTCATTACTGTATTTCTCTGTAAAAGACAAAAAACATGTCAGAAGAAAAAGGATTCCAATTTACAAAGCCAACATTTTAGCTCTCTGAGCTCCATTTCTTAGCATTTGCCTGTTCTTTGTAACTTTAATAATTGATCTTACGGGAATGGAAAAAGTTTTGAGCTTAAAACTGGATGGGAAAGGTATTATAGAATGAGGTATCACTGACCAAGGACCAAATTTAATGTTATTTTCTTGATGCGGGACTACATTACAATGTAGGCAATATAAATTCAGTCTATAAAATCCACTTAATGAACAGATGAGCAGAATGAGACTTCAATTTATTACAACAGACTTGTTGCTTGTTTTTGTTTTCACCCACGGTTCAGACAGAAATAAGATTACTCATTTACCTAAGCTGTGTCAAGTTTTATATTCATCCTTCTTTCATTACGGAGAAAGCACTCTGAGTGTCCTGGTCTTGTATAAAGATGCAAGGTTAAAAAAGAGGTTAAAAAATTGCCATTTCCGCTTCTTAGGAGGGAAACATTCTCATGGCCCTGTGTGGTTTAAAAATGCAAGCCCCCAACCATTATAAGTCTTGATTTATCCAGGCATATTGCTGAAGTATCACCTCACATACTTACAGATCTAATTTTCTCATTTCATTTCTGGCACTTGGAGATTAGAGATTCCTCTTTCACACAAACTCCACTATGCCTTAAAAAATGTTATCTTTATGAATCATTTATAGGTTTTTCTCAGTGGAATTTGGGGGGTTTGGGGAGAATTTTTTTGTTTGTTTGTTTGTTTGTTTTGCCTACGTTTAATTTCCTCAGCCTTGGCAGCAATGTTAGTGTAAACTGGAAGTAATTTCAAGTGGTGTCCTAGTTAGTTTCTTCCCTTTGATATGTTGACAGTTTTAAATCTGATTTGTCAGTTCAAACGCCATTAAATGGATATATTTATTTGTCCTCACAGAACTACAGTTCAAGTAATGCTATCTGAAGTAATAGTGCCTTCTTTATCATCCTATTGCCCACACACCTAGTTGCTTCCTAGGTATAGTCATGGACATCAGCTATTTCTCCACAAAAAAAATCAACAAATTAAAGAAGCTAAGTAGAAATGTTAGGCAAAATATGATAAGACTTAAAATACCAAGTTATTAAAGAAAGCACATAGTCAAGTAGAGTCAAGATCATTTACATGATGTACAAGCTAAGTAATTAAATGCTACACAGGAGCGTATGTCTCACTCTATTATTTCTACACATCATTCTACTTTTCTATTTATATGTATCCACCTGTTGTCCTCTCTATGTGAGAAGTATTTTGAAAATCTATTAGGAATTAAACAAAACAAATCAAAACCAGTGGTTTTCCAGAATAGAAGGCTCCCTAAATTCTATCTCAGCTGAATTTCTAACCAAATAACATAAAGGCCAGTACTTTCTCTGGGTTATACCTTGCCTATAGGACCAGACTACTTCTTGCTTGTTTATTCCTCTCTCAAATAATTTTCAAAAATTTTTCTTAAAAATATTTATGAACTTTGTGTCAAGATATAAATACACATAGTCTTCTACCTCTAAAACAATATTTATTTCAAAAAATAAATAGTCATACTACAAAACGTAAATAAGATAAATGCAGAACTGGAATCTTTAAAATGCAAAGTGGTGAAAGTGGCTGAAGCCACCCAACCCACTGAAAGGTAGTGCAGATGGGTAGAGGCTACTGTCGCTGCAATGTCCTGTCCTGCCAGTAGAGAAGTCAGTCCAGGCCTAAAGCTCCTCCCATTAATTAGGCTAAAAGTAACCCCAGTCAATCTCTCCCAGGGTTGCCACTTGCAATGTGCTATACCTGTGACTTGGGATCAAGGTACTGGAAACTATGGAAGAAAAAAGTCTATGCTATATACGCAACTAGAATATCATTCAAGAAATGATAACAAACTAATGGCTTCTTACTACCCCCAGACGCTCACTGAAAAAATTAACAAAGCATGCCCTGACAAGAAGAAAAATAAAGCAGAAAGGGAAAATGAGAAGTAACCAAGAAAAATGAAATCATTTAAACATGTTGGCAATTAAGTATTAACTATAATAATAACACTGATATCTATTTATGTGAATATTGAAACACAAGTTGAACTTAAATTCCAAATCATATCATAGAAGATAGAATAAAGACAGTAAATTTTTGAGAAAAGTGAAAGCATGCTAAAGTCTTCTTTCATAGACATATGATTTAATTTTAGATTTTACTAAAAAGTTCTAAAATTAAGTACTTCATTGAAAAGTGAAGGTTTGCATTAAATGATAGAAATGAAATGCATAATGCCTTAAGCTCTAAAAGAAATGAAGAGACACAGAAAACAACTTGATCGGTCTTTAAGAATGCATGAAAGGTAAAAAAGCAAAGCCAAGGAATGAATGGTAAATAGAAAACCTGAGCAAATACAAATACAAGAGAATATAACTATGGTAGGGGTTTAAAAACACACACAGAAAGAGACAACAGAAAAAAATATAAGTATATTCATTTTGGTATATATCCTGTTAGTTCTCTGTGCACATATGTAATCATTTTTTCAAAAACATACCATATAGTATAGATATAATTAGCAATCCCTTTCCCTCAAGTATCACAAATATATTTTTATGTCATTAAATATAACAATATATAACAAGATTTTCATGGCTACACAATATTCCTATAATCAGTGCTTTTTAACCAGTATCTTATTGTTGGAAACTAAGCTGACTTCCAGTGTTTATATTATAGAGTTTGTTATCATAAAAAATACTTGTCCATATCTATCATAAAGTATTTATTATGCCAAGATACTCTTTGTGATGCAATCACATTTTATAAACTAAATTTATAAATAAGTCAGTTAGAGGTAATGATTGCAGCTATTAAATAAATTTGACAAGTTGACTCATTATTTGGGTTACAGAAAAGTTCTTACATGATTTCAGTTCCAAACACCAGGCTTGGTTGAGTTTGAACCACTCTAATCACTATTCTAGTTCCCCCATTAATTGTGAAATATACAATCTCATGCTCAATTCAACTCAGTTTCCCCAAAGTCCCTAATTTCTAACCTAACTCATGGTTTCCCAAAGAAAGAGCTGTCTTGGCAGCCCCTACACCTAATTTAGAGCTCTTATTCTTTCTGGGGATTATGCCAATTAAAATTTCCCTTCTGATCACTTAGCTGTCAGTCTGAGCTTCCTAACCTGTTTTGTGTTTCACTATTATTATTGATGTTATTGATGTTGCTTTATTTCTTTCTTAAATCTAATGGCAATTCTCTCTTAATAACTCAGGTAGTTTTTTCCATGCATAATTTTTTTTCTCTGTCATTAGAATACACACTAAATTAATGTCTAATGGTAGGAATATTACAGTTACCTCTTTGTAGTTCAAAAATTAATGTCCAAATTACTAAAATAATTAAAGAAACAGAATCCTGAGAACACAGAAGTAATTACTTCTCTGTAATTAGGAGAAGTTTCTGTAATTACACAAGAAACAAAGTAAATAATGTCTTGTCATCCAATGAAAAGGTACTTATTGACCTAAGTAATTTTTCCCAAATGCATGGCCATTAAATCAATAAACTTAACAGATATGCCAAGAATTAGAAGACAAGAAAAGTTACCCTTTTTCAAACCCAATCATCCTCAGCAGTACTTTTATATACATCTTTTCTCCCTATGAAATTATAA
Source organism: Homo sapiens (assembly GCF_000001405.40). Lineage (NCBI taxonomy): Eukaryota > Metazoa > Chordata > Mammalia > Primates > Hominidae > Homo > Homo sapiens. Next base: position 72,204,831 of record NC_000006.12, on the reverse strand, counting down.
AATTTATTAGTTTCTTACTTTCTAATTACTTCTATAAATTAAAAAAGAAACATTCAACAATGTACAACTTAATCCAACAACTATAATTCCATGTATGTAACTATAAACTATCACTTTAGTAACCATAAAACAATATATAAATGTAGAAAGATGATTTCTCCGTTTATGCTTATAATTAATTTCCCTTAGGAAAGCACATGCAAACATTAAGAATAAAATTGGGTATTCAAAGAGAACGATTGAGGAGAAGGCGAAATTTGATTTTAGTTTTAAATCACAGCTAGAGATAGAGGACATTTTAAAAAGGCAGAACACTGCCAAATAATGGAGATGGAAAAGTGTATGGTAAGTGTGAAATACAGGAAATAAATGCTAATCAGTCAGGAAGAACAGAGTTCTAGAGGTGATTGTGTCAAGACACAAGACACTGTGAAGATTGAAGGGCATGGCTGAAGTTTTTTGGATTTCATTCTGTATATAATGATAACCTAATCTACAGGAGTTTCACCACCGCACCGACTGGAATGACAAAGTGTTAGGACAGTTACAATTACTACCTTTGTATGATCCTCAAGACTCTGAGCAATACTTTCCCATTTATTATCTCAAAGTAGACAGGACTTTCAGTTTCTGTTCCAAATATATGCAAAGTCACTCTTCTGTTCCTTAATCCCTCCCTCATTTATGTGCTCCCAAGCACTACAGAGCTATCCCAGGCAGAATTCACACCTGCTAGTCAGTCAGAAAGTGAAGGTTAAGAAGTTCCAAAACATACCTGGATTCATATAACTCTGTATTTTATTCCCCAAACATAAGTTAAATCATTTTGGATACTTTCCCAGTCAAATGTGTCTTCAAATTAATATTCAACTTTTTATTGGAAGCTCATCTTATGATACCAAAAAAAAATTCTCATGGGAGGACTAGCACTTCATAATTTATGAAGGGTCAGGTTTGAGATTTGCCAATAACAATACTCAGGCCCCAACCCATAACACTAAAATCAAAATCTCTGGGCTTGGGACCTGAATACTAGCAGGTTTTTCAAAAATCTCCTCCCTCAAGTGATTGCAACGTGCACTGAACTTATTCAACTACACATTAAAATAAATTTGGGGCACTGCTCCACATTGACTAAACCAGATTAGTTTTTGGTGCTACTCCAGCACATATTTTTAAATGCTCCTCAGATAATTTTAAAAGTACATAAAAATTTTAGGATCACTGATCTAATCCAACCCTCTCCTTCTGTTACCCAAGGTAACCCAGTTCTTGACAGAACTAGGATAACCTGTTCCCTCAACCTGTAACCTCTGGGCTCTTTTCTCTCTACAGGTCTATAAGCTTATTCTTCCTAGAACAGTGTGTATGCTTGTCTTTCCTTCTTCATGCCAGTCTCCCTCACTAGAATGACACATTGGTTCTTTCTGCCCAAAATCTACCCCAGCTCTAATATTAAACGTCGGCATTCAAGCTTCCTTCCTCACTACTGTAAAATATATTATCTATGCATCCTATTTGGTGCCATAGAAATAATATTTATGGGGCCAGGCGCGGTGGCTCATGCCTGTAATCCCAGCACTTTGGGAGGCTGAGGTGGGCGGATCACAGGGTCAGGAGATCGAGACCATCCTGGCTAACACGGTGAAACCCCGCCTCTATTAAAAATACAAAAAATTAGCCAAATGTGGTGGCAGGCACCTGTAATCCCAGCTACTCGGAAGGCTGAAGCAGGAGAATGGCGTGAACCTAGGAGACGGAGCATGCAGTGAGTCGGGATCGCACCACCACACTCCGGCCTGGCGACAGAGGGAGACTCCGTCTCAAAAAATAAAAAATAAAAAAAGAAAGAAAGAATATTTATGGAGTACTTGCTATGTATCAGGTACAAGGCACACAGAGCCATGAATAATCTCATTTAATCTTTACAACTACTCCATGCGGTATGTGCAATTATTATTTCCAGGTTCTAAAACGATTGAACTTGAGACTTAGGGGTTAAGTAACATGTCCTGGGTTATCAGTCTCTGGCTATGCCTAAAACTTATTTATGTCCTCATGATCTGGGATATTAAACCCTCTTCATAAAGCAACTGCTCAATAAGGTTCTTCATGATCATGTTTTTCATAGACAACCATGGAGACAAATGCCAAAATCAGTATTTATCATGTACGTACACAAACATCTACAGGACTTGGTCTCTTTCCTCCTATGAATATTATCATTGAGTTGAATTATGTCCCCCTCCAAACTCATCTGTTGATGTCCTAACCCCTATTACCTCCGACTGTAACTATATTTGGAGACAGAGTCTTTAAAGATGCAATTAAACCAAAATGAGGCCATTAGGGAGGTTCCTAATCCAGTATGACTGGTATCCTTACAAGAAGAGGAAATTTGGACACAACATGCAGAGAGAGAAGATCATGAGAAGATACAGAGAAAAGTCAGTCATCCATAAACCAGGGAGAAAGGCCTGGAACAGATCCTTCCCCAGGTTCCTCCAAAGGAACCAACCCTGCCAACACCCTGATCTCAGACTTCCAGCCTCCAGAACTATGAGAAAATAAATTCCTGTTGTTTAGGACACCCAGTCTGCAGTATCCTGTTATGGTAACCCTTGGAAACTAATACAATTATTATCTCATGTGGTACACAGCAGCCTCAGAAGGGTTTACTGGAATTAAAATTAGATCTGCCCTTTGGGATGAAACATGTGCTTTTAAAAAAGACACAATTGCACAAGTTTAGCTCAGTAGTTAAAACAAGACATACAAAGAAGATGGCTAAATACAATAAACCTAGAATAGCAGTAAGAATCAGAAATGCCCCACGAGGTATGAATAAGTATGATACGGAAGGTAGTATCTGGATTTCCAATACAGTAGTTGACATCAGTCAGTATCTAGGGATCCAGCTTCTATCTAACTCCTGGACAGGGACTGGTGACGGCAAGCAAAAGCTTCAGTTCTGAAGACTTGGGCAACAGAATCAGATTTGGTCACAAGATCTAGGGAAATGGATCTAATAACCAAAACAAGGCACAACTCTGGAATGTGGACTCAGGAATATGTTAAAATTTAGATTGTTAGGGTTGAGCCCAGACTGCAGACAGAATAAGTAGAAGGACTGAGTAAATGCTTGTCCTCAGAGGGTACAAGATGAGTTTCAAGCTCTTCCATCTGCATATAATAAAGGGTTTCAAAGGCAAGAAATTCGGCAGATCTCAATACCCATGTTTCCTTCTCTGATCAACAGTGTGTGAAAGGAGAGATTTTTGTTTGCTTCTGAACCCTCTTCCAGGTCTGAGATTTCTGTTATTCTGTTAAATTGAACCAAAATAAGGACAACCTTTTCATTCACTGGATAAAATGGGTCAAAAACACTGCAGTATGATTCTGCATTTTAAAAGGATACCAAAGAACAACTTACTGAGATAAAACAGGTGATACTGAAATCTTCAATATCAAATCTTTTTCTAAATGAACTTTGAAGCGTAAATGTTTCCCCTTAAAATGACCTTTAGTTACACATCTTTTTAAAAGTTCTATATTAAAGTTGTAAGCATATATTACACATAAAATTTGTATGATTATTTTTGAAAATGTAGCCCTGATGTTAATTTAGTTTCTCCTGATTCAAGAATAGAAATTTCTTTCAAATGCAACTAAATGACTAATATTTCTAGCCATGGACTAATTTGGAAGAAATATTATTGGGTATAATCATGTTAGATTTACCAACTTAATTTCTTTCCTTTTTATAGAACTTATGTTTCGTCATAACTCCTGTTTTAGAATCAAGGAGACTTTTTTTGGTCGTTTATATATTAGGCAGAAATTGAAACTGAAAATCCAGCCTCTCACCATGATTTCCAAATTTTTCTTAATGCATATTCTTAGAAATAAGAAATTGGCATGTTAGCTCAGACCACACACACACACACACACACACACACACACACACACACACAATTGTGTCCTTTCAATCTCTTCTCAAGATTTAAATTGCACAGATGATTAAAACGGCTAATGTCCACTCCATATCCACAGTAAGAAGAAATTAGTTCTCAGACTTTCTCTAAGGCATTAAACTGAAGCATCTAATGCCCCAAGTCATATGTCTCCTTTTCGGTAGTTAAGAGGGAGAATTGTTTATCCTTCCCTCATCAATGGCAGACAGTAGTCTCTCTTCTGTTTTATGCCTATTCTCATCTCTATCCTTCATAAGACCAGAAAAAGTCAGGCCAGGTAAAACTGTTGAGCATTAGTGCTAAATGTCAACCTGTCCAATTGTCCAAATGTTTCCCTATGGCAATTTCTTTCCTCTTTTGGAGTAATTAAAGAAGAAACTACAGAAAGCCTTTCATTGAAGGTTAAGAAGTGGAGGTAGAGGTCTCTGAAAGTGTGTTCCTCACCTTGTGTGGGAAAGGGCCCAGGGCAGATGTAGATAAAAGGGAAAAGCACAAAAGAAATCAGGTGGACTCTTTTGAGAGGGCCACTGAGGTCAGGGACTATGCTCTAAGCAATATACTCCCCAAACCTGGTAAGTGCCTGTCATATAGTGGAAGCTCAATGAAAAATTAATATATGAAGAGAAAGGAAAGAGAAACTAGTATAAAAAGAGAACTCAAGGCTTTTACAGTTCCATGTGAACCCACTGCTCTTTGATGTTCTGATTGCTAAAATACCAATTATGGAAGGCCCCAGAAGACACCAAAATTGGTTACTTGCAATTTAATAAAAGAAATATTAGATAGAATTTTTTATTTTCTTATTTTAAAGGATATCAAATTAATGCATGCATATGATAAAAATTAAAATAAATAAGAGCTTCCCATGCATAACTATAGTAATTGATTTCTCCTCATATCCCTTCTTCCCACAGTATCAATTCTACTTCCCAACCTTATTTTTAGATATTTTCTTAGTCGTTCTAATGGAAAACATCCTAATTTTAAAATAATTTGTCTCTATATGTTGACTGCTTTATTTGTAATATTATCTACTGGTTTCTAATTTTAAAATATTACCTATTGTTAAAACTGATTAAAGACAAGATGCTCACTTTATTTACATCATTTTGGTTTCAGAAGCCAATAGTTTTATCTTTCTACAATTCTATATTTAAACATACTTAATCCTCTATTTCTTGTCCTAAAATCTGAACACAATCTTTTAACTCTTCAATATTTTACATAAGACTATTCATATTCCTGCCTATCCCTCCACCTCTGCCCTCTCCAGAGCATTTCAACTCCCATATCTGTCAGTTTTACCTTTATTTTCATGCAGACACAGTATTCATATTCAATTGTGTTGACATTTTTAAGTATTAAATGAAAAAAAGGGTTTATTCTAAAAATTGAAAACCAATAAGCAACTTTTACAATATCATTACATCTAAATACCCTAGAACCAAGAAAATGGCAATAATGTGCAAGGGTTAAATTTCCTTTTCTATAGATGCACTGTCAGGCACTCAGAGAAAAATGTAGTTAAGTTTATGGCCCAATTGGCTGTATCAGTTACTTAAATTACATCATATTTTTTCTTGCTTCACATTTGGACAAGGATTTTTTTAAGTTTATTTTTTATCAATTTTTAATTGCCCCTTTTTATTGTTGAAAGAAGACACAGCCTTTCTTTAACAAGTCTATGATGTCATGTAACTCATTCATTAGTCATTGGATATTTCTTGGAATCCATGACCTTCTTCTTAATACAGACTTTCTTATTGGAGCCTCCTGGAAATGACCTCCAGTTTTAATCTGAACAAACTTCTTTTTGCACATGTCATTCAGGGACTTCCTTGCATTGAATTTCTGGGTTAGTTCTACTATTTCTTGTTTATTATTTGTCTTGACTACATGATTATTATTCAGTTTTCTTGGGTGCATATATCCTTAAATAACATTCTCAGAACGAGAATAAAATGCAGGTTTTCTGAGAACTTTGAAGTTGATAGTTTAGATGAATACAGAATTGCGGTTTCAAAATTACTTTGCTCATAATTGATTCTGTATATTTTTATTAACACATAATATTTATACATAATTATGAGGTACATGTACTATTTTGTTACACCCATAGCATATGTAATGACCAAGTCAGGGTATTTAAGATATCCATTATCTCACGTATTTATTGTTTCTATATGTTGGGAACATTTTAAGTCCTCTCTTCTAGCTATTCTGAAATATGAAATATATTGTTGTTAACTATAGTATACTTACTCTACTATCAAACATTAGATCTTATTCCTTCTATCTAACTGTAAGTTTGTACCCATTGAGCAGCCTCTCTTTTCCATCCCTCTCCCCTCAACACACCCTTCCCCATGTCTGGTAATTATCACTCTACTGTCTACCTCCATGAAATCAATTCTATTAGCTCCCACATATGAGTGAGAGTATATGATGTTTGCTTTCTTTGCCTGACTTATTTCACTTAACCTCCAGTTCCATCCATGTTACTGCAGATGATGATGATGATTATTATTTCATAATAACCTCCAGTTCCATCCATGTTACTGCAAATAAGAGGATTTCATTCTTTCATATGGGCGAATCGTATTTAATTGCGTATATGCACATTTTCTTTACCCATTCATGCACCGATGGCCACTTAGTTTGATTCAGTATCTTTGCTATTGTGAATAGTGCTTCAATAAACATGTGAGCGCAGGTATCCCTTTGATATTCTGATTTCCTTTCCTTTGGATAAATACCAGTAGTGGGACTACTGGATTATATGGTTGTTCTATTTTGTTTTTAGAGAAATCTCAAAATTTTGAAGGCATTCATCAACTGTAGTTTATGTTCAGTCTGTAGTTCATCATTGCTGATGAGAACTATAAAGGCAGTTAACTCTTTTTTGTATATGACCTGGTTTATTTTTTAACCTCCAAAAGCTTATACATTTTTCCCCTTTTCCTTGGCATCTTTAATGGTGTTGGAGTTCCTCTTATGTTTCACAATTATAATCTTTGTACTCATCTTTGGGCATCCCCATGGCTGTATGGGCTTCCTCATAGGTAAGTTTAATGGTTGCCTCTTTGTAGTTTCAAAATTCATCACTTTTACTTCAGCTTTTGTTTTAATGCCTAAGATCAGGTTATTTTATTTCCTGGCTTGGAGAATTGCCCAGATACCATACCTGTAGGCAAGTGTGTGATACTGAGTTTGGTCATATAATCTTGTATTTTGTCCAGTCACCTTTGTCGAAGCACTTCAATGCTATAAATTTTGGTACCCAGAGCTTTCTCTTTATCTTGAGTTCTGTTAATAACTTTAATACTTAAAAAAGTATTTTACACAGAATATTTGTGTGTTTGGGTGAACAAATTTCCCTGTGGGTTAGACATTTCAGGAAGTATTATACTAAACTTGAGCAACATGTGTGGCATTTTGTTCTGTTTGTTTTTTAAGCATTCTTCTGCTCTTGAATGATCTCTTATTTCCAGGGTCAATGTGTCTTGGTTTATCGTGGTTCTTCCTATCTTTTGGGTTTTGTTGTTCATTCACATTTAAAATGAGCAACCAATCAGTGGATTTTCCTGTGTGGCTGGTGAGTGTTTCCACGTAGATCATTTTAGATAGGCTGCTCTGGTAGATACTAAGTGTATCTCTGACATTTGTGAATAGAGTATGTGAATGGATAGCTTTCACTTTAGGATGAATGAGGTGTGAAGCTCAACTTTAGGATGGTATGGATGGGGGTTCCACAGTGGGGAGGCACCTACTCCTAGTATCTGATTTTTGCTCAAGCAGTGTGCTGAATTGCTTCTTGATATTTACCTAGGATTTAAATCTTGGGCCTTTAGTGTGTGCAAGGCAATAAAGAGGAAGGGGGAATGGTAAGAAGAGTGATGTAAAAGTGTGTGTCAACAAATACTGAATGAACATGCCAACTTGAAGTGCTCCCTCTCACTTCAGCTCCATTGAATCTGATGTCTCTGAGCCTGAAGTCTTCACAAAGATGCTTTATGGCAAATAGCTCTCTACTCCACCACCACACCCTCATGCCTACCTGACAAGCTCTTATGTGGAAAAGCACGCTATATTCGCCTTTCCATCTGCTATAAACATCTCATCTACTCATAGTTCACCTTTTCTCATCACTTTTATGAGTATTTTATGGGAGTCTCATGGAGTAAGAAAAACAAATGCTGAGATTTGACAGCCATTTGAAGAGAAAGCTCCTTTTAACCCATTTCCTGTATAGGTAAAAAAAAAAAAAAAAAAAAAAAGTGCAGCTGGCTGCCAGCACAGTACTTTTAGGGCAAACGGGAAATGGGTTAAGTTGTAATTGTTTTAAGGTTACAATTTTTAAAATATATGTAGCTAAATTCTTACCACAGAGCCTGATTTTGTTTTGAAGCATCCTGTCTCTCTATAAAGTCCCCAGTTAGATAGATAGATAGATAGATAGATAGATAGATAGATAGATAGACAGACAGACAGACAGACAGACAGACAGAGGAAATAGCCATGGTCCTTGCATTCATGGCATTTTCAATTGACTAGCTAGAAGAGTGCACTCATAATGCAGTAGGTTCTTTTTAGATATTTATTAAATAAATTATTACATGAATAAATAATAGCCAAATTTTTGAATTGCAAACCCTCTTAATGTTACAAGAAAAAATACCAGGACTATGAGAAGAACACAAAATGAATTCTTTGCTCCCAGGAAATATACATAAACCAATAACTTCTTGATATGGTTAGGCTTTGTGTCCCCACCCAAATCTCATCTTGAATTGTAATCCCCATGATCCACATGTATCAATAGAGAGACCCAGTGGGAGGTGATGGATCATGGGGGCGGTGTCCCCCATGCTGTTCTCATGATAGTGAGTTCTCACAAGATCTGATGGTTTTATAAGTATCTGACAGTTCCTCCTTCATACTCTCGCTCTCTCTCACCTGCCGTCATGTAAGACGTGCCTCTTCCCCTTCCATCATGATTCTAAGTTTCTTGAGGCCTCCCCAGCCATGCAGAATTATGAGTCAACTAAACCTCTTTATAAATTACTCAGTCTTAGGCAGTTCTTTATAGCAGTAAGAGAATGGACTAATACACTTCTAGTCAAAATTATAAGCACTATGTGAGCAGTATGCATTATACTGCTGAAGCCCAAAGAGGATACTCCCAGTACGTTTAGTTTAAGAACTAAGTGACCATATAAAGCATTGCATAAGTTACATTTAAAGGATGTATCATCTTATAAGAGTTCCCGATTCTCCAATGATTGTCAGGTACCCAAACTTAACAGGCAATTATTCATATTGCCACAATCTACACTTGGTACCCTAACACCATCTCTATATTTAGGGGTAAAAGTCACATCTGTTATTAAGGGTCCTCAGTCTTATTCAGCTACTCATTGTTTGATATTCTTGCATGTATCATTTCTTAGACTAATCCAGAAACCTTATGCTCCTCAAAAGACTGCTAAACACTGCCTAGCAGTAACAGCTATAAACCAACCAACTGCCCCTTGTTATATAGGTTGACATCTGAAGCCATTCACAAAGCACTGTAGAAATTCAAAGGCATAATTAATTTGTGTTGTACTTTCTCAGTTTACTGAAAGTCAGCATGGAGAAGATAAAGAAGGAAGGAAATCCTGTTATCCTATGCCAGGCTCTTCTTCCAACTCCCTGCCTTAGGATTTATATATTAAGTTCCTTAAGTATAAGTGGCTTTCCCTTGGATCAAGACAGCACCTTAATTTCACTGTTTACTCTTAGGCCTCTTTACTCAATTCCTCACAGGCACGAATCTTCAGTATGAATCTTCAGTAGACCTTCTTTCAATGAATTATATTACATATTTCATTTAACTTTAACTGTTATTTTATAAGCAGGATTTAGTTCACTTTTTCTTCCATTTAGAGAGATTTATATTAGTTAGTATTTATAAGCTAAAAGACAAGAGATGCCCAATTTTTCTCACCTGGCAATAGCAGTATGAATGGCAATCACTTGTAAAACGTGGTTGTTAATCTCAATTTTTAGATAATCCCACCAGATAGAGCCCATTGTTAATCAGTGTGTGTGTGTGCTTTGCATGTGTATTCAAAGGAATTAAACTGTATTTGAAAGATTATATTGACTATAAAGGCTGTGTTATCTTTCAGATGCCATTTTGACCAGGTTACCTTTTGGTTTTGTGAGACAGCAAAACACATAGGAATATTATATCAATACATCAAGGAGAAATGTCCCTTTGAGGCATTTATCAAGTTGTATTTTATTGTGTAATTATTCCTTATTGTTTATTTTTCTCAATAGAATATAAACTCCATTAGAGTAGGAAGCATATTTTTTTTAACCTCAGTAAATACATAGAAAATGTGAAATACCTTTTTTTAACAAACATAAGAACAAACTCAGCATAAAATACAAATAGTAGTATATATCTATGACAATAATAGTACACATATATTAAGTAGTTACCATATGCCAGGTACTGTGTTAAATGTTTAACTTATATGTGTAACTGATAAACTGTCCTTTTAAATTTTATTCCATGAGGATAATCTTCCCCCACCTGAGATTCAAAAATGACATACTATTCTTTTTAACAAATCTAATTCTGTGAAGAATGACATTGGTAATTTCATAGGAATTGCATTGAATTTGTATATTGCTTTGGATGGTTATGGTCATTTTAACCATATTGATTCTTCTGCTACACGAGCATGAAATGTTTCTCCATTTGTTTGTGTCATCTATTTATTTCATCGGTGTTTTGTAGTTCTCCTTGCAGAGATCTTTCACCTCCTCGGTTAAATGTATTCCTATAGAACACATCTTCCACAAAGTGTTAGATTTTCAATTGTCATTTAAACTAAATATCAAGAAAACTTGAATTACTCTAAAAAAAAATTTCTTCCCAGATCATCCTTTGCCTTCTCACTCTATTGGGGCTCATAACATACAAAACTGTTTCTTTTCCCTTTTCTTTGTATATTATAGATATTGATAATTATCTCATAATTATGATAATAAACATATATGGTATTAGTACCACAGGCAAAATAAAGATATGAAGAATGTTAATTTAGCATCCTATTATAGATGCATTATCTCATCCAAACCACTCAACAACCTTATGAGGTAGATACTTTTATTTCAGTTGTGCTAATAAGAAAATGGAGATTTATGGAAGTTAAGTAACTTGTGCAGTGTCACAAGGTGCTGGAGATTATCATGGCTGGTTCCCAAAATCACCCTTAGTAGGCAATGGTGGAGTTTGCTAATAAAGTTATTAATAGCTATTACAGATGGCATTTCTAATTAAGTTTGAAATAAGCAAATCTCCATGCTACAGTGATAAAAGGTGTTGCTCTTTGTGTTTCATTTTGTAAAGGCTGAGATTGGTTAAAATATTAGAGTAGGATGACCACTTTAAGGTATAGTCACACAATTTATTTGAGAATGAGATCATTTATGTTAAGAGGAACCAGGTTGTCTTTATCAGATAAATGAGCGTCTGGTATCCTTGTGTTCCCAGATGCACAGGTTTAACACTAACTTCAGAGATGTGTACAACCCAAATGGTAACCAAAGTCTCCAGAATGATAAATTCCCAAGGAGGGGAAACAGCATGGTGAGGCAATAAGTTCTTCACATCAGACAAGCTCCAACCCTCCAACTACCCATGCCACCAGTCAGGTTTCTTTCATTATCTGCTGTTATTGTAAATAATTTTAGGATTTAATTATGTCTGATTCCATGCTCACTGTGATTTATAACACATATTCAATAAAAACTGGTGAAGAGCCCTTTAAGGAATGGGAGAATATACATATTGTGATGGTTAATACTGAGTGTTAACTTTATTGGATTGAAGGATGCAAAGCATTATTCTGGGTGTGTCTGTGTGGGTACTGCCAAAGGAGATTAACATTTGAATCAGTGGACTGGGAAAGGCAGACCACCCTCAATCTGAGTGGGCACAATCTCATAAGCTGCCAGCACAGCCAGAATAAAAGCAGGTAGAAGAACATGAAAAGACTAGACTGGCTTAGCCTTTCAGCCCTCCATCTGTGCAACTGGAATAATTAGATACTAAGGTGGCAGGAGCCAAGGGCAGCACTCAACCATCAAAGGCAAGGTGGGCATAGCTACCATAATGGACAGCAGAGGCAAAGCAGCAATCGGAATAGCCTGACTCACGTAGAGCTCTGGCATTGGCTAATTAATCACAGTGTTCCTAGAAGTGAAATTGATAGGACGCCTACTGCATTCTTAATTTATATAAGCAGAAAACTTCCAGGTTGAGTGGAAAAAAGACTAATTTGAATTATTAAAACAGAGAATCACAGCCCTTCAATCAATTTCCAGACCTGAGACAGTTTACAGACCCAGCACCCATTGAATGAAGGGAAAGCTGGGGGCTCTTGAGAAAGGACCCCACTACACTATCGACAATTTATGCTGTTACTCTTTCTCCTATCCTTCCCCAGGGAGACCTCCAGCCTTTTACCAGGGTAACTGTGCACTGGAGGAAGGAAAAAATGATCAGACATTTCAGGAACTACCAGACACTGGCTCTGAGCTGACATTGATTCCAGGGAACACAGCATGTCACTGTGGTCCTCCAGTTTAAGTAAGGGCTTATGGAGGTCAGGTAATTAATGGAGTTTTAACTCAGATCCAACTTACAGTGGGTCCAGTGGGTCCCCGGACACATCCTGTGGCCATTTCCCCAGTAACAGAATGCATAATTGGCACAGACGTACTTAGCAGCTGGCAGAACCCCCACGTTGGCTCCCTGACTGGTAGGGTGAGGACTATTATGGTAGGAAAGGCCAAATGGAAGCCTGTAGAGCTGCCTCTACCTAGAAAAATAGTAAATCAAAAACAATATCACATCCCTGGAGTGACTGAAGAGATTAGTGCCATCATCGAGTACTTGAAAGACCCAGGGGTGGTGATGCCCACCACATCCCCGTTCAACTCTCCTATTTGGCCTGTGCAGAAGACAGATGGATCTTGGAGAACGACAGTGAATTATCATAAGCTTAACCAAGTTGTGGTGACTCCAATTGCAGCTGCTATACCAGATGTGGCTTCATTACTTGAGCAAATTAACACATCTCCTGGTACTTGGTATGCGGCCACTGATTTGGCAAATGCCTTTTTCTCTATTCTTGTCCATAAGGCCCATCAAAAGCAATTTGCCTTCAGCTGGCAAGGCCAGCAATATACCTTTACTGTTCTACCTCAAGGGTATATCAACTCTCTGGTTTTGTGTCATAATCTTGTTCTGAGAGAGCTTGATTGCTTTTCCCTTCTACAAGGTATCACACTGGTCCATTACATTGATGACATTATGCTGATTGGATCCTGTGAGCATGAAGTAGCAAACACACTGGACTTACTGATGAAACATTTGTATGCCAGAGGATAGGAAATAAATTCGACTAAAATTCAGGGACCTTCTACCTCAGTAAAATTTCTAGGGGTCCTGTGGTGTGGGGCTTGTCAAGATATTCCCTCTAAGGAAGGTAAAGGATAAATAGCTGCATTTGGCAACCTTCTACAACCAAGAAAGAAGCATAACACCTAGTGGGCCTATTTGGATTTTGGAGGCAACACATTCCTCATTTGGGTGTGTTACTCTGCCCATCTATCAGGTGACCCAAAAGGCTGCTAGTTTTGAGTGGGGTCCAGAATAGAAGAAGACTCTACAACAGGTCCAGGCTGCTGTGCAAGCTGCTCTGTCACTTGGTTCATATGATCCAGCAGATCTAATGGTGTCTGAGGTGTCAGTGGCAGATAGAGATGCTGTTTGGAGCCTTTGGCAGGCACCCATAGGTGAATCACAGCAGAAGCTTCTAGGATTTTGGAACAAGGCCCTGCTGTCTTCTGCAGATAACTACGCTCCTTCTGAGAGACAGCCTCTTGGCCTGTTCCTGGGCTTTACTGGAAACTGAATGTTTGACCATGGGTCAAGTCACCACGCAACCTGAACTGCCTATTGTGAAATGGGTACTTTCTGACCCATCTAGCCATAAACTGGGGCCCAGCAGCATTCCATCATCAAATGGAAGTGGCATATATGTGATCAGGCTCAAGCAGGTCCTGAGGCACAAGTAAGTTACATGAGGAAGTGGCTCAAATGCCCATCATCTCCACTCCTGCCACCCTGCCTTCTCCCCCACAGCATGCACCTATGGTCTCATCAGGAGTTTCCTACAATCAGTTGACAGAGGAAGAGGAGACTAGAGCCTGGTTCACAGATGGTTCTGCACCATATGCAGGCACCAAATGAAGGCGGACAGCTCCAGCACTATAGCCCCTACAGCCCCTTTATTTCTTTCTTTCTTTTTTTTTTTTTTTTTTTTTTTGAGACAGAGTTTTACTCTTGTTGCCAAGGCTGGAGTGCAATGGCGCGATCTCAGCTCACGGCAACCTCTGCCTCCCGGGTTCAAATGATTCTCCTGCCTCAGCCTCCCGAGTAGCTGGGATTACAGGCATGCACCAATATGCCCGGCTAATTTTGTATTTTTAGTAGAGATGGGGTTTCTCCATGTTGGTCAGGCTGGTCTCGAATTCTTGACCTCAGGTGATCCGCCCACCTCGGCCTCCCAAAGTGCTGGGATTACAGGCATGAGCCAGCTTCCCCAGCCTACTACACCCCCTTTCTAGGACATCCCTGAAGGACAGCAGTGAAGGGAAATCTTCCCAGTGGGCAGAACTTCGACCAGTGTACCTGGTTGTACACTTTGCATGAAGGAGAAATGGCCAGATGTGTGATTACATACTGATTCACAGGCTATGGCCAATGGTTTGGCTGGATGGTCAGGGACTTGGAAGAAGCATGACTGGAAAATTGGTGACAAAGAAATCTGGGGAAGAGGTACGTGGATGGAACTCTCTGAGTGGTCAAAAACTGAAGATATTTGTATCCCATATGAGTGTTCACCAACAGGTGACCTCCACAGAAAAGGATTTTAATAATCAAGTGGATAGGATCACTCGTTGTGTGGACAACACTCAGCCTCTTTCCCCAGCCACCTCTGTCATCGCCCAATGGGCCCATGAACACAGTGGCCATGGTGGCAGGAATGGAGGTTACGCATGGGCTCAGCAACATGGACTTCCACTCACCAAGGCTGACCTGGCTATGGCCACTGCTGAGTGCCCAATTTGCCAGCAGCAGAGACCAACACTGAGCCCTTAATATGGCACCATTCCTTGGGGTGATCAGCCAGCTACTTGGTGGCAGGTTGATTACACTCGACCTCTTCCATCATGGAAAGGGCAGTGGTTTGTCCTTACTGGAACAGACACTTACTCCAGATATGGGTTTGCCTATCCTGCATGCAATGCTGCTGCCAAGACTACCATCCATGGACTCATGGAATGCCTTATCTACTGTCATGGTATTCCACACAACATTGCCTCTGATGAAGGTACTCACTTTACGGCTAAAGAAGTGCAGCAGTGGGCTCATGCTCATGAAATTCACTGGTCTTACCATGTTCCCCATCATCCTGAAGCAGCTGGATTGATAGAACAGTGGAATGGCCTTTTGAAGTCGCAATGACAACACCAACTAGGTGATAATACTTTGCAGGGCTCAGGCAAAGTTCTCCAGAGGGCTGTGTATGCTCTGAATCAGTGTCCAATACATGGTACTGTTTCTCCCTTAGCCAGGATTCACAGGTCCAGGAATCAAAAGGTAGAAGTGGAAGTGGCAACACTCACCATCATCCCTAGAGACCCACTAGCAAAATTTTTGCTTCCTGTTCCCATAACATTATGTTCTGCTGGTCTAAAGGTCTTAGTTCCAGAGGAAGGAACCTGTCACCAGGAGACACAATGATTCCATTAAACTGTAAGTTAATATTGCCACCTGGCCACTGCTACCTTTAAGTCAACAGGCCAAGAAGGGAATTGCAGTGTTGGCTTGGGTGAATGACCTGGACTATCAAGATGAAATCAGTCTACTACTCCATAATGGAGGTAAGGAAAAGTATGCATGGAATACAGGAGATCCCTTAGGGCGTCTCTTAGTATTACCATGCCCTGTGATTGAGGTAAATGGAAAACTACAACAGCCCAATCCAGGCAGGATTACAAATGGCCCAGACCCTCAGGAATGATGGTCTGGGTGACTCTACCAGGTAAAAAACCACAAACTGCTGAGGTGCTTGCAGAAGGCAAAGGAAATAAAGAATGGGTAGTAGAAGGTAGTCATCAATTCCAGCTATGGCCATGTGACCAAGTGCAGAAATGAGAACTGTAATTGTCATGAGTTCTTATTTTGTTAAGAACATATTTGTGCATGTATACACTTGTGCTAAGAAAATATCTTCATCTTATTTCCTTTTTCCTTTATCATGTGACATAAGATTTATTGACTTCATATCAGCATTTCAGTGTTGTTAACTCTATGTAACAGCATTTGGGTTGGGGATTGGTACTTTCTGGTTGTACGAAGGATAGTTGTATTATGTTCGGCATAATTATTACCTTATTATTGTCTTTATTTGAAGATTACATATGATTTCAGATGTGTATGGGTTCAAGTTGACAAGGGTGGACTTGTGATGGTTAATATCGAGTGTCAACTTGACAGGATTGAAGGATGCAAAGTATTGTTCCTGGGTTGTCTGTGAGGGTGTTGCCAAAGGAGATTAACATTTGAGTCAGTGGACTGGGAAAGGCCGACCCACACTCAATCTGCACAGGAACAATCTCATCAGTTCCCAGCACGGCCAGAATAAAAGCAGGCAGAAGAACATGAAAAGGCTAGACTGGCTTAGTCTTTCAGCCTTCCACCTGTGTGGGATGTTTCCTGCCCTCCAACACCTGACTGCAAGTTCTTCACCTTTGGGACTCAGACTGGCTTCCTTGCTCTTCAGCTTGCAGACAGCCTATGGTGGGACCTCACCTTGTGACCCTGTGAGTCAATACTCCTTAATAAACTCCCCTTTATATATACATCTATCCTGTAGTTCTGTCCCTCTAGAGAACCCTAATACACATATCAATCTCCATCAAGAGATTTCTGGGCTGGGCGCGATGGCTCCCACCTGTAATCCCAGCACTTTGGGAGGCCGAGGTGGGCGGATCACGAGGTCAGGAGATCAAGACCATCCTGACCAACATGGTGAAATCCTGTCTCTACTAAAAATACATAAATTAGCTGGGTATGGTGGTACGCACCTACAGTCCCAGCTACTCAGGAGGCAGAGGCAGTAGAATCACTTGAACTCAGGAAGCAGAGGTTGCAGGGAGGCAGAGGTTGCAGTGAGCCAAGATCACATCACTGTACTCCGCCTGGTGACAGACCGAGACTCTGTCTCCAAAAAAAAAAAAAAAACAAAAAGGATATCTGGACACAAATTAAGTATATCTACATTTCTATTTAATACCTACTTTATTACCTCAGGGAAAAATATGTGTTCATACAACAATATTAAGGCACAAAAGGCAGTCAAGATAATCTACCCGCCATTTGACTTTTTACAAGCCCATAAATAATATGCAACTTATAAAGAGAAGTCATTGGAAGGTGAGCTGACTGATCCCATATACATATATTACATTCCAAAGACACTATTTTAAGTTGGGTTGCAGCAATAATAACAAAATGAGCCCTCCCTTCCTTCCTTCCTTCATTCCTCTCTTCCTTCCCTCCTTTCTTCCTCTCTTCCTCTCCTTCTCTCTTTCCTTCTTGACGGGGTCTCGCTCTATCGCCCAGGCTGGAGTGCAGTGGCACAATCTCGGCTCACCGCAACCTCCACCTCACAGGTTCAAGCAATTCTCCTGTGTCAGCCTCTCAAGTAGCCTACAGGCGCATGCCACCACACCTGGCTAATTTTTTGTATTTTAGTAGAGATGGGGTTTCACCATGTTGCCCAGGCTGGTCTCGAACTCCTGAGCTCGGAAAATCCCCCCACCTCGGCCTCCCAAAGTGCTGGAATTACAGGTGAGAGCCACTGCGCCCGGCCAGAATGAGCTTTCTTAATTGTTCCTATATATAGTATGAGATTGTTCGGACACATATATATGGGGGGGGGTACATATATACATGCAGTTCGGACATAGAATGAGGAAGTGAAGTAATTCTTAAATTATAATATTTTGTATATAATTTATTATGCAATTTGGCAATTACAAACAAAGCCAAAAACTGCAAACAGTCCCCCTAAATACAAAAACATTAAGAAACACTGAAGGGCTCCAACACTTCTACAAGGATGATGACCAGCACCATTAAATTTAGGACTGTGGCCACTTTAAATCTGAGTGAACAGAAGCAAAATGAGGAGAATCTTCAAACTAAGCACATAATTTTAATATTACATTGAAACCTTTTCTACATAAGCACTATCTAATGGAACTTTTTGTGATAATCATTCTCGAGCACCAGGCTTTTTGGCTAGTTCTTCAGAAGAAGAGGAGTTTTAAGTTCATTTATTTAATTTAAATAGCTACATGGGGCTACAGCATTATATAGTGAAAATTCAGACCATCACACAATATTCCCACAACTTTTGGAGTATGAACTTTTTACCTCAAAGTTACTACCCAAAACACCATACATAACACCTTGCTTGATACAATACTTGTGAAGTACAGTTGATGCTTGAATAACACAGGGGTTAGGGGTTGACCCCCAAGTAGTCAGAAATCTGAGTATAACTTTTGACTCCAGAAAACCTTAACTACTAATAGCCTACTGTTGACAGGAACCTACTGTTTACTGATAGCATAAACAGTCAATTAACACAAATGTTGTATGTTATATGTATCATATACTCTATTCTCACAATAAAGTAAGCAATAGAAAAGAAAAGTTATTAAGGAAACCATAAAGAAGATAACATATATTTACTAGTCATTAAGTAAAAGTGGATCACCAAAAATGTCTTCATCCTAAAGGTCTTCATCCTCGTCGTCTTCACATTGAGGAGAAGGAAAAAGAGCCTTGCTGTCTCTGGATGTCAGAGGCAAAAGAGGTGGAGGAGATGGGAGAGGAAGCAGAAGAGGCAGGCACACCTGGTGTAACTTTATGGCAATGCATAGTAATTTCTGTCTGACATTTTTGCTTTTTTGTTTCTCTAAAAATTGGTTTCTGTATGGTACCAATCCTTTTTCCACCATTTGCTTTAGTGTCATTGTCTCTATCATAGAAGGATCCATGTGGTAAAAGAAGTCAAAAGGAGTCCTGAACAACAGGAACCCTCTACCAGACTGTCTAATGTCAATCTGTTTTCTGGCACTGCTTCTTTTACCTCTTCTTCCTCAGTGTCTGTCATTGCTTAAGAAGCACTCATCCATCAAGTTATCTTCTGTTAATCCCTCTGGTGTGGTGTCTATTAACTCTGGAATCTATATTTAGAACCCTTTCACCCCACACCTTTTTTTTTCATCATATCCACAATCTCTTTCATGATTTCCTTGATTTGCCAGTGAAGTCATGCACAACATCTGATACAATTTTCTCTAGAAGGAATGAATTGTTTTGGGTCTGATGGCTTTCATGTTTTTTTTCTATAACAACGATGGCATCTTCAATGGTGTAATCCTTCCAGATTTTCATGATATTCTATTTATCGGGGTTCTCTTCCACAGTGTTACAATCTTGTCCATACAGTACTATGTCAAATGAGCCTTTAAGGTCCAGAAGCCAAACTGGAATCTTTGTGTTTGAAGGCAAGTAGACCACTTCAACACCTTTCGTGTTGAACTCATGGGGTTCTGGGTAGCTAGGGGCATTGTTCAATATAAAAAGAACTTTAAAAGACAGTCCCTTACTAGCAATGTTCTTCCTGACTTCAGGGACAAAACATCCATGTATCTAGTCCAGGAAAATAACTCTTGTCTAGGCCTTCTTGTACAACCAAAAGGCTGGCAGTTATTGTTTATTTTTTCCCTTCAACACTCAGGGGGTTAATAGTTTTATACATAGAGGCAGCCCTTACTGCATTTGCACAAAACAGTAGAGCTAGCCTAACCCTTCCTGCCTTAAATACTAGTGCTTGCTTCTCTTCCTTACTACTAAATGTCCTTTTTGGCACTTTTTTTTTTTTCCCAGAATAAAGCACCTTGCATTAAAAACCTGTTCAGGCACATATCCTTTCTCCTCAATAATTTTCTTAATGGCATCTAGAACTCGTCTCTGCTGGTCCACAGAAGCTGCTTCTACTTTTGACATTTTTTAAAAGCCAAACCTCTTCCTTAAATGATCAAGCCATCCTTTTCCGGCATTAAATTCTCTAGCTTTAGGTCCTTGACTATCCTTCTGCTTTGTTATATGACGACTTTGCTTTTTCCTAATATTAGAGTCTATAGATACACATTTTTATAGCAATCCTGCAGCCACATAAAAGCTGCATTTTTAAGGCAAGATAAAAGTTTTTCACAAAAAGTGCACGGGTTTTGCTCCTGCTGACGTAGCTGCAGCAACAGCGTCACAAATTTCTTTTTCAACAATAGTCCTTACACTGGTTGAATTTATCTTGAAATGGTGGGCAACTGCAGCTGCAGACCTCAATCTGCGGTACACATCAAGCAATTCAACTTTTTCTTGTAATGTCATGACGTTGCTTCTTGGGAGCACTTCTAGTGTCACTAATGACACTCTGTATGGGTCTCATGGTATTATTCAAAGTTAATGGTATTGCACTAAACATCACAAAAAATACGTGAGAACCACAAGATACCACGCAATTTACTGGAGAAAGAAACTGCTCAAAGGGAGATGATAAGCATCACAGGGCATTTTAAAGTGGTGCTCGCAACACTAAAATCACTGGAAGAGGCTAAGGAAATTATTACAGTAATACAGTATGCACTACAGTTAATTTCATGCAGCTATGATTTAATACCGCATGTTTACATATTTACATTTCTTCCCACTGCAAATGGCGCCACGTAGTCTATAAGTGTGTGTTTAAGGTTTTATCATTTTTAACTTTTTATAATAGATTCATGTACATTTTATGATAGCAAATGATAAAACAGACTAGTATCTATATATATAGTATGCATTCATGACATACCTAACTTTTTCTTATTTTATTAAAATATTGCCAGGCTACCCGGTTCGTCCACAAGTTTTTAAAATTGCTGCAATTCTCAAAAAAAAAATCCAGTATATTTATTGAAAAAACATCCATATATAAGTGGACCCATGCAGTTCAAATCCGTATTGTCCAAGAATAAACTGTAATCTGTTCACAAATTGTGAGAAAGGTTAATTTGAAGTTTGAAAAAAAAAAAAACTACCTTTGCAACTGTAATATTACGTAACTGATGTGGTTTTTTTTTAATGTCTACTTCCTTTATAAGGCATAATTTTCATTTTCTAGCAAACAAATTGTTTTTCACAGAATAATAAATCCACTCTAAAATAATATCTTAAAAATATTAGACTGCATACCAAATTTACCAGAATGACAGAATGCAAAATCACCAAGAACTTTTGTAGCCTAAGTTTGGAGCTTGTTGTGTTTTAAAATCCCACAAATCAATCAATAAAATTAAATTAATAAAAATAAGACCTTCCACTGGCGGTAACGCTATCTTATCTGTGAGCATTCCCAGCCTCAATGCTGAACCCAGCAACTAGCCTAGCACCTGCACCTCTGCCCACGCCTCTTCACTTGGCTGAAGTCCCCGCACGGCCGGCGCCGCCCCCTTACCTTTCTCGCTGACGCTCTCGCTCTCCAGCTCCACGTCCTCGCAGCTGGTGTACTCGGGCGTCGACACGCCCTCCTCCTCAGAGCTGCTCACCGACATCTGCCGCTTCTTGCCGCCTCTCTTGGACCGGTGCGGCTTGGGCGGGGACGGCCGCACCGACTCGGACTGGTCTGAGCTCAAAGAGTCGTTCCGCAGCATGGTCTCCACCTTCTCGCGCTTGGCCTTCCGCATGAGGACCGCCGAGCTGGGGTCCAGGCGGCTCTGCTTCCTGAGGGGCTCCTGGGCTTTGAGCTCCGGGGCTTCTGCGGGAACCGGCCCATGTCTGGGCGCCGGCGGGCTGTGGTTCGTTAGCTGCTTGGCGCCCGGCGCCCTGGTCTCCGCAGTTCTCTCAGCCGAGTAAGCCCGCGGCGAGTCCGGCGGCGAGGCCCTGGCTGCCGCCGGCGCGCGTTTGCCGGCCTTGCCCTCCGGCAGCGCCGCGCCCGCCTCGGTGCGCGGGAGCGCCACGTCGCTGTGGCGCCGCTCGTGCCTGGCGCGGGACACCCGGGCGTGCATGCGCATCTGCTGCTCCTCAGGCGGCGGTTTCACCGGGTACCGAGCTAGGTTCGGGTCGCTGCGGTACCTGGTCTGATAATCCTCCTCTTTTCTTTGCTTTTCCTCATCCGCCGCTTTGCCCTCATCCCGTTTTTCCGGCGTGTCTGGGTAATCCTGTGATCGCCCTTTCTCAAGCCTTCGGCTTTCCCGCCTTTCTTTGCGCTCCCGTTCTTCGACGGCCCCCTCCACGGGCTGCGCTGAGGTCTTTGGCACGCGTTTCCGCTCGCTCTTCAGGGCTCCTTTGCCATTCTGCTCGGAAAGCCCTGGGGTCTTCTTTCTATGATATACAAAGGAACGTCAAGGAGAGCAATTTATAAAGACTAGACATAAAAAACATGTTTTCTTCTCATTCCAGTCTTAAATCATTTCAGTTACAATAATTAGTTATAGGGATTTGGATCTGAAGGTGGAACTGTAAGGGTGTTGGAATTTTACAAGGTAAGGGATCTAATGGGAACACATATTAATTATTACCAAATATAGTTTTCATAAGAGTGTCATGCTTGTACTACATTTAGCAGCTCATTGAAGCATAGTTGCTCTTGTTAGAAGTTTACATTGAATCAATTTACTTTTCTTGAAATGCTGAAAAATACTTACCTTGCAAGGTTCATGTGAGGATTAGAGACACCATCTGTGAAGATGTTTTATGAAAGGGTAGAGTGTCATGCAAATGGAAGGAGTTCTCCAGTGTCTCTGATTCTTTGCTCTACTAATTATACTTTTTCTCATCTCTACCTTTAATTTTCTGTTTCTAACTCCTTGACAGTACAAAATACGGTCAAGAATTCTTCAGTAATTTAAAACAAATAAACAGTGTCTCTTTCAATCTTGCTTCTCCCTGAAGTTGCCCAGCTCTTTACACTGGCCACCTCTCTTCCTGCTTCTGTACTTCCCAATTCCTCATTGCTTTCCTGTGAATTTATATCATTAGTAAAGTTATTTGTCCCTATCAATCTTCTTCAAATTTTAACTAAAAAGTCAGAACAAAAAGTATCTATTCAGCCCTTGTTCTTGAAATTTTTATAGTTTTTCACTATATGTCAAAAACAGAACTCTTTTCTCTTTAGAAACTTTACAGCTCCAAATTCTCTATCTTATTTAAAGATATCATCTTCCAACCAGTTCCAAACTGCAGCTTCAGTATTTTTGTCTCTTCTTCTCCCACAACAATTTGTCACCAAATGCTATTAATTCTACGTTCCCTGAGATATCTCTGGTGTCCTTTCTATCCTTTCTCCAAATAGCTTAGTAACACTCATTCTCTTGTACTGCCCTCTTATACGCTGTGTAGCTCCCCTACAACTCCTGAGTATCTTACAAAGCTTAATTGAGAAGTCACTTCCTCTTTCCTAGGGCTCTCAAAATACTATACATATTGCCTAGCTTTGATCAAATTAGCATCCTTGTTAATTACCTAGGTGTCTGTCTTCCCTAGAATAGTGTGTGGTCTCTTCCCTAGGATTTGTCAGAAAAGGGACCATGTATGTTCTAATCATCTTTATGCCCTCTGGTTCCTGGCACAGTGTTTATCTGTAGTAAATACACAATGACTACTGGCTTGAATAATAGCTACATTCACTGAAAGCCTACTATGTGCCAGCTTGGGAACACATGTTCTCTTTTAATACCTGCCACAACCCTGCAAGTGAGTTTTTACTGCCTATTGTGGCAGAGCCAGGACTAGAATCCAGACCTATTTAACTTTGAAGTCCTTGATCTTTTACTGTATGGGCTTTGCTTGAAAAGGGGTTCAAAAGCTTTCCTTGGAGCCTCCTTTCTCCAAGTAATGGTTACACATACAAAAACAATAAGCCCAGTCTAGGTGCTAACAAAAGTCCTGGCCCCAAAATCATGAGCCTCATGAAGATAAGGGCTCTGTCTTCTTTGTCAACACTTTTTCCCAGTGCATAGCTTCATGTTTGCCCATGAATACATTTTTGAATGAATCAATCAAAGTAAATAATCTGATCATATTCGTCCCTGTTTAAATATTCAGTGGCTTCCCTTTCACCTACAATAAAAGCTATAAAATGTAACCTGTCCCTTCACCACCTCACCAGCCTTTTCTCCTCCACATTGCCTCTGCTACTTGCACTGTAGCCAGCAGCTATCCTTTAGGAGGCCCTCACGTTGGGCTTGTTCCTTCAGGCCATGTGCCTGTGCAGATACCTGGAGCACCCATCCTTCCCTTCTCCTGGTTAATTTCAAAGTCACTCTTTAGAGCTCAGCATAAAAGAAATACCCTTAAAGAAGGCTTCTCTGATGTGTCCACATACTTTCTGATAGGTCAGATTCCCCCATCACATCCTCTCAGAGCACACTTTTAATTAAAGGGCTAGGTTTATAAGTGAAACATGATCTAAGAGCTTTTCTGAGTTCATCATTGGAAGTTGGTAGCTCAGCTGGGTGACTTAGTTCATGTTTACATCTGTGCATGATATGAAAGAAATGCTTTCAACAAAGGTCTCCTAAGGAATACATTCTAGAGATAGACAACGCCCCTCAGGCCTTTTGTTTTTCCATGTGGGGCCTGAGAAGTACTACTTCCACATATTCCTCGTAATAGAAGTTAAATTCTTGAAAACGGCTTTGCTCTCCTAGCAAAATCTTGCCTTTTGCTTACAGGGTGAAAGAACTATTACCTCTCTCTAGGAGGTTCACTTCTAGACCTGGATGAAGCCTGCTTCTGTTCAGGCCCCAAGGCTTGCTGCGAGGGCTCAGCCCCTTTGCTCCTGTCTGGTGGTGCGCTGGGAGGAGCAGCATCCTGGGAGGAGGCAGCTGCTGTGCTTAGGGGTGTCTGAGACCGCGATCGCTCTTGGAGTCGTGCTTTCTTTTCTCTTGGTACCTCAGAGCCAGCACCTGTAGCTGTATCACTCAGGGTTCCATCCTGACTTGTCTGCTGAGGGCCACTTCCAAAGAACCATGCCCCAGATTTGGTTAAGATTTCTTGTTGCTTTCGACATAAATTGCATACCCACATAACCTATTTGAAGAAGAAAGAACAATATAAATTTTTATGCCCTCTTGGAAATAATTTTTCAGTATCTTAAAATATATTTAAGAAAAAAAGAACAGTATTCATTTTCATATTTATCCTTGCAAATTTCTTGTGAAAATGGTCCTCCCACAAGTCACAGTCAAATATATGAATGCCTAGACAGGGACTTGTCTGAGACTAGAGAGCCTCTCAGCAGCCAGAGTAGAGGTTTTTTCTCAGCATTTCTGATTTGATTATTCTGAATTTCCTTTTACCATATATCTGTCATATTTTTTATAATTGACTCTGGAGTGTTAGCAAAAATGTTCTAAGCAAGGTAGTTAACTGATTAGAAAAATGTTACCAGGAAAAAAAAAGAAAAATGTTACCAGGAACTACAGAATCAGTACGTAAATACATAAACCTCAGTACTTGCAAGTATTTTTAAAAAGTCTGTCTTTTCAAAAATCACCCACAATTAAAGGCAATATTAAAAATATTCACATAGAAGAAACATACAAAGTAAGCACACAAAAAAGGTCAATGTGTATATTTTCTCTAGTTTCTTAGTGATAAACTAACCTTAAGCTTATTTATGCTATAAAATATAATTTTCCATGCACATATTTACTAAAGCAATAAATGTGACTCTGAGTTTATTCATATGTGACCACTCCAATGTAATGTTCCCCAAGGAGAGCTATTGGGGAACCATCATTTAGCAACATATCCACTGATAAATTATAAGATGTAGCACCACTTAAAATAAACTATATGTCTGTTCTCCATTTGATGACCTTTAAAATGAATGTAATAATGAGGACGATTATCATAATAAAAAATAATAATAGCAGCAATGACTAGCTGTCACAGGGCAAAGATAGGTGCTAACAGCTCCATGAGCTGTCTTTTCAAATATCCTCAGTACCTCTGTTTCTTTGTGCTGTGACTTTACATCGCTGCCTCAGTTACATGCCTCCAAAAGCACTTCAGGTGTTTTGTGTTTGTTTCTACTTCAGAAACTACCTCCACAGGAAAAACTAATTACCAAACTCTAGGCTTCCTTTTCACAAATACTGACTCAATCAACATGTACTCAAAAATATTGCATCAGGATGAATAAATCGTAGAAACATTAACTGATAAGTAATAGAAAATAGTAAAAGAAGCATTGTTTAGTAGGTCAAATGAAGAAAATGAACTACTGAAAATATTCAGATAAATGGGGAAAAACTGTAACTGTAGCCATAGAATAAGATGAAGCTAAAATAAGAATAAGAAAAAGACAGGAAAAAAGTAATACACTTTTTTAAAAGGAAAATACTGCAGGTGAATTAAGAACTGCTTTCCAGGAAAGAAAACTCAAATGAATTATAATATAGGAAAAATTAAGACTGAAGAGAAATACTTGCTATAAAAAATTTAAAATTCATGAAGGTTAATTGATTTATTTAGACTTTCCCAGTCATAAAATGAAGTGTACTAGGTTCAAAAAAGCAGTTAGGTATAATGTCTACACAAAGTATTATAACCAATATTACGGAATTCTCATCTACTAAGATGTCAAACAAGATGAACAATTCATTGCATAAACCTATATCAAAATAAGGATTTTATGGAAAGTAACTTCAATTTAAGTGCTAGCCAAATAAGGGTATATTTTACAAAATCTATTACTGAGTAGGTCCCTCAGAAGTCCTGATTGTTTGAACATGGACATATTAAGGGTAACATTAAAAGGTGCAGTACTCCAGGGCCAGGACCTTCATGAACAGTCAGTGACACTGAGTCTCTTCTGCCCAGAACCCTGAGTGGGGACAGGACGTGTGTGGTGGGAAGGTTTTGGTTGGTTGGTTTGTTTTTTGTCTCTTTAGCTGACAGACCATAATAAGAAAGTTTGAAATCATGTAATTCAACAAGACTGGTATGAAATTTTGACTATTTTACATCAAATAAGAAGACGTTAAATTTGTATTTCTCAGACTAATAGTAAGCAACTTATTATCATCATTTAAAGTAGGTTCTTTTCAGCCAGGTGTGGTGGCTGACACCTGTAATCCCAGCACTTTGGGAGGCTGAGGGGAGCAGATCTTCTGAGGTCAGGAGTTCGAGATCAGTCAGGCCAACATGGTGAAATCCCGTCTCTACTAAAAATACAAAACTTAGCCGGGCATGGTGGTGCATGCCTATAATCCCAGCTACTTGGGAGGCTGAGGCAGAAGAATCACTTGAACCCGGAAGGCAGAGGTTTCAGTGAGCTGAGATCCCGCCACTGTTCTCCAGCCTGGACGATAGAGCGAGACTCCATCTCAAAATAAATAATAAGAAATAAAATAAAATCAAGTAGGTTCTTTTCTACAGAAATATCAAGGTATACTTAGGATAAATATGCAGTTTTTAAAAAACCAGAAAACACAAATTTACAATTACAAAGTTTCTAAAATTGAATAAAGCTAAATAAAGAAGCAGAAAGGAGCACAATAATACTGATGAAGGGTAAAGGATACTCTTCATTTTACATTTGAATATTCTCTAGAAATTATTATCACAATCTTATTTTGATTGCTTCACATTTTTAAACGTTACAAAAAATGGGTCAATGAGAACTAACTGCCAGATTTGGGCATGTTCCAAATTTTGAGTATGTGCAGAACTGCTACCAGATCAATTAAAAGAAACACAATTTATTATTATTAAATAAGTTGAATTTTACAATTTAATTTCATTTCCAGTTTATTCAAAAGGTTACAATTAGTGACTATGTCAAAACAGCATAGGCATTTTAAATTCTATTCTTAAAATACTTTGTATTCATTTAAGTCTGTGATGCTTTGTTAATTTTTTTGTTTTTAACATTTAGTAAAATACTGTATAATTCCAAACTTTTTCTATGTCTTATTTCCTTGTACACCACAACATTTTTAAATTTGTATTTTTAAATTAACTATAAGTGTAGTCAATCCATCCTCCAAACTGAAAGTAAAATTAACCATGGCAATGTTAAAATATTTATTTTTATCAAAATATCACCTCCCAGTCTCTATTTTCAGTTCTACAAATTAATCATACCACAAATTTTACAAATAAAAAATAAATTGCTCATATAAGTTATAAAGAAAAATATATAAGATTACAATAGAATATTGTCATACATTTCAACACAGTTAATACCAAACATTGCAGACCTCTACAGTACATTTTTTGAAGTCAGTATTAAGTATTATATTTGCCTGAAGCTATAGATAATACAAGAGTGCTGTAGGGAGTCATTTTTAACAGATTTTTTTTTAGAAAAGAGGATAAGACGTAACTTTGCCTACAAAAAAATGCTATTTATTTAAAGCACACAAACACACCTTTTAGAAATTGCACTATGCAGGATTATACCCTGATTAAATACCCTGGGATGTGTTCCAAACTAATCTAAACTAAAGTAGGCCTGTGCAATAACTTATCTTAACAATTTACAGATGTTAAGCAATCACACACAAACTCAATTCAAATACTATCGTGAAGTTACATGACTTTTGAAACACCATGCCACATATCAGAAAATATGCAGGACTGAAAATTGTATTCTGACCTTTTGCTGTAACTGCATTTTTAATTGTCTTTTCCTCTTAATTCTTAAGAAGTACAATAAACTATTTTATAAAACCCATAGGAATTTTTTACCCAGAGAAATAAAAATTGCAACACTTTCTACTATACATATACAGAAAATTCCATAGATAAAACCACAAGTTTGGCAGAAAAACTAAAAAGGTATTCAAGTGGAAGAAATATTAAAATATTTACAGAGCCGGACACACAGAACAAAAGAAATGTGCCCTTGATTTATTCTTGATGATATTACTAAGGTGATTCACGACGAGGTCTAGAATAATTTCTTTTTTTTTTTGGTGGGGGAATGGAGTTTTGCTCCTGTTGCCCAGGCTGGAGTTCAGTGTCGCGATCTTGGCTCACTGCAACCTCCGCCTCTTGGGTTCAAGCGATTCTCCTGCCCCAGCCTCCCGAGTAGCTGAGATTACAGGCACCTGCCCCCACGCCCAGCTAATTTTTGTATTTTTAGTAGAGACGGTGTTTCACCATGTTGGGCAGGCTGGTCTCAAACTCCTGACCTCAGGTGATCCAC
Organism: Homo sapiens; assembly: GCF_000001405.40. Lineage (NCBI taxonomy): Eukaryota > Metazoa > Chordata > Mammalia > Primates > Hominidae > Homo > Homo sapiens. Next base: position 72,175,445 of record NC_000006.12, on the reverse strand, counting down.
CCTCCTCAGCCTCCCAAAGTGCTGGGATAACAGGCGTGAGCCACTGCACCCAACTCAGAATTCTTATATTAACACAAATGTCTTCCTTATAAGAATCCATCTGAGGTACTTAGTATTATAATATAAAGAATAAATATAAGCATGAAGGTTTAGAAAAAGAGATTGTGATTCAATTTTCATTTGATACTTTTACAGATAAATTTTAAGATCAATTTTCAATGAATATAGGATGTTTTTAAAAATTATTATGGTACCATTTTGAAAAACATGAAAAAGAAGACGAGATAGTCAATTACAGTTGCTCATTTTCCTTTCTCTATTCAGTAAGCACTCTAGCAGAAACTGGGGACAAAATTATCAAGGTAATATTTCAACTTTGTTGACAAAAGTAGATGAGAGGGTAGAAAAGAGTAGATGTCAGAATAAATGAGAATGAGTTCTCTTTGGTTCTTGTAGTGTGAATGTGTATGTGGGTGGGAATGGGTGGGTGTATGTGGGTATGTTTCTCTTAGTCTTTTATTGTTGTTATTGCTATTCATAAATTTATTTCCCTTTGGAAGTTTATAATATATGTGGTTTTATGAAAGACAAAAATATGATATAGAATGTTTCTTTTTAATGGGTAAATCACTTCCCATTCCACTGTCTTACTATTAGCATTTTAATACAATTTTCTATGCAAATTTAAAATAACTGAGATTCCACTGTTACTCTATATCCTATTTATATATTTAATATTATGGCACAAGTATTTCTATGTGATTCTAAACGTTTCTAAAGCATTTTAATATCTGCAAAATATTCTACAGAGTTGGAATATCACTTACCTAGTCCTTAAACTGCTTATAACCTTTCACATTAACACAGAACTCTGCAGTGAAAAGTGTGTTGATCAAACTTTTTTTCATATTTATGGTCTTTTTTTAGGATACATTAGAAAAAATCAAATTATTTGGTAAAATTTTAGAACATATTTAAAGCTCCTCTTATATAATCACTGTGTGGTAACAGTTGGGGCTCTCTGTATAATTTGCAAAATAGCTTCCCAAAAGGGGTGCTAAATTGTAACCCAAAAGTGACAATATCAATTCTGCATTTTAAAATCTAATGACTTAATAATGCCCCCAAACCCTATACTCTTACAAATATTTCAAATTTGAAATAATACAGTGAGATTCATTTAGATAATAGAACCATAAACCCCACAGCAAAAGAGGACCCTCAAGGAAGGGAGATAACAATGAATTTCTGCTAAGTGTATGTATGTAAAAGGGTGGTAAGTGAAACAAAATGGAGGAAGCTGTAGCTCAAATCACAGATGGAGGAGGGCCGTAACCAAGAACGGAGTTGATTTTCTCTGCAGAACCCATGAGAAGATCTAGGTTAGATGGCAGATACTATGGCAGGAGAGAAGTGAGAAATAGAATTAAAACAGATGACTATTTGTCTTTTTTTTTTTTAAGTTTATTTTCCATATGCAGAATGACCACTTTCCCACAAATCTGAAACAGACAGGTGTTGTTGACCTGCAAAGAGCCTTTCTCATTCTGGCAGGTAGGTTTTCTCCATCCTAATGGCTGATTCTCCAGTTGTTCACTTAAAAACACCTCCCACATATGCACACACAAACACACACCCCAATCATCCATTCTCATGCCTCGCTTTTGTTTATTCCCCTATATATGGCTAATCAAGGAACACTAAACTATTAAAATAAAAACTATAACATTAAAGAGAAAGGCTAAAATCAACATAGAGAAGAATTAATGTTGGAAGAGTAAAAGATAATTCCAGGAAATATCTTAAAGAAACCTTAAAATAACCTTTAATTAGTGTTCAGATGTCAACCTTAAAAGAGCTTTTAAAATTAATGGTAAAACTGTCTCAATAAAAGAAGAATTTAAAAGAAAGGATGTATGAAAAAACAAGAGATAAGAAAACACATGAGATAAAATGTTAGAGAGATAAAACGTTAGAGAGATAAAACACATGAAATAAAAAACATGAGATAAAAGTTCTAGAAAAAAAGAACAAAATATGGAGGGGAATAAAGTTGCAAAAATAATAGAAGACAAATTCCCAGAATGGAGAAGTCATTGCATATTAATACAATGAATGGAAAAAGAAACCACCAAGATAAAAATCATTATGAAATTTCAATATAACAAAGCTAAAAAAAAGATCCTAAAAGTATCCAGAAAGAAAATGTTGGGTCCTAGAGAAAGGAATAGGAAATAGAATGGTATCAGAATTCCCATCAGCAATACTGGATGTTTGAAGACAAGGGAGAAATACTATCAATAGTCTTCAGGAAAATGATATGGGTCCTGAAATTTTATATATAGGTAAACCATCAATCAAATATAAGGCAGTTTAAGAAATTTTCAGAATTTGGAAGAACTTGGAAAATTTACCACTCACATATCCTTGTTAGCAAAACAAAATCTACCAAGAAAGAGGGAATCCAGGAAGCAAATGGTTTTCACAGAAGAGCAAATGTTAAGGGAAGTCCCATGATGAAGAGCCCTCTTTGAAACCCTAGAGAGAAATTTCGAGCAGGAGGATGGAGACTCTAGAATGAGGATTCTGGGAGCAAAAATTAAATAAACCAGAAGACAACAGCAACAACACAAAAGGCAAATTGATCAAATGCATAGTGCGATTTTGAACACAAAACAAATGAAACAAAAACTTCATAGGATAAAGGAATTTAGCTAAAGGGAGGACCCATTTACATTTGAAGCTAAGAACATTTCCCATCAAGTAGGACAGTGGTCATGGTATCCAATCCATAGAATATGAAGCATAATCTAAATTCATTGCTTGGCTCTGGTTAATGACTGTGTTAAGCTGCAGAAGTGAACCACAGAAGAAACAAAATAGAGATTTTGGGTGGAAGGACAGAGGAGTTAATGACATCTCTGTGCTTTAGTATCTTCCTTTATTTTTATATGTCATTGCAATACTACAAGAGCTGTGAAGAGTTTATTAGCCCAAATATAAATGCTTAATAGTGCCTTGTCTCTCATGAATAGACAAAGTTGGAGAATAGTCAAAAGACTTTTGCTCTTTATTATTAGCCTTCTGTTTCATCTTTTATCCACATATACACAGTTACATAGTTATATGTGGTATTACATATAGCTATACATTTATCTTTTAACATATTCATAACATGATTAAAAATATTTTTTTGATCATTTACCATTTATTGATGATTTTATCATTTTTTTATTCATTTAAGTTGTACCGTTAAGGTAAACACTTTGTTTCGAATGTTTTCCGTGTTTGTTAGCATGTAAACTAATCAGGTTTTTGTGTATTTATGAATTAAATTCATAGTATTTCTTACCAATTTAATTGATTTATTAACTCCTTGATATAGTTTTTTTATTAATTTTGTTGCTTGCCATATTGGTTTTTTTCTGTTATCATAAAGATGGTTTTCATTTTATATCATCTATTCTATTATTCTCTTCCTTTGCAATCCTTCTGTTGTACTTTAGCTCAGAAAGTGCTTTTATAAATATTCACTTTTATTTTCATTGACTATTTATATGGTTGAACATTTTACATTGTCTTTCTTGATCTCTCAGAATCTATTTTGAGGTATAACAAGAGTTAGGGAACTACACTCATTTCTTTTCATAGATAACCGTCTCAACATGTTTACTGAAGGATACTTCATTTCACTGTCAACCTGCAAAGAAGAGTGATTTCTAGAGTTAAACTGCCTAGGTTCTCATCTCACGTCCATCTGTCAATCCACTTACTTGCAATTCACTCAGGCCAACTTGCAAAGCCTCCCAAAGACTCATTGTCATCATCTATAGACAGGGGGTAATAATAGTTCCTATCTCACTGAGTTGTTTTGAGAATTAAATGAAATAATACATCTAAATTGCTTAGCATAGTGCCTGAAATATAGTAAGTAAGCATTATCAGCATTATAATGGTTATTTTATCATTATCAGAAAGGTTCGGGGGGGCTATCAGATTCATACAATATCAGTAAGAAAATTATTTTTTCCCATGGAGGTGTGTGTGTGTGTATGTGTGCATATATATATACACATATATATATATACACACACACACGTAATATATATTTATACATTATATATGTATGTATATGTATTAGGTATAAATATATGTATTATATATAAATTCAATATGAATTATATTACATTATTTAAAGTTTCTACATTTTAAAGTTTAGTTTACACACTATCTAATGGTCTGTCACTCACTTTTCTTGTTTCTGTAAATGACTAAAATTTTTATTACCCTGATTCTGTGTAGGTAATGGCAGGTAAGAGGCAGCAATGAATACTGAATCATGGTTAAGGAGCAGCCCTTGGAGGTAGAATATATAGTCCTGAATCCTTATTTGCTGACGTTCTCATTATCTCACCTAGGACAGCTTATATCTTCTCTCTGTGCTTCAGTATCCTCATTTATAAAATAGGGAAAATAATAATAATGATTTCATAGACTCTATGTTAGGATTGAGTTATACAAAACTGTGTTTGACACATAGTAAACATTCAATAATATTTTTATTAGCATCATACAACATTTATTGCTGATGTGTCTTCAAACTAAAGGTAAATAAATATTATTTTATTTTGCAATATAAAGTGATACACTCAGTACATATTTTTGATTTCCACAAATATTTTAGGTGCCTGTTATGTGTTAGGCATTGTTTTAGGTTCTAGGGATGCAGCACTGAAAAAAATAGACAAAAATTCTCCCCACGGAGTTTATGTTCTAGTGAAAAAAGACAGACAGAAACAAAACATAATGGTAGGCTGGGTGCAGTGGCTCATCCCAGCACTTTGGGAGGCTGAGGCGGGTGGATCACAAGGTCAGGAGTTTGAGACCAGCTTGGCCAACATAGTGAAACCCTATCTCTACTAAAAATACAAAAAATTAGCCAGGCGTGGTGGTGGGCACCTGTAATCCCAGCTACTCAGGAGGCTGAGGCAGGAGCATCGCTTGAACCTGGGAGGCAGAGGTTGCAGTGAGCAGAGATTGCACCCTTGCATGCCAGCCTGGGCAACAGTGCAAGACTCTGACTCAAAAAAAGAAAAAATTTAAAAAACCCATAATGGTAAACATAAGTGGTATTATAGATGGTGATAAGTACTGAGGAATAAATGCAAAAGAAAAGGCATTGGGCACTCTGAGTGGTGGTAGAGTACAATATAAAATTGGCTAGTCAAAAAAACTTCATTGAGAAAGTGATATTTGAGTAAGAGTAAGCTATGCAGGTATCTGGAGGAAAGCATCTCAGGCTGTAAAAACAGCAAATAAAAAGGACTTTGTGGAGCTTATACCTGGTGGTTTCAAGGCACAGGTGGAGCCGAGTAAGTGATGGTTCAGGTCGTATAAGATATGTTCAGTAAAGTAATGAGTCAGACCCAGTAGGTCTTTGTGGACTATAGCAATGACTTTGACTTTTATGATGAGTAATGACGAGCCATTGGAAGATTCTGAGGAGAGAAGTCATCTCACATATGTTTTGTTTTTGAGACAGGGACTCACTCTGTCACCTAGGCTGGAGTGCAGTGGCACCATCACAGCTCACTGCAGCCTCAACCTCCTTGGCTTAGGTGATCCATCCGCCTCTTCCTCCCAAGTAGCTGGGACCACAGGCAGGCACCACGCTCAGCTAATTTTTGTTTTTTTGTGTTTTTTTGGTAGAGACAGGCTTTCACCATGTTGCCCAGGCTGGTCTTGAACTCCTGAGCTCAAGCAATCTGCCCGCCTTAGCCTCCGAAAGTGCTGCAATTACAGGCATGTGCCACCGTGTCCAGATATAACTTGGGTTTTAATAGGATCTCTTTGGTTGTTGATTGAGAATAAAATATAGGGAATTCCTAACCATCCCTCATTTTTGGTTTCTAAAATTCAGTGACAATTTTCTTTTCTGGTCTTTTTCCTATTTGTATCACCTCTTCTCATATTCCTGGCTAAAATCTTCCTTCTTTACTCTTTTATTAAATGTTGATGTTACACAGGACTCAATTCTTGCTCTTCTACATTTGTTACTTAAATAGGCTTCATGAAAGATGTAAAGTTTTCCAAATATTTTGATCTCAAGCCCTCTGAAAAAATATTTTTGAGAAGGCTTATATAATAAATATTTGTGTAATGCATTATGCATGCCTATTAGAATAACACAGTATTTGCATTGTAAAACATGCAGAAGTAGAAATTAAAATAAGATAAAAATATAAATAGAATTTCAATTTTATTTTGTACCCAAAAAGAATACCTTGCACTATAAACTGCTGACTCTAAAATCATAATTTCTAGCTCAGACATCTTTACAATTATCCAAATCCATTTATCTTCTTATTTACTATATATGGCCACTTAAATGTTAGACAGGAGCCTCAAACTTAAAATATACAAAACAGAAATGATCATGCTTCTCAAAAACTTTCTTGTCCAGTACTTCTTGTTTTAGTTAACAGTAACACCATCTGCAGAGTAACCCAATATATTGATCAAAAATTGATCTTAGCCTACCCTTGTTACAGTAGACAGACATGAGCAGGGCAGGAGAGGGCTCCCCACCACCACCAGGAATGTCAGGCGACTATCAAGTGATGGTCAGGCAAAGTTGTTAACTGTCTCTCTAAAATAATAATTAATCTCAGCCAGCACCAGGAAAAGGCAGTCTCCCACTAGAAAAAAAAAAAAAAAAAAAAAACCCTGAAACTAGTGATCAGCAGCTTCCCAATAAGATATCAGGAGTTGGGTGAGTGGGCTCAAGCATGTGCACTATGAGACAAAATGACAGAGTTTGACTGGTATATGACCTTGGTCTAGGAATGCTAGACTGGTAAAGGAAGAACAACTCAAGTGAGCATTGCGTATAATTCCAGTAAACACACTGTGCATGTTCCCCTCCCAAGTGCTAGCACGCCACTGCACATGTGGACAGCCCACCCCAAACTAATAATCAGGAAAGAAGGGACACAAGACCTTAGAAGTATGCCAACATATAAAACCCCAGTCCAAACTTCAAACCATGCATTTGATCTCACCAGTCACTTGCTTAGTCCTCTTCCAAGTATACTTTATTTCCTTTCATTTCTGCTCCAAAGCTTTTAAATAAACTTTCACTCTTGCTATAAAACTTGCCTTAGTCTCTTCATCTGCCTTAAACCCCTCAGTCAAATTCTTTCATCTAAGAAGGCAAGAATTGAGGTTGCTGCACACCCATAAGGATTTGCCACTGCTAACACCCTTTCCCCAATCTTTCATCAAATCTTCTTAATTCTGATTCTGGAACACAATGACTCAAATTTATTCCCTCATGTCTATCCCCATTGTACTGCCTTATTTGGGCCATCATCTCTAATAGCAATATCCTAATTGATGTTCTTGCCTCTTTTATTGCTCCTGCAATAAATTATCCATACCATTTCCAGATCTTTCAAAATTTTAAATTGCCAAAAATCACATAAAGAAGAAAATAATAAATATTAGAGTGAAAATAAATGAAATATAAACTAAAAAAAAAAATAAAACCTAGAAAAAAATCAATGGACCCAGAAATTTGTTTATTGAAAGGATTAATAAAATTGATAAAATCCCACAGCACTGGTCAAGAAAAATAACAGAAAATATAATTACTCAAAGAAAGGACAGCACTACAGAGCCTAGAATTATTAAAAATACAAATAAGAGAGTACTATGAACAACTGTATGTCAATAAATTCAGTAACATGAATAGAGAAATTTCTCAAAAACTCAAACTACCAAAACTGACGCAAAAAAGAAACTGAAAACCCGAATAGTCCTTTAGCTATTAAAAAAGTTGAATTAATAATTGAAAGCCAATTTTTAATGAAAATGCCAGAACCAAATATCTTCATTGGCAAATTCCTTAAAACATATTTAAAGAGCGAATGATATCAATCTTACTTGAAGTTTACTATTTAAAAAGAGGGAGGAGAACCACATTCGCTTCTGAACTCACTTTATCAGATCAGCTTAGCCCTAATACTAAAATCCTGACACAACAAATTTTTGAAAATGATTAAAAATAAAATTAAAAACTAATGTCTCTCAAACAGGGAAGCAAAAACATTTAAGAAAAAAACTACCAAACTTAATACAGTACTATATAACCATATAAAAACATTATTACAAAGTGAAATTTATCCTAGCAATGGAAATATATATACACATATATATGCAAAATAAACATTTTATATATAAAATATATGTGTATGTGTGTATAAATATATATTTAAGAAAAAGTATTGACAAAATCCAACACTTTTAATGAGAAAAAATGCTCAACAAACTAGACATAAAAAAGATTTCAGAATAATTCCTGAATATGATAAAGTAATCATCAAAAAACCTACCACTAACAGTACATTTAAGGATAGAAGGCAAATGTTCTCTACTTAAGATCAGGAACAAGGCAAATATATATACTTTTTAAACCTCTATACGCCAGTGTAATAGAGATCATAACAAATTAATCAAGCAATAAAAATAAATAAAGATTAAAAGGGAAAAAGTAAATCCATGTTTGCAGAAGTTATGATAGTATATGTAGGAAATCCAAAAAAAATCTACAAAACACTATTGAGACTAATAAATTAGTTTAGCAATTAGCAAGATACTAAGTCAATAAACATAAGCAATTTTATTTCATACACCAGAAGCAAACAATTAAGAGAGTTACTTTTTTTTTTTAAAATAGAGACGGGATCTCATTACGCTGCCTAAGCTGGTCTCAAACTCCTGAGCTCAAGTGATCCTCCCACCTTGGACTCCCAAATCTCTGGGATTACAGGTGTGAGCCACTATGCTCTACCTAGCAAGATAATTTTTAAAAATACAGTTTATTTGTAAATACCCAAAAAACCAAAATTCATAAGGATAATTTTAACAAAATATGTCCAAGAGCTTTACACTAACATTTACAAAATATTGCTGGGAAAATATTGCTGAGAAAAGTATCCCTACAAAATTTGTATGTTGAAGCTCTAATTCTGAATGTGGCTGTATTGTGAGGGACTACAAAGAGGTAATCAAGTTTAAATAAAATCAGGTCATACAGGTGTAGGCCTAGCTCAATAGGATTAGTGTTCTTAAAAAAAAAAAAAAACAGACACCAAGGAGTTCATCTGTCTCTCTTTCTCTCTGTCTCTGTCTCTGTCTCTCTCTCTCTCACTGTGTATGTGTGCATGTGTGTGTGTATTTGTGTATTTCTCTCTCTAGCTCTCTTTTCACATAAGCCCAGAGGAAGGTCCTCTGAGGACAGGGTGAGAAGGTAGCCAACTACAAGCCAGTAAGAGAGCTTTCAACAGAAACTAACCCTGTTGGCACCTTGTTATTGGACTTCTCAGTCTCCAGAACTGTGAGAAAATAATTTTACGTTATTTAAGCTACCCAGCTTATGGTATTTTGTTATGGAAACCCAAACATATTAATACGAAGAGCAAAATAAATGCAGACATATACCATATTTAATGACTGAAAAACTCAGTATTGTTAAGGTGCCAGTTCCCCCAAATAATAGGTACCAGTAGGATACCAGAGGTCAGGAGAGAAAAGTTTAGATATTTTTCCCTCTGTTTACTTCATCCCATCATGGTTCCTTTTGGGTGGCCTCCTCATTCATTATTCTCTTATGGCCCTACTAGCAGCATTTTTTCTCCTTACTCATTAGATCTAGGTATATTCATGGGTTCCAGCTTCAAATCTGTTCAATCTCTGATTGAATTAAAATAATCTGCCTCTTCTCTTACTGCATGCAAGGAGCAAAAGTACATTGTCTCAGTGGGTAACAGGACATAAACCTCAAATTATATCTATAATTTTTCAAGAAAAATATAAGGCATCCCTACATAGGCAATACCACATGAAAAGAGAGAGACACACACAGATAGATATAAAGGCAGAAAGAGAGGAAGACAGAGAGAGAGAGGGAAACATACATAATGAAAATAGACCAACCGACCCACAGGAGATACAGAGATAATGGAGTGGATGTGTAAGGCACATATTTCAATATGTTGTTTGACAAGTTCAGTAAGTTACATAAAAACATGGAGAATTTAAACAGAGAGCCAGGAATTACATAAAAGAAATGAAAATTCTAGAACTAAAACTAAACATTAAATGAACTTATGTAATTAAGAACTAAGTAGACTTGTGTATTTTCAAATTAGACAAAACAGAATATAAGATCAGTAAGATTAGTGAACTCAAATTAGAATAAAATACATAGCCTTAAGTAGGGAGAATAAAATGTAAAATACAAAACAAAGATGATTACAATAAACACATAAAATATGGAAAAAAATATTTAATATATGTATAATTGGAGTCGTAGAAGGAAATAATATAGAGTATGGAGCAGAAGCAGTACTTCTGGCCATGGTTTGCCAAAATCAATTGCTATGAATTTAAAGTTATTGTCACCCCAGATTCATTTATTGAAGCCCTTATCTGAAATATATTTGGAGTTGGGGCCTTTGGAGGGTAATTAGGTTTACTTGAGGTCATAAGTGTGAAACCTCAATGATGGGATCAATTCCTTTATAAGAAGAAAGAGACCACACTGTTCTCTCCCTGCCATTTGTAGATATAGTAAGAAGGTTGTTGTTTGCAAACCAGGATTTGAGACAACAAATCTGCTGTTATATTGATGTTGAACTTCTAGTATCTAGACCTGTGAGAGAGACATGTTTGTTTTTCAAGCCACATAATCTATGGTATATTGTTATAGCAGCTGGAACTGTCTAATAAACCAATGAGAGACATTATGCCACAGATTTAAGAACTGCTGCAAACCATCAGTAGAATAAATACAAAGAAAACAACATATAGGAACATCATAATAAAACTACAGAAAAATACAAACTTTTGTGGAGCCAAGATGGCTAAATAGGAACAGCTCCAGTCTACAGCTCCAGGCGTGAGCGATGCAGAAGACGGGTGATTTCTGCATTTCCAATTGAGGTACCGGGTTCATCTCACTGGGGAGTGTCAGACAGTGGGTGCAGGACAGTGGGTGCAGTGCACCGAGTGTGAGCCAAATCAGGGTGAGGCATTGCCTCACCCAGGAAGCACAAGGGATCAGGGAATTCCCTTTCCTAGTCAAAGAAAGGGGTGACAGACGGCACCTGGAAAATCGGGTCACTCCCACCCTAATACTGCGCTTTGCCAACAGTCTTAGCAAATGGCACACCAGGAGATTATATCCTGCACTTGGCTCGGAGGGTCCTATGCCCACGGAGTCTCGCTCATTGCTAGCACAGCAGTCTGAGATCAAACTGCAAGGCAGCAGCGAGACTGGGGGAGGGGCGCCCACCATTGCCAAGGCTTGAGTATGTAAACAAAGTGGCCGGGAAGCTCGAACTGGGTGGAGCCCACCACAGCTCAAGGAGACCTGCCTGCCTCTGTAAACTCCACCTCTGGGGGCAGGGCATAGCCAAACAAAAGGCAGCAGAAACCTCTGGAGACTTAAATGTCCCTGTCTGACAGCTTGGAAGACAGTATTGGTTCTCCCAGCACGCAGCTGGAGATCTGAGAACGGACAGACTGCATCCTCAAGTGGGTCCCTGACCACCGAGTAGCCTAACTGGGAGGCCCCCCCCCCCCAGCCAGTAGGGGCAGATTGACACCTCACATGGCCGGGTACTCCTCTGAGACAAAACTTCCAGAGGAACAATCAGGCAGCAACATTTGCTGTTCACCAATATCTGCTGTTCTGCAGCCTCCACTGATGATACCCAGGCAAACAGGGTCTGGAGTAGACCTCCAGCAAACTCCAACAGACCTGCAGCTGAGGGTCTTGCCTGCTAAAAGGAAAACTAACAAACAGAAAGGACATCCACACCAAAAACCCATTTATACATCACCATCATCAAAGACCAAAGGTAGATAAAACCACAAAGGTGGGGAAAAACCAGAGCAGAAAAACTGGAAATTAAAAATCAGAGTGCCTCTCCTCCTCCAAAGGAACACAGCTCCTCACCAGCAATGAAACAAAGCTGGATGGAGAATGACTTTGATGAGTCGAGAGAAGAAGGCTTCAGATGATCAAACTACTCTGAACTAAAGGAGGAAGTTTGAACCCATGGCAAAGAAGTTAAAAGCCTTGAAAAAAAATTAGACAAATGGCTAACTAGAATAACCAAAGCAGAGAAGTCCTTAAAGGACCTGATGGAGCTGAAAACCATGGCACAAGAACTATGTGATGAATGCAGAAGCCTCAGTAGCCGATTCGATCAACTGGAAGAAAGGGTATCAGTGATGGAAGATGAAATGAAATGAAGTGAGAAGAGAAGATTAGAGAAAAAAATAATAAAAAGAAATGAACAAAGCCTCCAAGAAATATGGGACTATGTGAAAAGACCAAATCTACATCTGATAGGTATACCTGAAAGTCACGGGGAGCATGGAACCAAGTTGGAAAACACTCTGCAGGATATTATCCAGGAGAACTTCCCCAATCTGGCAAGGCAGGCCAACTTTCAAATTCAGGAAATACAGAGAATGACACAAAGATACTCCTCGAGAAGAGCAACTCCAAGACACATAATTGTCAGATTCACCAAAGTTGAAATGAAGGAAAAAATGTTAAGGGCAGCCAGAGAGAAAGGTCAGGTTACCCACAAAGGGAAGCCCATCAGACTAACAGCTGATCTCTTGGAAGAAACTCTACAAGCCAGAAGACAGTGGGGGCCAATATTCAACATTCTTAAAGAAAAGAATTTTCAACCCAGAATTTCATATCCAGCCAAACTAAGCTTCAGAAGTGAAGGAGAAATAAAATCCTTTACAGACAAGCAAATGCTGAGAGATTTTGTCACCACCAGGCCTGCCTTACAAGAGCTCCTGAAGGAAGCACTAAACACGGAAAGGAACAACCAGTACCAGCCACTGCGAAAACATACCAAATTGTAAAGACCATCAAGGCTAGGAAGAAACTGCATCAACTAACAAGCAAAATAACCAGCTAACATCATAATGACAGGATCAAATTCATACATAACAATATTAACCTTAAATGTCAATGGGCTAAATGCTCCAATTAAAAGACACAGACTGGCAACTTGGATAAAGAGTCAAAACCCATCAGTGTGCTCTATTCAGGAAACCCATCTCACATGCAGAGACACACATAGCCTCAAAATAAAGGGATGAAGGAAGAAATACCAAGCAAATGGAAAACAAAAAAAGGCAGGGGTTGCAATCCTGGTCTCTGATAAAACAGACTTTCCACCAACAAAGATCAAAAGAGACAAAGAAGGCCATTACATAATGGTAAAGGGATCAATTCAACAAGAAGAGCTAACTATCCTAAATATATGTGCACCCAATACAGGAGCACCCAGATTCATAAGGCAAGTCCTTAGACACCTACAAAGAGACTTAGACTCCCATACAATAATAATGGGAGATTTAACACCCCACTATCAACAATTGACAGGTCAACAAGACAGAAAGTTAACAAGGATATCCAGGAATTGAACTCAGCTCTGCACCAAGCGGACCTAATAGACATCTATAGAACTCTCCACCCCAAATCAACAGAATATACATTCTTTTCAGCACCACATCACACTTATTCCAAAGTTGACCACATAGTTGGAAGTAAAGCTCTCCTCAGCAAATGTGAAAGGACAGAAATCACAACAAACTGTCTCTCAGACCACAGTGCAATCAAACTAGAACTCAGGCTTAAGAAACTCACTCAAAACCGCTCACCTACATGGATACTGAACAACCTCCTCCTGAATGACTACTGGGGACATAACGAAATGAAGGCAGAAATAAAGATGTTCTTTGAAACCAATGAGAACAAAGACACAACATACCAGAATCTCTGGGACACATTCAAAGCAGTGTTTAGAGGGAAATTTATAGCACTAAATGCCCACAAGAGAAAGCAGGAAAGATCTAAAATTGACACCCTAACATCACAATTAAAAGAACTAGAGAAGCAAGAGCAAACACATTCAAAAGCTAACAGAAGGCAAGAAATAACTAAGATCAGAGCAGAACTGAAGGACACAGAGACACAAAAAGCCCTTCAAAAAAATCAATGAATCCAGGAGCTCGTTTTTTGAAAAGATCAACAAAATTGATAGACTGCTAGCAAGACTACTAAAGAAGAAAAGAGAGAAGAATCAAACAGATGCAATAAAAACTGATAAAGGGGATATCACCACCAATCCCACAGAAATACAAACTACCATCAGAGAATACTATACACACCTCTATGCAAATAAACTAGAAAATCTAGAAGAAATGGATAAATTCCTTGACACATACACCCTCCTAAAACTAAACCAGGAAGAAGTGGAATCTCTTAATAGACCAATAACAGCTTCTGAAATTGAGGCAATAATTAATTGCCTACCAACCAAAAAAAAAAGTCCAGAACCAGATGGATTCACAGCCAAATTCTACCAAAGATACAAGAATGAGCTGGTACCATTCCTTCTGAAACTATTCCAATCAATAGAAAAAGAGGGAATCCTCCCTAACTCATTTTATGAGGCCAGCATCATCCTGATACCAAAGCCTGGCAGAGACACAACAAAAAAAGAGAATTTCAGACCAATATCCCTGATGAACATCGATACAAAAATCCTCAATAAAATACTGGCAAACCAAATCCAGCAGCACATCAAAAAACTTACCCACCATGATCAAGTGGGCTTCATCCTTGGGATGCAAGGCTGGTTCAACATATGAAAATCAATAAACGTAAGCCAGCATATAAACAGAACCAATGACAAAACCACAAGATTATCTCAATAGATGCAGAAAAGGCATTTGACAAAATTCAACAGCCCTTCATGCTAAAAACTCTCAATAAATTAGGTATTGATGGGATGCATCTCAAAATAATAAGAGCTATTTATGACAAACCCACAGCCAATATCATACTGAATGGGCAAAAACTGGAAGCATTCCCTTTGAAAACTGGCACAAGACAGGGATGTCCTCTCTCACCACTCCTATTCAACATAGTGTTGGAAGTTCTGGCCAGGGCAATCAGGCAGGAGAAGAAAATAAAGGGTATTCAATTAGGAAACGAGGAAGTCAAATTGTCCCTGTTGGCAGATGACATGATTGTATATCTAGAAAACCCCATTGTCTCAGCCCAAAATCTCTTTAAGCTGATAGGCAACTTCAGCAGTCTCAGGATACAAAATCAATTTGCAAAAATCACAAGCATTCTTATACACCAACAAAAGACAAACAGAGAGCCAAATCATGAGTGAACTCTCATTCACAATTCCTTCAAAGAGAATAAAATACCTAGGAATCCAAGAGGGATGTGAAGGACCTCTTCAAGAAGAACTACAAACCACTGCTCAATGAAATAAAAGAGGATACAAACAAATGGAAGAACATTCCATGCTCATGGGTAGGAAGAATCAATATCGTGAAAATGGCCTTGCTGCCCAAGGTAATTTATAGATTCAATGCCATCCCCATCAAGCTACCAACGACTTTCTTGACAGAATTGGAAAAAACCACTTTAAAGTTCACATGGAACCAAAAAAGAGCCCGCATTGCCAAGTCAATCCTTAGCCAAAAGAACAAAGCTGGAGACATCACACTACCTGACTTCAAACTATACTTCAAGGCTACAATAACCAAAACAGCATGGTACTGGTACCAAAACAGAGATATAGATCAATGGAACAGAACAGAGCCCTCAGAAATAATGCTGCCTATCTACAACTATCTGATCTTTGACAAACCTGAGAAAAACAAGCAATGGGGAAAGGATTCCCTATTTAATAAATGGTGCTGGGAAAACTGGCTAGCCATATGTAGAAAGCTGAAACTGGATCCTTTCCTTACACCTTACACAAAAATTAATTCAAGATGGATTAAAGATTTAAATGTTAGACCTAGAACCATAAAAACCCTACAAGAAAACGTAGGCAATACCATTCAGGACATAGGCATGGGCAAGGACTTCATGTCTAAAACACCAAAAGCAATGGCAACAAAAGCCAAAATTGACAAATGGGATCTAACTAAAGAGCTTCTGCACAGCAAAAGAAACTACCGTCAGAGTGAACAGGCAACCTACAGAATGGGAGAAAATTTTTGCAATCTACTTATCTGACAAAGGGCTAATATCCAGAATCTACAGTGAACTCAAATTTACAAGAAAAAAACAAACAACCCCATCAACAAGTGGGTGAAAGATATGAACAGACACTTCTCAAAAGAAGACATTTATGCAGCCAAAAGACACATGAAAAAATGCTCAACATCACTGGCCATCAGAGAAATGCAAATCAAAACCACAGTCAGATACCATCTCACACCAGTTAGAATTGCGATCATTAGAAAGTCAGGAAACAACAGGTGCTGGAGAGGATGTGGAGAAATAGGAACACTTACACTGTTGGTGGGACTGTAAACTAGTTCAACCATTGTGGAAGTCAGTGTGGCGATTCCTCAGGGACCTAGAACTAGAAATACCATTTGACCCAGCCATCCCATTTATACCCAAAGGATTATAAATCATGCTGCTATAAAGACACATGCACACATATGTTTATTGCCACACCATTCACAATAGCAAAGACCTGGAACCAATCCAATGTCCAACAATGATAGACTGGATTAAGAAAATGTGGCACATATACACCATGGAATACTATGCAGCCATAAAAATGATGAGTTCATGTCCTTTGTAGGGACATGGATGAAGCTGGAAACCATCATTCTCAGAAAACTATTGCAAGGACAAAAAACCAAACACCGCATGTTCTCACTCATAGGTGGGAATTGAGCAATGAGAACACATGGACACAGGAAGGGGAACATCACACACCAGGGCCTGTTGTGGGGTGGGGGGAGGGCGGAGGGATAGCATTAGGAGATATACCTAATGTTAAATGACGAGTTAATGGGTGCAGCACACCAACATGGCACATGTATACATATGTAACAAACCTGCACGTTGTGCACATGTAGCCTAAAACTTAGAGTATGATTAAAAAAAATACAATCTTTTTAAAACAACCAGAGATAAAAGACACATTATTTTCAAAGGAGTAACCATAATATTGATAACTAACTTCTCAACATAACAGAAGAAAAGACAATGCAATTATACTTTGGTGATGTAGGAAAATAAATGTCAAATGGAATTCTGTAACAGGAAAACATGTTTTTAAAAATAAAGGCATTTTGATTCAAACAAAAAGTGAATGTGTTACCAGAAGCATCACAGGAAAAGAAATACTAAAGAGTGTTTTTAGCTGAAGGAAAATGAAGCTAAATGGAAATAAAAATACAGGAAAGAATAAACAGCAACAGTTGGTAAATATAAATGAATATTGATGACAAACAAGCATAATTTAACATATTTGTCATTATAATAAATCACACAATAATAACATAAAATATTTGTGGGGATAAGCTATGTTAATGGTGAATGAGGTTCTTATATTGTGGTAAATATGTTAGTATATACTAAGCATTAATAACATAAGATTTTATGAATAACAAAATAATAGCAATAGAGTGTATTGCTGGCAAGAAAATGAAAAGATAGAATGCTAATATAACTAATCCAAAAGAAGTAATAAAATGGGAAATAGAAAATATAAAGATGACAAATTTCAATACAAATATAGTGCCACCTACAGTATGTAAGAAAATTAAATTTTCCCATTTAAACAATCATCACAATGGACTGTGTAAACAACCTAAGCCAATGATTTGCTAATTAGAAGAAAGACTACTAGAACATAAGGATACAGAAAGATAGAGTAAAAGAAATATTATACAAACACTAAACAGAAGAAAACCAGTATGGTTATAATAACGATAGTACAGCCATCACACAAAGTAGACTTGATGCAGTAAACCTTACTAGAGATGAAAAGGAGCATTTAATTATGATGAAAAATTAATTCACCCAAAAGACACACAACTCTGATTTCATATGCAGTAACAACATAGTCTCAACCTATATAAACTTAAATAAAAAAATAGGCAAATCACAAATACAGTGGGAGACAGAAACACATCTGTAACTGACAGAACATACAGAATAAAAACAGCAAGGATATAGAAGAGTTGGACAAAATTTGATCTCACTGACACATATAAAAAGAGCTGTGCTTGTTAAATACAGAATAACAAGTATAAATTTGTTGTTCTACAAATGCTCTATATATTTGATGCAGTCTGTTCCCCACATGCCTGACACATAAATCCCGAAAAGGTTTTCCAGAATTGTATAAAGAGAGTCTAAAATTATCATGGACATTCTGAAGACAAAGAAGAACAAAAACAATCTTGAAAGAGAAAAACTTCAGAGACTTATACTGTTTTTTATTCCAGCATTCCTAAGTACGGACAGATTGCTTTTTTAAGCATCAGTGCTACTAGACCAATTGCACAGATATTTCTATATTATTTAGGCAGATGATTATTATCTGCTCTAAAAGAAATTAGTATAAGATACCTATACATGATTACATCTTGGATTATCTGGTAGTCTTGCATTCATGAAATTTAATTATTTCCGTAAATGTCAATTAATAAAATGTTTAATTACATGTGGATAAATGCTTTCGCACTTGTAAGCATTTTCACATTAATCCATTTGCATTTTTTCTCAGCTTTAATTGTAATTGACAAATAAAATTATATATATTTGAGATATACCAAGTGATGTTTTTAATACATAAACATTGTAAAGTGATTACCACAATCAAGGTATCAACATATCCATTACCTTAAGTAGTAGTAGTTATCTTTTCTCCGCCTGTGTGGGGAGGTAGAACACTTAAGATCTATTCTCTTACCAGATTTCAAGTATACAATACACTATTATTCAGTACAGTCAACATGCTGTATTTTAGGCATCCAGACCTATTGATCATAACTCAAAGGTAGTACCCTTTTACCTACTTCTCCCCATTTCCTTCATCCCCCAGGCCCTGCCTAGTAATCATTCTTCTGGTCTCTATGAGTTCAACTTTTTCAGATTCCATATACAAGTGATAAGTGGTATATTTCTTTCTAAATAAGTGGTATTTTTCTAGCTTATTTCACTTAACATGATATCCTCCAGGTTCATCCAGGTTGTCACAAATAATAGGAATTCCTTCTTTTTTAAGGCCGAATAATATTACATTGTATGTTTTTATCACATTTTCTTCATTCATCTGTGAGTGGACATTTAGGTTGTTGCCACTTCTTGGTTATTGTGAATAACACCACAGTGAACATGGAAGTGCAGATATCTCTTCAAAATATTGATTTCATTTGCTCTTGATGTATATCCAGAAGTGAGATTGCTGGATCATATAGTACTTCTATTTATAATTTTCTGAGGGAACTCCATACTGTTTTCCATAGTGGCTATGTCAATTTACATTCCTACCAACAGGGTATAAGTGTTATTTTTTTCTCCATATCCTCACCAACACTTGTTATCTTCTAACATTTTGATAATAGGTGTGAGGTGATATCTCATGGTGGTTGTGGTTTCCATTTCTCTGATGATTAGTGATGTTGAGCCCCTACTGATATACCTACGGGCCAGTGATATGGTTTGGCTCTGTGTCCCCACCCACATCTCATCTTGAGTTGTAACTCCCATAATTCCCACATGTCATGGGAGGAACCTGGTGGGAGGTGATTGAATTATGGGGTCAGGTCTTTCCTGAACTGTTCTCGTGATAGTGAATGAGTCTCACTAGATCTGATGGTTTTAAAAAATGGGAATTTGCCTGCACAAGTGCTCTCTTTGCCTGCTGCCATCCAAATAAGAAATGATTTGCTGCTCCTTGCCTTCCACCAT
Organism: Homo sapiens; assembly: GCF_000001405.40. NCBI lineage: Eukaryota > Metazoa > Chordata > Mammalia > Primates > Hominidae > Homo > Homo sapiens. Next base: position 72,155,596 of record NC_000006.12, on the reverse strand, counting down.
GATTGTGGGGCTTCCCCAGCCATGTGGAACTGTAAGTCCAATTAAACCTCCTTCTTTTGTAAATTGCCCAGTCTTGGGTATGTTTTTATCAGAAGCGTGAAAATGGACTAATACAGTATATTGGTAACGAGAATGGGGTGTTGCTGAAAAGATACCTGAAAATGTGGAAGCAACTTTGGAACTGGGTAACAGGAAGAGTTTGGAACAGTTTGGAGGGCTCAGAGAGATGATTTAGGGTATCTGGAGGAAGAAATTTCTAAGCAGCAAAGCATTCAAGAGGTAACTTGGGTGCTGTTAAAGACGTTCGATTTTATAAGGGAAGCAGAGCATAAAAGTGTGAAAAATTTGCAGCCTGACAATGTGATAGAAAAAGGATTAATCCCCAAGACAATGAGAAAAATGTCTCCAGGGCATGTTAGAGGACTTCACGGCAGCTCCTCTCATCACAGGCCTGGAGGCCTAGGAGAAAATGGTTTCCTGGCCAGCCAGCTCTCTATGCAAGATGCTTATATTTAGTGTCAGCAGCAAGATTCTTGGGGACACATTTGGGGTGCCCATGAGAGGGTTAAGGGGTGTCAACATGAGAGGAGTTCATTGTCAGGCTTCCTGATAGAATCCATGGAGTGGTAAGTAGAGCCCACAGCCTCTCTTCCTGCTCCCAGCCTCTCTCAACCATTCGGCTATGATGATTATCTCAGTAATCTGGGTGAAGCAAGAAAGAAGTGGGCCTCTAGGGCAGCATCTTGCACACCAGAAGGAGCCAGGAGTTCAAACACTATGTTCTCATTTTTCCCCATGGGATAAATAGTGGGCCAAAAGTCTCTCTTAGCACTGAGCTGTACCACCTTGAGGAAAGTGGGATACAAGAAGTGAAACTGTTCTTTTTATCCTCTTTGATGTTTCTATTCTTAAATTTCTTGCTTTGATGATGTGCTGGAACTTCAGTGAACTCCTAGATTCTCACAAATGTACTCTTATCTGTGGGTAGTTGTCAAAGTTGATACTTGCGCAAGGGCATGATAATAGAAAGAGTCTAGTCTCTCATCTTGCTGATGTTACTCATTCAACTCACCAGGTTGTTCTCATTTGTTAACTTCTCATATTATGTTTTGACGTATTTTTGCCTTTACATTAGTCTTTAGATTTTTTGCTATTTTGATCATTGTTTTCATCTCTAATAAACTGCAATTCCTTGACAGGTGAATCTTTTTCCTTTTCTTTTATCAAACATCATATGTCCTAGGCATAACTAATGCCATGTATTTTATAATTATACAATCAATACATCCATCTATCCGTCAGTTGTCTGCAAGCATAGCAACATAGTCCTTCATAGAAGGAGCCAAAAACCTCAAGCAAAAGATAAAATAGAAAGATTTTGCTGTCTGTAAAACACATAACTTTTTCCACATGTAATTATTCTCCTAGCATGCAAATTTGTAGCTATTTCATATACAGCTATTCCTTATATCTTGTCTGTGTGAGTGCGTGCGTGTGTGTATTTTTTTTTCTTTCCAGGAATCAAGCACTCTGCTAAGCAGAGATATTATGAAGTAGTATAATTACTTGCATATTCAAGATAATAATTATGTTCCTTCATTAGGTAAGAGTTATGTTCTCAATAGCATCTCCTCCTGCATTTTTATACCTAGCTAGCATGCAAAGAAGTTCTATTTTTTCATGCCTTATACATTTCAATATTTTGTACGTTTTTAAAATTTTAAACTATAAAAAAGTTTATATAGGATTACAACCACCTGTACAAACAAATGAATGCAGCTGTTTGTTATACTCATCAGATTTCTCAAAATATTTAAGAAGATACCAGTATAAATGGGCAGACCCAATCAAATTAGTTCTTCTTCCATAGCCCCTCCTCTGAATGTTTTCTAAAGTTCCTCTGGAATATTATCCCTTAGCGCAGTAAGTGCACAAGCTTTGTTTGACTGCAAGTATACTGGGGGTAGTTTTATCTGATTATTATATAATGCAGTAATGTCCACTTTGATTTCATTGCATAATTTATTGTAAAAAATCTATAGATTATTTACTTCAGTATTTTTAGAGCTAATAGAGATTAGAACATGGCCATGTAAACATTTAATTTATTTTATACTAGAAAATGATATGTTATTGTGGTTCTTACAAACTTAGAGATTTTTAAAAGTCTTAGGATTGTTTAAGGTTTAAAATATTTGACCAAAATAGGATGTAGTTCTTTCAAATGTCAAGGGTTTGCTCTATACTGAAAAAAAATCTCCTTACTGGTTGCTTTAGAAGTTCCTGATTCAGTTCTAGAATTTGAAGATGAAAAAAAATCAACCAGTCCAACTCTCTTATTTTGAATATAAGTAAATTGATTCAGAAGTGTCATAAATTGTCCATGGTCTCACATGCAATTCGTTATGAGGTCTATTGGAGGACATAAGGGGAATATATACATATATTCCATATATATACATAGGGAATATATACATATATTCCATATATATACATAGGGAATATATACATATATTCCATATATATACATAGGGAATATATACATATATATACACACACACACATATATACACACACACATATATATACATATATAAACATATATTCCATATATACATATATATACATATATTCCATATATATACATATATATACATATATTCCATATATATACATATATATACATATATTCCATATATATACATATATATACATATATTCCATATATATACATATATATACATATATTCCATATATACATATATATACATATATTCCATATATATACATATATATACATATATTCCATATATATACATATATATACATATATTCCATATATATACATATATATACATATATTCCATATATATATATTCACATATATATACATATATTCCAAATGTATCTCTATGGAATATATATGTCTTTCCTCCTAATGTAAGGTTCCACTTGTGCCAGAATCTCCATGAGTGCTGTGATAATATCAAACACATGCAAGCACATATTTACAAGCACATGCACATACATTGTAGATATACACTGCACAAGAACACTGGGAAAATCTGTAGTATAAATCCAAAGTTGGTGATACAGTTGGAGAACAGAACCATAAAAAATGCCTTAAAGATGTCAGAAAAGCACACAGATGATTTCACAAAGAGCTGCATAGCATAGTGGCTAAGAGTCACCTCTGTCACTTAACCAATTGTGATCTTAGACAAGCTACCCAACTGTTCTCTGCTTCAGTTTTCTTGTCTGTACAATAGGCATAGTGATAGTACCTCTCCCATAGGTATGTTGTAAGAGTTAAATTAGCATTTGCAAAGTGCTTGGAATAATGCCTAGCACATAGTAAGTGCTATAAAAATGTTGGTTAAGAAAATGAAATATGGCACTTAAAAATGAGCATTTCGCATCCAACCCATGTGATATAGTTTGGATGTTTGTTCCCTCCAAATCTCATGGTGAAATGTAATCCCTCATATTTGAGGTGGGGCCTGATAGGGTTTGGATCGTGGGGGAGAATCTCTCAGTAATGCTTGGTGCCATTCTCATGGTAATCAGCGAGTCCTCCTTATGAGTTCATGGGAGAGCTCTCTTAAAAGAGTGTTGCACCTCCCCCATCTCTCTTTGTTCTCAATCTGGCCATGTGCTACACTGGTTCCTCCTTTGCCTCCCACCATGTTTGCAACTTCCTGAGGCCCTCACCAGAAGTGGATATGACACCACACTTCTGTACATCCTGCAGAACTGTGAGCCAGTTAAACTTCTTTTCCTTACTAATGACCTAGCCTCAAGTATTTCATTATAGCAACACAAAAACTAACACATCATGCTATCCTTTCTTAAAGTAAAATGTACTGCCCTGAAATGACATATTTCAGGAAAAGAGAGACAGTTAGACAGACAGATAGAGAGAGATATATGATACTCCTTTTCTTGGTTACAGAAAAACAAAGAATTAGTGACAAGAGCCCATATTGTATTGGCAAGGATTTGCATCTGATATAAGGAAGAACTTATTGACAACACAAGATGCCAAATACAGCTCAGAAAATAAGGACTGCAAGTTTTTCTTCCCTATCAGATTATTGTTAGTTCACTAATATGAGTAGGTTATAATGAGGAAGCTATAGAAAAATCAGAAACCCTCTCAAGATTTCTTCTTTATAATTTTAAGACTCAGATATCACATCTTTAGACTTTCATCCTGATTCCGCTGGTTACGTTTTCCATTAAAATAGAATATATGGGCCGGGTACAGTGGCTCACGCCTGTAATCGCAGCACTTTGGGAGGCAGAGGCGGGCGGATCACGAGGTCAGGAGATCGAGACCATCCTGGCTAACACGGTGAAACCCCGTCTCTACTAAAAATACAAAAAATTAGCCAGGCATGGTGGCGGGAGCCTGTAGTCCCAGCTACTTGGGAGGCTGAGGCAGGAGAATGGTGTGAACCTGGGAGGCGGAGCGTGCAGTGAGCCGAGATTGCGCCACTGCACTCCAGCCTGGGTGACAGAGCGAGACTCCGTCTCAAAAAAAAGAAAAAAAAAATAGAATATATGTCTTTCCAACTTTATGTTAATTGCTTTCAGAAACCCTAAACAAAAATGATTTCAAATGCATTTATGACTGTCACCATGGTCCATCTAAACCAAATATAACAATAATTCTGTCTGCAATTATTACATTCCTCAAGGTTAAAAAGCAGAAAAAGACATCAAATGGCACAATATAATCTGGAACTTGTGGCCCTTCACCTTAGAGCAGATGTCCTCAATTTGAGGAAAAGAGCATGAGGGGAAGCCTGAAAAGTAGAATGGAAAGGAAAACAAAAAGTCAGACTTAGGGGAATGAGACATGGGAATAGTAATGAACAAACAAAATGAACAGGCAATTACTATTGCATATTCATTTACTTCAATTCCTACGAAACTAGTTCGTGACATTAGATCACATGTAAGGTGACACATTTCTGGCTATACTAGCTTGAGAGATTTCTGCACAATAACCTGTATCTATGATTAATGAGGACAATGGAGTCAAATATTCTTGAATATTTTTCCTCACAAATACGAGAAAAAGTCTTCACAACCCATATTTCAATGTCTTCAATATCTTATGTCCTGATAATAGTGGCAGGAGGCAGACAAATCCTAAACAGATAGGGGTGGGTCCCTGGTGAAACCCCACCTTCAAGCCAAAAGACAGTTTAAAGTCTGAAAGCCAAAATACAAGTCAAATCCACAGACCAAATTGAGAACCTCTCTTCCCATTTGGTGCTTTCTTCTAATTGATCCTCACCCTTCACATATTTTACATATACCTACCTTTCCATAATTGTTTTTTTTACACTGTCATGCCCACCTTTGACTGGCCTTTTTTTAGCCTTTTTTTTTTGCATACTCACAAACCAATCAGCATGCCCTCCCCATTCTGAGCCCATAAAAGCCCCAGGCCCAGCCACACTGAGAGAAACCACTTGACTTCAGATGGGGGACCACCCTCACATCCCCTCTCTGCTGAGAGCTGTTCTGTCATGAAATAAAATTCCTCTCCACCCCCCTCACCTTTCGATTGTCAGTGTAACCTCATTCTTCTTGGATGCAGAAAAAGAACTTGGGAGCCACTGAACATGAGTATGAGCTGTAAAACAGGCAGGCTAGGTCATGCCAAACCACAGGCTGAGCACGGATCCCCTGGTGAGCACAGAATACAGGCTGGTCTGCAAGCCAGGTGTGGCCCAGTGGGCCGAGTGAATGAGACACATCCTGCAGCAGGCCTAGGGCCAAGAAAGGCTCAATCAAGGATGTTGCTGGCTGTGGAAGCCCCCAGCTAGCAAACTTAACAAGAAAAATCCTGCATCATTTCTAGGGGCTCATCCAGGATTGTCAGAGGGTGAGTGAATGTGGGCATATAATTCTTCACTTTTTTCCCAAGACTTTTTGTCCTCAGACTTTTTTCTGAAGGCAGATAAGCACTGTACCTCCAATTAGCCAGTTAAGAGTGAATGGCATGGCTACAGAGGACAGGATGTGGGGAGGGCTCTGCCACCACCCCCACCCCCATCACTCTCAGGTGTAAGGAATCTTCACTTTGTTTCCCTTCACAGACGTCTAGCTGTCACATGGGATCAGAATAAGGTCCTGAGGAAACTGAAGGCATCTGGCCAAGGCAACACCTCATTGTTGTCCTAAGGCCCCTAGACCGGCTCCAGTCTGCAACTGGAGGGGGTGTTAGGGTGTTAGCCAAGATGCCCAGACTTTTCAATGGTACTTTTTTTCTTTCTTTCATGGATTGTGATGGCTGCTAGCTCTTCTTTTATAATGTTAAAGGTGCTGTTGCAAACTACACAGATATTACTGGGTAGAATGGGCACTTGGCCCAGTCATAAGAAATGCAGTTTCTGTCTATTCTTAGAAACAGGGAGGATGCAGCAATTAAAGTTTTTTTTTCCCCTGTTGAAGGAATCCATTTGCATAGAACAAGAGGCTTTTTCCCACAGGCACTTAAGCTGTTTTTTTTCTTTCCTCCACCATGTCAGGAGTTCACAAAGTCCTGTGAATAAAGGGAGCTTTTCTACGTGGCAGATTTTTTTTTTCCTTTGGGGAGGCATCTTACTAGGGCAGGTTCCCAATTCCTGGGACTCCTTTTCTCTCCCTTATTTGAGGAGGCCCTGGTTCCACAACTTCACCTTAGCACTCTGCTTATGATAGGGAAGCAACAGAGAAGTGGCCCCAACTACCCCCACCAGTCACTGACTGCAAACATGAGGGTCACCTTGGACTTAATTTAATGAGTCTGTGTACCCTACTGAGGCACCTTTTTGTCCCAAACTCAATCCTGAGCTTTCGATTGAAGCCCTAGAAAAAAAAAAAAAAACCCAAGTCTCCGCAAACCCAAAGGTTAGTGACAGCACAAGTCTAGGGGCACAACATAGTTAAGCATAACTAATTCCTGCTGACTGGGCTCCCCACTTCATGGAAGGAGGTCATGCTCGTATCCATGGCATAGATGAGGTATAGGGAACTCAAGGTTACTGACAGCAGGGAGTATAGGCCAGTGCATTAGGTGAGTGCAAATAATCCTACCCTCTAGGCCTTCCTGCTACGTGGTGAAGGTCACACTGGCACCCATGGATGGCACTGCCAAGGTCACCAGGACTCGAGGATATAAGGATAGAAGAGAAAATGGGGACATCTTTTTTTTTCTCCCCCTCTTGTATCCCAGGTTTTTCTAGAAAGAGAAAGGAACAAAGGGATGCCTTTTCCTCCTTTTTCCAGATGGTTAACCAAACATCTTCAGTCTGTACTTCTCTTGAGTGCATCTTGAATCATTGGGACTCTTTGGAAAATAAATGCTTTCTTTTTCCTTTTTCTCCTTTATCCTCTCTTCCCAGATGGTTAATTGTGTCCCTGTACCACAGGACACACCCCTCAGATGAATCCCCCAAACTGGAAAAAGCTTAATTTCCTGAAGCCTTAAACTGTTTGGCTTAAAAATGAGCTGGTAAGAAATTACAAATTTAGCTGAGCAATCTCTTGAGGAGGGGCTAACTTTTACAACATGAAGGTAACCTCTTTGTCTGTTTCCCCATCACAGGACTCCAGGGTCAATAGGGCTCCACAGTGTAGGGGAATGGAACCCAGAAGCCTGGGATGCTGGCAAAAACATAAAATTTCTTGCCAGTTGGACTTCTGGCCACTCTCTGTGCAAAATAGTTGCAGGAATGGTAAAAATCTCTGTATTTTCTGCCCCTCTATGAGTTCAAAACCCAGAAGTATTGGCCATATACCATGGCTAAGGTCAGGTAATAAAAGATTCAAAAGGACTTTTTTAAAAACAGAGCACTATAGTTAAAAGTCAGCTTAATTAAAAGTGGATATTCAAGCTATAGGTATATTTAAAAGGCCTTTATGTCTTTTCTCTTTGTGGATCTTGTTTTGCCAGAAAAACATTCTTTTCTTCTCAGTCAATGGAATTATTTTTCTTCACTGTTAATGCACACACACATGAGAGGCCCTAGAATAGCTTTTGATAGCCTGGGACTCCTTGGGAAACAGAGGAGGTGCCACTGACCCTGTGTTGGAAAAAATTTCTGTTTTCCTCATGGAACCCCCAGGATAGAGCCCTCTCAAAATTTGTTTCTGTCTTTCAGATATGCCTGCTTATTAGGCCCTAGAAACCACATGCTTTCCTAGCCCTGTTTCTTCAAGGGCTCCACCCTGAGGCCAGTAATCCAATTAAGAAACTGCCCAATGAAAAATCTTACAACTACTCAATTTTCTGTCTCTCTGTGTAGTTATATATGTGTTATGTATGTGATGTTTATTTAGAAGAGCTCTAATTAATTGACTAAAGAAAAATAAATGCATAGATCAAATATTTTTGAAGGAAAAATTAAAGCTGTAATGCCTTTTAATTCATATGACTTTAATCTTTGAGAAATAAAAACAGCTTTAAAGATTATTGGTAAAGTAAAAATGTCTTCAAAATGTAGACATGTGGTCTAAATTATACAGGTCAGATATTAGGTTTGCTAAATGCTTTAAGGTCATAAACTGCTTCTTTGGCTTTTGAAAATCGTTTGACTTGCCTGCTTTACAGTTGGTAAGGTCTGGGGACATACGGAGTTAACCATGCCCCTGATTATGCTGGAAAGAGTCAGACCGTATCTACACCTAGTACATAATTAAAATAACTTACTAGGTTTTACATCAAAATTTAAAATTGCTAAGAATTACCATTATAACATGTAATTGAGACTACTTAAAATAGATTTACATGATAGGTATGTAAGGAAAGTAAAATGTGTTTTTAGTAAAAGATTATAAGAAGGCATGGGAATATAAATTTTTGTCTAGGTTAGAGGGTTAAAGGATTGTTTTAAATTAAATAAATCTAAAGGTTTGAACAAGGTGTGGAAGGTTTGTAAAAATTAATCTTGTAAAAGAAATTCTGTGTATGAACATATTGACTAAATTCAAAAGGTTATTATTTGGTTTTTCAATTTGGTAAATTGAACACTGAAATAAAAGCACAACAGGGTTTTCTAAAGGCACTAACCTTCTCTTTAACAAAAATTTGTAAAGGTTTATAAAAGATTTATAAGAATTTCACCTCATGGTCAAACTGGTTAAGATTTATCCTTAAGGTTTTATTTAAAAAATGGGCTTGACCTTAATGGTAGAGTAATGCAAGGATGAAATCAAGCTTTCTACCTCTTGAACAAGATTTTCGTGTAACATAAAAGGATAATGAAAGATTTTTGTTTGCCTTGCAAATAAACTACTGAAGAAAGAAGGGAAAGACACGTGACAGATTTTTTGGAAAGCTAAGTCTTCCCTCCTGTTGCGTAAAGATTTTGCCTTTTTAAAAATATTTGAGACAATGCCAGTTTCCGATAGCTGTAGAGATTGTGACATTAAAATAGAGGAAAAATGTTCAGGACTCATGAATGTCATGCAGAACAAGAATTAACTGAATGAACTAAACTAATAAAGGACTGAAGTAATCATTTTTTACTTTTTGCTTAAAATATTGCTGATCCTTTGTTTCTCAGAGTCAAGAAAATTTTTATTTTGAACTATTTACAGCTTTTAACAATTGAGTAAGGTATACTTCTGTGAACAAAATTTCCAGCGTATTTGTTTCTCTCTGCCTGGTTTCTCCACAATTTGGAAACGATTTGGGAGTATTCTTAACTTATGACAATATAGCTATTTGCATAAGTGCAATAAGAATCCATTTTCTCTTGCAACAGGATGCAATTGGAGAAACTGTTTTTTGTTTGTTGTTGTTTGTTTGTTTTTGCCAAAGCTTTGACTGGAAGGGTGTGCTTCCCTTTAAGGAATCAAGCTTGACTTGCAGAGCCAATAAAAGCCCCTTGGGAACACTGGCCTCTTAACTTGTCTACACAGTCTTTATACGGGGTTCCTAACCTGTGGTCAGTAAAGAATGTAACTTTCTTTTTTGATTTTTTTTTGAGATGGAGTCTCACTCTGTCACCAGGCTGGGGTGCAGTGGCATGATCTGGGCTCACTGCAACCTCTGCCTCCCAGGTTCAAGTGATTCTCCTGCCTCAGCCTCCTGAGTAGCTGGGACTACAGGAGTGTGCCACCAGGCCCAGCTAATTTTTGTATTTTTAGTAAAGACAGGCTTTCACCATGTTGACCAGGTGGACTTGATCTGTTGGCCTTGTGGACCACCTGCCTCAGCCTCCCAAAGTGCTGAGATTATAGGCGTGAGCCGACACACCTGGCCAAAAATGTCACTTTCTAATAGGCCCAGGAGCCCAAGTTATCTTGGGGACATCAAGAAGAGAGGAATTTACCCAATTCATAGGTATTTGAAGGTGCAAACCCATGGCTGGGCTTGGCTTTAAAAGGTCTTATCTGAGATTCCTTATGAAGCAGAATTCCATCAAAGCCAATTTTAAAAAGCCTATGGGAAACATAATTATTTTTGCTGCACTTTATGCAAATAATCAGGCCAAGTATAAGACTAAAGTTTATTTTACAAACAACTCAGTTCTATTATGATTTGTTTTTAACAAAAGAACTGGAGAGAGAAAAATTATGCTACTCAGGAGGCTGAGGCAGGAGAATCACTTGAACACAGGAGGCAGAGGTTGTGGTGAGCCAAGATCACGCCACTGCACTCCAGCTTGTGTGACAAGAGCGAAACTCCATCTCGAAAAAAAAAAAGAAAAAAGAAAGAAAAAAAATCCTTATCATACACTTGTCATTACATTCTAGTCTCATTAGTTGTTTTTAAGTTTTTGTCTGCATTTTAGACTAACCCTCATTCCTGTGAACCAATCAGTGATCTCCAGCTGTAGCTCAAAAGAAATAAAAGGGATGGGTAATGTAAAAAACTAGATCAATATTCTAATTCTGGGCAATTATCCTGCAAATCCTGCCAGGTGCTGGGGGTAAATGGAGTGTCTTTAACCTGAAGGCTTCTTTTTTTTTTTGGAAAAGAAGACCATGGGAGCTAACCAAAGCGAAGCCCCATGCACCCAAATCTTAGCAGGCACAACTGTAGCCACCAATTATCTGTTCATGTCAGCAGCCTTAGGACTTTTGAGCTGTCTTTATCCTCTACTTTCATTTTGATAAATGTCTACGTCTTGATACATGTCTCTTCACGGAGGACCCCAGCGGGCAAAGTGACCAAGAAAAATACTACATCACTGATATTTCATGAAGACAGGAGACACATTCTTTAGAACTTCCATCTCAAACTCCTGCTCTACTCAAGAAGTTAAGTAGATGTTACTCCTTATTTATTCTCTAACAGAGTGCATATTAGCTGCTTTTCTGAAATTCAGAACCATTGAGGCATTGGCAAGAAGTAATCTTGAGTAAAAATGAATATGGCCTTAAAGTACACTACTTTGTTAATGGCCAACTGCTTGAATAACACTTAATAGATGCATAATGAATAGTTGTCATTTTTGTTGTGACTGTATCTTAAATTGGTTAAATAATGATATGCTGCTTTAGTAATACGGGCCTGCGTTCGCTGCTATAGTGGAAGAACTGGAAGCCATGAATTTCATGCAATAATTTTATCCACCCAAAATACTGTGGTCCAGGACATGTTTACTTGCTATTATTGCCATCCTCACCTTTCTTTACTTTTCCCTGTCCTTTTACTCACCAATTCCAGGATACATATGCTATCCTTTAATTTCTAAAAACTATAGATGGCTCAGAGTTTTCATTCAAGAAATGGGGCTTTATGCAGTAATGTGTCATTTGTTGAAGTGCAATGCTTCTAGCAGAAAAGACGTAAAAATACGATAATGTAGAAACTATTAAGTATGTTTAGAAATTAATTGTATCCTCTTTGGCATTGTCTGGAGCCAACCTCTGCTCAAACTGGAGTTTGATCTTCACAGGCAGTGCTAAACATCAACTAAATACCAACACAGCGTGATAGAAGGCTGGTTCATCACCAAGGTTTCAACGTAGAACCTTCCTTTCTCTGCCTTCAGTACCATAGCCCATAATCACAGAAGCTGTGAAATACTGCACACATTTCCACATTCCATTGCTGACAGCCTCTTGACTTCATCCTGACTTCCACCAAGATCTACCTTCTGGAATTGACCATTTTTTCCCAAATACCAAGGCCATAGGTTGAGACATTGTGAACCCAGTATTTTGCTTTGGACTCTCTTTATGATGCCCAGCTCTCATTAAGTAATTTAAGCTGACTGTCTTTTCTCCAAAACCATGGCACTTAAACAATATCCTATTTTGATATGGCTCAAATTGAAATAGAAACAAGGCTAAATCCATATCCCAGTCATCTAAAATGTATTTCTTTCTATCAGAAACCACAACTACGTATATATTTAAAAAGAAATAATATATCTTTCTGCTCATAGTCTTGAGATAAATATCACATTTAAGAGAATTTTATCACTAGCCTATATGTTAGAAACAAATGGAAACAGCTTTCAATTAAAAATAAAGGAAAACAGGCACATCAACCACCATGAACACTATATTCTGGACATAATTTTATCCACTACATACCAATACATCACATCACAATTCTTTGATCACGATTACATGGTGATCAAAGAATTTGCAAAAATAGCCTGCTTAATAAAACTGTCCTATGGAGAAAGCTGTTTGCATAAATTTCTCTACTTCTAATAAATTAGTATTAGAAGAGTTTTAACCATGTACTTCATATACTAGGTTAAATTGTTATTCCCTTCCTAAGTCCATATGTATTATCGTTGGTTGCAATGTTTATTAAAAATGTCATCTATCTTCAAGTTTTTATAAAGTTTTTGTAAGTGTCCTCCTGCTGTTTATTTCACACCTGCTAGCATAATCCTTCCTTTATGGTGCTCTGTTTAGTTACCATGGAAATGATATTATAATAAAGCAGAAACAACTGTCATTGCAAGATGATTGCTGCTTAATTTTAAGCTGGCGATAACCTCATTTCTATATACATAATGGAAAATGTTATTTGACAGTGATTTCACACTGAGATCAGTCTGTGACCACTCATAAAAGAGCTATCTTTTATTGATGATCTGGGGTAGCTCTGATAGATTTTGAAAATAATATATGAATAATTGTCTCCTTTTTTCAGGAAGTAGAAAGAGGTCATATCATAGACAAGGAATTTACCATCTAACCTGTTAAAATACATAAAACGATGTTCTACTACTTTCTGTCAGAATATCACTTTAAAATAATAACAAAATACCACATATTTTGTTCCAAGGAAAAAATAATGTGTTTTCATTTAAAATGGCACTGTAGGGGGGGAATCACCATCTTTGGAGTTAGGCATACCTGCTTTGTAAATATAGCAGGTCAATTTACTTTTCTCCTATAAAGGGAGGACAATAATGGTTAACCCAATGATTTTTTTTTCTGCCAGAAGAGATAAAATATTAAATGGCTTGATATTTAGAGGGGCCAGATTAAATTAATTTCCAGTCACATACTTAGTGTACAAATTTAAAAACAGTGATCTCTTATAGGACATCATACAAAATTTAAAAGACCCACTAGCAACTAAGACAAATGCAGTATGTCACTTTTAATAGATGTTTTAAAAGCATAATATAAAATATTTTATCAAAGAACACAAAGTAAAAATATTTTTATTACAAAAATGTTAGAACTTGAAGGAAGCTAATAGGCCACCTAATTCAATACCTGTTACTTTCTAGGAAAGGAAACTACATTTAGATAACTTGTCCACAGTGATACATTTTACTAATAGCTCAGCTGAGGTGAGAACCAACCACTTTAATCCAAGTCTAGTGACTTATCATGAAATTCTGAAAAACACATTTTAAAAATATAACACCAAAGATTTTTTTCACTATGCTTAAACACTTATTTAAAACTTTAAAACTTTAGTACTTACTCTATCACGGGTTATTTAAATTGTGTGGTAAAATTTAAATAAATTTATAAAATGTCAAAATGTAAGGAAAATTAATTAGGACTCTCCTTATTTTCTTTCATTTGAAGGCAAGTTTTATTCTTCTGAGTACTAAGCATGCTGGACACCATTCAACACTATTATTCTTAGGGAAAATGTAACTTATTAATGAGAACTTTGCCTCAAATTGCAGCCTCTAATTTACCAAGTGTCACAATAATGGATTATCAGATTTACTAGTCATTTGACTTAAATACCCAAAACCTGGAAGTACATTTAAACTTTTTTTGAGGGGGAGGAGGGAATTTGGAAATTTAATAGCATTAAAAGTTCCACTAGAGTTATTTTCTAGTAACAGCATGCTGATGGCCTTCATGCTCAACTGTCTGGCACTATGTCACTGATGCTTTTATTATCCCTCCCATATATTCATAGACCATACAGTTTCTCAATGAATCTTTATCTAAACTCCACAACTGTGTTATTAGATGGCTAACTTTATAGATTTGTTTCAAATAGTTTGTTAAACTATTAGTGAAAACATCTACTCCTAGAAGATATGCAGAAATGTCTATCAAAATATTGTTGGAAATATTGGAAGTCATACCCACCTTAAAATACAGATATGTATAACCTACTACTCATCAACTGGGTAAATTACCAAGTTTTTCCTGCCATCCTGTGGAAGGATAGAGAACATCACCATCTTAAGAAATAAATTCCTCCCTCCTTGAAGACTTGTTCCCAACTTACTTTTCTCAACCCCAAACCCTTAGGAAAACTATGTACTTTTGCTAAAAAGTATCTTTACATCTATATGACAACAGGAAAACAGTTATATTTGAGTATATATCATATAAATGTTGATGTCTCTTAAGGACAGAAATACGAAATTGAACTAAAATGGTCTGTAATCCTTGATAATCTGAAGATGGGAAATGCAATCCAAATGTCTTCTTTTCTGATCTCAAAAACTCTGGGAAGTTAGAGGTCTTACAGCACTAACACACATAACAGGGCTCTGCTTTCTTGTTGGAGAAATCAAAGTGCTTTTTCTCACACACTCAGACAAAATACAAATAACTATCATAAAGGGTGGAAGGTGTTAAGTTTTAAATATAGTAATCATGCCAAGTGGAAATATTTAACCATTATCTGTCATACTGTATGACAGGGACATTTTCTCTTCCTGATGCTTTGTAAATTCTACCAGGGAAAATATTAAAGAATTTTTAAAATTCTAAATGTACTGAAATACCTTGGAATTATTTGATATCTAGATAACCTCCTTACAGACTGTAGCCTCTGTTTAACTATGTTACCAATATAATTTCTGATTTTTAATTCTGTTACTACTTGGCAGATAGGATTATACAGAAACTAAAATAATAGTGTTCCTTGCTGATAATTATACATTTAAAAGCATTAAAGTGAAGACAATATTCTTTAGAAAGGTTGGCAGTTCAAGTGATTTTTTTTAAATAAAAAAGGTCACAATAAAATAAATCAGTCTTTTATAGATTACTGATCAGAACAGTTTTCTAAACCAAGATAGCTCCACTTAGTCAGAGCTCAGACGTCCACAAGAATGAGGAACATTTTTCTTTCATAATAGTAGAAATAAGGTAAGCTGTTCCCTGTCTGGACCAATGCTACATTTATCCCACAAAGTTAAATACAAAGAAATTAACTTGCTGTTTCCTTCATACTGTTCATGTAATATCTTAAATCAATCTTCAAGCCTCTTATGTAAAATTAAGGCCTTTAATTAATTTTAAGCTAGAATTTGTTTAGGTGATTTGGAAGAATGTAACTAAAAACATGCTTCCTGAATTAATTTGGAAAGATGAGAGATTGATTTGCATTTGGTCTGTGATTTTTAAATAACTTAATAAAACAACAATGTACACATTAGGGAAATGTATTCTTTTGAAAAAAATATTAAAAATAAAGAACTATATATATTAAGAACTGAAATCTGAAACTTTCCCTTCATACCAAATCTATTATAATTTAGTCCATCCACATAACATTTAATATATATTATTTAGTGTCTATTATGTGCCAGGTACTAACCAGACCCTAGGGAAACAAGTCTCCAAGATCACAAAGCTTATAATCTAGTGGGAAGAAGCAGATACACTGACAATATATACTATGTTAGGTAGTGCTATATGAAATGTAAATTAGCACAAAGGGCCAGTGCAGAGTAGGAGCAGTGGGTGGGCAGTGCTTTTTAAGAAGTTTTTAGAAAGGGCCTCTTTGATGAGATGCCAAATGAGCAGAGGCACAAACCTTGGGCCAGACTTATAAAGGAAGTCATTCTAGGTATAGGAAACTGAAAATGTCAAGACCTTACTTGGTGTGCTCATGAACAGCAAAGTAACCAGTGTGTGAAGGGGATTATATGAGAGGATGAGATCAAGTTGGGAGAGGTGTGGTGAAGACGAGGAGCCCTACAGCTCTAATAGGACTTTTTAGGTCCTAGAAAAGGCCAGAGTCTTTTCATATGTATCCTTCCAACACTATATGCACACATACACACACACACAGACACACAGAAACAGGCATGTATCTTTATGTATACCTACGTGTGTGTATCTACATATATATACATATAAACAGTTATATGCATTTATGTTTGTGTTTATAGGAATTTTAATTTAGTTATTATAAAATATAGCACTGCTCATCTGTAATTTCCCTAGAATTTAAAAATATAAAAGTAGAATTGTTCATGGTAAACTCCTTTTAAATGTTCATGGAGGCTAACAAATTGCCCTTCACAACAAGCAGTAGTAACCTACACTTCCACCAGCAACATAAGATAGTGACCACTTCTCAAAACCCCCAACAACACTGGGTGTTATTAGTCTTCTGAATTTTTGTCAATCTGATAGTGAAAATGATTTTTCATTGTTCATTATAGTTGATTTTTTAAAATATATTTCTTCATTTTTTGTAATGTGCCTTATGCAAATTTACTTTTTATATTTTTTTGTTGAATTATTTTTTATTTAAGAGTGTCTATTTAGTTGTTTTTGTTTTGCCTCCCTTGTTCTCATCCCACTTCTCTGACTTTAACTAATGTCAACAGCCAGATGTGTATGCCTTCTCAGCTTTCTCCTGTTCATACAAACGTATACAAACATTTTTACACATATATAAAATTATTTGATTTTCATTTATTTGAAAAATCCAGAAAAAGCAGATTTATAGAGATAAAAAGTAGATT
The DNA here is from genome assembly GCF_000001405.40 of Homo sapiens. Classification (NCBI taxonomy): domain Eukaryota; kingdom Metazoa; phylum Chordata; class Mammalia; order Primates; family Hominidae; genus Homo; species Homo sapiens. Next base: position 72,138,431 of record NC_000006.12, on the reverse strand, counting down.
AGTTTTTGCCTGAAGCTGGGGAGAGGAATGAGGATTAATTGTAAATGGGCTTAAGGGATTTTATTGGGGAGATTAAAATGTTCTAAAACTGGTTTGTACTGATGATTGCATTACTCTGTAACGTTACCAAGAAACACTGAAAGTTACTAAGAAACATTAAATTGTACATTTGAAAATAATAAGTTTCATTTGTATATATCAATTAACTTCTTTAAAGAAAATGATGTATACACATTTCTAGCAACTTGCTTTTTTAGATAAAAATGTATCATAGATATCCCTACAAGTTAAAAGGAGGAAAGTCTACCTACCTTTTTGAACCGTCTATACACATATACATACACACACACACACACAGACTCACATACGATCTTTGCATTAAGATTGTATAGACTTTGCCGGGCGCGGTGGCTCACGCCTGTAATCTCAGCACTTGGGGAGGCCAAGGCGGGTGGATCACGAGGTCAGGAGATCGAGACCATCCTGGCTAACATGGTGAAACCCCGTCTCTACTAAAAATACAAAAAATTAGCCGGGCGTGGCGGTGGGCACCTGTAGTCCCAGTTACTCGGGAGGGTGAGGCAGGAGAATGGTGTAAACCCGGGAGGCGGAGCTTGCAGTGAGCCGAGATCGTGCCACTGCACTCCAGCCTGGGCGACAGAGCAAGACTCCATCTCAAAAAAAAAAAAAAAAAAAAGATTGTATAGACTTAATTTTTGCAGACAACTTTGCATCTTAATTTTAGGACAGAAGAACAAAACAAGAAAGCTATAAAGTAAACACACAATATCAGATTGGAATATATATATATATTTAAAACACATTTAATATATAAAATGCTAATGTACTTAATATACAAAGAATGCTTACAAATGGACAAGAAAAATACAACTCAATAGAAAAATAAGCAAAGGTTATGAGCAAATAATTCTCAGAAAAATAAAAATTAAACGTCTCAAAACACATGAAATAATGCATAAGCTTAACAAATCAAAGAAATACAAATAATTAAATTAATAATACAATGTTAATTTATATGTATCATGTTCACAAGATTCCAAGAAAAGTACTAACATTTATTATTGGTGCTATGTGAGAAATGTATACCTTCAAACACTGCTGAATTGCTAAAACATTTTTGGAAAGCAGTTTGAAAATAACTTTTTTCTGGAATTTATTCTTATAAAATGCTACTAAGAATATATGCACAAGGAAAACTGTGGTATTGTTCTTAAAAACCCTTGAAACAACAAGAATGATGAATAAATTATGGGATATACATATGGGATTTTTCAAATTTATATTTAGCCACCTCACTAAATTTCTCAATAATTTTCATTATGGTATACAACTTTATAGTCAACAAAAAGATACATCTTTACTTCTTTCTCTCCACTTTTATTCTAGTTATTTTATTTTATTGCCTTATTATATTAACTAAAACATCCAAGACTATGTTAAATGATAATCGGTTAGTGTCCCATTCCTTGATTTTTATTAATATAGTTTTAGTGTTTCACCTGTAAAAATAATAAGTGTTGTTAATTTTTGGTAAATGTTCCTATTTATATTTAGGAGGCTGTATTATATTTAAAGCTAGTGTTTCATTAGAAATGGCTGTCAATTTTACCAAACATTTTTCAAGCATTTATTGATTTAATCATATAATTTTATACTTTACTTGTTTGATACACTGAGTTATGTTGTTAGATTTTTTTGGTGTTAAGTCATCCTTATCTTCCTAAAGTAAATATTATTTGATCATTTTTTGCACTAAATTTTGGAGTGATTATTTTAGAAAGAGAATGTAAAAGGTAAACTTTCTGAATGTTTTCACGTCCAAAAATTTGTTAACTTTGCCCTCACAACCAGTTAGATACAGAATTCTCGATTTCAAAAATTTATGTTTGTTTCAGAACAGTGAATATATTGCTTAATTAACTTCTAACATTTTGTTAAAGATAAATCAGAATGCAATGTTTCTCCTTTCTTTGTAAGTAAACCTTTTCATTTTTTTTTCTTGAAATATTTTAGGATTCTTCTGTTTATACTAAGAGTAATAAAATTCCACCAAGATGCATATTTGTGTAAGTATTTTTTCAACAATCATGCTTAACAATTTGGGAATATTTTCCTCTATTTTGTATTTATGTTCTCGATTATTTTCTTTTTTCATCTTCTGGAACTCCTATTACTTGAAGTTAGACTTCCTTGGTTAAGCATCTATGACTAACTCTTCTAACATTCTATTTGTTTTTCTTAAACCAGTGAAAATATCATATATTTATCTTATAGATTACTGATTCTGTCCTCAGTTCTGTCTGTTATTTACCAGTTCTATTGACTTTTAAAGATAATTTTTGCAAATCTATTTTAATTCCTAACTCATTCTTATCCTCTCATTGCCCCTTTCCTCAGCAGACTGTTTTTATTTGGTGTATGCAAATCTTTGTTATTTCAAATGTCATGGAATCATCTTTGTTCATTCTGGAATGAATTTCTTCTGCCATTGTGCAGGTAATAGGGTTATTTTCTAAAGGTCCCCATCTTCTAAACAGATGGGGTCACCGTGGGTTTGGTGTAAATGGGTAGGTACCTTGACTGACTGGCTTTGTTTTATCACTTAGGCATCTTACACATGTGCAGAATGGCAGTGACCACCCACTGCTACCCAAACCCGCAAAAACATTTCTCAATTTTTCACTTATTGAAACAAAGTTGGCTGTTCTCTGATTGTAGAATATCCTAGTGAATTTCCCTGTGATGTAGCTGCTTTAACTTCTTTTCTTCTCCTTTCCACGTCAGTTTTGGATATCAAGTCACCTCAGGCTCTCCTATTCCCTCATACCCTGACACCCACACTAAACATTCATTCTCAGACACCGATGCCCATTCTAAGCATCTTCCTCAAATAAGTAGCTAAATTTCCTTAGAGTACTGTCTACAAGTTTTCAAGTGTTAGAGAGTTAGCTGCTGCATTTTTTCTTTAAGTGGACATGTAAGGAGTAGTGTTGGGAGGTGAGGTGAATTCAAATGTTCTTGACAGTATGCATGATATTTTTGACAGTGAGGTGACATTATGCATGATAATTGCACTGACAGTTTCCTCTTCTTTTAATATTTATATTGAGTATCATTAAACATAATAAACTCTCCAGCTTTTATCTTTGTAATAATTTTCTATTGCTTGTGTTTTGAGCTGACATGTGGTTTGCTTTTATTAATGAACTCTTTTGGGCTTTCTGTCTTTGAGGAGTATCTAAAAAGTTATGGTCTGCTAATAACACCTTTTCTTACATTTAACTTTGTTCTGAATTCTCCTTGTTATTTAAAGGAATTTTGGGTGGGTGGTGAGGTGTTTATATATGTGTTCTATGCAGCATTTTGATCCAGTCTTCTGCATTATATATTTATTATTATCATTTAACGAAAATTTTGTGCTTGAACTAAATGTACTCAAACTGAATGTCACATTCTGGAAAGCCTTTATCTCTCCAGGTTGAATAATCACTCCCTTTCTTTCTCCCATTTAACTTACTCAAAACATCTAAAACATCTGTGACCCTTACTGGTATTTGTTCATGTTTGTCTATCCATTAAGTGTGTTGTCCTTGAGATGAGGGAGAATGTATTTTTATTTCTTTTTTAGAACTTAATTATTGAAAACTAAGTGATCAAATTTTATTACTATCACTATCAAATGTGACAGTCAAATGAAAAATAGACTAGCCTACCTCATCTTAGGAATTTATAATGTGTATCATGTTAAGCACATTATAAATGCTAGTAATCATCCCCAAATACTAAGTAGAGAATATTATTGCCTCTATGAATAAGAAACTGAGACTCAGTGTAGTTACATAGATCATCTTAAGTTACGAAACTCATGAGTAGAGAAGCCAGGTTTTAATTCTTTTACACTTCTAAGTTCAGAATCCTAACTATGTTTTTCTGTTATTTTCCTGAACAGTAATAATATCAATATTAAAGTGTATTAAAATCTGAAATTCTCATCTCAAAATAAATCTACACAAGCTAATGTTGTAAGAATAAAGATATAAAGCTGTGTGTAATGCTGAGAATGAAGGAAAAATGAAAATCCACATATATACATATTTTTATAAGTATAAATATATATCACAATAAAAATTCACAATAATAAAGTATGTATTTTTTCTGTATGAAGGTAAGGCTTAAACATTACCCTATAAACAACCAGGAACCTGATGAATAAATTATATTGAAATACTAATGGTTTATGATTTAGGATACAAATCTTTCCAAAATGTATAACACATCTGCAGTATTGTCTTTAAAGGAAGACATTGAAAATTAGAAATATAATCATTACTATCATCATTTATTGAAGGCCTAATATATTAAAGGTGCTGTATGTATATTATTGATCACTCTTATATTAACCTAGAAAAATAGGCATTACTAACTCCACTTTGCAAATGAAAAAACTGAGGCATTGAGAGTTGAAATCATTTTCCTAAAGTTATCCAACTTATAAGTATGCAGCCAGGATCTGAGTCCTCAGCTGCCTAACACCATATCCCACCCTCTGTAACTATCTTTCATGCTTTTGGAAGATGACAAAGGAAAGATTTTGGATTTCCATTATGTGCTAGGTATCCTGATAGGGAATTTTCCCACCTGCATTATTTACTCTATCTAGGGAGGTTGTTGCTATGACTGCCTCATAGACCAAGAACAAACAAACAAAAAACCTAGTTGCAGAAAACTTGGTGTCATCCACAGTCAGTGAGTAGATGAGCTGAGATTTGAAACTACTCCAAATGGAGTATATTTGACTCTAAATTACATACTCTTTTCTCTCTCTATAGCCATCACTGGAAGAAGTGGATTTATTTGCTCATGCTGCAGCAAAGGAGAACTGTAAATAGTCAAGTCCAACTGATATGTGCAAGCCAGCTGCACTGTGCATGTCAGATCCAGACTGCAAGTTTTTGAATTCTTGTGTCTGTTTTTCTAGTTTTGAATATCCTCTGAAGTTGTAAGATTCTTGTCACCCAGCATATCTGCTAAATTGGAGCAGCCTTTCTTTTTTTCTAACGCATTCTACAAACTTGAAGGCTAGCAACAAAACCTAGATTTTAAGAGCTATGAATGACTGAGCCACTGCATTCTAGCCTGGGGAACAGAGTGAGACTCTGTATCAGGAAAAAAAAAAAAAAGAGAGAAAAGAAAAAAAAGAGAGAGAGCTATGAATAAACTATGAGTACACTAAGTTCTCTTATGAATTAATGGCATGGATTTGACATGATCAAATTATTTGTGAAATTCCACATTACCTTTTTGCTTATTTCCTGTTGCCTGTCTGTTTTTCAGACAGCATTCTCAAAGTGATGCATGAAGCAGGTCAAGCATGGCCTGGAGCAATTGTGCTGTGACTCAATTTTCTCATTTGTCATGACTAGATAGTAATAGGGTTGTCTTGACAATTAATAAAAAACATATGGATATTTTACACACATATACAACAAATAACACTGTATTAATATTATGTGCTCAATAAATATTAGTCCAAAAATATCTGTTTTTCAGACAAGAAAGGTGAAGTTGATAGAGAGCTGAGTTTTGGATAAATGAGATATTACTTCATTACTAAACCACATTCTATGTTTAGAACATAATATGATAGTATAAGATGTTTGGGGCGGGCCCAAGAAATTTACATTTAAATGAGTCTCTTAAGAGATTTGTCTGCACTGGCCTAGAGTTTAAAGTGACCATATTTGAGTAATACCATTCTCCAACTGAAGCATGTAGCAAGTCAAGCATGACCTGGAGCAATTGTGCTATGACTCAATTTTCTCATGTGTCACATGGAGATAGTAATAAGGTTACCTTAACAACTAAATAAAAATATATGGATATATGACATACACATATGCAACTAAGAACACTACAATAATATTATGTACCCAATAAATATTAGTCCAAAAATGTCTGCCTCAACAACTGGTGATATTTTCAAGTAATACATGTTTTATGAATTAACTTGTTGTGGGAAGTCAGGGACCCCAAACAGAGGGACTGACTGAAGCCATGGCAGAAGAACATGGATTGTGAAGATATCATGACATTTATTAGTTCCCCAAATTAATACTTTTATAATTTCTTATGCCTGTCTTTACTGCAATCTCTAAACTTAAATTGTGAAGATTTCATGGACACTTATCACTTCCCCAATCAATACCCTTGTGATTTCCTATGCCTGTCTTTACTTTAATCTCTTAATCCTGTCATCTCCTAAACAGAGGAGGATGTATGTCGCCTCAGGACCTTGTGATAATTGCGTTAACTGCACAAATTGTAGAGCACGTGTATTTAAACAATATGAAATCTTGGCACCTTGAAAAAAGAACAGGATAACAACAATGTTTAGGGAACAAGAGAGATAACCTTAAACTCTGACCGCCAGTGAGCTGGGCAGAACAGAGCCATATTTCTCTTCTTTCAAAAGCAAATGGGAGAAATATCACTGAATTGTTTTTCTCAGCAAGGAACATCCCTGGGAAAGAGAATATGCGCCTGGGGGTGGGTCTATACACGGCCCCCTTGGGTGTGGTCATCTTTTATGGTCGAGACTGTAGGGATGAAATAAACCCCAGTCTCCCATAGTGCTCCCAGGCTTATTAGGAAGAGGAAATTCCTGCCTAATAAATTTTGGTCAGACCAGTTGCTCTCAAAGCCCTGTCTCCTGATAAGATGTTATCAATGACAATGGTGCCCAAAACTTCATTAGCAATTTTAATTTTGCCCCAGTCCTGTGGTCCTGTGATCTCGCCCTGCCTCCATTTGCCTTGTGATATTCTATTACCTTGTGAAGTACGTGATCTTTGTGACCCACACCCTATCGGTACACTCCCTCCCCTTTTGAAAGTCCCTAATAAAAACATGCTGGTTTTGTGGCTTGTGGGACATCACGGAACATACCGACATGTGATGTCTCCCCCGGACGCCCAGCTTTAAAATTTCTCTCTTTTGTACTCTGTCCCTTTATTTCTCAAACCTGCCGACACTTAGGGAAAACAGAAAAGAACCTACGTGACTATCGGGGCAGGTTTCCCTGATATTAACTTTATGATATTATTGACACTAATTGTCAATAATGCTAATTTAGTCACAGTTGTTAGGTCATCATACTCCTACTTTATCTTTAGAGAGAAACAGGTCCACTTTCCACTATGCTCAGTATAGGAGAGTTCTAACTCTCTTAATGTTGAAGAATGAAGATTAATGAATCTCTCCTTTCCAATCACAGTTTGAAATATCAACAGATGTAGGAGATGGTACTTTCTCTATTAGAAAGGAAGGAACCAAGTCAAAAAGATATATTAAGAACACCATAGGAAATTAATCAATGCCTGGGAAACCAAATTGATCAATTTCTATTTCCTTCTTTCCCTCTCATTTTTAACTTTGCACTTTCTGAACTGTTGAATTTCTTTGAAATAACAAGATAGAATATTTCCTGTTTTGGGGAGTCTCTCAAGGCTTTTTGATAAATATTTTGCCAATTTCTTTATTTTTGCAAAGAAATGCCTGGCCTTTGTATCTCTTACTATGGGCTTATAAATATTATTTTTCAGTGCCTTAGTGTATTTTCCTCAAGGCATATCAAAATGTCAATATTTTTACCTTTTATGAACTCCCCAAATAGTTGTGGGACATAATATTTTCCTGCAACACAAATGTCTATCATATATGTATTCCAAAATATATTTCAAAGCAATGTGGTGTTGGTGGAAGAAAAGATAATAACTAAAACAATAAAAGGACTAAACTAAAAATTTCCAATAACACTATCATCTTGCTGCTACCATAATAGAATTTAGTGGATCAAGCAGCACAATATCCCCAAAACACATGTCTCTAAGGAGATTATCCCTCATTATGACCTACTTTCATAATCGGTTCCTATCTTGATATTATACTTTAAAAACAGAAGCAGAATATACACAATTTACGCTTAATGGCACAGCAGTAGCACTGTTAAATTTTGACCTAAAAATATTCAAACCTCACAGAAAAGAAATGAATATATGAATAAGGTAAAAAATGATTTTCTCTGAAAAGTAAGGCGAGTATACAAAATAATACATTCAGAAAAAAAGTAGCTGGGAATGGCTTACACCACATAAAAGTAAATGTCATTCAACATATTAAATAATAAGGTTTCTGGAATAATCATCTAGTCAGAGAGTTTGGGCTCACACAAATAATTGGTGCATTCAGAGAAAACAATAATTTCAACTTCAAAATAGCCAGCAAGATAAAGTAAATAAATAAATAAATATATTTTTCCAGAGTAAGTGAAACAAAATCGGTTGAGATTTCTAACTAAAATCAACTTATTAAACTGGTTTTAATTCTACTTATTTTACAAGACTGAAAATGATATTATCCTGAAATAATGTAGGTAGAAAAGAAAACTTGTAAAGAAGGAGTCATAGAAAAGTCATACATCACAATAATTGAACAGAAATCATAAGTTACAAATGATCTAGTTTTGCACTGTGACCTACCAGGCCATGTTTTGTTTATTAAAATTCATGTATGTTTCTCGAGACCATTTGGTCAGGCAGCCCTAAAGTAATGGTTGAATGCAGTTACCATTTTACCACAAAGATTACAAGCCAACAAAGCTGAACTGTCCGTTTTTTTTTTAGCAGTTTTCTCTGGTTTAATACATTTTAAGAGAAGTAAATCACATAGGGTCCCATCTGCATTAAATGAGCAGTACTGATTAAGGCTTATCTAGATCTTTCTGTTCTACTTAGAATCCAAATCATATGCAAGAAAACATAAACTAGAAAACTCTTATACTTATAAAATATAATCTGACGTTAGAAATTTCTTACTACTTCTATCTGCTCAATAGCTCTGAGAAGTATGTATTGGGTAATACTGTTGTTCTTATTTTTACAAGTAAGCAAAAAAATCTAGGGAAGCTGTGATTTTTCTTTTTTCAGGTGACAGGACTGCAACTCAGACCAAAATGATCCAACTCCTAGTGTGTCACTAATCTCATCATCCTAAACATGGCTACCTCTTATACCCAGTGAAAATTATTAATTCTCTATATAGTGAAATGTATATGCCATTTGACACACAGATTCACATGCTGCTGAGGTAATTATGGAATATTATGATGCTTCACAGATAATATTTCATAAGGATAGATCAATATAAATGGTTCTTTAACCATATGTAAACTTGCCACCAGTTTAACTTTTCAAAGATAATTTTAGGGCAAGACAGATAAAAAGACACAGGCTTCCTGGAGTCCAGAAGAGCTAACAAAGAATATTAAAAACAATTTTGAAGGAAACAATTTAAAATGTGGAGGAAACATCTGTAAAATTTGTTAAAGGCAGTAATGAAATGGGAACAATAATTATGCTATGTTACAGATTCTGAGTTGATTTAATGTCATAAAATGATCTGGAATTACTGTATGCAATGTGGGAATATTAAAGATGAATATTATTCTCACAAAGGAAATTAACACCTCAATGATGTATACGGTAGTAAAGCTACAGAAGGAAGAAATATTTCCACAAAAAAATTGCTGTGTCTGGTCAGTTTGGTTTATTTCAAACATATTTAAGGAGTAAAAGTAATGATAGTGGTGTGGTGGAAAGTAATTTAAGATACTAATCTGTGTTTGTTGTTCCTGGATTTTTAAAGTCACATTCAAATCAGACAAAATATTAAATATTCTTGATTTATTTGTCTCAGGGACTTCTTATTTTTTCTGTACAATAGAAAACACATTGTGAATTTTAAGAGAGGAATCCTGGAAGATTCCCCATTCTTGAAGAAACTGGAGGCTGGCAGCCTGGGGACCAGCAGAGACTCACTCGTGGTTAGCTAGTCATGTCCTGGGAAATGTGGTAACACTTTTAAGAGGATGGCTGTGTTCTGGGTATAGGGAAGCTCTGTAAGGGCAAATACATTTTTTTTAAAGGGGGCAAATACAATTTTTTTTTAAAAAAGGACAAGAAGCGGGGAGGGGAGGGGAAGGAAGTGGAGAGGAGAGGAAGAGACAGTTTTCCTTCTTAAAAGTAAGTGAAAGGACTCCCTCCTTCTCTGGTTTTCTTGGAGCATTTAATTCAAAATTTCTCTGTCCTTTGAAATGTATGTACATCTTTTTTAAGGTTAAATAAGACTTTTGCCAGCTTTAACACCCAGTATTGTCTTTTTTAAGGACCTGGAGCCATCTGTTTGAAATGCAATCATCCAGGAAGATAGCGCCCCTCTCTAGGTTTGTGAGGAAGAGTAGTCTAACTTCAGCAGGCACCTTGCTCCACATTGCCAAATAACCTCTTGTCATAAGGATAGGAGAAGCTTATTTTCCCTTTGGACAAAGCCAATTCCCTGACATACATTAGTTATCAATTTACCCAAATTACCAATTTAGGGCAAACTATGTGCGCTAACTGCTGCTGCCAAGTCTTCTTACTAGAGGATTAGTTATTTTTAATCTTGAGATCATGTATGGAGTGGGTTGTACCTACTTGGTTGTATGTAAGCGTAAGATTTATTTCTGTCTCTGCAATCTCAGCAGATTGCCTGTGATAGGCATCACATATTGGCTTAATGCTTATTCAACAAAAAAGTGTTTTCTTTCTCTACTACCTTCATGGAGAAGATTTCTGGGTTGGAAGAAGATTTTATTTTTAATTATATTTCCCTCAAAAGCTGGACCAGAGGAACAGGGCCTCAGCTTCATCAAACATAGCCATGCTTCAAGTAAGGCACAGAACCTCTGGAGAGTGTCTGTACTAGCCAGTGTAGAATTGATGACTGGAGGGGCCTTTATAATGCTTTGATAGTGTCTATATAAGGCATGTCTCTGAGGTCCTGGGAGAATTGGAGGACTAAATTTCAATGATTACTGAGACTGAATTCCTTGCTGGCCTCACAAAATAAATTCTCAAGACATAATTAAGTTAATGAAAATCAATTAAGATAATTTAAATAACTTTATGTACACTGCACAGTTTTTATCCCTAAAAGTTGAAAAACAGAATACATTTCAGCGGAATATACACAAGTGACACAAAACACACAAGGAGGAAAAAAAAAACATCACAGCATGTACTGGTATTAGCCTCTGAGAAAGAAGAATGCAGATATAGTTGGTGAAGTAAATTGAAGCTCACAAATTAAAAACTACTGATATTTTCCTTTTGCTGAAAAGAGACAAATATAAAATATTAACATCAATAATACCATCACTACGCACCAAAATATATGGAAAAATACTCTGGTGATGGGGAAATATTCATTGGGGTAGGTGTTTCTTCTCTGATATAAGCAAATTTATAAAACATGAATATAGAGAAGCTTTGAGAAGGAACTTTGGATCTTCATTCTCAAAATTATGCAAACTGGATCTTCATTCTCAAAATTATGCATGTGCGTGTATCTTTTTCACATAATGACTTCTTTCCTTTGGTAGATACCCAGTAGTGGGATTGCTGAATCATATGGCACTTCAACTTTTAGTTGTTTAAGGAATCTCCAAACTGTTTTCCATAGTTGTACTAGTTTACCTTCCTACCAGCAGTGTAGCAGTGTTCCTTATTCACCACATCCAGGTCACCATCTTTTTTTTTTTTTTTTTTTTTTAACTTTTTAATTACAGCCATTCTTGCAGGTGGTATATCATTGTTGTTTTAATTTACATTTTCCTGATAATCAGTGATGCTGAGCATTTTTTCATATATTTGTTTGCCACTTGTATATCTTCTTTTGAGAACTGTCTATTCACATTCTTTGCCCATGTTTTGATGGAATTATTTTTTTTTTGTTTTTCTTGTTGATTTGTTTGAGTTCCTTGTAGATTTAGGATATTAGTCCTTTGTTGAATGCATAGTTTGTGAAGCTCTTCCCCTATTTTGTGGGTTGTCGGCTTACTCTGCTGATTATTTCTTTTGTTGTGCAGAAGCTTTTCAGTTTAATTATGTCCCATTTATTCATTACTGTTTTTGTTGCATTTGCTTTTGGGGTCTTAGTCATGAACTTTTTGCCAAACTAATGTCTAGAAGAGTTTTTCCAATGTTATCTTCCAGAATACTTATGGTTTCAGGTCTTAGATTTAAGTCTTTGATTCATCTTGAGCTGATTTTTGTTTAAGGTAAGAAGTGAGGATCAAGTTTCATTCTTCTACATGTGGCTTGTCAGTTTTCCCAGTACCATTTATTGAACAGGGTGCCTTTCTCCAATTTTTGTTCTTGTATGCTTTATTAAAGATCAGTTGGCTGAGGAGTTCCAAGATGGCCGAATAGGAACAACTCTGGTCTGCAGCTCCCAGTGAGATCGACACAGAAGATGGGTGATTTCACATTTCCAACTGAGATACCTGGTTCATCTCACTGGGAATGGTTGGACAGTGGGTGCAGCCCACGGAGGGTGAGCCAAAGCAGGGCAGGGGGTCGCCTCACCCAGGAAGCGCAAGGGGTCAGGGGATTTCCCTTTCCTAGCCAAGGGAAGCCGTGACAGATGGTACCTGGAAAATCGGGACTCTCCCTCCCTAATACTGCACTTTTCCAACGGTCTTAGCAAACAGCACACCAGGAGATTATATCCCACACCTGGCTTGGTGGGTCCCACGTCCACAGAGTCTTGCTCACTGCTAGCACAGCAGTCTGAGATCCAACTGCGAGGTGGCAGCCTGGGCTGGGGGAGGGGCATCCACCATTGCTGAGGCTTGAGTAGTTAAACAAAGCATCCAGGAAGCTCGAACTGGGTGGACCCCACTGCAGCTCAGTGAGGCCTGCCTGCATCTGTAGACTCCACCTCTGGGGGCAGGGTATAGCTGAACAAAAGGTAGTAGAAACTTCTGCAGACTTAAACGTCCCTGTCTGACAGCTCTGAAAAGAGCAGTGGATCTCCTAGCATGGAGTTTGAGATCTGAGAATAGACAGACTGCCTCCTCAAGTGGGTCCCTGACCCCTGTGCAGCCTAACTGGGAGACACCTGCCAGCAGGGGTCGACTGACACCTCATACAGCCGGGTGCCCCTCTGAGACGAAGCTTCCAGAGGAAGGATCAGGCAGCAATATTTGCTGTTCTGCAGCCTCTGCTGGTGATACCCAGGCAAACAGGGTCTGGAATGGACTGCCAGCAAACTCCAGGAGACCTGTAGCTGAGGGTCCCAACTGTTAGAAGGAAAACTAACAAAAAGAAAGGAATAGCATAAATAGCAACAAAAAGGTCATCTACACCAAAACCCCATCTATATGTCACCATCATCAAAGATCAAAGTTAGATAAAACCAGAAAGATGTGGAGAAACCAGAGCAGAAAAGCTAAAAATTCTAAAATCCAGAGTGCCTCTTCTCCTCCAAAGGACTGCAGCTCCTCACCAGCAATGGAACAAAGCTGGACAGAGAATGACTTTGACGAGTTGACAGAAGTAGGCTTCAGAAGGTCGACAATAACAAACTTCTTCGAGCTAAAGGAGGATGTTTGAACCCATCGCAAGGAAGCTAAAAACCTTGAAAAAAGATTAGATGAATGGCTAACTAGAAAAAACAGCATAGAGAAGACCTTAAATGACCTGATGGAGCTGAAAACCATGGCATGAGAACTATGTGATATATGCACAAGCTTCAGTAGCCGATTGGATCAAGTGGAAGAAAGGGTATCAGAGATTGGAGATCAAATGAATGAAATGAAGTGAGAAAAGAAGTTTGGAGAAAAAAGAGTAAAAAGAAACAAACAAAGCCTCCAAGAAATATGGGATTATGGGAATAGATGAAATCTTCATTTGATTGGTGTACCTGAAAGTGATGGGGAGAATGGAACCAAGTTGGAAAACACTCTGCAGGATATTATCCAGGAGAACTTCCCCAACCTAGCAAGGCTGGCCAACATTCAACTTCAGGAAACATAGAGAACACCACAAAGATACTCTTTGAGAAGAGCAACCCCAAGACACACACATAATTGTCAGATTCACCAAGGTTGAAATGAAGGAAAAATCCTTGAGGGCAGCCTGAGAGAAAGGTCGGGTTACCCACAAAGGGAAGCCCATTAGACTAACAGTGGATCTCTCAGCAGAAACTCTACAAGCCAGAAGAGAGTGGGGGCCAATATTCAACATTCTTAAAGAAAAGAATTTTCAACCCAGATTTTCATATCCAGCCAAACTAAGCTTCATAAATGAAGGAGAAATAAAATCCTTTACAGACAAGCAAATGCTGAGAGATTTTGTCACCACCAGGCCTGCCCTAAAAGAGCTCCTGAAGGAAGCACTAAACACGGAAAGGAACAACTGGGACCAGCCACTGCAAAAACATGCCAAATTGTAAACACCATTGATGCTAGGAAGAAACTGCATCAACTAACAAGCAAAATAACCAGCTAACATCATAATGACAGGATCAAATTCACACATAACAATATTAACCTTAAATGTAAGTGGGCCAAATGCTCCAATTAAAAGACACAGACTGGCAAATTGGATAAAGAGTCAAGACCCATCAGTGTGCTGTATTCAGGAAACCCATCTCACATGCAGAGACACACATAGCCTCAAAATAAAAGGATGGAGGAAGATCTACCAAGCAAATGGAAAACAAAAAAAAGCAGGGGTTGCAATCCTAGTCTCTGATAAAACAGACTTTAAACTGACAAAGATCAAAAGAGACAAAGAAGGCCATTACATAATGGTAAAGGGATCAATTCAACAAGAAGAGCTAACTATCCTAAATATATATGCACCCAATACAGGAGCACCCAGATTCATAAGGCAAGTCCTTAGAGACCTACAAAGAGACTTAGACTCCCTCACAATAATAATGGGAGACTTTAACACCCCACTGTCAATATTAGACAGATCAACGAGACAGAAAGTTAACAAGGATATCCAGGAATTGAACTCAGCTCTGCACCAAGTGGACCTAATAGACATCTACAGAACTCTCCACCCCAAATCAAGAGAATATACATTCTTTTCAGCACCACATCACACTTATTCCAAAACTGACCACATGGTGGGAAGTAAAGCAGTCCTCAGCAAATGTAAAAGAACAGAAATCACAACAAACTGTCTCTCAGGCCACAGTGCAATCAAACTAGAACTCAGGATTAAGAAACTCACTCAAAACAGCTCAACTACATGGAAATTGAACAACCTGCTCCTGAATGATTACTGGGTAAATAACGAAATGAAGGCAGAAATAAAGATGTTCTTTGAAACCAACGAGAACAAAGACACAACATATCATAATCTCTGGGATACATTTAAAGCAGTGTGTAGAGGGAAATCTATAGCACTAAATGCCCACAAGAGAAAGCGGGAAAGATCTACAATTGACACCCTAACATCACATTAAAAGAGCTAGAGAAGCAAGAGCAACCAAATTCAAAAGCTAGCAGAAGACAAGAAAAAACTAAGATCTGAGCAGAATTAAAGGAGATAGAGACACAAAAAAACCTTCAAAAAATCAATGAATCCAGGAGCTGGTTTTTCGAAAAGATCAACAAAATAGACCACTAGCAAGACTAATAAAGAAGAAAAGAGAGAAGAATCAAATATATGCAATAAAAAATGATAAAGGGGATATCACCACTGATCCCACAGAAATACAAACTACCATCAGAGAATACTATAAACACCTCTGCACAAATAAACTAGAAAATCTAGAAGAAATGAGTAAATTCCTGGACACATACACCTTCCGAAGGCTAAACCAGGAAGAAGTTGAATCCCTGAATACACCAATAACAGGCTCTGAAATTGAGGCAATAATTAATACCCTAAAAACCAAAAAAAGTCCAGGACCAGACAAATTCACAGCCAAATTCCACCAGAGGCACAAAGAGGAGCTGGTACCATTCCTTCTGAAACTATTCCAATAAATAGAAAAAGAGGGAATCTGGCTGGGTGTGGTGGCTCATGCCTGTAATCCCAGCACTTTGGGAGGCCGAGGCGGGTGGATCATGAGGTCAGGAGATCACGACCATCCTGGCTAACATGGTGAAACCCCGTCTCTACTAAAAATACAAAAAAAATTAGCCAGGTGCAGTGGCAGGCACCTGTAGTCCCAGCTACTTAAAAGGCTGAGGCAGGAGAATGGCATGAACCTGGGAGGTGGAGCTTGCAGTGAGCCAAGATAGCGCCACTGCAGTGCAGCCTGGGAGAAAGAGTGAGACTCCATCTCAAAAAAAAAAAAAAAGAAAAAAGGAAAAGAGGGAATCCTCCCTAACTCATTTTATGAGGCCAGCAACATCCTGATACCAAAGCCTGGCAGAGACACAACAAAAAAAAGAGAATTTTAGACAAATATCCCTGATGAACATCTATAAGAAAATTCCTCAATAAAATACTGGCAAACCAAATCCAGCAGCACATCAAAAAGCTTATCCACCACGATCAAGTTGGCTTCATCCCTGGGATGCAAGGCTGGTTCTACATATGCAAATAAATAAACGTAATCCATCACATAAACAGAACCAAAGACAAAAACCACATGATTATCTCAATAGGTGCAGAAAAGTCCTTCGACAAAATTCAACAGCCCTTTATCCTAAAAGCTCCCAATAAACTAGGTATTGATAGGACATATCTCAAAATAATAAGAACTATTTATGACAAACCCACAGCCAATATCATACTGAATGGGCAAAAACTGGAAGCATTCCCTTTGAAAACTAGCACAAGACAGGGATGCTCTCTCTCACCAATCCTATTCAACATAGTGTTGGAAGTTCTGACCAGGGCAATCAGACAACAGAAAGAAATAAAGGGTATTCAATTAGGAAAAGAGGAAGTCAAATTGCCCCTGTTTGCAGATGACATGATTGTGTACTCAGAAAACCCCATTGTCACAGCCCCTAATCTCCTTAAGCTGATAAGCAACTTCAGAAAAGTCTCAGGATGCAAAATCAATGTACAAAAATCACAAGCATTCCTATACACCAACAACAGACAAACAGAGAGCCAAATCATGAGTGAACTCCCATTCACAATTGTTTCAAAGAGAATAAAACACCTAGGAATCCAACTTACAATGGATGTGAAGGAGGTCTTCAAGGAAAACTGCAAACCACTGCTCAACGAAATAAAAGAGGACACAAACAAATGGAACAACATTCCATGCTCATGGGTAGGAAGAATCAATATCATGAGAATGGCCATACTGCCCAAACTAATTATAGATTCAATGCCATCCCCATCAAGCTACCAATGATTTTCTTCACAGAATTGGAAAAAACTACTTTGAAGTTCTTATGGAACTGAAAAAGAGACCATGTTGCCAAGACAATCCTAAGTAAAAAGAACAAAGCTGGTGGCATCACACCACCTGACTTCAAACTATACTACAAGGCTACAGTAACCAAAACAGCATGCTACTGGTACAAAAACAGAGATATAGACCAATGGAACAGAACAGAGGCCTCAGAAATAACACCACATATCTACAACCATCTAGTCTTTGACAAACTTAACAAAAACAAGAAATGGGGAAACGATTCCCTATTTAATAAATGGTGCTGGGAAAACTGGCTAGCTATATGTAGAAAGCTGTTAACTGCATCCCTTCCTTAAACCTTATAAAAAATTAATTCAAGATGGATTAAAGACTTAAATGTTAGACCTAAAACCATAAAAACCCTAGAAGAAAACCTAGGCAATACCATTCAGGACATAGGCATGGGCAAGGACTTCATGACTAAAACACCAAAAGCAATGGCAACAAAAGCCAAAATAGACAAATGGGATCTAATTAAACTAAAGAGCTTCTGCACAGCAAAAGAAACTACCATCAGAGTGAACAGGCAACCTACAAAATGGGAGAAAATTTTTGCAATCTACCCATCTGCCAAAGGGCTATATCCAGAATCTGCAAAGAACTTTAACAAATTTACAATAAAAATCAAACAACCCCATCAACAAGTGGGCAAAGGATATGAACAGATACTTCTCAAAAGAAGACGTTTATGCAGCCAACAAACACATGAAAAAATGCTCATCATCACTGGCCATCAGAGAAATGCAAATCAAAACCACAATGAGATACCATCTCACACCAGTTAGAATGGCAATCATTAAAAAGTCAGGAAACAACAGGTGCTGGAGAGGATGTGGAGAAATAGGAACACTTTTACACTGTTGGTGGGACTGTAAACTAGTTCAACCATTGTGGAAGACAGTGTGGTGATTCTTCAGGGATCTAGAACTAGAAATACCATTTGACCCAGCCATCCCATTACTGGGTATATACCCAAAGGATTATAAATCATGCTACTATAAAGACACATGCACACATATGTTTATTGGGACACTATTCACAATAGTAAAGACTTGGAACCGACCCAAATGTCCATCAATGATAGACTGGATTAAGAAAATGTGGCCCATATACATCATGGAATACTATGCAGCCATAAAAAATGATGAGTTCATGTCCTTTGTAGGGACATGGATGAAGCTGGAAACCATCATTCCGAGGAAACTATCACAAGGACAGAAAGCCAAACACCACATGTTCTCATTCATAGGTGGGAATTGAACAATGAGAATACTTGGACACAGGAGGGGAAACATCACACACAGGGGCCTGTTGTGGGGTTGGGGGAGTGGGGGAAGGATAGCATTAAAGAAATACCTGATGTAAATGACGAGTTAATGGGTGCAGCACACCAACATGGTACATGTATACATATGTAACAAACCTGCACATTGTGCACATGTACCCTAGAACTTAAAGTATTAAAAAAAAATCAGTTGGCTATAAGTATTTGGCTTTATGTCTTGATTCTCTATTGTGTTCCACTGGTCTATTTTTATACCAGTACCATGCTGTTTTAGTAACTATAGCCTTGTAGTATAATTTGAAGTTGGGTAATGTGATGCTTCCAGATTTGTTCTCTTTTCTAAGTGTTGCTTTGGCTATTCAGGCTCTTTTTTGGTTCCATATAAATTTTAGAATTGTGTTTTCTAATTCTGTGAAGAATGATGATGGGAATTGCCCTAAATCTGTAGATTGCTTTGGGTATTATTGTCATTTTCACAATATTGATTCTACTCATCCATGAGCATGGGATGTGTTTTCATTTTTTGTGTGTCATCTATTATTTTTTTGGCAGCATTTTGCACTTTCCTTGTACAGGTCTTTTACCTGCTTGGTTAAGTATTTTATAAATTTTTTGCAGCTGTTGTGAAAGGGATTGAGGTCTTTATTTGATTCTCAGCTCAGTCATTGTTGGTGTGTAGCAGTGTCACTGATTTGTGTACATTTATTTTGTATCCTGAGACTTCACTGAATTCGTTTATAAGCTCTAGGAGCTTTTTGGATGAGTCTTTAAGGTTTTTTAGGTATACAATCATATCATTGGCGAACAGCAACTGTTTGACTTTCTCTTTTCCAATTTGGATGTCCTTTATTTCTTTCTCTTGTCTGATTGGTCTGGCCAGGACTTCCAGTATGATGCTGAATGGAAGTGGTGAAAGTGGGTATCCTTGTCTTGTTTCAGTTCTCAGTGGAAATGCTTTCAACTTTTCCCCACTCAGTATAATGTTCATTCTGGATCCATCATATAGGGCTTTTATTACTTTGAAGTAGGTACCTTTTATGACTATGTTGTTGAGGATTTTTATCGTAAAGGAATGCTGGATTTTGTGAAATGCTTTTTCTACATCTATTGAGATAATCATATGATTTTTGTTTTACTTCTGTATATGTGATGTATCACATTTATTGACCTGCTTATGTTAAAACATCCCTGCATACCTGGTATGAAACCCACTTGATCATGATGTATTATCTTTTTGATATGCTGTTGGATTTAGTTAGCTAGTATTTTGTTGAAGATTTTTGCATCTATGTTCATCAGGAATATCAGTCCATAGTTTTCTTTCTTTGTTATGTCCTTTCCTGGTTTTTGTATTAGGGTAATACTGGCTTCATAGAACGTTTAGGGAGGATTCCATCTTTCTATATCTTTTGGAATAGTTTCGGTAATATTGGTACCAATTCTTTGAGTGCCTGATAGAATTCAGCTGTGATTCCATCTGGCCCTGGACTTTTACTTACTGGCAATTTTTTTTAATTACTGAAAAATAAAAAAAAAATAACAGGGGGAATCAGTGGAAAAAACCTCCTATAATGGCAGATACCACTGCTTGTTATTGATCTGTTCTGGGTTTCTATATCTTCCTGATTTAATCTAGAAGTATTGTATATTTCCAGGAATGTATCCATCTCTTCTAGATTTTCCAGTTTGTGTGCATAATGGTTTTTATAGTAGCTTTGAATGATCTTTTGTATTTCTGTGGTATCAGTCATAATATCTCCAGTTTTGTTTGTAATTGGGCATATTTGGATCTTATTTCTTCTTTTGTTGGTTAATCTTACCAATGGTCTATTGATTTTGTATATCTTTTTAAATAATTGATTTTTAGTTTCATATCTCTTTTGTATTATTTTACTTCAATTTCATTTAGTTTTGCTCTGATCTTTGTTATTTCTTTTCTTCTGTTAGGTTTGGGTTGAGTTTATTCTTGTTTCTCTAGTTCCTTGAGATGTGACATTAGGTTGTCTATTTGTGGTATTTCAGACTTTTTGATGCAGGCATTTAACGCTATGAACTTTCCTCTTAACATTGCTTTTGCCGTATCCCAGAGGTTTTGATAAGTTGTGTTACTACTACCATTCATTTCAAAGAATTTTTTAATTCCATCTTCATTTCATTGTTAACCTAAATATAATTTTCAAGAGTATATTATTTAATTTCCATGTATTTCTATAGTTTTGAGGGTTCCTTTTAGAGTTGCTTTCCAGTTTTATTCCACTGTGGTCTGAGAAGATACTTGATATGATTTCAATTTTCTTAAATTTATTTAGACTTGTTTTGGTCTATCTTGGAGAATGTTACATGTGCTGATGAGAACCATAATAGTGAGAGGCTTTAATATTCCACCGACAGGACTAGACAGATCATCAAGAGAGAAAGTCAACAAAGAAACAATAGACTTAAACTATACCAGAGAACAAACAGACTTAACAGATACTTACAGAACATTCTTACTGCTTCTTTTGTTCCACTTAGGACTGATTGGCAGTAATGATCAGAAGAGAGAGCTATTGTACTAAAGAGGGGTCAGAAACTTATGACCTACAGGCCAAATCCTGCCTGCCATCCATTTTCTATGGCCCAGGAACTAAGAGAAAGAAATGCAGATTTTTTAGCCCCATTCCAAACCTACTGAATTAAAATTTCTGGGAGTGACACCAACAAATCTACCTTTAAACAAGCACCTCAGAAGATTTGTATACACTTGCTTAGAGTTTAAAGTGACCAGATATGAGGAACGGAATTCTCCAAGACAAGCATAGAGCAAATCAAACATGACCTGGAGCAATTGGGTTGTGACTCAATTTTCTCATCTGTCACATGGAGATATTAATAAGGTTGTCATGATGATTAAATAAAAACACACGAATTTATGATATACACACACACTTACAACTGACAGCACTGTAACAATATTATGTGCTCAATAAATATTAGTCCAAAAATGTCTGCCTCCACAATTGGTGATATTTTCAATGGTAATGTTTTGTAAATTAATAGCTATTATATTTTAATGGTGAGAGAAGAAATTTAAAAATTGATATTTCATGACACATAAAATTTCAGTTTCCATATGTAAATTTATTGGATCATGGCCACATCTATTTGTATTATCTATGGCTATATAGAGGCATAAAGACAAATGTGAGTAGTTGTAACTGAGACTGTAAAGCTCACAAAGCCTAAGATATTTACTCTCTCATCCTTTACAGAAAAAGTTTGCAGACCTCTATAAAGTAGGGAAATTAAGATGATTAAATAGTTGCCTAAATGTAAGTAAGTGGGGATTTGAAAGAGTAAATCATGTGAGTATAAATTTGTGGAACTGCATCCTGTGTTACATTTATATGAAACAGTACAACTGTCTTCAGACTACTTCCAGTTTTCTTGGATTCTGACAATGGTCTTTGAGCTAGTTCTCTTTCATCTCGTTTTTGTACACCTTGACCCCCACTCAGAATTAGTTTCTGATGTGACAACATCCCTTCCCCCAACATCTGTACTTACACATCTTGATGACTCTTGTTACCAACCTAATAAAGCTCACCATGGTCTAAGCCAAACAGTAAGAGAACTGGTGTTGGGTACTGCCTATTTTTCTGTATAAAAGTTGAGGCAGAGATACTTCAAGTGAGTTGCCAATCCTTAGAAGACAGTTTAGATTGTGACTAAACTCAGATTCTCTAGCATTCACTGCAGTGCTTCTCACTCTAGTCCAGACTGCCTCAGTAGTCATCTCAGCAATGTCACAAGAAATACATTAAGTAGGAATAGAAAAGATGTATACTATTCCTAAACAAAAATATATAGTAATTACATATTTATATTGTCAGTAAGAATTATTTCTGCTAGCCATAGTCTCTAGTTCTAAAATATGTTTAAACATGTACAATTATATCTGTAACACAATTTAGAATGAAATATTTTAAAGATATTTTTGAAGGTTTCTGTGAATGCAAGCAAAAAAAAGCTGGGTTCAAATGAAAGCATCTTAATATAAGAAATAAAAGATATGAAAAAAGAAATAAAGGATATTAATGAACCTCGAGCTGTGATTTTTGCATATATACCATACATTAAATAATATTAACCCCACAGTTGAGTGAGATGTAGGAAATTAGTTATTTGCTATATCCAATTCACATAGTACAATTTGTTACAAAGTTTTAGCTTCCTGAAATTAAAAAGCAAAAATAACACCAGCAAAAGCCTTTAAAAATCACAAAAACATAGGGTAACTTATTATGGAATAATATTATTTTAGAAAATTATATTTACTCAAATACTTTCTAATGCATTAACCAAAAGTCTAAGCGGGAAGAAATTCTTACAGAGCATTGACAAACCTAGATAAAGGCAATCTCAAATATAGGTAACAAATTTAATCGCTTTGTAAATTCATCAACTTGACACTGTACATTTGATTGACATACGAAGGATAGCAAAAATACTATATACATTATGTATTTAGGTCACAGAATTCTCAATAGATGCTCTTTCTAATAAAAAAGTGAATTAAAATAATGGATGAAATCAGTTTCTAATAATACTATTCTTTGTTAAAAATGTGCTATTTTAGGTATGTCTAAGAAAATTGAATGTCTGTAATCAAACTCATATGCCAATCAAAGGTATGAATTTAAGCAATACATTCCAATTAATAATAAATCACTGACCAAGAAGTGTAAGATTAAGAAACATTCATGAAACAGAAACTGGGTTACTTGAAAGATTTGAGTGAATGGTCCAAAACAATAAAATTTATCTGTTTCCACTTATCATATATGCAGCGTTCAGTAGGTAATTTATATTTGGACATGGATAAACAAAAAAGCTGGTGGGAGCCTCTTTTTATTCTGCTCAACTCAAGTATCTTCTAGAACTTTGTGTGAGGAAGAAGACCAAACATCCCTCTCATACCATAAAATCTGAATAGAGTAGAGAATGCAAAGCCAGAGATCATAGGTTTGATAAGACAGCTCCACAACAATAGCTAAGTACAGTTCTAATGATTTTATTTTAGGAAACATATCCTAAAATACAAAATTATGTTTTATAGTTTTAAACACTGGAGTTTCAAAACAACATAATTAAGGAAAAAAAAGGTACAGAGAAGTACCATTCATTCATTCACTCATTCATTCAAAGTTCACTGAGTGCTTACTATACTTTCAGCACTATAAAGGCTGAGCAAAAGCACCATGAAAATTAAGCATGGCTCATGTCACCCAAGCAAACAGCAAAGTGAAGGAATTAACAAAAAAAATTTGATATTTCCTTTAAAATCTGTTATAAGCAGCA
Source organism: Homo sapiens (assembly GCF_000001405.40). Taxonomy (NCBI): domain Eukaryota; kingdom Metazoa; phylum Chordata; class Mammalia; order Primates; family Hominidae; genus Homo; species Homo sapiens. The sequence goes on along the minus strand of NC_000006.12, from coordinate 72,114,505 downwards.
TAAAATTTTTATAACAATAATTTATCTTGACATAAATTAATCAAATGATCTTATTTTAAAAGTCAGGAGCTCTGAGGTATGTGCCCTGGATTTTCAACCACATGCTGTCAACTTTATGATGTATAGAAAATCACTAAACTTCTCTGGCCTCACTTTTCTTATATACCTATAAAGAATTTTGCCTGTAATAACTAATACGACTCCAGTGCGAATACAATTCCATGAAATAATGCATATTAGAAACTACTCTGTACACATTTAAAATAATACACAAATTTAAAAACAAATTATAAAAGTATATTTTTGACTTACTTACATTTACTACATTGTGTCAAGTCAAATTCTAATTTCCTCATTTTCTCTAATCATCACAATATCTTACTTCACCAATGACAAAGTAGCTACAGTTCAACAATGAGTTTCTACATTTGAAACTTTTTTCTCTTTAAAATAACTTTGAGATGCATTAAAGAATAATTACTTAATGTTCATTTGATATTTGACATAATTATAGTTCATAAAACAGTCTCATTATTAAAAAATGAATATACTACAGGTTACATTATTGGTGTCTTTTTATGTATTTTAGGGCAAGGAGTGAAATGATTAAAAAGTGTCTTGCATATAGCATTTATTGCATAGGACTAACCACTAATTGAGAATCCTATATTTTTATTTGATATTTCAATATCATTTGCATTTTTGCTGTGTATTTTCCCATTGCAGTCACTAGGATACAAACTCACTGAATTTCACTAATTGGTGATCAGCCCAGTTACAGTTGCAAATATTAAGAATTAAAGAAGAAAAAACACTTGGGGTTTATAAGAAAGAAAATAAAAGTACTAAAGTAATATTTGAATATATTTACTAAAAAAGTGATTTTTAATTCTTTTTTGCTGCTTATTCTAGAATTCAAAAGAAAGTTTAAAAATTAATCGTGTAAAATGTCAACATAAAAGCTAAAAGTTATTCAATTGGCAGAGGGCTACTATTCTATTCAAGGCCTTTCATTATTTTTCCAAAAGTTCAACTTTATCAAAATTACTCAACAAAGTTTCAGTTCAAAAACACAATTTCCTAATATTTCAAATGCTATAAAAGCATAAAAATAAGAATAAAATATAGACATATTCCATGCCACAAGGATGGAAATCATTAATCAAGTAGAAACCTTGAGAAAATTTTGGAAGTCATACAGACGAGAATCAAGCCTAGTAAAACAATGGTCAATCCATGATCCAAGACGGATGAATGGAAGGCTTTGAAATAAACAGATTTTCCCCAGAGAACCCTAAACTAAATGACACATGATCCTAGAGCAAGGATAGATTGGGGGTGAAGTGGGTGAGGGCAGAAAAAGCCTTTAATAACTATACCATGACTCTGCACACTGCCCTGTGGCTGCAAATTTCATTTATTTCATTACCTTTCCATGGCAAATATAGCATACCAGGTACAGCAGGGCTTTGCCTGTTGGGATTCTCAAGGTACAGGGATTGTGCCAATTTAGAAGTGATACTTTGCCCTGGTAACATGAAGCTGACTCCACAAACTCAGAAGTCAAACACTTACTTCTCAATATTCATCACATATTTAGAGTGGCTACCTGTGCCAGGCAAGTTTGTTGGCACTGAGAATACTGCAAAGTTAAAGTCCCCCTTTTCTACAGAGCTAGCAATGAGAAAAGAAAGAGGTAGATATATATTTCACAGGGTGAAGTACTGTGGAGAAAAATCAAACATGGTAAAAAGAAAGGATGTTCTATGGTTGGGCTGTGGCTACAATTTTACATGGAGTAATTACAGTGGGCCTCTTTGATAAGGTAATGTTTGAGCAGAGACCTGAAGAGAGTTTGGGAGTGAGGAGTGGAAATAATGTTCCAGGAAAAGAGAGTTATGCTAGCAGCCTGAGGCAGGGCTTTGTTTAGTATGCACTGGGGCCAGGAAGAATACAGTGAGCAGAAGGTAGCAGGCAGATAGGACAGTGACAGGAGAGGATGTGTGTATGTGTGGAGTACAGATGATGCAGGGTGTTGGGTACAATTGTAGGGGTCTTTGCTTTCACTTTGGATGAGATGGGAAGCCATTGGAGGGTTCTGAGCAGAGATGTACATGGCATGGTCTGGTTTACACATTCAAACAATTATTCTTGCTCAGATTTGTCTTTGGGAGTGGGGTGGGGGATGAGGGGTTGAGAAGGAAAGGCCAATTAGGGGTTCAATGCAATAAACCAGACTAGATGGTGTCTTGGACCAGTTTGGCGAAAGTGGAGGTGGTAAGAAGAGGTTGCATTGTGGATATATTTTGAAGACAGAGCCAAATTCCTGATGAATTGGATGCAGGGGGAGGAAAGGCCAGGAGGATTCCAAGATTTTTAGTTTTGTTAACTTTAATAATGTGTTAGTCATTTGCTACAGTGAAGAAGGCTGGAATAAGCTGGTTTGGAGAGCTAAAGCAGGGATTGGGTTTTACACATTAAATTTGAGATGCTTATTAAACATCTGCTAATATATTTGACTACCAGGCTGAAGCCTCTTTGGTGGTCTCCTCACTGTTTACTAGGACAATTAGAACTCTGTTATAGATACTTGGAAGTTCAGAGGCACCTCCAGAGGCTGGAGACAAGTATGATCCATGGGACAACTGTGGGGAAAGAAATCTGAATCCCCTGAACACTACTGAGGACGCTACCAAAGGAATGCAGACTAGGAATGCTAGAGTGGGAGTGGCCCAGAGAGAGACCTCTCCCAGAAACCCTGCCCTGAACTCCCTGCTGCCTGGCATCCTACTCGTTGCATCTTTCATAGACTTTTCAAGAAATGGACAGATGGGACTCATAGAAAAGTAAAACTCTCCTCTTTATCTAAAACTAAAATTTAGAAGAAGATCAATATAAAAGTCCAAAAACAAACCAATGGATGAAAACTTGAAAAAGTGGAACTTTACTGAGGAATCAGAGCAAATGTTTCTCTAAGAGACAGCCATATTATACAGTATTACAAGAATTTGGGGAAATCACATTAAAAAGAAAACTGCAATTCATATTCTTAAGGGGTTATGAGAAGACATTTCTTCCATGAAAACAGGACAACCTGCTATCAACAAAATTTTGTTTTCAGATTATTCAAATTTACCTGGATGAATAATCATATAAGAGTAGCTTTGAGATTTTGAAAAATATTACTAACGGAAGGTGGTGAAGATGATGAGAAAAAGTATGAGAAGGTAGGTACAGAAAATTCAACATACATTGGATAATAGAAAGGAGAGGTCAAAGTAGGTAGCTGAGAAACAATGATCAAGGATAAAGAAAGACATGCCTACAGATCAAAAGACCACACAAAGAACTAAGCAACTTTAATAAGACAATGCCAATTATCCATGTCTTTATACAATTTTTTCTTTTATCTTGAATACAAGGAAACATTAAAGACATCCAAAACAGACTCATCAAAATTACTTTGCTTTTTAAAGAATAGTTTTGAGGTGGAAACACAAGAAGTGCTAATATACAATTTCTTAATTTATTTTAGACACTCCCTATTACCTTTTATACACCATATCCACTAATTCATCTTAGGATCACAACTTTTACTCTTCACTAAAAACTGAAACCTAGGTATTGATGGGATGTATCTCAAAATAATAAGAGCTATCTATGACAAATCCACAGCCAATATCATACTGAATGGGCAAAAACTGGAAGAATTCCCTTTGAAAACTGGCACAAGACAGGGATGCCCTCTCTCACCACTCCTATTCAACATAGTGTTGGAAGTTCTGGCCAGGGCTATTAGGCAGGAGAAGGAAATAAAGGGTATTCAATTAGGAAAAGAGGAAGTCAAATTGTCCCTGTTTGCAGATGACATGATTGTATATCTAGAAAACCCCATTGTCTCAGCCCAAAATCTCCTTAAGCTGATAAGCAACTTCAGCAAAGTCTCAGGATACAAAATCAATGTACAAAAATCACAAGCATTCTTATACACCAATAACAGACAAACAGAGAGCCAAATCATGAGTGAACTCCCATTCACAATTGCTTCAAAGAGAATAAAATACCTAGGAATCCAACTTACAAGGGATGTGAAGGACCTCTTCAAGGAGAACTACAAACCACTGCTCAAAGAAATAAAAGAGGATACAAACAAATGGAAGAACATTCCATGCTCATGGGAAGGAAGAATCAATATCATGAAAATGGCCATACTGCCCAAGGTAATTTATAGATTCAATGCCATTGCCATCAAGCTACCAATGACTTTCTTCACAGAATTGGAAAAAACTACTTTAAAGTTCATATGGAACCAAAAAAGGGCCTGCATTGCCAAGTCATTCCTAAGCCAAAAGAACAAAGCTGGAGGCATCATGCTACCTGACTTCAAACTATACTACAAGGCTACAGTAACCAAAACAGCATGCTACTGGTACCAAAACAGAGATATAGATAAATGGAACAGAACAGAGCCCTCAGAAATAACGCCACATATCTAAAACTATCTGATCTTTGACAAACATGAGAAAAACAAGCAATGGGGAAAGGATTCCCTATTTAATAAATGGTGCTGGGAAAACTGGCTAGCCATATGTAGAAAGCTGAAACTGGATCCCTTCCTTACACCTTATACAAAAATTAATTCAAGATGGATTAAAGACTTAAACGTTAGACCTAAAACCATAAAAACCCTAGAAGAAAACCTAGGCATTACCATTCAGGACACAGGCATGGGCAAGGACTTCATGTCTAAAACACCAAAGGCAATGGCAACAAAAGCCAAAATTGACAAATGGGATCTAATTAAACTAAAGAGCTTCTGCACAGCAACAGGAACTACCATCAGAGTGAACAGGCAACCTACAAAATGGGAGAAAATTTTCTCAACCTACTCATCTGACAAAGGGCTAATATCCAGAATCTACAATGAACTCAAACAAATTTACAAGAAAAAAACAAACAACCCCATCAAAAAGTGGGCGAAGGACATGAACAGACACTTCTCAAAAGAAGACATTTATGCAACCAAAAAACACATGAAAAAATGCCCACCATCACTGGCCATCAGAGAAATGCAAATCAAAACCACAATGAGATACCATCTCACACCAGTTAGAATGGCAATCATTAAAAAGTCAGGAAACAACAGGTGCTGGAGAGGAGGTGGAGAAATAGGAACACTTTTACACCGTTGGTGGGACTGTAAACTACTTCAACCATTGTGGAAGTCAGTGTGGCAATTCCTCAGGGATCTAGAACTAGAAATACCATTTGACCCAGCCATCCCATTACTGGGTATATACCCAAAAGACTATGAATCATTCTGCTATGAAGACACATGCACACGTATGTTTATTGTGGCACTATTCACAATAGCAAAGACTTGGAACCAACCCAAATGTCCAACAATGATAGACTGGATTAAGAAAATGTGGCCCATATACATCATGGAATACTATGCAGCCATAAAAAATGATGAGTTCATGTCCTTTGTAGGGACATGGATGAAATGGGAAATCTTCATTCTCAGTAAACTATCGCAAGAACAAAAAACCAGACACTGCATTTTCTCACTCATAGGTAGGAACTGAACAATGAGAACACATGGACACAGGAAGGGGAACATCACACTCTAGGGACTGTGGTGGGGTGGGGGGAGGGGGGAGGGATAGCTTTAGGAGATATACCTAATGCTAAATGACGAGTTAATGGGTGCAGCACACCAGCATGGCACATGTATACATATGTAACTAACCTGCATATTGTGCACATGTACCCTAAAACTTAAAGTATAATAATAATAAAATAAAATAAAATAAAATAAACTGAAACTTTAGTTTTAAAGTTTCAAAGTTAGAGGAAAAATAGAATCAAATATAGATTGGGAAAAATGAGATACATGTACTTGTAGTTAACCCACAGTGAGGGCAGGAGGATAGTCTTTTGTTTCCTCAATCTCCATGAAAAGACAGAAGTTTAAATAAAAAATAAGGGAATATATGATCCTGGTAGATAATAGAAATGAAATAGTAAGTTAGGTGATAGTATTGTTTTGTTTCTTAAAATAGTTTAGTGGTGATGATGTAGTCAAAGAGTAACAATTAAAAACAATAGAACTGGGTAAGGCCCAGTGGCTCACAACTGTAATCCTAGCACTTTGGGAGGCAGAGGCAGGAGGATCACTTGAGCCCACAAGTTCCAAACCAGCCTGGGCAACATGGTAAAACCCCAGTCTCCACATACACACACACACAAAATTATCCAAGCATGGTGGCAGGCACCTGTAGTCCCAGCTGCAGGAAGCGAAGATGGCCTCAGCCACCTCAGTCCCAGCTACAGGAGACTTCACTTCAGTCCCAGTTACAGAAGGGTGAGGTAGGATGATGGCCTGAGCCCAGGGAAGTCAAGGCTGCAGTGAGCCCTGATCATGGCACTGCACTAGAGCCTGGGCAACAGAATGAGACCCTGTCTCAAAAACAAAACACAATAAAACAAAACAAAACAAAACAAACAAACAAAAAAACAGAATGGAATCGGGCTGATACCAGCAAATGCTAAGGCTGTTGTGTAATCTCTGATATAAACATCACAGGAATTAGGCCTTGTGATCAATCTAGTGTTTGAGAAAGACATGCCTAATAAACATTAGTTTCTAAGAATGATTTACTGCAGCTACCACTATTAATATTTAATACACATATAATATGTCAGAATTGAAACGAACCTATTTCTTCTCTCATTTAATTAGCATTTTCCCAACAAATATGAAATTTATTTGGTATATTTTGTGTAAATGTCTTCTCATAACCCCTTAACTGGCCCCTACCCAGTTCCATTGTTTTTAATTGTCCTTTGACCACATCATCACCACTGAACTATTTTAAGAAGCAAAACAGTACTGTCACCTAACTTAGTATTTCATTTCTTTCTTTCTTTCTTTTTTCTTTTGAGATGGAGTCTTACTCTGTTGCCCAGGCTGGAGTACAGTGATGCGATCTTGGCTCACTGCAACCTCCACTTCTCGGATTCAAGCAATCCTCCCACTTCAGCCTCCCAAGTAGCTGGTAGTACAGGCACCTGCCACCACGCCTGGTTAATTTTTGTATTTTTAGTAGAAACAGGGTTTTGCCATGTTGGCCAGGCTGGTCTTGAACTCCTGGCCTCAGGTGATCCACTCCCCGCAGCCTCCCAAAGTGCTGGGATTACAGGCGTGAGCTACCGCTCCTGGTGGGGTTTCATTTCTATTATCCACCAGGATTTTATGTTCTTTTATTTGTTCTTCAAGCCAGGTGCTTATCAGAGTATTCAAGGGTGTATATATTCTTTCCTTACCTGCCAGAAACTCACACATTAAAATGGAATCTGTGATAATGATGAAGTGTAAATGATGCAGAAAGAGCTAATTCTGGCTGGTACACTCAGGGAGCACTCTGCATGGAGGATGGCATTTGAGCTGCTCTGACCCTTTGATAGACAGCTCTTCATCAACTGGAAAAAGTTTGACAAAAAGTACTTCAACAAAGAGAAAAACTGAAAATAGGTATGAAAGTATATAAGAGAAAGATATACTAAGAGAAGTTAGTAGTTATTGATAGCTGGTAAGTGAAGTTAATCTGCATATGACGCATAAATCTCATATACAAGAGTCCTCCCAAATGGTCCTTTGATATCTAATAACAATTTAAGCATCTCTAGCAATAGTAAATTTTAAAGAGAACTAAAATACATAGATTTCAGAAGATATATTTTTTAGGGGAACCATCATACACTAGTCTGACACGTAATTTAACAAAGTAATTGTAAAAAGTAATACAAGTTTTAACCATGTCTAAAAGCAAAATAAAACAAACAAACAAACAATAAAAACAGCAACAAACAAAACAAGAAAAATCCCAACTACCGATCTGAGGCTTGACTTACTGCCCTACCTAGAAACTTCTGTGATACTGTCCGTCAAGTGCATCTTCTCCTTGTGATTGTCATTCCTGGTTTAGCTTGTACTGAAAAACATTATAATTGCACATTGGCTCAGTGACTGACATTGTTGGTCTTCTGTGTTTCTATGTAGTTTAAAAGACACAGACATTTTCAAATTCCATAGAAGTAGTTGAAGAGTCACAAGGCATATTATTTTCTCCCTGAAAGATTTAGTTTTCTACTCTTTCCCATGTAATTTGCTGTAACAGCACTTTATTGGTCAATAAAAACAACTTGATTGATTTTTATAAAAATTAAGTCTTTTATAACAAAGATGTTCATAAATTAAATGCACAAAATTATTTTGCCACCATTGTAAAGTGATTCAAAAGGATTACTTTCTGAAAACAAAATATTTGCTGTTGAAGTTTACATATGAAAAAACTATTGCATATATACATACAAAAACAAAATAAATCGGCCAATGAATAAATGTATTTGTTAAATGCCTTAGTAAGGCCATATATAAAAACAAGGACTTTTTAAGATCTACATATCTAATTTCATGTTATGGTTACAAGCTTTAGAACATATTTTTAAAGTTTTTAAAGTAACTGCAAAACTAATAAATTTAGAACATATTTTCCAAAATTTAAAAAATATCTTCAAACCTGCTTTAATAAATAGAATATGAGGAATAGTCATAGTCTAGTAGACCTGAGGCTTATAAGAAAATCAGCACAAGATGCTTTTGGCACTAAAAGGTTTGGTGGGGTGCTGGCTGAATTACTAGACAGTTGTCATCCTGTACACTAAGGGGAAATCTGAGGGAATTCTATTTATTCTTTAATATAACATTCATAAAATTATTATGCAGCAACATAGCATTATAGTTATACTATACGTATACATATGCATATAGATACACATTTTAAGTTGAATTTATTAAATAATAAACTTGCAAAAGAAAGTGTTTATTATCTGCATTGCATATTAACTATTTAACCTAATGTAGTCATAATAAAATTAAATTAAAAATCCCTGAATAAATGAATAAATGAATGAGTTCATGTAACCCAAGGAATAGAATTTACTCTTAATTATAATAATTAATTTTAGTGGCTGCTTGGTTAAACAAAAGTAAGCTTAGTGATGAAATGCAATTGAATTTTCTTGAATACAAATAACGTTTATATTAAGATGAACAGAAAGAGAGCATCTTGGCATGAATTACCATGTAAAATGCATTTATTGAAAAGAATGAGATAGTAATTTTGAAATAAAAATAATTATATATGAGACTACTGATGACAGTAAGCCAACAAATGAATAAATAAATGAATAAAAAATGAATAAAAAGACTGCTGTGGTGGCTCACACTTATAATTCCAGTACTTTGGGAGGCCAAAGCAGGAGGATCGCTTGAGCCCAGGAGTTCGAGACCAGCATTGGCAACATAGGAAGGCCCTATAACTACAAAAATTTAAAAAAAAATTTTTTTTAATTAGCCAGACACACCTGTGGTCCTAGCTGCTCAGGAGACTGAGGTGGAAAGATGGTTTGAGCCTGGGAGGTTTAGGTTGCCATGAGCTGTGATTGCACCACTGCACTCCAGTCTGTGTGATAGAGACTCTGTCTCAAAAATAAATAACTCAATAAATAAATAAGTGAATGGATGAATTAACACAAAACTATGAAGAGTCTATTTGAGTAACTCCAGACTGGTAATGTGAGGACCTCTGCAGATCCTTCTCCCCAGCAAAACAACTACAACTAATAAAAATTATTTTTTAAAAAAAAACAGTCATTTAAAGTATCTGAAAATTGTCTGAAGTGTATACAGCAAATGTAGAAACATCTGTTAGAGAAACTCTACTAAATTTTTATAAGAACAGCAAGAGACTTGAGCCACAACCAACTTCCTTTCTTCTCTGCTCCATGCTCAGCAAGATGCAAATTCTATTCTTGGTAGGTACGGCCAAGTGAATGGGCTCTCTCTCTCCCCAGTTCTGAAAGACTACAGTATCAGTCCCAGAGGAAACGGCTACCAACATTTCTTATCCCCATTTCCAGCTCCATGGTGCAGAAGCTCCATTATAAGTAACTGCTGTTGAGTGGTCAGGAGCTCCCTGTCCATGAAATCTGTTGGATGGCAGGTATGTGGCATATATTGAAAGTTGGGTGGCAGATGACAGAAAATTTGGTTGTCAGTATTTATGTGCATCTGTTCAAATGCTACTGAAAGTTCACTAGAGAAAATATATTATGCACCATGAAAGAATAGCCTTTTAAAGTAGGCACTTAAGTTTCTCTGTTAATCTTGGACCTATGGCTGAGAGATAAAACTGAAACTGCTAGTTCTCTTTGTGAGCTTAAAAAGCAGTCTTTTCAACTGGTCATAAAAATCTCTTACTTTGCATCCTAGGGATAGTTAGTCCAGACAGACAGATATTAAATTCCAAGTAATCTTAAATTTCAGAGTTCCTGTTTAGATTGACTTATACGGATTAATAAGTACCTATATAATTCTAATTTAGAGAAATAAAGAATCCCCAGAGAAGAAAAAAATGAACTTCTAAAACTTTGAATATGTCTTAAAAAAATTCATTCTCAAGAAATTACTAAGCTAGAAGCATTTTTATGTATGAATAAAAGTTCACACAGACTGAATCATTGGAGATATCAAACAAGTTTGATAATTTTGGCTAAAAAAAGTTTTATGATAACCACAATGAGATACTACTTCATTCCCTTGCAATATGATGGCTCCTAATCAAAAAGACAATAACAAACATTGATAAAAATGTGGAGAAATTGAAACCCCCATTTATTGCTATGCAGCTGCTTGGGGAAAGTTTGGCAGTCCCTCAAAAGGACAAACATAGAGTTTTCATGTGACCCAGTAATTCCACTCCTAGATACATAAACGTAAGATTTGACAACGTATGTTCACAAAAATATCAAGAATTTTGTCCATAGTCCTTAACTTTTTGGAAGCTCTTTCTACCATAGCCCTTTCCTTATACTAGAAAAGGCTAATTTTCTAACCCTTGAGCAGCTCCCATAGTCCTACTATGAATCCTTATTTAATACTGATTTGAAAAATTATAATTTCTTGAAACAGATTTTATAACTGTACTAAAAGATGATGCAGGAAGGTACAAAACCAAGACTAACCAGAACTTTGATAATATGCAATAATATGCAATATGCAATAATCATACGAAGTTTAAAGAATAGTAATGCTGAATGCAAGAGGTTAAAACAGGCTAGCAAATCTCAAAAACAGGCTAGCAAATTTCAAAAATAGATTTGTCATTAAAAATTCACAGCTTTCTGAATTATCTTCCATAAAAGTTTCTGCAATTTGATGTTTTATTCCTCTCTAGGATAAGCTCAGCAAAACCAGACAGCTTGTGAAATCTAATCAGCCAAATTGCCAAATGAAAGTTCTCTTGATACATTCTAAACTTTTCTTATTGATGTATTTATCTATATTTATAAACTTTCTATATAGACCTATGTTATTTTTCTGGGAAGAATTTCAAAAGAACTTTTGTCAGAGAAATCTATCAAAACATCCAGATAAAAAGAAGAAAACATAAAAGTGGGTCCAGGCAAACTCTTATAATCACTTTTTCAAAAGACTGAAGGTTGTAAATTAGGATCATATGCTTCATCATGCCATGAGCTAAATATGGATAACTCTGAGAAGACTTTTCATAACAAGAATAAATATTTAATGCAATCATGCAAATCATTTTAAAAATGGTTATTTTTCTTGGTTGCCTTTAATGCTAGCCAGAGAAAGAAACAAATCATCACTTTGGTATTTAAGAGTTGAGTCTTTGAGAGTAATGTTTTTTTAAGCTGTTAAGAATCAACCATCCCACAGACAACACCTTATAATACAGCCAGGTTCAAATTCAGTTGGCACTATACCATTCAAGCCAACATCCTGTCCCATCCAAGCCAATTCCCACCTTTTATAAGCCTTTCTATAAAAGCATATTTATTTACTAACATATCATTTATTATGATGTCTTAAAACAAACTTCAATGGACAGTTACGAAAAACTAGTTGAAAAATTGTAACTTTGTCAATTTAGTGTCTTGTTATTACTTTGATATAAAAATTATTTTTTATATGTGATACTTAAAAGGTAGGTATGTGCAGCTTTCATATGTTGAAAGAATAAGAAAATAGTAAGGTTCTGTTTTTCAGAGTAATGCTAACATTTATTGTAGAATAATCTTAACTTATAAAACCTGACACTTTCTTTGTGAAAATACAGATAAACAAGAAACGTAGCAAGTTCATTTTAGTTGCTATATTCATCAACCAATCATCCTTACTAAAAAAATAGTGATGAAAATTTATGGGAAATCCCAAAGGAATTAAGTTTGCAGGATTCAATTCAGTTGGCTTAGCAGCAGCAAAGTGTTAAATATTATCAAGAGAGCTATCTAAATTCAATCCTCTGCCACCAAATAGTAAAACAAAGATAAAAGTAATTTAAACTGGCTATGGGAAATTTTAGAGTATTGCTATATATTTAGGCTTCAAGGAGGGCTTTTAATGAAGTAAAAAATATAATCATAATTTTGCCAATGAGAGTGTGCACTTGACAACATAATTTTCTTTTATCAACCATTACATATGCCCATTACAAAGTCATTCTTTATGACAGCAATTTTCTTTATAAGTAAATACAAAATCTTCCAAGTTATTATTAGATATGATTTAGGCTGAGGATGAAGTTTTAAAATAAAATATTGCTGATATGGAAAATATGACAATAATTTTGCCGGGCTTAACAAAGGAAACATTTATAAATTAGCTATTCTTAGGACTTCATATCACATACTCCTTTATTTTAATCACAGTTCTTCACCAATTTAACAGATCAAGTAGAATGTATTATTATTATATTGATCAAGATGAAGATTACTTTTAGAAAAGTTTTATTCACCCTTATCTCTCTTCCCTTTCCACCCATACCAACACCACACACATGTAAATTATAATTTCTCTACTAAAAATAAAAGAGATTAGAGGAATAGGGAAAGAACTGGCAATAAAGTATTTCATTTAATAGTCAGTTATTCTCTTTAACATGGCTAAGACAAAATGTGGCTTCAGTTTCCCTTGGCTAGAAAGGCCATTCATTGAACTCCTTCAATAAGCTAAAATGGTGTTTAAAGAAATTATGACAGAGTACTTAAAAATAAAGTGATAGATATATACATTCTAACCAAAGTGAAGAAAATAATTGAAAGTGATTATATTTTACAGGTCTTTCCACTCTATTTTTAGTCTGAGTCCACAAAACCCACCTGTATTCTCATTACACTATAATCATAACAAGCACAAATAACCTACCATTATGGGTAACGCTGTCAAAGGGATAGTGAGTTTGGCCAGCCCTACAGGAGAGCAGTTTAAATTTTATCACCAAATCTGCCTAAACACCAGCATTATTTACTTACACTTTTACTCTTTAAAGGAACTTTACCCACGTTTCAACTGTGAACTCATCCAAAGTAATAATATTGATGAAATTGGCATTATAATAATATCCCCTAAAATTATCCCACATACAGTCAATGGTACAGACAAAAATAAATACCAAAAATAGATTATCCTATATAATTTTTCAACTCTATTTCTTTTTCATAGAAAAAATCAATAAGCATATCCTAGCGTAAATTTAGAAACACAGATTAATGTTCAGTTTAATGTCACACTTGCTAATTATGCACTGCAGTGTATCATATAAGCTTTAAAATTTTTGAACAAAGGCAGCTCAGTTGATATATTAAACCTGAAATACTCATTGTCTCATTCTCATATTGGTAGATTAATGAGCTGCGAGGAAGTTTACACCAAATGAAGGTGTAATTCATACCAAATGAAGGTGTATAGTATGTATAAAATTTACACCAAATGAAGGTGTATAGTGTTTATACAAAGGAAAGGCTGACTGAACATTCTACTTGGAGCCTATCTTCCCAGGCACAAAGAGCCTCTGTGGTTTCTACAGCTGATAAGAGTTAAAAGTGACCTTTTACTCTCCTAACAAGTTATTCATATTCATAGGAGAGAAGAAAAAGGCAAAATGTGGTTCAGTATGACAACTCTGCTACTTGTGTTCTATAGAAAAATAATTATACTTTGGCCTCTTTACTTGAATTTGATCCATTCCCTTTACTAAGTGTTTTCCATTCCTTCTGCAATAAAGTTTCAAATCACCTGCCTTTGCATGCTGAAAAAGGTAGAGCCCATTAGAATTTATTGTTTCTGAAAGCAGTTGGAATAATCATCAAAACTCAGAGTCAAGCAGATAAATGAGCTTGCAATGATATAAATTATATTAAAATTTCACTGTCATCATGAACTCAAACTATCCAGACTTTATCTATTAATATCAAACTCTGTAATGCTCCTAAATGTTTATTTTTTTCATGAGAGCTGGAAATGAGCTCTTCCTAGTATATAATTTCTTGTGAAATATAGTTATTAACAATACTAGGTGCAACATTCACTTAATAAAGTTCACAACAATACAATAACAAATGATAGAAAAGAAAGTATGGATTCTAACCACTTTGTCCTCCTTTGGGAAAGCATCCAAGGAAGCAGAGTAGAGAAAGAAGACAAAGAAAAGAAAAACAAAATTGAGCCATGTATTAATAAATTGGTTTTAAGAAAACAATTATGTGTTTCTTCAAAGTATTAAAGCACAACTATTTTGAAAAGTAAATGTTTACTTTTCCTAAAAAATAGTAATTGTTCAATCCTTCATTGAAAATGCAAACATTATGGGTCCTGCTATATGTTAGATACAAGAGTTAGGCACAATAATTTCCTAATATTTTAGAACTTGGATTAGTAAATCTAGATTTAAAATATTCTTCATAAAGAAGGTTAATTCACTACCACATGTAGTCTACCTATTATTGAAAAATATTTTATTAAAATGCATAAAATTGTATCAATAATTTTGTCAAATTATTGTTAAAATATTGATAGTCACAATTTGGGAAAATGTAAAGAATGAGAAATGTTTATAATAAATAAAAATGGGAAGAGAAATATGTTAACTATTTTGGCAATAAATTATTCCACAGGCAATATTTATTTGTGATACACATTTCAACGTTTGTTATAGAAAAAAACAACTTTATACAATGTTTTTGTCTTGTGCTCCGAATGAAATATCTTAAGATGTGTGCTTTCTTTTATTTTGTTCCTTTAAATATTTTTTCCAAGATTGGATGGGTTTAGTAAAGATGAACTACACTAGGCGTGAGTGTCCTCTCCAAAGCGTAAGTACCTCCTACCTCAATTTTCTTTAAACACCCTCTCCTTTTTAAGACCTGATGACTTTAATATATCAATCATTAACTGTATTGCTATTGGCATGTCTCAAACCTATAATGGGAAGTTAAAAGCATTTAACAGTTGTGGGTGCTTAGCAAGCACTAGCACTCAGCTGATCTGCGCCTCATTGTTCACTGCCAACATCTTTTCAGACTGAACAATGTCCTTACCACATGGGTTGTTAAGTATTTTGATGTTGCCTCCAAGTTTTACCTGTAAGAATGTATTCCAAAATAGTGTATTAAAGAGCACTATAGAAGGGGAAGTTAACAAATAGATCTTATGTACTTTCTATGTGCCAGATACAACCTTAATATCCAAGTTTATTTTAGAAAGCCTATAAGGTGGCATATGATGATTGCCTATAACAAACCACTATTAGGAGAGGAAAAGAAAACTTATGGAGTCATAAGAATGGGACCCTAAAGAAAGATTAAATATACATATCATAAAGACCTAGATTTTAGTTATTTTTATTTAATTTTCATAACACCCATACAAGGTAAATATTACTATCCAGTCTTCATAGGTAAAGAAACTGTTCAGAGAAGTTATCTTCCTAAAGCCACAGAGGTAGTAACAGTCTCACCTTAAAGTATAAGATATATTGATCGGCCAGGTGCAGTGGCTCACACCTGTAATCCCAGCCCTTTGGGAAGCCGAGACGGGCGGATCACCTGAGGTCAGGAGTTCGAGATCAGCCTGGTCAACATGGTGAAACCCCGTCTCTACTGAAAATACAAAAATTAGCTAGGCATGGTGGCAGCCACCTGTAATCTCAGCTACTCGGGAGGCTGAGGTGGGAGAAGCACTTGAATCCAGGAGGTGGAGATGGCGGTGAGCCAAATGCCACTGCAATCCAGCCTGGGTGACAGAGCAAGACTCTGTCTCAAGAAAAAAAAGAAAAAAAAAAAAAAAGATATATTGATCATACTCAGTGTCTTAAGTCCACTGGAATAAAGTTTAGAATATCTGACTTGTAACTCAACTAGACTACTAAAGAATATAATGTTGATTGGGAGGTTTGTTTTAAATTTAACTGTAATGTGCAAAATAGAGAAATATCAAGAGGGCTTAAAGATTTCGTGTTATTTTTAAACATGACTTCGTATTATAATCTATTAATGATTAGATAATATGACAAATTCTTTACAGGAACACTGGGAATTCTTTAGCTACATGCTTGTAACTGTTCTACATTAAGCTGCAGATCTCTATCAAGGAAATCTATCAAGATTTCCCTATAAATAATTATACTGCACTATTTTAGAGAATATGATAAAGTATAACATTAAAATGTATTCTAAACTAAATATTTATTAGAATTACTCTAGTATTTCATAAATAATAATATTGGTTCCTATCATATTAGCATCTTAACGCTTCAAAAATTGCATTTATTTAAAGTACTGGCATAACAGGAGTAGGTAGCTCTTATTTAAGCCAAATAAGGAAACATCATCAGGTAAGAATATATCTTATAGAGAAGAAAATGAGAAGTGCAAATCTCAATAGACTTTAAATATCTAAATAATTTCCATGAGATAAGCTTGCCACTGTATTTCTTTAACATATCAGTAAATCTGAATTTACTCTCATAGAGGCTAATCATTGCTTAATATATGACATTCAGTTATTTTGCATTTTACGTGCATTCAATCTGAATACTAATGTTACAGAAATCAAAAGTAGTTAACTTTTTTAAAAGAATTGGTCATAACTTTCAAGAGTTTTATAATTTATGATAATATTAAATCTACATTAACTGCATTTTTCAAAAACCAAATGAATTCTCACAGGTAATCTGTTGGTTTTGAATTGGAATCATGTATTAAGAAACAAAGATAAAGTAAGTTCTTTTTAGGAATTACTTTCATCAGCATTCCACTACCTTATTAAGGACATGAACAAAATGAGGGAGGTTCATTTTAACGTGTATGTTTATGCACATGTCTGCTTTCTAAGATGCACGTGTTCTCATGTTTGGAAGGCGTAATAGTTTTTATCCACATTCACAACGCCCCTTATGTTCATGGAATACTCACGTTGTTTGACCGTAGAGACACGCGGCCTCCGCAGCGCGCACAGAACTTAGTGCGACAATAGGAGCAGAGATGACCGCACCCATCAGCAAACTTTGTTTTATGACAGATTCCACAAGTCGGAGCATCGTCTTTGTGCTCGCCCTGGTAACGCCGCGCTTCTTCCCCTATTTTTCTCACTTGTTCCTTATAGCTTTCAAACTGTTGATGCAATCTCCTAGGCAAAAGAGAAAATGGTAGCAAACTAAGTAAATAGTGGAAGACAAAACCAAGAACAAACAAAACAAGGAATATTTCCTAACAAAAAGGAAGCATAGCTCTTTGAACTAAAGCAAAACATACAAAACTATTTTCCCCACTAACCTTACCTTCAAAGGTAGGATATGTATTAGCATGATTCCATAATCCCTGTTTTGCTTATTAGCACTGAACTATGTGTATGTAGAAGCTACATAAGCCCTGTTTGTCGCCAGCAATGAAATTTGAGTATCTATTCCATGCCTGTTTCTTTTAGATGTTTCAAAATATTTCAACTGAGAGCTCAACACTTTACAACTACAGTCATGTGTGCATATAACTGAAACAAAAATTACACAAAATATTTAGCCTAAATACATATGATGTACTCTACTATTTTCTATCCTATTCTAACTTTAATACTGAATATAATTCAAAAATAAGTTTGTCACAATAAATTGATTCCATGACCCAGTATTTGAGCATGATGCATACTTTGACAAATACTGTTTTAGACTATGTTGCTGGGCAATCTGTCTTCTATCCCCCATTCCTGGAGGCTACTTATCTATTTGGGATCAAGTATCTAATTTAATACAGTACACAGAATGTTAGCTTTTACATTATATTTGAGCTCCTAGTTCTTGCAGTTCACATCAAAAGTTCTAAATCTTACCTTGTAGATATGCAGATTTTTACATAGTTCAATTTTTCATTATTTTAACCAGGTAATATGTATGAAGCTTGCTAGCAACCACTCCTGATTAACTACTGACTGTGGGGACAACTAAAGTTGTCTAGGGAAACCTCCCATTAGAATGTTCACATTTAATGTGATTAAAGTCTCCTCCCATCGACATCAGTTCAAATCCCAATCTTAAATCTCTATAAATAGAACTGTTTGCTGTTCTGAATAGAACACAAGAACATCCAGTGAATGCCCCAGTGGAAGGATGTCTTGGTTTTGAAAATGAGAACTGAGAGTTGTCCTGAGCCTAGCCAATAGTCATTGGCTATTTCGCCAAAAGAGGGACTCCTGCTCAAATTCATCTGGGTATCTGAGCTAGTTTTTTGGATTTGAGTATTCCCTAGGACACAGAGTACACAGATGCTTTTGTTAATTCAGGCAGTTAGTTTGATGTTCTCAATCTAAGATAACTGTGAGGAACTGATACTCCCTGGAAATAGAATCAAATAAGTTAGGTCCAGGTACTGCAGTGTTTGAGGTATTGAGACTTCATTATATTTTCTTTTTAACCTTAATAGCTCTTAAGCAGAACTTCTGTGATTACTTTAAAAATTCTCAAATCCCTTTGCTGCTTTGCCAGTTGGCACCTTTTCTATTTAATTCCAATAATTAAAGCAAACATCCAAGCACCAGCACATAACAGTGTAGTTTAGGATCTGAAATATTTCCCAATTTAAAGGCCAGCTAATATCACTTCATAAAGGAATATATGTGATATTTCATTTAATGAATGCAAGAATATCTGGTCAATTTATCGAAGAGTTATTTGATACACTGAACTTTTTATACTTTAAGTATAATTAATCTAGGGTCAAGCTAGTAGAAAACAACTGTGGGCACTTGTTATTTCAAAAGTTATCATGCAAAATGGCACCGGCAATCTTACTTCTTCCACTAAAGAAAATTATTTTAAGGAAGGGCTGGGCGCGGTGGCTCACGCCTGTAATCCCAGCACTTTGGGAGGCCGAGGCAGGCGGATCATGAGGTCAGGAGATCAAGACAATCCTGGCTAACACTGTGAAACCCCGCCTCTACTAAAAATACAAAAAAAAAAAAAAAAAAAATAGTCGGGCGTGGTGGCGGTGGCTGTAGTCCCTGCTACTTGGGAGGCTGAGGCAGGAGAATGGCATGAACCCGGGAGGTAGAGCTTGCAGTGAGCTGAGATCGCACCACTGCACTCCAGCCTGGGTGACAGAGCGAGGCTCTGTCAAAATAAATAAATAAGTAAAATAATAATAATAATAATTAAGTAATAAGAGCAAGGAAATATATCTAACCAAGGAAACTCTAAGCAGAGAGTACATAAATAAATATTTATTGTGAGAACCACCAAATCAAATCTATTTAAGTAAATATAAATGAGAAGGAGAAAACTAGGCTAAGGAAAAAGTTTCCCTATACACTTATTCTAAAATATAGAACATGATGTAGTATGAGTGTTGGCAAACTTTTTGGAATAAAGCCAGATTGTAAATATTTTAGACTTTGAGGGTCATGTAGTTTCTTTTGCAACTGCTCATTTCTGCTGTAGTAGGAAAGTAGCCACAGATAGTATGTAAATGAATGAATGTAAATATGCTCCAATGAAACTTTATTTACAAAAACAGATAGTAGTCCAGATTTTGCCCATACAGCAGTTTGTCAATTCCTCATTAGTACGTGCTTTATGCTAAGATATAATGGCTTGAAAACCAAAGCCTCTGTGTGTTTTTAAATTCAAACATACGGGAATTTTATATGGTGCAATCAAAAGGGAACCTGTTTCAGGAAATCTTTGTGCAATATATACAGGCAGGGCACTGACCACTGAGATAAAACCTTACTCTATTGCAATCTCATAGCATTTCATTTGGGTCACTCATAGACCATTTAATATTTTTACTATGTTTTATTACCGTACATAACACCTCTCTTCTACCAAACAGTAAACAATATTGGAAATGCAGTTTAGCAAATAGTTCAGGCATACACTTCCTTTGTAGCAGCCAATACACACCCATATTTGCTGAATGGAAAATTTATACATATAGGTATAAATTAGTCTGTTTTGAGAAAAAAGTCCATACAACTTACAAACAAGTTCATATTGAGGACAACATATCCTAATACATCCTACTTCACAAAACACTGAAAATTCTGGGTGTAATATTTAAAAAGGTAACTTTTAATGTACGTTTGAGCTGGAAAGTATGCAAATTCTCAAAGGACAAAAATGAAAGAGAAGCAGTAATTCAGAAAAGTAACATATCTCTGAAGCAGATGCCAAGAAACATGTACTGAGGTTCTGTGACCAAGAACTTCAGTTTTAACTCCTGTAGAAGTGATTGAAAATAAAATTTTAGTTAGGTATTCACCAAAAATAATTGAAATAGAGTGTATGATATCCAAACCAGTAGCGGAAAAAATACGGAATGAGAAAAAAGTCAATCTAAAAGAAGATAAGAGTTAAAATAAATAAATACATAAACATAGACAAAGCAGAACATTTAAATATTACAGTATGACATGGTAAAAAAAAATCTAACACATGAGGAATCACAAATGTTATACATTACAAGAAGTATCATCAAAAGACAAAGATCATCACATTAGATTTTAAAAATCCAGCTAAATGAAGTTTTGAAGAGATATACCCAAAATATAAAGGCACAGAATGTTTGAAATAAAAGGATAGAAAAAAGAGATCTCAGGGAATTATTAAGAAAAACAAACAGAAAAGCAAAAAAACAAAAACTGGTATAGAGCTTAAATTTAAAAGCATTACTACAGAGTGTAAACTACTAGTAAAAAGTATTCATTTTATTTTGCACATGACAATGATAAACTTAATTGCATATAACATATGTATATCTATCCAGTAGATTAAACTTACTAGTTAATCTTATTGAGTTCTCTTTGTGTGTGTATGTGTGTGTATACATATATGTATATACATATATACACACATGTTTTTATATATATATATATATACTCACATACATATGCTTAATACATATCTAAACTTTTCCCAAACTCTCTAGGACCCGAAATTCCTAAAATCGTTTTATTTCTTAAGCTAGTGGCGGAGGGGTTACATGATGTAGTTTATTTTTTCTTTACACCTTACATGTATGTTTTATAATACTGTTTTGTATGTATGAATGATTTAATATTAGAAAGAAAAAGATTCAGATTCAGTTCTGTCTCATCAAATAGCATTGAATAGCAAATCAGGGCTACATAGAATTGAAGGTCTCCTGGCTGTGACAGGTGGGCAGGCAGCAATTATTCCTTTTCTAGTTGGTCATGGCAAGTGAGTTGGTTGGATGAGACTTCTCCACTGAGGTATGACGGTGAGATCTCTAGCTTCTCACTTTCTCCATGGGGGATCTTGGAGTAGGTCCTAAGGAAGACAGCCACCAGGGCACCATGTTCTTCTCCCAGAGGGACATACCTAAGTGGCCTGGGGCAGCTTTTCACCAAGTGCTTCATCCCAAAGCTCATGAGGCCATTCACACAGCCATCACTCCAAACTCTACAGGGAATCACATCCTTCTCAATGCTGGCCCTTGGTGACCTGTACCCATCTATGCCCTCCTCTCATGTGCTTTAGAAATTCCTTTTTTGTTTCAGCAGCAGGTCTTGTTTAAACTACTGGTATAGACGTCCCAGTAGGGAGTATAATGAGAGAAGAAAGAGCTTGCTTTTTCTCAGTCTATAACTCTCTTAATCTTCAAATATTTTTTCTTTCTGGGTTTCTTCCTTTACTTACAGATAAGATTCTCTTATTCTGCTCTGGAAGAAAAAGTCCAACTCAGGTCCCTGTCAACTTCTCCAACTTATTTCCTGCAATGCTCCTTATTTTACCAGCCAATATTATGGAAGGAAGGAAGGAAGGAAGGAAGGAAGGGAGGGAGGGAGGGAGGGAGGGAAGGAAGGAGGAAAGGGAGAGAGGGCATTCCTCACTCCTACGTCCTTAAAATCTACCTATTCCATAACCTGCACTGTTCTATTAAATTGTTCTCTTAAAATACAACCTTAATGCCCTTTTCTCAATTCATATTCCCCTTACATTACTCTGATATCTCATGTTGTCAAGATGCTGTCCTCATAATAAAATGTGCCTTTGGAAGCAAGATACTGGTAGTGAAACCATAAACAGCACATTTATTTTTTGTATCTGATGTTTTAATGCTTTAAGATTTGTGACAGTGTTCTATTATGAATAATAAATGGAAATACATATTTTATTAAATGGTCTTACAGTAAATGTGGGACTGCAAATGTAAAACCTTTTTGTGAAATTTATTTGTACACTTCGATTTTAGAATTAACAATATATTCTTATTGACTAGTGAGGTTAACAAAATATATGATCACAAATCACAGATTTAAATTATCCACATGGAAAATGGAGAGTATTGTAAAATACACAATGCTATCAAAAGAAAAGCATTGATATTGAAACTTTCTCCCAGGATATGAGGTTCTGTTTTTTTTCATTGTTTCACTATATAATAATTGTTGCATTATTTTAATAATTGTACATTCAATTCAAGAAACTCTAAAATTCAATTTGTAAAAAAGTTGTTTGGGTGATTAATAGCATATATTTCAAAAGAAACAAAGATGAATGCCTAAAAAACTAAATATTATTCTATAAATGTCTGAAAATCTAAATATCATGCTATGAATGCAAAATAAATAATTTAAACAAGCAATTATTGATGACATTTGTACAAATTAATATGTATTTGTTGAACAAGTAAATCATAATAGTGGAATGTAGAGAAATCCTTCTAATTAGTGCAGAAATTCACATTTTTCTATTTGGTATTTTTTCTTCTCCCATTCCCAAAGTAATGAGAATCTAGGAGAAAATTCTACCTTTCTTCCTGGATTTCCTTTATGAAGTCTAGGCAAATAGAACTGGATTTTTCCAGAGGAGGAAAGGATGGAAGCTATTGTTTTAAAGTTTTAAAACTCCAAGTGGTAGGTTCTGAGAGCAGGTGAGGGCTTTCTCTGAGGTAAAAGCAGGGCAGAGGCCAGGATAGTTTGCATGCAGGACTTCCAACAGGAGGATTGCTTTAGGATGTGTGTACAATGGTGGAAGGGCATAGGTGCTGAAAACAATAAGCATGGCCTCTGTTTCCCTTGACGCCTTTGGCACAGAAAACAGATCAGTGCCATCACGCGTTCCCTTCGTCAACCTTAGCACATGGGCACCACCAAGTCCTTATGAAGTTAGTGGCATGGATATTAAAGCCAGGAGAGTTGTTCTGAGAACGATGGACTGATTAAGAGCCTCCAAAAAACACGGGGGTTGTCCAAGAGGGAGCCCTAATAATGACTGAAATTCAATGTTTTGCTAGTCTAGTAGGTTGGAGGCTTGTTTATACACATTTTGACATCACACTACACTGTTGAACATAAATTCACAGTTCTTGACTTCAATGAATGTATAATCAATTTAGAAAGTAAGTTATACATAAATATAAATTAGCAGTTCATGACAGCATGTACCAGTGTCAAAGAAGGACAGTAAGTCATATAGTTTTACAGTTAAAAAACTCTTTGTTGTCCCCACAACACAATTGTCCCCCTTTTAGTGAAACTGCCTTTTTGATTCCACTCTATAATAGAGGAGCTATAAAAGTTTGCAAAATTTCAAGGGTCACTATTTTTTTTTTTAATGATGTTTGTACATCGTGGCTTCTTGTGTCAGAGTTGAGTAGAAAATAACAAACAGCACAGTCTTTTAGACAAAAAGGTTAAATAATGGAGTTTTCTGCTACAAAATAGTTGGAAGAGGGATGGTTGTGGGGTCTTGGATTGATCTCTTGGAATGCCCCTCAAAACAAAATCACAAGCTAACTACTCAAAGTTCCACCATCAGGCCAGGCACAGTGGCACATGCCTGTAATTTCAGCACTTTGAGAGGCCAAGGTGGGTGAATCACTTGAGCCTAGGAATTTGAGAAATGCCTGGGCAACAAAGCTAGACCCAATCTCTATAAAAAAAATTTTTTTTTATTATACTTTAAGTTTTAGGGTACATGTGCACAATGTGCAGGTTAGTTACATATGTATACGTGTGCCATGCTGGTGCGCTGCACCCACTAACTCGTCATCTAGCATTAGGTATATCTGCCAATGCTATCCCTCCCCCCTCCCCCCACCCCACCACAGTCCCCAGAGTGTGATATTCTCCTTCCTGTGTCCATGTGATCTCATTGTTCAATTCCCACCTATGAGTGAGAATATGCGGTGTTTGGTTTTTTGTTCTTGCGATAGTTTACTGAGAATGATGATTTCCAATTTCATCCATGTCCCTACAAAAGACATGAACTCATCATTTTTTTATGGCTGCATAGTATTCCATGGTGTATATGTGCCACATTTTCTTAATCCAGTCTATCATTGTTGGACATTTGGGTTGGTTCCAAGTCTTTGCTATTGTGAATAATGCCGCAATAAACATACGTGTGCATGTGTCTTTATAGCAGCATGATTTATAGTCATTTGGGTATATACCCAGTAATGGGATGGCTGGGTCAAATGGTATTTCTAGTTCTAGATAAAAATATATTAGCCAGGCATGGTGGTGCATGTCTGTAGACCCAGCTACTCAGGAGGCTGACATGGTAGGATTGTTTAAGCCTCGGAGGTCAAGGCTACAGTGAGCCATGATCATGCCACTGCACTCCAGCCTGGTTGACAGGGTGAGACCCTGTCTAATACAAAAAACAAAACAAAACAAAAATACCAAATTCCTCAATCAGGAAGCCGCAGAAATCAGAAACCTACTGTCCAAATGGCTAGTGTTAGTGTCCTACCACCTCAGCTAAGGTATTCTGATCTAGAAGCCACCACAAGAGCCACAGCAGGAGATCCCGGGAAAATGATGCCCAGTGTGTTGTCGTGGCTCTGCATCTAAATCAGTTTCAATTCAAATCTCATGCAAGCCCATTTGACTGATGGAACCTAAATTACATCAGGAATTCTAGCTGCAGGAGAGTCTATGAAATGCAGTTTTCAGATTTCTAGCTTTTTCGTAAGACTTCCTAAAATGATTTTGAAATGTATATTGTGAGGGTCAGTCTTCCACTTCAGCTACAATCCTCTAATCTATGTCAAATTGCTTAATTCCTTCCACTGTACCAGGGGTGAACAATATCTGAGTCTAAGTCTAAGATCTCCCTTTCCCATTCATTTTCCATTTTATCTCTCTCCCCTCCCTCTCTTCCCCTCCTTTCCTTCCCCTCCTCACCTCTCCTTCCCTCTCTTCTCTTCTCTCCTCTCCCTCCCTTTCTTTTTCTTCATCATACACTAAGCATACATTACTATGGAAAGCATTTTGCCACCACCAGGAAATTTAAAAAATAGATTCAGTTCCCCAAGCAAATTACTTATATGAGGGGTCTTCAAAAAGTTCATAGAAAATTAGTATTACTAAAAAACTATGCATTTTCAAAACTTTCTTGCACCAAAATGAACTTGTAATAACTGTTATAACATGTCTGAAAAGTACCTACTAATAGTTTGAGCCACTAAGAAGGATAAAACATAAGTTTGAAAAGAGCTTCTATGAGAGCAACATGAATTCCTCTAAAACTGAAGCAAGAACAAACATGAAATTTCAAGTGACCGGGCACAGTGGCTCACGTCTGCAATCCCAGCACTTTGGGAGGCTGAGGCAGGTAGATCACCTAAGGTCAGGAGTTCGAGACCAGCCTGGAGCCGGGCCAACATGGTGAAACCCCATCTCTACTAAAAATTACAAAAAATTAGCTGGGTGTGGTGGCAGGCGCCTGTAATCCTAGCTACTCAGAAAGCTGAGGCAGGAGAATCGCTTGAACCTGGGAGGCAAAGGTTGCAGTGAGCCGAGATCAGGCCATTGCACTTCAGCCTGGGTGACAAGAGTGAGACTCGGTCTCAAAATAAATAAATAAATAAATAAATAAATAAATAAATAAATAAATAAAGTAAATAAATAAAATAAAAATTAATGCAAGTGAAGTTTGGGCAGAAGAATGGTGAAATCACTGACACTTTATGAAAAATTTATGGAACAATATTCCAAATAAATCAGCAGTTTACAAGTGGATGACTCATTTTTAGAAGGAATGAGATGATGTTGAAGATGAAGCCTGTAGTAGCAGACCACATACATCAATTTGTGAGGAAAAAAATCATTTTGTTCATATCCTAATTGAAGGGTACTGATAATTAACAGCAGAAATAGTAGCCAGCACGATAGACATCTCAATTGGTTCAGCTTACACAATTCTGACTGGAAAATTAAAGTTGACCAAAGTTTCCATTTGATGGGTGCCAAAACCATTGCACCCAGATCAGCTGCAGAGAAGAGCAGAGTTTTCAATGGAAATTTTATAGTGGGATAAATATGCTAAAGTATTTATTTGAAGATTTGTTAATAGTAGATGAAATATGGCTTTATGAGTATGATCCTGAAAACAAAGCACAATCAAAAGAATGGCCTTCAAGAGGTGGAAGTGGTCCAGTCAAAGTAAAAGCAGACCAGTCAAAAGCAAATGTCATGGCAACAGTTTCTTGGGATGCTCAAGCCATTTTGCTTGCTCACTTTCTGGGGGGCCAAGGAATGATGACATCTGCTTATTATGAGAGTGTTTTGATAAAGTTAGTCAACCTTTAGTAGAAAAAGTCCCAGGGAAATGCCATCTGAGAGTCCTTCTCCACCATGACAATGTTCTTGCTCATTCCTCTCATCAAACAAGGGCAATTCTGCCAGAGTTTTGATAGGCAATCATTAGGCATCTACCTTACAGTCCTAAATTGAATTCTTCTAACTTCCTTTTGTTTCCTAATCTTAAAATGTCTGTGAAGGGCACTAATTTTTCTTCAGTTAAAGTTATAAAAAATACTGCATTGGCATGGTAAAATCCCCAGGACTCTCAGTTCTTTAGGGATAAACTAAATGGCTGGTATCATGGGTTATAAAAGCATCTTGAACTTCATGGATCCTATGTTGAGAAATAAAGTTTGTAATTTTTTATTTTTAATATCTTTTTTCTGCAAGCTTTGTGGATATATGTACTTGTGTCTGTCTCGCTCATTTTATCTGGTTAAGAAGCTGCAGGGACAGCAAATCAACGTAAAACTTGGACTGAGATACAAGGTACATATACAATCAAACGAACAAACAACCTCCTTCTTTCTGTAGTGATTTAATGCACAGCACAAATCTATCACCTGTGAATGAAGGCCCTCATTATTCTTAGCTTGTATTATTTCATTAGCTTTCTAACTAGGCTTCCTGCCGATGGTTTCCATCATTCTAGTGCATCTTTCATACCGCCTGAATGATCTTCCTAATAAACTGAACCAATCATGTCAATCTACTGATTAAATATCATCTCTGAGGTAGTTCAATTTCTCATCCTGTGGTACAAGGTCCCCACTTACTTATCTATTAGCATCTCTCACATACGTTTTCTCATACATCTTACACTACAATCAAATTAAACTTTCCAGCTGTTTGTCAAACACAGTAGAATCTTCCAAACATCAATTCAACAAACATCTACTGAGGTCTGTTGCACAACCCACACTCCTTAAGGCTCTGGGAGTACAAAGAAAGTAGCATAAGAAGGTCTTGAGTTTCTATTATTTTATTACCTGATATTATAAATACAAGTTGTTTACAGGTGTCAGGCATATGCATAGTATCCTGCAAAAAGAAGCAATTGCAATTGCAAACGTATGTAACTCAGATGAAATCGCTTTTACAGCAGTGTATTTTTCCTTCAGCCTTGAACTTCCTTTCATAGCTTGAACTCTTACCAAGTGTCATTAAAAATTATCAATACTTTACTAATCTAAATTTACTTAGGTGAATTTTTCACCTAACACCAGCTGTAGGAATATAATATGCTATTCTAGATATGAGCATACAGGCTCTCCTTTGGAAGAAATATGAATTATTCTACCATTTGCCTTTGTCGTCTCCTTCAACGCTTTTTGTGAATCACTTCTGAAATTTAAGAAATCTAGTTGTACAAGCTTAAAACCAAGGTTTTCTTCTTTGCCAGGACTTGGGGTTCATCACTATGGCATTCGCTTAAGCACTTTTCTTAGAGTGAGACAAGATGAAGGAAGGATTCCAAAATCCAGTGTAAAATGAAAACATTTGGGAAAATATAGACACAGGAGAAACTCCAAAGATTAGTGGGTACAATTTCCTCATTTTATAAATGGGAAAATTTAGGGACACGCTTTATGTGCCTTACATAAGGCTGGTAAAATGGTTGGTGATAATTAGGTCCTCTGTTTCAAACTTTCCACTACACCATTCTATTTTCAGAATGCTAATTTTAATTATGGCTAAAGGAACGGAAAGTTATTGCTTTGTAAGAGGTGTTTCCTTGGTATCCTCAAACTTAATATGCATTAGAATTATCTAAGGGGCTTGTTAAAATGCAAATTTTTGGACAAACCTACAGAGCTTCTGATTCAGTAGGTTTGGGATAAATTCCAGGAAGGAGCTTTTTTAGTAGTTCTGGTGCAAATTATCCAGAGACCACCATGTGGCAGAGACTGCAAACATTAAGAATAAACTTGAAAATGAAGGCAATTTTTTCACAGATCTGTCATCTCATTTCATAAAAATAATCATCCCAATGAAACTTTAAGCATAAATGCAAAATCTGGGGCACTACCCCTCTGAAAATATGCTGAATAATTTAATATTATGTTATATACACATATTTAACCTGATATCCATCACTGTTTAAAACTTACAATTTTGTGAATCACAGAAATGTGCACATTTGTATATGTGAGTTTTAAAAAGCATCACAGTGTTTTGTACACAGGCTTAAACATAGGTTGCTTCAGAGGCAATATTCTAAATATCTCAGTAATTCAGAAATTTACCCCAGATGTTATTGAGTAATTTTTGAAAATTACTACAGTTCTACAAATTATCAGTTTGTATCTAAAAACGTATTTGGTCTTTAGTTTAAAATGAGTATACTTTTTTCTTATTGCAAATGTCCAGCAGATGGCACTAAAGCATTTTATTTTTGCATTCAATTCTGTCACAGTTATTTAAATTACTTTTCTTTACAACATCTTATGTGTTAAAAAAAAATTAGTACAATCAGCAGGAGATTTGACTTATTAGGAAAATGTGTTTTCAGAGGTGGCTGAAAAAGAACAAAAGAAAAATTTATAAAATGTTGCAATTTCTGCTCTTTTGCAGATGACTATCATTCTACATACCCTTTTAAAAAATTATATATTAAGGGTTTTTGTATATTTTTCTATTGTTGGTAGTTTTTATGGTCCCCCATTTAGCATTGTTAAAAATGAAGTTCATCCAATCAGCATCCCACAGTGTTCTGAAAGCACTGAGAGATGACACTTACAAAAAATAAGAGCATAACCGATGATTAGCTATTAGTGTTTTATAGTCTATTGCTTCAGTCAAGCATTTATTTTTAATTCCATTTTCAATTTACCATAGGAGGCCACTCCCGAGTAAGCATTAAATGAAGACATCTGAGGACATGGAGGCCCACTAGCATAGATTTGTTTTCTGCTGCACTCCATCTCCCAATAAATACCTTCACTGTGTTCCTGAATGCTGTGAGGTGCTACATGTGTAGAAGGCTCATGTGTTGGGTCCTAGAAATACTGTTTCTAGATTATGGAACAATATTACTGCTTTCTAATATTGGAGATATATCAGAGGTCTGAAACTGAAAACCTCGTTCAAGAAAGGGTAATTTTAATATTTTGACAAACAAGTTATCTCATTCACAGTACAATTCAAGAGAAGAAAATCAAGTAAAATTATGAGAAATCATAAAGTAGGATATGAATTAGGAATGTAATTTTTAAAAGGAATGAAGTAAGTTTTAAGAAAATAATCTTAATAGGTAATATTGGGATCATCTATATAACAGATATGTAATCAACTGATATTAAATAGGTCTAATCATACTCCATGCAAACTTTTCCAGAATGTGTCACGTGATCATGCCAACCTAACTAATGCATAAAGAGCAAACTCCATGTGTTGGCAATTTAGAAGACAGTGGTGTCTACACATATGAGCAAGCCAAAGTGTTAAGTAACCAATTCATGCTTGCATCTTCTGGAATGCACAACACACTGTAAACATTGCCTTTGCTCTGTTGTTGACTATCTTCACCAAATTGCTTTGTTATGTTACTATAAAGAGGGAAAAAAACCAACCCAACTACATTATACAACTGGACACTTTTTGGAAGGAATTAAATATAATAGTTCAGGCATAAGTGTGAGTCTGGCCTGGTCAGGATCAAATCTAGTTCTATTTCTCAGCTTCATGACCATGAGGAAGTTATTTAAACTCTGTTCCTCAGTCTCCTCATTTATGAACTGGTGATAATAATAGCAACTTTGTAAGATTATTGGGAGGGTTAATTGAGATAATCAATGTAAAGTGCTTAGCACCGTGTGTAGCCTATGGTAAAAGCTCAATAAATATTAGCTATTATTATTATACGTAGACATAGATAATACATGAGGGAAACAGAGTACTTCGCTTTTAAGTTTCTGAGTACACTTAGCTGATAACTTTGGGAGGCAGTGATGACTGGCAGGATTTCCTGGCAGATGGGGATCAGTATGAGTGGCTTGGATGATCTATCAATAGACCACTAGCGAGGGGCAAATAGGTCATCTTGTGAGATGGAAGTCAGAGTGAAAAATGAGCCCACAAGCAAAATTTGTTTTGTGGAAACTCCAGAAGATACAACCACTGGTGGAACACGTGTAATTTTGTCTGAAAATTTTTTCGGCATTTTTATGGTCATTGCTGATTCACAACAAACAAAAAAAAAGAAAGGAGATTCTAAAAATCTGATATTTATAAAAAGAGTATTATCATTAGTATTATCACTGCACTGATAAATGTAAATTGGCTGAATCACAAATATTTCCAATGCTCTGAAATACTTGGTGAATGAATGATATACAGAAAAATTTTAACGTGAAAGACTTGTTTTCCTTTTCATGTTTAATATCTGATAAATTTACATACATCAAATGTATCCTTCTTATTAGTGAGTTAACCAAATTTTGTTGCCTTTTCTTCTTTTAGGTGAAAAACTATGTTCAGGCATGTGTTACCTAAGGGAGGGGAGCTTTCAACATTACTTTGACAAAGTATCATTACCTTACATTTTTAATATTTGATCAGAATAATTCCTTTAAAACATCAATGGTCCTATAAAGCTCTTCAACCTGCTTTGTTTCTCAGAAATCACAGAGCCACAAGGGAATAAATGAGAAGTGCAATGTCCCCTAATTTCCACAACATCTAATGGCTTCATCTCCCTGGACAAACTCTTCTGTTGGTAAAGTTTGTGCTCACCCATTCTGGTTACCAGGGTCTCTATGTGGCCACTTGTGACATTCCTGTCTTGTCTGTTCAGAGGTTCTGAACACCCACTTATCCCTAGTGAGGGTATAATGAAGATATGCCGCTCCTACTCTGAGTGTAGAAGGAAAGTATATTACTTGCTTCTTGACCCCAAGAAGTGAGTGCACAAGCATATTTCTTAGTTTTAGATTTAATCTCCATGTGTGCCAATACTTGAGAAAAGAGCAGAGCCCAGTGGTTCTAGCGCCAAATTTCCTGGGTTCAAAACTTTCTTGGGCTCTTCCTCTTATTAGCTTCTGATCTGGCAAGTTATTTAACATGCAAAGACTCCACCTCTTCCTCTGTAAAAGGAGGATAATAATGCCTACCTACTGTGGGGTTGTTGTGAGGATTAAAATGGCTAATATGTATATGCAAAGCACTTAGGGAGGTGTGAGACAATAGTAAGTACTCAGTAAAATATTAGCTATTTTATAATGTATAGAGGAAACAGTGAACAAAAATCAGATAAAACATCTATTATGGTCCTGTGAAGTGTAACATTATTCAATGGATTGAAATACATAAATAGGATCTAGAACTATGAAATAAAATACATAGATTGAATCCAGATTCTTAAAAGCAGTGCCATCAAATATTCTATTTGTAAAGCTTAAGTTGAATAGCTGAGTAATAAAAAATTTATTCCAAAAAGGCTTCCTCTTTTTCAGTTTTAAAAGCAGAAGAATACAAGCTTCCTGAATTTTACTTGCACAGTATACTGAATTAGTCAGCCATCATTAGGTACAGTATTTTCTAATGCATTCTGGAGTGCATTTCAAGGCAAGTGACAAGATGTAATTTTCTTCCCATTACATTTGCTAATGATGACATCTGTTTTCATCATTTAATTAAAATACATTGTTAATATGCATATAAAACCTAACTATCATCTAAATAACATAACAGGTGTTGTAAATAACTTAAGTTCTTTTATATCCACGAAAGAGAGATCATAAAACCAATAATTCAAATATTACTGCTAATGTAGAATATAAAATTCCAGAGACTATCAGAAGGATTTTTAATTTATACAAATGCAGATGTATTCTATATCTGTCCCATGTAACCCAGAACCCCTACCACTGTTTAATCAACTCCAGACAACCTCTTCTACCCTCACCAGCCACTGCTTGGTAATAATCAAGTCTATTTTTAAAACTTACCATTTTATGGTATGGTATATTTAGATACTAAAAAAAAAGTGTCATAATGCTTTCACTAATCACAGTGCATACAAAGCTAGGAGCAGTCATTTTACCTTTCATAATATTGCACCATCTATGCGAAACTTTGAATAATATGAAGGTACTTTGAATTTGAACCGCATTTAATTCAATAGACTGTGTCAGAACCCTGGACAGAAAATCTTGCAGTTTTTGTCACTGTCATGATCCAATCAAATTAACCATGATCTAATTCCAAGTCAACAGTTCTATTGATTTTGTAGCAATTGGTCAAAATGAAAACACTTTGCTATACTTCACTTATGAGCAACACCCTATTTTATCTATTTTTGGTCATTTCCTTTGAGTATTTGAGTAATCCCCTCTGATAAATCATCTTAACCTTAAAATCTGGGTCTCATCCTTTCTTACCCAATTCAGTAACCCCTGCATCAAGTCCCTTAGAACAGGCAATTGGTAAATATTTAGAGTTCAATTGAACTGAAAGCTGTTCAGTGGAGTAGCCCAGGAAACGTACCCTGTGTGTGATTCTAAGGAGAAATCTACTTGTCCTCTGACTCTTTAAGTTTTATTGCCCTTTGCCCTTCTTAGGGTTAAACTTAGCATATTGAAAACATTGTAGCTACTCAGAGTGAAATTCATATTATATTATCATCTGAGGACTTTGAATGCTAAGTAATGTTTTGTTACTACTGATTTCCCTGTTTTTTTAAAGTGTAAGTAAGGTAGTTAGAGAAGGCTTCACCAAAAGGTGAAATTTGAGCAAAGACCTGAAGGAGGTGAGGGAGCACATTACAGAGAGAGGGGCTTGGCAGAGGATGCAGCAAGTGTGAAAGGCCTGAGGTGGGAGCCCACCTGGTGAGGCTGAGGCAAAGTGGCTGGGCCCCTGTGGTAGGAATGGACTGAGCAAGGGCAGAGGAGGAAGAGGGTACACAGGTTATGTGAGCTTTCTTCATCATCATCGGGATTTGGCTTTTACTCTGGGTGAATGGGAAGCCATTGGAAGAGTCTGAGCAGAGGAATCAGATAACTGGACTTACATTTTCATACGCTCCCTCTGGCTCCTATGTTTGTAATAGAAGACAGCAAGGAGGAAAGCTGAGACTCCAGTCAGGAGGCCTGGCAATAATCCAGCTTACAGACAATGGAAGTCTGGACCATAGCTCTGATAGTGGAGGTGGGGAGTGTTCAGTTACATCTTCCTTCTACCTTGCTTTAACTCTCCCAGAGTCTGTGCAGGTAGGCACATTTTATGTTCATGACTGTTATGTACTTTGTTTTGTATTTTATTTTATTTTTGAGATGGAGTCGCGCTGTGTTGCCCAGGCTGGAGTGCAGTGGCATGATCTCGGCTCACTGCAACCTCTGCCTCCCGGGTTCCAGCGATTCTCCTGCCTCAGCCTCCCAAGTAGCTGGGATTACAGGCATCTGCCACCATGCCTGGCTAATTTCTGTATTTTTTTTTTTTTTTTTTTTTTTTTTTTTTTTAGTAGAGACACGGTTTCACCACGTTGGCCAGGCTGGTCTTGAACTCCTGACCTCAAGTGATCCACCTGCCTCAGCCTCCCAAAGTGTTGGCATTACAGGAATGAGCCACCGTGCTCAGCCCGTTTTGTTTTTTAAAAAAACGATTGTCAGGTTGCATTTTTCTATTTTATTTTATTGATTGATTGAATTTTGAGACAGAGTCTCTGTCTGTCACCCAGGCTGGAGTGCAGTGACACAATCACAGCTCACTGTAGCCTCAATCGCCTGGCTCAGGCAATCCTCCCATGTCAGCCTCCCAAGTAGCTGGGACTACAAGCACGCCCCACCATGCCTGGCTAATTTTTAAATTTTTTTGTAGATACAGGGTCTCACTATGTTATCCAGGCTGGTCTCCAACTCCTGGGTTCAACTGATCCTCCTGCCTTGGCCTCCTAAAATGCTGGGATTACAGGCATGAGCCACCTCACCCAGCTGTATTTTTCTGCTTCATACTGTGCATGTTTTCTCAGCATCAAAGACAATTATTGCCAAATCACATCAAGTGAAGGGTGTTCAACTTTCTGAGCCTGAGTGACATCAAAGAAAACTGTGTCTCATAATTGGAAGAGGGTGCAGAAGTATGATAATATATTATCTCATAGTTAAAAAATCCATATTTATTTGACACTCTATTGGCATCATGAATGAAGTATCCACCTGACACCTACCCAGCATCTGAAACCTGGCAATCACTATAACATGAAGGTAGACCCTGCTTGATACATCAAACAGCTTAAAAGTTCCCAGAAATTTTAATTATTTTATATGTGCTATTAATATTGTGTAAGGAATCTGAATACACAGTAATCCCACATCTGGAAATCTTATGTAAGTAGTGTTCCTTCAACCTCTTTTTGTTTCTTCTTGCTTCAGTGCTAAGCCCCAGTGGTCATACCTTTTTAGTCCATGTACAAATCAAGGTAGAGGTTATATTAAATGGTTATTAGAATGCAGGCTCTATGAAGGAATAAAAACAGCTCCAACTCTTAGGGCTTTTTAAATCATCTTTTTCTGTTTGTTTTGTAATAGATTCCACCTTTTCTTAGGAAGTTATACAAACGTGAACTGTGATGTGATAAAGTTAACTTCCTCAAATATGTTAAATGCTTAGTATGTATAGTGTTTGGGTGTATCTGTGTGTATGTGTGTATAGATATATATACACATATAAATATATAAAAAAACTTTGTTAGATGATCCAGGATACTGCAGAGCCTCAAGGTCTTCCATTTAATATGAGTTCTCATTGTGCTATGCTATAAATTTAGATATGGAAAGTAGGCATGTATAATTGGTTCAGATGCTGAGAAAATGCTCCTTTAAATAAAGGAGCATTGTTTTTGTTTGCTTGTTTTTTTGTGTTTGTTTTTGCTTCTCCTAAGTCTAGGAGAAAGCTTCTACCTAATGAAGCAAACAGGTAGTGAACTAAAGATAGGTTTGGTATAGCAACCTGTCTCAACTTCCGATATAGGCACTAGTCTCTGCATAGTAAGCTCTGGGCATGGCTGCTGCAGCCACTACCAGTTTTGTAAGGATAAGTATCCTTGCCAATATAACAAGAAAATATTTCACAGAAAAAAGGGAACTTGCAAGGAAGATAATACATGAAGTATTAGGGAATAGAACTGGAAGGAAAGAGAGAGAAATAGGGAGAGCTCAGATTAACTACAGGCAAAGAGTGAGGTAACATTTCATAGTAATTACTTGCATCTAAAACCTGGTGTGTACAGTATGTCTCCTGCCTAAAAATAATTTAAACAGCCTGGCTAAGAGCACCGCTAATTTGTCACTGTGTGCAACCTGCTGCTCACCTTTCTATAGTATCTGTGTGAAAAGGCATTTTAAATCCTACTATAACCACATAATCCAAACATCACCAAATGATCAGATTGCAAGCTTCATTTAGAAATGCTCTCAAGTCTAAGGATACATGGATTATTATAGTTTTTAACAGATTGCTTTCAAAACCCAAAGATTTCTGGGTTTTGTTTTAGCTTTAAATACCATCATAGTAAACAAAAGCGTAGAGGCATGAGGCAAGGGGGGATTGTGTTATAAATTTTAGAAAATTTCACTATCATCTAAAGTGAAGCTATCCCCTTTCTTTTACTCCTAGGTTAATGAAAGCCCAGAAAAGGGTTTCGTCGAATGTCCATGGTCAGCATCCCCTAAGTAAGGGCATTATTACCAGATACAAGCCAGGGCTGGAACAAAGGCTCTGCCAGTGATTTGCTGAGTGATCATGAATAAGTGAATTAGTCCATCTAAGCTTTATTTCCCTCATCTGTAAATTGAGGGTAGTAACTGTACCTCTTAGGACTTTAGAGAATGTTGGTGTAATATCTGACACAGCTTTAATGCTTAGTAGATCTCAGTTCTCTTTCACCACTTTCAACTTTCAGAGGAGTGTGTTTTGCTCCTTATTCTGTTTCTACAGAAAAGGGTAGGAGAGAGGAATGGAAAGACCAATAAAGTAAGAAGACCTAAGTGTGAGTTGTGGTTTTGTCTCTTACATCCCGGACAACTTTGGACATAGCCCCTTAGCACTTCTGAACTGGGATTCTTTCTGTCTCTTAAGAGTGATACATTCATAAATTCAACACATAATAATTGATCATCTACTGCATACCAGGTGCTTTTGAGGCACTGGTGATATAAACATGAACAAAACTAAGTCCTTGTTCACAGAAAACTTGTAGGTAACTAAGAGAGGCAGGTGATAAATCAGATTAACAAAAGAACATGGAGAAATAGCAGGTAGCTTTAATAGCTAGGAAGACAAATAAAAGAGAGAAACATACAGACACGCCCCTGGCTAGGGGTAGGACATGGCTACATAGACAGGATTGTCAGGGAAGCCTGAGTGAGGAGTGGGATCCTGAAGGACGAGGAGAAACACGCCTTCCACTCATGTGGGGAAGAGGATTCCAGGCAGATGGAGCAGCCCGTGCAAAGGCTGGACAGGAAAGAGCTTGGGTCAGGGCAGACGAGGCAGAGTGGAGTGGGGATTGGAGATAAGGTCAGTTACATGAAGTCAAGAAGGCCTTGAGAACCATGGAGGGAATTTTTTATTTTCTTCTAAGCGGAATGGGAGGTCACTGAAGGACTTTTATTGACAAATTTATGTGATGGGACAGAGAATTGAAAGAATCCCTTTGTTTTTCCCAGGGAAACCAGACCATAAGCAAGGCAGTCCAGGAGAGAGGCAAGCCACATGGTTCTTTGAAAGAGTGCTTATGCTGGAGGTAGTAAGGAAAAGTCAAGCTGAGGATTTTTTTAAGCCCTCACACCAATGTAAAATATTATTTCAGTGCAGAAAATTATTTCCCAGGATAGCATCATCCCTGGAAGTCTCTGGAGCGCACTTTATTTTTAACCACTTACTAGCTCTGTAACACTAAATAAATTACTCTACCTCCTTTAACCCTCAGTGTTATCGACTGAATATTCAAATGTTAAATTGAACCCAGAATTCAAATATTAAAACCCTACCCCTCAGTGGAGGAGTCATATTTGGAGGTGGAGCATTTGAAAGGTAATTAGGTGGAGATGAGGCCATATGGGTGGGGCTCTCAAGGTGGGATGAGTGTCCATATAATACTTGGAAGAGAAACCAGAACCCTCTCCCTCTCTCCACCATGTGAGAGCACAGTGAGAAGGGGGCCATCTGCAAGCCAGGAAGATGGCCCTTGGCAGGGAACAAAATTGATGGGCACCTTTATCATGGACTTTAAGCCACCCAGCCAATGGTATTTTGTAATGGAAGCCTAAGCTAATATACTGAGTTTCCTCATCGGTAAAATGGGGATAATAATATTGTTTTTTCCTTAGTATTGTTGTGAGATCTCAATGAAATAAGGTAAGTAAAGGACTTAGCATAGTGTCTGGATAAATAGCAGCCACAATTAATGTCATTTAAAATCCTCTCAAGTCATAATGATTAATAAGGGTAAATTCCTAGGAATAGTAATTTTAAAAGTCTTAAAGCTTGCCAGTTAATATTTACAATAAATGTAGTTTACATATAATTACACATGAACAAACAGGTCACATACTCGCATATTTACTCATAGAGAATTTTTTTATTTCTTTTTTCCCCTAGCTGGATGAATATGTTAAAGGTCTAGTCTAAAAGAACAGCCTTCATGGAAGAATTCTATAAAAACAATTCTTACTATTTAATTTTAAAAAACTTATTCAGAACTATAAGACAGATAGCTCTGTAACACTAAGCAAATTACTCTACCTCCTTTAACCCTCAGTGTTATGGACTGAATATCTGTGTCCCCCCAGAATTTTTGAACTTTTGTGTTATTTAGAGACCCACAGAAGGGATTTCTAATGAACTGATGAGAATTATAGATGGGCTGGTGAGCATTCTGTTTTCATCTTTCTAATCTTAGTTAAATAATTTTTTTTAACTTCATTAAGCATGGATGCCAGGATTAAAGCTCTTTACATGATAGTCCATGTAGAAGTGAAAAATGAAGTTTACCACAACCAGAATATGACATAAAGTAACATCTCTTCCAAATGATTATTACATGTTTCTTAAAATGATTTCTGAATAATGGACTTTATCATTAGAAGGATATCTCCCCCTTTTCCTGTCTGAAAATACTTAAAGAGGCTGAGTACAGTGGCTCATGCTTGTGATCTCAGCAATTTAGGAGGTTGAGGCAGGAGGATCGTTTGAGCCCAGGAGTTCAAAACCAGCCTGGAAAAACTAGTAAGACACTCTCTCTACACGTTTTTTTTGTTTGTTTTGTTTTGTTTTGTTTTTTTAATTAGCTAGGTGTGCTGGTATATACCTGCGGTCCTAGCTACTTGGGAGTCTGAGGTGGGAAGAGTGCTTGAGCCCAGAAGGTCGAGGCTGCAGTGAGCTGTGATTGCACCACTGCACTCTATCCTGGGTGACAGAGCAAGACCCTGTCTCAAAATAAAAGACTGAAGCCAGGCACAGTGGCTCCTATCTGTCTTCCCAGCTACTTCAGGGATGATCAGGACTATGCCTTGAACTCAAGAATTTGAGATCAGCCTTGGTAATACTGTGAGATTTGATGTCTTAATTTTTTTAATTAAAAAGAAATAAAAAAGAAAATACTTAAAAGGATAACTACAATTGCACAGCTTCCATTAATTAATCCATAGACTTCATGTCTACGAATTCACTGATGGATATTTGCTTATGTTAATTACACCCAGAAATCATTTTACACCCTTGGAAAGTACTTACTGTTTACAGCAGCAGCTATCTAAACTGCAGAAACAATACACATACTTTAATTACCTTAGCTCAATCATCTTCAAGATACTTCCCTGCTAACGGACACAATGTTTCACTCTAATATGATATATTTTTTCCCCTTTGGAGGCAGGATCTCACTCTCATGCCCAGGCTGGAATGCAGTGGCACAATCACGGCTCACTGCAGCTTCGACTTCCCAGGCTCAGGTAATTCTACCACCTCAGCCTCCTGAGTAGGTGGGACTACAGGTGTGGGCCACCACGTCCGGCTAATTTTTTGTATATTTTGTAGAGATGGGGTTTTGCCATATTGCCCAGGCTGGTCTCGAACTCCTGTACTCGAGTGATCCACCCACCTCAGACTTCCTAAGTGCTGGGATTACAGGCATGAGCCACTGTACTCAGCCTCTAATATGATTTTCAATAAGTCAGACCTACATTTTAGTATTTCTGCTTCTGCCTAGATTTCAAACAAAAGAAAAATATACCAAGAACACAAAAAATAACTATGAATACCAGCTATGTAACACAATCCATTATGAATGTTGCTTTGTGGGTATCTTATTTCATGAATCCCTTTAGCATATCTAGTTAGAAAACTACCTCTCTTAAGGTAGTAACGGGCAAATGGAGAGTGGGTCAGAGAATGTGTCCTACTCCCTTACCAGAAATGTATGAGACTTAAAGGTTCCAGACCATTTTTGTGTCATGGACTCTTTCGGCAGTTTATGGATCCCTTCTCAGATTAATATTTTTAAGCATATATCATAAAATACATAGAATAATAAAGGCAACCAATTATGTTTAAAATGCTATCAAAATATTAAATAAAATTTTAACCTAGGCATACATACAGTCATTTTAAGTTCTTGGACACATTAAGGAGAATACTTTAAAAAATGGAATATAATAAACTGATGTGTACTTAAGGGGGCAAAGCAATGACCTAGCTATAGTGATATTCATAGCCTCACACCACAGAGTTAACCAATGAGGGAACCATGGACCAGAGAAGTAATTACATAGATAAAGGCAGAACTGAACAAAATCCAGGCCACTCACTCATCAGTGAGTAGAATACTTAGTTGTATTTGATTGACCAGAAAAGCCACTCCTTTTGAATAGTCATTTGACCTGGACACCAAAGTTAACATGCTTCCCTTTGTGAAATTTAATATGGCATTTTTCAATAGTGAGAAGCAATCAGACGCTCAGTGTTAAGTTTCATGTGAAAGAAAAATGGTGGAGATAGAAGTCTGATATCTATCAAGAGCGAAACCCATCATTTGGCATGAGAAGTATTTTTATCTTTACTGAATTTTTGGCTCACATTTTGAATTCATCTCAGTGGAAAATTCATGTTGCATTCAGTGTTTTTCTCTTTATTCTGCTAGCAATGAGTCTCAGTTTTAACCTTCAAGTATTTGTTCTGATTTCGTTGAGATAAGTGTTTAGCTCTGGCAAGGATATGATTTGCATTTTATTTGTATGAAGAGCCAATACGGATTCATACAACAAGAGATGTTTAGAGTGACAAGAGCTAAGACACAAAGGATGAAATTTCCAGTTTAAATTTTGCAGGTGCTAAAACACAAAAACAAAACCCCCTAAAAATGGCATAGATGACAAAAATACAAATGCTGCTCAAGAAAGGAGCACAGGTTTAAAGAGATACTGCTGAGTATCTCACGCCATTTGCTCCACAGTCAGGGCTCGAAATACCCTTCTGAAAACCCCAAGAGGTATTTCTCTATGGATTTTGCTCTCTCAAAATTTGTAAAACAATAAATATTGTTTTATTTTTCTTGGAGAACCAGGGAATAACAAAAAAATATGTTTGGCTTACATTCTGCTCTGCATGAGGGCTCTGTCTATTTTGCTCACTGATAATATCCCAAGGAGACAGAACAATTCAGAAGTTCAATAAATATTTGTTGAATGAAATGTTGATGAGTTTTTTAAGCTGGAGGAATACAGTCCAAGAAATTTCCAGTAACTTATCTTATGGCTGAATCACCCAGGAGTTAAGTTACTATAGAAGGGTGGTGTTGACACTAGTTTTCATTTTACTGGGCTGGGAGCTGCTTGAGGGCAGGAATCTTTTTTTGCTCATCTTTGTAACCCCCTTCACACCTTGCTTTGCATTGTGGTTTCCCAAGGTGCTCCTTAAGTGTTGAATGAATAACAAATGAATGTTGTTCTAGCAAGCATTTTTCTTCCCCGCCATACATATCTACTTTCCTAACTGATACTTGTTCCTGCTTGTTTCATTACCTAGAACCTCTGTGCCTTACCACCACTTATCCAAATTCAAACCAATCTTCAAAGCTCCTTTCAGAGCTCACTTCCTTCTGGAGGTCTTCACTGATCCCACTTTCTTTGAATGACTATAGAATTTCAGTTTATGTACCATTCCTCCTGATGTTTTATGTGGCTCTGTCTTGTTTGCAAAATTCCTTTGTCTCCTGGAAGCCATATCTTGGATTCCCTTTGTATCCTTCACAATTATTTAAAAAATACTCTGCAAATAGTGAATGCTCAATGAATATTAAAATATGTGCATAATACAACAAAATTATTCTCTGAG
Organism: Homo sapiens; assembly: GCF_000001405.40. Classification (NCBI taxonomy): domain Eukaryota; kingdom Metazoa; phylum Chordata; class Mammalia; order Primates; family Hominidae; genus Homo; species Homo sapiens. The sequence continues at coordinate 72,072,201 of NC_000006.12, read as the reverse complement.
ACACTTCATGTAGAGAGAGATTTTAGGTGTAATTTAATCTAAATTTCCTTCTGATCCTTAAATCCCTTCAACATCATCCTGACCCAGAGTTCTTCCAGACTCTGTCCACACCTTCAAGGGAGATAAGGGAATCACCTTGTGAGGCATATAATTCCATCTTTACAATAATTAGTATATTTTTTATATTGAGCTTAACATGTCTGCACTATCTCCATAACTGGCATTACCCTTTTGGCTTATTCAGAATAAACCTAACCCTTTTTCCACATGACATTAATCCAAATATTTGAAGACTGCTATCTGTTATGTCCTTCCCTGAGTCTTCTTTTCCTCAGGCTAAGTCATTTACTATTTGGAACGATTTTTTAGCCCTTCACCACCCTAATAGTTCCCCCATGAAAATGCTTCAGATATCTATTCCATTATGAAAGTAGGACATCTCAAACTGGAATCAATTATTTAGGTGTAGTCTTTCTATTCCTTATTTTATATTCTATACTTCTATTTATAGGTCCATATCACATTAGATTTTTCTTGGTCATAATCATACAACTGACACATATTTGAACTTAATGTCAACTAAAACTCCAACATCATTTTTACACTTCCAAAAGCTAAATTGCTCTAATTGTGTGGTTGTTTTATTTATGCAAACATATAGGACCTTACTGTCTCACCTGTTGAATTTTATCTTGCTAGATCTAACCCATAACTCCATAAGGACAAAATACTTTTAGATTGTGACTATCTTATCTAACTTACTGTTTCTCCAAGTTTTCTTTCTTTCTTTGTTTTTTAAAGATAAGGTCTCACTCTGTCACCCAGGCTGGAGTGTAGTGGTGCCTGTAATCAGGGCTCACTGCTGCCTGAATTCCCGGGCTCAAGTTATCCTCCCACCTCAGCCTCCCAAGCAGCTGGGACTACAGGCATGAATGACCACACCTGGTTAATTTGTTAAATTTTTTTGTAGAGATTGGGGAGTCTCACCATGTTGCCCAGGCTGATCTCGAACTTCTGGCCTCACGTGATTCTTCTGCCTCACCTCCCAAAGTGCTGTGATTACAGGCATGAGCCACTGTGCTGAGCCTATTTCTCCTAGATTTATATCTTGTGAAGTGTAATGTATATTCTGTTCTCATCACCATAGGCAAACTTTTTCCTGAGGACATCTGTGTTCTAATAAAACTTATTTGTACCCATTGAAATTTAAATTTCATGTAATTTTCATGTTACAAAGTATTATTCTTTCGATTTCCTTCAACCATTTAAAAATGTAGAAGTCATTCATACCTCACAGGCTATACAAAAACAGTTGGGAGGAAGGATTTGGTCTACAGGCCAAACTATGGTTTGCTGACTCCTAATCTAAAAGTGATGTGAATGTGAGGGCCTTTGTCAAAGCTCCTTGACATGCACAAAAACCTCCCTCCAGGTTATTCCTTCATAACGAGGGCTTAGCAATAAAATTGACCAAAGAAATTTTAAAATGTAAAGTTGCGGCTCTACCCCCAAAAATCTTGTTCAGTGGTTCAGGAGAGTTGCTTGGGAATGTGTATTTTGAAAACACTCCCTGGACGTCTCTTACGTACAGCACAGGTTTTAAAACTTGATTTTAAAGTTGTTGTTAAGAATAAGAAATTCAAAATTTTGAATTTCTTTTGAAGAATGTCTTTATTGTTTTTATGACTAAGTACTGAGAATATAATGGTGAGCAACACAGGCAACAGTACTTGCCCTAATAGACTTCATCATATAATGATATTTTGTTGAAATCATTTATTATAATGCCTTTCCTCCAGTTGACCATAAGCTCCTTAGGGCTAATACCATTGTATTATTCATAATCAGAAATCAATATGAGTTCATCAATGTAATAATATTTCATATGATTATATGAATAAAAGGAAATATGAAATATGAATAAAAATAATTCATGATTTTCCATTTTACATATTTTTAAACGACACATTTCAAATGACCTCTTTTATTAAATGATCCAAGAATTGTCTATGTGCTAATTTTTACACACAATCTTGCTGATCATTGTATTATTAGTCCCTAGAATCTTGCCTAGCATATAGAATATTTGTTATTCAAGTATGTTAATTAAATACATTAATATAAGAGAATAATATGCAAGGTATTAAAGGAAAAATTGGGAAGGTATGATAAGCAAAACAAGTATGTCAAATTAAAATGTATGCTGAAACTATTGATAACATAATTTAAGTGTCATACATGTTTTCCTGGGAGCAACAATTCATATAGTTATTCTGAGCACTGTATCTGCACCTCTATCTCATCCCAACACATACAAACAAATCAAATTAAGTTAAGCATGGACCAGAAAACAAAACCAAGAATGCTTGCATGGATAGGAGTGGTCTTGACTGCTGTAGTGATGATCTAAGATGAACTTTTCAATCTGAAGCCTCAATTCACTAGTAAAAAACGAAAATCATACAATTGGCCTACGCTCAAAGATACTGTAAGAACAAAAGAGAGAGCTTCATCTCTCAGGAGCATCAAGAATAAAGAAGGTTTTGAGCAGCAACATATAGATCATAGGGTGAGTAAAGCAAGTGCTCACCTGCATTAATGCAGGTGCTCAGGAAACAAAGCATTGACTTCATATTCAAAAGAAACAGAAACAAATGCATCAGTTTTTAAAATCCTGAGACATATATTTTTCATTTACCTTTGCCACAACACTAACTTGCAGAACTAAAGCTTCCTCAAATAATTTCAATCTGATATTTATCACAAACATTGTTGAATTTGCCCTTACAGGCTCAACAAACCACCAGAGACTTCTATTAGAGAAGCTGGACAGTGAGCTACAGTTTGTTAGCTCCCTGACTGTTCAGGGCCTTCAGCTACCTTTCGCCTTTGCACTGCCACAACAGAAGCTGCTGCTATTCTAATACTATAGCAGCGTTAACAGCAGCAAAGCACCTAGGTGCCACTGGCATCTCCTACAGCAGTAAAATCAGAAGCAGGGAAAATTAGGTCCAGCTTCCCATTTCTCCCCCAACTCAGTAGAGCATTAAAGTCATGCTTCCACCGTATGACAATATTACATTCACTTCCTTAGCTGTTACAACCATTGTTAGCCTCCACTGTACATCCAGTGTACTTTAATTGTATTACTCCCAAACACCTCACCATCTACTATAGATTACTCCCTCAGTTTGTTATTTCTGGAGGTTTCCTCTTCCTCTGCTTGCTTCAGTTCAATTCCTTTCAGCAGTCCCATCAGCTCATTGCACCTCATAAATTTTTTTTTTTTTTGAGACGGAGTCTTGCTCTGTCGCCCAGGCTGGAGTACAGTGGCGCGATCTCGGCTCACTGCAAGCTCCGCCTCCCGAGTTCACGTCATTCTCCTGCCTCAGCCTCCCGAGTAGCTGGGACTACAGGCGCCCGCCACCACGCCCAGCTAATTTTTTGTATTTTTAGGAGAGATGGGGTTTCACCGTGGTCTCGATCTCCTGACCTCGTGATCCGCCCGCCTCAGTCTCCCAAAGTGCTGGGCTTACAGGCATGAGCCACCACGCCCCGCCAGCACCTCATAAATTCCTATTGGGCATTGCCACTTCTTGTTCATCATTGATGATACTGTTGCAATTCTGGCCATCTCCTTTCAATCTTCTCATAGCTTTGAACTGTTTCTCTCTCATTTACTCCCCCTACTCCTCCACTTCTCCCAGCTTTATTGTTACCTGCTTTCTCTTCCTCACCTCTTTTCTGCCTTTGAGGACAACTGAGCAGACCTGCAATTAGTGTGTAAGAGTAAAGAAAATATTTTATCTATCAGTGCTTAAGCACGATGATTTTTTTGTGGACAAAAAAGTGGTTTCAAATTGTTTTGCATAATAATTACCCATACCATGTAAACTGAAAATCAATAAAAAAAAGCTACAAAGGTTAACAGAAAAAAGAATTGAGGCTGGTTTCATGGCAGAGGTTTGTGAGGCAGATGGAACATGGTAGAATATTACTGGATATTACAACATTTTCTAGTATACTCGTTACCATGGACCAAAAAAATTGGTCCCCTGCCCTGTGGGATGTTTTTTTCTTCTTCCAGGCATGAAAAAGAAGAGTCACTGGCCCACCAGTGACATCAGCCAAATCTTGTGATCAAAAGAGTGACATCCTTTCATTTAAATCACCTTCTATTGTATGATTCCTGAACAGTTTGGGTCAAGCATGAACTTCTAATGATAATGTGATTCTGGGCAAGTTATCCATCTTTCTAAGCTCTCAGTTATTCCATTTGTAAAATGGAAACATTGCCCTCACATAATTTATGAGGAATATATAAATAGATTTTTAAAAGTACTTGACTCACATTAATGAAGAATATAACAGGCTCTGATTTTCTAATGTGTATCATTGGAAAAGAGTATAGTACTCAGTATGCTCCAGGCAATATATGTTAAGTGATTTTATTCATTTATTCTTATTTTGACAAATCTATATTGCAAATCTGCCATGTGCCAGGTACTATTGTAGGCACTGGGGATATCATGTTGAGTAAGACAAAGACCATGAACTCAAGGGGTATATGTTCTAGATGGAGAGAGAGCACATAAACAAATAAAGACATCACACAACAAATAATAGATGCTATGATCACTGAGTAAGAGGTTGGAGAGTAACTAGGCATGTGGGAGGGCAGTTTTAGATAAATTATCCTAAAAAGTCCTGACCAGCCCCTCTATGAGCAAGTGAATTTGAATAGAGATGAAAATAAGGTGAGGCAACAGGTCATGCAAATATCTAAGGGAGAATATTCTAGGTAGAGGGAATAGCAAGTACAAAGGCACTGAGGGAGGAACAAGCTTGAAGTAACTAAGTAACAGCAGGAAGGTGAGTGGAGCAGCCTCAGCATGAGCAACGTATTCAGGAGAAACTGAATACATGGCCGGTGGCAGATGCTGTAGGGTCATATTATCAATGACAAATTGCATACATTTTATGCTTAGTGGGATGAGACCTGACTGTAGTATTTTAATCAGGGGAGAGACATGATCTCATTGAAAGATGTACATGATCACTCTGGCTTTTTCTAGGGGCAGGAGGAATCCATAGTCAAGAGTAGGGGGTAGAAAGAACAGATATGAATTGCTCTGGTGAAGAAGATGGGGTTCACCTAAGCAATTCATATCTGTAGTATGAAGTGGAGGATGGTCTAGGGTGATAGCAAGGGAGGTATTGAAAATGGCCAGATTCAGGTCTTATTTTGAAGGTAGAGCTCACAGAATTTAGTAACGTATCAGCTAGAAGGTATGAATGAAAGAGAAGTTTTAAGGGTGACTCCTAAGTTTTTGACTCCAGCAATTAGGTAAATTATGAAAATTAGAAAGCCAGGGGAGGAGTTTATTTGAGGGAGAAAATTCAAGAGTAGCATCTAGATTAAGTTAGGTTTGAGAGGCCTATTAGATATTTGAATGAAGATGTTGAATAAGCAGTTATTTACAAGTATTGGGACCTCGGGAAAGTGGTTTGGGGTAGAGATACACATGTAAGTCTTGCTTAATGCTCATATTGTTCTAAGATATAAAAACTATTATTATCTCAGTTTTACAGAAGAGAAAACAGGCTTGAAGAAATGAAATAATTTGCTTTTGAGCACAGGGAAGAGTTATAAAGAAAACAAAAGAAGAAAAGGATCCAGTTTCTTTATAAATAGGTGGACTAATATTTGGGTTGGCCGAGGAGATAAATCCATCTGCAGTCAGTAGCAAAAATCTGAAAATGTATGATGACAAAACAAACTTGGATATTGACTGAGATTCAATAATAGCATTTATTATAATACTGAATGACCTCATAAAGAAGATTCCAGTTTTACAGTCAGTGAAATGCAAGGAAATATTTTATCAAGTCACAGGTACATAATAGGTCCAATCTGCCAAGGATGTACCTGGAAAGCAACGAAGAAAACTGAAAACTCTAAATATTTTTTTCTCGGCTAACTACATATTTGAAGGGAATATTGAAATCTGTAGATATGTAAGAAGATAATGAATCATTTAGCAACTTGTGTGTATCTCAAACGCACTTAAATATCTCAAGAAAGGAGGTTGTCCACATACTTAGTTTAATCTGAGTTCCTCCATGGTCTTCACCTGCATATATACAACTACCCCTGAGAAAAAGTTCAATGGAATGGAAAAGGCATGTGTTCCTGTACTTAATCTTGGAGTATTCCCAAAACAATATAAATTCAGTTGGAATATCCACATCCAAAATTCCTTTTTTTTTTTTTTTCGGCTTCTCATTCTATTGTTTCTCTCTCAACATTATTTATGATTTCTATTCTGCAAGCGATTATTTCTCAACTTTTATAAATATAGCATATCTGGTTAAAAGCATGACTTCTTGACTCAGCTAGCCTGAATGTGAATCTCAGCTCCATCATTTACCATTATATGGTCAAAGGCAAGTCATAGAACCTTTCTGTGCCTTACAGAAACTTTCACCTGTAAAATGGACATGATAATTGAATCTTCCTCATATGAGTATCAATTGAGATAAATAAAGGCAAAACCTTTGATAAAGTACATGGCATGGAGTAAGAGATCAATAAAAGTTTAACATTATTATTGTTGTTATTCTATTATTTCTATTATTTTTACATGTACTTAGAATTCCAAGTGTCCTTGGTCTCTTTTTTCCTCGGAGAGGAACAAACAACTAACAAAAAGATAAAAATTATAAAAAGTAAAATTAACAACATTAATAATTTTAAAAAGTTAACATTTAAAAGGACAAAAGGTTTTTGACAAACCTTTTGCAATTTCTATTAGTAAAATTAGGCAGTGTTATTATTCTTTCATACATGTCTTCAGCAGATATCGATGGGATGTTGTGATTCAACTACTCATAAAAATAATTCCTTCTTCTGTCAAGTTACTGGTAATACAAGTGCAGATGAGACAGGAGCCTTGACAAGAATTTGGTATCCATTAGGCACCACAAAATCACTCTCAGGCTTGGGTTTGGCCTAAGACCTGTTTAGCTCCAAATCGCTCTCTTTTTGCTCCATGTTAATCCATGGAAGACTTCCCTGCACCTTTCACCAGGACATGTTCTCTAATCACAGATAATTAATAACTAATCATATCACCATAATTTAGATTAACAACATAAACAGATATTTTAAACAGGACTTCAAATAAATAACCTTCATACTATTGCTCTCTATTATATACTGAAAATGAATAACAATATTTTAAAGAGGTGACTGTAGTATACACCACGCCTGTTACAGCAAACGCATGCCTGCAAAAGGCATACACTAGAAAAAACAGGAACAAAATGCAGGCGTTGAATGTCCAAACCATAACCCCAAACAAAATTCATCATTTTAACTTTCTTTCAAACAGAACCCCGCACCTGTATTTATACAAGAGACTCCTAGGGTGGTCCTTCAGAGCCCAGCCTGCCCTGAGCACATCTTAAGTCCACTCTCAGCTGCTGAAAAACATTTTTTTTTAAACTTCATCATCATAGAAATGAAAAACAAAGTCTAGCTCTTTTATTTGCCAGATGAAGTCCAGTGAGGTTAAATCGCTTGATCGAGATGACGCACCCAGCTGTGCTGGAACCACATTGTCACAGCATTGCATTCACAGCTTCCTGTCAAGTGGGCTGATCTTCTTCCCTTTATGCATTTCTTCCTTCCTTCCCTACCTCCCTCCCTCCCAGAGGACAGAGTGTTACAGGATAAGTCATATCCCCTCAACAATTCATATGCTGAAGTCCTAACTCCCAGTACCTCAAAATGTAATTCCTTCCTTCCTTCGTTCCTTCCTTCGTTCCTCCCTTCCTTCCTTCCTTCCCTCTCTCTCTCTCTCTCTCTTTCTTTCTTTCTTTCTATGGAGTTTTGCTCTTGTTGCCCAGGCTGGAGTGCAATGGCACGATCTCAGCTCACTGCAACCTCCGCCTCCTGGGTTCAAGCAACTCTCCTGCCTCAGCCTCCCAAGTTGCTGGGATTACAGGCGCCTGCTGCTATGCCTGGCTAATTTTTGTGTTTTTAGTAGAGACGGAGTTTCGCCATGTTGGCCAGGCTGGTCTCGAACTCTTGACCTCAGGTGATCCACCCACCTCGACCTCCCAAAGTACTGGAATTACAGGTGTGAGCCACCACATCCAGCCAAGTAATTTCATTAGACTAATTTAATATGACTGGACTCCTTATAAAAGGAGATTAGGACAGACAAGTAAAGAGGTAAAGAGGGAAGATGATGTGAGAACACAGGGAAAAGATAGTGATCTACAAGCCAATGAGGCCTCAGAAGGAACCACACAGCCACACTTCAATCCCAGACTTCTTGCTTCCAGAAGCCATCCAGTCTCTGGTACTTTGTTACAGCAGCCCTAGCAAACTGATGGCAATTTTAGTTTTTACAGATAAAACGAATACAAACTAAAACAGAGATGAGATTTAAGAAACATGCAGTGGCCACATCATTAAGAACCACATTTAAAAATGTGAAATTCCACCTAGAAGTAAATGTGAATCACCTGCCTAGAATGAGACACCACTATAGTTGGAGGGTCCCTCCTCTGATCTATTCCACACGGATTGCTTCCTACTTTATCCAGTCCTTGAGTGTTGTGACTTCCTTGGTCGGTCTCCCACTAGTGGACAACATTCACCAGTTCCTTCAGGGTTTGAAGGTATGCCCAAAGTCCTGCTCTGGTTAACATCTGCTACTCCAGATTTTAACTTGCTTTGTATTTCCCTAGTACAGTTTGGGTTGTTTGCTTTTACACTTATTGTTTCAGGTATTGTCGCAGATGCTGTTGGTGTCCCTCCCACGTTCCCTTCCTCTACTTCACTGGGGAGTCACATGCCCCCAGCTCCCATCACTTGCATTTCTGTGCCTGAGGGCTTTCTCTGACCACTGGAGCCTGCTTTGCCTAAAGTGCAGAGCAGAAATAAGGTAAGGGGGAATTAATACTTCCTCTCCCATGACTGATAGGGGTTTGTAAATACATACTCCTGCTCCTTTGTCCCTTTTAGTGTGATAACTCTGAAGCTTGTATTTTCAACGTGTTCCTCAGTGTTGTTTTCCTGGAATTAAGTTCATTCTTCATCTTCCTTGTCATATCTGTTGTTATGGGTTGAATTATGACCTCCCAAAAAAAGATATGTTGGAGTCCTAGAGTCCTAATCCCAAGTACCTCTGAATGTGACTATTTGGAAAACAGAGTCCTTATAAAGTAATTAAGTTAAAACGAGATTATTAGAGAGAGCCCTAATCCATTAGGGCTTATGAAAAGGGGAAATTTGGCCACAGAGACAGAGAAGTACAGAGGAAAGATGATGTGCCTTGTGAAGATGGCGGTTGTAGTGATGCCTCTACAAACCAAGGGACACCTGACACTACCAGGAGCTACAGAAGTGATATGGAACCATTCTGTCCCTAGTGCCTCCACAGGGAGCATGGCCCTGCTAATCCCCAAATTCTGATGTCTGGCTTCCAGCACTGTGCGGCAATACATTTCTGTTGCTATAAGCCCCCCAGTTTTTGGTACTTTGTTAAGGCAGCCCTAGGAAATCATTATACCTGTCTTCTCACTTTACCATTCTCCTACAGGTAGCTCCTTTACCTCCCAAATAAACTACTTGAACTCGAACTATTATCTCAGAGTCTGCTTAACTAAAATGTATTTTTCCAATTAGGTTTTGAGATTCTTTAGAAAAAACGGGGTTTCTGCTGTTTTTAACCCATCTGATAACTAGCAAACTATTCTCCATATAGTCAGTACTTAACAAAGGTTTGGAAAGGAAGTGAGACAGGGATGGAAAGAAGGAGGCAAGAAGGGAGAAAGTGGTATAAAAAAAGCCATAGGATCCAAGTAGTTTGTGCACATAAACATAGATAATTGAAAAAAAAATACAGACCAAATAAGTTGAACTACTATTTGGAAATGGCCAGTTTATGGTTGTGTCACAAGGACAGAATTGTCATACTCAGTTGCCTCATGACTCCTTTTAAATAAAATATAAAATATTAAGAAATAAATAGAAAAAACCCCTAAATCTAATAATGAATTTGAAAACATTTTCAAAGTTCCCTGTTAGATAGATACTACATAAGTTTAAATGCTATTCATTGCAGGCTATATTCCTCTGTCCCAATAGTCCCCTGAGAGATTTAAAGTGCCAACATAAAATGGTTTCTTTTCTACCGTGAGTAAAGGTCAAGCACAAGTTATCCCCGTAGTTCTTGCTGACATAGCTGTGCTGAATAATTATATTTATGAACACTGCCATGAATATATTTATGAGAATGCAATTGTTTCTGTCTTTAAAAACAATTAAAGATTCCCCCTAGGGGAAAAATAAAAATGTTATTGTGTTATAAATCTTTTCTAGAATTACTGGTAACATATTTCAAATATTAAAAAAAAACTTTCACTCGAACTTTATGCATGTAATACATTGACCACCTTTGGCGGCTCTTTTGATTTTACAGTCAGCTATTTTCTCAGAGATGCTGAAACAGGCTTAGCAGAAAACTAGAGGAGGGTCCGGGAACAAAGGGTGAACTCCAGGCCTCTCCATCTACCACCACTGCCTTATCTATACCCACACTTTGACAAGAAACAGAAGAAAAGCCAGAAGAGGATCAGAAGTCAGAAAGCGCGTAATGCACAGCCGCTGAGTGAGTGCAAAGCGGACCAGTCCATCCGTGGAAACAAACAGACTGTCAACCCATACTTACTATTAAACATAATCTAAATGTAAGCACATGCTTTTGAGTTAGCAACATTGAGCAATGACCAGCCTAACTGTGTAACTAAAAGGATATTAAATTTTTTGGTGTCATGCCTCAATATTTCCAGTTAAGCTTCACATTTAATCCTGTTAACCTAATCTTTAATACCACATTATAATTTTGAATTAACAGTTTTTTTATAGTTTGTATATGATAGTATTATAATGTCAACAAAGATATAGTGCAGGTATTTCATAATTCCTTCTGAATTATTTTAGTAGGTCTGAGTTATTAAGAACCAAGCTATATCATGGTAATTATGGAAAAAAAAGATTAAATAAGAAGGTCAAATATTTGATTATATACAAGGCTCTAGAGTTCCAAATAATCACATACCTCACAAAAATCAATATTTTAAATACACACATCTATCATTTACCTAATTGAAACGCAAATATCAATATCAATATCTGCATCTCAGAAGATGTTACTTACATAAAGTATACTGGAAAAAAAGAAGAAAATTTTCTCATTCAACAAATAATTATTGAGTGGCAAATAAATATAAGGAAACGTGTTAAGTACATGTGGAATTCAAAGTGAACAAGATTTAGACCCTGTCCAGTAGTTGAAAAAAGCCTTGGTCACACATAATTTCAGTATAAAAGATTATACATTCAGTAATTTGAAAGTCAGAAAAATCAGTGTTATGAGTCTAAAAGAGGGAAGAACTACTACCATCTTCGCTGTTCAGGGAAGATATAACTGAGATGCTGAACCAGGCTTAGAGGACCTAAAAAAATGGCTTTGGTATTTGTACCCAACTACAGATGGGAAGGAATTTGAGGGAGAAGAAAATGCATAAGAAAGAGAAGAGGTATAAATGTACAAGCTGTGATCTGGTAACAAGTAGCCCTACTTAATCAGAACAATAGTACCCAGTGGTGGAGAGCAGAAAATAAGGCAGAACAAAACAGGTAGAGGCCAGAACAGGAAGGCCTTGGAGGTCAGATCACAGAGTCAATGAGGAGCTGAGGAAGCTTATTAGAAGTGGGAGAATGGCACACTTACTGTAATGCAGATGGAAGTTTAATCTGGAGGCAGAGTGTAGGATGCACTGAAATAGTGTTTAGATCGGGGCTGCAAATTCAAGTGCTTATCAAGGTCAGGAAGATTCTGTAAAAAGCAGCTTCAGGCTGGGCGCAGTGGTTCATGTCTGTAATCCCAGCACTTTGGGAGTCTGAGACGGGTGGATCACCTGAGGTCGGGAGTTTGAGACCAGCCTGACCAACATGGAGAAACCCTGTCTCTACTTAAAAAATAAATAAATAAATAATAATAATAATAATAATCAAAATTAGCTGGCCGTGGTGGTGCATCCCTGTAATCCTAGCTACTCGGGAGGCTGAGGCAGGAGAATCGCTTGAACCCAGGAGGCGGAGGTTGTGGTGAGCTGAGATCGTGCCATTGCACTCCAGCCTGGGCAAGAAGAGCAAAACTCCGTCTCAAAAAATAAAAATAAAAATAAAAAGCCGCTTCATTGAGGACCTACTCAGTTCTAGCTCATATGAAATTTGGCATATCCAATTCTGCCAAATATTTCAGTTATTCCAGAAAAACTGCAAATCCAGATTTTGATGTGAAATTTTCTAATTCATAAATTTAAAATAATTCACATTTAATTGATTGATTCATTGACTGATGACTGAAAGACGAATTCAGTTCACGGGCTGTCAGTTTTTAACAGGACCACCACTAATAAGTACATTAGAATGATTTTAGCATAAATTAATAAGGCATCAAATTGTATAGTGGCATTATGTTTAATTATTCCTTCTTACAGCTTAATCAATCAATAAATTGAATTTTAATACATAGTAGTTAACAAGTCTAAACCAATATGATTTAGAAGGTATTTAAAATACCTGGTAGAGGGCCAGATATGGTGGCTCACACCTGTAATTCCAGCACTTTGGGAGGCCGAGGGGGATGGATGGCTTGAGCCCAGGAGTTCAAGACCAGCCTAGGCAACATGGCAAAACCCCGTCTCAACAAAAAGTTTAAAAAATTAGCAGGGTGTGGTAGCAGAAACCTGTGGTTTCAAGCTACTCAGGAGGCAGAGGAGGGAGGATTGCTTGAGCCCAAGAGGTCAAGGCTGCAGTGAGCTGTGATTGTAGCACTATACTGCAGCGTGGGCAACAGAGCGAGAGCCTGTCTCAAAAAAATTAAAAATAAAACAAAATGCCTAGCAGAAACCTGTCATAGTTATATGAATTCATGAAACATATCTTTTGTATGAAAAATCTGATAGAACCATGTCATTGTTAAATTCTCTGTATATACCATATAGTTGTTCCCAGTGATAATCATGAATTTAAAGTTAGAAATAAGAAGACAGTACAGGTAGTAGATACATAGTTCTGAATGGAGGTTCCTTTTACTATCACTATTAATATGTTTAAATGAGTAAATTAATAGCTCTGTTGTAGTACTTTAAACACCCAGTCAGGAGGCTGTTTTCTTCCACAGCTAGTTTTAATAATGCAAATATTTTCAATATTTATTATACAGATAAAGAGGTCATCTGGTACTACTTTAATAAATATTTTCAGACCAAGTGCACTGCTTCTGTGAATTATGTGAAGCAAAACATTTTTCCCGAAACTTTGTGTTTCTCATGTTCATGTTAAGCTTTTTTATAAGGTGTGCTCATAGAATTTGGGATGTCCTCGGCAAGAAATAAGAGGAAGGAGGACTCCTCTGAATGGGTCCACAGACCTGCTGTCAATAATTCAAGAAAAAGGTCTTTGGGGAGGAACCAGAACCTAGGAGAGAACCCAAAGCAGGAAGAGAGAAAACATCAATTTCTGGGCTACCCTCTCCTCTACATGAACCTCTAGGAGCACAAACACATATGAAAGGGTTCCTACAAGGGATGGGAGAAAGACAGACTCAGTCAGGTGGAGATACACTGAGAACCTGGCAGGCAGTGCAACCCCAGAGGGGCTTCCAAAATGAAGATGGGTAGACCATTTTGTAATCAAACCACGTAATCAAGATGTTTATCAGTTTCTGGGTATTTCTATCTATAATCTTGGAGCCTTTTGTAAACTTTTGTTTAAATGATAAAGATGGGTGTCATCTCTGAAAAGAAGAATCACACAGAACATTTGTCTTTACAGAACCTCTCTGAGGCTAGTCTGAGAGTTTCATTGGTGATGAGTGAGAAATCCCAAAAGTAAGGTAAGTTCTGGGAATAAAGGTCAAGGTCAGAAAGTCACGCTGTGAAGTCTTTTCTCTATATACATTTTACAAGATCAGGGTTTGATTATTTTGCTTTAAGAGGACCAGCTGGTTTCCCTAACAACTTTATATCCACCTTCAGGTGAATCAAGTAAGTACTTTATAAATTCATGAGATGGTTGGAAATATTTTGTAAAGCAATACTGATTTCTAAGCAACTATGCAACTGCACCTGTATTAAGTAGGGAAGCCTCTACATGGGTGGATATGTAAATATGTTCTCCAACAGCCTTAACAATTGTTATTCTGGCTGGTGTCTAAACAAATGATTACTTTTACTAGGGTTACCTTCATCCCAGTTTGCCTGGGACAGTTTCTGTTGGGATATTTTTGTCAAAAGTGTACTGGTTTGGGGCTGGGCGTGGTGTCTCACGCCTGTAATCCCAGCACTTTGGGAGGCCGAGACGGGCAGATCACGAAGTCAGGAGATCGGGACCATCCTGGTTAACACGGTGAAACCCTGTCTCTACTGAAAATACAAAAAATTAGCTAGTAGTGGTGGCGGGCGCCTGTAGTCCCAGCTACTCCGGAGGCTGAAGCAGGAGAATGGCGTAAACCTGGGAGGCGGAGCTTGCAGTGAGCCGAGATGGCGCCACTGCACTCCAGCCTGGGCAACAGAGCGAGACTCCATCTCAAAAAAAGAAAAAAAAAAAAAAAAAAAGAAAAAGAAGGTGTACTGATTTGGACAATAATTACATAACAACAGAACCTTTAACTAGTAGAGAAGGTTATCCCCATACAGTCATGTCAAAGAATCCGAGCCTGAATTTGCTGCATCCAAACACTGCTAATGATTCTCTTTTAGTTAGATAATATATGCCACAGTTTTGTTGGCGTGGTAGCATCCATTCTCCTGTATTTGTCGTATGTATTGGTTATATGGTTGGAGGTCCAGAAAGCAGTGAATTCAGACAATGTTATCTCAGCAACAAACGAAATCCACCAGTTTGGAGAGCCACAACTGAATATGTGAGTTTGAATTTTTTTTAACTTTTACTTTAAGTTTGGGGTACAAATGCAGGTTTGTTACATAGGCAAACTTGTGTCATGGGGGTTTGTTGTACAGATTATTTAATCACCCAGTTATTAAGCCAAGTACCCATTAGTTATTTTTCCTTTCCCTGCTCCCACCCTCCACCCTCTGATAGGCTCTTCTTAAGCATAGCTTCAGAAAAATATCTGCAGATTACTTTGTGTTGGAAAAGTAATGTAGATTATAATATATATTTTCCTTGTTTTAGCTGTCATGAAACAGAATTATTTTAGAATCTAGGTGTGCAAATTAGCTTTTCTTAGATATCCTTTAATATCTACTGTATATAGTTTAGGTAATCTATTTATTATTTAACCTTAATTTTCTTATTTTCTATTATGTTTAACTTATAAACAACTTCAACTTCCTTTGTAAAAGTAAAAGTGCTAAATGAATACTGAAATTAAGGATTGAGACAAATATTCTAAGACAACTACCCATTTAAAAGATAATGGTCATATTTGTCATTAGAGGCCAAATGCAGCACTCATAGGGCTGGCATGGTAGAATTAAGCTTTTAGGCAAGAGAGTCATTCATATACTGAAGTCAAAATATGAAAATATGAAAGTAAAAAGTCTACCGTCTTTCCAGTTTGGAGGAGAAAAATCAGAGCAACAACTTCAGTTATGCATAATAATGCATAAGGCATTCTTTTATAGTATGTTTTAAACTTCTATAATTTACATTTTTAAATTTATGTTTTAACTTTTATTTTAGGTTCAGGGTTACATGTACAGGTTTGTTAGACATGTAAACTGCATGTCATGGGTGTTTGGTATACAGATGATTTTGTCACCCAGGTAATAAGCATAGTACCTGATAAGTAGCTTTTTTTGATCCTCACTGCCTCCCACCCTCCATCCTCAAGTAGGCCCTGGTGTCTGTCATTCTCTTCTTCGTGTACATATGCACTCAGTGTTTAACTCCCACTTGTAAGGGAGAAAATATGGTATTTAGTTTTCTGTTCGTGTGTCAGTTTGCTTAGGATAATGGCCTCCAGCTCCATCCATGTTGCTGCAAAGGGCATGATCTCTTTTTTTTTATGGCTGCATAGTATTCCATGGTGCATATGTACCACATTTTCTTTATCCAGTCTACTATTGATGGGCATTTAGGTTTATTTCATATCTTTGCTATCGTGAATACTGCTGCGATGAACATATGCATGCATGTGTCTTTATGGTAGAACAACTTTTATTCCTTTGGGCGTATACTCAATAATGGGATTCCTGGGTCAAATGTTAATTCTGTTTTAAGTTCTTTGGGAAATAACCAAACTGCTTTTCACAATGGATAAACTAATTTACATTTCCACCAGTAGTTCATAAGCATTCCCTTTTGTCCACAACTTTACCAGCATCTGTTATTTTTTCACGTTTAATAATAGCCATTCGACTGAAGTGAGATGATATCTCATTATGATTTTGATTTTGATTTCTCTAATAATTAGTGAAGTAAAAATAATAAGAGCCATCTATGAAAAACCCATGGCCAACATCATACTGAATGGACAAAAACTGGAGGCAATCCCATTGAACACCAGAACAAGACAAGGATGCCAACTCTCACCACTCCTATTCAGCACAGTGCTGGAAATCCTAGCCAGAGCAATAAGGGAAGAGAAAAATATAAAAGCATCTAAATAGGAAGAGAAGAAGTCAAACTATATCTGTTTACAGTATTTTTGAAAATGTCTTTGGGTTACTCGTGGAAATACAAACTGTGTGACTTTTGACAAGAAAATTCACATCTTTGAATCAGTTTCTTCATCTTTAAAGGAAGATTAAGATCTCCCTCATGTACTTGTGAGAAATAAATATAATAATATATAAGGAACACCCAGGAGTGTGCTCTGAATGTAGCAGGTGCTCATGAAATGCCACTATTATTCTATTTTAAAAAGAAATAAAAAGCAATTTCTTGACAGTCACAAAGTTTACATCGCAAGGCCTCTGTGAACTCCCCAATTCTCAAATGTCCCTCTATTATTTCATGATGAAAATAATAGAGGGACATTACACCTTATACAAAAATTAACTCAAGATGGATTAAAGACTTAAATGTAAAACTCAAAACCATAAAAATCTTAGAAGAAAACCTAGGCAATACCATTCAGGACATAGGCATGGGCAAAGACTTCATGATGAAATGCCAAAAGCAATTGCAACAAAAGCCAAAGTTGGCAAATGGGATCTAGTTAAACTAAAGAGCTTCTGCACAGCAAAAGAACTACCATCAGAATGAATAGGCAACCTACAGAACGGGAGAACATTTTTGCAATCTACTCATCTGAAAAAGGTCTAATATCCAGAATCTATAAGGAACTTAAACAAATTTACAAGAAAAAAGTCAAATAACCCATCAAAGAGTGGGCAAAGGATATGAACAGACACTTCTCAAAAGAAGACATTTATGCAGCCAACAAACATGAAAAAAAGCTCATTATCACTGATCTCTAGAGAAATGCAAATCAAAACTACAATGAGATGCCATCTCATGCCAGTCAGAATGGCAATTATTAAAAAGTCAAGAAACAATAGATGTTGGCGAGGCTGTGGAGAAATAGGAACGCTTGTACACTGTCGGTGGGAATGTAAATTAGTTCAACCATTGTGGAAGACAGTGTTGTGATTCCTCAAGGATCAAGAACCAGAAATACCATTTAAGCCAGCAATCCCATTACTGAGTATATACCCAAAGGAATATAAATCATTCTACTATAAAGACACATGCACACATATGTTTATTGCAGCACTGTTTACAATACAAAGACATGGAACCAACCCAAATGCCCACCAATGATAGACTGCATAAAGAAAATGTGGCACATATATACTATGGAATATTATGCAGCCATGAAAATGAATGAGATCATGTCATTTGCAGGGACATGGATGAAACAGGAAGCCATCAACCTCAGCAAACTAACACAGGAACAGAAAACCAAACACCACGTTTTCTCACTCATAAGTAGGAGATGAACAATGAGAACGAATGGACAAAGGGAGGGGAACAACACATACCAGGGCCAGTTTGGGGGGTGGTGGGCAAGGGGAGGGAGAGCAATTAGGACAAATAGCTAATGCATGCAGGGCTTAAAACCTCGATGAAAGGTTGATAGGTCCAGCAAACCACCATGGCACACGTATACTTATGTAACAAACTACACATTCTTCATTTGTATCCTGGAACTTAAAGTAAAATAAAAAAATAAAAATAAAAATAATACAATGAAATTTGGGGACTGGTTTCAATACTCTGTGAAACAGTTTCATGAATTATTACTGCTTGATTGTATTTACAGAGTATTGTAAACTTATTCATGTCATATATATTAATTACTGCCAAATCTGATATTCTACTCTTAAGTTTTGTAAACCTGAATTTATTTCCTGATTCAAAAGCATTATTTCCTTAGACTTCTTTGTGTTCTTTTCTATTCCAATACCAGCCATTAAAATAGGTTTCATTTCCAGGACCATTCTTCACAAAGGAATGAAATGCACCTCACTTGGGGAGAATAACTGCATATATCTTTATGTGTATAGTCCATGAATTTTCAAGCAGATGCCAAAAACACTCTAGGTAGATGGCAAGTATTCTGTGTAATCTTTACTCCTGTCTATCTTATCTCATGGTCAAAACAATCCAAATCTGTGTCTACAAAGTAACAAACCACTACAGGAACAGGGCTGATTGGGTCACTCGTAAAGAGTAAGGTATTTCTCCACCAAAGCCAAGGGTCTACTGATTCTCTGTTTTCTTTCCCAGAAATTTGAGAAACACAGAAAGAAATTAAATAGGCAACGTAAATATGCCATCTAAAAAATCAGATTGAAGGAGACTATGGTGTAAACATTTCTACATGAGCTACAGTTACCAGAATGTATGTATGAGCCATGGGGAGGAAAGAAACACAGTTCAAAGAGTCTGGTCATGGTGAGGAACATAGGGACTGGGGACACTTTAGAGAGAGGAGTCAGACCTATGCCAAGGTTGGTTAGACTTCGGGATAGATCCTGAGAGAAATGCCTATAGAAACAGCCTGGGTTCTGGGACGTAATTAAACTTGGAAGGTTCACTTCAGGAAGTATGAGGCTATCGTTCAGCTCTTCCTGTCTCTCCAGCTAGTAAATGGGTTAAATAAGATTAACCCTGTGGTCCAACATAGTAGAACTAGTGTAACTGCAGGGATCCTCTCACTCAGAAGCAAATTCCCCACCAGCTTGTGAATACAACCTTTGTGCTTTCCCTTTTCATACTAAAAGTGTAAACTGACAAAAAACAGATCAAATAAAGTGTCTTATATGGTATAATTATGTTTGTGCTATATTACTAGTCAAGCAACAACTAAATCAACAAGGAAGAGAATAACACATACGCAAAAAATAGATGCTTTACCTATAGCATCTCATTTAGCTCTCATTAAACCTCAGTAAATCTCATATTATTTTTACACATAAGGAAATTGAGATTAAATGATTTGCCCAATGTATGCAAGTGACAAAACTGAAATACAAAATCTAGGTTGGTCCAATTTCAAAGTCCATGATATTTACAGTCCACCATGCTTACACTCCAAAGAAATGTAGATGATGAATATTTTCTAATTTTAATAGATGAAAAAGAGTGAAAGCAGGTCAATGAGTGGTCAACCAAGGAAGTACACCTGCAGAGATAAAAAAGTGGAAGTAAAAGTTTCCAGAGTTCCTCTAAATACTCTTGTCCCTATTTCTCACTATTACTCTGTTCCTTCTACATCATTCCTCCTGGAATTCCACAAGATACTACAGTATCCCTTAAGCAACCTAGATGGAGTTCCCTGACTTACGATGGAAAATATCCTACTATATACATGTGCTACAGAGGTAGCAGGTCTTTAACTGGTAACCAAGCAAGCTGGAGGAGCTTCAAATCCCTCTAATATTGTGAGGACTACACACTCATCTTGTTGGAAGACAGAATCAACATTTCATTTGAGAAAGTGCAACTGTATTCCAGAGGACTCAATACAGTTTTAACCACTTGAAACTATGTACACCACTATCTTTACAATAAATAGCTTTAGAATTCTGCGATTTGCCATTGATTGTGAAATTTTCGCAAAGCATAATATATCATGAAGAGTGCATAAAATTATTCATTTGTTTCCACCTTGTTTGAATCCACCACTAATCTGTGAGCATCATTTTTTAAAACTTCTTTGGTCATCTAATAAATCTACTACTGATTATGCTTGGGTGTACTAAATTGAAAAAAAAACAGCTAAATGGGCACTAAATTATATAATACTTTGCAAGATTAACCACTTTTGTAGTTAATTAGACAACAGAAGGAGAGCACACTAAAATAATTATCATTTGTTTTAATAAGCTTTTTATTTAGACAGAAAGTAAATTTACTAGGATCTTACCATCTCTGGGGTCAGTGATTTACTGTCTTGTAGTTGATACCAAGCTTTAATGAGGCTTCACAGCATTATGACTTGGAATTCTCACTGGTAAGAGGAATATTCTCAGGTGTGTCCTCTAAGAGCCACACCCTACTGTTTTAGGATTAGGCTTTCACAAGCCACGACTAGGCATTACATCTAACAAGCGTCAAGAGGAAGTAGTTAGAACTCAGCCTCTCTCGCTAGATTACCCAGATTTAAATTCTGGCTCTACCACTTACTAGCGTGTGACCTTGGACAGACAAGACAAACTCTTCTGGGCCTCAGTTTCAAATGAGTTAGGTAATACCTCTAAACACATAGTAAACGTTCACTATTACTAGAAGGATAATGTAAAGTCCTTCCTTCTCTCCCTACCCTTCACAAAACAGAATGAGATTATTGCAAAGATGGTGCCTTGATAAAAGAAAAGTTGAGGAAGAAAACCCTAAAATTTCCAGGGCCAAGTTCAAAGTGGGTCCTATTCTTCATACCCTCAAAGGCAAAAGAAGACAAAGCAGTCTCCGGCCTTTGTCAGACTGAGATAACGAAAAGGGTAGGAGGAAAAAAGAAACGATCTTTTGGAAGAGGTACTGAATTGACATAGCGGCAACTCTCTCTTCACTCTCCCTTCAATTTCACACTTCCTTTTTTCAAGTGTGAAATTTGATAATTCACACTGGATTCACACTGATAATTCTGTCCACTGACTTGGGAACTGGTAATTGCTTCTTGTCTCAAAGGTATATCTGATGTCATTGGAACTGGAGAAAGGGGCAATATGAAGAGTGCTAGCAGACTGCATTCCCACCATTTGGCAAGGAAAGATAGAAAGATGATAAAATAGAGTCATTCCTGGATGTCCCACACTGGAGCACTGTGCAGGTTCCCATAGAGGCTTCTAAAAGTCTACCACATAAACCTTACGAAAAGACAGACATTTGGATATACACCCCACAAAGGGCTCATCAGTGTGAGTCAGAGAAGCAGTGATGACTCCCCAAAGGAGGCCAGACACACCCTGGATGCCACAGGAGGACTAGTCTTCTCCCCTCCCAGCTCCAAGCCCCAGTACTAGGAGGACAAGGCAGGGAGGAGGGAGTCAAGTATCTGAGGAGAGAAGACACACTCACACCCCAAAGCCTACACCCTCCACCACAGGTCTGGGCCACAGTGACATATACTGAGGAGACGGAAGAGAGCAAGGTGTGGAAGGAAGAAACTTGGGATTAAATGTGAGTCTGAAATATTAAAGAGGATGGATAACTCACTCTTGATACCAGCTTATTTTTACTAAATGAAAGTGACTGAGAAGGACAGAATTGGATGGAGAAGGCTTTAAGAGAGATGAATTCATAGTAGGAGAATAACAGCAGGAGAATCCTCAGGAGGCAGTTTTCACTGGAAAAAAAACAAATAATTTGATGTCTAGTCCTTGTGAGTTGAGAGTTGTCAATCAAAACATTTTCTTAAAAAAATAGATATTACAATCTCTGCCACAGTCAAGAACACTACACAGGTCTGTGCTCAGGATCATCCTCCGCTCAGCCCAGATCCATCCCTCAGCAGAACCGATGGTGGTGGGGTGTGTGTGTATGTGTGAAGGGGTGGGGGTCAGGTGCAAACTCTTTATCACTAATTAACATTTTAGCCTCTTAAAAATCATTTTTCCTTTTCCCTAAGTAATTCTGTAAGTTCTGGGAAGCAGAGTCATCCTATTCTCTTTAATTTTTCTGACCATGCCTTCATCATGGCTTCTTCAATTTTACACTTAAAAAGAGAATTTTCACAAGAGTAATATATACTTACTCACTCAATGTGGAGCTTATGACATAAAATAAGTGCTTTTTCTGAAAAAAACTGAAAATATTAGAAAATGCTAAAAATAGATAGCAAGGATCAATAATGGAACCACTAAGAAATATTACTGTACTTCTCCTTCCTTAATTATCCTTTAATATTTTCTTCAACATTATCCTTAATATTTTTCCCCAAATGAAAGCCGTATGTCTACAAAGCAAAAATTATACGCAAAGTCTTTTTAAGGGTTGGGAGTGAAGTAAGAACTTATTTTATGTTGTTTGCTGACCTTACCTCGTACCTCAGTATTATGCAAACCTAAGCAATTTGGGAAACTGTTCTTTCTCTGTTGCTTAAGTTAAGCAATGACACTTAATCCTCCCACTTTGTCAATTCCTGATACTACACTTGCTGTTATTAGAATGTTCACTATCTTACTGCTATTGAATTTGACAATATCTGAAATAAAGTGTAATCAGATGTTGCAATTTGTGATGGATGCTTCTGTAATAAGAAGTTCTCAGTCATCTCTGCCCTCATGCTAAACCATAAGAGGGGTTGAGTTCCCAAATACGGGCTCTGAACTCTGGAAGTTCATTCCAACCCAGTCAGTGAACACATAAGGAAAAAAAAAAACTTGTTTCCCCACAACAGGGCAAGGCAGTATTTTCCCGGTTCTTATGTCCTTTATGGGGCCCAGGCTGCCAGGATTCAGACACTTTTGTTTCTTCAACCTCTTATTTTGATTCTGGATCCCCTGAACTTGAATTCTGATCTTGGTCTCTGGCCCTGTGCCCTCCTGAATCAGTGTAAGCTTGGTCTGCTCTGAGCTCAGCCCCTGGTGGTCCTGCTTTTTAGCCTCACTCTGAGTCCTCTGCATCAGCAGCACTCCACCTTCTCCCCTATGTCCAGCCTCCCAGCTTTGTGCAATCTTTGCCTGCATCCCTTTTCTTCCCTGTCTCACCTGCCAAAGCCCTGGATCATGCCCACCATGAGGGCAGGATAGGGACAGCAAGTCAGGGGCAAAAAGCCAACACATGGTAGGGCTTATACAGACTGCAGTCCACCCCTTCCTCAAATATTTTAACTCCAGTGGGAATTCGAGTTTAATCTCAGACATAAGAAATGAATTTACTCTCTGGTCTCAACCTATTTTCATGATTAAATTTTTAAAGGTAAGAAAATAACTTTGATAGGAGGATACCGTTTTTCATTAACATTTTTACATTTAACCTATTTCCTAGCAGGCTCTTGATGGAACACCTCATCCACCAGGTCCAGATCCTTCATTATGGTAGTATCACCCACTGCTGCAGATTCAGGTTTGTCTTTTCTCAAACTTTTTTTTCTATTTTATTTTGTTTTCTACATCCTATAGATGTTATCACACAACTCTTGAGAAGGCAACTTTTAGTCCACATTTTTTCTGAAAGTCACTGATGAATGAAAACATATTATTGTCAGCTTTAAAGAATACTGTGCTTTTGGCTCAGGACTCAGGAGAAGGCCACAGTGTTAGCCAAAAAGGACACAGGCCATCTTGGCTAAGCCCCAGCAAAGGAACTTCGTTGGAAGAAAGCAAGCACTCAGACACCCATGAAGCTGATAATTTTTAAATGTTTTAGTGGGAAATCCTTCTGCTTTGGATGCAAGAGCTCTGGTTCAGGGCTAGATTTTTGGACTATGAGTCAAAATAGCTCTTGTTATATTTGCCACATGAAGATTTTTTAAATACTTACTTTGTGCTCCATTGTCCACCATTCGTACTTAAAAACATTGCATTTTGTTTATCTTCTGTCTCTCTCCAATAAAATGTAGCTTCATGAGAGTGGGATTTTTGTTTGCTTTGTTCAGTTTGTGTTCCAACTACATAGAAAAGTGCCAAGCACTCCGCAAATAATTTTTGAATGTATAAGTTGTTTTGCTAGTAGTAGTGATGGGTTTGAATCCATTACTACTTGCTTACTAACTGGAATAATAGAAGTAGAAAGCAAATAAAGACAAACTGCCCAATAAACCCAAAGATTTTGGTGAATAGTCCCAAGCAGTATCCAACTGACTTATTCAGTCACAAACCACACAAAGAGAATAGAATTAACAAAGACTTTCTGATTGGGAAGACGATATTAAAAGTAACCTAATTCAATCATGTAATTGATACTAACTTCTTGTTTGTTTTAGTGGCCTAGTGTAAATTTTATCAAAGCAGGGAATTTAGATTATTTGTATGTCCTCTAATTTATTCCATTCCAGATTGCCAATGAGGCCAAAATAGCTGCAAACTAGCCCGCACAGTTTATAGATCTAGTAGCTACATGCTTTAGAAGCTGTTTCTCTGTTCCATTAAACTTCTTTCTTTCATATATTATGCTTAAATCTTTAGCTTTGAGATTACAAGGTGTTTAGTTCAGGCAGATTAACAAACTGCTTAAGGCTGGTGAAAATTAAAATAAGGTAGCTCAGCAATGTCTAATGTGATCATCATTTCTAGAATTACTCCAGCCCAGAATCCCTCCTCTGCAGCATTTATCAGGCCTTCAAAGAAATGGAGAAGCTGAAAATTCCATGATTTGCATTGGGAATTAATTTGGAATTGTTGAGTGTCACAATGGTGCTTCTCAGAAATAAAGCTCTACTAAGTAGTTATGTCTGATGAGCTTATTCAAAGAATCTCAAAACTGCAACAGAAGCACAAATAGAAAATCAATCTGCAAGTTGGAGGGTCACAAAAAAGCAATGAGGAGCTAAAACTAGAAACCTGAAGTTGCTTTAAAAAATATCTATTGTTTCTTTACACAGGACACTGTAAATTAAAAACATTTCATTTTAGGCTATATAACAGTAAAACAGACTTTTTTTGGTCAAATGTATATCATAATCTTCCTACAGTGAAAAAGGTATTTGAGTAATTTATTTAATAAATATTATTTACTTTCCTGAGTCATATGACTTCAAATTTTATTTCCTTAATACAAAACAAAAAGCATTCTTTGGGGTAATTTATTTGTATTATTGTAGTTTTTTATATAACACTATAGCTTATAGTTAAAGAACAGAGAAGTATAAATATGGGAGCAGAAGTTGTTAAAATAGTCGCAGACATCTATTTTATATGATCTATTGGCTTGAAACAAATATTTAAGGCAAATATTTCTTACAAAAGTAAGAAATATTCTTCTGGAATTCCTTGTTTTCAAAAATGAATTTTAAAATTCCAATTCTCAGTACAAATTTTCAAATGAATAACTGGCACCTGCCCTGAACCCCCAATTTATAGCAAACAACCTTGCCCTGTTCCATAGAAATGACATGGGTAATTGGGTAAGATTCACCTCAAGTCCTCCCACATCTTGTTTGCAAATATACCTTTCCCCGTTCCCATCCTTCTGTGTGGCCTAGTAGGCAATAGTTTTCTTCTAATCAAGGCTAATCCCTCTTAATGTGTTTGGATGTGGACCCCTGCAATATTCTCAGCAATACTATTTTCAAACTTTTCAGGAATTATTGACTCCAGCATCTAAACATGGTCAAAGTTCTTCCATGTCAACACCTTCCCCCAACAATAAAATCTCTACCCTATCTCACTCCCCTCCCAACCCCTTTCCACACACACACAATGATGGATATGAGAACAGCACCAGGCAGCACTTTCTGAACCAACCAGAGGGTTACGTAAATAGAAAACCTGATACTAAGGTTAATATCATCATAGGCTGGTCCCAGGAGTTCAACAACTTCCTGAGAGTTCAAAAGAGACACATAAGTGCTGAATCAGTCACTATCAGTCCAATTATTAAACCACTTATCTGTGAAGCAAAATATTATACTTTGCTTTTACATTAGCAGTGATAATTTTTTAAAAGAAAATTATGTCTTTGACATTATTCCAAAGACACACACACTGTAAGGGAAAATTTCTGTTATCAAAACATTAAAAATAAATGTATTTCAAAAATAACAATACTGAAATTTAGCATAACATCTTAAATTAAAGGGTTTCAATTTAAAAAAAAAAACTTAACACCAATAAATAATACAAAGACCCAAATTGAGGGAGGGGAAAGAATAAAGAATATATATAAAAAATTCAAAATGAAAACATTATAAATGGCCAATAAACATCTGGAAAATATTTACATTTACTATTAGTAGTAAAAAAATACAAATGAAAATAATAAAAAAGAACCACTTATTACCTATAAAGCTGGAAAAGATTTTAAAACATACGATGTCCTATGCATCTGTGGCAATAGTCACTGTCATGAAAATTGGCACAGCCTTTAAGGAAGACATTTGTCAATATAACAAAAGCATTAAACTTGTTTAATTTATTCTAATTAATTTTAATAAAATAGCATTGTAGCTTTTTTAATAATTACAAATGCTGAAAGCATTTTAAATAACTTAGAATATATTTTATCCATGAGATTAAATACTATGGATTTCCCAGTCTACTAAAGTGAAATAAAAATTGTTTTCTTCAGGTCTTAGAGTTTTTAAGATAATAAATATGTTTGGTGAATCTCTAAGAGGGATCTAGTGTTCCTCTGTCTTTTATTTTTTATGTCAGGTGAATAAAATAAAATATAATGCAATATAATACGACTCATCATATTTTAGTGTACAGTTTGATGCATTTTGACAATAAAGATATAAAACATTATCATCTTTACAAGTACCCTTATATCCCTTTGCAGTCAATTCCCACTCTCTCCCCGAGTCACTGTTTTCTGACCTTATCATTTTTGCTTTTCTTAGCATTTTATATGAATAGAATCCTATAGAATGTAGCCTTTTGAGTCTGACTTCTTTTACTTAGCATGACGTTTTTGATATTCGTCAGTGTTGTTGTATGTATCAATGGTTTGTTCCTTTTTATTGCTTACTAGTAGTAGTATAGATATACCATAATTTGTTTATTCATTCACCAGCCAAGACATTTGAGTTGTTTACAGATTGTGGCTATTATGAATAAAACTGTTATGAACATTGGCATATATATCTGTGTGCACATGTGAGTTTTTCTTCCTCTTGGCTAAATATCTAAGAGTTTGATTGCTGGGAAATATATTAAACATATATTTAACTTAAGGAATTGCCAAACTGCTTTCCAAAGTAGCTTTCCATTTTATGTTCCCAACATCAACCTGTGATAATCTCAACTACACCAAGATTTTGTCCACACTTGTTAATGTTTGTGTTTTTAATTTTAGCCACTCTAGTGGGTATGAAGGGTATGCTGCTGTGGTTTTGATTTGTATTTCTCTGGTGACTAAAGATGTTGCACATCTTTTCATATGCTAATTTGCCATGATCATCTTTGAAGGGTTTGTTCAAATATTTTGCCCATTATCAGGGGGGTCGTTTGCTGTCTTATTATTTAGTTATTTTTGGTATATGTCTTTTATTAAAAATGTGCTTTATAAACTTTTTCTTTAAGTCTGGTTTTCAGTCATTTTCTGAACAGTGTCTTTCAAGGAACTGAAATTTTAATTTTGATGAAATACAATTTATCAATTTTTTCCTTTTATGTTTTATGCTTTTGTGGCCATTCCAAGAAATGTTCACCCAATTAAAAGACAAAAATATTTTCTCTGATGTTTTATTTTAATAGTTTTCTAGTTTTAGCTCTGATACTTAGGTTTATAATCCATTTTGAGTTAATTTTTATATACGGTGTGAGGTAAAGGTCTAATTTTTTTTGTTGTTTTCTTTTGTAGCTGGATATCCAGTTGTTTCAGCAATGTCTATTTAATTACTTTAGCATATTTGAAAAGTTTTCCACACTTAATTAAAAAACCTATTTATTTTTAAACATTTACTGATTTCTCAGAAAAATACACACCAGTTTTTAATAAATCCTTTAATAAATTTTTAATAATATATTAAAATGTTAATTACATCATTAAAAAGAAAAAGCTGGCAAAGCAAAACAGTGTATACATATCTGGACTATATGTACCAAAATATACACACAGGGGTTGTTGGGTTAATCATGGGTAATTTTACTTTTCTTTTATGTGTTTCATTAAATTTTTCTTCATTAATGTATATATAAATTACAATAAACACTTTGAAATTTTATTCATTAAATTTTTGATTCCATGCTTCTTCAGAGTTACCTTTTTATTTAAGCTATGAGTAGAATTAATAATTACATCAGTAAATAAAGTAAGGTTGTACTCAGTCAGGCAGAAAAGGGGGAAAAAAGTCTAGTTAATAGTACATTAGCATTTACTAAAAGCAACATCAGATTATATTTGACAATTTTACTGTGAAATTAATGTTCTCAAAGGAACACACTCAGAATTTTAAAGTTAAACCAAATGTTCTCAACAGAACATATCCTTAAGAAGATAAAAAGTCAATGAATGATTTAGCCATAAAATTTCATTGTGCCATAACATCCAATTTTAATGTTGTTCTAGTTTTGACCTCCTTCCTCACACTCACAGGTCATCAGGAACTTTCCACTAGTATCATACAGTCCATACAAAACATAAAGAATAATTGTTTGATTTTCTTTTAAAAGATTTTCTTCCTAGATTTTAAAGTAGAAAGATAAAAATGACAACTATAAACATTTCTCTTTCTTTATCATACCTTTTCTCTTTCCTATTTCATAAGAATGATAGTTTTGGCAGGGAGAAACTTGCCTTTTCAGGAATTTCTTATTTGCATTCACAGTGTCAGTGATGTAAGTGATCTTGCAGGCGTGTGTGTGTGTGTGTGTGTGTGTGCATGCAAGTTCTATGACTATAGCATTATACAGCACAGAGTCTAAGATAAATTGAAACATGGCAAAAATTATAATTAGTACCAAGTGGGTGTAGTGTAAGAGCTAAAAAAGCAAAGTAGAAGTTGGAATTCATTTTCATATCCAATTCAAGTGTCTGAAGCTAGCTCTTGGGTGATTTCTGATTGTTAAAATTATATTTCTTTTGAGCATTTTGAGTAGTAAAAGGATATTGCTTTTTCCACTGACTAATTTCACGGAATACTTATTTGGCCAAGTATTGTGGGTGGTCATTTTACATCTTATTCAAACATCATTTGGGGAAAATCTGGGGACCCATTTTTAAGTTTTTATCGTGGTCTGCATATTAAAAGCATTTATAATGTGAAAGGGAAAGGCAACTCCATTAGAAATACTCCTAAAGATAGAACAGATTGTTATTTATTTGTAAATCCTAAGCACAATATGTTAACCTCAACAGAGGAAAAACTTAGAAAAGAAATGCAGCATGCAGAGAAAGTACAAGTGTTATACAGCACTGTTAGTAATTTGGAAAAATTGGAGACACCCTATGTGGTATGTGGGTAAAGAAATTTAAAAATAAATTACGGCACATGTATACAAGGAAATATTCTCCAAATATTAAACATAATGTGGTTCAAGAACACTCATTGATATAAAATGTTATATATAATTTAAGACCTGATTAAACATGGAAATAAAATTGGGACTAATTTTTATAACTGTTTTATATTTATCCAGTATCTTAAAAAATCTTTGTAAGTAACAGTAGAAACTTGTGAGATCTTAAGGCACAGCTATTGGAATAATACTTCCGTAAAAGTATGTTGCCATAGCCTTTCTCCATAAGAGGGCAGCTCCTGATCAGCAGGGTTTCTTCTCTCAACTGTAGTGAGTGTGCAGCAGAGACCTCTTTCTACTATTAATACAAGACACTTTAGCTTTCTATAGTGTCTGATCTGGGTTGAAAGTTTAGTCAATTTGTGACAAAACTAATACCAATATTGTGTGTTATCTTAAAATATGCTCATTTAGAAAAAATGTTTTCGTGATACCAAGAAATATTTAACTATAAGAAGACAAAAATATAAAGCAAGACTTGGGCTTCTCAGATACAAATGTAAATAAAATTTTCCTATCATGGGGAGAAGTAGGCTAACATAATGGTTTAGAGTTGGAGTCTGGCGTTAGGTCAGTCTTGGTGTGAATCCTTGCTCTGCCATTTATCAGTTGTGTTTACGTAGGCAAATTACCTTATTAAGTCTCCGTTTCCTTAACTGTTAAATAAAATAAGAAGAGTATCTATCCTATAGGGTTATTGTGAAGATTCAACGATGAAATACAAGGAAGATATGTGTTTTGTGTCTGCACAGCATTGAGCATGTGCTCAGTAATAAATATACATCAATGCTAGGGGTCCATACTCCCTGATAACTCATGCATATGCTATAGTTATTTTTTGTTCAGTGAAGGCTTAGTTGTGTGGAAGGAGACCTCACTTGCATGGAAGAGGGAGTGAGGCCACGTCTTATTAGACAAGAGAGAGTAATAGCAGCAGTATAATTTAAAATGTATTAGTAAAACAAATTTCATACACATATAAAGTTTCATAAAGCCCTAAAGTTGAGATACAACCTAAGAAAAGAGTTTGATCTCATTTTTCCGCTTTTTAATAGATAAGCATCCTCCCTTCATCTTAAGTCATCAAGATAAAAACTATAACTTTTGATACCATATCCAGACAGCTTTTTAGGATTTCACAATGTACAACTTTCTTATAAAGCCTTTTCAAAACCTCTATTATCTAAAAATGAATAAAAATCTACAAAATTTGTTGGCATTGGCTGACTTTAGCAGGTATAGCCAGGTATTCAGGTTTTTCTTCATGGCCAGAATGCAATGCTCTGTCTTCTCAATAAGTGTGATTCCAATCAGATGGACAGATAGACAGAAAGAACTTCAGTTTGTTTATTTTTTCAAAATTGAATAATTATGTGCATAAAGCCCATCTGGAGCTACTTAATGTGTATTCCTATGTGCATACACACATACACATATAAGCACACAAGCATCTGTAAGCATGAAGTCAGTCATTATACTCTAAAAACAAATATTAAAGGTCAATTTGTATCGTCTATAAGGTAAGCAGGACAATTTAAAAAGAAAACATCTGAAACGATCGCCAGATAACAAATAGGCTTTTGGGGGGTTGTAGGGTTGTAGGGACACACCAAATATTTTTTAAACCATATTATTATTAATAAAATAAATTACATCTTTGAACATCTGAAAGGAATTTATAAAATTAAAGTTCAAATTTAAATGAATACTAGAAAAATCAAGAGTAAACAAAAGTAAAGTGAAACAATAAAATGGTCTTTTACCTAACAATCTACTATTTTTTAGATTTATTTTAGCTTTTCAAGTTTGTTTAGTCATTAGGTGCTAGTGTATGGTACTAATATTCTTTTAATTGTAGATTCTGTAGCTTGCTGAGACATCTCATCCTAAAACTACTTACATATTTTATATAATAGTAATCAAAATATATGAAACAGTACAGGTCTAATTTTCAGGTTGTTACCTATGTCCCCCAAATATACTAGCCCAAATTGTAAATTTCAGTTCAAGAAATTGTCTAACTTGACTTCAGGCTTAACTCTCAGGGCATAGTGTTTCTCATCTGTAAAATAAAAGTATTGTCCTAAATGCTAGAATTCAAAATCTAGACAGGCATTTCCAAACATCACATTATCATCATGCTGCCTAGGAAAGCCTGTGACTACTATTCATTAAGTCCTGTTATTGCTTTCACTTTAGGTCCAAACAACAGATGGCTGAAAACTGTAACTGGACACCAGGTTCTATCTTCACTAGTCTTCCAGGGGAATTATCATGCATAAGGGAAAATGGGACATAAGAATACAAAGTATAGAAGTGGAGAAAGAATGTAGTTCTACTCTTCATTTTGCAGATGAGAAAGTTAAGGTCCCTAGGTACTAAGTACCTTCTATCCAGTATCATAGAGCCTAACAGTAGCAAAATAATTATTTAAAAAATTTTTTGTGTTAGTAGCTAAACCTATGTGCTGTAAACAATGCTAATTTGCAGTGTCTGTGAGTTTAAGTTACCAGTTCTGGCTTACAGCCTTTAGTTATGCAAAAAAAGTGAAAACAATGTTAAGACAAATATTGTAATAATTTGTATGATCCAGTATTTCTTTCTCCTGCCTTATTAAGCCTGCCCACCAAAGAATGCCATATTAATTATACCATTTTTTTTAAGTACAGTGAATGCTTTGAATCATTGTACCTGTATTAGATAAGTGTCTCTGATACAATACACACTGGGCTAAAACTTCCTTTGGGGTATTAAAAATAATAGTAACCCATTAATATTTCTGAATATACATTTTAAAATGCAAACCAATAACTCCACCCAAATCACAGAACCAGATAGAATATCCGATACAAAAAATATTTTGTCCCAAAACTCCCCTGGATGTTGGATCACAGAGAGTCTTGGTGCTTGGGAGGCAGAGGTACTTTGGAAGCATTTAATGAAGGGCACCTTTTTCTGAGCAGTAAGGAAGTGTTTCAATATTTTAACAATATGGCTCACCTGCAGATGAAGCCATCAGCCTTGCCTGAATACCAAGAATCATTTAAAACCCACTAAAATGTCAACACACTTTGATCAATCCATTCACAGGTTCTTCATACTGTCAAAATGAATGTCAGGTACAAAGGAAGATCTGCTTCAGAAAAAAATTAACATTTTCTCTCTGTATTTGTGAGATTAAGAGAAATATGCCTCATATTTTTTGCTTTTCATTGCCAAAAATATATAAGAATCATTAAATTGGTTTCTATATTTGACACCAATGATGACAATATGCTATAATGTTTCAATCAACATTATTTGAAACAGGTATGTTGCTAATTCACACCTGCACTTATGAAAAATACTGGTACTTCTTTTGGAAAGCCCTTAATGAATGGTAGTTTCTGGAGAAGAAATGAATACAAACAAAAGAGCATTCAAAAACCACTTGAAAACTGTTAGGAAAAGTCAAATAAGGTCATTTTCAATATTGAATTGTCAGTGAAATCCTATTTTAATTTTTTTCAGATTATCACTGCTAATTAAAAGAAATATTTTTTCAAGTTATAAACCGTAAATACATCAGGAGACACCTAAGAGGGAGATACTTTAAAACAATCATTGTACAAGAAGACTCTTATAGCCCAGCCAGTTCAGGGCAATAGGAAAACACCTCATTATGGTAACTTGAAGAAATCCCAACACAAACCACATAAGAGCCTTGGATACTTCATTCCCAGCAGGTTCTTGCAAAGTGCAGAACAGCGAGACATATCCTTGTTATTTCTGATGTACTTGCAGCCTGAACACTCTTCCTTTGAGGAACAAAATATGCAGTTGGGGCTATCTGTTACTGACGCTACTTTCACCACACAACCATTGATTTGCCGCATAACTGACCTTGATTCTTTCCCCTTCATAACCCCTAATAAATGGTTAAGTAAACATTTGTTTTAAAACTCCCTATTTCCCATTTCAATATGAGCTTATAAATGTTCAGTGGTTAAGGCCTAATACATCAGTTTCTATTTGAATTTCTACATTTAAGGTGTTTAAGCCCTAACACGTCTTTAAAGTGACATGAACATTTGAAGGGTATTCTTATCTTTAAACATTGCACTGAATTATGAAAAACTGTTTTCCCAAAGATTTTGAATACTATCTTTTGTATGGCTTTGATATGACAGTGTTTACAAATTACCACAGATTATCAAAAGCCTACTTAAAAAAGAGACTTGCTATTCATTTCTAGAAATATCTTTGTAACGTCACTGTGGTTAATATATCTGGGTTTTTCATATCTCTGTTGTTTAACCTTTTTTACTGAAGACTTCCATAGTGTCCTTGGAAAACTGGGGGTGGGGAAGTTATACATAGATTTTATATATATATATATATATATATATATATATATATTTTTTTTTTTTTTTTTTTTTTTTTTTTTGCTTGTTTGTTCAACAGAGAACTGAATCAAAACTGATTCTCCCCATACCTCCAAAGAGGCTGGGATCATAGGTTAGATCAATAACTGAAGAAACGCTTTCATTGTACACGTCAGAGTGCCCAGATATCTTAAGAAATGAGCAACTCGAGGTGCAGTTCAGGACATATATGCCAAGTAATACCAAATGTTAAAGGTCATCAGTTGTTGATGTGGTTCTAATTGATACACAGAAACAGCTTCATTTCATTTGAGGCAATTGATGTCTCTCAAATCAACCAAAAATAGGAAGAGTGAGGTGAAAACTGTTTGTTCTCTGATAAAGTAAGAACATAAAAAAGCCTACTATTGACCAGCAAAAGCACTGCCTTAAAACAAACAAACAAACACCAAAAGAAAGAACAAAAAACCCAAAGGGGCACAAGAAAACTTTTGAAGGTGATGGATATGTTTACTATCTTGATTGTAATGATGGTTTCATGGTCTACACATATGTCCAAACTCATCAAATTGTATATATTAAATATACGTAGGGTTTTTTTGATATCTCTATTACACCTCAATAAAGCTGTTAAAAAAAAACTAAAACCTCAAGGGATCATCTGTATTTTGTTAATATACTCTTTGTATTGGTTACTGCTCTTATTTAACTTTAACCCTTTGGGCTCTTTTCCTAAAACTGCACAGGGTGACAAACTAAAATGCTGTGCCTTAGAACAGCAAAAGCCCTGGATTACATTTCTCATTATGAGAATACCAAAGTGTTTTTAGAATATCCAACTCTTTTTTTTAATGCCTGCCTATACACGCCCCCAAATGCCACTAAATCCTGACAGTCACTTCCTTCTCCCAGTGCCACCTGCTCCCTGAACACCCACCCACGAGCTGCTAAAATCCTCCCGTCACCTCAGCCACATGCCAAAATAGAATGCTGCCTGCCACCCCCACCCCCAACCTCCAAACCGCCTTTGCTATAAGGAAGTAAATATACATAACTCAGTTCACTAAGGATTTTATAATGGCAAAGGGTGATGGCAAAGGGTTCTGGGCCTGATAGCTGGAAAGAACTTCATCATTTTAATATGTACAAATCACAGCTGTTGTTTCTGGTATGAATGTGATACTTACTCAGAGATTCTGGTTGCTACGAGAAAGTTCAGGCTAAGATTTACTGATTGATCTAAAAGCAAAGTGGAGGTTATACCTCCCACTATAGCATTAAAAATTCCCATGTTGCCCCCTTTCATTTCTAGCTTGAGAACAACTCTACATGCGTGACAACTTTAACAGCTCTGCACTTTAGATGGCTTCAGCTTGTTTGAACCTAAAAAACACAAAGCTTTTTGAAGAATATATCTAGTTATTACTCCATTCTTTAAACAACTATTTACCTACTATATGTCATGCACAGTGAGGATATAGTGTTAAATATGTGGTTGCTGCTAATATGGAGATTATAATTTGCTTCAAAGCTCAGTTATTAAGTGAAAATATTTTCCAATATTTTATTAGATTTATTTTAGACTCAGACTTACAGAGCTGAGGATGGAAGTAGATCTGTTTACTTTGTAGGCTTTGGTATAAGTTTCAAACAGCAGCTTTGGGTACAGGAACTGTACTTACTTGTCTTTGTATCTCCTATGCCTTGCATAGTCCTTGGGCATGAATGAATGAATAGATAAGTGCAGGGATGCATGAATAAACATACAAACAGTTCTGTGAAGAAATGAATGGGTATGATTTTCCAGAGTAGATATTCCCGACATTACTGCAAACCAGGAGAGTCTTGCCTTTCTGTATTATATTTCACTTCTCCTTATCTACAGCTTTTGGAAAATTAAGAAACTCCTTAACTAAATTCCAGCTCTTAAAAGAACAACAAGTAATAGGTCTCCCTAGGTCTCACAGAGGACTAGGAACACACAATGATTCACTCTTTGCCACAGTCATGCTAAGAGACTAACATAAAGGAAATTGATCTGGATCATGTTGCCATAAACTGTTGGCAGAATTTTATGAATTTGAGTATTTCAGGGAAAAATATGCAGCTTTTCTGTGCCTTAGAGTATTATAATAGATTTGAATCCACCAAATAACAATACAACAGCTACCTACTTCTTTAGTTAAATTTAAAGCAGGTAAAGTACTACTTTACTATTATTATTTTTTTAAAGTACCTTTCTATTCAAAAGTATTACTTGGTCTTTTCTGTCCAAAAGTATTACTGAGATAAATACATCAGTTTCCCCTGTGGCTTTTCCAGAATTTAACACACTACAGCCACTAAATTTGGAAACATATCCCAAACTTTGCTGGTATAAACCCCTACCTGGAATTACCAGAACTGAAGTGGAAAGCTACTCTTTCTCTTCTTCCCATGAGTGAATAATTAAGCCTCTTGGGAAGTCACTAAGGCAACCTGAGGCTTAACAGGACTGGTTTTCTTGAGTCACTGAAAGGATTGCATAAACACACAAATTCAAATAATAATTTTCTACTGTGGGCACATTTTTCTAATTAATCTTAAAAAGATGAGAGAAGAAATGGGGGCTGAATCTCAGACATGGTATCACTGAAGGAAGTAAGACAGAAACTTGGATATTTGTCTTTGTTGCTAAATTAAAGGAGGGGGGTCTAATGCCCTTTAAAAACATTAAAGCACCAACCCTACAAAGCATTGAATGTTTTGCCTTTGAGTCTTCCATAAAATTACTAAAAATCTATATCTAAACTATAGCTTTTTATCACATTCTTAATCACATATACTCTGATAAAGGTTGGGAAATAATCAGCCCTCACCATTTGTAGGTATCTGATATATTAACAACACCATGAAGAATAACAAGGTAATAATAGGCAATTCTTATTAGACCCTTACCAATTTGAGGCATTGTTAGAAATTCTTTACAGAGATCTTCATAAATTCTTACTACAGCCTTTGATGTAGCTATCATTACCATAATCCCTTTTTACAGATAAAGACATTGAGGAACAAAAAAGTTACTTGCCCAGAGTAACATAGCAAGCTGGTGGTGCAGCAAGGATTTAAACCAAGCAGTATGGCTCTCAGCTGTCAGCAACTGGCAATGGATAACTAGTTGAATATAGTAAACAATTAGTACTATTGGAGATTGTTATTATGGCTTATAATGTCCAAACAGAAGCATTTCAAAGTTCTTGTATTCAATTAATTTGCTCATTTAAATAACCAAACAATTATGCATCTTAATTATGCAATTAATTTACATACCTGTATATTTCATATTTACATACCTGTATAACATCAGACTGAGAGCTGGAAGACTTGGGATCCGTCTCAGTTTATTAACCTAACTCGTTAATAAGTCACTTAACATCAGAAGCTGTGGCTCATTTCTTAGTGATAATAAAAATTACTTAGACAAAGTGACATTTAATATCTCTTGCAACTCCAGATTCCTAGAACTCTATTGTCTCTTGATATTTGTTCTATCTGCTTGATAATAGCTCAGATAATGAGGAAGCAATTCCATAATTTTACAGTTTACCACTTTAAAAACAGAGTTTTAAAAGCTAGCGTATGGAGCACCACACCTGTTCCAGGAAAACATAATTCCTGAGAGCTGCAAAACACATTTCCATAGTTTCCCAGTCTGAGAAATACTGATTAAAAAAACTCAGGTCTTGTACCATGGAAATATCTTGTATTTGTGAATCATCCTTACAAAATAGAAATTTGCTTTTTATTATTAATAAGCGGGATTGACAGATTTAGCAAATAAGTATAGAGGACAGCAGTTAAATTTGAATTTTGGATAAACAAAGAATAACTTTTTAGTATGTCCTACTGAGGGACATCCCTATATAAGGGATAAGTATGTCCCATACTAAAAGTTTTAGGGACATAATAAAAATCATTCATTGTTTATCAGAAATTTAAATTTTACTGGGTACTTGTAATTTTTTCTGGCAATTTTACCAGTAAATGAATCACTCATTTGAGGTGAAAACACAAAACCAAAACCAAAATAATTAGAACTTATGAACCACTGAGCATGCATGTGAGAAATGCTAGTCTAAGGTATCATTTAATTTTCCTCATTCTGTAGACATCTGTGCCTACCCAACACCAAATTATCACTTATATAGAAAAAGACTAAATTATAACACTAGTTACTATTCAAACAGGCTATGGGCAGTAAAATATTTTTTAAAAAAATTTCTATAAACCAACCCTCTCAGAGTTGTTCTTTAATTTCCTAATGGTTTTTCTTTAGTCACTGTTACGCTAGTAGAAAGGAATGTTCATGCCAAACAACAAAATAAAGAACATGGCCGGGCACGGTAGCTCACATCTGTAATCTCAGCACTTTGGGAGGCTGAGGCGTGTGGATCACCTGAGGTCAGGAGTTCGAAACCAGTCTGGCCAACGTGGTGAAACCCTGTCTCTACTAAAAATACAAAAATTAGCCGGGCATAGTGGCACCTGCCTGTAATTCCAGCTACTCGGGAGGCTGAGGCAGGAGAATCACTTGAACCTGGGAGGCGGAGGTAGCAGTGAGCCGAGATCACACCTTTGCACTACTCCAGCCTGGGCAACAAGAGCAAAACTCAGTCTAAAAGGAAAAAAAATTGGCAATTTTGGAAGAGATGACCACTGAAATTTGTTTTTGAAAAGAGGCACACGATGTGATAAGTATAGATGTAAATGATTGTTTATTAGGTAATTAACATGCAACAATTACATGCCCAGGGTAGGGCAAGCAATAGGCAGGAGCTTATTTGGTGGAATAAGGGCAAGATGCCCACGCATAACCCCACACTGCCACTGAGGTCAGCATACTGTAACATGCAACTTGTCAAGAGGGCTTTAATTTGGATGGTTAGTGAACAGAAGGTAACTAGGCAGCCGTGATTTTGTTTTTTGAACTGTAGATCTAAGGTGAACAAAGAATACAAAGATGAATTCTGGAAAATGCAACATCCAGTTACAAAGAAACGGGAGGGTCAGGCAAGCCTGGAATGTTCATTTTCTTCTTCACTTCCTGAAAAATGTCTACATATCTTTTAGGACCCAATTCCAGTGTCCCTCCTCTGCAAATCTTTCTCAGTCTTTTGTCATCCCATCTGCATAAATCCCTGCAGGCCTGGCTAGTTATTTCTTCTTTAGAACTCCCTGGTACTTTTTATATACCCTTCAGTACTCCCACATAGCCAGTGTCTTATTAGATTGAGTTAGGTGTCCACATGTCTGTTTTCCCCTACAAGGCAAATGCTATTTGAGAATAGGAGTTATGCCACTCATAAGGGCACGTAGATCCTTCTGAATAAATGCATAAGTGGTCATGTGAGATAGAGGGTAGAAATAATCAGACATATAGATCATAGAATTTTACATACAAGATCTTTTATTCAGATACCACTCTTCCGTGGTCTGCTTCCCATTGTGAATTTATTTTACACATTTTATTTTTTAAAATTCTACATTTCTTCTTAAGGAGTGGGGGTGAAATCTGATTGAAATGCAATAGAGCATTTTTATTTACAGAGGATTTATACAGACAGAACTCCTCTTAAACAAACCCTCATGAATAAATATAAATCCATGATGTGCCAGGGGTATCCTGTCTTCTCTCCCAGATACCATTCATTTCCAGCTAAAATGAAAGAGCCCAGTACTCTAGGACAAGCCAAACTTAAACCCATATATATCAGTATAATGTGAGTACTGCAGAGAGAGCTCCAGGAAGCTAAAGTCTATTTGAGGAGTCTGGAAATTCACACATGAAACAACTGTGGAAGACAGTACTTTTAACTGACAATGAATCAGTTCTTGCTGTATTTTTAGTCCTCTCACACATTCCATTCTTTCTGTTTAATTACGGGTGATTCATTGTTTCTAAGGCCACACGGAAATACCCACACACATGCACACATTTCCATGCATACATACCTCCCCACAAACACACACCCCTACACACACACACCTCTCACTCTCTCCTATACAACTTTGCTTATGTTCTTTAGACTCTGCATTCCTTCCTTTCCCCTGATATAAATGCATCATTAGTCTCCAGTATGACCCTCTACAAGAAGACTTCCTTGAATATATTCCTCATTGTTTTCTCTTAAAGCCAATACTTTACATTATATTATAAAACCTTGCTTATGCATTCTAATTATTTTATGTATGCTTATTATTTCCATCTCTATTATTACAGCTTCAAAGGCAAAACCTTTCTCTTCTAATCTGCTTTTTCTCACCCTTAATAACACAGAGTATATTGCTATGCATCTAATAAATGTTCAAGTAATAGATATTTGAGTAATAAATAAATAAAGAACTAAATAGAAATAAATAGGTGTTGAAATGTAAGGATTTCAGGATTTCACCACAAATGAATCATACTGACATTCAGAGGAGCTTTTACCTCTGCCTGGCATTAACCACCACATACTTCAGAAGCTGGACCATAATGCCGTAGGTTTGTTTTTATTGCTTTCTGAGTGTTTACTCATATGAAATTTTTTCCTATCCAACTATTTCCCCCGGATTTTAGTTTACATCAATTCAAGAGAATCTGAGTTCTATAATTACTTTCCTATATTGAGAAACATTTTCTATATTTTTAATCCCAGTTGCAAGAATAACACTTCCTTATTTGGAATCACTAGCAAATTATACTCAAGCATAAACTGCTATTCTAAGCTATAAATGAAAATGCTTTCTTGGGTGGATGAGTTGAGATATAAAGAATGGGGTAGGGGCTCTGACAGAAGTATTGTTTAATCATTTATATACTGCTAAATATATACAGGAAGTGGTGGAACTAAAATCCCCACACTTCCCTCAGACAGAAAATCAGAGGTGATATCTCTTCTTTTAGCACTTCTTTTAATGTAGCTTCAAGCTGTCATCTTATAGTTTGTTCTTATTGCTATTTATGACCATCTGTGTAATCTTTGGTCACATGGGAGTGATCACAGGTAAACTAAAGGTTTGCAAAAGAAAGTTTCATAATTACAAGATATAATGTTAAAAACTGTCATGCCATGTGTTGTATTTATTTTACTTACTTGTTTTTATTCTAACAAGAAGACCTCAAAGCCTTCACATGAGATTTGTTAGAAAGGGATGGTAGACAAATAATAGAACCAAAGTTAAAAATCCATAGAAAGTATGTTTCAATTCCTTCTGTGCTCTTTACTTTGTGTGCCGTCTTTCCTAACAATAGAAGAGTAAAACAAAGAGAGTTTGAACTAAATCTTTCTTTGATCTGTGATCTATTTTGGTGAAAATAGAATGGAAATAAAAGTTAGCAATTGAAAGTAATGTTTCTTAAATTTTGCCTTTCTATTTATATGGCATAATTGTTTTGTTTAAAAAGATCACATGGATTTTGAATTCAAAGATTTCTTTACATCATTTAAAATTTTAGAAAAGTGAATATAACATTAAAAATTCCACTTAAAAACTAAATCTCAAGTTTATTATAATAATTAAAATGTAATTGTGTAGTGTATCTTTTAAAATTCATGTTATTTTATAATCATAGAAATAAATGATGGCCTATGACATGGCAAATTAATGCAAAAAACTATGGAGAAATGTCACTGCAATTATAAATTTTAACATAACACATCTAGATTCCATTATGTTTTAATACATTACTTTCAAACATCCATTATGATAGTCCTAACACTACAACAGCTTAAGTAAAAATAAAAGGTCAAAAGTATATTCTGCTAAAATTATAGATAAAGTCTCTTTATTAACTAATAGAGGGAAAAGTCTCTCTGAATCAAGTAAAATAATTTTAGCAACCAATAGCCACATCAAAATGTAGTCCAAAGACCCACAGCATCACATTACCTGAAGCTTGTTAGACATGCAGAATCTTGGGCACCACCACATCCTAATGAATCAAACTCTGCATTTTAGCTAAAACCCTGAGGTGATTTGCATGTTCATTAAAGATTGAAAAGCACTGGTCCATATTTTGAAATTAAAGAACATTCATATCTATGACATGGTCTGGCCCTGAATAAACTTTTGACATTGATTTCCTTTAGTCTTCCTTTGGCATCTCGGGTCCTTACTTGCATGTGACTTCTCGAGGCCAAATCGT
Source organism: Homo sapiens (assembly GCF_000001405.40). Classification (NCBI taxonomy): domain Eukaryota; kingdom Metazoa; phylum Chordata; class Mammalia; order Primates; family Hominidae; genus Homo; species Homo sapiens. Next base: position 72,029,985 of record NC_000006.12, on the reverse strand, counting down.
ATCTAGATTGTTCTCTACATGCATCTTGTCCCTTCTTTGAAATATGCCATTTCTAGTTCCCATTAGCTCACATGTTCTCTTTTTATGTGACAATGTTAATTGAGGTATCTACCTGCTTTGCCTAAGTATGACATCACTCAACAAATATAACAGCAGTAACTTACATTAGCTACATCTTTGGAATTGCTTAATATCTTAATTTTGGAGATAATAAAATGCCAGGAGCTAGAGTGTTCGAGCATATGGGACAGATGTTTTGGTATTCCTCCATCTCCCACCTTCATCTCACTACTTCAAAGATTTTGGTGCTAACTTGCAGAAAGTCCTAGCCTGTTCAGACTTCCATAACAAAATATTCTATAATGGATAATTTATAAATAACAGAAATTTATTTCTCACAGTTCTAGAGGCTGGGAAGTCCAATATCATGATGCCAACAAATTCAGTGTCTGGTGAGGGCCCTGTTCCTTCTGGATGTCACCTTCTTGCTGTGTCCTTACATGTCAGAGGGGCAAGGCACCTCCCTCCATTCAGCCTCGTTTGTAATGGCCCTAATTCCTCATGACTTAATCACATCCTAAAGGCCCAACCTCTTACATTGGCAATGAAGTTTCAACATATAAATTTGTGAGGAGACACATTCAGACTATAATATGTAGAAACTATTATTTATAACTTAACATGAAAATTATATGGAGAGCTACTTATCTAACTTATAAAAATCACAAAGTATTTTTTCTGCATTTGATCCAAATATTTGCTGCATTTGACCAAAAACCTCAATAGTTTTATTGAGACTTTGGTACGTAAAATGCAGAAAGAGAGGTGATAGGATCAAGCCACATCATAGAAAATAATAAAGCAAAAATTCCTCTTGGATTTTGTTTACTGAAGCTTAAAGAGTTTCCAAGCAAAACTCTTTTCCATATTCCCTTTTTACATGAACTGTGGTTACCAAGCAAACTCTTTAAACTTCAATAAAAACTTTAATGTCAGATATGAGAAGACAAAAGTCTAACAACTTGATTATCCATTTTCTTCAGTACCATTATGGCACATTTCTGACTATAAGTAAAGCTAGTGTCCAACTGGTTCTGCAGAATATAAAGGAAAGATGAGCACACAGAAGGTGCGCAATACATGTATGTTTATTGAATCTCCATCTTTACACAGACTTTTCTTTCAGCATCCAGATGATTTTAAGAGTCTGTATGTTTGGTAAAATAAATATGTATTCTGAATACTTCTGAGTACTTTTAGTCTCTAAAATATTTTAAGAAATATCCTATTTTAATCTAAGGAAATTCAACTAAAATAACTGAAAGACATCCATGCTTTCGTTTGTCTTTTTAGCAGGGAGTTTGGTAGAAAGGTGTGTTGACTCATCACCAATGTGATAATGCAGAAGCTGAAAAAGGAAGCATTTCATTTTCCATCATGTTGAAAATGGTATTGATTTAGGACAAGACTGTCAAACATTACTCAGCTTCCATTGTTGGCCTATCTGGCAGATTCTAGATTTCCAAATTATATATGAAATTTCACACTGCAAAATATATTTTCAAATTCTTAGGTTGTTACAGATATTAAAAATTAAATATTTACAAGAAATATCTACATAGTTAAGTTATAGTAACCAAATAATTACATAGACTTCTTAGGTCTATATATTTACTAGTTTAACAAACATAACTAAATATTTATTTCTTATGAGATATTCTTTTAGAAATGTTACATTAGAAATATTATGACAAAAGTGTTAAGAATTGCACTGGGCTACATGATTCTTTTTACTAAATTAATATTGCATTACTAGGTAAGACCAATTATTGTTGACTGCTTGGCTAAATCAAATAATCATTGTACTTAACACATCCAGTCAGAATTCAGAATATGTTTCCCTCCATTTAATAACAATTTGATAGCCTATACAACCTGGTACATATCAGTTTGATTAGGCTTTTCTTTAATCTGAATTCTAAAGATAAGTAATTTTGCACACTGTTCTTACTGAGCAAAAACAAATATACATGGAAATGAAAACGGATGTCTCCAATATACTTAATGCCTCAACAGAATAGCAAAAGACAACAATCAAGACTATTATTATTGATGCTACCATGAAAATCTATTAGATAAGTATCCAAAATCTAAATCATGCAATGTATATCTGATAATCCTTGAGTTTCTAATTTCTCCTATACTCCCATTAAAAAAACCCATAAAAATTGAAACTGTTGTTATTGGATTAATTAAAGCATGGGATACAGTCTCAGGTGATAACTTTATGACAGTAAGAAGCTATCTATGAAAGAGGCTGAGACCAAGGAAATTTCTTAGGGCTGTTGTTTTAAATGAAGAGAGAGTCAAGTGTACATTTCTAAGTGTAGAGTATTCCTTTAGTTCATTTCCAAGAACTTGATAGGGAGATAGAACTACAGGTCATGTAAAAAGGGAATATTTATATTAGATTGTTATCAGCAAATAATAAATCTGCTTTGATATATATATATTATTTACATTCTCTGAGGGCATTCCCAAGAAGTACCTGTTATATGTGTCATATTAATTTTTAAGAGTTTTGGTGGTAGAGATGTGGTCAAATTGATCATTTTGTATAGCTCATTCTAGTGGTTGCCCCTTCAGAGAGGCAAAAATTGTTTGCCCCAGCCACAGGGCCACATGACCTATTTGGCAATTCAAGTCTTCCAGGCTAATGAACCACAAGGCCTCCTGGGCTCAGGTTCCGGGTTCATCTATTTCCGATGTAAGATTGAGTTTGCGTAGCAGCCAATAAACCAGAAGAATGCCAGTTTGGTCTTAGAATGCATAGAAAATTAAGGGGTCACATTACACAATAAAAAAAGTCTTGCCTGTCCAAATAATTTTGCCAATATTAATATATTAGTACATTTTAAATCATTCATATTTATATGCACACATGATTAAAATTCATTAATGTATTGTTCTTCATTTTTCTCACTGAATTTAGAGCTTAAACTGCAGATGATGGAAGAAAATGATTTTCCCATCTGATTTTCTATACATTCCAAATTTTCTAATATGAACACTTTTTATTTGAATTAGAAGATCAAAAGTCTTGGGAGAATCAGAAGTAATTTAGAAATGACTTTTGCCCTCAAGGGCTTTAAAAGCTTTTTGAAGAGATATGAAATGAACTTATAAAATGGTGATACAAGGCAGTATACAAAAAGTGCCACTACATAGTGAAAACAAAATACTATTTAATTTTTTGAGGGGTTGTGTGAGGTGATGGTGGAAATGATCTTTCTATCTGTTGATTAGATAAGGTTTTCATGTATAAGTTTTCATTTAAGTTGTTCCTAGAAGAAAGGAATGGTAGAACATCTGGGCAAATTTCTCTAGAAACAAAGGACATATTCCTATATATGTTATTTTACATAATTTGTGAGGTTTGAAGAGTTCCAAAAACCCAAATGGACTCCACATTGGTAGATTCTTCCCTAGTCAAAAAGAATAGTTTGAAAAAAAAAAGTTGGGGGGGGGGGCGGTGCTGGGGGAGAAGAATACATTAGGCACAGAATTTTTGAGTCTACAATGCCAGGCTATGGTGTTTATACATTGTTCAATTGACAATAAAGAATCACCAAAGTTTTGTAAAAGGGAATTTAGATATAATATACTATAGGCCACCAGCTGGTATGTGATAAATCTGAGGTGGAAAGTAGAGCCATCAGATTCAACATCTGTGCTCTTTCAGGCCCAATACACTGCCTCTCTATGCTGAACAAATAATAAAATGTTGCTGTTTTTCTTGAAATGTGGTAGCCAACCTCCAAGATAGCCACTGAAAATCCACACCTGTAAAATTCGGGCTCTATGTAGGCCTTCTCTGCATTGACGCAGGGCTGGTCTGTAAGGCTAATAAAATATGAAGTAAGTGACAGTATGCAATTTCTAAGTCTGGGTCATAAAGACATTGCAGCTTCTGCCTTGATTTCTTGGGTTTCTTGCTCTAGAGGAGGTTAGCTGCCATCTTGGGAGGATACACAAGTGGCTCCATGGAGAGATCCATCTGTAGAAGGATGACCTTTTCTAGCACCAAGTTGCCAGTCATATCAGTGAATCACTTTGGAAGCGAATCTTCCAGCACTAGTCAAGTCTTTAGTTGAATATAGCATCAGCTAACATCTGACTGTAACCTCATGAAAGAATCCAAGCCTGAACCACTCATAGAAATTTTTCTCAAATTCCTGACCTATAGAAGCCATGAGATACAAGAGACGATTATAGTTGTTGGGAGACACTACATTTAGGGGTAATTTATGCGAGTGAAGCAATAGATAACTAGTACAAAAAGGTCCTAGCCATCAACTCAACTGGGAGTTCTACTAGACAAAATATTATTTTGGAAAATTAGTGCAACTGTGTGCACTATGTGTGCAGTATGGACACACATTCCATTATAGGTAGAATAATGGTGTGTGGTATATTACTTATATCGCATTATAGTTAAGAGTATTATCTAGCAATATATAAATATTTTGCAAACTACTAGCTTCATTTTAGAGAAGCAGCAGAGGCAGGACATTGAAGTAGATTAACCTGTTTTTAAATTTCAGCTCTTCCACCTATGTGAGTAAATCCCTTCACTTCTTCACACTATGTGTGAGTGTGAAGCTGCCCTACTTACCATCACAAAGAAGGATCCTTGGGGAAAAACCAAACTCAAAGAAGCAAATGTCTGTAAAAGTCTAAAACAAATATAAGGAGCACGTGGCAAAAAAGGAACGCAGACTTTGGCCAGGTGCGGTGGCTCATGTCTGTAATCCCAGCACTTGGGAGAGCAAGACGGGCAGATCACTTGAGGTCAGGAGTTCGAGACCAGCCTGGCCAACATGGTGAAACCCTGTCTCTACTAAAAATACAAAAATTAGCCGGGTATGGTGGCAGAAGCCTGTAGTCCCAGCTACTCTGGGGGCTGAGGCTGGAGAATTGCTTGAACCCAGGAGGCGGAGGTTGCTCTGAGCCGAGATAGTGCCATTGCACTCCAGGCTGGGCAACAGAGAGACTCTGCCTCAAAAAAAAAAAAAAAAAAAAAAACCCACAGATTTTAAGAATCCTGAGTTCAAATCTCTGCTCTACTATATATTATTTAATATATTATTTATGTGACATTGGACAAGTCAGTTGTTCTAAATTTCAATTTATTACTATTCTATTCAGAAAAAATAGGAAAGTACTATGAGACTTAAATTGATAATATATGGGACAGTGCCCAATATTTGCTTGTTATAGAGTAGGCTTTGTAAGTATTACATTTTACTTTAAGTTATTTTGGTTTTATTAAGTTGAAAGCTGGTGGAGATATTATTTGTAGCCTAGTGATCATCTGCAGACCCCTGAAAACTGAGAAAATGTAAAGAAGCCATTGCTGACTAAATATATTGACAATGATATTAGGTGAAATCCTGGGAGCTAAATTTTAATACAAATAACAAATATTATTTGAGTGCCTTGTATATGTCAAACACTTTACATTCATTATTTCATTTAATCTTCATAATAACTTTATGAGGTCAGGATTGGCATCTCCATTTCACAAATGAAGAGACTAAGACTAAGAGATGATGTGTAAATTTTGATAAAGTCAAAGTCTATTAGATTCAGAAGTAGGAGTGCATCTTGCTAGAGAAAACTACAATAAGAGTAAAAATGAGAATTTGTAGAGAAACCCTAGGAACAGAAGAAGATGGGCATACATTACAATGAGGAACAAAGAAGCCAAGAAGGAAGAAAGAGCTAAGAAAATAAAATAAAAAACCAGTAGGCAGAAAGAGAGATGTAGTAAGAGAAATGCTTGAGAGGCAAGTAAAGGAACTTTGCTTCGTAAGTTCACCTGCAGATTTCCTTTAAAGCTAATTAGTACATTAAAATCATGTTTTATAGGCTGATTTTTGTGATAAGTTATTGAGACACTAAAGCTTTGTAGTTTCACCTCATTAAGACACAGTCTTCTCCTCCTAGATGGACATGTCTTTGAAGGAGTCAACCTTTCCATGTTAGCTTACAAAAAATTTTCAGTATAGTGTCTGAAACATATTATGTGCAAAACACTTGATTCTTATTAAATAATATTTAGTACATGTAAAGTGTATTTATTTAAATATCTCTATGAGTTAATATCTCTATGAAGTAAATATCTCTATGAAGTAAATATCTCTATAAATTCAGCATGAAATAAATTTGGTTTCAATATTTTACACAAACAAGATACCTGCATAGTACAACGATACTATGTAACAATTCTGTCTAATCCAAATCAATGAAATTCTTGACTTAGCTACAAATAGCATGGGAATGAAAAAAAACTTACAAATTAAAAAAGATCACAAAGCTATGTCTCCCATATCTCAAATAACATCATACTTACTGAAAGTTTTTCTCTTTCTCTATTTTTTAAACATTGACTAGAAAAAAAGTTTTATCAAATAAGGACACATTTTCCTACAGGAAATATATGTAAATCTAGATTTCTTGAGAGTGAATTTTAGATACTTTAATAACAAAAAAACCCTACAACTACAAAATATTGTAACAATTTAAGTTATTGGAATTACATATGAATTATTTAAAACTATCAAGTGTGTTAAAAACTTCAATTACATTAGAAAGCTACTGTGCTATTTATTTACAACACGTAAGTATGACACTGTTCTATATCATAAATCAGACCTAAAATGTATATGTTAGCTATCAAATCAAACGTTTAACAATATTTTTCTTGCTCTTTCAGAGTGTAAATGAGTCTTTTGCATGATTTGGGTAATTTAAATCACATTGAAAAGCTTCCCAGTTAAGATTAAATGACTATTTTTTTCCTTTGTTGAATTTCTCTGTAGAAAGCAAAATAATTCAAAAATCACTCCAAACAGAAACAGCCTGCAATTCTCAACTGTTTCCACAGATGGAGAACTCATGCACGAGTAAGCAGTCAAAGGTAAGGGAATGAAAGGACTAAAATCTGTACATTTATGTGTATCTGGATGTGTGTGTTTAATGTCACTTATAAAAATCATCTTTCAATATTCATATTACATTAAGAATACATTATGAATAAAGCCTCTGCCTTTCTAGTCAGTCTCCTCCCCACTGTGTCCTCCTGCTTTAGGATTCATTCATTAGAGGCATTCCTCTTTATTTGCACCTAATATGTTCCAGAAAATGGGTTTGATAGTAAGTTTTCAGATAGAGAGAGTCTTTGTTTCAATATTTTAAATGGGAAAAAAATGATAAAGAGTTTAAAGCCTATCCAAAAATCTCAAACCAATTTCATCGAACACGACTAAAATCTTCTTAAACATACTTAACAATTCACCAAGGTTTTCTGCATAATGTAAAGCATTTAAGACACTAATTGCCTAATTATTTAATGCTTAATGAGGTTACATATTTTGTCTGAAGTTAACAACCATACACTAAGGTATTGAATATTTTTCTTCTATACTACAACAAATATGTAATATAAATGTACCTAATGTATTAGAATATGTTAGAAAGGTGGATCACCTACTCTCCTTATAAGTTTTTCACATTCACATAAACATTTACATGTAATAATTTGGCAAATATAATAATGATAACGCCCAAGTTTGAACAAGGGGAACAGGGGACTCCATCTTGTTGGGAGAACTGCTAAGATACCCCTGCAGCATGCTCCACCTTTATGTGTAAACAACTTAAACGTTTTGCTGTCAATGGCTGCAAGTTACAGTGAGTTTTCAATTAAACTATAAATTTTCTGTAAATATTTTTTGGAAAACAATATAGCTTAAAGTTAAAACATCACACACTAATATTATCATTTTATTATTAACACTTCATAGTTCTTTTCACTTTCACTCCTAGCTGGGTGGGATTTTATTATACTTAGTTGTCCCCTAATATCCATTCTTTCTCTCTTTCATAACAAGATAACCTATCATTCTACTTGAGGATAAAACTGCTTGGAAGAAAAATTGTATTTTCAAACTCTCAGTATATGCAGGTATGGATGGCCATGGGCCACTTTTTAGTCAATGGGATACGTGCCAATGTACTATGTACAACTTCTGGGACTTACTCCTCAAAGGTGAGGGTGAATTCTGCATTCTCCCCTTCCTGCTTTCTGATGGCTCCATGCAGACCTATCTGTATACCAGCAGCCACTTGGGACCATGAGAAAACTTGGGAATGAAAGCCACAAACAGGAGAGTAACAGGACAGGAGAGAAGCCTGAGCTCTGGACCTGGTGAGGCACCACACAATTCCTACTATACCTTGTTAGACCTGAGAGAAAAATAAATTTTGATCTTGTTATTTGGGGTATTCTGTTGTTATTACTACTCCAAGACAAATATAACCCCAACTGACACTGTGTTCTTTCTTCGTGCACCAGGTATACTGGGCTTAAGTTTTACACATAACTTACTACATGCTGCTGCTATTATCTGTTCATCTAGATAAGGACCTCAAGGACAGGGATTGCATCATATTTACCCTTGTATACTCCAAGCATATGGAAAATAGTATAGATCTGATAAATGTTTAAAGAGTTGTTGTATACCAAATTGAGTATATCACTGGCAAATACTGTTCATCAACAACTGTCAGCTTCAATACCCAAAGCCCCTATAATCACATTTTGAAAGCTTCTAGTATATTTGCACTAAACAACAATTTATTTCAGTACAAACATGTGAATTCTTTAATTTCAACAGAAGGAAACACATTTATTAAGATTATTGTTTAAAAAAATTATGGTCTCACATAGAATGCCTTCTTAGAGGGAGAAGTAAGAGACAATTTCAATCTAAAGTGAGCCAACTCTTTATGATGAAATATGGGGCAAGATCATTAACTTTTATCTATCTATGGGCATGTTCTTATGAATGTAGCCAAATTAGAGAGTGAGTGAATCATCTATTCTATCACATTCACTACAACTTTAGTTAGAAAATGAATATGGAATATCTTGGAATTAAAATAAAACAGATACAGTAATCAGTACAGTATCACATATAGCAGGTACTCAGTGATAACATATTAAAAGAGTGGCTAGTATTCTAACAGGGTTTAGTTTCAGAAAAGAATGCTCACATTTAAAATGTGGGTAAATTCAGTCAGATTCCTTGTTGGAGTCTGGGCATCTTACTTGCACTCTTTTATCCAGTCTAAGCCATGTTCTCCAACTTGCTTCACCAAAGTACTCTTTGCGAGTTCCCAGCACTATCCCACTAAAGAGACAGTAGTTCTTTGCCATATATTATTGTTCTTTGAGAATTTCATGGGAAGAATAGTCCAACATTTCTGACTTCTCCAGCCACAAACCATCAAATACCATTGAAATATCAAGTGCACTGCAAATGGAGAAATAAAAGGAGAGCAGGAATTGACCAACAGATGTAGTGAAGGAAGGAGAGTGAGAAGACCCCTAGGAGGCAGTGACCCTGAGGCATAAAGGACTTTGGCATAAGAAAGCAGCAGAAGGCAAGGGCTGCTGGTACATGGTGCAAAGAGGCTGAGTGGGCCAAGGGCTTGGGTTTAGAACATGGCTTTCCAAACAAGTGAAGATGTTTTTACAAAGATAACACCAATAGGTTTTAAGCAGGAAAAACTATGTGATTTTAAGGGTTTACTTCGGCTATTGTGCAGACTATTTGAAAAGGATTTTGCAATGCAGACACCTTATTATCTCCAGTACCTCTAAAGAAGGTAGGACAAACTTGCATCATAGAATGTTATCATTATAGTATTAGTAGCAATTATTAATTAATACTAATTGACTGCTATATTAAAAAGAGTAAGAACTGACTATATGTAGAACTAACTTTGATATGTTATTCCAAATAAGTGTAATTACTGTTATTGTCAAATAAGAAAACACTCTGAGAAGTTGAGTGACTTGTTGTGGAAGTGACAGAGCAGGATTTGAACCCCAGTTTTCTGCCTCTGAAGCCTAAGCTCTTTGGGATGGTGTTACATCAGTTCTCAGAGTTATAGAATATCTGGTATAGCTTGGCAAAACAAGACATGCCCTCAATCCTCAAGGATCTTACAAGACAATGGTGAATACCACATTAGGACCAACTATCTGGACAATATATGTAAATTCACATGCCTATGTGGGGAAAAAAACTACAATTAACCAGACTTCAAAAACTAAACTGATAAAATGCCATCACTCTCATCCCCCTCCAAAGACATAGGACCCACATTCCCACGGAGCCAAGATTCAGCACAGAAACCAAGAAGAACAGGAAAGGGAAAATATATTTAAATAATTTCCTAGTTCCTTTAGTCAGATTATCAAGGTGAAATAATTTTCCAGAATGTTAAGTCTACAGCCATTCAAATTACATTACAAAAATCCAAAATATAAATCCACATTTGATTAGTCTATGTTTTGCATTATCTCTATCACAAATTCCCTCAAATAGAAAATGTAAAAGGGTTTTACTATAGTGATCGCTATAACACCTGCAAAGGTTTTTATATGTAAGAAAAGATTGTCACATGTTATTCATAACATGACAATGTCACATGATTTTCTCCTTTTAATTTTCTTATCTGATCCTCACTTGAGCACTGGCAAGTGAACACAGTAAATATTAGTGACCTCATTTGCTGACCAAGGTTTGTGTTGACTGCAATCTATAAAGGGATCTCAGATATAACAGTTTAATGCCTAAATAAACTTCTAAATTGAAAGCCAATTACACTATACTGACAGCACGTGTATACATGTACAAACACCTACAAATCTGATTTCATTCAAAATTCATATAAGTATTTTCATCCTATGGGTTTGGAGTTATCATACCTCAAATATGAAGTAATACCACATAAGGAATTTTTAGTATGAAAATATAGTAAGAGCCATAAGGTTTGCACTTCTCTTAAAACAACTCCATGATACATCAACACAGGGCAGGAATCACACTGCCGCCTCTTAGTCAATTTCTTATCTAATCAAGCAGGTCATCTAAAAAGCCAGTGGAGGCCTTCTTCCCTAATGGCTATGATTGTGCATTCCAACTCAGCATCTTTTCTAACATCTATTAAAATGTTGAGCACTATAGTCTAAGATATGGCACATAATTCCTTGAAATTATAAATTTTACATTCTTGGGGAGAATATCTGCTCAATCAAACAATTATTTCTATATTGCTGAACCAAATGGCCAAATCTCAATCCTAATCTGCTCACTGTCTTCCTTGAGACACTCTTCACTGGCTTCCAGGTTACTACACTCTCTGGGTTTCCTGTTTTTCTCTCCAGCCTCTAAATGGAGAAATGTCCCACGGCTCACACCTGGGATCATTGCTATTTTCTCCCAATACTCTCATCCTTGGTAATCTTCCCAGCCCATGGCTTTAAATGACATCTGTATCCTGATAACTCTCAGTATATTTATCCAGCTCAGACATCTTCCTAAACTCTAGATTTGTGTATATAAATGCCTATTCTATAACTCCATCTATGATGTCTAATAGGCACCTCAGATTTATCGTGTCTAAAATCAAGCTATTGATATTTCAACCTCCACCCCTACCAACACACACACACAAACACATAAATCCATTTCTTTAAAAGTCGTCCCCATCTCAGTAAATGGAAACTCCATTTTTATGTTTGTTGAGACCAAAAAAACTTAATTATTCTTGACTCTTTTTCCTTACACTCCATATTTTATCTGTCAGGAAATCCTTTCAATTCTACTTCCAAAATATATCTAAAATTCAACTAATACTTAAAACCTAGGCTGCTACTACCCTTAGCAAAGTCATTGCCTCTCATCTATATTACTTCAATAGCCCTCAAGTAATATCCTTGTTTCTAGCCTGCACTCTTATGGGTTGTTTAGCCCAGCAGCTACAGTGATATGGTTCAAAGGTACCTCAGATCATATCACTTCTCAGGCCAAACTCTTCAAGTGTCTCCCTACTTCACACAAAGCAGAATCCAAAGTGCCTCCATTGGCTAATAAAGATCTGCCACTTTGAAACCTCTTTGGTCTTGATTCTGCTGCAAGCACACATGCCTCCCCAGTGATCCAGGCACAGTTCCATTTTGTGGATATTGCACTTGCATGTCCTTCTGCCCAGAATGGCTCACACACAATTCTTTCAGGTTGTTACTGAAATGTCACTTTCTTAGTTAAGCCCTTTCTTGGGTACCTACATATTATTGCAATATGTTGCAGCAATACTCCCTGCCCCTATTCTCTTTATTTTGAAAATTTTCTCCTTAAGTATTTTTGAAAATTAAACTGCATCTATTTATCATGACTCTTCCTTAACAGAATTTATCTTTCTTATTTACTACTGTATCTCTAGAATCCAGAACAGTTTCCAATACATAATAAATGCTCTGAAATATTTTTAAATAAATAAACAAATGCCACCATTGTGATGCACTGTGTACATCCACCATGCTAATGTTTTTACCTTACTTTATTTTTAATATCAGTTCTCCATTGTGTGCATTATTTCTTATTTAAAATAAAGAAATTTGTCTCTTTCACATCCAATTGGTAAAATGGAAAGAGTCACATCTACAGAGGCACTGTATACCATCTCAAGAAGCAAAGTATAGTTTTTATCAAACTACCATAATGGCATTTGTGTTATTTACAAAAAAAGCAAATTATTATTACCACTGTTTTCACTGGCAATATATTTCAGCCTTAATGTGCTCCCATTAAAATGAAATTTAAGTATTAATAACTGAATCAAAATATGTAAATATTAAGATAGAGCAGGGATAAAAATAGGGAATAAACACTAAGAGAAAGAGATGGAAGCATGTTCTCTTACATCAGTTGTAGTGAACACATGTTGTCTCTGCCTATGTCTATACCACGGGCCATCATGAGTAGACCCTACAGGGTGTGTTGGCATATGCGCTTTTCTCAAGAGGCAATCTTTTAAAGATTTAATGGACTGAACTCAGCTAATAATATGAAATATTTTAGTTATGTCTATTAGCACATTACCATTTCCTCACCAGAGCAAAGATAATCAGGATTCCCACTGTATAAGAATTGCCAGGGTCCCATGTCAATGGTACATACTCACAAACTGACTACCCAGAATGTTTTATTCTCCCTATTATAAGCATTGAAGGGAATTTTAATTCTCATCTACATCATATCATCATCTACTTTGTGTTCACATAAATGTACAACTGTCTCCTCAAAATATTGCAGATCATTCTCTTTCTGTCAAATACAGTTAAAAGAAGACTACAGAAAAAAAGCACTTCTAGAATAAAAAATAAGGGCCTTCAAAAATTATATCCTCCATAAAAGCAATAAGAACACTGGCAAAATTTGTCAAAATCAATTTTTTGAGAACTTTTGAAATTAACCACAAGCTTTCAACAATCCAAGGAGCAATTATTCAAGAAAAGATACTGAATAAGATGGAAAGAACAGTATGTTTTATGCTATTTTCACTTTCACTTATTCCATTCCTTTCTTCCTATCTACAACAGCCTTCAAAACCAGCTGCCCCAAGAAACAAAGTATCTGTAAATACTAAAATCCCAGAAGGTAGCTTGTAGAAGGAATTCAAAAAAGAAGAGCAAACTAAACCAAAAGCAAATGGAAGGAAGACAATAATAAAGACATGAGCAGAAATAAATGAAATGGAGAGTAAAAAACAATACTACCCTGACATCAAAAGACAAACATATGATCCAAAAAGGAAACTGCAGACCAATACCCCTTATAAAAAAATCATCAACAAATTACCAGCAAACTAAATCCAGCCACACGTAAAAAAGATTATGTACACCATGACCAAATATAACTTATCAAAGGAATGCAAGGTTGGTTTAACATCTGAAAGTTAATTAATATATCACATTCATAGAATAAAAGATAAAAACCACACGGTCATCCAAAAGATGCAGATAAAGCATTTGAAACAACCCCAAATCTTCCATAATAAAATAATCAGTAAACTAAAATAGAACTTTCTCAATTTGATAAATGTCCTCTATGAGAAGCACCTAATATACTTTTTTCTTTTTTGAGACAGAGTCTCGCTCTGTCACCCAGCCTGGAGTACAATGGCGCGATCTCGGCTCACTGCAACCTCTGCCTCCCGGGTTCATGCCATTCTCCTGCCTCAGCCTCCCAAGTAGCTGGGACTACAGGCACCCGCCATCATGCCCGGCTAATTTTTTGTATTTTTAGTAGAGACAGGGTTTCACCATGTTAGCCAGGATGGTCTCGATCTCCTGACCTCGTGATCTGCCTGCCTCAGCCTCCCAAAGTGCTGGGATTACAGGCATGAGCCACCGCGCCTGGCCAGCAGAGACATATTAAGTTATTTCCCCTGTGACATTAACAAGACCAGATTGTCTGCTCTTACCACTTCTGTTAAAAAATTGTACTAAAGAATGTAGGCTGGGAAGTTAGGCAAGAAAAATAAATAAAAGATATCCAGAAAAGATGGAAAGCAACAAAGAATACTATTCCTATTTGCAGATAACATGATCTTCTATATAGAAAATTCTAAGCAGGCCACAAATAACTTGTTAGGATTAATAAACAAGCTCAGCAAGGGTGATGAATATAAGATCAATATACAAAAAATCAGTTATACAGTTTGGACATCCCTGATCCAAAAATTCAAGATTCAAAATGCTCAAAAATCAAAAACTTTTTGAGCACCAACATAATACCACATTGGAAAATTGCACACCTGACCTCATGTGATGTGTTGCAGTCAAAACGCAGGCAAAACTTTGTTTCATGCAAAAAATTATTTCAAATATTGTATAAAATTACCTTCAGGCTATATGCATAATGTGTATATGAAATATAAATAATTTCATGTTTAGACTTTCATCCCATCCCCAAGGTATCTCCTTGTCTATATGCAAATATTCCAAAATAAAAAAAAATGCAAAATGCAAAACCCTTCTGGTCCCAAGCATTTTGGCTAAGGGATATTCAACTTTTATTTCTATACTCTAGCAGTTAACAATATAATACAATAATAAAAAGAGAAATAACCTAATACAAAATCTGAGCCGGAAAAGAAATAGGCAGGGAATTTGATTAGATATTTCTCCAAAGAGGATATATCATGAAAGGATGCTTGACCTTATTATTCATTAGCGATTTGCAAATAAAAACCACAATGAGATATCACTTCACACCCACTAAGATAGCTAAAATCAAGATCACTGATAATGACAAGGCAAGGATGTGGAAAAATTAGATAACTCATTCATAGCCTGTGGGATTATAAAGTGATGCAGTCACTTTGGAAAACGGCTTTTCAGTTCCACAAAATGTTAAACATAGAGTTACCACATGACTATTTATACATCAAAAAAAATTGAAAACAAATGCCTACACAAAAACCTATACATGAATGTTCATAGCAACATTATTTATGATAGCCAAGAAGTGGAAATAACCCAAATGTCCAACAACTGATGTCCGGATAAATAAAAGTGGTATATCCATACAATGGAATATTATCCAGCAATAAAAAAGAATGAAATATTTATATATGCTCCATGCAACATCAAGGATGAACCTTGAAAGATTATGCTAAATGATATGGTTTGGCGGTGTCCCACCCAAATCTCATCTTGAATTGTAGTTTCCATAATCCCCACGTGTCATAGGAGGGACCAGATGGAGATAACTGAATCATGGGGGTGGTTTCTGCCATGCTGTTCTCCTAATAGTGAGTGAGTTCTCACAAGATCTAATGGTTTTATAAGGGGCTTCCCCCTTCACTTGCCACTCACTTCTCTTCCTGTCATGTGAAGGACATGTTTGCTTCCCTTTCCACCATGATTATAAGTTTCCTGAGGCCTCCCCAGCCATGCTGAACTGTAAGTCAATCAAACCTCTTTGCTTTATAAATTACCCAGTCTCGAGTATGTCTTTATTAGCAGTGTGAGAATGGACTAATACACTAAGTGAAAACAAGTCAGTCATAAAAGACCATATATTGTGTGATTCCATTTATGTGACATGTCTAGGTTCAGCAAATCCACAGAGACAGAAAGTAGATTAGTGGTTACCAAGGATTAGGTGTAAAATACATGGGGAACAATTGCTAATAAGTATGGGTTTTCTTTTTGAGGTGATGAAAATGTACTGCAATTACATAGTGGTGAAGGTTGCACAACTTTGTGAATAAACTAAAAACCAGTGAACTGCACACTTTCATACAGCGAATTTTATAGTATGTAGATTATATATCAGTAAAGATGTTATTTTAAAAGAAGACTACTCAGTTTAAGCTTTCCTAAATCTAGCATTTGAAATGAAGGAGAAACTGAGCCAAGAAGTAAAATGACAGACCTAGCCTTATAAACGTCACTGCTGTCTCCTTAGGCAAACTGCTTGCCTCTCTCCTGGATTTTCAGGACACTTAGTCCACATTTTCACACAACAATCACAGTATATTGTCATCATATGTTCCCAGGTCAGTCTTTTTCAGTCTTTTTCATTTCTCTAGTTACTTGTAAGGATCACATATTTTGTCTTATACTATCTACATAGCCATGGCATTTAGCACAGTTAATATATACACTGGACATTCAAAAGATGGTTGGTGAATAAAAGGTCAGAATAATCAGAATTAGAGTAAAACATTCTCAATTATAAATCCTGTACTTATTATGACATAATATTTATAAATTATATTGCTGTTTTTTTCATGGGCAAAGACCAATGTTCAGAGATTTGTTAGCTGTCTCCAGACAGGCGTAGGCAATATTGGGGTTATTTTCTGGGCATTCTCTAAATAGGTCTAATTGGCACAATATATGTGTGATTGGCACACAAATATGTGAATAGGTTTATATAGTTATGGTGCTTGAAGGGACTTTAAGAGTCATTGGGATAAAATCCACCCTAGCAGTGTTTAAGAAACCAAAAACTAAAGTAGTGGTTTGCACAGCGTCACCTACATAGACATAGAGACAGGCATAATTTAAACACAGGTGTCTTGATTCCAAATGCAGTGATGCCTTTGCAAAACATGCTCTAAGACCAAATAACCCTAGAATGCATGCTTTCACAAAATGAATGGTCTCAACATACAATTTAACCCAAACACCTCTAATTTACTGCCTGAGCCCATAATACCAGAAATATAACAGAGTGGTCTTTTCTAAGACATAATTTAAGTCATGTGATTCTCTAGCTTAAAGGTCTCAAAGGCTTCACATCACATTCCAAATCCAATCTAGATTCTTTACCAATGCCAAGCAGCTTTATTATAACCTTGCTGTGTACATCTCTCCACCCTTACCTTGTGGCATCATTCCCTTGAGCATTCTCAGGTCCTCTTAGGTCCCAGCATACATCAAGTTCTCTTCTATGCCTCAAAACATATACCCAGGTTGCTTTTTTTTCCCACAAGCTCCACTTCTGTTATTTGTTTTTAATGACTAGTTATTAATCCTTCAAGTTTCAACTTCATAATTTTTTCAGTTTTTTTTATTATACTTTAAGTTTCAGAGTACATGTGCACAACATGCAGGTTTGTTACATATGTATACATGTGCCATGTTAGTGTGCTGCACCCATTAACTCGTCATTTACATTAGGTATATCTCCTAATGCTATCCCACCCTCTTTCCCCCACCCTACAACAGGGCCCAGTGTGTCATGTTCCCCTTCCTGTGTCCACGTGTTCTCATTGTTCAATTCCCACCTATGAGTGACAACATGCGGTGTTTGGTTTTTTGTCCTTGTGATAGTTTGCTGAGAATGATGGTTTCCAGCTTCCTCCATGTCCGTACAAAGGACACGAACTCATCAGTTTTTATGGCTGCATAGTATTCCATGGTGTATATGTGCCACATTTTCTTTATGCAGTCTATCATTGTTGGACATTTGGGTTGGATCCAAGTCTTTGCTATTGTGAATAGTGCCGCAATAAACATATGTGTGCATGTGTCTTTATAGCAGCATGATTTATAATCCTTTGGGTATATACCCAGTAATGGGATGGCTGGGTCAAATGATATTTCTAGTTCTAGATCCCTGAGGAATTGCCACACTGACTTCCACAATGGTTGAGCTAGTTTACCGTCCCACCAACAGTGTAAAACTGTTCCTATTTCTCCAGATCTTCTCCAGCACCTGTTGTTTCCTGACTTTTTAATGATTGCCATTCTAACTGGTAAGAGATGGTATCTCATTGTGGTTTTGATTTGCATTTCTCTGATGGTCAGTGATGGTGAGCATTTTTTCATGTGTCTTTTGGCTGCATAAATGTCTTCTTTTGAGAAGTGTCTGTTCATGTCCTTTGCCCACTTTTTCATGGGGTTGTTTGTTTTTTTCTTGTAAATTTGTTTGAGTTCTTTTTAGATTCTGGATATTAGCCCTTTGTCAGATGAGTAGATTGCAAAAATTTTCTCCGATTTTGTAGGTTGCCTGTTCACTCTGATGGTAGTTTCTTTTGCTGTGCAGAAGCTCTTTAGTTTGATTAGATCCCATTTGTCAATTTTAACTTTTGTTGTCATTGCTTTTGGTGTTTTAGACATGATGTCCTTGCTCATGCCTATGTCTTGAATGGTATTGCCTAGGTTTTCTTCTCGAGTTTTTATGGTTTTAGGTCCAACATTTAAGTCTTTAATCTATCTTGAATTAATTTTTGTGTAAGGTGTAAGGAAGGGATCCAGTTTCAGCTTTCTACATATGGCTAGCCAGTTTTCCCAGCACCATTTATTAAATAGGGAATCCTTTCTTCATTTCTTGTTTTTGTCAGGTTTGTCAAAGATCAGATAGTTGTAGATGTGTGGCTTTATTCCTGAGGGCTCTGTTCTATTCCATTGGTCTATATCTCTGTTTTGGTACCAGTACCATGCTGTTTTGGTTACTGCAGCCTTGAAGTATAGTCTGAAATCAGGAAGTGTGAAGACTCCAGCTTTGTTCTTTTGGCTAAGGATTGACTTGGCAATGCAGGCTCTTTTTTGGTTCCATATGAACTTTAAAGTAGTTTTTTCCAATTCTGTGAAGAAAGTCATTGGTAGCTTGATGGGGATGGCATTGAATCTATAAATTACCTTGGGCAGTATGGCCATTTTCAGGATATTGATTCTTCCTACCCATGAATATGGAATGTTCTTCCATTTGTTTGTATCCTCTTTTATTTCATTGAGCAGTGGTTTGTAGTTCTCCTTGAAGAGGTCCTTCACATCCCTTGTAAGTTGGATTCCTAGGTATTTTATTCTCTTTGAAGCAATTGTGAATGGGAGTTCACTCATGATTTGGCTCTCTGTTTGTCTGTTATTGGTGTATAAGAATGCTTGATTTTTGCACATTGATTTTGTATCCTGAGACTTTGCTGAAGTTGCTTATCAGCTTAAAGAGATTTTGGGCTGAAACAATAGGGTTTTCTAGATATACAATTATAACATCTGCAAACAGGGACAATTTGACTTCCTCTTTTCCTAATTGAATACCCTTTATTTCCTTCTCCTGCCTGATTGCCCTGGCCAGAACTTCCAACATTATGTTGAATAGGAGCTGTGAGAGAGGGCATCCCTGTCTTGTGCCAGTTTTCAAAGGGAATGCTTCCAGTTTTTGCCCATTCAGTATGATATTGGCTGTGGGTTTGTCATAGATAGCTCTTATTATTTTGAGATATGTCCCATCGATACCTAATTTATTAAGAGTTTTTAGCATGAAGGGCTGTTGAATTTTGTCAATGGACTTTTCTGCATCTATTGAGATAATCATGTGTTTTTTTTCTTCGCTTCTGTTTATATGCTGGATTACGTTTATTGATTTGCATATGTTGAACAAGCCTTGCATCCCAGGATGAAGCCCACTTGATCATGGTGGATAAGCTTTTTGATGTGTTGCTGGATTCAGTTTGCCAGTATTTTATTGAGGATTTTTGCATCGATGTTCATCAGGGATATTGGTCTAAAATTCTCTTTTTTGTTGTTGTTGTGTCTCTGCCAGGTTTTGGTATGAGGATGATGCTGCCCTCATAAAATGAGTTAGGGAGGATTCCCTCTTTTTCTATTGATTGGAATAGTTTCAGAAGGAATGGTACCAGCTCTTCCTTGTACCTCTGGTAGAATTCGGCTGTGAATCTGTCTGGTCCTGGATTTTTTTGGTTGGGAAGCTATTAATTATTGCCTCAATTTCAGAGCCTGTTATTGGTCTATTCAGAGATTCAACTTCTTCCTGGTTTAGTCTTGGGAGGGTGTATGTGTCGAGGAATTTATCCATTTCTTCTAGATTTTCTAGTTTATTTGCGTAGTGGTGTTTATAGTATTCTCTGATAGTAGTTTGTATTTCTGTGGGATCAGTGGTGATATCCCCTTTATCATTTTTTTATTGAGTCTATTTGATTCTTCTCTCTTTTTTTCTTTATTAGTCTTGCTAGCGGTCTATCAATTTTGTTGATCTTTTCAAAAAACCAGCTCCTGGATTAATTGATTTTTTGAAAGGTTTTTTGTGTCTCTATTTCCTTCAGTTCTGCTCTGATCTTAGTTATTTCTTGCCTTCTGCTAGCTTTTGAATGTGTTTGCTTTTGCTTCTCTAGCTCTTTTAATTGTGATGTTAGGGTGTCAATTTTAGATCTTTCCTGCTTTCTCTTGTGGGCATTTACTGCTATAAATTTCCCTCTACACACTGCTTTAAATGTGTCCCAGAGATTCTGGTATGTTGTGTCTTTGTTCTTGTTGGTTTCAAAGAACATCTTTATTTCTGCCTTCATTTCGTTATGTATCCAGTAGTCATTCAGGAGCAGGTTGTTCAGTTTCCATGTAGTTGAGCTGTTTTGAGTGAGTTTCTTAATCCTGAGTTCTAGTTTGATTGCACTGTGGTCTGAGAGACAGTTTGTTATAATTTCTGTTCTTTTACATTTGCTGAGGAGAGCTTTACTTCCAACTATGTGGTCAATTTTGGAATGAATGTGGTGTGGTGCTGAGAAGAATGTATATTCTGTTGATTTGGGGTGGAGAGTTCTGTAGGTGTCTTTTAGGCCCGCTTGGTGCAGAGCTGAGTTCAATTCCTGGGTATCCTTGTTAACTTTCTGTCTCGTTGATCTGTCTAATGTTGACAGTGGGGTGTTAAAGTCTCCCATTATTATTGTGTGGGAGTCTAAGTCTCTTTGTAGGTCTCTAAGGACTTGCTTTATGAATCTGGGTGCTCCTGTATTGCATGCATATATATTTAGGATAGTTAGCTCTTCTTGTTGAATTGATCCCTTTACTATTATGTAATGGCCTTCTTTGTCTCTTTCGATGTTTGTTGGTTTACAGTCTGTTTTATTAGAGGCTAGGATTGCAACCCCTGCCTTTTTTTGTTTTCCATTTGCTTGGTAGATCTTCCTCCATCCTTTTATTTTGAGCCTATATGTGTCTCTGTATGTGAGATGGGTCTCCTGAATAGAGCACACTGATGGGTCTTGACTCTTTATCCAATTTGCCAGTTTGTGTCTTTTAATTGGAGCATTTAGCCCATTTACATTGAACGTTAATATTGTTATGTGTGAATTTGATCCTGTCATTATGATGTTAGCTGGTTATTTTGCTCGTTAGTTGATGCAGTTTCTTCCTAGCCTCGACGGTCTTTACAATTTGACATGTTTTTGCAGTGGCTGGTACCAGTTGTTTCTTTCCGTGTTTAGTGCTTCCTTCAGGAGCTCTTTTAAGGCAGGCCTGGTGGTGACAAAATCTCTCAGCATTTGCTTGTCTGTAAAGTATTTTATTTCTCCTTCACTTATGAAGCTTAGTTTGGCTGGATATGAAATTCTGGCTTGAAAATTCTTTTCTTTAAGAATGTTGAATATTGGTCCCCACTCTCTTCTGGCTTGTAGAGTTTCTGCCGAGAGATCAGCTGCTAGTCTGATGGGCTTCCCTTTGTGGGTAACCCGACCTTTCTCTCTGGCAACCCTTAACATTTTTTCCTTCATTTCAACTTTGGTGAATCTGACAATTATGTGTCTTGGAGTTGCTCTTCTCGAACAGTATCTTTGTGGAGTTCTCTGTATTTCCTGAATTTGAATGTTGGCCTGCCTTGCTAGATTGGGGAAGCTCTCCTGGATAACATCCTGCAGAGTGTTTTCCAACTTGGTTCCATTCTCCCCGTCACTTTCAGGTACACCAATCAGACATAGATTTGGTCTTTTCACATAGTCCCGTATTTCTTGGAGGCTTTGTTTGTTTCTTTTTATTCTTTTTCTCTAAACTTCTCTTCTCGCTTCATTTCGTTCATTTGATCTTCCATCACCGATACCTTTTCTTCCAGTTGATCAAATCAGCTACTGAAGCTTGTGCATTCGTCACGTAGTTCTCATGCCATGGTTTTCAGCTCCATCAGGTCCTTTAAGGACTTCTTTGCATTGGTTATTCTAGTTATCCATTCGTCTAATCTGTTTTCAAGGTTTTTAACTTCTTTGCCATGGGTTCAAACTTCCTCCTTTAGCTCAGAGAAGTTTGATTGTCTGAAGCCTTCTTCTCTCAGCTCGTCAAAGTCATTATCCGTCCAGCTTTCTTCCATTGTTGGTGAGGAGCTGCATTCCTTTGGAGGAGGAGAGACACTCTGAGTTTTAGAATTTTCAGTTTTTCTGCTCTGTTTTTTCCCCATCTTTGCGGTTTTACCTACCTTTGGTCTTTGATGATGGTGATGTACAGATGGGATTTTGGTGTGGATGTCCTTTCTGTTTTTTAGTTTTCCTTCTAACAGTCAGAACCCTCAGGTGCAGGTCTGTTGGAGTTTGCTGGAGGTCCACTCCAGACCCTGTTTGCCTGGGTATCAGCAGCGGAGGCTGCAGAACAGCGAATATCAGTGAACAGTAAATGTTGCTGCGTGATCGTTCCTCTGGAAGTTTTGTCTCAGAGGAGTACCCAGCCATGTGAGGTGTCAGTCTGCCCCTACTTGGGGGGGCCTCCCAGTTAGGCTACTTGGGTGTCAGGGACCCACTTGAAAAGCCAGTCTGTCCGTTCTCAGATCTCCAGCTGCGTGCTGGGAGAATGACTACTGTCTTCCAAGCTGTCAGACAGGGACATTTAAGTCTGCAGAGGTTTCTTCTGTCTTTTGTTTGGCTATGCCCTGCCCCCAGAGGTGGAGTCTACAAAGGCAGGCAGACCTCCTTCATCTGTGGTGGGCTCCACCAAGTTCGAGCTTCCCGGCCGCTTTGTTTACCTACTCAAACCTCAGCAATGGCAGGCGCCCCTCCCCCAGCCTCACTGCTGCCTTGCAGCTTGATTTCAGACTGCTGTGCTAGCAATGAGCAAGGCTCCATGGGCATAGGACCCTCCGAGCCAGGCACGGGATATAATATCCTGGTGTGCCGTTTGCTAAGACCATTGGAAAAGCGCAGTGTTAGGGTGGGAGTGACCCGATTTTCCAGGTGCCATCTGTCACCCCTTTCCTTGGCTAGGAAAGGGAATTCCCTTACCCCTTGCCCCAGGTGAGGCAATGCCTCGCCTTGCCTCGGATCACACTCGGTGCACTGCACCCACTGTCCTGCACCCACTTTCCAACACTCCCCAGTAGATGAACCCAGTACCTCAGCTGGAAATGCAGAAATCCTTCATCTTCTGCGTTGCTCACGCTGGGAGCTGTAGACTGGAGCTGTTCCTATTTGGCCATCTTGGAACCGCCCTCCAAGTCTCAACTTTAATGTTATCTTCCTAAATAGGTGCTTCTTGAAAACCCTAACTAAGTTGCAACGGAATGAATGTTTGGGACCCCTGCAACATTCATATGTTGAAATATTAATCCCCAATAGGATGGTATTATGAGGTGGATCCCCTGGGAGGTAATTAGATCATGAGGGCAGAGCCCTTATGAATGGAATTGGTGCTGTGATAAGAATGGACATGAGAGTTTGCTTCCGCTCTCTGCTCTCCACCACTTGAGAGCAAAGCAAGAAGGCCATCGGTAAACCAGGAAGCAAGCCCCCACTTCCAGAACCCAACCATGCTGTCACCATTATCTTGGACTTCCAACCTCCAAAACTGTGAAAAATAAATTTCTGTAGTTTAGTAGCCAACCACTCTATCGTAATTTGCCATGGCAACTTGAATTGACTAAGACTTCAGTCTTTCCATTTACTATATGTTGTGTTACATTGATAGAACTCCAGTTTCGTAAATATCTCATTTACTTGGTTTCTGAACCATATTTTGCCTCCCACTAATCTACATGTCCCATGTCAGGAGAGATCAAACTATCGAATTCCTTACTTTATCTCTAGTATGAAGCTCAGAAGAGCCATCCAGCATGTTTTTTAGTTGAATAAGCAAATACTGTTAAAAACAGCCTTCTTTACCAGCACAACAGGCCTTTGAATTCCAGAAGTACTGTAATAGAGGCAAGTCAGTGTCTTTCCTGGTACCTGATTATGGTTTTAGTCTATTTATTTGCCTGAATTTAAGGGAAAGCAAATACAATTTTCTCAAACAGTAAATAATTTTTAAGCTAAAATAAGTAACCTGTTTCCCAGCAATTGATTAATCAGCAAATACTTACTGATCAGCTCTGTATTAGTTCCTAAGGGGTAAAGAAAAGAAAAATCACTTTGAAGCTACCAATGACTTTCTTCACAGAATTGGAAAAAACTACTTTAATGTTCATATGGAACCAAAAAAGAGCCCGCATCGCCAAGTCAATCCTAAGCCAAAAGAACAAAGCTGGAGGCATCACGCTACCTGACTTCAAATTATACTACAAGGCTACAGTAACCAAAACAGCATGCTACTGTTGCCAAAACAGAGATATAGACCAATGGAACAGAACAGAGCCCTCAGAAATAACGCCGCATATCTAAAACTATCTGATCTTTGACACAGCTGAGAAAAACAAGCAATGGGGAAAGGATTCCCTATTTAATAAATGGTGCTGGGAAAACTGGCTAGCCATATGTAGAAAGCTGAAACTGGATCCCTTCCTTACACCTTATACAAAAATTAATTCAAGATGGATTAAAGACTTAAATGTTAGACCTAAAACCATAAAAACCCTAGAAGAAAACCTAGGCATTACCATTCAGGACATAGGCATGGGCAAGGACTTCATGTCTAAAACACCAAAAGCAATGACAACAAAAGCCAAAATTGACAAATGGGATCTAATTAAACTAAAGAGCTTCTGCACAGCAAAAGAAACTACCATCAGAGTGAACAGGCAACCTACAGAATGGGAGAAAATTTTCACAACCTACTCATCTGACAAAGGGCTAATATCCAGAATCTACAAAGAACTCAAACAAATTTACAAGAAAAAAACAAACAACCCCATCAAAAAGTGGGCAAAGGATATGAACAGACACTTCTCAAAAGAAGACATTTATGCAGCCAAAAGACACATGAAAAAATGCTCACCATCACTGACCATCAGAGAAATGCAAATCAAAACCACAATGAGATACCATCTCACACCAGTTAGAATGGCAATCATTAAAAAGTCAGGAAACAACAGGTGCTGGAGAGGATGTGGAGAAATAGGAACACTTTTACACTGTTGGTGGGACTGTAAACTACTTCAACCATTGTGGAAGTCAGTGTGGCGATTCCTCAGGGATCTAGAACTAGAAATACCATTTGACCCAGCCATCCCATTACTGGGTATATACCCAAAGGACTATAAATCATGCTGCTATAAAGACACATGCACATATATGTTTATTGCGGCACTATTCACAATAGCAAAGACTTGGAGCCAACCCAAATGTCCAACAATGATAGACTGGATTAAGAAAATGTGGCACATATACACCATGGAATACTATGCAGCCATAAAAAATGATGAGTTCATGTCCTTTGTAGGGACATGGATGAAATGGGAAATCATCATTCTCAGTAAACTATCACAAGGACAAAAAACCAAACACCTCATGTTCTCACTCAGAGGTGGGAATTGAACAATGAGAACACATGGACACAGGAAGGGTAATGTCACACTCTGGGGACTGTTTTGGGGTGGGGGGAGGGGGGAGGGATAGCATTAGGAGATACACCTAATGCTAAATGACGAGTTAATGGGTGCAGCACACCAGCATGGCACATGTATACATATGTAACTAACCTGCAGATTGTGCACATGTACCCTAAAACTTAAAGTATAATAATAATTAAAAAAAAGAAAGGAAAATCGAAAAAAAAAGAAAAATGATCTTTAGCCTCATTCCTCAAATTGCTTAAAATTGAATTGAAGAAAAAGAACGACCACTGTGAACAGTTAATTAAAAGTACATAGCTATATTCAGTAGGTGACTTGACCACTTTTGTTGGAGACATACATTTTGGACACAGTCATATAGCAGGGATACTTTAGGTAGAGAGTCTACGTAAATTCTTATCACACACACAGACACACAGACACACACACACACACACAGACACACACCTGCAAGCAAAATTGTATATCGATAACTTTATTATTTTTTCTTTCCCAGAAACCCATTGCTAGCTAAATCTGTTAACTTGAGTAAGCTGAAAATTAGGTGTCAGAGAAAATAGAAAGGAATAGTGAGGAAGATGGCTCAACTGTCATTCATTCATTCATTCATTCATTCATGTATTCATCCACTCAGGCAAGCAGGAAGGCATTCTGTGAAGTACTGTGGTGAGTAAGACAGTCATGATCACTGCCCTATGGAACTTAAAATCGGATACCAAGAAATATAGAAAAGGAGAGCATTTCAAGAAGGAAAAGTTTAGGTAAGGGTGTCCAGTGCTACAGAAATATTAAGGAGAACTAAGGCAAGAAAAGAGCCATAAGATCTGACAATGAAGAGATCTCTAAGCACATCAGGGTGTCGATGAGATCATTCCCTCTATACCCAACCTATCACAGTCACCCCCATAATCACCCTAAGTGTTATTTTGAGTCCTCCCTCATCTCTTCCCCTACTTCAGCCACGGAGTTCTGGTAATTCTCTTATAATCTGGCCACCCTGTAAGCTGACTGCTCTGGAGAAAAGATAAAAATGGATATTTCATTAGTGGCTAGAAAGCATACCTGTGACCCCACTGGTGCAGGAGATAGAGACAGAAGTAAGGAGACTAGCAGCTTCAGACCCACAGATTCTGCTATGTAAAAGGACAATTACTCCACTGAGTCTTTATTCCTTTATGGGATTTCTGACATGGGATGTAGCCATTTTCTTTCATTGGATGAAAGGGTAAACAACACTCCAGGTGAGTTCTATTTTTTTCCTGTACTTCTGACTTTCAACTTCATCTACTCATCACTCATCCTACCCAATCCTATTTTTGTTACATCCTGCCTGATCCTGCCCTGAGTTCCCCGTTCACACAGCTCTGCGGGTTCCACAGGCATCACTGGTGATCTTGTTTCTGAATGCACAAGCTTTTTGCCTTTGCTCAGTGAAATCCAACTTTGTCACTGCCACCTCCTCAGGCTGCCACGCATGCTTCCCTGACTGGGATGATGTGCTTATAGGAGCACTGTGGCAGCGTCTGCACACTCCTACCCCATGCATCTTTGGTCTTTTGTTCTCTCCAGTCCCACTGAGGTATTTTTAAACATTTTATCTTTAGGATGCTATTTTGAACCTTTTTTTTCCCCTTTTCCAGACTTCTGGGGTATTGTTGCCAAGTCTGACAATAATAGTGCCACGGCTGCTACATCACCTTTCATATTCTATACATTTTAGAACTTTGTAATTTTTTTTTTTTTGCTAATAACATCTTTTCCTCCTGTTGGAGCCTTAGTAACAGCTGCTCCCAGGACAGAGTTCAAGCAACTTTTAAAAACGTTCTGATACTTCCTATTTTTTGACATTTTTTTCCTTTATGTTCCTTAACCTACTGCCATTTGTAACTTTTTTATAAGTAATAACTCAGCATGCATTTAGCAGCAAGACGGACTGATGAGAGCCAGAAAATGGAGTGTGAGATCTCATCTTTGGCTTTCTTACCAACACAGTGGCAAACTTTAACAAACTTCTCCCCTACCATGTCCTTAGTTTTAACTTAATGACTTTTTAAAGTCATTTGAACAGCTTACATTATAGAGATATGAAGATAAAATGAACATTTTAAGCTCTTTTGAGGATTTCCATATCCTCATCCTCATAATTCATTCATTTACTTATCTATTTTGTGGAATGTTCTGTACCACATTTTAAGCAGAATAAGATCCTTCTACTATCCAAAATATCACAGGGATGTCCCTGGTTACTGACAGTCATGAAACCTCAAAGAATACAAATTCATTAAAACTTAGCCCTAGAAAACTATTTATACTGCTGCAGACAACCATAATATGTCGTGTTTGATACAATATACAATCAAAATCAGTATTAGATTAGTCAAAGTTTTAGTCTATAGTAACCTATAGGAATAAATGCTTGCCTTTCCCCCATCCTTCTTTATGCTTATTATTTAGCAAAACTTTGTTGTTTATATAATACGATCACATTAGATATTATTCCTTCCCTAACAAAGAGCACATTCAGGTGTATATGGGGCAGGGGGTGAGTAGGGAGAAGAGAGAAAAAGGCATCAGTAACAATAAATACTAATATAATTAGTTCTAAAATGGTAACATGTCCAAGAATGGTGGATCATAGAGAACAAAATGCCAATTATGAGGATGAGATTATATGTGAACTGCAATCTAATGTCTGAGTAACGTTTTTTCATATATAGAAGAATGGAAAATTCGTTTCAGGACAAGAGAAGAACAAAGTAAAATATATCGATGTGTAAGAATGCATGAGGATGAAGACTGGAAGAGCATGATAAGAATGTGCAGTGAGGCTGGGGTGACAGAAAGCCTGGAAATGTAGTGTGTGGTCAGGCTCTAGAGGGTCATATATAGTATGCTAAGGAGATCAAGTTTCCTCCTTTAGGTAATTCTGATATTTTCAGCTTCAGATAATGAGTGAAATTGATGACCTTAATTGAACTGAGAAACAGTGACTAGAAGCAGAGAATATGAATTTATGAATTTTTTTACAGGTGTTTTAAATTTAGGATGACCACAGACTACAAAGACAGCAATATTTAGTTGACAGAATGTACAACATAATGTATCTCTGTATGTGCAACATAATAGTAGTTAAAAAAAAATTTGAGAAGTGGGCAGAAGAGGTTTGACAGAAAAAGACTTTGAGGGAAGGATTATTGAGGAGGATGTGGGAAGGTTAATAGCTGTAAAAGTAATGAGAAGAGAGAATTTCATAAAAGATAGGACTATAAACAATGGCAAATGTCTAAAGCTGAGGAAGTCTGATGACAATAAACATAAAACAGAGTTGGTAACTGGAAATGTATTTGTGGCTAGATGGGGCAGACTTGAATGCAATGGCAAGAGCAGCAGTCAAACTTTAGGACTTTAGAAGCAGCCCTCCCTTTGATGAGGTGTGGTAGAAAAGAGAAGGAAGATAGAACAGCAGTAGAAGTGGGGTAGATGCATTAGGGAAAGGCTCATCCACTTGTTTATTTGCAAATGGTAAGAGTATTTAAGTGTGATTATGGGTTGTAGAAAAGATTGTAGAGAAGAGAAACAGAAAATGAAAGAATGTAGTAGCAATCATTACACTAAGTCTCAGAGGTGATAAACTTATTAGTCATTTATTTTCCAAAAACAGTGTTATAAATCTGCTAGATATGCTTGAGGAATATATTTATGTAACTTGAAATGTTGTCATATCTTGAACTCAGTTGATGAAAAATAAATTACCTACAGGAGAAAATTTGGGTTGTTATTTTATACTATATCCCAAGAACTTTTTGCATCACTTGTGAATCAGGATATGTTTTTCCACTTGATTTATAAGATGTATTAATATCATATAAGATTTATGTTATTAATATATCATATCATATACTGATATCCAAGAAGGATAGGGTAAATTGTAAGTTTACACTGTTTTTTTTCCCTCATTTGATCCATTCTCAGAAACTGATTAAAATGACTAAAAAGAACAAATTAGAGAAGAAAAGTTCATCAATGCTAAAAATATGAACAACAGATTAATATCTTAAATTTTGAGAACTATCTGGTAGAGAGTATTTCAATCTAAAGTGTAATAAGATGGTGGAATCTGACATTCAACTATCCTTCTTCAGAACAGTACAATGACACAGGAACTGGAAGAAATTATGAAAAAATCAACATCCAATTATGAGAACGATAGGCTGGAAATATGTGCTGACTACAAAAGATGAAAATACTTCACTAAAGACATCTTACCCCACAACCAACAAAAAGTAATTAGAAAATTCAGGTAATTGTCCTGCCTGCTTAATGCCACACTAGTAAACATCGTTTAATTTAAAAGAGGTGTGCATTAAATATTATTAAAGGTGGACGATTTTAATTACCAAAGAATTACACCTTCTTACCTCAAAAGGCCAGATTGAGACCAAATTTCAAGCTGTCAATGTTTATATACTATTAAAACCATCCAAGGTTAGGATTCTTGCCAATTTATTTTGCAGAATCAACAGAATTCTGAAAGGAAAACTTAACAAAGATAGCACAAATACATAATTTGTAGAACAAAAGATAATCATTTCATATCCTTATCTTTGACTGAATCTTTGTGTATTTTTTTGTTCATCCCACCAACTAATAGCCAGGACTATGTATGTTATGTGTATTGATAACACTAGTAGCATTCTCATTCAAGTCAGGAACAAAACAAGGATCATCGTCATCATCATTAGTATTTAGTATTCTTCTGGGAGTCCTTTCCAATGTATTTCAATATGGACATAAAATTAAAAATCTAAAAATTAGAAAAGAGAAAGCAAGATTACCAACATTTGGTATGATAGTCTATCTTGAAAGAATAACAGACAAATAAAATTATGTATTTAAATTAGATTTTGATTAGGTGATCAGTTATAATCTATCTTAAAATAAAGATATTTCTATAGTCAGAGAAAAATATTGTAAAAGGGATCATATTAAAAAGTAGAAAAAACATCATAACAATATCCTAACTTGAATTGCAAAAGACCTACATAGAAAACTACAGAACTAATCCAATAGACATAAAAATAAATGAGAAAAAGGGTAATGCTAGTCTTGATCTGGAATTAGAAGACAATATTGAAAGAGGCAAATTCATTTATAAATTTAGTTTAATGAATGAGAGGTTCATTGGAATCTGACAGATTTATTCTAAAGCTCCTCCTGGAAAATAAATATAGAATAGTCAGAATGTATTTGAAGTGGCAAGGAAATGAGGAGCTCCTTGCTCTTTGCTTTTTTAAGTATGAAAGTGTATTTTAAAGTAATATTGATGAACACAATATAGTATTCAAAAATAGATCTGAAAGAAAAAGAGACTCTAAAAACTATCGGCATGCAGATAGACATATGACAAATGTGCAATTTCAAATCGATGATATGGATTTACTTATTTAGCCTTTTATTCAGCAAAGATTTATTGAGCAACAACAACTTACTAGGCATTATTCTAAATATTGAACAGGGAGTGGGAAAGAGATTAAAGTTCCCTGTTCTCTTGGAGTTTACATTCTAATGGAGGAGACATGCCATAAACAAACAGATTCACAACTCAGCTAAAGTAGTGATGAGCAACATAAGGAATAATAGCACAGCACAAGGAAGAGGCGCGAGAAACAGTGCTGCTCTAGCGCTGCTCTAGATGAAGGCACCAGGAAAGCTCCTTCTGAACAAAGGAAACAGGAAACTGAAGAGTGGAGGGGACAGCCACCCATGCACATGTCCAGGAGAGCAGTAAATAAGTGAGTCGACCACTGAGGCTGATTACAATAATATTCTAAATTTTAGAAACAAAAATATTGAAAATCCACATAAAGTAGATAAATGTTCCTAAATAATAAAGTGCTGAGAAACATTCTAAGCATAATACCATATTGAAAGGGAGAAGGCAGTGGCAGGAGACCCACAGATCCCATCCTGAGAGAAGCTTCTCTAATCTTTGCCAGTAATCATTAAACATTTTAGATGCCAATATTTTTTACTGGCAATGCTGGACATGAACAAATGTCCAGCATTTGTTCATGCTGGACAACTTCCTTCAATTTTTATACATTTTTATATTATTCCACCATTAAAAGTTTTTAAGAAGAGCAAGCTAATTTACTTGTTTTTCTCTAGAATAGAGTGGCACAGTAGTAACCACAGAGATAGGTTTAAAAAAGTCACCTGGATATGTTGTACCTATTTTGTTTTCCTATCAACTTCATTTAGCATTTTAAAAACTCTGAGATTCTAAAATAGGAGCCTGTATTAGCCAGCTTCTCTTATAAGAACATGCATATTTGTAATGGTTCCTGTTGCCTGTAATTGCATTAACATTTCCTTTTTCTCTTTTTACCATTCTATATAGAACACGCATCTAACTTGCTGTGATGAGATAAAATTATTTTCATGTTTGCAGTTCTTATGCAATAACACCTCCTTCAAAACACATCATTCCCCAAAGTGCTATTTAAATTTTGTGATGATTTCTAACATTTCAGCTTAATTGTTTAGGCTTTAGAGAAGAAATTAATGAAAGGGACAGCAATTTAAAGCACATGAGCTTTGTTCACACTTCATTAAATATTTTAAATGGCTATTTTATTTTATGGCTTTTGCATTCCTTTTGAATTTTAGCTGGCTTGCTTTCTATAACCAGGAATTTTGATACTGTATTCAAAGAAACCTTGCTGCATATAGTTATCATCTAGTTTATAAATATATTTATTTCTAGTTCTTATTATTCTAAAATGAAGCTAAATTTGAAAACTTATGTCAAGGTTTAATCATTTTAGGGGCAGGTAATGGAGTTCTTCATTAATATGAAAAAGTTTATTTTATCCCTATTCTAAAATTACATGAAAGTGAACTTTGCCTTTCTTCAAAAGTAATTAAGTTACTTCATATTATACATTCTGTGCAGAGTAGTCATTAAGAAATGTTTCAGACAAAATGTTTTTATTGCTTTAGAGATTTATCAAAATAAATTTAAAATATCAATAAGACCACACTGATGAAAATTGATCTGTCATTCCATATGCACACTTTATGATTATAGAGCAGTTACTACATCTGATTAGTTATTACCTATCAATTATAAAATCTACAAATTAATTTCATTTTTAATTTGAAACTTGCATCATTAATCAAATCCAGTGCAATTTTAATGGGCAGAGTATAAAGTATCTTTGCAGTAAGACTCCTTTTTTTCCCCAGGAAATGCTCCTCCAGCAGCATGATGGATCTCCAAGGTTGTGTTGCCTTGTTTTTGTCACCTCTATCTACACAGAGGTTGTGCCAGGAAGAACCCCTGGTGTGTACCTTCACAGTCCCTCTGTACAAAGACAATAGACATCAGTGACGTGATCACAGGCACTATGACTGGGAGATAATGTAGGCTCATGGACGAGCTTGTCATTTTCTGCCATCTTTATAAGTAGTGCAGAGAAAATATCCGTTCAAAGAGAAAGGAATAAAGTACAAATTAGGAAAGAGAGCTTTAGGTCTTGATATACCCCTGAATCTCTCCATTAAATTATCTTTCCTTTAGCAATTGTAAGTTTGATTCTGCTAGTTATAAATTTGAAAAACATAATAGTGAAAGTATAGAGTGTAAAGGTATAAAACACAAGCACTTAGCATTAGTAGGCAGGCAAGGTTTTAATAAGGTTTTGAACTTAGACATAGATGCTATTTATAGCCAATTTGATCATATAAAAATGGGATTGACTTAACGTCATGTTATATGTTGAATACAAAATTTTAGGTTTGAAGGTGTTATAGACAAAATGTTTGAGGCTCTCCAAATTTTGTATGTTGAAGTCCGAACCTCTTGCGTGGCTATACTTGGGAGATGGTGCCTCTAAGGAAGAGATGGTTAAATTATGGTTAAATGATGCCTTGGTCTGATAGGACTGGTATCCTTAAAAGAATAGATGTCTGGGAGTGGTGGCTCATGCCTGTAATCTCAACACTTTGGGAGGTGGGTGGATCACTGAAGTCAGGAGTTTGAGACCAGCCTGGCCAACATGATGAAATTCCGTCTCTATTAAAATAACAAAAATTAGCCAGGCATGGTGGCACTCACCTGTACTCCCAGTTAATCTGGAGGCTGAGGAAGGAGAATCGCTTGAACTGGGAAGGCAGAGGGTGCAGTGTGCCAAGATCACGCCACTGCACTCCAGCCTGAGCGGCAAAGCAAGACTCTGTCTAAAAAAAAATATGTGAATAGATAGATACCAGAGAGCTCAAGCTCTCTTCTTTTGCGTGCAGTAAGGCACCAAGGGAAGGCCATGTGAGGACATAAGATGGCAGCCATTTATAAGCCAGTAACAGAGCTCTTACCAGAAAACCCAGAAGAAACTGATGTTGGACTTCCAGAAAGTATATTTATGTTGTCTAAGCCACTGAGTCTATGAGCTTTTGTTATGGCAGCCCAAGAAAACTAATACAAAGAAGATAATCTAGAACACATCCAGTAAACACACACACACAAACAAACACAAACAAGCAGACAGACCCAGACACAAACATACACACACACACACACACACACACACACACACGTCATATTACAGATTAAAATAATCAGAAACCAGAGACAGAACAGCTTGCCTCAGTTCATACTGCATCACTGTAAAAGGGGATAGTGATTTACAATTTACTTATCCTCAAGAGTACAAAGAAAATATAGTCTGAGGCAGAAATGATTGAGGAACTAGCTTAACATTTGGAAATTCAATTTGGAAACAGTCATTTCTAAATTAATTTCCTTTTAGTTTTGAACAGTGCATTTCAGACATAAGCTCAGCTTTTAAAGTTCTGCTTCAACTTCTCTCTGTTTTTTATAAATAATTCCTGAGGAGTGGCTCAATGGACCTCCCCTACATCACATGTCTTTTCTTCCCAGAGAAACATGGCTCACCCTTCATGATAGAAAGAGTGTTAGATCTACACTATGAAGAATTCTGTGATGCTAGCTTACTTCTTGATATGTTAATAGATCTCACATAATTCAGAACATCTATTTCTTTCTAACAAAGGCAATATTTCAAAATAATTTCTTTGCTGAAGACTAGAACAAAAGAGTTGGCTTTGAGATGCAAAAGCAAAACAAGGCCTTTGTGTTCTGGGCAGTATACCCGCCCTTCCCTTCCCCAGGCACTTAGTATCATGGTTCAGCTTTAGAGAAAGAAGCATGCAAGGCAACAAACATAATTTAAGGGAGAAATTATAACTCATCTTTTTAATATGTATAAAATACAATCTTCATTCCACTAGCAAAACTGGACTGCCACTTCAGTTTATTTTCCTTTATTCAAAAGAATAGCTGGTGAGATTGACACATTCTTTTGGGTAGCTATGATGACAAGGTGAAGCATTCTGAGGCAGCTAAGTAGAAAAATACCATTTGGATAAGGCTCAGGAATAGATTGAGACTCCTTGGGCAATTAAAAAACTATATTTAAGATGTGACAAAATGTCCCCATTATATTATCAAAATGACTTGTCTAAAGAGTGCTCTTAAAATGCCTTATACCAATACCATGCTGTGTCTTATGTTTTATGCTTCTTGAGGGCAGCTACTTTCTATTGGCACATTTATCCTTCCAATGACAATTATCTAGTAGTTTCATGCCATTATTTGAACAACAGCTAGCCTATCAACATATGGTAAGGTAAAGAAGCCAAGAGGGTTTCTACTACACGTATTTGCTGGAAATATTTTCTCTTCTTTTCTAATAAAATGTTTTGCCAAACCCCAAATGATTTTTGCTTTATCTTTCTGAAGATCAATTTTAAAGTAATAACACTAAATTCCCCACATAAATCCTCCATATTGAAAATGACAAGGGAGATAAAAATAAACAAAAGTAGCTAGGGGAATTCCCATTACCATCTCCCACGAGCTGTCTTGATAAAACAAACTATAACCATCACTGATCATTCTCCACTCTCACTGACTTAAGAGTACAATGCTCTTGAATTGTAGTCACACAAAGATACATTTTTAGAAAATAAAGCACTGCAAAAAATCACAGTGAGAATATTGACTATCGAAATTGCTTAAACATTGTTCATTTAACCAACAATAGTATTAAAAAATCTTCAATTTGTGACCATTTAATAGAAATAAAAATATATTGTGTGCATATCTGAGCCATAATTTCTGAAAGAACTCCAGTTTTTAAAATCATAAGGAAATAGCCCCCTACCACTATATGAAATCTAGATAGAATCTCCTATATACCAAACTCTATAAACTTTGCAATTTGAAAATAATTGTAAACCTAGAAAAGAATAAAAACGGTTGATGTAGGTTCAACTTGAAACTCACACAGAGCTGTCACTGTCTGTATGCTGTGAGTGGACATGTTCACCTGGATTGCTGTTGCTTTGTCCTCAGGTTTCTGGTTGTTTTGTCCTTATGTACCGAAGACAGAAAGAAGAAACAGAGACCTTTCACTCCATGGTTAATTTCTACCAAGGAAGTCTTCCCATTTAAAAATTAGGCCAATTTAAGATGCCAATCACACCAAAAATATGCCAAGTCAAAATGCCAATCACACCAAAATAGCAATGTTCCTGTTTATGTTTCTGCTTTGCATGTCATGAACTTTGGGCATGAGAACAAACAGAAATGAGCATAGATTCCACCTGAAGCTTTTCCTCTCTACATAGTGTTGAAAACAAAACAAAAGAAAATTTAAATAAAGTCACGGAACAGAGGGGCCTTGAGAGACTTTGTGGCCAGTTACTGTCTGGGACCTGTAGACAAAACAGTCTTCTTTTCTCTCTTTTAAAATGATGGGGACTGAGTCTTAAAAACCTCTCTTAACAGATCATTCTGGTGTTATAACTACCTGAACATCAAGAAGCAGCTTTACCTATAACTAATCAACATCTCAACTGATTTTATTAAATCCAATTTTTCCTTAACAATCTTGTGTGTGTTTAGATAAAAAGAACCTGATTGAAGTGCACTTGCTCATTTAAATTCCAATTAGCAGTCCTCTGAAAGTGAAATGTGATTATTTGAAAATTAAAAAAGACAAAGGCCAGACATGGTGGCTCACACCTGTAATCCCTGCACTTTGGAAGGCCAAGACCAGTGGAGTGCTGGAGCCTAGGAGTTCCAGATAAATCTAGGAAACATGGTGAAACCCCATCTCTACAAAAGATACAAAAACTTAGCCAGGTGTGGTGGTGTGCACCTGTAGTCCCAGCTACCTGGGACACTGAGATGGGAGGATCACCTGAGCCCAGGAGGTTGAAGCTGCAGTGAGCCATGAGCTGTGATCACGCTACTGCACTCCCTACTGGGCAACAGAGTAAAACTGAGCCTCAAAAAAATAAAAGGAAAAAAGAAGAGGAAGAGGAAGAAGAGGAAGAAGAAGAAGAAGAAGGAGAAGGAGAAGGAGGAGGAGAAGGAGAAGAGGAAGAAGAAGAAGAAGAAGAGGAAGAAGGAGAAGAAGAAGAGGAGGAGGGGAGGAGGAAGAGGAGGAGGAGGAGAAGAAGAAAAAGAAGGGAAGGAAGGAAGGAAGAAAGGAGAAAGAAAGAGAAAGAGAAAGAAAGAAAGAAAGAAAGAAAGAAAGAAAGAAAGAAAGAAAGAGAGAGAGAGAAAGAAAGAAGCAAGCAAAGAAAGAAAAAGGAAAAAAGATTAAACTATATTCTCCAGATAGGCCTTGGCTGTCATGCATAACATTCCTGGTGCAAATTGGCACCAATGATTCCACTGCAGTGGAGGCAAGTACCTCTGACAGTCAGGAAAACCCCACCCAAACTCCCCGTGTACCACTGGGCAGGATATTCTAATGTGACGTCTCTGAACCTCAGTGGCATTACAGGTCATGCAAGGGAGCTGAATTAGATGATCCTTTCAACCTCTTTTAGCTCTAAAATCCTGACTTCTCTATTTCATACAATTTCTTTTTTTTTTCTTTTTCTTTTTTGAGACGGAGTTTCACTCTTGTTGCTGAGGCTGGAGTGCAGTGGCGTGATCTCAGCTCACTGCAACCTTTGCCTCCCCGTTAAAGTGATTCTCCTGCCTCAGCCTCCCAAGTAGCTGGGATTACAGGCACCTGCCAACAAGCCTGGCTAACTTTTTGTATTTTTATTAGAGACAGGGTTTCACCATGTTAGCCAGGCTGGTCTCAAACTCCTGATCTCAGGTGATCCACCCACCTTGGCCTCCCAAAGTGTTGGGATTGCAGGCGTGAGCCACTGGGCCCGGCCTATTTTATATAATTTTAAGGGTTAACATACAAGTAATTTTTTAAATAAGTAAGTTCTCATAACAATACATTTGTACTTCCCACTAGATATATGAAGTCTCTAAACTACAGTACTTTATTTCTCCCTTGTTAATGTAACATATAAAGGACTCTGCATTTCATTTGAGCACTAGACTGAAACTCTGTTATGAAATAGAATATCCTTAGAGCAGGAATCCGGTCTGATATCTTTCATAATATTTAACCTAGTGATTTGTATACAGCATGTGCTTGTGTTCAATGACTAAATGAATACTAAATAAACTACACTCAGTTTGGGGAATATTTGTTGATCACAGTCATTTGTATGACCTAAAAATACGGAAAGAATCTGGGTTTCAGGATGTGCTACCAAAAAAGAATATGGCCAAGTAAATGATAAAGTAAACAGTATAGAATTAGGCATTTTTAAAAGACATGTTCAGATGTTCTGGGGAAATCGACATAAAATGCTGTTAAAAAACTAA
The DNA here is from genome assembly GCF_000001405.40 of Homo sapiens. Classification (NCBI taxonomy): domain Eukaryota; kingdom Metazoa; phylum Chordata; class Mammalia; order Primates; family Hominidae; genus Homo; species Homo sapiens. The sequence goes on along the minus strand of NC_000006.12, from coordinate 71,991,276 downwards.
AGTTTTTTTTTTTAATTAAAAAGACAAGTGATTCATATAGTCCAGAGGCAATTTCAAAAATAAAGTCTGCAATTTAAAGGAAGGCATTTATAAAAATAAAGTGGTTACTATATTCCTTTCAGTATGGCTTAGTGAAGCAAGTCCTAGATAAAATAAATAGAATATAGCTGAGGCTGGTAATTTTGACCTTATAAAAAAACCATTGATCTTTCTGTATTCATTTTGTTTCCTCAAATATAGTTTGAGACCAAAATCTAATGTACATAAACATATTTTAGAGCATTGTTAGATATGCCTTCTTAGATGTGACAGAATTCTGTTATCTTAATTGTTTTAAAATATATTTTATGAAGCCTTATAAGACTGGTCTGCTATTATCAATAGATGATATTATTTGAGAATACCACTATCAAACTCGAAATGAAACCCACAGTCTCAACCATGTCCTGCATGACCTGGCCTAAGCCTGCTCCTCCAGCCTCACCCCAGGCCACACTAACTGTCGCTCAGAGTGTTCCAGGGACACGTTCCTTCTGATCTCGGAGCTTACTGCCCATCCTGTCAGGGACACCCACATCCCAGCTTTTCCCAGACTGCTTCTCCTCACTTTTCAGCCCCCAGGTCTCTCATGGAAGCCATCTCCGATTTCTTTATTAAATTAGGCCCCTCTGGGCCTCTGCAGGCTGGAGGAGCAGGCTTAGGCCAGGTCATGCAGGGCACACAGAGACTGCAGGTTTTATTTCAAGTTTGATAGTGGCATTCTCAAATAATATCACCTGTTAATAATAGCTGACCACAGTCTTACAAGGCTTCATTAAATGTATTTATTTAATTATCTTTAATTCAATTTGTTTAATGAAACAAATTAAGTATAAAATGTGACTTTATCTTAAATAAAATTATGCCCTTGGAGCAAAACAAAACTTCAATGCCTGTAACCCTGTAGTGAGTGAAGCCTCACCGTGCAATTAAGTGCATTGTAAATGAGCTGCACGTATCAGTGTTTCATTCCAAAGGATAGGGAAGATGTTGTTAGTGAAGATTTCTGGAGCTTATGGAACATCTCTGGAGTTTGTGGAGTTTATGTCATTCTGGGTGACATTCAAATAAAACTGTGTAAATCTATATTTGTAAATATATAACTACATAAAATAAATAGAGGCTGTGATAGGAGGTAGGAATTAAATGAATAGGGGCAATGGTAGAGAATAGCAGAGGGGCCTACTTTAATACAGAAATCAGAGATGGCTTCCATGAGAGACCTGGGGGCTGAACAGTGAGGAGACACAGTCTGGGAGAAGCTGGGACGTGGGTGTCCCTGACACGATGGACAGCATGCTCTGAGATCAGAAGCCATATGTCCCTGGAACACTTTGAGTGAGGGTTAGTGTGGCCTGAGGTGGGGTTGGAGGAGCAGGCTTAGGCCAGGTCATGCAGGACACAGCAAAGACTGTGCATCTTATTTCGAGTTTGACAGTGGAATAGCTCCTATTCCATGATAGGGAGGGCCTTATCTTTCTAACTAACTGTTCTATTCCTGGTTGCTAGCACGGTACCTGGTACGTAGCAGATGCTCAACATATATCTACTGAATTAATGAATCGATCAATGATTACGACCAAATGTAATCAAGAAACTGTAGCACCTACATTCTTATCCATTTGGAATAAATTGATTGCAACTGTTTGCCAATATTTTGTTTGTAACTAATTGTAATTGTAATTTTTCTCATGCTTTGAGATGAGACAAATTAAGTACAAAATGTGAATTCATCTTAAATAAAATTATGCCCTTAGAGCAAAACAAAACTTCAATGCAGGCTACCCCCTGGTGAGTGAAGCTTCACCCATGAAATTAAGTGCTTTGTAAATAAGCTGCACATATCAGTGTTTCATTCCAAAGGATAGGGGAGATGTTGTTAGTGAAGATTTCTGGAGTTTATGGAACTTGAGGCAGTAATAATGACTGCCTATAATGAAAATAACAGTTAGCAAATATTGAGCACCTGTTATGTGCTAGTCACTGTACTAAAGAAGCATTATTTTTAATTTGAGTCAGTTTAATTAGAAAGTAATATATGCTTATTGTAGCAATTCAGGCAAGAGCAGTGTTCTAGTAGAATGATCTCCTCCTCTCCCTTCCCATGTGTATAATGCACCACTATTGACAATGGTATGCATATACTTCCATACTTCTTCCATTGTTTATACATTAGTCTTTGGTGTTGGATTTTTAAAGAGCTAGCTACAAACTGGTGTTGGCAATCCAGCTGCTCAGAGCTAGCGTACCTTTTATTAAGCTGTGCCTTTTCCTTACAAGTTGTTTAAAAATTGTTTAATAATCTGAATCAGTCCCACTTAGGCATGTATATATGATGCTGTTGTATTAACAAATGGCCCCCACATGTAGATGGTAACATACAAATTACTTTATTCACATAAAAATATCCCATTCCTATGTTTTCTAATAAAAAATAAAAAAATAATGTTACCAATAGTTGTAATAACAGTTACTCTGTATTACAGTTTGCTATGGGCCAGTCACAATTGTATAGTTTAATTAATTATTCCAACAACTCTCTAGGTTCACCCATTGTTTAGTTGAAGATGCTCAATTCTTTTCAGGAGCTCCTAAGAATAACAAGAATTTCACAGCAGGGCAATACCATAATTTATTCAGCCATTTTCCTATGGGTAGACATTCATGTTTTTCCAATTTATCACAGTAAACACGTTTTGTATATATATTATTACATACTGACATCGGATTTCTGCCTGAAATATTCCCAGAAATGGGATTACTAGCTCAATGAGAACACACAAGTTTTTTTTTTTAATTCCTAAGTAAAGAATTTCGGATTTTGAATTTAGTTCTCATGGACCCCAAAGAACTTGGATAGGCAAAGCAGAAACTGGATGGAATTTTGAATGAAAAGAATAAGATAGACAAGGAAATGGCAATAGGAAACAACAAGATGAGCCCATGTGGCAATCAGGATTCAGACTCAGTAAAGCTGGTGGTATAATTTTGGGGCAATTAGATATGAAAAATTGGTTACTGAAAGCAGGCTAGCATGAATCTTGATGTCAACTGAAAGAATTTAGATTTGCTGCTACAGGAAGCAAAGAACCATTTATAATTATTATTGTGACATTTTCAATAATGGGACAAATGATTAAGCATCCTTTCAGAATTGGAAGAAAAAAAAAAACTCCAGCAGTCTGCTGACCCACACATATTTGAGCATGGTGTTCTTTTCCAGACCATATGGACTTTGGCAGTCTTACTTTCCTTAGAAACTCCTTGAGTAACAGAACTAGAACAACACTCACTGTTCAAATGCAAATGCCTTCTCATCAACTCAAAATTGCTCCTATTATCAAGTTTGAGAAATATGACAACAGCAAAAGCCCTCTAAGGACACAATCAATGACACACCACAGGCAACTCTCTATTCCCAGCCCTTTCTTCTCTTCACAAAATGAAACCAGAAAGGCTACTCAGCCAATCAACTTCAAACCCTTGACTAATAAGTCCACCTTCCTCCCAGTCTACATATCTTTGTTTTCTATTGTAGCCGACCCTTCTGGATTGATAATGATATTGTGTATCTCTCATCAACCACTAGATCCAGCCAAGTGTAGTCTTATTGTAGCACAAAAGGTCAAGCCCCTAGGTATCTGTGGTGTTTGATATTTGTTGTGAACTGAATGTTTGTACCGTCCCAAAATTCATATGTTGTAGTCTAATACCCAATGGGATGGTATTGGGAAGTGGGACCTTTGAGAGTTAAGTCATGAGGCAGAGCCCTCATAAATGGGATTAGTGCCCTGTACAAGAGGAGACACAAGAGAGTTTGCTTCTTCTATCTCTGCTCTCCGCCTGTGAGGACACCATATGAAAATAGCTGTCTGTAAACCAAGAAGAGGGTCCTCAACAGAACTTGATCAATTCTAGCACGCTGATCTCAGACTTTCAGCCTCCAGAACTATGAGAAATAAATGTCTGCTTTTAAAGCTACCTAGTCAAAAGCATTTTTTAATAGCAGCCTGGAACTAAGATGACATTTTACAGAAGCCCCTAGGTTTATACAGTATCATTTATAACGTAACAATTGCTCTACCAAAAAAATGTGGAGGAGCTTGACATGAAAGCAAGATAATCCATCACCTCTACCATATATAAAATCTAACCACTCTGCATATTTCTCCTTGACTATTTTTACTTCTTCTGTATGTCATGTAAATATAAATATTCTCTATGGCTCCATCATTTATCCTCTTCTCCAAATACTCTGTAAACGCTACCATCTACACCCTGAGCATCAGTGTCACCTTAAGTCAGGAGCCCCAAAATTTTTAGACACAAATTCTGCCCAGAGTTTCAGACCCTTAGTTATGATTCCCTATTGGACATTTTTACTGAGTCAAAAGCACTCTCACACAGCAGCACCCTTGGGCTATTGCCCATTCCAACTGATTGATATTCATTCTAATGGCAATGCCCACACTGGACTGGTGGAAAAATATTTTTCATATCATGCCTGGTCACAACACATCCAATTTAGAATATCCCAAATGGAATCCCTCAATTATTTCTACTGCTTCTTATCAACTACACATCTTTTGTTTCTCTCTCAGTTAATGGTGCCATCAACTCCATTGCCCAAATAAGAAACTTCAGAGTCATTTCTATTTTCTCCTCATTCAACATCTATATCCAGTCATGATGTCTAGTTGTTTCTGCACTAGATTCTTATTTATAATCCATGCTCTTCTCCCCACGACAAGGCATCATCAGTTTCTTGATCACACATTGCCATCACTCATCTGGCCTATTGCCTTAGCCTTCTATCTGGTTGTCCTAATTCCACCATCTCCATTTTCCTGATTTTGTCCACCAGAAATATTTAGAAATGATTCAGTCAGACGAGGAATAAGAAAAATCATGGTATGCATATTATTAAAACAAACAAACAAGCTTCCTATTATGAGCCATTCTTTGTGCTAGACATTATGGACACCATGAGAAAAGACCTAGTATCTCTCTACTAAGAGGGTGAAACATTAAAAAAAAAAAAAAAAAACAAAACCCAAAGTTGTGATGGTTTCTTGACATCAAGTTAAGTTTGAATTTCTGACGTACAACAAATAATTTTTCAGTATACGTATGCCCAAGTATTGAATAAGACATACTTTTATGAAAAAAATATTAACTGTATCTGAAACTTAAATTTCATGAGGGTTGGTATTTTTATTTGCTAAATCTAGCAATTCTAAGTGTAATAAAGGATGACATATGTTAAAGTAAAGATATTCAAAGTATAGAACTACTACAAAGTAGAGAGACTAACCCTGCCTAGGAGGCATAAGCAGCTTTTGGAAAGAAATGACACTAGTTAAAGTGATTAAAAGAAGTTTACTGGTGTGTGTGTGTGTCCATACATATACATGTATGTCTCAGACATAGCGAGGGGCACTCCAGGCAGAGGAAAGAACATTTACAAAGGCAAGAAGGAGAGACTCAACAGAGTGTGTTTGCAGTGGTCTGCTGATAAATGTTTAACGGCTGTTTCTCAAAAACTAACTAAATAAAAACAGAAAAGAAAAAAGAAAGTACCAATTACTGAATTATAGGGTTTGTCAATTTCCATGGTGTAAATACTCCCACCCAAGACATATTTCAAACTTTAAATAGGATGTCACTTTAACATGGAATTGGTAAAAGATGTTTAGTGCAGTATTTCCATCATGAAGATATAATATATAATGGACGTACATAACTCAAGAGCATGGACCGTGACATGTATCAAAATAATTAGGAAGTTGGTGAGTTGAGCATTTACCTTTATTTTAATATAATTTATCTATTTTATTTTATTTTATTTTAGACAGGGTGTCACTCTGTTACCCAGGCTGCAGTGCAGTGGTGTATCACAGCCCACTATAACCTTGAACTCCTGGGCTCAAGTGGCCCTCCCACCGCAGCCTCCCGAGTAGCTGGGACTACAGGCACACGCCACCATGCCTGGCTAATGTTTTATTTTTTAATTTTTTTGGAGACAGAAGTCTCACTATGTTGCCCAGGCTAGTCTCAAATTTCTGGGCTCAAGCAATTCTCTTGCCATGGCCTCCCAAAGAGTTGGGATTACGAGCATGAGCCATGATGCCCAGTCATAATTCAGTTTTAATAATAGCCCTATTTAAACTAGATTGCAAACTTTTTGAATATCTAACAGTTGACTCTCCCAAGCTAGTATGGGCTGTCTCATGTACATTGCTGTGTGCTGGTGAACTACAATCTGTATTGGTGGAGTACAAAGTGCTTGTGTGAAGGAGGAAGAGTGTAGGAGTGCTAAGGAATAGGGAAGGGGAGGATGTTGGACTTTCCTTTTATACCACCCTCATCAGCTTATAGATAGATGGATAGGCAATAATGATGATAGATACAAACATAATAGATAGATAGATAGATAGATAGATAGATAGATAGATAGATAGATATGTACATACATACATACATACATACATACACAGATGGATACATAGATATGAAGGTTTACAATCTCAACTTACAGGACTCAACTTACAATGTTCTGCTTGTTTCTATGCAATGAAATAAAAAGAGCACCTGGAAACAGACGTCTGAGTAATAGCTCCATCAAGTACTGGCAACCAGTTTGAGCATTAATTTTCTCAAAGCACAAAGTATAATATAATAATGCCTTCTTCTCTGGGAAAAAAATTAACTAAGGTTTAACGTGTTGAGGGCTTGTAAATTATAAATTGCCAGATAAAAAATTTTAGTAACACTGTGGTTTCTACATTTTTTTCATAAGATTGTGCATTTGCTGCTTCTGTAAAAGGTAGAGACACAGCCCTATTTGTCACAGTGTAGCTCCAGCAGTACAGTTTTTTTTTTTCTTTTCCTTCAAAGATCATCCTCTTAACATTAGCTTTGAGTCCCTCTAGGCATGTCCACAACCTTTACTTCCCATTTCCCTTTCTGTGCCTCCTTCTATTTCATCTAAGAATTATTTAGCATTTCAGAATAGAGAGATGTTTTTTAAGCCTTTTTGCATTCTTCTCAGGCTGATAGAAACATATTAGAGAAATCCAATGTTCAATTAAAAATACAGTTTCCTTGTCTCTAATACATTCTGGTTATAGCTATTGAAATAACCAACTATACTTACAATTGATTATACATAAATCAATCAATAAGTAAAAATTAACATATTTCATAAGTTACAGAATGTTACTGAAAGCATGTGGAAACCTATGATAAACACATAATAGCAATTAGCAAAGATAAGATAAATGCCATGAAATCCAGACATTGGAATTTAGGCTTCACATAATAGGCAACAGCAAACCAAAATACGTTTTTTAATCAGACAGTAATATGATAAAAATGGAATTTAAGAAAGAACATCTTTTAAATATACAAGATGGTTTGCTATGTAAGTAGCTTCTTCATATTTGTACTTAAAATTTATCCACGATTTATTTCCCCCAAGTTTTGTGTAGTTAGTAGACATAAAATCTGTGCAGAAAAAACATAAATCAGTCCCTGTGCTCCACATCTGAGCATTCAGGACAGTCTGGAAAGAAAACACAAAGAAGATGGCAAGTAGTCATTTCTCTTGTTGTGTATTCTGCAACATCCCTCTTCTGGTAACCACATCTGATGACTTATTTACTTTTAACTGAGAATTTACTTAGGCTGGCTGTACAATCTCAAATTTTCTCAAAAGAAAAAAGTCATAGTCCCTATGCCAATGTTGAAAGAAAAGAAAAAAAAATCAAGTTTATGTCAATAATAAAAAAAACCCTTTTTTTCTGATTATACAATACTGACTGGGCCTTTCCCTGTATAACTTAATCTCTAAACTTAATATTTAAATGAGAAATAGAAAGAGAGACCAAGTGTGAGAGTGAGAGCATAAGCACGCTCTTGGTGGTTTCATTCTGGTATGCAATCCCACTTAAGAACCTATTGACCCTTTTTTACAACAATTAGGAAAATAATAGAGAACTAAAATAGAGCTCATAAACTTACAGCAGATCCAAGAAACACACAAATAGAACATAATGTGTGCTCTAGGAAGGCAGGTATAACCAAAGCTCAGGGAAGAAAAAATTTTGGTGAAGGGGGTGGTCAAGTACGTTTTGGAGGAAATTGTTTTGGAGCAGAGACTTGAGTCACAGGCAGGATTATCATTGGTGGAAAAAGAGGAGTGGGTGAGATATTAAAACAAGCAGTGGCAAAAGCTCGGGGTAGAAATAGAAGGGAAGGACATCTTCAATGAGTAGGGAATATTGTGGTTTTGTAAAACATTTAGACCAGAGAAGTTAGTGTTGAAGAGAAGACAATCAGGCACTGTGCAGGCAGGACTTAATTTATACATGGACTATTGGACCTAAAGGCCTTCAGAGAGGGCAGGTGCTCTGAGCAAAGCTGGGTGGGATGAATTAGACTAGTAAAGGAATAGAAGACAAAAGGCCAAGGGGTATCCAACCCCATGCAAAAAGGAGAGCCTGAAATATGAGGATGGGAGTGAGAACTGACAGAAGGAACAGATGTGAGACGATTCAGAGATTCAGAATTAGACCTGACAGGACATAGTGACTGATTACACTTAGGGAGCACACAAGGAAGTGGGGAGCTGAAGATGACTCAGGGGTTTCCCATCTGTGTGACTGTGAGAATGGAAATGTCATAAATAGATGAGAGAAGGTGAAGAAGGATGCATGAGTGTGACTGTGCTTGGGTTTGTTGGGGTGTGATGTGGAAGGAAATACTGAGTTCAGTTCCATTTAAACTTGGAACAAACAACATAATATTTGAGCACTCTTATGTGTAAAGTAGCATGCACTGTAGAAGGCAAGAACTTTAAATTTTGTGTTAATACCTACAGTCACACACACCCTGAAATAGAACTCAAAGTCACACGTTTTCCAAGCCTGAACATTTCTCATAAATGTGGCCCAAGATTATCAGCTGAGGTATCATACTAACAAGGTCTCATAGTAAAATAAGACTGCAAAGAACCAGTCCAAGTATTTTAACACTTTTAATGCTTCAAAGGATAATAGATGGTGGAAATGGCTCCCTGGAATTGCATGGAAATGCAGAGTTAGAAAAATCAAAGTGATAAAATGAAAGATGCCTTTATTCTCCTCCCTGATCCTCCATATCCTCTACTCCATAATGTTTAGCGGCTTGGTTTGCCATTATCAATAAGGGAGATAATATAATCCATCTTGAAATCATTTGTCAATTGGCATTCAGTATTCAAATCAAATCAAATCATAGTTCAAACCAAAAAAAAAAGCAATTTATATCAAGTTCCAATGGCATAGCTTAGTAGTATGCATTATAGTACACCAATGACTTCCCTGCAATACAGTCTCTTTCTTCAAGAGGTGAACACTGCAGGTGGGGAGACAAGGCAAAAGAAATGAAAAAGTGAATGATTTAAAAAAAAATAAACTAAGGCAACCAGAGAAAACATATCCCAAGATAGCATACGACTTACTGCCAAATGACTAGTGCTCTTTAAAAGTATTGCCGGATTAGAGATTAAACCCCCTTTCTGCAAGCAAAATAAAGAAGAGCCTTCATGGTTTATAAATAAGGAAACTTAGATGAAAACATTACCAATGGCAATTTTGTACATTCTCTGTCAACTTTCATCTTTTCTATGAATTTTTTCTAATGTGGGGTGAATACCACAAAGAGTGTGACCTACTCACTGATTATATATTATGTCTACCATATTAGAATGAATTATTTGAATTAAGAATCCTATGGTATTCTTGTCTTCTAACCCCACTAGATCCTAGCCCAAGATTGAGCAAGAAGAATGCTGCCAATGAATCCTGACCTGAATAGTTAAAATGAATAACCAGAAGTTAGTGGGTAAATGAATGTGATTATTAGTGGGTAAATGAACATGAGCAAATGATTTTCTTTTATGTGCCTCAGTTTCCTCATATGTAAAATGGAGACAGTAACAATACTTTATAAAGTTTCATGAGGGTTAAATGCACATAAAGTGCCTAAAACACAACAGCATATAATTGCAGTTATTGTTACCAGAGTTGATAGAAAATCAGCAAAAAGCTAAAATTAGACACTCTTCTGCTTTAATCTTATGCAGAACTTAGACTGGTGAGCAGTTTTGAAAATTTAGATGTGTGCTCTTTTTCTTTTTGATGTTCCCATATGGAATGATTCTCTCCACTGTGCCACAGAATCTTCTTTTCTGTGGATTTCTCTCAGGAATCAGAAAAGAAATGCATACTTTAGGAATGTAATTCCCTAGAAGTACTTGCCTTTTCTATCCTTATTTTTTATTAACTCTCCTTTGGTAATTCCCAGTCCCAAAATCTCAGAAAATTTTTGTCTTATCTCTTACTTGTCCCTTTCATAACTACATCCACTTGTCATTAAGGCGTACCAGTTTCTTCTTTCAAATGTCTCTCTCATCCATTTTTTCTGGAGTCATTGCCATTATTCTTACTATTATTAGCCATGTCTCATCTATTTTAATCATCTACTAATTGGTCCCTTTTTCTCCAGGAATGCCGTACGCTCATCCATCATGCATATTCCTGAAAAATTCATTATCCTGAAACTTTCCTTTCAACTAGATAGCTCCATGTTCAGATACTTTGGTGTCTCCCTTCAGAGTAAAATCCATTTATCAAAGCTGGACTTCAAGGACATTCATAAACTGGCCTCAACTGCCTTTCACAGGTTTGTATTCCTCCAACTCATTGGCCAAATATGCTTTTCAAATCAGACTATATATTCAATGTCCCCCTTGCCTGATGGCTTCATTCTGACTCCTGAACTTTTACCCACATTAATAATGTTTAAGATTTGTTATACATATAATACATGAGTGCATTCATTTATTCACCATTATCATTTTCCACTAAATACACATTAATTCACTGCATGCTTTGCCCAAGGTCCTAGGCATTATCTTTTTCTTTTATTTAATATCTTCCTTCTCACACTAGTGCAGTAGCCAGTGGGTACCGATCTCAGTTGCCACCAGTAGAGTCCACACCACCATTATATTTTGCCTCCTTTGGCTATAAGCTTCCTGTTTTTTCACAACAACCAACTATTTTCTTGGCACGGGCAGACTGTTCTCATCCTGGACAAATGACTCTGTAGAAGAGCAGAGGAAATAGCAGTGATTCACAGAGTAACCAGGCTGAGCCCTGAGGCACAGCAACTTTCTAATAATAATATTGCCAATATTTATTTATCCTTGCAATATCTGTACATGAGTTTTGAAAGAGAGGTCCAATTCAGTGATATTCACATTAATTTTGACTTATAAAATTATCACCCATCCCATCTAATCTTCATTTTTACTGAGCATATTAGTGGTACATATCAGTGATTCTAAATCAAGAGAATATGCCAAAATCACTTAGGAAAATTTTCCAAATACACGTTTCCTGGCTACCCTACTCATGCATAGTAAGGAGCATTTGATACATAATGGGGTAGTATGTCATGGAATATAAACTTCTAAAAAGTGATTCTATGCATTTTTACATCATTCCCCTGAATAAGAAACATACAGAGATAAAGATACAGTCTATGTTTTGAGAGGATTGACCAAAAAAATTATTCTCAAATTGTGTCAAGTACACTGTAAGATCATGGTAAATATTTGTTAAATTAACAAAATAAATGAATAATGTAGAGATTTTTCACTGCTACTTGAGTAGAATATATGGACAATATTTATATACTACTTTATGGAATACACAATGCTGTCATGTATATGACTAAAATTTCACGGATTTTCAGGTCTAGAGTTCAGTTATCTTCCCCTGTCCTGCTGGGTGACCCTGGGGCAAGCCACTAACATAGGTCATGTTTTGTCTTCCATATGCCAGCCAAGTACAAGCATCATCAAATCTCAGCTGTTGCCACATCATGTGGCTTAATGTAAAGCTGCCATTAAATACACTCAATCAAAAGTCTGCTTGGGCTTGCATGACCTTAGTTACATACACATACACATACACACACACATATACATAGTAGAACTACTTAAGTTCTACTCTTCCAGAACTAAATGCTTTTAATAGTCAAGAAATTGAAGAGGGCACCATCTTCTCTGAGCATTCAGAAAGAGAAAAACACAATATTATCATTAAAATAGCTATGGCAGAACAAGGGGCTTTGTAAGACTTTGTGAATTGGCATAGAACGATTTGCATAAGCCAGCAAATCATATAAAAAGAATGAAGACTATAAAAGCCACACAATTTTTTAAAATTCTGTCACTTCCTAATTATAACTATGAATTGGAAATGTCAGTGTTCCTAGAATTCTCTATTTTCAAATTACTGGCTCTACTGACTTTATTCTAAAATGCGAAAACATTTTTTTTCCTAGTTGGACATTTTTTCTAATATCAATAGAAAATTGATATTGATCCCTACTGCAGGTGGTAATACAACTATAGCCTGTGACATTAAACATCTCTTATTTTATGTGAAAACAACTTTTAACGAAGCAAGAAATTAAGACTCAATGCAATTTTGTTATAAACATGGCTAAAAATAGTACAGAGAAGGCCTGTCTCAGAAAAATAACTTCATTCATGATAAAATATATGACTAAAAGATCCTTTGCATATGACATATTCTTTTTCTTCTTGACTGGATTTTACTCAGTAAATGAGCTATATTTTTAAAAGGTGCAATATTTGTATCTAGCATATATTTTAAAAATCAGTTTCTTCACGGGTATCCAAACACCTAGAAAATTATTGAATCTTCTGTCCCAACAGACTATCAGAGTAAAAAAAATCACAATAAAAAATTTTAAATAAGTTTAAATAAGTGGAAAAATCTAGCAGTCTTTCAATTTTTATTCAATTTTACATAATTTTTGTCTTCAATATTTGAAGTGCTATATAAGTATACCTACAGTAATACAAGTGAGATTTCTAAAGTATTCAACAATAGATACCATTTAAGATACAATTGCATCCATAGTAGGATGCTTAGGATTTCATGAGAAAATATGTACATATGCATTCCGCATTCAAAGAACAGTGACCCTCTTAAGCATATTAGAGATTAGACATACGATTAGAGCCTCCTCCCCTTAGTGCACAGAAGTTCCTCTTCTCTGTTCTCCCTCACTGCTTTCAAAACTTCATGACTTTTGGCATGTGGCCAAATTCCACATGCTTCATCTCAGCTGCCACCAGTAGAGTCCAGACCACCATTATATTTTGCCTTAACTGCCACAACTGTCTCCTAAAAGTTCTCTTTCCTTACAACCCGTTTGCTACGCAACACTGGATCATGATTCCCCCTTCTTTAAAGTGCTTTAAGGGTTTCTCAATATAAGTCTTAGATAAAATCCAAAGACCCACAAGAGCTCTAGGATGGAACCCTTGCTTGTCTCAGCCATTGCCCTCTTTCTACTCACTTGCTTTCTCTGGGCTTCTTTACTTCCCTAAACATGATACTCTGTTTTCCACATAAGGACCATTTCACATACCATCATCCTTTCTGCCTGGAATTCCCTTTTCCTGGCTCTTTACAGGGCTGATTTCTATCTTTCAAGTCTCTTTTTAAATGTCACCTCCTCTTAGAGCCTTCCTTGAGCAGTCTTTCTAAATAGTTTTCCCAGTGTAGCTCTCTTTCATTGCATTCAGGTTAGGCCTTTGTTAAAAGAGAAGGGTTTTATCATCTATTTTTGTTTGTTGTTTAGATTGTCTCCTCCCATACTCCAAGCTTTACAAGGACAAAGACTCTGCTTTGTTCATGATAATATCCAGGGCCTGGCAATATGTTATGCACACAGTACAAACTAAATATTTGTTGAAGAGAGAATAAATAGGCCAATTCATTGCATAAAAGCAGTGAATTGTTTCCTCTACTGCATACTCTTCCACCTGTTGAAGAAATTCATTTCTCTTCCTTTTAACGCTATCTTCTCAGCCAAAGCTGTTTTAGCAGTGAAGGAAAGACCACATGGCTCAGCAGCAGCAAGGGTGCAAGAGCTCCCAAAACAGAGAAAGGTGGGCCAGTTTCCAATGTTTATAGGGTCTTTCCCAGACATTGAGAGAAATTATATTCATGATGGGGATGTGTCTGAGGTGGTAACAGTCTACAAGTGGATTATCCATTCTTTTGTGTTGTCCCTGACATTTCTGCCATCCGCTATTGTAGGACACAGAGTTGTGAACATTAGACCACGCAGTCTGAAGATCATGTCTAGTATGCAGAGCTTAAAGTCATAGAGAAATAATGACAAGAGCTTTTATCCAACTATTCACAATATCAAAGACCCATTCACACTTTTGTTTAATCTTTTAATTGATGTAAGACATAAATCTGAGATGTGATTATAAATAAGAAATCATATTTTCAAGCATAAAAATATATATTTCCTAATCTGCTATGGGAAAAGTATACACACAAACACATGTATAAAAACACATACATCATATATAAAAACTATCTCAAAATGAATCAAAGACCTAAATGTAAGATCTAAAAGTATAAAACTCTCAGAAGAAAACACAGGGGGAAATCTTAATGGCATTTGATATGAGAATGATTTCCTGGATGCAAGACCAAAACCACAAATAACCAAAGAAAAAATAGATCAATTAGACTTCATCAAAATTAAAAACTTGTGCTTCAAAAGTACTATCAAGAAAATGAAAAGACTATTCACTAAATGGGAGACAATATTGCAAATCATTTCTGTGACAAAGATCTTCTATCCATTACATGTGAAGAACACTTATAACTCAAAAATAAAAAAGACAAATAACACATATTTTGAAAGATCATCCTTAGAGAAAACCCAATTTTATTCTTAAAACGGAAGAAAATATTTTGATAGATATTTCTCCAAAGAAGATATAGAAATAGCCAATAAGCCCATGAAAAGTTCATCAATATCATTATTCACTAGGGAAACACAAATGAAAACCACAGTAAGACACTACTTTATACCCACTGGGATGTCCATAATATAAAAGACAGACAATAACAAGTGTTAACAAGAATTTAGGGAAATTGGAATTCTCTTATTGATAGGAATGTAAAATAATGCAGCTACTTTGAAATACAGCTTAGCAGGTCCTCAAAAAGTTAAACATACAGTTACCATATGACCCAGCAATTTTATTCCTAGGTATATACTCAAGAGAATTGAGAACATCCATATCCCCAAAAACTTGTACCTAAATGCTAATAGCAATATTATTAATAATATAGTCAAAAAGTAGAAACAATCCAAATGTCCATTAACTGATGGATGAATAAACAAAACCTGATATGTCGATACAATCACTGGGCAATAAAAGGGATAAAGTACAGATACAAGCTCTGAGTCTAGAAAACATTATGCTAAATGAAAAAAGCCAGATATAAACAGACACATATAATATGATTCCATTTATAGGAAATGTTCAGAATAGGCACACTCATAAATATAGAAAGTAATGGTTTCAGATGCTGTATTTTGAGGAGAATGGGGTAATGAAAGCTAAAAGGTATGAAATTTCTTTTTCAGGGTGATGAAAACATTCCTGAATTACATAGTGATGATGGCTGCACAGCTTTTTGAAAACCACTAAATTGTACTCTTTAAAAAGGTGAATTGTATGGTATGTGCATTGTATCTCAATTTTTTAAAAACAGGTAATCACCAGCAAAAACTACAAACAAAACAAAACATCAGAATTTACTGATTCATGTACCATGATTCAATTTACTCCTGATAATGTCACCTTCCACAGAAAAGCAAACATAATTTGGCTAAGCATAGTTTTTCCTTGGCTATCATATTCTCTTTCTGGATTTTCACCTTCAAATTCTAACTTTATTAGTTCTAGGGTGACCAACCATTCAGTCTGCCCAGGTCTAACAGAAGTTCTCAGGACATGGGAGTTTTAGTGCTAAAATACGGAAAGTTCCAGAAAAACCGGGACAAGTTTGTTTTTGCATGACATTGCATAATTTTCTTAAGTCCTCCAATCCTCGTTTAAGTACTGGTTATACCCACTATAGATTGTTTATTTTTTGTATATATGAAATGTTTATATATTGACAGAATTTTTAATAACATGATGTTTATCACCTAGTCTATGCAAAACAATGACATAACACTTATGTCTCGATATCACTGGTGTCTGGCTTTTTAAAAAATTTTATTTTTCCATAAGTTATTGGGGTACAGGTGGTATTTGGGTTACATGAGTAAGTTCTTTAGGTGGAGATTTGTGAGAACCTGGTGCACCCATCACCCGTTTATATTCCTTCCTTTTATCTCTACACCTCCTCCCAATGCTATTTCACTTGTTTTAATGGTTTATGTTATAAGGTAATTGCTTACAAATTAATGTATCTTTTCTAAGTCTCTCCTGAGTTTGAAATAGAATAGCCAACTGTTTTCTGAGTGTTGCAATTGGAGATTTCCTTGGCTACTAATACTCGAATCTAATGCTGTGTGTAAACCTGCCTTAGTGCCTAAATTAGCTCTCTTCTTGATTTTATCATATCCATTTAATCTCTTGAGCTAAAATGACTTATCTTGCCTCCTTTGTTTTCTTATCACATCTAATGAATCACTATATTCTAATTATACCACACATGAAATTTTCTCAAATCTTCTCTACCTCCTGCCTCTCCTACCTGGTCCCCCTAACATATGTGCCTGAGACTGAAGAGTAGCCAAGTCTTTCTCGGACTTTTTAAATCCATGATAACTCTGAAAAACACACAAAAAAGATTATTTTAAATCAAATTTCAAAATAAAACGCAGTATTAAAAGTAAAACCAAAGCCAAGGTACGAGTTGCTTATTTTCTCCAAATTAGATAACTGTCCTATTCTTCTGATGCAGCACTTCCTGCCTCTGATCTTTCTCCCTCTTTAACACACTTACACCTATACGCATGCCCACACACAAATTCCCACCCACCCACGAAACCACATACACACATACACACACACTGCAGTGAATTCCTATAATTTTATGTTACCTTGGCATCCATTTTAAATATAAATTGAACGTTCTCATACCAGAAGCAGAGTTTAGCAACCATTGGCACAGCTGCCAGTTCTCTGCCTCCTCCCTGTTCCTTAAGGTGATCAATCCAGATCTACCTCATACAACTGCCTCCTGGTGAAACAACTTCCCATGGGACAGCTAGTTACAAGATATGTGATTTGCCCACTGACCCCCAACACCTCCCCAGATATGCCACAGGGACCACCTCTCAGTACAGCATGACTCCACTGAGCTAGTGCCCCCTTGCTCTATCTACACTGACCAATTAGAACTCCATGAGGAAAACCTGCGTGGGTAAGAGCCTGGACACCAGTAAAGGCTCTGGCCTATGAGTCCCTCACTCTCTCTCTCTTGCTCTCCACTAGCTAGTTGCACGTGTATTTCTAAGACAGCTCCCAGCTTCCTATTGGCCCTTGGAGGTATGCCGGCCCCTTCTCGCTAGGATCTATCAGTGACACACTGCTTCTGTTATTTCATGTGTTTTATTGTGTTGCCTCCTCTGTGTCTCACTTGACTGACACACCTGAACCTAACTCTCCTCCTAGCCAGGGCTCTCCTGGACAACTCTCCTGACATCTTGGTAGGAATAAACTGGACACAGGTCAGTTAAGAGCCACAGGGGTATCTGCCATTATGAACAAGTTTCCTTTGAGAGGGGCATTTGGTCACAGGTCAGTCACTTTAGCATTAGGCCGTTCACAAAGATGAAGAACTATTCCATGAAAGGCACACTGTAAACATCCATGACCACCCACCCGGAGCCCCATTGACACAGGGCTAGAGTTTATAGCCACTGTTGAGAGAGACCTTAAGACCAAATAAGAAAAATACAATGCATACAGATTCCAGTAGTCAGTATATGGTTTAAATTACCCCAGCACAACCTGATGTTCTGGGTCTCAGGGTAATTGTTTTCTGCTTCTGGAAGATGGTACCTAAATTTACATACCTACTAAACTATTCAGTCTTTAAAATCCATATTACTGTCCGGGCGCAGTGGCTCACACCTGTAATCCCAGCACTTTGGGAGGCCAAGGTGGGCGGATCACGAAGTCAGGAGTTCAAGACCAGCCTGACCAACATGGTGAAACCCTGTCTCTACTAAAAATACAAAAAGTAGCTGGGTGTGGTGGCGCATGCCTGTAATCCCAGCTACTTGGGAGGCAGAAGAATCACTTGAACCCGGGAGGCAGAGGTTGCAGTGAGCTGAGATTATGCCACTGCACTCCAGCCTGGGTGGCAGAGCAAGACTCCGTCTCAAAAAACAAACAAACAAAAAATCCGTATTACTGTTGCAGCTCTGTAAATCCTTCCCTGACCACATCAAGCCCAAACAGAATAAATCATTTTCTCTTTTTAAACGCATTTTAGTATTGTATTTATTATTCAGTATTATAATTTATTTGATTATCTATCTTCTCCTCCCCCAACTTGAGAAGAAACTCTTAAGAAAAAGATTCTATCTCATTTATATATCTCATTTTTCTATCTTATACCCAAGGAATAGCAGGCATATGACTCAATTCATTGAACTCCAGTAATATCTTGATATATTTATTACTTTGATTAAGTGATGACAACTCAGGCAGCATGCTTAAAATATGACTGAGTGACATTTTAACAATAACTTAAAAGGAACATTTGGATAGTTTATGTACATAGTTATCAAAAATATAAAGTATATTGACATGTGTATCCATCAGTCTAGACTTGCATAATAGAATACACCAAGTGATATGAGTACTATCACCCTGCTTCCTGTCTCTCTACCAACTACTCTTTTTCTTTTTCCCTACTCGGTTGAGCTTTTAGAGAAAGTCATGTACATTTACCCTCTCCTTTTCCTGACTTCTCATTTCCTCCTCAAGCCTACAGAAGTACAGCATTTCCACCCACTTATATATTGAAAATGCTATGGTAAATGCCACCAATGGCCTCTATATGACGAAAACCAAAGCACACTTTTCATCCCTTATTTCTTGATTTTCTGCTGCATTTAACACTGTTGGGCATTCCCCTTGAATCCCTCTACTACCTTGGCTTCTGGTTCTTTACTACTTCTTGGCTGAGTTGGGGGACCCTCATACTTTACTCATTCCTTAAACATTGCTTTTACCTAGGGCTCGCTCTTATTTTTTTTTCTATGTATCCTGTGGTGATGTCATCTATTTCCCCAGTTAACTGAGTGCTAAAGGTTAACAGAGCCAACCTCTTGTTAGATATATATGCTTGGATAACTTACAGGTATTACAAAATCACTATATGAAAATCTGAACTCACCACTGTCCATCTGATATGGTTTGGGTGTGTTCCCAACCCAAATCTCATCTTGAATTCCCATGTATTGGCGGAGGGACCCAGTGGGAGGTAATTGAATCATGAGGGCAGGTCTTTCCCATGCTGTTCTCATGATAGTGAATAAGTTTCATGAGATCTGATGATAACATGAGGGGGAGTTTCCCTGCACAAGCTCTTCTCTTGTCTGCTGCCATGTGAGATGTGCCTTTCACCTTCCAGCATGATTGTGAGACCTCCCCAGCCATGTGGAACTGTAAGTCCAATAAACCTCTTTATTTTGTAAAATGCCCAGTCTCAGGTATGTCTTTATCAGTAGCATGAAAACAGGCTAATACACCATCTATGCCTAGATTTGGTTTACAGCTTTAATTCAACTTCTTGGTAGTGGCTCTTAGTCACCCAAGCCATTAATATGGTAATCCCCCTAAACTCTTTCCTTAAAACCCATATTCAATTGGCAATCAAGCATTGCCCATTTTACTTCTCACTTAGCTCTTGAAATGTCTCCTTCTCATAACCTCTACTACTCCTTCCTCTAAGTTGAGACCTTATTATCTTTCCCTGACCTATTGCAATAGTTTGTTAATTGATTTACTTGTCTCTAGTTTTGCCCACTTCACATTCATAGTCCATTTTCCCTACTTCTCTCAAAGCAAATAATACATATTATCTATACACACACATCCACTGATAAAGCAAATCTGATTATGCCATTCCTCTAATTAAAACCCATTAATGCAATCCTCATAACTGCAATGTTTATTAAATTTTATATTTTGACACAGTTACCATATAGAGAAATCTAAGTTCTGTCCTAAAATACTAACCTGGGGGGCACTCATATTTTCTATTATCTTTTATTTTTAAAAAAAATATTAAAAGAGGTCTGGTCACTAGCCTCTATTGATTTTCAGACCCACTGAAAATCATAAATTACAAATTTAAAAATACTGATCTATAAGCTAAAGCCTGTCCTCAATTACCCCCTCCCAATTTATTTTTGTCCTTTCCATGTTAACCTAAAAAGGGATTTATGTGGCTATGGAGAGTTCCATTCACAAACATTACTCTCTACAGAGAATCAGCTATCATAAGGAATGAAAGCAAACTTTAAATTCTTCAAGTCACTGGCAGAGAAGTTCATTATTTTAAACAGAAAAGAATTGAGTGAGCAAAGAGACTGTCAAAAAGCAGGATCCAAAGAATCTATAGTTGCTTCTTCTCGGCCACTAAACTCAAAGAGCCACAGGGAAGTTTCCACAAGGTGCAATTAAAGTGACGACAGATTTCTACAACTGTGAAAGTGAAAACAAAGTAAGAGAAAAATTATCTAATGTCTTGTTTTGGAGGATGGCAAATGCTAGTTCATATCTAATAATGTGTAATTTAAAATGAACTTTGGAATAGGTGAGACCAATTAAAATGAAACCTCGATACGTGGAATATAAAGAGATTTTAAAATCAATGTTAATTCCTCAAAGAATTTGAATTCTAAAATAAATAAAATGTTTTCTAATTCCTAGAATATAAGATGAAAACTGGGGATGTAAGTTTTCTATGAATTATCCAAAAAGTTCCATCATACAAAAATGGCTTTACATACAGTCAGAATATCTATAGGCAAAAGAAAAATGACAACATCATTTAAAGTACTTCTTCCAAGTTTGTACTTTTTAAAATGTAATTATCAATCATTTTTACTATTGCTAATTCAAAACTATTTTTATTTCTTGGAAAATACTGATTAAATGTGGAAGATGATATTCAAGTATACTTATTGGGGTAAAACCTATAACACCTATTAAGCCTCCTGAAATTTACCACATTTCATATCCTAAAACATAAATAATTTTAAATGATATGTTACTGTATGTAATATACAAAATATAAGCATTTCAATGACCAAATAAAGGGTAAAGCAGGGAGTAGAGAAGAAATCAAATCAGTCAACTCTGAGTTTCAAATGTGAATGAAACTCTTTCTGTTGGTCATTTAATTAATCATTAGGATCTACACTTAAGAATTCAATAATAAAAATGAAACTAGATGGACAATCCACTTTTGTTTTTGTTTTTGTTTTTGTTTTGAGACAGGGTCTCACTCTGTCACCCAGGCTGGAGTACAGTGGCACGATCTTGGCTTACGGCAGCCTCCACCTCACAGGTTCAGGTGATTTTCCTGCCTCAGCCTCCCAAGTAGCTGGGATTACAGATGCCCACTACCACGCCCAGCTAATTTTTGTATTTTTAGTAGAGACGGGGTTTCACCATATTGGCCAGGCTGGTCCCAAACTCCATACCTCAGGTGATCCACCCGCCTCAGCCTTCAAAAGTGCTGGGATTACGGGCATGAGCCACCGTGCCCAGCCGACAATCAACTTTTAAAAATTGTCAGTTACCTTTAAATAATATATGTTGAGGGTTAGATAATGGACTACCTATGCATTTCCCTTAAACACACTGGCCCCCACTCAGCACCCTGTCTGTATCTTGCCTCCATACTTCTCTGAGGTGTTATATTCCAGCTCATACACATTCCAAATCTAAAACAATCAAACAAACAAAAAAGAATTGCTGTCATTTTAGAGCCCTAAGAAAACTGTCCCTTTTCTTCAACTAGTTTAATCCTTTCAATATGGTATTAGAAACATCACTTAACAAAAATATTAAATCCAGAGCTCAGCTAATTTTATCTAATTCAACAGTAGCCTTTTTGTTACATATACAAGAGCAGCCAGAGTATCTACTCTCACATGCAATGTGAATAAATCTGTAACCATGATCTGTGTAAGAGACGACATTTTCAGTCAATAAAACCAATGCCATACTCACGGTGAAGGTTGGTGGGGCTGGTTTTCAGCATTTCTTGGTGTTTTGCAGGCAGCAGGCTTCGCCATGTCCCTGACAACACACCTGGGGCGCATGATAGACAGCACAACGCACTATTAATTATAAAAAGGGTAGAACACATCTAGAAATTAAACACGGTACTGAAAAACACTCTAAGGGAAAGTCTTTGAAAGCCCCTTCAACATTAACCTTGGGGCCCCAGCAAAGCCCTTGGAGTTGGAAACCTTTGACTCAGGCTTCCAAAAGCTCAATTATACCCGAATAAAATCTGTGCTAGCCTCTGTATTTGACTTTCCTTTTAGCATCAATAACATGATTGTCAGCAGCTTTTCCCATAGCAGAAAAGCTACTGAAAGCTTTGGCATGACCATATGAAGATGTCTGAAAGCTTAAAAATAGGAACAGCTGTTGCGTTGATATGTTAAATTTTGAGCAGGATATTCTGTGACTTTTGCTATTTTACTAAAAAATACAGACTTTTCTTTCACACCATCAATCACCACACAGGTCTTTCTGTTTATGCAAAAAGATCTGAGAGGCCTCAAGGCATCCCCCTTGTTCAAAATTTCCTCATGCTAGGAGGGGAGGAAAAGATCAAAGAAATGTTCATATATAAAGAGTGTGTGTGTGTGTGTAAAAGAAGAAAAGATACCTCCAAAATGTGAAAAAAAGTAATTAAATGTCTTTGTGCCTTAAGTCATGCATCACAAAATAAATGCAGATGGTAGACAATATAACAAAGCTCCAAAGGGCAGCAGGAGGAGATACTCCTACTTTCATGAAAACAGGGCTTACAGAGCACTGGTGACATTTATTGGCAGAAATCAGAAAACACCTCCATCTGAGGATGAACATGGATGGCCCAGATATTCCTTCTTCTCAAAAGCTTTAAAATAAACATGGCTTTGAATAGAGAAGGCTTGGTTATAAAACTTAGACCTCACATCTTAGTCTTTGCTAAACAGAATGCCCCTTAGGATCCAGAAGGCTTCAAATATGAATCTGGTTCTTAAGAGCTTTCATGGAGGCTTCTTGGAGATTTGACTACCCTGCTCATATTTAAGGCCAGTCATATTATTCCAGAAGTGGATCACTGGTGAGGCAGTGGTAGATAAACTGTTTTCCCAGAGCTTAAGGCTGCATGGCAAATTTCTCCACTTCTGAAAGAAATAATACAGGAAAACATGGACACAACACACAGAAACGTGCACACACACACTGCTCATTCCAAACAAGGTCAGTAAGATGCCGAAATCAATATGTTACATGACAAGAAAAGAAAACGGTGCTATTTCAAAACCTCAACACACCTTCCCTTTGCATAAAAGTTTTAAAAAGTGGTGTTCATCAAGAGTTGATGCTAAACTTTCGATGAATTGGTCAAGAGATGTGAGTCAACAACATCCACAGAAACCACAAAGCCTTGTGTTCTTTCCCCGGTGTGGTGGGAGAAGGCCAATCATGCATCAGCCTTCAAAACATTCAGGAATGCAGTTGCTAGGGAAGTGTAATGTCCTAGGATTTCTGAGCTCTGAAATTTTAATATAACTTACACAAGCTAAAATGTCCAGCAAGTTAAACTTCAAAGCATTCGAAAATCTTTAGCAATTCTCACTTAACTAAAAATAGCAGATGCAGCATTTTTTTTTTCTTTTTTTGAGATGGAGTCTCGCTCTGTTGCCCAGGATGGAGTGCAGTGGTGCAATCTCTACTCACTGCAAGCTCCATCTCCCAGGTTCACGTCATTCTCCTGCCTCAGCCTCCTGAGTAGCTGGGACTACAGGCGCCCACCACCACGCCTGGTTAATTTTTTGTATTTTTAGTAGAGACGGGGTTTCACCATGTTAGCCAGGATGGTCTCGATCTCCTGACCTCGTGATCCACCCGCCTTGGCCTCCCAAAGTGCTGGGACTACAGGCGTGAGCCACTGCGCCTGGCCGCAGCATTTTTAATCTACATGCACTGATTTGTGAAAATATCTGGAATATCACCAACTTGGAAAAATTCTAAAGAATTAAATCTATGAGAAATCTTAATTCATCTCTTTTTTTCCCCTCAAGTCTTAGGTATTCATACAAAGCTTTCAAATAAAACAAATCTACTACTTAAGAGTTTTTAAAAATATGTGCTGAAGTAACTATTTTCTAACAAATATAAGGTATTAAGCAACACTAAAGATAGGTTTGTAAGCAAACATTTTTTTTTCTGACTAAAAGGCCCTATCTGCTGGGCATGGTGGCTCACGCCTGTAATCCAGCACTTCGGAAGGCTGAGGCCAGTGGATCAGTTGAGGTCAAGAGTTTGAGACCAGACTGGCCAACATGGTGAAACCCCATCTCTACTAAAAAAATACAAAATTTAGCCGGGTGTGTGGGGTATGCCTGTAGTCCCAGCTATTCAGAAGGCTGAGGCAGGAGAACTGCTTAAACTGGGAGGCAGAGGTTGCAATGAGCTGAGATCGTGCCACTGCACTCCAGCCTGGGCGACAGAGTTAGACTCCAACTCAAATAAAAAAATAAAACAAAATAACAATTTAAAAAGGGCCCTATCTTTGTAAGAAAATTCTTGTCTAATCTCAAGTCCCAGTGGTTTTGGTTTAAAATTTCAAGTTAATATACTGTTTCTGTCTATGTATGTTATAGAATCTTTCTGATAAAAACTTCATTCAATTTTTTGAATTTTAAAGTTTTATTGAATAATAAAAATAAACACATTAATATTCAAAAGCAATATATTTAGAATTAATCTGAATATAACAGGAAAACAACACATTTTCCATAATAAGATATATCCTGGCCACAGGACAAATATTCAAGAATAGAGCAATGTAGCTAGCTATTGAATCTGCATTTTGAAGGGAGGAAACTAATTGTTTCAGGTTGCTAATCATTTACCCAATTTCGGGGGCTTCTAATCACAAGATTTTTGTTTGCTTGTGTGGATTACCATTTCTTTAAAATTATAATTGAATTGGATCATAGTTTGGAAGGATAAAACCTTAATAGTTTTGACCGTTTTAACATATGGAAACTGTGTAACCTCAGCAATTTCCACTATCTCCTATGCATTAGACTTGGTATAATAATATAAACCCCTAATACTTTAAGAGACACAACAATGATATTTCAGTATGTTGCAGCTTTTAAGGGGTCTGTCTCTGTAATTCACTCCTTCAGCCCGACATAAGGAGACCACAAAAGCTGCCACAATGCTGACTTCCCAGAATTACCACGGATTGAAGGACTAGGAATTCAAAGAGTTTGACCTCTTATTTTTTGCAAAGTCTTTAATTACTCAGATTTATCAGATTGGGGCTCTTCGACAGTCTTCTAACTGCATGTGAGCATTCCCTCATCACTGAAGCATCACTGAAGATTTATGCAAATAAGACATTCTGCAACCGCCTCAGGGGAATGCTCCTCCTGACTCCGCCCTCAGCGCTGCTGGGTTTTATGAATGACTGCAATCAATGCGATGAATGGTTGCCAACTGCCCACTCAGCCACTTCCACTCTTCAGTGCACGTACACACGGGAGAAACTAACATTGCCACAAGCCTGCAGATGAAGCTATGGCAAGGCTTTCATCTCTCCAAACAGGAACTAAATGTGCTTTCAGATACTTAAGAGTATGTGAATTAAAAATTCTAAATGCCTTCAAGAAACACAATTTACATAATTACTTTCTCTCTTTTGACTTTCCATTTTGGTGCCTGCAATCACTACCTTCTACCCTCCCTCCCAAAAAAAAACCACCACTATTTTATGTGAAACTTTATCTGAATTTGAACTTTAAATGGTTTTATCTTTAATGTCAGGAAACTAGTTACTGTGCAGGAAGCGGCCAAATAGTAGACTATAGGACATTTACATTTCTGTTCTTAATGTTACGGTTTTTGAATTTTCCTATCATAAATGGAGACAATTATCTCCAAATAGTGTTGGGGAAATACATGTGTTTGTGTCTACTTCCCAAGTGTTATTGTAGGGTCCACATTGGTCCTAAGAGACCTTAGGAGCAGTTAAGATAATATGAGGTTGACAAAATGAAATGTTTTTCAAATATACAATTTTCTGATTTGCTGATCACTGATTAAAAGTAACCAGAAACAGACAAGAAGAGACTTCAGGGGCTCTGTAGCTGGCCACCTTTCCTTCTACACCCCCCATTCAGTGCTTCATGCCATTCTTCAACATGACATTAACCATAAAGTACCCCAAATACATGCAACATTCCTATTTCCTACCTGATTCTTTCTTCTTAACTCTAACATCTAACTGCCTCCTCAACATTTTTACTTGGGTATTTAACAGACCTCTCAAAATCAGCATTTCCAAAATAGAACTTTTCATTTTTTTTTTCCCCTAAACCTGATTCTCCAGCAACCATCTCCACCGTGGCTGATCATAACTACATTTCTCCAGCAGTTCAAGTGAAAATCTTTAGACTTGACTCCTTGTTTTCTCTCACATCCTGTGTCCTAATACCAGACTGGACGTATTTTCTAAATTTATGTAGAATTTGACCACTTATCAGCCCCTCCACTATTGCCACCCTGTCCTGAGCCAATATTGTCTTTCATTTGAATTCTCACCATAGATTTTTAACTGGTCACCCAGCATTTACTATTGTTCTCCTCCTGGAGTCTATTCTCAACACAACAGCCAGAGTGACTCTTTTGAAAGATAAATCAGGTCCTGCCACCTCTACCCAATAGTTCCCTACTTTACTCACAAGGAAGTGCCAGAGTCCTTAGGATAGCATCAGGACTCCCATCACTAATCCCTCCATCTACCTTCCTGCCTTGAAATCTCTGCACCAACCTTTCCTGCTGTGTGGAATGCTCTTCCCAATACTGGTATGACTAAACCCCTTACTTCTTTAAAGTCTTTGCTCAATTGTCGAGTTTTTGATGGTTCCTACCCTAATTATCCTACTTACTACTACAATCTGCTCCCCTCACCACATCCAGATATTTCCATGCACCCTTCACGTTGCTCTACTGTTTTCTGAGATATACTGTCTCCTACTGCTGAAATACGAACTACTCAAGATCAGAGATCTTTGTCTGTTTGGATCACTGACATATGCTAAGAGCCTAGAACAGTGTCTTACATGTAATAGCAACTCACCACATATTTGTTAAATGAATAAAGAAGATAAAAAGAATGAAAATCTATAGATTTCAAGCTTCAGTAACTAATTTAACATGGTAAAACACAGTGATTTAAAACAGATTCTAGGTAATAGTTTTTGTCATATTATAGCAAGTTTCTATAAAATATTTATAAAATAAAAATAAATAACCAAAAAGTTTTATGATTTGATTAACTTCACTAAATTTGTGTTCATATGGTTTGAGTAACGTTCACTCTCTTTCTGCACAAGAAAAAGAGTATTTCACAGAATATGACCTATTTAGTGGAAAGGACTCTTTAATATCCAATTACTGCTTTGAACCAGTGAAATACTATTTAACATCTGATGTATCAATATTTTATCAAATAAGACATTAAAGTAATTAAATATGGGGAAATTTCTTAATAGTAAAGAGAAAATTAATCCTCTTTTTCTGATTTTTTCTAAAGAGAGCAGGAAAATAAGAAGAACTTCTACATATTTAATACCTATCATGTACCAAAATACTCACAGCATATCTCACGTATTCTTCTTACCACCCTGCCGGGGCATATGATTCTCCTACTTGGCCGATGAAGAAAGTATGGATCTAAGAGGTTAAATTATTTTTCCAATGATAAATGGCAAATGTTCATACCTTAAGAAGTCAGGATTTTAATCAAGGTTGGTTTGGTATTAAAACTAATGTCCTTTCCACCATTCCAGGCAGCCCTCTGTCTTTAATACTTAAAAGATGAATGGAAACTGATAAACATCAACTGTGAAGTTACAGAGTCCAGCAACCTCAGACGTGTTTCAATATCATTGATTTCCTGATATAGGTATATTGATGAAAGTATTCAAATCATCCTACATAATTCAATGTTCTTTAAACATTATTCTAGTATTACCAGACCATATTCACGAAATATTACATAAAAGCAGAACAATGGTGACATCAGAATATTGAGCTGGCTAAACTAGAAGTGTAAAGTGACCTTAAGACCAATGGCAATACTGGAATACTATGAAATGTGAAATGCAAGACAAATTATCTGGTACGTAGAGAAAGGGTTTCTATAATACAAAAAAATAAAGGTGAAAAGACAAAAGATTCATTTGCAAGACAAGTAGAATGCAATTGATAAAAATATCTTCAAATATATATTTTAAAGGAGGTCTTTAAAAGCAACCTCATTTCCATTCACAAATTCTAAATGAAGAAAAGCTGAAGAATATTATTTTAAAACTCATTTTATATAAAAATTTGTATATTCATGTCAATTATCAGTGAACAAATGAACGTGATGACTGTTATCCATAAGATGAAGATGGAACAGTGAAAATTCTACACCATAAGGGAAAAGTGAATGTTGACATTTCAAAAAGCCAGATGTACTAATCACAAACCATCAGGTCCTGTTACACCACCAGTGTGCATTCAGGGAAGCTTCGGGAGTTTATCAGAGTAATTTTTACTTTCAAAAGGCATGGAAGATAGGTGCAGTAGGTTCCTAGTTATAAGGCAAGGGAAACCAGCTGGCCATTTTTAACAGTGAGTGATGAGAAATGTTGACCTTCCCCTGAAGAGGCCAGGAAATTATTCACAAAACAATATGAAAAGTCTAGGAGTCTAAAATAAAAGTGATAATAAACTAAAGATTCACTACAAAGATTAATAAGAGATTTTAAGTTTTGGAAATCCATTTTTTCAAAGACTGATAAGAAAAGAAAATAATAGGTAAAAAGTAAAGTCTCTGGTCTTCTTAATCATTGAAGTCTACCCCATTTATCATCCTTTAGATCTCCAGAATAAAAACAGGCTTGATTCTATAAGTTTCTCATATTGTCTCCAAGATTTTGGCAACATGTCCAATTAACCTCTTTTTACTCAAGCTATTATTTTCTGTTAACACAATCAGTTTATTTCTCCATTCAGCAATTCTTAAAATGTAATACTTACTTTACTTACTTATGGATTTATATCTGCCATCATTCCCTACATATTCATTCTCCCATTTGCTTTTATTTTCTACTTACTAACCTGCATTCATTCTCCAAAAACCGTGTGCTGCCTGCAAATCCAACACAACTTTTGAAAAACTTAGAATGCCAGAAATTTTCTGCCACTAAACCTGCAAAGGAAAACCTGTTCATTCCATATGATAACATAACAAAACAAAACAAAACAAAACAAAACCTATCCACTGAGAAGTAAGGAATTTCTAGAAGAGGAAGCAATAGTCAGTGTATCAGAGGGAGGTATCAAATAAGATGAGGTCTGAAATCATGCTTTGAACTCTCCAGAAGGAGAAAGAGGTGAAGCTCAAGTGGAACTGCAGTGGGCTGAAGAGAAATAGGGTGATGTGAAAATAAAGAGAAAATGAAGATAATTGCTACAAACATAGATGAAAGCTGTACTGAGAAAAGAGGGTATAATGAAGGGAAGATGGTCTTTTTTACTTATGGGTACAAATCTAGGTGAGTAATTACCCATGGGAAAGGGAGAAGTTAAAGATACAGAAAGAGAGGAGAGAAGGGGAAGTGGAAGCAAGCGGTAGGGTGAGGAAGGGGAAGACGGAGAGAAGAGGAGAAGAGTTTAGTGACGAAACAAAGTTGCTGAGGAGGTAAAGGCAGATTACATGAAATAAACACATAAGGGATTATTTCTCAAAATGTCACCTTTCATTTGACCATAATGGCCATCTCCATTTTCTTCCAGAAAGATCCATGCAGGACAATCCTGCATTAGATTCATTTTGGAAAGGTTTAGAGAATGAAAATTATTTCTCTACCTCTTCACGTATTTCTAACTCAGTTCCTAGAGGCAGAAACTTTGCCTCAATACTTCTTTCCCACCTGTACCTGTGCCAGAGGTGGGGAAGAAGGGAGACATCTGAGAGGGCTCTCTCTTTCCACCTATCATTCACTAATAGTTATGTTTTCACTATTTAGTGGGGTCACTATGTCTTCTGCAGGAAGAAATTGGCAGTTTCCTCTTTGGCTTGTTGGGTGCAAAAAAAAAATTTTTTTTTCACTTCTTCTTGAGTACCCAGCTTCTCTACAGGAAGCGCTCTTGGGTAGGCCTGGGTAGGGCAGACTCTGCCAGGCTTCTAACTCTAGCTAACTCTCTTTCTTTCTCACTAACCCATGTCTACTTGAATATTTAGGTAAACACATCTGAAGCCTGCTTAGAAGGGTTAGTCTTTTAGATTTAGAGTGAGTTTTTTTAAAAAAAGAAAACTAATTTGGGAATGACAATCTACAGTAATTAGAGAGGACATGAGAAAAACTACAAGGACATCTAATATTTCCAGCAAGGTAGGAAACATAGTCTGGATCCACAGATTCAGCCTGTTTTGTTCCACGACCCATGACAGAAGGTGCTTCTGTGTGAAACATCATCATGGGCTTTAGTTGTATAAACAAAAGTCCCAGTCATTTTATTTTCCACTAAAGAAAGCATATTGATCAAAAAGTGAAAATGACAGTATTACAGGAATAATCTTGGAACTAACATAGGTTATCTTAAAGATAAAATTGTTTATAGCTTTTAGTATTTCCATTTCTACTAGTAAAAAATTCCAGCACCCCTCACAGCTAACTTATGTGCCCCATTGAAAACCACTAGTCTCACCTGCTGGCTTTGTCCCAAGCCAGGCTGTGTGTAGTCTCTCCATCATAAGAAACAATCACCGACTTCATTGAGAGAGAGGTGAGAGATTGTTTAGTAGGCAATAACATCAACTTAAACAGGTATATTAACTCTCTCAAAGAGAAGCAAATAACTAAAAATGGTCTTGATTAACTTAAAAAATAAATTCAGTAAAACAAGATGAATGTCAAGAAATGTAAACCTATTTAGATATGAAAAGCAATAAACAACAAAACAGGAAAACAACAGTTAATAATACCAGCTAAGATTTCTGGCACCTACAGTGGGCCTGGAACCATGCTCCGAATCCCACATGCTTTTGGTCATGTCACATAGTCACATATCATATATTATGACTGGTGCTTTGTGAGTTTAAAAAGGATAATGTCACCCAAATTACAAAATTTATTTGTGAAATACCATAGTTTCTTCTTAGAAGCACAGTTCATCATTTCAAAATTACCTGATATCTGTGAAGTATTTTGTGTTGAGCAAATAAATTATTTCATTATCATTCAAGATGTAGCAGGAGCCACAAAATTACAATAGAATATTTCGAGTTGTAAGCATTAGTCTTTAATTCACATCCCCTTCCCATATTGCAACGTTGTAAAACAGTAAGAGATAGTTATCAGATAATGGTTGTCCACACTTTAAAAAAAAAAAGGATAAAAAAATGAAATTTGGTAGCAGAGGGGGAAATTGATGCCATTTGTAAGGATAATTGCCAGAGCTATTTTACAACTATGAGTTTTCTGTTTTCTATTTGTATCACAAAACCACAGCTCTTTGAATAATGTTTTTAGATACTTCTATGTATGTAAGTATGTCTTTTCCCCACAAAGCATTCATTTTCCTCCCTCATCTGGGAGCCCAATAGCTGAATAAATATCTACTGAGAGGTCCCACAATGGTTCCTTGGTGGGATTTAAGTGGATTTTAAATAGCTAAAATAAAATGGGAAAATGGAACTTGGAAAAGCATTAATGAACTATTTCAGGCACTACTTTCAATTAATTGTAACTATTTTTTCAACTGATTCACCTGCCTAGAAAGTTAGAGAAAAACTGGAGCCAATGAGATATGAAAATGTGTTATTACCTGGGCTTTTACTTTTGTAAAAATATTAAAGTGCCACATGAGAAATATACACCTTTCATTTTCTATTGTGAATGAATATTTCTTTATTTTGTCAAGAGGTCACAGGCCTCTTTTTCCTAAAATATGACCAAAAAAAGGAAATCAAATCAATTTGACACTTACATGGCAACTTTAATACTGGAATATGATTGCTTCTTTGTCTATCTTTTGCATGTAGAATGAGAAAAGCAAATAAATCTTGTAAATAACTTTTTCATCCCCTTCATCCAAATTGATGGAAATATGAACAAACATTTAGGGAAAAATGGATGAATAGTATGGCATTTGAAAAGATAATCTAGCAAACAGGATTTCTTACTCCTCACTGACAAAGGTGAACATGCTCTAAGACATCTGCTTCCCCCTTGACCTGATAGGGCTGTCATTTTTATGGCCTCACCTGAGCTAATTATTCCTGAACTGTCATTTCCAGACTTCACCTCCCATTACCTGTCATGTATTAAATCTGTATCTACCAAAAATTCACAATTCCTATTATATCTTATTTCCTAAGTCAGGTAAATCTACATCACAGTTTTAGAACATCATTTTGTCACTTTGATCTCCATTCCGTATCCTACTTTTCTTACCTCAAATTACCTGACCACTTCTCCCATTCCTTTAATTTTTAGTCCTTTCAAAACTCAAATGTAATGAACTCCAGAAATAATTTCAGACTGAGTACTCTCATTTATCCACCACCAACTTCTTCAGGAAGCACACGTTCTTATATAGGCATAAGAGAATTTGTTTAATAGCAACAATCCAACTACTGGGAAAAAGTTCAAGAAATGTCTACATTGGAAATATATGAAATGGTAGTGTGTTCCACAGCTTCACTGGGAAACCCTGATGATTATGACATCGAATCTTTACATAGTGATTGGATGTAATCAATGAACAAATACAGGAAACCTGCTCTGTGCCACGTACCATGACAAATGTTATGATCACCAACCAAAAACAAGTCACTCTATTCATCAATAATAGTAGCAATAATAATAACTTAGATTTATTAAGCACTATGATAGGGACTCGTTTAAGCTCTTTATATGCATTAACTCATTTGATCCTCAAAGCAACTCTATGTGGTAAGAAGGTTAAATAACAACATCTTGATAAAGCCTTTATACAGCTCTGCCCTGTATAAGTTGCCATAGCATTAGATTCACAAGCTCAACTCTTATTTTATTACTAAACCATTTTATTTCCTTGAAGTTGCTTAAATTAATTTTTAATTAAAATTTAATTATATCCAAATACAGATAAAAACAACAAGATCAAGCATAGGAATCTTGAATTAATACTATAATAAAGGCTGACTCTTTTTCTCCTAAAATGTCATTTAAAATATATTTATTTTATCGGCTAAAAATTTAGTTTATTATACTTTTAATATGTCTATACACTGTCATGTCATTTAGTGTTCTTGAGGGTTGTAAAATAATTTTAATTATATTATCACATATAACTAATATTCACCTTGCTCTTCAGTGTGTCACTTCCAGAGTTCTAATTAACCCTGGTATTTACTTTGCATGTACTTATTTATAGATTCATGTACATAGAAAAACATCAGAGGGTTTCAAACTCTAAGACTGAAATTTGTCACCACTTTTGTCAAAGTCATTAACTTGTTCATTAGCATTCATGCTTCTACTGCAGGCAAACCTAAAACTACAGAGAATTCATCAGCCTTGGGATAGCAACTCTATTGTTAAAAATTCCTTACTATTGGAATATTATTTTAAAAATGTTTACTGAAATCTGCCTTTATGTAACTTTCACACATCACTCCTATAACTTTGCTCTTGAAAAGCTGCATAGAGTAAGTTTGCTGCTTTTCTAAAAGACCATCTCTGCATAAATTTAAATTCAGTGGTCCTGTTTCCCCTTTATCCTCTCTTCACTTCTGTTTTTCACCAGTCCATCAACTATCTCTCACTAGGCATATATTCCAGAGACCTAATTACTCTAGAGAAGTTTTTGGTTAATAACTTTCTTAAAAGTTGACTCCCTTTGTTGTGCAATATTTTTACTCTAGGTCCAATACAAATGCAGATTTTACAAACTTCTCTAATAACCAGGCCATATACAAAGGCCAACGGACAGAAATGAAATTCAGGGCAAATTATCTATGAATGGCTTCCAAACCTGGCTATATATCAGAAATATCTAAAGAAGCTTTTAAAGCAAAGACTTCTTTGGGTCCCAGCTCAGACCTACAGAGCTGGGATTTGGGCTCAGAAATTTTCACATTATTAGCTCTCCTGGGTGACTCTAATGTGTTCAAGCAGGTGTTTGGGAACTGCTGTTGAAGAATGAGCCATTCATTCGCGCAACGAGATGAAACGAGTCCTTTCCTTAGAGGAAGCTAAACCACAAGAGGACTCCATAACTTGGACCACGTTATCATAGTCGGTCATAAAAGAGCTTTCCATGAACTCCATTTTAATGTTATACCCTCAGCTTTTATGAGAGGTCGATACAAGAAATAGCTGTATGAAGTCGGTTCCTGTCTTTACTGTAAAATAGTGGTGAAGTCACTGACTACTGCATCAGTTTGATTCCATTCTAATAAACTCCACATTAATTTTTTCAAAATCTAACACCAAGAAAAGTGATATTCCTCTTATATTACAAATGTTTATCATGATTTGTTTTGGTCAGGGATCAAAGGAAGCTCAGAGCAAAACTTAAAGTTTACTATAATAACTCTGTTTACATAGTAAACATGTTAATAATATCAATTTTTTCTTGGTTGTAAGTTTCAACTTATATTATGTTAAGGCTTTATGTGAAATCCTGTCGAGAGAAGCAAAATAGAATTGTGGAAAGAAAGAAAGAAAGAGAAAGATTAAAACCTAACAATACAACAATCTTAAAATCCTAAAGTACTTTTGCATTTTCTAAATTAGATACGTGGGAAAATTTAATCCTTGCAGTAAGAAGACTACATATGTCATAGTAACAGTAGAGTGGAAATATTACAGATTAAACATTTCTACTGTTCATACATACATTTCATATATATATATATTTTTTAGGCAAATAACTATATCTTCTTTTACCTATAGAGAAATTTTGTGAGACATTGTCTCTAATACTACATAATTACCTCATTGAAAAACTTTTCTACCTTTTCCTCTTATATATAACATTAAGTAGTAAATTAGCCAATTAAAACATTGGCAAGAAACAGTAAACGTGACACTGTCTTTATCAATTCAAATCACCCATAGTTTGTTGCTATGTAACTCAAAATAACCCCCTTACTTTAGAAGTAATCTTTTAGTTTTGACACTAAGTAGTTAAGAATTACTGATCTTTCCCTAACAATAAAAATTTAAATACTAAACTTTATCAAAATCTTAACAATTTTCCCCAAAGACACTATTAAAATTAAAAATATGCACTCCTAGACTCAGAGGAAATATTTGCATTACATATCTTAAATATACATTACATATAATTAGGTGCATATGTACATATACATATACATTACATATATGTACACAGATAGGACTTGAATCCAGAATACATAAAGAATTACTATAAATCAGTAACAAAGCAACCTATCCTATGACTTAGGAATTGATTTCTCAATATTTACCCAAGAGAAATAAAAATATAGGTCTACAAAATGATTTGTACCAGAATGTTCATAAGTTGGGCACGGTGGCTCATGCCTGTAATCCCAGCAGTTTGGGAGGCTGAGATGGGAGGATCACCTGAGGTCAGGAGTTCGAGACCACCCTGGCCAAGATGGTGAAACCCCGTTTCTACTAAAAATACAAAAGTTAGCCAGGCATGATGGCTGGCACCTGTAATCCCAGCTACCCAGGAGGCTGAGGCAGGAGAATCGCTTGAACCTGGGAGGCAGAGGTTGCAGTGAGCTGAGATCATGCCACCGCACTCCAGCCTGGATGACAGAGCGAGACTCTGTCTCACAAAAAAAAAATGTCCATAGAATATTCATAGTAGTCTTATTCATAATAGCTTAAAATTAGTGATAATCTAGGTGTCCATCAATAGAATAACTAACTAAAAAAAATCATGGCATATTCATAGAATAAAATATATTTTTAACACATGCAATGATATGGATGTATTTCAAATATTTTTAGAGCAAAGAAGCCAGACACAAGAGTTCTTACTATATAATTCAATTTTTATAAAGCCTAAGAATAGGTAAAAAGTAATCAATGATGACAAGAATCAGAAAGTAGTCACCTCTAGGTGTGTGTGTGTGTGTGTGTGTGGAGTGTGTGTGTGTGTGTGTGTGTGCTGAGGAGTGGTATTGTGATGTTTTATAGCTTGGTTTGAGTTGTGGTAACACAGCTGATGCAACTGTGAACACTCATCAGACTAAGAACTTCAGATCTGTGGATTTTACTTTACGTAAGTTATATCTCAATAAAGAAGTAAAAAAAAAAAAGAAAAATTACTAATAGACTAAAAAACGTCAAAATTCTACTAATTTAAGGATATGTCATCCTTCATGCCAGTAGAATATAATTTAATGTGCTTTGGAAAGCAATCACTCCAATAAACAACTACGGAAGTCAAATAATTAATACACTTTTTCAAAGAAAATAATTTACTTCTTTTTACCATGTTGGAATCAGAAGGATAAATGTAAATACAGTTAAAGCTAAGAAACAGGTTTATGTAGGAAAATTTTGCATCAAGATGAATTGTTTCATATACATGAAAATCTTAAAGGAGCTTTAAAGCAGAGTTCAGGAAAAGTCCAAACCATGCTACTGTATCTTAAAAAAGCATTACCTGTTATGTAGATGATTTGAGAGGTAAATTTGCATTCAGTATTTCTCAGAAAATATTACTTAAGATTATACTAAGATTTATTGCTGGGAAAATCCTAAAATTGATATTTTGAAAGGCTTTATCTACATTCTCTGTAGAACCAAAATATGTCTTATATCATATATCTTACGATAAGGAAAAGGACATTTATTTTCTAACAAATCATGGGCATTAGCTGCAGTTTCTAACAGCAACATCTCATACCAAAGGCTTTAAAAATTATTTTAATTAGAAACATACCTAAAAAGGCAAAAAAAAGTCATGAAAGTCTCATCTACTCCTATTACTTTAAAAATTAGATAAATAAGTGGAAGTTGTCCATCACTATGTTCTAACCCTGTTTAACTCTTCTAAAGGCATAGATAGTTTAAGACCCTAAAGGTAAAAAGCAACAGTCCTTTAATTCAGTCTGTTTGGCTGGGGAGAAGCATGAAAATAGTCTCAGAGCTGTAATTCTCGCATCCTTATTAGAGCTGTTGCAACTCAGTGGTCTCAACAGAAGAGCAGGTGCATTTGCTTTGGCTTTCTTCCTCATTGAAAACTCAGCCCTAAGTGGTTTGAGAATCCTGGAGAGTCAGCTGGAAGTCACTAAATTAAGCTATTTCAATGTACTGTTATTCTAATAGGTAAGTATGTTTTTATATTTAGGAAAGAAACTAATTCTGAAAGGGAAAGTACAGTGGTAATGGGAGGATATGAAATAATGGAAAAATAATGAGAAATAAGTCAGAATGTTAACATGCTTTCAAAAACAATTTACATCAATGGATCTACTTCTCTACACTTAATGCTTTTTCCCCCCTGCTTAAAGTATTGTTCAAAAATATTGACTCATTTTTACCTCCACCCCACCGTCCCACTTCTTTGTTACCAAGTTTAGCTATGCCATTTGCTTTAAACTCACAGTAGCCAAGGTGTATTTATTTCCCACCATGTGAACTGGGCCTTGCCATGTGACTTGCCTTGGACAATGGGATGTTAGCAAATAACACAAGAAAGGGCTTAAGATGTGCTCCTTGACCGGGCGAGGTGGCTCACACCTGTAATTCCAGAACTTTGGGAAGTTAACGCGGGTGGATGGCTTGAGGTCAGGAGTTCAAGACCAGCCTGGCTAACATAGGGAAAACCAGTCTCTACTAAAAATATAAAACATTAGCTGGGTGTGGTGGTGTGCACCTGTTAATTCCAGCTCCTTGGGAGGCTGAGGAAGGATAATCGCTTGAACCCAGGAGGCAGAGGTTGAAGTGAGCCGAGATCGCACCAATGCAGTCCAGCCTGGGTGACAAAGTGAGACTCTGTCTCAAAAAATAAAATGAAAAAAAAAAAAAAAGATGCGCTTCTGCATTGGAGCTTGCCTTCTTGACTGCCATTACTGTGAGACAAACCTGAAACACATGGAACAAATCTGAGCCCAATCTGCAGCTTGAAGGCCAGGACTTGCCAAGCCTAGCATAGGTGACTTCCACCCAGCCAACCTGAGGAAGCATGAGTAACCCCAGCTGAGATCAGCAGGGACCCTCCAGCTGTCCCACAGACCACCTGAGAAATAAACGCTGTGCCCTGAGATTCATATTTCTCCTCTCTGCTCCAGAATCATTACTTAGCCCTGTGGGGATATCCAGCTATGTGATTTCAAAAAAGACGTTTCCTCCCATTGCAGATCCAAACTTCCTAGCATATTCTCATGATGCCCAAGTTCCAGTTTTCCTGGTGTTTCGCAGTAGGAACCTGCCCTAGGGCTGCTCTCTGAGGGGACACCACCTTCCTCCATCAGCTACTTACCTCATTCAATATAGATTCCCAAGGGCCTCACGAATTTCCCGATTTCAGAAGTGAATTTGTAGTAGTATCAATGAGAATGATTAGAGTCTCTGTGATAGACAGGACTTTGTTTTATTCATTACTATATCTCTAGTTCCTAGAAAATTGTCTGGCACATAATAGGTGCTCAATATATATTTGCTGAACAACTGAATAAACATACTGGAACTTTTTTTTCAATATAGATAATGACTATATTTAGCAGGTCACTTTGATACATTCACCCAAATGACAGAGTTACTAGAGAATTTTGGCATAGAGTGATGGTGGGAAGTGGGAGCAGTGGGAGGTAAGCTGGAGATTCACAAGGCTTTTCCTAGGGTTCCATAAATAATCCCACGTAGGTTTCCCAACAACTCCACCTAAGAGTACATAACACTGTACATTAGACATTGTAAGTCAGGGTCAGGCCTGCCCATGCATGATGGAACTGTCATAGGGCCACCAATCTGGACTGTCTTTTAACACTTCATCTGACTTCATTCCATGAGACCTGGGTGGAGAAAGCATGACAACCTCACATCCACATTCAATTGTCCAATTTTCACCTTACTAGGGAGCAGGGATATTATCTTATAAAGAAAGGCAAGTGTGGTAGGGCAACAGGGCAAGGAGTCAAAAGACTTGAGTTCGAGGCTTGGTTTACCACATGACTGAGTAGAAAACTTTAGGTAAACAGGCCAAGCATGGTGGCTCACGCCTATAATCCCAGCACTTTGGGAGAGTGCTGGGATTTGAGGCAGGGGATGGCTTGAGCCCAACAGTTCGAGACCAGCTTGGGCAACACAGAAAGACCCTGTCACTATTAAAAAAAAAAAAAAAAATTAGCTAAGCGTGGTGGTGCACAACTGTGGTCCTACCTAGCTACTTAGGAGGCTGAGGCAGGAGGATCCTTTGAGCCCAGAAGGTCAAGGCTGCAGTGAGCCATGACTGCATCACTGCACTCCTGCCTGGGTGACAGAGTGGAGACTCTGTCACACACACACACACACAAAAAAAAAAAAAAAGAAAAAGAAAAGTGGAAAAAATGGTCTTTTACTCTACTTGAAATGTTACATTAGAAAGGCACTCCAAAATTTTTGGTTGAATGTAAGAATGTAGTTGAGTGAATGTCGTCATTATTAATACAGTGATGGCAATGTTGTCAGCATCAGGTGATTCTGAAAACAAGAAAAAACAAAACAAAACCTCCCGCAATAAAGAGCTAACCAAGTTGAAGTTGATACAAGCTTTAGGTAGAAAAATAATTAAAGAAAACAAGTCTTCATTTACCATGTTATCCATCCACTAAAGGAAACATAATCTGAACAGTCCATCATAGGTAAGAAAAGGGAAAAAAGTATAAAAACAGCATCTTAACCTCCATATGTGCTTATTTTGATTTATCACGTCTTCCAATTTTACAACTTTGGACTGACCATTAGTGTATTTGATGTTTGCATGCTGATTTTAAGAAAGAATTTAAATGCCAAGATTTACAGCTATTTAACAGTATATGTCTTCTCATCTAAAATGTTATAACATCTTAAAATGCTGGCTTTCTTTGTCAAGGCAGCCCAATAAAATACGTAAATAAGAAAAACCAGCATGCACAAAAGCCATGCTTCAGGCATTCTTCCTTTTGAGTTTTCCTTTTTTTCAATTTAAAAAGAAAGTCATGTTATTTCTTCACTTTGGAAAAAAATGCATCAGACCATAATACTTAAAAACTAGCTGTAAAGGTAGAAGCTGCCTCAGTCGGAAAAAAATGTTTCTGGAGGGAAACAAGCTATTTTAAAAATAAATCTTGAAATGTTTGGACAAATCTTAGTTCTCAGACACACATACAGAAATTAGAGAAGAAACTTCCAAAATTATTCTAATAGCTTTGCAACTGAAGGTTTCCTAAAGGTTGTTCTTTTAATTCACATCTTGACTTAGTTTGCTATCACCAAATCCTAATGATAGGCTCAAATGTCCAGTGTCTACTACTGTGAACAGGGAGGCTAAACACTCAATATCCAAGTTCTGGTTTTCTCCTTTCTGGAATTATTTTCTGGGTTGCAATTCTTGACTAGTTTCTGGTGTTCTTACTACCTAGAGGTTTCCATTATAACTGCTTTTTTTTTCAGATTAAGGTAAAATCTATACAATAAAATTCACCTGTTTTAAGTGTACGGTTAGAGATGCTTTAACAAATATACACAGTCCTGTAGCCATCACCATAGTAAAAACAAGAACACTTGTATCACCCAAAAGACTTCTCTACTATCTCTTGTAGTCAACCTCCTTCCCCTTTCCTCATTAGACCCCATGATAATCAATGATGTCTGTTTCATCTCTATAATGTTGCCCTTTCTAGAGTGTCAAGTAAATGAAATAATCTAATATGTAGTTTTTTGTCTGACTTCTTTCACTTAGCATAATTTTTTGAGATTTATTTGCATTTGCATGTATCAGTAGTTGGTTCCTTTTTCTTTGTGAGTAGTGCTCTACCTTATGGATTTACCATGACTTGTTTATTCATTTACCAGGTGATGGCCATTTTATTGTGTCTAGCTTTTGTCTATTATGAATAAACCTGTTATGAATATTGAAGCCATGTCTTTGTGAAGGCATATATTTTCATTTCTCCCTAGTAAATACCTAGGAGTGGAACTGTTGGATCATATGGCAAGTGTATGTTAATTTATAAGAAACTGTCAAACTGTTCTCCAAAATGGCTATAACATTTTAGATTTTTGCCAGCAGTGTAAAAGAATTCCAGTTACTCTGTCCTTGACTGTTAAATGGAGATCTTATAATTAAACACTGTATGTAATACCACATGATGACTTGACAACTCATAGCCATTTGAGTTAAGTAAGTTTAACATTTACGGAGATTATCAGCATGGCTAGCTCATTTCATTTTTCCTATATGTCTGTGAAGAGGGTATACTTATTCTTCATTTTCAGGTGAGAAAACTGAAGTTTAGAGGGGCGACTTTGCCCACAAAACAAGTGACAAATTTGAAACATTATCTGAGGTGGTCTATAGCCTCAGTCATAGCCTACTTCAGTGTGTAAAAGAAAATTGGTGGTTGCTTGCAAAAAATGTATTTAATGATGCATGGCGAATAGAGCAGTTGTTCTCTCTCACTCTTTTTTCTCCCCATTGTTGGAGAAAGAAGAGAAAAAGATAATCATATAATTTAGAGGACCTTTCTTGTTAACTTGCTATGCCCAGAACCAGGAATTTAGGAGGTGATGTCCCCAAAAATTATACATCCTAATATAGGGTACTGAGATCAGAGTTGCAAGTTATGTTCATTCTTTCATTCCTATTTCAATATATCCTGAATCTGCACTAGCATATTGCATTGAAAGGCATAAAAATACACCCATAAGCACTTAGATGGACAAATTCTCATACTACAAAAAGGTATTCAGCAGAGTTTGAAATGTACTTTAATCACCAGGGACAAGGCAGCCTTTACATATGATGGTTGTACTTGAAGCCCTGCTAATTGTCCCTTGCCTCTGCTTTGCAGGCCTGAATTAGCTTATGCCCTCACTCTATTTATAGGTTTGATGAGTAAACTTAGATTCTCCTTAATCTTTAAAGACTGAAAACATAAGGGGATATGAATTGGAAAGGTCAGCATTACAGAATCTTTACACTTCCCCAGGGCATCCCTGTTCTGACAGCCCAGAGGAGTTCGCAGGTCACTTCAGCCTGTAGTGTTCTTTCCTGCCTTCTCCTCTAGGTTAGCTGTGCCCATCCCCAGTGCCCAACCTATTATCCTCTCCATCAATGAAATTATTATGGCCTATGTAGTATTACTAGTAATAATTATAAAAATCATGTTTTTCACACTCATTATGTGCCAATCACTTTGTTAAGAGCATTAAATCTTCACAACATCTTTATGAGGTTGGTCTTATTGTCTCTAATTTACAGAGGAGAAATTGTGTATCATCAGAAAGCCATGTAGCATGTGCCATGTCAGGTAGGCAGGGGCTCTGTTCTATACTGTTCACATTCAAGAAGGCTTTACAATTAGTGTCATCATAAATTGCCAGGGCAAAAGGGAGAGAAAGGTGGCAAACTGAACACTGCCTCCTAAGTGCTTCTATTAAGAAATATTCAATGTTACTTATTTTTATATTTTGTTGGTCAGAGTAAGTTGCATGATCATGCCTAATTTAAGAGATTGGAGAAGCATAATCCTAGCAAGTGCACAGAAGAAAGAAAACCAAAAATATCTGATGAACAACACTAATGATCAGAACAACTCATCTGATATCCTCAGCATTTAGTAATATGTATGAGGCCTGTTTGATGGATGCTGGAGAAATGAACTAAATGAATATTTTCACTGTATGGTGTATAAGATACACAACCTGTGACTCTTTGCTAATAATATTGATTTCAATTGATGTCTCATGAAATTAATCCCATTACTTCAGTATCTTGAACACATTCATTTATCCACCTTGAATATATTCACCTATAATTATTTAGTAAGAATTTAATGAGAGATTAGTGTGCTAGGTACTTGTTAAACTAAAACTAGTTATGAAATATAATGCCTGTCTGCTAAGAAATTTAGAGTGCCTGTACAAACATATCTACTATGATATATAGTACATTCATATATAATATATATGTGTATGTATATGTTTGTATTTTGTTAATTTTATTTTTAATTGACAAGTATAAATTGTACATGTTTATGGTTTGTAACATATTTCATATATGTATACACTATGCAGTGGCTAAACTATATGCCTTTCCTAAAATACTTATTGTTTTCTTGTGGCAAGAACATTTAAAATCTACTTTTAGCAATATTAAATTATACAATATATTGTTATTAACGGCAGCCATCATGATGTAATATAAATCTCTTAAACTTATTGCTCCTATCTAAATGAAATGTTATGTCATTTGACCAACATCTCCCCAATCCTCTCACTCACCCCAACTTCTGATAATCACCATTTTATTCTTTGTTTCTGAGTTTGACTTTTACACTCCACATATAAGTGAAATCATGCGGTATTTGTCTTTTTGTACCTGGCTTATTTCAATTAGCATAATGTTCTTTAGGTTGAACTATGTTGTCAAAAATG
This sequence comes from Homo sapiens, assembly GCF_000001405.40. NCBI lineage: Eukaryota > Metazoa > Chordata > Mammalia > Primates > Hominidae > Homo > Homo sapiens. The sequence goes on along the minus strand of NC_000006.12, from coordinate 71,947,389 downwards.
ACAGGATTTTCTTTTATAAGGTTGAACAGTATTCCATTATGTATATATACCACTTTTTCTTTATCCATTGATCTGTTCATGTACAGAGGTTGATTCTATATCTTGGCTATTGTGAATAATGTTTCAATGAACATGGGAGTACAGATATATATTCACCAAACTGATTTCATATTTTTTGGATATATATATCCAATAGTGGCATTGCTGGAGAGAAAAGGGTTCCCTTTTCTCTATATCCTTGCCAACACTTGTTACCATTCATCTTTTTTATATTAGCCATTTTAACGGTGTAAAGTGATATCTCACTGTGGTTTTAATTTGCATTTTTCTGAGAATTAGTGATGTTGAGCACTTTTTCACATATCCGATGGCCAGTGGTATGTCTTCTTTTGAGAAATGTTTGTTTAGGTCTTTTGTCCATTTTTTAATCAGGTTATTTATCTTTTTGCTACTGAGTTGTTTGAGTTCCTTTTGTGTTTTGGATACTAACCTCTTATCAGATGTACATTTTGCAAATATATTCTCTAAAACCCTAGGTTGTCTCCTCATTCTGTTTATTGTTCTCTTGGCTGTGCAGAAGATTTTTAGCTTGATATCATCCCACTTGTCTATTTTTTTTTTGCTTTCGTTGCCTATACTTTTGGGGTCATACCCAAAAATTATTTTCCCAGGCCAATGTCACAGAGCTTTTCCTCTAAGTTTTTCTTGTAATAGTTTTAGAGTTTCAGGTCTTACATTTAAGTGTTTAATTCATTTTGAGTTGATTTTTGTATATGGTGTGAAATGAGGGTTTAATTTCTTTCTTCTTCAAGTGGATATCTAGGTTTCCCAGCACCATTTATTGAAGAAACTGCCTTTTCCCCATTGTGTGTTCTTAGCATCTTTGTCAAAGACAAATTGACCATAAATGCATGAATTTATTTCCATGCTCTTTATTCTGTTCCATTGATCTACATGTTTGTTTTTATGCCAGCACTATGCTGTTTTGATTACTACAGTTTTGTGGTAAATTTTCAAATTAGATAGTGTGATGGCCCCAGCTTTGTTCTTCTTGTTCAAGATTGCTTTGGCTAGTCAGGGTCTTTTGTGGTTTCATATGGATTTTAGAATTGTATTTTTCTGTTTACTTAAAAAATGTCATTGGAATTTTGATAGGGATTGCATTGAATCTGTAAATCATTCCAACCCATGAACACAGGTATCTTTCCATTTATTTGTGTTTTCTTCAATTTCATAGATTAATGCTTTATAATTTTAAGTGTATAGATCTTTCACCTTCTTGGTTAAATTTATTCCACAGTATTTTATTTTATTTTTTGAAGCAAGTGTAGATCGGATTATTTTCTTGATTTCTCTTTTGGATTTTGCTTTTGTATCAGGTAACTCTACTCAATTCATTCATCAGTTCAAACAGTTTTTTGGTGGAATATTTAAGGTTTTCTGAAACCCCATCTCCACTAAAAAATACAAAAATTAGCTGAGCGTAGTGGCAGGTACCTGTAATCTCAGCTACTTGGGAGGCTGAGGCAGGAGAATCGCTTGAACCCAGGAAGCGGAGGTTGCAGTGAGTTGAGATCATGCCACTGCACTCCAGCCTGGGCGACAAGAGTGAAACTCCATCTCCAAAAAAAAAAAAAAGATTACATCATCTGCAAACAAAGACAATTTAACTTCTTCCTTTCCAATTTGGATACCTTTTCTTTCTTTCTTTTGCTTAATTGCTCTGGCTAGGGCATCCAGTATTATGTTGAATAGAAGTGGTGTGAGTGGGCATCCTTGTCTTGTTTCTGATCTTAGGAAAAAAGGTTTCAACTTTTCACTGGTGAGTATGATGTTAGCTATGGGCTTGTCATACATGATCTTTATTGTGTTCATGTATTCAATACTCTGAGGCCTGGGAGGCTTATTTATTTGTACTGTCAATAGAATTCCTTCCCTCTAGCTCTGGATTGGTCTTGCCAATGAAAGGGACACACAGGCAAACTAGAAGGTGAAGAGTGAGCTGGATGAGGTATTTATCCCCACAGCACCCTGCCTTTTAGATCATATCCATGTGTATGTCCCTCCAGTGCTGTGTCCCTTTACTGAGAGCTGCAACCCTCAATATCTCTTTTTTTCCCCATAGCTGTCTTTCTGTCTTTCAGAATTCTTTCTCCTTATTCTTTCAGGACTGGGGAGGCACAGTCCTCTGCTGTTACTGGCTCTGAATTACTTCACCATCTTTTGCTGCTTGTCGTAAGTGCTGCCCACATTTTTGTAGCTAGTCTTTTTATTAAACTCTGTCCAAATTACCACTTTTTCCATGCCATCTCTTTCCTACTAGAACCCTACTAGTACAGGAGATAATTTAGATAGAGGTCTTGAAAGTTTGCACATAGTAACTCAGGAAAACATAGATGTTATACTTTTCTGTATGGGGCCAAATCTGCAGGACCCTTCCCTTTACCACCTCTGTTACTATCTAGACCCCTGTTACTACCTTTAAGATAACAACGCAATGTCTAAATAATTCATTGAAAGTCAGTGGTACATTGTCAAAAAAGAGCTTTTTCTATAATCTAGATAAATATCAATGTATGATCTGAATGCCAGTGCATACATTGTAATATTTTAGTTGAGTACTCTTCGGCCGACATCTCACATGATTTCTATGTAGATCACGAGATAAAGTCCACACACCAATGTTACAAATGGATTTTATTGATAATGTTATGAAATCTTTAGCCTGTTTTTCATAAAAATTCTCCAGCCTTATTTCCCATTATTTTCTCTCACTTCTCAATGGTCTCACTACTTTTCTGCCTCACACCAGGATGGCAACTTCCCTTTCTCTTCTCTCTAACACCCACTTCACACCAACTGTACATTTTCTAATATTACTCCATCTTCCTCAACATAGCCTTCAATCCCTCTCTCACATCAGAGTTAAGCAAAGCTTCCCAGAATGGTTGCACGTTATGCCCCGACAAGTGCCGGCTTGTCCTCCACTCCCAACACTGTGCCCCAGGTAGGAGGCTACAACCTCAAGAGAAAGGGGTGCCTCTTCTTCTCTACACAATTCTATGCTTATACATCTATTTTCTAACAATCTTCTCAAAATTATGCACACAGCATTCACTTACAAGTCTTAAGCAATACAGAATCACATACATGTATGTAGCCTATTTTTAAATACTAAACATCTCATTAGTTAATTTTTGTAATAAGACGCATTATGAAGATGAAAATAATACCTAATTCATCTTAGATTTTACATTAACCATAATAGTATTTTACCAAGTAATAGATGTAATGTTTAAAGAGTTTGACAGGCATCATCTATTTTAGGCATTATATTTTATGTAGGCATGATATGTTTCAAGAAAATTAAGTAAAAATGATTAATTAAAAAGTTTTAAAGGAATTTGATTTCCTATATTACACGTTAAAATTTCTAACTAAACAATTTGTATCTGTTGAATAATATTAGAATAACTTAAGTTTATCAGTTTGTAAGTTCCTATCACTTAATAGACTGAAGCCATTAAAGACTTTGGATTGGCAATTTTACATGTGAGGGCTTCCACTCAAAGAATGGATCATAACTTTAGTGTTCGAATACGCCATCGGAAAGCTGATACGCTGAAATGATTTGGAAGCAAAATAACTATGACAGCTACAATTTTGACATTTATAATAATTAACTGCTGCTTTTGAAAGGAAAAAATGCTTATTGCCTATATTATTATATATTAACTGCCCTTTAGTAACCAGCTTGCATTATGCTGCATTCACACTAACAGCCGGTCCTTTGATGTGTACAGAATCACTGCATCATTAGAATTACTGATTATTAAAGCAGTGCTAAATTTAAGCACAGGTAAAAATTCAACAAATTAAAGAGGAAAGTTTGTCCTTCTCAAAGAGTGACTGGTTCCTCATCCATGTTGAACATTTTTTCACAGAAATCACAAATTCTAACCCACTCAGAATGATGAGTCTTTGGGCAAAAAGTGTTTGGGATAATCCAGTGGGAAATTATATATAAAGTCATCCCTCCTAGACAACCTTAAAATTAACAGAAATCAACAAATTGTTCCCAAAGGAATCTTGTTCTGATTGATCACCAGTATAATGGGTTTCAAATAGCTAAGCATAGTCAGAAATTATGGTAACCAAATTAGAAAATTATAGTTAAAATTTGAGGGTACAATGTCACCTAAAAATAGTTCAAGCTACAAATGAAAATTAATTATTTACAACTCAGTGGTAGGTAAAAATATTTTTTCTTTCTTTTCATAAAGACATGCCAGTACTATTTTAGTAGTAACCATGGTATGTGAGAACATATTCAAATAAACTGGACGGTATCTTGACTCTTTAAAATACAAGTTATAATATATTTTGACTTACATCTTATCTTAATACATGTCTTTCCCTTTTAGTACTCATTTTCCCTTTTTAAAGCACAAGTCGTTAAATACTTATGGTTAGTTTTAATATTTATATAAATTTACATTTAATATTTGTACACATTTTTCACTTAAAAGTAGTGCTCAAAATTAGTGCATGTTTAGATAAATTGTCCATGGATAAACACATATATTCAGAGATTCAGAAAAAATTATAATTTATAAGCATCTAATTTTTATATGTGATATTCTTTTTTTATTCTTGATTCAAAGCTAATTTTTTTGTCACTTTTGATATCTCTTTACAAAATACCAGGTAACTTCTGATAATATAGTAACAGGTTATACATTTTTAAAAAACAAACAAAAAACCCTCCAGGAATCTAAAAGAGCTACCTGTATCTCTGTGTTGCTTAACAAATGTTACAATTAAACGTAGCATAAAACTATAACCATAATATATAATGTACATAAAATATGCTGTGGAAAAATAACAAAGTATTTTACTATACATGTTTGAATATTTTGACATCCAAATAAAAAATTCCAATTGCCAGAATATATGTATAATATCTATATAAACCAAGGAAAATGACCTCTACTAAAAATATTTAACTAAATTTAGAGTGATCAATTTTAGGTGTCATTTACAACCTAAATGATTCCTCTCTATGGAGTCTAGTCAAGGGAGGATTTAAGCAGTTCATTTTTAATTCTTATATTAATGGCACAGCAATGAACATAGAATTAGTTGCCTGACTCAGTTTTAGCAGTTATGGAGTTACCTATACTGGCCTTACACACGGAGTCAATGATTGCCATATGCTATGTTTAAGGCCGTGACAAGGAATTCCATGAAGATCTGCAGAATAAAAGAAAGTGCTCTCAGTCTCCACTCTGGCACCATGGTGGTGCATACTGTCACTCCTCAACATTCTAAAGCATAGTACTAGAAAACCCAGAAAGAAAGGGAAAGAAGATAATTTGACCAATCAGTGCCTACACCTACATCTACCAAGGATTTGTTCTTTCAAAGGCAAGCTGTCAACTGGCAGAAAAGACAGTCTTGTAAAACTGGCATCAAATTAGAAGAGTACTGATGGGAAGTGACTGTTAATTTCCTGTATGGTCCTGGACCCCCTATTCCAGATCACGAAGCCTAGGCTTGCCCTGGATTGGTGTAGCACCTGGTCAAAAGCTGTAATGTATGAGTTCTGAAAGATAATGTCCCACGAAAACCAAGCAGACAATTCAAGCCAAGTTTTACTCAGAAGAATCTGGGCAGAGAAGCAGTAAGTAGGAATGTGACAAGTAGATTCAAAGCAGACATAATATGGAGCAAAAGGCTAGCTCCACCAGCTGGAGATATTGTGGAGGAAAGGGCTGACTTCTGTGCAGCAAGAAACAGAAGAAAGGATGAGAGAACTCAGAAGATGGCATAAGAAGGGGAAGAAAACCCTGCATATTAGACCACAGCAAAAAATAAAATCAAATTGCTACATCAATCATCAAAAATGAGGGACAAGTAAAGAAATGTAAATAAAACATGGAATGTGAAACAATAACAGAACAATATTTATAACACACTTCTATGTAAAAAGGCAGGTGATAATGGATATTCCAATTATGATTGCCACTTTTGTAAAACAAATGTGTATAACTAGCAAAAGATGGGATAGATAAATCCAACAGAATGCAAACAGTAATTATCTTTAAGTAGTGGGTAAATTTTATTTTCTTTCTCTTAGTTTAGGTACAATACTTTTATACAATAAAAATTATTTTTATAATTAGAAAAACATATTTATTCATAAAAAGGATAAATGGACAATTACATAGGTTTATTCGGTGAGTACTGAACTAAATATGCCCGGGTGAAAAAAAACTACATTGATACATCATGATATAAGGAAAAAGGAATTATATTTGTCAAAATCATAGACCTGAACAAGCCAGCCTTAAGGTTCTCCTCAACTTGACTAAATTTTCGACAAGTTTCTTCCTGACTATGAGACCCTGACTTCCCATTTCTCAAAGCATTTACTTAAAAAAAAACCTTGCAATTATAAACTTTTTCTCAGCCCTTTTGAGACATAAATCTTCTGAGCCTCTTGCCAGTTTCACAACCCTAACATGTCTTTTTTCAAGGACCTGGGAGCCATCCCTTTGAAATGTAATCTTAACAGAAGATAGTGCCCCTAACTCCCTTCTCTGTGGAATGGGGAAACCTAACTTCCATTAAGTGCCAATTATCAAACACAGATGGCCTAATCCCATTGGCCAACTTACCTCGCCAAATCTTCCATTACTTTTCCATGAGCTCACCCTAGCACTTGAAAATCCTTCTGCATTTTGTTTTAGCAGAATTCAGTTCAATCTCTCTCCCCTATTGCAATAGTTTTAACCCTTATTGCAATAGTCTTGAATAAAGTCTTCCTTGCCCATTTAACTCTGCACAGTACATTTTTCTTTGACAGACCACACTTTACTTGTGGGCAAGTTTACTGTGCTTTTAAAAGCACTCTCTTTGACCCATTCCATGAGATTGGTAGTTCAGCATTCTTCTTCACTCTTCCATCCATGCAACCATATTGATATAGTAATATCCTAAGGTTTAAATTTTTGCAGAGAGTTTAGATTTTTGCTGGACTCCATGTGTGAACCCTGTGTTTAGCAGAATTTCCAGTGTGATTTTGAAAAATTCTGCCAGCTGATAGTACAGTAATATTTTATTTCATCTTTGGATATATGCTACTATAGTAATGCTTGTGAAAGGAGCAAGAACAGAAATATGGATGTGATTGGAAGAAAGAATTCCAGAATCTCAGTTAAAATGCCATCCCATAGCCCCAAACACCACTGTAATTCCTAATAAGAATGATCATTATAACTTGAGTAGTTATTAAGGAACAGACACCATCCTTCATGACAATGGTCTTATTTAATGTTCATAGCAACACAGTGAGGTGAATATGGTGATTATCATCATTCAGATAAGGAAATTAAAAATCAGAGAACTTTATTAATTTGTCTAAGTTCACACAGATACTTAGTAACAGAGCAGGTATTTAACTCCAGGCCCAGTAGCTCCATTTACCACTATTTGGTTATTTCAAATTGAGTTATTTATCTCAGGAGGCCAAATTAGAGTTAGTAATATTAACCACTGTTTGAATGTCTCCTCCAAAACTCATATGGTAACTTAACTGCCATTGTAACAGTATTAAGAGGTGGAAACTTTAAGCGGTTATTAGGTCATGAAAGCTCTGCCTTCATGAATAAATTAGATCAATTATAATGGAGTTTGGTCCCCTTTATCCCTCTTTGTCTCTTGCACTCTCACTTTCTCTACCATTTGTTGCCTTCCACAGTGTTAAGTTGCAGCAGGAAGGCCCTTAACCAGATGCAGCCCCTCCATCTTGAAATTCCCAGCCTCCAGAATTGTGAGGCAAATATACCTCTATTTTTAATAAATTATCTAGTCTGTGATAGTCTGTAATAGCTGCAGAAAACAGAGTAAAAGAGAAAATTGGTACTGGAAGAGGGCTTGTTGCTATAACAAATATCTGAAAATGTGGAAGCAGCTTTGGAACAGGGTCATGTGTACAGATTGGAAGAAACTGGAGAAGTGGGCTACCAAAAGCCTGTATTGCCAGGAGTAGAGCATGAAGATTGATCCTGGTTAGAGCTTAGGAGAGGAGAGCTGTAGGAAAAGTCTAGAACTTCTTAAAGATTACTTGAGTGATCAGAATGTTGATAGAAGTATGGAAAGCAAAGGCCATTCTTATGACATCGCAGATGGTACTAAGGAACAAGATATTGGAAACTGGAGTAAAGGCCATCTTTGTTATATAGTTGCAAAGAATTTGGCATAACTGTGTCCACATCCTAGGAATTTATGGAGTGCATAATTTAAGAGAGATAAATTAGGATATCTGATAGAAGAAATACCTAAACAGCAAAACATTCAGCATTCAGGCTGCTGGGTGGCTTCTTTTAACTGCATACAGTGAGATGTGAGAGGAAAGAAATGACTTAAAGACAGAATTTATAACTTAAAAGGAAGTAGAATGAAAAGATTTGGAAAATTCACAGCCTGACCATGTAAAGAGTGAAAAGATGTTTTTTAGGAGAGCAAACCGAGGGTGTGATCAAAGGACTGTTTGATATAGAGATAAGTATAGATAAAAGGAAGCCAGGTACTATGCCTTCAAAAGACAATAGGAGAAAGACCCTAAAAGCATTTCAGAGACATTCAAGGTTGCCCCTCCCATCACAGGTCCAGAGCTGTAGGAAGGCAGGAATGTTTCAGGGGGTGGGCCCAGCGTACCCACCATGTTCACTCCCCAGAGCCACCTCAGGTTTCTGCTCCCTGAATTCTGGCACAGTGCTCTGTGGCCACTCCAGCCACAGCTCATGCATGTCCAGGTGTGGCTTGACCTGCCACTCTGGAAGATACAAGCCATAAACATGAACGGAATCCATGTGGTGCTAATTTTTCAGGCATGCAGAATGCAACAGTTGTGTAGGCATAGTGTTGTCTACATAGACGTCAAAGAATGTCATGGACAGAAACTATTGTGGGGTGAGGCCATGACAGAGAGCCCCTACTAGGGCAATGCCAAGTGCACATGTGAAGTCAGAGCTGCCACAGAGTCCCCACAAGGGCAATGTTTAGTGGAGCCATGAAAGCAAGGCCACCTCAGAGACCCTAGAACAGTACATCCACCACCAGCATGCAACTCTAGCATGGGAAGACTGCAGGCACAACTCCAACCTACCCCCTCAGTGTGACCTGGATGTGGGACATGGAGTCAAAGGAGATTATTCTCCAGCTTTAAGACTAAATTTTGTTTACACTCTTGGGTTTTCGACTTACTTGGGACCAGTTACTCCTTTATTCTTGCCTGTATCTCCCTTTTGGAATGAGAATGTTTATCCTGTGGCTGTCTCACCATTGTATTTTGGAAGTAGACAACATGTCTGATTTCACAGCTAGAGGAAATTTGCCTCAGGACGAATCATGCCTTGAGTCTCACCCCTATTTTATTCAGATGAGACTCCGGATTTTGGACTTTAGAGTTGAAGCTGGAATGAGTTAAGATTCTAGAGGCTAATGGAATGGAATGAATATATTTTGTATGTGAGAAGTACATGAGTTTAGGGGACCCAGGGTAGAATTCTATGATTTAACTGTCCTCTTCATAATTTATGTTGAAATATAACTGACATTGAAACAATATTAAGAGGTGGGACCTTTAAGAGGTGATTAGGCTCTGTCCTCATGAATGGACTGATGCCATTATCACAGGAGTTCAGCCCCCATTTTCCCTCTCTGTCTCATGTACTCTCACCCTCTCTCACCATGTGATGCCTTCTGTCATGTTATGATGCAGCAAAAAGACCCTCACCAGCTGTGGCCCTTAATCTTAAAATTCCCACCTCTGGCCAGGTGTGGTGGTTCATCACTGTAATCCCAGCACTTTGGGAGGCCCAGGAAGGCAGACTGCTTGAGCCCAGGAGTTTGAAACCAGCCTGGGAAACGTTGCAAAACCCTGTCTCTATAAAAAATACAAAAATTAGCTGGGCGTGCACCTGTGGTTTCAGTTACTCAGGATTCTAAGGTGGGAGAATCGCTTGAGCCTGGGAGGTTGAGGCCACAGTGAGCTGTGATTGCACCAGTGCACTCTAGCCTGGGTGACACAGTAAGACTCTACCTCAAAAAATCAATTAATTAAATTAAAAAAAATTTCCATCTACAGAACTATAAGCCAAATACATTTCTATTCTTTATAAATTACCTATTCTGTGGCAATCTGGCATAACAGCAGAAAATGGACTAAGACACTGTTCCCCATTAGTTTGACTCTGAAAAGTGCTTGCCTCTGTTAAGCCTACACAGGTAAGTTGAAGCAGAAAAGCCAATAGTTACACTGGCTAAAAGGAAAGCACCGACCATCAGCTGGTGAGACCAAAGAGGTAAGCCAGAGAGTGATGCCTCTTCTCAAGCTCCTCCAGATTCCCAGAGTTTTACAGCAGAACTGGACAGTGATAGAAAGCTAATACTTTAGTCTTCCCTGACTGTCAGCCATTTGACTACACCACTGTTCAGCTGATGGTTAAGAGAACTGTAAAAGGACGTGGGGAGTGACTTCTAATTCTACTGTACACACAACCCCCTTTAGCAAAAGTGGGCTTTACAGAGATTCCTTATTCAGAATCAGTTTTACAAAACGGATGCGGCACTGGATAAAGAGTAGTCACCAGAAGGCATTTTATTCCCCAAAGCCAAAAACAATCTTCTAAGACTCCTCTCATCTACCAGATCATTCTCTAAACTCAGCTATTTGTGTGCTTAATTCCAACATAAAAACACAAAAATCTAGGGCATGTTCCATAGAGGAAGCTTTATTTTCTTTCTCAAGATAACACTGTTCATTGTTCTAAATTACTATTTCCAAAGGGAAGAACTGAACTAAACATTCTGCTTTGTGTGGGCATTTTATTGGTTTTTTGTTGATTAGTTTTGCTTTAGGTGGTGTAGGGAGGCAGCTGGTTAACTAATCCACAGGTGCAGAACCCTTTTACTCGTACTTTACAGTCATCAGTCCCTTATAACCATCCCTCACACCTTCCTTTTCTTTTCTTTTTTTTTTTTTTTTTTTTTTTTTTGAGACGGAGTCTCGCTCTGTCGCCCAGGCTGGAGTGCAGTGGCGCGATCTCGGCTCACTGCAAGCTCCGCCTCCCGGGTTCACGCCATTCTCCTGCCTCAGCCTCCCGAGTAGCTGGGACTACAGGCGCCCGCTACCACGCCCGGCTAATTTTTTGTATTTTTAGTAGAGACGGGGTCTCGATCTCCTGACCTCGTGATCCGCCCGCCTCGGCTTCCCAAAGTGCTGGGATTACAGGCGTGAGCCACCGCGCCCGGCCCACACCTTCCTTTTCTTCAAGCTTAAAACTGTGTTCTATCAGCGCCCAAAGGACAGTCACTGGGATTTCTCAGTATTTTCTTTCTGAGATATGAACTGGAGAAGTTACCTGGTCAGCTTCCAGCATAAACAGCCATGATTAATTTTTCAATAGTTCATACTTTCAGTTGTGATTCTTTGGTGCTCCCGGTGAAAGATTACTTCAGGAAAATTTCTATGTCCATAATATTTTAGAGAGAACAGCAGAAATCATGAGAGGGAGATTTTGAAATTGTGTTCGCAGAATCTACTTTAAACTTTTAGTCATGGCTTTGACAGCACAGGAGAAAGTCCAGCCAGTTCCTGCAGCCCTCAGTTACAACTCGTATTTGTACATATTTTTAAGAGCATATCAGGATGGGTCTGAGTCCAGACAGGACAGACAGAGCAATAAATAGGAAGAGAGGCCAACAGCAAACGGGCCAGAGGGAAAATATTTATAAAAGCAAGAACAAGCTATTTTGTTCCTTTAATTTGCCCAGCTACCACATCTACACCAAACCACATTTGCTTAAGAAAACCCTATGCTTTTTAAAACATTTTTAACAGATTTTAATTATGTGATTATAAATTTTTTGTTTTTTTCTTATCAAAATGAAAACAACACATATGTGAAAATATATGGCATCAGAAAAATTCTTCATAACACTTAAATCAGGTAAGATTGTGTCTGACATACTATTAATTGATACATAAATTATCTTGTCTTGCTTACAGAATGAGATATGGGGTGGAAAGGAAATCCTTTTGCCTCATCAATCCATATGACTTGATAAAATATTGACTCTTCATCTCTGTTTGAATTCAAGAGTTTTCAATATAACACCTAACTTAGTATTCTGAGAAGTGAGAGGAAAGGGTTAATTCTTTAGGTTAATTTTTGTCTCACTCAGAACTGCAAGGAAAGCTCCAAGGAAACCGATCCATCTGGCTACCTTAGGATGATGCTTTCTCTCTGTATATTTTTTCCCCACTCAAACTGCACTTACTTAATTTGTCTTTTTATTCAACTTGCTTACTTTATCACTGGTCTCAATGTTAAAAATAGTTCAATTTTAGGGTTTTAATTCTGAATTTTATCTCACCTCTATTGTTACAGGTGAACATACATGCACACATGAACACAAATACACATTAATTCTAGAAGAAAAGGTGGTTTTTCTACAAATACAATTCAGGGGCATTTATAAATAAACATAATAATGGCAGAGCGCTCCAATAATCGCACAGGTGTGCTTCAGATATTTAATATTAAACAGCAGGAATTTGGTGTCATTTGAGAGTTATTCCTAGGAGACTGAGTCCAAGATCAAAGTCTGCATTAACCTTTTTTCCTCTTCAATTAGCCAGCACTAATATAATCCCGCTAATATTGATTCCCCTTCCTTCCCACAATGACTAATCTATAAATCTCAGTAATGCTAGCAATGCCCACCTACAATTAGTGTGATTAGTGAACTACTGTATTTATCTCAAAAGATAAACATATGGTAATTAAAAGATAACTGTTAAGTATAAAATATTGAGGGCTGCTAACATTACAACCTAAAAACAAACGTGTAACAGCATTAGAAGTTACAGTGACGAGCAGGGTAAACAGCTAGGGAGGGTGACTGAGTACAGTAGGGTATTTTTAGGTAGATAATTGTAATACTTGAAAGCTGACAAACTGTGATTCATCGCAACCTATATTCAGTGTTAATATGTTCCGTATTTATTTCTGGCTTTTATGTTAGGCGCCAAGAGTTTTCAAACCACTCTGACTATAAACTTGAAAACAAAGACAACAGTTATGTGTTTTAAATGATTTGCTGAAGCAAATACCAGAGGTAATGTTGGGTCAAGCTGATATAAAAGTGCTCTAGGGAACTCTTGGAATTTAATTTTAACTGAACTAAGCACACACTGATGCTCACCCTTTTACTCCCACATCCCGGATCTTCTGCACAGGGTTGAGAGAGAACTTAAAACTGTACTGCCATGGAAACTTGAGGAGGTGGGAGAGTTCTCCAGACACTAATTCAAGTATACCTTTACCTGCAATCATCAAAGTTATGGATTTCCCTTAGTCCAGTAAGGCCCACAAAGTAAGAGGTTCAGGTTGGACTTTTGTTTTGCATATTGTGTTTTTATAAAATTATTAAATAATTAAAAGATATATTAAGGTGTTCCTAAGATTTGAAATTATTTCAAATGGATAGTAATTGGATGGTATCAGCTCTGGAACGACTGTGTTAGAATGGAAATCTGATTGGAAGAAAGTCCTATGAAACTCTTTTGAAGCTAATTTCATATTGTATTTTAATACAACTTGTGTGTGTGTGTGTGTGTGTGTGTGTGTGTGTGTGATTGAGGAAGAGCTGATAGACATTTATATGAGGGAAGTAGGGCAGCTAAAATCCTCTCCCTCACACCATCTCTTCTCTCTGCCACTGGTATTTTGGTCTTCAAAAATTCAAAGGGAAATTATGTATCAATAAAAAAGTCCATTTCCGTTTCCAGTGTAATGCAGATGGTCAAATACATAGATGCATATTTCTCCATAATAACTGAATACTTTGTCAGATAATTGCAATTACTATTTGTTGAACAAATAATATAGATTAGAGCATCTACTGTGTGCCAGGCACCATGATTGACTCTGTGATACAAAGATCAACGACTCAGTAGATCAGAGTCAACTGGGGAGAAAGACAAGAAAACACACGGGGAAAAGAGTGGGATGATGAATGCCGAGGTGAAAACAGACAAACCTACTAGGGTACATGAGAGGATACCTCAGGTAGAAGTGGAGTCAGAGGAGGTTTCACAACAGACATAGCCCCAGAAATTAATCTACTTCTGTTTCACAATTTTTCCACCCTTCACTGCTTCCTGTTCTATCCTCTTTCTCTTTATCTTCCACCTTACTCCCCACTCTCCCATTCTTTATACATATCTGAAGCACTGATGATATGCCTTTGATAATAGGAAGTACAAATCACTAGAATGCAAATTCCTTGATGGGATGGATTATTGTCAGTTTGGGTCGCTATTATATCCTTTAATGCCTAGAACAGCACCTTGCACATAAAAGTATGTGCTCAGTAAAATGTATTTCAAAAAGGAATATTAGGAGCCCAATGAAGAATTTTAAATTTATGTTCCTTTTGCTCCTCTATCTTTTTTTATAATTTTTTTCCAAACATGTCACTTTTATGAAGTTTCTTTTCTCAAATTAACTTACTTCCCAATCTCACTCCACAAAATTTTACCATGGGATCATGATAATACATGCCTATAGTTCCAGCTGCTCTGGAGGCTAAAGGAGAAGGATTGCTTAAGCCCAGGAGTTAGAGACTAGCCTGAGTGAGCAACATAGTGCACAGTAAAACCCCATCTCTTTTTATTATTATTACTTTTTATTTGAAGTTCAGGGGTACAAGTGTAGGTTTGTTACACAGCTAAACTTGTGTCACAGGGGTTTGTTTTACAGATTATTTCATCACCCGGATTTTAAGTCTAGCATCCATTAGTTATTTTTCCTGATCTTCTCCCTCCTCCCACCCTCAACCCTCTGAAAAGCCCCATTGTGTGTTGTTCCCCTCTATGTGTTCATGTAATCTCATCATTTAGCTCCTACTTATAAGTGAGAACATGCAGTATTTAGTTTTCTGTTCATGCCTTAGTATGCTAAGAATAATGGCCTCCAGCTCTATCCATCTCCCTGCAAATAACACAATCTCATTCTTTTTTATGGCTGCATGGTATTCCGTGGTTATATGCATCACATTTTCTTTAGCCAGTCTATCACTGATGGGCATTTAAGTTGATTATATGTCTTTGCTATTGTGAATAGCTGCAATGAACATACGTGTGCATGTGTCTTTATAATAGTATGATTTATATTCCTTTGGGTATATACACAGTAATGGGGTTGCTGAGTCAAATGGTATTTCTGTCTTTAGGTCTTTGAGGAATTGCCACTCTGTCTTCCACAATGGTTGAACTAATTTACACTTCCACCAACAGTGTATAAGCATTCCTTTTTATCCACAACCTTGCCTGCATCTGCTATTTTTTGGACTTCTTAATAATAGCCATTCTGACTGGTGTAAGATGGTATCTCACTGTGGTTTTGATTTTTGTGTTTCTCTAATGATCAGTGATGTTAAAGCTTTTTTTAATACAATTGCTGGCTGCATGTATACCATTCCGGGACATAGGCACAGGCAAATATTTCATGACAAAGATGCCAAAAGCATTTACAACAAAAGCAAAAATTGACAAATGGGATCTAATAAAACTAAAGAGCTTCTTCACAGCAAAAGAAACTATCAATAGAGTAAACAGACAAACTACAGAATGGGAGAAAATTTCTGCAAACTATGCATCCAACAAGGGTCTAATATCCAGGGTCTATAAGGAACTTAAACAAATTTACAAGAAAAAAAAAAGAACCCTATTAAAAAGTGGGCAAAGGACACGAACAGACACTTTTCAAAAGACCTTGTCTCTTAAAAGAAAAAATCCGTGGCATGTTGTAGAACATTTGAATGTCAAGCTATCTTTCCTTGAATGACACTCACTAGTCATCACTAATGATGAATTTGTTGTTATTATTATTATTAGATGACAGATAATTCAATATATCTGCAAATGGCTATTTTTAAATTCCTCTATACATGGTAGAGCTTACTCACTGAAAATAAGATTGTGTTTCTTCGGGTCAAATCTTATATTACTGTCAGATTTTCTTGCTGTTCTCTTTTATATTTCATAAGCATATGTAAATTAGAGTTTGGATGTAAATGCCCTGTATTTAAATATATGACATTAAGCAAGTATTTCTCCTGAGGTCTTACATGACCGCTTTAAATGCAAAATAATTTGATGAAATTATTTAGGGCTTACTATTTTTGAACTGGAAAGCATTAAGTTCCTTAAGGGTCAATGTATTTGAATTCGGTGTTTTAAATAGCAGTTATACAGGAATACATGAAACTATGAACACAAAAATCTATTCCAAGTGTCAAAAACACTAGTGTCAATAATATGCATTTAGTTATATCAGGATTTATTTCTATTTTTAGTGGCTTCATAATATAAAAGGGTCAATATGAGGCCAATCTCTGCTTTGCATATTGAGTAGATGCTGGTCTTTGTGCTTACACTGGTTCTGCTTTTAATCCATTCTGATTTTTCCAGTCCTGACCTTTACCTTAAAGAATCTAAACACTTATACCAGATATCTTCAGATTTGGGTTGTGCTAACATTATTTCCATTTGTAAATCTTCAGGCAAGCTTCAGAGCATAGAGAAAAGATAGTTTTGATTTTCGTTATGAAAAGGAATTTCGAGTTTGTCAAAGACAAGGGAAATCATAGGGGACATATACTTGGACCCGATTCACTCAAAAACCAGTAAAATATTATACAGAAGAGCAGAAGAAAAGAAATTAAAGGAGCCTGGATTCTGATCATGGCTCATAGCCTTCAAAGTAACTACCTGCTGGGCTTCAGTTTTCATCTATAAAACAAGGTAATAGACTGACTAATCTCTAGGGTCTTTCCATCAGCAACAGAAATCTGATTCTACGAAATGTTCAGACCTTCTAAAATCTGAAAGACTAGCATAACAAAAATGATACCAAGTTTTATTGAATTTCAGGTTTTATTATAATAACCTTATTGTTTATCATGTCTGTTATGTCAATTTTAAAAATATTCTAAAATAAATTAAGATGGAAGATATCATATTTAAATAGTCTTGAAATATGTCTCTAAATGTTAATTAGAGCTTTTCTTAATGCCACCATTTAGCGTTATTACAATACTCTTCTGTCCTTTTCTCAGTTGGCAAAGAGTGAGAAATAGTATTGGTAGAAACGAGAATACAACAACATAATGAACTATAAACATTTCAATAGGCCACCTAGTTTATTTTCTTTTTTACACATACATATTTTCATGTATTCACACCCTTATTCCCATTCACTTGGGACTTTCAGGATTTACACAATAAAACCAAGTCTATCTTAATCTGGCAATACTTGTCATCATCTGCATAATGTCATTGACCATTAAAATATTACTCATTATTTCCTCAAATATACAAATAAAAGTTCTCAAAACTAGACTGAAATATTCTGGTTTTTTTTTTCTCAGCAATTGGAATAGACATTTCACACCAAGTTTTACAGAGTCCTGGAGCACATTAGAATCATTCTTATTCTTTCTCACATGATGCCAGTCCCATTAATTTTAATATTAGATGTTAAACATGATAACTTTCATATCTTTCGCGGCCTCAACTGAACTTTTAGAAAAATGTTTTTTTATAATTTAGGGTTTTCAAAACCTCCCTCTAGTGCTGAACTGACCCAGATCTTTTATACTGTATCTTCATTCCATTCCAAATCTTCTCCCTTCTGATTAAAATGGACTTTATGGGAACCAAGTCCTCTTTGAATAGTTTCCTGCCTAAATACAAGACAGGCTTTTCAGAATAGTATATACTGGTTTTCTCCCTTACTAAAATATGTGCTCACCAACTTGTTAAATAGTCTTTTTTCTCTCCAATAATTTTCTTTATTATCATTTTCTCACACTTTCCCCCATTTGACTTCTCCAAATAAAATGTACTTTGTTCTAAATGTGGCATATAAGAGTTTTTAAAAATACAAAATAAAAGCTATCTGCTCCCATGCTGTCACCTCTATGCTCTGATTACCTTCTACCTTCTTTTGAATTACCAAAGTGTTAGTCATTAACTCATGGAGCCAATACTGACCACCAACTGTGTCGGCTCTATACCTGACCCTAGGAACACAGCATGAACTGAAATAGCCTGAAGCTCTGCTCTCATGGAGAGTACCCTCTACCAGGGAAGAGAAACATGAATTAAATAATGATGTAGAAAAACAGAAAATAGACAGTGCAACCCAGACAAGTGCTAAGGAGAGGTGCAAGATGCTGCAATTTCTCTCTTTACTTTCACTAACCAAATTCAGCCTGAAAATGAAGCCTTTCAGTCTCTTACCAAAAAATAGCACAATGTGAGCATGTTTTTGACATATAGTAAATTCCTGATGACACATTAACTTGGCAAAATTTTTCTTTTGAGATTTATTAAACTTTTTCTTGCTTCCTCTCTATTTTTCCCCAGGAAACATCTCATTCAAAATAAGCTATTCTGTGTCAATGATTTTCAACACTGGCTGCATGTTAAAATCATCTGGATGACTCTACTAAGCCCAGGTTCCACCCCTGTAGATTCAAATTCAATTGATGCAGCCTGGGAATCTAGACTTTTAAAATCTAATATGCAGTCAAGATTGAGAAACACAGCTGTATGCAGTGCTCTCTAGAAATTCAAGGACTTGATGAAGAAAAAAAGTATTAGCTAATTTTTAGTCAAAATGATAGATTAGTAAAGAATATATAGATATAAATGTTATTTGAGTGAAATTTCAGTTTGTACATGTTCTTTTCTATAAGAATAGGTATAAACTAAAATTTTCCAAAACTCAGTAATTAATACTGATTTTAATATACCCTCCATAGGATAATCAGATAAAAGATGGAAAAAATAAATTCAAATTTAATCAGTTTAGAGGATATATGTAGAAAGATGGACTTTGAGCATTATTTCAAATAATGACAAGGAAAAACTATCAATAAAGAATTGGTTAAATAAACATTGTTACATGAATACAGTAACATTTAAAATAGTAATGTCATTCTACACATTCTGAATAAAAGGATGATCGGGGTATACTGTTAAATCTTTTAAAAATCGGATTTCAAGAGTTTAATGAAATTATTTATCTGTTGTACCTATATGTGTATACAAAGATGTACGTATAAATACTTATAAATTTGTTTATATATGCAAAGAATGAATGTCTGGAATCATCACATACTTTTCTGCAGAATGTGATTGGGGCAGGGCAAAGAGTTTGTCTTTTCATTCGTACACTAACATATTGCTCATCTGTTACAAAAATGCGCATGCATTCTATTATTTGAAAAATGTAAGATTCCGATTTCTACAATTTCTGCAGACCATACTAACTTTCTAGCTTATGAAAAATATGAAGACTCTTCCATGATTTCAACCATAAAATAACTGTAGAATTCTGTAAAAGATTGTGTAGTTTCAAAAATAAAATTGGCAAGTGGCAATTTATAAATGCTTTCTGCCTACCTGGCAATTGAATTCTATTTTTCAAATATTATAAATTTGTCTTTAATTTTTTATTTTAACATATGTGGTTTTAGGATACTGATGCTAATACATTCCTCTTTTTTCAAAGTAATGATAAAGTTCAAAAAAGAAGAGCTAACCATTAGTTGGTATGTGGCCAGAATATTAAGGAGTATAGATTTCCCTAGAAATTAAACAATAATCTTCGGTATAATTCAATAATATATTTCCCTACTATGTAATCAAAAATAATCCTAACATATTTTCACACAGTCAAGTTCACAGTCATGTATTTCATACTGTATGCCCTTGAGAATTTCAACGAATTTTGTCTAATCAGTCAATTAATAACATCTGCCTTTATTCACCCAAGACTAGCCTTTTAATTCTAACTCACTGTGACTTTTTTTTATTCATCACAGGATACACTTATACATATTCAACATTGTTTGAGTTTATTATGTTATGCAGTTAACTGTAATAATTTTACAAACCATTGCACAAAATTGTGCAGTACCAAGTAAGAAAATTGTGAATCAGTCCGAATGTCTTTATCCTTCAGAGTAACTCTGTTAAGTTTATATTAAGTAGCCATGTTCTGTTAATCTAAAATAGAAGGTTGCTGAAGAGAGTAGAGTGGTACACAGGTATTGAGAAAGATTCTTCTATTCTCTCCATTTTCCTGTCTTAGAGTGAATATATATGTGGATAAATTATTAATTGCCATTCATTTCTTCTAAATTTTTTTCTGCCTTCTTTCTGTACCTCTAATCAGTTCAGATAAAGTTCACTTTGGAATGGCAGTACTTTGGAATGGCAATATGGCAAAGTGAAAAGAACACTCACTTTGGATCCAGACTCAGGATATAGCTTGGTTTGCCATTTATTGGGTGTATAAGCTTCACTCTGTTTTCTAATATTTGAAAGGAATTTAATAACACCTATTCATCCTTCTATTCTACACCCCGCACAATGCCTATTATCTCTGCTGGTCTAGGTGGTATTTAACAAATATTATATCCTGATTTTGTAAAATGATATCATGAATCGTACCTATGTAGTTAAAATTCACATCATGACTAATACAAAAGTTACTAGGCTGGTGTTAACTTAGAAGTTAAACACTTAGAAGTGTTTGGGCTGCTGTTATATCTTGAATTCTATAATAGGTTTGTTCATTAACTTAATTGACGGGTATCAACCATATCCCCAAAGTAAGTAATAGGAATATTTGGTCTTTCATTATAGTGAAGAAATGAGAGACAAGTTTGGGTTTGTTTGTACAATGCTGAGCAGAGATCTATGTGGACATGTAAAAATTAAATCAGCTTTATATAGATGACTTTATAGCAGTATTTTAATGTGTGTTATATTCTTTCATACTTGAAAATATTGGGTCTTTAAATCTGTGTCATTATTAATGTGACCTGAGATGGAAGACTTTTGTACAGCTAAACATGGGAAAGTTTTCTAGAGGAGAAAAATATTTTTAGTTTAGCAATTCAAAGTTCATATCTAAAGTTACTGAATTAATTGGGCACTTCACCAATTCTCTATCTAATAGATTAAACATATAATAGAATCTTTGGTGATATTTTAAAAAGCACCAGAAGGGCTGGGCGCAGTGGCTCAAACCTGTAATCCCAGCACTTTGGGAGGCCAAGGCAGGTGGATCACAAGGTCAAGAGATGGAGACCATCCTGGCCGACATGGTGAAACCCCTGCACTCCAGCCTGGTGACAGAGTGAGACTGGGTCTCAACAACAACAACAATAAAAAGAGTGTATTGACTTTTGAGAGTAACGGTTGAAATGGGGAGAGAGCAGAAATGTTCTGTTTTTTGATATGCTGGGTGGTTACAAGGATGTATTCACTTTATGAAAATGTATCAAGTTGTCTATTCATGATATGTTAACTTTTCTTCATGTATATTTCAGTAAAAACATTTCTTGTAAAAAAATCCACAGGGATAATACCTGTAAAATAATGTAATTGGTAAGACAACAACATGGTTGTCCAAAGACATAATCACTTGGACTAAAGCCAATCCTTAGTTTTGAAAGTTTTTACAAAGTCCTATTTTAATGTCTCAATTTTTCTTTCTTTATTCAAATTAGATTCTGCAGTAATCCAGTCACTAACTTAAACAGCTGGACCATTTTGCACCTTTGCCTTTCCCACAAATTCTGCTCTATGACATTATAATTTGTAATATCAACCAACATGGTGGTTAGAAATTTCATCTAACTAGTCAAATTTTATATACCACATCAAATAGATATTCCAACTTAGTAGAACACCAATTGTCTATTAAATCATTGTTCTCAATTGCATTTATACCTAATTACCTGCTCTTTAGCAATCATTTTTCCCATCAGCCTTACCTCTATAATTCCTGTTTCAAACAAAAAAGGAAAATAACATTTAACTTAACGTATGCCTGACCATTTCCTGATTTCTTTTCTCATGAGATCTCTATGAAGTCTCATCAACTCCATCATTTTACAAATAATAAATGGAGCTCTGTCATAGCCTTTATCACACTGATTTCACTATATTGCAGCTAGGGAGGGAGGGCAGGCAACGGATGGATAAGGTCAGACGGAGTCACATTTAATCATCCAAACTGACAAATCCAATTGTTCAAAAGGTGTAATAGTACCAAAATAAAAGAGGGCAGAAAACCTCAAAAGTGAAATTAGTATTCTTTCCAAATTATTCCTCATTAACCCATTATCATTGAAAGGAAAATATTATATATACCAATTTCCAATAAGCAGTTATTTAAACATTGATGTATGCACTTGAGTGCTCATTCACCACCTACTAGGTACTAGGCAATTCACATGCCAAGACAGCACTGCACAGTCCCTACCACTGAGGAACCCAGACTCTGTTACAGAACATTCTTGTAAAGGAAGAAATGTAACATCTTAATATTCGAAGTAGCATGCTGTTGGTGAAGGCAACACCCTCAAAGAGATTTTTTAGCAATATTTTCTTACACTTAAATCTTTTTTTTTTTTTTTTTTTTTTGGAGACAGGGTCTTGCTCTGTTGCTCAGGCTGCAGTGTGGTGGCACGATCTCGGCTCACTGCAACCTCCTCCTCCTGGGCTAAAACCATCCTCCAACCTGAGCCTCCTGAGTAGCTGGGACTATAGGCACACACCACCATACTCAGCTAATTTTCTGCATTTTTTTTTTTTTTTTTTGCAGAGATGGGGTTTTGCTGTGTTGGCCAGTCCGGTCTCAAATTCCTGGACTTAAGCAATCAGTCGGTCTTTGCCTCCCAAAATGCTGGGATTACAAGCGTGAGCCACCACGCCCAGTCTATTTTCTTATGTTTAAAACAAATAAAGAAAGATAAAAATGCAGAGACAGGAACAAATCTTTATTGACTTGTGATAAATTATTAGTTCACAATCTTTACGTCCTCTTTACGTCCCTAAATTCCTTTACTGGAACTAACCTGAGGGTAAGTCCCTGCAGATGATATTACCAAGCTGGTTACTGGGTGGGCAAAGCTCATTTCCCTTAGAGGCAAAAATAGAAACTTGTTCTTTTTTAAATAGTGAATCTTCTTTCAGCCTGTCTACCAAACGTTTTGTAGAGAGCTGAGGACATTATATGTGTTTTGTATTCTTCCTCATATTATAAACTCTAACCTAGGTCCCAATTACCAGATATTTTGATGGTAGAATTTATCCAATAGCAAAATAAAACTACTTCAAGTGTGAAACATGCAAGTGCCTAATAAGACAAAACTACAATCAAACAAACAATTTAGCAGAAAGTGAGGGCAAAAAGAATACAATGGCAAGGAAAGATAGTTTACTAAGATCTTTCAGGGAAAATGTATAACATGATTAGCTAATTACCAAAACAAGAGTAGAATCAGTCCCTCTTTTCTAAGCAGAAAAAGCATCAAAATATATCTAGGTAGTGTGATTCCTCAAATGCCATTTTAAGAAGTCACAAAGGCCAGGCGCAGTGGCTCACATCTGTAATCCCAGCACTTTGGGAGGCTGAGGTGGGTGGATCACCTGAGGTCAGCAGTTCAAGACCAGCCTGATCAACATGAAGACACCCCGTCTCTACTAAAAATACAAAATTAGCTGGGCATGGTGGCACATGAGTAATCCCAGCTACTCGGGAGGCTGAGGCAGGAGAATCGCTTGAACCTGAGAGGCTGTGATTGCGGTGAGCCAAGATCACGCCACTGCACTCCAGCTGGGAAACAAGAGCGAAACTCTGTCTCAAAAAAAAAAAAGAAAAGTCACAAAAAGAGGTATAGTATTAGGCAGCATGCTGAGGTGTGGAACTTGCCCTGTAACCATTATCAACAGGCATGTCTTTACCACAGGGTGGAGATGACAGTGACGCATGCCCCTTTCCATTTAATATGGCTTAAGGAGACTGAGAAAGACAGTGCTCCCATCTAACCACCTTGTATCCTGAAGAAAATCCGCACTACATAAGACAGTTGTAGGATCAGAATTCTAAATGAGAATTCTAACGCCTTTCAATCAAACAAAGAGCACTGCATGATTTTTTGCTTGTTATTAAATATTAATGCCCCTCATGAATCTATCACATGCTAGCCTATTAAGGTTAATTAGGAGTTGAACTCTAAAGAAGTTGTGAACTGTTTAGAAACTGTTTTAAATATAGAAACCTATCTGCGGAAACTGTAGAACATTACAAATGGAACATGAGTGCCTTGAGATCTGGAAGAGTAGGATGGAAGTTGTGGGAGGAGAGAGAGGCCCTGACAGTGGACAGGAGAAAAGTCCTAAATATCAATTTCACTTATCTCACAAGTTAGCCCACAGGCAGATCTTGGGTGCCAGCCAATTAAACACTAATTTTTTTTAAGCTATCGTTTTTATGGAGCATGTACACCTTAGGCATATTCTCATATTTTATTTTATTTATTCCTCCATGGAGTCTGGTCACTGCTCCTATTGAGCACAAGAAATTACTGCTGAGAAAATAAGATGACTTTTCCAAGGTCATAATTAGCAGGCAGCAATATCCATTTCTGCTAACATCTACTAACATCCTACTCCATTTCTGCTAACACATAACCTAAATACTCCTCTCATAGGAATAAACTATACGAGCTTTCCTTCTCCTCCTTTTTCTTCTCTTCCTCTTCTTCCTCCTCCTTTTTTATACCTTACTTCATTCAAAAAGGATTTTGGGAGAATGTTATTCAGCCATAAAAAGGAATGAAACTTTGACATATGCTAGAAAGTAGATGGACCTTGAAAACATTCTGGTTTTTGTTTTGTTTTGTCTTTGAGACAGGATCTCGCTCTATCGTCCAGGCTGCAGTGCAGTGATGGGGTCATGTCTCACTGCAGCCTAAACCTCCAAGGCTCAATCGATCCACCTGCCTCAAAAATAAGCCACACACAGAAAGACAAATATGGCATGAGTGCATTTATATGAGGTACCTAAAATAGGCAAATTCATAGAGACAGAAAGTATAATAGAGTTACCAGGAGATGAGAGGAGAGGGGAAGAGCAAGTTATTGTTTATTGGGTACTGGGTTTTTCTTGAGGACCAAGATATAGTTGAGTATAGATACTGATGATGATCACATAACACTGTGAGTGTATTAATGCCATTGAATTGTACACTTTACAAATGCTTAAAATGATAAGTATTATGTTATATATATATTAGCACAATGAAAAATGACTTGAGGAAGAACTAAGAAATGTAAAAACAGCATTATGTATATGTGAGAAGTGGAACTATGTGGAAATAAGAACAGGGAAATAGACCGAAGCTGGGTGAGTATACATATGTATGCCACTGGATTCTATATAGTGATTAAAGGTAAGATGCAAATTTAGTTCTGGTTTTCTTGGCAACCAAAACAAAAATTTACAATATCCACAAAATGACAACCAGAACAATCACTTGAGATAAGTGCTGGTAAAGAAACCAGAGAGAAATGTCATCAGAAATTCCCATAAAGGAAATACCTCAAGATGTGGTGGCCAGTTTCCTCAACTGCATTTGCGTAATAAAGACAAAAATAGGTTTCTTTATGGTTGCTATCTGTATTAAATGACTACTTTTTTTTACACTTATGGTTCCCACTAGAGGAAGTATGCTATATATACAAAGTTTAGATTTTGAATGATTCACTACTTATGAAAAAAGCCTTCAAAAACTTGTCATCTCTTTTTCATAAGCAAATTTGTTTTAATGCTTGCTAATTCAGTAGGCAAACTTCCTGTAAGGCCAAAATGCAATTCAGTAAGTATGATTGTGCAAGAGGCCAAATCAAGTCTGTGTTTGTGAATCACTATGCTCAGAACAATTGTCTGTAAAGTTTAATACTTGCATTGGAAAATGGGAGTTTGGAACTTTAGCTTCCCTTTGACAAGAAAGTAGCTAAATAATGGCTTGTGGGTGCGGTGGCTCATGCCTGTAATCCCAGCACTTTGGGAGGCCAAGGCGGGTGGATCACGAGGTCAGGGGTTCGAGACCAGCCTGACCAACATGGTGAAATGCCGTCTCTACTAAAAATACAAAAATTAGCTGGGCATGGTGGCGGGTGCCTCTAATCCCAGCTACTCAGGAGGCTGAGGCAGGAGAATTGCTTGAACCTGGGAGGCAGAGGTTGCAGTGAGCTGAGACTGCACTCCAGCCTGGGTGACAGAGCAAGACTCTGTCTCAAAAAATAAAATAAAATAAAATAATGGCTTGTATTGAAGACCAGAGTTTTAGTTAACAACCTCACTGACTTCAATGAGACCAGGGAGAGGCATGTCTGCCTCCGCTGCACAGATGTCCTCCTATCCAGGACTTCTAGAAGAATGGCTTTGGTTATTATTAATATGAATTACATGTGCAAATAATCACCCATTAGAAGTATCTGATATATGTCTCAGGAAGGGCAAATAAGTAATAAGTACTTTTTAAAAATATTACAACACCTTATTTGTTGGTTTGTTTAATTAACAGTGGGTACCTTTCTCTTTCTTGTTCTTAGCAAGGAATATGATTGACTATTTTTTGTAAGGAAAGACCAAATACAAAAGCAGAACTGCAGTTCATTTTGTTGTGTAAATAGGCTCATTTAATGCTGGCTAGTTAAGCTACAGATCTAAAAGTCAACTGGAGAAAGCAGGTGACTTATAGGAAAATTTATTGATAGTGTTATTTAGTCTCAGGACATAATACCTCATTTGTATAAAAACATTGATGGAATGAGTTAATTCTCATAAACAGAGTACCCACTAATTAAATTTTACCTACATAAGCACCAAGAGTTTGTTCATTTAATTATTTGGGTAGAAAATCTTTCTAAATTACATTTGTCACTGGATTTTTTTTGGTCATTTTTAAAAATTAAACTTTTTATTTTGTAATAATTTTAGGTTTACGAAAAAGTTATAAAGATAGTAAAGAGAGTTCACATAACTCTTCATTCTGTGTCCCTTAATGTTATATATTACCAGACATATTGTACTATGAAATCAACCATGCTATATGACTATTAACTAAACTACAGACTTTATTTGGATTTCACCAGTTTTACTACTAATGTCCTTTCACAGTTCCAGAATCCAATTCAGGATACTACATTGCATTTTAGTGCAACTGATTTTTAAACCAAGAATTTCTAATGTGAATGAATCTTCTCTGAAAGACTCATGTTTCAACATTATAAGCATCAATTATACTAAACCATAATTTACTGATTCCTTTAGGGTTTGTTGAAATGAGTTGCACTCTTTGAATCTTATATTAACTGGCCCCAGACAGTTGTACATTTGAGTATATTCTCATGTTTATGGTGTTTTTATTGTCTGTTTCTTCCCCTGGTGGCAAAATATTGTTGTTTTGTTGGTCATGATAGTCAGAGTTGAAGCTTGGAGTTGAAGTCAGAGTTGTGGTGCTTGTTGTTACTTATGTTGTTTGGCTATCATCCATCAATTGCAAAGGATCAAAATCCAGCAACATATTTTGAGTTCTCGTTCTTAACCTCTTTGGATTTTCTGATACCATTGAACAGCCTTTCATTCTTTAAAACATTCTCATTTTTCTCTTGGATTCAGTAACATTACAGTCTTCAGGGCTTACTCTTTAGCTGGCTCTCACCGCCCCGTATCTACCTCAATCTCTGGCTACTCCACGTCATTCTCCTTCCATAATGTAAATAGGCTATGAAGTTGCATCACTGACATTATTTACTTCTCTCTTCTACTCACCCTTTCCATGGCTTGCTTATCCATTCTCATGACTTTCACCATAAGCAGTATCCTGATGACTCCCAAGTGCCAGTCTTAAATTTTAAATTGCCTACTAGACAACTTTACCTAGATGCTAGCTGGCATTTCAAACTGCCAGCTGGCATTTCAATATGCCAAAACCGAACTGATAATCTTCCCACCCATAATTGTTTTTTTTTCCTTCCCGTGTCCTCTGTTTATATTTATTATACCATGCTCTCCCAGGTTAGCCACGGTCAAAATTTTGCCATTTTCCTGACCCCCATTTATCTTTTCCTCAATACCACATCTAATCAGTCGTCCACATTTATTGACTGAATCTCTATTAGTTTCATTAATTTTTCCCACCTATCTCTCCCCACTGACACTATCACTAGTAGCACCAACCATAGTGGGCACTTATAAGTTATAAAACAAATATAAAGTGCCCTTTGCCTGTGCTATTTTAATACCTCCTAACTTGACTCTTTTCCCCAAACTCTTCCTCCTCCAATAATGGACACTGGGATGCATAATTTATATTCCTGAAACCCACATCTAACTACGTTGTTCTTTTGTTTAAAAACTTAAGGTATGCCTTTAAGATTTGCTTTAATCTTTGCTGCCTAAGAGTGAAAGGCGTTTCCTTGGCATTAGTATCCTTCTATCTGACTACAGCCTTCTCTCTTTCTTGCCCAGCCTTCTCTCTGGCCCTAGTCAGATAGAAGGATGCTAATGCCAAGCAAACGCCTTTCACTCTAACATCTACTACCCTCCTGGTCTGTACCCATTTAATTTACCTCTTATCAGTTTCAATGCATGAACTGTCCTGGCTCTATAGTCTTTTCTTCCTCTTTTCTGCTCAAGCTCATCCACAATGGCTTATGCAAAGACTTTGATCCCATTATTATGCCCTTTCTTCTGTACACCATCAAGATTTTTCTTTTAAACTCTTAATTGGCCTGTTCTCAACAGCACATGCACTGTGATATTTCTCATTTAAAAGAAAAACTTAAACCTCATGACCCTGTCAAATTATCCCCATACTGCTGTCCCCTCTACATCCAAACTCTTTAAAAGGATTGTCCATCTTTGCAATTTCACATTCTTTCTTGAATCCACTCCAATTATGTTTTTGTCTTCACCATTGCAAGGGTCTTGCTCTTGACAAGGGTACTAGTGACCTCCACAGTGTCTAATTCAGCAGGCAACTGTCAACCTTCATCTTTACTCCCTTCCTCAGAAGCATCTGGCAGGATTAGTTAATTCTACCCTTCTTAAAAATGATTCTCCATTTGGCTACCAGAACTCTACACTTTCCTGGTCATCTTCTGTCTCATTGATCACCTCTCTCTATCTCCTCTACTGGCTCTGCATCCTCTTCTCTCCATTTAATAATTAGCACTCCCACAGCTAATCTTCACCTCTCCTCTCTTCTTCATCTCCTTTAGTCTTGGTGATCTAATTCAAGTTCCGTGGCTTCCTAAAACATCTACAATCTGACCACTCCAAATTTATATCCCCAGCCCCAAATACTTCCCTAAACTCCCCAACTTGAATATTCGACTACGTACTTAGCATCTCCAACTGCATAGCTAATCATCATCTCAAAGTTTACATGTCCCAAAATGCCACCCATCAATTGGACCTCCTCTCCAAGTGAACACCATCACAGCAAATGGTACCTTAGTCATCCAGATGCCCAGGCCCCAAAGTGGAAACATCATAGACTCCTTTGTTCTACTAACACTAAATCAAACCTATAAGAAAATCTTTTCGCTTCACTTTTGAAATATGTTTTGTAGTCAATCGCTCAAACACCAGCCCATCCTCATTACTGCTTTGGTTGGTTCAAGCTATAACCGTCTCTCACCTGAATATCTGCAATAAACTACTGAATGGTCTCTTAAGGTCCACACTTGTCTCCTCACAGTATATTCTTCAGACAGAATCCTGTCACTCCCCTGATTCAGCCTCTGCTGGCTTTTCGTTATTTAGAATTTATAATTCCTTGCTGAAAATTTTGTCCAACCAAGCCCTAGGTGACCTTCTTCCCTCTTCTTTAGTCTCTTAGCTTAATCCTTTCTCCCTGGCTCATGGAACTTCTATCACACAGACTTACCAGCTACTCTCAACATGTAAGCACTCTGCTACCTCATGCCATTTTCACTACTTGTTCCCTATGCCTGGAATTCTTCTCCACTAGATGTTAGCACTGTTCATTTCTCTGTTTCATTCAGGTTTTGGCTCAAATTATCCTGTTCTCAGGGAAGGCTTTCCTGACAATCCTACCTGAAACAGCAGCTCCTATTTTTCTCTATCCCTTTATTCTGCCTCCCTTTATACACTTACCTCATATAATGATACATAACTAATTAATGGTAATAGCCAGTGTTTACATAGCCCTTATGTGACAGGCACTGTTTTAAGCTCCTTATGTGTATTTAACTCATTTAATCTTAAAACAACCCTACGAAGTAAGTAATTTTATTATTACCATTTTACATATAGAGAAACAAGCACAGAGAGGTTAAAAATCTGTCATGGTCACACAGTAGGCAGCAGAATGGTAATGTAAGTCTTTTTTCAAACACTGGAATATAAACACCTCCAATTCCATAATACTACATTTACTTCCCAGAATGCAAGCTCTGTGAGGGTAGGAACATTGGCTGTCATTACTGTAATATCTTCTGAACCACAGGCACTCAATTAATAAATATTAAATGAAGAAATAAAGCCTCTGGTTGTCCCACTTCCCATCCTAACTGGCAATAACTAACTAATTAACTGACTTACTTAATTACATCACAACCTAGACAAGTTAGAATAAACGAGCTCAGTGTGAGCCTGCAAGTCTGCCTATGAATCAAGTCTTTAAGATAAAATTTACTAACTGAGCAATATCCCTTTTGAATTCTCAAGGCATCTTTCAAAAAAGTATTCCGGTTCGCTATAATTCTAGAAAGGAATGATCTCCACATTACAAAATTAATTATATACTCAGAAATCCAGAGCAATAATAATTTTATAAGGGTAATTTTAAAATCAGCTTAGAATTACTCAAAGATAGAGTGAATTCTTAGAATACAAATACCAGTTGGTTCAGGTGACTCATTAACCACTGGAAGGAGAGCAGGCAGTACATTTTTAGAAGAGATAGAGAAAAGTAAAATTTTATTACCGCTTCGTAGGACAATGATTTCAGCTATGGAGTCTGTGAGAAAATACTCTGTAACATTGGAAACAGCCTACAAACACTCTCATCAATGAAATGATCTTTTTGAATGCTAGTTACTCTAATTGGCTTTTGCTAGAAACAACTTGACTATTGAGTGAAAACCTATCCTGGGAGCTCATTCCAGCTTTTTCAAGCATTAACCCACAAAACTCTTAAACTCTTCACATTGGAAGTGAGAAATTCCTATTCTGCTTTCTAAATATTGCCATTTTTCTCACCACTAATTTTCCTCCATACCCATTTTATTTATCAAAGAATTTGAGAGTGCTGATATGGTTTGGCTGTGTCCCCACCCAAATCTCATCTTGAATTGTAGCTCCCACAATTCCTATGTGTTGTGGGATGGACCCGGTGGGAGGTAATTGAATCATGGGGGAGGGTCTTTCCCTGGCTGGTCTCATGATAATGAATAAGTCTCATGAGATCTGATGGTTTTATAAAGGAGAGTTCCCCTGCACACACTCTCTTGACTGCTGCCATATAAGACATGACTTTGCCCCTCCTTTGCCTTCTGCCATGATTGTGAGGCCTTCCCAGCCATGTGGAATTGTGAGTCCATCAAACCTCTTTCCTTTATAAATCACCCAGTCTCAGGTATGTCTTTATTGGCGGTGTAAGAACAGACTAATACAAGTACTCACTATGTGTCTGTCACTGTTTTAAATGCTTTATATATATAACATGAGTTATAAATACTAACTCATGTAATCCTCCAAACAATCCTGTGAGAAGAGGAAACTGAGTCAGAGAGCAGCTAAGTGACTTGCCTAAGCTCTGCTATCTCCCTGACATTCTTAGTAGCCATATTTGTTATATGTGAGGGAGAAGAAACAGAGTTTGTGGAGCAAGGGATACTAGGTGTTCTCAAGTGAAAAAGATTCACAGGTGTGTGGAAAGAAGGCATGTGAACAATCAGAAAATAGCTTGGACCACCTACACAGAGCAAACACATTCCATGATGCTGGCCTTTTACATTCAGAACTATTATTTAAAGAAAGGCAGGTTATCTCATATGTCACTAGACTGATTTCTTCTGGATCAGCCTGACCATAGTTGGAAAGTGGAGATAAAAGTGAAAAGTATATGTGACAGAATTGGGGAAGGATAAAAAGTAATATATGGAAAATAAAGAAAACATATACATACATATCATTAGTCAGTATAACTGTAAATAGAAAAGTTGTCAATATATAAGGGTACAGGATTTAGACAGATAGGAAAACATTGAATAATACCCACAAATAAGAATAGAAGGCCTTGGGTCTGTATGCAACATTTAGGGATACTTTCGCCATGTGGAAATTGATGTCATCATTATAAAAAAACAAGCTCCTCAAATAGAATTAAATCAAAATAGTACATTTCCTTTTATACTTAAACTCATTCAAATATTTGCTGAGTGTCCACTGTATTTAAGGTACTCTGATAGTGATGTAGGCAGCACAACGCTTGTTAACTTAGGATGACTATGACCCTCATGCAACCTAAAGCCAGCAAAAGAGGCCCTAAATTTGTAGCATGTTTTGTTTCTTAACATTTGATTTGTTTGGATTTGAGAAGCTTGTAATCAGAGGCCATTTATCCCTGAAGAGTTAACTTTGCCCTGTAAAGAACAAATAAAATTATGGTGCCTCAGATAGATCTCAAAGCCTTTTGGCAAAGTGCAATGGAGACTACAATGATTTCTCGATTCGGTGGTTTTATAGAATAAGAAGTCTGTGTTTTGTAATCAGTAAGTGTTAGCTAACATAGGTTTATAAACATATCTGAATTACTCTAAATATAAATTCTAAAATATCTAAATTACTCTTAACATAAACATCTAAGAATAACTTGAGGCATTTATCATTAAAATTAGATATTTAATCACACCCTAATTCTACTTTTAGTTTTGAGGACTAATTCAACCTAACCTTTTTGTTAGTTAGAATTAGAAATTTCTGACTGTGTTATTTGTTCTAAACTCTATGGCCAAGTTTTAATTTTTAAAGAAGTCCTTGTATCCACTCTTAAATTTTTTGTGGAAAAAAGAAATCTCTAACTTCCTGTTTGTCAGAAGGAATATCTGGTTTGGCATTCTAAGTTTTCTCTTATAAGCTTATGAATATTTGCAACTGGCCAAAAAAAAAGAGAGAAAACATTGTTTATAGTAGAAGCATAATCTGCCTGGTACATGGCAAACCCTGGGATCATATTTTCCTA
The DNA here is from genome assembly GCF_000001405.40 of Homo sapiens. Classification (NCBI taxonomy): domain Eukaryota; kingdom Metazoa; phylum Chordata; class Mammalia; order Primates; family Hominidae; genus Homo; species Homo sapiens. Next base: position 71,914,164 of record NC_000006.12, on the reverse strand, counting down.
TTCACAAAGAAATATACAAGTCACTCTCATAGATGAAGGGAAAACTATATATTGCACATTCATCCTGAAACAGGAAAAGCAGAAGTCATACATTCAGAGCACAATGAAATAGGACTCTGCCTTTCCTAAAATGGGCAGTAAAGAGTGGAGTACAGCTGGTCAGCTATCCTTATTCCCCACCACACCCCAATGACTACTTTGGCTCTTCTTCTGAAGGAGTTGGTTAGTAGTGCTATAGATACTCTTTTAGCTATCATAAGGTCACTTTCTACCATACCTGAGTTGTAGAGAAAGGAAGTGTCCTTCTTACCCTAACCCCAGCTGTGTAGCCCCATTTGCCCAGGGGTGTCCTCAGGAGTTGAGGAGAGAGAAGTGTGCTGGCATTAGGTTCAGGGCTCAATGGAAGGCCTGGAACTCACAGATTGGGAAATGATTCCTACATCCTACATACCAGAAACCACATGACACAAACCCATATGTTAAAATTCTTCCTAGAAGTGTTCTTTTCTTTACTTTTCCTGCTTTACTCCTTAAAGGGAGATCTTGAGTCATTTCTAAGCTCCTATGAATAGTCCCTTAGCAACCATTTTAAATAGGATTAGCTGTAACTGTTTTCTATTTAAGGGTGTTACATTATGGAATTCCCAGTATAGACAAAGAGATGGGGCGGGGGCAGGAGAAATATAAAATATATTCTTTAAGCACATTCAAGTAGATTGCAAAACTTATAAAAAGATAAACTGATTTTCCCAAAACAACATTATTGTCTATAAAAAGCATTTAGTGTCTGTCAAAATACATTTGGTGCTCTACCAAGTAACCGTCCCTTCAAGCCCCTCCTTTTCGCATCATGTCAATTCATCTATTTGTCTATGGATTGAGGTGCCAAGCCTAATTATCTCCCTGGAACTTTTTTAATAAGACCCACATTTAAATATTTTACAACATACAATTATATTACTAATTTTAATGATAAAATATTTCACATATTCAAGTAAATAGACATCTTTTAATAAAAACAGACAATATAGAAACTTTGGGCTATATTAAGGCATTAGCACATACATAGATTTAGTAATTCAATCAAAGGAGCTTTTGGTTGAATAAAGAAAAAGAGAGTCTGAGTCCATTTGCCTTAAAAAGTTCAAACCACACCTGATTAGATTCAATTGTTTTCAGAACAAAGGATGGTGCGTGAAATTTAAGAAGCTTCCATGAAGCTCATTTTTCACATTTGTTTTTACTTAGAATTTTGAAATAAAGGTATTGGTCTTTTGTTTGCAAAATAATACTGAAACATCAAATCCTTCTTTCCCATGCCACTGGGTTCACAGTAGACAGCAAATACTTTTCTCCTTTAAATTCTATTTATTTTGCTAATAGATTTTTCTATTGGGCAATATGATTCAGTACCTGACACATAATACTTAATAAATATTTGTTCAATTAAATTAAATGTTTAAGCTTGTGTTCATTTCTAAGGTCTAATATTTGCCAAATGTTTCATCGAGACCTCTTGAACACCTTCTTTACCATTTAAGATGTTCTTGGTCATTGCAACGAGTCACTGCTCTGAGAAGCTTATGGAACTATCCTTAAGAATAACGCAATGACATTTTAAATAAATATGTAATCATATGAAAAAAGTCATTAAAGACACTCAGGCTTTATAAACTATTACAATTTAATAGCAGTTATAATAACAGCAATAACAAGGTAGATTACATAAATTCTACTGTAGCATTTTACATCTGTATTTTATGTTTGCTTTATTGGAGACACAACAAAGCAAGAAATAAATAGCCCAGGGAAGGGAGGAATGGTGAGAAATAATTAATTTGGGTATCAGAGATTTGTATTCAAATGTTTCAGTAACAAAACAAATTATGACTAACTCAAAAATGTGTTATCTTAAACAAGAGAATTGTCTTTGCCTCTTTGAAACGTGTATTTCCTTCTGATGTAGGTTTATAGACCACAGAAGAGGCAGGGTTAAGTTCCATATTTTAAGCTAACTTCTTCATCTTCAGTTTTCTTCTATACCTAATTCCAAATTCTTCTCTTGACTCAACTGACTAGGTTCAAGATATGAACCTGAAGACTTAATAAAAATCTTATATCCACAGAAAAGCAGTAAAAATTTCAGAACATTGTTTTTGATACTGAATACAAAAGTTTTGACATTGGTGAGGGGAAAGCATTTTCTCCTTTCAGCACAAGTACCATTGATAGGAGTTCACTCCCAGGGGTCTTAAACCAAGGTAAAGGGAGGTCAAATTTAAGAAATATCAAATGTAAACAATAGCAAGGCCAAAAATGGAAATCCCTTCAAGACCTGAAATATGTGTTTCTTGCTATATACTGACTCATCAGGACCAATGTCTTATAATTTGAAAGCACCAACAGATGTTTAACAAATAAACACCCTTCAGTACTTCACCTTTAGACTGATATGTGTTAAGCAAAGATCTCAAAACTTTTGCATGTTCAAAGCTTTGGTGAATGAGATTTTGTGAGAACAACAGTAGCCTATTTCCATAGAGTTGATCCATGGAGAAAAGAGAAATACTTCATTTAAATGAATGTTTATATTTCCAGTGCTAAATCCACCAAGGGCCAGAGTATGGGGATCTAAGGGAAGCTTCTTTCCTTTACTATTGCCAAGTGACCACAAGGACAATCCATCTGCATCATACAAGCATCTAACTTATAAGAATTTAACCATATGCATGAGACAGAGAGATAGATAAGAAAATTGTTTTAAATAGTGGGCAGAAGTCCATTTACCATTCTAATTCTCTCCATAAGTATTTACCCTAAATCAGCCTAAAGATCTTCTACCCAAGGGGCCAACTCAGTTCTTGTGTGGCTCTCATCCACAGATGAACTCTCCAAGTTGAGTAAGACTATGGTATTCAATGAGTTCAATGACACATGGACACATTTTTTAATGCAACATGGCCCTTAAAACATAAGCCAACAATGGAATCTGGAGCTCAACAGAACTGCATAATTCAATGTCGAAGGGTAAACTGCCTGTGTGGGACGTACTATGATGTTTGTCTTCAATATGGCTTCTTCCAAAGAGGTTTTCAACAATACTCAAGTGGCACCTTCTATACTGTTCTACCTTTAGAACCTAATGCCTAAATTAGATTTGACTCCTCTATAACCTTCACCCTGGCACAGCTTTAATCACCCTGATATCCCTTTATCTTCCTTCAATCTAATCTTCCTATTGGAGCCAGATTGATCATCTCATCCTCCAGAGCTGCCAACTCTCCCCAAGTTCTTCTCCACTGTTTACTAGGCCAAAAGGTAGTGAAAAATTAATTAAACTTTGGCTCAGGGTAAATGCTCAAATTATCAGAGGGCACCTTTTACATGCTTTCCTTGGAATATTCAAACTCACTTAGAAATTACCCCAACCAGCTTCCTTTGTTCCCTGTGTGTGCACTCTGCCAGAGGCACACAGTACGTATGCAAAGGTTCTCCACAAACAACATTATGTGTGCTACACATCACCAAAAAACATATATGAAGTATCTCTAAAATCAATCCTGGATAATGAGGGATACAGAACACAGTGAAGGGAGTAGGTGCTTTGATAAGACCTAGAAAGTGAGTAGGAATGAGTATGTTCAAGTCATAAAATTTGGACAGTATTCATAATGTGGCCTAGTGTGTACGCATGGACGGGACATTGTATACCAACTGGCTACCACTGCCTGGGCCAGATCCTCTTTTCAGCCCAGGGATCCCATAGTCAGCATATTGACTAAAATATGTCCAGTCCAAGAATGCACAATATTTTGCTGTGTTCCAAAGCTTCCAGAGTCAGACAAATACACTGAAACCTTTGTTTTACTTTGTGTTCTTTCCTCCTAAAATAATATATTTTTAAAATGCAGAGTTTTTGTATTTCTACTTAAACCTAAGGTTGTCAGCTTATCTAACAGACATTACGTTAAATGGGTAGTCATTTTTAATTTTCTCCTGACCAGGAGAAAAGTGTGTGCAGATAAGTACCTCTCTCTCTTTCTGATTTTCACAGCCTTCCAGAGGTTCTTACTACTGAAAAGTTATTTGCCACACCTGAGTTAACTTTTCCCTGCTACCTTTTAGATCTTTGAACAAAGACCTAGACAGTCACACTGACATCCTCTGACCATTTAACTTACAGCAAATAATTAGCGTTTAGAAAGAGGTGAGTTGACTCCTCATCCGGGCTGCTTTTTTGTGTTCTATGAGAGGAGGGCAGACAGGATCACACCAACAATACGCAGATTGTTGTGCCAGCAAGCAAATTTTAGAATCCAAACTGTATTTAATAAAAGGCAGAGTCTACTTTAAATTTTTTTTCTGATCCAAACAATATAAATTTTATTATCAGCATTATCAATAATTACAAACCACTTCAGATAAATTAAAAACTAGCTCTGACATATACATAAAAAATAGAGCTTCCTGAGAGTTTAATAGGCTTGGCAGTAAGTTACAGAATCACATAATTATTGTTAATTTTAGTATACCTCTGTATTTTCTAATGCAAGCCAGCGCCAAAACATTATTTTAATTAAGTAATTAATTAATTAAAATGAATAAAACATTCTTGAAAACTCAGAGACCCTAGAGGGTTAGATTAGAGACAGCAGAATCAAGATTAGAATCAAGGAATTCCTCAGCTAACTTGTGATTTGGATGTCAATTTGCCCCACAGAATTCAGAGAGTCAACTCTTCATATATGTCAAAATGCATGTCATGAAAGGTATGCCACTAAACACACTCCGTGGTATCTATCACTTAATGTTAGAAAAAGACTATTTCATCAATATATTTAAAACTTTAAGTATGAAATAAACAGCAGGCTGGGCACTTTGGAAGGGCTGAGCACTTCCCGGCACTTTGGAAGGCCGAGGCAGGTGGATTACTTGAGGTCAAGAGTTTGAGACCAGCCTGGCCAACCTGGTGAAACCCCGTCTCTACTAAAAATACAAGAAAAGAAAATTAACTGGGCATGGTGGTGGGTGCCTGTAGTCCCATCTGCTCCAGAGGCTGAGGCAGAAGGATCCCTTCAACCCGGAAGGCAGAGTTTGCAGTGAGTCAAGATTGTGCCACTGCACTCCAGCCTGAGCAACAAAGCGAGACTCTGCCTCAAAATAAAATAAAATAAAAAGAAATACAGTAGAATCTAAATATTGATATATGAGGAAATCAAGAAAGTTTAGATTAAATTATTGTTGATTTTCTCTAATCATCTCTTACAGGCTTAAATACATACTCTTTGCAAAACAAACACTTTTACTCATTGACTTTGGCTCTGGGTCTTAATTTTCTAAACAAAAATATATGGTGGTAGGAGAAACACTGTAAAAATGTTAATTACAAGATGAAAAGGTTCATTTAGGCTTGAACAAAACATATTGTAACATCATGCTGAAGGGAAAATAACAGGGGGTGTTCAAAATTTACCAATGACTGTGCTGCCAACGCAGCATCCTCTTCCTTTCTAAATGTGCTTTCTGCCTCACCCAGGGTTACCGTTTTGTCTGTAACACCTCAGAGCCTATGAGTAAATTAGATACTTATATGCAGCCACCCATTTAAAGTTAGAGAAGTTGACTGCACCCTGACAGGAAGGCTCTCTAAGAAGGAGCAGTCATGTAGAGGAGGCTCATATGAAGCAGTGTCCACCTCCTATCTGTACCACTCCTCTCCAGGTCTCCCTCCCAGTATCCCTGAGGCAGATGGCACAAAGGGCTGGGTTCATCCAGCAGGAGAGAGCCCTAAGGGCCAGACAAGAAAAATCACTCCTCTCCGGAAATGACTGGCATTATAGACCAACGGATGCCTCATTTCTCTCTTCTGGGAAAATTCCCCACTGGGGCTCTCATATTTCTGTCTCCTGTAATGAGAAGAAGGAGAGAGCAAAGAAAGGAAAAAAGAAGATAAAGTGACTAAATTTCTCCCAAGTTAGCCATCAATTCTTCCCTAAAGGAATAAAAACAGAAACTAAAAGCCAAGGAGTTGCCTCTTTGGGGTCAGGGTAGAGGCAGGGGCCCAGGACCAGCCTTGGTCTTGAACCAAGAATCCAAAAAGGTAAACAGAAACACTTTGCCCACTTTTCATGCCATGTGGTGTGAAAGGTTTAGCAATGCCTGCTATAATAAAGGCAAAAGTCTCTTACTTTCAAATTTGAAGGAAAAACAATTAAGGACTAATTCTCAGGGTTACCCAAATCCTTTTTAAGTCATTTCCAGCTTAAGTATAAATAAAATTCTGGTAGGATTTTATCTTTTAGAAAATTTTCATAAATGCTATGGAAAATATATCCAACTTACTAGAGTTTCACCAACAAAACACAGGTCTTTGTTCCATGCACTTGATTTTCTCATGAGTTAAATGTAGATAATTTGACATATAAGCGGTATTATGGAAGTATGTATATACGCTGTGAGCTAAAACTTGGTATTGATAGTTAGAAATTTTTATTACACATTGGATTATTTTTTGAGTATTTTTATTACACCTTTGATCTCAGCAAAGGTGTAGAGCTGTGATGTCTGTATTTTTAAAATATTAGAAAAATTTTTAACTTTCTATCACTTCTAATTTTGTGTGAAAATGTCAGCATTATGTCAGCTGTTCTGTGCTGTAAGTCCACATTAGACCTACATTCAAGCAACATTTTAGAGAGCATTTTTAATATTTTTACAGCATTTATTTTAAATATTTACTCAGGAATGCCATTGATTAAGGGTGAAAAATCTGTTAATTGTTTAAGTAAGGTATTCTTATACAGTGAGTTTTCCTAGTTGGAGGTATTCCTCCATGCTAAAAACTCAAGATAGGGTATTTTTTTCCATTGAAGACAGACCATATGAATAATGTATATAAATTCCCATGCATTCATATGAGATTATAAACTGAGGGGTAAGCCAAAATGCTTCCTTAGTAAAACAACAAATGTGAGGAATTAAATCTGTAAGCATAATGCAGGGTAAATCTATTCCAAAGTGCTGCTAAAAGAAGGTTTACTACCCTAGTTCAAAAGAAAGCACCCAACTTCTGTGTATTCCCAAAGCTCAGGTAACTGCATTGTGCTAAAATCACTACAATGAATAAGAGTCTTCTGGCTTAGCACAATGTAAGAACCAAAGCTCCAATTGTGATTCAAAATTCCTTTAAACAGTGCTCACACAGTGTAGATGCACCTGTCTTTATACTCAAAGAGATGTGAATACTGAGTGTGTAGTACTATTTGAATTCACATTGTTATAAAATAATCATTATTATAGCCAAAAGTTGTTAATGTTGCCCACATGTGAAAAGCTGTGCTAAGTGTATTCTTAATATATTACCATTGTTATCCTATTTGCTCCTCCCACCCATCCCCATTTCACAAATAAGACAATTGGGAGGGGTTTAAATGACCTATCAGGATCATATAGTAAAAGTGGTGGATCTCAGGATTCGAACCCAGGCCTCATTGATTTAGAAATCCACACACTCAGGCACTCCGCTCCATGCATCCCATAATAATTATTACTACTACTAGTGGTAAGAGTTTACATTAGAGAAATTCTCAGTTATTACCTGCATTTTAGTATCCAGTTGTAATAATAGTTAACTTTGTTTCCCAGTTCTGTGGAACATTTACTACTTGTGCTGTGTAACCTTTATTTAAATTATTTTTTCTGTTTTCTTTTCTGTAAAGTAGGGATAGCATCCATAACTGTCACACCAACTGCATGGAGTCAAAGTAAGAATAACAAGGAGTGCACATATGAGCACTTTTTGCTGTTGGTGTAATGTTATTTGTTGATTATGACACTGTGCTATAAAACAAACATACTGTACTCTGAGAGGAGAATTTGCTCAACACTAAAGGTTATAAGTGAGAAAGAAGTGAAGTCCAAACAAGGCCCACATATTAGACTTAAAATAACTGTTAGGAGGTTTGTGTCCCTTCTCCAAGATAGAAGCCATTGTTTAAGACACTCCCTAGACAGTCATTTCCATGCCAAAATTTTCAGAATATTCTCAGTTGACAATCTCACTGTCACTTCAGGCCAGACTGAAAGTTAGAAAAATGGGTTCTAGATCTTATTCTGATGTTAGGAAATCACTGGAGCTTTCTGGGACACACTGGAGTACAGGCATAAGGAGGACAGGGACTTTGTCCCTATAGCCCCAAAATATTGGTTAGATGGTTGTGTAAAACTCCATAGCTTTAAAAGGAGGGTGATAGAGTAGATGAGTAGTTATCAGATATTTCTTTTTGCAGCAGAACTCATTTTCCCCACAAAATACAAAACAGATAGAGAGCTGGGAATCAAGCAGTAGGGTGTAGAGCCAAGACACCTGGAGCCTGCCCTGTTGCCTTCTTGTCCAGTCAACATTATTCCCCAACACTCTGGGATAACTGCACCAGACACAGTGTGGAAACCACTGATCTGGCTGCTAACGCTCTTCTCACTCAAATCCCAGGCATCCCAGTTTTTTTCTGTCTTCAACAAGTTAATTTTTTTTAAATCAAGGAAAGTAAACTAGGTACATTTTTGGAAACAGGTAGCTTAATTGATAAAATATTAATTTATTAAATTATTCTAACTTAAATTTCTGAAATTAGTGCTCAGCAAATATTCCATGTGCTCTCCTACATTTCCTATCATCTCCTGCAGTTGCCTGGTCCTGGCCAATGGCAACAATAATGTATGTTAATTCTACCTGCTCTTTCCCTCTCTTCCCCAGCTGTGGCCATGTGTTTCAGGGATCACTGCTTCAAGATAGAAGAGGGCCACCTGATTCACACTGAACTATGCTAGTGAGAAAGTTGTATCATGCTAGGTTACTGAGAAGTGAAAGTTGTTTGTCTTAATTTTTCTAACAAAAACACACTGCTAATTTAGTGGAGATATTTGGACTAAATTATGGAATAGATCTTCTAAAATGTACCGCTCTATTTTCCCATATAAAAAAAAAAAGTCCTCAGAGTTTAGTGCTAACAGAAGGCACCCACACCAAAGGAAGAGGTAAGGACTGTTTTTGGAACAATGGCTTAAATGGGAGGAGGGAATTTTCCAAAGACCATATGCCATAGTTGCCCTATAACTTAGGTCACTGAAGTAAAATCCCATTATTGCATATCTTCAATACTGTATAAGATTCCTGCTATATTGTCTTATTTACAAAAAATTAGTGAAATGAAATCTTATAGAGCTAACGATTTCATGAAACCAAACCTTTCAAATTAAATGTCCTCAGTGAAGTCACTACCCTCCACAACTCTTATTCATTGCCTCACAGGCATTTGCAAGTGTTCTATAGATAGACTTGTAATTTAAGATTTGGATGATGTTGTAAATCCCCAAAAGAGGTCCACAATCTGGACAGTCTTACCAGTTGACTTATATATTCCATTTTGTCAATAAATCTTAGGTTTCTCATCATCCTATAGTTGACTTGATATTTAACCTGTGAATTCCTTTAATGTTTAGGTAGTTAAGAAATATTAGCTTTCCCAAACTTGTTATTTTAATTTTCAGCTAAAATCAGTGAGTGGATGCTGCACTAAGCCCAGATGTCCATTGCGAGGCTGGGGTCTTACTCCTCCAGATGTCAGGATGCTATTAGCTATCAGACTTCCCTTTGAAATTGCCCTCTGCTGAAGCCAGCCACCTCTCCTAAGGCTAGATCCTCTTCCCCAGGCAGCCTAAATCCAGTGACTGGTCAAAGCAAGATATTCCAGCTAGTCTCAGAACTCCCAAGGGACTCATTGAGGCCTTACTGTATTTGTATTATAGCCCACTTTCTCCTACTTTCCAATCTGTTGACTTCCCTTCCCACACAGGTGTTGATCCTGAAAGTACTCCCTAATAAGCGTCTTGCACAATAATCTCCATCTCAGAGTCTGCTTCTGAGGGGCCTGGCCTAAAACAAATCCAAATTACTCTGCAACCATGAAATGGGAAACAAGTCAAACTAGTGTGGTCAGAGCTTTCCCTATCACACTGTGGGTATCAGACTGTCCCTCATGGTAAAAGATCTGAAGGAAATAATGCCATTCTTTATTCTGTATCCTCCAGACCTTTCAAATAATAATAAACAAGGTCATCCCAGGTGAAAGGACAAAAACATAAACTGACTAGATGAAAGATACATGTGAAAAAGAGGAAGGATAATTTATCTTGTTGGAAGAATGCCAATTTATGAAGACTGCATATGAATTTGTGTATATGTACATGCATATATACATACATGTATGAAAACAGATGTATTAATTTTTGAAATGGAAATATCTTTCTTTTGTCTCAACATGGAAACTCAAAACTTAGTCTATTTCTAGTGCAGACTTAATATGCATGCAGACTTAGTCAAATTCCATGTAGGGAAAAAAAAAACACACACACACACTACTAATCCTTATCAGGGCTCTTTTGGTTGGGAGAAACAGAAACCTACTCAAACGAAGTCAGTTTAAGATTACATAGTGATTGTTTTTTTCCCGTAAATTTGTTTACATTCCTTGTAGACTCTGGATATTAGACCTTTGTCAGATTGATAGGTTGCAAAAAATTCCTCCCATTCTGTAGGCTGTCTGTTCACTCTGATCATAGTTTCTCTTGCTATGCAGAAGCTCTTTAGTTTAATTAGATCCCACTTGTCAATTTTTGCTTTTGTTGCAATTGCTTTTGACGTTTTGGTCATGAAATCTTTGCCTATGCCTGTATCCTGAATGGTATTGCCTAGATTTTCTTCTAGGGTTTTTATAGTTTTGAGTTTTACACAACTCCATTAAAAAGTGGGCAAAGGACATGAACAGACACTTTTAAAGAAGACATTCATGCGGCCAATCAACATATGATAAAAAAGCTCAACATCGCCAATCATTAGAGAAACACAAATCAAAACCACAATGAGATACCACCTCACGCCAGTCAGAATGGCGATTATTGAAAAGTCAAGAAACAACAGATGCTGGTGGGGTTGCAGAGAAAAAGGAATGCTTCTACACTGTTGGTGGGAATGTAAATTAGTTCAACCATTGTGGAAGACAGTGTGGCAATTCCTCAAAGATATAGACTCAGAAATAGCATTTGACCCAGCAATCCCATCACTGGGTATATGCCCAAAGGAATATAAATCATCATATTATAAAGACACATGCACATGTATGTTCACTGCTTCATTATTCACAATAGCAAAGACATGGAATTAACCCAAATGGCCACCAGTGATAGACTGGATAAAGAAAGTGTGAAACATATACGCCACAGAATACTATGCAGTCATAAAAAGGAATGAAATTCTGTCCTTTGCAGGTACATGGATGGAGCTGGAAGCCATTATCCTCAGCAAACTAACACAGGAACAGAAAACCGAATATCACATGTTTTCACTTATAAGTGGGAGCTGAACAATGAGAACACATGGACACATGGAGAGAAACAATACACGCTGGGGCCTGTCGGGGGCAGGGGAGGGAGAGCATCAGGAAGAATAGCTAAAGTATGCTGAGCTTAATATCTAGGAGGTGGGTTGATCTGAGTGCAGCAAACCAGCAACTACCTACAACAAATCTGCACATCCTGCACATGTACTCCAGAACTTAAAATAACTGTTGAAGAAAAAAAGAAAGATCACATACATAGGAAATTGTTGACCCAGGTTTCACAATGATTCAGCTTGAGAGGTCAAATCAAAGACTCTTCTTTTTGTGTCTCATGGGCCAAAAAGCCTCTCTTATCTGCATGCTTTTGTCAGTCTCTCCCTTTCTGTTGACTCATCTTATACATGACCCAGCATGGCTTCATCTGTAGATCAGTAATCAATTGTCTTGCTGATAAACCCACACTCTTGCTCCCCAACTCAACTATTTCAGACTTTTTTCTTTATCCTCAAATCTCAAACTCCCCTCACTCTCAAAAGATGAGCCAACTCCTACTTACAGAAAAAATAGAAACAGACAGAAGGTCCCTCATCTTTTCTTTCCCGTCACAAAATACACTCTCTCTTTTATTCAAACCACCTCCTCCACTGTATTCTCTCCTTCTTTGATTTCTAAACATTCTTAACTTTATCCATTTAAATTCTATCTTAAAGAAACCCAAATTGAACTCCTCATTCTCCTCTAGCTATCTTCTCATGCTTCTTTCCCCTTCTTAGCCAAGCTCCTTGAAAGATTTACATGCAACAACTATTTGTTTTTATTCATCTTTCTCCCATTCTACCCATTCCAATCTAGTGCTGACCCCATAAATTTGTAGAAAAAGCCTTTCCTGAAGTTACCAGTGATCTCCTTGTTACCGAATACAATAGCTCTTTCGTAGTTCTCATCCTATTTGATGTCTCTGCAGAATTCATTTTAAAAAATTGATTCAGGTAAAATTTAAATACAGTGAAATGCACACGTAGTAAGTAAACAGTTTGGTCAGTTTTGACAAATGCATACATATGTATAATACATACCTCTATCAATATTTAAGATATTTACAACCCTCCAGAAAGTCACCTCCTACCCCTTTCCAGCCAGTCCTTCACCCTTGCCACCATAGAGGAGCCTACCAATCTCATATCCACCACCATAGATTAGCTTTCCCTATTTTGGAGCTTCATATGAATGGAATCAATCATGCAGTCTGCCTGATTTGTGTCTGGCTTTTCCTATCTACCATAATGTTTTTGAGATTCATCCATGTTGTTTATGTATCAATGTTTTATTCCTGTTTATTGTGGAATAGTGAATTTTTCATTGTGTGAGTATTTCACAGCTTTTAAATTCATTCTACTGATGGACGTCTGAGCTATTTCAATTTTAGGGTCATTAACAATAAGGTTGCTATGAAGATTCTTAAATAAGTCTTTTTGTCAGTGTATGTTCTCATTTTTCTTATATAAATATCTAGGAATGGAATTCCTATGTCATAGTGTAGATGCACGCTAAACTCTTTAAGAAACTGCCAGAGTTTTCTCAAGTGGCTCTATCATGCCCACAATCAATATATAAGACTTTTAGTTTCTCATTATCTTTATCAACATTAGGTGATTCCAGTCTTCCTTGTTTGTTCATCTAATTTTAGCTATCATAGTCAGTGTGCCTTAGCCTCCTCAAAATACTCTCTTCCCTTTGATTTAGTGAGACAAGGCTCTCCTGGTTTTTATCCTATATCTCTGGCCATTTCTTCTTTAATGCTTTTGCAGGGCTATTGTCCTCTATCAATTTTTAAAAGTGAAACTTCATTAAAGCTTACTCCTAGGCTTTCTTATTGTCTGAATTTAATCACTCAGCCTCACCCATAGCTTCATGGCCATCTGTGTACACATGACTCATAAATTTACATTTCTAACCCATACTCTCTTCTGAGTTCCTGACCTTTAACCTGCTTAATATCTCTCTCGGATTTCTCAAAGTTACCACAAAGCCAAATAACCAGGACTAAATTTGGGATCTCTCTTCCACCACTCCAGATACTCCCAAAACTTGGTGGCACAAGTCTGACATCAACCCATATTCAATCAATTAAAACAACAATAACAGTTGTGGTTTTTGCTTCCCAAATCTCTCTCAAATTTTAACATTTTGCCATCACCACCAAAGTTTCTGCTTCTAACATCTGCCACCTGGATTTCTACAGTAGCCTCCCAGCTGGTCTCTACACATACATGCCCCAGGACTTCATCTAATCTGCTCTTGATACTTCAGCCAGAATGATCTTTTAAAAATGCTAATAAGATTATATCATATCTCTCTTCAAAACCCTTTGGCTCTTAAAATAAAGAAAAAACTCTAAAACATGACCTGGTGGGCCCTACCATGTCTAGTTTCTGCCTACCTCTCCAAATTCTTCTCAAACCACACTCCTGCCTTTTGCAGACTTTTTCCTCTTCCACAAGACTGGCTTCCTTCCAGTGCTTCAGGCTTACCACTCCCCCTTCCATCACTGGCTCTCATTCTTTACTTCTAGAGGGTACTTCACCCCTATTTGCCTGCTTAACTTCTGTTCATTCTCAGATCTTAGCTCAGTCCTTACTGTCATTTCCATGGGAAGCACACCTGGATAACCTGATCTTAGTCAAAATTCCTGATAAAGTATTATTTTATCAAAATATTATACAATGTTCTGTGCTGCCTTTATCATAGATTTTAATTTTACGTGGGTGATTATTCAAGAAAATTTACTTCCTTCTACAAAAGGCTATTAATTCTAGTACCACACCTAGCATATCATGAGTAGTGCCCAATCTATTTTTGCTTCAAGAACAAATGAATGTGGATCATTCATTTTCTTTGGCCCTCTGATGATTTTCTATTTAAAAATTTGAAAGACACTCTCATTAGTATTTGGCCAGTCGATAAATTACCTGGCCTTGGGCCAACTGTCCACCATTAGTCCAGTTAGCTACAGCCATGTTGGGATCATATGGATGTAGGGCTGCTTCTTCCAGAATAGCCACTGCCATAAAATCCACAGAAAGGGCTGTGGGTGCAAAAGGTAATGCAAGTCATGTCTAGATCATACAAATATACAAATTCTGGTAAATTAGATAGAATTAACTTCCTTAAGACTTTATAGAAGAATGTTTCAAGTCTTCAGGGATGTGGGTATGTGAGATTACATGTATGGAGGCACAGGTGAGATGAGAGTATATATATATATGTGTGTGTGTGTTTGTGTGTGTGTGTGTATACAAATACAAGTTCTTAGATATATATGTGAGTAGCCATTCACACCTCATCCCACTAACTTTCCTTGAATTACTGACCCACAGTAATTGAAGTCAAACCTCCAAGTGAAGAGGAACCAAAGAAAGCTCTTCTTTGTAAGCAAAAATCAACTGGCTTTTAAGAGTAAAAAAAACCAAAACATTATTTTAATATATACATAATTCAAAAGCATAATAGGAAAAGTTATTTGGAATCATAACTAAATTACTGCTAGTAAAAATGTACCTTTCAGGGAAAAATTTAAAATTAAAAATAAAATTATCACAATTAAGAAATGTTGATACAGCTTAAATAAAATTCCAACAAATATGATTCCAAAGGGAATCTTTAAATAAAATATTTCTTAGTCCCTGGCAATAATGTACTTATATAATCTGGCAATAATTTACTTATATATTATTTACTTAATAAAACCAAATTCAAAATGAACAAAGTAATTATAAGTTCTCATGGAGTTTTCTATAACAAATAGTATCTCAAAGAGAAAGCAAATAAAAACAGAAATGAAAAAAATTAAATGTTTGAATGTGTTGGTAGTTAAAATGGAACCAAGTGTAAAAAGGGTGACGGTGGAAAAAAACCACTGTACTAGGACACAGAAGACCTGGAGTCTTATCCCTAGCTCTCTCAGTAATGAAAAATGAAATCCTGAGTCTCTGGCCTCAGTTTTCTCTTCTTAGAGTAAAAATAAATCCTCAGTGGCTAGAATGTTTATTGCCATCTTTCCTGCCAACTCTTATCAGTTGATGGCCTGGAGCACTATGTTCAGAAAGGTTCTGAGGCATCTGACATGTATTAGTGATGCTGCTTTAGGTACAGGTATTTGCAGGTGAGCTGAGAATTTACCAGTGTTGGATGACATAGTCACTGAGTTCCCACTCACACCTCAACTCAGCCTAATTCTGAAATGCAAAAGTCAGTGCTGTTGTGTCCTGGGCACACAGGCTATACAATTTAGTTCAACAGCACTTGATGGAGGCCTATTATGTATGGGTTACAGAGTTGGGCAATGAAAATGAAAAGATGATTAATATAAGATACCTTCCTTCAAGGATTTTAAGTCTAGAAGATGGCTTAACTGAGGTATCCTTTTTTATTAAAAAATATAACCAGTAGAATGCTTTCTGGCAATACACTACTGATCTAATTCTAAATATCAAATCAGAAAACTAACAGTACTATGCTATAAACTGTCATGGAAGTTAGTGATGTTTTATTTCAAAGAAAATGTTTCCATTAAGCATGTCTGTCCAGAGGATTACTTTTTAAAATATATAATTTACATCCTCACCTATATTCAAATACTTTAAGAATGCTGTCTTTCAAAAACCTAAGAATGATAAATCAAGATACAACAGGCCATCAAAAATTACATGTTAATTTTACCTTATAATGTCTAGTATCCAATATATTTTCCTCATAAGTTCTGGTCAACCTGGTTCTCTCGATAACTAAAAGCACTCAACTCACTTCTTGTTTTCAAAATTTGCTGACTGAATTCCCGTGGTTAGAATAATCATCCCACTCTATCCTCCTACTTATACCGTTAGCAGCCCTGGGTGACTCCTCCAGTCCACATTCCTTGAATCTAATTCATTCATTCATTCATTCATTCATCCATCCATATACAATTTTAAAAAATGGGCACCTATTCTATGCCAGGCAATATGCTTATATGAGGGATTCAAATAAGAATGGTCCTCCTTTCCAGAATTTATGCTGTACTGAGAGGACACTGTTAAGAGAAAGAGGTTATAGAAAAATCAAATAAAACAATCAAAAGAGGTTAAGACGAATACCAAAATCTATTTGAGAAGTCTGGGAAGATATACCAGATAAGGTGTCACTTGAGCTAATTCAAAAGGCTAGGTAAAACTTAGTCAGATGTAAAAGGATATTTCTGATGGAGAGAAAAGTATGAGTTGGGTTACCATGTTGTGAAATAGCAATTACCCTTGAAAACTAGTTCAGCAAGATTATGGCAGGAATGTATTCACGGACCAAAGAACAGAAATAGCAAGTAGGATCCAGATTACAAAGTTTAAACTTTACTCTGAAAGCAAGCGGGTTTTATGGGAGAGACATGATCAGACGAATTTTAGAAAGATTCCTCTGGCAGCAATGTGGAGATCAGATCAGATGGGAGGAATTTTGATTAGTGGCAGAAAAATGAATCAAGAGGTTCCTTCAGGCATCCAGATAAGTACTGAAGAGAGCCTACATTAAGGTAATGACAATGGGATTGGAAAATAAGACAGACATTTAAAAGATTCCAAAAGATTAAATCTGTAGGATTTGATGATGGGTGAAGTGAGGAGTTGCAGTGGTGATGCTACCCACACAGACAAGAAATACAGAGACACTGCGTTTAGGCAGAAAGTCAAGAAATTTATAACAGGACACAATAAAGTTGAAGTGCCTATAGGACACTCAGGTAGAGAAATTTAACAGGTGGCTAAGGACATGAATCCAGAATTTAGTAGTAAATTCTAATGCAGTAATATAGATCTAGGGATCATTGACATATACATGGTTGGAGCCATTGACGGAGATACACAAGGAACTGCATATAAAATGGGAGAATATGGAGAATAGGACCCCATGAGAACGCCAACATCTGAGATTCAAGAGAAGATAAAATAGAAGCATTTAGAAACATTGAAGGCAAATCAAAAGGATATGGAATTATAGAAGCAAGGGCAAGAGGGAGCTTCAAAAGATTCTTCACCTCTTATCATAACCACCACTCAATTTGCACTATTTTGTGTTCTTGAGTATTTAGTCTTTTCCCAAAGTGCGTATGTCATATTTTTTTTAATTTGCACAACCTTACTAGCAAAAGTATCTGCTTCTTGTGGCCTGGTACCATGTTTATTTCTCTTCTATTGCATGTGGACCTCCTATAGCCTTTAACTATGCTGCATTTATGGAAGTCAGGGACTAGATAGCCCCTGGACTGATTATCCATCATAGTTGTACCCAATAGTGACTGTTAAAGCTTAGGCTTTTGGAGCTCTAAATACCATAAAATCCCTTTCTAATGCTTGTGTCTGGCATGATACTTAGACCATAATATCTTTTTCAGACTAGCATCAAGTTTTTACTTCAGGTTGCTATATATTAGGTGGCTAGATTTGACCTAGGGTATGCAGACAGCTGTAAATTGAAATATCCATTCTCAATATAAGAAGACTTTACTGTATTTTATTTTTCAAAATTACACTTTTATGAAAACTGTCACAATCATGAATAATATAAAATTAGAATCTCTTTAGGATTTTGGATCTTACTAAAATTTCAATATCTAAAATAAATGAGACTGTTCATTTCAATATCCCTTTATTCCAGATACTAGGATGTAAAATGTCTTCATTTTTTCCCAGAAACAAAGGGGTTAGGAAAGAAGGCTTAAGCTCCAATATATTGCAATACAGAGATAGCCAAGGAAGATAAATCTGCTAAGCTGTGTGAAATATAAAAGGAAAAGCCATTTGGTTACTTTACTTTTGTTTTCATCTCTTTCTACCAATACGCTAAGTAATCTTTCTGACCTGGATAGAACCTCTAAATGTGGATATATACTACCATATAGTTAAAGAAACCCAATACATTGATTTTTACATACCCTAGGTACTTCATATACAATCTGCCTATTTTTTCCAGAATAAAAACCACATAAATTGAAAACAAAACAGCTAGCAGCTAGACATCCTATCAAAGAGTTTCTTTCTTTCCTTCTTTTTTTTTTTTTTTTTTTTTTTTGAGAGGGAGTCTTGCTCTATCACCCAGGCTGGAGTGCAGAGGCACAATCTCAGCTTACTGCAACCTCCGCCTCCCGGGTTCAAGAAATTCTCCTGCCTCAGCCTCCCAAGTAGCTGGGATTACAGGCATGCATCACCACGCCGGCTAATTTTTTTATTTTTAGTAGAGATGGGGTTTCGCCATATTGGCCAGTCTGGTCTCAAACTCCTGACCTCAGGTGATACGCCCTTCTCAGCCTCCCAAAGTGCTGGGATTGCAGGCGTGAGCCACCGCACCCGGCCTCAAAGAGTTTCTTGTTACATTGGTTAAAAGCTGTGTTTAAACAACAAAAACAATAATATGGCACACAATGCTTGTGCACCAATAACTTACAACTTTAAAATATATTCTTGAGATTAAAAATAGTCTTCAAATATTAAGCAATACTGCTTTAAGTACAGAAAGCCATATGTAGGTATGTAAATTGTGAACTAATCAAATGGACGATGTAAAGTCCAGCAAATACAGCAAGAAAACTCCATCAAGATTACTACATTAGTTTCCACTTGTGAGTGTGTATATTATGCATGAGAGTCCATTAAAAGAAGCTAAGTAGTGTAAGACTTTTATATGACAGTACAGATATCTTAATTGGTTTTCAATTTACATACCTTCTCTATGTAAATATACTATCATCTTCCAGATGATAATTAAATTACCTGGCATAATGATGGGTAATACAAACAAATACTAAATAATGTATAAATCATTAGCATGGTATTATTTTCTATATTACACAAAATATCTTTCATTCATTATGCTTTAAAATAGCTAATATTATAATTAAGTGCATTGATTACTTACATATTGCATGAAATTACTTTCTATAACATTACCTTATTTTACTATCTAAACATCAGAGGAATTATCAAAATATTACAAATAACATGCAATTACTTTCTGTAACATTACCTCATTTTGCCATCTAAACTCAGAGGAATATCAAAATATTACATCCCAAAATCTATTTAAATAAATTCTCACACATTAAAGATGTCTTTGGTAAACTGCAGGCTGCTCTTTGCAAGGCTCAAAGGAGAATTCTCATAAAGACAGTCCTGTATGAAGTCGCAATTCATAACTACTATTATTTGAAAAATGTTTTGAAATTTTAAATTCAGCTTTGCCATAAAAAGCATCATTCTGTTGAGATTCCATAAAAGAGAATACCTTATTTCCTTTTTTTTTTCAGACAGAGTCTCACTCTGTTGCCCAGGCTGGACTGCAGTGGCAGGATCTCAGCTCATTGCAGCCTCTGCCTCCTGGTTTCAAGCGATTCTTCTGCTTCAGCCTCCTGGGTACCTGGGATTACAGGTGCACTCCACCATACCAGGTTAATTTTTTGTATTTTTAGTAGAGACGGGGTTTTACCATGTTGGCCAGGCTGGTCTCAAACTCCTGAGCTCAAGTGATCCACCCGCTTTGGCCTCCCAAAGTGTTGGGATTACGGGAGTGAGCCACCACGCCTGGCTGATAATACCTCATTCTCAGAAAAAGTGTTCTCCATTTACCAAACAATGATCAAGATTTTATATCTACCACTTGCTTGCATTACTTATTGTTGAGATATATTTTAACACTGTTAATTGCTTGATTTTCTGAAGTTATAAATGAAGAATTTGGGGAAGAGAAAGCAAGATTTAAAAAGAGGAAGACAATATAATTTGTCATCCGGGTTGAAACTCAAAATTGAGAGAAGGGGTTACCATACATAATAATAGCAGGAAATTGGTATAAACAGATAAAGGAAAATCAACATGTACAGTCACCTTCCTTTTAAACAGCTCTATTTTGCCTTTAAGTAAGCATTCGTATGAACAGGAAGTTTTCACAATATTGCAACAGAAGCAGAAACATCTAAAATCAATTCTGCAGAATAACCCCCTCTTGCTGTCCACAGAAAAGTAATCTAGTCAAAATAAGTGTATATAAACTCGATGTAAGAATGTGAGAATATAAATACAGAAAACCTAAGGCATCCAATAAAGAATCTTAAAAAGTTCTTAAACACATGCAATTTATTACATCACTCAATGGTAAACTGACATGAAAGAAAACTACCTGACAAATATACATGACCCCTTATTCAGCTAATTCTGAAAATGAAGAATTTATTAAACCCAGTGACACTAAAATTATTACTGTATTTCTCCAAATTTTTTTCTGTAAAAGATGAGGAAATTACCCCAAGCTAATTTCTCTTCTCATTTTTGAATTAGGATTGCCTTTTAGATCTTTCAAACTTTATCACTTTGCCCACATTGCTTTTTGTGCTAAAAACATGTACGAGCTATTTAATGAGAGGGGAAAAAAAAAAAGAAAAGAAAGAAGGTAAATATAGTCTCAGACCAAGCCCTGAACTCATTTTACCTTTTAACTCCTTGTCAAATTCTCACACTGGGAGCTGCAACCCTGGCAACACTGCATTGCTAGCATGAAAGGATAGGTGGGCTCTTCTCCAAGAGCTCATCTTCCCAAGCCCCCTAGTACCTTCAAAGACTACTGGAAAATATAATCTTGGTGTTCTACAGTTTTAACAAATAAGCATAATAATGGCACCTTTCTTGGAAACAGCAATTTGGAGGATATGATGACTCCACTATCATTTTAAAGCTTCACAGATTAGAAGGACTGCCATTATAAATTCCACTTTACATATAAAATCTGATGCTTGGATGGATTATCTTGACAATGTTCACACCTATAAAAAGTCATAATGTTAAGACCAGAATCTAGTCCAGTGTTCTATCCAACTATCCAGCACTCACCTCTTTTTCTGACTACGGCAGTTTTAAAATGATAGGAACTCAGCCAACATTGGGCTGTAAGCAGAGGATTCGCCTTTATTCTACCCCAGCAGCCTAATGCCTGACCTAATTCTAATACCTGAAACAATGGTCTTGTTGAATTAAATATCATATGACACTTTGTTAGAAATAGCCTATTTAATAAATAAAATTCAGAACAATAGTGGCAAACAAAGATAACTCATGGTTAGGTGGAATGGTGGGAAAATGCTATGGTATTAGGGAACCCTGTGGGCAAAACAGCAAGCAGATAAGGAAAACTCCAGGTACAAATGGGGTTAGAGAGTCACCTGGGGCCAGAACTGCGGAAGCCAGACAGTTCTGGAGAGTCCACCCTCAGAAAAGGGTGGAACATGTTACTAGCCACATGAAGCTCCTCTCTCACTCCTTTAAGTTTTGTTCTCTGGACTCCAGAATCAAATGTCATGAGCAAAGGGTCAGGAAGATGCCAAGCTAGTTCTGGGAATTTCACTAACATTGGAAAACTAATAAATACTCACAGGCTAGAATTCTCTTCAAGAGGTGAGCCTGGGTGAGTAAAATTTGTAAAGCATCCAGTCAAATGCATAATACATAGAAGGTACACGATAAATGTTAGTTTCCTTTCCAACAGATGAGGGAAACAAATCATAATAGCCAGCACTCAATGCACTTTTTTAAAGACTTAAAAGAACAATAATGGTTTGAGGTCAGTGTACATGGATTCTGGATTCATTATGCTAGCTGCCACGTGCCTCAGGCAAATTTACTTTGACTCTCAGGACCAACTCTAAAATACCCAACTCACAGGACCAAATGTATAAAAGTAGAAAACAGCCCATGAGGACAAATTAAATGCAATACAATTGACTTTATAAGCCATGGTACTGCAACCTCATCCATCTGCTTATTACAGGTATGGGCGGATAATAATATGATTTTAGGAATTCATATTTGATATCTTTCCAGGAAGCTCACTGCACAAGTTTACAAAAATTGTTTTCCTCGTTTAAAAAGTTGAGCAAATAACATTCCCAAGACATTATGCTTCTATTAGTCAAGTCAGCAGTAGCACATCCAGCCCACACTGGTTTCCATATTCTCCTTCTAATTTAGTAATGTATTTACTTAAATAATGCCTTTTTCATATTTTGGGGTGTAAGATATTAAAATCTTTTCAAACCCTAATGAAAATATGATACCTGCATACATAGGAACGCTATCCTCATCCCCCTCAAGGTTCCCCAGATTTTCCTTCCACTTTTCTTCTTTTCCCAGTTGGTAACTGGGATCTCTCATAATGAACCTTATGGATATATTTCAGGCCACAGTATTATATTTGTGTAAAGTAAGTAAAAGGAGGAGGAAAGCTGAAGTTACAGGAATTCTTCTCATTCTACTTTCTCTCTCCTTTCCAGGAAAAAAGTAGTAATTATGGATGATTAGAAAGCAAATGCTAGGTGACCTGTTAAGAAGAGAAGGAGAAGCCCAAAGTCAATACTCTTTATAAATCAATTCATACCATGGACTGAAGGATTTGTAGGAAAAAAATGAAACTTCATACAATCTCAATTTAATTTTCTTGCCCATGTTTGCACAGTAAGTGGCAGAACTAGAACTAGAACCTAAAAACACTCGGATACAAACTTAATGGTCTTTCCACTACACTGTGATGCTTTTTATTACCTTCTAACACTCTATGAAAGAGTATAGGTGAAGCCCCAGGCTCTGCTGTGATCAGCAGCTGATCTGAATCAGCCTAATTTTTTGCCAAGCCACTTCTCTGCAACTGAGAAAAGACTATAAATTCATTTAAAGAAAATATAAATGAAATATAGGCTGCTTCTTGGTAGGAAGACAGTGTAGTGTACGGGAAAATACTTGGATTTAGACTAAAAGGTCTGATTTTGAATCATGATTGGACCATGTTATGTGAGTCAGTTTAGGATATTACTAAATTCTCTGAGGGTAGTGTGAGGATGTGAGAATTATATTATTTGGTTTACCTTCTGCACAGGCTATTGTGAGAATCCAAATATTTATACTTATAATAAACTTGAGCACAGTTTAACTATTTGGCATTAGATTAAATAACTTAAAATAAGAGCTAGTGTGAGGTTAATGTTCAATAAATGTTACCTATTTACATTATATTCCAATATGGTACTCGATTCTCATCCTCAAACCATCGCCTTAACTCTCTACATTTTTTCTCTTCTCTTACTATTCAGTAGCTGCTTTCTCTATGAAGTTTTTTTTTTTTTTTTTTTTTTTTTTTACAAAAAGGAGTAAGATCCTAGATCTAATGAGATCTTCTCTGATTTAGGTCCCAGATAATGCAGTTTTCAGCCTATGTAATATATTGGCTCATGATGTCTAGTAACAGTTACTTGAAGGAGTATTCATCGAGAAAGTTAGGTTTCAGAAAGCCTTCAGAACACACACACTCACATCCAAAACACTATTAAGATTAAGAAAAGACCTCTAATTTGCAGATAATTAAGTCAATCATTAAACATAATTTGTGGGAGCCAACTATTTCCAGTTATATGGCCATTAAACTTAAAATTAGTGTACTTTGCCAACAAAACGAATTCTTTTTATGATAAAGTACTTTCAATTTCAAATAAAATCTTCTAAAATCTTGATTTTAAAGTAGCTTGATTTTTTTCCATTTATACATATTTAAAGACATTCTCAAAGCCAAATTCAACTAGTAATTTACAATCAAGGCCGATGAAACTTACAAATACATTTTAATTGATATTTTATAATGTTGGTTTCACATATTCATCCATCATTTTCTATTTTCTCTCTGCGCCTATTTTTATACATTGTGAAAAGAGACAGCATGCACAGTAGGTAGCTTAAGGAGATAGTTCTGCACCAATAACACAAGTGAATTTTAAGTCTAATTGCCGTATTGCCAGAACTTAAGCTTTGTAGAGCGTTTTGTGAAAGTAATTTCTCAGATGTGTGATTATGATCACCCATAATTACCACAAAAACTTTTCTCTGATGTAACAATATTTTAAAGCCCTGTTAAAAGAATCCTGTTTTCCAATCTATTTTAACACAAAGTTTTAAAAAGGCCACCATCTATGACTATGTGTCATTATGTCCTCATATATATGTGTCATCTAAATAGTTCCCATTATCCCCAGTTTTTAAGACATAAAGTGTCCCCTATAAAAAAAAATTACAGCACTTTTCCACTAATTGCAGACAATATGACATGCTTACATGGCAGCAAACTGGGATTCCAAAACACTCACCAATCTGTCACTGAACAAAAGGCCAAGACATTAGCAGAGGAGGCTGATGGATAAAGTTAATACAGAGGTCCAGGATTATAGAGAGCTGTTGTATAACAGCATCATATACAGTGATATTTTGTGAATCCATGCAACAAAGGAACAATATATGCAAGCCAGTAGAAAGCAGTCACAGGAAAAGCAGCGGAAAAGATGTGTTAGACATGAGCAGTTGGACAGTGCTCCTAATTTTTATTTGCCCATATAAGCCCATACAATCTTATAATTGCTGTCCTTTGGCAGTTAGCAGGTTTGGAATTCTGTCCTAAAACTCACCCACTCCCACTTAAAATCCCTCACTCTCCACCATGCTTGAGACAGCCAATGAAGAGGCATGATGGCCACTACTTGCACCGTGCCTTCCCCTTCCTATCCGGACTCTGGCAAGCAGCAGCCTATATTTTCCACTAGCTACTGGAGGCCTCCATCCACCTGCTGTCTGCAGCAAACAGCAAAAGGAACAGCAGCAAACCTGTAAATCCTGACAAGCCGAAAAGGTGTTCAGGACAGGTGGCAGGGGCTGTAACCAGTGAGTACAGACGGACTGACAACCAGACAGACAGACAGCAGCACTATCAGACACCATCCATTACTTCCAGTCTCAGAAGAGGGGAAGCCTGCAGCACCAGGGACGTCATTCTTCCACTAGGGACAGGCAGCAGATTAACGAGGGTTCTGCCTCCCTCAAGCCGGCAGGCTTAAAGTATTTGATTTTTGGATGAGAAGGAGCAGGGAATTCAGAAACCTGCTGCTCTTTATAGAACCAGGCCAGCTCTGGCCTTCGGAGTTAATGGCCCTTTTCTGAATCTACAATGAAAGAACAGGAATGACTGGATTTCTACTATTTTGCTGTGACCTAACAGCCACATCTCTCCCTCAGTATCCCCCTCCCCTATCTGAGTGTCAGTTGCCCTGGTTGGGGAACCATCGGTCTGTGAATGCAGCCTCCCTCCATTCCTCTCCTATGAGGCACTGCTGCACTGAGGGGAAGCAGAAGAAATCTTCTTCGGCAGCATCTTCTCTCGAGGAGGCACTTCTAGGGGGTGGGGGAGAGGCCATGCAGAATGTGCTCTGTGTCTGGGTTTCACCCCTGCTCCCTCCCCACCCCTCTTTTGCTATCAGGTAACTCCAGATGCAACAGGTTCCTTTTGGCTCTTCATGCCAATCCCCTGGCCCCAGATACACCTTCCAGCCTAAGCAGGGGACACCAAGGAGTCAGTCACAGTCAGGGCCCCTACATTCCCCTGCTTCAGAGTGAAAACTTTCCTGAATACATGAAGACTTCCCAAGAAAAGGCAGGGTTGAAGCCTCCTTCAGCTCTACTCTATGGGTGATGCTAAGCAAGGAAAGCCCCGTCTCTCTGCCAGTCCCTTGTAAGCAGTTTTGTCTGAGGCAAGCAGCAGCACAGTGTCACACACTCCTGCACCACCAGCAAGTAGTCCCATCTTCTCCCCATCACCAGGAAAATGGGGCATCAGACAGAAATCCCTTGAAGGGTTGATGCGCTCTAAAGAAGTGAGGAGGAGTGCAAATTCCCAATCCCTTATTGGACTGTTTCCTCCAGGAACTGAACAGGCCCCAGAGGTCTCTTGGAAACCACTAAAGAGGAACCTCTATGTTATTCAGGCCAGAGTCCCTGTCAGCTTCTCCCATGATTAAAAACTTTGTATTGCCAGTGGCATTACATATGGAGAA
This sequence comes from Homo sapiens, assembly GCF_000001405.40. Classification (NCBI taxonomy): domain Eukaryota; kingdom Metazoa; phylum Chordata; class Mammalia; order Primates; family Hominidae; genus Homo; species Homo sapiens. Next base: position 71,887,839 of record NC_000006.12, on the reverse strand, counting down.
GAGAATCTGTCTTCACACAGGTATGCTGTGTAGAAGACTCTGAATAAAAGGTTAAAGAGAAGCTGGGGAGGCAGGTTACCAAAGATGGCAATTGCCCAAAAAAAGACCCAACCTTGATCTGTGAGATGAATGATTACTAAAATGAACACTAAAAATAAGCATTTTTATTATATAAATATAGGCAGCCTTCACTGGGGTAACCCCGACCAGCTAAACAACTCCAAGAAGAGAAGAGGAGCTGTCCTCAGCACCTCTTCATCCTGCCTCCCCTTGTTTCTACTCATCCCCTGCCCCCTAACCTGCTCCCAGCCCAGGGACCTTCCACTTGGGTGGGATCAGCACCTCTCAGCTTCTGCACTTCCCACCACGAGCGTGGCCCCCGTCCACCCATCCCTCCTCTGCACCCCAGTCTCAAGTCATCCTCCCCCGGCCTTTGGGTTCCTGGATCTGTGGCATATCCCCTCCCTCCTCCGGTCCCCTGACCTCTTCCCTGCTCAAGCCCCGCGCCCCTGGCCCAAGGCGGGCGCCTCCGTCCGCACCCAGCACCCTGGCAGCCCCTTCCCCACACTCAGCCGCGAGGACTAGGGGAGTGAGTGGTGAATGGACGGATGGAGGCACGGAGGCATGGATGGCGCGGCTGGGGCTGGCTTACTTGAGCATGGCTTCTTCTTTTTCCTCCTCTTCCTTCTGCCGGTCCATCACTGCCATGATAATGTTCCTCTCCTCTTCGGTCAGGTGGCTCAGGTCGGGCAGCTCTTGCATGGGGGGAGGCACCGTGGGTGGGCGAGGACCGCGGGGCCCCACGGCCGAGGACATTTTCGTGGCCTGCCCGCCCCCTCTGCTCGCTCTCTGGCTCTCACCTTTCGGATGCACGCCCAGCAGCTGCGCCCCTGCTTCCCCCTCACAGCGGAGCCCTAGCGGCGGCGGCAGGAGGAGGAGCAGCGGCGGCGGCGGCAGCAGCAGCAGCAGCAGAGCCGGGGAGAGCGAGAACCCAGTCTTTCATGGTTGTTTGCATCCACCCAGCCCCGGATGCTGCCTTTGTTTTGGTCGCCCTAGCGAAGCTCGGGGCCGCCCGGCCGCCTCCCGCAGCCCAGCCTCGGCCGGCGGGGGCGGGCAGGCGGAGGCGCGGCGGGAGAGGCGAGGGGGCGAGGGCTCGCGCCAGGCTCCGCCGATCCGGGCGTCTCCGGCGGGGCGCGGGGCGGGGGCGGGGCTGGGGCTGGGGCTGGGGCTGGGACTGGGGCGGCCGCTGCCGCCGTGGAGGCTGCTCCCAGGCTCTGCTGCCTCCAATTTGGGGCTGCGGGAGGGAGAGGGAGAGTTTGGGTGTCAGTTAGGCGGAGTCTCAGAGGCTTCCATCCAGGGTGATGCCGCTGCTCTCGCAGACATAGCTGCCAGCCACTCAGTCCCGGCGCCGCTCCGCCCACGGGCACCCACCCGCCCACTCCCCGGGTCCGAGCCACGCGTGCCCCGGCCGCTACCCCTACAGTCGCCAACGTGCACAGCACCTCGCTCTATCCCCAGGTACCCCTCACCCATGAGTCATCCTCCCTCTTCTGGTCCCTCGCCTATGTCATCCTCCCCAGCCCTATTTTGCATGGGTCGCATTAATCATCATCATCCTCGCTACCATCTTCATCATAGAGCATTAATATTATTTGAGCAACCACAATGTTCTGAACAGCAGAATGGAACACCCTGTGGATACATTTTCTTTTTCCTCCCTGCCACCGTGTCTTTCTTATTTACTAGTTAAGTGTTCACAGCCACAACAATGTGATTTTTTGGATGCTTTTGATACACACACACACACACACACACACACACACACACACACACACATCCTCCAACAGCCTGGATTTTCTGGGTATATTGTACTCATCAATGCAGTGTCTTTCTTGACCCGTCCTCGCTAGGACTGTTCTGCAGTGTATCAAGATGCCCCACAACACGGTAAATCTTTAATTTGTGTTTTTTGGCTCTAGGTAGCCCCATCACATCACATAACTGCTCTCTGGTGCTTACACATGAGTTATCTACTCTAATTCCTCTAATGATGTTCGCTATCATCATACTCACTCACATGTAGTTCAGAGTATCTCTGTAGGTACTTCCCAAGAAACACTGATCCCAGATAAGAAAAACACTCAACCATATCCTATTGTATTTAAGAAGCTTCTGCTAATGCCTAGCCCAATGATAGGCATTAAGGATGAGCTTCTCTTGCTGATAAAGGCAGAAATAAATAGGCAATCTTTTCAAAATAGGTAATGTTATCAGCTTTGAAACCTGGAGACTGAATTTTCTTGATATAATTATAAAAGAATCAATATAGAAAAGGGTTTAAATTGAACAACAATTTCCTAGTCAAGACTCCTTAGCAATGATGATGAGAGAATTGATATGTTTCTCTCCTAGGCTATTTTTTTAACTTAATTTAACTTAAAGTTCTGGAGTACATGTGCTGGATGTGGAGGGTTGTTACATAGGTAAACATGTGTCATGGTGGTTTGCTGCACCTATCAACCCATCACCTAGGTATTAAGCCCCATATACATTAGCTATTTGTCCTGATTCTCTCCCTGTGCCCCACCACAGGCCCCAGTGTGTGGTGTTCCTCTCCCTGTGTCCGGGTGTTCTCATTGTTGAACTCCCATTTATAAGTGGGAACATGGTGTTTGATTTTCTGTTCCTGTGTTAGTTTGCTGAGAATAATGGCTTCCAGCTCAAACCACGTCCCTGCAAAGGACATGATCTCATTCTTTTTTATGGCTGAATAGTGTTCCATGGTGTGTATATGTACTACATTTTCTTTATCCAGTCTATCATTGACAGGCATTTGGGTTGATTCCATGTCTTTGCTATTGTGAATAGTGCTGCAATGAACATCCATGTGCATGTATCTTTATAATGATTTATATTCCTTTGGGCATATACCCAGTGATGGGATTGCTGGGTTAAATGGTATTTCTGGTTCTAGGTCTTTGAGGACTCGCCACACTGTCTTCCACAATGACTGAACTAATTTACATTCCCACCAACAGTGTAAAAGTGTTCCTATTTCTCCACAGCCTCACCAGCATTTGTTGTATCTTGACTTTTAATGATAGCCATTCTGACTGGCATGAGATGGTATCTCATTGTGATTTTGATTTGCATTTCTTTAAGGATGTGATGTTGAACTTTTTTTCATATGTTTGTTGCCTGCATAAATGTCTTCTTTTGAGAAGTGTCTATTCATGTCCTTTGCCCACTTTTTAGTGGGGTTGTTTGTTATTTTTCTTGTAAATTTATTTAAGTTCCTTGTAGATTCTGGATATTAGACCTTTGTCAGGAGGATGGATTGCAAAAATTTTCTCTCATTCTGTAGGTTGTCTGTTCACCTTGATGATAGTTTATTTTGCTGTTTAGAATAGCTCCAGAAGGAAGTCAGCACTCATTTTTTTTCCTCCAAGCCTAACTTTGTTAATGGAGAAGAAAATGACTAGGATGATGATATTTATTAATCTTAAAATCTTCAAGTTTAAGGAACTTAAGACTTTAGTTGATTTCCCATAAAATGCAGGAGTTGCTTCTACATGGACACATCTATTTGAATACTTTCAGTAGTGGAAGGTTCACTTCCTCTGAATTCCATTGCTACATCTAACTCCCTCTTCTTACTGGAAACCTTTCAAATATTTGACACAGTTATCATGTCCTCTTCAATCTTCTCCAGAGTAAATCTTCACAGTTTATCCAACCAGTATAGCCTCATTTTAAAGACTGATCATTTGGTCATCTGCCTTTGAAGACACTTAAATTTTTTTCACTAGCCTTCCAGAATATGTATCAAGAATATGTGTAACCAAGAACAGTGCCTGACATTTAGTGAATGCCCAATAACGCAGTATAGTCATTATTTTTATTTGTGTAACTTAATATTGCTCTAACTTTTTGATGGCCATATCACTTATAAGAATGTCACTGAAATAAACATGTAGTCCACTAAAAGTTTCAGTTATTTTTCATAAGCTCTGCTGTACAGCCAGATTTCCCCTTTCCTATAATTAAGCAATCATTGACATTTTATGATTTTATGATCTTGGCCAAATCACTTAACCTCTCTGAACTCTGTTTCTTCATCTGCAAAATGGGGATAAAGATATTTATCTCACAATAGAAGAAAAGTATTAAATAAGAAGACGTGTGAAGCATCTAACTATGGGCTTAACACTTTGTAGTTCTCTTTTTCTTATTTCTTTCTCTTTCCAAGAGATGTATTAGGTCATCCCTCAATTATTAATATACAGAAGGAAGTAGAAATGTAGATGACATATTTGTTCTACCAGATGCTTTTCTCTCTGTCAGTCAGTCAGGAAATGCAGCGATACAATGGACAAATTCCCTGTTCTCAAGAGGTTTACAATCTAGTTGGTTCTAATAAAATTCTTCTAAAATACAAGTAAAGGAATTATAAAGCTTCAGTAGACATTAGAACTAGCTGAGGAAAGCTCTTGAAGTCAAGGACCTAATGAACAAGTAACAGCAGTGCTTTAATTTGCTCCAATTGTCATTACAAAATACCACAGACCGGGTAGCTTAAATAACAGAAATTATTATTCTCTCCCAGTTCTGGAGGCTAGAAATCCAAGATCTAGGTGTCAACAGGTTTGATTTCTCCCAAGGCCTCTCTCTTACTTAGGCTTGTTTTGGCCACCTTCTTGCTGTGTCCTCACATGGCCTTTCATCTGTGCACATGCATCCCTGGTGTCTCTCCCTCTACTTATAAGGGCACTAGTTTTATTGGATTAGGGACCCTCCTTTATTTAACCTTAATTATCTCTTTAATGTGGACCCTATCTCCAAATGCAGTCACATGCTAAGGTACTGGAGGATAGGACTCAGACATATGAATTTGAGAGGGATACAATTCAGTCCATAATATGTGGTTTCCATTCATTAAAATTACTGTAAGAAATGATGATTGATGTGTATTATCTGGATAACTTAATGAAGAGAAATCTATGTCTCAGTCATCTTTATAGTTATTTCCCTGGGCTCCATGTGTCTTTGTGAAATAAATGAGTGCATAAATGAATGAGTAAATGAGTAAATTAGTAGAGCCTTGATTCAGCCCATCAGTGTCTCCTCTTCTATCAGGAATCTCATCCATTACAGAGGGGTTCAGAACCAATTTCTAAAACCCAAGAGAAGTGTCTTCACAGATTTACCTCCAGAAAAAGAGAACTTATCTGCACTTAGATAAGTGAGCAAATACCCAAAGTAGGTGTGCCAAAGTGTGTAGCACAGATTAGTTTCTGAAAATGCTCAATCAGTGTGGAAAAATGTTCATAATACCTCTCTCTTACACCTTAATAAATAAAAACAATGCTAACAAGCAAGTATTCACTGCAGGAAAGAAATCTGTCTTACCTGGTTTGGTTTGGCATTTCCCAAATGGATTAGACCATAGAATTATGTTCTTCCCTGATGGAGGAAACACGCTTTAGACAAGCTTTGGGAAAAACCTTGAGTTACAGGCCTAGTATGCAAAGATATTAATCAAAGAAACAGGAAACTTTGGATGTGATTATCCTTGTTCAACCAATGATATCTGTAGAAACACATCTTAAATCTCTAGTCATAAAATATGTATCAAATGCCCTTAAATTCAACAGTAACATTATTTTTAGGATATTAGTCAGAAACTATGACATACACAAAGCTCCTGAAAGGTAGGTATTTCGCTCTCCTTTCCACTGATGCTCTCACATCATCTTTTCTCAAAATAACTCTAAAGTTTGACACTACTGTTAATTGTTAATTTAACTTAATAGCTGAGGTAATAACTTCAGAATAAAAAATTATTGACATGGTGTTAGGTTCAGACCCTCACACTACCACTTTATAGCTGTAGCAGAGTGAATACTATCCCTCCTACAAAACCATGTTCATCCAGAAACACAGAAAGTGACCATACAGATTGAAAATAGTTAAAATGCACTCATATTGGATTAGGATGGGTGCTGAACCCAATGACTGGCATTTTATAAATGGAAAGAACACACAGACACACAGGGAAGGCCACATATGAAGACACAGAGAGACACTAAGGAAAGAAGGCCATGTGGAGACACAGGCAGAAAATGGAGTTATGTTGTCACAAGCCTAGGAATGGCGGGAGCCACCAGAAGCTAGAAGGGGCAAGGAATCATTCTCCCCGGGAGACTTTGGAGAGAGCATGATCCTGCTGACATCTTGATTTTGGACTCCTATCCTCAACAACTGTGAGAGGATACATTTCTGTTGTTTTAAGCCACACAGTGTGGGGTACTTTGTTATGGCAGCCCTAGGAAACTAATGCAATAGCTGTGTAAGTTTTGATGAATTCATAAACTTTTCTGAGCCTTATTTTACTCTTCTGTGACATGGAAATAAAAATGATTAGCTTCCAGGGATTTAGTAGGGATGAAAGGTTGTGAATATGTATATAGTGCTTGGAAAATAGAAGGAACTCCATTCATTCATTCTTTCGGTATTTCCCAAACACCTGCTTTGTGTGAGGTGCTGAGGGTGATATGGTAGGGAAAAAAGCATATAAGGGCCCTACAGAGGACTGACAAAACTATGGCCTACAAGCCAAATTTAGCCAAATGACTGTTTTTTTTTTTTTTTTTTTTTTGTAAATAATGTTTCATTGGAGCACAGCCACACCAATTGTTTTATGTATTGTCGACAGCTGCTTTCATGCTATAGGGGTAGAGTTGAGCAGATGCAACAGAAGCCATATGTCTCATAAAGCCTAAAATATTTACAATCTGCCTCTTTATAGAAAAAAGTTTGTTGACCCTTGCTCTAGATGCTGACAATGAAATTGGAGAAAATAGGCATAAATAAATAAACACACAAGAACAATTAGTGTGTAATAATTACTCCAGAAAAAACTTGCCAGATATAATAAAGCCTAACTGTTGGGAAAATAGGTAGCCATGGAAATCTTAAGAAGGGGTCCTGTAGGGCAGAGTTTTGAAGGATAAAAAGGAACTAGCCTAAGAAGAGCTCAACACGGAGTGTTACAAGCAGAGGAAAGCTAAAGACAAAGCCCTGAGTCAGGAAAGAGTAGTGTTCTGGAGGAACAGAAAGTAGGCCAATGAGGCAGGACCATTGCGAAGGGAGGAGAAAATGGCAGGAGATGAGCTCGCAGAGGGCCTGGTCAGCCAGGTCAAGGAGTGAAATTTTATTCTTGTACAATGGGAAGCCACTGAAGAGCTTAAGTAAGAAGTTAAACGATACGCTTTGCATTTTGGAAAAGATTATACCTTCTGTGGGTGGCAAGAAAACTGTGGCAGCAAAGGAGTGCAGAAATAGGAACTCTGGTTAGGAGAAATTAAAGTGGCTTGGGCTGGTGTAGTGTGATATGAATGGAGAAAAGTGGACACATGCAAGATGTGCTTTGCAAATAGAGCCTGGAGATCTGTTGAGTGATGAGGCATGGAGTGTATGAAGAGAAGATCAATTACGATTCCTTGTTTGGTTCGAGCAGTAAGTCAGTTGGTCGTAGTTCCATATGGTGAGATGGGGAATTTGGGTGTGTGCTGAGAAGGAACAGGTGGTGAGTTAGGGATATCAAGAGCCTTTCATCATCATTTTGTCATCATCATCATTACTATCATCATCAGCAGCAAAACTTTCAAAAGGAGAAATATGTTTGAATTTAATTTGTTAATTGATTTCTCTGGCCAATTTTTTCCCCTAAAATTTAAAAAAGCAATGTTTCTTTTTCTTTTGAAAATTCTATCAAAGATTGGCTTGAAGACTGAAAGGGGCTTTGCAGCTCTCTTGATGATGGGAAAAGTGAAGATTCCATTAATGTCTAATCAGTAGAAATTTGTGCACACATGCACATTCACATAAGAACTAAGAACAAGGTACTAATTAATTTCTACTCCAAAAAATAAGCCAGTAACAGATTTGTGGTTTCAAGATTTTGTACACACAAGCTATAATTGTTTTTAATTTCTAGAAAGTTTTGAAATAAATTATTTCAGAATGTCTGCAATACCTAATGAGATGGAATCTTGGCTAACCAATGAACTCAAATCCTAGAGTTTTGACTTAAGTTATCATCACATCCACCTATGATTTTTCAGCACTCTTTTGTGAGCACCACCATAATATATTAAACAATAAAATGCTTAACATATAAGGTAATCATATGTCTTGATTTTTCCAGGACCATCTGAGTTAGACCCTGTTGTACTGGCATTAATTATCAGCAGCACCTCCTTTCACTTAAAAGTGTCCTAGTTTGTATGATAGATTATATTGCCACCCTATTTATACACAGTTATAGTAATTTGCAAAAATACAGGCTTTTGGCTTCAAAGAACATTTGGCTCTGAAGAGATTTCACTGAATGTATTTGGCTGAAACTAGATATCATATTTTGGCTTAAATTCAGCCAAATACCTATTTTAATCTGATTTTTGGTAAGTTTCCACTATTGTAATTTATTTCATGAGGAATTCAATCAGTGGGAATGTTTTTGTCCTTGGACCTAGAATAAGGGACATAATTCTGTTCTTTTCTGGTTGGTCATACCAGCCATGGATATACTTCCTCCAAGGATTAACATTCTTAGCTATTTTTAGTTTGAGGTATTTTTCTTCAATACTTGTCTCCTGATTCAAAATCAGAGTTCACAGCCTCTGTGCATTCTTTTCAGGCTGATCACCTTCCATATTAGTCAAACTTACCATGTTTAATTGGCAATGTTTTAGAATAATTTCTCCACATTCTATTCTCTTCCAATTTCCTTTTTTTTGCATTCATTAATTTCTTGTGAGTTATTTAATTTTGATTTTATCTGATATGAAGAGTCTTCATTTTAGATATGTTAACAATTTATTGGCTTTAGTCTTCTGAGAGTGTCTTCTGCAAGTTAATGCTGGATGAACTGAAGTGCCAAAGACTTTTTATGCATGTATGTATGTATGTATGTATGTATGTATGTATGTATGTATTGAGATGGGGTCTTGCTATGTTGCAGAGGCTAGTCTCGAACTGCTGGCCTCAGGGGATCCTTCCACCTTGGCCTTTCAAAGTACCGGGATTACAGGGTGAGCCACTGAGCCCAGCTGAAGTGCCAAAGTCTTGAGCTCATTCTCCCCAGTCCAGCTTTTGAGTAAGATTCTTCTCCAGTTATGATGGATCTCTGCTTGAGAATATGACATATTAAATTGACTTTAAAAGAAAATGTTACCTTTACCATCTAAAAAGCTAAAAACATTCACTTTCCTAAGTGGAAATGGATTTGGGTAATAATTTCTAAGGCTAGATTATTTCATAAGCACTAGTTTTTTAGTAAGTTGGAAAACACAATTACTAGATTTAATCTTTATTAATTATATTTTTATTAAAATAATGTTTGATTTAAACAGAGATACTTAAAAATCAGATTTAAATAAACACTCCGTCCTAGAATGCTCTAATTTGAAACCCTGAGACTGTTTCCTGGGAAGATTTTTTGACTATTTTCCTCTTTTCCACTGTCTACTTTGAGATGGGCAATCCAACCCCACACAAAGAAGCCCTAGACAAAACTCCTTTCTATCCATAATGGCACAGCCCTTGCAGGCAAAGAGGAAATCTGATAGAGGAATACAGGGATTTGGCTCCTTATTCAGGCACTAATCAGGCCTACAGACTTGAGCAAGTCACTTAATCTCCCTGAGTTTGAATTTTCTTAGCTGTAAGATGGAAAGTTATATTTCCTTTAAATATACCCAGCTTTTGCATAAAAGTAATAACATGTACTGAGCCTATTAAATGTTCCTGGCCTTTGTTAAATGTTCTAGATGCATTATCATATTTTTTCTTCTAACAATGGGTATGCATTATTAATATCCTTTGGGGTTCTATTATATTAGCATGACTGATGTAGATCATTGTCCTTCATCTTCTGTTTCACAGCACCAGGAGATAGACCAAGTATTTTCCTTGGTCCCTCAAGTAGTGCAGCTTTCAGATTATTATTCTCCTTCCAATTTGTACAATGTGTTCTACTCTGTTGCATACACCCCTTTCTCCTTTTCAGAATTGTTCTACCACGCCCTGATCTCATTTACCAAAGACTTTAGTTCACAGTCTTCCTTTTCACCCCAAGATCTGCTCTCATGGGAAATATATTCAACATCCCCATAGATGATCCATCTAATACCTTGATCACTGCATATCTCAATTTTCTCAAATCTACTCCATTCAGCATCCATTTTCATGGCCATTCCCTAGACTCTGGTATAAACTGTATCATTTCCAAAAGTCCCCAATTCAAATCTCCCTTTATTGACTACAAGTACCATTACTCTCTACAGTTCTTTGATAAATTGGATACCTAAAATCCACTGATACCTTATTTTTTATGTTTTAGTCTGATTTGAGTTTTACTTATCTTCATATTCAGCTGATATTACATAATTCCTTCTTTAGTGATATAAAATCCGATTTCTCCTCATGTGGTTATCTCCCTCTAGTATTTTTGAAGAGGGAAGCAAGCAGAGTGTGCTGTCTCATGTATTCTCTTAGTTGGACTGCCTGCTTCCTGCTACTTCTCTGGCCGTCTTTATCTTCTCTCTGCCATGGCCAACTGCACAATTTCCTCAAGATCAACTGGAACTTGGAGATTACAGACCCTCAGCATCCTGGTTTATGGTGCTTCAGAACCATTATAGTGAAGGGGTAAGAAAGATAAGGCCATTTTCACCTGGTCTTGACTCTTATTTCCATCTACCATCTCCACAGAGAGTTAGGAGAGTATCTCAGACTTTATCAAGGTGAGTGTCTTAGTTCATTTGGGCTGCAACAACAAAATATTATAGAGTGGGTAGCTTATAAACAACATAAATTCATTTCTGAGAGTTCCGAAGACTGAGAAGTCCAAGATCAAGGTGACAGGAGAATTGTTGTCTGGTGAGAATCATCTTCTGGTTCATTGAAGGTCTCATCTTGTTGCATTCCCACAAGACAGAAGAAGCAAACAAGCTCCCTCATGCTTCTTTTTAAGGGCACCAAGCCTATTCATGAGGGCTCTCTCCATGATATACCTCCTGAAGACTTCACCTCTTCACATGATCACATCGGGGACTGGGTTTCAACATATACATTTTGGGGGCACACAAACATCTGGACCATAGCAGTGAATATATCAGACTTTATCAAAAATATAGTAGGAACCAAAGCAAACTGCAAAATATAAGGGAAGGAATTTAAATTGAATGCTATATGTGACCTTATTTTAGTTCAAGGAAAAGCTATCAAGCAGTTAAGTTTTTCCCAGTTTATTACCTCATGGGAGTATCCATTTCTAAAGGTATTCTCTTTTCCCTAGATTTACTTCTCTCTATTTCTCTCTATCTTCAAAACTGAGCAGTTCAAAGGCTCCACTCACCTTTCTACTGACTGAATTTTACATCTACCCTATTTATCCCTGGTCACCCTATCCCCACTCCCTTAGCTTTGTATGTCCCCAGGGATCCAGCTAGATGGAACTTGCAATGCTGTGTAAGTTTAAATAATGATATGTGATGTTTTATTATTCTTTCAATTAATGGTACTGGAAGGCTAAGGTGCTAAAGAAGTATTAAACCTAAAACCATTCATCAACCACACATACCTGTGTGGTTACACGCATACAGTTTCACAAGACACAGTGGTATGAAAAAGGGTACTGAACCAAGAGACTGGTTGTCTGGATTCTGGTTCCACACTGATGGTGTGATCTTGAACAAATTACTTAATATTCCGAGGCCTCAGTTTCCTACTTTGTAAAATTACATATTTCACCAGTAGTGTTTAAGGATCTAGAAATCTCCAACATTCTAAAGTACAAAAAGGTAGTGAACAATATATGGCAGGCAGAATTTAACAGAGTTTAAGAATTCTTTTATGAAGTAAGAGTATCATATAATGAAAAGGTATGTTAAGGAAAACCAGAAATATTAACCTAGCAAATTTATTTGAATCATGAAGTAAGAGTATCATATAATGAAAAGGTATGTTAAGGAAAACCAGAAATATTAACCTAGCAAATTTATTTGAATCAAAGCTGATCATTTATCTCCTGGTTGACCATAAGCTTGAGAAAAGAAAAAAAGAAAAAGAAGAAAAAAACCTAATTATTTTTCGAAATTGTTAGTCATTAGAGAAATGAAAATTAAATCCACAATGAGATATCACTACATACCTATTAGAACTAAAATTTAAATAGTGACAGTGGCAAATACTGGCAAGGATGCAGAGAAAATAAGTCTCACATATATTGCTGGTGGAAATGTAAAATGTTATAGCCACTTTGGAAAATTGTCTAGTTGTTTCTTATAGAATTAAACTTGCACTTACTATATGACCCAGCAGTCACATTAGTGAGCACTACTCCCTGAGAAATGAAAACATATGTTCACACAAAAAGCTATAAATATACCTGTTGTAGCAGATGTATTAGTAATAGCAAATAAATTTTAACAAACCAAATGTTCTTCTGTGGGTAAATGGTTAAAGAAATCCTGGAATTGGCATACCTGTGGAATGTTACTAAGCAATAAAAAAGTAATGAACTGTTAATACGTGCAACAACTCAGATGGATCTTAAGAGAATTATATGGAGTGAAAAAAGATGAGAGCAAACAGTCACATGCTGTATATTTTCATTTATATAACATTCTCTAATTGATACAATTATACAGGTGGAGAATAGATTAGTGGTTGCTAGGGGATAGGGATGAGATAATATAATGGATGTGAATATAAATGTATAGCATGAACATGAGGTGGTTTCTTTATGCTGATAAAACAGCAGGTAGTGATTACCTGAATCTATACATGAGATATAATTGCTAGAACTACACCCTTTCACCTCACCCTCATACATATACGAATCAATGTTTAAAAAATAATGCAAATGGGGCTGAGCACCATGGCTCACACCTGTAATCCCAGCACTTTGGGAGGCCGAGGCGGGTGGATCACCTGAGGTCAGGAGTTCGAGACCAGCCGGGACAACATGGCAAAATCCTGTCTCTACTACAATACAAAAAATAGCTGAGTGTGGTGGCAGGCACCTGTATTCCGAGCTACTCAGGAGGCTGAGGTAGGAGAATTGCTTGAACCTGGGAGGCGGAGGTTGCAGTGAGCCAAGATCATACCACTGCACTCCAGCCTGGGAGATAGAGTGAGACTCTATCTCTAAATAAATAAATAAATAAATAAATAAATAAATAAATAAATAAAATGGAATGGGTCTGGTTAACAGAATTGTACCAACGTTAATTCCCTCCAGGTTTTAATATTCTACTACAGTTATATAAAATGTCACCATTGAGGGAAACTGAGTGATGGTACATTGGACTCTACTATTTTTGCAGTCTTCTGTGGGTCTATAAATATTTCAAAATAAAAGCTTAAAAAGTTGCCATTTATCTTAGTTCATATTTACATCGAATAGTGCTCGCATCTACATCTATTTTACCCCTATAAATGTGTGGCTTTGGGGGTTGACCCTAGTTTCAGAATTGGGACTTAGTTGCCTAAGCCATGCTGTGAACTGTCTTTTTCTCACCATAGTGTATAGTATTACCTTGGCCACAGGTACTGATTCAAAAGTTGGCCTGTGGCTGTTGATAGGTAGGCACATTCTATGCAGTTGATGTTGAAAATAACACATCATTTCATTCTACACCAAAATACATTTCATCCATGTAATGTTTAAGTTATATATTTTATCCCTTCTCTGTTATAGTACAAACTATGCAGTGAGTATAGTATAACAATAATGATCCTACTGCAAGATATAGATGAGCATAATAGAATTAACAAAATCATAGTCATGAAATCACTAGTCTCATGAAGTCTTTGGGAATTCTGATATCCATGGCAACATATTATCTCCATTTCCTTCTAGACTTAACTTTCTGCATGTTTTCCTCAATCCATAAACTTAACGTTATATTTTTCAGTCAACTGTACTTCAGAAATCTTACATGTAGTACCTTCTGATTTTTCCAATGGAATCTATACTGTAGTGGATGTTGTCATATTTCACTGAGATCCCCCTTCAGAACTGAAGTACATATCACCGCTGAGGCCACTAGTTTGGCTGATCACAAATCACAGCTGTGTCCTGAGACTAAGAAAGCACTCTTGCCTTATATACCCTTCTGAGAAGAAGTGTTCTTGTTCAATGACTGGCTAATATTGCAAAATTACAAATAATCAGCCTTTTCATTTGGTATAAGGAGGAGGGCATCTTAACCTTAGAGGTCCCTGCGCAATTGGTGGAGTTTACAGTTGCAGCTGTGTGGCAGCTAAATTTTCTTCCTGCCCAATTCATATTTTCTTTCTCCATCACAGGTGTTCTCTAAAGTATACCACAGTAAACCTCCTGCATGCTAATCATAGAGTTTCAGAATATGTTTCCCTGGGAACCTGAACTTCAACAGTTTCTACCATAAATGGTTCAATAAAGTAGACTCAGAAATGTAATTGTGGAGCTGAATCACCTGCTGGCCAGCTGACAATGAAGAACCTATCACTAATTGTAGGCAGAATATGTATAGCCCCTGCCATTTAGCAATAATGCAATTGTTACAATTTGTATTGGTAGTGAGCTGGGATGGGACACCAACAGACAGGACTTCACTTATGAGTGCAATATCCCAGGCATTTGAGAGGCACGGGAGAAGTATAACTATGAAGACTATGGAATCGGATGGTTTCTGTTAGGTTTCACTGATGCATTGGAGAAAGACATTGAGTGCCTTAGGGTGATTAATCACCAATAATGTCTAGGTGTAAAAGTCAAAGGACCTCCTTGGTGGCTGATATAGTTTGAATGTGTTCTTTCCAAAATTCAGGTGTTGCCAGTGTGATAGTATTAAGAGGTGGGCCTTTACGAGGTGATTAGCCATGAGGATTTTGTCTTCGTTAATGGGATCAAAGTTCATAGAAAAGAAGCTACACCTAACATTCAGTTAGCTTGTCCTTCCCCTTCCACCTTTTGCCCTGTAAAGACACAACATTCCTCTCCTCTGTAGGATGCAGCAATAATGCACCATCTTAAAAGCAGAAACCAGCCCTCACCAGACAACCAAACCTATAAGCACCTTGATCTTGGACTTCCAACCCTCCAGAACTATAAGAAAATATGTTTCTGTTCTTTATAAGTTATCCAGTCTCAGTTATTTTGTTATAGCAGCACAAAACAGATGAAGATAGGAGCATGTAAAAAAGAGCCTCATCTCCTGCAGCTGGAAAACAGAAAAAAAGATGAAATTCAGACCCAGGTCTGAATTCTAATAGTAATAAAACATTTTAGTTGATTTAATTCTCAACTTCAGTAACCCTGCTCCACCAAGATCAGAGCTTGAGTTGAGAAGGCTCGGAACCTTGAGACATGGGATAAGAATATGTAAGTCTATGCATTCAGAAAGGTTAAATACCCAGATTACCTTGAACTCTCTCAGCCAAAATAGCTCATTCCTTTGTGTTAAAGGCTAGGTGTCCTCATCTGAAGACAGATTCAGTATTCTCATAAGATATTACCTCACCTTTCTTTCTGACCACCTGACCAATGGTAACTATGGTTAAGTCATAATATAACCCAGCCAGAGTAATGCTGAGCCTATTTACAGAGAACAGGGACTATACTCTGAAGGAATGCTAGGACCTTGCCAGCAGGTATCAGTAGGAGTTGAGAAGTACTTACAGTCCTGGATCCTGAATGTACTAGATCAAGAGAGACTGGAAATAAAGTTACATAGTGGAATGTTTATCAATGTGGATATAGAAGCACTTCCTCATGATACAGGATGCACATCCTCACAAGGATTCTGGGAGACAGTGGTGACACATTCCTGGGATTACTCTTGGAAACATGGAGAAGTGTCAGACCACAATAAGTGAATTAGAAATGCCAGAACTTCTGGGGCAGACAGCGGGAGACGGGATCAAAAAAATCAGAGAAAGGAGCATGCTAGAGTGGATTTACGATAGAAGGCCAAAAAAACCAACAGCCAAATATCTTCTGAACAAGAGCCTGGAGTACACTCCATTTACCAAAACAATAAGAAATAAGCTTGTGGAACAGGCACCAGCACCTTTAAAACCTCAATTGTGGCTGCCCTCTCTATGCCAGAAGTGATATTAAGAGATGCTGTTATAGACTAGACTCCCTGACAGAAGTGAGGATGACAGGATGCCAAAATTATAGAGGTCAGACGGATACAGTTATAATAAGCAAGAAGGTTGAAGGGGTGGCAGTTGTGGAAATGGCTAATTGCTTTATCTCTACAAATCTATAAAATAAGGATTTGCCCCATCTATATAGTTTAAAGAAAGGATAGTGACATTTCTAGGGCCATCTCAGTTTCAGAGCTCCTTATAGGATTGGCTGAAGTCACTGTTATACTTCCCTTCATCACAGTCCAGCCTTTTGCTTTGGTCAGTCCTACTTCCCTTGTTTCCTCCCCGGTGTTGATCCCAAGAACACTTTATAATAAATACTTCCTGTGCACAAATATCAGAGTCTTACAGTCTGTTTCTTGGAGAACCTGACCTGTAAAACATACATCGCACTTCTCAATGCCTTATGCACATTTATTCAAATCACCATCTGTGATCACTAAATCCTCCATCCCAGGAAGCCCATCTACTCCTGCCTGTGTGAATAGAATGACAGCTAACCAACCTGGGCTCCAGGATCTCCCGCTTAGATTAAGCCTTCATTCATAGGCTACTTTGCTCCCTGTCTTAGTCTGTTTGAGCTGCTATAACAAAATACCACAGACTGGGTAATTTATAAACATTATAAATTTATTTCTCACAGTTCTGGAGGCTGGGAAGTGAATGGTCAAGGTGTCTGGTAAGGGCCTTCTTGCTGCATCCTCACATGGGAGAAGGTGGAAGAGAAAGATGGGGTGAACTCTGTTCTCACATAGCAGAAGAATGGAAGAGAGTGAACCCATTCCTGCAAGCCCTTTTTATAAGGCCTTAATCAATTCATGAGGGAGGTTCCCTCATGACTCAACCATCTTCTAATACCATCACCTTTGTGATTAGGTTTCAACATGAATTTTGGAGAAGAAACCACATTCAAACCATAGCACTCTTTTTTTTTTTTTTCTTCTACAATGTTGACTGCACCTATGTCCAACCCTGGTTAACCCTTTTTTTCTCTAGCAGGATATTAAATGACAAATTTTTCTGATTGGACTGGGCCTATCACATGACCCTGTTGGTGACATTCTCCTTCCTTGGCTTCCATGATGTTAGATAGTTTGGGAGCACTTTAGTCTCCCTGAGTGACCCCTCCTTGGTTTATTTAGTGATTTCTCTCTTCTCTCTCCCCATCTGGTGGGTGGCACACATTTTGTCACCTGGTCTCTGACTATACTATTGCATAGATCTCACTCAGTCCCAGGCCTTCAACTCTTGTATTTAGGCAAGTGACTTTTACATTTCCAGCCCAATTTTCTCTCCCAGCATTCAGTTCCACATTTCCAATGGCTAAATAGGCAGGCCCACCATCACCTCAAAGATAAAATGTCTAATAATAAACTAATATTAAGCTTCTTACCAAAACTAATTTTTTCTCGACCCTCTTATTTAAACATTTTCTTAAGAAAAATATCCTCAATCCCATATGGTCATCTATTTTCTACCCATTTATTTATTCTTTTACTAAATAAACCCTTAATGACCATTCACTAATTGTCAGATGTGCTATAAATGGGTGTACAGACATAGTCTCTGCCATAATAAAGATTACAATGCAGTGAGAAAGAATCAATCAATAATTAATTAAAATTAGTAAAAGTACTGTGAAGGGGAAGTAATCCACAGGAATATAAAACGTTTGGGTTCTAAAACCTCTGCCCAAATGAATAGGAAATAGCTAGGCAAAGAGGTAGGGAGAGAGAGGGCATCTGGAAAAGCTTTTATGTGAGAAGAATTTTAGGGTATTTGAATAACTGAAGCAAGGTTAATCTATCTAAAGGATCACTGTCAAATAGAACATTCTGCATTGATGCAAGCTCTATGCAATGTCTAACACAATAGCCACTAGTACATATGGTTATTGAGTGCTTGAAATCTGGTTATCGCAACTGAGAAACTAAATTTTAAATTTTAACTAACATAGTCACATGTGACAATTGGTTACTGTATTGGATATTAAAGGTATTGAACATTACCATCATTGCAGAGAGTTCTATGGAATATTGCTTCCATAAAGAATCATGAGTGTGTGATCAGACTATAGGGTAGTTAATGCCAGGTCATGTAAAAGCTTGTAGGTAACAACGAATTCTGGCCCTAATAAGAAGGGGGAGGGAAGTCACAGAAGAGTTAAAGGCAGGGCTGACATTTTCCGATTGCATTGAACAGATTGCTCTATCCCTGACAACCAGTAGTTTGAGCAGCAGAAGTGTGTGGACCAATATATATATTTATAAATCGTGTCATATGTTTAGTGAAGTAGATTGAGACAACAAGCAGCAACATGGGCTCATACATTTATCAAAGAATGGACTATATTTGGATAATGTATCAGTTTTTCATTCATAGTTGCTGCTCTCTTTGGCTGAATTGACAATTTCTGAAGTCAGAGATTACTATACTTCTCTTTGATTCACAATTC
This sequence comes from Homo sapiens, assembly GCF_000001405.40. Lineage (NCBI taxonomy): Eukaryota > Metazoa > Chordata > Mammalia > Primates > Hominidae > Homo > Homo sapiens. The sequence goes on along the minus strand of NC_000006.12, from coordinate 71,869,175 downwards.
CTATGATTGAGACTCATCAGATTTTACTATGACCCTTACTTTATTTTCATAGCCATTCATTTCCCTTTTTTTGTTTGTGAGGCCTGGCACCAATCTCTTGAGTTTTTGCAATGGCAGATGAGGTTGGCTAGCTTTCCCAAGCTGGCTGGCTACACTCAGGAAAATGAAGGAAAACAATATTTCAAAGGCAAACTTGAGTTTAGTTATGGCTTCTTCTGTTCCAGGGCTTCCTGTACTTCCCCCTGCCCCTTCTTGGGACGGGGTCTTGCTGTATTGCCCAGTCTGGAGTGCAGTGGCATGGGTGTGTCTCACTGCAGCCTTGAACTCCTGGGCTCAAGGCATCCTCCTGCCTCAGCCTTCTGAGTAGCTGGAACTATAGGCATGTGTGGGGGGCTAATTCTTTATGTTTTTATAGATATGAGGTCTCACTATATTGCTCAGGTTGGTCTTGAATTCCTGGCCTCAAGTGATCCTTCTGCTTTGGCTTCCCAAAGTGCTGGGATTACAGGCATGAGCCACCATCCCCAGCCCTGGCCTCCTATACTTGCCTCAGCAGTCCCATTTGTCAGGCTTAGCTTAGAGCCCCTTCTAAGCCTTTGACTTCTACTTACTCCCTGAGTCATGAGAAATAATCTAGTACTGGCCTCCAGTCTCCAAGTGAATCCTGTGTCCAGGTCCAGGTGACCTTAGCATACTCATATGTTCCAGACTAAAGCTCCTATTTTTGAAAACTTATATTTTTGAAACTTTACTTTATGATCCACAATTTCCCAAAACCCATCCAAACTATTAGAGCTTCTCTTCTTTTTACTTCCATATGTGATCTCTCTCTCTCTCCCTGTTTTATTCCCTTCCTCCCTCTTCCTTTAATTCTCGATCTATGCCTCAAATTTGAGTATTATTCTACTTATTAACTTTAATTACAAGTAATACTACTATTTTCTAAGACTTAACTACTGGAATATTAGAATCTATCATTGATATTTTTAGGATAAATGTATCCCCTCAACCTGTATCATACTTAATTCATAAAAATATATTTTGTGGAATATTTACTTGTATCAAGAAAATTCTCTAACTACATGCCCAAACTACAAAAGCCTAAATATCATTTTTCTGATAATGTTTTTGGACTCAGCAAGTGAAAAGTATAGTATGATTTACTCAAATATCAATGCTTCCCAGAAAGGAACTGCCTTACAGTTCTTTTTTTCTTTCTTATATTTGTAATAATAGAATAGTCTTGTTTTTCCCAGACAAGGAAGTAAATCTTCCCTGTTGTCATCCAGACATTTTCTAGGAACTTTAAGGAAATTCATATTTTAATACCAAGTAGAGATCATTTTTCCCTTTTCTCCTTGATCATTCTCACATAGAACTCAATCAAGCAGAATCATATGTTGAATATCAAATGTTAATAAGTGTGATAATTTTGACAAAGGCCAAGTTGACCTGATCCAATGAAAATAAAAACAATGCCCTGTCCTGACCCCACTTGTTCAGGAGGAGAAACTGAGGTATTACATCATGGTGCTGCTTACACTTTACATGCTACAGTAATCAATACTGCCTGGCTAGATTTGATCAATATATATTGAGAGCCTATGATGTCACTGGGCAGATAATGCATGGTGGCAATCAATGGAAAGATGAAAAACTATATGGGGGTTTCTAGATTCAGTTTGACATGAAAAGAGCTTGGAAGCTGTCACTGCCATCCTCACAATAAGAACCAAAGAGAACAAACAGAAAATTAATGACTTTTCTTAGATCCATTAGAGAACTGAGTTTGCAGGGCAAACTACTACCCTGAAATCTCAAAACACAAGTGAACACAGAAAATCACAGCTGAGATGAGCCTATTGGGAGCAGAACCACTGGGGCCAGTAACTGGTAGGAAAACTTTAATGGTAATTTTGACTAATTGCTGGGGGCTGAGTGTGGACTAGTGTGAGAATGGGGAACTCCTGGAGGCTGCTGTCTTAGGAGGAGCCCCACATTTCATCTATTTTACCTTGAGGAACCCCACCAGGTTCTCAGAGCCAAAAAACAAAACAAAACAAAAACACTCTTGTGGCTCTAATGAGATGGAAATTAATTTTTTTGCAATATACTCAGAATTTTCTTCATTGAAAAGAGCTACTCTCTAGGGAAAAGACTTTACCATAGCCTTATTACACCTAAGGAGAAGGGTATTTATTCAATTTTAGAAAACTTTAGTCTTGCAATCTCTTTCCTACGGGGAGGAGAAAAGTTAGGAAACACTGTGAAGGTCACATTCTAGGGATAAGCCCTAATGAAAAACTGAGATTTAATCAAAAGATCATGAAGTACTCTCCTTCCTCCATAATTTATCACCAAAGCAACAGAGTTCCAACAAATAAGACTGAATTATAGCTGCAAATGCTGCAAAGCGCAAAAACTATTTAAGGAGGTGTTCGAGGGAAACCCACAGGAAAATAAAAATGAAAATCCTAGAGGAACTTAAAGCCTCTGGCAACTACAGCCACAGCAAACAGTAAACACAGCCAACTCCTAGCCATATCAACCAAAACCTCACACTACAGGCCTTTCTCTTCAATTCGTATTGAAGAGAATAAGAAGCTATTCTTTTAATAAGAAGTTACAAAGTGTGCCAAAAGGCAAGAAAGAGCATATTCAGAAGAGACAAAGCCAGCAGTAGAACCAGACCTAGATATAAACACAGACTTTGGAATTATCAGTAGGAAACTGAAAATACCTATGATTTATATGTTAAGGGATCTAATGGAAAAAGTAGACAACATGCAAGAACAAGTGGGTAGCATAAGCACAGAGATGAAACCTCTAATAAAAAATGATAGATATCAAAGACACTAACAGTAATGATAATCAGAATATCTAAGCACTGTGGAACAATTTCAAAACCTGTAATATGTGCATAAATATTAGAAGCAGAAGAAAGAGCAGAGCAGAAGACATTTTTAAGGAAAAACGGCTGAGAACTTTACAAAAATTGATGACAAACATCAAACCACAGATCCAGGAGGCTCAGAGAACGCCAAGAAGAGTAAATAATGATTAAAAAACCTATTCTTTGGTTTATCATATTCAAACTATAGACAACCAAAAACACATAAGGATGAGAATTACAGCGAACTTCTCCTCAGAAAACATGTAAGCAAGAAGAGAGTGTAATGAAATTCTTAAAGTGTTAAAAGAAAAAATGCTACCAACATAGGATTCTATATCTAGTAAAACTATCCTTCAAAAGTGAAGGAGAAATTAAGACTCTCTCAAACAAACATTGAGGGAATTCATTTCCATAGGCATGTTCTGTAAGATATGTTAAAAAAATATTCTTCAAGAAGAAGGAAATTCATCTAAGTCAGAAACTTGGATCTGCATCTAAAAAGAAGATAGGACAAGGAATAAACAAAGGTAAAATAAAATATTTTATTTTTATTATTTTTAGTTGACCTAAATGATAACAGTTTAAAAAAAATAATAGCCATGGTTTGTGTTATTATAGCTTATAGATATTATAGCTTATAGATATTATAGCTTATAGATATTATAAATATTATAGCTTATAGATATTACAGCTTATAGATAAGTGCAATAAATGATAAAAATGGGAAAAAGAAATTGGGAATACTCTATTAAGAGGTACCTGCAATGCACATGAAGTGGTAGAATGTTATTTAAACGTGCTTGGATTAATGGTGAATGTATACTGTGAGCTCTGGGGCAACAACTTAAAACTGAAAAAAAGGAAAAAAAACTCTAATTAATATTCTAAGAAAGAACCAAAATGGAATCATATAAAATGCTTAATTATTATGCAACCAGAGAAGTCAGACAGAGAGTAGAAGGAAGCAACAAAAACAAGAGAAAGAAATAGTGAACAGTTACAAGCATGGTAGATATGAATCTAACTGTATCAATAATCATTTTAAGTATGAATGGTCTAAAAACACCAATTAAAGGACAGAGATTGTCAGAGTAGATTTTTTCAAAAACACCCAACTATATGCTGTCTATAAAATCTCACTTTAAATACACAGTCATGCGGAGTAAAAAAAATAAATTGACCCATTTGCAATAAGATACAAAAAATAGGAATACACGGAATACATTTAACCAAGGAGGTGAAAAATCTCTGCTCTGAAAACTATAAAACATTTATCAGAAAAAGAAGTAAACACAAATGAAAAGCTTTCCCATATTTATGGATTGAAAGAATAAATATTGTAAAAATGCTCATATTATCCAAAACAACATACAGATTCAGTGCAATTCCTATCAAAATACCAATGACATTCTTCACAGAAATGGAAAAAATAATTCTAACATTTGTATGGCTCCACAACAGACTATGAATAGCCAAAGTAATCTTGCACAAAAAAAGCACAGTTGGAAGCATGACACTACCTGATTTTAAAATATACTACAAAATTATATTAAACAAAATATCATTGTACTAGAATTAAAACAGACATATCACCCAATGGAACAGAATAAAGAGGCCCAGAAATAAATCCAGGCATTATCAACCAACTGATTTTTGACAAAGATGCTAAAAATACATAACAATCAAAGGAAAATCTCTTCAATAAATGGTTTTGAGAAAACTGGGTATCCTTTTGCAAAAAAAAAAAAAAAAAAAAACGAAATCAGATCCTTATATCTTACCACATATCAAAATTGACTCAAGTGGATTAAAAATTTAAATGTAAAACCCAAAACTATGAAACTACTGGAAGAAATTGTAGGTGAGAAGTTATATGACATTAGTCTGGACAGTGGTTTTTTAGATATGACCTCACAAGCAGAGACAACAAAAGTAAAAATAGACAAATGGGACTACATCAAACTAAAAAGCTTCTGCACAACAAAGGAAACAATCAACAGAGTGAAGAGACAACCTATAGAATAGAAGAAAATATTTGCAAACTATACATCTGATGAGGAATTAATATATAAAATATCAGTCATGTACTACATAACAATGTTTCTGTCAGCAACAAACCATTGTCCCATAAGATTATAATACCATATTTTTACTGTTCTTTTTTAGTTTAGATACACAAATACTTACCATTGTACTACAATTGCCCATAGTATTCAGTACAATAACACGCCGTACAGGTTTGTGACCTAGGAGCAATAGGCTATACCATCTATATTTGTGTAAGTACACTCTATGATGTTCACATAACAAAATCACATAACGTATTCCTCAAAACACATAATCATATTTTAGCTATGTATTGCTGTATAAGGAACTCAACTCAATAGCAAGAAAATAAATAATCCAATGTAGAAATGAGTAAAAACCTGAATAAACATTTTTCAAAAGAAGATATACAAATGGCCAACAGGTATATGAAAACCCGTTTATCAGTAATCATCAGGGAAATGCAAATCAAAATTACAATGAAATATCACCTCACTTCTGTTATAATGGCTGTTATCAAAAATACAAAAGATAATGAGTGTTGGCAAGGATATGGAGAAATGGGAACCATTGCACACTGTTGGCAGGAATGCATATGATTATTACCATTATAGAAAAAAGTATGGAGTTTTCTCAAAATATTAAAAATAATACTCCACATGATCCAGCAATTCCATTACTGAGTAAATATCCATAGGATATGAAATCAGTTTGTCAAAAAGATATGGCACTCTCATGATTATTCCAATGCTATTCACAAAAGACAGGAGATAAACTCAAGTGTCCATCATTGAATGAACAGATGGATAAAAATTGCATGGTATATTTGCACAATGGAATATAATTCAGCCATAAAACAGAACAAAATCTTGTCATTTGTGATAACATGGATAAACCCAGAGGATATTATGTTAAGTGAAATAGGCCAGGCACAAAAAGACAAATAATGCATAGTCTCACTCATGTGGAGTCTAAAATAGTTCATCTCAAAAAAGTAAAGAGTAGGATGGTGGTGAATTCGTCCATTTTCACATGGCTATAAAGATACTATCTGATACTGAATAATTTATAAAGAAATGAAGTTTAATTGACTCACAGTTCCACATGGCTGGAGAGGCCTCAGGAAATTAACAATCATGGTGGAAGGTGAAGGGGACGCAAGGTACTTCTTATATGGTGGCAGGAGAGAGAGAGAGAAAGGGAAACTGCCACTTTTTAAACTATCACATCTCACAAGAACTCCCTCCTTATCACAAGAACAGCATTGGGAAACCACTCCCATGATCCAATCAGCTCCTACTGTTTATCTCCCTCCACGCATGAAGATTACAATTTGAGATCTCATTCAAGATGAGATTGGGGTGGGGATATTAGAGGCTGGGATAGTTAGAAAGGCGGGGAAGATGGGAAGATGTTGTTCAAAGAGTATATAATTATATTTGGGTATGAGGAATAAGTTCAAGAGTTCTATTATATAGCATGGTGACTTTAGGAAATGATGATATATCGTATTCTTGAAAAATGCAAAGAGAGTAGATATTATGTGCTCTCACCAAAAAAATAAAAATAAAAATAAAAAAAGATAACTGTGTAAGGTAATGCATTTGTTAATTAGCTAGATTTAACTATTTCACAATATAAATATACTTCAAAATCTCATGTTGTATGCAACAAATACATGCAATTTTATCTACCAAATAAAAAACTACCAATGATATTCTTTACTCAGAAAGATATACCATGCTATTACTAATCAAAAGAAAGTGGGAGTGGCTATATCAATTTCAAAGTATACTTCAGAACAAGAAAAATTATCAAGGAAAAAGATAGCGTGACATAATGATAAAGAGATCAAGTGTCCAAGAAGACATAACATTTTTTAGCCTGTATGAACCTAACATCAGAATATCAAAATACATGAGAAAAAAACTGATAGAATTTCAAGGAAAAATAGACCTATGCACTACTATAGTTGCAGGCTTCAATGCCCTTCCTTCAGTAATTGATAGATCAAGGAGTCAGAATGCCAGTAAGGATATAGTTGGCCTTAAGAGTACTTATCAATCTACTTGATCAAATTGGCATTTATAGATGACTCCTTCCAACAACAGCAGAATACAAATTCTCCTCAAGCTCATGTAGAAGACAGACTAAGATGAATCATATTCTGGAGCATAAAACACACCTTAAGGCCGGGCGCGGTGGCTCACGCCTGTAATCCCAGCACTTTGGGAGGCCGAGGCGGGCGGATCACGAGGTCAGGAGATCGAGACCATCCTGGCTAACACGGTGAAACCCCGTCTCTACTAAAAATACAAAAAAAAATTAGCCGGGCGTGGTGGCGGGCGCCTGTAGTCCCAGCTACTCGGGAGGCTGAGGCAGGAGAATGGCGTGAACCCGGGAGGCAGAGCTTGCAGTGAGCCGAGATCGCGCCACTGCACTCCAGCCTGGGCAACAGAGCGAGACTCCGTCTCAAAAAAAAAAAAAAAAAAAAAAAAAAACACACCTTAAAATTTTTAAGTGAATAGAAATAATATGAAAAATGTTCTCAGAAGATGATAGAAGTAAATAAGAAATCAATAACAGACAGCTGGAAAATACTCAGATATTTGGAGATTGAATAACACATTTCTAAATAACACATGAGTCTAGGAACTCTCAAGATAAATTAAGAAATATTTTAAACCAAATGAAAATACAGCATATTAGAAATTGAGCGATACAGCAAAGACGTGTTTAGAGGAAAATTTTTATCATTAAGTGCATATATTAGTAAAAAATAAAGAGCTAAAATAATAATCTAAGCTTCCATTTTATTAAATCAGAGAAGGAAGCATAATTTAAGCTCAAAGCAAGCAGAACAAAAGAAATAAAAAACAAAGCAAAAATCAGTGATATGGAAAACAGTAGAGAAAATCAATGAGCTCAAAAACTGGTGTTTTTGAAAAGATTGATAAAATGGATAAACTGCTATCCAGGCTATTCAAAAATTAGTGAGAGAGAGAAATTGCTAATATCAGAAATGAAAAAGCAGTCATCACTACTGAACCCATGAACATTAAAAGGACAATGAATAAACATAAACAACCCTATGCTCACATATTTGATGATTTAAAGGAAATGGACCATTATTTGAAAGTCATAAACTGCCAAAACTTACATAAGGAAAAGTAGATCATATAAATGGGCCTATATCTATTACATACGTTTAATATGTAATTAATAGTCTAAAAAAGAAAGCACTAGACCTAAATAGTTTCGCTGTTGAATTCTACTTCACTTAAAGAAGATATGATATCAATTCTTCATCATGTATCTAGAAAATAGAAGCCAAGGGAATAGTTCTAAACTTACTTAATTAACTAAGCTATCATTACCCTAATACCAAAACCAGGTAAAGACATTATTAAAAAAAAAAAAAGAAACGAAACTACACACCACTCTCTCTTTTGTACACAGATGCAAATATCCTCAGGAAAATCGTAGTAAATCAAATCCAATAATATACAAAATAATTATACCAAGTGGTATGTAAGCTGAATTGATATTCAAAAATCAGACAATAGAATCTGCCATATCAACAGAGTAAAGAAGAAAAATAACATAAACATATCAATAGATGTAGAAAAAATATTTTACATGTTTGATAATATCAAAGCATGATTCATGAAAATAGCATTGGTAAGTCAGGCTTTTAAAATTGTCACGATTAAAAACTCTCAGGAAACTAGGAACATAGGAAAACTTCATCAACTTGATTAAAAAAATCTATAAAAAATCTACAGCTAACATGATACTTAATTGTGGGAAGCAGGGCATTTTCATTCTCCCTATGATCAGGAATAAGGCACGGATATCCCCTCTTACTATTTCTATTCCAGATCATACTGGAAGTCCTAGCCAGTGAAATGGGTTATAAAATGTAAATACAGTTGAGAGTAAGAAATAAAACTTTCCTTGTTTACAGATGATTATATAAGTAAAGAACCTCAAAGAAGAAGACAGAAAAACTCCTAGAATTAACTAGAGATTATAGTAAGTTTGCAGAATTGAATTACTTTCTTCCACATTAGCAAAAAAGATTGAAATTTGAGATTTTAAAAATTAAATTAGCACCCCCAAAAAGAGAAGTGCTTAGGTATAAATGTAATAAAATATGTATAGGATCTATACACAGAAAACTACAAAACACCAATGAGATAAAGCAAATTTGATCTAAATATTAATAAACAGAGACATAGTTCATATTCTTTGGTAGGAAGGTTCAGGACTGTTAAGATGTTGATTCTTCCTAAATTTACCAGTAGGTTTACCTCAGTTTTAATCAATATTCCACAAGCTATTACATAAATACCTACAAACTGATTCTAAAGTTCATATGGAAAGGCAAAAGCCAAAAATAGTTAAAAAAAAAAAACAAGTCAAGAATGATGGTTTCCAGTTTCATTCTTGTCCCTGAAAAAGACATGAACTCATCCTTTTTATGGCTGCATTGTATTCCATGGTGTATATGTGCCACATTTTCTTTATGCAGTCTATTATTGATGGACATTTGGGTTGGTACAAAGTCTTTGCTATTGTGAATAGTGTCACAATAAACATACATGTTCATGTGTCTTTATAGTAACATGATTTATAATCCTTTAGGTATATACCCAGTAATGGGATTGCTGGGTCAAATGGTATTTCTAGTTCTGGATCCTTGAGAAATTACCACACTGTCTTCCACAATGGTTGAACTAATTTACACTCCCACCAACAGTATAAAAGCATTCCTATTTCTCCACATCCTCTCCAGCATCTGTTGTTTCCTGACTTTTTAATGATCACCATTCTAACTGGCGTGAGATAGTATCTCACTGTGGTTTTGATTTGCATTTCTCTGATGACCAGTGATGATGAGCATTTTTTCATATGTCTGCTGGCTGCATAAATGTCTTCTTTTGAGAAGAGTCTGTTCATATCCTTTGCCCACTTTTTGATGGGGTTTTTTTTTCTTGTAAATTTGTTTAAAGTTCTTTGTAGATTCTGGATATTAGCCCTTTGTCAGATGGATAGATTGCAAAAATTTTCTCCCATTCTGTATGTTGCCTGTTCACTCTGAACATGCACGTTGTGCACATGTACCCTAGAATTTAAAGTATAATTAAAAATAAGAATAATAATAGTAAAAACCAAGAAGAATACAGTTGTAGGACCCCACAGCCAGACTTCAAGACTTACAACAAAGTTCCAGCAATCAAGACAGTGTGTTATTAGCGAAATTATAGAAACATAGTTCAAAGGAACAGAATACAGAGCCCAGAAACAGATCCACACAATTACAGTCAACTAATCTTTGACAAAGGAGCAAAGACAATTCAATGGAGACAAAGTAGTTCTTTAAACAGATAGTGCAGAACAATTGGGCATTCATATGCAAAAATGATGAATCTAGACATCAATTTTACACTTTTTACAGATATTATCTAAAGGTAAATCATAGATCTACATGTACAATGCAAAACTATGCAACTTATAGAATAACACATTCGAAAAATCTTAGTGACTTTGGGCTTAATGATGAGTTTTTGGATAACATCAAAAGCATGATGATTAAAGAAAGAATGATGTTATGCATTTTTGAATAAAAAACTTCTTTGTGAAAAAATACTGCTAAGAGAATGAAAAGACAAGCCACAGTCTGGAAGAAAATATTTACAAATACACATATCGAATATTAGATTTATATACACATATTTGCAAAATACATATCTAATCATATTGGACTTGTATCCAAAGCATGCAAAAAAACTTCTTAAAACTCAAATAACAAGAACAAAATCAACCCAAATGAAAATGGGCAAAATATTTGATTTGAACAGACATCTCACTAAAAAAGATCTACTGATGACAAAAAAAAAAGTATGACAAACAACTTACTATTACGGAATTGTGTATTAAAACAATGGGATACACTACACAGCTATTAGGAAGGCTAAAATGAGAAAAAAACAAACAAACAAACTGAAAATGCAGTCAAGAATGCTGAGCAACAGGAATTCTCCTTCATTGCTAGTGGAAATACAAAATGGTGCAACCACTTTAGAAGACAGTTTTGACAGTTTCCTACAAAGCCAAACATACAATCCAGCAATTGCTTTTCTAGGTATTTAACCAATTCAGTTGAAAACATAACCACATAAAAATCTGCATGCAAATACACAGCTTTACACATAATCACCAAAAACTAGAAACCATCAAAATATCCTTTAATAGGTGAATGGATAATCAAACATCAGTACATTCGTGCAATGAAATACTATTCAGCAATAAAATGGAGTGAGCTATCAAGCCACAAACACATGGATGAACTTTAAACACATATTGCTAAGGAAAAAAGCAGGTCTAAAAAGGCTACATATTATATGATTATAATTATGACATTCTGTAAAAGGCAAAGCTATAGAGAGAGTACAAGACCAGTGATTGCCAGTGGGAAGGGGGATTGAATAGATGAAACATAGGAATATTTTTAATGTAGTGAAACTATTCTGAATGTTCTGTAATGGTGAAGACATGGCATAATACATTTGCCATAACCCATAGAGCTATACAATACAGAGTGAATCTTAATACATGCTAATTAAAAATATATTTAGAAGGTTGACAGAAGGTCACAGGAAAGAATAAAGATTGTGATAAGAAAATCTAAGCATATTACCCATGTGTGAAACAACTTCACTGAAGACAGTAGTGTAAAAGGTACTGGTGTAAGTAACTTTCAAAATGTAAGAAGAAACATTATTCTCATTTGATAAAGTTACTACCTGTGGGAGTACAGGTTAACAGTTCTGATAATGGAATTGAATAATTATGTCATGAGATGGCAGTACATGGGAACCATGTTTCTCCCTGCCAGAGCAAGAGCTTATAGATAAACAAGGAAAGGAGGCTTGAATAATCCCTGTGGGAATAGCGGTTTTACCAGATTGCCCTGGCTTCTCACTGTGTCCTCAGTTAGTGGAGACAGAGGGAGCTCTGCTGTCTCTTCCTCTTCTTATAAGGACGCTAACCCCATCCTGGAGCCCCACCTCATAACCTCATCCAAACCCAATTACTCCCAAAGGCCCCACCTCCAAACACCACCACATTGGGGTTAGGACTTCAACAAAAGAATTCTGGGGAGACAAAAACATTCAGTGCATTACAGAATTAAAACCCAAAGTATAAAATAAAATAGCCATGATTTCATATTGATAAAATAAATGATTGAATAAATAAATAAATGGGGGAGTAAAACAAACATCCTATGCAGAAGAATTCCAAATAATTTATGTGGGTACTTCACCCTCAAGAAGGGAGCATAGGCCGGGCGCGGTGGCTCATGCCTGTAATCCCAGCACTTTGGGAGGCCGGGGCAGATGGATCACGAGGTCAAGAGATCGAGACCATTCTGGCTAACACGGTGAAACCCTGTCTCTACTAAAAAATACAAAAAAAAAAAAAAAAAAAAATTAGCAGGGTGTGGTGATGGGGGCCTGTAGTCCCAGCTACTCCAGAGGCTGAGGCAGGGGAATGGCGTGAGCCCGGGAGGCGGAGCTTACAGTGAGCCGAGATTGCGCCACTGCACTCCAGCCCGGGCTAGACAGCGAGACTCCATCTCAAAAAAAAAAAAAAAAAAAAAAAAAAAAAGGAAAGGAGCATAATTTCCCACTCTGTAAGTGTGGAAAACCCAATGAGTTGTTTTTGTTTGTTTGTTTGTTTGTGAGACTGAGTTTCGCTCTCGTTGCCCAAGCTGAAGTGCAATGGTGCGATCTCGGCTCACCGCAACCTCCGCCTCCCGGGTTCACGCCATTCTCCTGCCTCAGCCTCCCAAGTAGCTGGGACTACAGGTGCCCACCACCACGCCCGGCTAATTTTTTGTATTTTTAGTAGAGAGGGAGTTTCACCCTGTTAGCCAGGATGGTCTCCATCTACTGACCTCGCGATCCGCCCGCCTTGGCTTCCCAAAGTGTTGGGATTACAGGCGTGAGCCACCGCACCCGGCCAGAGCTAAGTTTCATAAATGAAAGCTTCTGAGTGAGGGAAGGATGCAGAGTGGTCCTTTAGGAAGAGGAATCTGGGGATGGCAGTGTGAAAGCAGAGCAGGGATCACTATGTGGCGAGTGCCTTCTGTTCTATATATGCAGGACATGGCAAGGATGTGAATAGGGATGGCGCAGTGGGATGGAAACTGGAGGAAGGTGGCTGAGAGGAAGAAAAAGCAAGCAGGTGTGAAGGCAAGAAAGCGGTAATAGTTTATGGCACGATCTGCTTAACTAACATTAACTTAACGAATATTGCTTAACTAATATTAAATGCTTAACTAATATTGATTCTCTTTCTTTTTCCATGCTAACTGAACATTCCGATTCTGTTGAGGGTCACAGTGATTTCAGTCAAAAATACTTTTCATATTCCCTTGCCTGTAGGAGTGCCATGTGGTCCAGTTTATCCAATGAGATGTAAGCAGAAATCTAATGGGAAATGGTTATTTTCCTGATTAAAAGACGACAGTCTCTGCTAGCATCTCCCTTTTGTCTTTTCCCCCCACCCACTTCCTTTAACATCGGAAACGGACATAGACATGATGTCTAGAGTTGTAGCAATCATCTTGTAAACAAGGGGATGAATGCCACCTACAGGGAAAGGTAGAAACAGACAGAATCTTCATAACATTGTACAGCTATCTCTGAACTTCATTTTACATGACAGGAAAATAAAATATTTAGTTAAACCAGTGTGGTTGGATTTCTTCTACAATCCTAATTGAAACAGAGTAAAAGGTCACTCTAAGAGTTTAAGCCCTAACAAATTAGGAAATAATGCCTTGTTAATTCTCAATCCAGGGTAATCGGATAAGAACCAGAAGAGGGCTCTACTCCAGCAAGGGAAATCTTCCTAAAATAGGGGCATTGCCGCTTGGAATTGGAGCCAGGGCACCGTGAGTCATTAGACATGTTCTCATTCAGGTTGTATAAGCGCCTAAATGTGCTTTGCATTCTGACAGGTCAGGTCTATCACTCTCCCTACTATAGTAGCCACCATTGCTCAAGCCACTTCAAAATTAAGTAAATTGTCACTAGTCCTTTTCCATGCAGTGGTGGTAAGAAAGAAAGCAACTCCTCATTAGGTAGCCAAATCCTCCGTGTACCCATGTGGAAGGCACTGGTCTCCATGCCTGGCTGCTTTATCACCTGGGCTCCTCTGCCTGCCACATAGATCTGACAGAATGGTCTATGGGGATAATGGTCTAATTAATAATCTATGAGGCCTAATGGTCTAAGGGGATACATGATGGTTTATACAGATCTAATTCATTTCAAATTCTCTTACACCTGAGTTTCCGAGCCCGGAAATAATCATCATCCCTTAATTCCCTAATTGAAGCCTAGCAATCTGTCAACATTTCTGTGAGGACAAGGGGTATGTCCTGACAACAGCCACCAAGCTATCTCTTATACCCTCCCACAAATTGCAGTAAATACATTAAATGAGATTTTGACTAGTTTGCAGTTTTACTTCAACCTGTTGGGACTACAGAACTGGAGAAGCAAGACACAAAGCACAGCTAATTAATTAACTCGATAAATATTTGTTGAATGCCTGCAATTTGCCTAGCACTGTTGTAAGAGCTGGTGACACAGAAGTAAACAAAATATGCAAAAATCATGCCCTCATGAAATATATAGAGATGAGACAGAAAATAAATAAAATATATATTGTGTCGGAGATTGTGTTTCTGAGAAAGATACAATACGATGAAGAGTAAAGAGAACGAATGCTGAAAAAGGAACAGTCAATAGTTAAATAAAGTGGTTGTTGGATAATAAGGCCTCCTGAGAAGAAAATATTTGAAAGCAATCTGAAGAAGGAATGAGAGGGAGCCACACAGATAATCAAACATGAGGGATGCATTATGAACTTTCCTGAGGAAGCAGACACTGGCTCTTTTCATCAAGTCAAGTGATTAGAGCAATATATTTACTCTGGAAAATGTACTGACACTGTCCATGTTTTTTGTACATAGTCATTGTGAAAAAAATATTTTTAATTGCACACTTGACACTGAAGATACATCCCATTCTCGCAAATGAGTTAAATAAAGTCTTAACACATGATATGTTATAAGACTACATGTAGTAAAAAATAAAACATAATAAGTAACGTGGGAAAATGCAGGGATATTTTAGTGGGAAAACAAGGCTATTCACAGATATAATTTTTGTTAATGGAACAAATCAAGGGTTTTTCTTAAAATTTTCCTGTAATCACAACTATATGATCATACAGAAAAGGAAAAATAGCAAATTATTGTTAATTCCATTAAGTAAGCTCTAGAAGTATATTTGAAGTAATCCCACTTTATTTAACGCTGGTAAAGTAAGAGGCTGCCCTGCTGAGCAGGATGAAATACCTCTGTGTGTAGCTTTATTTTCACAGCACATCTGCAAATAAGTGGAGCCAACCATCAGCAGTTCTGTGACATCCACAGAGTTTGTTTTCAGGGTCATCAATTTCCAGGCCCTACCTGACCCCTAATTTGTTTTTATTTATATTGGCAACACATACAGCATTTACTATGTGTCAGGTACTAAGGGATTTTAAACGATAATAATGGGGGTGATGGTGATAAAAATAATGGCTACTGTTTTCAATGTCTGTCTAAACACCAACATTTTGCTTCATTTGATCTCCTTAGCAACTCCACGAGGTAGATACGAATATTTCCTCATTTTTCAGATGAGGGCATTAAATTGTAAATATGTTATGTCACTTGCTTACCACGGCATGGCTAGAAGGTAGGAAAAGCAAAGTGCAAAACTAGATCTGCCTAATAATATCAATTTCAATCTCATACAAAGCAAAGTAAAAACATAAGACAAAGGGGCACTTAAGTTATATTTTAGTTAAGCCCCATCTTGAAGGTAAACTGGAATTAGTCATTTTGGAGTCATTTGTGTGCTGCAGGAAGGGAGAGCAGAAAGATATGTGATGCTTGAATTTCAGAGCTTTTTGAGGACAACCCAGGCCCCAGCCCGGATACCGCTGCTGGAGGCCTGCTCCCAGCATGTCTTCCAGAAGCTGGGTTTGCTCAGGATTTCCTGGCATTCCTCTCCCTCACATTTCCCCCTGAATGCTGGTCAGAGTCCTCTCCCTCTCTCCTTATCATAGGCCTCTATGTATTAGTTTCCTATTGCTGTTATAACAAATTACCGAAAATTTAGTGGCTTAAAATACAATAAATATATGCTTTTATAGTTCTGAAGGTCAGAAATCCAAAGCGGTTGAACTTGGCCAGAATTAGGGAGTAATCAAGCCTGTGTTTCTTCTAGAGGCTCCAGGGAATAATCCATTCATTACCTTTTCCAGCTACAGGAGTCCAAGTGTCCTCCTGCACTCTTTGGCCCATGGTTCTGAATGACTCTGAT
Source organism: Homo sapiens (assembly GCF_000001405.40). Classification (NCBI taxonomy): domain Eukaryota; kingdom Metazoa; phylum Chordata; class Mammalia; order Primates; family Hominidae; genus Homo; species Homo sapiens. The sequence goes on along the minus strand of NC_000006.12, from coordinate 71,852,783 downwards.
GTCTGCCTCCATTGTCACATCTCCTTTTTTTACTCTCATATCTTGTTCTTTCCCTTGTAAGGACATTTGTGATTATATGAGTTTACCTAGACAGCCCAGGATAATCTCTCCATCTCGAGATCCTTAATCACATCTGCCAAGTTCATTTTGGATCAGTATGTGCACACATTTGGGGGTCATCATGCTGCTTACCACACTCTACCTTAGCTATCTATATTCTTAGCTTTTATTTTTGGAACAATTTGACATTTAATAATATTTCCAAAAACATCCCTTCCCCTCAGATATTTTAGAATGTATCCTGGGCCATTCTACTGTTTCCCTACTCTTGTTTATGAGGTTTTAGTAAACTGTCCTCTACTAAGTTTAAGTACTCTGGATTGACGGATTTTTAAAACATGACTTCCCTTTTAAAAAAAAATTTGTGTCTCTCGATATCTTACCATGATAAATCAAATCCATCGCTAATCACCAGCAAAGTATCTTTAGTTAGGTTAAAATTTCAAGTCAAACATATATATTTTGTCTTTTGATCAATCATTATCAGAGCTAATGGGATAATCTTATGACTGAAATACTCATCTAGAAAAAAAGGAATGCAAGAAGAAATCATGTGTTTTCCAACTGAGAAGAACAGGGAAATTCTTAGGCCCTAAACTGCATCCAAATATTAAAATAAAGGTCATTAACTTCACATCTGGGTGTGTAAGAGGCATGTGGATACTCAGCCAAGATCTGCCATCAACCCTACTCACCAGATAGTGAGACACATCAGAAGTTATACGTGGAAACTAAACATTGAGAACACAAGGACACAACGAAGAGAGCAATAGACACCAGGGCCTACTTGAGTCTGAAGGTGGGAAGAGGGTGAAGATTGAAAAGCTACCTAATGGTACCATTGGCAAATGTTATTATGCCAATTACCTGGGTGACAAAATTATCTGCGCATCAAACTCCTGCGACACACAATTTACCCATGTAACAAACCTGCACACGTCCCCACTGAACCTAAAAGTTGGAAGAAAAAAAAGAAATTTCCAAGTCAAATTACCTAAAGCATGCATGCTCATGATAGGTGATTGATAGCTTTAAAAGCCCAATGTGGAATGAAGTACTGATGCACGTCACAACATGGATAAACCTCAGATGCATTATGCTTGGTGAAAGAAGCCAGACACTAAAGAACATATACTCCACAATTCCATCTATATGAAAAGTCCAAAAAAGGCAAATCTATAGAAACAGAAAGTAAATCAGTGTTTGCTTAGGGAAAGGGAGTGATCGTAAATGGGCAGAAGACTTTTTTTTTGGAGTGATGCAAATATTCTAAAATTAGATTGTAGTAGTGGTTGCACAATTCAATGATTCTGTAGTCATTGAATTAGTGGTGGTTGCACAATTCAATGATTCTGTAATCTTTGAATTATATGTATAAAATGGGTAAATTGTATGATATGTAAATTATACTTCAATAAAGCTATTAATAGCAAAAAGTCCAGTGAATTGATTATACACCCAACATTTATTTCTAAATATATTTCATTTTAAAAACTATTGTATAATGATGCTTGATGTGAGGTATTTTATAACAGAGAAGAGTTATAAGCAGTTTATATGTTCAAAAATAGGATTAGTTTAGTAAATTATGGTAGAGCCATGTGATGAATTCTCTGTGTGTAGAAGATAAAATTAAGTCTAGAAGACTAATAAAATGCGAAGATGCTCATGTCATATGCCAAATGAAAAAACAGACTACTAAATCTCTATGCTTTACGACCCCAAGTTTTTACATAACACACGTGTGTTCACATAGTGCATGTTGTTAACCCCTTGTACTATTCCTGTTGTTCCTCTCATTGATTTAGTCAACAGGAGGGATCTGTTGGAGTGACTAACAATTGTTCCAATTCTAAACCCACTGACATAGGCCGTCAAGAAAAAATGTTTTGTCATTGCCTAATACGAAGTTTTCTGTGCAATAATGTCAGTAAATAGAGAACAGATGAAGATGTATGCATTTTTAATTGCTACGGTGATTGGCACTGGTTGAGACAAACCACTGGAAGAAACAAATGCACATCACATACAAAAGTTATCTTTCATGCAAGTCTAGTTAAACCAATTTATACATAATGCAAAATTTTCCCAAAAGATATCATATTCTGACTGTAGTACGCATACTCGTCCCTGCCAATCAAGGTGTCTGCTTCTACTATTTATTTCATTTTCAAGTGTTTTGTTTTTATTTTCTAATTCAACATTATTAGAAGATACTAGCCCCATCGCTAGAATCATAGGAATTAGGGTGTGTGTGTCACTGCAAACACTTAACTCTACTCAATTCATTCAAAATAGATTCCTGGGATTCTCTCTCCTTGCTTGTCTCTTCACAAGTTCTCATTAACCTGTACATTTCTTCTTTAATTTTACTAATTTCTCTCATGTTATTTCTACCAATTTACCTTGATAGCATACCCTTGTCCAATGCAGCAGTTTTACCATCTGATTAATAGTGTCCTTCTAACCTATTTGCACAATAACTTCTAGAAATTAGTTTAAAAATGTAATAATGGTTTCCTCTGGATGATGAGATGACAAGACATTTTTTATTTTTTCTTTATATTGTTTTGTATATGCCAAATAAATTTTTCATTTTGCATACCATATAAAACTATATTTTTCATTTATAACCTAAAAGTGAATGCTATTAATTTCTTATCCATATTTCTTTTGTTTCTTCACATAAAAACAACTGCAGACAGTAATGGTGCAGTATCTTAACTTTGGCACTACTTTGACATTTTGGGCTAGATAATTCTTTGTTGTGAAGATGATCCTGTGCATTATAAGATGTTTAGTAGTATCCCTGGCCACTGCCCACTAAATGCCAGTAGCAACCTCTGCTTGTGACAATTAAAATGTCTCCACACATTGCCAAATATCCCCTCCTGGGGGTAGGAGAAGGACACAATCAGCACAGGTTAAGAATCACTCTTCTAGAGCTTCCTTCTCTGTCCCTTCTGCACTATTTCCATTTTATATCATTTATCTTTAGTTTCTCCAGGGATGTAGAATGTGTAATCCTCTGTGGACAGGGCCTGGTTTCCCTAGTATGTAAATGTCCTTGTGGACCGCATCCTTTTTTCCTCTGGAGATCTAGGAACCCACAAACAATTGTCTGGGTAAATACTCAAAGCACAGGAAACTTTCATAATCTGTATGTATCTGCTATACCTTCTCCCAGCCCATTCATTCTCCAAACTTGGTCTGTAATGAGTATTAAATCACAATGAGAATACTAACAACCAGTGATAAATGAAGTTCTTCTTGCAAATTACAATTCACTACATGTAATTTTTAAAGATTTTGATATGTTTATCAGCTGTTGTACATTGCACTAACCTTTAAAACCAGCTTATGTGTCATTGGTTTATTTTACAAAACTATATTTCCTATCCATTTTCACAATGAAAATAGTACCTTAAGGTTTCAATATTACCTTAAAGTTCATCTTGAATGTTAGGGCAAATGATGGAGAACTTCCACTTGTTATTTGAACATTCAATTAATAATAATAATTGTTTAATTAACAAATATAAATAATTGGCTTGTGTACTCAGATGCATGAATCATAAAAAAGAAATGCTTATTAGTTTAGTTTTATCAGTTTTAAAACTCAATTGCTTTCTAAATCAATAATTCACAGTATATCTTTAATAATCATTGCATAATGAGCCACCGAAAAGTTTGTCTTCAAGTTATGCACTAATTTTAAAAATATTTCCATCATCCAATAATACAAATGTTAGGCTAAATTCACTTCCTTTGTAAATACTGAAATACCAGATGCCTTCTATAACAAAACAAAAGCATAACACTTGAATAATTTATCACATGAGGTACCTAATTTTCATCGTTATATTTGAGTTTTGCAGAATGATAATCATGACTTCAGGTGCAGCATTCTCTCTACCCCACACATCCTTCCTTCTTGTCTCTGCCTGGAAAAAAATCTATTCTCTCTTCAAAATGCAGCTTTATTTTTTCTCTGCCTTTATGAAATTCCCCTTGACTACCTGGGACAGAGTTAGTGGTCCCCCCGATCTTCTTATAGTTTTTTCATCTATTAAAGCCCTTGTTACACTGTATTTATATCACTTCTCCCCATGTGACTTTTCCCATTCTAACCTATAATGTACCAGAGGGCAGAGATCCTTAATATTTTTTATTCTTTAACAAGCATTTATTAAACACCTAATTTGGTGCAGGCACCAGGCTAATAGCTAGAGATACAGAAAAACATAATTCTACTTACAAGTTGCTTACCATCCAGGGAGGAGATAGAAAAACATATACAATATAGCGAGGAGAGTAACATGATGCAGTCAAGCATGGGGTGTCTGCAATCATATGGGTTGAGCATCTCTGCCCAGACAGGGATTCAGAGAAGGATTACTGAAAGCAGCAGCATCTAAATTGAGTTGTAACAAATGAAGAGGCATCATCTGCACTGGCGGAGAGTGGTTAGTAAGAAAAGTTGGGGTGGGATCAGGAACAAGGGTTAGGATGGGTGTTTCAGGAATGAAATACTGGGTGTGGAGGCTGCACTGGAGGTCTTGGACTTCTCTCTGCTTCATCACTTCCTCTTGATTGCTTGTATCTTTGAAATTATTAGCAAGCTTTCTAGGGATAAGAGCCCTGATTCACATGAGTTTGATTTTATAGTGCGATCCTCTGTGTTATCTTGAAATGAAAGAAAAGCAGATAATAAGTCTGAATATAGAGATTTAATGCATGTTGGAGGGAAAGAGATGGACATAGAGGAAGTTGCTGTTTGATCAAAGAAGAGGTAAAGATAATCTTTTGAGAGTAATTCATGAGGAAAGAATCATGATGAAGTTATATAACAAATATATGGGAATGGGAAATGGAGATGACCATATAAACAAGGATTTTAGGAAAGCTTGACTGAGGTTAGATCATGGGCATCTGGTGTCTCCAATGTGCAGTTGTGTGCACATTTTCTCCAACAGTACTAAGCAACCTGGGTACAACTGCAGAAAAGATAGAGGATTGCACTACGTGAGTGTAGTGTATTTTTTTCTGTAGCTAAGCAGCAAAAAAGTTGCAGATATTGTTAAAAACCATAAGGCCAATTTAGTCTTTGTTCCCATTCCCCACCATATCCCACCCATTGGTACAAAATATGAACATGGTTGGCCACTTAATATAAACATAGGTTGCTGCTAATAGACAACCAATTCTGTCCTTAATACAAAAAGGATAGAATTATGCATCACCTCTCTTCCTTTAATAGAACATTAACCCATGACTTTCTGCATTAAAAGGAAATTATGGGGTTTTTCAAAGTCATTATAAGTATGGGTGGATCTCCTACAAATAGCAGATGCACTCACAATAAGTCATGAGTAAGCTAAAGTTTTATTAAGAAAACCCCCAAATTCATCAGAGATGCCCACCATTGAAAACACTCTTGTTTGAAAATCTAAGCCAGGTATTGGCAAACTTTTTTTGGTAAGTTCCACATAGTAAATATATTAGGCTTTGCATGCCATATGATCTTTGTTGTAACTACTCAACTCTGCCTTTGTATCAGAAAAGTAGCCATAGGAAAAATGTAAATGAGTGGACATGACTGTGTTCCAATATAGTTTTATTTGCAGAAACAAGTGGTCTGCAGATGATAGTTTACCAGCCCTGGATATAAACTAAGGTTGTGTTTCTTTTCTGTAAAATAAGTAGTCATGCTCTAATCTATTGTTGCATAAATATTTACTTTTATGTTGCTTACTTAAATTAAGAACTATATTTTAAGTAATGTATTTTTCTCTAAGTAATTGTAAGAGTGAAAGATAAAGATGGCATGATTCTGTACATATATTGAACCAAAATGTTCATAGTTAATTTATCATTAGCAAAATGCTTTTTGGAATCCCTAAAATTATACCTGGAAGCCCTATACCATAATAATTAGCGAAAAGACTGAATTTGAAATTGCTAGTTTTCCAGATGGAATACTACTTCTTGGATCTTCGGATAAATGTTTTGTGAAAGCAGCATAATTACCGACAGACAGCACAACATTCCTCCAATTTTTAGGGAAATGGTCCTTAGCCTGTGATGACAGCATGGATATGCTCCTTTTCAGAAGAAAGTAGAAATTATTATGCCTTAGAGTTAACTGTAGTAGCTTTTGTATTTGGTGTGGGAATAACTTAGACAGCAGTTCAGTAATAGTTACAGTTTTTTTTTTAAATTTGTGTTTATTAGCATGATTTATCTTGATTTATTCTATGATATTTTATAGTTACAGCATAAGTAACCAAATTTCAAGGCAAGACAGGAGCTTATTCTTTAATGAAGATGGCACAGCTTCAGTTCTGGAGAGCCTGGTGTTGGAGGTAGCTGTGAGCTCCTCGGGGAGTCTCCTACTAGAGGCAGTGATAGTCACAGAGCCCTGGAAGCAAAACAGAAGCCCACTGGGACTATAGCCATCACCAGCTTAGGAAAAGATGAAGGTGGAAAGAAATTCCTTGGGGAAGGCTTCCAGAGACAATATTCTCAGAAGAACCAGTACCAACAGTCAAATGTCTAAACACATGACCAAAGGCTAGCTGAGAGGTTAGTTGTTCTAAGACATCTGCTCATAATTGCCCTGATGCCTAATTATTTACCATAAATTGTGTTATCATAGAATTTAATGTGCTAACATAATTCTCATATTTCTTTCACTTACTAAACTTTTAATCTCAATTATAATTTTTTCCTCACAAATTACATCTGTGAAACCATTGTCATTATTTAAAAAGAGAAAAGAGATAAAGAGAAACTAAAACCATTTTTTACATGACAGCTATGTTTCCTCTCTTTTGTATGTTAGCCATTTATCTATTGTATATAGTGATATACACAATATAGTCATTCTGGTTGGGAAAAAACACTTATATCACGAGATCATCGTACAGGAACATGACCAAGTATTATAAAGCACCTCTTGAAATTCTGAGCTCGGCCTATTGATCTGACATCTACATTCTGCTTATTTTCCTATTACTGTATCACTGCTAATATTGGTAAAACATTGCTGTATACATAGAGTGATATTTGTAAAGGATAATTATTTTAGCATATTGGAAGCTTATCACCTTTAAGAAGTGGAATACTGTTAAAAAATGTATTAGTGTGACCATTCTCAGGTAGTTGAGTGGTGAGTCAGTTATAAGCACCTACACAGTTAGAATAGACTTATTGCAAGAGAAACCTTGATATGCTTCCATTGAACAGTGAGGAAAAAGGAGACAGATGGGGTAGGATGGTAGAAATTTGGTTCTTAAACACCTAACCACACATCACAGCCCTCTGTAACACTACTGATGAGGCAAAATTAGTCATAGTATATAGATGATTGTGTAAGAGGCTTATTGAATTTATTTTAAAGATTGAGATGAATAATTTCAGATAACTAATGAGAAAGTTAAACATTTCAGTTTTAAGAAGAGCTATAGGATGATTTTCAGGTACAGGGTGAAAGTTTATGGCTGAAATAAAGTGATGTAAACTTCAGCTCTCTGCCTTACACAAGAAACACAAATCCTTTTAAAAAGGTATTGTTACTCCTAGAAACAAACAAATTACCTAAACTGACCCTAGGTGAAACAGAAAATCTTGTAGAAATCGGAATTTAAAGATAAACAAAGGAGAGACTTTGGTTTCTCATTCAGCATGAAAGAAGCTTGGAAGTCTTCCTTTCATCTTAACAAAAAGTAAAGCTAAACAAAATGAAATATCAACAACTCTTCATAGATCTGTCAGAGAAGTGAAGTCACAGGGCAAACTGCTGCCCCACAAATTGGATGAATTGACAGGTGAATACAAAGAATCACCAAGTTACCAGAGCACAAGTAGAAACCTCTGAGGGGCCCACTACCACAGTAGTAGGAAAACCTAAACTGCAATTAACGAATTGCTTCGAGGTAAACGTGGACAAGTCAGAGAGTTAAAAACTCCAGGAAGACCCAATTATAAAGGGGGGGGCACACACATTTGTGACTTTTACCTCTAGGAGATCAACCAGGTTCTCAAAGGAAAGATTGAAGAAAAATTCCCTCATACTAGTGGCCTAGGGAGGGGAAATTAACCATTTTGAAATACACGAGAGCCTTATGTTATTTTTAAGGCCTGCCCTCAAGAGAAACTATTTACCAAAGCATAAACTATCAGGTTTTTCTCAGTACCTAACCAACCTGGGGCAAGAAAAATACCCAACTAGAGCCCTCTCCAGCCTCTCATGTAGGAGAATGGAAATATCCAACTCCAGCCAATTCTACTCATCCCAGCCCACCTTAAGGAGGGAAAAACTGAGAAGCACTTGTGAAGTTTATAGTCTAGAGGCAAAGGCTCAGAGCAAGAGCATTTATCAGAGACAAAGAAGGGCATTACATAATGATAAAGGGATCAGTTCTTTAAGAAGACATAAAAATTCTTAATGTGTATGCACCTAACTACAGAGCATTAAAATATCGGAGGCAAAAACTAATAGGATTTCAAGGAGGGGTAGATGAATCCACAATTATTGTTGAAGACTTCAACACTCTTCTATTAGAAATGGACAGATCCAGCAGGCAAAAAATCCATAATGACATAGTTGAACTAAATAGCAACACCAATAAACTGACTATTCAACAACAGCTGATTACACATTCTTCTAAAACTCACTCAGAGTATTTACCAAGAGAGAGCACATTCTGATGCATAAACACACCTTAACAAATTAAAAAGAATAGAGATAATACAATGTCTGCTCTCAAAGAACAATGGAATTAAACTACAAGTCAACAATAGAAAGATATTTGAGAAATTCCCAAATGCTTGGAGATCAAATAGCACACTTTCAAATAACACTTGGGACAAAGAAGAAATATCAAAAAAAATTTAAAAGTATTTTGAATTAAATGAAAATGAAAATCAAACTTATCAAAATGTGTGGGTTGCAGTGAAAGCAGTGCTTAGAGGGAAATTTATAGCATCCAACACATATATTAGAATAGAATAAATATCTAAAATTAATCATTTAAGTTCTACTTTAGGAAACCAGAAAAAGAGGAGAAAATGAAATCCAAATTAAGCAGAAGAAAATAAATAATAAAGGTTACAGCAGAAATCAATGAAATTGAAAATAGGAAATCAATAGAGAAGATCAACAAAATTGAAAACTAGTTTTGTGGAAAGATCAATAAAATGTATAAACCTCTAGCCAGGGTAACTAAGAAAAAAAGAAAGAACATACAAATTATTAATATCAGAAGTGAAAGAGGATATCACTACAGATCTTATGAACATTAAATGGATAATAAATATTATGAACAACTCTATGTCCACAAATTTGATAACCTAGATGAAATGTACCAATTCCTTGAAAAACATGATTGGACAAAACTCACACAAGAAGAAATAGACAATTTGAATAGCTCCATATCTATTTTTTAAATTGAATCTATAGTTAATAACCCTCCAAAGCAGAAAGAACCAAGCCCCAATGGGCTTACTGGCAAATTCTACCAAATTGTTAAGGAAAAAATTATATAAATTCTCTATAATCTTTTCTCTTCAAAATGCAGAGGAAATTCTTTCCAATTCATTCCGTGAGACTGATCAGACTAAGGCATTTAAATCAGACCAAAATCAGACAACGGCATTAAAAGACAAAAACGAAACCAACCAACCAAACAAACAAACAACAAAACCCACTACAGACTAATATCTCTCATAAATACCAGGGTCAAAATCTTCAACAAAGTCTCAGTAAATCAAATCTAATAATGTATGAAAAGAACTAAACACCATGACCAAGTGGGATCTATCTTAGGTATGCAAGGCTGGTTCTAAATTCAAAAATGTAATTCATCACATCAGCAAGCTAAAGAAGAAAATCACATTATCATATCAATGGATGTAGAAAAAGCATTTGACAAAATCTACCATCTATTCACAATTAAAAAAAAAATTCCCAGCAAGCTGGGAATAGAGGGGAATTTCCTAAACTTCATAAAGAACATTGCAAAAAACCTACAGCTAATGTTATACTTAATGCTGAGAAACTAGAGGCTTTCCCTCTAAGACCAGGAACAAGATAAAGAATGTCTTCTCTCACAACCTTCTTACAACATCACACTGAAAATCTGAATTGATGCAATAAAACAAGAAGGGAAATAAAAGATATACTTATTGGAAAGGAAGAAACAAAACTGTCTTTGTTCACAGAAAACATGATTGTGTACAGAGTTGAAAAGAATTGACACACAGACACACAAACAATGTTTGGAACTTATAAGCAATTACACTGAGGTTGCAAGATACAAAGTGAATATACAAAAGTTAATCACTTTCCTATATACCAGCAACGAAAAAGTGGAATTTGAAATTGAAAACAAAATACTAGTTACATTAGTACCCTAAAAAGTGAAATACTTAGGTATAAATCTAATATGCAAAAGATATATATGAGGAAAACTACAAAACTCTATTAAAACAGATCAAAGAAGTAATAAATAAATGAAGAGATAGCCCATGTTTATAGAAAAGAAGACTGAGTACATCAAAATGTCAGTTCTTCTCGACTTGATCTATAGGTACAATGGAATCCCAGTCAAAATTCCAGCAAGTTATTTTGTGTTTATTGATAACCTGTTTCGAAAGTATATGGAGAGGCAAAAGACCTAGAGCAGCCACCATTTGAAGGAGAAGTTGAAGGACTAACACTATATGACTTCAATACTTACTATAAAGCTGCAGTAATCACAATAGTGCAGTACTGGTGAAAGAACAAATACATCAATAGAACAGAATGGAGAGCCAAGAAATAGACCTACATAAATGTCTGATGTTCAGTAAAGGAGCAAAGGCAATATAATGGAGCAAAGATAGTCTTTTCAAAACACGAACCTAGAACAACTGAATATCCACATGCAAGAACAATTAATCTAGACACCTTACACCTTTCCCAAAAATTAACTCAACATGGATCACAGACCTAAATGTAAAATGCAAAACTGTAAAACTCCTAGAAGATGACATAGGAGAAAACCTCAATGACCTTGAGTGTGGCAATAACACCAAAGGCACAAAACATCAAATAAATAATCGATTAGCTGGACTTTATTAAAATTAACAAACTTCTGTTCTGTGAAAGACACTGTCAAGAGGATGAGAATACAAGCTGCAGACTGGAAGAAAACATTTGCAAACTGCATATGTGAAACCGTATCCAAAATATACAAATAATTCTTTAAACTCAACAATAAGAAAACAAACAACACATCTTAAAAGGGGGCAAAAGACCTGAACAAGCACTTCATCAAAGAAGTTATATTGATGGCAAATAAGCATAAGAAAAGATACTTAGCAACATATGTTACTAGGGAATTGCAAACTATGAAATACCACTACACATCTATCAGAATGGCCAAAATCCAAAACAATAACACCCCCAAATACTGGCAAGAATGTGGAGCCACAGGGACTCTATTTCATTGCTAGTGGGAATGCAAAATAGTACAGCCATGTTGGAAGACAGTTTGGCAATTTAGTTTTAAAGAAACTAAACACACTCTTTCCATATGATCCATAAATTGCCTTGCTTGGTATTTATCCAGATTAATTGAAAACTTGTGTCTGCATAAAAACTATCACATGAATGTTTATAGGAGGCTTATTTATAATTGCCAAACCTTGGAAGCAACTAGGATGTTCCGTAGCAGGTGAATGAATAAATAAACTTTGTGACATTAGGACAATGGAATATTCAGCATTAAAAAAGAAGTGATTTATCAAGTAATGAAACAAAATGCAGGAAACTTAGATGGATATTACTAAGTCAAAAAGGCCAATCTAAAAAGGCTACATATTGCATGATTTTAACTACATGACATTTTGGAAAAGGTAAATCAATGGAGAGAGTAAAAGTATCAGTGGTTGTTGGGTGGAGGGACAGATCTATTTTTAGTGCTTAAGTTATTCTGCATGATACTATATTGGTGAGTATATGTCATTACACATTTGTTAAAGTCCATAGAATGTACGATACCAAGAGAAAATCCTAATGTAAACTATGAAATTTGGGTGATAATTTTGTGTCAACATAGGTTCATAAATTATAAGAAATGCTCCATTCTGGTACAGAATTTTGATACTGGGAGATGCTATGTTTATGTGGGGGAAGGGGTATGTGTGAAATCTCTGTACCATCCTTCAATTTTGCTGTGAACCTAAAACTGCTCTAAATAATCAAGTCTTTTTTTTTTGAAAAATGGGCAATGTACTTGAATAGACAATTCTCCAAAGAAGATATGCAAATAGCCAATAAGCACATGGAAAGATACTTAACATCATTAGTCACTGGGGAAATGCAAATCAAAACCACAATGAGGTCTCACTTTACACCTACTAGGATGGCTGTAATAAAAATAATAAAAAAGAAAATAACAAGTTTTGGCAGGAACATGAAGAAATTGGTACTCTCATACATTACTGGTGAAAATGTAAAATAGTGCAGCCACTGTGGAAAACAGTTTGGCAATTTACCAAAAAGTTAAACAGAATTACATATGATCAGACAATTCCACTTCTAGGTATATACCTCAAACAATTGAAAGCAGGGACTCAAACAGATATTTGTACGTCAGTGTTCATTGCAGCACTATTCGAATTAGCCAAAAGATGTAAATAACACAAGGGTCCATTAACACATGAGTAAATAAACAAAATGTGTTATATATGTATAGTGGAATATTATTCAGCTATGAAAAGGATAGAAGTTCTGATACATGCTCCAACGTAGATGAACTTTGGAAACATTATGCTAAGTGAAATGGGTGAGTCCCAATAGGACAAAATATTGTATGATTCAATTTACATGAAATATCTAAAATAGGCAAATTCATAGAGACAGAAAACAAATAAGAAGTTACCAGGGGCTGGCAGGAGTTGTTTTTTAATAGTCACAGTGTTTCTGTTTGGGATGATAGAAGAAGTTTTGGAAACAGATAATGATGATGGTTGTACAACATTGTGAATGTACTTAGAACACTGAATTGTATAGTTAAAATGGTTAAAATCACAAATTTTATGTAATATATATATTTTTACCACAATAAAAATGTTTTAAAAAAGGAATTGCTAGATATGAGCATTAGAGAAGGGGGGAAGTTGCTTTTTTCCCTTTCCTGAAAAGGTTATGTAACTTTATTTGAAGGAAGTGAATCCTTAGCAAGAAATGGTTCAAAGGAAAGTTTTCTGAGAAATACATATATACATGTGTATGTATTTTAAGCATATATATGTATTTTAAGCATGCATATATATATACACACACACATATGTGTATATATACATACACACACACACACACACACATATATATATATGCTTAAAAGATGTTTTCAATAACAATTAGGCAAAGGAATAATTTCCAGCACAGAAAAATTTCCTAAAGCCTAAGTAGTTTTCACTTTAAATTGCCTTCCCGTCTTCATAAAACACCTAAGACTAAAACTACTCTTGAATTATATAAAGCTTTGTTTCTTCTTAATATGGCTCGGATTGTTTATATCAATAAGGCTCTATAATCAATACCATGCAAGAAGCTATTTTTAAAAATTATTTGATTGAAAAAATAGTGAAATGTTCAAAATTATCTTTTAATGCCTACCCAATTTATCTGACAGTTTACCTGTTCGACACAAAAATCACTTAGCAAAGCCTGGAAGAGAAGAGTTTAATAACCTCACTGAGGCATTGATTTTCACCAGAGTAAAGGTAGTTTTAAAAATAAGTGTTGTATAATTTGAGATATCATTGTTTTTATTTTCCCCCATTTTTCTCCCTTTTTCTGTAAAGAAGCCACTAGCTGTTCATGCCCATGAGAAACTGTATGACAGAGTCAAAATCAAAATAACATGGAAGTCTCTCTGATTTTTGCTTTCTGAAAGCCTAGGCTCTTAGGAGAACTTAGAACATTTAAAGACGATTTAAAAGGGAGAAACGAATTTGAAGACATAGACAGAATGTCTAGAAAAACCAAAGACCCAAGATTAAAAAGAGATTTTCGCAGCTGGTTAGGTAGAACCAAGAGAGAGGACTATGGTTCTGAAGATAAAAGAGAAGCTATATCTTCCTTCCTAAGCAGTACTTTTGGTCACAGACATTCTTGCAATAGAGCCGTAGGTCCCAGTGCACAACCACTGAACCTGAAAAGGAAAGGCGGATATGGGTGATGTTGGTCTCTATAGCATCTGCTAGATCTATGATGGAGAACTAATGTCCCTCAGCTCACTCTCTACCAATGTCTTGGTTCTGTCTCTAAATGGACAGACGTTCAGTTTTCTACTAGATCAGTAAAACAGTAGCTTGAGGTTAGATACTAATTTGAGTTATAAAAAATGAAAAGAGACTTGCACAGCTAAGTTGGTAGACTGTGATTTATGCTTGCCACAAAAGCAAGCATATACATGCCCTACTTAATTACAAAGCTGCATAATTTCTTTGGTGGCGACTCCGATAAATTAAAACCTGGGAATGCACACAATAATCTTTTCTAAGGAAATATGGAGCATGTGGCAGGAATAATCAGAAATTTTCTGCCTGGTTTTAAGGTAGAAATAGATTTCATAATCATGATGTCACAATTACATTTTACTTCAGGAAAACGGAGGATTTCTAGCAATAAACTATTTTGCTCTCTTTATTCACTCAGCAGATAATTATTCAATACTGCTGTGTAACAACCATTGTTTCAGGTTTTATGATACCTGATAAATAAAACAGACAAATATCTCGCCAAAGTGGAAAGGGAAACATAATAAACAATAAGTGTAATAAATAACAAAAAATAGAGTATATTAGAATGTAGTAAGTGCTATAGAATTCAAGAATGGATGTTTGGGTAGATTGTAATTTTAATAGGTTGGCAAAGGAAGACCTCTTAAGAAGAAGGTGAAGGAGTTAGCCAAGTATAAACATGGAAGTTAGTCTGATTATACCCAATAAAGCTTTAAAGTTTGTAAGAAATAGAGCTCAGGAAGTTTCTGTCTGTATCTGGTTACTTTGATGAACATGCGAAGTTTGTTGCAAGTGACACTGGTTATAAAAGCATTTCCAAAAATATTTTCAAAAAGCATAAAGGTACTCTAAGAGATTCGTCATATATTTTTGGCACCAAAAAAGGATGCTCTAGGGTCATTAAGAATGAAGTAGAAGACCTAATGTATTAACGGCAAAATATGGTGGTTGTATTCCAATAAAACTTTATTTATAGTCACTTAAATTTTAATTTCAAATATTTTCAAGTGTCATAAAATATTATTATTCTTTTGATCTTCTTTTTCAGTCATTTAAACACATCAAAGCCATTCTTGGCTTACCAGTCATATAAAAATAGGCAGACTGGATTTGGTCTGAGGCCCTGATTATGCCTACCATTGCTCAAAATATTGAACCTCAGGACTTGGAAAAACGTCCTTATTTTGTAAATCCTTTACCAAAAGACCAACCACAGTCTGGGTCACTGAATTGACCTAAACCAGGCTCGCTGATTCCTGCCAAGCCAGCACCAATGTGCGTTGTCACAAGCATTGTTCCCTTCCAAAGGGCAATGCCTTAATATAGGCAGACTTACTAGAGGAATAAGCAAAATGAAAAGAAAAAAAAGCAATGCTCCCAGCCTATGTGTCAGTATAAGCTTATGCTAAACAAAAAGAAGTAAATAAATAGTTTTTAGGCTCAAAGTTAATTGTGTATGGCTATATGATTTACTTTTTAAAATTTTAATGAAGGATTTTATGTTACTTTGTTTAGATACCATCTCAATGTGTTATTTCTAGCTATTGTGTTCTTCTAGATTTCTGATTTTGCCACTTAACATGTTAACCATTCTCCTAATTCTGCTGCCTCCAGATGTGCTAAGCATGACATGTTTATCTTCAATTAAGTTGTTGATGAAATATTAAACAGGGCAGAGCTGAAGACAGAGCTACCTGAACCCTGTAATCAAGACCATAAATCAACTTCACCATTTATTTCCACATGTCTACAATATATTCATGAGAGACTTTGTCTAATGCCTCAGAATACACTGTATTTTCATTATGTTTAAAAGGAAATAAAATTAAATTGGCTGATAAGACATGTTCTTAGAAAATTCATAATGTTTTTAGTGAACTCCTTTTATCAGTTGTCACTAGCCATATGCCTAATAAATAGCTGTAAAATTTTACTGAGAATTTATGTTAAACCCATGTTATTTCCAGTCAGAATTTACTGCTTTCTTGAACTTTGAAAATTAAAAGCTCATTCATCTCTCATATTCTTAATCCTCTTTTTTGATCCACAACTCCTTATAATGACTAGCATTGATTATATAATCATATCTGCAAGTATTTTCTGTACTTCGAAATGAAATTCATCAGTGCCTGGAAACTTGAACTCATCTAAAGCAGCTAGGTATGTTTTTTCTTTCAATAAAAAGCAGCTGATACAGCCCCAAATTCTTCCAAATCTGCCTGTAATTCTCAACGTTTTGTCTGGGTCTCTCATCGGCTTGCCTTTTCCTTTTCCAATCTCTGGAAAACTGCCTCCTCCATTTATCAGAGTAATCTCAAAATTTAAAAGGTTAGAGTCTTTGAAGTTTTTAAAGTTTAACATATTTCCTTCCACATGCCATATCAAGTATGTTATAGAACCCATAGAGAAAAACTCATTTTAGTAGAATTGGAATCTAATTTTATTAAAAACTGGACTTTGTCATGGGGAACATAGGGTAGAAGAATCTCTGCTTCATCTCTAGAAACTCTGTGGTAATCTCTTAGAATCTCACAATGCGAAAACTCCTGGTAAGTTTTAAGCTCAAAATGTTGACGTGCATTACCTCCCTAAACATCAGTCTCTGTGCTTCTGAGCTACCATGAGCATCTGAAGTTCCTGATCTGTCTCCTGACAGATTGTGGTTCAAGCAAGTGTCCAATATAGAAACATGAAAACTTCAAACATTTAGACTAACCTTAATCGGCATAGTCTCAAGGATTTATAGTATTAAGACCAAGATATGAGGTTTTAAATCTATACTCTTTCAGATGGGATCTCACATTTTCTTTTTTTTTTCATTTACTATAGGTATTATAAATATGTCACTCTATACATTCACACTAGGTATTGTAAATATATCATGTCAGATCAGCTTCTCAAATGTTTGTTCACACTAAAGACTCCAAATGATATAAGGCAGAATTTGGTTGCCATGGGAAATGTGAAAGCAGGAAACCAAATGCACCTAAACCCTGCATTAAGAAAGGGGGGCAAGGTGCTGTGGCTCACACCTGTAGTCCCAGCACTTTGGCAGATCATTTGAGCCCAGGAGTTCAAGACCAGCCTGGGCAACATGGCAAGACCTCATCTCTACAAAAAAGAAAAAAAGAAAGAAGAGCAAAGAAAAAGAAATTAGCTGCCCATGGTGGCACATGTCTGTAGACCCAACTACTCATCAGGTTGAGGTGGGAAGATCTCTTGAGTCTGGGAAGTCAAAGCTGCAGTGAGCTATGGTCACACCAGCCTGGGTGACAGAAGACAGAGAGAGTCCCAGTCAAAAAAAAGGACAGCCTGGCACACTGAGACTGCCCTGCCCATGAAATTTAGATGCACAGTTTCTGCCAAATGCTGACACTGGAGCAGAAGAATCAAGAACTCTACTCTCTGCTCACAAAGTATTGTCCTGAATAACAAGAAATAGCAATCTATTGCAGAGGGATGGAGATAGCTTGGGAGAGACCTGCTTCAGTGGCACAGAAGATGGAGGAGGAACAATGAAAACCATTCTCTGGTCATCCTGATCTCAGTCAAGTCATAAGATATCAGCAATTTACCATTGGGGGAATTTGAAGCCTATGAAACACTGAAAGTAATTATGGCAACAAGAAAACTCAACCCTGGTTTAAAACTACTGACCGGATCTACTTAACCCCCACATTAAAGGCCTAAAAGTTGAAGAGGCATACCCATTTGGGACATATATACAGTTTTCTCATTTTGACTGTTTTGTTACACATAATATCTGTCACTCAATCAAATACCATAAGATAGATATAAAAATAAGAAGGAAGGGCCCATTTTTCAATACATGAAAGAGTCAACAGAATCAGACCCAGAGATAGGCCAGACATTGGAACTATCTAAAATGGACTTCAAAGTAATTATGATGAATATGCTAAAGAATCTAGTGGAAAAGGTAAAATACATATATGAACAGAAAAGGAGTTTTAAGAATCAAATGAAACCTCTAGAAAGGAAAACCATGATAACAGAGGAGTTTTTTGAGGGGCTTATTTACAACCTGATTACAATAGAGAAAACAATCAGTGAGCTTGATTATAAGTCAATAAAATTTACTCAAACAGAAAAAAATTTAAAATTAGAATGGGACAAAAAGAACAAAGCATGTTGGAGCTATGGGTCAATATCAAACTAGCATACTTTTAAATGGAGTCCCAAAAGGAGAGAGAATGAGAAAAAATGATGGAAGAAATATCTAATGAATAATAGATGAGAATTTTGCAAAAGTAATAAAATACAACAAACCACAAATTGAAAAAGCTCAGAAAATTCTAAATGAAGTAAATATAAATAGAAACTCATGCAGACATATCATAGCCAAACTGCTGAAATCCAAAGATAAAAATAAAATATTGAAGGCATCCAGAAAAAAATAGATATTTTGTATAGTAGAACAGAGAATGACAGAAGACTTGTATTCAGAAACTTATATAAGGCCCAACACACAATGGTGCAACATTGTAAATTACTGACAGAAGAAAATAAAATTTGTCAACCTAAAATTCTAGATCCAACAAAAATAAATTTCAAAAGCTTAAGTGAAATAAAGCATTATTTAGAAAAGCAAAAAAAGAATTTATTGCCAACAGAAAAGGACTGTTTTTAAGAGAAATGCTTCAAAACTAAAGAAAATGATTATATATAGAAATCTGAATCTACACAAAGGAATAAAAAAACTGAGAATTATAAAATTGATAATAAATTTTACAATGCATTTTGGATCTTTTTAATCCCTTTGAAAGATAATTGACATATTAAAACAAAAATATTAACAATGTATTATGGATTTACAAAATTTTTACAAGTAAAATATATGATAAAGATTGTACAAAGAAAGAGAGAGAGGAAACTTAATGTAACTAAAAGGTCTTTATGCTATATGTAAACTGACACAGTATTAATTGCAAGTAGACCATAATATGTAAAAGAAAATAAAAGTATATTTTAATTCTGAAGCAACCATTAAAAATATAAAACACAGAAGTATAACTAGTCTATAAATGAAATAAAAGGGAATCATAAACATAATCCAAAAAGGAAGCAGAAAAAGAGAAAAGGACAAAGAAAATTAGATCAAAATCACAAATGATAGCCTAACAATAGGTTTAAACCCAATTCTATAAAATTTACATTAAATGTAAATGATCTCATCATGTCCATTAAAAGGCAGAGATTGCCAGACTTGATAAATATGTAAGTCCCACTTACTAATGGTCTACAATAAACCTACCCTAATATAAACTTATACATAGGGTGAAAGTAAAAGAATTCAAAAAAGATATACCATCCAAGCCTGATCAGAAGAAATCTGGAGTGGCTTTATTAATATCAGATGAAGAAGACTTTAGAACAAAGAGTAGAAGCAGGGTTAAACAGGGATGTTACATGATGAAAAGAGGGTCAAGCCAAGAATGAAAAAAAATTCTAAATATGCACACATTTAATAACAATACATCAAAATAGATAAAACAAGAACTTCTAGAAATGAAAGGAGATATAAACATATCCACAATTATACCTGGGGATTTAAACATAACTCATTTGGTAATTGATATAAGTAAAAAAAAAGAATATAGAAAATTTGAATTATACTATTAACCATCATGAATGAATTTACATTTAATTTACATTTATAAGACTTTTTTTGGAGAGGAGGAGCCAAGATGGCCAAATAGGAACAGCTCCGGTCTACAGCTCGCAGCATGAGCGACGCAGAGCGGGTGATTTCTGCATTTCCATCTGAGGTACCGGGTTCATCTCACTAGGGAGTGCCAGACAGTGGGCGCAGGTCAGTGGGTGCGTGCACCGTGCGCCAGCCAAAGCAGGGCGAGGCATTGCCTCACTCGGGAAGCACAAAGGGTCAGGGACTTCCCTTTCCTAGTCAAAGAAAGGGGTGACGGACGGCACCTGGAAAATCGGGTCACTCCCACTGGAATACTGCGCTTTTCTGACGGGCTTAAAAAATGGCACACCACGAGATTATATCCCGCATCTGGATTGGAGGGTCTTACGTCCACGGAGTCTCGCTGATTGCTAGCACAGCAGTCTGAGATCAAACTGCAAGGCAGCAGCAAGGCTGGGGGAGGGGCGCCCGCCATTGCCCAGGCTTGTTTAGGTAAACAAAGCAGTTGGGAAGCTCGAACTGGGTGGAGCTCACCACAGCTCAAGGAGGCCTGCCTGCCTCTGTAGGCTCCACCTCTGGGGGCAGGGCACAGACAAACAAAAAGACAGCAGTAACCTCTGCAGACTGAAATGTCCCTGTCTGACAGCTTTGAAGAGAGCAGTGGTTCTCCCAGTACACAGCTGGAGATCTGAGAACGGGCAGACTGCCTCCTCAAGTGGGTCCCTGACCCCTGACCACTGAGCAGCCTAACTGGGAGGCACCCTCCAGCAGGGACACACTGACACCTCACATGGCAGGGTAATCCAACAGACCTGCAGCTGAGGGTCCTGTCTGTTAGAAGGAAAACTAACAAACAGAAAGGACATCCACACCAAAAACCCATCTATACATCACCATCATCAAAGACCAAAAGTAGATAAAACCACAAAGATGGGGAAAAAACAGAACAGAAAAACTGGAAACTCTAAAAAGCAGAGCGCCTCTCCACCTCCAAAGGAATGCAGTTCCTCACCAGCAACGGAACAAAGCTGGATGGAGAATGACTTTGACAAGCTGAGAGAAGAAGGCTTCAGACGATCAAATTACTCTGAGCTATGGGAGGACATTCAAACCAAAGGCAAAGAAGTTGAGAACTTTGAAAAAAATTTAGAAGAATGTGTAACTAGAATAACCAATACAGAGAAGTGCTTAAAGGAGCTGATGGAGCTGAAAAACAAGGCTCGAGAATTATGTGAAGAATGCAGAAGCCTCAGGAGCCCATGCGATCAACTGGAAGAAAGGGTATCAGCTATGAAAGATGAAATGAATGAAATGAAGCGAGAAGGGAAGTTCAGAGAAAAAAGAATAAAAAGAAACGAGCAAAGCCTCCAAGAAATATGGGACTATGTGAAAAGACCAAATCTACGTCTGATTGGTGTACCTGAAAGTGATGGGGAGAATGGAACCAAGTTGGAAAACACTCTGCAGGATATTATCCAGAAGAACTTCCCCAATCTAGCAAGGCAGGCCAACGTTCAGATTCAGGAAATACAAAGAACGCCACAAAGATACTCCTCGAGAAGAGCAACTCCAAGACACATAATTGTCAGATTCACCAAAGTTGAAATGAAGGAAAAAATGTTGAGGGCAGCCAGAGAGAAAGGTCGGGTTACCCACAAAGGGAAGCCCATCACACTAACAGTGGATCTCTCGGCAGAAACCTTACAAGCCAGAAGAGAGTGGGGACCAATATTCAACATTCTTAAAGAAAAGAATTTTCAAGCCAGAATTTCATATCCAGCCAAACTAAGCTTCATAAGTGAAGGAGAAATAAAATACTTTACAGACAAGCAAATGCTGAGAGATTTTGTCACCACCACGCCTGCCCTAAAAGAGCTCCTGAAGGAAGCACTAAACATGGAAAGAAACAACTGGTACCAGCTGCTGCAAAATCATGCCAAAATGTAAAGACCATCGAGACTAGGAAGAAACTGCATCAACTAACGAGCAAAATAACCAGCTAACATCATAATGACAGGATCAAATTCACACATAACAGTATTAACTTTAAATGTAAATGGACTAAATGCTCCAATTAAAAGACACAGACTGGCAAGTTGGATAAAGAGTCAAGACCCATCAGTGTGCTGTATTCAGGAAACCCATCTCACGTGCAGAGACACATATAGACTCAAAATAAAAGGATGGAGGAAGATCTACCAAGCAAATGGAAAACAAAAAAAGGCAGAGGTTGCAATCCTAGTCTCTGATAAAACAGACTTTAAACCAACAAAGATCAAAAGAGACAAAGAAGTCCATTACATAATGGTAAAGGGATCAATTCAACAAGAAGAGCTAACTATCCTAAATATAGATGCACCCAATACAGGAGCACCCAGATTCATAAAGAAGTCCTGAGTGACCTACAAAGAGACTTAGACTCCCACACATTAATAATGGGAGACTTTAACACCCCACTGTCAACATTAGACAGATCAATGAGACAGAAAGTCAATAAGGATACCCAGGAATTGAACTCAGTTCTGCACCAAGCGGACCTAATAGACATCTACAGAACTTTCCACCCCATATCAACAGAATATACATTTTTTTCAGCACCACACCACACCTATTCCAAAATTGACCACATAGTTGGAAGTAAAGCTCTCCTCAGCAAATGTAAAAGAACAGAAATTATAACAAACTATCTCTCAGACCACAGTGCAATCAAACTAGAACTCAGGATTAAGAATCTCACTCAAAACTGCTCAACTACATGGAAACTGAACAACCTGCTCCTGAATGACTACTGGGTACATAACGAAATGAAGGCAGAAATAAAGGTGTTCTTTGAAACCAATGAGAACAAAGACACAACATACCAGAATCTCTGGGACACATTCAAAGCAGTGTGTAGAGGGAAATTTATAGCACAAAATGCCCACAAGAGAAAGCAAGAATGATCCAAAATTGACACCCTAACATCACAATTAAAAGAACTAGAAAAGCAAGAGCAAACACATTCAAAAGCCAGCAGAAGGCAAGAAATAACTAAAATCGGAGCAGAACTGAAGGAAATAGAGACACAAAAAACCCTTCAAAAAATTAATGAATCCAGGAGCTGGTTTTTTGAAAGGATCAACAAAATAGACCACTAGCAAGACTAATAAAGAAAAAAGAGAGAAGAATCAAATAGATGCAATAAAAAATGATAAAGGGGATATCACCACCGATCCCACAGAAATACAAAGTACCATCAGAGAATACTACAAACACCTCTACGCAAATAAACTAGAAAATCTAGAAGAAATGGATACATTCCTCGACACATACACTCTCCCAAGACTAAACCAGGAAGAAGTTGAATCTCTGAATAGACCAATAACAGGAGCTGAAATTGTGGCAATAATAAATAGCTTACCAACCAAAAAGAGTCCAGGACCAGATAGATTCACAGCCGAATTCTACCAGAGGTACAAGGAGGAACTGGTACCATTCCTTCTGAAACTATTCCAATCAATAGAAAAAGAGGGAATCCTCCCTAACTCATTTTATGAGGCCAGCATCATTCTGATACCAAAGCCAGACAGAGACACAACCAAAAAAGAGAATTTTAGACCAATATCCTTGATGAACATTGATGCAAAAATCCTCAATAAAATACTGGCAAACCGAATCCAGCAGCACATCAAAAAGCTTATCCACCATGATCAAGTGGGCTTCATCCCTGGGATGCAAGGCTGGTTCAATATACGCAAATCAATAAATGTAATCCAGCATATAAACAGAACCAAAGACACAAATCACATGATTATCTCAATAGATGCAGAAAAGGCCTTTGACAAAATTCAACTGCCCTTCATGCTAAAAACTCTCAATAAATTAGGTATTGATGGGACGTATTTCAAAATAATAAGAGCTATCTATGACAAACCCACAGCCAATATCATACTGAATGGGCAAAAACTGGAAGAATTCCCTTTGAAAACTGGCACAAGACAGGGATGCCCTCTCTCACCACTCCGATTCAACATAGTGTTGGAAGTTCTGGCCAGGGCCATTAGGCAGGAGAAGGAAATAAAGGGTATTCAATTGGGAAAAGAGGAAGTCAAATTGTCCCTGTTTGCAGATGACATGATTGTATATCTAGAAAACCCCATTGTCTCAGCCCAAAACCTCCTTAAGCTGATATGCAACTTCAGCAAAGTCTCAGGATACAAAAACAATGTACAAAAATCACAATCATTCTTATACACCAATAACAGACAAACAGAGAGCCAAATCATGAGTGAACTCCCATTCACAATTGCTTCAAAGAGAATAAAATACCTAGGAATCCAACTTACAAGGGATGTGAAGGACCTCTTCAAGGAGAACTACAAACCACTTCTCAATGAAATAAAAGAGGATACAAACAAATGGAAGAAGCCTCCATGCTCATGGGTAGGAAGAATCAATATCGTGAAAATGGCCATACTGCCCAAGGTAATTTACAGATTCAATGCCATCCCCATCAAGCTACCAATGTCTTTCTTCACAGAATTGGAAAAAACTACTTTAAAGTTCATTTGGAACCAAAAAAGAGCCCGCATTGCCAAGTCAATCCTAAGCCAAAAGAACAAAGCTGGAGTCATCACACTACCTGACTTCAAACTATACTACAAGGCTACAGTAACCAAAACAGCATGGTACTGGTACCAAAACAGAGATATAGATCAATGGAACAGAACAGAGCCCTCAGAAATAACGCCACATATCTACGGCTATCTGATCTTTGACAAACCTGAGAAAAAGAAGCAATGGGGAAAGGATTCCCTATTTAATAAATAGTGCTGGGAAAACTGGCTAGCCATATGTAGAAAGCTGAAACTGGATCCCTTCCTTACACCTTATATAAAAATTAATTCAAGATGGATTAAAGACTTAAACGTTAGACCTAAAACCATAAAAACCCTAGAAGAAAACCTAGGCATTACCATTCAGGACACAGGCATGGGCAAGGACTTCATGTCTAAAACACCAAAAGCAATGGCAACAAAAGCCAAAATTGACAAATGGGATCTAATTAAACTAAAGAGCTTCTGCACAGCAAAAGAAACTACCATCAGAGTGAACAGGCAACCTACAACATGGGAGAAAATTTTTGCAACCTACTCATCTGACAAAGGGCTAATATCCAGAATCTACAATGAACTCAAACAAATTTACAAGAAAAAAACAAACAACCCCATCAAAAAGTGGGCGAAGGACATGAACAGACACTTCTCAAAAGAAGACATTTATGCAGCCAAAAAACACATGAAGAAATGCTCATCATCACTGGCCATCAGAGAAATGCAAATCAAAACCACTATGAGATACCATCTCACACCAGTTAGAATGGCAATCATTAAAAAGTCAGGAAACAACAGGTGCTGGAGAGGATGTGGAGAAATAGGAACACTTTCACACTGTTGGTGAGACTATAAACTAGTTCAACCATTATGGAAGTCAGTGATTCCTCAGGGATCTAGAACTAGAAATACCATTTGACCCAGCCATCCCATTACTGGGTATATACCCAAAGGATTATAAATCATGCTGCTATAAAGACACATGCACACATATGTTTATTGCGGCATTATTCACAATAGCAAAGACTTGGAATCAACCCAAATGTCCAACAATGATAGACTGGATTAAGAAAATGTGGCACATATACACCATGGAATACTATGCAGCCATAAAAAATGATGAGTTCATGTCCTTTGTAGAGACATGGATGAAATTGGAAATCATCATTGTCAGTAAAATATCGCAAGAACAAAAAACCAAACACCGCATATTCTCATTCATAGGTGGGAATTGAACAATGAGATCACATGGACACAGGAAGGGGAACATCACACTCTGGGGACTGTGGTGGGGTTGGGGGAGGGGGGAGGGATAGCACTGGGAGATATACCTAATGCTAGATGAGGAGTTAGTGGGTGCAGCGCACCAGCATGGCACATGTATACATATGTAACTAACCTGCACATTGTGCACATGTACCCTAAAACTTAAAGTATAATAATAATAAAAAAAAGAAGTTATGGAAAAAAAAATAATAATAATAATTTAAATAATAAAAAGGTTCAAATTCTGGAAAATCAACTAGATCAATCTATGTAAATAACTTGCTCTTAAAAGTTTAGTATGATTTAAATTTATGTACTAAAATTGTGTTATAAAATTATAATAAAAATCTAAATTTGTGATGTATCTATATTTAAAAAATAAATAAATAAATAAAATAATAAAAATAAAAAAAAAAGACTTTTTTTTTTTTTTTTGAGACAGAGTCTCCCTCGGTCACCCAGTCTGGAGTGCATGGTGCGATCTCTGCTTACTGCAAGCTCTGCCTCCCAGGTTCACACCCTTCTCTTGCCTCAGCCTCCTGAGTAGCTGGAACTACAGGTGCCCACCACCACGTCTGGTTAATTTGTTTTGTATTTTTAGTAGAGACAGGGTTTCACCGTGTTAGCCAGGATGGTCTCGATCTCCTGATCTCGTGATCTACCTGCCTTGGCCTCCCAAAGTGCTGGGATTACAGGCGTTAGCCACCGTGCCTGGTTCATTTATAAGACTTTCTATCCAACAACAGTGGAACACACATTCTTTTGAAGTATTCATGATAATAGTCACTGAGATAGACTATTTTCTGGGCCATCAAAGAAATCTCAATAACTAATTAAGAAATAAAATTATGCAACACATATTCTCTGAGCACACTGGAATTAAACTAGAAATATGTCTAGAAAATACACAAATACATACTTATAAATAGAAAATGGACCCAAAATTCAAATTAGTCAGAGAATAAAAATATTCTGTAATGAATGAACATGAACACACAACATATCAAAATTTATGTAGTGTAGCTAAATGCTAATGAGAAATTTAAAGCATTAAATGCATATATTAGAAAAGGAAATATGTCTCAGATAAATACTATGATCTTCCATCTTAAATTAGAAAGAAAAAATGAGGATACTAAACTGGAAGTAAACATAAGGAAGGAAATGGTGAAGACAACAGCAGAGATCAATGAAACAGAAAATAGAAAATAATGAACAAAATCAGTGTAACAACAAGTAGTTTTTAATATCAACAAAATGATAAGCCTCAGGCTAGAATTATCAAGAAACAAAGAAAGCACCAATTAACAAACAAGATCATAAATCAAAAAGAACATCAGAGCACATCCAGCAGACAATAGAAAGATGGTAAGAGAATATTATGCAACTATATGCCAATAAATTCAATAAATTAAATGAAACAAACTAATTCTTTACAGTACATATATTCCCAAAGCTCACACAGGAAGAAATCGATTACTTGAAAGCTCTGTGTTTATTAAGGAAATGGAATTCATGGTTAACAACCTTCCTCCAAGGAAAATCCAGGTCCAGATGGCTTCACCAGAGAACTCTACAAACACATAGAGAGGAAATAATACCAGCCCCACACAAACTCTTCCAGAAAGTAGAAGAGATGGAATGTATCCCAACACATTTTTTGATGCCCGTATTACTCTGATACAAAAACAAGAGAGATGCCTTGTACACAAAACAGTGACAAGGGGTCATTCTCATGAATGTAGATGTAAG
Organism: Homo sapiens; assembly: GCF_000001405.40. Lineage (NCBI taxonomy): Eukaryota > Metazoa > Chordata > Mammalia > Primates > Hominidae > Homo > Homo sapiens. Next base: position 71,825,150 of record NC_000006.12, on the reverse strand, counting down.
CATCTTTAACAAAATATTAACAAGGTGATTCCAACAATATATTTAAAAAATAATATCTAATTGCTAACGTATATTTATCCCAGAAACACAAGATAAGTTCAACATCTAAAATCAATCAAAATAATTCACCACATTAACAGACCAAAAAGAATAAAACAAAACATATCTCAACAGTCCAGAGAAAGCATTTGGCAAAGTTCAATATTAATTCATGATGAAAACTATTAGCAAATTAGTAATGAAGATAATTTGCTAAACGTAATTAAAGAATTAGACTAGGAAACCTACAACCTACAGCCTACGGGGGATAGGTTACTAAGTACTTTCACTTTTTAAATTCAACATTTCACTAGAGGTCCTAGTTAGTTTAACACAAAAAATAAAGGAAGGGAATACAGATGGGAAAAGAAGAAATGTATATAAGATACTAAAGAACCTGTAAAAAGTTATCATAACTAAATAACTTCACCAAGGTTACAGATTTCAAGGTCACAATGCCAGAATCAATTTTTTTTTTTTGAGGCTGAGTCTTGCTCTGTCCCCCAGGCTGGAGGTGCAATGGTGCAATCTTGGCTCACTGCAAGCTTCGCCTCCCAGGTTCACACCATTCTCCTGCCTCAGCCTCCCGAGTAGCTGGGACTACAGGTGCCCGCCACCATGCCCAGCTATTTTTTTTGTATTTTTAGTAGAGACGGGGTTTCACCATGTTAACCAGGATGGTCTCAATCTCCTGACCTTGTGATCCACCTGCCTTGGCCTCCCGAAGTGCTGGGATTACAGGTGTGAGCCACCACACCAGGCCCAATCAATATTATTTCTATATGTAAATATGTGTGTGTGTGTATATATATATATATATATATATATATATATATATATATATATATGGTGTTTGCTTCTCTCTCTCTCTCTCTATATATATATATATACACACACACACATATAGAAACCTATATATATATATGGTGTTTGCTTCTGTCTTTCCCTACTACCCTATTTTTGTTTTTTTAATCTTAAGGTTTTAAGATCAAATTTAAAATTTTATCTTGAATAATTCCTTTCTTCTATTTTTTAAAGTTATTTACTACTTTTCCAGTTTCTTAATTTTAACATTTCATATATTGATTTTAAAACTTGCTGTTGTACATTTTAAGAATACAATTTATTCTGAGTTTAGTTTATGTAGATGCCATATATTTTTATGTTGTCCCCTCCTTTCTTGAATTTTTTAATGAACTTGTAATTTTAGTTTTGATTATTAGTTTCTTAAAATCTTTGTTTTTTGCAGGAGAGGTTTTATTGTTTGTTTGTCTCATTGATTACTATCTATAGAGTTTATTATATTTCTTTAAATTTTTTTTATAATTATTAGATCAAATTGTATGAAATTACCAATATTTTACTGCTTTGATCCATAAAAATGGCTGTTCTCTGTGATTCAGTCTAACATATGATTAGTTTGGTGTTTTATGGACATAATAGAAAAATGTCTTGAGTATAGATACAAACACATATATACCTATATGTATATTTATATGAATAAAAACTGAGCTCATTTAGTCAATCTTCAAATACCATTTTGATTTCTTTTATCTACTGATGTTTAAGTTCTGAGAAAATGTATTAAAATCTAACACCATAATTTTGTGCACAAATTTTTAGCTCTTCATGATTTTCTAGAAGAATTTATTTTGTTTATTAAACCACCATGATGTTTGGTACATAAATATTAACATGTATTTTATAATTTTGAGAGGCTATCAATAATTAGGTGGATTAAATGAACCATCTTGCGAATGTCAGTCATTCTCTTTACTCAGCCACCTGCTACTTGCCAAATGGACCCATGTACAAAGTGACCATGAAGGTGGTGATAGAGGCTTATGCAGGGACTTAAGAGCAGGGCATCTACCCCATCAAGTGTGAGACAACTACCACCACTGCTAAATGCCCAACCTACCAACATTAGGAGCCAATGTTTAATTGTCAATAATCATCATGCCCTGGGGGGACCAGCTGTTCCTTGGTCCCCCTACTTTAACCCATAAATTACATCAGATCTGCTTCATCATAGTAGAGGTGAAGATATATCCTCAGAGCAAAAGCCACATGTTCCAGATATAGATTTGTCTTCCATGGCTGTCGCACGCTTTTGCTAGCACCATCATCTATGAACTTTCAAATTGCCATAGTGACTGTTTTCAGTCCACATAACATTGTTTCCACTTAAGTGACTCATTTCACCACAAAAGAAACATAACAACTGTGACAATGTTTCTGAATTGCAGTAATCTTACAACTTACTCCATTTCTCAGAAATTGCTGGCTCAGCAGAATGATAAAATGGCTCATGGAAGATTCAGTTATACTGCCATCTGCAAAATTACACCTTGCAGAATTGGTGTGTTCTGCCATAGAACAGGGTATAGTCAAAATAAACACATCTGGGAATCATGAGTAGATATATCATCACTGCTAATTATAATATACCTGCTAAGGTTGCCTCCTATTTTTGTATTACTGGTCTCTGTTGGTTTAGAGGACTTTGTTTCTAAAGAAACACTTCCATCAACAGATACAATAAAAATATCCCTGCTAATTGGAAACAAAAAGAAATATAGGACAGCATAATAATATTACTCATTGATGTAACATTTTGTGCAATGGAACAATTTCACATAACACATTAGCCTGCTAAATCTATTTACTGCCTTACAAGTTAATAATTTGGTTACTGGATTGCAAAGTGTGACCTACAGGCCAAATCTAGACATACAGCACAACAGACAGGGGTACCACTGTGAACTGCAGAGAACAAGAGGCAGAGTTTCCCCTCTGCCCTGTTTTCTCCTGGTGCCCAAAGCTTTCCTCCCCAGTCAGCAGCCTGCCTTGCTACTGCTGGCAACTTCCCAGGTGGACACCAGTCAGTGACTTAGTTCAGGGCCTTGCAACTCAGCTAGCAAACTTGCCTCCAGTCACAGAGAGAGAGAGAAAAAAAAAATTTATATAAATTGATATCTTAAATGTGTAATTTGAAAATTTATGTAAGTAAATAAGTTAGTCAACAAATACAGTTAAAAAGTTAAATGTTAATAGCTTTGCGATTTTTAATTTAGCTTTTAGTTTAAAATTTGTACTTAGTCTTATACTGAATTAAAATAATTATACTTATTCTTTTTGCAAATAAAACACAGATATACATATCTATTATATACATAGAGTATATAAACAGATATAGACTACACCTGTGATATTAAAATTTGATGGGTGAGTGATCAGGAAAAATATTTTTAAAGGCTCCTTAAAGGGGCAGTAATAATAATAATTAATAATAATAAATGGATTGAGAAATACAGCCTTGAGGCAACTACTCAACAAAAAGCTCAGAAGTAAACAGCAGATGGGGCTTGCCTTTTGACTTATCAGATGTTTCCTATTCCACTAGGGCCTGGGACAATTTTTCCAAAACTCACTAAATAAGTCCCTAGTCCTCTTGAACTATGAAGGTTTGGGCAACTAAGTTAGAAAAATAAAACTTTATCTAACAGCAGGGTATAAGCTGTAAAGTTTGAACATTAGTGTCATGAAGTTCTGCTAATGTTAATTCTGTAATATTGCATAGATACTCCATTTCCTTTAAGATTCAGTGTTCTTCCAACTCCACTTATTTTCTAGGCAGATTTAAATAATGCCTCGAATATGAGTGGAATTCCATTCAAAATTACCCAAGTAAAAATTATCCTAAATATAGTTAACACAGCCTCTCATCTAAGTCTCCCTCTCAAAAATAACATTGGTGTTGTAGATCTTATTACTAATTGCTTCCTGATATTACAGCCTTTTCATAGGAGTTGATTCAAAGTTGATTTTCAGTGGTTGATAGTTTGGCTCTATGTCCCCAACCAGATCTCATCTCTAATTGTAATCCCTATAATCCCCACATGTTGAGGGAGGAACCTGGTGGGAGGTGATTGGATCATGGGGGCAGTCTCCCCCTAGGCTGTTCTCCTGATAATGAATGAGTTCTCAGGAGATCTGATGGTTTTAAAAAGTGTTTGGCAGTTCCCCCCTGTGCTCTTCTCTCTCTTACCTGCTGCTATGTAAGACATGCCTGCTTTCACTTCCACCATGATTGCACATTTCCTGAGGCCTCCCCTGCCATGTGGAACTGTGAGTCAATTAAACTTCTTTTCTTTATAAATTACCCAGTCTCAGGCAGTCCTTTATAGCAGTGTGAAAACAGACCAATACAGTGGGCTAGGTAGTTAGGCTGTCAGACAGTGAAAACAAAACAGAATTTTGATTGTCCTTGTAAAGGGAATTGAGAGAGTAGGGTAGAGTTCGTGAACCATATGTGTGTTCTGGGGAAACCAGAAGGCTCCTCGGTACATTTAGACTCTTAAGTGACACTGACTCATGTGTACATGGATTAAAAGAGTGCTATTTTTTTTCTATAAGTCATCTGGTTTCTTTTTTTTTTAATTGCTTCCAATTCCTTGTTTTACTCTGGATGGTTGAAATTGAAGATGTCTGACTCCCAGGTAATTGGGTACATCACCTCAAGTAATTAAGTGCTAAATGGAATCTTAAGTACTAGAACATATACAGTACTTTAGAGTAGGAAATGATTAGTGAGGGCTTCTTATGAGAGGTGAAACTTCAGCTCTGTCTTGAATAAAATACATGATATGAATGAAGGAGAGAATAGCATAGCATTCTGGGAGAAAGTTGCAGCAGGAACAAAGGCAAAAGACAGAAACCAGCAAATCCCAATTGGTGCACACTAAATAATCTGGATGTAGAGAAGCGTTTATTTCAGAAAACAGAGATGCCAGGATGGGCACAGAATATGACAGGCCTTAGATTCCTGTTAATTTCTTTACTGGTCCTCTTCTATTAATACTTGACTCTCGAAGTTCATCATAACACAAGATTTAACTCTGTTTTTGTTTTCCACTGTTAACTCAAGAATTATTCTCTTTTTCTTTGTCATACCACTTCACATCATGTCCCCTGATGGTATAAGATTTATAGTAGTTAGTCTTTCCTTTTTAACCCTCTAGTTTAAATTAATTCTTCCTATTCTCACCTTGTTTTTTTTTTTTGTCTTTTTTTCCAACGTTCACTCTCCTCCCAGCCTTCTCCCTTCATTAGGCCTCAGTGTCCATTGTTGTCCTGCTGTACTCAATATTTAGCTCCCACTCATAAGTTAGAACATGTGGTATTCTGATTTCTGTTCTTGCATTAGTTCACTTAGGATAATGACGTCCAGCTTCATCCATGTTGCTGCAAAGGACATGAGTTCATTCTTTCTTTTGGCTGCATAGTATTCCATAATGTATATGTACCACAGTTTCTTTAGCCAATCCATTGTTGATGGGTGTCTATGTTGTTTCCATGTCTTTGCTATTGTGAATGGTGCTGCAATGAATATAGTACATGTGTCTTTGGTAGAATAATTTATTTTCATTTGGGTATACACCCATCAAAGATTGCTGGGTTGAATGGTAATTCTGTTTTAAGTTCTTTGAGAAATATTCTAACTGCTTTCCACAGTAGCTCAACTAATTTACATTCCCACCAGCAGAGTATAAGCATTCCCTTTTCTCTGGAGCTTCACCTGCATGTGTTGTTTTATAACTTTTTAATAATAGCTATTCTGACTGATGTGAGAAGGTATCTCATTGTGGTTTCAATTTGCATTTCTCTGATGATTAGTGATGTTGAACACTTTTTCATGTTTGTGGCTGCTTGTATGTTTTCTTTTAAGAAGTGTCTGTTCATGTATTTTGCCCACTTTTTAATGGGGTTATTTGTTTTTTGCTTGTTAAACTTGAATTCCTTATAAATTCTGGATACTAGATGTTTGTTGAATGCAAAATTTGTGAATATTTCCCCCCCTTCTGTAGGTTGTCTTTTTACTCTGTTGATAGTTCTTTTGCTGGACAGAAGTACTTTAGTTTAACTCAGTCTTACTTACCAATTTTTGCTCTTGGTGCAGTTGATTTTGAAGATTTCATCATAAATTTTCTTTTTAATTTCTCTAATGATTAGTGATGTTGATCCTTCTTTCACATGCTTGTTTATTCTCTCCTTTTACATCTCCACTTTTGATTGGGTAGTAAAGATGAAAACAGAAATCATTGAGAAATGTAAAGCAGCAGAAATTGGGGAGTATAAAGAATATTTCTTAGAGGAAACTGTATTTGCACGGGCCCTAAAGTGAGAATAAGCACAGATACTTGTCAGGAACCAAGAAGATAGTATGGATACATTTTAGAGAGCAAGCAGAGGGAAGTGCAAAAGAAAGAGGCAGAAGCTCGGGCCAGACCATGCCAAGCCTTGCAGATGCAGCTAAGGCATTTGTGTTTGTTATGAAAGCAATGACAAGTCATTGAAAGCACAATTTGAGTAGGAGTTTAGGGAAGAGTTGAGGGTAATAGGATTTTTTTTTTTTTTTGGAGGAAAAAATTCTCTGACTACACAGTACAAATGGATCTTAGGAAGCTTGGGCAAATGTGGGGCAGCTCGTTCAGAGATGACTGCAATAGTCCAAGAAGAAAGAATGGCAACTTGGACTAATTGCAGTGCAGACATGGAGAGAACTGAGTAGATGAAAGGAATGGCTGGTTGAAGCAATGCTCAGAGGCATGTAAAGGTTTTATGAGCTTGATTCTTACAGAGGACATTTTTATTTCAAAAAGCACATTTTAAAAATTTTCTGAATTTCTTATTTGTGAACAGGTTTTGTAGGTCAGGTTGTCTAGCCTGCCCACAGCTTGCCCACGTACCAAGTCCAAGTTACCCTAGTGAGGGGATCTTTCTCCTTAGGTCTCATCTTATAACTGTAGGGCTCATTTTAAAAAATATTTTTTATTAAGTATTAAGTAGAAACAAACCAATATTTATAAATTATCTGGAAACTACATGATTATGTCAATAGATGCAGAAAAGGCCTTTGACAAAATTCAACTGCCCTTCATGCTAAAAACTCTCAATAAATTAGGTATTGATGGGACGTATCTCAAAATAATAAGAGCTATTTATGACAAACCCACAGCCAATGTCATACTGAATGGGCAAAAACTGGAAGCATTCCCTTTGAAAACTGGCACAAGACAGGGATGCCCTCTCTCACCACTCCGATTCAACATAGTGTTGGAAGTTCTGGCCAGGGCAATCAGGCAGAAGAAAGAAATAAAGGGAATTCAATTAGGAAAAGAGGAAGTCAAATTGGCCCTGTTTGCAGATGACATGATGGTATATTTAGAAAAACCTATCGTCTCAGCCCAAAATCTCTTTAAGCTGATAAGCAACTTCAGCAAAGTCTCAGGATACAAAATCAATGTGCAAAAATCACAGGCATTCTTATACACCCATAACAGACAAATAGAGAGCCAAATCATGAGTGAACTCCCATTCACAATTGCCTCAAAGAGAATAAAATACTTAGGAATCCAGCTTACAAGGGATGTGAAGGAGGTCTTCAAGGAGAACTACAAACCACTGCTCAATGAAATAAAAGAGGACACAAACAAATGGAAGAACCTTCCATGCTCATGGACAGGAAGAATCAATATCATGAAAATGGCCATACTGCCCAAGGTAATTTATAGATTCAATGCCATCCACATCAAGCTACCAATGACTTTCTTCACAGAATTGGAAAAAACTACTTTAAAGTTCATATGGAACCAAAAAAGAGCCCAGATTGCCAAGACAATCCTAAGCCAAAAGAACAAAGCTGGAAGCATCACACTACCTGACTTCAAACTATACTATCAGACTATAGTAACCAAAACAGCATGGTACTGGTACCAAAATAGAGATATAGATCAGTGGAACAGAACAAAGCCCTCAGAAATAATACCACACATCTACAACCATCTGATCTTTGACAAACCTGAGAAAAAGAAGCAATGGGGAAAGGATTCCCTATTTAATAAATGGTGCTGGGAAAACTGGCTAGCCACATGCAGAAAGCTGAAACTGGATCCCTTCCTTACATCTTATACAAAAATCAATTCAAGATTGATTAAAGACTTAAATGTTAGACCTAAAACCATAAAAACCCTAGAAGAAAACCTAGGCAATACCATTCAGGACATAGGTGTGGGCAAGGACTTCATGTCTAAAACACCAAAAGCAATGGCAACAAAAGCCAAAATTGACAAATGGGATCTAATTAAAGAGCTTCTGCATAGCAAAAGAAACTACCATCAGAGTGAACAGGCAACATACAGAATGGGAGAAAATTTTTGCAATCTACTCATCTGAAAAAGGGCTAATATCCAGAATCTATAATGAACTCAAACAAATTTACAAGAAAAAAACAAACAACCCCATCAAAAAGTGGGCGAAGGATATGAACAGACACTTCTCAAAAGAAAACATTTATGTAGCCAACAGACACACGAAAAAATACTCATCATCACTGGCCATCAGAGAAATGCAAATCAAAACCACAATGGGATACCATCTCACACCAGTTAGAATGGCGATCATTAAAAAGTCAGGAAACAACAGGTGCTGGAGAGGATGTGGAGAAATAGGAACACTTTTACATGGTTGGTGGGACTGTAAACTAGTTCAACCATTGTGGCAGACAACGTAGCGATTCCTCAGGGATCTAGAACTAGGAATACCATTTGACCCAGCCATCCCATTACTGGGTATATACCCAAAGGATTATAAATCATGTTGCTATAAAGACATATGCACACGTATGTTTATTGTGGCACTATTCACAATAGCAAAGACTTGGAGCCAACTCAAATGTCCAACAATGATAGACTGGATTAAGAAAATGTGGCACATATACACCATGGAATACTATGCAGCCATAAAATAGGATGAGTTCCTGTCCTTTGTAGGGACATGAATGAAGGTGGAAACCATCATTCTCAGGAAACTATCGCAAGGAAAAAAAAAACAAACACCGCATATTCTCACTCATAGGTGGGAATTGAACAATGAGAATGCTTGGATACAGGAAGGGGAACATCACACATCTGGGCCTGTCATGGGGTGGGGGGCGGAGGGAGGGAGAGCATTAGGAGATATAACTGACGTAAATGACGAGTTAATGGGTGCAGCACACCAACATGGCGCATGTATACATATGTAACAAACCTGCACATCGTGCACATGTACCCTGAACTTAAAGTATAATAATAAATAAATAAACAAATAATCTCTAAGATACAAATGTACTAATGCTGTGGACATTCCTACACTCACAACCCAATATCAGAAGAGAAAATTATTTTCTTTGATGCATGCATGCCCCTTTCTGATTCCATCAGAAAAAAAATTTATTTTTTCTCTTTCTCTCTGAAAAAAAAAAACCATCCTGATGTTGTATTTTATTTATTTGCTTTGCTTTATACTTTTACCATATACCTATTTATCTATAATAGTATATTATTTATTCTGCATGTTTTTTAAATTTTAAAAAATATAGCACTGGTTATTTTCTGAGTTTCTCTTTTATTTCAATATTATTTTCCAAAGATTTGTCAGTATTACTGCATATAGCTATAATTTAATTTTTATTACTTTTTAGGACTTCATTGTATGAATATACCATAATTTGGCCATTTTACTTTTAATGTCATTTGTGTTATGCATACCTTTTTAAAAAAATAATACATTTTTATTTCAGAGAGTGCATCTATGAAGATTTCTGCATCTATTTCCAGATGCACAGTCTCCATAGTTTCTGTATTATACAAAAAACTAGTACTAGAACTCTTGGGTTGTACAGTATGTTCATCTTCAACTATAGTATATATGTCTAATTGTATTCCAAAGTGGTTGTACCAAGTTACACTTGCACCTGCAGTACATGAGTACTCTAATCATAGCACTATATTCACTTCAATACTTAATATTTTCAGGTAACTTTTTTCACTTTTTACTTTATAGATTCTATTTTATATTTATTTCCTATTACATTAGCTTCTTCTCTGATCTGTATTATCTTCTTCCTTCCATTTCCTTTGGGTATATTATGTTGTTCTTTATTAACTTTCTATGTTAGATGTTTAGGAAATTCATCTACACAATTTCTATATTTCTAATGTATGCACTATAAATGTCTCTTTAAATACTATTTAGCCAGATACCACAAATTTGACTATTGTATGGTTTTATTATCATTTAATCTAATTTTTAAAATTTTAATTAATATTTAATCTATGTTATTTTCTTAGAGTTTTGTGGTTTTAGGTTTTTTACCTATTTTGAATTGATTTTTGTGTATGGTGTAAGATAAGTTTTCAGTTTCATGTTTTTGCAGGTGGAAGACTAGTTTTCCCAGAAAAATTTATTGAATAGGTTATCCATTCCCCATTGTTTTCTCCTGGTGCCCTTGTCAAAAATTATTTGGCCATACGTGTTTGGATTTATTTCTGGGAACTGTCTTCCGTTTCATTAGCCTATGTGTCTGTTTTCATGCCAGCACCACATTGTATTGATTACCATAGCTTTGCAATATAATTTTAAATTATAAAATGTAACGCCTCCAACTTTGTTTTACTTTCTCAAGATTGCTCTAGCTATTCAGGGTATTTTTGTGGTTCCATACAAATTTTAGGATTGTTTTTTCTATTTCTGTGAAGAATACCATTGGAGTTCTTATAGAGATTGCATTAAATCTATATATTGTTTTGGATAGTATGGACATTTTAAGCATATTTTTTTCCATCCATGAACATAGGATACCTTTTCATTTATTTGTATCTGCTTCAAATTCTTTCATTAATATTTTACTATCTTCAATGTATAAATATTTCACCTCCTTGGTTAAATTTATTCCTAAGTACTTTTAAAAAATGCTATTATAAGTGGGATTGTTTCCTTGATTTTTTTTCAGCTAGGTTATTTGTTTGGAATTGCTACTAATTTTTGTATGTAGATTTCTGTGTTCTTCAACTTTATTTTCTAGTTCTAACAGTGTGTGTGTGTGTGTGTGTGTGAAGTTTTTGGGGTTTTCTATATATAAAACTATACCATTGGTAAATAGTGAAATTTGCACTTCTTCATTTCTGATTTAAATGCCTTCTATTTCATTTTTCTTTTCTGATTGTTCTTGCTAGTACTTCCATTACTATGTTGAATAGAAGTGAAAGGAGTGGGCATCCTTGCCTTGTTCTGAATCTTAGTGGAAAAGCTTTCAGTTTTTCTCTGTTGATTATGAAATTAGCTGTGGGGTTTTCATAAACAGCTTTTATTGTGTTGAGGAACTTTCCTTCTCTGCTCTAAGTGTTAAAAGCTTTTATCATGAAAGAATGATGAAGTTTGTTGAATGCTTTAAATGATCATGTGGTTTTTATCTTTTATTTTGTTAATTTGATGTATCATATTGTTTGATCTGTGAATATTAAACCAGCCTTGCATGCCCAAAATGAATCTTGCTTGTTTAGGATGTACAATCTTTTTGATGTGTTGCTGAATTTGGTTTGCTAATATTTATTGAGTATTTTTGTATTGATATTTAGAAGAGATATTGGCTTGTGGGTTTTTTTTTTTTAGAAAAAATATTGGCTTGTGGAGTGTATTTGCCTTGCTTAGGTATCAATATGATGCTGGCCTCATGAACTGTCCTTGGAAGCATTTCCTCTGCTCCATTTTTTTGGAAGAATTGAAGAAGTCTTAGTCATAATTATTCTTTGAATGTTTGGTAGAGTTCAGCCATGAAGCTATCTGGTCCTGGGTTTTTCTTTATTGGAAGGTTTTTAATTACTTATTCAATCTCTTTATTTGTTATTGGTCTTCTCAAGCTTTCTATTTCTTCCAGATTCAATCTTGGTAGGTCACATTTTTTCAACAAATTTATCCTTTTTCTCTAGGTTATTCAATTTGTTGGGACATAACTATTCATAATAGTCTCTTATAATACTTATTTCTGAGGCATCTGTTGTAAGATCTCTACTTCTTTTTCTGATTTTGTTTATTTGAGCCTTCTTTCTTTTTCTTTCTTAGTATAGCTAGAAGTTTGACAATTTTGTTTATTTTTTCTAAGAATCAACTATTGGTTATACTAATTTTTATACCATTTTTCTGCTCTCTATTTGATTTATTTCTGTTCTATTCTTTTTTATTTCTTCCTCTCTGCTAACTTTGGGCTTGGTATTTTATTATTTTTCTTGCTTCTTGAATTATAATTCAAGGCTATTTATTTGAAATGTATCTTCTTTTTTAACGTAGGCATTTATATCTCAAGGTATTTTAAAATTTCCTTTTGGTATTTTTTTTGGCTCATTGGAACATGTTGCTTAATTCCCACATATTTGGAAAATTTCTAAGAATCTTTTGGTTATTGATTTCTAGTTACATACAGTTGTCAAAAACAATATAGATATAATTTGAATCCTCTTGAATTTGTTAAAACTTGTTTTGTGGCCTAACATATGTTCTATTTTGGAGACCGTTCCATGTACACTAGATAAGGGTGTACAGTCTGTTGCTGTTGGATAAAAAGTTCTACGTATGTCGGTCAGGCCCATTTGGTCTAAAGTACAGTTCAAGCCCAGCATTTCCTTGTTAATGTTGTCTCATTGATCTGTTCATTGTTGAAAGAGGGATATTTAAGTCTCATACTATTATTGTATTGCTATCTGTTTCTTCCTTTATGTCCATTAATATTTGCTTTATATATTTAGATGTCCCAATGTTGGGAGCATATATATTTATATTTGCTATGTTCCCTTGATAAATTGAGTCATTATCATTAAATAATGACTATCTTTGACTCTTTTATAATAGTTTTTGACTTGGAGTCTTTTTTATCTCATATAAGTACAACCACCCCTGCTTTATATTTGTAACTGCTTGCATGAAATATTTTCTTTAATCCCTTTATTTTCAGCCTATGTGTGTCCTTAAAGCTAAAAATGACTCTTTTAGGCAGCATATAGTTATATCGCATTTTTTAAAATTCATTTAGTCACTGTGTCTTTTGGTTGGAAAATTTAATTTACTTACATTCAAGGTTATTTTTGATAGGTAAAAACTTAATCTTACCAATTTGTTAATTGTTTTCTGGTTGTTTTGTACATCCTGTGTTCCTTTTTTCCCCTCTTCATGCATATATTTGCAATTTGGTAATTTTTCTATAGTGCTGTTTTGATTCCTCTCTCTTTCTCGTTTGTGTATGCAATGTCATTTCTTACTTTGTGTTTTCTGAGACTTACATTGAATGTCTCATCATTAAAATAGATTATCTTATGCGGATAGCAATTTAATTTAGGTAACATACATGTATCTAGACTTTTACCCCCTAGACACACACAATTTATATTTTTCTTGCAAAAATTTACATTTTTTATATTGTGTATTTATTTATTTATTTATTTATTTATTTGAGATGGAGTCTCACTCTGTGGCCCAGGCTGGAGTGCAGTGGCATTATCTCAGCTCACTGCAACCTCCACCTCCTGGGTTCAAGCGATTCTCCTGTCTCAGCCTCCCAAGTAGCTGGGACTACAGATGTGTGCCACCATGCCCAGCTAAGTTTTTGTATTTTTTAGTAGAGTCAGGGTTTCACTGTGTTAGCCAGGATGGTCTCGATCTCCTGACCTTGTGATCCGTCCACCTTGGCCTCTTAAAGTTCTGGGATTACAGGTGTAAGCCACCATGCCTGGCCTGTGTATTCCTTTATTACTTATTGTAGCTATTATAGTTATTTTGGGCCATTTGTTTTTTTACCTGTATACTAGATATTTGAAATATTTATACATCACCATCACAATAATGGAGTGTCATAAATTTGATTATGAATTTACCTCAATGAGTGAGTTTTATGCTTTTATATGTTTTTGTGTTTGTAATTATTGTTCCTTCTCTTCCAGTAGAAGCATTCTTTTAAGAATTTCTTAATGTCAGTCTAGTAGTTATAAATTCCCTCAGCTTTTGCTTGTTTAAGAAAGACTTTATATCTCTTTCATAACTGAAAGGTAGCATTTCTGGGTATAGTATTCTTGTCTAGAAGATGTCTTTTTCTTTCAGCAGTATAAATACATCATCTCATTCTCTGCTAGCCTGCTAATTTTCTGCTGAGAAACTCACTGAGAGTCTAATGCAGTTCCCCTGTATGAGATTTGATGCTTTTCTATTGCTGCTTTTAGAATTCTTTCCTTGTCTTTGAGTTTTGACATTTTGAAATAATGTTCCTAGGAGAGAACCCTTTTGGGGTGTATCTATTTGAGTACTTTTGAGCTTCAGCGGATCTGGATGTCTATATCTCTCCCAAGACTTGGGGAAGTTTTCAGCAATTCTTTCCTTAAATAAGACTTTTGTGACATTCTTCATTTCTTTTTCCTCTGTGACTCCCATGAGGCCAAAATTTATTCACTTAATTTTGTCCCATAAGTCCAATAGACTGACTTTGCTCTTTTTCAATCTTTTTCTTTTTTATTCTCCTGGGTTATTTTAAAATACATGTATTCATTTAAACTGGTGTGAGATGGTATCTCATTGTGGTTTTGATTTGCATTTTTCTGATAGCCCGTGATGATGAGCATTTTTTCATGTGTTTTTTGGCTGCATAAATGTCTTCTTTTGAGAAGTGTCTGTTCATATCCTCTGCCCACTTTTTGATGGGGTTGTTTTCATTGTAGATTCTGGATATTAGCCCTTTGTCAGATGAGTAGGTTGCAAAAATTTTCTCCCATTCTGTAGGTTGCCTGTTCACTCTGATGGTAGTTTCTTTTGCTGTGCAGAAGCTCTTTAGTTTAATTAGATCCCATTTGTCAATGTTGGCTTTTGTTGCCATTGCTTTAGAATGGCAATCATTAAAAACTCAGGAAACAACAGGTGCTGGAGAGGATTTGGAGAAATAGGAACACTTTTACACTGTTGGTGGGACTGTAAACTAGTTCAACCATTGTGGAAGTCGGTGTGGTGATTCCTCAGGGATCTAGAACTAGAAATACCATTTGACCCAGCCATCCCATTACTGGGTATATACCCAAAGGATTACAAATCATGCTACTAAAAGACAGATGCACATGTATGTTTATAGTGGCACTATTCACAATAGCAAGACTTGGAACCAACCCAAATGTCCAACAACGATAGACTGGATTAAGAAAATGTGGCACATATACACCATGGAATACTACGCAGCCATAAAAAATGATGAGTTCATGTCCTTTGTAGGCACATGGATGAATCTGGAAACCATCATTCTCAGCAAACTATCACAAGGACAAAAAACCAAACACCGCATGTTCTCACTCATAGGTGGGAATTGAACAATGAGAACACATGGACACAGGAAGGGGAACATCACACACCGGGGACAGTTGTGGGGTGGGGGGAGGGGGAGGGATAGCACTAGGAGATATACCTAATGCTAAATGATGAGTTAATGGGTGCAGCACACCAACATGGCACATGTATACATATGTAACAAACCTGCACATTGTGCACATGTACCCTAAAACTTAAAGTTTAATAATAATAAAATAAAAAAAGACATGTATTCAAATTCAGAGAGTCTTTCTTCTGCTTGATCTAGTCTGATGTTGAAGTTCTTAGCTGCATTTTTTATTTCATTCATTGAATTCTTCAGTTCCAAAATTTCTGCTTCATTCTTTTTCATTACATTTATTTTTGTGTTGAATTTCTCATTTAGACCATGAATTGCTTTTCTAATTTCCTTGAATTGTCTATCTGTATTTTCCTGTATCTCGTTGTAGTTTCTTAAGACCATTATTTTGGATTCATTTTCAGACAATTTATAAATTTCCATTTCTTTGGGGTCAGTTACTGGAAAAACATTATGTTCCTTTGTGGTGACAAGTTTTCTTGCTTTTTAATGTTTCTTGTGTCCTAGCATTGATATCTATGCAGATGGGGTAAAAGACCCCTCTTCCAATTTCATAAAGTGTGTTTTGTAAGGAAACACTATCATCTGCAGATGTGTCTTAGGATATCATTTGAGTAGGGTAGGTTGGCTCTGGTTCTGGGTGGGTGTAGTAGTGTACCATGTGTGCAGCTTCTTCAGCTGTAATCTGTGTCAACAGTGGCTGCAGGTGCCTCAGCAGCCTAGGCTGCAGGGTTTTGTGGCATTTGTGGTGCAAGGTAGATTATGCCATGTCAGTTCAGGCACTGAGGGGGCACAGCTGATTTGCTGACTCAAGTGTGGCTTCCCTGGGGGTGGGGTGCCAGGATGATCAGTGTGCTGAGCGGCTGCAACCACTATGTCAACTTGAACATGGCTTCCCACTTCACTTTATTTTTAACCTATGAAAGAAATGTGTTTCCTCAAACTTAAAAAAAGAACAGTTTATGGTTATAAACCAAGGGAGAGTTTTTCACTCAATTCAATGCCAAGATTTGAGAAATGTAATTTTTTCTTCTTGTAGTTTATAACAGGTGTTATTTTTACTATACTCTTACACAGGAGCCCTTTGGAGTCCCAGACTTTTGTGAAGATGTTTCCAGTGATATTTTCCCCATTGTTCTACCTCTGAGTTTTGTCTCCTGACCCTGTGCCCCATTGGCCATAACAATCAAATCTTAAGTTTAATCTCTTTTATTTCCCCATTTATGAATATGCCTGATATGGTTTGGCCATGTCGCCACCCAAATCTCATCTTGAATTGTAACTCCCACAATTCCCACATGTCGAGGGAGGTGACTGAATTATGGGGGTGGGTCTTTCCCATGCTGTTCTTATGATAGTGAATGAGTCATGTGAGATCTGATGATTTTTAAAAAGGAGACTTTCTCTGCACAAGTTCTATTCTCTTGTCTGCCACCATGTGAGATGTGCCTTTCACCATCTGCCATGATTTTGAGGCCTCCCCACCCATGTGGAACTGTAAGTCCAATAAACCTCTCTCTTTCTTTTGTAAATTGCCCAGTCTCAGGTATGTCTTTATCAGCAGTGTGAAAATGGACTAATACAATGCCTCTTTATAAATACAAGCTTCCTTTCTTTTCTCTCTTACAACATGTTTTAAGTTTCACTGTTATTTTCTAAAATTTTCCTTTTTAAAGTAAGGGTTCAGGAAGTGAATGATTCTTTGTAACTGTGTATTTAATCTGTCAGTATTCAATACTTGTTTTAATTAAAATGAGTAAGCTCAATAAATACAGATTCTATTGTTAGTATATCTGAAAAGTCTTGGTATAGAAGGTTTAGCAATACAAATTCATGTTTTCAGGAATATATTCAGTACTGTAAACCTAGCATTGGAAATTCATCAACCACTGTCATTTTATATTACTTCAGTAGTATTCAGAATTTTTTTTTCAAATATACTTTTTGTCAAATAATCCTACCTACTTTGTATAAAATTATGGTGCTATGCTATTACAAATAAATTTACACATATTTTAAAAATATCTACTGTTGAAAGGTATAAGCAAAATAAATTAGATACAAAAACAATGTTATTAGTAAAAGTGAACAAGGTCAGTGAGTAAAAGCAAGACAGAAATAGAATGGTAAAATAATAAGAAAATTAATCATCCAAAAAAAGTATGTCTCAAAAGATAACATCTTGCAGCTTTAGGGCCCTTCCAGTATTATGCT
This sequence comes from Homo sapiens, assembly GCF_000001405.40. Lineage (NCBI taxonomy): Eukaryota > Metazoa > Chordata > Mammalia > Primates > Hominidae > Homo > Homo sapiens. The sequence goes on along the minus strand of NC_000006.12, from coordinate 71,807,602 downwards.
CACCTAAGGTGACAAGTCTTTGGACTACATTGTCCAGCACCCTATCCACTTTTTGTGATTTAAATGTATGTTGAAGGCTTTGTCCAGAGCAATAGGTTTGAATGCATTTTTTACAAAGCTGACTATCCTGTCACCACAGTCACCTACATGTTGAAAATGACAAGTGAATCAGGCTTATATAAAATGCTACAAGGTACACAAAAAAATAGAAATAATAGTCACAAGATATTTTTCTCTGCTGTTTTCCCCATTGTAAATAATGTATTAGCTAGTCCTTGTTTTGCCTGAGACATTAAGAAACACTAAAATTTAACATTTAAGTTGACACACCAAAGATTCTATTTCTAATAAAGTACATTATACGTAGAGTTATATACATATCCATCAGTGAATCAGTAGCATCATGATAATATACTTTAACTTGTATATTACTTTATAATTAAAAAGCATTTCATGTATAACATCACGGTCTTGTTTCATCCATAGAAAACCTGTTGAATAGGCAAATAAAGTATTATTATCCTCTTTTGTACAAATTGGAAAAGTGAGTCACAGGAGTAATATGTAAATATCTCAAGGTCTCACGGCTAATAAGTGGCAGCAAAAGAATACTATTTTTGCTTGGATATATTCAGACATGAGCATTCTGGAAGCCCAAAAGCATGGGAGAATATTATAATAGAGGCATACTCCAGGCCTGGGGCAAAGGGAGGAACTGGAGAACTAACCAATAAGAATACTCTACTGCCACCTAACAAATTCTGCAAGTGATTATTATTAGAACATCCAGTTAAGTGGGAAGCAATGAATGTGGTTAATAGGTAATATTTAAGAGTTGTATCTACAGCAACAATGATTCTGAGCTCTCTTTCCGTATAGCTAAGATCCAGACAAGGAAGTATGGATAGGGTAAAATAGCTTCTAGAATGATAGCGAGAAGCATAAGGAAAAACATGTGGGCCTCTGCTAAATGAACTGCAAGTTTAAAGTTGATCCAAGCCCATAAAGATTTTGTATTAATTGGAAAGATGGTCAATTAAGGAATCAGAGCAGAATCTGAGTCTTACAGCCTGACAATAATCAGGGAATGTTGCAATACTGTTACTACACACAGGTAAGAGTTTCACCTTGGTGCATTAGTCCCTGCTTTTAATTGATTAAAAGGATGACTTGGTTGGGATTAAGAAGAATCAATGGCGTTAGATTATCTGTTCTCAAATGAAGGGGAGTGGCTTAGTTTCAGCTGTTACTTGGGCATCTCTCATCCCTTCTCTTAAATAAGGTCAAGATTTAAAAAGTGTGATGCTGGTAGAAGATATTTTCTGGTCATTGGTTCAGCTATAGTTAACCTGATGCTCCATTATTCCAAATGCATCCTGGGGCATAAAGTGAATGCACAGGATTGAGATTCGACAAGGGTTTCACATGTTTTGGCACAGCGAAATTTTTTTTTTTTAAGAGAAACAGACTTTCTGAATTAGATGGGTGATTTTTTTTCAATGATGAAATCTGCTATTTTGTATCTTGATGCTTTTAACTCATTAAAGAGGTCATGGGTTGAACTTAAAGCAAGAATCGTTAATCTTTAAAGCCATTAAATAAAAAACATGGAGAAGAAATGGAAATCCAGCTACTGAAAGGATTTAGCAAAATATAGGAATGGGACATAGTTATTTTCTAAATGTTGTATAGGTGATATTCAATATAAATACATATGAACATAATAATCATGGGACTATTGCAGAAGTGGTAGAATCTTTGTGAACCTGGTCAAATCCATGAGCAAGCATTCCCTTGGAAGTCCTGGACTACAGTGAGAAGCTGTGTGAGAGCTTGCCACCTGCTAGTGCTTGCGACCCTCATGGGAAGGTACAGTGGATATGGGCATGATTCTTCCAATTACAGAAGCCTCAGAATAAGAATTTTAGAAATAAGAGTATGCACTATAATTTAAAGTAATGCTGAGAAGGTACAAAAATGGGCCTACTGGCTTTTTCAATTACAAGTCAGTGTTAGGATGAGCATTTAATTTATTTCCAAACTGAGAGAGTTTTGAGATTAAAACAGAATGCTACCAATCATTATGCTGAGACAACAGGTGTACACTGGGACTGTCCCTGGAATTCTTGAAATATAGTCACTTGAGACATTCATGATCTGTGCCAGTAAAAGATTTAGATGATGGGTTTAGAAGTATGGGCTAAAAACAATGACAATTTCCAGCACACACTAAGTACTGTGTATTATCATTTTTAAGTAGTTAAAAGTATCTCATTTAATTTTCACAGCAATCCTAAGATGTAGGTACAATCGTAACGTTCATTTTACAAATGAAGTTATTGTAGCATATAAAAATTAAAAATATTTAACCAATGTCACAAAGTCAGGAGGTGTAAGATAAAGAGTAGAAACTGTGTTGTATGGCTTCAGAGCCCACATTCCAAACTACTATGCTATGTGCTGCCTAATCATGAGTGTATTAGTCTGTTTTCATGCTGCTAATAAAGACATAGACAAGACTGGGTAATTTATAAAGAAAAAGAGGTTTAATGGACACATGGCTGGAGAGACCTCACAATCATGGTGAAAGGTGAAGGAGGAGCAAAGACACGTCTTACATGGTGGCATGGAAGAGAGTGTGGGCAGGGGAATGGCCTTTTATAAAACAATGAGAACTCATGAGATTTGTTCACTATCATGACAACAGCATGGGAAAGACCCGGCCCCATGATTCAATTACCTCTCACCAGGTCCCTGTCATGACTTGTGGGAATTATAGGAGCTACAATTCAAAATGAGATTTGGGTGAGGACACAGCCAAACCATATCAATGAGTTAGAGAAGGATGGGGTGAAGTAGATGGCAACGGAAAAGGCAGATGTTATCCTATTGTTTTTCTTTCTTAGTTACCTTTTTAGTGGCTTTTTAGAGAATGAAAGGAAAAAAATAGTGGTACCTAGAGGATCCTTAAGTTTATAAAAGGAATATGGGGAGACAAACATTTATATACTGAGATTGAGGAGCCAAAGAAGAGATAAAGCTATAAAGTATAAGAGAGAAAAGGAGCAAGGCCTCCTTCCTAATGATCTCATTGGCTTTGCCCAAGCACTCAGATAAGATACTTCTTCAATGTACAGAGGATTTTGCACACATCCCTCAGCTATGTATGCCCAGTGAAGAAACACTATCAGTAAAGTTCATTACTTAAGATCATGATTACATCTGTATGATAAAGTGTCTTGTCTATAAAATAGTTTGTTAAATGAATAAGCTAAAATTAATTTTATAAATTGTGAATAAGCTTTTAGGTTTTAGTGATTTTTTTCTTTTAATTTGACTGTTCTTAGTTAAAGGAAATTCTCTTTTAAATAGAGATTGTGGATCATCATGGCAGATGGGAGGCAGGACTAGATTAAAGTTCCAACTCAGATGGACAGAGCAGGGTGCAGAGGCTTGCATTGTGAATTTTTCCTCCTTCAATCCTGAGAGGACCCACAGACCCTCTAAAGGAAGAGGACTGCTCCCCCAGGACTCAGGAGACACCCCAAATACTGTGAGTCCCCAAACTGCGGAAGTGGCAAAGGGAGATCCTCCAGCCCCAAACAGATCCGCATGGGGGAAACTGAAGGTCTAGTTTGTGGGAGAAGACTCTGACCTTACCTGGAACTGAGTCAATTTAGAGAGCTGAGTGAAATATAGGGCTACATGAAGGAGGCAGAAAGGGCCTGGGAGCTTGCTGGGTCTCCGAGGGGGCCATTCCTGCCTGGCATCGCACAGATCGTTTGGGTGGGTGGCCAGAGGTGTGGGCAAAATGTCACAGGGAGAAGGAAGTCTCCAGCTAAACTTTGTAACAATTTGAACCAGTTGAGAAGCTTCCTGGCCAGAACTTTGGGGAGGGTGTGAATCTGGTATGCAGGCTCAATAGGCAGGGGAAGAAATAAAGCCCTTTTCTTTTGCAGCTGGGAACTAGGTAGCCTGGATCAAGTTGTCAGCCCTGCTTTCCCACTGCCTGGAATCAGACTTGGTGCTGTTAGTCGGGGGGCATGGTGGGAGTGAGACCAGGCCTTCCGATTGTGTGGGAGCTAGGTGAGGCCTATGACTGCCAGCTTTCCCCCACTTCCCTGACAACCTGCATTACTAAGCAGAGGCAGCCATAATCCTCCTAGGTACAGAATTCCATTGACCTGGGAACCTTATCCCCATCCCCCACAGTAGTTGCAGCAAGACCCACCCAAGGAGAATCTGAGCTCACACATGTATAGCCCTACCGCCACCTGATGGTCCTTCCCTAACCACCCTTGTAGCTGAAGACAAAGGACATATATTATTGGGAGTTCTAGGGCCCCACCCACCATTGATTCTCTCCATACTACCACAGCTAATACTCTCGGAAAGCCCCACCTCCTGGCAGGAGGCCAACCAGCACAAAAATAGAGCATTAAACCACCACAAGTAAGAACCCTCACAGAGTCCATTTCACCCTCCTACCGCCTCCACCAGAACAGGTGATGGTATCCACAGCTGAGAGAACCACAGACGGTTCACATCATGGAACTCTATGCAGACAACCCCCAGTACCAGCCCGGACCTTGGTAGACTTGCTGGGTGGCTAGATCCAGAAGAGAGATAACAATCTCTATAGTTTGGCTCTCAGGAAGCCACATCCATAGGAAAAGGGGGAGAGTACTATATCAAGGAAACACCACAAGGGATAAAAGGATCTGAACATCAGCCTTCAGCCCTAGACCTTCCTTCTGACACAGCCCACCCAAATGAGAAGGAACCAGAAAACCAACCCTGGTAATATGACAAAACAAGGCTCTTTAACACCCCAAAAATATCACACTAGCTCACCAGCAATGGATCCAAACCAAGAAGAAATCCCAGATTTACCTGGAAAATAATTCAGGAGGTTCATCATTAAGCTAATAAGGGAGGCAATAGAGAAACACGAAGCCCAATGCAAGGAAATCCAAAAAATAATACAAGAAGTGAAACGAGAAATATTCAAGGAAATAGATAGCAAAAAGAAACAATAATCAAAACTTCAGGAAACATTGGACACATTTATAGATACGCAAAATGCTCTGGAAAGTCTCAGCAATAGAATTGAACAAGTAGAAGAAAGAAATTCGGAGCTTGAAGACAAGGTCTTTGAATTGACCCAATCCAACAAAGACAAAGAAAAAAGAATAAGAAAATATGAACAAAGCTTCAGTGAAGTCTGGGATTATGTAAAATGACCAAACCTAAGAATAATTGGTGTGCCAGAGGAAAAAGAGGAACCTAAAAGTTTGGAAAACATATTTGAAGGAATAATTGAGGAAAACTTCCCCAGTCTTGCTAGAGACCTAGACATCCAAATACAAGAAGCACAAAGAACACCTGGGAAATTCATTGCAAAAATATCATCGCCTAGGTGTATTATCAGGTTACCTAAAGTTAAGATGAAGGAAAAAATCTTAAGAGCTGTGAGATGAAAACACCAGGTAACCTATAAAGAAAATCTATCAGATTAACAACAGAAACCTTACAAGCTAGAAGGCATTAAGGCCCTATCTTTAGGCTCCTAAACAAAACAATTATCAGCCAAGAATTTTGTGTGCAGTGAAACTAAGCATCATATATAAGGGAAAGAGTCAGTCTTCTTCAGACAAACAAATGCTGAGAGAATTTGCCACTACCAGGCCACCACTATGAGAACTTCTAAAAGGAGCTCTGAATCTTAAACAAATCCTGGAAACACATCAAAACAGAACCTCTTTAAAGCATAAATTTCACAGGACCTATAAAACAAAAATCCAATTTAAAAAGCAAAAACAAAAACCAAAAAACCAAGGTACACAGGCAACAAATAGCACAACAAGTGTAGTGGTACCTCACATCTCAATACTAACATTGAATGTAAATGGCCTAAATGCTCCAAAAAAGATACAGTAAAAGATAACTACTTAAAATGCCACTTAAAAGATAACTACTGAATAAATAAGAATTCTCCAACCAACAATCTGCTGCCTTCAAGAGACTCACCTAACACATACAGACTCACATAATCTTAAAGTAAAGGGGTGGGAAAAGGAATTTCATGCAAATGGACACAAAAGCATGTGGAGGTAGCTACTCTTACATCAGACAAACTTTAAATCAACAGCAGTGAAAAATAACAAAGAGGAACATTATATAACGGTAAAAGGCCTTGTCCATCAGGAAAATATCACAATCCTAAAAATATATGCACCTAACACTGGTGCTCCCAAATTTATGAAACAATTAGTAATAGACCTAAGAAATGAAATAGACAGCAACACCATAATAGTGGGGGCCTTCAATACTCCAGTGACAGCACTAGAGAGGTCATCAAGACAGAAAGTCAAGAAAGATACAATGGATTTAAATTATACCTTGGAACAAATGCACTTAACAGATATATACAGAACATTCTATCCGATAACCACAGAATACACATTCTATTCAATAGCACATGGAATTTTCTCCAAGATAGACCATATGATGTCTATAAAATTCTCAATAATTTTAAGAAAATTGAAATTATATCAAGTACTCTCTCAGATCACAGTGCAATAAAACTGGAAATCAACTCCAAAAGGAACCTTCAAAACCATGCAAATACATGGAAATTAAATAACCTGCTCCTGAATAATCACTGGGTCAAAAATGAAATCAAGTTGGAAATTAAAAAATTCTTCGAACTGAATGATAATCATGACACAACCAATCAAAATCTCTGGAATACAGCAAAGGTAGTGCCAAGAGTAAAGTTCATAGCCCTAAATTCCTACTTCAAAAAAATGGAAAAAGCACAAACTGACACGCTTAGTTCACAACTCAAGGAACTAGAGAAACCAAACCCAAACCCAGCAGAAGAAAGGAAATAACCAAGATCAGAGCAGAACTAAATGAAATTGAAACAAAAAATACAAATATAAATGAAACAAAAAGCTGGTTTTTGAAAAGATAATAAAATTTATAGATCATTAACAAGATTAATCAAGACAAGAAGAGAGAAAATCCAAATAATCTCAGTAAGAAATGAAATGGGAGATATTACAACTGACACCGAGATATAAAGGTCATTCAAGGCTACTATAAACATCTTTATGAGCATAAACTAGAAAACCTAGAAGCGATGGATAAACTCCTGAAAAAATACAACCCCCTTAGCTTAAATCAGGGAGAATTAGATACCCTGAACAGACCAATAACAAGCAGTGAGATTGAAATGATAATTTGAAAATTACCAACAAAAAAAAAGTCCAGGACTAGATCAATTCACAGCAGAATTCTACCAAACATTCAAAGAAGAATTGGTACCAATCCTATTGACACTATTCCACAAGATAGAGAAAGAGGGAAGCCTCCCTAATTCATTCTGTGCAGCCAGCATCACCCTAGTACCAAAACCATGAAAGGACATAACCAAAAAAGAAAACCACAGACGGATATCCCTGATGAACATAGATGCTAAAATCCTTAACAAAATACTAGCTAACCGAATCCAGCAACATAAGAAAAGGATAATCCACCATGATCAAGTGGGCTTCATACCAGGGATGCAGGGATGGTTTAACATCTGCAAGTCAATAAATGTGATACACCACATAAACAGAATTAAACAAAAATCGCATGATCATCTCAATAGATTCAGAAAAATTATTTGACAAAATCCAGCGTTGCTTTGTGATTAAAATTCTCAGCAAACTTGGCATACAAGTGACATACTTCATTGTAATAAAATCCATCTATGACAAACCCACAGCCATCATACTGAAATGAGAAAGTTGAAAGCATTCCCTCTGAGAACTGTAACAAGACAAGGATGCCTACTCTCACCATTCCTCTTCAACGTAGTACTGGAAGTCCTAGGCAGAGCAATCAGACAAGAGAAAGAAATAAAGGGCTTCAAAATTGGTAAAGAGGAAATCAAACTGTCACTGTTTGCTGATGATATGATCATTTACCTCAAAAACCCTAACAACTCATCCAGAAAGCTCCTAGAATTGATAAAAGAATTCAGCAAAGTTTCTGTATACAAGATTAATGTACACAAATGAGTAGCTCTTCAATACACCAACAGCCATCAAGTGGAGAATCAAATCAAGAACTCAACCCATTTTACAATAGGACCAAATATATGTATATATATATATATATATATATATGTGTGTGTGTGTGTGTATATATATATGTTTGTGTATATATATATGTGTGTGTGTATATATATGTGTGTGTGTGTATATGTAATATACACACACACACACTCTTAGGAATACACCTAACCAAGGGAGTGAAAGACCTCTATGAGGAAAACTACAAAACACTGTTGAAAGAAATCATAGATGACACAAACAAGTGGAAACACATCCCATGCTCATGGATGGGTAGAATCAATATTGTGAAAATGACCATCTGTAAAAGCAATCTACAAATTGAATACAATCCCCATCAAAATACCACCATCATTCATCACAGAATTAGAAAAAACAACTCTGAAAAGTTCATAGGAACCCAAAAAGAGCCCACATAGTGAAAGCAAGACTGAGCAAAAAGAACAAATCTGGAAGCTTCACCTGATTTCAAACTATACTATAAGGCCCTAGTCTCCAAAACAGCATGGTACTGGTACAAAAATAGGCACATAGACAAATGAAACAGAATAGAGAACCCAGAAATAAACCAAATACTTACAGCCAACTGATCTTCAACAAAGCAAACAAAAACATAAAATGGGGAAAGGACACCCTTTTCAACAAATGGTGCTAGCCAACATGTAGAAGAATAAAACTGGATCCTCATCTCACACCTTATGCAAAAATCAACTCAGGATGGATTAAGGTCTTAAATCTAAGAGCTGAAACTCTTAAAATTCTAGAAGATAACATTGGAAAACCCCTTCTAGACCTTGGCTTAGGCAAGGATTTCATGACCAAGAACCCACAAGCAAATGCAATGAAAACAATGACAAATTGTTGGGACTTAATTAAAGTAAAGAGATTTTGCATGGCAAAAAGAACAGTCAACAGAGTAAACAGACAGTCTACAGTGGAGAAAATCTTCACGATCTATACATCTCACAAAGGACTAATATCCAGAATCTACAACGAACTCAAACAAATCAGCAAGAAAAAATACAAACAATTCCATCAAAAAGTGGGCTAAGGATATGAATAGACATTTTTTAGAAGAAGATATACAAATGGCCACGAACGTGAAAAAATTCTCAACATCACTAATGATCAGGGAAATGCAAATCAAAACCACAATGCAATACCACCTTAGTCCTGCAAGAACAGCCATAATCAAAAAATCAAAAAACAGTAGATGTTGGCATGGATGCAGTGATCAGGGAGCACTTCTACAGTGCTGGTGAGAATGTAAACTAGTACAACCACTATGGAAAACCATGTGGAGATTCCTTAAAGAACTAAAAGTAGAAGTACCATTTGATCCAGCAATCCCACTACTGGGTATCTACTGAGATGAAAAGAAGTCATTATACGAAAAAGATATTTGCACAGGCATATTTATAGCAGTGCAATTCACAGTTGCAAAATCGTGGAACCAACCCAAATGCCCATCAATCAATAAGCGGGTAAAGAAACCCACTCAGCTGGGTTTGATGGACTGCTACTCAGCTATAAAAAGGAATGAATTAACGGCATTCACAGTGACCTGGATGAGATTAGAGACTATTATTCTAAGTGAAGTAACTCAGGAATGGAAAACCAAATATCATATGTTCGCACTGAAATGTGGGAGTTAAGCTATGAGGACACAAAGGCATAAGAATGATACAATGGACTTCGAGGATTTGGGGAGAAGGGTGAGAGAGGGGTGAGGCATAAAAGACTACAAATGGGGAGCAGTGTATATTGCTCGGATGATGAGTACACCAAAATCTCATAAATCACCACAAAAGAACTTACTCATACAACCAAACAATACCTGTACTCCAATAACCTATGGAAAAATAAAAAAATAAAATAAAATAAAATAAAATAGTGTCACACACAATACATCATTAAATATTATGTATCATAATTCATAAATATTATTATATATAAATACCTTTCTAATAGACACCCAATTTATAAAATGTAGTGGAATATGTTGAAAACGTATGTATATACCAATGCACAAAGCTAAAATTTTTAATACTGAAGGTATTTCACATCTCAAAATATCAGAGAACTCAATAAAAAGTTTTCCCCATTGCATTTAAGATATTGTTTATTTAAAAATTCATTTACATGGAAACTTTTAAACAATTTGATTGAAACTTAGTTAAAAATAATAAAGTCTATCTAGTAGACAAATTTATCCATTTGTAAATTCTTTAAACAAATATTTATTTAATGACTACTGAGTTCTGTTCTATAGGGATACAGTAATGAATCAAATAGGCCAAGCCCCTGCTCTCCTGGCGCTAAGATTCTAGCAAGCAATTAGCAAAGATAAGAACATTGGTAGATTTGAAAATATGGCTGTGCCATCTAGTGTTTTTTCAGTCATGCCTAGTCCATGAGGTGAAGATTTCTCCATTGGATCACACACATATGTAACACGGGGCCAGATTCCCACTCTGTGCTACATCTTACTATCACATGAAAAGTTCTCTGGCTCTCCTCTTTCCTGCACAGACATATGTCATATTTTAATAACTGAACGCATTAGCATCTCATGTAACTGGACTTAAAAGTAGTACACAAAGATAGGATAAATTCTGGTGTTCTGTTTGTGCAGGAGGGTGAACGTAGTTAACAATAATGTATTGTATATTATAAAATAGCTAGAAGAAAAGATATTAATTGTTCTCACCACAAAAAAAGATACATTTTTGAGATGGATATGCTAATTATCCTGACTTGATCATTACACAAGGTATACACGTATTGCCCTAAATATGTGTAATTATTATTATTGTCAATTAAAAATAAAATAAAACTTTAAAAATTATGATGTATTTTAGACTACATCTAATTTTATTTCTTGGTTCACAAAATTATGCAGCTGATTTAGTTGGAATCAATTAGATCTTAGGGCTATAAAATAAGTATTTTGCAAGGAAACAAACAAAATCACCAAACTTATGTAACTCTCCCTATAGAGTGATGTGAGTAGAGGTCAAAAAACTTCCTATCTTCCCTGATAACCAGTGACTCCACTTTATTCCTGGACTTAACACTCCTATAGCTTCTAACATCCCAAATCTACTTTTCAAAGTTTGAGGATTCTGCCTCTTTTGACAATTTCTCTGTATTTACCACCTAGATTTATTAACTTTCTGTAAATTCTTTCATTTGCCAATACTACCACTACTGTTTTGAAATGTGTATTTTCAAATGTTAGAAACTAATTTTCTATATATCTGGTTCTCAGTCCTCACTTTATCTTTAAGTGTTCCTTTTAATATTTTCAGTTATCCATTTAGCATATTTATTCCAGAGACTACATTCAGATACCCTAAAACTGGGAATCATTGCAATCCAAACCTACATTGTTTTGATTTAGGGGTTCTAAATAAGTCTAGTCTTAATGTCTAGGGTAGTGATAAATTAGTATCAGGACTTTAAGTTGGGTAATGCAGACACAGATAAGATAATCTTTAAGACAAGTTGAGTTGGATCCATGTTTAAATTTGTGGAATAAGTTCACCTGGCAACCTGGTGCAGTTACCATCCTTTGTGGCAGCTGACCACAGAGAGCTCATCTACAGAATGGATTGCCATTCTTTCAATTCCTACACATTTTCTTGTTTTGCTTCTGGAAAACCCCTACATTATAAATTGTGAACATAGATGGTCAGTGGAACTGAAGGTGATGATGTTGATGGTCACCCCACAGGCAGCCTGCAACATACTAATTTACCTCTAGAAAACATGAAATGCCAGGTGTGTCATGCTGGTGGTATGGAGGAGCCATTGTGATTTCCTCAGGATACTGAGTGAACCTTATTATTTTGTGATCTGTTTGAGCTGGTGTTGAATGAATGACAAGAATAGTGATTTCTTTCTAAGATGGAGATTCCCTTTTGTGATGAACTTTTCTTATTGAATTTTAAGAGCTTCGCTTTAGATCAGTTTTGCTTAGTATTATAATATTAGAAGCCATGAGGCAAATGATTTCTAGTTTGTCCAAAGATATAAAAATGTTATAAGTGTCTGACATATATTTTATCAACAAGTCAATTACTAGAGTTGCAGAGGTAATTCTTATTTTTTTCTATTGTAAACTTTTTTGGGTTAGTCCCCTGCCTTATACTTTTCTGTAATTGTTTCTTTTCCTGTTTGATGACTATCACCATGTTTTACACATCTCAGGTTCTCAATATCATCTGTTAAATAAATCACGGCTTCAGAAAACATTCTGAAGCCTTTCAGTACTGATATTTTCGGATATTTAGCTTGCAGTTTGAATTTAAAAAATTGTTCAGTTTCTTAACGATTAGGTTTTCAGCTTTCTGAAGTCAAAAGGAAAAAAGACTGCCTTATAATCAATTCCAATTTTCCAACTTTTAACACAATTTAACATATGAATTTCAGTTGACAGTTGGTGTGTGTTGTATATCCTCTTCGTTGCAAGCTTGTTAAAAGGTGATATCCAAAAATATAAAATTCAATAAAAGATGTGTGAAAATAAATGCCACTTGATTTCAGTATTTACTTTGTGATGAAATTCTCACTTCACATTTCTTGAAGTAGCTTTCAGCTTTCTAAATGTTGCATTCCCAAAATAAACATGTAAACAATGAAATGATGATGACAAATGTACAGTCTGAGAGTTGGAGAAACCTTAAAAAATGGATGCTATAGTTTAGACATGAAGGATTCAGTTGTGAGCTCATAGAAGCATGCGTTACTTTAAGGCATTTATTTCTAATGCAAGTGTCTTCTTAAATTATAGTTTTGCATATCTGGACTTCCTTTAAAGTGCAGACTTATCATAAGTATGATAAAATAAATGGGATATTTGAATGTCTGCAGGTAAAAAACACAAAGGAAAAACCTTTCCCCATTTAAAACATATATTCTATGTGGGGGGAAACACAAATGTGTGTGCATGCACACACACACACACATGCACACATATTCAGGCTGCACCTTTACAAAAAAAATCTATTTCTGTGATGCATGAAGACAAGCCTATGGTACATTGCTGGTAAAAAAAAATACATATATATAGATATGCACTTTTACTCTTAGACTCCTCCATCTCATCTGGCTATGTTTTCCTCTATCCTTTGGATAAATGGAGTGCCCACCTCAGTATTTTACACAAATAATGCCTTCTATAATTTCTGCCTCATACATCAAAATTATCTCCTCCCTTTCATCCAAAATATTTGGGAAGAAACTTTAAAGGACTGGCCAGGATGTAGATGGGTGTTAGGGTTCAATCAGGCTGGTAGGAAAAATATTAGAGATATTTACAGAGATAGACACAAATCTCCTTGGAAGGCTGAGAAGTTTGCATAACTTCAGTAATAGATCTGGCTGAAGTCAGCCTGGTCCCTTTACCATTAGTTAAACAAGTTAAAGTAGTAATAAAGGAAGACAGAGTAGCTTACCTAGCTAGCTTGTTTACTCATATGATCTTAAGACTAACCTTTGAGGTATGGCAGGTGCTTAAGTGCTTTTTACTTGGGAAGTCCACAATGTCAATTACCCTCTAACGGTGTTGACTCAAGCCTTTGTTAATTAATCTTACTGAATAAATGCGAATCTCACTAGCTGATCAGCGCCATATTCACAGCTGTTTACAGAATTCAGCAGGGAGTCTGTAAGAGGCTTGGACACCCTCAGCTGGACTGGCAAAGCGGAATATCTGTGTGTCAGTGTACTTCATTCATCCGTCCTCGGGTCAGGGGTCTGCAAGGGATAGACCCCTCGCAGCTGCTGCCCCCGTGAGAGGACCATTGCCGCAGGTGGGCATAGGAACAGGGAGAGAGGTAGCTGGTGTACAGATCATCCTCTTACATGCATTTCAGTGTCATAATTTTATAGAGTACTTGCTTCAGACGCTACAATTTTCTACATTTTATATTAGCTTGTAGAAAAAAATTCTGAAATTAGAAGTATTTGCAACAGCACCTAGAACTACATAAAATACACTCAGTAAATATTTATTAGGTTAGTATTCATGAAGTACATACGTGAATAAAAAGCATATCCAAATGGAAAGAGAAAGTGTGTTTGAGTGGCTCAGAATGATGGTGTTAGCAGAAATAATGAAGCTCTAATTCCCAAATTGTCAACACTTGGCACATCCATTTTAAGTGTATCTCTTTTAGATGCATTTTATTTGTGACAAATGTTACCAGCATTTTACGTGGAAATATTAAGTCCTTTCCCTCTTGATGGAAACCTTAAATATTTCAGAATTTGGTAACTTTAAATAACTTTAGAGATTATGCCTGTAAAGTTCCACATTTTGCAGATGAGGAAACTGCTACTTAGTGGAAGAAACAAGGTTAGCATGCCTATCTCCCAAGCAACAGTCTTGGAATTTTTTTAATGCTGACACAGGTCAACATGAAAACATAGAAATCACTATATTGGAGAATATAGTTTAAGGGGGAAAAAGTTCAAAATTAGGATTCTGAAACTCACCAAGAACATCTTATCATTTATGAAATTTTGTTCAGGATTTGCACTCAATTCTTGGTCAGAGAGCTCACACATTGCCATCTCATTAGGGTCAGTCAATGGATGTTAGATTCATCCTTTTGGGGAGTATATATTTATGTCTTTCATTGAAGGATTAGTTATTTACTCCAGTTTTCTATGTATGGCCTGTTTGGTTTTTATTGAATATATTTGCTTAATGTTTACCACTAGATCGCTGCCTCCTTTCCTGCTCTAGTTGGCATCTTAAGCCCAAGGTTGCTTTAGTTCAGGTAAATGATTGGAGTGCAGCCTGTCCTGAAATGGGGAGGTTCCAAAGGATTTATCCCAGGAATGTGTCAAGGCTTTCTAGGGGATTATGCCCAGGGATCTAGGGATTTATGAACCAGGAAATTTATGCATATTGAACCAGGGAATCTCCTACCCCATGATGATGCTGAAGAGCCACTCTGATTTAGCATCTCCCTTAGCTGAGTAGCAGAGCAGAGTTTCCAGGGCTGGGGATGGTAGTGTGTCCAGATTTGGTGGGTTCTTAGTCTCGGTGACTTCAAGAATGAAGCCATGGACCCTCACGGTGAGTCTTACAGTTGTTAAAGATAGTGTGCCCGGCGTTTGTTCCTTCAGATGTTCACAGGTGTCCCGAGTTTCTTCCTTCTGGTGGGTTCCTGGTCTCACTGACTTCAGGAGTGAAGCTGCAGACCTTCACAGTGAGTGTTACAGCTCTTAAAGGTGGCATGTCCAGAGTTGTTCATTTCTCCCAGTGGGTTTGTGGTCTCGCTGGCTTCAGGAGAGAAGCTGCAGACCTTTGCAGTGAGTGTTACAGCTCATAAAGGTAGTGCAGGCCCAAAGAGTGAGCAGCAGCAAGATTTATTGCAAAGAGCAAAAGAACAAAGCTTTCACAGCGTGGAAGAGGACCCCAGCGGGTTGCTGCTGCTGGCTCAGGTGGCCAGCTTTTATTCCCTTATTTGGCCCCACCCACATCCTGCTGATTGGTCCATTTTACAGAGTGCTTATTGGTCTATTTTTACAGAGTGCTTATTGGTGCGTTTACAAACCTTTAGCTAGACACAGAGCACTGATTGGTGTGTTTACAATCCTTTAGCTAGACAGAAAAGTTCTCTAAGTCCCCACCCGACCCAGAAGCCCAGCCAGCTTCACCTCTCAATAACCCCTCTAAACAGGACACCCCAAATGCTGTTGGGAATTGGCCGATGACCACTCTAGCTACTTCCTGCTAGATAGGGGCGAAGAAGGGGCCCTGCAGTTGTAGTGTCCTCCAGAGGGGAATTCTTTAGGCCAGTGAAAGGGACAGTGGGTTGGTCCAGGGGTCCTCGGTAGAAGTTGTTAGTTGAGCTCATTTAGGGTACCATTTGTAAGACCATCTGTAGCTTGATGGCCTCAATTCTACAGGAAACAAATTTGACAAGGAGGTTAAAAATATAGTGCCCAAAGGCAAGTAATAGCAAGATAACTGCCGTGGGACCTAGAAAGGGGAGAAGCCACGTTGCCCAACTCCAGAGGTTGGTATAAGAGTTTGAAAGGCATTGTCTGATTTCAGAAGCCTTTTCCTGTAAATGCTGGGCAGCATCTCTCACTATCCCTGACTGGTTAGTGTAAAAACAACTCTTTCCCTAAGCAAGTGTAGAGTCCTCCTGTCTCAGCAGTGAGGAAGTCTAGGCCTCAGTGGTTTTGGAGAGTCACCACTGCCAAAGAGTCTATTTGGGACTGTAGAGTAAGGAGAGCTTTTGTTATTTCTTGCAAACTGTCTGAGAAATCCTTTGAGAGTGTGTGGTAGTAGGATAACGAAGTAGATAAACTGGCTATTCCAGTTCCTGTAGCAGTAGCCACTTCTAACCCTATAAGTAGGGGTATTAGTTGTATGGCTCTGTGCTGACAGACTTGAGCTTTGAGCAGTACTGATAGGGTCTCATTTCCACAAGATTAGAAATTAGGATAATGTATGTTTACACTGTTAACTTTTAGCAGACTTTACTTTTGTTGAAAACCTTGTAAGTTTGGGATTCCAATTATTCTTTGCTGTTAATAAGACCTCGTTCAGTCCATGTTAACTTAAAATTGGTATAGATGGCTCCTTCCTGATTCTGTAAGTACTTTAAGGTTTGGCTGAGTGCAAACAGCTTGCACATTTGAGCAGACCAATTATTAGGCAATTTTCCTAACTCTGCTTCTACAAGAGTTTCCTCATCATTTACTGAATACCCATTGTGTCTTTTTTCCTTAATCCCCGGGGAGGAACCATGTATCATCCTGTCCTGAAGGGAGTTCCTCCTAGATCTGGTCGGACCTTTGTATGGTAATTAATTAAAATTTAGATCCCCTGTTAGGAAACCTGCTGGGTTAAGGATTTTTGATAGGAAGGCTACAGGTTGTCAGTGGCCTCAGTGCTTTCAGGCTATGCCCTTGTTTACACTGACAACAAGGTGGAGTGTTATAGGGTTACAGAGAAGACCTCCATTATCGATTATAGGTTTTAAGTTTACCCTGGCTTTTAAAGGAATAGGGTACACTGTTTTTTCTTGACTACTTATATCTCTCTTTCTCTTTGACTTCTTCTGTCTCTTCCTCTCTGTCTCTCTGACTTTCTGTCTCTCTGTCTCTTCCTCTCTGTCTCCTTCTCTTTGACTTCCTTTCTCTTTCTCTCTCTCCCTCTTTGTCTCTCTGTCTCTTCCTCTCTCTTTCTCTCTCTTTCTGTCTCTTCCTCTCTCTTTCTCTCTGGTTCTTTCTGTCTCTTTCTCTCTCTTTCTCTCTGGCTGTTTCTGTCTCTCTCTCTTTCTCTCTGGTTCTGTCTCTTTCTCTCTCTTTCTCTCTGGCTGTTTCTGTCTCTTTCTCTCTTTCCTTCTGTTTTTGACTTTGTCTCTCTCTTTCTCTCTGCTGGTCTTTCCTTGCCTCTGCCAGCCGCTTATGGTGCTGTTCTCCCCTCTCCTTCCCCTTTCTGTTGGCTTCAGCAGTGTAAGACTGCCACCTCCTTGGGTTTTTGCATGAGTGCAATAACTCCATGATTTCCTTGTGGCAGTTAATGGGGGTTCCCCCAGAGGTTAGGAACTACCTTTCTTTCCATATTGCAGCATGGTCATGTAGGCTTAGATAAGCATACTATCTGTATACACATTTATTCTTCTTCCCTTTCCCAGTTCTAAGGCTTGGGTAAGTGCCACTAGTTCTCCTAACTGGGTGCTGGTCCCTGGGAGAAGAGGCTTACTTTCAAGTACAGTTACATCACCTTAACTATGGCATAAGCTGCCCTTCATATCCCATTCTCCACAAATGAACTTTCATCGGTATATAGGTTAAGGTCAGGATTAGCTAAGGGGACTTCTAAGAGATCATCTTGGGCAGCATAAGTCTAGACTATAAGTTGTTGGCAGTCATGCTCGATTGGTTCCCCATCCTCTGGGAGAAAAGTGGCAGGGTTGAGGGCTGCACATGTGCATATTTGAAGCACTGGTCCCTCAAGGAGTAGTGCCTGGTATCTAAGTAGGCGGTCGTCTGATAGCCATAAACTTCCTTTGGCACCTAGTATGCCATTTACATCATGAGTAGTCCAGACAGTGAGATCCTTTCCTTGTGTGATTTTGATAGCCTCTGACACTAAGACAGCCACTGCTGCAACTACCCTTAAACAGTGAGGCCAGCCTTTTGCTACTACATCAATTTCCTTACTTAGGTGTGCCACTGATGTGGGGTTGTCCCACGAGTCTGAGTAAGGACTCCAAGAGTTATTCCTGCTCTCCTTGTGACATATAAAGAGAAGTTTTCTCCTGTGGGAAGGCTTAAGGCTGGGGATTGAGTTTGTTCCTTCCAATGCCCAGACTTCAGGGTTGATTCCCTCCTCAAGCAGGGGACAACAAATGGGTAACTAAGTTCCCCATATTCATGTAGATAATAGCTCCAGGTTTGGCTAATATATCCCCCCTTAATAAGGGTGTGGGACTTTCAAGCATAACAAGAAAGGCATGTGAAAAGAGCAAAGTCTCCCAATTACAACTGAGGAGGTGGGAGAAATACCTGGTTACAGGCTGTCCCAGGGTTCCTTGAATGGTAACAGACCTTGAGGACAGTTGTCCCGGACATGAGATTAACACTGAGAAGGCCGCACCAGTGTCCAGGAGGAAGTCAATTTCCTGGCCTTCAATGCTTAAACATACCCGGGACTCAGTGAGGGTGACATGAGCTGGCGCTTGCCCTGGGCACCCTCAGTCCTGTTGTTGGATCATCTGGTTGGGGGCTTCTTACCCAGAGAACCTTTGTCCTCTAGGGCAGTGCACCTTCCAGTGATTGCCTCAGCATAGCGGACATGGACTGGGAGCGGCTTGTTTCTCATTGGACAATCTTTTTTAAAGTGTCCTTGTAAACCACACTGACAACAAGCCCTACCAGGTGATTGGCCTTCTCCATTTTCTGTCCTCCTTGAACCACCAAGGTTTGTTTGTCTGAGGGCCATGACTAAGGCTGTGGCCTTTCTCTGATCTCGCTTTTACTTTTGGGCCTGTTCCTCTTGGTCCCTATTATAGAACACCAAGGTTGCCAGGTTTAATAATGCCTCTAGATTTTGTCCAGGGCCCAGGGCTCACTTTTGGAGCTTTCTCCTGATTTGTGGCTGACTGGGTAATAAAATTACCTTTTAGGATCAATTGGCCCTCTAGTGAGTTGGGTGACAGGGGAGTATATTTTCTTAAGGCCTCCCATAGCCACTCGAGGAAGGCAGAGGATTTTCTTCCTTTCTCTGAGTCATGGTGGACATCATTGAATAATTCATGGGCTTTTTCATAATTCTCCTTAGTCCTTCTAGAACACAGGTCAGCAGATGTTTATGACTCCAGTCCCCATGATCTGAGTCTAGATCCCAGTGCGGATCCATATTGGGGACAGCTTGCTGACCAGTAGGGAATTTGTCCCTTTCTTCAGCTGTCATTCTATCATTTACTTGACTAAGATACCAGGTATCTCCAAATGCTCGGGCTGCAGCTAAAGCCGCATTCTTTTCATTGAAGGCCAGGGTTTGATCTAACAATAGCATGACATTTCTCCAAGTGAGATAGAAAGTTTGCCCTAGACCCTGTAGGACATCTATATACCTATCAGGATCATCTGAAAACTTCCCCAGGTCTGCCTTGGTCTGCTTTAAATCAAAGAGGGAGAAGGAGACATGTACCCGGGTTGGGCCAAATTCCCCTCCCCCTACAGCTTGAAGGGGACATAACCGATAGCCCAGGGGGTTTTGTGGTCCTTTGGAGATTTCTTTGCTTATTTCCTTCTGGGAAGGGGAGATTACAGGAGGCTTATCACTAACAGGAAGGGGAGCTATAGGGAGGCTAGGATATGGAGGTAAGCTGAGAGGTCCTCCTGTGGGATATAAATTGCAAGCTTTGCATGTATTCTCCTTCAGTGAAAAGAAAGCTTGGACATAAGGTATTTCACTCAATTTGCCTTCCCTCTTACAGAAAAGGTCAAGCTGCAGTATAGTATTGTAATTTATACTTCCCTCAGGTGGCCATTTTTCCCTATCAGAGAGAGAATATTGGGGCCAAGCTGTAGTGCAGAAAAAAAGAGCCACCTCTTTTTCAGGGTTTGTGGGTCAAATTGGTCCCAATGGCTTAGGATGCATTTCAAGGGTGAGTCTGTTGATGCCTGAGTGTTTCCCATCTGAAGGACAAAACTGCCTGCAGTTTTGGTTTGTTTTTTTGTTTGTTTCTCCCCCACCCAAGAACCTGCAATGGTCCCTGGACCCTGCTGATCGGAATAGTTGTGCTCACTAATGCAGCAGCAGAAACACCTCTTGCCCAAGAAACTGCAATGGCCCCTGGACCCTGCTGAACAGAATAGTTGCATTCACTGACGCAGCAGCAGAAACACTAGTTTTCCTCCTAGACCACAAGGAGGACTGGGGAAGGTTGGATTTAGTGGCCTTTACTGATGCATTCTCGAAAACCTGTTAGAGTTAGAGTCCTAAGCATTCTCCTTTTAGTATTGGGATTTTACTCATGCCCTATAAAGATGTTATGCCCCAAAAATGAAGTGGAGGGCTATACCCTGAGGGAGGGAAGGGATTTCCAGTGTTGGAAGGGTGATGCCTTTTGTCCTCACTTATATGAATAGGAAAGATAGAATTTCTGAAGCTCCCCATATCCTAGCTTCAGGAATAGCTTTTATTAGATCTGCTTGTCTGAGGAGGGATCCTAAAATTCCAGATAGTCCCCCTACAATGGAGCTTTGGGCAAAAATTATGTCTTTCTGATTGGTGAGCCCAGGTGCCTAAAGAAGGTAACAGAGTCCTGAAGTTTATACTAGAAATCATTCTTATAAGATAAACTAGAAAAGCACCAGAGACAGGGTGTGGTTTCTAGAAGCAGGACTATCCTCAGAGAAGAGAGGTGAGAGAAAGTTTGCCTGACAAACATTAGGACCCAGGAGGCAAGGATTAGGATAGATAGGATAGAGGGGAGAGTCTCACTTGGGTGACGTGACTTTGAGAGTTCTGCTCATGGCCACAGTGTCAACCAACTTATTGTCAGGACCCTGGAGCTGAATGGCTTTCCTCTCTGTCAACCCTCAGCTCAGCCCAGAAGTACAGGAAAAGCGGAAGCTGGTTCTAGGCAAACAAACACTCCCAACTCCAAAGAGTCGGGGGTTGTTAGAGAGCCCTTTCCCAGAAAGGCTGACACCCGTGTCTTTAGTCTGGTCACTGCACTAGTCACTTTTAACTGGCTGGCAGGTGCCTGGTATTTAGCCCCCGAATTCTAAGGAAAGATAGGACAGAATAGCAAGTGAAAGGGGTCCGATGGTACTCACTACTTGGTGATTGTCCCTTCATGGTCACCAAAATGTGTCCAGAATTGGTGAGTCCTTGATCTCACTGACTTCAAGAATGAAGCCCCGGACCTTGCAGTAAGTGTTACAGTTCTTAAAAATGGCATGTCCTGAGTTTGTTCCTTCAAATGTTCAGATGTGCCTGGAGTTTCTTCCTTCCAGTGGGTTCGTGGTCTTGCTGACTTCAGGACTGAAGCTGCAGACCTTTGCCATGAGTGTTACAGCTCTTAAAGGTGGTGCGTCCGGAGTTGTTCATTCCTCCTGGTGGGTTCATGGTCTCACTGGCTTCAGGAGTGAAGCTGCAGACCTTCACAGTGAGTGTTACAGCTCTTAAAGGTGGCACATTCAGAGTTGTTTGTTCCTCCCAGTCGGTTCATGGTCTCGCTGACTTCAGGATTGAAGATGCAGACCTTCGCGGTGAGTGTTACAGCTCTTAAAGGTAGTGCGGACCCAAAGAGTGAGCAGCAGCAAGATTTATTGTGAAGAGCGAAAGAACAAAGCTTCCACAGCATGGAAGGGGACCCCAGTGGGTTGCCACTGCTGGCTTGGGTGGCCAGCTTTTCTTCCCTTATTTGGCCCCATTCACATCCTGCTTATTGGTCCATTTTACAGAGTGCTGACTGGTCCATTTTACAGAGCACTGATTGGTCCATTTTACAGAGTGCTTATTGGTCTATTTTTACAGAGAGCTGATTGGTGTGTTTACAAACCTTTAGCTAGACACAGAGCGCTGATTGGTGTGTTTGCAATCCTCTAGCTAGACAGAAAAGTTCTCCAAGTCCCCACCCCACCCGGAAGCCCAGCCAACTTCACCTCTCAGTAGTTCTTTCCTTTGTCTCTGGCTGTCCTCAGGGATTTTTCTCTCTTCACATACTTATAATGCTCCCAGAACTCTTGGCTTAAAGCAAAGATGAGTCTGCTGAAAAGGCACCCAAGATGGGGTAAAATGGCTAACAGCCTCAATCTGACACTTTCCAGTTTAGAAACTATGAGTTGGAGGAGACTTTCCAAGTGTTTGCTACCAAGCAGAATGGGAGATCGGGCATTGTGGATGTAGAAGTCTGATTCTCTTACCCTCTGCTTGAAATTTTTTCACTTCTCTGTGGCTGTGGGAACTATTTCATCCTTATACTTGAGTTATGGTACATTGCTGGTAAAAATCTCAGTGTTGGCTGGGCGTGGTGACTCACGCCCATAATCCCAGCACTTTGGGAGGTTAAGGCAGGCAGATCATGAGGTCAGGAGATTGAGACCATCCTGGCTAACACAGTGAAACCCCATCTCTACTAAAAATACAAAAAATTTGCTAGGCATGGTGGCATGTGCCTGTAATCCCAGCTACTCGAGAGGCTGAGGCAGGAGAATTGTTTGAACCTGGGAGGCAGAGATTGCAGTGAGCCGAGATTGCACCACTGCACTCCAGCCTGGGTAACAGAGTAAGACTCCATCTCAAAAAAAAAATAATAATAATAATCTCAGTGTTATATGTTTGTTTTTGGTTTTCTGTGTTGAGGGGATGTGGGGGAGCAAAGCCAGTTTGCTTCTATGCTGCCATTTTGGAAATAGCAATCTGTGAGGCTTGCCATGATTAAAAGTTTCCCAAGGCCTTCCAAGCCATGTTTCTTGTACAGCCTATGGAAATTTGAGCCAACTAAACCTTTCTTCTTTATAAATTACACAGTCTCAGGTAGTTCTTTATAGCAGTGCAAGAACAAACTAATACAGAAAATTGGTACCAGGAGTGGGGCATTGCTATAAAGATACTTGAAAATGTGGAAATAGCTTTGGAACTGAGTAATGCACAGAGGCTGGAACAGTTTGGATGGCTCAGAAGAAGACAGGAAAATGAAGAAAAGTTTGGAACTTCCTAGTGTCTTCTTGAATGACCAAAATGCTGATAGTGATCTGTACAGAGATGGCCAGGTTGATGAGGTTTCAGACGGAGATGAGCAAATTATTGGGAACTGGAGCTAAGGTCACTTTTGTTATGCACTGGCAAATAACCCAGTGGCATTGTGCCCCTGCTGTAGGGATCTGTGGAACTTTGAACTTGAGAGTGATGATTTAGGGTATCTAGTGGAAGAAATTTCTAAGCAGTATAGTGTTCAAGATGTGGCCTGGTTGCTTCTAAAAGCCTATTCACACATATGGAAACAAAGAAATGACCTGAAACTGAAACTTATATTTAAAAGGGAAGCAGAGTGTAAAAGTTTGGAAAATTCATAGCTAGGACATACGTTAGAAAAGAAAACCCCATTTTCAGGGAAAGAATTGAAGCAGGCTGCAGAAATTGGCATAACTAAAAGGAAGGCAAGGAGCAATAGCCAAGACAATGGGAAAAAGGCCCTGAAGATACTTCAGAGACCTCTGCAGCAGCCCCTCCAATCACAGGCCTGGAGGTCTAGGAGGGAAGAATAATTTCATAGGCCAGGCCCAGGGATGTGCTGCAGTGTGCAGCCTCCTGACAGTTTGCACCATACACCTAGAAAAGCCACAGACACTCAATAGAAGCCTGTGAAAGCCGCCATGGGTGCTTTTCCTGCAAAGTCTCAGGGGCAGAGCTGCCCAAGGTCTTGGAAGCCCACCCCTTGCACAGTGTGCCCTGGATGTAAAGCATGTAGTCAAAGGAGATTGTTTTGGAGTTTTAAGATTTAATGACTGTCCTCCTAGGTTTTGGACTTGCCTGAGGCCTGTAGCCCCTTTCTTTTGGCTGATTTCTGCCTTTCAGAATTGGAGTATTTACCCAATGCCTGCATCCCCATTGTACCTTGAAAGTAACTAACTTGTTTTTTATTTAACAGGCTCATAGGCAGAAGGGAGTTGTCTTGTCTCAGATGAGACTTTGGACTGTGGACTTTTGAGTTAAGAACTTGGGAGACTGTTAAGAAAGGATGATTGTATTTTGCAATGTGAGAAGAACATGAGGTTTGGGAGGGGTCAGGGTGGAAAAACATGGTTTGGATTTGTGTCCCCACTGAAATCACATGTCAGATTATAATCTCCAGTGTTGGAAGAGGTGCCTGATAGGAGGTAATTGAACCATGGGGGTAGAATTTCATCATGCTGTTCTTGTGATAATGAGCAAATTATCATGAGATGTGGTTGTTTAAAAGTGTACAGCACCTCCCTCTCCTCGCTCTTCCTCCTTCTCTTGCCTTGTAAGACATGCCTGCTTCCCCTTCACCTTCTGCCATGAATCTAAGTTTCCTGAGGCCTCCCCAGAAGCAGAAGCCTACAGGACCTGCAGAAACATGAGCCAATTAAGCCTCTTTTCTTTGTAAATTTTCCAGTCTCAGGTATTTCTTTATAGCAGTGTGAGAACAGACAAATATAGAAAATAAACAATAGATAATAGGGACTACTAGAGAGGATTGGAAAGGGGGGTAAGGGATGAACTACCTATTGGACATAGTGCTCACTACCTGGGTGTTGGGATCATTCTTACCCCAAACCTCAGTGTCACACAACATACCCATGTAACTAAACTGCGCGTGTACTCTATGAATCTAACATAAAAGTTGAAATTATTAAGAAAAAGAAATAATCCAATAAAAATGGGCAAAAGATCTGAAAAAATACTTCTCAAAAGAAGACATATGAATGGCCAACAGGTATGTGAAAAACTGCCCAACAGCTCTAACCATCAGAGAAATGCAAATCAGTGTCAGAATGAGATATTATTTTACCTCAGTTAAAATGGCTTGTATCAAAAAGACAGGCAATAATAGATGCTGTGAGGATATGGAGAAGGGGAAACCCTAGTATACTGTTGGTGGGAATGTAAATTAGTACAGCCACTATGGATAATGGTCTAGAAGTTTCTCGAGAAAACTAAAACTATAACTACCATATGATCCAGCAATTATACTACTGGGTATATATCCAAAGGAAATGAAATTCCAGGCTCAAAGTATTGTCTGCCCTCCCATGTTTATTGTAGCAATATTTACACCAACCAAAATACGAAATCAATGTAAGTGCCCATCAACATGTGAATGGATGAAGAAAATGTGATACATATACACAAGGGAATATTAGTCATAAGAAGAAGGAAATCATATCATTTGCAGCAACATACGTGGAACTGGAGGCCATTATAATAAGTAAAATAACCCAAACCCAGAGAAACAAATATCACATGTTCTCACTCACATGTGGGAGGTTAAAAAGTGAATCTCATGAAGACAGACATTAGGATGGCGGTTAGCCGAGGTCAGAAAGGGTAGGAAGGAGAGAGGGATAAAGAGGGAAAAAAATAAATATACTTATTACCACTGAACTGTACACTTAAAAATGGTAAAGATGATAAATTATATATGTATATTTTACCCAAATTATAAATAAACAAACAAATGAATGAATAAATAAATAAAAGATTTGCCCTGAAAATAGTAGTCCAGTTTTTTATTGACAGTGGATCCAATTTAGAAAAGTTGGAATTAATTTTATGCAATAGTGATTTAAAATCTCCGTATGATCAGCAGGGAGAAAACACATTTTATACCAGAGGAATTATGGTATCTTTGGCTCACAAATTATACCATATAAGCATCACTAGATGATCTACCTATTTGGGCAGTTTTATGCCCTAAGCAGTTATAAACATTGAAACTCACCTTTTCAAATCTGCTCCAATGCTCCTGTCATACTGAATGCTGACATGCAGTTTCATACTCTCATTTCATAAAGAATGAGGACATTAGAGCTTAAGATGAACTCAAAGTTATAGCCAGGAGCCATAAATTCGATTTCTCTTAGTCCCCCATAATATTGTTTTGTTTGTTTGTTTTAAGACAGCATCTTACTTTGTCACCAAGGCTAGAGTACAGTGACATGATCTTGGCTCACTGCAGCCTTGACCTCCTGGGCTCAAGTGATCCTCCTACTTCAGCCTCCTGAGTAGCTGGAACCACAGGCACATGCTACCCTGCCTGGCTAATTTTTGTATTTTTGTAGAAATGGGGTTTTGCCATGTTGCCTAGGCTGGTCTCAAACTCCTAGCTCAAGCAATCCATTTGCCTCAGCCTCCCAAAGTGTTAGAATTACAGGTGTGAACCACTTGCCTGCCTCACTTCCCATAATATTCTCTATAATATTCAACTTATAATACTCAAAAATAGTTGATTGAATGAACACACATAGCAATGTAAAAGCCATAAATATGGTTGTTTAAGCTACCCCCATCCATCAGAACTTTCATATTTTAAATTTCATTTATTATTATTATTTTTGAGACAGGGTCTGGCTCTGTTGCCCTGGCTGGAGTGCAGTGGCGCAATCTTGGCTCACTGCAATTTCCACCTCCCAGGCTCAAACCATCCTCCCACATCAGCCTCCCAATTAGCTGGTACCACAGGTGCATGCCATTATGCCCAGCTAATTTTTTGTATTTTTGGTAGAGATTGGGTTTCACCTTGTTGCCCAGGCTGGTCTCGAATTCCTGAGCTCCAGCAATCCTCCTGCCTTGGCCTCCCAAAGTGCTAGAATTACAGGTATGAGCAACCTGAGCCAGAGCTTCCATATTCTATCACACAATTTGGAAGAGACAGGAAACAACTTTTTAATCTTTATAATTCTAACTGCTCATCCACACCAACTCTGGATTGGGATCAGATGTTGACTACTGGCTGTCTAAGAAAATATGGGGTGCTCTGCCTACACTTTGGTAACATCAAAAGACACCAGTGAAATAGTACAAAAGGGATAAATACCTCCTGGTTCAGTGCTTCCATGATGTCAGTAATCCAACAGTGCACAGCCTGCTTTCATGTTTTTCATACTGAGTGTTCAAGTAAGAGTTTGGGTCTTAAACAACAGGTCTGTGGCAAAAAAAAAAAAAAAAAAAAAAAAAAAAAAAAAAAGTAGAATAAAGGTTAAAAGATATTACTAAGGCTTCTCAACATTAAACTTCAATGAAAAGAGAAGATATACATGTGATAAAATTTGAACTGACCTATCACATGCCCCCTTATAAATATGACCTTGACTCTTGCCAAGAAGTATATTAATAGTCAGATTGCTTCAGGGAAGATCTTTCCTGAGTCATACTTGCCCCAGGAAAGCAAAACACTTCATTTAAATAATGATTTTCATAAATATATAGGGCAAAATGTACCTTGGATTGGAGTATATAAATACTAAGTTACATTTTAAAAATCTGTGCACCTGCTCTAAAATGAGTGTATTCATGAGAAAATTGACTTTGTTACAACTTATTAAAAAATTGTAACCTAAAAAACTTACATCACATGTGGAAATAATGGCCACCGCTGTTTTTGACTAGTGTTCAGCATCTTTTTAATTGTAGTTATATAGGTCTTAAGAAAGGTGAAAATTAATAATAGGATGCTATAAAATTGAGAAAATATGTAAAAGAATTAGTAAAAATAGAGACTTTTAAGGAGATTTTAATGCAAAAATTATGATCTAAACAAACATTTTTCTGTGAATCAAAAGCTATCTGACGGGAATCCCTAAATACAAGGATAAGGAAAATAACCAGACAGAAAAATTACATCAATGATTTACGAGGCATAAATTGAAGCTACTATTATCTACCATAAAAATATACTGTGAGCTAAAATGATATACTAGAGACCAATCTTCCTATCATTTAAAAGCAAACTTTAAAAATAAATGAGTCGGGATTTTCACTTCCAGTCAAGGTAGACTAAAAAGGACTGGATTTGCTCTGCCATCTGAAATTGTCACAAGACCAGACAAAATATCTCCAGAACAGTTTTCAGGATACCACCCATCAGGTAATAAAAACCAATAATCTCTGAGAAATGGCATGCAAGTGGGGGGATCCCTACAATTCTCTCAGGTCATTTCCTTGAGTGAATATCTAGGATGCAGTGAAGGGAGGATTTAACCCAAGTGGACCCTAGCAGAATTTCAGAGTTGATTAGATGGAACTGAGCATCCAGAGAGACACAGCTAGAGTGTGTACAAGTAATGGAAAGGAGAGAACTGCACATGGGGACAACTCTGAAGATCTGCAGAGGGTCCCTTCAAATACTTAGCTGAGTACTGACTAACACATGTGTGTAAGAACACTATCTAATGTTTGAAAAAGAATTGGAACAGTACCTGGTGGTCATACAGGGCTTAAAATAGTACTCATACTCCCCAGCAGACTGAAAAAAACTCATAATTCTCAGGCCATTGAGTAAAGTACTCAGACTGGTCTTGAATAGTAATGAAGAACAATTAGCCCTAGACTAACCACTGAAATGATCACATCTAAAAATATTATACACACAACATGAAAGAATCCAGCTGTTTCCAATAACTTAGCTGTATCTCAGAACACAACTTAGGAGTATTTATATGTATACAAAAATTTCCAGGACTCAACAAGGCAGAATTCACAATATCTGATACCCAATCAAAGGGCATACACAGAAACAGGAAAATATAACCCATAATGGGGAATCTCACCTGATTGAAACTGACTCAGATGTGATATTGATATTAGAATTAGCAGACAAGATCATTAAAAAAACATTAAAACATCTTCCATATATTTGAGAAGTAGAGACATGAATAATGTAAAAATACAAATCAAGCTCCTAGTGATGAAAATTGTAATGTCTGAGATGAAAAATACACAGAATTGAATCAATGTCAGATTAATGCCAGCCATTGAAGAATAAATAATTAGTAAACTTAAAGATATAACAATAGAAACTACTTGAAAAAAACCTTGAAAGAGAAAAAAGAATCAAAATAAAAGAAGCATCATTGAGCTAGGACAACATCAAATGTATTCATATATGTGTAAATGGTGTCTCCAAAGGATAGAAAGGAGAAAGAACAGAAAAAAAAATTTGAAAATATAATGACCAAATATGTTTCCAAAGTTTATGAAATTATAGATACACAAATACAAGAGGCTGAACAAATCCTAAGCACAAGAAAGATAAAGATTATACTAATACACAACTAATAAAATTGTTCAAAATCATTGATAACAAGAAAAATCTTAAAGGTAGTGAGATAAAAAAGACACACCATGTAAAAAGAAATAAAGATGAGGATGACAGCAGATTTCTTACTGTAAAAAATTCAGGCTGGTAAGATAGTGGAAAAACACAAAAAACACTGAAAGAAAACTCAGTATAAAATTCATTAGACATCAGAAATATATTTAAAATCAAAGGCGAGGATATATAAAAACTGAAAGAATTCATCACCAGAAAACTATCACTAAAAGAACTGTTACAGGAAGTACTTCAGGCAGAAGGAAAATGATGCTGCATGAAAATCTGGATCTGTACAAAGAACAAGCACCACTAGAAATGATAACTATGTGAGTAAATAGATACAATATTTTTCTTATTATTTAAACCTCTGTTAAAATATCTGACACTTTAGCAAAAATAACAACAATGTATTGTAGTGTTTATAACATATGTATACTTGAAATATATGACAACAATATCATAAAGGCTATTTATGGAAGGGAAGACATGAAAGTATTGTCCTTATACTACATATTAAGTGCTAAAATATTGTTTGAAGGTAGGCTGTGATAAGTTAAAGATGTATATTATGAACCCTAAAGCAACAACTGAAATGACAAAACTAGTTATTAACTAATATGCCAGTAAAAGAAATACAATAAAATAATTTTTTAAAATACAAAGGAAGACAGAAAAAGAAGAAAAATAAATAACCAAGGGGAAAAGTAGAAAACAAATAGCAGGATAATAGATGAACAATTAATCAAATCAATAATCACTTTAAATACAAATGGCCTAAACACCCTAAGTAAAAGATAAAGATTGTTGTATTGATTTTTTAAAAAAACACAAGACCCAACAATATATTGCATAGAATAAATGTATTTTAAATACAAAGACAAATATAAGTCAAAAATACAAGACTGAAAAATATATACCATGGTAATAATACAAAAATAAAGCTTCAGTGTCTGGATTAGTATCAGACAAGGCAGGTTTCTGAGCAAAGGATATTGCCAGGGCTACAAAATATAATTTCATAATGATAAAAGCATCAATGTGTCAAAAGGACATAACAATCCTAAACGTTTATGCAGCAAATAACACAAAGTACCAAAGCCCATTCAAAAAGAAATGGTCAACATAAATTGAATTTATAGTTTAAAACTTTTCACAAAGAAAACTCTAGGCTCAGATGATTTCATTAGAAAATTCTACCAAGCATTTAAAAATGAAGTCATATGAATTATACCCCAATTTATTCAGAAAAAATGTAAAGAAGGTATCTCTCATTCCCTGAGGCCAGCTTTTCCCTGATCATGAAAATACACAAAGACATTATAAGAAAATAAAACTACAAACCAATACACATCACGAACAGAGATGTGCAATTTTTTAACAAAATGATATCAATTAAAACCAATGCAGGCTTGGTTTAACATTCAAAATAAATCAGTATAATTCACCATATTAAAACATGTTTTATAAGCAAACAGCTGATCGTATTAATAAAGAAAAACACTTGACAAAGCCAAACATCCACTCCAGATGAAAACTCTCAGAGAACTTTGAATGAAAGAAAACTTTCTTAACCTGACAAACATTATTGTTGAGAAAATTATGGTTAACATCATATTTATTCATGGAAGACCAGATGCTTTACCCCTAAGTTCAGAATCAAAAGAAGAATGTCTATTTTTAACTCTGTTTAACATTGCACTAGTGGTTCTAGAGAGTGGAATAAAGCAAGAAAGAAAATAATGCCGTACGGCCTGATAAACGAAGAAGTAAAACTGTCTTTGTGTACAGTTCATATGTTTGTTCATGTAGAAAAATCAATAGAATCTACAAATAAGCTACCAGAACTAATGAGTTTTATAATGTTTCAGGATACAAGATAAATACAAAAAAGCAATCATAGTTCTATATACTAGCAACAAACACTTAGAAATTGAGATTCAAAAACAATATAGTTTGCAACAGCATCAAAAATAGGAACACATTTGTATATGACAAAACATAGATTAGACTTGTACAGTGAAATCTCTGTAACATTGCAGAGAGAAATTAAAGAAGATCTAAATAAATGGAAAGATATGATTTCTCCTAGATTGGAAGGCTCAATATTGTGAAGAAGACAGTTTTCACCAAAAAGATCTATAGACTAACCATGATCTCAATCAAAATCTCAGGGTTGTGTTTGTTTTTAGAAAATGAGATGGAGATCTAAAATTCATATGGATGTGCAAAGACCTAGAATAGCCTAAACAATTTTGAAAAAATAAAGTAGAAAGAAAAACATTATTTGATTTAAAAAACGATTACAAAGCTATAGTAACAACGACAGGGTGGTATTAAACTTAGACAAATATATTAATGGAACAGAATAGAGAGCTCAGAGGTAGACATATATATTTGATTTTTTCCAAAGAAGCAAAATTGACTCAGTAGATCAATGATAGGCTTTTCAATGAATGGAACTGAAACAACCAGATATCCCTATGCCAAAAAATCTTAACTTAGTCCATACTCATTCCAAATACCAAAACTACTCAACTTGGCCATAGAACAAAAGTAAATTCTAAAACTTTTAACATTTCTGTGAGAAAACATAAAAGAAATCACTATGACTTTAAGTTTGGCAAAATTACCTTGGATAAAGCACTAAACTTTTGATCTATTAAAGAAAATATTGATAAGTTAAACTTCATCAAAATTTTAAAACATTGCCCTTTGAAAACATTTTTAAAAGAATATAAAAAGACAAGCCACAGGCTGAGAGAAAATAATTGCAAAGAATATGTATAATACTGAACTTTTATCCAAAATCTATAATGAACTTTCAAAACTCACTAATAAGAAACCCATATACATGGGCAAAAAACTTGAACACTGTCCCAGAGAAGATATACATATGGTAAACGAGCACACGGAAAAAATATTCAACATCATAATTATTAGGAAAATACAAAATAAATGCACAATGAGATACCATTACATACCTATTAAAATGTCTAAAATTTTAAAAAATAATGGACCATACTATGGGTTGATGACCATGTGGGGCAACTGGCTACACCACAGGTGGAATTATAAAAATGGCAAACTACTTTAGAAAATAGTTTGGCAGTTTCTTAAAAATTAAATATACCCATACATGTTTATCAGGCCATTCCAATTCTAGGTATTTATTCAAGAGAAATAGAAGCATATGTTTATTTAAGAACTTGGAGTTGTATGCCAATGTTTATAGCAGATTTATTTGTAATAGCCAGCAATTGAAAACAACCTAATTATCCATCAACAGGTGAATGGATAAATAAAATTTTGGTTTCTGTAAAACGAACTACTATTCATCAAGGGAAAACAATAAACTACTGATACATGCAATAACATGAATAAATCTCATTATAATTATGTTCAGGGCAAGAAGCCAGGCCAAAAAGTACATATTACATAATTTCCTTTATATAAAACTCTAAGAAATATAAACTAACCTGACGCAAAGCAAATCAATAGTTGTCTGGGGACAGGTGGAGCACATTAATAATGACTAGACATGTACTTTCTCATTGCCAATATATAAGGTTAACTCAAATTTCAGATTTACAATTGGTTGTACACAAGGTACAGGGAGAAAGAGGCAAGCAAGGCAGACCTGACCAGGAACTCCAATAGGAGGAAAATAATTACATGAATTGAAAATGAATACTGTTACTTGAGGCTGTGAACACAGCCTATCCACCCTGCCCACAAGCCTAGTTTAGCAATGGCCACATTCTTCAAAGTGATAATGAAATAGGAAGGAACTCACCCTAAGACCAAAAGATCATCACATAAAATATTAAGTTGTCTTTCCATATGGCCTCTATCTGGTCACAACAGAGACCAACATTTGCACCTTGACATCTCAGCTGTGGTTTTGTTATTTTCATTCTTTCTGAGCACTAACAGAACAACTTACTATTGTGATACAATGTCTTTCATGTTCTGTTCCTTACCTACCTCTTCAGTCTTATACCAAGCCATATTTTATCAACCTCCAAACTACTTCAGTTCTCCTAAAGAACCATGCTTGTTCATAATTCTATGCATTTGCATACAGCACTTTAGGGATGCCAAATAATTTGGATTCAATCTGAAGGCAATAGGAAGTTTTGAAGCAAGTCAAGGTGGGCAGTGACATAGTTACATTTGCATTTTAAAAAGATGGATCGAGGCTTGAGCTGGGTTGTTTGGACAAGTGGAACTATGTCTTCTAGGCCTATCTATACGGGTACTTTATAGATTGCCTGTGGTTTCCTCCATGGTGGGAAGTAGGTGATAATTATGCTAAACCATCCTTTACAAGAAGAAGGAAAGAATATTTAGATTTGAGATGCATATTCTTACAGGTACAAATGTGAAGGACTTCCTCCTGCTCACTGTGTTCAGAACTTTTCCAATGGGAGCAAGTTGTTAGCATTCAGTTTCAATAACAATTTTGGAGGTTTGAAATAATTCTGAAGAATTATGAGAAAGCAAATAGTTATTTAAGGTTTCCATGCTGCAATAGGGTTTGTGATCATACTTTTTTTTTTTTTGAAACAAACCGTACAGTTGTGTGCATTTAATCAAATTATTTAACAGCTTGGGTATAGAGCAGAAAAGCCAGAGATTGTATTAATTTAGTCTTAAGGATTGGCAGGGTAAGTATAGTAGAATTGCCAATTTTTTACAAATATGGGGATGACACCAGAAAGTTATGGAAAGTTTGGAGAAGCAGAAGGGGAAAGGGAGTGAGATAGAGAGTGGATATGACTATTGAACTAAGTTGTAGGGAAAAGTTTCATGCAGTTGGTGGTGGACCCATACACTGGCTGAGTCTACTTCATCCCCTCTCATTTTCTCCCAGAGTCACTGTAATATGACTTCTCTCTTGCACCAAGCATTTGCTTCTCCAAGGTAAACAATGCCCTCATTATTGAATAAACTCTTGTCTTCTTAGTCCTTACCTTCCCTGACATCAGGAAAACCAGATCCCTATCCCAAGCCTGAGACCCACATATAAAATTTCATTAACTATATTTTGTCTTGGGCCAGGCATGGTGGCTCACACCTGTAATCCCAGCACTTCGGGAGGCCGAGGTGGGTGATCACCTGAGGTCATGAGTTCGAGACCAGCCTGGCCAACATGGCAAAACCCCATCTCTACTAAAAATACAAAAATTAGCCAGACGTGGTGGCACACGCCTGTAATCCCAGCTACTCAGGAGGCTGAGGCAGGAGAATCACTTGAATCCGGGAAGTGGAGGTTGCAGTGCACAGAGATTGCGCCACTGCACTTCAGCCTGGGCAACAAAGCAAGACTCCGTCTCAAAAGAAAACAAAACAAACAACAAACAACAACAACAAAAAATACACCCACACCGAACATTTTGACTTGGATGTTTGAGAGGTACTTCAAACTCTCAGAACTTTGCTTGTCCAAGCCTGAAACTTTACCATTCTCCTGGAGTTTTAATCTCAGGATATAGTACCATTGTTCATCTGGGGACCCAACCCTGAAACATGGGAGATTTTTTTCCTCACACTGCAGTCAACCAATCTAGAATTCCTGTCAGTTATACCTCCTAAATATCCTTCAATCTCATCCTGTTCCGTTTTCAAACTGATTGGTATCTTTTCAGCTGTGGATGCTATGGATCATCCTCTTCAAAGGCAATTTTTCCTTGGTCTCTATAGCCTAGTACTTTAGTGGTTTTAGTGTTTTTCCACCTGATCACTCCTCAGACTCTTTTTGATAATAATTTTCCTATCCATTTCTCAAATGTTGATTCCTAAGCCAGCTGTTCTTCTCATTTTTACACATACTCTGGCTATTCACTAACCCCCATGTACTCTACTACAATTTATGCTCCCAAATATACATTTAAAAGTCATACTGACTTTCTGAGTTTCAGATTCCCACTGTCTACTGATCATATTGGATTATCATTGACAAACTCAGTATCCCTAAATATCACATCATGTTCTCCATACCCACTTCTTTGTTAACATCCATCATTTTATTACCATTTCTGATAACTTTTTAATTGCTCTTCTTGCCTCTAGTCTTTCCATACTCCAGCCAGAATTATTTTTCCATAATGCAAATTTGATCTGTCAATTTTTTTCTTCCTAAAAAGGCAATGGTGGCTCTTTGTTGCCCTTCAATTAAAATTCCAAATTCTTAACATGGCTATTCAGGACTCCTCCTACAATTCTCTCCAACATTATCTTTCTCCGTGCTGTGTTCCAACTAGCTGACCTTCTTTCAATTACTGACTCTTTCATCTTGTGTCTTTGCACACCTCATTCTCACTTTACCTTGTTTCCAACTTATTCTTTATGGCCTCTCATGTAGGACTTGGCACATCGTAGGGCATAAAGGCACACATTACATTTCATAGAATGAATCAGTGTCTTAATAATGTTGACCATCTTAACTCATAATATGAGTTTTTTTTCAGAGACAATTCTAGATAAACCAGGCAGATTTCATATATCTCTTTATCTTTGTTCAAAAATAAATCTCTTCCAAAATGTCAGTAGAGGAATAAATGAGGTATAAAACTGAAAGGAACAGAAAATGAGAGCATCAGCAGATGAGAGACTTCAACCCATTGTTAGAATATAAACAGCAGGCAGAGGAGAGATGAGTGACATGGAAGAGCAGAGAAACTTGAACTTAAATGCAGACAGAAGGGATACAATAAGAAGAAAGCAGAACTGCTCATAGAACTGCAGCTTGTCTCAGAATTTCCATAGGTGTGATTACTGTGAAAGACAAGGGTGACAATGAAGCCAGAAAAAAAAGGATTGGTTATAGTCCTGCCCAAGGAACAATTAGGTCTTCAGGTCCTCAGCACTGCCCCTAAACGGTCCAATTTCTGCCCCAGCCCTACATGAGCATGGAGATTTATTATTTTTTTGTCTGGAAAATTGGAACCAGAGAAGGAGACTCAGGGACAGTAGAAGAGCACATAAGTGGGTATGGATTAAGAAATAGAAAAGTTAATTTAAAATAGTCATACTGGGAGGTGAAATCTTCTCCTACTTCCCTTCATCTACTTATCTCCCCCAACACTTGCAACTAGGCTTATATCATGAAGTGCAAAATAGTGGCAGGAGAGAGGAACACTTCTCAGGCTTCCATTTCACTATGCTGACTATGCTACAGTGAAGTCCAACAACCAACAAGCCATGTCATGCAAATAGTGCTTCCAATCAGCTTCTTAGTGCCTCACTCTAAAAGGAACTGAGAGCTAAGAATCCCCTGAAAGTTGAGGAAAGCCAGAAGTCAAGAAATGCAGACTAGGAAATCACAATGTACCCAGATTATACAGAAGCAAAGGAAGGTAACATGTTATTCTTATCACTTTTAGGTTATGAAACACTATTACATCCATGAATCAAGTAAGAGTTGCCACAAAAAAAGACGAATAAAATCACAAGAAAGTATCTTGGAAATGTAATCATTTAGGATCTACAAAATTTTGCTGTGGTAACAACAAAAAAACTCAAGAATTTAACACAATGAAAATTTATTTCTTGTTTGTACCATCTGTTGTTAACCTGGGTGGTTCTCCAACATCGTTATTCTCTCTATGGAGTCTTAGCTTCTCCACTAGGCTGCTCCAAACTTGTGAAGTTTCTATTTAAATATGATACTTCTGGGTTCACCATGGAAGGGAAAGAGAACATGGACAATCACATAGCAGCTCTTAAATGGTTTTACCCTAAGTCCCTGTATTTCATTCACTAAACCAAGTCACATAGCTTCTTTGAAGTATAAGGACACAAGGAATTGTAATCATTTCACATGTTCAGGAAAGAGAGGAGAGCCATATATGTTGATGAGCACCAGTAATATCTACCCAAGATATCTAATTGAGACAACTCCCAGAAAGTAGAACAAAAGGGCAAAGGGATGAAGAGTAGAAGAGAAAATATAAGAAAATATCAGGATAATTCTAAAGGTTTCAGTGTCCAACTAAAACACCCAAGTAACAGAAACAGATATGTTTAAAAATAATAGCAATAATACAAAACATTTACTAAAACCAAAAGCCATACATCAATTAATTAAAATGGTCTACTGAAGTTAAGCAGAATACATGAAAAAAGAAAAAGACACACTAAGACACAGCATTATGAATTTCACAATACCTAGAATAAAGAGACAATCTTTAAAATTTTCCAGAGTGGAACAACACAGATTACATAAAAATGGAATACAAATTAGAATGATATCAGTTTTTCAACATCACTTTGAGAAGCAAAATTGCAAAATTCTGAGTGAAATAATTTTTACACTAGATTTTTAGACTGTTGGTTAAATAATGAGGAAGTAGAATTAAAAATATGCAGATTTAAAAGATCTCAAAATTTTACCTCCTAGGCATCCTTTCTTAGAAAGTAAAACAAGGGTATGAGCTACAACACCAAGAAGTTAACCAAGAAAGGGGAAGGCATGGGGGTCCTGCTATCAGGAGACTCCACACAGAAAAGAGGCAAAAGGAAGTCTCTGGATGCTGGTGCAGGGAAGTTCCAAGATGGCGTCTGCAAGCAGGCCTTGAGAGCCGCCAATCTGGACTGAACTGGAGGAATCAGAGCTCTGGGAGGAAAGTCTCTAGAAAAAATTTAAAAATGAAACATAAGACTATATGGCAAATTGCACTAAGAAGTTGTAAGAAAGTTGTGGAAAGAATTAGTAATCTTTACAAATAAAACTCATCAAATGACAAAACAAGCTAATTATTAACTTCAGGATTATCAAAAATTTGTACAAGAAAAGAAATTATTGTGCAGTATTTGGCAGAGTAAGAACAACATTCACATAATCATAGTAATTTAAACATAGAATATTTGATTTACCCTTTATGGGAAAGAAGCAGTGCAAGGAAGAGACTGGATTTCAAGTTAAATTGTCTGTCTTCAAATAAAAAGGTAATGGCCAAACCTCACTAATAAATAAAAGCAGAATAAGAATACTAGCTACAAATATGAAAGCGGATGCCAGAGAAACAGGTAAAAGAGTTAAATGTGATTGTTTATAAGGATCAAAACTAGGGAATAGGGCAAGGACACAGTAAAAGCCTGCCATTTAGAACACACTGACTTTTTAAGCTGTGTGCAAGTATTAGCTTGGCAAACAACTTTTGAATCATTTAAAAATATTTTGGAAGTTATTTTGAAAAAATAAAGGGGGAAATGTGGTACTCAGAAGTAACAGTAGAAATAATAATGAATTCTTTGTTACAGCAGCACTTACATCCACAACTGAATTACTCAAACCCTTTGTAAGGGGGAATTTCTGCTGGGATTTTTTATTTGCTTTGACGATCTTAATGTTTTGTTTTGAATGGAGTCGTTGCTGAGCTCTGTGACATGTTGAACACCTCACCAAGTTCAGAGGCACATGTGGCAAGGGCAGTCCAGATTCTAAAAGGAAAAAGGGAATTAGGGACCTCTGAGAACAAATCAGGGACACAGGAAGGCTGGTAGCTCAAAGAAATGAGAAATTGAATTAAAAAGTTTTCATTGAATAGGTTAGACCTCCCAGCCATCACACTTCATTGTCACCTGCTGGAAAAAGATCACACTAGGTGAGATCAGCCCTTTGAGTGAGAGTCGTGTGTATGAGAGAGGAAGGGGAAAGAAAGGAAAGGAAGAAAGAGCCAATTTATCTAGGTCAGATTTCTATTCTCAGATAAGCCACCTCTTTTAACTGTACTTAATTACTTCTTTTTTCATTTCAAACATTTACTACAGGGCCTTCAGGGATACTGAGAGTTTCCTTCATAGGTATGCAGTGATATTTGATACAGATTTTTAATGTATTACAATTGATAAGGCAAAGAGCCCACTAAGTTATACCCTCCACAAAGACGTTCCAAACAAGTTCTGGAGATTTTTGCCTAAGTAAATAAGAACAGAGCTGTGCATAGTGTTTTTCTGCTGCACATAATGGAATCTTACAAGCAACCTGAGCAATAAGGTCGGGGCAAGGGCTTCCAGAGACTGGGATTCATTGGCACCTCACTGAAACCCATGTCCTACTTCTAAATGTGTGTAAATGGAGAGATTGGGTTTGCTACAAACGATTTTGCTTTATAAGCAACTTTAATGGAGATAGAGGAATACCAGAAAGACCTTTTTATCATTACAAGAAGTAACAGCAAAACAGGTCATGAGAGCAAGGGCACAGTCAGGAGCTTCTGCTTCAGGAAAACTCATGTTGTAACAGTATTCCTTTAGAGATGGGAATGAACTATTTTGAGCTCTTTGATTTTCTATGAAAAAGAATACTTTTGAACGTGCAATATACGTCTCTCTTTTTTAAAGTTGGCTGTCTGAAGAGAAGGCCTTAGAGAGAAGACTAACAGAGACAGCTCCTAGTAATTCCTAGAAGGTCACTGGAAAGCTGATTTGCATGGCTCAAGATGCATGTGGAAGCTGTGGGCTTGATTCAGATGGTCACCACTGCCCTACAGTTATAGCACATTCTCTTCCTTATAAGAGTTCTCTAGACCCTTAATATTGAGGGGTAAACCTATCACATCTAAGTGTTAATGACAAATTTTGTTGTCACTTCACTCATGGCTTGACTGTTTAATTTAGAACCAGAGAGAAGGCCAAGGCATATTGGATTTCCTGCCCTGATTTACGGGAGGGAGGTTGTCTTGGGTCAGAAGGTCCTACCCAGTTCTCATCACATCTGAGATTTTATATTTGCAAATTCTGACAATGCACACAAAGGTGTACAAAATTAACTATTATGGTGCTTGTCTTATAGTAGGTATTTAGAATACTTTTAAAATTTACACTTCATAGAAATAATTATCTTAGAAAGTTAAAAAGAATGCTTAGAGGGGTAGGATGGTATGCCTTTTTGTATCAACTCAGACAAGATTTGTTGAAGAATCAAGTTTAGAGTTTAGATTTAAATTTAGGTACAAGAGTCACACTTAATAGGGAGCAGGGAGGGACAAGTCTAGACATAGGGAATATTTTGAGCAAAAATTCAGAAGCAGGATAGGTGACCCTTGTAATATAACTGCCATATAATACCCAGGGCCAGCGTTTTACAACCTGAAAGAAGATGTCATAAATACTGATGGTTTGGCAGCAAAAGCAGCCCCAAGTGGCCTCTTCAAGGTCTATGTAACTTCAGATCTTCTCTCGTCACTCTCTGCCGCACTCATTCAATTTATAGGCAGCAATAAGTCATTCCTCATCCCCTTCCACCCCTTAACTAAGTGGCCCTATGACCTTCTTAGGGGTGGAAATCAAAATGAGAGAGATGAATTTAAAAAACAACAAAATTAAGTACATTTTTAGTTAAGTGTCAGGTTGATAGCTTTATGCTATTTAAATAGATTTATAATCTTGCAAATAGATTATGGCAATTGCCCCAAAACAAAAGAACACATGACAGACTCCAGAAATTCTATTTTTCAGCATGAGATAAAAACAAAATAGATCTTGTCATTGTACATGGATGAAAATGCAATAAAAATAAGTGATTTGATCATCCTACTGAGTGGCACTGAGACAAAATCTTTATTATGTGTGATATGGGATTTGATGACAAGAGTCATAAAATGAAGACCAGAAATCAGTATAGAGTGTAATGTGTAATGTATAACCTTGTCTCGGGGAATTTCTCTAATCGTCTCTTGAACTGAAGTTAAGAATTGGGTAAAAATTAACTAAAAGAAACTATAATTCCTATTATCCTTTCTCAAGTTAATACAACAAGCTCTTAGTACCTGTAGGTATTAGGAAACTTGCTGCAGTCAGCTCTGCCTCTTAGAAAAAGCCAGTGAATCAACCAGCTTTTTGCCCTCTGCTAGTTGCAGTGTCATGGAAACAAAGACTTGATCCACAAAGCCAGCCAGGTCATTTAAAATATCCACCCTTTCAAAGAAAAGACATACAAAGACTGTTTTATAGTTTTGGATATTTTTATAAGCAGCAGAGTATTTAAACCTGACCCATTTTTTTTCTGATATAACAAATTGTCAGCAATAACCATAATAGTAAAGGCAAAATTACTTTTATTCTTTGTTGCATCAGAAAAAAATCAAATTATTTGGCCTTTTCCTCTCCTTTTACATATCAACAATTTTAGCAGTTCATAGGTTGGCAGTATATTATTTCTGATATGCAAAATTGAATCTATGAAATACATACATAGGAACTTTTTTGGAGTCAGAATTATATTGGCTCCTAAGTATATAAGTCCTATTCCCTCAAAGGAGAGAATGGAGAAATTGTTATTGTAGAGAAAAAAACATTTGATTCAGCTTCCTAAGACTTGAATTCAGAGGCTTAGAATTAGGGAAGATCTCAGAGACCATCTGGTGCTAGCCAAATCCCACATTTTACAAAAAAGGAAACAAAATTCTGAGAGATTGAAGTGAGGAAGATGGAGCTAGCACCCTCCCACTCAATTGGGTGGTTCTGTCCATGAAGAACTCTGTTGCCCTGGATCAGTCAGTTACCTTTCTTAGATACCTAGCTGTAAACCAAGGGATGGAGGAGACTAAATTCACGTGCTGTAAGGGTTAAGGTACAGCAACTTCTACATTGTGTATGTACTATAAGGGGCATATATGAAAATTAGGAGAAGTGCTCAATCTAGGAAACTTAATTCAAATTAAAGCAACACCAATATCAACAATATACCTATGTGCTGGCTGCTCTTCAACCAGTCCCCACCACCCAGTGAACAAATAATATATCCACTGGCCATACTTATTCCTGGAGCTGTGGAACCTCCCCTTGATTTTCCAAGGTGCCTTCAGTATCTACACGTATGGCTCTTTCCAGTTATGAAAAATTCCACGAAGCTATACTACAACACACACCTCTCTCCAGTTTACATTATCCCATATCATCCTTTAGTGTCTCCCATCTTTTTCTTTTGAAAGTAACAGATAAACAAAAGAGCAGACAATGTGTCAGTATGTTGTTAAAAGTGAAAACCAAATAAGCAAGGTGTACTGACCTTCTACATAGTGGTAATGACATATGCAACTTATTGAAATCATAAATTACAAATATGATTATCTATTGTATAAAATATGATTTGCAGACATGATCACAATAAATTTGCACAACAGTTGTGTGAAGTAGGTTCATTATGTTTTTTTATAGACAAGTAAACTAAATCTCAGAATGGTAGAGAGACTTCCTCAAATGCGCCCACCCCAAAAATGGAGAAGTCCATTTTCAAAACCAGATCTTTTTTCA
This sequence comes from Homo sapiens, assembly GCF_000001405.40. Taxonomy (NCBI): domain Eukaryota; kingdom Metazoa; phylum Chordata; class Mammalia; order Primates; family Hominidae; genus Homo; species Homo sapiens. The sequence goes on along the minus strand of NC_000006.12, from coordinate 71,764,884 downwards.
AGCCAATGCTTTCTCACTAAACCATAATTAATTGTTTTTTCTAATAAGAGGTGAATAGCACACCTATAGAAAACTATCTAATACAATGAAGAGCATTCTTTAGTCTTGCTTGTTTCTGCAATGGTGGATATAAACGTAAGACTTAAATTGGGGGATCAAAAGTACCGGCATTTGTAGGTTTTCTATGTCATACGTACAATTTTATGCAACATTTTAGTTTCTGAAGTTCTATATAATTGATTTTCTGTTATATTAGGGAATATTCTTCTAAAATGATTTTAGTGATTCAGTTTCCTTCCTGATTTTTCACGAGGGATTCTGACTAGGAAACTTGGGAAGGCTTCACTCAGGAAGTAAAATTTCAGTTGGCATTTGAAGAATGTTTAATTGCTTGTATTTCCGACCTGTTAGGTTAAATTTTTTGTCCCTTTCCCCAGGTCAAGCTCTGTAAACCACAATTGTATAAAAACAAACAAACAAAAAAACTGGACAAAAACCTACCTTTAGTGGAATCAAAAAATATGTTATTTGCAATATCAATATTTTAAACACATCTTTGATAAATGAAATAAGGGTATTCTATCATAACAATATGAATCCTTGCATGCTGATTCCTCTTAAGAAAGTGGGGTCACATCTGTATTATTTGAGACTTTGAATATAAGGAGAACATTTAGATGAGGAATAAGACACTGAAGCAGATTTTTTTTCTGTGTCAAAACTATACACCAACTTGTAAGTGGCTTCCATGTAATTAGTTGAGGATTTATTTATCTATTTACATGCTTATTTTGTATTAAAATCATAAATTAATCAGGATCCTTAATGGAAGCTAGTCCAGGCACATGGAATACAGCCTGCAAAAGAGAAATAAAAGGGAGCAAAAAGTAAAAAAAAAGACATTTATAGATTCTACTAACTTTAAAGCCCCTAAAAGTTTCTTTCCTGATGATGATCTGACTCTCTGGCCCATTTCGTTTCAGTAAGGGCTGAACCAAATTACCTCCACCTACCACCTCACTCTGATGTCAGGCTTATGCTAGTTTATGGTTTTTGTTTGTTTCTTCACTCTCAGGTCTCCCTCTCTTGATGTCTCTAAACTTGGGCAGGTAACTTTATTCTAACTCCTAGTTGCATCCTTTGTATGACAATCTGATTTCAGGAGTCTTGACCTTGGCTTGTGCCTAGACTCATTAAATCAATCCCAGTGAGACTGATAACAGAAATCTTATAGCAAAGAAAGGTACCTCTCTGCTATGATGTGTGTCCCCAACAATGTATTTGTTGGAAACTTGATCCCCAATGCAATGTTGTTGGGAGGTGGGGTCAAGTGGAATGTGCTTGAGTCAAGGGGGGACCATACGCCTGAATGGATTCATGCCAATACTGCTGCCGTGGGTTCATATTCTTGGAAGTAGGTGTTCCCTTTCTCCCATGTGATACATTTGCCATGATATAATACAACAAGAAGGTCCTCACCAGATGCCTGCACCTTGATTTTGGACTACTGAGCCTCTAGAACTATGAGAAAAATAATTTCTGTTCTTTGTAAGTTACCTAGTCTCAGGTATCCTGTTACAGCAGCCCAAAATGAACTAAGACACTCTCTTTCCCTAATTGTTCCAATTCATCTGACAATTATATTTTGAATCCTCAAAGTATTTGGGCAAACCTTTTCACATTTTCTTCATTAGTTGAAATATTTACTGTGTTACTAATATGATATAGAGTATAACAGGTATTCAATAAAAACTGGAAACTGGTTAGATTTTTTAGAAACTGGTTTTTGATTACTACGCAGCAACCACTCTGATCAACATGGTCATTATTTTAGCATTTAACTAAATGTGTTAGTTTCATGTGTTTCATTAAACCCTGAAGAGAAAGGTAGATACAGGTTTGAAAGTACACAGAATATGAACTCTAACTTCAAAGCATTTAAATTCTGTCAAGGGTAACAGCTGTGAAAACAAATCAAGTACAATTGAAAATTAAATAAAAAATGATAAAAGAAGTGAAATCAGAATATCATGAGTACACAGATGAAAACATAGTTAATTTAGGGTTTTATGGTGTATTTAAGCAAGGAAGTGGCATTCGAGTTCAGACTTAGAGAATGAAAATAATTTAACAACAAAATGTGAAGATGTTGAAATACATCATGCATCATGCATTCAGTGAGGGGCTAATTGGAAATGGGCAGAGGGCTTTGGGGGCTGTAGTAAGAAATGTGTCAGAATTGAATGTCACCTCTGTGCTGACTCTTGCGGACACAAATCAATGAGAATTAATGGCCTGCTTTGTGGGGTATATAGTACACCAGGGAGTATCTATTACATTGAACCCAGTCCTGTTCTTTTCTGGCACACCATAAATTGCAAACACTTATAGAATAGAATTGTAACCCAGGAGCTCCCTTGGGATTGCTTGCTCCCTTTTCAAATGTGCAGGCTTTCCTAACTGACAAGGAAATCAGAGTTTGGTCTCAGTCTTCAGCCTAGAAACTTTCTGGTACATCTTTGTACCAGGTAGGTCTTCCGGCTGTGCTGACTCCTCTGCAGGTGCTCTCTAGCATGACCTATGAACCCTTATGTAAAGCCATAGTGCCCTTGCTAATCCACTACCCCAACTTCCCCTCTATGAACACAAGCTCAGAAAGGAAAGGGTCAGAAAGAACCCCCTTCTTGCCACCATATTCCTTTGATCTCCATTAGATTAATACTCCAGCCTGCAGAAGCACATACAAATATATTACTGAAGGAGTAGAGGAATTTTAGAAAGGAATTTAATACAAATAAATATGATGTAAAAGTTCTAGTTACTGTGAACTTTCTCTTAAATCTCAAATTCTAAACAATTTGGAATAATGGTGAGCCAAGGGAAAAGCCTGAAGAGAACTTTTTAGAGAGACCGGGAAAGTTGTTTACTAAGTGGGGAGATTGGTATCTTAGCCCCAGTTCAATGGTAACCTCTAGAGTTGATTATGGGTAGTTTTTAAACATCTCATCAGTAATAGCCCTAAAATGAAATAATAATATTAGCCAGAAAATAAATGCAGACTGTGAAAAATCTTCATTGAGCTTCATAAACATAAACATGTCAGTAAAAAGTAAAGTAACGATAAAATTTTTTTTATTATTGCATTTTGAGATGGAGTCTCGGTCTGTTGTTCAGGCTAGAGTGCAATGGCGCGATCTCAGCTCACTGCAACTTCTGCTTCCCAGGTTCAAGCAATTATCCCACCTCAGCCTCCTGAGTAGCTGGGACTACAGGTGCACACCACTACACCTGGCTAAATTTTTGCATTTTGAGTAGAGACGGGGTTTCCCCATGTTGGCCAGGCTGGTCTCAAACTCCTGACCTCAGGTGATCTGCCCACCTGGGCCTCCCAAAGTGCTGGGATTACAGGCATGAGCCACCACGCACGGCCAAAATTAATATTATAGCACAAAAAAGAAATATACAACAAATGAACATTTTAATTACATTAATATATACATCGTAAAATTCTATCTATATATTGATTTGTCACAGTAATGAATAACATTACGATTTAGCACAATTAAATAAAAAGTAAGAGCACAAGCCATTTTTTAAAGGAATGTTTCCAGTTTAAAAATATTATTCAAAGTTAATAAAGTGTTTTTTGTCTTGTTTTCTTTTGTTTTTGAGACAGAGTCACTCTCTGTTGCTCAGGCCGGAGTGCAGTGGTGCGATCTCAACTCACTGCAACCTCTGCCTCCTGGGTTGAAAGGATTCTTGTGCCTCAGCCTCCTGAGTAGCTGGGACTGCAGGCATGCGCCACCACACCCGGCTAATTTTTGTGTTTTTAGTAGAGATGGGGTTTCAGCATGTTGGCCAGGTTGGTCTCGAGCTCCTGACCTCAAGTGATCTGCCCACCATGGCCTCCCAAAGTGCTGGGATTACAGGCGAGAGCCATTGTGTCCGGCCTTAAAGTTAATAAAGTGTTTTATGAGTAAACCAATATTTATATTTACCAAACAAAAATATTGCCCCTTGCAGTTTGCACCTATTTCACTGTTTTAAATTTTAAACACAAATACAAACTCCAAGAGGTCACAATGAATGACAGGAATGAAGTAACTTGTGTTCTGTTCCTTTGCCGCTATGATCACTGTGCGGTCACTGTTTATTTGTAATCTACCATTTAAATGCAGGAATATGTAGTACCACAGGGGGTGGAGACACAAACCACACTTGAAGTGAGCGTCAACCATTACATACTATTAGGAAGTTACTCTCAAATATGAATCCCTGAAGCCAAGACTTTGTCTATCAGGGGGCAACTGTATAAGTAAGGATTCTCCAAATTAATGTCCTTATGGAGACCTTTGCTGAAGGATAAGTAATAACAATATGCTAATTTGAAGCCTATTATGTATTATTAATACTCAAAAAGAACTTAGACTAACAAAATATTTTTTCACAAGGAATATGTTATCACTGATACTGTTTAGAGTTGTCAAGTGCCTAGTAATAATTTTAAAAACTGACTTTTGGTGAGTTTTATTACTGTTTTAAAATTTTTACACCAAATGCTTCTCCTTATGATCTGCACCCAGGGAGACATCCCCTATTGCCACTGCCCTAGCTAAATGGCTACTGAGCTGTAGGAATTTTGATATTCTCCTCAACTATTCAGAATAGAGCACAAGGGATATTGAGAGAACTTGACATATGCACCCAGGAATATTAAGACTACATGTGCATTTCAAAACTTTCAGCTGCTTTTCACCTGGGGAGTCAAGTGGATGCCACAGCACTTAGCTTGACTCAAGTCATTTGGAATGACTCCACCTAGAAAGCATTTTGTGGGGGAGAGGGGACTCCAGGAGAAAAGGCAAAGATGTGTTACAGGAAGCAAGAGATCAGGAAATCAGCCAGAGAGAATAACACCATATTGGGGAAGAGTGCAGTATGCAGGTTCTCAGAAGGGGATCTCTAGAGAGATGCTCTATGGAAGACCAGGTATTTGTGTACCTACCATGACATGCCAGTCCCCAAGAAAGAATCACAAGCCACATTGGCTAAATAAAAAGACATTACTCTTTTCCTTCTTCTTTCTCTTCTTTTCTGCCTCTCCTCTCTCAAACTTGGAGAAGCCAGAGGAATAGCATAGTACATGGGAGAGAAAGAAGAGAAAGATGAAAGTCAAAATTACAACCCATCCATATTTTTTCTGCTGTTCTCCATTCTCTGGATCAAACCTGGGCTCTAAAAAGGGAATAATCATAGAATGTATTTAAAGTAGCCTAAGATTTTACTGATAATGAATATGTTTTTTACACCTAAAAGTAATCTAAAATTATGACATTAGCCAAGTGCTGACAGATCTTATGGAACCTATTTCAAAGCAATGAAAGAGAAAAATAAAGTGTGCACTGCTGAGCTCAGCCCATCAACAAAACTGGTTACAGTATAATCCCATCCATAAACTAAACTAGTCTATCAAAGAATGATGTGGGAGACTGATAAGCCTTGTCTGATCCCTTAAGACCATTATACATCTTTGACTTTATTCATAATGCTTGCAGACATGCAAGATCCTCCTGCTTCAAGTTTCTTGATCTCTGCTCCACCAACAAAACCTCTTTTTTTTTTTTTTATTTGAATGAAGAACTCACAGAGCTCTTACAATCAGATTTGGAAAATATACAACTCTACAGTCTTCTAGCTTTATTCTCATCTCCTTAATTATTCTGAAAGCTCCAGATCCCATGCAAAATGGCCTTTGGGGAGGGAAAAGAACACTGCATTCCTTTCTCTTCCCTTCCTCTTTCTGCAGTGTCCTCCTTTCCCAATCCACCCCACGTTTAGCCCCATGTAGGGAAGAGAGTCACTGCAGGTTCCCTTTGTGATCTGTTTTCTTCAGTACAAACTTCTTTAGGGGCTTAGGTTCATTGCCAGGCTCACTCCATCAGGCAGCTGCTGCTAAGCACTCAGCCCACTTTCTCTTCCCTGCTTATTAGCACTTTGCCTAAGCTCCTGTTAGTAATTCCCTTTCCTATTTTGTGACACCTGGAGTATTTTCAATTATCTCAAGGAATATCATGTAATTCTCAAAAATTCTCTAAGCCATATCAAACTTTAAATCACTTTAAATAACAAAACTATGCTTTACAGCATTATAATGAGGGTAATACACTATTCATACAGTTTGGGGGGCGTAATGACCCAAGGGTGGATACTGACTTGTTCATATTGTTGTTTCTTCCACTTTAACAAAAAAGCTCACAATGTGTGATGAGCACATTCAAATGTTGCAGGAAGGGGTCTGGAAGATGTTTTTAGTGCTGTGAAGATGAGTGACAACAGAGTACAGATAGAGCCAGAAAGGATCAATAAGACCTTTGTCAGATCATGCGAACTCTTTCAAGATTAGATATAAACTTGCTGCCCCATAACTTTTTAACTTAGCACTTTATACTTAGGAGGTGCTGTTATAGGGACTTTGTGACATTATTTTATTTAATATGTACAACAGCCTTATGATGCATACATAATACTTATCCGTACTTACTGATGAAGAAGCAGGCTTAGAATAGTAAACCTTAGTAATAGTAAATACTGAATCCTGACCCTAGAGATCTTTCCACAATATGATGCCTTTTTTAAAACAACAAAGTAAAAATATTTCTAGTGAGCCTATCTTCCTTAGTAGGGGGTGGGGGGATTGTGTAGCTTATAGCTACATATTTAGCAGGTTCTATATATCAGGAACGTTAGCTATGCAATTTCTGAGCATCTCAATTGTCCTGTAGTGAAGAAAGAGTGTGATGGAGCCAGCTCACACCAGCTAGTGAGAGTTGATTGTTATATTTTCAGAACTTTTTGAGATAGTTAGTAAACATTATCCTTATTAAAAATTAAATTATATAAACTCACATTAAAAATAAATTGCATTAAGAACACAGGTATTAAATTTTTAAAAAATACTTCCTAATTATTTTAGGACATTTTATATAAATTATGCTGAGTCTCCTTGTACTTTTTGTACACATGTAGTGGAAACATACAATGGTGTGCTTCTGCACTTCTCTTCCCAACTCCATGTTTAGTGACATCACATAGGGAGCTTCAAATTGGCCATGGCAAGAGTCTTTATATCATAGAAATCAACCACACTAAAAAGAGCTTGATATACCTTAGCCTACTTTTCATTAAAACAGGAAACAGCTGACCATTTCTTGCTTCTATGTGTCAGTAGCTATTACACCATGAATAGGACAAAAAATTTAGAAAACATTCTTTCAGTATTTGATAACTATTATTAGATTCAACAAAGAATTCATTCACATCATTGATGAATGAGTGAAATTCTAGCATGTCTTCACTGTTTCATTTTTGTCTTACTCATTAACATAAATAAAATTATCAACCAATATTCACATCAGAACTACATTCACTTGTCAATGACATGAAGAGTTTCTTTGCTGAATTGGATAGTAATCAAGCATTTATTCATAGTCTGATATTGTGATGCTGTTGTTGGATTATAAAAATGATAGTGGATTTATAAAGAAATGGCAAATCACATGGAAATTACTATGGTTAGGTGCACTTTGCAAAAAATAATATTGCGTATCTTATTATTTGTACTGTCTATATCAAAAATTTATAATAAAGTTAAATAGGTATAAATATGGAAACACTTTCCAGAAAGAGTCAATTGTTAATTATTTACCAGCACACCACTGGTATGAGTATTATTACCTGCATCTTACAGAGTAGGAGACTGGGGCTCAGAAAGTGTACTTACCTGCCCAAGGTTGAACCACTAGTAAGTGCAAGAGATATGACTGACTAGAACTCAGGATTGCCTGAATAAAACACATACTCCTTTCTTCAATGTTTTGACTTAGGGTTGATACCTAAATTTATTATAATGACTTTGCTTTCACTTTTAGGTTTGAGTCTGCAAGACCAGTTAGAATTGCTTTGCCTCTCTCCTCTTCCAGATTGCAGGTGTTCAACTTCAGGTGAAAGGCAGTTGTCACCTCATATAGGTGGGTTCGGATGGTTGACTCTCCTTTTGTGTCCTGTCCTCACCATCACCATCAGGACAGGAGAGAATCAAATGATGGTGTGAAAAGGGATTAGATGCTAGAATAAGGAGAGATTGATGTTCAAATCTTCATTTGACTGTATAATGTATAATTTTAAACTTCAGTTTCCTGCCTTTTAGGATTGTTGTCTTAAACATCACATGTGAAAGCACTTTACATACAGCAGGGTACAAGTAAGAGGAGCCACAAATTCAGATGCTTCAAGAGACTGAGTAAGAGAATGAAAATGACCCAATGTCAAGTAACAGTAAGTGGTGGGGATAGGGTGGACTGGAGAATTTATAATTGTGGCTTCCAAATTAACTTCCCTACAGAACAGATTGAAGCTGGAGTCTTCTGTGACTGATGTAAGCCCAAGAGGATAGCAAAGTAGATGTGTTTTGAAAAACACATAATTTAGGGAAGGATCCTAAAAGAGTACAAAAACCTAAGTGGGAATTAGTGCCATTGAAATGTCCAAACGGTCATCAAGTTTTGCTTCATTAAATTAGTGAGGCTTTTTCCCTTAAACTTGGAAAGAATGGTCTTGTTCTGTTGTATATTTTTAAATTGACCAGGGCTCTTTTAGGCCTTACATTTCTAACTCTACAACTCTGTCACCTTTCTGCTTCTACAGGCTTCCTGTGTAACCTAATCATCATTGAAGCAACAAATAGCTGTCCATTTACTACCTCTATTTACCAGTGACAGAAACCCCAGTTGTTATTCCACAGTCTCTATTTGGCTCCCCTATTGCTTCCTCTGCTAATGTTTCAAAAGAAAGCATTGAAAAACATCTTATAATATGCTAACCTATTTTCAAACTGTGTTAACTTTTCAAAATAGGGACTCCATAGCTCCTAAGAATTTCATTAAAAATTGTATGTATGTAAAACTTGACATGCATATAAAAAGTACTAAAATATATCCATATTGTTTTAAAATGATAATAAAATAAACGCTTACGGACTTTATTTCTTCTGCGGTTTTTTTGGCCAGGATGGAGGAAAAAGAACAAGATTTGTACTCCTGCCTGAAACAATCTGTACACTCTGCCCTCCCAACACACACGATAAAATATATGAAAAAAAAATGGTTTTCAAGAAACTGGATGTCAGGAAATGAAGGGCTATGATCTGTGAGGAACAGGAATTGAATGAGACAAGACATAAACTTGTCCCAGCGTAGTTTTTGAGAGAGCGTCTAGGCCATAACCCAAGAAGGAAGAAGCAGGATAAGCAGGGAGAACTCCCTGGGTTGGGAAGACAGAGATGAAAGTCTGGGGATAGCAAGGCAGCTAGAATTCTTAGGATAGAGCACCACAGAGCACTTTAAAAAGAGAAAATAATACATGCCATCTACAGTGGTGTCAAATAACATCAAATGATTAGGAATACATCTAAAGAAAAATTTAGTGTACTTCTGTAAACGAATATGTACTCACTCTAAACTAATCCGTATTATTGAGAATAAAGACGATATGAATAAAGTGAGAAATATTCCATATTAATTGAATGGAAGACTTAATATTGTTAAGATGTCAATCACCACTACCAGAAGGACTAAAAAACAGAAAAAAAAAAGATACTTCTAAGTGTTAGTGAGCATGTAGAGCAGTTAAAACTCATGCACTGCTGATGAGAATATAAACGATTAAACGACTTTGGAAAAATGTTTGGCAATATCTACTAAAGCTGATCATATACATGCCCTATTATCTAGCAATAATATCTAGATACATGTTTAATTAAATTGCATACATATGTTCACTAGGAGACATGTATAGTAATGTTATAGGCTCTATTCATAACAGCTAAAAATCAGAAGTATTCACATGCCTATCAAGAGTAGAATATACAAATAAATTGGAATGTACTTCCACAATGGAATCCCACACAGCAACGAGAATGGATAATCTAAAAATATATGTTAGCCAGGCGCAGTGGCTCACGCTTGTAATCCCAGCACTTTGGGAGGCTGAGGTGGGCGGATCACAAGGTCAAGAGATGGAGACCATCCTGGCCAACATGGTGAAACCCTGTCTCTACTAAAAATACAAAAAATTAGCTGGGCGGGGTGGCACATGCCTGTAGTCCCACCTACTCGGGAGGCTGGGCAGGAGGATCGCTTGAACCAGGGAGGCAGAGGTTGCAGTGACCTGAGATTGCACCACTGCACTCCAGCCTGGCGACAGAAAGACACTCCATCTCAAAAAACAAAACAAAACAAAATATATATATATGCTACAAAATGGATAAATTGCATACCTGTAAGGTTGAGTGATGGAAGCAAAACACAATAGAAAACATACTATGTGATTTCATTCCCTTCAAAATATATACAAAATTAGTCTAGGCAGTTACCTTGGGTGTAAGTGATTAGAAGGGAACGTTAAGTATTCTGGGTGCTGATGATGTTTCTAGGTATGGGTTACATGAGTCCTCTCAGTTGTGAAAACTCATAAAATTATACATTTTAAATATGTGCATTTTTCTGTATGTATATGTTAATAAAAAGCTTTTTTAAGTATTTGATATCTGAAGTGTCAGCTTCATACTACTCCGTAGAAAATTCTACATCTTGGAAACTCTAAAACTATAAAATGTTTTATAAACAGAGAACAAAACTAAATAAAGCTAACATAGTCCTCTAAAAAGCAGCAGTTTTAAATCAATTGCTATAATGATTGCTATATTGACAAATACAATTTCACAAATCTACTTTAGTTTATTGACAGCCCATTTTCTCTTTTCAAAATTGCTTCTTTTCTAACTATAAACTAATACACACTTATTGTGGAGAACTCAACAAAGAATTATGGAAAGGTAAAGGGAAGATTATAGAAATCACTTGTTTTAAACACAATATTTTGTCATATATCCTGTCAAATATATGAGTGTGTGTAATTAAATTGTCTATATTTATAAATATATACAGTTCTGGTGTTCCCTCTATATATTAGGTAATATATTCTACATTTCATTTTATGTGCTGCTTTTTTATACTAACCATTACGATATGAGTATTTAAATGTAATTTAAAAATTTTCCTGACTGACTCTCTTTTCGGACTCAGCCCGCCTGCACCCAGGTGAAATAAACAGCCTTGTTGCTCACACAAAGCCTGTTTGGTGGTCTCTTCACAAGGACGCGAGTGAAATTTTGGTGCTGTGACTCGGATTGGGGGCCTCCCATGGGAGATCAATCCCCTGTCCTCCTGCTCTTTGCTCCGTGAGAAAGATCCACCTATGACCTCAGATTCTCAGACCAACCAGCCCAAGGAACATCACACCAATTTTAAATCAGGTAAGCGACCTCTTTTTACTCTCTTCTTCAACCTCCGTCACTATCCCTCAACTTCTTTCTCCTTTCAATCTTGGCACCACACGTCAATCTCTCCCTTCTCTTAATTTCAGTTCCTTTCCTTTTCTTGTAGAGATAGGAGACGCATTTTATCCATGGACCCAAAACTCCAGCGTGGGTCACAGACTGGGGAAGACAGTCTTCCCTTGGTGTTTAATCACACGGGGACACCTGCCTGATTATTCACCCACATTTCAGAGATGTCTGACCATGCGGGGATGCCTGCCTTGGTCCTTCACCCTTAGTGGCAAGTACCACTTTTCTGGGTGGCAAGAACCCCCAGACCCCTTCTCTCCGTGTCCCTATCCCTTCTCCACTTTCCTGGGGGGGCAAGCACTCCCCACACCTTCTCTCCATGTCTCTACTCTCTTTTTTCTCTGGGCTTGCCTCCTTCACTATGGGCAGCCTTCCACCCTCCATTCCTCCTTCTTCTCCCTTAGCCTGTGTTCTCAGTAACTTAAAACCTCTTCAACTCACACCTGACCTAAACCTAAATGCCTTATTTTCTTCTACAATGCCGCTTGACCCCAATACAAACAAAACAGTGGTTCCAAATAGCCAGAAAACAGCACTTTTGATTTTTCCATCCTACAAGATCTAGATAATTCTTATCGTAAAATAGGCAAACGGTCTGAGGTGCCTGATGTCCAGGCATTCTTTTACACATTGTTCCCTCCCTAGTCTCTGTTCCCAATGTGACTCATCCCAAATCCTCCTTCTTTCCCTCCCACCTGTCCTCTGAGTCCCAACCCCAAGCGTCGCTGAGTCTTTCTAATCTTCCTTTTCTACAGACCCATCTGACTTCTCCCCTCCTCCCCAGGCTGCCCCTCGCCAGGCCGAGCCAGGTCCCAACTCTTCCTCAGCCTCTGCTCCCCCACCCTATAATCCTTTTATTACCTCCCCTCCTCACAGCCTGTCCGGCTTACAGTTTTGTTCTGCGACTAGCCCTCCCGCACCTGCCCAGCAATTTCCTCTTAAAAAGATGGCTGGAGCTAAAGGCATAGTCAAGGTTAATACTCCTTTTTCTTTATCTGACCTCTCCCAAAATCAGTTAGCATTTAGGCTCTTTTTCATCAAATATGAAAAACCCAGCCCAGTTCATGGCTCGTTCGGCAGCAACCCTGAGACAGTCCTAGACCCTAAAAGGTCAAAAGGCAGTCTTATTCTCAATATACATTTTATTACCCAATCTGCTCCTGACATTAAATAAAACTCCAAAAATTAAATTCCAGCCCTCAAACCCCACAACAGGACTTAATTAACCTCGCCTTCAAGGTGTACAATAATAGAGTAAAGGCAGCCAATTAGCAATGTATTTCTGAGTTGCAATTCCTTGTCTCCACTGTGAGAGAAACCCCAGCCACATCTCTAGCACACAACAACTTCAAAACAGCTGAACCGCTGCTGCCAGGGGTTCCTCCAGAACCTCCTCCCCCAGGAACTTGCTACAAGTGCCAGAAATCTGACCACTGGGCCAAGGAATGCCCACAGACCGGGATTCCTCCTAAGCCGTGTCCCATCTGTGCGGGACCCCACTGGAAGTCGGACTGTTCAACTCACCTGGCAGCCACTTCCAGAGCCCCTGGAACTCTGGCCCAAGGCTCTCTGACTGACTCCTTCCCAGATCTTCTCGGCTTAGCAGCTGAAGACTGACACTGCCCGATTGCCTCGGAAGCCTACAGGACCATCATAGATGCTCTGGGTAACTCTCACAGTGGAAGGTAAGTCCATCCCCTTCTTAATCAATACAGAGGCTACCCACTCCACATTACCTTCTTTTCAAGGGCCTGTTTCCCTTGCCTCCACAACTGTTGTGGCTATTGACGGCCAGGCTTCTAAACCTCTTAAAACTCCCCAACTCTGGTGCCAACTTAGACAACATTCTTTTATGCACTCTTTTTTATTTGTCCCCACCTGCCCAGTTCCCTTATTAGGCCAAGACATTTTAACTAAATTTTCTGCTTCCCTGACTGTTCCTGGACTACAGCCACACCTCATTGCCACCCCTTTCCCCAGTTCAAAGCCTCTTTTGCATCCTCCTCTCCTATCCCCCCACCTTAACCCACAAGTATAGGACACCTCTACTCCCTCCTTGGTGACTGATCACGCACTCCTTACCATCCCATTAAAACCTAATCATCCTTACCCCACTCAATGCCAATATCCCATCCCACAGCACGCTTTAAAAGGATTAAAGCCTGTTATCACTCACCTGTTACAGCATGGCCTTTTAAAGCCTATAAACTCTCCTTACAATTCCCCCATTTTACCTGTCCTAAAACCAGACCAGGCTTACAGGTTAGTTCAGGATCTGTGCCTTATCAACAAAATTGTTTTGCCTATCTACCGTGTGGTGCCAAACCCATATACTCTCCTATCCTCAATACCTCCCTCCACAACCCAATATTCTGTTCTGGATTTCAAACATGCTTTCTTTACTATTCCTTTGCACCCTTCATCCCAGCCTCTCTTCACTTTCACTTGGACTGACCCTGACACCCATCAGGCTCAGCAAATTACCTGGGCTGTACTGCCGCAAGCCTTCACAGACGGCCCCCATTACTTCAGTTAAGCCCAAATTTCTTCCTCATCTTTTACCTGTCTTGGCATAATTGTCATAAAAACACACATGCTTTCCCTGCAAAATAGTGTCCGACTGATCTCTCAAACCCCAACACCTTCTACAAAACAACTCCTTTCCTTCCTAGGCATGGTTGGATACTTTCGATTTTAGATACCTGGTTTTGCCATCCTAAAAAACCATTATATAAACCCACAAAAGGAAACCTAGCTGATCCCATAGATTCTAAATCCTTTCCCCACTCCTCTTTCCTTTCCTTGAAGACAGCTTTAGAGACTGCCCACACCCTAGCTCTCCCTGACTCATCCCAACCCTTTTCATTACCCACAGCTGAAGTGCAGGGCTGTGCAGTCAGAATTCTTACACAAGAACCAGGACCGTGCCCTGTAGCCTTTTTATCCAAACAACTTGACCTTACTGTTTTGCCTAGCCCTGAAGTCTGCGTGCAGCAGCCGCTGCCACCCTGATACTTTCAGAGGCCCTTAAAATCACAAACTATGCTCAACTCACTGTCTACAGTTTTATAACTTCCAAAATCTATTTTCTTCCTCACACCTGACACATACACTTTCTGCTCCCCAGCTCCTTCAGCTGTACTCACTCTTTGTTGAGTCTCCCACAATTACCATTGTTCCTAGCCTGGACTTCAATCCTGCCTCCCACATTATTCCTGATGCCACACCTGACCCCTATGGACTGTATCTCTCTGATCCACCTGACATTCACCCCATTTCCCCATATTTCTTTCTTTCCTGTTTCTCACCCTGATCACACTTGGTTTATTGATGGCAGTTCCACCAGGCCTAATCGCCACACACCAGCAAAGGCAGGCTATGCTACAATACAAGCCACTAGCCCGCCTCTTAGAACCTCTCATTTCCTTTCCATTGTGGAAATCTATCCTCAAGGAAATAACTTCTCAGTGTTCCATCTGCTATTCTACTACTCCTCAGCGATTATTCAGGCCCCCTCCCTTCCCTACACATCAAGCTCGGGGATTTGCCCCCTCCCAGGACTGGCAAATTGGCTTTACTCACATGCCTCAAGTCAGGAAACTAAAATACCTCTTGGTCTGGGTAAACACTTTCACTGGATAGGTAGAGGCCTTTCCCACAGGGTCTAAGAAGGCCACCACGGTCATTTCTTCCCTTCTGTCAGAAGATTGGCCTTCCCACCTCTATACAGTCCTATAACAGACTGGCCTTTATTAGTCAAATCACCCAAGCAGTTTCTCAGGCTCTTAGTATTCAGTGAACTAATGGTCTTTTAAAAGCACACCACACCAAGCTCAGCCACCAACTTAAAAAGGACTGGACGATACTTTTACGACTTGCCCTTCTCAGAATTCGGGCCTATCCTCGGAATGCTACAGGGTACAGCCCATTTGAGCTCCTGTATAGACGCTCCTTTTTATTAGGCCCCAGTCTCATTCCAGACACCAGACCAACTTGGACTGCACCCCCCCACCAAAAAAAACAAAAAAACAAAAAAACAAAACTTGTCATCCCTACTATCTTCTGTCTGTCATACTCCTATTCACCGTTCTCAACTACTCATAAATGCCATGCTCTTGTTTACACTGCTGGTTTACACTGTTTCTCCAAGCCATCACAGCTGATATCTCCTGGTGCTATCCCCAAACTGCCACTCTTAACTCCCTCTTAAAGTAAATAAATAATCTTTGCTGGAAGGACTATGCTGAACCTCCTTAGGCACTCTCTAGTTAGATGTCCTGGGTCCTTCCAATTCTTAGTCCTTTAATACCTGTTTTTCTCCTTGTCTTATTCTGTTCTTTTTTCAATTCATACAAAACCATATCCAGGCCATCACCAATAATTCTATACAGCAAATGTTTCTTCTAATAACCCCACAATATCACCCCTTACCACAAAATCTTCCTTCAGCTTAATCTCTCCCACTCTAGGTTCCCACACCGCCCCTAATCCCGCTGGAAGCAGCCCTGAGAAACATCGCCCATTGTCTCTCCATACCACCCCCAAAAATTTTCGCTGCCCCAACACTTCAACACTATTATGTTTTATTTTTCTTATTAATGTAAGAAGACAGGAATGTCAGGCCTCTGAGCTCAAGCTAAGCCATCATATCCCCTGTGACCTGCACGTATACATCCAGATGGCCTGAAGTAACTGAAGAATCACAAAAGAGTGATATTTAAATGGCCTGTTCCTGCCTTAACTGATGACATTCCACCACAAAAGAAGTGAAAATGGCTGGTCCTTGCCTTAACTGATGACATTACCTTGTGAAATTCCTTCTCCTGGCTCATCCTGGCTCAAAAAGCTCCCCCACTGAGCACCTTGTGACCCCCCACTCCTGCCCGCCAGACAACAATCCCCCTTTTTCCTTTACTTACCCAAATCTTATAAAACGGCCCCACCCCCATCTCCCTTCGCTGACTCTCTCCTCAGACTCAGCCCACTTGCACCCAAGTGAAATAAACAGCCTTGTTGCTCACACACACAAAAAAAATAAAATAAAATTTACTAAACACAATTTGAATGGGTCTAAACAATCCATATCAATACACTAAATTAAATTACTGTTATTCATCTTATTATTTGTATTAACTTGCTTCCAAATGTGTCATTATAAGGAACATTGCAGTGAACATCTTTGCACATATATCTTCATGAGTACTGTTTACTTAGAATAAATTTATCAAAGACAAGTTGTTAATTTAAAATATGTGATTTGTTCAAGACACTTTATATATATTTGTATCTATATATATATATATATATATATATATATATAGTATTGGAAGAATTGGGACCAGCATGCATTCTCAATAATTATATGAGAATTGTAGTTTCCCTGAACCTTTACTAAAAATAAACTTTTTTTGCATTTGTTGTTTCCATATTTGCAATAATTATTTGGTAGACAAAAAGTGTGTTTTAATTTTTCTTGGTTTTTAATGAAAATAAGTGTATTTTAGTCATTTGCATTTTTTTAAGCATTGTGTATTAAGGTGAGCTAATATTAAGTAAAGTCTGAAATAAACAGAGGTTTATTTATCACCCTGTCCAGTAGGTGTTAATTTGGCAGGTGGACACAAGCTGTTTGAGACCCAGGCTCTGCCACCCCCTAAATCTTTATTATTGAGATTGGGTCATACCACACAGGCAGAATAGGAAAGATGGAGAAAGGGGAAGGTGCAGTATGCAGACCCCCTGAAAAGCCCTGGCCTTGAAGTGGCACATCATTTCTGTTTCTCTTCTACTGGAGATGACTTAGACATGTGGCCATGAGGTAGGCTGGGAATGAGTCTAGCCATGTGCCAGACTACATTTCTGTCACTACTGAAAAGAGGGAAATTCTGTTGGCCAACTGGCACTCTCTGCCATGATGCCCTTTGTTCACCTTAATGGGTAGATTTAGTGAGTTTTCTCCATGAAATCTTTATATATAAATGACAAAAAATTGCTGTATATGTTACAAATATGTTTTCTGATTTACCCTGCTTTTTCTTTGAATTGGAATAATAACACAGAATTCTTTACTTCTTGTAATAAAAATATAAATTATTTCCTTTGAGTGTTCTTGCATTCCTTTTATATGTAGAATTTAATTTTCCATCTCAAGATCAGTAAAAGAACCTTTCATATTGTCTTTCTTTTTCCTAATAGATTTATTATGTCTTCCATTTAACTTTTTAATATCTCTATAATCCATTTTGATAAAGCAGCATCACTGATGAAAGAACATTTAACTATATACATATTTAGCATAGTTTATTAATTCTTCTCCCAAATATTTTATGATACCATGTTTATCACACACTAATTTTCTATATATGCCTTATCTATTTCTGAGCTATCTAGTCTGATCTCTTTGAGCTTGTACATCTTCTCTCAGAACCACGTTTCTAATTAATGAGGTTTTTTATTTTTATATCTGGTAGTACATTTCCCACTCGTGACAAATTTTTCCCCGAAATGGCTATTTTTATCAGAATAAACTTGAAATCACCTATAAGTTTCCAAAACGTATTGATATCTCTGTCATGTATCTATCTATCTATCCATCTATTTTCTCATTGACATTCTTATTGAATTGCATTCAACATTAAAATTGGTTTGAATATTAAGATATTCAATCTCTTCAATTCAGGAACATAATGTCTTTCATTTATTCAAGTTTTTAGTTTTTTTTTTTTCTTTTTAAATGTCGTTTGGTAAAGACTTCATGTTTTTTCTTTAACTTTGCATGAGAGCAGGGTCTCTTTTTGCTCACAGCAAGAATTAATAGCCACAAGTAATTAGATAAAACAATAAACACTTGTTGAGCATCTGTCATGTTTCTAGCACTGTGCTGGCTTGAGGGATTACCAAAAATGAAAAAAAGTATAGTTGCTGTCCTGAAAAGATTTCCAGGTCCAGTAGTTAAAGAAAAAATATAAGTACATTATTATTACATAACATGTATAAGATCACCTAAAAAAAAAGATGCATTTAGAAACCTTCTTGTAGAATTCTTCATAAACTTCCCTTCCCATTTCTTTACATGCAAATGAGTTCATTCAGCAAACACTTTTGAGTGTCTACGGGAGACTCTGTTGCATTCCCTCTTTGATGGTCACTAGAAGTAGAACATAGCCTCTGTCCTTCGTTAGTACATAACCAGCAAATGAACATGATCAAGGTATCTACAGCAATGTTAACTCCTTTGGAAATGGCTCAAATAGCTCCACATTTGATAATTACAAATCTATCCATCATAAATATCAACTGGTAAAAGTTGAGTACTTCGAATAAAGAGAGAAGTTAGGGGTGGTAAATATTCTTTACATATTCTCTTTAAAATTTGTTTTATTTTTAGCCTCCATAATTTTTTCAATAATTTTTTATCTGATGATTTTAAAAATTGAATTAATTTTTAGATTTTCATCGTATCCAATCATTTTTCCTTTTCCCATAATAACAAAGTGCTGATCTTCCCCTTTTTGATAAGCTTGATAAACTGTGGTGGAGAAAATGCAAGCAAATATCTGAAAATAGTGTAAGGTGGTTGGAAGAAAGGTTGGGGGTGGGGGTGGGGTGGAGATAAAAGCAGGAGGATACAGAGCCTCTCACTGCATGGGCCCAGCCTGAGCCTCCTGAGAAGCATTTGGCCTCGCTCACTTGTGCTGACGCTTGCTCACAAAGGAGGGAAGTTTCATTTCACTCCCACTCACATGCTCTAGTTTCATATCTGAAACCGTGACTGATAGGATGTGATTAGGTGCAGTCTCAAGACATCGAGTTACCTCTTTAATGAGATTCCTCATCCTGAGCTTTTTTCAGAGCGTGTACTGATAAACATTGGTCATTTCTGTAAGTTGCCTCTAAAATGTTGCTTATTGCACAAAATAACTAAAGCGAATTGTTTTATTCAAGAGGCTTGCCTGGTTAAAACCAACATTTCTGTCGCCAATAATGAACAAAAATATATCCATATTTTAAAATGAGATAGCATTACTCACATTTTTTATTTAGAATTAATATTTAAAGTTTTTTTCCTTCCTAAAATGTTGGAAATATTCTTCAAGAAATTCATACTCATGCTCAGTTTCTTAAATTAATATTATAGTTTTTAAAGAGCAGGTCCTGCTGCTTAATAGGTCTCTGATCCGTAGCACTGACTCCCAACCTGGAACCTAGTAGGTGCTCAATAAACATGGAATTGCATGCCCAGATAGTCTTAGTCTCTCAATCTAGAGCTTTCCCTTACAGCTTTAAGTTAACTCTAAAAACCAGGGAATAAGGAATCATTTTCAACTGGTCTCATGTAAATTTTTACATCTTTAATAGTTAGAGTAGAATTCTAGTCTAAAATACAATTTTTAAACTTTAATGTAATATACTATCTATATGACTGTAAAAGTCTGCAGATAATATATTCCCTACAGTCTGTGACATTAATATGGTCTCTTTAGCCCCTATCATGGTCCATTTAGAGTTTCCTCCAGGGAAAAGATGTAGATATTTTCTGTTTCCTACTCTGTCTCCCTAAGAACATGCCAGTGCATAATAATGATGATATTAGTACTTGTGAAATAGCCACCAGTTCTAAAGGGATTAGTAACCAGGGAAAAGGAGTCTCTAAATGAGTTGTAATGGAGATCATGAACAGTAAATTAAAATAAAGGAAAGCAAACAAACGAAACCCTTCCACAACAACCTCCAAAGGTGGGAAAGTGCAATGAACAGATTTTAATTGATTTTCCTCTTTAAATGTTCAAATTTGAAAGGGAGTAATCCAACATGAAAAAAAAAATACATAAAGAAAGGAAACAGAAAGCAAGTCAGATATATAATATGCCTACAGATTTCAGATCTGAGATGGCAGGTTAAGATGTGGAGTTGCCCATGTGTATTTTTAGCAGGGTTAAAAGACTGGAGACCTGACAAAGGTCATGAGGTTGCACTAGCACTGCCTCTTCTAAGCCAGCCTTCAGCTACTTTACCTTCTTTTGGCATCATTTGTTTTTGACTTTTGTCCTTTACCTCTCACTCAGCTCCCTTATAGCATTTCCTGTTTAACCATTCACACTAAACCATAGCTGCATCCCTTCCAGTAAACCACTACCTTCTGTGGAACATATCTAACACTTGCTCACTCTTTGTTTCTTGCATGACTCTGGAATGTCTCTGGTTTTTGTCCTGTGTCAACACACGGATGACCCAATCATCATGCAGGTAACATTTAAAGACCAAAGCATTTTATATATAATCCATCTAAGAAATCAAGAAAGCCTCTTATTCATTTTTTAAAGGTCATCTACATTCCTTTGCACTTTTAACAGGTTAATTTGTCTTCAAAATATTTATAATAGAATCATGTTATACGCGAAGTGAGATTTTACCCTATTTGCAAGGTAGCAAGTTAGCCTGGTACAGTTTCATGGATGCCGGTAAAAGACATGAGACTACTGGGTCAGAAATAAAGAACTTTATTACTCTTAGCAATAGCAGTAGCACAAATTGTCAGCATCTATGTCAGTTTCCTGAGCCCAATTTCCACAGGGTCATGTGAAGAAGACCGGGTGATGCTTGTCCATGCAGAGGGTTATGTTACAGAAGAGAACCCCAAAGTTAGGGAACTTCAATTTCTTTTTCAGTTGACATTATGCTTGTCCTTTGCTGTGGAGGAAGAGACTATATTTAATACACTGGACAGTAAGCACATGTGCCCTTTAATCTGGAGGAAGACACTATCTCTATCTTTCAAGACTGTTCTCAGTACAAACATTTGTGGAAAGACAGTCTAGGACAAAGGCAGTTAGTGCCGCCACTTATAAGCAATCAGAAATATGAAAGACCCATAAAATATTGTTTGCTAACAGTAGGGCTAAGAATAGAACACATGGAAGAGGGCTGCCCTGGGTGCAAGCAAGATAGATATTCAGCATCTTCAATAATATCAGTGATCAATGCTCTTTCCTGAAAACAAAATACAACAAAACAAATTTTTTTGCTCTAATTTTACATTTGTTTCAATTACAGGTGAGTTGAATAATATATGAGTAATATTCAAATTAGAATATTTGATTATTTATCCTTAAACAAAAATAACATGTACATCAGAGTTAATTTGGGGAAACTTTCAGTTATACAGTAAGTGTTTCAACACACAAGACTGTCACATATGTTCCTTTATAGAGTAAGTTTTCAAAAGGATGCAAATAATTCAGCATAATTCAAGCTCACTTTGGGTGTAGTTTGTAAGTCCAACCCATGAAGGACAACGCATTTCAGAGTTAAAACATTTAAAAGCACAAGGATCATAAAGACAAAGAGATACAACTTGAGTTAATTCAATTCTGCCATGCTGTGTGACTGTTTGGAGGATTTTAACTGTGTCTAATTGCTTTTCCATTGCAAAGACATTTGAAAGCTAATACAGTTAATCCTGGGGGGAAATACATGTTGAAATTTCAAGAATTTTTTATGAATGAAATTTTTACAAATCTCTGTCAGATGTATCCTTATGTTGAAAACTTTTCTTAATAATTGGAATAGCTGTTGCTTAAAGAAAATGAAACTTTTTAAAAATTAAAATTAATAAGTGTTAATTAATGAAGTATAAGTAAAGATGGATTGAATCTATATATACTGTCTATTGAACACGTATGTGCACAAAAAAGACAGCAATTATGACAAAATCATTGACAAATTTATAAAACTGTCTTGAAACAGAAACTGTAATTTTATTATTCTTTGCTGTGACAACCCAACATTTAGGTACAAGTTTTTTCTCCTTTTTCAAAAGATTTATTAGTGTAATTGAACAGTATCAAACCATTAGTTTTTTCCTTTTTGTACTTTTATAGTTTTTGTAGTTAAAAATTTTACTGGCATGATTATATATATGAAATTAAATAGAAAATCTTATTTTCTGGCCATTAATATTATTTATTTTATTTTATGATTATTACTGAACATAGTTTTGCTCTATGGGAGAGAGAGCTGATAAAGCAAACAAACAAATAAAACTATCTTCCCCGGGTGTCAAAGGTACTGCTGTAGGGCTATCAACAATGAGCCAGCACAAAGATTATGACTAACCACTAGTCTGAATAAACGTAACTGAGTCTTCAGTATTAACAAAATCGAAAGTGACTGAAAATCATAGGATTGATTGGGGTTATTGTTAAGAGAGCCATCCTCCAGAGTAAAACAGGAATTCTGCAGCACACAGATAGTATAGTTACTGGGATGATCAAACTGTTTTTTTCATACCTCAATAAGTCAAAGCTCCTCATTATACCAGTTATGTTCTACTTCCTTGTTCCAGCTATCATGCAAGAGTCCTTGAAACAATCTTGGTTGCAATCTACAACCTTGGTTACATCAATTGCCAAGCCCTTAGTGTGTTGTGCCTATGTATTTTATTAATATATTAATACAATTACTTGTTACCACAATTTCAATATGCAATTATTACACCCATTTTATAGCTTGAATTATTTCATTAAGCACACTCACCTTAAGAAGTTGATCCAGAAGTAAAACTTTTCTAAAGAGCCCACCCTAACCCCCCCAAAATATGCACTGTAGCTTCTAATCACACATTAAAACAGCTAAGGTAGCTGAGGTAGAGTAGAATTCACTAAACTAGTGTAAATAGATAAATGTATAGATAAATGATATAACTGGGACATTGTATGTCTTCATAGTACCTACATTCATTATTAGAAAAATATTACTACAGAATTGAAATTATCCTTACTATAGAGACATGTTAATTGCAATTATAAGCATTAGATTTAGCGAGAAAAGCAAGATCACACATAGATTTCTTCTCCAATTTCCCTAAGTATGATGTTTTATGCAATCTTTAGCTTATAGATATTTTTGTTTCTTTTGTCATATAAAAATTCATGAAATATATAGGTAACTAAATTTTCATAAGTATGACAGTTTTAAGTTTCTTGTAAATAAATCAGTAATTATGCTATATCAAATTTAATGAAGTATTGCAATTGTTATCTCTTTATTGTAGTATGAAATTTAGCCCCTCATGATGGGGTTGAGGGCTCTGGATTGATTTGCTGCCTTTTCTGTTCCTCTTTAATGAAAATGAAAATATAAGTATTTTCTTCAAGTGACTGAGAATTGCAAAGAAAGATACAAAATACCTGAAAATATCGACAGGTCCTAAATCTCTTAATCCAAATAAGAAGAAAACATTAGCAATTCAATGTCTTCCCAATGGACAGAAAACTCAATAAGAAAAAGAGTGGTTCCACATATTATTCTATCAGCCTTCTCTTGTATTTTGTTTTTAATTACATCATTTAAACAGAGGTAAAAATAACCCAGTAATACAAGGGAAATGGAAATGATTAGAAACCCCAAGATGGGAGAAAACACTGCTGGAATTCTTCAGTGAGCAAAGAATAGCTCTAGATATAAGTGGACTCTTAAAGATAATCTCTACTTTGTAAGAAATTTATCACAGTATTTTAAAGCCCTTCTTGACTTAAATTCTACCTCTTTACAATGGCATAAAGGAAGCAATATTAAGAACGAATTATATCTGTAGTCAGTCTTGAGGCTAGACAATCATCAATGCTACATTTGCCAGGCATCTCCCAGAATCTTTTCAGAGGTTCTAAACTGTCAGGCAAAGATGTAACTCTCCATGGGAATTAGACAGGAGAGGAGAAATATGACCAGTCTCTCACCCTTATTAATGCCTGTGCAGACCAGGGTCCTGTTAGCATATTCCAATAATCCAACTTATTTAGAGGACCCCTTTCTAACAGTTTCTCTTTCTGTGGGACACACACACACACACACACACACACACACACACACGCACACATATGACTGATAGGGAGGAAGAAAAAAGTTTTCTAGATCCACAAAAGTTCAGGCTAGATACATGACTCACGGTAAGTTGTATACAACGCCAAAGCCACCTCTTTAGACCACTTGGAAATATGATTGCCTGCAGAGTGTCTGTCACAGCCTGAATTGTGTTTCATAGAAAATTCCTAAGTAGAATGTGGAAGCCCTAACCCCCAGCATCTCTGCAGGTGACTGTATCTGGGATCTTTAAAGAGTATTTAAAGAGGTAATTAAACTAAAAGGAGGTGAGTGGGGTGGGCCCATTCAATATGACTGTTATTCTTTTAAGTAGAGGAAATGAGGACACAGATACACTCAGAGAAAAGAACATGGGAAGACACAGGAAGAAGATGGCCATCTATAAGCCAAAAGGAAAAGTCTCAGAAAAAAACAATCTAGCAACAGCTTGATCTTGAGCTTCTGGACTCCAAAATGGTGAGAAAATGAATTTCTGTTGTTTAAGCCACCCAGGCAGTGGTACTGTGTTATGGCAGCCCTGGAAAACTAATGCAGTTCCACGAACCCCTACTGAGGTCCAGGAATGCCATGGCAGTAGACTGCATTCACAAGTTCATTCACCAATGTGTTTGGAGAACCCGACATGCACTGTGCTAATATTTCTGGCTACACAGATGAATGTGAGAACAAGTTCTTTAACGTCACCGCCTTTCTAAATTTTCATGGACAAAGCACGCTGCCACACTGACACCAGTGAAAAACCCAGGGCTTTGAGTCCAAATGACTGATTTCCCCAGATCACCGGCTTCCCTCTCCTCTATGTTCTGAACCTTCTTCCCCTAATCCCTTGTTTGAATTGTCCATAACCACAAGCAGCAACACTGAAAGCTTTCTGACCTTTAAAGAAGCATTTGAACAGATGTTCACCTCACTAATAAACAAGGAAATGCAAATGGAATAAAACAATGAGATGCGATGTTTAACCCTTCAGATATACATACTTGGAAGGTGCAGGTTATATTTAAATTATTTGAAGAAGTATTCTCAGAATATATCAATGCGATACGAGGATTACTTGAGATATTATAAATGATACACAAAGAATGAACAACTTTATTTTGCAAACTGGGTTCAACAAAGAAAACAAATATTTTACTGCACTACGCCTCAGGCTCTTTAATCACAAATGTGCCTCAAGAATCTCTCATGCAGCAGTTATCAGTGTTTGCTACACATTAAAATCACCTGGGGATTTTTTTTTAATTTTTAAAAATTCTGATGCCTTGGTCTGACCCCCAGAAGTTCCGACTTAATTGGTATGATGTATAGCATGAACATCCAGATTTTTTAAGCTTTTCTACATGACTTTAATGTGCAGCCAAATCTGGGAACCTCTGTATTCTATAAATAAAAGAGAAAGAGAATGTTGAGTTTTCCCAAATTAGTGAACCATACAGGTTTTGGAGTTTTTGCTGTTGGCTTCTTTACCAATCACCTACCAGCATCTCTAGAGGCCATCACTCTATCAGGCCAGCAGCTTCTACATGGTGCA
Organism: Homo sapiens; assembly: GCF_000001405.40. Classification (NCBI taxonomy): domain Eukaryota; kingdom Metazoa; phylum Chordata; class Mammalia; order Primates; family Hominidae; genus Homo; species Homo sapiens. The sequence goes on along the minus strand of NC_000006.12, from coordinate 71,739,007 downwards.
GTATGTCATAGAAACAGTGGATCCCATGGTCCTGCAGTGGTCCTATAGGTCCTGTGGTTTTATGCAATGTTAGGCAGTTTCCTATATTTTTGAATTGAACACCCTGTAAGCTTGAATAGTAGTGGTGTTTGAGTCCTAAAGGCAGGAAAGCCAAACAGATTGCTGATATATTCATTAATTTTAGTCACGATGAATTGCTGTCTGTAGGAGAGTAGAAGGGGTTCAATAACATCAACTTTCTACTAAGTGGCTGGCTGGTGTTCTCAAAGGATGGTGCCATATCAGGAGCTTGGGATGGTCAGTGTTGCTTGGCAAACTGAACACTTGACAGTAGCAGCAATTGTTGTCAGCTTAAGTGTATGAGAGTTTGTCTTAGTCTATTTTTTCTGCTATAACAAAATACCTTAGACTGGATAATTTGTAAAAAACCAAAATTTATTTCTTACAGTTCTGGAGGCTGAGAAGTCCAAGGTCAAAATACCAGCAAATTCAGTACCGGGTTAGGGCTGCTCACTGATTGCAAGATGGCACCTTGTTGCTGTGTCCTCACATGGCAGACAGCAGAAGGGCAAGAAAATACTCCCTTTAACATTGAGCCCTTTTATAAGGATGCCAATCCCATTAATGATAATAGGTTCCATTCAGGATGGAGGTGACTTAAGCACCTTCCAAAGGCCATACCTCTTAATACTTTTGCATTGAGAATTAAGTTTCAACATGAATTTTGGAGGACACACTATCATTTATACAATAACAGAGTAGTACAATTGGATAGCCTTTATCCCTGCACCACAATACTCTCTTTATGCTCCCATGGGGCTAACACTGGGGTAGCTGTAACAGAGATTGTATGACAACTAGCTGACTCATTACACACTTTTGGAGATAATGTGTCTCTGGCGTTTGTTAATATATAATGCAAAGATCTTCACACTCTGTGCCTCTTGCCTTGTTTGTGCCCAATAGTAGATATAATACTTCTGTGCTATAAAAGATTGCTACAAGACCCATGCAACCCTGTAGAATCTAGCTCATAATGAACAGTTAAGGACATATGGTTACTTATTCCATGGCCAGGGACTCTGTTTCTATCAGGATGCAATAGCATGCTGGGAGCTGATTTTTGAATAGTTTTAAATTTTCTGCTGCAGATGACATGGTTTTGCTCCAAAACTCTTGAGTTCTATCTTGTGATTCTAATATCTGAGCTTGCCATGAACTCCATTGTGGCATCTTTTCCCATCATGGTTACCTCTAATGGATGAGATCTGCTAGGTCACAAGGTCTATGTGACAGGAACATCTGGACTACAACCATTAACTCCTAGATCCGTTTTCTCTTATGAGCCTTCCTCAAAGCTAGCCCTCTATGTCACTCAGTAAATGGGTCTAAGCACTACTCCTATGTGAGTAATATGCCCCCTCCAGAACTTGAGAATCCAAGGAAGCTTCTAGGGCATTATGCTACCTTCTTAGCTGTGAGAAGTGAGAGATGTAGTATGATCCTATATTTGTATTAATCTGTTCTAGCAAATTTGTATTTGGTATATCTAATTTGTTTCATCTGTTCTAGCAAAGCTATCATATCTAGCACAGCAGGTATAAATGATACTATTTGTTTGGCTAAGTTTGTAGTATTCCACTGCTACCCTCTAGTATCCATGTCATATACACAGGGAACAGGTGGTGAATTAGTGAAGATATGATGGCAAATCCCTTCCTTGTACATTAAGGTCCTTATGGGAGGCACTAATCCCTGATGTCTCCTCAGGATGCAATGTTGTTTTTGATTTACTATCTTGATTTGGGGAGTGGGGATGGGGCAGCACTTTGGGAGGCTGAGGCGGGAAGATCACCTGAGGACAGGAGTTCGAGACTAGTCTGGCCAACATGGTGAAACCCTGTCTCTACTTAAAATACAAAAATTAGCTTGGCATGGTGGTGGGTGCCTGTAATCACAGCTACTCGGGAGGCTGAGACAGGAGAATTGTTTGAACCCAGGAAGCGGAAGTTGCAGTGAGCTGAGATCGTGCCATTGCACTCCAGCCTGAGTGACAAGAGTGGAACTCTGTCTCAAAAAAAAAAAAAAAAAAAAAAAGTTTCTACCTGGCTCCTGTGATAGTTCTTACTCCACAGGTCAAAGAACCAGTGTGAGTTTCTGTAACTACAAAATATGTCCACTGTAAAATACATTGACAAACCAGGAAAATGATCCCTGCTTGGGTGGGTGGATATAGACAGCCCACTGTGAGCTGTATGGACCTGAGCCAAAACTCCATTCATTACCTGTTGCCCATGCACCTTCTACTCTAAGAGAAGGAACAAGATGACAAAATTTTGGTGGGTTTCCAGGAATAAGTGTCAACACAAATATAGTGTTGAATAGCTCTCAAAGCTGTTAATACTGTCTTTTAATCAATGTATGATAACCTGAGTAAATGGTGGAAGGTCCTTTTGGGAGAGGAAAGCAGGGATAACTACTCTACATGCAATTGTCGTGGTGTTGCAGAGTTCTTCCTCCTAGAAACTCAGCCTCTCCTTCAGTTGTGGCTTCTGGGTCTGAAAACTAGCCCAAGTATATAAACTGATCAAGGGAACTGTAGTAGTTTATTGGGTACTGCCTCAGCCCCTTAAATATCCACCTTGATTTCTTTGGGTTGTACAGATTAAACAAAACCCTCATTTGGTTCCCATCTATTTTGCCTCTGGGATTATCATTCTGTTTTATTAAACATCATCATAGCTTTCTGAAAGTCAGGGTCTCTCGAGTGCCACTTTGTCCTTGATGCTCATTACAATAATTGTGACATTAACTAGGTATCTAGTTAATAACTGGATACCTAATTAATCATTCTTTATATAAAATTCTCTCTGTTTACATAACTGATGTGGTTTTTGTCTCTTGAATTGTCCTTGGTCGATAAATAAAATAAATATTTGCTAATGGATCAGTAAATCTATTCCTATTGGGATTCTTCCACAACATTTTCAGGGAGAATGCCCACAGGACTTTTGTTATAGAAATTCCTATCATCTGGAATATTAATTTCATTTTTATATGTAGCTCAATGACCATGATTTCATGGTTCTACTTGCTCATTGTTCTTTTTTATTGTCTCTATATTGAATGAAAGTATTATTTTGTCCTCTTAACTATAGTGGCTCATCTAAACTATATAGGAGTTTCTGTTCCGTGTGAAATTCAGCCTTCAAGGTTTAAAACCAGTAACAGAAATATATTTCTCATCTTTATGACACCATTGCTACATGGAGAAGCAATTTGTGGTCTCAATATCATTCTCTATATTAGTTTCCACAAATATAGAAACAAATTTGTTACTTGGTGATAATCAAATAGCCTGCTGATAAATTAACAGAGAATTTAGTGCTTGACATGTTCAGAACCCTCTAAACACCTAAGCATTAGTTCTCCCATTTTGTAATCTTGCATCAAGTGTGATGTTGAGGGTAACCCAAGCCAATTTTGAACATTAAAGTTAATATTACTCAAGTGATCTCACTTCTGTTCAAGAAAATAAAAATTGCTTCCTAACAATCTGACAACACAGTGCTGAATTAAATGTGGCATCTCCTTGGCATATTTACCAGTTTTAAAATCATAATCTGGAACAAACAGAAATTTAAACAACACAATACCAACTAAAAGAGAGCCCCACACCCGTTTGATTTCTAACCTGTAAAAATAAATTAAATAGATGTTGACATTTACATAAGCTTAATTGGAATGTCAATTTGCTTCTAAACATCAGATGTAGTCTTTGACATGTGAAACCTAAGAAGGAGGATCAGAATTAACGCCTCTTAATCGAGTGCAAATTGTTCACAAGGATACTGAGCTAGAAAAGTAGTTCTGTTGATGGAAAACACCCATCTCTCTTGTTGGAGGTGTAGAATTTCTTCAAAATAAGTGCATCCGTTGTCTTAAAGTATTTCCTTGCTTATCTTTTGTGTAAAGGAATTTTCCTCCATTTTATAATGTATCTTCATTAATCTTGAGTTGAAAGTAAGCTTCTTAATATTATTGGTACTTCGTTGATGTGTATTAATCAATATAAAATTGGAGGTTAAGCAAAAAATTAATTGGTGAGTTTAAACAGAGAACACAGCTCAGAATATCACACCCCCTAAATTCTATCTTACTTGTCCCTGTCTCCCTTACTCTATTTCCTGGTGATAATTTTGCTGTATTTGTAAGTGGTGCTAAAATGACATAAAGAAGGTGAAGTATTCAAATGAAATTGACTCTCACAAAACAGGATGCTCATCTAAGGATAGACAACAGAGTGAAGATTTAGGGAGAATGCTATATCTCATGATTTTGATGATCATCTCATCAGATCTTTATTTTCCATCTATTTTGACATTCTTCTTGCCCATTCCTGAGTTTAAGCACTCCCCAGGGACTTCTAGAATCCTAGCAACTACACATTCATGGTTTTTGTTTTCTTTTCTTTAATGTCAGCTCTAAGATTAGAGGATAGTCTTGGTTTAGACAGGTACCCTGGATCATTTACAGATGCAATTATAATGCCAACCCACTGGTGGGCTCCAGTCTTAGTTCTCAGCACAAGGAGAATTGCAACAACATTATTTCTTTTGGCTTTTAAAATATTTCTGTAGAATGAAAGGCATTTCATTCCAAAATAGGTCATTTGAAGCATGTCTGCAGTGGAAAGGGCTATATTTTTGCAGCCTCATTTCAAAGTTATTGATAAACAAAGCAAGCAATGTGCAAAAATACCAATGAGGTTTGGGTTCTGCTCAATAAAAACAAGTTAAATCTAAATTTAGGTTTTTGCCACGTCATTAGCCAAGCCCCAGTTGTTCCTAGGTATTGCAGCACATATGGTCTGCAAGATCACCCACAGTCTTCAGGCTTCCTATTAGATGACCATATGGACTGGCTGAAGTCCCAGGGAGCAAGAGAGCCATCCAGACATCCCATTGTCCAGCATTTCAGAGTGTTTTTGCTGTGTGCATTTATCAGAGTATATTTTCTCCAATTATAGGTTTTTTCAAACTCATAATTTGGTATGTTTTAAAATATTTTGATTTTTTTAATCTTACTTTAAGTTATGGGATACATGTGCCTTGGTGGTTTGATGCACCCATCAACCCGTTATCTAGGTTTTAAGCCCCACAAGCATTAGGTGTTTGTCCTAAGGCTCTCCCTTCCCTTGGCAGGGGACCCCCTCACAGGCCCCAGTGAGTGATGTTCCCCTGCCTGTGTCCATGTGTTCTCATTGTTCAACTCCCACTTATGAGTGAGAACAAACATTTTGATTTTCAAATAACATTAAGCTCTTTTTCCTGACTATAGCCAATACCATTTATTTGACATCAACAATAATAATATATAGTCAACTAACACTAAAATAAAGCTTTGTAATTTTAATAATTTAATTGAATGATTTTAGGCTTGATCAAACTGATATTTCTTTTTATTTAAGTGGTCATTAAGTATTCTTTGTAAGAATTTCACTTTAAATTATTTTTCACTTATATACAAAGTATCTTGCATTACATTAAAAAATGAAAATGCAAGTAGTTCAAATATTTTATTTTTAGCCTTTATAGTTTTATAATACTATTTCATGGTTTTTTAATTATATGTATTATACACTATATAAAGGTATATATGATATAGAGATATATAGAGGAGCATGTGTTTATGTGTGCATACCTGTCTGTCCATTTATCTCTCTATATTCTAAGTTTATAGAGGAAGAGAAAAGTGAAATGATTTAAACATGTACTATGTGTCAGGCCTATTTTTTCACTTTTAATATATTAGCTCATTTCATTCCTACAAGATAGGAGAATTAAACATAGAATAATAAGAACTCAGTAAGTTTAGACTGTGTTGCAATTTGTTGTTTTAATTTGCTGTTTCATCCTTCCAATAATATATGAGGCTTTCTAATACATTATACATTAAACAGTGGTAAAATTGATCTTCCACAGACACAATTATAAGGCAAAATAGAAAGTGGAAAGAACAGCAGCTTTTAAGTCAAATCAGACCTGGGTTCTAATCTTGCTATGCATTCTTAAAGCAAATTACTTAATTTTTCTTCTCTATAAAATAGACATATGAATATTCATTTGATAGGGTTGTCTTGAAGATTAATTCAAATCACTTATGGAAAGTCCTTGACTTATGATTAGGATTTATTTAATCAATACCCGCCCCTTACTTTTTTTTTTTTTTTTTTTTTTTTGGAGACGGAGTCTTGCTCTTGTCGCCCAGGCTGGAGTGCAGTGGTGCAATCTTGGCTCACTGCAACCTCCGCCTCCCAGGTTCAAGTGATTCTCCTGCCTCATCTTCCCTAGTAGCTGGGATTACAGGCACCCGCCACCACACCTGGATACTTTTTATATTTTTAGTAGAGATGAGGTTTTGTCATGTTGGCCAGGCTGGTCTTGAACTCCTGACCTCAAGTGATCCGCCCACCTCGGCCTCCCACAGTGCTGGGATTACAGGCATGAGCCACCACTCCTGGCCAATAAATACTTGCTCCTTACTTTTACTAGTTGTAATATTTGGCAATTTACCTGAAATCTTGGAAAGTCAGTTTGTTGCAAACATTGGGATAATAATTTCTATCCTCAGAGTGATTGGGAGATTGTAAAAGATTATATGTGTAAATTAAATTTAATATACAGTAAATTGTTATTTCTGTTGCTGCATAGGAAATAATGGAACAAGAATTTCTAATTAGGAATTTACATCTTTGATTAAAAGTCATTATTATCATGGATATCAAAAATGAATTGAAAGCAGTCATTATATCCATCAATATAACCATCAATATAAATATCCTCAAGTTTGTTTATAATTGATCTGGAATGACAAATTTCAGAGGACTTTAGCAGGATGAGGCTCTCCTATCAGTAACAGTTTTTGATTAAAGAATTGCAAGTGCATTGCTCCAAATAGCTATTAAGAGAGACCTTGCCCTGTGCTAATACTGCCTGATCATTGACAGGTTGAAACCAGACCATTCTATTCCCAGACTTTGACAAACAACTATTATCTCATAATTAGGTTTGCAGAATTTAATTACAATTTGGATGTGCAGAAACAAGGTAAAGTTTTCATCCACATATGATTACATAGCCTTTAGAAGTTCTCACTTACAAGTTGTCAAGTTCAGCCATGTAGTCTCTGGGGATTATTCATCTGCTTTCTGCTTGCCCTCATTCATGGCTGGTGGAATTCACGACTGGTGAAATGTGCAGTGTGATCTTGGCTTGGTCAGAACTAGGTGAAGCTCCCTGGCTGATTGGGTCCCTTCTCAACTTCTGTGCCCTAAAGACCTCTAAATCTGCACACTTTCTCCATTCAGTGCCTTGGCCTGGTCATTTACCCTCAGCCTCCATTGCCATAAAGGACCTGATGGCTGGCCCTCTACACCTCAATTAAGCATTCATGCCCCATGGTAACTCTGGGTAATATGGGAGAACAAAAATGCCTCAGGCCTTTAATTTCTCCCTGAGCCTTCCAGTTGATGTTGCCACGCCCTAGTTGTTTAGGGGAAGCTAAAGAAAGTGTCTCTTTCCCAAGTTAAAAATTAGGAGTGCAGGCAAGAGTACCCCAAGTCCATGCCTATCAGCAGATGCCCTTGCTTGGCACCCAGGGCACTGTATGCTAGCATGAGACCCTTCCTTATCAGCCCTTAGTGAGCTAAGCACATAGAAAGTAAAATCTGGACATATATATCTGATGAGCTCTGATATCTCTTTCTCCTTGTGCCTGTTACTTGTTCCATAATCCACAGGCATTGGAAAGAGCCTGAGTTTCCTTTTACTTTCCCTACATGAAATCCTTCTATCTGACTATAAAGCCAATTTAAACCCTTGGTATGCTACATGAGAGCTAAAGGAATCGGAAAATCCTTTTCCAGAAAAATAACATGACTTGAAAGGATATGTTTCTAACTTTGAGCATCCAAAGCTGCATCCTACCTGTATTTTTTTGTTTACATTTATCTTGTTACAGTCTTAATTTCCGTACCCTAAGTTTTTCTTCCAAAAGATGGCTCTGGGCAATTAGGGTGACATTCATAGTCATGAGAGCACAGTAAAAGAGAAATATTAATAATTGCTTTTAGATATTACCCCCTAGTAAACATAGCATATCTTGGTTTAATGAAGGGAGAGCTGGAATTCTTTTTCTTTATTATTATTTCAATCTAGCAGGCCTAGCAAGGTTGGTTAATAGAAGAAACTACACTTAAATATATTAACATAAGATAACAGTTATTTTCCTATTACAAAATAAAATTTAGCATTTACTCTACAAACACTCGAGTGTCTATTATGAGTCTGCCACTGTACTACCTGTTGGTGACACAGATATGCAAGATCCTGCTTTCCTGTGCAAAGCGCTTGCAGTTTATTAGGAAGGAAAAAGCAGTCCAAAAATAATAAATATAAGTGCTTTTATTGAATTCTTAAGTCAGTGTCATTCAAAGCACACTATGGGAGAATACAGTAAGTACATTGTCTTAACTTTTGTGTCCTCCACTATACTTACTAAAGTGCTTTAAATTCAATTCTGTTGAATTCATTTGAGTGCTCCCAAGTGTGACTGTGCCAAGAAAGACATTTCTCAGAATTGAATAGCAGATTAGTAGGAGCATCTCTTACCGTTTCCAAGATTTTGAGGTTCTAGCCACTGAAATATGAACAATAGTTTCTTATCTTTCCTCTTTATTGTATCATATTAATGGAACATCCCTTATTCTAAAACATCCAAATAAATTATTTTCCAAAAGTATATGGCTCCTGAATATGATCACATCTACCTGTCTGAAATTTTTAGACTATAATACTATGTTGTTGTTTGCCTGCTGCTGACCACACTCAAAGAGAAGGAGAATTTCAAGAAATATTTACCTAGCATAAACCATTAAATGAATCAAGAGAGTCTCGGGAATCAGATTCACAGCAAGAAGAATCTGCTTTCCAGCAAGCAATTGATGAGCCTACCATGTGGTATTAAAAACACACATACAATATTGAAATGAATAGAAATGTATCACTCCCCAATTCTTTTCTCTTAGAAAAAGTTTTACAAAACTAAGGCACGTTCTTGTGAACTTTCATCCTCAACATCACAACAATATTCCAAAATAAGAAATTTGCTTAAGATTCTATTTGTTTTCACACTTTCCTAATTAAAAACCTGTCCATGTACTGCAGTTAAGTTTAGACGACAAACACTAGTCAAGGGTATTTTAAAGTTTTAATTTTCCAGTTTGTGGCTTTTGAATTTGGGTTTTGATACAGGCAAAAGTTCTTTGGAGGCTTTATGGTATACAATTTCAGAACATTTTTCTTTCTTGAATTAGGGAAGAAAAAAACAGTAAGGCAGCAGCAGTTTCTGCTTCTTGTGCAGTAACAAGTTATTGTTGCAAGTCTTTTTATTCCTAAATCTTCTGGTACAGAGATTTCATAAGGAATAAAAATGAATCAAAATTGGCAGAACACAAAGTACATAGTCATGGAACCTAGGCAGCTCCAGAGGCACGTGGCACTTCACAAAAAAAATTAAGTTTCGACATTCCACATTGTTGCTGCTCTGAAGAGAAAAGCTCAAAGCTTAAAGGAATTGCTTCAAGCTGAAACCAGGTGACAAACCTTTGCATCTGAAGATACATAACTATAAACAAATGTGGTTTTCCCTAAAGCTATTACATAAATTTGGAATCTAATAACTGGCAGTTTAAAGCAAAAAAGAATAATTGACTTGTTACTGGCAGGGATTCACTTTCCTGAGGTTTTTTATCTCTTTGCCTAAGACTTTGTGGCACTTTAATAATTCCACTTCTCAGGCCAAATATTACAACTAATAAGAGTAAGGAGCAGGTATTTATTGGCCAGTAGTGGTGGCTCACGCCTGTAATCTCAGCACTTTGGGAGGCGAGGCAGGTGAATCACCTGAGCTTAGGAGTTTGAGACCAGGCTGGCCAACATGGTGAAACCCCGTCTCTTCTAAAAATACAAAAATTAGCTGGGTATGGTGGCATGTGTCTGTGGTCCCAGCTACTAGGGAGGCTGAGGCAAGAGAATAGCTTGAACCCAGGAGAGGAGGCAGAGGTGTGGTGAGCTGAGATTGTGTTATTGCACTCCAGCCTGGGCCACAAGAGTGAAATTCTGACTCAAAAGTAATAATAAAAATAATAATTCCACTTCTCAAACTCCTACTTTACTTTTTATATATCACTACAAAAGTTAATGTAAAATTCCCCTAAAACATGTTACTGAATTGTTTTGATAATTAAGTATTATCTTAAATATGATGAATTTATCCACAATCCTTCTATTATAGAATTTTCTTTAAAGATTTATTTTTCAGAATTTCCTAATATAGCATATTTGACAATAATATGTGATATTTAAAATTTGGAAAGAAAGCTAAGTCCCAAAAAGAGTCTCATGTATGTCACCCTCCCAAAGGAATTGGATCAATTAACTATTAAGAAACAAAGAATGCAGAAAATGTTTTTCTAGGGCTTACAATGATTACTATATCTGGTTAATTAAATGTGGTGAGTATATGAAATGAATGATTGGCCAAATCTCAAAATGATCTGAGAAATCCAATTCCTTCCAGTATATTTACTTGCTAGCTCAGGATTTTTAAAAGTAAAGCATCTAACATTCCTTTTAGCACTTTTGCATTCTCATTCTAGAATTACAAACAACAATACCAAGGCAGACAGATGCAGCAATTTGTCCAAACCTAAAAATCCAGAAAGACATAATAAGCTCAAGATTCAAAATATCTGCCTCCCCAGGCCACTCTGGCATTCATCTCTGTGAGTGTCACTTCCTCTTACAGGCCACGTGGAAGAATCTTCCCTCTTCTAAGCATGTCTCTAGAGATGCCACAGTTTCTCTTCCCCTCATCTCTGATGCCATCCCCAATGACTCCAGGGTGCAAGAGAGAAATGTGAATCACCCAGCAGGCTCCTGAATAGAAACCAAAGTCCTAGAAACCACAAGGAGACAGGGCAGCAAAAGTGGAAGGAGTATAGGTTGAGAGAAGTGTCAGAGGGAAGCCGTCACATTTTTTCTCTCTGGGGCTCATTCTTTCACCTCTTGATCTTTCTGTTATCAATTCTCTTAGATTATTAGTATCATGGAAAGAGTAGGTAGGCTTGCTTTTCAGTTTCAGCTCTGGCACAGATTAACTGACTAACTTCAAGAAACCAATCTGCCTTCTTGCTTTCCTTTTCCATAGAATGCATTGATAAAAATCAGTGTTCACTCAGCCTCACTGGATTTGCAACCATGTACAATAAGCTTATGCAAAAGTTCAAATATTTTGTAAGTGGAAAGTCTTGGTAGAGGTTTTTAACTTGAGACCTGAAGCCTATTACTATTCAGGGCATTTCCATCTACTAGGCAAGGCTGTTGAAAGAAACAAATTCAAGGTCAGAGGATCACTAAATAAAATAGCATCAAAATAAATTGGGGAAAGATGGTCACAAAGTGCTTGAAATAACCCATCTTACTTAGGAGGAGTGTTTCTAATTAACTCAAGAATAGGTAATGAGTTTCTAGAATTAAAGTATTCTGTTTCTGAACACTAGTGAATATGAACTACCAAATACTTGTCCTTTGGCTTCCTTTTCTGTGCACTTCATATAGATCACTAACCTCCTGGTAGCAAATTGCCAGTCAGATCCTCTGATTTTTATTACCTAAGATCCACTTACTACCAGTTACTACTAGTACTACTTATCACACACTTAATTCTAGTCATGTAGCCCAACACAGTATCTTGTAGAAAACAGTTTTGATGTATTTGTTGAAGTGAAACCCTTCTACCTGGACATATATTCTGATCTATTAAATAGAGACTTGAAATATGTTACCACCTACACTGGAGTAGGATAAATTCCATCTGCAAAAGGATAACTTCATTCATTATTATCTCCAGTTTCAAAGTCTCTCCTGACCTTGTCCCCACTTTGCTGTGTCTACATGTATTGATTATGAAGGATGAAAGAAAGTCTTCTTTCTTCAGACCAATTGAAATATCAGAATGGTTGAGACCCCTGTGACTTTTGCTACTAAACAGGACAAAGAAATACATGACAGATGCTGTTAATAAATCCATGTGAGTGAGGCAGAGCCCCATATCCTCAACTATAGGAAATGGAAAAGGCCTGAAAAAATTGAGATGCACATTAATTAGTAAACTACCAAATTGCTGTAGACTGAATATTTATGTCCTACCCAAATTCACACATTGACACCTAATCCCCAATGTGATAGTGTTTGGATGTGGGGCCTTTAAGAGATGATTAGATCATGAGGGTGGAGACTTCATGAATGGGATTAGTGCCCCTGATAAAAAAAAAAAAGTACCCAGAGATCTCCCTTACCTCTACTACCATGTGAAGATACAGGAAGAAGATGCTATTTATGAACCTAGAAGCAGGCCTTCACCAGACACCAAATCTGCCATTGCCTTCATCTTGAACTTCCCAGCCTCCAGAACCACGCAAAATAAATGTTCATTGTTTACAAGCCACACAGTTTATGATGTTCTGTTATAGTAGCCCATACTGACTAAAGCACAAATGTACTGGCACTTAAGTCTTCTTGAAGATCAAAAAGCCTGCATGGCTGTTGGCATGGTCACCTTACTGGCAGCACTCTTGGCACCATCATGCTATTGGCAAGTTATTCCACAGTCCCCACCCAGTACCTGCTCTCTGCTTTATCTCTCCATTAGGTGTACTTCCTGGGATATGGAAGGGACAGAAAAGGGAAGTGAGGCGCTCAATCACAGGAAAATTCCTGGAGGCTCCCTAATACTCTGTGTATTCACATGGAACTGGAAGAATGGTATCATTATGCTGCACTTTTGACCACTTCTCTCTGGGGGGTGATATGCTGTTTCTTCTTGGCTCCTTGCTGCTTATGTATTACAATTGTTTAAGTCCAGCTGAAATCTTCCCTCCTCCCTGAAAGCTTCTCTACACATTCTATAAAATCCTGGTTGGACTCTTCTATCAAATCCTGCAGCATATGCCCCATATTCTAATTTATGTCATAATTTCACTATCTTGAAATTTTCTCAATTTATATGTATCCCCAACTAGATCAAAATAATTTGAATGCAACATAATCTAATCTAGGTTCTCTCTACTGGAACACTATCAGCATTTCAGGTCAGATAATTCTTTGTTGTGGGCGTCTGTCCTGTGCATTGTAGGATATTTAGGAGCATTCTTGGCCTATACCGACTGGAAGCCAGTAGCACCCTGAGTAGTGACAGTGAAAAATGTCTCCAGACATTGCTGAATATCCCCTGTAAATCAAAAACCAAGTAATTGAAAAGACAAAATTTCCCTTGGTTGAAGACTACTGATCTACCCTGATGTTGAAATATTTTTTATGTTTGTTATTAAAACATAAATTTAGGTGTAACACTTGATTTTTATCAACTGTAATTTCCATACTAAAATAGTACAGGCTGACCGTCTGCAAGTATCTGAAGATGACTACGCCTTTAGGGGCCTGGAGCCTCTGGGAGGAATACCAGAAGGCTGAGCCCAAATCCCTAAGAAATGTTCAGGCTCTTCCTTCTCTCAGTAAGAGAATCCTAATGGTAAAGAAGGCCAGCCAGAGATGATAAATGCCCTCAACATTCAAAGTGTATGCCTGATCAACTTGGCTAAAGCTGTTTTGGCTTAAAAAGTCATATAGATAAAGCCTTTGGAACTGTTGGTGACAAAAGCCTCTCCAGGGTTGTATTTAATATACTGCTGGCTCCAGGGTGTTCTACTCCGTAAGTGCTCTGACCTCAGCTTGGGCTGCTATCTTGTAGATATCTCTCTTCTACCCCCTACACACTCTACTTCAGAGTACAAGTTGGCTTCCGTCATCAGTGATAAAAGAATCTATTGTGACCTGGAGCTTAAGATGGAGTAGTCCTCAGTCAGTGGTTTTGGCTGCCTGGCTCAGGTGGCTGAGCCCTCCAGTTATACATTCCAGAATTAAATCCCCATAAAACCCAATACCAACTTAAATGGTATATTAGTCACTGATGACTTGGCTAATGAATGAGTCCCAGGAAATTTGTTAGATCTTCTGTGATGACCATATGTGCCTGGTTGATCATTAAGGTCAGAGTCAGCAGGCTATTTGCTTTATCCCACTCATGAGCTCCAGGCTCTTGGAGTCCTAGAATTTCTTTGCAGATTCTATTCATAGTACTCTTCTGTCTGGACTTAAAACTAAAGACATATCTGTTCATCCCTATTCCTGAACACCCTTAAGAAAGTAGGTCAGTTTGCTGTGTTTTAATTGTAAAGCATCTTGTGAGTCTCTGTAAAAGAAGCCGAGTAAGTGCTTGTTGTTGTCAGGGTAATTATTTCCTAAGGAATGCACACACTCTGACTTTGCCAATGAAATCCCTCCACAAGACACATAATTTAAACCACCATTTTATCTTATTTGTTGAATTAAGTAACAGGAGGAAAGCTAGCCTTTAAAGCAGGCTAGAAAAGAAAGGCCAGAGTTTCTACATATAATTCCCATCAATGAAAATTTGCTTTACGATACATTATTTTTCCTTTCAAATTATTGTTGTTAGGTTAAAATAGATGCACACATGGATGTAGAGTGCTGAGTGACAATATAAAGCACACATTCTTTCTTAAATTTTTATTTTAGGTTTGGGGGTACACATGAAGGTTTGTTACGGAGGTAAACGTGTGTCATGGGGGTTTGTTGTACATATTATTTCATCACCCAGGTATTAAGCTCTGTACCCAATAGATATCTTTTCTGCTCCTCTCCCATGTTTTTTGCATTTACTTTTTGATAACGTCATTGTCTTTTCATAAAACAGGAAAAAAGATATTAAAAACTACAGTTAGGAAAAAAAAACAGTGCTTCCCCAACTCTAACTTAACCATATATTTTTGCTGGTCATTTCCACCTGGTCATATGTGTCCAAGCCAGGAACTACATAAAGCGTTGCTTTAGAACGGCAGATTTTTGCTCCATGTGGTGCATTTTAAGTAGATTCCATCTAGCAGAGAGTGGACCCATTGGTGTATTTCGTGACATTAGAGGTTTCCTTAAAGAACAATGCAAAAGAAGGAAAAACAAATGGAAGAATGTATTGATTAGCTTGACACAAATTATCTAGAGAAAGTTGCTGCCTGGATAGCTTAATAAACCAAGTAATTGAAAAGATTAGTTAACAGCTTTTAATCTTACGAAAATTTCTGGTGTAGCAGACAAATGTGGAAAAAGGGAATATTGAATTACTCATCAAGATTTTCTTATTTTATTTTAGAAGTCTCTTAGGGCTTTGGATAGCCTAGATTATAGCTGCTTCTTTGTGCCAAGCCTTACTCACTCTTCCAATGATGAGGTCCAGGGCTTGCTACCCTAAAATAGCTGAAGCTGAGGAATTTGAGAAAACCACAAGGTAGAAAGTTCATTCTCATCTTCCTCTACCCTCTTCTTGTAAAACAGGTCGTAACACCTAGGAAGGTTTTTCTGACCTTCCCCTAAAGCAAGTCATAAGACCCTCTTGTGAGAAATGCTCTCCCTATATCCAGAGGAAAGGACCATCCTTATCTTTGAAGATGAAAGGACACAGAGAGGAATCTGAACAAACAGGCTTTTCTAAATTTCCCCTAGTTTCCATTAGATTATATCCCCTTTATTCCATCTTATTTCTCCACGGTGGTCCACTCTTCAAACCTTCAATAAAATACAGTCATGTTTAACTGTTGCTTTGAGTCTTTATTTCCTTATGAAGGCTCCTGTATCACATACAAATTTGTATATTATATACAAATTAAATAAATCGGTATGCTATTCTTTTGCCAATCTGTCTTTTGTTATAGGGGCCTCAGCTATGAACCTAGGATAGATGAAGGAAAGATGTTTATCCTCTCCTACACTGACATTCATTTACCTTGAAGGAAAATTGCCTACACAAGTTTTAGAGCAGTTCATGTCAGTTACATGTTCATGCCACGCCCCCTGTGCTAATAGAAAGTGATTAGAAGTAGTATGGCTCTGTTGAAAAGAAGCACTTTTTAAACCCTGGGACACTTGGGTTAAGGTGCACCATAAGTCCGTCCCAGCCAGCAGGAAGGAATGTTGAAGGGAAGAGTTTAGACTATTTTATAATCACTCAGGTTTAGAGGGGAAGCAAAAGTTTTTGGCCATTTCATAAATATTTTATTATTTGGAAACTTCATGGTCAAAATACAAGCAACATGATCTTGCTTAAACAGAAGAGTCAATAACCGACCTTTGAGGTCTCCGTTGTGAAGAGTAAAAGGGCACAGGATTATGGGCCTTCTATTTAGTTAATAGGTGTCAACAAAGGTGATTACTTTTCATATACTATAACTTTGTTTACATAAGACAGGAAATGTGTTACCATTTATAGTGTTTATGTATGAGTCTGTGCTAAGGGCTTTAAGTATATTAATACTAGCAGCTGTATTAAAAGAGGTCTCTCTATAGTTGTCAGGTAAAGTACAGAATGGCCAGTTAGATTTGAATTTCAAATGAACATTCAACACTTTTTACACAAGCATATCCCAAATTTTGTCTGAAACATACTTATACTGAAAAAAAAAATCCATTGTTTATCTGAAACTCAAATTTAACTGGTTTTTCTATATCCTTATTTGCTAAATCTAATAACCCTAAATCTTAGCCCTTATAGGTTAAAGTCAAAATATGGAAGAATTGGGTTCATAGTCATTCAGAGGCAGAAACCAGACTTTCTAAGTACACAAATAATGGATCTATTGCTCAGTCACATTAACCAAATACATAAAGTTCTATTTAATTACAGTAAAAAAACAACAGGTTGCTAAATACCCAGGTTAGCATGATAGACCCACACAATCTCTGTAAGCACATCTATATCATACTGAGATCAGGTACAATTGGTTTTCAAGTACAAGAAGCTCATTGGAATGTGTGAATGTTTTATGGTTTAAGACTAAAACAGGCTAAAGTATTAATCACACAGTTGGAAACTTGGCAATGGGAACTTAATATTTAAAAAAATCTACTGGCTCAAATTTCCTGTTTCCCAAAAGTACCCAGATGGGTTCTGCTAATATTTGTCTCTGTGACTCCTTTTCCTAAGCTCCCATGGGCTGTCCAACCCCCTACCTTGGAGTGACACATCCTTCCGTTAGCTGTATTAATAGCTCCAGTCATATTACATCAACTCCTGCTGCTAGAAGAGACTGTTTTTATCCATTATGTGATGATTTTAAAGTTTAACTCTCAAAAGGCAATCATATTTCTTTCACTTCCAAATTCTTAAAGAACATTTCACTGAACTCCTCATGTATTTACTGTACTGACTTGAGAGGTAGATTTTCTATAATACTATTTTCTCTTAATAAGGGAAATGCTGATCATCTTTTGTTTCAAGCCAAGTGTTTATCTGTATCTCATTTAATGCTCACTAAAAATCTTGGGAGAAACAGAGCACAGTATAGAGTAGCAGAACAGTGTCTAAATATAGGTCTGTCTTGGAATCTACTATATCACTATAGCACTAGTTCCCACTTTTAAGTAAAATGTTTACTATGGAATATCATGTAAAAGAAAAAAAAAGATAAAACAAAGCTGGACAAATTTAGCTTCTCCTGTGGCTGAAGTATTCTAGAAGACATAAATAAACCATGGCTGGTGACCACTATGATACTATAAAGAAATGAGCACCAGCTTTGGAGTACTAAAGATCTCGATTAGAATCATACCTCCATCACTGGGGTGAGGGTAGTAGTCAAAGAGATCAATGTGGACATTGTTATGGGCTAAATTGTGTCCCCCAACAAAATGCATAATTTGACATCCTAACTCATAGTACTTCAGAATGTGACTGTGGAGATACAGTCTTTAAAAAGGTAATTAAGTTAAAATGAAATTATTCATGTGGGCCCTAATCTGACTAGTGTCCTTTCAAGAAGAGGAAATTAGGACAGCCAACTGAAAACCCGAGGAAGGCCCCAGAAGAAATAAACCCTGCCAACACCTTGATCTCAGACTTCTGAACTTTAGAACTGTGAGAAAATAACCCACCCAGTCTGCGGTACTTTTTTATGGCAGCCCTAGCAAACATTTCTTAACAGCTTAGATCCTAGTTTTTTTTATTTTTTTAAAGGCGTAATCCCCATGGGCTTGATGTGATCATTCAATAATTAAGTGCCTAGCATGATGCTTTGAAAAATGAATTTGCTCAAGGAATATAAGAACTATATTTTTCACTTAAGCTCACAACATGAACTGGCATATTTATTAATTATCCTTGGCAAATTCATTAAGGATCCGTTAGGTGCAAATACACAAATCAATATCACATTCCCAGTGTTTTTCTTCTGATGGAAGATGGGAGGGCAGTATTTGTTATCCCCAATGAGTGCTTTATACACTGTATTTTCTTGATTCTGCAATGCATATTTTAAAGCACCCTTTTTATTTTAGAACAGTTTTAGATTTGCAGAAAAATTGCAAAGATAGTGCAGAGTTCCCATCTCCCCCAAACCCCATTTTACCTATTATTAACAGCTTACATTAGTGTGGTACATTTGTTACAATTAATTATTAACAATGATACATTATTAACTAAAATTCATACTTTATTCAGATTTCCTCACCATTTACCTAATGTGATTTTTCTCCTCCAGAATCCCATACAGCATACCATATTACATTTAGTGATCCTGTATCCTTAGGCTCTTCTTGACTGTTAATTTCTCAGGCTTTCCTTGTCTTTGAGAGTTTTGAGGAGTACGGGTCAGGTATATCATAAGATGCCCTTCTATTGGGGTTTGCTGCTGTTTTCTTAATGAAACTGAAAGTTAATGAAACTTAATGAAACTGAAGTTATGGCTTTGGGGAAGGAAGACCACAGAGGTAAAGTGTCATTTTCATCACATCATATTAAGGGTATGTACTATCAACATGACATATCACTGTTGATGCTGACTTCGATTACCTGGCTGAGGTAGTGTTTGTCAAGTTTCTCTACTACAAAGTTTTTTACTCCTTTCTATGCAGTACTTCTTTGAAGGAAGTCCCTATGCACAGTCCACACTTAAGAAGTAGAGAGAGGCTGAAGCGGGTGGGTCACTTGTGGCCAGGAGTTCAAGACCAGCCTGGCCAAAGCAGTGAAACCCTGTCTCTATTAAAAATACACAAATTAGCCGGGCGTGCTGCTGCACACCTGTAATTCCAGCTACTTGGGAGTCTCACTTTGTCATCCAGGCTCCTTGAGTGCAGTGAGCTGAGATCGTGCCACTGCACTCAAGCAGCCTGGATGACAAAGTGAGACTTGGTCTAAAAGAAACAAACAAACCGAAAACAGTAGAGAGTTATGTGCTACCTCCTTGATGGCAGAGTACCTACATAAATTACTTGGAATTTTCCTGCAAGGCATATTTCTCTATTCTCCCCAATTTATTTATTCAATTATTTATATAAGTGTGGACTTACAGATATTTATTTTATACTTTGGGCCATGATACAGTATTATTAGTTTGGTGCAAATGTTACTGTTTTTGCCATTGAAAGTAATGGCAAAAACCGCAATAGCTTTTGCACCAACATAATACATTATTTTGTTGCTCGAATTGTTCTGGCTTTGACCATTGTTGTTATTTCTTTTTTTCCTGATCAGTATTTCTTTATCTCCAATTAGTGCTTTGCATACTGTATTTTGTTCATTCTATGATA
Organism: Homo sapiens; assembly: GCF_000001405.40. Classification (NCBI taxonomy): domain Eukaryota; kingdom Metazoa; phylum Chordata; class Mammalia; order Primates; family Hominidae; genus Homo; species Homo sapiens. The sequence goes on along the minus strand of NC_000006.12, from coordinate 71,719,229 downwards.
CACAATTTTTATGTCTGAAATTTATATAATTAATAACATCTGATAATTACAATTGGTGGTGACATTTTTGTTCCTTAGTCACATCTAAAATAATAGTGTTCCTTTCAATAAATGGCATCTTAGATTCAATGAAACTCGGAAATTGCTAAATAATAAGAAATACTTTTCTAGGATAGTGTATTCAATTCTTAGCACCCTTGCCCTGTCAAGCTCTGACATTTTATAGAGAACATTTTCTTCAGAGATTGTTTTTGTTTGATCTTTTTGATTTACCGTAGACATGTTGCTTTTTCTCTTGATCATTTGAACACATGTACATTGATCTACTGAAACAAAGAATTTATGTTCAGGCATGAGAATATCAGCAATGGTCATTGCCTAACCCTGTTGGCTAATTCTGAGATTTAGGTGCTCTTATCTTCCTACTGGCATCCATTTAAGGCCATCCATTGACAGGCAAACTGTATATGATTGGAACAATAATAAGTAGGACATATTTTATAATTCTAGTCTCTTCCATTTTAGTTATAATTTTAGTGTGGATAGAGGGGTTTCAATTTGCTTATTATAGGATTTTATTTCATATCACTTACAAACGTGAAGATGTATCATTATACCTGGCTTGATAGCTGAACTCAATTATTTTAAATCCCTTTTTTCACTTATTAATACAGTTATTCAGCACCATTTATATGTCCAGTTCTATGCTCCTAGGTTTCTGTGTTTGCCCTTTAAGCAGCAAAAGTAAACTTCACTAGTATTTAGAGATTGTCTGAGGAACATTTATTTAATGACACTTCATAACAAGCACAAAATATTTTAAATATATTCTCTCTGAAAATTGTAGAAAATATCAAATGAGTAAATTTTTGAATAGCTAATTTTAGTCTTTCTTAAATAGCTTCTAAGCAGAAAGTTTTCCAAGATTGAGTAAACTGAATTCTGCAATAACAGTTAGCCTTGTCAGTAACTCCATGAAGTAAAATATCAATCCTCACATCATATATAGGAAATTGAGGCTCAGAGATATTAAGTATGACTTAGTGACAAACGAGTAATCAATATGTCCAGCACTGATACTAATAAAACCCTCATTTTGGGAGGCCGAGGTGGGCGGATCACCTGAGGTCAGGAGTTCAAGACTAGCCTGGCCAACATAGTGAAACCCTGTCTCTACTAAACTAAAAAAATTAGTCAGGTGTGATGGCATGTGCATGTAGTCCCAGATACTCAGGAGGCTGAGGGAGGAGAATCCCTTGAACCCAGGAGGTGGAGGTTGCAGTGAGCCAAGATTGTGCCACTGCACTCCAGCCTGGGGGACAGAGTGAGACTCTGTCTCAAAAAAAAAAAATTCATAAACCAGGCCATAGGCCATATGTTGATATGCTATTTATTCACCAAAAACATTATGGTAACTTAGCATATAAGCAAATAAATCATACAGTAGTTCTGATGCTTTTATAATGTCAAAGAGGGTATATTTTTTTCCATAGTGTTAATGCTTGTCATCAAACACATTTAGAAACTCTTCTGATGAAATCTAGTAGCTACTGAAGGGCTGTTCTTCAAGCATTCATGACAAAAGTGTATAAAAATTGAAATCTTTATGAAAAAAGACACCACCAACATTTAATTATATGATGCTTTTGCAAAAATATAATCTGATAAATGAAAACAAAATTTAATTTTCTGTAATGATTAGATCTTTTCATTGAGCAACAAAAGACATTTCTAGTACTTAAATAGTATATTAAATTTACAAAGCACTTTATATTCATTAATAATTCCCCCAAAAACCCAACAAGAGAGATGGTTTGGGCAATTTTCAATAATGTTAGTTGGTTCCAAATATAGGGGAAAAAGCATAGATGAAGGTAATTTGGCTAATGCAAGGACTAATGAGAGCCACAAAATACACACCTGAAAGGAGAAGAGTCTCTTATTATTATCAATTTTTCTTTCATGTTAGAGTCTCCCATATGGCACATTGCCAAATATATTTCTACCAAAAGTTATTTTGCATGTTACATTTCTCAGTTACAACAAAATACTTGAAAATTTCAGTCAACTTCATGCCCTCAAAAAATTAACTAATTATTCTACAGAATATGTATGATACCAAATTGATTACAATAATAGAGGTAGAAATCAATGTTACCCAAAGAGTGTACCCAGGAGTCTAGGTTATTTTCTTTAAACAATCTTAGCTAGCCCTTAATGATTTTTGCTGGCCCAGCTGCATTTTGTAGTGATACTGATTTAGATCAATGTCACTCTACTACTAGGTATAAGGTCCAAAGATGTTTATTATGTTTATACCTGGCAAATTCTATTGTGTGCATGCAGTAGTGATGGACAGTATCCCACAGAATAAAGAGACAAATTTCAGTCTGTAGGAGATTTTTAAAACCAAGAATTAGTAAGAGTTTACATCTTTATTGTTGTAGGTCTCAAATCAGTTTTTATTCAATTTATTTAAGGAAATCCTAAAAATTAAAAACATACCTGAGACAGTTTTTATAAATAATATATACTTCTAGAGAAAATTCTGGGTTAATTATTCAGCACAATATTTATACGTAACCTCCACTCTCTGTGTATTTTAAGAGTTCATTTTGAAACTGCTCTAATAAGCATTTTCGTAATAAAGAACAAGTTATTATTAGATGTAAAGGCATATTGTCTGTGAATATTTGTATTCTTGTCTTTGGAGATTAGTGAAAATTAGTGAAGTGGAGATTAGTGAAAATTAGTGAAAAGTATAGAATTCTGTACATAGATTATAATTTTCTTGATACAGAAAGTTAACAGACCTTTAGGAAAAAACAAATCCTATTTTACCATAATCTTATTAACTAATAGATTTCCTCTCTGGATGAGCCACTAGAGGCATTTGTGAGGAATTTTTAAACTGCCCTATTCCTAGGAATCACCTAAAATGCTAGTTTAAAAAATCTGATTCAAGAGCAAAATGGTATAGCCACCTTGGAAAACAATTTGGCAGCTTCTCATAAAGTTAGACATAAACTTTTTGTATGACCCGGCAAACCCACTCGTGGGTATTTACCCTGGAGAAATGAAAATTTATATCCTCAAAAAAACCTGTACATAAATGTATATAGCAGCTTTATTTGTAATTGTCCAAACCTAGGAACAAAGCAAATGTGCTGTAATGGATGAATGGATCAACCAAACCTGCTCCATCGCCACAGTGGAGTGCTCCTCAGCAACCAAGGGGAAGGCACCACGGATACATGCAACAGCTTGGATAAATCTCAAAGGCATCACGAGGAGATGGAGCCAGTTCCGAAATGTAAGATGTTATATGTTTCCATTTATTTATATTCTTGACAAAAACCGTAGTAATGGAGAACAGAGCAGTACTGTAGGGGTTAGTTATAGGGATGTAATCACAAAGGGATAACATAGGGACCTTTTGGGGAATGAGGAAACAGTTTTGCATCCTGATTATGATGGTGGTTCCATGAATCTGTACATGTATTAAGCCTCTTAGAACTTCATACCCCCCAAAATCAATGTTACTGCATATTAACAAATAAAGTCCAAGGCTCTCACACTCAAAGTATTTGACTTAGTAGGCCTGAAGCAGAGCTTAGGAATCTGAATTTTAACACCATAAACACAGATGCATGTTCAAGTAGTTCCAGCAAAGGTGATTCATACTTTAAAAAACATCATTTTAGAAGAAAATGCATTGGACTTAAAGTTAGAAGATTATAGTATCCTGCCAATTAATAGCTGTGTGACTTTGGATACTATTATCACTTGAATTGTGACCCCCTCCCAAATACGTCCTAAACCCCAGTAACTCAGAACGTGACCTTATTTGGAGGCTGGGTCTTTATAGAGGTAATCAAGTTAAAATAATGTCATTAGTTTGGGTGTTCCTCCAGTATAACCAGTGTTCTTTAAAAAAAAAAAAAATGAAAATTTGGACACAGAGACATGCACACAGGTAGAACACGTGAATATTACAGCTGAGACTGTGTTGAAGCATCTACAAGCCAAAGAATGCCAAAGATTGCTAGCAAACTGCCAGAAGCTGGGGAATAGGCATAGAACAGATTCTGTCTCACAGCTCACAGAAAGAACCAGCCCTGCACAGACCTTAATTTCAGACTTCTAGACTCCAGAACTGTGAGACAATAAGTTTTTCTGTTGTTTAAACCAACCAATTTGCAATACTTTAATATGACAGCCCTAGAACAACTTTCTTATTGATCTCCTCAGGAATTATTGAAACTAAGTGAGATAATACCTGTGCATTAGTTAAGAACTCAGTTGAGAAATCACAAATACCAATGACTTAAGCAATATAAGAATTTGTTTCTTTCTTTGAGAACAAAAATACACTGAGTAGGCAGGTCCAGATTTGTGTGGTGGTTTGATATTATCAGGGACTAAACCTGCTTCTGCTTTTTTATTCTTTCATCCTTATGTTATGAACCTTCTCCTCATACTGGTAATATGGATGCTGAGTTCCGGCAAATACATCATAGTCCCTTGCAAAAGGAGAAGGGCAAATAGCAAAAGGAACAAGAGTAAAAAAAGAAAACAAGTAAAATCCCTGTCCTTTAAAAACTTCCAAAGTCCCACTCAGTAACTTTCAATTACATCAATTCTGTTTTATTGGTTGGTACTTACTGACTTATCTTCAAGGGAGTCTGGGTAGTTCATTACAGCTGATAAGATTGAACCCGCCTCCCATTTCCAGGTTTTAGCTTTCTTAGTAAAGAAAGAGAGAATGCATATCAGAGGGGAAAAGTATATAAAAGCAATCTGTAAATTATTTCACATTCCTCAATTGGAATACAGTATTATTATTTCTTTATGTGCCTTTAAAAACATATCTGTAGGCTAGGCATAGTGGTACATGCCTATAGCCACATACTCAAGAGGCTGAGGTGAGAAAATCGCTTGAGCCCAGAAGTGGCTGAGTGAGAGTTCACTCAGTGGGTCCAGAGGCTGCCATGAGCCGTGATCGTACCTCTGCACTTCAGCCTGGGTGACAGAGCAATGCTCTGTCTCAAAAACAAACAAATGAAAACCCTCTAATTATAATGGAAAAAAATTCACATTTGAGGACATGTTGTTTTCAATGTCAAATGCTATACTTACCCTCTAAACAAGTCATTCCCAATTTTTTCTCTTCAGGACCCTCTTACACTTTTAACACTGTTAAAGCACCCAAAGAGTTTTTGTTTAAATACATTATATTTCTTGATATATGTACCATTTTAGAGATTAGATTATTAGATTAAACATGAATATATACCATAGTAGAGATTAAAAGTTAGTGGTTTCACATACAGATTTCTTATTTCATTTAAAAATAATAAACCCCATTACATATTAACATAAATTTCATATTTTTATGAAAATTAACTATATTTTCAAAAAAAGCAAGTGAGAAGAGTGGTGTTGTTTTACATTTTTGCTAATCTCTTTCATGCCTGGCTTAATAGAAGACAGCTGGATTCTCATAACTGATCCTAAATTAAATCGAATATGATATGTTGTTTTGGTTAAAGTACATGAAGAAAATCTGATTTCACAGAGATACGTAGTCAAAAAAAGGAAAAGAATTTAAGAGCCTTTTCAAATAATCATGGATATCCTTCATTAATACTACATCAACACTTAATAGGTAGTAATTTCTTAAAGATTACTTGCAATGTGGAATCTAAAATCATTACGATCAACTTTCACACTCTATTACATTAAAATTGAGCAGTCTACCTTTCACTTTGAATGGATCTCTTACTCATGTGTGATTTTAATTTCATAGAATCCTGAAAATGTCTCAGAAACCCGCAGGGGTCCACAGACTTTGAAAATGATTGCTTTAAATAAATCATTAGGATTATTCACTTTGAAGTTTGGGTTGTTCTAATTCTGCAATTAATAGAGTTTTAGAGATGGGAAAAGTTTATATTGGCCAACCAGAATCCTCATTTTATAGATAAAAATACAAGAATCAAGACGCTTTATCCTGATTACAATGACAGTTTATTAATTCATTCAAGTATTTACCAAGCACCATTATGTGCAGAGCTAGAAACAGAAGCCAACTCCTCACCAATGCTCTTTCTATTAATACATATTGCATATGCTCTGCTTTCATTTATAACTGAGGCGCCTCAGATCTAACTTTTGTATTTATTAGTTTTTTTTCCACTTTCCTTCCTTGTGCTTGAGTTTTTAAGATAAAGACAGATAAACTGGTGCCTTATGACAACATGCAACTTACAACATTTCTTGTTCTTAAATTCCCAGTAGTAATTTTACATGTAATAGGGACATTTTTGTGAAACTGAATATTAGGACTTGAAAGACTGTGGCAGGTGTATATTTCTCATTGAATCCCATATACTCCTCTTAATTTCCCAGCTACTATGAAGTTAGGGTTGCTATTAATATACGAGGCAGACATGACACATGCCACTTCAAGAGGAATGCATTTAAAAGCTGGTGCACTAGAATAATCTCTCTTTTCTCTTGCCTAGACAGACATGGAGGTCTTGAAATGAGACGTTAAGCCACAGTTTGGAAAACAAAATCTGGATTTTTTTAACTTACTACATGCAGGAACCTGATTTAGAAATACTATAGACTTTGAATGATAAATAACTTTTGTTGTATTTAGCCACTGATAATTTATTTATTACTATAACATAGCCCAGCCTTCCCTGACTAATATAAAGGCAGAACTAAGAAGATTAATTCAACGTGATTAGAAATAATAAAATGCATTGTTTAATTAAATGTTTTGAGCCTGATAACAGTTCTAATTCTCAGTACAGCTGTTTTCTGTTTTCTTCTGGGGGAAGGAGGAAAAGAAGATGAATTAAAAATCAGGAGATTGTACTTTCTACAATGAGGTGAAGCAATAATAACCCTCACATAGCCTTAAAAATAAACAGGAAATTAACCAAAAGCAGGTAGGTTCATAAAAACACAGATTGAATTTAAACTCTCACTTGATCTTTTAATAGTATAAAAATTCTAAATTCTCATTAACTGACTCAAATTCATGATAAGGATGAGATATTAAGTAACCATATTACAAGCAAAACAAAACAAACAATAAGCAAAGTCTGTTGGCTAGAATCAGAGCCATAGCTTCCCTCATGAAATTTTGTCTCTCATCATCTGACAAAGGAAGAAATATGTTTGTGTTCTTTTGTGAAAGAGGAATTTGTATTATTTAGGCTTTGAACTCTAGCTGAATGAGCCCCTTCAACAAGCAAGAAGGTAACCCATGTTCACTGAATGAATGTTTTTACTCGAGAGCATCCTGAGTGTAATAAAGTCATGCAGGCCTTCAACCTGAGTTACTGAAATGTGCTGTCTTTTGAGTCATTCTATGTAAAATGTTAGTAATAGTTTACAATTCTGATTTTCTATATATTAGTTTTCTATTGCTCCCATAACAATTACCACAATCTTCATAGCTTAAAAACACACATTTATGGCCAGGTGTGGTGGCTCACACCTGTAATCCCAGCACTTTGGGAGGCCGAGGCAGGTGGATCACGAGGTCAGGAGATCAAGACCATCCAGGCCAACATGGTGAAAGCCTGTCTCTACTAAAAATAAAAAATGAAAAAATAGCTGGGTGTGGTGGCACGTGCCTGTAATCCCAGCAACTCAGGAGGGTGAGGTGAGAATCGCTGGAACCCAGGAGGCAGAGGTTGCAGTGAGCCGAGATCATGCCAGTGCACTCCAGCCTGTCTAGAGATCGAGACTCTGTCTCAAAAAAAAAAAAAAAAAAAAAAATTATCGTATGGTTCTATAGGTTAAAAGTCTAAATTCTGGCCGGGCGCGGTGGCTCACGCCTGTAATCCCAGTACTTTGGGAGGCCGAGGCAGGCGGATCATGAAGTCAGGAGATCGAGACCATCCTGGCTAACACGGTGAAACTCCGTCTCTACTAAAAATACAAAAAAAATTAGCCGGGCGTGGTGGTGGGCGCCTGTAGTCCCACTCGGGAGGCTGAGGCAGGAGAATGGCGTGAACCCAGGAGGCAGAGCTTGCAGTGAGTCGAGATCCCGCCACTGAACTCCAGCCTGGGCGACAGAGCAAGACTCCGTCTTAAAAAAAAAAAAGTCCAAATTCAAGGGCTAAATTCTAGGTATCAGCAGGCCTCATTCCTTTTTGGAGGCTCTAGTGGAGAAGTCTTTGCCTTTTCTAGTTTCTAGAAGCTACTCATATTCTTCAGACCATGGTCCTCTCTCCATCTTCAGAGCCAACAAGTTTGTATCTCTCCAACTCTTCTTATGTATTCATGGCTCCCTCTGACTACACAGGGAAGAGGTCCCCTGCTTTTAAGAATTCATGGGTTAGGCCGGGCGCAGTGGCTCATGCCCGTAATCCCAGCACTTTGGGAGGCCGAGGTGGGTGGATCACGAGGTCAGGAGATCGAGACCATTGTGGCTAACACAGTGAAACCCCGTCTCTACTAAAAATACAAAACAACTAGCCGGATGTGGTGGTGGGTGCCTGTAGTCCCATCTACTCGAGAGGCTGAGGCAGGAGAATGATGTGAACCCAGGAGGCAGAACTTGCAGTGAGCCGAGATCGCGCCACTGCACTCCAGCCTGGGCGACAGAGCGAGATTCCGCCTCAAAAAAAAAAAAAAAAAAAAAAAAAAAAATTCATGGGTTAAAATGAGTCCATCTGCATATTTCAGAATAACGTTCCCATTTCAAAGTCTTTAATTTTAATCACATCTGCAAAGTTCTTTTTGTCACGTAGGGTAACATATTGATGTGTTCTAGGGATTAGGACTTGGACATCCAAGGGGTAAGAAGAGGACATTCTGCCATCTATATTTTATAAAGAACCTGATCTCTAGAAGAAGCGCTTCACCTAGAACTCAGAGACCTCTCTATAGACATACCCCTTACTTCAGGCCAAATGTGGGCAAATATTTAACTTTTCTGGGCTTTGCCAGGCAAACTATAGTTAATAATACCTTAGCTGGCTGAAGGTACAAAAGTGGACAGCATGATTTCATGTGGGTTCCTTCTTGCTACAAAATCTGTAATTATATTATTTTAATATGGAAACTCAAGTCTATATTTGGGAGAATACAGAAGCTTAATCAAGTAGAAGAATAATTTAACAAAAATGAATAAATGGTAACATTTATTCATTTATCTATTTTCCTGTTAAGTTTCCCAGTCTCTCCTTCTTCTACTTGATTAAGCTTCTAAATTTCCCCCTACCAGCAATCTTCCTTATCAAATTCAATCTTACCATGTTCATTTCACTTGGGGCAATATTCTGTATCAGATGAAAGGAGAAAATGATAAATCAGACAAATGAATTAATTTAGCTAATAGTTTAACAAGCTTGTTTATTGTGCCTTAATTATACAAATAGATTACCTCCAGGAGGAACCTGGATGGCAGGAATTCCAACAGAATGGTCATCACATAACTGATGGATTCCTCAAATCTCTCCCACCAGTTGCTCTGTGGAAACTTGGATGCAAGAGCGATCAGGAGTACAAATGTTAAAGTCAGACTTACGTTTCAATCCCTTCTCTTCTACTTACAAGTTATATTTCAGACAAATTTCTTAACCTCTCTGAGCCTCAACTGCATTATCTATAATAATATCTAATTCACAGTGTTGTTATAAAGGTTAAGTCAGATAACGTGTTTAAAGTGGCTACAATCATAACTTGCATAAAAGTACATTCAATAAACAACGAGTATTGTAGATATTTTTGTTGCTCCTGCTTTACTATATTGACCAGCCTTCCCAATGGACTGATGCAGTCAGGTCTCTCAATTCTTCCACATTCAACCACCAAGAATTCATTGAGCATCCATTTGTGCAAGGTGCTGAGGATGTATAAGACAACCACATCGATAAATTGCCTTACATAGTGGAGCTTGCATTCTAATCAAGGGGAAATAGACAAAAACAAAACAATACAAATGAAAAAACAGGAACATACAAACAATATTATTTCAGATTGTGACAAGTGCAGTGAAGGAGAGAAAGACGGTAATGTGACCATGACTAGTTGGGTAGGGTGGAGAGGAGATATGGGATGGTCAGGGAGAATGCAACTTAGGATATGACATTTCAGCTGCCACCCAAAAGATAGATCTGAGCCAGGAAAGTGAACAGCAAATGTAAACAAACCGAGACAGGACAGAGGATCATGTGTTGGAGAAACAGGAGTCTTGTAGGCAATGGTGAAAGTGGTAGGAAATGATGCTGAAGAATGGGGCAGGGGCCAGATTATTCAAGGTGTTAGGGCCTTGAGTAAACACTGAGGATTTTACTCTAAAAGTAATGACGAAACATCAAACTATGATACTTAAGGATAACGTGCCTTCATATGCAATTTTACCAAATGATAGAGGGAATAGATTTGAATGTAGAAGGAAGAGATGGGTTGACAAGAGTGGAGTCAGAGAGACTAGGAGGTTATTTCTGTATTCCTGAGAAAAGATTACAGAGGTTAAACATAGGATGACCTGTGTTTAATCTGTTAGGAGTGGCTGACATATTAAAGATAGGCATATTCATCACAGAACAGTAAGATTTGCATTATATTGGGACAGTGAAGTAAAATTTATCCTAGAAAGAGAACCTTCAAGGATGTTTCATTGGGTTTTGGCTCAAATTTATGGGTGGAGGGCAGTGGCATTTACTTCATTAGATAAAGAATAGAAAAGGAACAGGGTTAGAAGGTGGTTGGAAAATAGGGACCAGAGTTCACTTTTGGACATATTTATGAGCTATTAGACCTAATGACAACATGACAGGGGGTCAAAGAAGATCTCTAAGTCAGTCAGAATGACAATCAGTTCCCCTCTAGTCTGTGTGCCTTCCTTCTTGTATGCCAGTAGCTTCCTTGACACACCTGTCATGGATGCATCTCCCTGTCCTGATGATTGTGCTGGTTCCTCAGGCCCTACTGGTCTGTGAGTGAGCTCCTTGGGTACATCTTTGCATCTCTAGGTAAGACTCCATGCCTAGCCTAATGTAATAGCCCAAAATCATGCCCTCCATATAAATGAATGTATTGGTGCTTTGTACTTTAGCTTATCATTTCTAAGTCCAAGGATTCCATTCTCTATTAGAAAAGTGTCTTCTCTGAAGATAACAAGGGTCTGCTCCAATGTCCCCAATAAGTTATCTATTATTAATGGTTTCTATCCTTTCATATGTGCCCAAACAATGTTACCAGTAATTTTATCAACAAATCCAAAATTCTAATCTTTAATGGAATGGAAAATTGTTTTCTTGTGGCCCAGGAAGGAGATGATTAGGAATCCAGTGTAATGCAGGGAGAAGTACCCAGAAACACAAATTTTCCACTTGGTTTATGCAACTGGACAGGACGTTGCGTGTCTTCAGGAAGGGAAATATGGTATTTACAGTGAAGGGAAAGGAATGATCCATATAGTGAATAGTCTTACAGTTTTCATAATATATTTCTCTGAACATGAATCAGAAGAAAGTCTGCTTGATATATGGAATTAATGGTAAAATCAGGGTAGAAAATTTTGACTACATGCAATTCCTTTTATGGAGATTCACAATACCTATTAAAGGTTCTAGGAAGTCTCAATGACTCCTGTTTAATGCTGACTGGCACAGAATTTTCCAATTTTATTTGATCTCACAATACTTTTCATTTTTAATAACACTTTCAAAGTGCCTTAGAACTAGTGTTTTTGGAACATGCAGAGCTGACACAATCATGTCAGTGATTGATGAAAAGGCAGACCCAAGCCAAGAATGCATACACTTTAATGCAAGTAAAGTATATAATAGATATATCTGCAGAACAGGGACACAACAATGCTACCTTCACAGCTATACAAAAGGGCAAGAATTCCACCTGATGGGACTGAGCATTCCATGAAGCTCCTGAGAGCGCCTCAACTGTTCTGCATACTGGCTCCACACCTGCCTGCTCACCAGGTGAAGTACATTGCAGCTTATTCCCGAAAGTTCAGCACTCAGATGTATATCTCTTCTGCCATGCCTAAAGCCTGCACTTGCAATCCAGCCTCTGGTCTCAGATCAATATCTCACAGTATTAACTCAGCAGGCTCGTCTTTCTTTGTCATTGTAAGACACATCTTATACCTCAGCCAGAGTAGAGCAAATGCTCCTTACTAATACTTCAATAACTACTTGAACTAGTCAATGAGAGGATAGTATTGTTCTAATTAAACAAATAAAAGTAGTCCACTTTTAGTCCACTTTCCCTTTAATCATTTGACTTAACCCATTTTTTCACCTATGAGAAACTGGGCTCCTACTAAATTGGCTCCTATTGACCTATATGATCTTCTCCAGCAGCTTATAGCATTTTACTCTTTTCAAGCATTATTATAGACTCATGACCTTTTCCAAACTCGATTGGTTCAAAATAATGGTATTGTTTTCCTTTAGACATTCAAATTATCAGTATTAGTAAACCAGCAGCATTCACTTCCTGTTTTGTCTTTTCTGACACTGCTGAAGGCTCTTCCTCTGTCTCTCTGAAAGTTTCTTGCTTTCTGTTGAGATGTCACAGCTCATCTGGGCTTTGCTTGTCCCAAGACATAAAATTGGATTCTGAGTCTGGATTTTTTTTTTCAGTGGAGAACAATATTCTAGGTCAACATAATCAGCCAGTGGTGAATAAGTGTATGTGCCAATGATAAGTGGAGGAGGAACAGAGAAGCTGTCAGCCCTCTCATAAAAAAAAAATAAATAACCATTTTCTCAAAGAATAATGAGTCATGTTGATGCTTCCAATTAATATCTATATTTTTCCAGGTTTTATATATTCAATGCTTATTTTTTCCAGGTTTTATATATTCACAAAAGTATGTGTGGCATATATGTAAGGTGTGATGAGTATGTCTGTTTTAAGCAATAAAACACTCTAGAACCTTAAAATTTTGTGTGACCTTTCCTGATATCACCCTACTCTCTCCTCCAACATCTGAATGTAGTTACTATCAAGAAGTTTGTGTTTATCATATCCTTACTTTTTAAAAATAGTTTTACCACATATCCCTAGCAATGTATCCTTAAACAATACATTATCTTTATCTATTTATGAACTCTACAGAATATATATTCTTCTGCAGCTTGATTTTTGCTCAGTATTGTTCTTGAGATTTATCCACATTGACACTTACAGATGAAGGTCATTTATCTTCACCACTATAGAAATTTGCTATTGTCTGACGATACAATAGTTTATTCCTTGGCAGAAGAAAATTTGGGTTGTTAACCAATGTTTTATTCTTAAAAATGTTGCTATTAGGTGCATTACTGTACTTATCTCTGAGTATATATATCAAATAATTTATTTTAGGTATGTGTCTCAAAATGGAATTTCTCCAATGAAAATACATGCCCATTTTTACCTTCTTTCGATACAATCAAATGCTTTAGATTATCTTTTTAAATTTTACATTGTCACCAGCAAAGTATAAAGTATCCACTTGCTTTCTATTTATGCTTGTTCATCTTTATCATTTGTGCTAACTAGATAAATGTGGTATGATATCTTAAAATTTTTGATATACACTTTCCTGAATATGGGTGAAATTGGGCATCTTTTCCTATGCTTATTAACCACTTGGGTTTCCTCTTCTGTGAAGTCGTGGTGTCTCATAGGACCAGTGCTCCATCTGGTTCTTAATTCTTCAGGAATGTCTTTGCTTTTCCATGTAAATGTAAGGCTCAGCTAGACAAGTTGCACTGCAATGGCTTGGGATTTTGAACAGAATCTAGTACTTCTCAACCTGAGAAGAATAGTTATATTTTATACAATGTGTCTTTTATCCATAAACATGTCTCCATTCATCAGATCTTCCTTAATGACTTTCAATAAAATATGAAATTTATAATTTTCTCAATAAATGCCTTGAAAGTTTAAGTTGAATTATGTCTAGGCATTTAACATTTTGTTCAGTTTTAATTGTATGTTTTTATAAATTACTTTTTTTATATTTATAAATGCAATTGTCTTAGATTCTATAACTAGAAACATTGTTAAGTCATCTCAATAGTTCTAATATATTACTGGTGAATGTTTTCTGTTTGTCTATACAGACAACTGTGTTACCTATGAATAATGATGGTTTTATTTTCTTCCTTCCTAATCCTTTTATTTTTTTCATGCTTTACTTCGCTAGCCAGGACAATTAATTCAATGTTGAATAAAAGTGATAATATCATTCTTTTATTGTTTCTAATCTAAAATGAAATACTTTAAGCAATTCTTTATTAATCTGATGTGCCTCCAGATTTATTTAGAGGCACAATTCACCTGGCCTCTAGGTGAATTCAGAAGTTCCCTTATGCATGAAAAGACAGTTAAAAATAAAAAGATATTAAAATTGCCCTTAAATACATGGAAAGACGTTCAACCTCACTCATGACTAACGAGATGAAAATTAAAACATTTCTTATCAGGCTTGTGACTATTAAAAATTATGACAATATAATCTGCGGGGAAGCTACTGGGGAAACAGGAACTGACATATATTGGTGGTAAGAATGCAAACCTGTGTGATGCTTCTCGAGGGGAATTTGGAAATACCAGCAATATTATATATACCCTTATCTTTTGACCCAGCTATTCTACTTGTAGGAATTCACCCTGAAGATACATCTCCAGCAACACCAAAATACATATGCAGCACTATTTGAAATTGTAAATTATTAGTAACAACCTAAATATCCTTATATAGGAGAATGGATTAAAAAACCATAGTAGATCCACAAAGTGGAGTTATATGAAGTTGTAAAAAATGAAATATCTCTATGAATAGATACAAACTTATTTCTCCGATATATTGTTGAATGAAAAAAGTAAAATGTAAAAGGTTATCTATTGTATGCTACCTTTACTATTAAAAGAAAGAGGAATAAGAAAATTTATATATCTTTTCATGTCTGGAAAAAGTAAAAAAAAATTAGAAAAGATAAACCAGAAATTAGTGAGACTGGTTACTGTGACAAGCTAATAATGGCTCCCAAAGATTTGTTCATGCCCTAATCCCCAGAACCTGTGATTATTACCTTAGTTGGGAAAATGGTTTATAAATATTATTTAGAATGTTTAGGTGGGAAGATTATTCTGGATTATCTGATTAGGCCTTAAATGTAATTACAAAGGTCCTTCTAAGAAAGAGGCAGCCTGGAGTTTCACTCAGACACACAGAGAACAAGGTGATGGGAAGGCATAAAAAGAGACTGGAGTGATGTGGCTACAGCCAAGGAACTCTAGCAATGCTGGGCAGCCACCTGAAATGGGAAGAAACTAGGATTTAATTCTCACCCAGATCCTCAGGAGACAGGGCAGAGGCTAGAATACATTCAGACATGGGATTGGAATAATCAGCATGAACTCATGATTTTAATATATATTTAAATATATATTTATAAGCAGACGTGTGTAAATATTAATATATATTCATAGTTATACTTTCTAGCTCAGTTTTGCTGATGGAGGCCTAAAAGCAGTAATACCAGTAACACCAAGTACATCTTGCACCCAGATCTTCATTTCTAATTATCATTCTCCAATAAAAAGAACTAGAGTTTCTTGAAGAAATGACTGATTCTCAGGCTGGACACATAAAGTACATGATGAGCCTGGAACATCTTTTCAGCCTAGAAAAGAAGAAAGTGCTCCAAAAAATGATGGGGATATTTTAGAAGGTCATAGGACGGAACTTGAAGTGGCACCCAATTATCAAAACTAGGACAATTTGAAGAATAAAAGATATAATGGGAGTAATGAATTATAACCCAGAGAGTATACAAATATTCACAAGTCTGTATTGAATATAAATACACGAATTAATAAATAAAAGGGGAGGAATAGAAGCTCTTCCTCACAGTTGAATTTCAATTATTAGACAAAGATATAATCTTGAAAATCAAAGATGACCATTTTAGCAAATCCCACAGTAATAATTTTTTGCAGTCAAGCATCATCAATGGATATTGAAAATTGCAGGCAAAAGTGTGGTGGGAAACAGAATATTTACACAGTCAAAAAGTATTTCCACAAGACACCTATTTAGAAAGAGGAAAATAGTATCTTTACAATGAATAAAACCCCAGCAAACCCTACCTTAATGAGTTGAATAAAGATAACATTCTCATTAAGGAGACATATCAATATTGTAAGTTTCCTAGTAGGATGTACACAGATGGTACCTCGCCTCTGTGATGTTCTTGCTAAAAATGTGAAACCTGAGTTTAACAATTGGGAGTCATAACACAAACCTAAATTAAGGAACATGCTACAAAATACAGACACACCTCAGGATATTGTGGGTTTGGTTCCACATCATTGCAATAAAGTAAATATAATGATAAAGGGAGTCACAAGAATATTTTGGCTTCCTAGTGCATACAAAAGTTATGTTTACACTATATTGTAGTCTATTAAGTATACGATAGCATTATGTCTACAAGAACAATATACATGCTTTAATTAAAACTTACTTCATTGCTAAAAAAAAAAAAAAAAAAGACAGTAACAATCCTCCGAGCCTGCAGTGAGTCATAATCTTTTTGCTGGTAGAGGGTCCTGCTTCCACGATGCTGGCTGCTGACTTATCAGGGTGGTAGCTGTTGAAGGCTGAGTGATTGTGGCAATTTCTTAAAATAAAACAACAATGAAGAGGTTTACTGCATAGATTGAATCTCCTTTTACAAAAGATTTCTGTGCGGCATCCCATACTGTTTGATACAATTTTACTCAGAGTAGAACTTCTTTCAAAATTGGAGTTAATCCTCTCAAACCTTGCCACTGCTTTATCAACTACATGTATGTAATATTTTAAACCTTTGTTGTCATTTCAACAATGCTCACAGAATCTTCACTGGGAGTTGATTTTATCTCAAGAAACCACTTTCTTTGCTCATCCATAAGAAGCAACTCCTCATCTGTTACATTGAGTCATGAGATTGCAGCAATTCAGTCATATGTTCAGGCTTCAGTTTTAATTCTATTATTTCTTTTTTATTATGTTTAATTATTATCAGTACATAATAGTTGTATATATTTATGGGCCATATATGATGTTTTGATACAGGTATACAATGTGTTATGAAGAAATCAGGATAATTGAAGTATTCATCACTTCAAGCATTTATCATTTCTTTGTGTTAGAAATATTTTGATTCTACACTTAATTATTTTAAAATATATGATATTATTATTATAGTCACCCTATTGTGCTATCAAATACTAGATCTTATTTATTCTCTCTAACTGCATTTTTCTACCCATTAACTATCTCCAATTTATCCCCACCTCCCTGTCACCCTTCTAAGTCTCTGGTAACAATCATTTACATTTGCAGTGACTTCCTCCACCAAAGTCTTGAAGTCCTCAAAGTCATCCATGAGAGTTGGAAGCAACTTCTTCCAAGTTCCTTTTAAGGTTGATACTTGACCTCCTCCCATGAACCATGAACGTTCTTACTGGTGTCTAGAAGGGTGAGACATTTTTAGAGGTTTTCAATTTACTTTGCCCAGATCCATCAGAGGAATCATTATCTATGGCAGCTATAGCCTTACAAAAATATTTCTTAAATAATAAGACTTGACAGTCAAAATTACTCTTCGGTCCATGGGCTACAGAATGGATGTTGCATTAAAGCAACATTAATTTCCTTCTACATCACAGCTTTTGGATGACCAGGTGCATTCCTTCTACATCTCCATCGCAGCTTTTGGATGACCAGGTGCATTGTCAATGAGCATTAATATTTTGAAAGGAATCTTTTCTCCCTAGTAGCAGGTCTCAACAGTGGGCTTAAAATATGCAGTAACTACGCTGTAAACATATGCTGGAGTCAAGTTGTTTCATTTATAGAACACAGGCAGAGTAGATTTAGAGTAATTCTTAAAGAAGCCCTAGGATTCTCAGAATGGTAAATGAGAATTGGTTTCAACTTAAAGTCGCCAGCTGCGTTAGCCCCTACCAAGAAAGTTAACCTGTCATTTGAAGCTAGGCATTGAATTCTCCTTTCTAGCTATGAAAGTCCTGGATGGCAGTTCCTTCCAATAAAAGATAATTTTATCTAAATTAAAAATCTGTTTAGTGTAGCCACCTTTATCAATTGTCTTAGCTAGATCTTCAGATAACTTGCTGCAGCTTCTCTACCAGCACTTGCTGTTTCACCTTGCACTTTTATGTTCTGTAGAGACCTTCTGTCTTTAAACCTCCTGCACCAACCTTGCTAGCTTCAAACTTTTCTTCTGCAGCTTCCTCCTCTTTCTCAGCCTTCACAGAATTGAAGAGATTTAAGGTCTTTCTCTGGGTTAGGCTTTGGCTTAAGGGAATGTTATGGCTGGTTTGGTCTTCTATCCAAACCACTTAAACTTTCTCCATATCAGCAATAAGGCTACTTACTTTCTTATCATTCATGTTCACTGAAGTAGCACTTTGAATTTTTTTCATGAACTTTTCCTTTACATTCACAACTTGGCTACCTGGTGCAAGAGGTCTCGCTTTCAGCCCATTTCAACTTTCTACATGCCCTCCTCACTAAGTTTAATTATTTTTAGCTTTTGATTTAAAGTGAGAGACCTGAAACTCTTCCTTTCACTTGAACACTTAGAGGACATTGTAGGGTTGATAACTGGCCTAATTTCCATACTGTTGTGTCTCAGGGAATAGAAAGTCCAAGAAAAGGGAGAGAGACAGAGAAAACCAGTCAGTGGAGTAGTCAGAACACATACAATATTTAGTAAGTTTGCAGTTTTATATGGGCATTGATCACAGAACCTCTAAATAATTAACAGTGACATCAAAGATCATTGATCATAGATCACTGTAGCATATGAAATGAAAAAATATAAAATATTGCAAAAATTACTAAAATGTGACACAGAAACATGAAGTGAGCATATACTATTATAAACATTATACCAATAGACTTTCTCAATGCAGGGTTGTCACAAAACTTCAATCTGTAAAAAACACAGTTATCTGTGAAGCGCAATAAAGCAATATGCAGTAAAACAAGGTGTGCCTATAACTGGCCATTATTCTTCAAAAGTATCAAGTTTATAAAAGCAAAGAAAAAACTGAGAAACGAATAGTGACAAAGGAGATATGAAAAATAAATCAGTGTCTGGTTCTGGATTAAATTCTGTCTCAGAGAAAGTAAATTAGTGGGATAATTGATGACATTTGAATAAGGACTGTAGATTACTCAATAAGTATTGTATTGATGTTAACTCCTGTGTTTTGATAGTTGCACTTTGGTTATGTAAGATCTTAACATTTGGATAAGCTGAGGAAGTGTATACAGAAATCCTTTTGCAAGTTTTTGGTAAGTTAAACTTGTTTCATAAGGAACAATTTCTTAATTAAAAATTTAAAAGTTCTCATTTATTCTTCATTTGCTAATATTTTTAATTGAAATATTCAATTTTGAATTTTATTCACAAGAACAAGATCATGTCCTTTGCAGGAACATGGATGGGGCTGGAGGCCATTATCAAACTAACGCAGGAGCAGAAAACCAAATACCGCCTATTCTCACTTATAAGTGGGAGCTAAATGATGAGAACACTTGGACACATAGAGTGGAACGACACTCTCTAGGCCTCTCTATAGGAGGGTGGAGGATGGGAGAAGGGAGAGAATCAGGAAAAATAACTAATGGGTACTACACTTAACACTTGGGTGATGAAATAATCTGTACAACAAAACCCCATGACACAAGTTTACCTATGTAAGAAACCTGCACATGTACCCCTAAATGTAAAAGTTAAAAAATAATTTTTTTAAAAAAAAAGAGAATTGTATCAAATGATTTCCCTGCATCTATCATGATGGTAGTATTTTTTTCTTTCATCGGTTAGTATGGTAAACTACTTAGGTACATTATTTTACTTTTCTAGCGCTAATCAAAACTCGCACTCTTGGCATAAAACAACTTTGTCATCAAATATTATCTTTTCAAATATTGCTGTATTGGTTTTGGTCTTGTTTGGAATTTTTGTATCTGTATTAATGAGTAAGATTGGCTGTCATATTTCTCTCTTGTACTGCTCCTGCTTGTTTTGTTTCAATTTCGTAATATCTTCTCAAAGCAAGTTGGAGGGTTTTTACTTTTGTTTGTACACTGAATTCATCTGAATATTATGTTTTACTATATTATAGTCCATTGTTCTATTTCAGAAATATCTCTCTTCCCTAGCCCTGTACTTTCTGAAAACAGTATGCTTTCTGACCCCGCTGCTGTGGACTTGGTCACGTGACTTGCTCAGTCTAATGAAATGTGAGTGGATGTAATATGTGCCACATCCAAGAAGGAGCCATAATACAACTGGATACATATGCAGTCTTTCTTCTTCCTGTGTCCCCTATGGTGAGAAAGGCATATCCAGGATAGAGAAAGTTTCCTCAGTTTGAGTCCCAGAATTAGAAGACACATGTAGAAGACATGATTCTAAAGCACAGCTAGAGAAGAGCTACAGCAAAGCTGCAGCAAAATAATATTATCATGTGAGCAAGAAATATGACATGCTGCATAAGACACTGCTACTTTAAGATTTCTTGTATGTAGTATAACCTGGCAAAAATTGACTAATATTCTATGCCTTAAATATTTTGTAGAACTTACATATAAAATAGTTTCGGTGGTTTATTTATGGGGAAGTTTTAAAATACTGATTAAATTTCCTTAATGGTTATAAGACTATTCAAGATTTCTATCTTTTCTTAAGTCAATTTGATAATAAAATTCTTAGAATTTCATCTATATTTTCAAGCTTACTGATACAACTTTTTCTATATCTTCTTTTTATCTTCCTGATGACAGTAGAACTTAGGTACCAGTTTGTATTCCCTCATATTGCAAATTTGAGCCTTCTTTCTTTCTCTCATTTTTTGTTTTCCTTTTTTTTTGGAAACGGGGGTGAATGTACCTAGAGATTTGCAAATATATTACTTTTCCAAGAGCCATTCTTTAGCTTTGTTGATTTTATGAGGCAGAATTAGCTTAGATGACAGAGACAAGGAAATTCCAATTAACAGTTGCTTGATAAATGTAGAATTTTATCCCTGTCTCCCAGAAAGTTCAGACAGGGATCTTTAAGTCAGACTAGTGCCTTTATTCATGGAGACCTTAAGTATTAGGTTTATTCCAGTACATCATTTTACCTTTGTTCTCATGGTCCAAAAGAGAGGAAAAGCAAAGTAAGAAAGGAGCAAAGACATTCAGTAGCTCTCTTTGAAGGAAGATTCTCCAAAGCTTCTACAGAACATGTCCACTTACTCATGATTGGCCAGAATATATTCCCATAACTATACCTAGTTGCAATTGCATTTATTATCAAAGTGTATTCCCATAATTACACCTAGTTGCAATTGCATTTATTATTCTAGGCCACCTTATGCCTATCTAAATATTGGATGCTGTATTAATAAGAATAAAAATAGAATAGATATTAAGGAAAAATTATTAATCCTTGTAATTACTGCTTGTAATTGATCTTTACTATTATATATAAATTTTCTAATTCTGCTCTTATTTTGATTAACTTTCCTTCTTCAAAACTTGAAGTTAATCTTGTTGCTCATATTTTTACCAGTAAAAATAGCTAATTAATATTCAGAATAGAAGAGGTTGGTACAAATTTTTTTGCATCTTATAGTTTAAAAACATATGATTACCCTTGTAACTTATGTCTATTAAATATGAAATTGAAATAAATATTAGCTCTCTAACACCCAAATTCATCTTATTTTCTTCCAACTATTATAATAATTTATTACGTTCCAGAACAAAGACTGGCCATCTTTGTAACTTCAAGAATTTTTATTTTCATTTCCTACTTCTCTGCATTTTCTAACTTTTCTTCAATAAAAATCTGTTGCATTTTAATCAAGAAAAAAATATTTAACCAAAGATAATGAAAATCAAAGATAATGAAAATTATCTATAAAATATTAACAAAAGTTATAACTACTACCCCATATAGAACAAAACAAAAATGAGCAAGAAAACCAAATAAAATTGAGATATATATTAGAAAAAGAGAATTAAATTGAATCGATTAAATTAATACTAGAAAATTGTCATGATTAGCCTCAAATAAAAATATATTAAATTCAAAATATCTTGACACATTAATTAGTAAAGAAAATATAAGTAATGATGACATTGCTGATTGCAAAAGACATCAGATCATATTGAATTGTCTAACGTGTCTCTATTGCTTCCTGATTCCCCTGATTTATGCCAAATATACCCTGTGGCAACAAACCAGTCATGGGACCACACAACATTTATTGGACGTCTACAATCACAGCCAAATCAATATTTCTCAGTCGTATTGCTAACAGAAATGCTGATTAACAGCCACCTAAGTGAGTCTTATTAGTGTATTTACTCAGACAGAAAATTAGCAAATTCCATTTACCCAAATCATTATCATACGCTCATCGAACACCTAATCAATGACCATCTCCTTCTCTCTTCCTCTGTGAGGTACTGCGTCTCTTAAGTTAGAATTCCATTTCCTAAAGTACTCAACATCCTTTGTCATTATTGACCAATTTAAACATTTGGCATTATAACCTGCAGAACACCCTGGGAACTGCACACATAAAGTTCTGAGAATTTATAAACAGATGAAGTGTTTTCTCAGGAATACAAATCAAATAGGAACTAACTGTTAGAAAGGTAAAGACAGCCAAATCTGGAAATTGTAAAAAATATAAATTTTAATTTTATATTTTGGAAATTGCTGCAGGAATATTATTGAAAGTAATTTGTGGTTAAAGATACTGTAAAAAAAAAGTCCCGGTTTATGTAAAACATGTCTTAGCACATTAACAGAGAATATTACTTCTCAGGACATTAGACCAATTAGACTCATATGCCTTGACTTTTTTATTTTTTTGTACAGACATACAAATTTAAAAAATATATTCTTGCTAAGCCCATTGCCTCATGACTTCTGCCTACTGTTGTGTCTGTGTCTTTTCAGCATCTGCTTCTACTGCTAACACCCTCAACTTTCTCAGTATCTCTCATTTAAAGTTTCTGAGATAATCCCCAGGTTACTTGACCTTAAAGCCATTTTCCCAGCCTATTACTGTACTTTCCTTACATCAATATCCACATCCAATTCCATCACTTGTGATCAAGGCTGAGGTCATGCAGTACCAGTCAGGTAGCTTATTAAGGGACTACCTAGGGATACTTCCCTCATCGGGAAATGTGCAAGTTTCCTCAGAAGGGAACTGTGAGCATGGCAACCATTTTGAGGCTGGTTTTGCCTACTATGGGTGTGTGACAAAATCGATGGGCAGTCTTCCTGAAAGGACAAATTGTTATGTGAAGCAAAGACCAATCGAGACAACAGTTTCCCTGTACAGACATCTTTGTGAAAAAACATAACTCACTTGAGATAAAGGAGCATCTATTATTCTGGCCCATATCATTTCGGGCCTATGTGTTGAGAGAAGGGATTTCTGCGGGATTCTGTCAGAAGGGTAACGTGTTTTCTTTCTCTCACCCTCCACATATGTTTAGATAGGTAAATAGATAAATAGATATTTTTCACTTTCAGAATATGTTAATAAATGTGATGATATAATACAATTAATTGTTCCTAATATTAGTGTTCTGACTGCGCCCCCACCCCCCACAGTATTGGAATAGCTTGTGGAAGAAATAGCTACTATAAATTTAATTGGACAAACTTTTATTTCAGTTATCCTCTAGATTTATATCTTAGTCAACAACAATTGAGAGGTAGTAATTGTCTAAAGTCCTGAGTGGAGAAGAATTCTGAATACAAATCTAGGCTCAGTGGGAAATGGGGCAATGACTGTTCAGCAGTGTATGTCATGGGAACAAAAGGAGAGAGTGGCAGGGTATATGCTTGACTTGGCGCCTTGAACTTAGATGGCACCCCTGTGGTAGTAACTAAGATGATTTCTTAGATACGTTGAAAGGAAGGACCGGGCCTGGTGGCTCACGCTTGTAATCCCAGCACTTTGGGAGGCCGAGGCAGGCTGATCACCTGAGGTTGGGAGTTCAAGACCAACCTGACCAACATGGAGAAGCGCCGTCTCTACTAAAAATACAAAAACAAAAAAATTAGCTGGGCATGGTGGTGCATGCCTGTAATCTCAACTACTCAGGAGGCTGAGGCAGGAGAACTGCTTGAACCCAGGAGGCGGAGGTTGCAGTGAGCCAAGATCGCGCCATTGCACTCCAGCCTGGGCAACAGGAGCAAAACTCCGTCTCAATAAATAAATAAATAAATAAATAAATAAATAAATAAATAAATAAAAAAAATAAAAGAAAGATACTTTGAAAGGAAGAGCGGTAAACTAGCCAGAGAAGACTGGGTTTGGAGTTAGATTTTGTCTGAATATAGGCTCTGTAACTTTTATTTATGTTATATTTTACTTTTAAAAAAGTATAAAAATATTTTACTTTAATACAATAATATAATTTTACAATTTAATTTTTTTCAATATCTCATGAGCAGCTACTATGCATCAGTCATTGTTTTTGGTTATGGTAATAAAATGCTAAGCAAAAAAAGACATAAGCTCTGCCTTATAGATCAGTAAAACAATAATCAAACAATCATAAAAATAAGTACACATTACAATTGAGGATAACCATTAGGAAGATGTACCAGATGTCATAAAAGTTTACGGTGAGATGATATAGCTATTTAGTAACAGTGTGATCTTGGACAAGTTACTTAACCTCTCTGAGCCTCTATATAATGAGGGCTAAAAATACGTCATAGGGATTTGTAAAAATTAGCTGACAATATACCCAGTATATATAATGTGTATAGGTAGCTAATTTATATTATTATACCTTAAAACACACAATTTATAGAATATACACATGTCCATTGAAATATCCTATTTAGTGGTTGTACATGATGTATATTAGTTGCTATGGATATATGCAGACATTCTATTTTTTGGTTGCCCATATATATTCTATGAATTCCTTACAATCTATGTTAGCAGTGCTGCTTGACAGAGAAAATTGATATAATAACAGGAAACATACTACTTTCACCAAGAAAATGGAAGAATAATCAGCACTGATAATCACACAAAATTGCTAAGTGGAAAGAAGGTCCAAGAATGTGTTGCAAGATTGTGGACTAGCCCAAAGTATCAAGAAGAGAGGATACTTGCATTCGAGCCCCTTCTTCCTGGAAAATAAAGAATTTGTTCCACTCTACAATAAGAATAAGATGATTAAGATACTTAATAAGAAAAAGAAAAAATTTAGGTAGGGTAACTGGCAATTAGAACTTGTTGAACACAATGGGAAAGCAAGGGGAAAATGTTGAAGACAGGGGCAAGCAGAGATCCTCTTCATAACCCTTGGGAGTCTTGGCCATGTGAGTACACACTTCAGGGGCAGACATCACAGGTTCTAATCTCAACTTTGCTAATAACTAGTTGTATAACCTTTGGAAGGTTAGTTGTTAATTTTTCTGTGCCTCTCTCTTCTCATCTGTAAAATGGAAAACATATGATTTGCCTTATTGGGTTAAATGAAATGATATAACTAAGGTACTTAGCACAGTGCTTGGAACATATAAGTAGGTACTATATAAGCTGTAGCTACCATTACTGTTGATATTATTATTATTAATAAAGCATTTATAGACTCCTTTAGATGAAAGCACCACAATGGAAATAAAGGATGTTTTTCAGTAAGAAATCTAAGCTACTTCCACCTCTGATTTTTAGCCACCAATTAAAGTCAAAATTGTATCAGTTACATATGTTCTCAGCTACAAGTGACAGCTTTTACTTCCCCAGGAAGTATGATTTAATCAATAAAGACATTTAATTATCTTATATACGTAAGACTAGTGGTGAGGGTTTACTGATTTGGTACAGAACTGCAACAGTATCACACAAAACCAAGTCTCTTACTATCCTTCTCCTCTGCCATCCTCAGCTGATTGGCTTTTCCCCTCATGATAACAAGATGGCTATTGCAGCTATTAATGCAAACATATGATATCTGGCAAAGGGGAATGGAATTTTCATTACTTGGATCTAAACAGCTTGCCATTCTATACAAAACTGGAATTCTATTAAAAAAGAAGGAGATATGGCTGCTGGCAGGCAGCTAACAATGTCTAACACAATCTTCATGGTTTAAAAATGTTCTGGGTTGTACTTTCAAAGACAAATGAAATTACCTGTAGCAAGTTAAAGTATATGTAATATTTAGATACAAAGATCACAAGTGATTGGATGAAAAAAGACAGAAGCATTGTCAGTGCTTTGGGCAACTTTTCACAGTGAATTTTAAGCATAATGTGTGCACAAAAACATAAATTTATTTTCAGAAATGCAAATGAAGCACCTGGAATACCTGAAAATAACATAACTAGGTTTCTTATATTATCATTCCCGATCATATGTATTATCTGAGTTATAAAAAATGTTTTGAAATGATACTTAAACTCAACTTATCCTAATCCTTCTCTAAAAAACTATTCTCCTTTCTCTGCCTCCTTATAAAGCAAAACTCTGCAAAGTGGTGACTCCTCTGTCTGTACTTCCATTAATGCTGTTCTTTCTTGAATACTCTCCAGTAAGACTCATGACCATTGTTCCACCAATCTCCTCTTGTCAAGATCATCATTCACATCCATGCTGCTAAATGGAATGGTCACTCAATATCTGACACAGGTCATCACGCCCACCTTCAAACAGTTTCTTCAACTCCTAACACACTGGTGTTTTCTGCTAGTCCTCCTTTACTGAATCCTCCTTACTTTCTCAACTTTCAGATGCTGGAGAGCCTCCTTAGGATCCTGAAAGAATCAGACCTTTGAGCTTCTTCTCTTCTTCAGCCACACACACGCTCTAGATGGTGCATCCAGTCCAATTGCTTTAAATATCATCTGTAATGCCAAATACGTCTAAAATTAAATTTCCACTCAATACTTTTCACTTGAGCTCTGGAGTCCTGTATGTCAAATAGGCGTCTCCAACTTAGCACACCCAAACCTATTCTCCTGATCATTCCCAAACCCACCATCAAAACTTGACCCTTACATGGGGTGTTCCCTAGATTAGTATTTGATTCTACACTTCACCCAGTTGCTCAGGCCCTGAACTTTGAAATCATCCTTGACTCATTCTTCTCTTCCTCCTTGCTGTAGTATTTACTTGGAAAAAGATCAGAAGCTATTGGAGAATTTCGAACAGAGGAGTGAAATAATCTGATTTCCTTCTGAACCTTCTCCTTGATCATAACTGGATGAATTCAAATAGCTCTACAAAATGCCTATGTTTCTATTTATGGAACATATCCTCCATATATTGTTCATCTTTCTCTCTCTCCCTCTTACTCTGCTTCATTCCTCTTCTTTTATTCCTTTAATCCAACAGCATCCACATTCTTGCTATTTTCCTGGATTTTGCTCCTTAGTCAGTCAACTGACAAATTCTGTAGGCTCTATGCTCAAAATCTATCTTGATTATGACCACTTATCACATTTATCCTATCATTGGGCTCCAAATCACTCTTGTCTAGCATTTGTTTATCACTATAACTGGTCTTCCTAATTGTGCCTTTCCTCCTACAATCTGTTCTCCACACAAGAGCTAAAACAATCTTTTAAACATATAAATCAGATCATTTCACGCCTCTGTTCAAAACTCTCCAATAGCTTTCGATCTTCTTCCAAGTAAGTCCTACAGTAACCTCTAAAGCCCTCTACATACTCTCCTATCTCCTCTTTCTCCACCTTCACAATTCTAAATATTCCAAGCATGCTCTTGTTCCTTCTAGCTAGCATGTTCTTCTCCTAGAAAACCACGTGGCTATTTCTCTTCTCCTACATGTTTCTCTTCAAATACCTTCCATTAGAGTGGTCTTCCCTAACCACCTGTCTAAACATTGAATTTAACTCAAGATGGATTAAAGATGTAGATGTAAGACCCCATCCCTCTTTATTCTGCTTAACTTTTCTCCACAGCCCTTATAACTAACCGACATACATATTTGTTTGCTTATTGTTTGTGTGTTCCCACCAAAATGCTTGCAACACAAGATCAGGACCTTGTGTCTGTGTTATTCACTGCCGTACTCAGGATGCAGAGTGGTGTCTGGCTACTAGTAGGTGTTTATTTCATATGTGTTGAGAGTATTGAGAGTGAGTTAATCAAAGAATGGCTATTTGCTGAGTAACTACTTTTTATTTATTTTTTTTTTTGAGACGGAGTCTCGCTCTGTCCCCCAGGCTGGAGTGCAGTGGTGCAATCTCAGCTCACTGCAACCTCCGCCTCCTGGGTTCACGCCATTCTCCTGCCTCAGCCTCCTGAGTAGCTGGGACTACAGGTGCCCACCACCGCACTCAGCTAATTTTTTGTATTTTTAGTAGAGACGGGGTTTCACCGTGTTAGCCAGGATGGTCTTGATCTCCTGACTTCGTGATCCACCTGCCTCGGCCTCCCAAAGTGCTGCGATTACAGGTGTGAGCTACTGCACCTGGCCTCATTCCCCTTCTTTCATTCCTTTAAGCTTCCACATTCTTGCTATTGCCCTGGATTTAGCGATTATATCCTCTGCTGGTTGTCTTTTCACATCTTTCATTACTGCTTAGAAATAATATAATAATGATGTTTCCTTTCTCAGTCTCTGGCCTTTGTTATTTTCCTTACTTTGTTGTAAGGTGATTTCATCTCATAACTGTTAAATTGCCATCTACATAATCACAGCATTTTAGGTCCCAATATCTAACTGATTTCATCACAGTGACTAATGACAAAGTCAAATTCAACATCACTGAAAAGATTAAGGACACCATTTGTCCTCTTAAATCTTTTCCACTCTCCTTTTTCTGATCTGCACTACTTATTCTCTTCTTCTATACTTCTCAAACTTGCAAGTTTGATTATCTTTTTTCCTCTTTGTCTTCAAAATTATCTGCTTACACAACAAACAAACAAACAAAAAAAGTGGAAACCTCACATTACCTGACTTCAAACTATGCAATTACAAAAGGTATTATAAAAGGCTGTAGTCACCAAAATAGCATAGTACTGATACAAAGACACACAGACCAGTGGAACAGATAGAGAACCTAAGAAATAAAGCCACACAGCTACACAGTCATCACATCTTCAACAATGTTGACAAAAATAAACAATGGAGGAAGGACTCTCTATTCAATAAATAGTGCTGGGATAGCGGCTAGCCATATGCAGAAGAATGAAGCTGGATTCCTACCTTTCATTATATGCAGAATTTAACTCAAGATGGATTAAAGATGTAGACATAAGATCTCAAAGTATAAGAATCCTAGAAGAAAACCTATGAAAGGCCAACTTGGACATCAGCTTTGGCAAGGAATTTATTACTAAATCCTAAATGCTTTTTGAGGAAAAGCAATTAAACAAAAACAAAAGTTGACAAGTGGGATCTAATTAAACTAAAGAGCTTAAGCACAGCAAAAGAAACTACCAACAGAGTCAACAGGCAACCTAGAAAATGGGAGAAAATATTCACAAACTGTGCATCCAAAAAGGTCTGATATCCAGAATCCATAAGGCACTTAAACAATTCAACAGTTAAAAAAAAAAAACCCATTAAAAAGTGAGCAAAAAAAATGAATGGACACATCTCAAAAGAAGACATGCACACATATTTAAAAAATGCTCAGCATCACTAATCATAAAAAAAATGCAAATCAAAACCACAATGAGATAGCATCTCACACCCATCAGAACAGCTATTACCAAAATGCCCAGAACTTATACGTCTTTTTCCAGAGTTCTGATGATAAGCATTTGGAGTGCATTTATTCCTCCAGATAATAAATGTATGTTCAAGAACTTTTGTGTTTTTAAGGCATTAATAAAGCCTTCAGTAACATTAAATACAAAAAAAAAATCCCCAAAACAACAGACTTTTGCGAGGCTATGTGAAAAGGGAACACTGCTTGTGGGAATATATTTTAGTTCAACCATTGTGGCAAGCAGTTTTGAGATTTCTCAAACAACTTAGCACTACCACTTGACCCAGCAATCCCATTACTGGCTATATATCCAAAAGAAAATAAATATTTCCACCAGAAAGACATATTCACTTATTATTGCAGCACTATTAACAACAGCAAAGGCATGGAATCAACCTCGGTGCCCATCAATGGTGGATTCGATAAAGAAATTGTGGAATACAGATACCGTGGAATACAACCACACACACAAGAAAAGAACTAAACCATGTCCTTTGCAGAAAACCAAATACTGGCTATTCTTGCTTATAAGTGGGAGCTAAACACTGGGTACATATGGACACAAAGATGACAACCAGAGACACTGGGGACTACTAGAGGGAGGAGGATGAGAAGGGGGGAAGAATTGAAAAACTTACTAGTGGGTGCTATGCTCACTGCCTGGGTAACAGGATCATTTTTACCCCAAGCCTCAGCATCATGCAATATATTCATGTAACAAATCTGCACATGTACCCTCTGAATCAAAATAAAAGTTTTAATTTTCCTAAAATTATCAGCTTACACATAAGAGTTATGAACAACTGCTTGTAAGTAAGTTTATTTCAAATGGCTTGGTTTTTAGCTATAAATTATACATTGGGTTGAAATCAAAACATAAAATTATTTGGAAGGCTGTACTGCAAATAAAACAACATAGAATTATAGGGAAAAAATCAGTCTTAAATTACAACACTATCAAGGCAGATCAGGCTAAAATAAAATTTTCAAATCTATTGATACATTTTCCCCTTAGCTCAAAAATCTATGCTTTCCTTTCATCTTGTTAACTGAAACATGTTTTTATATAAACTTTCGTAATTACCTGCTACTCACTGGGGTTTAAAGCTTGTTCACTAATCCTTTTCAGTTGTATAGTGTTTAGAGTTTGAAATCCATATTTATACCCTTAAAAGCACTGAACTTTATAATAGCACTGGGAGGTAAACATAATCATTCCCCCCATATAGATGAGAACATAAGGACTAAGGAAGGTTAATTTTCTCGTTTATGTCACATAGCTTAGAAAGGGTGCCAAAGCTAGAATACAGGTGTCCCGAGACTTAGACAATTGTTAGATTTGGCTATCTCACAGATGTCTCTAGAATAGAACATTCATAAAAATATATACAAAACATTCTGTCCATCATCAGGGAGTAATTGTTCTATAATGACATAGCAAATGTACATAATGCATTTTTTTCTCAATATGTGTGTGTGAGTATGTATTTGTATAGCTCTGCTTTGTGGAAGTGTGATTTGAGTTTGCCCTCCTCAAGTGTTTAATAGCCTTATATTTATATTTGTGGAAAGACAGAGAGAGATATATTAGGGAATGTTTGGAGACCCCAGTGTTCAGATTGTAATTCTTATTTCAATTAGCTAACCAGGTTAGATTCTGTAAATCTAACATAGAATGAAAAAGATAAGCTGAAATACCTTGAGCTTTTATTTATCTTCCTGGACCTCAACTTCCTCATCTAATAAAATGAAGAAAGTCTCATTCATGATAATAATAAAACCTATAATGAATTGAGTACTTACTTTAGGCCAAGCACAATTACATTTATTATCACATTTGATATTTGCAAAATCCCTCGAGAAGGAGACTGTTAGTATCTGTGTTTTACAGGTGGTGAAACTGAGTCTCACCTAAGGTGACACAGCTGATGAGCGGCAGATTAGGATATGGCCCTTTGTTTGTTCTATCCAAAAGTTTATACTCATAAGTCTCAAGTTGTGATGTCCCTCACTGCTCCAACTCTCTGTTATTTCTAAGTCCCTTGCAGCAAGGATACCGTGTCTGGAATTGGTGGGTTCTTGGTCTCACTGACTTGAAGAATGAAGCCACGGACCGTCCGCGGTGAGTGTTACAGTTCTTAAAGGCTGCACGTCCGGAGTTTGTTCCTTCTCATGTTCGGATGTGTTCAGAGTTTCTTCCTTCTGGTGGGGTTCCCGGTCTCGCTAGCTCAGGAATGAAGCCACGGACCCTCGCAGTGAGTGTTACAGCTCTTAAGGTGGCGCATCTGGAGCGTCTGGAGTTGTTCGTTCCTCCCGGTGTGTTCATGGTCTTGCTGGCTTCAGGAGTGAAGCTGTAGACCTTCGCGGTGAGTGTTACAGCTCATAAAGGCAGCGTGGACCCAAAGAGTGAGCAGCAGCAAGATTTACTGCAAAGAGCGAAAGAACAAAGCTTCCACAGTGTGGAATGGGACCCCAGCGGGTTGCCATTGCTGGCTTGGGCAGCCTGCTTTTATTCTCTTATCTGGCCCCACCCACATCCTGCTGATTGGTAGAGCCAAGTGGTCTGTTTTGACAGGGTGCTGATTTGTGCCTTTACAATCCCCGAGCTAGACACAAAGGTTCTCCACAGTCCCCACCAGATTAGCTAGATACAGAGTGTGGACACGAAGGTTCTCCAAGTCCCCACCAGAGTAGCTAGATACAGAGTGCCGATTGGTGCATTCACAAACCCTGAGCTAGACACAGGGCGCTGATTGGTGTGTTTACAAACCTTGAGCTAGATACAGAGTGCCGATTGGTGTATTTATAATCCCTTAGCTAGACATAAAGGTTCTCCAAGTCCCCACCAGACTCAGGAGCCCAGCTGGCTTCACCCAGTGGATCATGCACCACGGCTGCAGGTGGAGCTGCCTGCCAGTCCTGTGCTGTGTGCCCGCACTCCTCAGTCCTTGGGTGCTCGATGGGACTGGGCGCTGCGGAGCAGGGGGCAGCGCTAGTTGGGAAGGCTCTGGCAGCACAGGAGCCCACGGAGAAGGGGGGCCTCAGGCATGGCGGGCTGCAGGTCCTGAGCCCTGCCCTGGGGGAAGGCAGCTAAGGCCCCGTGAGAAATTGAGCACAGCAGCTGCTGGCCCAGGTGCTAAGCCCCTCACTGCCTGGGCCAGCCGCCAGTTCAGCTCCGAGTGGGGGTTCCGCCAAGCCCACGCCCACCCGGAACTCCCGCTGGCCTGCAAGCACCGCGTGCAGCCCTGGTTCCTGCCTGCACCTCTCCCTCCACACCTCCCTGCAAGCTCAGGGAGCCGGCTCCAGCCTTGGCCAGCCCAGAAAGGGGCTCCCACAGCGGTGGGCTGAAGGGCTCCTCAAGTGCCACCAAAGTGGGAGCCCAGGCAGAGGAGGCGCGGAGAGCGAGGGAGGGCTGTGAGGGCTGCCAGCACGCTGTCACCTGTCAATACCTCATTATTTTATTCTCTTAAACAGACATGAAATTATTTTCTGTTTTCTCATTAACCATTGAAACGTTCAGGACTTTTTTCCTTTATTATGAAATCAATATTTGTTGATTAAATTAAATAACTAGGCAAGGAACCAATAAGTGGGAAGTCATTGGAAGTTCTTAAATTGATATTGGATGTTGCCAAATTAAGAAAGCTCATCATTTCAGGAGAACTTGGTTAATAAAATTTCAATTAAAGCAAAATCACAGTTTTATTAACTACAATGACAAACCTATACTCCCAAAATACTCTCCTTTAGAACATTTACATTGGAATAACTTTTCAACTATAGATGTTTGTAATAAATGCAATTGAAAGTTCTAGATTTATCTCCACAAATGTTTAAAATTTACATATTTATTATTTTTAGTTAAATATATTAATATTAGGTTAAACATTTTAATCTTAGGATGTCAAATCATATGCTATATAAAACATTTTTTCAATATGATGTTTAAATTAAAAGAAAACTTTTTAAAAGTTTTTGGGATTGGTACTTTTCCTGCTGGAACTGACACAAGAATAATAGTAACCAGAATTAATATCTCATTAGTTGTTTCTAAATAACTAAAATGAGGTTCAGAAGACCAACACTTAACTTTAACTCTGAATTCTTAATTCTCCAGTTATTTCATATTCTAATGTAATCTTTATTTTCATACACTTTGATTTATGCACTATTAAAATTCTGCTATTAAGGAAAGAGAAATATATTTAGGAAATAATTTGATCTTTCTAGATAGATCATCTAAAATTTTTGCTTTAAAATAAAATTTACCTATGTGCATGGTAAATTTACCAATTTTCCTATGTGAGACAAGAAAAATAGTTAAGAGACAAATAAAAAAATCCAAATTGAAGCATACCAGAATTTGGAGTCTAATATTTTAAAGCATAAAAAAGTCAGGCAATTCAAACAAGAACTTTTGAGTTTCCTGAAAATCAAGAAAGCATTAAATAATGAAAATGTTGACCACAGGTACCAGTTAATAATTTGTTTAAATTAATTTATATTCACAATTGCTTTTGAAGAACTTCCATTGCTTTGGTACTTAAGGATAATCTTCAACAGTAAATAGAAAATAATATGTCCCACAAAATATGAATTGGTCTTAACATATGTACCCATGCCATACCCTTAAACCCACTTCAAAATGTTCCTAACACCAGTGGGCCAACAAAGTAACATAGTTGCTTATGGCAAATGTTTTTTACCTTTAAAAGATACTTGAAAGATACCTTTCCAAGTCTCTGGATCTTCAACAGCTTCCTGTTACAGCCAGAGCACCATCCATTAGGTTCTCAAGTCATTGCTTTTCACCAACTTAAGCCTGACCCCAACTTTCCATCTGGTTTCAAACTTTTGAAAAAGGCTTAGCCCTCATATGAGTCTCTGAGATCTCTGGCTGTTTCACACAGGCTCAAACTAGACATGGACCTGGGAAAAGTCCTTGACCTTCCTCCTGGATGCTACTTTTTCCCCTTGCCAGAACCAAAAGTCCTGCACACCCAAGTCATTTCTACAGAGCAGTTCCACTCATGCACCCCTGAGCCTTCATACCTGAACTGAAAGGAGAGGTCTCATGAAAAGATTCACAGCAGATGATGATGATGGAAAGGAAATGTGCACCACAGTAGAAGAGGGAAAGGTGCCCAGGAAATTCAGAGGCTCGGGGCAGTAGGAATTTTCAGCAGCAGCATCTGCTAGAAGCGAATGTTTGTCTGGGATCCCAAGTGCGCAGGCTGGGAAAGCACCCATAGCAGCTGCCCCAGTCCAGAAATCTTTTGAGAAGAATTCCCCAGGGGAGAAAATGTGAAAAAATGGATTACTATGTGAGATCATGGATATGTTAATTTGCTTCACTATGGTAACTATTTTTACTATCTATATGTATCCACAAACAGCATATTGTATACCTTAAATATACACACATAAAAAAACTTTAATTTTAAAAAACAAGGGAAATTAAAAGTTGGAAGCAGGAGTTACAGACTGGAGGGACATCAGAGGACGAGGCAGAAGGAGAAACAAGAGTCTCAGGACAAGAACTTCAAACAGCTCTTTACAGTTGAGAAGGGAGAGGACTCAACAGAAAGGATCAATTTGAGTGAAGACTTCTTTCGGCTTTTGCTGAAGGACTTTCTTAGTCTTTTCTTCTATGTTTTTTGACATAACCCCAATTCTACTTTCCCACAAATTTAATTTTTAATGGAAAATAAGTATGGATTCCAAATGAAAAAAAAAATGATTCTACATCTGGAGAAAGGTGAATTTTGTCCTTGAAATATTATGTTCTCTTTAGTCTAATCAAAGACTGAATAAAATCTTCTTTTGAAAGGAAATCACAGTAACAGTCTTTTTTTCTTTCACAAAAGGGAATTCATTCCATCAGTCTTGATTCATTAAAACAGATTGAAATTGTATCTACTTTGTCTCTGTTGACCTTCATCTTTGAATGAGGCTTTGTATGCTCTTATAATAAATTTCTCCTGAGATTTTTGGTGTCAGTTGCAATTTCCAGGAATTAATAATAATAAAAAAGAATGCTTTGTGAGTATCAGAAACAGAAAATTGAGAAAGCCCTATTTCTTCTTCTTTCAGGATATTATTGAACAATGAAATGAGCACTGAATAAGAACCAGAATTTAGGCTGGCATCCCAGGACTACAACTTTCTGTGTTTGACCCCAGGCAAGTCACTTAAGCTTTCTCAGCCTTAGCTTCCTCACCTGGAGAACAAAGCTAATGATGCTTGCCAATTCAAAAAGTAAATAACATACACATAGTCAAAAACACATAAAGTATTCAACTTAATTAGTAAACAAATAAATAAAATTAAAATATCTATCGAGTTAGCAATAACCTCTCCAAATATCCAGTGTTGGTGAAGGCTAAATGAGACAGGCACTTTCACACTCTGTCAGAAACAAGATGGTATTGCATACCAGGAATCTTAAAAAGGTTCATGTAATTTAACTCAGCAGATCTCTTTCTAGGAATGTATCTCAAGGACTTCATTTTAAAAACAGACTACACTGTATTCACAATGATAGTTATAAAGTTTATAACAGTGAAAAGTTTGAATCCTAAATATTTGGAGAAAATTCCCATATAAAACAGACCACAGGTGTACACAACAAACCAAACTCATAATACAATATATGTATATTGATAAATATACCCATGGGCTTTAGAAAGCAGTTTTAACCTATTTCAGTGCCCTCATCAGCTGCTGAATATGAAATGAGCTTATAGTTCTTTTTATATTCCAACTGTAACTCAAGTCCCCACTGGTGTGTTTGTCAAAACTTTGCTCTGCTCCGAGTTTCTAGCAGCTGTTCTGGAAGTTTCCAGGAGCCCATACATGCTCCAGGAGAGCCTTTCAGCTGCTTTCCATCTCCCCTGGCTCCCACAGCCACTCGCTCACTTGGCTACAGATGGTTGTCCATTAGAACAACTAGTGACCATGACTGAAGTGCCCCTCTGGCCTATGGAGGAGGCACTTTCTCCTCTGTTGCCTCAGCACAACCGAGAACAACTATGACATTTATTATGTCTCTCTGAGAACTCAGGGATAAGGGAAGGGCAGCCCAGAAAGGATCCCAAACCCCACCTTAAGGACCTACCAGGACCCAAGAAGATCACACACAGTGAGGGGCCCTCAACCCTTCCCAAAAGGACTCTCCATATATCAGAAATGAGGTGTAACCCAAGCCCACTGCTCACATGCTCATACCTCAAGAGAGAAGATGCTGTCCATGCCTTAGGCTGATTGGGGAGATGGGGTCTCACTCTGTCACCTGGGCTAGAGTGCAGTAGCACAATCATAGCTCACTGCAGTCTCAAACTCTTGGTCTCAAACAATCCTCCCACCTTAGCCTCCCAAGGAGCTGTGACTACAGATGTGCGCTACCACCCCAGGCTCTTATCCCCATTAATGTGGACTGTCTGACTCCTATAGTTAGGATCAGAGCTCAACTCACTTCTCAAAGTTTGTGTTAGTCAACCTTAAATAACACCAATAGTCTAGTCAGTGTGGTGCTGTGCAAGCTCATTCCAGTACCTCGTTTGGAAAGGTGAACAGATTACGTTTGAATATTCCCCCTACCATAGTTCAAGTCCTGATTTCCAACAAGCAGCTTCTTAGATAAAAAAATGGAGGGAGTTACTAAGACAGGAGTTGGCAAACTAAGCTCACTGGCCAAATCTGGCCAGCTGCTTGCTTTGTAAATAGAGTTTTATTGGGACAAAACCATGCCTATCATTTACATACTGTTCATGACTGTTTCTGTGCTGCAATAGCAGAGATGAAGAGTGGCAAAAGAGACCGTGTAACCTGTAAAGCCTAAAATATTTGCTATCTGGGCCTTTGAAGAACATGTTTGCCAATCTCTGATCTTAAATCAGGAAATACAGCCTTAGATTAGGAGACAGAAGCTGGCCTCCTGGTGAATAAGCCCAGGCAACTAACCTGCACCAGAGAATTATAAACTGAACCTGCACCAGAGAATTATAGACCCAATAAAAGAGAATCAAGAAAGAGAACAAAGATAAAAGAAGATGATGTAGGAGATTCAGTGGCTCACTCTGTAAATACCCAACTGATTTCACAAGGTCAAACCTGGGGCTAACAGAGCAGGCAAAGCTTTGCTGCAAATGTGATAATAACCTGTTTTGAAAACCTTACTCTGCCTTCTCCCACAGTGGTAACCAGGATAAAGATGGGACTTTCATAATGCAACTAACACAAAGCTGTTTGAAGACAGGGGTGATCTGGAAAGGAATCGAGTGTTCCAGGTTCTGGAGTGCTTCTTAACATGCCTCCTGTCTGCATCTGCATCTCTGCATCTGCACCTGGCTTCCATTACAGTTCTTTTTTTTTTTTTTTTTTTTTTTCCTTTTGAGGCAGAGTCTCTCTCTGTTGCCCAGGCTGGAGTACAGTGGCATGATCTCGGCTCACTGCAACCTCTGCCCCCTGGGTTCAAGCAATTCTTGTGCCTCAGCCTCCTGAGTAGCTGGGATTACAGGCTTGTGCCACCATGTCTGGCTAATTTGTATTTTATTTTGTATTTTTAGTAGAGATGGGGTTTTGCCATGTTGGCCAGGCTGGTCTGGAACTTCTGGCCTCAAGTGATCCACCCTCCTTGGCTTCTCAAAGTGCTGGGATTACAGGCGTGAGCCACCACGCCTGGCCTTCCATTACAATTTTAAGATGACATCTTACCAGGCTAAGCACTGTACACAGAATGGGTGTGCACAGATTACACCTTTGTCTACTTTTCAGAAATTGATTTAATTTATGATCCTCTCTCTGCATTCTTCCTGAAGTTGGCTCTGCATCCAACCAGATGATCAAGTTTGCACATTGATAAGGTATGGGATGAAGGGAGCGCAAGAGGTCGAGATCCTCAACTGTTGTTTCACATAATTAGCTCTCAGGTCATCTTTTATTCCTATCTACAAGTTCTTCACAGATCCAGTTTCAACCCTTGCTACTTTTTCTCAGCTCTCAAGAATAAAGAACTCATTCTGTCCTCCCACCATATATGGAGAACTAGAAACTTTATGAGGTTAGCTGGGGTCTTGTGTTCCTAGGGACATCACCGAAATTGTTTCTTGGGACTTGTCTCATCCCCAGGGATCAACTAACAAATTAACCAAGAAAAGGAGACACAAGTTCTCTCTTCTCTCAGGCCTGTCAGGGGTTCTGTTCCTGCACTGACTCCTGGGGAGGGAAGGAACAAGGCCCATTCCTCACAGGCTGCCTCCTGGTCCCCAAGAACCCTTAGTTTCCTTTCCAAGTCAGAAGGAAACTAAGAGTTCCTTCTCTCCCCTTAGTTTTTTTTCCCCTAAAATTTGAATGCAGAAAGACTGCATCATGTTTTTGTCTCAAATTTATTGTTTGCTACCCTTAGTCCTTTCTATTACTGGCAGGGCCTGAACCCTTGAAATTTAAAAGCCAGAAATAGCTCCTCCTCTGCTGCTTTTTGCCAACACATTCTTTAGCAATCTAAAGCCATGAATCCAGAATAACCTCTCACATTGAATTGACAATAGAGGAAAAAAGGGGAACAGAGAATGCCAGGGGAAACTTAGCTAAAATTTTGCTAATATTTCAAAGACATAATCCCACTGAAACCAATTGCTCTAGTTCTCTCTAAATAATGGAATATGCCATAGATCAATATCAAGATATAGATATATATCAAGATGATACATGTTTTGTAAGATTTTTTATAAATTAGTAAAAAGAAAGTAAAAACTTGGCAAAGGACACAAAATAGTAATCTACAAAAAGAAGCAGGCCGGGTGCAGTGGCTCATGCCTGTAATCTCAACACTTTTTGGGAGGCCTAGGTGGTTGGATCACCTGAGGTCAGGAGTTCGAGACCAGCCTGACCAACATGGTGAAACCCCATCTCTACTAAAAATACAAAAAATTAGCCAGGCATGATGGTGGGTGCCTATAATCCAAGCTACTCAGAAGGCTCAAGCAGGAGAATTGCATGAACCCGGAGGCGGAAGTTGTAGTGAGCCGAGATCGTGCCACTGCACTCCAGCCTGGGCAACAAGAGCAAAACTCCATCTCAAAAAAAAAAAAAAAACAAAAAAAGAAGCAATACAGATGCCATATATAAATGTATACCAAATATATTAACAGTAAATAAAAGTAAAATCTCCTAGGGATATTCATAGGGATGCAGCTTCAGAGGCCCCACTCTTGATATGTTGATGCAGAATTTCAAAGAAGAAATTTGGAAATCTGCATTTTCAGTTAAGCACCCACAAATATTTCTAGCGCCTACTAAAGTGTGGGTCCCACTGGTACTGAGGAAATTATACTTGTTCAGGGATATTAGAGTATGACTAAATCAGGATGACAAACGATCCTAATCAGGAAGTTAAACTTTAAATTATCTAAAGTAGGAATCAAAATACTGACAGAAAGAAAACACTACCATTACCACCAACAGCAGCAACAACCAACCAACCACATCTGTAGATGGTATTCTACTGAGAGGACATTTCCTTCTCTCTCCTATGATCTTGTATCCAAGATTCCAATGTATTATCCTGTGCTTTGTATCCTCTAACCTCCTTATACCACAATTTTTCCTTAGTTTTTTTAATTAAAATTTTTATTGCTACTATTTAATTTTAAATCTTTACATACCTGCATATTATCCTTATCTAAAAATACTTCTTTTGCCTCAACTTGGAGAGCAGAGATAATCAGTTATTGGTTTTCAGGTTTTTGAACTTGTACACAATGCCTTGATTAATTTACAGAATTCAACAGCTAACACAGAAATTATAATACCTGCCTAAATGAACATACATCTCACATGAAAACCAAATATGTTTTCAGTAGTCCTGTTACTAGGTGACATCTAGATGCATGAAATGTGGATAACACAGTGATGGCATTCCATAGGTAAATGTGGGTCAACGGAGCCTAAATGAAATTCTCTGGAAATAGACTTGTTTAAAGCAGCCCGCTCTGTGGTGGTAATTACATTTGCATTTATTAACCAAATGTAAACAGGATATGCTATAAAGGAAAGGAAAGTGAGAAATAGTTCTACCATCACAAGAAGATTCCATTTAGAGCACTGCCATCATCTCTTGGCAGAAATATCTTGTTGGCTTCATTTTGGAGCAGATTGCTTTGATCTCCTCTCCATTCCAAAATTTGGGTGCCAAGCTCTATAACTAGTATGTGAATGCCAATGTTTGTTAACTGACCAGAAAACAAAAAACAGTCACATTCTAACAAACGATATCTGTGTTATTAGAACAGTTCTTGTCCCTAAATATTAATTGGAAAGCCTTTATGAAAGTTGAAGGGAAGTTCTGGTTTAGCATGTAATAGAATATGCAGATACAATATTTAGTATTTTTCTTAACCTGCTCTACATCCAACTACTACTCTCTTTTCCCATGCTTATGTAACACTTTAAAAAATTCATCTATGATTTCACAGGTTGTGTTGTACCATAATCACCTGTTTAGATGTCTATCCCAGCTCCTCAATCATGAGCAACTTGAGGAAACCATCTCTGGCACTATTACATCTAGCATAGTATATGCTTAATAACTGTTAGCTGAGCAAATGGGTAATTCCATAATAAAAGAATAAGAAAGCCATGCTTATATATTTATGTCTAGCCAGAGTGTATACAAATGATGGAACAAACCATCTTATTCAGTGTGTAAGATAAATAGTGTCAACAGCATATGTTAGTTCTTATCAGATACAAAATTCAATTGCAAATTTCATGCAGTGTAGGTACTCATTAAATATGACCAATTGATTTGCTCTTCCATTTGTACATGGTGAAGGAGTTCTGCACAAAGTCTTTTAGAGGTAACTGTCATGCAGCTGGCTCAGGTGTAACTTCTGTTGTAGACAGCTTTAGCTTATCTTTATTCACCATAAAAAAATCCTTTCTCATCAAAAGCAGCAGCAAGAAATATAGATTTGATTTCCTATATATTTTTTCAGTAGATTCTCCTGAAGATTTTAAGGGGGATAGTTTAAATGCACACCGCACAGAAATCAGCTTAGTTAATATTACATTCCATATGTGTTCTTCTCCAAATCCCTCTTCTGCCACACTACTATCCAGGATTCCTATCATTCTCTCTAACCTTCCACGCTCAATGGCTTCACCCTCATCTTCTACAGGCTTTGCCATGCATCTTCCATCATAAGTTTCTCTTGGACCAGATTCAGCAGACAGGCCACCTTTTAAGTAATTAAAAATACTATCATCTCGTTATGTTTAAAACCTCTCATTAAGTAGCAATCAGTCAAAATAAACTTGAAGGCGAATAGAAAATATTTCAATCCAGGTATTTGGATATTCTAAAGTAAAAATACTTCTTAAAATTTAGAATAAACCTTTGAAAAATTCCAAAGATTCAAAAAGTGATGAATACCTATTATATAGAAACTTTTTTCTAATTCTAATACTCCTATTATTATGGTCCAAATTTATATGATTCTTTAATTCTTTTTTAATACACTTTAGAATAGGTAGTATCAGAGGAATAGAGGTGAAATGTTTATCAGTTAACTCAATAGATTCAACTGTGTTCTTGAATGCAGTGATAGGTGCAAACAAATGAGATCCTATGTTCATAGATAATAATCTTGAGTGGTGAGAATGTGTGTCTTATTATCTTTTGTGTTTTTCCTTACTGTAAAATTTTCTTTTAAAAATTTCTTGTTTTCTCAAGCATTCTGTAGTCAAAGATCCCTTCCAGCTCCCCTAGTTTTCTTCCATGTCATGTGGTAACTTTCTTCTCATTTAGCCTCCAACCCTTCTTTCCTTGACACTCCTTTGCAAATCCTCTTCCTCCTTCTACTGCCTCTCATCTGTGAGCAGTTCCCCAATCCAGCCCTCAGACAGTCTTTCTGATGGGAAATCCCAGGAAAAGGGGGCCACCCATAAAAGCCAGGTACTTGAGTAGGTAAACAAAGTTGGAAGGTGAGAGTCCTGCCAGCAGCTTAGTTATTTGCTTACAGCAGGTTCCCTAACAAATCTGTGCTCACCTGAAAAGGTGCTCTTATCAAAGCAGGGGAAAATACTTGACACAGATGGGAAT
Organism: Homo sapiens; assembly: GCF_000001405.40. Lineage (NCBI taxonomy): Eukaryota > Metazoa > Chordata > Mammalia > Primates > Hominidae > Homo > Homo sapiens. The sequence goes on along the minus strand of NC_000006.12, from coordinate 71,676,326 downwards.
GTCCATTATCAAAACTTATTAAAGCCTGCAGCATTTAGAAGGTAAGCATTACAATCAGTAAAAATCAGAAAGTATGCAATGGTAGATTTCAATAGGACAATCCTTGCTTATTAACAAAGTGATCTCTTTGAGTGCACCCTGAGTCTTGGAAGCAAATGACTCCAGAAACTCCAGACACCTCAGCACTACCAGGGAATCTGAGCCATTCCCCCCACCCAACTGGGCAGAAGTAAAATCTGGGAAGGGTGTTCTCTGACAGCAAGAGATGTACAGCCTATTAGCATATCCTTATTTAAGGGGAATCTATTACTACCTCACAAATAAATTGTACAGGGCAATTAAATATCTCAAAATTGAAAATGTTCAATAATGATAATTTCCCAAAAGCATTTTATAAACACTGCTGAGGGAAATTACCGTTTTCTTTTCTCCAAACTGTCCAAGCAAAAATTTCACTGAACTAAGTTAAACAGACAAGGAAGACTACCAGAATCCATTCTGAATTCAACTCTGCCAAATAAAAAGGGGCACTGGAGAGTTTTTAAGAGCTATGGGGAGAGGAAAGGCATTGTAGGATATCTGTGTTTGCTAACTGGCCTTACCTAAAAGAGATGTAAACTTTCTCTTATCTTCAAGATAAAATTCCCAAGGAAGCTAGGCTCCTACCCTCACATCAATACTGGGCAATACCTGATATCCCAGCCATAGCCACTTGCACCATCTTCCTTAATTACACTTTAAAGGGATAGCTTACAGGTTCTTCAGAAAGACATTCCTGACTTGCAAAACTGGCAAGAGGCTGGGACATTTATAAACCTTTCAGAGGGGCAGAGAAAGAATTTGCAATGACAAGTTTTCTACAGTAAACACTCTAAGCAAACGAAGATCAGAGGCCTAGAGTTGGGAAGAAGATTATCCAATGTTTAATCAAGGTAAGGGGAACTCTAAGCCCATCTTGCTCACGGTATTTGCAGGGTTGACTCTCACTATTCAAAGAGAATAATTCATGCACGGCTTAAAAGAAGGGTAATTAGAGCAATACTACCCCTACAGCAATGCCTCCTTTTAGTAAAATGTTCTAAGATCATTGTCAATAAAATCTCATTTGGAATTTATTGTTTTCAAGTTAATTAAAAAGGAACATGTTTGCTTTAAAAAGAACTATTTAATCTCCAACAATATGCAAAAACCTTACAATGGCTTCTGTTATGATTTTGAAATATTCCTTGGGTAACAGTGTTGATTAATCCTGAAAAAAGGACTTAATTGTGTTACATAACTTTGGATAAGCAAATAATTTCTATTAAGATGTGTCTTTATTCAGCAGTTGAGCTATTCATAAAATACCTGAAATAAACACTAAATTTGGATCAGTGAAAATATTTTCTCTTTCTTTAGGCTATCGTTACCTTTCAACAAATATTTTAAATTCTTATTATAGGCAAAGAATAATACCTCCAGATTTAATGAGTAAAAACATGAATAAGGCAAATCTTTGCTCTTAAACTCACACACTATCAAAATAGTTTACAAACATCACCTTGTAGCTCTAATACCAGGTAGTTTGAAATTAGTGCCATAAATGAATGTGAATTGCTGAGGCATTATCGAAACAGGAAAAATTAAATCCTGTTATGTCTCTTTCAGCTCACAAGTATTTTGGTCAAGTATTAAAAGACTGCAAGTAACATAAGCCTCTGATTTTTCAACAAAAAGAGTGAAACATTAGCAAGCATAAATTTATCTCATGGAACCCAAGGCTAGCCTTCAGAAGCAAATCGATCCAGAAACTGGATAATAAAGAACCCAAAATTACTCTTTGTCTTTTTGAAGTGTCATGGTCTCTTATTTCTGCTTCTCTCCCTTTAGTTTTCTCTTTTTCTAAAAAAATTGCTTTCTCTACTTTGACATGCACAAGGCCAAGCATGATTGACCCAGACCTTAATTTGCATCACTTCTCAGTTCAAGAGCTAATAAAAACTGACCCATGCCTCGAAGACCCAAATCCAAATGCCCTGAAGAGAATGCTTGGAAGTATTTGGGCCTAAGTGGCCTAGCTTGGGCCAGGCATGCATCTCAGTCCAAACTTGCAATATTGTGAAATAATAAGAAATATATATTTGTTCTTTGCCCTTTGTTGCAGATAGGGGTGTTATGAGAATCTTTTGTTCTAATATTTGGTCTCTGACCTAGTTCCTGACACAGAGCTCCTAACTCCTCGGCAATTTTCTGAGTGATAGGAGTATCTGGCATATAGCTCTTAAGTCCCTTGGAATTTCCTCAATTATATGAGTGTCTTTTATTCTAACGAGGTAACACTTGGTGGGCTCCCGGATAGGATGGGAGGAGGTGGTTGCCAGAAGAATGAACTATGTGATTAAGGGCTGGAACTCTCAGCCCTACTCTCAGACCTCTGGGAAGGGGAGAGGTACTAAAGGTTGAGTTGATCATCAATTGTCAGTGATATAATCAATCATGCTTTTATAATGAAGCCTCCATAAAAATGTAAAAAGAGAGGTTCCCTATAGCTAAACGCATGAAGGTGCCTGAAGGGTGTCTTACGCAGAGGGCTTCCACGCCCCTTCCCACATAACTAGTCCTATGCAGCTCTTTATCTGTTATTCTGTATCTTGTGTAATATTCCTTATATTAAACTGATAAACATAAGTAAATGTTTCCCTGAGTTCTGTGAGTTGTCCTAGCAAATTAATTGAAGTTAAGAAGGGAGTAATGGTTACTCCAGTTTATAGCTGGTCAGTAAAAAGTATGAGGGACGACTTACTACTACTTGCAATTGGCATGTGAAGTGGGGGCAGTCTTGTGGGAATGAACCCTTAACTTGTACGATCTTATTCTAACTCCAAGTGAATAGTGTCAGAATTAAGTTAAATTGTAAAACATCCAGTCAGTATACACTGGAGAATTGTTTGGTGTGTGGTGAAAAACACCCGTATATCCCATGTCAAAAGTGTTAAGTGGTGAATTTGAAAGTAGGAAAAACACTTTTTTCCTTTCTATCTCAAAGAAAACTATAACTAGAGGTTAAGGTTACTGAGATACAATGAGGCCCACCACTATAATCGGGAGAAAAATTTCCCAAAGGAAACATATGTTAGGACATTAACCCAAAATAAGTCTAAGACAACAAGACAGATACTACCAAGAAGAACTCTCTTCAATAAACCTATTCTGTGGCATTTCCTCTTAGCAGAGATGAGGTTCTAAAGTCTGCACATATTGCAAAACTAAGTAGAGAAAACATTACCTTTGAACTATCTTAAATAGCTCTAAATCCCTTCATGTGTGTGGTTTACATGAATACAACCCTAGAATCTTATAGCATTATTTTGCTACAAATGGAAAATAACTGGCTATTGACCCAACTGGCTAAAACAACAAGAAGGAAAACGTGTCATCTCACAAATGGCTCCAGGATTTGTCAGTTTGGTCATTTGGTGACATTATAAGCAGCAAAGTTCTTTTCGTCTTTCTGTTCTGCCATCTTCAGCATGTCCGACTGCCCCCAAGCGAGTGCCCTTTGTGCTCATAAATAGCCACAGCAGACCAGGAACCAATTCATAAAGGATGATATCCAAAATCTCTTCCTTATTCATCTAATTTAAGGCTTTCCCAAAGCCTTCTCAGCCTTCTCCCTCTAAGTCTCAGTCAGAAATGTGGCAGAATTTACCCTAAACAAACTCTGGGCTGGTGGGGCTGGATCACTGTAGTCGGTTTGTAACAGTCAAAATTTACTCAGCAGCCATTATAGGCCAACCTGGACACCATACAGAACTAAGCTTCTTTCAGTGTGGCAAAAGAAAAAAAGGAATAATTTGGAATTCAATTAGTATACTTTTGGTTCTAGCTGTGTTTATTTTAGGTCTAATTAAGAAAAAGAAAAGAGTGAAAATAAACCTTAAGTTCACTAAGCCTAATGAAACTTCAAGATTATATACTTACAGAAATCATTTTTTTTTTGTATACTGTATATTGACATCCTGTGACCTGGTGATCTGAAATACTCTTTGGGAATTTCTTGTCAAGGATATATAATTGAGGCTCAAAAGCCTAAAGAAATGAAGCAAAATTACTATTTTAGGCCAAATGGAAGATAAAAATAAACTTACGCAGCTCGTGAAAAAGTCATTTGGGTAAAATGGAAGAATACTTTTTCACTGGCCCAGTCATTCTGTGGCTTATATCACAGGGGCCTCAAGGGATCATGCTGCTCTCAGGCCCTTTGAGAACCCACCAGCAAAAGCTAAGGGTTATATACCATGCCTCTCCTCTAGGACATCAACGGGGTCACATCTGGCTAATTGGAAGACCCACCTTCGCATATCTATTTACACTAAATTCCTAGTAGACTGAGAGACATTGAAATACCCTATGGGAATTTGACTCCAGGCAGCAAAAAAAAAAAAAAAAAAAAAAAAATTATTTATGTCTTAAAGTTCTTGTCTATACCTTCGTACAGATTTTCTATCTAAAAAACTGTGCTAGTTTATTGTACTTAACTATAACCTTCTTGAGAGCAGATCTTTGATACCCACAGCATTATGTTTGTGGCCAGGGTCTACTGCCCACAAAGTGTCCAGTAAATGAAAAGAACATTTTCTTTCTTTACCCAGTTCTGCACCTTTACCCAAGTCACAATAGTATGCCAGTTGTCTTGTAAGTGCATAAATGTCATCAATAACTTAGCACAACCCTTGTAAAATGTTGCATAAAAACAAACATATAAAGCCTGATGGTAAAATTGAACAGAATATACTCAGTCCTCAAGGAGGTCGTGCCACTCCCTAAATGTAGATCATACATAATGACTTCCCTAGAAACAGAGGCCTACCTTGGAGATATTGCGGGTTCAGTTCCAGATCACTGCAATGGAAGAATGTCACAATAAAGAGAGTCATAGGAATTTTTTGGTTTGCACTGCATATAAAAGTTATGTTTATATTATACTATGGTCTCTTAAATGTGCAACAACATTATGTCTAAAAAAATGTATAGACATTAATTTAAAAATACTTTATTCCCCAAAATTGCTAATGATCATCTGACTCTTCAGTGAGTCACAGTGTTTTTGCTGTTTGAGGGTCTTGCCTTGACATTGATCACTGCTGACTGATCACAGTAGTAGATGATGAAGGTTGAGTGGCTGTGGCAATTTCTTGAAATAAAACAACAATACAGTTTACCACAGCAAGTGACTCTTCCTTTCTCTATAGCATACAATGCTGTTTGATAGCATTTTACTCCTGAAAGAACTGCCAACATTTTAGTCAAACCTCTCAAATCCTGCCACTGCTTTACCAGCTAAGTTTCTGTAATATTGTAAATCCTTTGTTGTCATTTCAACAATGTTCACAGAATCTTCAGTATGGGTAGGTTCCATCTCAAGAAACCATTTTCTTTGCTCCTCCATAAGAAGCAACTCTTTATCCATTCAAGTTTGATGGTGAGATTGCAGCAATTCAGTCACATCTTCAGGCCCAACTTCTAATTCTAATTCCCTTGCTATTTCTCCCACATCTGTAGTGACTTCCTCCATTGAAGTTTTGAGCCCCTCTCCCCCAGTCATCAAATTCTTCCAAACAATTATGTGGTTTACAATATTTAGGAAACCATGGCATAAACAGATGTGCTGTCATCCAAGCTTCTTTTTTTCCCTTTATAGAGCACAGGTAAAGTACTATAATTCTTAATGGCCCTAGGATTTTCATAATGATAAAGGAGCACTGACTTCAACTTAAAAGTCACCAGCTGCATTAGCTCCAAACAAGGGAGTCAGACCGCCCTGTGAAGATTTGAAACCAGGCATTGACTTCTCCTAGCCATGAAAGTACTAGATGATATCTTTATCCAATAGAAAGCTGTTTCGTTTAGATTAAAAATATGCTGTTTACTGTAGCCACTTTTATCAATTATCTAAGCTAGATATTCTGGATAACTTATTGAAGTTTCTCCATCAGCACTTGCTCTTTCACCTTACACCTTTATGGAAACTGCTTCTTTCCTTAAATCTCATGAACCAACCTCTGCTAGCTTCAAACTTTTCTTCTGCAGTTTCCTTAATTTTCTCAACCTTCGTAGACTTGAAATGTCTTATGCTGGTTTAGGCTTTGGCTTAAGGGAGTATTGTGGCTGATTTGATCTTCTATCCAGACCACCTGAACTTTCTCCATATCAGCAATAAGGCTGTTTTGCTTTCTTATCATTTGTGTGTTTACTAGAGTAGCACTTTTAATTTCCTTCAAAAAACTTTTTCTTTGCATTCACCACTTGGCTAACTTTTGGCCCATGAGGTCTAGCTTTCAGCCTGTCTTGGCTTTCTACATGGCCTTCTCACTAACCTTAATCATTTCCAGCTTTTAATAAAGTGAAAGACGTGTGACTCTTCCTTTCACTCAGAGGCCACTGGAATTTTGTTAATAGGACTAATTTCAATATTATTGCATCTCAGGGAATAGGGAGGCCTGAAGAAACAGAGAGAGATGGGGAAATGGCCAGTCACCGAAGCAGTCAGAACACTCCCAACATTTAGCAATTAAGTTCATCATCTTATATGTGCATGGGTCATGGTACCCTAAAACAATTATGATAATAATATCAAAGATGGGTGAATTAACAATCACTGATCACAGATCACCACAACAGATAAAATAATAATGAAAATTTGAAATATTGTGAGAAGGACCAAAATGTAACCCAGAGACATGAAGTGAGCTCATACTGTCAGGAAAGTAGAGCTGATAGACTTGCTTGGTGCAGGGTTTACACAAGCCATTACTTTATAATAAATGCAACATCTACAGACTGCAATGAAGTGAAGCACAATCAATGAGGCTGCCTGTGATACCTTATAAAAAGGGGGGAAAAGAGTAACATTTCAGTGGAAAAACTTGACAAACATTACTTCAGCCAGGTGATCAAGATCAGCATCAACAGTGAAAAGTCATTTTGACAGTAAGTACCTTGAATATGATGTGATAAGAATGGTATTCTTATAGTTTTTCTGTCCAAAACACATTGCCCCAGTCTAGTCATGAGAAAAACCTCAGCTCATCCCAATAGGAGGGCATCTTACAATTTATCTAACTGGTACTCCTCAGAGCTCTCAAGGTCATCAAGAACAAGGATCACCTGAGAAATTGTCACAGCCAGGAGGAGCCTAAGGAGACACGATGACTTAAGGTGATGTGATATCCTGGATAGGATCCTGGAACAGAAAAAGGATCTTAGGTAAAAAGTAAGGAAATCTGAATCCAGTACGGGCATTACTTAAAAATAATATATCAATATTGGTTCATTAATTGGAATAAATGTACCATACTGATGATAAGAAGTTAGTAATAGGGAAACTGGATGTGGGGTACGTGGTAACTATCTGAACTATTGGAATTTTTCTTTACCTCTAAACCTGTTCAAAAAATAGTTTGTTTTTTTAAATTGGGAAGAATAACATATCTACCATTTATCACTAGGAATTTGGTACTTTCTATAAAGATGTTGGAATGGGTCACTGGAGGAAACATATGGGTCTCCAGAGCAGATACAGTTGCCTAGATCTTTACCTCATGCTGGTCTGGAAGAAGAGAAATGCAGTCCCCAAACTGTGGCATTTCGATAGATTATCAGCCCTTTGTGAGTCTCCAAAGAGACACCACATACCTTCTTAATGGGGAAGAGTGTATAAAGGGTAAGGTTGGAGACTAGGCAAGTCAGTCTGGTGAAGGTTGCCCACATAGTATGTATAAAAGGAGCACTCCCTGGCATCAGGTCTCTTCTCTACATTGTCTATTGTCACGCAACTAGGGAGAAAGCAGGAAGACCACTAATACTTGGTTGACAGGCCTGGAAGAATCAATCCAAAGTCCCCTGAACTTTAAAACTCTCCTCCCAGAGTTTTGTCTCCTCAGAACCAATAAAGATGCACAATATTTTCTTGAATTAAAAAAAGTTTACATTACAGTACTAATCTTCTCCAACAAATTTTTAAAAGTTTTAAACCAGTTCTACCTAAGACAGATAAATAACAAATGAAATAAAGGATAAGGTTGCCTGGAGCTGGCTCAACTACTTTGTGTGCTGGTTATAGAATGAGAACATTCTACTTTTTAAATTACAAATGTTATAAACACTGGAAAAAGAGACTGAAAGATAACACATGGTATTCAGTCAGCAACAGCTGCATAGAGCCAATCTAGATGCCTGTTTCTTTCTGATTCACAAGGTATATTTTAAGGATCCTGAGAATTCTTGTCATGGAAACCTGCTTAACTTTGCTTAACCCAGCCTTTTCTAACATTATTTGAAGAAAAATTCATTTTTTTGTGGTTATCTCATAGTGATTAGTGTCTGTAAAACAATCTGTGAAAATCACCCGAGATTAAAAGTTATAAAAAAATTAGACTTAGGTCATGGCTGTAAATCAATGAACATGCATATTTTACTCTACAGATAATTCTTAGTAAATTAAGAAGTATTGCATCTCACTACCCACTCTGTAAGTCCCTATTAAAATGTTCAGACTGGATGTGCAACAATGAGCAGAGAAAGAAGGTGCTCTCTCTCTATGAATAATTCTTTTTTCAGAGAGGAAGATTTGCACCAATTGTGTATGTGTGTGCATATGATTATCTTTGTACAACAACTCTGAAGATTCTAGGACTGCTTGCTCTATCAGGTTATCTGTGTCACTGCTTCTTCCAACTATTCACTGATCGTTCATTTTAAACTGTCTGCCATTGCTGGTTCATTCTGTTTCTTTTCCAGAAGTGCGGGATGCTAGAGATCAGCAGACAAATATGGCTCTACTCCTGCCTTCAACGAGTTCTCACAACTAACCAGGAGCATTTCTTCCTTTACGAATGTTATTTTAAGGGAGTTCTAAAACAATAGGTTGTATATATTACTACTTATTATTCATTTATTTGACAAATATTTATTGAGGATCTGCTATATGCCAAGCGCTGTTTCATGTACTGGAGACAGTGATGAATCAAAGTTCATGCCCTCATGGAGCTTACATTACATGTGGGAGATAAATATATACATGAGCAAATAATGTGTCAGGGGCATTGAATGCCATGAAAAAAATGAAACAAGGTAAAGGGGGTAGAAATGGAAAGGAGAGTGTTATTTTATTTAGTGATGTCAGGAAAGATGCATCAATAAAGTGGCATTGGAGCAGAGATCTGAAGGCAATAAAGGAGCTGGCCATGCCAAAATTATGGAGAAAAGTGTTCCAGTGGGAAAGCATAGCCAGGCCCTGAGATGGGAATGTGCTTGACATGTCCTAGGAATAGCAGAGATGGCCAGTGCAGCTGAAGTAAGGGATGGGTGTAGGAGATCGGGGCAAAAAGCTTGGTAAAGAAGCAAAGCCAGATCATGGTGGGATTTTCATTCACAGTTAATACTTTGAATTTTACTTTCATTCAAATTGGGAAGCCATTTTAGAAATTATTTTTTAAACATTTTATTGGGATTAATGTTCTAATTTCTCTGATTTTCCTATTTTTTTGCATAAAAATATCAAACCACAATAATCAGCAAAATTACAATGACAGAAACATACTCATCAAAATTAAATTCTGAAATTTTTTTTCTCTAGTTCAATGTTCTCCTCTTAGCAGCACCAAAATGATACATTATTTTCCAAGTTCTATGATATTTTGCTATAGATTTTAACTTAAAAAATTATACATTCTTACTTTCAATAATGACTTTGAACTTTACTACTTCTGGCTAAGTTTTACATTTTTTGATTAATCATTCATAGAGGTCTATCCTTTCCTTTCAATTTTCATTTCAGCCCTCAAATCCTCAAATACATAGGTTTATAGTTTCTTATTTCTCAAAGTCGTTATGCTGCAAGATTCTCCTTCCTTTGCAATGGTCCATCTCTTCACTGATTTATCCTCTATCCTCAATTCTTCATTGTCTTCGACTAATTTAATTTATGAAAAAAATCCACAGTATTTCAAAGGAATCTTTTCCCATTAGCCAAGGTTGTTCACCAGCCAAGAAACCCTTAGGGCCAACCAAATTACCCATCAAATCTTGATGAAGCTTGGAGAGATATAGAATTTGCTTCCTTCTGTTGGCTAACATATAAATGTAGCAATAATGTTTTGTAACCTAAATTCATTACCAATTATGGACATATCAGATATTCTATTTTGGAATGCGTTGCATATCAACTTACAAGAAAAGAATTCCAAAGCCTGCCATCAAATTCTTCTTTGTGTCACTTGACAACGAGGCACTAAAAACAATTACAACACATGGATATATCCCAAGATCATGAGCCATAGTTTTATATAGAAACCGAGGGTTTTAAAAGCTTAAAGCAGTTGAATTAACAAATCATTGAATAAGTCAAAATAAATAGTTCACAAATTGTCAACCAAAATGTACACATAATTTTGATTAGGGAAAGAGCACATTAATAAATTTGACCCATGACCTTAACTTAAAGGAACTCATCTGTTATCAATATAAATTTAAAGCAGCACAAACAGACACATTCTTCTTGTCACAACAGACAAACCTAAATTGTTTGCTTGAAATATATGAATTTCCAGTCTTTCTCTGAAAATTTTCTTTTAGTTCACTTTTGAGAATTAGTAACTAAATTGTATAAAACATATCTGTACTACTCCCTAATAATATTTAAGTACATATATATTCTTAAGGATATATATAAATTCAAATATATATTATATATAAATACATACTATATATAAATATATATATGGTATGTTTATACAGAGGATATATATATGTCTACTCCTCATCCTGTTAAGATATTGTTTTTTTCCAAAATAGCATTTGATAATTCACATTAAAATATGGGGGATAGTAACAACTTCTAAAGGACTCTCAATGCTTGGCTGATGGGAGCTTAAAACAGGATCATGAGGAAAACGTAGTGATACTGTTTTGTCATTCATGTTTAAAGACACTTCAGTGCCTACTTTTTCCTGGTGCTCTGATAGGCACAATGGAGAATGGAAAAACAATGTGGTTCTGGACCTCAAGCAGCATGTCAGTAGTGGAAGAGATAAGGTGCACAATAACTAGATACAAAGTAGGATATGAAAGGTATAATGTGTGACAACAGAAACATCTGGGACTTAAGGGGAGATAGTGATCATTTCCACTTGAGAATGTTCTAGAGACTGTTTGTAAATAGAAAAATGATCATTAGCATAGCTACATTAATAATTACCTAAATAGGTTGAAAGAAAATAGAGTGGCAGTGAACAAAACTGATTCTTTGGATCCTGACAGAATCTTATTAAAATGGTGTCAGATAAAACATTACAGGGAGCCCATAACTAAAAGACACCTTGTTGATGTGGCTATGATATGCAAATTAACCAATCTGACAATGTGATCAATATGATTCCTAAGAGTTTTATATTAGTTTTGCTTAGCAATTTTACTTTATAGTTTGTCATTATTTTTTAATTTTTAAAGAATCTATTTATCTCTAATTTATGCAACCTGTGTGCCAAAACTTTTGAAGCTTTTAGGTTGCTCAGTCATGGCTACAAAATAACTAGCATGAAACCTAAGGTTCTGGGATAAAATATTTAGCTAGAAATTTAAAAGCCTAGTTAATACATTTAACACAAAAACTTATATAATAATAATGATGATAATGAATGTGACTCATGATAACCATTAGAGTTGAATAAAAATTAAATTAATGATGGTTTTAAAACATAAAATGATCATTTCAAGGGAAGATTAGTTTTGTGTGACCATATGGTGCAAACACAGAATAGAATTTGATGCCATGAAGAGGCACTGTGATAATACACAGGCAAACATTTCTCCTGTATTTGACTCAGTTATCAGATATTCAGGAATTCTCCACTGTCTAAGGTTAACCACCTCCCTACTCCTCTCAGCATGAGATACCAGACCTCTCACACTTGCGGCTGTGCCTCTTTTTCTAGTATCCATCTCATCTACACTTTGCTTTAACAACGTTCTTGGTTTTTTTTGTTTGTTTCTTTTTTTTATTTTTTTTTATACAGCACGCCTTTCCTTATCGTGACTTTTGCTGGCTGGAGTATAGACCCTTCTCCATATCTATGGGCAAAGTAACCCCATCAAGGCCCAACTAAAACATGACTTCTATCATTAAGTAAAATAGTTACTACAGCCTTAAACTTGACTAGACGTTGTGTTACATCTTAAATAATTCACAGGGTCAGTGAGAAGAGTGCAGACATTGCAAAGAAATACACAGAGGACACAACCACTGGAGGTACTGCGGTCCTAGGAGCAGTGAACCTGAACGAAAGGAAGGAAACTGGAACCAAGCAAAATAAGGAAAAGCAGAGAAATCAATGCAGGCAGCTAGCTCAAGGGGTGTGTGTTTGTGTGTAAGGGTATGGAGAAGGGAAAACAGTGGTTCAGGGGGTAACTAGGAATCCCATGCAGTAATGTGGCAAATTCAGACTTCGTTCCTACAGAGATCAATCTTTTTTTCATGTTTCCTTGTTCTCACTTATTTTAATTGTAAATGTCTTTATTGAGATATAACTCACATACCACACAATTCACCCATTTAAAATATGCAATTTTATGTTTTTAATATATTCACAGATATATGCAACTATCATCACACCTTTAAATCATTTTTGTCACTTCACCAAGAAATCCCTTATCTTTTAGCCATCATCCTTTCCTCTGTCCCCATTGTCACAGCCCTAAGCAAGCACCAATCTACTTTCCGTTTCTATAGATGTGACTATTAAGTGTCAAAATCATATACTATGTGGTCTGTGTGACAAGATTCTTTCCTTATGTGATGGTTAGCTTTAGGTGTCATCTTGAGTGAATTAAGGGATACCCAAATGGCTGGTAAACATCATTTCTGTGTATGTCTGTGAGAGTGTTTCCAGAAGAATAAATAAATGGATTGAGTAAATGATTCACCCTCACCAAATAGGCTGAGGGTTGAGTCATGCATCTTCTCCTGATCATAGTGTGTTAGTTCGTTTTCACACTGCTGATAAAGACATACCCAAGACTGATGGTTTTAAAACACAAAATTTACAAAAGAAAAAGGTATAATGGACTTACAGTTCCACATGGCTTGGTAGGGCTCACAATCATGGCAGAAGGCAAGGAGGAGCAAGTCACATCTTACATGGATGGAGGCAGGCAAAGAGAGAGAGAGAGACTATACAGGGAAACTCCCATTTTTAAAACCATCAGATCTCGTGAGACTTATTCACTATCACGAGAACAGCACGGGAAACACCTGCCTTCATGATTCAATTACCTCCCACTGGGTTCCTCCCATGACATGTGGGAATTATGGGAGTTACAACTCAAGATGAGATTTGGGTGGGGACACGGCCAAACTATATCACATGGACATTAGAACTTCAGGTTCTCTGGCCTTTTGACTCTGGGACTCGCACTAGCCACTACCCTTCCCCACCAGCTTTTGGTCTCAAACTGAGAATCACACCATCAGCTCCCCTGGTTGACTTGAAAAGTGGACTCAGCCACCCTACCATCTTCTTTGGTTCTTCAGCTTGCAAATGGCACATCATGGGACTTCTCTGCCTCCAAAATCATGTGAGCCACTTCACCTAATAAATCCTCTCTCAATTATCTGTTCGTATATATTCTATTTTTTGTCGTTTTTCTGGAGAACCCTAGTTAATACAACATAGGATATGTTTATGAGGTTCATCCATGTTGTATCAGAAGTCAGTATCTTAACAGGTAGACTAACCCATTAGAAGGTAGAATCTGCCATTGCAAGTGGTGGGACAAAAAACCATGTCTCAAAAACATCCACCCTCTCAGAACAACTTTGTAAGAGTTAAACAAAGTATGAGAATTCCCTATCAAATTGGCTTCAATTTAGAGCAGGTCTTCATGTCCAAGGAGGACTTCAACACTAAGATGAATAAACAAAATACCAGACTAGTTACTGACTAGGCCAATAAAGATGGAGGCAGTAAAGACTAGGCAACAAAGAATGGTGTCTCCTGACATCCCAAATATAAAGTCTGGCAACAAAGCAAACTATAGACTAAACGCAATTATTGCAGTCTCATAGCTCCTCCTTATTTTTATATCATAGATAATGAAACAAATTAACAATAGCAAAAAATAAAAACCTATAGGTCTTCTGTAATAAACATAAAAAGAACAACACAATAGGCTTGTTTTGGTTATTATAAACTATCAATGTCATTATGATCATGAGAAATAGAATCACTTCAGAATAAGACTTTTTCATGAGGCAAGAATTGTTGACTTACTAATTTGGGAATGATGTACTATTTTCTATAACATCTGTTCATTGTTCATATATTGGTAAACTTACAATACTCTGTCCTTGACAAAGAGGGACAGTTAAAGTTCTTAAGTAAAAATTTGAAATAATAAAAGTGCATATTGACCTACCAGATTCCTACTGGTTTTAAAAACAGATAAAATATTTATATTGTTCAGGATTTTTATAACTAGTTTACTGTTAATTTGAAAATTTGAAGATCTTATATAAACCAGAAGTATTTCAAATTCATAATGCTTTCACTTTACTATAAAATATTAGAAATTAAAATCAGTAGCAATTGTTTCATAAATATAAACAGATTTTTGCATTATTTAAATTTTTTTGTATAATTTAAGGTTTTCAATAGCCCATGCCTTTTCTCTAATGTGTAGAGATTAGATGTGGAAAAGGGACTACACTCCAGGGAGTTCACATTAGGTATATTCAGGTAGAGCTAGCCTTCACATTAATATATAATTTCAGGTAAATATTTTAATGTTAAAGTTTTTAAAAGCACTACATGATTAAGCTCATTGTTATTATTTTAATGAAACTTTATTGTGACATAATTCACATATAATAAAGTTCATCTCTTTAAATTATAAAGTGTAATGGTTATTCCATGGTTTTAAATGCAAAATCACCATCTTTACTTTAGAGTCAACACCTCTCTTTCTCTAATGGGCACTAATAACCAAAGCTAGAAATCTTTGTTTGATCTTTTTTGCCCTTCTTTTTTACCCTTTATGAAATATGTCAAAATCACTTTTCAATCAACTTTTGAAATGTTCACTGGTCTCCTCCCTGTGGTTAGAAACATTACTTAATTCCTTCCACTATTCCTTTAATTTTTTTCTCTATCAGGAATGCCTTCTCCTCCCTTCTGTCTGCTATCCAAATCTCATCCGTCTAAAATCCTATAAGATTGTTCTCTATCATACAAATATGTATGTGTTATATAAATATATACATACATTTTATGCAAATATTAGAAATACAAATTTGCCACCTTAAGATATCATACATTTTCAAAGATAATGCGCACACTTATCCTTATTGTGTTGCTGAAACACCAGGCAGTCTAGGTCCTGCTGCTCACAGCACAGAAAGCCAGTGACTGAGAAGATGGGTACTGTCAAGGAAGAAGGCTTTAATCTGGTGCTGCAGTCAAGGAGAAAGGAGCCCAGTCTCAAATCCATCTCCCTAACCAACTAAAACTAGGGGTTTATATAGCAGGGAAGAAATGTAACAATGTGTAAGAAAACAGGCACTAGGGAAGGGCAAGGAAGCAATCATGATGAATAAGGGGTTGAGCATCTCATTGTCTGTATGTGGCAAACTGGTGAGTTTCAGTTTTTTGATACTTTTCTGAGAGGCCTGAAGGTCATTTCCTGAGGAAGGAACTCAGATAAAACAAATATAAGGTTCAAGCTTTAAGACCATAAAGGTTAACTTAATCCTCAGGATGAGGATATTAAAAATGTGATTTTTGAATCAGTTGAAAAACCAGTAAAAGTCAAGTCAATAAAGCTGGGCAATAGTATCTTCAGGTTTTAAAAAAGTATGTCAGTAAGAGACAGATAGTCTCATGTGGTTTTGTAACTTACTCTGAAAGCCAATCCACGTGACAGCATTCCAAATTTGTTATGCTGTGGCAGTTCCAACGGACTTAGTTTGCCAAAGTGACCCTTTGAATGACAATATCTTTTTGAGTACACAAATTATGTTTTGTATTTTAATCACACCAATCAGCCACATATTATTCAAAAATTATTGTTTTCTATGTTGTCTTCTAAAAATCAAAGATTGTAAGCTCCGTGAGGTCAGAATTTTTGCCTAATATGTTCATATTCTTCACAAGGCATAATAGTTTTATTTCTAAGGAAGTGGCTATTGTGGATTCACTGACAGAAGTCCACACGATGTGTACAGTGCTTCATGATATAATTCAAGAATCAGAGAGATGGCCCACATATTTTAAACAACTTTTGATTTTGCTATGAGATTTACATAATGAGTTTTCATTATAAGATCTAAAAGTCCCTGAGGAACAAAGACAAAAGCAATTTTTTTTAAAAAAAGAATAAAATGGTAAACTGCATTTGCAGAATTGCTTTTGGGTACTGGAATATACAAGAAATGAATTAATGAAAAATACTGGAGTGATAAGTTTTATATTATGATCCCAAGAGATGTTATGATACAAGCAAAACTAATCAATGTAGATTATTCAGTTATTATTTCTACTTCAAGGGGATTCCTGAATCATTAAACTTAGTAATTTCTATAGCTACTATGGGTCTCTGATTATATTGCTCACCTAATGAAACAGTTAACAGATTACCACACTGAAAGTTCTCAAGGGGGAAAATGGCTAAAATATTCATCTTTTAAATTTCAAGTGTTTAATCAGGATTGTTAGCTAGGGTGGACTTAATGAAGTTTCATCATGTACCTAAATTCAACTTTTAGGACATGAAGATTTTTTGTATTCTATTTTTAAAAACATAGCAATAGATATTTTTATGATATTTAAAAGTGAAAGTTTGGCCACAAGATTTGAAGTAAGCATTTATAGAAACAAAGCATCAGTTCTTGAAGTTTAAGGGAAAAGCTGACAATATAATTGTATAACTGGGCACTTTCCTAATCTTTCTACATCTGCACCCTGTTCTCTTTAAGGAAGTGAACACCATGAATACCTTTTTGAGGTGTCAGTCACTTCATGGAACCCCTCCTACAGGATAGGGTTCACCTCCTACAGGATTGAATACCCCTCCCTTAATAAATCTTTTGGACCAGAAAGGAAATATCCTTAGAACTACATACTAACGTTGGATAGGAAACTGACGCCATGAAATACTTTCTCATCTAAATCTTATCTTTTGATGTCTAGTGGTTGGTTGAGTGGTGGGTTAGCTTCTGTGCATGTAAAAGCTGACGTGTGATTTTCAAGGTAGTAGGGTGATGGTACTATGCAGTTTGCAAAAACAGGACCAGTAATATATTGTTAAGAGTGAGAAACAAATAATATGAAGCTTATAGTGCTGTACTAGTTATATGTTGTTACAGGTGGGAAACAAATAACATGAAGCTCATAGTGCAAGCAGAAAAAGTTAAACTCTATACAATCATTTTAGTCCAGTGGGACAATCATTTAAAAAGGTTGAGAAATGCAGGGTAAGCCACCTAGAAACAAGTTATTTAACCCTAGTAAAGGTTGCTTACTTTTTGACCACACTGACCAACTCTACTCTTTTTGTTTGTTTTTGACTCTCGAATGTGAAATGCTTGTACAAATAATCCATACATACATTTAGTTTAATGTGTTAACAATTGAAAATTATTTTGAAAACAAAACTCATATATGATACTCTTCACTCCTTTCTGCAGTAAGAAATTATGCTGTTTTATTCTAGAAGAGGGATCCTTAAAGCACTCTTCTAAGAAAAGTACATTGTGGATGGTGTGAATGAATAGAATCCCCATGAATGTGGAAGAAACTCATATGCTCTACCATTATCCTTTCTCTGGGGGTCTACACTAAAATCCATTTGCAGACCACATTGCCTGTGATAGGGTGTGAACTGAAAACCTGGACTTTCTCTCTAAGTCCAATCCCATGGTTCAATCACTTGTAATTGATATTTATGTGTAAAATAATACAATGCAGCTCCACATTTTAAATTACTTAGGCTAAACAGAATACACAAGTATTGCCCATGAATAAGGCATTTGAATTATTTACATGTTAATTTCAAGCTTAACCAAACCTTTTTATTAAACTAATCTTATTCTTTACTCCTTCTCTCATTCACATAGACCAAAAATATAAAGAAAGAATATATCTGAAGCCAAATCAACTCATATTGTTTTCAAATGTTTGCCTTACATGAAGATATATTTTAAGCAGATATTTGACATCCATTATTTGACTCCTCCAGAGGATCTTATCATCCACTCATTGCACTTGATATCAAAGCAAATATCAGTGTACAGACTGACTCAGGTCTTTATGTTATATACTGCTGCATGTAATCAATTTGGCATACAATATATGGTTTACATTATTTGGAACAAATTTTTGTTTCAAAAACTGTTGCTTGTAACCTATTCTATAAGCCCTATATTTTAGATAAACAGTATTTCTATTTATCATGGAGAAATAGGACTCCAAGAGAAGCTTGCTGTAGAAATTCAGTAAATATTTGAAATTGAACTGATTCTACATTAGTTATATCTTTCAGGAAAAGTGGTAAATCAGAAATCTTTTACCTCTCTGAACCAAGGAAGGTAAGAATTTAGGAACTGCCAGAGAGAGCCTAACATAGTCGTATTCTTAAATTTAGTATTTATTATTACCACTTAATATGTGCTACTGAGCAAAACATATTTCCGAGTCCACAGTCTAGTCAGAGAGAAGTCAAATAGCCCAATGCCATCTTATAAGGTGCACTGATGACAGTCAGTATGGAAAGCTAGAGCAACAGAAAAGGAGTGCATAGCCAGGCCTCATGAGAGGAACTGAGGATAAGTAGTCAGGGAGTGCTTCTGAGAGTAGTAGACTCTGACATGACTGAGTTTTGGAGGAGAGAAGTGAGATGAGGGGTGAATTGAGTGAGTGCAGACACTACTGCCAGAAACAACAGCACATACAATGACTCAGAGACACAGACAAAGAGTTTGCTCAAGGAACTTCAGGTAATTCAGTATGGGTAGAATAAGAGGAGTTGGAGAAGAAAATGGGGGAATAGTAAAAGTTAAGAACTTAATTTGCTATTTTATGGAGTTTGGAATTAATCTTTAAGGCAATGGGAAATCACTGAAGGCTTGTAAGTGAAGGAGTGACATGATCCGATTTACACAACCTGAGGAGCACCCTTGATCCTTGCTAGTGTGGACTGGGAGAACAAGAGAGAAGTTAGAGCCACTGGGCCAATGGGAAAGTGAATCAGTTTAAATTTTTACTGTGAAGTTTTAACAGTCAGCTTTAAGTATAATGAACTTCCTTTATGTTAAAATCTCTAGCTAAATGTAAATACCATATCTCTTTCCCAACACTAATGTATTTAGCTGCCATTCTTAGCCTGAACCCCTACTCTCTGTGCTTCCTTCTATCATGCTGGTCACTAACACTGGACAAGATACACCCACTGCTCTCATGGAAGCTGCGAATGGAGACTGTGGGAAGTGTTTTCAGGGAGGACAAGCCCAACTCATGTCATCAGGCAGACTGGAATCAAATCTTGGCTTTAGCAGCTTTAGCTTTGTGGCCTTGGGAAATTCCTTAAACTCTTGGAGCCTTGGTTTTCTCACCTTCAAAATGGAAACCAAAATATCTAGCAGGGTTGTAAGAATTGAAGATCATGTACACAGGGCTTCTAGCACAGAGTAAGCCCTCGAGCAGTATACACATTTTATTATTAAAGACAAAATGTACACAAAAGACAACATTAAGACAAATTTCCTATTTTCTAGTTGCTCTTTTGAAGAAAAAAAGACATTGGCAGGAGCTCACAGTAGAGGAATGGGGCCTGAGACTATCCTGTCACTCTGATTCCAGGTCATTAGTGCTTGTGAGTAGCTAAGCAGCTGAGCTGCCCCAGAAAACCTATGCAAAACAATCTTGGTTTTAACTATGTAATCAACATGACAGGGCCATGGCTGAAATAAATATGAATGCTATGGCCAGGTGGCCTTGGGGATTGTGGAGTGCAATTAACCTGCCCACTCCCATTCCCAGAACTCTTCTCAGAGAGGTAATTTCCTTGTCACTCGTTGAGTTTGGTTCTGGCTATTAATTCCAAGCAGCATTTGTGCTTCCTCAGTGTGGTCCTGATCAGTACCACTTCCAGAGATCAGAGGAAACTAAATGAAGACTGTCTGAAGCATCAATTCCCCTTCCAAACCTTTCAGAAATTTCAAAAGATGTTAGTGAGCAGGGTAGTGTAGGAGGAGAGTTGGCACTTTTCTCCTATTTTCATAGGAATATAATGATCAGACCCACCAATTTCTGAATGTAATGAGGATGCAATCCTCAGTCTAAGAAGAAAAACCTAGGTAGAGGGCAAATGGGGAATTTTATCCCTAGCAGTGTCGTGTGACATCTTTGGGTAGAAGGTATGGAACCAGAGAAGGAAAGACTTCTATCTAACTGGGTTCCAATTCACGTTCATTTGGTACTGTTTCTTCTTTCTATTCCTAAAGTCAGGAAAATCAGAAAAATACTTCCCTCCATAGCTGCAGCTGGCATTTTTGCAGTGATCATTAGTAGAACATGTTGGCAGTGGAAAACAGCTTTAGCATTTGCAGAACTGGCTGTCATTTGTGCCAAAAGCAAGTAGGAATAGAAATAGTAACACCAATATTGTTATTACCATACCAGAAGTCAGCTAGCTATCCTGTGCCTATAGCTTTTGTAAGTCATGCCTAATACCCTTATCTCACCTGACCTTCATCTCACATTGTGTATGTGAAATGGGAGAGCAGCAGAAAGTGGGTTGAGAGGGAAAAAAAAAAACTTGTCATTGAGTTTGAATAGCCAGCTTGACTTTGCAGCCCATGACTATCTATTTGCAAAGGGTTTACCTCTTTTAATTGCAATAAAAACTTTAAAATAAACCCATTTTAGTGGAAGATTAATTAGTAGAAAATTTCCAGAAAGCAGTTTAGATAATTTGACCATATTTACCAATAGCCTTTTCAAAAATTCGTATTTCATCCAGAACGCCATTTTTAAGACTATACACTAAAGAAATAGTTTTAAATGCACACAAGGATTTTTAAGTACAAAAATGTATATGACAGATATTTATAATAAAAAAGAAATAATTGAGTAAACATCCATAAAGTGTAAAATAGTCATTAATTTGTATTGAATATATTCAGTTCTTAAAGGGGTTTTATAGAACTTTAAATGACATGAGAAAAACACTTATTGTTTTCTCGTTTTCTCAATACAAGGAAGAGTTCCACTCAAGTTATCTCAAATAAGGGGAATTTTTTCATAAGGATACACATGAAGTGAAACTAGCAAGGATTTAAAAAGCCATCAGGAATTGGGAGAGAACCTGCTAATCTGTCCACTCTGCATCTCTTTTTCTTCCAAAGCCATCCCATTAATTCTCTTTCTGCCAATAAGAAGGCTAACACACATGCCCACATGTTTCCAGATATGGCTGTTTATCATTGCCTTTCAGCTTGGGTTAAGTAAAGAGTAGTTTCCCTCTGAAAGGCCTGTGGGGAGCTAGGAACATTGATGGTGATGTTAAATAAAGCAGGAATCAAAACTACATTTATGGTATCACCATTCACTGACTCACTCAACACGTATGCATTGAACACTCACTATAAGGTGGCAACGTTGGCATGCATAGTCCTTGCTCTCACAGCTCTTCTAGCTTAGAGAATAAAGGCAATTCAAATCCATGTTCGTGGTGCTACAGTACACATGTGTGCATGATAGGAGAGCATCCTGAAAGAGATCCCAACTCAAACTTGGAGAAATATCAGAAAAGCATGTCCAGTTAATTTTTCTCCAGAAAGTAGTTTAGTGTGGCTATTTGAAGTTGTGTGTTTTTAAGGGGTTATAACTTAATGTGTTAGGGGGTATGAAGAATTTTGTAAGCCAGAGTAAAAACTGTTAATCTTCTGAGTGGCAATGGAACTATGATAAGTTTGGGCAGGGGAGAGAGGTGATCAAATTTGCAAGTTACAAAAATCCATAAATTCACTGTAGATAATGTACTGGCTGATGGGCAGCCTGGAGTCAGAGGGCCCAGGGGGAGACTTTATTAATAATAGCAGCAAAGTTGAAGGAGCCCATACTAGAGCTAGTACAAGTGGAGGGGGAGCAAACTACATGAGCTTGAAAGATGTACAGCATCAACTGAACTTGGAGAATGATAATTTGTGTGGGATGAGTGAGGGAAAGGAGTCAAGGATAAAGCCCAGTTTTATAGCTTAGTGTAATTAACTGAGATTGAAAACAAAGAAGTAAGTGAGGGAAAGATAATGAGTTCAATGTTAAATACATTGAGTTTGTAGTGAGAATGAGACATCTAGGGGTGATGCCCAGGAGGAAATTTGATCTATGCATCTGAAATGCAGAAAGGGGTCAGAGCTGCTGGAAACAGAGTTTGATATGTCATATGCATATGGGCCATACTTCAAATAATGAATATGCATAAGAGAGTCTGAGAATTAAATTATAATTTTTAATTATAATCTTTATAATTAAAAAATAAGAAAAAAAAGGAGCCGAGCGCAAGGCACAAACATACCTGAAGGACACAAAAAGAAAGAAAGAGAAACTCATGCAGGAAGGAGATGGAAATAGCCTTCAAAGAGGGAGGGAAATAATCCAGTGTACAGCATTGTCACCGAATTCAAGAAGAGAGAGCATCAGGAAACAAGAATGACTTGGTGATAAGAAATCAATTTATAAAATATATATTAAGTCAAAGGAGAAAAATGATATAATCATATCAACAGATGAGAAAAAGTCACTGGTAGAATCTAATGAATATTTTAATGGCAAGTGCTCCTTTAACATAATCATACATATATATATATGCATGTGTATTTATATATGTGTATATATGCAGGTGTTGTGTGTTTTGGGAGTCTCCAAGACCACTCTAGTTTTGATAGTTTACTAGGAGAACTCGGCATATAGTTGTATATTCAGGACTTGGCATATAGTTGTATATTCTCACAGCTATGATTTATTACGGTGAAAGGATATAAAATGAAACTAGCAAAGGAAAAAAGGGCACGGGGTGAAATCCATGGTCCTCTCCCAGTGGAGTCAGACAGGATGAGCTTAATTCCTCCAGCAATGAGTTATAACAACACAAGTGAAATGTCTACCAGGGATGTTCATTAGAAGCTCAGGGCCCCAGTTTTTTACTGGGAGCTGGTCACACAGACACTGTCTGCCTAGCATTTTCTAAAACCTCAGAAGGAAAGATGTTCAGCATAAACCATATTGTTTGCACAGTTTAGGCATATAAGGTATTCTTAACAGGAAATGGTAGGAATCCTACCATGATCCAGATGCCACCCAAGGGCCAACCTTGCAAGCAAGTCTTTCTACAGAGGGCAGTCTCAGGTTTGCCATGTCAACTCTTCTCTCTCTCTCTGTGTGTGTATGTATGTATCTCCGTGTGTGTGTGTTTGTGTGTGAGAGAGAGAGTATGATGGTTGCATACACATTAGAAAATTAGGAGAGATGCCTGCTCTTTCCATTATTACTGAATATTGTTCTGAAAGTATTAAACAATATAATTAAATAAGAAGGAAGAAATCAGACAGAATAAATATTGTAAAGTAGGTAATGTTACTTAAGAATAATACAATTTTATATGTGAAAATTATAGAAAATCAGTTCTAGCTTTGCACAGTGGTAGTATCACAGCCACTGAGGTCTGAGATGCAATTATTGCTCATTGAAAACTTTTCCCAAAACCCCTGTCATGATGACTTGCAATATAGTTGACATTGGTAATTTTTGACAGTCTCTAAGGAGACCGATTTTTTAAAAAAGAAGAAAATCATTTCTAGAAAGTATCAAGATAATAAAATGATTTGGAAATTTTAAAAATATACCAGAAAAATTAGAATATGTAATAAAAATCAGAAAAGATAAATGATCTAAGAATGCACTTTGAGGAAAGTGCAGGAAGTCAATTCAGTGTGTGTGAATAGGTCCAGACCATATCAGGAAGAAGTGAGAAACCAGTATGACTATAGCTGAGAGTAAGGTAATAGAGAATGAATAAGGAGGCTGGAGAGTGAAAATCGGGGCATAACATGCAGGGCTTTGTAAGCCATTATTGGGATTTTAAAAATTCCATTATTAAAGCAATAGAAAATTTCTGAAGAGTTTAAAAAGTTTTAAAATACAATAACATTTGCACTCCAAAAGCATCATTCTAGCTGCAAATATGGAAATAGTTTTGAGGTGAGCCAGATACATACACTTTGGATGGAGATTTACAAGAATAATATCTACTATAGAATGAAATCCCGACAATAGATTCTAATAGTTTAGGGTGATGGCAGTAAAGATGAAAGAAAACTAGAATAATTTAGTGATATTTAGGAAATACAACTGGTAGCACTCTATAATTAATGGGATGTGAGGATGAGAGTGAGTGAGGAGCTTCAATGACTTCCAGATTTCTGGATTACACAACTGTACAGATGTGAGCATCGTTTTCTGAGATTAAAAAACACTGAGGACATAACTCAAATAGACTAAATTCATAATTTGAATCCTTTTTTCTTAAAACTATTATTTTAACATGTGTTTCAATAGCTATTTTGAAACTCAGAAAACTGAGGAATGATTTTTTAAATTCTTTTATTCTCTGAAGACATGGGCTCACATCATCTGAAGGGGGATGGCCAAAGGGCAATAAAAAAAATTACCATGAGTTAGAAGAACATTTTTAAGTGTACCAAAATAGTATCATGTCAAATATAAAGTTTTTATCTAATGAAATTATAAGCAGAAACCTAATTGTGCCCTTCTCTGGAGTGGTACACTGGGAAAGCAGATTTGAGTTTCTCTTAAGTATCATGTGAATGTTTTACATGAATTTGTATTTCTGATTAAAAAAATTAAAAAGTCATCTTGGAAAAAATAAAGTTGATTGTTTTACTTAAAGTAAAAAACTGAAAGGAGTAGGAAATGTCAAACAGTAATCAAATGCAGAGTTCAAGCAAGGTACAGGCTAGAAAGTGTCCACCACATTTAGGAGAAGGGAGGTAATCGGTGACCCTGTGGAGCTAAGATTCAGGGGTTTGCAGAGCATCCAGACAGCAACAGCTTGTGAAGTGACACAAGATGAAGTGGAAACTTAAATATTTTGAGAAACTGGCTAGCAAGTGAAATAGGAGCTAGATGGTAGCCAAAGAAAAAAACAAAGTCTGGAAATACGCTGTTATTGTTTAATTTTCATAAAAGATGTATACATGTTTAATTGCTAATGAAGAAGTTTCAAGAGATTAGAAATTAAAATTTTAAAAATATTAAGTAATTTGAAAAATAATGTAATGAAATATACCAAGATAAAATATATTTTTTATGCCTGGATTTGGGAATCTGGAACAATTTTAAAACTTTTATTAGAATTATAGGAATTTTAAAAATTTACTGTAGTAAAAAAAAGATTTTATATTGAGAAAATTAAGGACAGTCAGCCTCATTTTACAAAGAAAAAAAAAAAGAATGCAGGTCTCCAGGATTTTATCCTCCGCATATGAGCTGAGGGGCCAGAATCTAAGTGATTTGTATAATGCTCTGTCCTGACTGCTCCTTTCCACCCAGGAGCAAGATCATTGTAAAAATTTCATTCTACATGATGCTAGAGGGCTAAAAGTTTATAAAACAATGTTTAAATGGAAAATAAATGTTAAAAAATTATAATGAAGATTTCCATGTCATCCTATCTAAAGGTAGTAGACACATTTCACCCTATACCTCTCACCTAATAACACCTAAAAACCCGGGACAAAATATGTAAAACAAACATAAGAAGATTCTGAAATGTGAAGAAAAGAAGGCATCCTTCTTAAAGATGTTATACTCAAGGAATAAACTGGCAGGATGTTTTCTGCCTCCTAAATATCCTAGCCTGGACACTGGAAAATTTCACAAGCTAGAAAGAATGGTAAGTGCACAACCCCAAAAAGCAAAACAAAACAAACAAAAACCAACCAACAAAACAAACAAAAACCAACCAACAAAACAAAACAAAATAAGCCCATTTTCTTTAGCCAAAGGACCTGGAAGGGAGTGCCTATGCAGGGCGTAACCTTTTGGGTGACACCAGAAACACTCCAGAGAAAAAAAGTGCCCTCCCCCACCCTGTCATTTGCAGCAGCTGAAACCAGACTATGTCAGCAGACGTTACCACCACAACCCAGTAGCAACTACATGGTGCTCCCTCTTGGATGATAGGTGTCTGTGGAGGCTTTGTGTGTGAGAGGGGCCTGACTGCCATGCCAGCCTGGTATTAATGAGTAACATGATCTAAATACAATAAAAAGTAACTTATCTTGCCAAGAAACAGAACAATGTCAAGTTTAATGAGAAAAACCAATCAACAGACACAACATCAACACAGCACAGATATTGGAATGATCTGACCAGATTTTAAAGCATCTATAATTTTTTAAAACATACCTCAAAAAGCAACTATGAACCCTCTTGAAATGAAAAAAAAAAAACCACACAAACATTCTCAGAAAAAAAAAACCATATAAAAAAGAACCAAATGGAAATTTAAGAACGGAAAATACAAGAACAACAACAAAAATTCCTGCTTTCAGTATTGGTGGAATAGCTGATATTGACCAATACTCCCATAATGAACCATTAGAAAATTTAGACTAAAGCACAAAAACATCTATTTGAAGGAATGAATGACAGACCAGAGGAGACAGGACATGAGACACAGAATTTCAGAGCGAAAATAAACTCATTTAGGTGAACATTATACTCTGTGGCACTTTTTCACTTGAGACATTTGCTATTTTTTAAGCAGGAGGAAAAAAAAAGAAAAGAAAAGCAGAAAGAGTTTGCTAACAGAAACCTGAGATGAGATTTTGGGGAGGCTGGGAAGGCAGAACTTGGAGTTCAGGGATAGCCATGCAGGTTGGACTTGAAGAAAAATTAATCCAGAGAGAAACAAAACACAGCTGGGGAGTCCAATACCTTGATTCATGTTTCCCTTGAAGGAATGTGCTATCTGTTGAGCAGCACAGAAGCTGCCTGTGCTTCTGTGGAAGCAGATGCCAAGCACAAAGCAGTGTCCAGTTCTCTGGAAAGATGAGCAGAGATCTTGGAAAAATAATAAAGATAGGAAAAAAAAAATGGAGTCCAGAGCTCTCTACGGAGAAGGGGCCCTGATCAACATCTAAGATTTCTGGCAAACGTCAGAAAGAACAGTATCATAGGAGTGAAAATAAGTTGGAAACAGAGTGGATCTCACAAAACTGAATTAATTCCAGTCCAGCTTCCTGTACTTTAACTGCCTGTGAGAAAGCAAAATAAATTCTCTCTGGAAGAGTAAAACAGCAGCCAATGCCTCCAAATATCTCTAATATTTTTTATTATTCAATCTTCTATAACACATAGGAATGTCAAGAAATAAGACAGGATTAGCAAACCCAAGAGAAAAAAAGTCAGTAAAAATATGTGGTGATCTATTTTTCATCAATATTAGGTGATTAAGATACTGAAGTTGTCAGAGGAGACTTTAAAATAACTAATTCAATGCTCAGGAAAATAAATGAAAAGATAGAAAATGTCACCACAACATTGGACTCTACTAAAAAGTCAAATCAAATCTACAAAAAATTATTAAAATGTAAATTATTAAAATGTAAAAATTATTAAAATGTAATCAAATGCAAAGGGCAACAACTAATTTTTAGAAACAAAATTACAGATTTATTGCAGCAGAAGAAAAGGATAGCAAACTACAAGACTAGTCAATAGAAAATGTCCAGATTAAACCAAACTAAAAAATAGTTAAAAAATTTTAAAAACCAACTTGAGAAAAATGTGAGACATAGTGAAAAGTCCTAGTATATGTGCAATTGTAGTCCCAGCACAGGCGATAGAGAATTATGACAGAAGTAATACATAAAATGACCAAACATTTTCCAAAATGATGAAAATTTTGAATGATTTTCAAAATTTTTGAATGATTTTCATCATTTTCCAAAATGATGAAAGACATTATGCTACAGATTCAGAAATCTACAAATCTGTAGAAGAATAAATTTAAACTAAAAGAAAATCACACAGAGGTGCCTCATAGTTGAACTTCTGAAAGTCAAAAACAAAACAAAACAACAGCATTTAAAGCAGTCAAAGGAAAATGGCATATTACCTTCAAATGAACAATGACACTGCTAAAAATCAACTTCTCAGAAGAAATTATATAAAACAGAAGAAAATTATATTATTAAAGAGATTAAAGAAAATAACTTTGAAATTCTATATCATTAAAAAGGTTTTTTTTTCAGTTTGTATAATTTTATGGGCTACAAGTGTCATTTTGTTACATGGATAGATTGTGTAGTTAGTGGTGAATTCAAAGCTTTTAGGGTATCCATCGCTTGAATAATGTACATTGTACCCACTAAGTAGTTTCTCATCATACAATCTCCTCCCACAGCTTGCAACCTTCGAAGTATCCATTGTCTAACATTCCACACTCTTGCATCCATGTGTACACATTGTTTAGCTCCCACTTATAAATGAAAATATGCAGTTTGTCTTTCTGTGTCTGAGTTGTTTCATTTCAGATAATGACCTCCAGTTCCATCTACATTGCTGCAAAAGAAATGATTTCATTTTTTATGGTTGCATTGTATCCCATTGCATATATATGCCACGTTTTCCTTATCTAGTCATCCACTGATGGACACTTAGGTTGATTCCATATCTTTGCTATGGTGAATAGCGCCATTATAAACATATGAGTGCAGGTGTCCTTGTGATATAATGATTTATTTCCCTTAGGGATAGATACCCAATAGTGGGATTGCTGGATCAAATGGTAGTTCTATGTTTAGTTCTTTGAGAAATCGCCATACTATTTTCCATAGAGGTTGTACTAATTCACATTCCCATCCAAAGTGTATTAGCCTTTCTTTTCTCCACATCCTCTCCAGCATCTGTTATTTTTTGACTTTTTAGTAATAGCCAATCTGACTGATGTAAAATAGTATCTTGTTGTGGTTTTAATTTGTATTTCTCTGGTTAGTAGTGATGTTGAGCATTCTTCATATGCTTATTGGTCATTTGTATGTCTTCTTTTGAAAAATGTTTATTCATGTCCTTTCCCTATTTTTAATGCATTTTTTTAGTTATTTGAATCCTTTGTAAATTCTGGATATTAGCCCCCGTTGGGTGCATAGTTTGCTATTTCTCCGTATGTGTGTCTCTTTCAAGATACTGGCACTTTGATCTTGGACTTCCCAGCCTCCAGAACTATGAGAAATAAATTTCTATTTATTATAAATTACCTAACCTGTGATATTCTGTCATAGTAACACAAAATGGACTAAGAAAAAAATTGGTATAGAAAAGAGAGGCTGTTGTTATTCATCAAGACAATGGGAGAATAAGCCAGGAAGCATTTCAGAGATCTTTGAGGCTGCACCTCTGATCACAGGCCCAGAGCAAGGCCTTGGGGCAAGGTTTTCAGAGAGGCACCCTTGAGACCTCAGCGTTTGTTGCCCTGTGCCACCTCATGTCCCATCTCTGCTCCCCACATTCTGGCAGAGCACCCCTCAGTCACCCCAGCCATGGCTTAAGTGGGACTAGGTGCAGCTTGGACTGCTACTCTGGAGAGTGCAAGCAATAAACCTTGGCAGCATCCACATAGTGCTAATTCTACAGGCCCGCAGAGTGTGTGGGCTATTGGGCCATGGCAGCCACCTGGATTTTAAAGGATGTATCAGGCAGCCTGGGGGCTTAGGCAAAATCCTGCTGCAGGAGGGGTGCCACCACAGAGTTCCCACTAGGGCAATTCCCAGCAGAGCTGTAAGGTTGAAGCCACTTCGGAGTCCCTACTAGGCTTAGTAAAGTGGTGGGGATGGGACCACCCCTGAAACCACAGAGCTGTAAAGCTACCAGCTTGAAATTCCAGTCTGGGAGAGCTGCAGGGATGAGCCTCCCCATAAGAGCTGCTTCATGGGCTGAGCCCAGCAAAGCCATGGGGGGCAGGGCTATCCAAGTCTTTGGGGGCCAAACCCTTGCTCCAGTGTGCCCAGAGGTAATACAAAGAGTTAAAGATTATTCTGGAGTATTAAGATTTCATGCTGTTTGTCTTGTTGGCTTTAGGACTTACTTGGAACCAGTTTCCCCTTTCTTTTCATTTATTTATCCCTTTTGAAATGGAAATGTCTAGCCTGTCCCACCATTGTATTTTAGAAGTGGATACATTTTTATTTCAGTCTCACAGATGGAGGAGAACTTGTCTCAGAATGAATCATGTTTTGAATCTCATTTATATCTGATTTTAAAGGAGACTTTGGATTTTAGAGTTCCTGCTAGAATGAGTTAAGACTTTGGGGGCTATTGGAATAGAATGAACGTAGTTTGCACATGAGAAGGACATGAATTTGAGGGACCAGAAGCAGATGATATGATGCGAATGTGTTCCCCCAAAGTTTTTCTGTTGAAAATTTGATCCTTAATGTGACGATGTTAGAAGATAGAACCTTGATGAATAGCCTAATGCTGCCTTTTTTTTTTTTTTTTCCAGGAATGGGTGTGTCAGCTTGGGAGTGAGAATAATAAGTTCAGTTCTCTTCTCTCTCTCTCTCTCTCTCTCCCCCCCTCTCTTTCCTACTACCTCTCTCCCCCTCTCCCTTTCCTGCTCCCTCTCTCCCCCTCTCCCTTTCTCACTCCCTCTCCCTTTCTTGCTCCCTCTCTCCCGCTCTCCCTTTCCTGCTCCCTCTCTCCCCACTCCCTTTCTCACTCCCTCTCTCCCCGTCCCTTTCTCGCTCCTTCTCTCCCCTTCTCCCTTTCTCACTCCCTCTCTCCCCATCACCCTTTCCCACTCCCTCTTTCCTCCTCTCCCTTTCTCACTCCCTCTCTCCTTTTTTTTTGCTTTTCCACATGGGATAATGCAGCAAGAAGGCCCTCATCAGATGCTGGCACTTTGGTCTTAGACTTTCCAGCCTCCAGAACTGTAAGAAATAAATTTCTATTCGTTATAAATTACTCAGACTGTGGTATTCTGTTATAGCAGCACTAAAAAGACTAAGACAGTACCTAAAGGAATTGAAATCAGTATATTAAACAGATATCAGCACACCCATGCTCATTGCAGCATTATTCACAATAGCAAAAATAGAGATACAACCTATGTGTCCATCAACAGATTAATGAATAAAGAAAAAATGTGGCATATATACATAACATACAAAAAATGTGGCATATATACATAATTAATAAGGATTATTAATTAGCCTTAGAAAAGAAGGAAATACTACCATTTGTGACAACATGGATGAAACTAGAAAATATTATGTTATGTGAAATGAACCAGGCACAGAAAGACAAATACCATATGATCTCACTTATACTTGGAACCTAAACAAGCTGAATTCATAGAAGTAGAGAATGGAGGCCGAGCGCGGTGGCTCACGCCTGTAATCCCAGCACTTTGGGAGGCTGAGGCAGGTGGATCACGAGGTCATGAGATAGAGACCATCCTGGCTAACATGGTGAAACCCCGTCTCTACTAAAAATACAAAAAAAAAATTAGCCGGGTGTGGTCGCGGGCACTTGTAGTCCCAGCTACTCGGGAGGCTGAGGCAGGAGAATGGCGTGAACCCAGGAGGCGGAGCTTGCAGTGAGCCGAGATCGCACCACTGCATTCCAGCCTGGGCGACTGAGCAAGACTCCATCTCAGAAAAAAAAAAAAAAAAAAAAAAAGTAGAGAATAGAATAGTGGTTACCAGGTGCTGGGGAGAAAGTTTGATGGAGAGAAGAGAGATGTTGGTCAAAGGTTACAAAGTTTCAGTTAGACAGGAGGAATAAATTTTAGTGATCCTTTGTACAGAATGATAACTATAGTTGATAATAATGTATTGTATGTTTCAAAACTGCTAAAAGAGTAGATTATAAATGTTCTCACCACACCAAAAAACATAAGTGAGGTAATAAATATTTTAATTAGCTTATGCAATCATTCTACAATGTGAATATATCAAAACATCACATTGCATATGATGCATGAATATATACATATTTATGTGTATATATATAATTTATCCCATAAATATATACAATTATTTGTCAATTAAAAATAGAATAAAAATTTAAAAACATGAATTTAAAAATCAGAAATAAAAAAAGAAAAAATAGGGAAATCCAAAATTACAGTTGGAAGATTTAACACATCACTCTTGGTAACTGATAGAAGAGGTAAATACAAAAGCAATAAAGATACAAATGACTTGAACATCCCTAAATTTGATAAACTTGCCTTAATTGAGATATTTAGAATACTGCCCTTGATATTGGCATTTTTCTCAAGCATGTTTGGTATATTTACCAAAACTGATTGTTTGAACCATAGAACAAGTTTCCAAAAATATCGAAGAATTGACATCATATAGACTATGCCTTCTATTGCCATTTTTATTCAACATTATACTTGAGGTCCTAATCAGTGTAATAAGGTTAGAACAAAAATGTTTAAATCCTAAAAATTTGGAAAAAGTTCTTTATTATTCCTAATTTTGTATATATAGAAAGAGTCAAAAGAATCTACAAACCATTATAATTAATAAGTGCATTTAGCAACATGGCTGGATACAAAATCATTTGTGTCTCTATGTATGGCAAAATTTAGACAAAATTAAACAAACAAGATAATGTGAACATACAAAGTTAATTCATAAAAGAGAAAAAAGAGATAAAACTAAAATCTTACAATTAGATATTGAGTAAAATTGGTAAATGTGATCTGACAACAAAAGCTGTATACAAAGAAAAAAATGAAAGTACAGAATTGTTCCTTTAATAGAATTAATATACCAGTGAAACAAAGAAAAATAAGATAGAAAAACAGTTTAATTCTGCTAAGGACTAATGCCATTTACTTGCTTTTAATATATTTTTATATTCTTTTATCCTCTATTGTTTTCTCATTTTTTTCTACTTTGTTGTGCTTTATAAGGTGTTATTCTGATTCTGCTTCCAACTATTTCTTTTAAACTCTCAGTTTAAACTTTATTTAAAGTTTTCTATTTCATCTTAAAATGTATACGTACATTTTATCCCATATCAGTATATTAGTATTTAGTATAAACTTACATATTTATTCTATAAACAAGTACATTAGTAATTTAATCAATGTTTGACCGCCCCCCACCCCACCTCAGAGTTAAGTTGATGCTGTACTATATTTCCCTCAAAACCTCAAAAGCTCAGAAGGTATGTTACCTCAATTTGCAGAACCTAACCTTCTATTTCCCTTGAAAATGAAAGCTGGTTGCGAAATGCGTAAGGCAAAAAATGATGGCGTTTGCTGAAAGTCTGATGCTAATAGTTAAGTTGAGGAATCCTTTACCTGAATACTTCCTCTAGAAAAGAGATGTGCCTGCAAATAATTTCTGGACACAATAAAGAATACCAAGTACCAAAAGTGAGGATGCTGCTGAGCACAGGTTAACACTATATATCATATATTGTCTGGGACTCCTGGGGATAAAAGACAGGGAAGACTCCAAGCTTTCACCTTTTTGAGCATTTGTCATTCCATGTGGGTTTTTACCCCTTCATTTGCTGTCCCTTTGATAAAATCTTCTGAACTCACCTACTCTTTCATTCTAGATGCTTCTTCCCTCTCTCTCCACATCTTCCATAATATCTTGCCATGCTGTTAACGCTGTTATCCTGGTGTTTGTGTTTTCAGAAGGCTTGAACTACTACAAATGTTGTGTCCCTCAGAATACATACCAAAAGACACGTGCATAATCATCACTGATCATACAATTAGGCCAGTCAAGTGGGTGACAAACAAAGGGGAGGCAGTTGGGCAAACCAGTGTATTTTAGAATGCACAAAGGTTAAATAGGTTCCTTACTTAAGGAATGAAGAAAGCGAAATCACTCAGTGAGACTGTGAGTCATACCACACTCTTTTGTGTAGGTTGGTGTTACCTACTTCTATAATCAACCTATTTCTTTATTTATCCTCTGTGTAGCCTACATGGAGAAACACAAAACTATTACTGTTAAACTCCTGCAGATTGGAGTAATTTATTGGTAAAAAATATGGAAATAAAAAATGCATGTGTGATTATGAAAAGTTTTATTTCTTATTTTATAATATATTTTCTTACAAGAGCACTAAAAATCACTTAGGAAGGCACTTCTTTTTTTAAGCTTTTCTCTGGAATCATTGTACTATGGTCTGTTTTTTAATACAGGAAATGAAAGTTTCCATTGTGAAAACAAGCTTGATGTTCTGCAACTCACAGGTCATCACAGAGTGTTCTAGAAAGTGTGTCATTTCCTTTTTTAATCTTTTTTTGATAGTTAATCAATTTCCTCTATCTTATAAATATCACACAAATGTAATATTGGCCAAAGAACATACACAGAGAAAGAACAGATATTTGTATAAAATTCATTTCCATGTTCCAATGTGTGCACCTCCTAAAAGCAAGTAAAGGCAGTCCAGAACACCTAATTTTGTGAATTTTTGAAGTTTTTATTTTTAAGTTCTATTTAGTCATTATTTGAGGGAGGTGCTCAAACACCCAAAGACAATTAATCCTAACAAAGAATACGTAATCAACAATCTTTAATTTAACTTCCTTTCAGTGCTAAGTAGAAATAAATAATTTTTTTAAAACAGGAAACTAGTACTCAAGTCAATTTGTATGTAACAATTGTAGAATACAAAATACAAAGAACTAAATCAACTTTATAACAATCCCCAAGATAAATAAATTTCCATCAAATACAGAAATTTGACTATATTAGGCAACTGTGATAATTTCTAGACCCCTGACGTTTGCTGTATTCAGGAGATACAGGTAGGCTCCCTTCTCCAGAGGGCAGTGATAACCAAAAGCCTTAGTAATCTTTGACATTTCCCTCTCCTAGCTCTCAAATGTCTGTGTCAATGATTTCAAATTGCATGTATTGTTTAAATTTATCCTCTTCTTAGTTGTAGTTCCTATCCAAAGCTGCAGACTTAAGACCACTTCTCCCGCTTCAGACCTATATTTCTACAAAGAGCAAGTCTCAGATAACAACCAATGCAAAAATTCAAATGTTATCATAACTATTATTTTCTCTTTGGACAACTGAATCCTAAAATTTAACTAACTTTAACTGCCACGATTAATAATCTTTGACTACACTAACTAGTACTAACCTTTCCTTTAAATTCCCTTTTCAACAAAATTGAAAAAGTATATATGTATTACTGGACCAAAGGCAAGGGACAGTAGCCATCAGTTTTTAAAACTTACTTTATTGCACATGCCATAACTCACCAATGTAAAAAAAAATGCTCTTTTTATGTTTCACAAAGCATATATTATCTCTGAGACATTCCCTGAAATCCAACTCAGTAGTTTTTGGGTGGAGCTCAGAGATATTTATTCAGCAAGTTCAAGTGATTCTGATGTCCAACAAAGTTTAAGAACAATTAAAGTGGTCAGTACAACTAGATATAGAATTTTTAAAAGATCAATTTTGGATAAATATGGTATTTTTCCTTAAAAGGAATCTTCTACCTGCTTTTTCCTTTTAGCGGTAAATTTAAATGCAAGTTACTCCTTGAGACTCCTCACTTGATCCATAGAAAGAGCCAAGGGGAACTCCCTCAAAACTCTCTTATGTCCTAAAATTTTATTTTTGCTTGTAACAGCATGTCAGGCAATACAGAGCTACCATTATCTTTGGGGCAAAATTTGGATAAAATATTCACCATTTTTTGTCTTTTGAGTATTTTCAACAATATCATTTTTTATACTAGAGCAACTACTATCATTCAGAAAGACACTTAATACCATCTGCAGAAACTCAATCTGAGCTTTTAAAGCTTGAGATTGATCTTTCTTCTTGCCTAGTTCTCTGGTCCTAGAAACACTGATCAATAGAAAACAATTTGTCACCCCAAATATAGTATACAATTTCCTTGTGGGATTTTAAATCCAAGGTATATCTGTATTCATCATTTTATGTGTGAAAAATATAAGAGAAATAAAACTTTGTCCATTGTATTAACTCCTTCTAGTCCTCTCATTTTGAAGCATTGGTTGGATTCTTAATCCTCTATTGTCTCAAGATACTAGAGCTCTTTCACAAGCAGAAATCCATTTAGATAAAAACCTCCAATCATGTGATCCAAATGTCCAGGTGCTACACCAACTTGGTATGCCCTCATCTGTCAAACTTAATCACTCACCATCTCATATCACAGGCTCCCAGCAACCTTCTTTTAAATTCTTCCTTACAGATTATTTTCAGAAACACCTTCTTACTAAAAGTTACCTTTTGTGTGTTGAGCAGTTAATGTCTCTTTTTAATGATATTATTGTTGAATACCTGTTTTTCATCATTTAATCACTTATTTACTCTTACCCAATGAACTTGAAATTCACAGAATCTAAAGTCTCAAAATCCTCAGACACTGTTTATGTAAACAAAACTATAAAATATGAGAAAATTGACTTATGTTCTAGTCTTGTAAGGTTTGTTGTTATTCATTTGTTTTGCCATTGTTTCATTCACATGAATATATGAATTAGATTAGTATTTGCTTCAGAGGATAACCTGTCCTAAAGATAATTAAAATACTTCCAGTCCAGCTATTTAAGTCCATTTTTTTTTCACCCAATAGCCAGGGACACCTATCTGAATGCAAATATATTAATGACATGTTCTTTAATGATTCCTCCATTGTGAATCTCTACCATAAAGTTGGAACTCCTTGGCAGGATGACAGACAAGACCTTTCATATTTTGGTCATATTTTCTGCACCCCTTATTTTGTAATTATGCTTCTGCAAGATATACACTTGATTATAGTTGAAATACACACACACATACTCACAAACACACGTGTCTTTCCTCTCTGTCTATACTCTACACTTATGTTGGTCTTACTGTCTTACTTCTTCAACCTATAAATGAGCTCAGGTCAACCTCTAAGAAAATCGTTCATGATCCCAGTTCCAGAATGAATTATATGACTCATCTTGGTGCTCCTATAGCACTGTGTCTATTTTCTATCAATGCATTTGATGTTACTGTGTTTCATTGTCTATTAATACATCTTCTTGCCTGCTATTAGTGAACTTCTTGAGACAGGTACTCCATCTTATTTATCTTTTATTCTTCTGGTTGGTATCAACGGGTGCTCATAAATGTTGGTTGAATAGATGAAATAATTAATGTATAAATACGTAAGCTCAGTTAATGTGGTAGCCTAGAGAAAGAAACATGCTTAAATAGAAATAGGTTCCTCTGTTAGCAAATAGGCCATGAGTTTTGTATTCCAAGTATTTAAAGGCAAGATTTGTTTCATAAAGTTCTATGTACCTTTTTAAATATTCTTTTCCTAAGTAATATTTTTTTCATTCTGACCATTTTCATTTTTAAAATCTTAATCATAAAATAATACAATATTATGTCTTCTTTTTTTCAGTGGTAGCATAGAGGGTACTAGAGAACATGTGGTGTGTGGGATTAGCGTGGGAAGACCTGGCTGACTTCCCATTTTTCATGTACTACCTGTGAATTTGATTAGGCCACCCAACTCCTCAATGCCTTAATTTATGTGCGTACAATGGTATAATAATACTAATCCACACTACTCATTAGATTTCAGTGCAGATCAGATGAGACAGCTATGTGAGAATATCAGTAAGAAGTGGTTGTTTTTTTTGTTGTTGTTGTTGTTGTTGTTTGATGATACTGTCCTTTCCCCAGTGTGTGCCCTTGGGGCCTTTGTCAGAACAGTTGACTACAAATGCATAGATTTATTTCTAGGTTCACTATGCTGTTCCTTTGGTCTCTATGTCTGTTTTCATGCCAGTATCGTGCTGTTTTGGTTACTATTCCTTTGCAGCATATTTTGAAGTCAGGTAGTGTGATGCCTCCAGCTTTGTTCTTTTTGTTCAAGATTGCTTTAGCTATTCTGAGTCTTTTGTGGTTCCATATAAATTTTAGGATTGTTTTTCTATATCTGTGAAGAAAATCATTGTTGTTTTCATAGGGATTACATTGAAGCTGCAGATTACTTTGGGTAATATGGACATTTAAAAAATATTAATTCTTCCAATCCATGAATGCAAGATATCTTTTCATTTATTTGTGTCCTCTTTAATTTATTTTATCAATATTTTATAGTTTTTAATGTAGAGATCTTCCACCCCCTTGATTAAATTTATTCCTAGGTATTGTATTTTTTATAGCTATTATCAGTGGGATTGTTTTCTTGATTTCCTTTTCAAATAGTTTGCTATTGGCATTTAGAAAAGGTACTAATTTGGGGGATGTTCATTTTGTGTCCCACAAATTTACTGATCTTTCTTATTATTTCTAAGAGTTTTTTGTGGAGTCCATCAGATTTTCTACATATAAAGTCATATAATTTGCAAAGAGGACAATTTAACTTCTTCCTTTCCAATTTAGATGCCCTTTATTTCTTAATCTTGCCTAATTGCTCTTGCTAAGTCTTCCAGTACTATATTGAATAAGAGTGATGAGAATG
Source organism: Homo sapiens (assembly GCF_000001405.40). Classification (NCBI taxonomy): domain Eukaryota; kingdom Metazoa; phylum Chordata; class Mammalia; order Primates; family Hominidae; genus Homo; species Homo sapiens. The sequence goes on along the minus strand of NC_000006.12, from coordinate 71,637,726 downwards.
GGCATTCTTGTCTTATTTCAGATTTTAGAGGAAAAGCTTTCAACTTTTCCCATTCAATATGTTAGCTGTGGGTTTGTCATGTATGACCATTACTGTGTCGAGGCATGTTCCTTCTATTTTTAATTTGTGCAGAGTTTTTATCATAAAGGAATGTTGAATTATATCAAATGCTTTATCTGCATCTGTTGAGATAATCATATGGCTCTTGTCCTTTATTCTGTTAATATGATGTATGATGCTTATTGATTTGCATATGTTGAATCATCCTTCCATCTCTGGAATAATCCCACTTGATCACGGTGAAAAATATTTTTGAGGTACTGTTGGATTCAGTTTGTTAATATTTTGTTAACAATTTGTGAAAAATTGAATATTCATATGCAGAAGAATGAAACTAGGCCTCTATTTCTCATCACTTACAAAAATAAACTCAATATGGAATAATATTTAAATGTAAGATCTAACACTATGAAACTACTAGAAGAAAACCCAGAAGAAATGCTTTATGATATTGGTCTGAGCAAGGATTTTTAAGATTAGACTAGACTTCAAAAGCACAAGAAACAAAAGCAAAAATAGACAAATGAGATTACATCAAATTACAAAGCTTCTGCACAGAAAAGGAAATAATCAACAGAATGAAGAGACAAGCTACAGAATGGGAGAAAATGTGTGTAAACTATGTATCTGACAAGGATTACTTTTAAGAATATACAAGGAAATCAAACAACTCAACAGCGAAAGAGGAAAACCCCACAAATAAACCAATTAAAAATGGGCAAAGGATCTGAACAGACATTTCTCAAAAGATGACATACAAATGGTCAACAACTATATGAAAAAAAAAGTTCACTGTCATTAATCATCAGGGAAATGCAAATTAAAAGCACAAATAGATTCATCTCAACCCAGTCGAGAGGACTATTATCAAAACAATAAAAAAGGCTGGGAAGCAGAGCAAGATAACTGAATAGAAGCCTCCAGCAAATGCTGCCCCTCTCCATGCAGGAACACCAAATTGAACAACCATCTACAAAAGAAAGCACTTTTATAAGAACCAAAAATCAGGTGAATGACCACAGTACCTGGTTTTAACATTACATCAATAAAAGAAGCACTGAAAAGGGAAGAAAAGACAGACTTGAATTGCCAACACCACTCTTCCTGCAACCCCCTGGAGCAGGAGCAGCTGTGTGGTGCAGACAGAGAATCTGTGCACTTGAGCGAGGGAGAGCACAGTGATTGTGGGACTTTGCATTGGAACTCAGTGCTGCCTGTCAGAGTGGAAAGCAACACAGGGCAGAAATCGCCAGTGACTGCAGAGGCCACAGGGCTGGTGACCATTTAGACCAGCCCTAGCCAGAGGGAAATCATCTATCCCAGTGGTTGGAATGTGAGTTCCCAAAAGCCCTGACACTATGGGCTAAAGTGCTCTGACATCCTAAATAAACTTGAAAGGCGGTGTAGAAAAGAGCTGAAATTCCTAGACATGTCCTGGTGTTGTGCTAGGCTCAAAGCCAGTGAATTTGGGATGCATGCAAGCTAGTGAGCCATTGGCGAGCGTAACCAAGTGAGTGCTTGTGTTGCCCCTCTCCCAGCCTCAGGCAGCACAGCTCACAGCTCCAGGAGAGACTCCTTCTTTCTGCTTGAGGAGTGGAGGGGAATAGTAAAAAGGATTTTGTCTTACAAGTTGGATACCAGCTCAGCCATCGTAGAATAGGGCACCTGGCAGATTCCTGAGGCCCCCATTCTAAGCCCTAGCTCCTGGACATTTCTAGACACACCCTAGGCTAGAAGCATACCCACTGTCTTAAAGGGAAGGACTGAGTCCTGGCAGGATTCATAACCTGCTGACTAAAAAGCCTTAGGCCTTGAGTAAACATCAGTGTTACCCAGGCAGTACTCAATGCAGGCCTTGAATGAGACCCTGCACTATGCTGACTTTTTGTGTTACCCAGCACATTCACAGATGTGGTGGCCATGAGAAGAGACTCATTTGGCTTGAGAAAAGGAGAGAGAAGAATAAGGTGAACTTAGCCTTGCAGCCTTGCAGCTTGGTTATCAGTTCAGCCACAGTGAGGAAGAGCACCAAGCAGGCTCCTGGAGTACTCAATTCCAGGCCTTGACTCCTGATTGACTCTGGGCCAGAGGGTAGTCCACTGCCCTGAAGTAAGAAACTCATGCCTAGCAGCATTCATCACAAGCTGGCTGAATGGCCCTTTGTCCTTGAGTGAAAACTGGCAGTAGCCAGGTAGTACTTGCTATGGCCCTGGGGCAGTGGTGGCCACAGAAAGAGGCTCCTTCTGCTTATGGAAAGGAGAGGGAAGAGTAAGAAGTACTTTGTCATGTGGTTTGGGTGGGTGCCAGCTCAGTTGTAGTAGAATAGAGCACCAAGTAGATTCCTAAGGTTACTGACTCCAGGCCATGGCTCCAGGACATTTCTGGACCTTCCTTAGACAAAGGGGGAGCTTGCTGCCCTGAAGGGAGGGCCACAAGCCTGGCTGGATTCATCACTTGCTGATTGTAGAGTCCTAGAGCCTTGAAGTAACATTGGTGGTAACCAGGAAGTGATCCTGGCAGGCCTTGGGTGACACCCAGTGATATGTAGGCTTCAGGTCTGACCCAGTGCAGCCCCAGTGGTGGCAGCAACAGGGGTCGTGTGTCACTCCTCCCCCACCAGGCTGCAGGCAGCTTAGCATGGAGAGCAAAACTTCATTTTTTGGGGAGAAAGTCAGGGATGAGAACAAGAGTCTCTACCTAGTAATCCAGGGGAAGCTCTTGATTCTACTCAAGACCTCCAAGGTGGTAGCTCTATGAGTCTGCAAGAGCCACAGAATTATGGGCTTGAGGTGCCCCCTAAGGCAGATATAGCTGCAGTGACAAAAGATGTAGATCACAGCACCCAAGTCCCTTCAAATACCTGGAAAGCCTTCCCAAAAAGGATGAGCATACAGAGGCCCAGACCACAAAAATGATCATAAATACCCAAGCCACTGAAGCCCAGACACCAACCAACATCCACAAGCATGAAGACCACACAGAAAAAACATGATTTCACCAAACCAACTAAATAAGGCACCAGTAACCAATCACAAAGTGAAAGAGATATGTGATCTTTCATACAGAGAATTCAAAATAGTTGTGTTAAGGAAGCTTAATGAAATTCAAGACAACACAGAGAAGGAATTCAGAATCCTATCAAATAAATTTAACAAAGATTAAAATAATTTAAAAGAATCAAGCAGGAATTCTGGAGCTGAAAATTTCAATTAACATATTAGAGAATGTATTGGAGTCTCTGAACAGCAGAACTGATCAAACAGAAGAAAGAATTAGTGAGCTTGAATACAGGCTATTTGAAAATACAGTCAGAGGAGACAAAAGAAAAAAAAGAATAAAAAAGAATAAAGCATGCCTACGAAACTCAGAAAGTAACCTCAAGAGGGCAAATCTAAGAGTTATTGGCCCTAAAGGGAGAGTAGAGAGCTAGATAGGGGTAGAAAGTTTATTCAAAGGGATAGTGACAGAGAACTTCTGAAACCTAGAGATATATATCAATGTTCAAACACAAGAAAGTTATAGAATACCTAGCAGATTTAACCCAAGGAAGGCTGCCTGAAGACATTTAATAATCACACTCCCAAAGATCAAGGATAAAGAAAGGATCCTAAAAGCAGTAAGGGAAAAGAAACAAATAATATACATAGGAGTTCCAACATGTCTGGAAGCAAACTTCAGTGGAAACCTAACAGGACAGGGGAGAGTGGCATAACATATTTGAAGTGCTAAAGGAAAAAAAAAACACACACACACACACTCACTTTTATCCTGGGATAGTATATCTAGTGAAAGTATTCTACAAACATGAAGGAGAAATAAAGACTTTCTCAGACAAACAAAAGCTGAGGAACTCCATTAACAGCACATCTGTCTGATAAGAAATGCTAAAGGGATTTCTTCAATCTGAAAGAAAAGGATGCTAATTAGCAAAAAAAGCATCTGAAGGTACAAAACTCATTGGTTATTAGAAGTAAGCAGACAAACACAGAATATTATAACACCGTAATTGTGGTGTGTAAATTACTAATATCTTGAGTAGAAAGATTAAAGAAGAATCTATCAAATTAATAACCACAAATTTTCAAGCCATAGAAAGTATAATAAAGTATAAATAGAAACAACAAAAAGTAAGAAAGCAGGGGTGCTGAAGTTAAAGGGTAGAATTTTAATTGGTTTACTCTTTGCTTGCTTGTTTGTTTGTTTTTGAAATCACCATTAAGTTGTTATCAGTTTAAAATAATGGGTTATAAGACGTTATTTGCAAGCCATATGGTAACCTCAACTCAAAAAACATAAAACACAAAAAAATAAAAAGCAGGAAATTAAAACACACTACCAGAGAAAATCGCCTTCACAAAACGAAAGACAGGAAGGAAAGATGGAATGAAGAGAAGACTACAAAACAACCAGGAAACAAATAACAAAATGGCAGTAGTAAGACCTTATCAATAATAACATTGAATGAAAATAGACTAACCTCTCCAATTAAATGACATAGAATGGCTGAATGGACTAAAAAATAAGCCCCATTGATCTGTTGCCTGTAAGATACATGCTTCACCTATAAACACACACACAGACTGAAACTAAAGGGATGGAAGAAGATATTCCATGCCAATAGAAATCAAAAAAGAGCAAGAGCAGCTATACTTTAATCAGAAAAAAATAGATTTTAAGACAAAAACTATAAAAAGAGAAAAAGAAGGTCATTATGTAACAATAAAAAGGTCAATTTGGCAAGGGGGTATAAAAATTATAAATATATATGCACCCAACAGTGGAGCATCCAGATATATAAAGCAAATATTGTTACAGCTTGAAAGATATTGACCCCAACATGATAATAGCTGGAGACTTCAACACCACATTTTCAGAAATTGACAGGTCATCCAGACAAAAAATTAGCAAAGAAATACCAGACTTAATGAGCACTATACATCAAATGTACGTAAGAGATATTTACAGAACATTTTATCCAATGCCTGCAGAATACACATTCTTCTCCTCAGCACATGGATCATTCTCAAGGGTAGACCATATGTTAAGCCACAAAAAAGTCTTAAAAATTCAAAAAATTGAAATCATATCAAGTATTTTTTCTGATCACAATGGAAATACACCAGTAATCAATAATAAGAGGAACTCTGGAAACTATACCAATACATGAAAATGAAACAATATTCTCCCAAATGACCAGTGGGTCAATGAAGACATTGAGAAGGAAATTGAAAAATTCCTTGAAACAAATGATAATGGAAATACAATATACCAACACCTGTGGGATACAGCAAAAGCAGTATTAAGAGAAAAGTTTATAGCTATAAATTCCTACATCAAAACAGTAGAAAAACTTAAAATTAACAATCTAACAATACATCTTAAAGAATCAGAAAAGCAAGAGAAAGCCAAACCCAAAACTAGTAGAAGAAAAGAAATAATAGAAATCAGAGCAGAAATAAATGAAATTGAAACAAAAGATATAAAAGATCAACAAAGTGAAAAGTTGATTTTTTAAAACATAAGCAAAACCACAAAACTTTAGCAAGATTCAGAAAAAGAGAGAGAATACCCAAATAAATAAATTCAGAGATGAAGAAGGAGACTTTACAGTGGATACTGCAGAAATTCAAAGGATCATTAGTGGCTACTATGAATAACAATCTGCCAATAAATTGGAAAACCAAGAAGAAATGGATAAATTCCTAGACACATACAACCTACCAAGACTGAACCATGGAGAAACCTAACACCCGAATAGGCCATTAACAATTACTGAGATCAAAGCCATAATAAAAAGTCTCCCAGCAGAGAAAAGTCTGGGACATGATGGTTTCACTGCTGAATTTTACCAAACATTTAAAGAAGAACTAATACCAATTCTACTCAAACTGTTCTAAAAAATAGAGGCAGAGGGAATGCTTCCAAACTCATTCTATGAGACCAGTATCACCCTGATACCAAAACCAGACTAAAACACATCAAAAAAAGAAAATTACAGGCCAATATCTCTGATAAATATTGGTGCAAAAACCTCAATAAAACACCAGCAAACTAAATTTAACAACACATTTAAAAGATCATTCATCATTACCAAGTGAGGTTTATCACAGGGATGCAAGGATGGTTCAACATATACAAATCAATCAATGTGATACATCATATCAACAGAATGAAAGACAAAAACCATATAATCATTTCAGTTGATGCTGAAAAAGCATTTGATAAAATTCAACATCCTTCATGATAAAAAAAAAAAGCCTCAAAAAACTGGGCATAGAAGGAACATACCTCAACACAATAAAAGCCATATATGACAGATCCACAGCTAGTATCATACTAAATAGGAACTAATGGAAAGCTTTTGCAGTTATACAAGAGAAAGACATAAAAGGCATCTAAATTGAAAAGGAAGAAGTCAAATCATCCTTGTTTGAAGATGATATGATCTTATATTTGGGAAAACCTGAAGACTTTACCAAAAAACTATTAGAGCTGATAAATTCAGTAAAGTTGCAGGATACAAAATAAGCATACAAAAATCAGTAGCATTTCTATATGCCAACACCAAACTATCTGAAACTGAAATCAAAAAAGCTATTCCATGTTCATGGACTTAAAGAATCAATATTGTTAAAATATCCATACTACCCAAAGCAATCTACATATTCAATGCAATTTCTGTCAAAATACAATGACATTCTCCACAGAAATAGAAAAAATAATTCTAATATTTATATAGAACCATAAAAGACTAAGAATAGCCAAAGCCATCCTGAGCAAAAAGAACACAACTGGAGGAAGCATAATACCTGACTTTCAGTTATACTACAGGGCTATAGTAACTAACACAGCATGGGACTGGGTTAAAAAAAAAAAGACACATAGACCAATGCAACAGAATAGAGAACCCAGAAATAAACCCATACATCTACAGTAAACTCATTCTTTGACAAAAGTGCCAAAAGCATACACTGAGGAAGGGACAGACACCTCAATAAATTGTCCTGGGAAAACTGAATATCCATGTGAAGAAGAATGAGACTATACCCCTATCTCTCATCATCTACAAAAATCAAATCAAAGTGTATTAAAGACTTAAATCCAAGACCTCAAGCTATGAAGAAAGAGATATATACAACCCCTGTTTATTGCATCACTATTCACAATAGCAAAGATTTGGAAGCAACCTAAGTGTCCATCAACAGATGAATGGGTAAAGAGAATGTAGTATGTATATACACAATGGAATAGTATTTGGCCATAAAAAAGAATAAAATTCTGTCACTCATGGCAACATGGATGAGCCTGGAGGACATTACGGTAAATGAAATAAGTCAGGCACAGAAAGATAAATACCATACTTTCTCAGTCATATGTGGGAGCTAAAAAAGTTGAGCTCATAAAAGTGGAGAGTACAACTGTGCTTATTAGAGGCTGGGATGCGGGCAGGGTAGGGAGAGTTTGGTTAATAATACAAAATTGCAGCTAGAGAAGGGGAATAAGTTCTAGTGTTTTATAATACTGTGGGGTGACTATAGCTGAGGATAATTTATTATATACTTTCAAATAGCAAAAAGAGGATTTTGAATGTTCCTAACACAAATAAATAATAAATGTTTGAGGTGAACATTTACACCTTATACATTACACATTATATAAAGTATGACAATATCACTCTGTATCCCATAAATATGTAGAATTATGTGTTAATTTTTAAAACTCCAAAATCAAAGCAAGAGTGTATTAATAGCTCATTTTCAAAAAGTGGGAGATGCCTGTTCTTCCTGGCAGTCTGTAGCTTCCTGTGCACCAATTTAGAACCAGGTAGGGAGGAGGAAGGAGTTGACTAGACTAGCTACTCCAAATCTCTTTCGTCAATTACTTTCCCTGACCAATTCCTCAGTTTCTTTGCCCCACTTCTTTATCTCTTAACTGTCAGCTTGTACACCCCCTCCCCAACTGCTCCAATGTTTGCCTTAGATGCCTCCTCCATATGAATTAAGTTGAATTTTCTTTTCATTTTATTTTTCTGTGATGTAATTTTTCTCCATTCTATCTTTTCTTAACATTTCTGGTTTGTTGATGGCAATTTTTCTTGTTTTCCAAGGATATTTTTGACTTTTTAAAAGTATCTCCTTTATCATTTTGTAAGATTTTTGGTGGTTGGTAGGGTGTAGGTGTGTGTGCTTGGTTGGTTATTTTGATCCAATCTTTATTAAATAGTGTGTGTGGGGAGAATCTCTTTGTTTTTGCATAATTTTCTGTCCTATTTCTCAGGTTATTCTGTTCTCCTCTAAATGATTTTTTAAAGGAAAAAGAAAAACTAAGAGTTGAGCTGAATACTGAATACCTTCTTCACTTATGCATTTTTGTCTCTACTCTCTTTGTTCTGGAAATAAAAGGCCAAATAAACTAAATATATTCACAGTGTGGGAAAAAAAAACAAAAAAGAACAAATGCTGGTGAGGATGTGGAGCACAGGGAACTCAGACACTGTGGGTGGGAATGTAAACTAGTACAGCCATTATGAAAAACAGTATCAAGGTTCCTCAAAAAATTAAATACTGTATCATCCAGCAATCCCACTTAGCATATATTCAAAGGAAATGAAATCAGTATGTTGAGGAGACATCTGAACTATTACGTTTATTGCAGCACTATTCACAATAGCCAAGATTTGTAATCAACCTAAGTGTCCATCAACAGATGAATGGATACTAATATATTTGCACAATGGAATACTATTCAGCCATTAAAAAAGAATGGAATTCTGTAGTTTAGAGCAACATGGATGAGCCTGGGGGACGTTATGTTAGGTAGGATAAGCCAGACACAGAAAGACAAATACTGCATGATCTTATTCATATGTAGAATCTAAAAAAGTGGATCTAGTAGAAGTAGAGATTAGAATGGTGGTTTCCAGAGTCTGGCAAGGATAAGGAGGAGGGCTAATGGGGGGGGGGGGTTGGTCAATGGGTACAATGTTATAGTTAGAAAGAAGAAATAAGTTCTAGTGTTCCATTGCACATAGAGTGGCCATAATTAAAAATAATATATTGTACATTTCAAAATAGCTTGGAGAGAAGATTTTGAATGTTCTCACCACAAAGAAATGACAAATGTTTGACCTGATAAATATGCTAATTACCCTAATTTGATCATTATATATTGTAGACATGTAAAAACATCACACTGCACCCCATAATATGTACAATTGTTATTTTTCAATTAAAAAAAATAAAATTTCAATTAAGACGTGCTTTTTGACTGGGCGCAGTGGCTCACGCCTGTAATCCCGGCACTTTGGGAGGCCAAAGCGGGTGGATCACAAGGTCAAGAGATCAAGACCACCCTGGCCAACATAGGGAAACCCCATCTCTACTAAAAACACAAAAAATAAGCTGGACATGGTGGCACATGTCTGTAGTCCCAGCTACTCAGGAGGCTGAGGCAGGAGAATCACTTGAACCCAGGAGGAGGAGGTTGCAGTGAGCTGAGATTGTGCCACTGCACTCCAGCCTGGTGACAGAGTGAGACTCCATCTCAAAAAAAAAAAAAAAAGTGCTTCTTTTTTTCTTTTCTAAACCCCTTGGTTTTATATGATTCCCCACTCAGTATGGAGTTATATTAATTCAAACAGCCCAATATCTGAAGCACTTAAATATTCATTAAAATCATTATTTATGTTCCTCATTGAACATAAATTTGTAAACCACAAGCTCTTAAAATTCCCTTGTACAGCCCCATTCTTCTTGCACTTCACTTGTCTTTTCTCTCATACCTGGCCTGAAGCTTCATTCTTCACACCTCATTTTCAACTCTGCACTAAAAGCTTTTACCCAACCAGTGAAGGCTTTTCCCTCACTCCTCATTTGCTCCATCAATATCTTCTATTAAGGGGTCAGAAAAAAACCTGCCCACAAATACTCATACATTTGTAGTTCATATTCCAGTTTTATATACTTGATGGGTAGAGCTCTAAAGAGCATGTACATTTCCTCCTGAGCCTGCCCCTGACTGAGAGATTATAGTCTCTCAGCACTCTATACCTCCACAGTCATAACCCTGATCACACTTAACTGCCACAGCCTACCTCGTAGTACAGGGGACAAACACAAGCATCCTTTTTTCTAATTCAATCATTCATTCACTCAATGCTTTTAAATATCATCTCTGTGCCAGATACTACACTAACAATGAAAATTCTGGCCTCTGACTTCAGAGATTTCAAAAATACAGTGGAAGAAATATACATGAAAATACCATTTATGCTACCATCTCATAAGTAAAATAATTAAATTAGTTAACCTTAATTTTTCTCCTTTGGGCTAGTCACTGCACAAAGATACTATGATAGAGTGGTGAAAAGTGCAAGTGCTAAAGATCTTATATATATGTAATACAAGGAACATTCTGGGAAGAGATGTAGTCTAGGAGACCCATCAGGCATCCCTGAAGAAAGTATCTTTAAGCTTTTACCTGAAGAATGACTAGGATTTTACCAAACCTGAGGCAAAAGAATTGGCATGTCTGGAGGTCTAGAGGCCAGATAGAATTGAACGTAGTAACAGCTGAGAAAAGTTTATTATCTTAGAAACATATACAGAGAGTGGAAAGGAATATACTGGAAAGGTATGCAGGCACAGGACATGGAAGGGCTGGAAAAAACAAGGGCTTTACCATAAAGTCAAGGGGAAATTACTGACGAGTTTTAAATAGACAGATTTGAATTTTTGGAATTTCATCATCCTGATTCAGGGCAGACTACAGACTACTTTAAACTCTGGGGGACCAATGCTTAGGTGACTTCACTGGTCTAAATAGATAAGCTGTTATTGTAGATTAGGGTGATGGTCATCAAATGGGAGAAAACTGATGTATGTAGAGATGCTTAGAAGATGGAATTAAAGTATTTGAAATTCATTGGATAGACAATATAGAGAGAAAGTGGGGTTTCTGGATTGATTAGAGGGAAACAGTGATTGAGATAAGGACACTGGAGGAGAAGCAAATTTGGAAAGGAAGATGGTGAATTCAATTCAAGCTATTTTAGAGACATTTAGGAAAAGATTTCAAATAAGTACTATGTTAGCCTGTTCTCACACTGCTAATAAAGACATACCCAAGACTGGGTAATTTATAAAGGAAAGAGGTTTAATTGACTCACAGTTTGCAGGGATGAGGAGCCTTATGAAACATACAATCATGGCAGAAGGGGAAGCAAACATGTCCTTCTTCACATGGCAGCAGGAAAAAGTGCCAAGCAAAGAGGAAAAAGGCCGTTATAAAACCATCAGATCTCGTAGTAATTCACTCACTATCACGAGAGAAGTATGGGGGAACCACCCCATGATTCAATTACGTACCACCAGGTCCATACTACAACACATGGGAATTATGGGATTACAATTCAAAATGAAATTTCGGTGGGGACACAAAGCCAAACTATATCATTCTGTCCCTGGTCCCTTCCAAATCTCATGTCCTCACATTTCAAAACACAACCATGCCTTCCCAACAGTTCCCCCAAGTCTTAACTCATTCCAGCATTAACCCAAAAGTCCAAGTCTAAAATGTCATCTGAGACAAGGGCAAGTCCCTTTGACATATGAGCCTGTAAAACCAAATCAAGCTGGTTACTTCTTAGATGCAATGGGGGTACAGGCATTGGGTAAATACACCCATTTCAAGTGGGAGAAATTGGCCAAAACAAAGAGGCTACAGGCGCCATGCAACTCACAATCCAATAGGGCAGTCATTAAACCTTAAAGCTTCAAAATGATTTCCTTTGATTCCGTGTCTCACATCCACATATCACTCTGATGCAAGAAGTGGGCTCCCATGTCCTTGGGAAGCTCTGCTCCTGTGGCTTTGCAGGGTACAGCACCCCTCCCAGCTGCTTTCACAGGCTGGCATTGAGTGCCTGTGGCATTTCCAGGTACACAGTGCAAGCTGTTAGTGGACATATCATTCTGGGGTCTGTAGGATGGTGGCCGTCTTCTCACAGCTACACTAGGGAGTACCACAGAGGGGACTGCTGTGTGGGGGATTTGACCCCACATTTAGCTTCTGCACTGCCATAGCAGAGGTTCTGCATGAGGGCTCCACCCCTGCAGCAAACTTATGCCTGGACATCCAGGAGTTTCCATACCTCCTCTGAAATCTAGGCAAAAGTTCCCAAATCTCAATTCTTTACCTCTGTGCACCCATAGGCTCAACACCACATGTAAGCTGCTAAGGTTTGGGGCTTGCACCCTCTGAAGCAATGGCCCGAGTTGTACCTTGACTCTTTTCAGTCACAGCTGGAGCTGAAGCAGCTGGGACACAGGCCACCATGACTTGAGGCTGTACAAAGCAGAGAGGCCCTGGCCCTGGCCCAGGAAACCACTTTTCCCTCATAGGCCTCCAGGCCTGTGATGGTAGGTGCTGCTGGGAAGATCTCTGACATACTCTGGAGACATTATCCCCATTGTCTTGGTGATTAACATGCATCTCCTCATTACTTATGCAAATTTCTGCAGCCAGCTTGAATTTCTCCCCAAAGACAGGTTTTTATTTTCTATTGCATCATCAGGCTGCAAATTTTCCAAACTTTTATGCTCTGCTTCCTCTTGAATGCTTTGCTGTTTAGGAATTTCTTCTGCCAGGTACCCTAAATCATCTCTCTCAAGTTCAAAGTTCTACAGATCTCTAGGATGGGGCAAACTGCCACTAGTCTCTTTGCAAAAGCATAACAGAATCACCTTTGCTCCAGTTTCCAAGAAGTCCCTCTCCATCTGAGACCATCTCAGCCTGGAATTCATTGTCTATATCACTATCAGCATTTTGGTCAAAACCATTCAACAATCTCTAGGAAGTTCCAAACTTTCCCACACCTTGCTGTCTTCTCAGCCTTCCAAGCCTCTGGGAAGTTCCAAATATTCCCACATTTTTATGTATTCTTCTGAACCCTCTAAACTGTTCCAAACTCTGCCTGTTACCCAGTTCCAAAGTCACTTTCACAATTTTGGGTATCCTTGTAGCAGTACCCCACTCTCTGTGATACCAGTTTACTGTGTTAGTCCTTTCTCATGCTGCTAATGAAGACATACCTAAGAGTGGGTAATTTATAGAGGAAAGAGGTTTAATTGACTCAAAGTTCAGTATGGCTGGGGAGGCCTCAGAAAACTTACAATCATGGTGGAAGGGGAAACAAACACATCCTTCTTCACATGGCAGCAGGAAGAAGGAGAGTTGAGCAAAGAGGGAAAAGCCCCTTAAAAAACCATCAGATCTCATGAGAACTCACTCACTATCATGAGAACAGCATGGCGGAAACTGCCCCCATGATTCAATTACCTCCCACCAGGTTCTTCCCACAACAGGTGGGAATTATGGGATTACAATTCAAGATGAGATTTGGGTGGAGACACAAAGCCAAACCATATCAAGTACTTAATGCACCATGTGAAGCTCAGGAGTAAGGGTTAGATGTTGGTTTAGGAGTAATCCAAAAATGAAAAGTCCAACAACTGAAAGTGATCATTGGATTTAGCAATAAATAGGCCATTGAAGATCTTAGTGAAAGTAGTTTGAGAGGAGGGGAGAACTGGGAACAAGGAATGGAGTAAGGACAAAGAGCCTCAATCATACTAGCTTGTATAATAGATCATCCCCAGAATATTGTGTGGCTTGATACATTGAACTTTCATTCTCTCTTCATAGTGGACCAAATCCAAGCAGTAACACAGGGACACAAGTTCTTCCCATTTTGTGGTACAATCATTTTCAATAAATTGTCTTCAAGGTCAGAAGGGCAAGAGAGTGAAGTCTTGCATATGAGAGCCTTTTATGAAATATTAGAGCAGCATTTATCCCTTCCATCCATATTCAATTGGCTACAATCAAAGTGGTACCCCTCAACTGCAAGAACTAGGAAATAATTTAATGGGCACCTAAGAAGAAGAAGAGAAGCCCAAAAGTTAAAAAGCATTAGCATTCACTTGCACAACAAGCAACTATCTTTGGCAGGATGGAAGCAGACTGGAAGAACAGAGAGGAGAATTCTAGGACATTTTAAAAGAAAGTGATGTTCAACTTGAGCCTTGAAGAACAGTTCACTAGGAAATCAGGGATGGCATTCTGGGACTCAAGAACAGACTATGTCAAGGGCATAGCTTGTTCATACATAGATCATGGATCATAAGGGAGATACAGGGATAAGTGCAATCGGAAGTGAAGGAGTCTACCATGTAATCCTACATGTGAAAGAAAGCTACCTTTCAAAATAGTTATCAGTATTTCACCCCAAGGAAATTTCCAGACAAGTTTGCAATCAATCTCTAAGATCTGCTTTAGGTGCAAACAATAAGAAAATGGAAAAACAACAAACTTTGTATGTTTTCTTTTGTTTCTTCTCCTTTCACAATGCTTATTATATTCTACTACATGTAAAATGAACTCTCCATAATCATGTATCTAATACATAGAAATACTACACAAAGACTTTCTCTTTAAGGTTTGATTTTTAAAATTTGTTTTCTTTATTTATCCTCTCCTAGCTTTATTATTTAATCCTCAATGAGAATGTTGGCAAGTTTAACTGGGAATCTTAGAAAACATTGTTGCCACTTTCTTATCAGAATTCCGTTAAAAAATTACCTTGCTATAATGTGAATTTCTACTGCAACTACTTTTAATAGTTTTTCTAAAAAGTTAAAAAAATTTTAAGAAGATGAACCTGAAAAGGGCACATCAGGACAATATTTTTTTGTTTCATTAAGAAGCAACAACAACAAAATGTGATCGGCAGCACTATTAAGGATAATTGGAAGTGTAATTATTCCAGAGAATTTTAGATTTAATTGTCACTTCACTGCACATGTTATTCAAATACCTGCCAGTCTCTCTCCAAAGATGTCAAAATCAATGGCAAAAATAATATCTAATTAATTGATTTGTGAAGCTGTATATTTCAAAATTAACATGTGACCCAGTATGAATTTTATTTATGAATTTTTTATATTTCAACTATTTCCAGAAGACATTGAGTTCATTGTAATTAAAAATTATTAGCTATATATTAATAAAATCCTTTTCCATGAAATCTTCTATTTATGACTGAGATTATTGAAACTTAGATTACATTTATTAGGTTTTAATATTCTTGTTTGCAAAATGAAAAGTGAAATAAGTTTCGATTCTAATAGAGTCAGTAGATGATATATGAAAAAAATATTTTTACAAACATTCTCCAGGAGTAGAAAACTTTAAATGAAGACTGAAATGGAAGAATTGCAAATACAGACAAAAACCTACCAAGGCAAAAAGAATTCCAGATTATCACAAATGCAAGCATCTTAATCAATGATTCTGTTTGTGTTTTTCATGTCACTTGAGAATCCTCATTCTTGGCATTCCCTGAAGCATCTACAGAGACAGAAAGGCTATACTGTCTCAGGTTGTATCTATTTACACCACACACCTGGAGGAAACTCAAAAATTCATCAATAATTCCAAATATTCTGCCGCTTATTATGAAGACACTGCGAAAGAAGAAAGAGTGCCACCTAGTGAATTCCTTCAGGAATCTTTCCTAACAGTCATTCATTTGATACCCTTCTGAGGGTATCTACTCAGAGCTATGTACTGGGTACATACTTCTCTTGAGCCACTCATGCTCCTAGCAGCCTTCCCACTGCCCTGTTCCCTTACACTTGGTGTCCTGTGTCTGGAATGACTATGCTCTTCTTCTTCACACCTGCTAAAATTTTACAAGACACAGTTTAAATGGTGCCTCCTTGTTAAGACTTTTCCAACTGCCCCTCTTCCCAAGTAGAGTTGCTTTCTTGGGGGCTTTGTGCTTCTACCACATTATCTATTATCCTCCTCTCTCATATGTGTGTGTATGTGGCACATACTCTGTTACTATTTTTTTAGATGTCTGTACATCACATTCTGTATATTTTAAGGGCAGAAGCAATATCTGTCATATAATAAATGCTCAATTAATGTTTGTTGCATGAATCAAAAGACTAATTTTAAAAGGGTCACTTTCATTTTGTAGTACTAGTACCCATTACCCTGCTCAAGCAATCTAGATTTTAGAATATGTTTTGATAGTATCAGAGATATTGACGACTTCTTCTATTGTATCTTTAAATTGGTAGTCATCAGCAAATTGACTCTCTAAGATAATGTTTATCTGCTATGGACATCTTTACTGCTAGATGAAAATACAATAATAACTAACAGACTCTATGTGTCAGCCCTTGATTACTTTATAAAACTAAAAACAGACTCACAAGATACTCAATGAATGTTTGTGAATAAGTTAATAAATTCATTTTGTTAAGAACTTCAGGCCGGGCTCAGTGGCTCATGCCTATAATCCCAGCATGCTGGGAGGCCGAGGCAGGTGGATCACGAGGTCTGGAGTTCAAGATCAGCCTGGCCAAGATGGTGAAACCCTGTCTCCACTAAAAATACAAAAAAAATTTAGCCAGGCGTGGTGGTGAGCGCCTGTAATCCCAGCTACTTGGGAGGCTGAGGCGGAGAATTGCTTGAATCCGGGAGGCAGAGGTTGCAGTGAGCCGAGATCATGCCACTGCACTCCAGCCTGGGTGACAGTGTGAGACTCTGTCTCAAAACAAAACAAAACAAAACAAAATAAACAAACAAAAAAAGAACTTAATCCATGTTAGGGGCTATGTCAGAAAAAACAGATGATGAGAACATGATCACTAATAGACCTGGAGAAACCCCAGTGAGAAGTTCTGCACTCGCCATCCTGCAATGCACTGTACACACTCCCCAGCTTTGCACCTCAAAGTTATGCCACAACATAAAGAAAGTTTAGTGTCAGAGGCAAACAACAAGAAGTGAAATGAACCAAACAGAGCTTAACAATACAAGGTATAGGGGAGATCCAGGAAGGCCGCTGGGTCCAAGGGTTCACAAAGGAACCACAGGGAGAAGATCAGGGCTTGGTCTACAGGGAGAGCAGGGAATGGGTGCTCCTGGAATCCCACTTCATGTAGATTTCTATTTTTCTATTTTAGAAATGTAAAATGAAGTGGGATTCTAAATTAGAAATCAGGCAGTTGGAGGAAAGTCCAAATAGGTAAGAGGATTAAGAACTCAGATGAGAATACAAGTGTATTCTTAATCACAGTTGGGCCAAAAAATTAGATAGTAGGAGGAAGGTGCCAGCAAAAAGAAAACAGCTAAATACTGCCCCCAAAGTCTTGTCAAAACAGAAATCTGTCTCATATTTAAAGTACCCTATACTTCAGAGAAAAGAGGAACACAAATGCTTCTCAAACTTGGCTGCATAAATTTTTAAAATCTCAATATCCAGGTCATACCCCATAACAATTCAGAATCTCTGGGGTTGGGATCTGGGTCTCAGAACTTTCTTAAAGCACCCTACTTAATTATAATCGCTAGCCAGAGTTATGACCACTGCTCTAGTGTGACAGGCAAGCAGAATAATTTTCTCAGCCCATCTCTGAAGAAAACCAAACTCCCAGGCTGATAACCAATCAGCTGCTTTCAGGCCATGGACCGGAAGAGGACTGACATAGCCAGGAGGTTCAACATTATGTTGAAAGCATCAGGATCCAGCAGAGAAGGCTGTGGAGATGGCAGGAGGTCTAACCCAGAAGAATTAAAGCAAGAGTAGAAGCAGAGTAGAAGCAAGTCTGGCCTGGGGCCTTTCTGGAAACCGGCAACCAAACCACACTTTGGATCAGAACCAGGAGAGTGATTCAAAGTAGGAGATTGCACCAGAGATTAAAACAAGGCAATCAGTGGAGACGTTACTGTAAAATAATAATTACCGTATGCCATGTATTTTCTGTGCCTTTGCTAGGTCTCGCTGAAAAAACAAGTCTATAACTGGAAGATCCATCTGTTTTTGTTGTTTTTGTTATTTTTGTTTAACATATACTTCTGGGTGGAGGAGTCGAGGGCTATAGAGATAGGATGAAAAGCCCAAAGGAGAGAGCATCTTAATGAAAGGAAAATTTTATTGAAGATGAAATATAAATCTTTAGTTTCCTCTAGGTGTATGTATGAGTAGTTGAAGGACTGTTTGAAGAAACTTTTGAATTAAAAATAGACTGATTAAAGGCAAAATAATTTAAATGATTATACAATTCAAAGAATGTAAGTGAAAACATATCATTCCCTTTTATGTTTATCATCCCTATTTTTTATGGAATCTATTTAAAAACATAGATGTGAGATTTACTTTACTATGTAAATATTTATGATTAATTTTGCTTATGGTATTTTCCATCTTATTTTATATGACTCATTTCAAATATGAAGACTCTTTCAAAAAAAGTGAATAAAAATTCCCATTAAACAAAATAAGTATGCATAGGAGGTTATAAAAACTAAGTGATAATATATAATCTTCCAAAATAGACTGTGACAGTCTCCATCAAAACTACTATAAATTTACAAAAACACGCAGATAATATCCTGGCATAAGCAGCTCTCACCTTTTCATACTTTTTGCATCTGCTTAAATAATAGTATTTTGAGAATCTCTGGTTAAACATCAATTTTCTTGTGCATCAAGAGAGAAAACAATCAGTGGTATCTTTATATAATATAAAAGTAAAACATAATAATACAAACCCAATCAACTTCACCACATTAAAAGAACTGATCTACAAATACATGCCACAATATGGATAAACTTCACAAACAATACATGAGAAAAACAAAAGCCAAAAGAGGACGTACTCTGTGAGTCTGTTTATCAGAGAAATAGGTAAAACTGTTTCTGCTATTAAATATCAGGACAGTGTTTAGCCTTGAGAGTGGGAACAACTGGGGGCTTCAGCCTAAGTGGGAATAATTGGGGGTAATGTTCTATTTCCTCATCTTGTCCTCATTGTCTGAGTATAGTCAGTTTGTAAAAAGTTAATGCAGAATACATTCTGATAGGTGTACCTTTCTGTAGTTATATTATGCTTTGATAAAATGTTACTTTTCAAAATCCCACCAGAAGTGCCCTTATATGCCCATTTTTTACCATAATGGATCAAATCAGAAGCAGCATGAAAGACTGTTTATCATCTTGGATTTGGAGTCTGGTAGCTTGTGTTTGAGTCTTGCCTCTATTACCAGCTGTGTGGTCTTGGGAAATGACCTAAACTCTCCAGAATCCAGGCACCTCATTGATAAAAGGTGATTTTAAAAGCCTCACCTCAGAGAATTATTGGGAAGGGAAGTATAAATGATGATTATAAAATAGCACTGTTTCTAGTACACGGCTGGATAAATGTGAGCTTCAGTTCCATATGTATTCCCTTCACCTATGGAGAACCTTAAAATATTTCATAACATCTACTAGATCTGTTATATTGATATCGTTTATTCATTTCTATCCTTCTCCCCTCAGTTCTATTACAAACTCAGTAAAGGCAGAGAGAATGCCTCATCATGGAGGTGGAGAGTTCGCACGACTAAAGGTGTTAGGCAGATGTAGAAATCAGCCAGGTGATCTTCATGAAGGAATTCTAGGCCTGGGGCACACCCAACATAAAACATTCAAATTAAATGGAAATATATGTAAACACTCCAAGAGCCAAACAGAACCCCTCTGCAGGGAAGGACTAGCCCATGGTTTCTTATCCTTACTTAGAAATCATACTCTTTAACATCATGGGCATTGTAGTCACATACCACCTCATTCTTTTCTAGCTTTGCCTCTTAGCTGTTTTACCTTGAGCAAGTTATTTTACCTTCATAAGCCTCATTTTATTCGTTTGTAAAATGGAGATTATAACATTTTACATGCTGCATTGTGAGGATTAGATGGAGTTATTCCGCTCATACCTGGCACATATTTATTGTAGCTATGGAAAATAGTGTTATTTTATATCTCCCAGCTCCTTGATTGATGGGCAGAACTAAAACACAGTCAAGAGGCAAACATAATACTAAAGAAAAACAAAACAAAGCAAAAAAATAAAAACTCTGTGATTTCCTTGACTGGTTGATTGATCAAACAATAGATGGATTCTATTTTGTGTATTAGAAAAATAATAAGCATTTTTTCAACTCAATTCCTAATGAAACTTGACTGCTGACTACAGACTATACATAATTTTGATTTATTTTGCCAAGATCTATGATTAAATTTTATTTATTAGTCCATATTTGTTGATTATTACATGCTTTGATGCAGAAAATGCAAACCTAGGAAGCCCCTGACTTAAGCTATGGTCTTGGAATAGGATGATGCTATCTAGTGCATGACCTTGGCTTGCCCAAACTCCATTAATTTCATTCAAACAATACTAAGCATGTAGAATATACATGCACATTGATGGGCATATAAGAAGCTATAAATGTTATTAAAGCTCAGTTCCTTCTATAAAGAGTCCTGGAATGAACTAAAGGAGTGTATTAGTCCATTTTCACGCTGCGGATAAAAACATACCCAAGACTGGGCAATTTACAAAAGAAAGAGTTTTAATGGACTTACAGTTCCACATGGCTGGGGAGGCCTCACAATCATGACGGAAGGCAAGGAGGAGTAAATCACATCTTACATGGATGGCAGCAGGCAAAGAGAGAGAGCTTGTGCAGAAAAACTCCCATTTTTAAACCCATTAGATCTTGTGAGATTTATTCACTATCATGAGAACAGCATGGGAAAGACCTGCCCCCATGATCCAGTTATCTCCCACCAGGTCCCCCCCAGAACACGTGGGAATTATGGAAGCTACAAGATGAGATTTGGGTGGGGACACAGAGCTAAACCATATCAGGGGGATATATTATGCATTTCTAGAACTATCTGTATGTAGAACTAGCACCAGGCAGATTTGATTTGACTAAGTAAAATCTTTCAAATGCGAAGGTATCTGGGAACACAAGGAAGGCAATAAAGTCATCATCCAGTCAGGTGTGTAGAGAGGGAAATACATAGAAAAGATAACTTTGGAAGAGTAACTATTTGTAGGAGGTGGAGAAAGAAAGATGACCCAGAAAGAACACATTAAGAAAAGTGAACTCAGAGACAGAAGGAAAATAATGAAAAAATAATTTATTCTTTGAAAGTCAGTAGAAAATAAGGCATTTAAGAAGAAATGTTGGAGAGCATCTTCGAACATTTGAATGGATAAC
Source organism: Homo sapiens (assembly GCF_000001405.40). Taxonomy (NCBI): domain Eukaryota; kingdom Metazoa; phylum Chordata; class Mammalia; order Primates; family Hominidae; genus Homo; species Homo sapiens. The sequence goes on along the minus strand of NC_000006.12, from coordinate 71,616,537 downwards.
GAGGATAGAGAACAGGCTACTAGTTTTGCTGTGACTTGTTATTTGGATCACTAGTGACCTTTTCAAGAGCAGTCTCAGTAGAATGCTGAAAAAAAGCATTAAGGGGGAATTGGCAAGTGATTTTGAATATGTAGCTTATTCTTTTGGGAAGTTAGATTATCACAAATAAGAGAAAAGTGTGTAGACCGGTCAAAGGAAGAGAGCTGGTGATATAGTTTGGATGTGTGTCCCTGCCCTAATCTCATGTTGAATCGTAATCTCCAATATTGGAGGTGGGGCCTGGTGGGAGGTGGTTGGATCATGGAGGTGGATTTCTCATGAATGGTTTAGCACCATTCCACATGGTACTGTTCTCACAATAGTGAATGAGTTCTTGTGAGAGCTTGTTGTTTAAAAGTGTAGCACCTCCCCGCTCTCTTTCTTGCTCCCGCTTCACTATGTGTCATGCCTGCTCCCCCTTTGTCTTTTGCCATGATTGTAAATTTGCTGAGATGTCCCCAGGAGCCAAAGTGATGCCAGCACCATGCTTCCTGTAGAGCTTGCAGAACAGTGATCCAATTAAACCTCTTTTCTTTATACATTACCCAGTTTCAGGTATTTAGTTATAGCAAAGTGTGAACAGCTTAAAACAGTTGAGGAAAGAGTAACTATACAGATTATGTGAAGGAATTTCAAATGTATCCTAAGCCTTCAAATGTGCTGAGGTGAGGGGCAGGAAAGGAGGTAGACACGTGGTCAGATTGTGTCTGGGAAAATCCCCCTGCCCATAACGGAGAGAATTAATGGAATTTTGTTCTGATTTTGGTTTGAGGCTTGGGGGTTATTTATTTTTTACAATGTCCCTTCAGAGGTTGCAAAAGGGAATCATTGTAATAAGAGAGTGAGTGAGGCTGGAATAAAACAAACAGGAGATGATCAAAGGATATTGTACCAAATCACAAGGCAGGGAACTACTTCCACCAAGGTAAGAGTCAACAAAGAGAAGAACAAATACAGAGGATCGTTTTTAAAAATTTGTGTGCATGTGCGTGTTATGTTTTGTGTAGAAGGTATAAATCAGGGAATTGGTAGTCTTTATCCAGTGGTGAGGTAAAAGCAAAATTGGCCTTTTCAGAGACAGAGCAGAAATGAATCTTCAAGGGGATTGCAAAGGTTGGGAGAGTCACTGCAAGAAAAGTGACTTATGGAGATGAATCAACTAGCCCTGAGCAGTGTCTTAACACCCACCTTAGGGTAAGCACTGATGTGCAGTGGAAAAGCTGGCAGACACAGTTCCTGGGCCTTTCTACAGCAACGTGTACCAGCATGGAACTGTGGAAACCAATGGAGTGGATGGGGTGCATGTAAGAGCAGTGTTAAATAAGGAAGCCAGCCAAGCAGCGATGTCCAGTCAGGAGGGAAGATGCAGTGTGCGGATAGGAGACGACACCAAGAGGAACTACTAAAAACAATGTTTAGTCGACAGATGGCAGAGTGTGGGCAGAAAGGGGTGTTTCCAAATCCCAGGATTGACATAAAGTAGTTTTAAAGGATAAGAAGATATTAATCAATTAGCAAATAAAAGTGAATCTTTTTATTTTAGAAAAGCAAGTCTTCTTAGAGGAGAAGAGCTTAGGACAAATACTATATTGTGGTCACAAAATAAAGCAGTATAAGGAAGATCAGGAACCTGGAGTAGAAATGGAGGATGGGGGCTTGGGGAAGGGCTGGTTAATATATGTTCGTCATAGAAAGCCTCACTGATGAAGTGACACTGGAAAAGACACCAGAATAAAGGTAGAGGCCATGAAGTTATCTGGAGGAAGGTGTTACAGGGAAAGGGAGAATGGCCCTCTATTGAGAATGTACTCTGGTGTTCAAGGAATAGCAAAGATGCCGGTGTTGCCAGAACAGAATGAAAGAGAAAATATTATCCATCACTGGTATAGATACTGTTAGTCAAATTCAAACATTCATTTTTTTAGGATAAGGTGCATCTAATTTTCTTACATTTTACAGAGAGGTTTCTGGTTTTATTTATGATATATTTATAGATTATGTTTTGTTTGTAACATTTTTGATTATAAGGACAAACATTGGAGGGTTAGAGCCAGTAGAAAGGAAGTTGGAAATACAGAAGAAAGACTGGTGAATTGGTCTAGTGAGTCTCTAAAGGGAACAAGAAAACGTGGGATTTAGAACATGCGAGCATGGATTAGTCTTGGATGGGAGGGAAGGGGATAAAGACAGGCACAGTTGCAGATGTGTGTATAGGAAGCGATTTGAGTCTTGATAGATTCACTAGTCTCAGGTGAGATCTCTCCAGTTAAGAATGATGAAGACTGTGGAGGCAGAGTAGGCAACTTAAAGAGAACAATTTGGATTTGGAAGAACAGTTGGAATGAATGGAAGAGTGTGCTGAACAAGTATGTGCCAAGGATTGCTAAGTGTCATGGAACATCCATGTTAAGCTTGGACAGTACATATCTTGGGGGTCAACAGCCCACATAGTTGCATGATTTTCTCCAGCGTTTCCTTGAAAGCTAAAAGATAAATTCCGATTTTTATGGAAACCAGCCCCCTTCCTAAACAAGATGCAGCAGGAAAATGTATAGGCTGCCTCTCTGTTATAAATGTAACACTTGCAGAATATTAAATACACATTCACTGATTTAATCATTGGTTACTGAGTGTCCTCTAAATGCTATGAGTAAAAACTAGAAACAGTGGTCTAATGGAAATAAGACATTAATCAAATTAGCTCACAAATAAATGGAAAATCACAGTAGTGGAAAAGAAAAGGAAAGGAAAAGACAAAGGAGCCATAACAGCATCTAACAGTGATTTTTTTCCCATTGCAGGATGGACTAAGAAGCCTTCCCAGAGGGAGGAAGAAGAGATTGAGCAAATATCTGAAGACTGAGTAGGAGTTCTTTAGAGGAAAAGAGTGAGAGAATCGTAGCCTAGGTAGAGAAAACAACATATGCACAAACCTTGGGGTGGGAAGGAGGGGAGAGCACGGTAAGTACCAGGGCCTGAAAGCTAGCAAGAGGAAGAGCAGAGTTAGATTCTGAAGATAACAGAGCAGGTCTTGAGGGTCATGCTGAGTATTTCCCTTTATCATTAGAGCAAAGGAAGACATTGAACTTGTCAGCAGGAGAATCTAGTGAGCAGATTTGCATTTCTCAAAGACCACCGTGAGTGAAAGGTGGACATCGGGGGGTTCTGCAGGAGCCTCTCCAAGAGATAACAGGTCTGAGATTGGTGAGAAAGGGGCAGGGGTGAGGGAGGCAACAAAGTGAATGGTTGCAAGAGACAATTTGAAGTTAAAACTAATACAGATTAAGTATAGTGGATTGAATAAAAAGCATCAGAGAGGAAGAGAGGAAAGTAAAATCACCTGGGTTTCATCTCATTCAACAGGCTAGATGGTACAGCTTTGAGGATTGTAGAGGAAGCTCATGAGTTCAGCTTCTGTCATATTCAAATTTGCACAATCAGAGTAGGAACACTTACACAATGCACTTGGCATTAAAATAATTTGAAGTAATAAATTTGTTGACAGCATTAAATATAACCTACATTCTAGTATTTGGTTCTGATATTACATATGTCTCTTCAGATTTTGCCTTTCGTATCTACATGGAATGACAATATTGAATGACAACACTCTCATCTGCAGAGAGGCGTTCATGGTACAATAACCTGCTTTCTATTAGGGAGCCAAAACTTCATGGTACAATAACCTGCTTTCTATTAGGGAGCCAAAACTTAACGCCATTTTACAGGTTAGGAAATTGCAGAAGAAAGAAGTCAGGAGCAGCGTATAAAGAAAGAATACCGGGTTAGCTATCTGGAGTCCTAGAAAGCTCAGCAGTTAACTAACTCTCTGACTTTCAGCCATTGCTGAACCCCTCGAAACCTTAGTTTATTCACTTTTTAATGCAAGAGACAAAGAAAGAATAAATGGGTTGAACTATGATCTCTCCAGAGGATCTTCCAGCCATAAACCTTAAAGGAATTACTTGAGAACATAAAAAACTACACAGTAAGTAACTGAGGTTTATATTCTGTATTTCTAGATTTCTGAGTTACTATGTGAGGGCAGAGTTCTTTTCCCCAAATAGAAAAAAAATTAAAAAGAAGAAAGAAACAGGTTCTAAAGTAAATAACAGGTTTGAAAGTGAAAGGCTTAAAGTAAAGGCAACAGAGGTCAAGATATGTAGGTAAGAAGAGAAAAAAATTGATACTTTATGTATTATCAAAGAAATGCCAAGAACAAGGCCACTAAATCAATAAAGAGTAGAAAGATGTTACAAGAAATAAAAAACAATGGAAGAATGACAATTAGCTATTAACCACAGCAAAAAAAAAATCCCTATAGTTTATTAGCATGGGATATGCTATATTAGGGCAAAACAAGATTTTCTTCAGTGTTGCTATTATAAATCTGAACAGTCATCGCAACTTTTATTATTTCTTTTTTCTTGTTATTAAAATAATCTGCATCATTTTTAAATGTAAAAAATTAACAAAATGTAAAGAAAACACTCTTAATTTCATCTACTCTAGAGATTAACGTTTTATTTCCTTTTACTTTTCTTTTACTGTTTTGAATAGCAATAATATTTATAAATAGAAGATTGGGAATGACACACAGCTTATATAATTGTGTGTACTGCTGTAAATATTCTTCATCATTTATGTTAACATTCATCTTTCCTAAATATTTTTCAAACATTTCGTGCATACTAAGTAATTATTTGGATGTTTCATAATTCAATAAATTGCAACTTCCAACTCTAGGGAGGCCCTTCAAAGTTTTATATACCCTGCCTATGTAAAAGTTTTACATACCCTGCCCAGATTGCTTCTGGGATGGACATGTAGCACAGCTGGGCTAATCGAAAGTTTTAGTAGAAATTTTGCAGGAATTATTGGAAAAAAGGTTTATTTCTTTAGGATGAAACTCAGCTGACAATTAAATAAGCACCAGCTAAGAACACTAGGTAGGGGAAAGAGAAAAAGAAGAGTGAGAGAAGGAGAGGGAGAGAGGAAGAGAGAGCGGGAGAGGGAGGGAGGGAGGGAGAGAGGGAGAGAGGGAGAGAGGGAGATAGAGGGAGAGAGGGGGAGAGAGAGAGAGAGAGAGAGAGAGAGAGAGTCAGAGTGAGAGTCAATGAGCGAGAGTGTTGATGAGATGACGGTCTATAGGCAAGCCCGACCCCCTTTCCTCCTCTCAGCACTGTAGTGCTGGTTGTTACCTAGAAACAAACAAACGCAAATCCCATTCTGGAAACCCTGCAGAACATATATATATAACTTTTTTTTTTTTTGAGATGGAGTCTCTCTCTGTCGCCCAGGCTGGAGTGCAGTGGCACAATCTCGGCTCACTACAACCTCCGCCTCCTGGGTTCAAGCAATTTTCCTCCCTCAGCCTCCCGAGGTTGGGAGTTACAGGCATGTGCCACCATACTCGGCTAATTTTTGTATTTTTAGTAGAGATGGGGTTTCACCATATTGGCCAGGCTGGTCTCAAACTCCTGACCTTGTGATTCGCCCACCTCTGCCTCCCAAAGTGCTGGGATTACAGGCATGAGCCACCACACCCAGCCAGAATATATTTTTTAAAAATCTTTATTTGTATTACCTTAAAAGCCCAGGGATTTTACATAGTGTTTCATGCAGAGAGCTTTCCAAAAAAACAGTTTAGATGTTTGTCTGTCTTCTTAAAACTTCTCAATCTAGGTGGCTACAAAAAGTCTCTTCACTTTCTTCCAGAGCCTTTATTGCCCATCTTCCATTCTGCCCTCCACTTGGCCACTGGGCTTGGGAACCTCTGTCCTATTCTCAGCCCTGCATATAGAATCTGGGCTACCTTGCTGAAGCTCTTCCCTCACAGGGAACAGCTCTCTGGAACTCTGGTGAAGAACTCTTCCACTTTGTGCCACACAGAACTGCTAGTTCAGGATCTAACTTCCCTGCTAGACTAAAAGCTCCATGTGAGCCACCATCTTGTTTATTCGTTACTCTATAGCCACCATCTAACATAGTGCAGAACACATGATTAAACCCAAAAAATATTTGCTGACTGAATGAATATGTAGACTTTCCCAGCACGCAGTGGAAGAGGAGCTGTGAAAGATTGCGACCAGGATGGAAGAGGAGAGGAGAGTGGGCAAGGGAAAGGAGAAGGCAAAGAGCAGACAGTAGAGTATTAGAAAGCATAAACAGTATTTTTCAGTCAAACCAGAAAATCTCTATTTTCAGACCCATTTCTTTCTTTTCTTCCATTGTCATTTCATCAATTTATCATTCCGCTAATCCATTCATCAATTGCACTGTGAAAAGTGACAGGACAAAGCTTTCCAGGTTCCCAAACACAAGTGGCTACTCTCTGATATGCTGCGAGGTTCACCCCGCAATCTCTGACCATGCCACTGCTATTGTCTTCCTGCAGAAAAGGATATTTGCAAATGTTAAAGAGAACATCCTGATTGAGATTTTCTACCTGAAGTCAAAAGAATTATAAGAACTTTGAAATAGAGAGCACTTTAAAGAGAAAGCAAGCAGATTCTAAAGCATTTGTGTATCAAGAATACTCATGGCTTTGTCCTTTATGAAGGAAATTCTGAGTTTTTCTTGATAGAAAACATGTGTAAGAAGAATCAGTGATACTCAATGTCATCTAAATGTCAGAAAGAAAAACATGTAGGGAATCTTCTCTGTAGGGAATTCCATTTTTTAGAAGGCAGAGTTTAGCTTTTGTTTTTGTTTTTAGCTGCTGCAAGAAAAGAAGAAACAACTTGTGTTTTGACATTAAGTTTGGCAAATATAATCATCTGAATTTAGCTTTCAGCCAATCTAACTTAATTTGTATCTTAAGATCCTAAACTTGGTTTAGAAAAAGTTATCACTCCTAGCATATCCCAAAATAATAAAGACAAACATATGTGAGAGAAAAGATAGTCACCAATACATTTTTTAGAAATCATATATTTTTTTTTTTTTACCACCAGTACCAGTACGAAATGGAAATGACCTATCACAAAGCATAATTTTATGAAGACTTACCCAGTTTGGGTAATAGGAGGGTGAGTGAGCCTGCATTCCCTGCTGTCTACATTCTAGAATTAATTACTAGCAATTATCCTGAATCTAATACATATTTTTTAACCAACATTCCTATGTGAGAACATGTCTTCTTCCCTCTTCCACAACCACAGCACCTATTCCTTCCGCTCAAGCAGAGTCTATTATTATGCTCAAAATTAACCTCATTTAATTTAATGAATATTAAAAAAAAACACTTCCACCTAAATGGGAGTAAACGTAAAGTGATGTAAGAGAAAGAAAAAGGGGCAAAGTTGTAGGATATAAGAGGAACTCTTCCACAGCATGTCAGCTTAACATAGAAATAATGGGTTATATTTGAACCCCTGAAGGAAACTTTTGTAGTTAAACCTCTATAAAATGTAGCCAACAGACTGGTCCATGTGATCACTGGGACAAAATTTTCCTTGGATTTTCTAATGCTTTATGTAAGTTCTTAGAGATTTAGGTATGTCCTCTAAAGTTTAACCTCAGATATTAGTAAAAGCCCCTGCCTGATGGTGTGGGGAAGATATTACACAAGGGTGTGTCACAGCCAGCTTCTCCTCATACATAAGTTTGCATTAGGATCAGCCTGTCAGCTATGTGAAACACCTAGTTATGATACATAATAGAAAAATGACTAAGTATTTCCCACTCTAAGTTCACATAGCATGACTACTATTACAAAACCTAAGCAAAGCACTTTGGTAAATAATATGCCCGGGGAATAAATAACTATTGGAAAAACATTTCTGTATTTTATTAACTGAGTTAATGAAGCACTGTATCCTGGACCTTAGAGATCTAAATCTATTTTAAAAACACAAAACAGAATGGGCACGGTGGCTCACGCCTGTAATCCCAGCACTTTGGGAGGCCGAGGCGGGTGGATCACAAGGTCAGGAGTTCAAGACCAGCCTGACCAACATGGTGCAACCCCGTCTCTGCTAAAAATACAAAAAAATTAGCTAGGCATGGTGGCTACTCAGGAGGCTGAGGCAGGAGAATCTCTTGAACCCAGGAGGCGGAAGTTGCAGTAAGCTGAGATCACGCCACTGCACTCCAGCCTGGGCAACAGAGTGAGACACCATCTTAATTAAAAAAAAAAAAGAAAAAGAAAAGAAAAGAAAAGAAAAAGAAAGAAAAATAAAAAAAACACACAGAACATTGTACAGGGCTGAATGGTGGCCCTAATAAAAGTATGTGTGCATCTTAGTCCCCAGAACTTGTGTGTGCTGCCTTATTTGGAGAAAGGGTCTTTGCAGATGTAATTAAGTTAAGGATCTTGAGATAAGGAGATCACTTTGGGTTATTCAGATAAAACCTAAATCCAATGACAAGCATCCTTATAAATGATACAAAGCAGAGAATACAGGTATATAAAGGAGAAGGTAATGTGAAGATGGAGGCAGTGATATAGCCATAAGCCCAGGAATAAGGGCAGCCACCAGAAGCTGGGAGAGGCAAAGAGCCCCTGAGGGAGTACAGCCCTGCCAGTTGTTGAACTTCTGGCCTCCAAAACTGTGAGACAATAAATTTCCATTTTTTTAAAGCACCAGTTTGTAGTGATTTGTTACGGCAGCCCTAGGAAACTAATACAGCCATCTAGATTATTCTGTCTTTAAAACTCATATAGAGAATAAATTCCAGCTATAGAGAAAACCCTGGACTGGTTGTCAAGATAGATGGCTTCTTTTACAGGTACACCCAGAATTCACTGTGACGTTGAGCAAGAATCTTGGCTTTACTGTTAATCAATTTCTTTCTATGGAGTTGAACTAGATGATCTTAAAGCTTCCTTTAAAATCTACATTTTAAAGCCCTCAAATCTACATTTCTGGTAATAAGTGACAGTGTAGCACACTGAAGGACAAGCACAACTAGCATTGAATGAACTTAGTCATGCCCACAGACAAGTCCTTAAACACACACACACATATTTTTACAAGCGAATTTTAGGTTTTTGTTGGAGAGAAGGAAGACATAACAAGATTAGCTATAATTGTTATCGTTTATTATGCCAAATGTTACTTCATGTACTCCTCATGATAAATCCTGCTGCAGTCCAGGTCCAGTCAGGAGATAGAAACCATATAATGGTTAAACAGGGAAAGTTGAATATAAAGAATAATTAAACTATAATAAAGTAGAAACTAAAAGATAAGAAGAAATTTTATATAGTACTCCAGGACTGATAGTAACCAATAAAGGAAATTTGGAAGAGGGTAAGACTTTGTTGGAGAAGGGGTGGTTCAACCACTAGACAGTGGAGACGTTTGATAATTTAGCCAGGCTAGAATTGGTCTAGAGTTGCTGGGCAAATGACAGGCCACCTTCCAGAGTGTAAGTAGTGGGCATGTGAGCAGGAACTGGTGGCATGAATATGCAGTGGGAATCTGGGCACTGGCTAGGCCTTCAGAGTGAAGGGAATGTGGCAGAGAATGCAGAAGGAATGACTACCTGTTTTGTGAGTCTCTGGGCCCTGGCAGCTGCATACAAGCTGCACAGTGCTCCAGGTTCCATGTAAAGTGAGCTGCAGAATGGGCATTGTCAGGCCTAGGCTGCAAGATCACAGAGAGACTGCATCCTGAGCCTGTGGCTGGGACAGTCTCTACCAGATAGCCTCACACCCACACTGCTCATCTCCCCATCCCACACCAGAAATTGCAGGAAACCTCTTCTTTCCCATTGTCCTTCCAGCATCCTCTATTAAGAAAACCTAGCATTGTGCTCAATTTAAGTTAGAAATGCTTTAAAAACTCCTGTTATCACAGAACATATGCTGAAGAGTGCATGTGGAAATGAGAGGCAATAAATTAATAACTGACACACTTGCAAAGTAACTATTATCTATACTTGCGCAGGACACACCAAGGCTTGGAGACATGAATGCAGCTGGGAATGATAGAGCTGGAAATTATGTTCAGCACCCCAAATGATTGGTAATTTCTAAAACTAGGCTCTAACCACACCCCAAGAGCACTATGATGAAAACTGTCCACTCAAAGTATTTTGTAGATGGTTCTGTATTTTGAATCCATTATTAGACTTCTTATGATCATCTGGTAAAACTATTTGATTAGAATTTTCCCATGCTCTTTTTGTTGACACAAAGAGGCAAATGGGAAAACCATTCCTATTTTCTAACCACCTCTTCCTCTCCATACTGGGTTAAATGTCTCTCTCCTCCTGAATAAATGGCCCCCTCTTCTTAGCAAATGCATCTGTGGATTTCTTCAAAGCACTCATCACACCCTAATGTAATTATCTGCTACCTGTGTGTTCTTCACCCTAAATTGCAACCTCCTCAGCTGTGGAGGCTGATCTTTGCAGTTGCAGGACTTAGATCACTGCCCTGACTCACAATAGATATTTAATATAAGGGTGTTGAACCAAACCAAAGAGAACAAATTTACCTCAGGTATTTATTCAAATAAGTCATTGCTAGGATAGAACTCAGGGTCGAGACTGTCCACTGATCAAGGGGTTAAAGGACACACACCAATCAGTGCCACAGGGTCTTTGATGGCATACAGGGTCTACAGCAAAGGATCAGAGAGTGAATTTCCAAAGCAATGCCCTGGAGGGAGGCCCAACATGCTCAGAAAGACCAGGCCAAGCAAAAACCTTAATCAAGGGCAAGGTACCAAGTGTCAAAAGAAAAATTGAGAGTATGTAGTTGGAGGATTTGAAGTCCTGAAACACAAGGAGAGCTGCTATGAGGGAATATTGCAAGCAGGTGAAAGAGAGGAGGTTTGGACTGATTCCCCGTGTGATAAGCCCTGACAGCTTTTAACTCTCAGCACATGTTTATGGAGTTTTGTGGAGTTGATTTAAAGGGTTAGGAATGGTACACACAGCACATTCTCCAACATTATAACAAACTGGCTGGCTCATTCTTTTTAAGGTCTCTCACATGGGTGTCTACAGTCATTTACATGTTTAGGTGTGACCCCACTTTAACAGATCAGATCCATAGCCATAGGCAAGGTGCCGGGGAAACCACATTCTCATCCCTGTAGCAAATACGACTTTAATCAAGTCACTTTATAATACCATTCAGTACTTCTACTCTCGTGTTTATCTAAGTCCCCTCTTCTCATTCTCCCAGTTCCTTGGAGAATACTGCCTTGCCTGTCCCTCCCTACTCCATCTTCTTCTGAGACTAATGCTCTAATTTCCATGTGTTTTCCCAGGTTACCTACATCCAGGTCTTCCAAAAGTTACAGTCTTCCTGGATCTGGAGTGTTCTATTTACTGCCAGACCTTCCTTCCCACCTGTAAGCCATCTATTACTTCCTGTTGGATTCTTAGTTGTCACCTCCCCACTAGCCAAGACCTTTCCTGCTTGCTCTCCTGGAACCTCCTCTGGACTATATGCCAGCCCCGATGTGGGAATATATCTGTGTCTGGTTTTCTAGATGCTGAATATCTTTTATCTAATCAATATACTGACCATTGAGCCCCAGTGAAACCACATTAGCCACATCTACAGTGCTACAAAGTGATTACTGATGTTCAACACTTTGACCTAGATACACTACTTGAATCATAGATATATGAAAAATATAAACTTAATTAAGTTCACAAAAGCTTAATTACATCAAATTTTCTCTAGTTACCAGGAATATAATCAATATTAGAAAATTTTTCAATGCAAGGAATAAAACAAGAGGCATCAAACTAATATTAGTTTAACCAAAAACTCAATTAATCATAACACCCATTGCACTCAAACATTTTATTGTCAGTAATCAGTTATAACACCACTCCAAACAAAGTATGTAGGTTTTCGTATACATATAAATATACATATCACCACTGTTTCGATCCCAAATGTGGTTAACAGACTTCCACAATCGCTGTTCTGGAAATTCTTTTTTTTTTCTTTTTTTGGCTCATTTCTCTTCACAAAAATTTGATATGTAGGACGATATAATTTTAACATCAATTTTCGCTATGAAGAGACATAACGAGAATTTGGAAGAGATCCTCTGCTTACAGGGCTTGCAGGATATCTTCTAAGTGAGTCTAGATTGAATTTCGAGCACAAGTAAGTCTAACAATTTACTGTAAGCACCAAAAGTTTTCAAATTTTTACTTTATTTTTTGACATATTTAAAAATTTGAATAACTGTACTTTCACTCCCAATCAAGACAGGTAACCAGGACCAGATATACTCACTATCATTAGACAACTAAGAAACTAGTCTAAATATATTTTAGACATCAAAAAACAGACAGTGTGAGAAAGATCTCTGAGAGATGGGAAACAAACTAAGTGAGCCCCAGGATGTCCCCACTTACTGCTTGCAGAGTGTTTCCTGGCCACCGTGCTGGGAGTCTGAAGGTCTTCCTGCGCTGAGGAGACGGAGTTGAGAATTCAGAGGCAAAGGTGGATGGAATTTGCAGAGCAAAATACTGGATAGGAAAGAGTTGCACAGAGAGAGGAGAATGACCAAGAGAGTTGCACAGAGAGGGTGAGAGAGAAAGAGAAAGGAAGAGAAAAACGAGAGAGAGAGAGAGAGAGAGGGAGGAGGGAGAGGAGGGAGAGAGGAGGGAGAGGGAGAGGGAGGGAGAGAGGGAGAGAGAGGGAGAGAGAGAGAGAGAGAGAGAGAGAGAGAGAGAGAGAGAGAGAGAGAGAGATATTGGTAGAGGGCTTCAGCTGGGTACGGATGAGCACCTGTGTGTGAGGAAGCCACCTGAGCAGGGAGAGAACTAGTAGCAAGGAGCAAGCAGGAGAACCTCCAGAGCTCACACAAGGTGGGAAATAGTTCATATTCCCACCAGCCAAAATAGGGGGAAAAATCATAATAAAATAGGCATTAGGTAGAGTATTTGGAAGAGTATTGCCCCAGTGTGAGGAGTATTTCGTCCTAAATTTAATACTCTGGTCTCACCTAACAAAGCTTAAAAGGAGCAACTTTAGGGATCAAACTGTTTCCAAGTAACTTAACTGCAACCCAGAAGAAAGCTTAAGAATATTTAAAAGAAAACAAAAATAATATCAGCACTGAACAACATGAAATTCACATCTGTCATCCAGTCAAAAATTACAGATATACAAAGAAGTGAGAAATACAACCCATATAATGAAGGAAAAAATAATCAATAGAAACAGCCTCCAAAGTAAAAAGTAGCATAGATGATAGAATTAGTAAAAAGGGACATTAAAACAGTTATTGTAGCTATATGCCATATGGTCAAAATCTGAATAACTTAATTACTCTTGGCAATAATACTGCTCATTGAGTTTTAAAATATGGCTATCTACAACATGAAAGCATTCTTATTTTGTTGTTTTTGTTACAGAAAATTTCAGGGACTGTAGTGCCTATATACTTCAGTTATTTTTTCCTTTTTTAAACATGAACATTTTTCTATATTGCATAGGCTAGGAAGTTAAAATATTTCTGTCTGCTGAATTCAAAAGAAAAAATTTGTTGCTGCTTGGACTTAATTCTCTACTTACATCATTGTTTTACAGAACTACCAGTGTCAAAGCACATTGGAATTTTTGAAAACATTAAAAGCACGAATCAATCAAAATGACTATTGTATAGTAGAATTTAGTTAAAAGCCAAGGAGTAAGCAGAAGAAGAAAAGAGAAAGTCAGAAATCATATCATACTGCAATGCTTAGCATACCGGAAACCCATTCATGGCCATGGTGTCTGTCAATAAAAATGAGGGCATATCCTGAATTACAGCCAGGTCTAATGAGCCTTGAGGTGAGTATCATGCATGCTTAAGCAATGAATTACACCCAATCCAGATATCTAGAGTATTATTCATTTTATTTCCTGGCTCACAAAATAATATCTCCACAGCTGGCCAAATTACTCAAACCTTAAAGTACCTCACACATGGGGCCCAGTCTAGCTCCTTCAGCTACCTCAGAAAGAGCTCAATGGGGGAATGAGTAGTGCTGGGAGGAGTGCAGGCTATGCTGCCCAACTTTTTACTATACCCCAACATCTGTCAGTACTACAAACAATGCAGAGACATAAGGAAGTGGTGATAATTTTTATTATTGAGTTGTCCTCACTTTTACCCCTTTCTCCCTATTGATTTCATCAGCTCATCCCAAATCACTCTATGTACCTCTGATAGACAACTCATCTTTAGATGTCAGTTTCTTTATGTCACTCAGAACTATAATGGTCTTCTGTTACTTTAAAATGTCAGGTTGGAATTCATGTTTCTTATAATTAAGGTCATTAAATATGTGGCCTGATTCTCCTTTAAAAGTATCCTAGACTCAGCAGTCAAGCTTTCTAAGTACCAATCTTGGCTCCACTATTCTTTGGCTGTGTGACCTTAGGCACTAAGCCCCAGCTTCCTCATCAGTAAAATGGAGATGAAAATGGTGCTATCTACTTCACCGATTTTTGGTTAAAGATGAAGAGAGATAATTTATGTAGGACATTTAGCATTGTAAGCACTTTATAAATGATAGCTATTTTTACATGTTCAAATATATTTACCTGTCTTTCAGAACAGGAACATTCTTTCTCCCAATAGGGATATTTATTATAGACTGCTCGTCAACACAGACACACACACACACAAACACACACTCATTTCTATCTCTGCTTATTCTCATGCTCGTCTTTTTCTAAAATCTGTGCCACTTGTTGGTTAACCTATCCATGCTTTAAGAGTCACCACCAGTCCCACCTGAATTATTAAAGCTTCCGAACTACTCTAAACCCCTATTATAACTTTTTTAAATTTTGAAATGCGAGTGATTATATTCTCTAGTAAAGCAATTTTTACATACTGATTTTTAATTTAAAAAATATTTGATATCTTTTCATATATGTATTTTGTCTCCCCAGTAATAATCTGAGATCCATAATGACAAAGAACTATGACTATGTTTTTCACAGATGATTCTTTCCCTTTTGGTAGATATTACAATGTTCAACTTGGGAAATCATTACTTATTGATTTATTAAATGCAAGACAAAATTTCAAAAAACATGAACAACTTTTAATGAGTTTATATGGTTAGAAATTGACTTAAAGGTGTCGAAGAGGACAGGGCATGAATTTGGCCTGGGTGACATACCAAAGAAGAAAATGCAAGAAATGAAAATATAGTACATTTGGGGTTTCTCTTCTATGTCTGAAGTTTGAAAATGAAGTATAATAACTTTCTCTCTCATAGTGTTTTGGTTTTCATTTCTCAGCTTTAATTCTAATACTCTCTGCATACCAGAGATGCGTATTTAAGCAGTTCTTTCATTGCCTGGCCCTAGAAGTAAAAATGCATTAGTCAGTAAGCAGTCAGCTACAAAAGTAAAAGTAAATTAAAAATTTAAAAAGCCTCTGAATTGAGAGATAACATAAAGAAAAATTTTCTGAATTTTGAAATCTAACAAAAATCAACAGTTGATGAATATCAACATGGCAGAATTAACTTACAATGGGAAAGGATTTTATTTTTTTATTTTTTTGTCTAGAAATGAGCCCACCATATCCAATCGAGAATACATAGCATTTCTTTAAAACAACATACATAATTATTGATTTGGTATTAGAGAAAGCTGTTGCCAAGTCAATCACATTGTAATATAATAGCCTGAAATATGGTATCTTAAATCCATAATCCTGCACAAATTCTAAAACTAGAGAGCCATAAAGCAGTAAGTTAACAGATTTTATTCAGTTGTCTCCAGAAAAGGATGCTTCTTCTAACCCTCAAGGAGCAATAGGTGTCATTGAGGTTGAGATATTTGCAAATTGAAAAAGTGAAGAGCATCCACTAACCTGGGTTGTTGGAAATGTGTCCCAAGAATGTCTATGACCTTTGTTCCATTTTGATGCTGAGTGGTCAACATTCTGATCTCTAATTTGATTTCCTAAATGAGTTCAACAAACAGGCTAAAAATTGGGGGCTCTGTGAACATATGGTCAGTTGGCTATTGTGCAAGATTTCAAATTCTGTGTATAGTCATATGTGATATATGGCTGAAAATCAGCTTCTTATGAATCTAGTGATTATGGGTCATCACTGAGACTGAGCTCAGATGTGCGAGAAATAATAAAATTGTATCTTAAAGTTCAGAGCTTGAGTCTAGTCCCAAAACCTAGTGACCCATCAGGAGCTGCAGCAGTGCTGAAAATATGACTGACTTTGTTATTTGGATCACAATGACGATTCTCTCCCTCTGCCCGGAATACCCTTTCCTGCCTCATGGCCTGATTTACACCCAACAACTCCAGTTAGCTTTCTTTGGCCTATTTTCCCAATCCCCCCACCCCCATACTCCTGCGATTGGCTGCTCTTACCCGGTACTCTTTGGAAACATTGTTGGTACTGCACCTGTATATTATTTTTAAGTGATCCAATTATTTGTCTGTTTAACTGCAGTGTTCTTTAAATGAAGGTTGGGCCTTATGCATCTTTAAATTCTTAGTGCCTAGCATTGTGCTTAATACCTGGAGAGACACTTTTGAGTTTAAAAATGTTCTGTTATAAGCTCCTATATGTAGGAAACAATAGTCTTTTCTATGTAAATACTTTTACAGATATTTGAATTAAATTTCCTACTAGAGCTCAACTTTCATAACTTTTGCATAAATGACAGTTCCAAATATGGGGTGATTCTTGGGTCAACAAATGGTTATATTTCCCAGTAAATATATTTTAAAATGCATATTTTATATGACACTTATACAGTATGTTTTGTGTACAAAGAATTATTCTAAGTGCTTTATAAATATTAACTTGAATTATCCTCATATCAAATCTATGAAAGAGGTGATTTTACTACCCCCACCTACTACTGGGGAAATGGAAATACACAGAAATTATTTAATATGTAACTTGGCCAAGATTGCTCAGCTAATAAGGGCAAGAACCAGGACTTGAATCCAGGCAACCTGGCTCAGAGCCCTGGCTGCCCCTGCAGCTCTAATGGATTTGCCAGTAAGTCTCCATCCACAAAATGAGTGGGCATATTTGTATGCAGAAGCCTTAATATATATATAGGTCATTTCCTCCCTTTTCCCCTGTCTAGTCCTCTTAAACAGATGTCTTTTAAACTTCACATGTTAGACAACTATTTTATTGAATTACTTGCCTCTGAGGAGCCTGACCTATTTTACAAAAGGAAAAATAAAAAACAAAAATAAAAACAAGAGCTCAGTAATCCTCGCTAAATCCAATGAGGACTATAATGCTAAGAAAAGGAAATATTTTTAAATGGGTATTAGCTAAAGTCTTACTCCTTTAGGACAAGACTGAATAATGATTTCATTCTGCCCTGAGAATGAAAAAAAAAAAAAAATGTGTTCCTGTAAGTCTTGGAAAGGAAGCAAAAGATCTAAGGGCTTTCAATAAAAACCTTCCATTTCCATTTTTTTGAAATTCAAATCCTGCGATGATTAGCTGCAGCTGACCTTAACTCTTTACAGTGCTTAGGGAGACTTATACTATCATAGAAATCAGAAATCAAATAAATTAGGCTCTCCTTTCAGATCAACACTTTAAATTGCAGCTGGAAGAAACCATCTATAGGCTAGTTAGCCCCAAAAAGCTTTTTTTCAGAAGCATATTTGACAAAGGAGTGGGGCTTCTCTGCTGGGACTGCAATCCAGTCATAAAGGAGAAAAGCAATAAAAAGAAAGCTGCCAAGACTAATTGAAAACTGTATAATAAAAGGAATGTTATCAATTAAATTGTTGTGTTCCTTAAAAGGATCAATAGGGGTCAAAGAAAAGATATCTTGCCACTTTTTAGAAAATTGATCAGGAAAACTCCTCAGGAGACTAGCTTGGAAAACTGTATCTCTAGCAAGCAAATGTGTAAGGAACACATTATGTGCTCAAATAAGCCCTTATCTTGTCTATTGGAAAATGAGAAAATTCCTGTTACCAAAGAAGATTGGGAGGGACCTATGATTTGCAACGTTGGAGTAGTAGGGACAAGATTTACCCTCTAACCTGGAGCAACAACAACAACAAAAAGGCAAAATGTATACAACAATGCTTTTCAAGAAACTAGACTTTTCGGCAACAAAATACAGTGACCACTGAGAGACAGGAAATGAATGGGGTGAGGCTTGTGACTGCCCTAGTGTATTGCTTTGATAGAAATTCCAGATCATGGAGCAGAGAGGGAGAAACCAAGTGGAGTTCTCTCTAAATTGGGGAGAAGAAGGCAGTTAGAATTCTTGGAAGAGAGTACTGGAGAGCAGAAAGATACACAGAGAAAAAAATTCTGCATATTTGCAAAGAGTCCCCTCCAGTATTCAGCTGTCTCCTACTGTTCATTGCATGAATGCAGGGAAACTACACTTGACCAGAAAAATAACTATCCAAAAGGATTCGTGGTAACAGTTCATGTACATAAATACAGTTACTGTGTCTGGTGCTCCTCTTCTCTTTAGATCACCCACTCATATTTCTACCTGGTACCATCTTCCTTATTCCTGAAGGAGTTTATGTAACATTTCTTGTAGTGAGGGTCTGCAGGTGATGAATTATTTTAGCTTTCATAGGTCTGAAGAGGACTTTATTTTGTCTCCATTGTGAATTCTGGGTATAGAATTCCAGAGTTTTATTGTTGTTGATGTTGTTTTGTTTTCTGTCTTCCAGTATTTTTAAAATGTTGTGTTACTGTCTTCTTGCTTCCATTGCTTCTGATGACATATTGATGTCAAACTTATATTTGTTACTCTATATCGTGTGTGTGTGTGTGTGTGTGTGTGTGTGTGTGTGTGTGTCTTTATTCTCTGGTTGCTTTTAAGATTTTTCTCTTTATCTCTGGCTTTGAACAACTTGATTGTGATGTGCCTTGATGTAGTCTTTGTTTCTTGTGTTTCAAGTTGATTGAACTTCTTGGATATGTCAGTTCATGGTTTTCAACAAATTTCGAAAAATTCTGGCCATTTTTCTTCAAATACTTTTGATCTCTCTGTTTTCCTCACATTCAAGGATTTTGTTTGAAGTTATCCCACAACTCACTGATGCTCAGATTATTTTTTTTAATTATTATTTTTGTCTGTGTTTTATTTTGGTTAATATTGCTATATCTTTCAGATCATCAATCTTTTCTTCTACAATGTTTAATCTGCCATAATGCTATCCCACTGTATATTTTTTATCTCCCATTTTGTAGTTTTCTTCTCTAGACATTTGATTTGGGTCTTTTTCTTTATATTGTCTATGTTTTTGCTTAACTTATAAATGTATGAAATAAAGTTATAATAGCTGTTTTAATGTTCTCATATGAAAATTTTAACATCAGTTCTGGGTCAATTTTGATAGATTAATTCTTTTCTCATCATAGGTCCTATTTTCTTCCTTCTTGGCATGATCAGTAATTATTTATTAGGTCTCAAGAATCATGAATTTTACCTTGTTTGTTGCTGGATATTTTTGTCTTCCTATAAATAGTACTTAAGGTTTTTTTTTTTTTTTTCCTGTGATGCAGTTAAGTTACTTGGAAACAGTTTGATCCCCTTGGGCCTTGCTTTTTATATTTGTTAGGTGGGACCAGGTCATATTTAGTTTAGAGCTAATTATTCTCTAATGCTATGTGGATTATGAGACTGTCTAGTCTGTCTAGTGTGAACAAACACAATTTAGGGTCTGATATGAGCCACATGAACTGTTACAGCTAAACCTTTTGGATAGTTCTTTTTCTGGCCTAGCATAGTTTTCTCACATTCATGCACTAAACAGTACTCAACTGAAAACTGTAGGAGACTGTTTGCAAATACCTAGAGTTCTCTCCCTGTGTATCTTTCCGTTTTCCAGGAGTGTCTTCTAAGAATTCTAACTGCTTTGCTCTTCCTAGTTGAGAAAATCTGCTGGGCTCCACTTGGTTTCTCCCTCCTTGCCCAAGATCTGCAATTTCTGTCAAGGCAGTAAACTGGGGAAATCATAGGGTTCACCTCATTTTCCTGTCTCTCAATGGTCACTATATTTTGTTGCCTGAAGTCCAGTATCTTAAAAAACATTGTTTTGTATATTTTTACCTTTTGTTGTTGTTGTTTGAGGTTAGAGTGTAAATCTGGTCCTTACTACTCCAATGTTGCAAATCAGAAGTTCCTTCCAATCTTCTTTTGTAATAAGAATGTCCCCATTTTATAATAGAAAAGATAAGAGCTCATTTAGGCAGTTTGTTTCTTACACATTTACTTGCTAAAGGCACTATTTTCCAATCTC
This sequence comes from Homo sapiens, assembly GCF_000001405.40. Lineage (NCBI taxonomy): Eukaryota > Metazoa > Chordata > Mammalia > Primates > Hominidae > Homo > Homo sapiens. Next base: position 71,596,285 of record NC_000006.12, on the reverse strand, counting down.
CTAAAGTGTCTTCCTGACCAATTTTCTAAATACCTTACATTATTTTCAAATATTAATTCAAAATGAATCATAGACGTAAATGTAAAACCTACAAATATAAAACTTCAAAGAGAAAACATGCAAAATCTTTGATACCTGGGATTAGGCAAAGAGTGACTACATTGAACTCCAAAAGCCAAATCTCTAAAACCAAAATTAATAAATTGGACTTCATCATAATTAAAGTATCCTCTTCCAAAAGCTCTGTTAAGAAAATTAAAAGACAAGTCACAGATCAGGAAAAAATATTTTCAAATTATATATCTGATAAAGAGCTTGTATTCAGAATACATAAAGAAGTTCTACAACTCAATAATAATAAGATAAGCAACCAAATTAAAATAAAGGCAAAACATTTGAATCAACATTTTGCCAAATAATACATACAAATGGATAATTAGCATGTAAAAAGATGTTCAAAATCATTAGTCATTAGAAAAATGAAAATTAAAACCACATAAAGTACCACTATGTATCGACTAGAATGGTTATAATCAAAAAGACTGACAATGCTGAGTGTTGGCAAAGATGCGAAAAAACTGGCAACCTCATGAGTTGCTGGTGGAAATGTAAAATGATACAGCTACTTGAACAAATAATATGGCAATTTCTTAAAATATTAAACATGAACTTACTGTAAATTCCAGTAATTCTACTCCAAAGTGTCAATCTACCCAAGAGAAATGAAAACTTACTTCCACATGGTTGTATGTGAATGTTCACAACATCATTATTCATAGTAGCTAAAAACTGAAAACAATTCAATGCCCATAAAGTAGTGAATGTATCAACAAAATGTATATATTGATACCACACAATAAGTTCATGAATTAAAATGAAAGAAACACTTATAAATGCTATAACATGGATGATTTTCAAAAACGTTATGCTAAGTAGAGGGAGTCATACTATAAAGACTACAGATTGCATAATTTCACTTATCTGAAATTTCCAGTAACAGCAAGTCTATAAAAGTGGTAAGCAAATCAGTGGTTTCCTGGGGCTGAGGAACAAGGAATGGTTACAAATGTGTTTGAAGGATATTTTGGGGATGGTAGGAGGTTCTAAAACTAGATGGGTGCACAATTCTATAAATGTACTAAAAATCATTTGTCACTTACAAAGCATGAATTTGATTGCATGTAAATTATAACTTAATAAGACTTATTTTCCCTCTAATTATTGTCAATAAACCAACAACAAAGGTAAATTCAATGAGTCTATATTTAATAATTTTTCCAAAATAATGAGATTTTATCAAAAAATTAAAAATCTGGGCTCTTTTTTTAGTTTGGGGAGGAATATAAATTATTGATTTTTTCTAGAAAACAAAACTATAAGCAAAAAATGGGCAAGGCAAATTGCTAATCTTCAGCAATTATACATTAATATATATTTGTTAAATTATTCAGAGAGCTATCACAATCCTATAATGTAGATAGACAAAATAGATTTAATTCATTTCATAAGTTGAAGAAACCTAAGGCTGCATTAAGTTCAAAGGGTTTGTCAGAAGTCGTGAGATCTCTAATTGGAGGAAAATTGTAATTTTCCTTATAGTGACTGCTCACTTATGTTTGAATTTTCCTCCACAACTCTCCAAGAGCTTGTCAAATCCCTGCTGAAAGATCCTTCATACCAGAGAACTTGTTATCCTCAATAGGAAAAGTTTTCTTCTTTACAAAGGACAGGCATCTAGAAAGACCAATCATGAACTCTGTAGCTTCCATCTACAACATGAAACTAATTGGTAGAAAGAGGTCTCTACCAATATCCTGATATCCTGACTTCTACAAATTCACACATATTCACTATACAAATATTGTATATAAAAAATATCAGTGGACACAATCCGGATCTTAGAGTCCCAATTCTCCATCAAATACAAGTTCCTTGAGAACTTCTATCAAGGTTCATCATATTCACCATTGTATACCTAGAGCCTGTCACAGTCCCTGATAATTTAAGCACTCAGTCAATAATTTTGAACCAAACTTAGAATTTTATAATACAAAACATGCCTATGTAAATCACCTGAAAATTTTTCTAATGTCCCTATTCCATAAACATATTTATTTTATGCTGCTTTTTGCAGAGATGAATATCTTTTCTTGTTATATGTTACATATAAACAAAATGTGGATATGTGTTAGAGTGGGTAAGGCAGGAACTATATGATAAAAGTAATGATTTTACTGATATGACTATGAATGAGTCCGAAACTTGCCACTTTCAAAGTGAGCTTTGTTAACAATTACTTTTATTAGAAAACAATCCTGAGATAGTGTTTATCACCATGCTTAGACTCCAAATTATCAGAAGCCTTAAATCATGAGAAGTTTTATTTTGAACTATATAGTGATAGCAACAGTCATAGTAGCAATCAACACATGATCCTGAGAGTGCCCTCTACTCTAAGTTATTAAAGAATAATAGCTTCTATTGTTACACATAGAGAAAGAATAAGTTGCCATTTTAAAAATCCACAATTTTAGAAGTCAGGAGACCTACATTGAAATCTGGCTCATATTAGCTGTGGTGAACTCATGCAACAACCTCTCTTTGCTTATCAAAAAACAAGAGGATTCCCACAATCTATGCATGATGAGGTAGTTGTGACGCTCAAACAAGATAGTGGATATGAAAGTGATTGGGAAACTCTAAAGTACTTATCAAAAGTGAGAGATATGTACTAAATTGCTAAAAAAAATTATCCATGTTTATCACATTATATAATTCTTCAATAATCCAAATATTCAGTTCCCTGAGATAGCAAGTTTGTTCTATTTTTTCATGCTATCAATTTTACAAATGAATGTCACTACTCAGTGTGACAAAGTCCATGCCTTAAATGTTGCAACCAGTACCTTACGCCAAGAAAGCATAAGGCATTCTTTGCTTGTAATAATCACTTAAGAAAAATATTTATTTGAAGAGATGCTCTCAGATATCCTTCAATTATCATTTAAAAGAAGATTAATTCTATGGCAACTTTTACAAATTATCTACATATATTTTTTTACTTAAAATTTGGCATGCATGGCTCATTTAAATTGGTGGTTTTTAAATGGGTTTCTTAAAATTCTTGAACACCATTGGCAATCTCATGTAAGTGAGAAAATCTGTATCCAATAAAGAGCACATATGAACACACATTTGAAATTCTGCTTATAATATCAGTAATTCACAGACCTTGTGTGGCCTAACAATTGGTCTATAGTTCACAGACCCAGGTTAAGAAATTCTGTTTTAAATTTGTGTGAACATTCTTAAATAGCATAATTAAATGCTATATAATAAATTATGTCTCCTATTTTCTTTTTAGATTGTTTAAATAACAGTTTTCTACATTTGCAAATTTAAAGCCCTTATTCTGACTTTTATTCTGACTTAATTTGTCTACTCAGCAAATAAACACAAAGTCATTATTCAATATGAGACAGCATTTTTAAGAGTAATGAGGTGGAAAATTAATTAAATGTGGCTGAAAGTTATGAATTATTTAACTAAACACTGTAGGGTAGGGATAGGTGGTCTTTCTGAAGCCCTTTACCTTTTGCAAAATTATTCCTGTAACTCAAAACAGCAATCACAAATGTTCCAGGAACTTAGGCCAAAGCCTTTCTCTCATTTCTTTGGATATTAGCAATGCTGGTGTTTCCAAATAGACTGTGCAATTTCCACATATATTGTGTGTTATACATTAAATCTGATAAGTATATTTATGGATGTATCCATGGATCTCAGACCCTCTTTTCCAGGCCCTGCCAAGAATTTGACTCTCTCCTACAATAGTGCTGATTAAAATCTTGCCTACCAAACAACCCAATTAAGTGTGCACTGGGTTAGTTTCCATGAAAGTAAAAGCATAGTTTTAAGAAAAAAGTGTCTTGGTTCTCAATCATTTCTATACAGATATAATCACCAGCATAACTGAGACCTTTCCCAGGATTATTCAGAAAATTAATGCACATATAGCTGTTTGGTTTTGGTTTAGAAAGATATACTGTATGGAAAACAGATTCTTTAATCTTTTTCATAGTTCTAGTCTGCTAAAATTCTCATAGTTAACTACAATCAGATTTTTTTTAATTTGGAGAGAGCTGTTACACATGACCCACTAGCAAAATCCATTTTTAGTTTAAAATTGATATCTATTTATGTTGTAACAGATTGTGTAATCACTGGATCTAAAACACTCAGCAGTCTGCCTACATTTAGGAGGCAAGTATCTGTATCTCACAGGCCGTCTTGCAGATTTTTCTAGGGAGTTGGTTCTCATTTCCATCCTTCATCATCCTTAAAAAGGGATAAAAAATTTTCTTTCCACAAACTAAACATGACCAAAAGTTTTTCTCAGATAACCACATGGCCAAAATATATTCTGTTTTAACCCTAAAGCATTAGCCAATAAGGCAAAAATCTAGTACTAGATGTCAGGAAGTACTCTGCCTTCTGTCTTTAGAAAAGCCTTCAGTTTTAGTGAAAATAAAGAGAAAGTTGAACTAAGAATTTGGCAGCCAAGGAGATCTGACATCCAAATATTTTTAAAATATTTTAACTTATAGTAGAAACACATTCTTTCTCATCAACCCTATCACCACCCCATTCCTGATGCCAAGTGAGCAATTGTGATGCTATTTTCAAAACAACTATAGAGAGCGATATTGAGCCCTAAGAGCAAGAAACAGCGTTTTCCAGATCAAGGGGTATCTGTTTCCTCAGGCCGTTGGACTAAAATGCTGAGCTTTGCCTCTCGAAAGTGTATGTGATGTATGCTTTGGTGCAATTAGGAAACTTTAGATAAGTGGCAGAATAGACACCTGTCTCTCATGCCCTACCTGGTGTTTAAGCATCCAGCTGTGAAAACTCAGTTAGAAAAAAATGTCAAGAAGGACCTTTTGGGTACCATTCTTTCATTCCTCTTATCTGGTTGGCCTGCCTTCTCTCCTTCATGAAAACCCAGCACCTTTAGGTTCACTGTACCTGCACCACTACATAATCTGCAAAGCAAATGCCAATAAAGGGCTATAAGGATGCCTTTGATGTGTGTAAAGGGGGCTTACCAGATAGGCTCTCTTCAACGTATATCTGGCCTCTAATACCCAACCTTCCGTACTAGATGCTCAGTCAATCCTGGCTGCAGGAATTGAGGAATGTTGACTGAAGACAACTTAACAGCATACATCCTCCCAAGGGCTTGTGTGATTTAGCAAGTGCTAGAGCCTCAAACTGAAGTAATCAAGACTAGAAAATAGATATCCACGACCAGTCAGCCTGAAGGGGGAAGCATAAGTGTCCCTTAAGAACACCAAATCACTCTATATCCCATAAATTTAGGATGGTTCTGTGTCTTCGGAATAGGTATCCCCTGCATGTCTTCCAGTCCTCAAGTAAGGGCCAAAACAAACACTAACTCTACCTCCATTTAGTCCCTCCCTCAGGTCAGAGCAAGACCTAGTGGTGCAGCCTGGAAAGCAGGTTGGAAGTAGATAGTGGACACTGAGGAGAACAGCAGTCTGGGACTTCTTGAAGGAAGACTATGTGCTCCATTCTTCACCACTGAACACCTACAGAACAGAAAAGAGAACTGACTCTGTGTTCCTTCTGTGTCCACCATTAATTAAGGGTCTAGATCTAAACATCAATGAATGGAATAAAGTTAGTTAACATTCTTTAGCATTTAGTATAAGCCCAGTCTTGTTCTAAATGCTTTTCACTCATTAATGTAATCTTCACAACAACACCAACAATAGATTTTACTATTACCTGCCCCTCTTCCATTTGATGAATGAACTGTGCCCAAAATAACACAGCTTTTAGGAAGTGAAGCCAACAACAAAATAAAAGAAATAATATTTATTGATAGCTCATCATGTGATGAGCATGGGCTTTACATGTAATATCTCATTTAGTTCTCACCACAACCTTATGAAATAGGCATTATTACTATTGCCATTTTACAAATGTAGAAAATAGGTTTGAAATGATTTCATAGCTTGTCCAAACTTTCACAGCTATAAGTGACAGGGCCAGAATTCAAACCCAAGGATGTAGTTGGATGTAGAATTGTTCCAATTTCTATATTTATATGATGGAGTTGGAAATCTTCAAAATATTTAGAAGATTGGGACAGTTGTTTGGAGACAGGACAGGAGAAGTTGGAACATTCTTGCCTTTTCTGCTCCGGGAAGCCTAAGAAGATGGGCCAAGCCCTATGGTCAGCAAGAGAAGTAACAAGGGGCATTGAACAGTGAAAAGACTGTTAGGTGGAAGCAACCCTGGCAGGAGGTGCCTTGGAATCTCACAGCCCCTGGAAGGGGGCTTCCCCAAATGTCACCTGCTAAGATGGGCAGACAACTGGACACCTTCAGCTGAACTTCTATTCCGGGAGAGGGAGGGGAACTGGAAACTCCAGGTCCTTTCTTTCAATATCTTACCCTGACCCACAATCTTCTATTGTCTGTATTTTCATCTCTAACCACACCCCACTTAGATTTTGCTCCCTGGCAGCAAAAGGCATTACTTACATTTCAGCATTATGTTTAACATTATTTTTCAAATTAGTTGAATTGATAAAGCGCCGAACCAAATCAAATTAGCAACTTTTTTCACGAGTTGCTCCCATCGCTAATAGTTACAAGGTTTTAAACTCTTACCTATTAATCCCCAGATAAATTGTAATGGGTGGGGAGGAGGACGTTGGGATCTCCATTTAGAAAAGGTGTGTTGCATTGTACCTTATTTCTAACTCTCAGCAGTTTTCATATGATCGTGACTCACAGAAGTGATGAGGAAATTATGTTAATTAATAAGGTTAAAATTCCAGACTATGCTCCTAGTGTGATTCATGCTGTACATTACTAGAGGGGAAAAAGGCTAAAAACCAATATTTTTAAACTGCATTGTAATTGTATTTTTGACAGAAGTCTAACACACCAATACCAGAAAGCGGCTGCCCCAAATGCATTCAAAGAGCCAGTCATGTTTTTGAGGATTTTAAAACACCTTGTATTTTAGGACGCTATAAATAAGGGGCTGAGAGGTAGGTCGGTCATGGAGGTTCCATAACGGTCCAGGGGGGGATAAATTATTTAGAAGTGCCGACATTGGGAAAATGCTGCAGGGTTTAAACAGAAAATTAGTGAATCATCATAATCAACCAGAGGGGCCAATGGTGGGTTCTTGGAAGTGGGGTTAGAATTCTGCCGAACTGAACTCTGGTGGCGAGTGGGAAATGGGCCCGCGGTACCTTCTGCAACTGGTGCTGCCTGTCCTCTGCGTTTTGGGGAGGACAGCGCCCCGCAGTTCCACCCTGGGAGACCCCAGCTTCCCACGGTCTACAGGCACAAAATGGAATTCCTTCCATGGGGAACTCTCGCAGGCCTTGCACGTTTCTTCCCTTCTGCCTCTTAGGTTGCCGCCGCCGCCACCACCACTTGCTCCCTTCCCCAAGCGCATTTCGCTGCGCGGGGACCAGAGGCTAAAAAGCTCAGCTGGAAAGCTACAGTGGGGCGGTGCCAGCGCGGAGACTGGCTCCGCGAGGGCAAGGTCCTGGATGAATTGGGAGGGAAGGAGCGCCCGGCCGGCCTGGGTTCCTGAAACGCCGCCGCTGCGCGCAGAGTGCAATGGGGAAGCCGGAGACCCACCAGTGCGCCTGGCTGGCGAGTTGGCGGCTGCTTCAGTTGATGTTGCATGGTCAATGTCGTGTTGCAACTGGTGCCTGCTGCTAAAAGAGACACCGCCACATTCTTCCCAATGACCAAAGATTAATTTCGGTCATTGCTAGGATTGAGAGGAAATAATTTAAAGGGCATAATGTGTTTGAAGATATGTGGCCTTTAATATATATCTCCTTACTTTATTAAAATTTCCTGACACTTGAATATAGTACTAACGATCTGCACGTATTATATGGAAGTGCACCATATTGAAAAATAATAACACACAAATTGCACAAAAATTCTTAAAAACATATTTTTTTTTCCTAGTAGCTTTACAGTTTCGGATCTTACATTTAAGTCTTTATTTTTGAGTTGATTTTTGTATATAGTGTGAGATAAGGGCCTAGTACTATTCAGTTTTCCAACATCATTTATTGAAGAGGCTGCTATTGTACAACATGGGGACTATACTTAATAACAATGTATTGTGTACTTGAAAATTGCTGAGAGTGGATTTTAAGTATTCTCACCACAAATTAATAAGTATGTGTGGTAATGCATATACTAATTAGCTTGATTTAGCCATTTCACAATATATACATATTTCAAAACTTTATGTTGTGTACCATAAATGTATACAGTTTTAATTTGTAAATTAAAATAGAAACAAAAAAATGTATAACAAAGAAACAAAAATGGAAGATTATGTGATTGAAGCCCTTTGCAAAGCAGAAATGTTTCTAAAACTCTCCCGGAATTACTGTGTGGTTTGTTTAGCATCCAAAGTGTGTGTTTTAATGTGCTCAGCCGCTCTTGGGCCTTGAGAATCAAGCCTGTAATCAAGATCACTGAGCGACTGGCATCTTCATAGGAAGCAATTGACAGAAGACTCAGGATGAATGGAAGATGGACTCTCCCTGCCTTTCCACACCAAAAATATACTTCAGAGGATTATTTCTTATAACGTGAAAATTTCTTATAATTAAAGGGAGACGTTTTTTGTAGAGCTGAGCACCAAAACAACACAGATTTATGCCTAAACTATATCAATTCCATTAAAATGAACACAATTATTTCAGGCGCTAACATGAATTACTACATACCATGGCCGCTGACTGGGATTCTTCAGATCTTTCCTGGTTATTCCTGTGTTAAAGACTATGCTCACAAAAATGTGTACAGATGACAGAACATGTAATACCAAAAACAGAAAAATAAGACTGAAATAATGCAAATGAAGCAGCTCAGGGTATTCTGAGAGGAAAACTTAAGGTCAACAGAGGCCAATGTGACAGCTATAAGGACGACCCCTAAGGATTCTTTTTTGTAGTGTTAGTGGGGAGAAAATCCTAAAAAATCTAAATCAGACCTTGTATCAGCCAAGAAATGCTTCATAAGTTGGAGTAGAGATATAAATTAAACTCTAGTTGACTTCTCTACACAAGGACAGGGATATCTCAAGATCGACTATATCATCAGGTTCTAGATGTTCTGTTCTGGGGTTGGGGGCTATAGGAGTTTCAAGGTGAGTCCAGGCTCCGCAGAGAACCTTCTCTATAACTTTGATCTAGTTCCCTCTGGATGCCTTGGATTTCCCTCTTGGAAACTAAAAAAGAGAGCAGAAGATTCCCTGGGCCTGTCTACATCTACCACTCTATCATTCTACAAGTATGCACCAGGGCAGGGGAAGTCTGTCCTAGAAGCCTCACAAGATAACTGGGAGACTAAATGGTAAACAGGAGCCAGGCCCTGAAAAAAATCAAGAGGTACCAAGTTTTGATAAAGGCCTATATTTAAGGCATGGAATAAATTCAGCCTGAGTCACAAATAAGAGTTTTGAAAAAGATAATAAGGAAGTGGCCAGGTGCAACTGTTCACGCCTGTAATCTCAGCACTTGGGGAGGCTGAGGTGGGCAGATCACCTGAGGTCAGGAGTTCAAGACCAGCCTAGCCAGCATGGTGAAACCTCATCTCTACTAAAAATACAAAAACTAGCCAGGTGTGGTGATGTGCCTGTAATCCCAGCTACTCGGGAGACTGAGGCGGGAGAATTGCCTGAACCCAGGAGGCGGAGGTTGCAGTGAGCCGAGATCATGCCACTGCACTGCCTGGAGCAAGACTCCATCTCAAAAAAAAAAAAAAAAAAAAAAAAAGAGAGCAAGAGAGAATAAGGAAACCATGCTTATTTCCTATCCACTCAACAGAAGGTTAAGTGCCTCCTTGCCTGACCAGGATCATTGAGTCGGATAAAGGCAGATGGATTCCCTGCTTTCACCTTTCTTAGCCTGGAGAAATGCAGAAACAGAAGTACAAACGGGAAGCAGATTCAACAAAGTGCAAGCAACGTGGATCTCCCTGGGTGGTAAAGTCACGGGTGATATTTATGAATTTCTGATTAGTTCGCCATGTTTTCCACATTTCTACAACGAGCATGTATTGTTTTTCATATATATATATATATACACACACACGTATATATACACACACACACACACACACACACATATATATATATATATATATATATATATATATTTTTTTTTTTTTTCCCCTTGGACCATAAAATTTTATTGGCAGATCAGGGGAAGAGCAGGGGGTAAGGGTCCCTTCCTTCCCATCCCCCTACCCAGGAGACACCCTCCAAAGGACAGTAGAAGCCCCTTAGCCTGCTGCCTCAGAGGACCTTGGAGGCGGACAGGTTGTTGTAGTGATCTTTCTGGCCCTCGAGCAGGCTGCGGTAGGTGGAGATCTCCTGCTCCAGCCGCGACTTGATGTCCATGAACTGCTGTTAATCCTGATTCTGCCGCTCACTATCAGCTCGCACATCGCCCAGCTGGGCTTCAATACAGTTGATCAGCGGCTGGATCTGCGCCAGCTGGACTCCAAAGCGCGCCTCCGTTTCTGCCAGTGTGGCTTCCAAGGCGGCTTTCATGCTCAGCCGTGACTGCAGCTCAAGACCCTGGAGGGTGCGCCGCAGGTCAGCGACCTTGGACCGGCTCATCTGGAGCTGATCTGTGTGGCCAGCGACCTCCCGGTTCAATTCTTCAGTCCGGCTGGTGAACCAGGCTTCAGCATCCTTCCAGTTCTGCTCCGCCATGACCTCGTATTGGCTTCGCATGTAACTCAGGATCTTGGCGAGATAGGTGCCCTGAGCCGAATCCACCTCCCCACTGACCTGGCCTCCCACTTGGCCCCTCAGCCCACTGATTTCCTTCTCATGGTTCTTCTTCAGGTAGGCCAGCTCTTCCTTCAGGCCTTAGATCTGCATCTCCAGGTCGGTAATGGCCAGGGTCAGCTCGTCCAGCACCCTGCGCAGGCCGTTGATGTCGGCCTCCGCGCTCATGCGCAGAGCCTGCTCCGTCTCACTCTTGGTTCGGAAGTCATCTGCAGCCAGACGGGCGTTGTCGATCTCCAGGACAATCCTGGAGTTCTCAATGGTGGCACCAAGAATCTTGTACCGCAGGTCCTGGATAGTCTTGTAGAGTGGCTGTAGTCACGGGAGGGCCCGGGCCCCTGCTTCTGGTACCAGTCGCGGATCTTCACCTCCAGTTTGCCGTTGGCTGCCTCCAGGGCGCCCACCTTGTCCAGGTAGGAGGCCAGAGGGTCGCTGAGGTTCTGCATATTGAGCTTCTCGTTGCCCGCCAGCAGCCCGTAGGACACGGCCAAGACGCCGCCGTAGCCCCCCAAGGAGGACGAGGACAGACACGAAGCGGGCGGAGGACACGGACACGCCGCAGCCTCCAGAGGCCCAGTGCATGCTGAGCGCGCGAAAGGCAACCTCTGCCACAAAACTCACGGAGCCACCACCCAGGCCCCAGAAGGACTACTTGGCCTACGACTGGCGATAGCTGTAGGAAGTCATGGCGAGGCGGAGCACGGATGGAGCGACCCTGGTCCCAGAGGCTGCGATTCGAGGGAGGAGCCATACTTTTTTTTAAAAATAGCTACTTTACATAAATATCAGATTATATGTTTATCAATGTTGTACAAGCACTTGACGAGGGAAATGACCGCTCAACAGATAAGCTGCCTAAGGCAGAGGTTAAATGGCTTATTAAGATCACAGAACTGGCCGGCAGCGGTGTCTCACGCCTGGAATACCAGCACTTTGGGAGGCCGAGGCGGGCGGATCACGAGGTCAGGAGATCGACAGCATCCTGGCCAACATGGTGAAACCCCATCTCTACTAAAAACACAAAAATTAGCTAGGCGTGGTGGCGCGCGCCTGTAGTCCCAGCTACCCAGCTAATCAGGAGGCTGAGGCAGGAGAATGGCTTGAACCCGGGAGGCAGAGGTTGCCGTGAGCCAACATCAGTTGCCACTGCACTCTAGCCTGGCGACAAAGCGAGACTCCGTCTAAAACAAAAACAAAAACAAAAAAACAATAACAAAAAAGCACAGAACTGTAGTGAAGAAGAAAGATGGCGGACGCACATAACTGCATATTACCAAAAGATTTTTTTGTTTCTTTTCTTTTTCCTTTTTGCAAGAGAACCGGGATTAAAATCTAAGCTTTCTAAGTCTCTGGATCTGTACCCTCTCCACCAGCTGACAGTCTGCTAATAACAATATGCACTCTCAAGGATCAAGATAAGCACTGCAATATATTCATTCACAAAATAATGAAATGTAAGAAACCTATATATGAAAAACATTTTCATGTCTCACTCTCTTGCTTTTACTCTGTCACTATTCCTTTTTAATTTTTTATTTATTTTTATTTATTTTATATCTCTATTAAAGGCTTACCCTTAAATTGTATTTGGAAAATAAATAAAAGGAAAAATCACATATTCTCATTATACTAAAATGACTACTGTTGATAAGCAAGTTAGGTATGGTCAGACTTAAAATATAGATTGAAGCATGCATAAAATTCACTTTATGTGCCTACAAGTCAAAAGTCATCGGGCACACTCTCCAATTATAGGAAGTGCTCTAAAATCTAGATGCTTCTCACACAGGCAAATCTGTGGTTTTCTCTGGGGTGAATAGCAGCATCAACCCCTTCTGTCTGTAACCATAAGACAACAAATTCCCTGCATTTTCCAATTTTTTCTTCATCTTCTACGTCCTCACTTGGGTTATTGTAAAAATCAAAAGAAATTAAAGAAATAGGTAAAGTAACTTGTTATGTTTGCTATTAGCAATAGCCTTGACACGTTCTCACTTTTTCAAGAAACCTTCATTTACAGCCCTATGGGGAGTAACCTCCCCCTCTGCTGTTCTGCTAGCATTTTCTTTGTACCTCTAATAATGCAGAAATGGGGTATGTCTTGAGTTAGAATTATTAATGTATGTGTGTCTATTTTCTACCCTGGATTATAGGCCCCTTCTGAGCGGGGATCATATTTTATTCATTGTGTTTTGCCCACATTGGGCAGGGGGACTTGTAGTGTGAGAGCACTTTGCCAAGTGTAAAGCACTATCAACTTGATGATGATTTGGATCAAGCATATTCTGAATTGTATTGCATTCTTTGTCAGTGAGGGTCATTACTACTTCTCTCCTAGAGCAACGTTTATGAAGTTAGAAGTTAGGAAATTCTCTTTTCAATGAGAGAGCAGGCCCAGATGGCAGAAATGTGGAGTCCAGATACATCTTCTCATTGTTCTCCCTGGAACAGATCCACTTTCCTAAAGATGGAATTGTCTTTTTGCCTTAGTCTCAATGTAAGTAAATAGAAGTCACCTTTTCTAATGATACACTTCCTCTTTCATGATTTCTTAGATAAAGGCATGAACACACAAAACTTCCCATTATCTAAGTAACTGAGGCAGTGAAGAGTAAGGAAGTATTGAAGAAAATGCATGGTTTATGACTTCTTTTTCAGTGGTTTGGAAATTCAAAGCTATGGAGAAGGGCAAACCACGGAAGGCTATTCCTGTAAATGCCCTCAGCACTCACTTAGTTCAAGTCTTTTGTTCACACCTAAGGAAAATGGAATAGAGAAAAGTGAAGAAACATGCTCAAAAATTATGTGGTGAGAGGAAGAATCTCTGTTCTGAAATGAAATTTAGGTCAACCTATATGAAAAGTGAGGGGTCAATTTGAAATGATTTCGGAGTCTTCTAATTTTAGGCATCATACCTTTCTAATACCAAGCATTACCTTGCCTTTGCTGCCACAAAGCTGACAGAAGGAGAAGAAGCCAGGACAGACAGGGGAGCGAAACAGTATCTTTAAATGAAGCTTCAGGAAATGCTGTTCTGAGGCCTCCCCAGAAGGCCTAAAGCTGAAAAGATTCATGTAGAGAAGGTCACACTGAAACTCAAGTTTCGAGAACATTATGCGTTTCTTTAGGCTGCAGGATCATTGTTGTCCCAGGGTACCTGCAGCTAGTAGGACCAACTGCAAGATGCAGGCAACCTTGATTGCACCTGACATGGGGCCAGATCTGTCAGTGATATGAAAATACTTACTTTATCTCCTTCTTCTTTATCACACACTTGTTATTTGGTTTCTATATCAGCTGCACAGAAATTGGCTGTCTTTAATCACATTCCTGTCTCCATTTCATTACCTCCCCATCCCTATCTTCTGCACATCATCGCTTGTGCCTCCCTGTTTCTGATTCCATTGTCAGCCTCACCATCCTTCCCTGCATGAATCTGACACATCCAGATTGATTTCAACATGATCTCTTCACTGATAGAAAATGCAGAAAGGCAAAAAAAAAAAAAAAAGAAAAAACCAACAACAACAACAACAAAAACACCAAAAAGAAAACACTTCTCATCCTCCCATCCCTAAGTCACAAATGGCAGAAAATCACATGTTAAAATTAATTAAACACAAATATGCATAGTATCTGATCAGAGAAAGTAAAAAAGTAGAGGGCTGTGGTTAAGAGGGAAGACTCTGAAGCCAGATTTTCTGGTTCAAACCCTGGCTCTGCCACTCCATCACTTAAGTTCTGTGTGTCTCAGTTTATCCAACTTTAAAATGAGAATGATGATGGTATCCACTTCAGTAGTTATGGTAGTGGTTTGGCTGTATAATAATAAGAACAAAAGTAATAGCCACTTACATGAAATAGAAGTTTGCTTCTCTTCAATACAGGAGTCAAGGGCTGATAAGGTGGCACCATGATTCTGTGGAGTTTGACTCCTTGTGTCTTTTTATTCTGCTCTCTCAAAAGGTGGCTTCCACCTCATGGACCATGATGGCTATTCCAGCTGCCACCTGGATATCTGCATTCTAGCTAGCAGAAGAGGATAAGAAAAAAGGGAATATGTCCTCATTTCCTTTAGGAGTATGATCCAGAAGTTCCCACATCACTCCCACTCACAATCCCATTGGCCAGAACCTAGTCAATGGCCACATCTAGTTTCAAGGGATGCCACATGCCTTGCTAAAACTTTATCGCTATAGCAAGAGGGGAGAACAGATACTGGGGGGAAAACTAGTAATCTCTGTCACCCCAGTGATTTAAAGCTGTGCAGATTAAAATAATTACATACAAAAACATTTAAAACAGTGCCTAAAACATAGTAAACCTGTGATGATTGTTAACTATTAAAACAATAACACTACTAGTGAATTACTATTCACTAGTGTTTTCTTACTACTTTTGTACTATATGTTCATGGACAGTGAGAATCATGCAAAGTATTTAGACCCCTTAACTTAAAAATAACTATGCATTAATATGAAATATATGTTAATTTTTTAAAACAAAAACAAATGAAAATTAAGAGAACAAAACTGTCTATCTAAACTTTCAATTATAAAAAGCTGCATAATTGTTATGGAACCAGTTTTGAGCAGTAGAATTTTTCTGTGTTATTTTCAGAAAATCTATATGTATACATCAAGATATTAACTAGGGAAATTAGAAACTGTGGAATTCAAAAAAATCAATGTTTATACGGGCCTATGATTGCTTACGGCTGAAGGGCACTGAGTTTCTTAACAGAAAGAGTTTACAATTATAGAGCTATTTTCTTTACAAAAGATAAAAAGATTTAATTTGCTGGCCTAGCACTTCTTTAATCCAGAAACACACCCAACAGTGTTCACTAACACCTATGAGTATTTCTGACAGAATAAGGAAAGCCTCCTAATCTAAATGTGAAAACAAAAAAAAAAAAAATGGAAGTAATCTTTTTAAACCAGCAAGTGACACAACTTTGGCCTGATTCACTGTGTATAAATTAGACTCTCTTCTTATATAAGAATCTTAGTTTCTTAAGGTTATCTCTAGCTCCTTAGGACAGTACAGAAGTTGATTTTTCTACCTTATGGATTAATTTATATTTTTATACTGTTTGTTACCATGAAACTTCATTAGAGTCTTAGAGATCTAGGTAGAACAGAGTGCTGGTTTTGGAGCCAGACTATCTGGGTTTAAATCCTAACTTTACTTACTGGCCGTGTGACCTTGGGCAAGTTACTTAACCTCTGTGTACATTAGATTTGTCATCTGAAAATAGAAACAATAATAGTATGTACCCCATATAGTAATTATGATGACTAATTAAAATAATATGCACAAAGTTTTTGGAGCAGAAGCATTCAGGAAGTGTTGGCTATTTAATTATTAATATTAACCAAGTCTTCTGAAAGTTTTACAGCATTGCAAATGTTAACCCTTTACTTTCACAAGGCTTTACCAACCACACAATTCTTTTATATCCACTGTCTCATTTTGTCTTCACTACTGTTCTCAACTGGGGTCAGTATCTCCATCTTAAACACAAGAAAATGGAGCCTCACTGACAGGAAATAACTTGTCTAAAGTCACCAGCCCTTCAAACCATAGAGCTGTGGTTCAAGTCTATGACTTGGCGCTCTTACAAATAAGCTTCCCTCCGCTTTAATCAAAGGAATACCAGTGGCGATGATACAGGAAACTGGGGTAATACGGTCCAGGCAGCTCCTATGGAAATAATCCTGAGCTATGCCATGTGACCATGCCTTTCTGGACACTCCTGATTAGGCCAGGGAGCGAGCACACGACTTGAGGGCAGTGCAAAAGCTCTACCCAGAGATGACAGCCACTTTCTATTCCAATCAGATTTTCTCTTTCAGAAATGTGTACATTTTTAGACCTGACATTGGCTTGGGAAAGAGACTCACTCCTGCTCCATAATCTTTATCACTCCCCACCTCAATTCCTTAACGTAGGCAATTTTATTAATAATGAAAACATCATTTTAAGGCCCTTTTCAAACCTCATGCCTGCCCTTGAGTCTCAGCCATACAGAAATCCCAAAGATGCCACTAAAAGGAGACTTGAGCAGTTCTTACCAGAAGCTGGAAACATACAAAGGGAGGCCAGGGTGCTCAGGTGGCAACATTCAGAAAGATGGCCCCGTGGTAATGTGGCTGGTAGCACCAGTACAGAGTGTGTTTCTGAATTATGTTAAACGCAAAAGATGAACAATATCTAAGTTCCTAGGGGCTAAAAGTTAACCCAGTTCCAGTTTCTGACTCAGTGTTAGATTCTGCCTATCTGGAAACCCATGAGTCTTGCTTCTTTAAGCTCCACAGGGCCTCCCTTGTTATTACACGAATGGCCCAAAGTAATTTGATTGAATCTTTTTTTCTTGCCACAAAGCCTAAGACAGAGAGATATGTAAAATATGCATTAAAAGCTATGTTAGGACTTTTTGAAACAGAAGTATTCTTTATTTTACATATTAAGCCATATAGACAGAGACACAAAGGGAGCTGATCTGCAATGAGACAGAAGAATGAGGCAGAAGCATCAGGAAAAAAATGCAGAGCGGCAGAATCCTTCCTTTCAGCTCGTCTTTCCCTTAGGTTTTCTGACACCCAATGGCCTTATAACAAATTCTATTTCGGGGGCTTAAGCTAGCTGAAATCAGATTTCTGTAGTTTACTACCAAAAATAGACCTAATGCCTATGTTTCTCATCTCAGAAATCTGTGGGGAATTCAACTGGATTCACTCTGGATGTGCAATTCAGATATAAATACATAAATTAGCTCCAAATATGCTATCTGAGAAACCTAGTGAAGCATTAGGTTTCACTGAAAATTATGAAATTAACTGTAACTGTCTTTGGTTTTGAGAAGATAGTCATGCACCCAGTGATATTCAACTAGGGTGACAATTGGCAGACAATGTTTAATAAATACTGTAATGTTTCTGAGCAAAGAGCACTGGCACCTGGGTTAACAGATCATTGAGGCCAGGCACAGTGGCTCACACCTGTAATCCTAGCACTTTTGGAGGCCGAGGCAGCCGGATCACTTGAGGTCAGGAGTTCGAGACGAGCCTGGCCAACATGGCAAAACCCCATCTCTACTAAAAATACAAAAATTAGCCAGGCATGGTGGCACGTGTCTGTAATCCCAGCTACCCAGGAGGCTGAGGCGGAAGAATCACTGGAACCCGGGAGGTGGAGGCTGCAGTGAGCCAAGATTGCACCACTGCACTCCAGCCTGGGTGACAAGCAAAACTCCATCTCAACAAAAAAACAGATAACTGAATAGCAATCTTAAAGATAGATACCTCCAATACCTCCAGAGACCCACAGATATTTAGCTCCTGGGAGTCACTCACTTACATTCCAGAGTGGTGAAGGTGATGAAGTAGACACCTTCCCCTTCTGGCCCCAGATAGGATTGGTTCACATTCCAGAGCAAAGTTATCTCTATCTCTATCTCTATCTCCCTAACTCTTTCTTTCACTCCCCAGCAAAGAGGATGTGCAGGCATGCCAGCTGCCCTATGTAAGTTCTGAGTTTCACAATGTGGTGTTCTGTCTTGTGCCACCTGTGCAGGTATATCTGACTCTCACAAAATTGCCACATGGGGAATTGGGGTGTGGGAACTGACCAAAGATGCTCTATTAAGAGAGATAAGAGATCTATTTTCAGATCTGACTAGAGGTCTTGTATTTCTGTTAGAGTGTAAAAGCATGCACACACACATAAATATGTACATACACACATACATGTATGCACATATGCAGACATATGGTAGCAGGCTAATTTGTTAGCTTGCAAGTATGTTAATGTCTCTAACTGTGTTCAGTTTCAAACTTAACACTGCATCCCAGATTGCCCAAGACAGTCCTAGTTTGTACCTGTTATCCAGAGTAATTAATATATCTTCTTTCAATCTCAAAAGTGTCCCTGTTTTGAAAGATAAAGTACATGGCCATCCAACATGTGACCCATATAATCTCAAGAAGGATCTTCAGGAAAGTACAATATTACCTAATTTTTTTGCAGTATTTGATATTTGGTAATTTACTCCTT
Organism: Homo sapiens; assembly: GCF_000001405.40. Classification (NCBI taxonomy): domain Eukaryota; kingdom Metazoa; phylum Chordata; class Mammalia; order Primates; family Hominidae; genus Homo; species Homo sapiens. The sequence goes on along the minus strand of NC_000006.12, from coordinate 71,577,349 downwards.
TAATTTTCCAGTTCAGGTTATTCTGGTTACATTGCCAGCGAAATAGTAAAATTGTTCCTTGAGGCGTCTACCTTTCAATTTCTGTAGAACTTGACGCTAGTGTTGAAGCACAGATCATCTTCTGCTTTGTTGTATAGTATATTTACTATACTTTTGTCCCCTGTACTTGTCCACAATATATTTCTTCATACATGTGTCTACTGACATTCATAGCGTGGAGTTCTACAAATAAATGATATATCTTTTGGATAAGGTAAATGATTATCCCCAAGTTTAACTGCTTCAAGATTCAGACTGTTTTCAGGTTTACTAACAATATGATTTACCAATGCCAAAGTTGTGCAGCACCAACTCTCATCTTGCAGTTTAAACAGGTTTGCTATTGGTTTTCCTCTACAAATGGAAGATCAAGACACAACATTAAATCATTTATCCCAGGTTAGTTGCAAAAGGGAAAACAAAATCACAAAATATAGCTACTAGAATTCCTGTTCAGCATTCTATCCTCAGTATGAATACATGTTTCTATGTTATGTGCTTGCTTTGTGGACATCTCTGTGTGGCTGTATTTCATTCATTATAAGACATGTGTATGAAATATTGAGCTGCCTTCAGTCTAATAACACAGCATTAATAATATTTCATTCTTAAGGATCATGTTTTATTTATAAAAGATAGGGGAAAGAAAACTGAAAGAGATACAGCTAAACAATAGAAGTAGGTATGACAGCTAGAGATTTTGGCAAATCATAAGCTGGAAAAAAAAACAAGAGTAAAGGTATCACTATTGATATTAATAATATATGCATACATGTATAAAGATAGTTCCAGAATTAGAAATTTTGTTCAGACCTAGGATGGGAATGTGAATGCATTTAATTAAGTTACAATATTTTTTAACCACCGGAAGGAGCATACTCCTTAAATTTAAAAACTAACACATATTAAATTTAATTTGATTTAAATTACAAAATTTTCTACAACTAGAAGAGCCGGGTTCGCCCACAAATTACAAAAATAATGTGTTTTCTTTGCCATTCATTCCCAGACAAAAATGTGAGGATTCTGTGGGGATGCAGGTGAGTAATATTTCCAGAGCCTGTTTAAGTAGGTAGCTGAGTGGGTAGCACAGGTTCCGAATGAACAAAGAAAAACCATGTTAAATTTATGCCCATGTAGTCTGAAAGAAAACAAATATTTAGTGGCCTAGCCCAACCCCCTTATTGTACTGAAGCAGAATTATGCAATGGATTGGGATGCAGAGCTGTAATTAGAAGTTGGGTGGCCTTATGTTTACTGGAATGCCGCACCAACTCCACTGTGACGCACGGTAGAGTGTTTCTTCATAGTGTTCCTTATAAAGAAACAGGGAGAAGTGGGAATAATGAAGGGAAAATGAGGGGAGAGAGAGAGACATGATCTCATCTATATTCACTGTAATTAATCTACCAAAACTATTTGTTCTGGTCCCTGAATTCAAATTCAGATAGTCTGAAAAGAGAACCCAAGCTTTTAAACACTCATGCAAAACGACCTTTCCTGAAACATTTAATAATATTAATAAATATATCTTACTTTTCAGTCTGTCAGGTTCATGTAATTATATATACTGTAATATGTTTGATTTAATGCATAACCATTGGCCTATGGGGTTTGAAATCCAGATCTTCCATTATATTACTTAGGTCATTGAGACTATGGAATAGAACTAGGGTGAGAGCAGTTTCTGTTAAGCTTCCTCCCCTTTTCCCAGAGGCAGGGAGAGAATTACTCTGTGCAAACTGCCTTAGGCTCTTTGGAGGACAGCTGCCATAATAATATGTATTTATAATCATTTTGGAAATGAATAAGGTAAGGGAATGTTAGTAGCACTAGTAACTAATCCAATTCTGAATTTTGAGAGTAAATGTCTGAACTCTAATTCTTCCTATGTCAGTTTTGGGTACTATAAAATGCAACCCAATTATAAAATGTTTCATTATAGCAGTCTTTTTGCTGTGTACCTAGTGGTGTGCGGAGTTTTTCTCTCACTGTAAAACAGATACCCCATAACCAATAAACACTAATTGTTAACAGGATCCTGCTGTGATGTTTAATATACAGGGAAAAAAAAAAAGAAAGAAGAAAATCTAAACTGCAGCCTTAGGCTGGAAGTCTGCAGCTCAGCCATTTTGCATTGTAGCCAGCCTAATATATTAAATATTTAGGCTTAGGGGATCCGTGAGAGTTTAGACCCAGCTATAATATTGGATTAACAATCAGGAAAAATAACTTACCATCTCAGAAGCGAAATTAAAGTAACAATAAACTATGTGATTGACTGAATGTTATAACTTTGAGCTATGTTTCAAAGATGTTCATCTTCCCATTGTCTCAAATAGTGAGAGTAAATTCATCATTTAATGTAATTTATCCAGTAACAAACAACCCAAGAATAAGAAAGCCTAATAAATTGTATAAATGTATTTTATTGATGCACAGCATTTTACATAACTCTATGTATATAGAAATATACCTCATTAATCCAGACACCACAATTTAGAGAATGAGTTAATATAGTTACTGAATAGTTTAGAAGTTGCTCAGACATAAGATCTCTGTTAGGATTAATGATGCAGCACTTAAACAAGTCAAGTCTGAAAGGGAGAGGAAGAAGCTCAATGCCTTAAGATCCTTTTAGTTTGATTTTTGTAAATGGATTACTATTTTGGAATTAAAATGTTGATAGTAAGTTGCGTTAAAACTCACTGGATAAGAAAGTATTGGGAAGCCAAATATTAACAGCATAGCTATTTGAACCTGATGAAGGTTTGAATCTCAGCTCTGCTCTCCCACTTATCTAGCCAAGCAAGTTATATTTAATGAAATTCTGCCTTTAGTGAACAAATGGGGAGAAACAGTTGCAATTCATTATCTCACTTATATATGGAATCTAAAAATGTCAAACTTACAGAAGCAGAGACTAGAATGGTGGTTGCCAAGGGTTGTGGGCGTGGAAAGAGGGGAGATGCTGGTTAAAGAGTACAAAGTCTCAGTTAAGATGAATACATTCTGAAGATCTATTGTACAGTATAGTCACTATAATTCATAATAATGTATTGTATACTTGAAATTGCTAAGAAAGTAGATTTTAATAGTTCTCATCACAAAAAATAGGTATGTGAGATAAAAGTTGCTAATAAGGTTGATTTAATAGTTTCAAAATGTATACAGATATCAAAGCATCATATTTTACATTGTAAATATATACATTTTTTATTTCTCAATTATACTTTAATAAAGCAGGTGGAAAACACTTGGAATGGAGTCTGTTCAAGAAAATCTTGACCGTATGGTCATCATGTATATGTTCTTACTAAAACTGATTCCAATATACACTGATTCATTAAATTACAGAAACCCAAAATATCCTTGACACTCAGGTATTTATTCCACAAATAAATTCCACCGCTGGTCCAAAATGATCCTAAAAGAAGACTGCCTGTGGGGTAGAAAGGAGAGACTCATCGCTCATAAAGGCCTGGAGAACAATTAATTTTGGCAAGTCTTTGAATATCTCAGAGCTTCATTGTCCTTTATTAATAAAATGGAGATAATAGAAACTCATAGGGTTCTGGGAAGAATTCAGTTAAATGAAATAATACTTCAATAAATAGTAACTTTTATTGATAGGCAAGGTATTAATATTAGCATAATTTTAAAAACAAATACTTGGTATAGATGTTCTAATTATAGTCATTTGAACATATCTAAGAAATTGAAATTCAAATTATTTTTTAAGCTGAAACTAGCATCACTTGTTAATCCATTCTAGTGTCCTTTAATAGTGTTAAAGAAGCTATGTTGCTCTTAATCTTTGCAGGTCAAAATTCAAAATGTAAATTATTTGCCTAAAATCACATGGCTAGATTATATCCCACGTCTTGATTCCTAGTCAATTATCTTTCTGTTATAATGATGGCTTTTATTCCTCTTCTTTTTGTTCTCTTTATTTTTCAACAGCAGAATTATTTTTTCAAATGAAATCTTGCCTTGAGTCACAATACTTAAAACAGAAAAAGTGTAAAGGGATCATTCTCCTTTCACCAATGCTTTCTTTTAACAATTTCACACCTTTCATACCTTTTTTGGGAAACCCTAAGGCTCTGTGAAATACAGGCTGCAAACTGTTGGGTTCTAGACTGCTGCGTTGTTTCTAAATGGCTCATTTGGGAGGAGAGGTTAAAAAAGTGAATATTCTTATTCACATTTTAAAGTAATAAATCTGGGCATGATACCATATTTTTCAAGGCTTTTCTATTATGAATTATTGAAGAAATTTAGGTTCAAGTATTAAACCTTACTACAAGGCTTTTTCTTCATGAAGCTTATGTGATAAAATATGTTCATCTAATTTAGAAGTGAGTACACTTTTTCCTGTTATTTTCTAGCCTCTTTAATACCTTTCATGCCATTTTATTTCTTCTAAAAATGTCAATTAGAATGTTATGAGTGTATATATATATGTATATGTGTGTGGGTATATATATGTGTATATATATGTATATATGTATATATGTACATATATATACATACATATACATGTATAAGTGTATACATATATATGTACGTGTATGCATATACATATATATGTACGTGTATGCATATACATATATATGTACATGTATGCATATACATATATATGTACGTGTATACATATACGTACATATATATGTACGTGTATACATATATACATATACATACATATATATGTATGTATATATACATATATACTATATACTATAGTATATATGTATATATACATATACATACTATATATGTATATATGTACATATGTATGTATGTATATATGTATATACCCACACACACATATATATAGCTTGCTCTTATATATGTAAGATATAAGAGAGCAAGCAATAAAGAAAATAAGTGCCTAGTATAGTTAGGCTAGTACTAAGCCTTTTATAGTTATTTTCTCACTTGTTTCTTACGTAACATGAATGTACCTAGGTCTCAAATGCCCATGGATAAGAATGAGGCTGTATTAATGTTAATATCCAGTCTTGTTTCTCTGTGTCCCACCTGCTCAGTACAGAATTCCTAATCTCTTGAAAACCTCCATTCATGTATTGCTGAATATATAGTATGTACAATATGTGTTCATGAACCCACTGAGTGATCACTTATCATTGGCTTCTTCCCTTCATCTTTCACCAGTGTTGCCTGCCCTCTTCACTGCCCTGGATGCCTCTGCCTCCCCAACCTCTGCATCCACGAAGAGCAGAATCTTCCCAGAATGAAAATGCAAACTAGGCAAGGCGCAGTGGCCCATGTCTGTAATCTCAGCACTTTGGGAGGCCAAGGCGGGTGGATTGCTTGAGGCCAGGAGTTCCAGACTAGCCTGGGCAACATAGCAAAACCCTGTCTCTACTAAAAATACAAAAATTAGCCAAGTGTGATGGTGCACACCTGTAAACACAGCTTCTTGGAAGGCTGAGGCATGACAATTGCTTGAACCCAGGAAGCAGAGGTTACAGTGAGCCAAGAGTGTACCACTGCACCCCAGCCTGAATGATACAAGACTCTGTCTCAAAAAAAAAAAAAAAGCAGCCTATGGAGTAGGAGGAAATATTTGCAGACTATATATCTAATAGGCATTAATCTCCAAAATATACATAAGGAACTAATAACTTGATTTAAAATTGGGCTTAAAAACTTAAATAGACATTTCTCCAAAGATATATAAATGGACAACAGATATATAAAATGATGCTCAATGTCACTATTCATCAGGGAGATGCAAATCAAAACCACAATGATATATCCTCTCACCCCTGTAAGGATGGCTATTATCATAAAAACAAAAGACAACAAGTATTGGTAAGAATGTGGAGAAATTGGAACCCTTGCACCCTGTTGGGAGGAATGTAAAATGGTGCAGCCACTATGGAAAACAGTATGGAGGTTCCTCAAAATATTAAAAATAGAACTACCATCCAATCCAGCAATCCCATGACTGGGTATATATCTGAAAGAACTGAAATCAGGATCCGAATGAGATACCTGCACTCCCATATTCACTGCAGCACTATTTATAATTACCAAGATGTAGAAACAACCTAAGTGTTTATTGAAATATGAATCAATAAAGAAAATGTGGCATATACATATAATGGGATACTATTCAACCTTAAAAAAAAATGAAATTCTGGCTGGGTGCGGTGGCTCACGCCTGTAATCCCAGCGCTTTGAGAGGCCAAGGTGGGTGGATCACCTGAGGTCGGGAGTTCGAGACCAGCCTGACCAACATGGAGAAACCCCGTCTCTACTGAAAATACAAAATTAACCAGGCATGGTGGTGCATGCCTGTAATCTCAGCTACTTGGGAGGCTGAGGCAGGAGAATAGCTTGAACCCAGGAGGCGGAGGTTGTGGTGAGCCGAGATTGCGCCATTGCACTCCAGCCTGGACAACAAGAGTGAAACTCCGTCTCAAAAAAAAAAAAAAATTCCACAAAATGGACAACATGGATGAGCCTTGCGGACATTATGCTAAGTGAAATAAGCCAGTCACAGAAAGATAAATACCGTAAGATTCCATTTATATAGGGTATCTAGAGTGGTCAGACTCATAGAATCAAAGCGTGGAATGTTGGTTACCAGGGGCCGAAGGGAGGATGAAATAGGAAGTTATTAATCAATAGGGTTAAAGTTTCCATTAAACAAGATGAATAAGCTCTAAAGATTCCCTGTACAACATATACCTCTGATAAACTACAATGTATTGCACACTTAAACATTTGTTAAGAGGGCAGGTCTTATGCTAAGTATTCTTACCACAGTTAAAAAGAAAAGAATCCTCTCAATTCACCTCTGCTCTTGAGATGGCTCTTGTCAACTGGTAGCATGAAAGGACTGAGATGGAAACCACCACAGCTCCACTGAGGAATGCTCTGGGGAATGGAACAGCATAGTTAGTTGGAACCTAAAGTATTACAAAGTGCGAGAGCACCTTCAACTCTCAGGAAACTCTTGAGTCAGAACTTTTTGTAATCATTTCCTGAGCTCTGTCCAGAATGACTGGTCCCCTCATAGCACTTCCCATTGCTGAATAAAGTGGATTCATTGTATTACACTTCTTCTCCCCCTTATGAATTCTCAGGGCTTCCAAAATCACATCACCAAAATTGTCTTGTTTGTCACACTTTCCCCAAGCCAGATAAAAATTATTTGTTTCTGAATCTTGGTTGTGAACAAAGTTCAGGGATTTTTGGTTTTGTTTGTTTAGTTTATTGTTTTTGTTTGTTTTTGCATTTCATATTTGTATTTCCTAGAAGTTTTCTCATTTCAAAGATAAAGCAGGATATTTAAATAGATACTTAGGGAAGAGGGAATATTGCTTAACTCATGCCAGACCTAAGTCTCAGTTATAACACAGAACATACTTCTATCAACCTTGGGTGTTATTATCCCCATTTTACAGAATAAAAAGAGGTACAAAGTAATGATGTAACCTATGAAGCAACATAGCTAGCAAATGACATGGCTGAGATTTGAGCCCAAGTAGGCTCTGATTAGAAAGCTCATGATTTTTTCCTATTTGACAATATTTCTCTTTACTATTACGCTGTATTTAGGCTAAGCTAACTTGCACTAGGTAGCAAGTGGAGGATGTTTGCTATTTAATGAAGGCCCTGTGTGTCAGTAGCTTTAGACCTTATATCATGGTTCTAGCAACAAATTTGCAAGGTACGTTTTGCCATCCCCATTTACTTATGAGGACTATCCTGAATCTGGCTGCCCAAAATCAGATTCTGAAATGAAGATTCTTGTGCGAGCGATTTTTGAAAGAAGAACTCCCAACAAAATAGGGAAGAGGGTGAGGGAATCAAGGAAAAGGACAGAAAGAAGCCAGATATGCGTAGGATTTCAGTCAAAGTCCTGCTTCATGAAACCTCGTATGGCAAGAGACCTCTGCAATGGCAGGCAAGACTTTCTAACTCCCACAACTGTCAGTCATCAGCTAAGGACCACGGAGGTGTAAGGATGGGGGCTGGGTGTGAAAATGAACTAGCAGGCCAACAGAAGTCAGGGTAAGGGCCCACCAAGACAGTAAAAGGGACACCAGAAGATCAAGGTGGAGCACCACTTTGCATATTGGAAAGTAAAGTAACTTGCTAAAGTTCACAGAGACAGCGGGAATCTGAGCCAAGATTCCACGGCAGATACTTTCTGTAATACCCTACTAATGTTATCTAATAACAAAATTTATCTCCTAAAAAAGATTATTTGGTTTTAGAAAGTTTGAATTGTCAGATAACTATCAATGTCTATAGAAGTTAGATGGGGATATGCACATCGTGACTATACATTTTTTATATCCTTGAATTATATAGTTTCAGATAGTTTTTAAAATGATTGTTGAATGAATTATTAAATGTATGTTCTAAGGTATTTAACCTTATAAATTCAACAATCAGGAAAAAATATTTTAAGGTTGTATGTCTCCATTTTTTTCCTGGCTTTCTCCTGTATTTTTTTTTTAAAAAACAGCTTTCTTAAGGTAAAATTGACATAAATAAAGTGCCCAATTATATATATATGGGTGTATTATGAAATCACACCACAATCAAAATAAAGATCATATCTATCACCCGCAAAACGTTCCTCATGTCCCTCCTTCCCATTCTTCCTCATACCACTCACCCATCTCCCATTATCAGGCAACAATGATCTGAATTTGGTCACTGTAGATTCATTCGCATTGTCTAGAATGTTATATATTAATAAATAAAATCACAAGGTTTATACTCCATTTCTCTGGCTTCTTTCACTCAGCATAATTATTTTGAGATTCATTCATGGGTGTCCAAACTTTTGCCTTCCCTGGGCCACACTGGAAGGAGAATTGTCTTGGGCCACACATAAAATACACCAACACTGACTATAGCTGATGAGTTTTAAAAAAAAAAAAAAAAAGGTTTGTGGATAATTTTCGTGATATGTGCCACCACAGATAAGCAAAAAAGTTTTCACATTCCAAGGGTTGGACACAGCTGAAAGTTATACTATGTATCTATAGGCTACTCATTATTATGAATTAGTAGTATCCCACTGGACAATCGGGACATGAGCATATTTATTTAATCACATCTGGATGGACATTTCTGTTGTTCCCAGCTTGGGAATATTACAAATAAAGCTGCTATGAACATTTGTACAAAACTCTTTGTGTGAATATATGTTTACATTTCTTTGGGGTAAACACCTAGGAATAGAATGACTGGATTGTATAGTAGGGAATATATTATAATAGATCCCCTTATTCATGGAAGATGTGTTTCAAGACCCCCAGTGGATGCCTCAAACCATGTATAATATCAGACCCTATATATACAGTACTATGTTTTATTCTATATATGCATGTTTATGATAAAGTTTAATTTATAAATTAGGCACAGTAAGAGATTAACCATAATAATTAATAATATAATAAAATAATACTAAGACAGTAGATCTCATAACCAAGATGGCTACTAAGTGACTGATGGGCATGTAGTGTATACAGCACACAAATACTGGACAAAAGGGTGATTCATGTCTTAGGCAGAACAGGGCAGAGTGGTAAAGATTTCATCATGCTACTCAGAATGGTGTGCAATTCTTGATTTAAAACTTATGAATTGTTTATTTCTAAAGTTTTCCATTTAATATTTTTGGACCACAGTTAACTGCAGACACCTGGAACTGTGGGAAACAAAACTGAAGATAAGAGAGAAGTACTGTATCTATTTAACTTTTAAACAAAGTACCAAATTGTTTTCCAAAGTGTTTGCAACTTTTTACATTCCCACCAGCAATGCATGAGTTCTAGTTCTTTCACATACATGCCAACACTTGGTAAATTTAGTTTGTCTTTTTTAGTTTAATGATTGTAAAAGGTTTATAATGGTATAGTGTCATTTTTATTTGCATTTCTCTCATGACCACTGATGGTCAACATATTTTTTTGTGTGTGCTTACTTGCCATCCTTATATCTGGATTACTGAAATGTCTCTCCAAGCATTTTTCCAATTTTTACCTTAGGTTGTTTTCTGTCTTAACACATTTGGAATACTATAACAAAATATTATAGACTGGGTGGCAAAAAACAACAAAAATTTATTTCTCGTAGTTCTGGAGGCTGGGAAGTCCAAGGCACCAGCAGATTTAGTGGCTGGTGAGGGCCTGCTGCTATTTCACAGACAATCATCTTCTCCCTATATCCTCACATGGCAGAAAGGGTGAGGGAGCCCTCCTAAGTGTCTTTTATGAGAGCATTTATCACCTATTGATAAACCGTCACAATAGGGGTTAAGATTTCAAGATATGAGTTGGGAGTGGGTGCACAAATATTCACCCTATAGCATTTTCTTAACTTTGAGTTTGAGAGTTCTTTGTGTAATATGGATACAAGATTTTTATTAGATTTGAAAATACTTTCTCAAAATCTGTGGCTTTTTTTTTTTTCATTCTCTTAACAGTATCTTTGAAAAAGCAGTTTTAAATTTACATGAAGTCAAATTAATTATAGTTTTGGTATATTATCTCAGCAACTTCTGCCTAACCCAAAGTAACAAATATTTTCTCATATGCTTACTTTTATAAGTTGCCTGGTTTGAGTTTTACATTTAGTTTTATAATCCGTTTTGAGTCAACTTTTATATATGTTATGAGACATAAATAGAAGTTATTTTTTGGGCATATGGATATGGTCTTTTTTCAGTATCACTCAGTGCAAACAATATTCTTTCTCAACTGAATTTACACTTCACCTTTGTTGAATAGCCTTTGTTCATACATGTGTGAATCTATTTTTGAGTTCTCTATCCTTTTCCATTATTCTATTTCCCTCTCTTAATGCAAATACCACACTGTCTTAATTACTGTAGCTTTATAAGATTCTTGAAGTTGGGTAATTTTGATTCTACAACTTCCTTCTTTTTCAAGGTTGTTTGGTCTATTCTCAACCCTCTGCATTTTCACATGAATTTTAATGCCAGTTTCTGAACTTCTGCAAAACAAAAACAAAAACCCCTCTGGCATTTTTATTGAATTGATTCTGTAAACCAATTTGGGAGATTTAATGTCTTAACAGTATTGAGCCTCTGAACTCATAGACATATTATGTTTCCCTATTTACTTAGGGCTTCTTGAATTTCTCTCAGCTATGTTTTACAATTTTCAGTATGTGGATCTAGGGCATCTTTTGTCAGATTTATTTCCAGGTATTAAATATTTGATGCTATTTTAAATGATATTTTAAATTGTAATATCAGATTTTTTTATTGCTAGTATACACAATTGATTTTTTTAAAAGTGATCCTGTATCCTGTAACCTTGCCATTAGCATTTATTAGTCCTGGTGTTTTTTGAATAGATTCCATCTATGAGTTTTGCTTCATGTATTTTGAAGCTGTTATTAGATGCATGAAAACATTTTGTATTTCTAAGTCTTCCTAAAGAATTGATCCTTTATCATTATGAAATAACTTTCTTTATCCATGAATATATTTATACATAGATTTCAGAGCAAGAGTTTTTCTGATACTAATATATCCATTCCAGGTTTTCTTAGTTAATGTTCATATGGTATATGTTTTCTATGCTTTCATTTATTTATTTTTTACCTATTTGTATCTTTATTTTTAAAGGGTGTTTTTTGTAGGCAGCATAGAGCTGGGTCTTGGTTTGTTATCCAGTCTGATAACTGCTGATTTAATTGAAGTATTTAGATAATCTACATTAAATATTATTATTGATATGGTCAGATTTAAACCTATAATTTTGATATTTGTTTTATATTTATTCCATCTGTTTTTTTTCTTCCCTTTCTGAATTAATTTAATGTTTTAAGTGATTCAATTACATCTTCAATTGGCTTATTAGATCTAGCTCTTTATTTTTTATTTTAGTAGTGGCTGTAGGATTTATAGTATACATCTTTAACTTATCACAGTATATTTTCAAGTTATATTATATTACTTTGTTATAGCATAAGAATGTTACAGTGTTATGTTACTCTAACTCTCATCCTTGCTTTTGTGTTATTATTACAATATGTTTTACATTTTCAAATGCTATAAACTCCACACTACTTTGCTATTGTTTTTGTTTTAACAGCCAATTATTTTTTGAACAGATTTTTTACAATAGGAAAAAAATCTCACATGCTTATTCATTCAGTTATAATTTTCAGTGCTTGCTGTTTCTTTGTGTAAATCTGTATTTCCATTTGATATATTTCTCCCTCTCACTAAAGGACTTTTTTTGATGCTTCCTGTATTGCAGACCTGCTAATGATGAATTTTTTTCAGCTTTTTAAAATATTCTATGAAATTTTTATTTCATTTAAGTTTTCAAATATATTTTTACTATGGAATTTGGGGTTAATGTTTTGTCTTATATAACACATAAAAATGTTGCTTCACTGTCTTCTCACTTGCATTGTTGATGAAAATAAAATTCTGTCATTCTTTGTTTCTCTTATGTGTCTTTTTTGTTCTGGCTGATCTTAAGATTTTCTCTTCCCAGTAGTTTTAGCAATCTGATAAAAATGTGCTTTCTTGCAATTTTCTTCATAATTTTTGTGCTTGGGATTTATTGAATTTCTTGAATATGTGCGTTTATGGCTTTTATCAATTTAGAAAAATCTTGACCATTATTTCTTCGAAGTTTTTTTATTTTCTCTCTCTTCAGGGATTCTAATTGCATACATAGATCACTTAATATTTCTCTACAGCTTATCAATGTCCTGTACTTTGTTATTTGATTCTTTTTCCTCTGTGTGTTTTACTTTGAATTATTTCTATTGCTTTAACTTCAAGTTCACTATATTTTCTTCTGCAATGCTAATTTGTCATCAGTCTTATCCATCATACTTTTCAACTCACATATTTTAGTTTTCATCTCTAGAAATTTGATTTGGGCATTTTTTATATCTTACATGTATTCACTTAACTTTTGGAACATATTATATACAACCATAATAATTGTTTAATGTCCTCTTCTGCTATTCTATTTTCGATGTCAATTCTTGGTCAGTTTCAATTGCTTATTCTTTTCATTATGGATCTTGATTTTCTGCTTCTTGCATGCATGATAATTTTTATTGGATGCCAGACATTGTGTTACCTTGTTGAGTACTGAATTTTTTGTATTGCTATAAATATTCTCAGCTTTTGTTCTAGGATACAATTATCTGCAAACAGTTTGAGTAAGTCAGATCCTGCTTTTAAGATTTGTTATGCAGGACTGGAGCCGTGCTCAGTCTATGGCTATTTCCTACAACTGAGGAAAGGCCCTGTGTACTTTACTCAATGCCCTATTAAGTAAAGATTTTTTATTCCGGCAGGTAGAAACTGGCACTATTCTTAGCCCTGTGTAATTGCTGGATGCTATTCCCTCTAATCCTTTCAAGGAGCTATTTTCTGGACCTTGAGTAGTTTGCTCACTTGAATACACTGATCAGGACTCTTTTTTTTGAGACGGAGTCTTGCTCTGTCACCCAGGCTGGAGTGCAGTGGCGCGATCTCTGCTCACTGCAAGCTCCGCCTCCTGGGTTCAGCCCATTCTCCTACCTCAGCCTCCCGAGTAGCTGGGACTACAGGCGCCCGCCACCATGCTCGGCTAATTTTTTGTATTTTTAGTAGAGACGGGGTTTCACCGTGTTAGCCAGGATGGTCTCAATCTCCTGACCTCGTGATCCACCCGCCTCAGCCTCCCAAACTGCTGGGATTACAGGCGTGAGCCACCGCGCCCGGCCAGGACTCTTTAACTTTAACTTCAAGTTCATTATATTTCCTTCTGCAATGCTAATATCCAAAGATACCAAAGAATACCTTATTCAGATCTTCAGAGTTATTTCTCTGTACAGATCTGTCTTATCCAGCACTCTCGTCCAGCAAACTCTAGTAACTATATTCTCTTGGACTGTTAGCTCTGTCTCCTCAACCCAGGGAGATCACTGGGTTCCCCTCCCTACACCACAACCTGGAAACACACTCAAGGTTCTAATGTTGTACACCTTGTTCATTTCCTCTCTCCCAGTAATCACTGTGATGCATTGCCTGATGTCCAATATATTGAAAACCATTGTTTCTGCACAGCAAAAGAAACTACCATCAGAGTGAACAGGCAACCTACAGAATGGGAGAAAATTTTCGCAACCTACTCCTCTGACAAAGGGCTAATATCCAGAATCTACAATGAACACAAACAAATTTACAAGAAAAAAACAAACAACCCCATCAAAAAGTGGGCAAAGGATATGAACAGACACTTCTCAAAAGAAGACATGTATGCAGCCAAAAGACACATGAAAAAATGCTCATCATCACTGGACATCAGAGAAATGCAAATCAAAACCACAATGAGATACCATCTCACACCAGTTCGAATGGCAATCATTAAAAATCAGGAAACAACAGGTGCTGGAGAGGATGTGGAGAAATAGGAACACTTTTACACTGTTGGTGGGACTGTAAACTAGTTCAACCATTGTGGAAGTCAGTGTGGCGATTCCTCAGGGATCTAGAACTAGAAATATCATTTGACCCAGCCATCCCATTACTGGGTATATACCCAAAGGACTATAAATCACGCTGCTATGAAGACACATGCACACGTATGTTTATTGTGGCACTATTCACAATAGCAAAGACTTGGAACCAACTCAAATGTCCAACAACGATAGACTGGATTAAGAAAATGTGGCACATATACACCATGGAATACTATTCAGCCATAAAAAATGATGAGTTCATGTCCTTTGTAGGGACATGGATGAAATTAGAAATCATCATTCTCAGTAAACTATCACAAGGACAAAAAACCAAACACCGCATGTTCTCACTCATAGGTGGGAATTGAACAATGAGAACTCATGGACACAGGAAGGGGAACATCACACTCTGGGGGCTGTTGTGGGGTGGGGGGAGGGGGAAAGGATAGCATTAGGAGTTATACCTAATGCTAAATGACGAGTTAATGGGTGCAGCACACCAGCATGGCACATGTATACATATGTAACTAACCTGCACATTGTGCACATGTACCCTAAAACTTAAAGTATAATAATAATAAAATAAAAAAAAAAACCATTGTTTCATATTTGTACTTTTTTTTTGTTTTGGCCAGACTGTAAATCCAGTTCCTGTTATTACATCTCGATTGAAAGCATAACTTCTTCATGATTTTTTAAAATTAGAAATATGGTTACTTTAGACATGTAGGAGTAAGAAGAAAATTGCCAAATACAAATATAAACCTCAATAAGGTGTCACCTTTGAGAATTCAAGGACAATACAAAGACACAAGTAATAGGGGATAACAGGAAAAGATAGCACATCATAAATAGTTCTGAATCAACAAAGCACAAAGATTTTTCCTTTTTAAACATTTCATACCACAACAGTAGCAGCATCGTCTGGTCACAGTACATTTATATAAGGCTGACCTGCCTTAAAATGCATGAACCAACCTTTATTTAGAATTAATTTTTGATCCTTTAACCTTTTATAAATTCTTAGCTTCAAAATGTCAAAAAGCTTCAAAAGTTTACTCAAAGTGATGTAATTACTTTTCATGGTCAAATTCTGCGTTGTGCTTTTGAATAATGACTATGATTATGACACCTGTTTTAACTTACACTACTTTTTTTTTTTTTTTTTTTTTTTTTTTTGAGATGGAGTCTCGCTCTGTCCCCAGGCTGGAGTGCAGTGGCATGATCTTGACTCACTGCAAGCTCCACTTCCCGGATTCACGCCATTCTCCTGCCTCAGCCTCCTGAGTAGCTGGGACTACGGATGCCAGCCACCACGCCCAGCTAAATTTTTGTATTTTTAGTAGAGACGGGGTTTCACCGTGTTAGCCAGGATGGTCTCCATCTCCTGACCTGGTGATCCACCTGCCTTGGCCTCCCAAAGTGCTGGGATTACAGGCGTGAGCCACCATGCCCAGCCCAACTTATGCTACCTTTCTTATATTTCGTATACATTGTAAATGGAAGTGACTTAAGAGTGATTTTGTATTGATTCAATCTACTACAATGTTACGTCTAAACAAATATTGTCCTGCAATACCTAAACCATTAAGCAAATAATTTTGGAATTGATCTCAAAAAAAAAATTTGAGCCAACCAGAAAATCTGTCCAATTATTTTACTTCTTATTTCCTGCCTGCACTCTTAGCTTCTGCTCCGTTTTGCTCTATACTTTGCCCTATGAAGCTTGAGCAAGCAAAAACAAACAAACAAACAAACAAAACCCATGTAAGGATCTGCAGGTAGGTATTCATTACTAAGAGCTGTGCCCAACAGATGGCAGAGATGATAAGGTCTTAGTGAACTGGGCACTAAACCCAGTCAAAAATGAAGATGATGAGTAATGTCAGCAAGATGGCTGACTAAAGGTGCCTAATGCTTGTCACCTCATAAAAAGGACCAAAACAATAAATAAGCAACTACATTTCAGCTAGAGTCTAAAGGAGAGCACTGGAGTATGGGCGGGGGTGGAGGTGGTACAGAAAATGATATGGAGAACAGAAACTCAGATTGGTAGCATAGAGAAGGGAAGAAAATGATACACCTCTTCCATCTCATCTCCCTAGTTGAGATCAGCTCCAAACTAAGAAAGACTCCTCCATGCAGGGAAAAGGTAAACAGGAGGCCCCCTCCGTTTGCCACTCCATTACCGCTGTAGATACCTGAAGTCTCTACTACTGGACAATTCTGCAGTAATACAAGGCCCTGAGCCAAGTTTAGGGAACTGCCTGGAGTTCACATGGCTGCATTATTCCAGAGGAGGAACCCACCCCAAACCCCCAGGACCCATCAACCCCACTGTGATGCAAGCTGCTCTGACACACTGCCAAATTGAAACTGAAGTCACTGCTAGAGTACATTCTGTTCAGGGGGACAGTAGCCACTGTGCTCCTCCATTTCTGAGGCTGCACTGCCATTCCACCATGCTTACACACCTGGCTACAGTGCCACAATATCAATAATTGGAAGCTAGGCAGTATAACAGCTGTAAGCCCAACACCCAAGCCAATGTAGTGTCCTATTCTCCAGTGTACAGGTGGTTCTGCACAACAGGGATGCTGAGGCAAAACCAATGAACCCCCTTCGTTTGAGAAGCAGCCCACCGTCCTGGCCCCAGCAAAGCCATACCACTGCCACCACAAACTTCTATAGCCGAGGCCACTGAGAAACTCACAGGCATCACTGGCATTGATTACAGCTGAAGAAACCCCATAAGCATACTCTGCACCTACCTAGAACCAAAGCCAATGCACACTACTCAACTGACATCCTAGGACACATCTGCAAGGAAAAAAAAATAACTTTCTCTAAAAAAGCTACCCCATAAAAATGCAAGAAACAACTCTCTCACCAGATGTGCAGATATCAAGATAGGGACACAAGAAACAAAAAAGCAAGAAAACATAACACCCTCAAAGAAGCACAATAATTCTCTGATAACTGACCTCAAAAAGCAAAAGAAAATTTAGGAAATGCCTGAAAGGGAGTTTAAAATAATAATTTTAAGGAAATTCAATGAGACACAAGAGAATACGGGAAATGAAATGAGGAAAACAATTCATAATCTGAATGAGACAGTCAACAAAGGGACAGATATTATTATAAGGAACTAAACAGAATTCTTAGAGCTGAAGAATTCAATAAATGAAAGGAACAATACAACTCAATACAACTACCACCTACAACAGCAGACTGGATCAAGCAAAAAAAAAGGAATTTTTGAATTTAAAGACAGATATTTTGAGATAACCCATTCAGAGAAAACAAAAATTAAAAAGAATAAAGAATGCCTACAGATCTTATGAGACACGATTAAGTAAATATTCACTATGCAATTTTCGGAAGGAGGAGATAGGGAAAGGCACAGGAAGCTTATTTAACAAAATAATAGCTTAAAATTTCCCAAATCTTCTGAAAGATACAGACATCAGACCTAGGAAGTTTAATGGTCAAATTCAATGCAAACGGGTCATCCCCAAGGGACATTATGATCAAACTTGAAAAGTCAAAGACAAAGACAGAATTCTAACATTAGCAAGAGAAAAGTGTCAAGTCAGATATAAGGGAATCCCCATTAGACTATGAGCACATTTCTTAGCAGAACCTTGTAGGCCAGCAGACAATAGGACAATATAATCAAAGTGCTGAAAGAAAAAAGAAATAGTTATATCTTGTCATCACTGCTCTGAGTTCTCTGCTCCTAGACACCCAACATCTGTGGTGCTGTGACTGGCAGGTATTGGGATATCCATAGCTAAGATGCCAGGATCCTGAGAAGCCTATAATGGACAAATAAAATTGGGTGATGTGGCCACATAAAAATCATCATGTGCCCTCAGCTTCCTGACCAACCTGGTGCTTCTGCATGTGGTCCTGCATGGCTTGTTGTGCCCCCTTATCTTGGAACTACTTACAGAAACATTATAATAACAAAGAAGTCCTGGCTGCAGCTGGTGCTCTCTTGAAAGTGCCAAATCCTGACTGGAGACTAACCAACTTAGGTTATTATAGCAACTCATGACATAATAACCCTGATCCTAGGAAGAAGAAGACAACAGCTAATTCCACTGCCTGCAACATCCTGGATAACCAGAGGTTTTTTTTTTTCTTCTGAGACAGATTCTTGGTCTGTTGCCCAGGATGGAGTGCAGTGGCATGATCTCCACTCACTGCAACCTCCACCTACTGGGTTCAAGTGATTCTCCTGCCTCTGTTTCCCCAGTAGGTAGGACTACAGGCACACACCACCACACCTGGCTATTTTTTGTATTTTTAGTAGAGACGAGGTTTTGCCACGTTGGCCAGGGTTCTCAAACTCCTGACCTCAGGTGATCCACCTGCCTCGGCCTCCCAAAGTGCTGGGATTACAGGCGTGAGCCACCATGCCTGGCCAACCAGAGGTGTTGAGTGTGTCCACACAACAAATTCACTGCTAGCATAACCAGCATTAGAGAAAGCCAGAACACTAAACATATCTACAACCAAGGACTCTCACAGAGTCTACGTCACCTCCACTAGATCAGGTGCTGGTATCCATGGCTGGGAGACCTGAAGACAGATCACATCACAGTACTCTTTGCACACATTCCCCAGCACCAGCCCAGAGCCCAGTATCCCCACTGGGTGGCTAGAGCCAGAAGAGCAATAACAATCATTGCAGTCTGGCTCTTAGGAAGCCCCATCCCCAGGGGAAGGGGGAGAGCACCATATCAAGGAATCACCCTGTGGGACAAGAGAATCTGAACAGCAGGCCTTGAGTTCCAGACTTTCTAATAAAATAGTTCACCCAAATGAGAAGAAACCAGAAAAGTAATTCCAGTAAGATGACAAAACAGGGCTCTGTAACACCCACAAAAAATAATACCAGCTCCCCAGCAATGGATCCAAACCAAGAAGAAATCTCTGAATTGCCAGATAAATAATTCAGAAGGTTGTTTATTAAGCTACTCAAGGGGATACCAGAGAAGGGTGAAAAACAACTTAAAGAAATTTAAAAAACAATACAAGATATGGATGAAAAATTCTCCAGAAAAATAGATCTTATAAGAAAAAACAATCACGACTTCTGGAAATGAAAGACAAATTTAGAGAAATACAAACTGCACTGGAAAGTTTCAACACTAAACTAGAACAAGTAGAAGAATAAACTTCAGAGCTTGAAGGCAGGCTTTAGAATTAACCCAATCAGACAAAGACAAATAAAAAAGATTTTGATAAATGAACAAAACTTCATAAATGAAGCAGCGATAAAGTCTTTTTCAGACAAAGGCTGAGAGAATTCACCACTACTAACCCAGAATTACAAAAAAAATGCTAAAAGAAGTTCTAAATCTTGGAACAAAACCTTGAAATATACCAAAATAGAACTTCCTGTATTAGTCCATTCTCATGCTTCTCTGAAGTAATACCTGGGAATGGATAATTTATAAAGAACACAGATTTAATTGACTCACACTTCTTCATGGCTGGGGAGGCCTCAGGAAACTTACAATCATGGTGGAAGTCACCTCTTCACAGGGGAGCAGGAGAATGAGGGCCGAGAGAAGGGGGAAGCCCCTTATAAAACCATCAGATCTCGTGAGAACTCACTCACTATCACAAGAACATCATGGGGAAAACTGTCCATGATTCAATTATCTCCACCTGGTCCCACCCTTGATGCATGGGGATTATTAGAATTCAAGGTGAAATTTGGGTGAGGACACAGAGCCAAACCATATTAGTCCACCCCGTCCCCTCCCAAATCTCATGTCTTCACATTTCAAAACACAATCATGCCCTTTCAACAGTCCCCCAAATTCTTAACTCATTAACTCAAAAGTGCACAATCCAAAGTCTCACCTGAGACAAGGCAAGTTTTCAAAACTAATCATGTTTTTCCCCAAATCACACCAAAGTCTTAACTCATTCCAGATTTAATTCAAAAGTCCAATTCCAAAGTCTCATCTGAGACAAGGCAAGTGCCTTCTGTCTATTAGCCTGTAAAATCAAAAGCAAGTTAGTTACTTCTTTGATAAAATGGGGGTACAGACATTGGGTGAATATACCCATTCTAAAAAGGAGAAATAAGCCAAAACAAAGGGGCAACAGGCCCATACAAGTCTGAAATCCAGTAGGGCAGTCTTCTAAGCTTAAAGTTCCAAAATGATCTCCTTTGACTCCATGTCTCACATCCAGGTAATGCTGATGCAAGAGGTTGGCTCCCATGGCCTTGGGAAGCTCCTCCCCTGTGGCTTTGCAGGGAACAGCCCCTCTCCCAGCTGCTTTCATGGGCTGGCACTGAGTGTGACTTTTCCAGCACACAGTGCAAGCAGTCGGTGGATCTACGATTCTGGGGTCTGGAGGATGGTGGCCCTCGTCTCACAGCTCCACTAGGCAGTGCTTCAGTGTGGGAGCTTCAACCCTACATTTCCTCTGCACTGCCCTAGCAAAGGTTCTCCATGAGGGCTCCTTCCCTGCAGCAAACTTCTGTCTGGACATCCTGGAATTTCCATACATCCTCTGACATCTAGGTGCAGATTCCCAAACCTCAATTCTTGACTTCTGTGTGCCCACAGGCTCAATACCACATGGAAGCTGCCAAGGTTTGGGGCTTGCACTCTCTGAAACCATGGCCGGAACTGTATCTTGGCCCCTTTTAGCCATGGCTGGAGCACCTAGGACACAGGGCACGAAGTCCCTAGGCTGCACACAGCAGGGGACCATGGGACCATCCCATGAAACCATTTTTATCTCCTAGGCCTCCTGGCCTGTGATGGGAGGGGCTGCTGTGAAAGTCCCTGATATGCCGTGGAAACATTTTCCCCATTGTCTTGGTGATTAACATTTGGCTCCTCATTACTTATGCAAATTTCTGCAGCATACTTGAATTTCGCCCAAGAAAAAGGTTTTTCTCTTCTATTGCACCATCAAGGTGCAAATTTTCCAAACTTTTATGCTCTGCTTCTTCTTGAATGCTTTGCTGCTTGGAAATTTCTTCTGCCAGATACACTAAATCATCTCTCTCAAGGTCAAAGTTCCAAAGAACTCTAGGGCAAGGGCAAAATGCCATCAGTCTCTTTGCTAAAGAGTAGCAAGAATCACCATTATTCCAGTTCCCAACAAGTTCCTCATCTCCATCTGAGACTACCTCAGCCTGGACTTCATTGTCCACATCACTATCAGCGTTTTGGTCAAAGCCACTTAGCAAGTCTCTAGGAAGTTCAAAACTTTCCTACATCTTTCTATCTTCTGAGCCCTCCAAGTGTCTAGGAAGTTCCAAGCTTTCCCACATTTTCCTGTCTTCTTTCGAGCCTTCCAAACTGTTTCAACCTCTGCCTGTTTTCCAGTTCCAAAGTCACTTCCACATTTTTGGGTATTCTTATAGCAGCACCCTACTCTCTGCAGTGTCAATTTAATGCATTAATGCATTCTCAAGCTGCTATGAAGAAATACCCAAGACTGAGTTATTTATAAGGAAAAGAGGTTTAATTGACTCACAGTTAGGCATGGCTTGGGAGGTCTCAGGAAACTTACAATAATGTTGGAAGCACCTCTTCATGGGGTGGCAGGAGAGAGAATGACTGCCAAGTGAAGGGGGAAGCCCTTTATAAAACCATCAAATCTCATGAAAACTCACTCACTATCATGAGACCAGCATGGGGGAAACTGTGCCCATGATTCAATTATCTCTACCTGCTCCCACCCTTGAAACATAAGGATTAATACAATTCAAGGTGAGATTTGGGTGGGTACACAGAACCAAACCGTATTATCTCCTTAAAGCATAAATTTTACAAGGCCTATAGAACAATAACTCACACACAAAACAAAAGATACTAAGACAACAACTAACATGATAACTATAACAGTACCCTACATCTCAATACTAATGTCGAGTGATGTAAATGGCCTAAATACTCCACTTAAAAGATACAAATGGCAGAAAGGATAAAAATCCACCCAGCAAGTATCTTCTGTCTCTAAGAAACTATCTAACACATACGAGCTCACATAAACTTAAGGTAAAGGGGTGGAAAAAGATACTCCACCAAATGAAACCTAAAGCAAGCAGGAGTAGCTATTCGTATATCAGACAAAACAAACTTGAAGCAAAAAGAATAAAAAAAAACAGAGAGACATTATATAATGGTAAAGGATTAGTCCAACAGGATAAATATATATATATTTATCCTAAATAAATATATATATATTTATTTAGAATTGTGATATTTTATATATATATAAAAAACACTTGAGCTCTCAAATTCATAAAACAATTACTACTATACCTAAGAAATGAGATAGACAGCAACACAATAATAGTGGGGAACTTCAATACTCCACTGACAGCACTAGACAGGTCATCAAGACAAAAAGTAAACAAAGAAACAATGAATTTAAACTGCCCTAGAACAAATGGACTTAACAGATATTTACAGAACATTCTAGCCTACAACTGCATAATATACATTCTTTTCATCAGCATATGAAACATCCTTCAAGATACACCATGTGATGGGTGACAAAGCAAGTCTCAATAAATTTAAGAAAATCAAAATTGGCTGGGCATGGTGGCTCACACCTGTAATCCCAGCACTTGGGAGGCCAAGGCGGGTGGATCCCCTGAGGTCAAGAGTTCGAGAACAGCCTGGCCAACATGGCAAAACCTCATCTCTACTAAAAATACAAAACAAAAAAAAAAAATTAGGCTGGGGTGGTGGCACACGCCTGTAGTCACAGCTACTCAGGGAGGCTGAGATAGGAGAATCACTTGAACCCAGGAGACAGAGGTTGCAGTGAGCCGAGATCGCACCACTGCACTCCAGCCTGGATGACAGAGAGAAACTCTGTCTCAAAAAAAAAAAAAAAAAAGAAAATCAAAATTACATTATGTCCTCTCACACCACAGTGGAATAAAAGTGGAAATTAACTCCAAAGGGAATCTTCAAAACTATACAAATATTTGGAAATTAAATAATCTGCTCTTGAATGATCTTTGAGTCAACAATAAAATCAAGACAGAAATTTAAAAACTCTTTGAGCTGAACGGTAATAGTGAGTGACACAACTTATTGAAACTTCTGGGATACAGCAAAAGTGGTGCTAAGAGGAAAGTTCCCAGCATTAACTGCCTATATCAAAGTCTGAAAGAACACAAATAGACCATTTAAGGTCACACCTCAAGGAACTAGAGAAATAAGAACAAGCCAAACTGAAGCCCAGCAAGAGAAAAGATATAACAAACACCAGAGCAGAACTAAGTGAAATTGAAATAAAAAAAATAAAAAAAAAATGAAAGAAAAAGCTGGTTCTCTGAAAAGATAAACAAAATTGATAGACCACTAGCAAGACTAAACAAGAAAAGAAGACAGAAGATCCAAATAAGTTCAATTAGAAACAAAATGAGATATATTACAACTGATACCACAGAAATATAAAAAATTATTCAAGGCTACTACAAACACCTTTACATGCACAAAGTAGAAAATCTAGAGAAGATGGATAAATCCTGGAAATATATACAACCCTTCTAATTAAATCAGAAAGAAATAGAAACTCTGACCAGACCAATAACAAATGGTGAGATTAAATCAGTAATAAAAAAAAATTGCAAACAATAACAAAAAGTCCAGGACCAGATGGGTTCATAACTGAATTCTACCAGATATTCAAAGCATTGGTACCAATCTTTCTGAAACTATTCCAAAAGATAGTGAAATAGAGAGCCCTCCCTAAATCATTCTATGAAGCCAGTCCCGCCCTAATACAAAAATCTGAAAAGGACAATAAAAAAGGAAAACTACAGACCAATATCCCTGATGAATATAGATGCAAAAATCCTCAGCAAAATACTAAATGCTAGCTAACTGCATCCAACAGCATATCAAAAAGATAATACACCATGATCAAGTGGGTTTTACACCAGTGATACAAGGATGTTTTACATACTGAAGTCCATAAATGTGAGAAAGAGAAAAAAAATCAAAGCTTAGCACTGCAGAAAACCAGCAAGCCAGAAAGATAAATGAACGAACAAATGAATGAATGAATGAACGAATGAAAGAAAAAGAAAGAAAGAATGAAACAACCAGAAAACACTTAACAAAATGGCTAGAGTAAGTCCTTATCAATCAATAATAACCTTGAATATAAATGAATTAAATTATTCAATTAAAAGATATATAGTGGTTAAATATTTCTTCAAAAAATCAAGACTTAACTATATGCTGCTTACAAGAACTCACCTCACCTGTAAGACCACACATAGACTGAAAGTGAAGGGATGAATATAAGCTACACTTATATCAAATAAAATTAACTTTAAATCCAAAACTGTAGAAACAAAATATTCATCATTATATAATGATAAAGGAATTGGTTCAGCAAGAGGATATAACAATCATAAATATTTATGCACCCAACATCAGTGCACCCAAATATATAAAGCAAATATTAGTAGATCTAAAGAGACTACAATACAATAATAAGAGGAGATGTCAGGCTGCTGCCATGTTGTAGGATGCTGAAGGCTAGTACGCATTGACGTGGTGGTTACTCTGAGTCTCTAGCTGGACTTGAATGTCTGTGTTGCCATTCCTCACTGTGGGTTCATGATCTACGGGGTGGCAGGCCCAGGCCCTATCATCTGGGAGCTGGAACACAATTCTGACTAGGAGCCAGAGGAATGGAAGCTAAAGGAGGTGGAGAGGTACCGGCTCCTCCCTGGGCCCTCAGCTTGAAGCAGGGCCTCATGCCCTGGCACCCCAGGCCACACCCCCTTGGTTCCAGGTGTCCTGCTGCTACCTGCACAGGGGCCCTTGTTTCTTCTTACCCAATGTCCAGAGCACAGTGTCAGGTGTCCAGCTCCCCTGGGACCACTAGTCCCTTCACTAGTGACATATTTCATCACCAGTTTAGAGAGTTCGGCATGCTTACAGGCA
The DNA here is from genome assembly GCF_000001405.40 of Homo sapiens. Taxonomy (NCBI): domain Eukaryota; kingdom Metazoa; phylum Chordata; class Mammalia; order Primates; family Hominidae; genus Homo; species Homo sapiens. Next base: position 71,551,847 of record NC_000006.12, on the reverse strand, counting down.
GTTATTATTCTAGGTGTTAGGTTTCTGGGTTTACAGAGCAGCTCCAAGCTGGCAGATACGGACCGATTGCCCTTGCTATCAAAGAGAAGAGGGCTAGGTGCTCCATGATTTAGCCTGAGGCTCTTCAAACATCCATCCTGCTTCCACACATGGCTTCTGCCATTGGCTCTCTCCTCTAGCACCCTGCAATGACAGAAAAAAGCAATCCGATTCCAGAAAATTTGGAGGCAAATGGAGACACCTGGTGCTCTGCCCAGAACCCTGACATGGGAACCCATGGAGTAGATCCAGTATTTACACAAGGAATTTGCAGAGTCCTGGTCAGTTCCCAGGTTGGCTGAAGGTTTTGATGTCAGCACTGATGTGATCTCAAGAGTTTTAAAAAGCAAGTTTGTACCCACATTGGAGCTGAAACTGAAGCAGGATCAAAAAGTCCTTAAGAAAACTGGGGTTGCCCACTTGCTCCAGTAGCTCCAGGGCTCTGGAAATACCTCAAAGCTACTCCCTGCAGGCCACTCTGTCTCAGGCTCTTTGCTTATGACAGGGCATGAAGCCTCATCCAAAGACCCGAATCACACCATAGCTTTGAAAGTGATAGTCAAACACTCACAGGACAAATGTACGAAGGAGATGGAAGGGAAGGAATAAAGGAAGCCAGAATCTGAAGAAGGAGAGCTATGTGCCTCTTGCTGCAGTCCTAGGTCATCAGAGAGAGCTGCACAAGTACTCCAGTGCTTCTGAGAGCACCAGAAGAACTGACGATGGTAGGCTGCCAAGTGATCAGAAGCTGGAGAAGTTGAAGGCAGGGGAGCCGGGTCGCTTCAGCAGCAAAGTAGTGCAGAGGAGGCGAGAGTTCTTTGACAGCAACAGGAACTTCCTGTACAGAATTTGAGCTGGGGCTTGGCTTGTGGAGATCCCTCGTGAAACACAGCTGAGCAATTATTAACATATATGGAGCAGCCTATATTTCTGTGTGTGGATAAGCCACCTTAGATTAGCAAGAAGTGATGAGCCTGGACTGTGGGAGGAAAAAGCTGTTTTGGGACATTCAAACTTCCTGTGTCAGGGCTCCCAGTCTGACCTCTGTAGATCTTCAGTACTCACCCTTCATGCTTGGGCTCACTATGTGTTGAAAACCAGCCTGTGTCACATGTGTTGTTACAATTTTCTGTGATACTTGCAATATGTGTTTGGGGGGAAGTGGGAAAAAAATAGCAGATGTCAACACCCCATTTTCAATAATGGACAGATCATCCAGGCAGAAAATCAACATAGAAACATTGGATTTTGACTGCTCTTCAGACCAAATGAATCTAACAGACATTTACAGAACATTCCATGAAATAACTGTGGAATACACATTCTTCTCAACTGCAAATGGAATATTCTCCAGGATAAATATGTTAGGCTACAAAACAAGTCTAACAAATTTAAGGAAATAGAGATCATATCAAGTGTATTTTCTGACCAAAATGATATAAAAATAGAAACAATAACAGGAGAAACTTCACAAACTTTGCAAATACATGGAAATTTAAAAACAAGCTCCTAAATAAACAATGGATTAAAGAAGAAATTAGAAGGCGAATTTAATATTTTCTTGAGAAAAAAGAAAACGGAAAAAATAACATACTAAAACCTATGGGATATAGCAGAAACTGTTATAAAAGGGAGTTTACACCAATAAACAGCTTCATTAAAAAAAATCTCTAATAAACGACTTAATGTTGTAACTCAAGAAACTGTACAAAAATAAGAACAAACTAAACCAAAAACAAGGAGAAGAAAGAAAATAATAAAGACCAGAGCAGAAATAAATGAAATAGACACTAGAAAAAAATACAAAATATTAACAAAGACTCCGTTTTTTAGAAAAGATAAACAAAATGAACAATTCTTGACCAGTTACGGTGGCTCACGCCTATAATCCCAGCACTTTGGGAGGCTGAGGCAGGCGGATCAATTGAGGTCAGGAGTTCGAGACCAGCCTGGCCAACATGGTGAAACCCCGTCTTTACTAAAAATACAAAAATTAGTGAGGCGTGGTGGTGCACGCCTGCAGTCCCAGCTACTCAGGAGTCTGAGGCACAAGCATCATTTGAACCCGGCAAGCAGAGGTTGCAGTGAGCAGACATCATGCCACTGCACTCCAGCCTGGGTGACAGAGTGAGACTCTATCTAAAATGACAAAAAAACAAAAAAGAACAATTAATTAGCTAAACCAAAAAAAAAAAGAGGAAAGACACAAATAAATAAAATCAGACTTGAATAATTATATGTCAACAAACTGAACAACCAGACGAAATATATAAATTCCTAGACACATACAATTTACCTAGATTGGATTATGAAGAGAAAGAAATCTAAACAGACCAATAATGACGAGGAAATAGAAGCAGTAATAAAAAGTCTCTCATCAACAAAAAGCCTGGGACCTGACAGCTTCACTGCTGAATTCTACCAAATATTTAAAGAAAACCTAATACAAATTATTTTCAAACTATGCTAGAAAATTGAAGAGAATACTTTCAAACTTATTCTGTGAGGTCAGTATTACCTTCATACCAAAACCAGACAAGGATACAATAAAAAAAAAAACTATAGAGTTTCCTGATTAACATACAAGCACAAATCCTCAACAAAATACTAGCAAATTGAATTCAATAGAATATCAAAAAGATCATTCACTATGATCAAGTGGGATTCATCCAAGGGATGCAACACTTGTTCAACATATGCAATTCAATAATGTGATACATCACATTAACAGAAAGAAGGACAAAAACCCTATGATCATTTCCATAGATGGTGAAAAAAATTGACAAAATTCAACATCTGTTCATGATAAAAAAAAAAAACTCTCAACAAATGAGGTATAGAAAGTATGTATCCCAATGCAATAAAGGCCATATATGACAGACTCACAGATAACATCCTACTGAATGAGAAAAAGCTGAGAGCTTTTCCTTTGAGACCTGGAATAAAACAAGGACAATCACTTTCACCACTTCTATTCAACATAGTACTGGAAGTCTTAGCCAGAGCAACTAGGCAGGATAAATAAATAAATGGGAAAAGAAGAAGTCAAATTGTCTCTGTTTGCAGATTACATGATTTTATATATAGAAAACTCTTAACAACTCCACCAAAAGCTGTTAGAACCCATAATGAATTCAGTAAAACTGCATAATACAAAATCAACCTATAAAAATCAGTAGCATTTGTATACACCAATAGCAAAGTATCTGAAAATGAAATCAAGAAACAATCTCATTTACAATAACTACAAAAAAAACCTAGGAATATATTTAACCAAGAAGGTAAAAGATCTTTATAATGAAAACCAGAAAACACTGATGAAAGAAATTTAGGAGGACACATAAATAGAAAAATATCCCATGTTCATGGATTGGAAAAATTAATGTTTTTAAAATGTCATACTACTTAAAGCAATCTATAGGTTCTGTGCAATGCCTATCAAAATATCAACGACATTCTTCACAGAAATAGGAAAACAATTCTAAAATTCATATGGAATTACAAAAGACCCCAAATAGCCAAAGGCATCTTGAGTAAAATAATAAAACTGGAGGTGTCGTACTACCTGACTTCAAAATATACTACAAAGCTGTTGTAACCAAAGATGCATACTACTGGCATAAAAACAGAAACATAAACCAATGAAACAGAATAGAGAGGATTTTCAATGTTCTCACCACAAAAGAATGGTAAATGTTTGAGATGATGGATATGTTAATTACCCTAATTTGATCATTTACCAATGTATACATGTATTGAAACATCACATTGTGCCCCATAAATATGTGTAATTATTATGTGTCAATTAAAATGACACAATTAAGATGACACAAATAATACGTGCTCTGGTGTCTAATGCACCGGTGTCAGTTGGTGACATGAGAATAAATTCCTGAGTTCTGTGCATATGAATCATCCAACTTGAGTGGCAGAAAGTTACAGAATTAACATACACAATACAATTTAGAGAACCTAGGGCACTAAAAAATAATTAGGAGAGAACTTTGCTGCTCAACCACAGTTAAATTTTATGTGAATCATACCTAAGATAAAAGTAGTAGTTATCAAGAGCTTATCAAGGGTCTGGCACTGTCATCCACATGGGACATACATATCTACCTCAATCATCACAACAATTTTGGAAGAGTGATACTCTAGTTCATATTCCACAGATAAGAAAACTGAGGCACTAATTATGTGGCAGAATTGTTATTTGAATTCAAGTCTCATTCCAAAGACTTTTTCCCTTCTTTTTTATGTATTCATTTGTAATACAAGTAGATGTAAAGGATACAGAAGTGAAAAGGTTAAAAAATGACATAAAATAAAAAGTAAGTCACTCTCCTGTCTTTATCCCCAGATTAACAGTTCCTCTCTCAACTGAAAATCACTTGTTAGTTTATGTGTACTTCTAGAGATCTATTACCAACTATCATGGCGGAATATTTTCTTTCTCATTGCAGTTTTATTAGTTTTTGCCTCATGTATTTTGTCAGTCTGTTCTCAGGTTCATGAAAGTTTAGCGTTGTTATATCTTCTTAGAGAATGGATTCCTGTATCATTATGTAATGCTCCTCTATATCCCTAATAATCTTTCTTGTTCTGAAATTTACTTTGTGTGATATTAATGTGGCTCTTCCAGCTTTCTTTTGATGAGTGTCAGGATCGTATTTATTCCTCCATTCCTTTACTTTTAACTTATCTGAGTTTTATATTTAACATAGATTCATTCCTTGCAGCCAACATTTACTTGGGTCTTTTTTTTTTGTAATCCATTCTGACAATCTTTGTCTTTTAGTTGATATATTTAGACCTCTCACATTTAAAGTGATTATTGATATAAAGGATTAATATCTATTGTCTTTATAACTATTTTCTATGTGTTGCATTGATTCCTTGTTTTTTGTTCTTCCCCCACTGCTGTGGACTGAGTGCTGTTTCCCTCAAATTCATGTGTTGAAGTCCCTAATGGATGGTATTTAGAGACAGAGCCTTTGGGAGATAGTTGGGGTCAGATGAGGCCATGAGAGCAGTGCCCTCATGATGGGATCGGTATCCTAACAAGAAGAGATGCCAGAGAGCTTGCTCTCTCTTTTTATCTCTCTACCATGTGAGGACAGAGAGAGTAAGTAGGTATCGGCAAGCCAGGAAGCAAGCCTTCACCAGAACCATGCTATATCATCCTGGTCTCAGATTTCCAGCCTCCAGAACTGTAAGAAAATAAATGTATGTTGTTTAAGGCATCTACATTAAAATATATTGTTATGGTAGCCCTAGCTAACTAAGATACCTACTTTTTATGCCACCTGGATACTGGGAGGCTTGATTCACTGGGGGCATTATTGTAAAAATCTACCCTAGTCTTTCTGTTGGCCCCATGGATTCACATCTCTTCCACACACCAGATTTACTCACCACCTCTGAAGACCCCCAAAATCTCATCCACTCACTGCATCGGGCTTGAAGTCCAGGCTATAGTCATCTGCATGGGGTCCTGATGCAAATGAGGCTTCTTAGGTGAAATTTCTCAAGGGCAGCATTTTGAGAGAGGCTCTTCTTAAGCCATGGATCTGTGAACTAAGTAGTTATTTTCATGCCACACATCCAAAATACATTGGTGAGATGGGGAGATGATAACTTCAATCAGATTCTCACATTCCAAAGAGAGAGCAACAGAGGCATCATAGCAGTCACCGATTTATAACAATTACGCAATCCTGCCAGGCATTTGTTGTCAAGGCCCACAACTCTGGGAATGGGGAATTTTCTGTGATAGAGGTCAGTTCTGTTTCTTACCAGTGGTTCCTTAATGCCTTATTTTCCTTAGCGTTGTCTTTGATTTTTAGCCATTTTAATACAACATGAATTTGCTTAAATTTGGTAGCACTTGCACTTCCTGAATCTTTACTTTGGAGAATTTAACATAGTTATATCCATAGATATTCCTTCTGCTTCATCCTCTCTCTTCCCCATTTCTGAAATTTCAATTATACAAAAGTTTAATCATCTCACTGAGTCTCATGCTGCTCTTGCATTTTCATTTGTTTTTTGATACTTATGACTTCCACATGAACCCTGTTAACAATAACAGAGCCAGAGCAAGAACACTCAGCTGAGCTGAGATGTACTGGAATATCCAGCACTTGTTCCAGATGAGTTTGTTGACTCCTTGGACCATTAGGTCTGAAAGAATAGAAGCCTGAATTTACTCTTGAGTAAAACTAATGATATGCTGTTGCTAGAGAGAGAAAGAGAAAGAGAGAGAGACCATTTAGATATCAAACAAAGAAAAGAAGGTCCATTATTGAAAAAAAGAGTGGGGGAATAAGGAGGGGAACCAGGTGCATAGAGGGAAGTATTGCGCAAAACCTGGATTATAAGAAATATTAGCACTTCTCTTATTTTCAGTTCAGCATCCTTAGTCCAGACAAATCTTTCCAGACATTCTATTTCAGCATAGTATATCATCATCCAGTTTTTATCACTACCCAACTAAGGAAGAAAAAAAGAAAACATGGATAAAGAGGTAATGCATACATGGAAGTTCTCTCTCTCTCTCTCTCTCTCTCTCACTTTATCAATCTTCAATAATTTAGGACAAGAAAACTTTCATGAGATTTCCCCATTTATTCACAGCTACTCTAAAACACATGTCCCAAGAATGTGCAGAATTTGCTGCATAGTCTTGTGCCCCCACTATGTACAACTAAATGAAGATTTTAGTAGGTAAGGAAGTGGAGTAAGTATGCTGTAAGCTAGCTATTCATACTTCCAAAATAACCACTTTCAGCTTACTAAAAGATGATGAGGCAAATCAGTATCTTACAGGAGCTTGATTTGGTAGGAAAGTAAATGGACTCCTTCTTTCAAATGAAAACAAAGGAGTTCTGAATTCATCTGAAAAACAAGACTTTACTAGCACAAAGAAGGTATTCAGTTTAGTGTGTTAAAATAGATAAAATAAGTAAACGAGAAAAACAAACAAACAAACAAAAAACCCTTGAAATATGCTATAGCAAAAAATGGTGCTGCACTTAGGCCCAGAAATCGATACCAAATATGTCACTTACACACTTTGTGACCTTTGGCCAAATATTTACACACATTAAACCTCAAATTTTACAACTTTAAAATGGAGAGACAGATGCAGGCAAACTCTGCCTCCATTATTATTTTATTAGAAGGATAAAATGAGATAAAGTGTATGAAAGCATTTTGTAAATCTCTGAGCACTGTGCAAATGTAAGACATTATTTTTGTACTGATACCTATTATGAGAAAAATAAAAGATTAATTCAAGACATATTGCATGGTTATGAAAAACTCTGTACTTTAAGATATTCAGTTAATTTTAAGGGTCCTCATTGCTATAGACATGAACATTTAATCGGTCACTGGAAGAAGAAAAAAAACATCCAAAAGAAACTGCCTAAGAAAAACCGATACAACAAAGTCATGCCATGTTTGCTTCACAATCTTCTTTTAGCATTCTTTCACCCTTCCTGGCTGCATGCTTTGCATACTTGGAGTTTTAGGCCATTGAAAATATGTATATTTGTTGAATGGAAATGATGCAAGAGAAATAGATGCCATTATTGTGGTTGGTAAAAATCTAGCTTAAGGGACAGTGTCTGCAGTCAAATGTGGAGCTAACCCAGTAAAGCTCGGTTTGCTCTGTTATAGAAAAGGGATGCTGAATCTGCATGGGAGTAAAGAACATTCTTTCCCTTAGGACTTTGTCACTTCTGCCGATACACCTCACTGGTTTTATCTTTCAGATCAAATCTTTAAAATAAGAGAAACATAGGAAATCATTGGTACAGGGATAGAAAATTGGGAGGTTACCATAAAATAAACTTAATTTTTAGCTTTTTTGCATTGTTGCAAGTGTAAGCACGAAATAGGAACAGGAGTTTTCTTGCTTACTTAGCAATGTCCTATTTTCCTTAGCTATTCTTAAAGACTGAGTAAGAACACCTTTATGTCATTCTCCTTCCTGATTCTAAAAATAGTGGGCAAAAGTAATGTCATAGAGATAATGTAAAAATAACTGCCATTTATTGAGCATCTACTTCAGACCAGTATCTACTGTCTTATTACATTATTACACTTTGGGAGCATTCCAGGCAGATTTCATAATTCTCATTTAGGGATAAGAAAACCAAGTTTCAGAAGGTTAAATAATTTAAACAGGTAACACAACTAGTAAGTGGCAAAGTGCAAAAAAAAAAAAAAAAAACAACAACAAAAAAAAACAAAACCTTATGGAATGATGGAATGACTCTTTACTTGCTAGGAAAATTTGTTAGCCAGGTAACAGGGCATTTGGGGAATGAGAATACTGGTTTATTTAATTTCTTGATAGCTGAAGAATAATCAGAAAATGTGTTGTTATAACCATTGACACAAATATCTGCTTGTAACATCCACTTTTCTTCCTTTTTATGTAGGAGATGCAACCAGTTTAAAACCTTTTGGAATAAAGACAGAGGCTAACAGAGTAGGAAAAATGGGAAGCAAAGAGAAGAGGGAAGAAGATAAGGGGCAAAAGAAGAAACTAAAACATAATTGATTAATATTGATTTTTGATTATTATTTCAGAGCATCACGTCATTATTTTATACACGAATTCTATGTGTAATTGAATGAGATGCAGGACATTGAGGTGATTCTACTGTGGAACCTTGTTTTATTAGTCAGGACTTTTCAGTTGCAAGAGAAAGAAATCCCAAATTAAACCAGTTTTGTTAAACAGTGGGTTGGTGGGGGAGTTTGCTGGGGAGGGATTTATTTGGCTCATGTAATTAATTGGAAAGTCCACGAAAACAGGCTAATTTGTTGTTGTTGTTGTTGTTGTTGTTTTGTTTGCAACAGCCACAGCTGGGAATTCAAATATCATTTTCTTTCTCGCTGCCCTCTTAGTTTTACTTTTCTTAATGGTACCTTAATTTTCTCATCTGTTCAAAATATGCAAAGAAAACTGTCACCAATGTGCATTATAACCAAACGTAGCAACCCAAAAACCTGGCCAAAAGTTTTGATCAAAAAAAAAATTAATGCTCTTCCTAGGTGTTGGTAAACTTTACTTTGAATACAACATTGTAAATTTGGTACATTTCAATGGCTTATGGGTACTAGGATATCAGCATTTTAATTGGCAGTTTCAGTGTGTTGTGCAACATGCCCCTGCTCAAAAACTAGGACCTGAGATGATTCTCAACAGGAAACATAGATACACAAAATCACCTTAAAGATACTAGCTTCAGGTATGCCAGGATTGGCTGTTATATATTAAAAGATTTTTCTTTATATAAATGAAAATTTTGTCAGAAAGGTACTGATCTGCTTGGAAGCAAAATTAGAAATAAAAACTTTGGTATTATTCATCTAAGAAGTCTCTGGGTAAGAGGATCTTTGAACAGAATATCTGACTGGTTAGTTCTCTTTCATTGAGATGATGGCCATACAGCAGAAGGATCATGGGCTTTGCAATCAGGTAAGTCTTTCATCCACCATACAAATATTTCCTTAGCACCTACTACGTGCCAAATACCTTTTCTAGACACTCAAGGTATGTCAGTGAGAAAAAAAGAGAGCCCCCTACTCTATGTAACAGATGACAATAAGCATTAAGCATAACAGGTAAATCATATAGTATTTCAGAAACCAAATAAGTACTACAAAAATGAAAACAAGAAACAAGATATAATTAATTTGAATGATCAAGGAGTTTTTGTTGAAAAGCGATATTTGAGAAATGATCTGAAGGTGGCAAGGAAGTCTGCAAGTGGCTATCTGAGGGATAACACTCCATGCAGGGACTAGCTATAGCAACTGCCTCAAAGATAGGAACATTGCTGGTACTTTTGAGGAATTTCAAGAAGGCCAGGGTGACAGGAGTTGAGTGAAGACATGGAAAAGTAGCAAGAGATACAATCAAAAGAAGAGGTTACTGTACGCCATTGTAAGGATGCCTGCAGTAATTCAAGTGTGAGATGACAGTGGCAGGGTCTGGGGTGGTGGTAATGAAAGTGGTAGGAAGTCATTCTGGATATATTTTGAAAGGAGAGAAAAATATGATTTCTTGAAAGATTGGATGTGGAATGTTAGAGAGACAGCTGTCAAGAACATCACCAAGGCTTTTGGCCTGAAAAGTTTCAGGCCTTACTAGCCATGTCTTCAACGGTAGTTTACTTTATCTCTCAGTTTTCTCCATGGTAAAATGGGGCTCAAATGGTACCAAACGCACAGAATGTTTGTGAAGCTATTAAATGAGATACTGTTTGCAGAGCATCTGGCACATAGTAGACACCAAACAAGTTGTCATTATAAGCCACTTCCCTTCTGTGACTCACTTATCAAGCCAACTTCAGAATACGATTTAGCCTTCTCTCATGTTGACTTCAGAGAAAGGCTACACCAGCCAGAAAACACAAGAATCTAGGAACCTAGTCCACTCAGCAGTTATTGTTTTTATTGTAAATGCACTGTTAGTCCAGTTTTGTACTTGAGTCTTTCTGAGCTCCCATATTCTCAGTACAACCCTGAGAGATCAATCAATCCCCAGTAGTTGGAAGAGTCTGAGCCAGTGGAGCCTATGCCTGTGCTTCAGAGTTTTCCCTGAAGTTTGAACCCTTTTAGTGAACAGTCTCTCTTAAACATATCCTGGCTCTGCTAGGAGTTTTTCTTTAATCAAATTAAAGCACACATCTAAAACTGAGACTTACCTAGACATTTTGGGAAATTTATCAACAGTATTACTTTAATTTCAGTAAACTAGATTTAGAGACACTGGTTGTACTCACAGTGTAAATATTTGAAGAAATTTTTTTTTTCAAAGGCATTTATTATATCAAAAAAGAACATTTTAATGTAATGTGTTTATATTAAAATTACAAGAACAGCTACCATCTCTTGAACATCATCTACCATGTAACAGGCACTATATTCGACATTTCACATTGTATAATCTCATTTAGCCCTCAACACAATCCTTTAAGGCACTATTAGTTTAGCTGGGCAGGCAGGGTCTAGAACCCAGTGTCTGCATATGTTTCATAAGCAACAAAGACCCTTGTGAAGCCAGATGTCTCTACTACCTTAGATCATGTTTTTGTTGTTTCCATTTGTTTGCTTGTCTAGCGGAGAGGAGAGGAGATTGTTTTGTTTTGTTTTGCTTTGTCTGTTATTCACTATCATGCAAATAATAGATCATGTTTATCTTTGGCTCATTTTTGCTTGTTTGTTACTCTTTGTTTACTGATCCACTCTTTGCCCCCAACCAGACTTCAGAGCACTGGGAATGGGGAGGAAACCGGAAGTAGCTGCAATTTCCAAAATATGTTCTGCGGAGCCCCGGGCTTACAAGTGTCTACCTTAAAAATGAGTCCTCACCCAAAGAAAGTCTTACAATAAAGAAAATAGTTTTAATCGTGTTTCATCTAGTAGTTTCCAAAATTTTTTGACCACACAGCCCTCTTATATTGAAAAATAACTATTGACATTCCTGAGACTAGTTTTGAGCAGCAAATAGTAAGAATCTTCTTGTTACTCAATTCAAACTGCTGAAAATCTTTGCAATCCAAGGCGGAAAAGTGAGTAATGATGCTGTTTGTCGGGATGACAGATCAAGCATTAAATTTAGAATCTGAATCAAAAAGCTGCTCATGCAGAATACAGGGCAGCTTCAAAAATATGCCTTAAAATCCTGTCACTCAGATTTGTCCTTGTATAATGCCTGGGAGTGGCTGGACGTGGCATTTGCCTCTTCACCTCTCACCCCTGTCTGACCTACATATATTCTAGCCCCACAAGAACCATATTTCACATTCAGATAAATGAGAACCAACACATGAAAAGGGAACAAGCCCCACCTTATTATTACCCATCTTCAGGAGGAGCTTGAAATGATTTTTTCATTTCAATAGTTTTTGGGGAACAGGTATGTTTTGGTTAAATAGATGGGTCTTTAGTGGTGATTTCTGAGATTTTAGTGCACTCTTGTCACTCAAGCAGTGTACACTGTACCCAATATGTAGTATTTTATCCCCCATCCCCTTTCAACCTTCCCCACTGAGTCCCCAAAGTCGATCATATCATTCTTATACTTTGGCGTCCTCAAGCTTAGCTCCCACTTTTAAGTGAGAACATACGATATTTGATTTTCCATTCCTGAGTTACTTCACTTAGAATAATGGCCTCCGACTGCATGCAAGTTGCTGCAGAAAACATTTTGTTCCTTGTTATGGCTGAGTAGCATTTCATGGTGTATATATACCATATTTTCTTTATCCATTCATTGGTCGATTGGCACTTAGGTTGCTTCCATATATTTGTAATTGTGAATTGTGCTGTTATAAACGTGTGTGCATGTATGTTTTTTATATTAATACAATGACTTCCTTTCTTTTTGATAGATACCCAGTAATGGGGTAGCTGGATCAAATGGTAGTTCTACTTTTAGTTATTACTATTTTTTTTTGAGATGGAGTTTCACTCTTGTTGCCCAGGCTAGAGTGCAATGGCGCCATCACAGCTCATTGCAACCTCCGCCTCCGGGGTTCAAGTGATTCTCCTGCCTCAGCCTTCTGAGTAGCTGGGATTACAGGAGCGGCCACCACACCTGGCTAATTTGGTATTTTTAGTCAAGACAGGGTTTATTCATGTTGGTCAGGCTTGTCTACTTTTATTTCTTTAAGAAATGTCCATACTGTTTTTCATAGTGGTTGTACTAATTTACATTCCTACTAGCAGTGTAAAAGTCTTCACTTTTCACCACATCCATGCCAACATCTATTGTTTTTTGACTTTTTAATTGTGTACATTCTTGCAGAAGTAAGGTGGTATTAGATTGGTGCAAAAGTAATTGCGGTTTTGCCTTAAAAGTAATGACAAAAACCACAATTACTTTTGCAACAACCTAATATCTCATTGTGGTTTTAATTTGAATTTCCCTGATGATTAGTGACTTTGAGCATGTTTTTCATGTTTGTTGGCTGTTTGTATATCTTTATTTTTCGAAATCCTACTGAAACTATTCCAAAAGATAGAGAAAGAAGAAATCCTCCCTAAATCATTCTTGAAATAATTTTTTCTTTTTATGAAAAGGAAGCCACCCTCCCAAACCACTTCTCACCAATTCCTACCAATAATGGCAGAAAGTATAACACTGGGCGAAGCTTCTCTACCTGTGGTCCCACTCCTTGTTCCACCCCCAATCTGACCCACTCTACCACCCCACTGTGAACACCAGGCCAGTTACTAATGACAGTGCCCACTACTTGGTTTCTGGTAGTCCTATTTCTGCAGTGTTGGAATCAAATTGTTGGTTTAAATTAAAGATTTTATTAATTTAACTTAATGACTAGCTTAGTTAATATCTGGAAGAGCTTTTTGTTATTTGAAAAGAGCACTTACCATCACTTTTATTTTATTTAATGTCCAATTTATTAAACTTATACATTTCCAAAACTATGAAAATTAAATTTCCTTAAACAGTTAAACATTGATTAAAGCTTTACTTAATTAAAGTCACTTCCATTATTTAAACAATAATTATAATTCTACTATGACTAATTCTTTTGAATATTTTTAAACTCCAAAAACAAGAGATAAAATGTGTACAAATCCAGTGAGTATAAAATGTATTGCTACACTTACACCTATTTTGTAAAAAGCTGGACTCTGAGTTTATTTTTTCTCAGTATTTCTTCATTATTTTATATTTTTCTCATTTTTGTTTTTATGCCTTCTTGTATTATAGCATGTTTTTGAAACTGAACCTGCTTCCTCCTCATCCAATTAACATCTCAGATTTGTTGAGGTTCTAGGATTTGGGTAACCAACCAATTGCTTTTTGGCTGGGCAAAGAATCTGCCTACTTCTGCCAAAATGAGTCACATGTGAGCTCTAGTCATCTCTCTGAATTGTTTGTTTTGCTTTTTATAGTTAAATCTTATATTTTAGCTCACTAAGGCTTTTTAACTTCATTTTTTTCACCTAGGATTTTTGCAACCTAGCATCTTACGTTCTCTTCTGCATTTCCTTTTCAATCTTGCATGGCCAGTGTTTTATAACTCATCTCATCATTTTGTGTAGACCTCAACTGCTAACATTATCAGAAACTCACATATGTTTTGTTATGGCATATTATTAGAGGCACCATTGAGGTTTCATCTCATAGAAAATAAGTCACAGGGCTTGCTCAGTTGTTTATTCCTATATCTCTTGTTAGTTAATTCGCAATCTTAGTACCCCTAGTGTTGATTTCTTCCTACTTGATTATTGCGTGAACCAGCACTTCTGAATGTGGGACCTTGTTGTATCTGGTTGTTCAATGTACTCAGTAGTACCAAAAATTCTTGTTCCAGTTACTACATTTCTCATATATATTTGACTCACTCACTTCCTAATTACACAGAATAAAAGAAATGCATATCTATATAAATATAAATTTAATAATAAATCAAGATATTCATATATAAATATTCTCTACTAATTAAAGACAATACAACAAATACCATTAAATTTTTATTTCTTCTCACTTATAGGTGGGAGCTGAACAATGAGATCACATGGACACAGGGAGGGGAGCAACACACACTGGGACCTGTCAGGCGGTGGCATGGGGGATAGGAGAGCATTAGGAAAAATAGCTAATCCATGCTGGGCTTAATACCTAGGTGATGGCTTGATAGGTGCAGTGAACCACCATGGCACATGTTTACCTATGTAACAAACCTGCACATCTTGCACATGTACCCCAGAACTTAAAACAAAAATAAACATTAAAACAGATTTTCTTTTCTCTTCGAATTACTGTGCCCCTTATAATAGACATCTCTTAAATTTTCAAGAATTAAAAAATACTTATTTCCATTAACTCAAATCGGATTGTCACAACTTCATCAAAAGGAGCTTCATTAAGCTGCGCTTTTGTTTTTTTAGCACTACCCCCAACATCCTTGAAAAGATTTCTTGCTTTCCAGCAATAGTAAGATGGTCTTTGCTTATTTTGAATTTTCCATTGCCTAAGGTATGGAATCGGCTACTTCCCTAGGAACGCTGGCATTTCTCTGTGAAGACAATATAAGAGACCAAATCTGTGCACATAGCTATGTGGATTCCCATGTCAGCGGTGGGCAAATACACCACTGCTCCTCTTGGCCACTTTTCATATAGACCTGGAGAGAATATTCCTTTTAAAGTTCATAAGTTTACTTTGGTTTTTCCAATATGACATGATAAATTGTTGCTCCTTAGGTTTTTTTAAAGACCAAGACTCCAAACCAATGGACATACCCCATATTTATAAACCCCTGATAAGTCATTTTCCATTAGCTTGTATCCCACTGTAGTTATGGGGCTTCTGTAAGAATCAGGCTCACATTTTCTCCTTCATGACTGGAATAATTGGGGTCCCACAGGTGCCAAAACTCCTCCCTGACCCATTCTTTGCCATCGACTTGTTTGCTATCCATAGCACATTACCTGTGCAAACTCTGAAGTTTCTAATATTTTCATTGCTCCTTCTACCTTCTGAGCAATCAAAGGTCCTCATGACGAATCAAGAATTTTCAGAAATTCTACTTTTAGCAGAACTGTATTTCTGGTAGATAATTATATTTGCATCTTTCTTTTTCCTTTGTAAGTAAAATTTCCTTATCAGTGAAATGCTCTGTTAAGAATTAGACACTTTCCCAAGCTATAAAGATTTAGAGAGATGCAGTAGGTGGGACATTTGTCCAATCTTCCTAGTCCTTGAGCAACATTTCTGAAGGATCCCCGCTACTAAACAGGAAAGTGGGCCCACAGGCAAGCCACTTAGAAAATGTATATCTTGGATGGTAGCAGCTCTTCTCCTCTTAGTATTTCCCCAGGGGACTTCATTACCTGAATGGAATACTTTTTCCTGCCATAGTAAGGGGCACTTAGTCCTTTGGCAAATCTTAGCCATTTGCTATTTCCTCCAGTAAGTAAATAGGATAAACTGCCTCCTCTGAGGTGTTCTTTGCTGCTCAGTGCCATCCAAGTATCTCCTGGAAAAAAATAGTCTGGAGATATTAATACTATTCACTACCATTATCATTACATTACCAAGCATATATCACAAATTGAGGACTATTGTTACATATAATCTCAATTAATCTTAACAACTGCTTGCAATAATATCACTTTTATTCCATTTTTCCAGATAAGAAAACATAGATGTAGAAAGCTGAATTCACCCAGCTTGAAAGTGGCAGCACAGGAATTAGAACTCACAATATCACCTCTGAGTCTATATTCTTAGCCATTAGCTTGACTTCCTTGTTCCTTTTCATCCTTTCTCACACCCCCCAATTTCACGTTTAGAGAATGAGTCCCCAAAACAGATTTTATATTTCATTAGCCTAATCATAGCACAATTCTATTTAGGTACAGTCCTAGCAACAGCAACCATTCCTTATTTTTAGATTGTAATTGACAGTAACCTAGAGACCACATGCCATTTCTGAACTATGCCCATTAAGTTTATATAACATCAAAAGCTCAACTTCTCTTATTGTTCACCTACAACTTCCCTTCTGCCCTCTTATAGGTGAAATCAATTACAGCATCCTGTTCTTGCCTTTCACATATTGTCAAATCATTTCTCACACTACATGCTTAGTCTAATTGTGTGAATTCCACTCCCCTGAGTTACTGGCTTTGAAAGGTTGCTGAGCTCTGTCACGACCTGGCCACCAACGTGTACACAATCTTCCTAAAATGCTGCCATGGCCTCATTTTGTATTAACTCTTTTCTGTTACTGTGAGGTTATTTCTTCTCTCAGCTCAAATTTTCCCTTTCACCAGCAACTTCATGTTCAAACATGGTATCAGCGATGATTTCATTAGAGTATGCTACAAAAAGAGTGAGGTTGAAATATTAAGAATATACATATATGAATCAACTTCTTGGAAGATAGGTATTTATTATGCACCAAACGTGGGAAAAGAAAACAAAGGAACAGCAGAAACCAACATTAGAGAGAGAGATACATACATGCATTTATGCATATATGAACATGTGTTTTCTTCAATATATCATAAGTTCTCATGAGTATCAAATTTTTAAAAATCCAATTTGAACAGAGGATAATGTTTAAACATTCCAACTTTCGCAAATAACTTTAACATTTCAGTGTTACCTCCCTAGATCTTTCTGATGAGAATTGACATTGGGTTATGCAGAACTTGCAGAGGCCTCAGACTGGGACGATAGACACACAAATTTACATTCTCTTGGACCAGGTGGCTCTACATTTTGAACTTTGTTTAGATATTCAGTGGACTTTCATAATAAATACCAGTAAGAATCTTTTCTATTCCACCTCTGTTTCTCCCCATCTTATTACCTAATGCATGCTTTAAGTTCTCATTTATAATATCGGTAATGACTTCCATGATTGTGAATAATAAAATATCAAAGAATGCCATCAAGGTAGCATAATGGAATTTAAATGGTACTACAAAAATATTCTCAGCATGTATTAGAGAATTCTAAATTAGGAAGAGATCTAATAGGTACCGAAAACAGTTCCTTCATTTTACACTTAGGAAATTTAGGTGTTTGTTTATAGATAATAGTGATAATAGCTTTTAATAATAATAATATATTTTATTAATAATAGTAGCTCTGTAATTCCTGACAAAATTTAGAAGCAAATTTAAAACTTTTAGTTTGGGTTAGAGTGGGAAAATGTGAAAAATATCAGGATTCATTGCATTTCTGAAACAATACTGGCTCCATCTGGTGGCCAAAGTAATAATTCCCAGTCAATAATGTGTTTATGATTAATACACTGTGCTTTCTTGAATTGAAAATGTCCGATTGGGTCCAAATATTGAAGAATTTAGAATATAATCCTAAATTCTTATATATTTAATCTATAGACGGTTACAGTTGCTACCTGTGATTAATTTCTTCCAAAGTGTATATGATTAATAAACTGTAAGTTGAAGTTGAAAAAGAGCCAAAAATCTAGTTTAGAAAAATGAAGATAATTTCCCAACTATCTTCTGAGAAAAATTTGTATTCATCTAAAAATATATTAATATATTTTTTATGAAAAACGGCAACAAAATCCATTACTTTTTAATCAAGGCAATATAATTAGTACCAATTTATTATTTAATATGTATTACCAATTAAAATGTAAAACTCAACATAAATTATTTAGTGATTTCAAAAATCAATGAGGTTAGTACCGTATTAGCATTTGTTCCTGTTCTTTGAACTAAGAAACTAAAACCAAATGAGTTAGGCTGTTGTATTCTCATAGGGAAAATCTACTTTGTTTTTATTATTAAATAAACACAGGCATTCTTTCCTGCTATTCTGTGGAAATTTTGAAATTTCAAGCTAATTGTTTTGTGTTAGTGTCTATTTTAGAACAAGAGGCTTCAACTTTCTTTGGATTCTGAAAAGAGCTTCTAGCACCTTAATCATTTATGAAACTGTGTACTAGTCACACAAGTGGGTTCAGTTTTTGAAAATTCATCAAGTTGTGCAGTTAAAATATGCTTGTATATTATACTTGAAAATGAAAATAACATTTTTGGAAGTTTAAGAACCATTGTTTTTATGTCCCCAAATTTAATATATACTAATAATTAGCCCTACCATAAGCTGAGTTGAATATATGGTAAAGGTTATTAAAACCTTCTGAAAATCAGTTTCTCTAAATTTAAAGTATAAATAACGTCCCATGGGTTGTTAAGAAAACTACTATATAAAATTAAAATTGTCTGGAACTTCATGCTTGCTTCTGAAAGCTACTCAGACGGCTTCTCACGAATTCTTCCTCCACAGCTGGCCAAATGATGTTTAGAATCATCGATGCACTCACTGCCTGAGGAATGGAATTATACGTTTATTCTCACTATCTTCATAAGAAAAGAAACTTAAGAAAATAAGGAAAATAAAAGATATGCACAGTTTAGATAGTATTACAGCACCAGTGTCAAAATACGGCTTTTCAATGCCTCTGTGCTGATTATTTATTTATTTATTTATTTATTTATTTATTTTGAGACGGAGTCTCGCTCTGTCGCCCAGGCCGGACTGCGGACTGCAGTGGCGCAATCTCGGCTCACTGCAAGCTCCGCTTCCCGGGTTCACTCCATTCTCCTGCCTCAGCCTCCCGAGTAGCTGGGACTACAGGCGCCCGCCACCGCGCCCGGCTAATTTTTTGTATTTTTTTTTAGTAGAGACGGGGTTTCACCTTGTTAGCCAGGATGGTCTCGATCTCCTGACCTCATGATCCACCCGCCTCGGCCTCCCGAAGTGCTGGGATTACAGGCGTGAGCCACCGCGCCCGGCCTGATTATTTATTTATTGCCTCTCAGGTCCAAATTCACCCGGTTTTTCGGCTATAAAAACGGATCTGGGCCCTTTCAATATATATATCAGCTGGCCGTGAAGCTTTGTGAGTGGAAGGTGCTAGAGAGACACTGCAGGAGGAAAAGAATTTTGCTTTCTGGTTCCAGGGTACTCACTCAGCAGGTTCCAGCACTGGGTGCTTATGGTACTCACAGCATCACCAATGTCCAGTTTCTGCAGTCTACAGTAGTCAGTAGCACTCAGCAGCCAGTAGCTCTTTCCAGCAACCCTCCCCTCCCACGCAGTGAATTTGTAGCAGAGCGCTTCCAACTCCTGTGGCATGTGCGGCATCTCCTGCGTTCAGTTCCTGCAGGGTATGGTAGTCAGCGCACTCAGCTTCCTCGCCCACTGTCCCTTTATATGGTTTGTTATGGAGCTCCTCCTGTGAACTAGCTCCCCATGAACAGCTTTCCCGGCTCTCTCGAGGGAGGATTGCCAACAAGTTCTGCCCACAGGACACCACAGCAACTCCTCTGTCAGCCAGTGAGCCAGGGAAGTGATCCTTCCCAACCAAGTCTGGATCTAGCACCTGAGCTCTCTCAGCCTGAGGGCGCGCTCCAACCTGAGCTCTCTCAGACCGAGAGCAGTGTCTCTCCTTAACACTGTTATTCATATATTCTTTCCGATTCTTTCCAGTTCTTATTGCCCAACCCCTTGTATTCTAATCCCCGTTCTAGTTAATAATTCTTTATATGAAACTTTCCGTGTTCAACTTACTGCATGGTTACTCTCTCCTGATTGGGTCCAGACTAACACAGCCTCTTATTTTTCAATCAGCTAAGATGAGTAAAGGAATCTATTACGTATATGAAAGGAACAATAACTAGATTGCATTCATTCAATAGAATACTTGATCTGGTTACACACAGCTGTGTGGCTTGCTAAGTTTTCTTCTCAAGGATGTAAAATATATGAAGAGTAGAAATTAATCCTTAACTGATGGGATTCATGCAAACAGTACTGATTTGTGCATGTGTAAAATACAGAAATTTGTAAATCAGTTATTTGTGCAATGAAGCTCTGGAACATCTTGAGAGTTATTTAACTAATCAAATATGGTTCTTTTAAGGAAAGATGTCCAAAGACATCTTGAAAATAAAAAGGATGAGTCACACTAGGGATAATAAGGTTAGATTTTTGTGGTAGTCATTTTCCATTGGCAAACCAGGCTCTCCCACTCTCAACCTGTTGTTTGTGTGGGTTTGACCTAGTCCAAACATTCATCCCTCCCCAGGCCCTCCAGCTCCTCCAAGATATTGAGATGGTGGGAATGTGACACAGGCCCAGCTAATCAGCTCTTCATCCTCTGACCATGATGATTAGTTCAAGATGGACAAATAAAACAAATCTGTCTAATGAATGTGATCTGATATATTTTGCTGGAATTTTTGGGAAAAAAAAGGTCTCTTTTGGTTGGGGTTGCCGAGTTGCTAGGAAGTGAGCCTGAATCTGCTAGTCACTATTTTTGCCAGTGCATGGGAGGAACCAGTGTGATAAAGAGGGAAACACAGGAAAACAGAATCAAAAGATTTAAAAACGGATTCTAGATGACATTATTTGGTGCCTTGGATCTGGCCTCTGGCTGCAGATATCTAAAGTTTTCAGAAACATAAGACAATAAATGCCCTAAGTCAGTTTGAGTTTTATTCTGTCAGTTGTGAATAGAGTCCTGACAGCTGCAATTATGGTGATTTGAATAACTGAGGCCTTTAGATCAAAGACCTAAGTAATTCATTGTTTCCTAGGTTAAAGTCCAAGAGTGAATTTTGGTCAGGTATGTGTCACATGCTTACTTTGTATAAAGTACTCTATGCTAGAGAATGGACATTTGAATTGCCAAATCTAAGAAATGTTTCAGGGATGATTGATGTCATTACCAGAGTGGATGCTTCTACACTTTGGTGTTCAGTAACAAAGCTGCATTATTCTGGGTCAGGCAATCATTCCTAAAATATTAGGAATAAACACTGGGCGAATTGGCCAAACATAGTGTTTTATGCTGCAATTTTTTTTTTGCAATCTGTGACCTATTGTTTCTTATTACTTTCACCAACTGATGTTGGTAGAGATATTGAGATAGAAATAAACTACAAAAATATAGCTTGATTTCAGACGATCAAAAACGTAAAAGTGTAGTCATTAAAGTCTTCCGCTCCTCTCCTTGTCTCCCTAACAGCAGCATTAGCATGCTGCCCACGATGACATGTCTTGTGTCACCTAACATGATTGATTAAGGGATATATTTTTAAATTTCACCACTGCCTTTGTTTTTATTTTTTTATTTTCTAGGCTGCTTGTCACATGCCCCAAATCTGTGAAAGGTTTGTATAAAATAAAAAGGCATATTTTAAAAGAAATACAATGTGTGACATAATGACAAAAGCCAGAAAATTGTGCGTCCTGATGGACATGCCACTCTTCACTCAGGTCCCTGCTTTGTTTTCTTCAGCTAGGAGAGTGACAGGCTGAAGGGCCTGGTGTTTGTCAGTTTATGTCACAACTGTGATATTTAAACATAGGCTTCTTTGTAGCTATTTTCTTCCATCCAAAATCTTTTTGGAAATGTGCCAAATATACATTTACTCAAACAAACACAAAAGGTCAATTTTTCTCCCCGCCTTCCCTTTAAAGCAAAATATTGCTTAGTTATAATCCATTAACTAATGTTAGTTTTTATGATCGAATCTGTTTTTAGGTGTTGAAATTATCTTCTCTATGCCTATTTCTATTTATTATAACTAGTATTCTTTTGTACTTAAAATTCAAAGTTCAGTGCCAGTCTTTTTTAAAACTCTATAATTCTTTTATCTCTATGAATGCTCTTCAAGAGGGATATGTGCTTACAGTAGTGTTTACATGGCAATCTTGGATTAATGTTATTTGTTACATAATGTCAACTTTTAAATGTATCATTTTAAATACATCTATCAAGAGATAGATTCTTATAAAACTATTGTAGGATACTACTAATCTGTGTTACAACGTACTATATGTTCACAGTGAGTTGTCAGTTATAAGAACTATAGTTTTTTAATGATGTAATAATAAAACAACATATTTTTCATGTTGTTTATTGGCACTTTGTCCAAAAAGCTGACACTCTTTTTCTTGACACGAACATTAAACATTACAAAACTAAAACCTGTTTTACAAGTATTCTAAAATAAAGTAACTTCTTATCACTCAGAGCTGAACAGAATAGAATGTTTCTTTTTTTTTTTCTGTGATCAAAAGATAGCTTTAATGACTGACTAGGTATAGCCACTTTCACTAAGGACATTAATATTTCTGGAATTCCTAAAGACATACTATTGAATAAATGAGGGTTTTCTCCCAAAAAAAATTGTAGAAGGAAAATGTTTGCAGTGTTTTCAACTGCTGAAACTTTAAATGTATTGTAAATAGTTAAAAATATGAATTACTAACAAAATTGAGGTATGGTTGTTCTACAGTTAGTTACACATTATTATTTAGATCATGTTAATTTTAATCTACATATTTTCTATTGCTAAAACATTTGAAATTTTCATAATAAAATATATGTCACCAAAATCATCAGGATAAAGCAACATTAGCCAATTAAAAAGGTATTAAGATAATTGTACCTGAAAAAAAGATAAGCTAAGAACAGCTTATATAAATTTTTCCAGGCAAGGCAAAAAATAAACTATAATACATTATATAAGGATCAACCAACATAAGGAAGTGTAGTAATTTAACATAAGAGATAAACATTTTCAAGCTCCAATCCCCAAAATTTGATTGTTTCAAAGTTTAAAGAAGAAAAAGTTAACTCTATTATTTTTCACATATAAAAGTTTTTCAAAAATACCAAAAAGTTTATCATAGGACCGGCTTTCATTTATTAACTACCCATAATAGCCAAGATTAGTAGTTCAATCTTTCTTTTGTGAAAAAGTGTTTATGAAGCAATAAAGTATATTTTTAGGTAAATGACTCTAATTGATATGTAGGTCATACACAGAAAAGATCAAGAATTAAACAGCTTGTAGTTCAGTGGTTTCCGACCTGTTCTGGGCCAAGCTCTAGAAATTCTGTTCTAGGGCCTCCATACTTAGCTGGCCATTCTCCACAGAACTCTCCATTCTCATCACCCTCCCTCATTTCAACAAAAGCAGCTCCGCTTTTATATACTTTAGCCCTCTGCATGAAATTTTATCTAAGGCAATGTCACAGTTTCCAGGCTAAAAATGGTAAGTCATTCAGATTCAACTTCAGGCAACCTTTTGTAGCTAGTTTTTTTAACATTTCTTAATACTTCTTATCATTCTAAGAGGAAGTCATTATTATATCTATTTTACTGAAAAGAGGAAACTGAGAATTTAAAAGGAAGTTTATGAGTGGAGAAGAGGTCAGTTTCCTGAAAGGCCAGAAAGTTGGGGTTTTGAAATCATTGAGGAATGTGATGGGAATGTGTTCTGGAGACCAGCAGTAATCTGGGAGTCTTTAAGAAAGAAGGAGAGTGATGCAGAGGCTGGTCAATGACTGCTGCAAAGAGTAGATACTAGAATATAATAGGAAATTCAGTCCCAGAGATTTTTAGGACAGAGAAAGAGTCACAGGTCTAGAAGCAGCAATGAAGAGCAAGAAAGATATCTATGCCCCCTCCCAAGACCAAGGTATGAAAGAAAACGTGACCTCAGGGAAGAACCAGATATCAGCTAGAACAACATCAAGGGAATATTATCAGCAAAGAACTTGGGGACAAAGATTTATGCTGATGACTAAGCAAAAGTTCCAGAGGGCACAGTGAGAGGATTTTAGGTATTGAGGGGAGGTTGAACGTGGAGTTAGAAAAGGAAAGTGTAGCACCATGGCAGCTTCCAGTGGTAGTTGACATAAACAGGAATGGTAAGAGTTTTCCTGTTGGTCCCATCGAAGCTACAAGTATTAGGAAAGAAAGAGAAGGATCTTGAAGGACAGCCCAGATAATTAGGTCTCCCCCTTGACCCCTGCTGATGAAATAATGGACTCTATACAGGGATAGGTTTGCACTGAGTACCTGTGTTTACCGCTAAGTTCTGCAAATGGGGCAAAAAGCCTTCGAGGGGCAGACTTGTCCCTCATGTGGGAGGGCTGTCATTTCAACCTTTCTAACAGATGTATGGAGGCCAGAAGAGGGGTAGCCCCACTCTGAAAATCATGAGTGTTTCCTCTTGACTTCTGCCAGTTCTTGAGCTTACAAGTTACATATCCAGCTTGCAAGATAAATTATCCCTTGGTCCTATTTTGAAAACTCCCTGGAAGCATATTCTGATTGGTCCACTTTGAGTCTGGGTCTAATTATCTGTAACCAGGCCCAAATGATAATGTTGTAGAAAGTGACTACGAAGAGCCCCTCAGTATGATGGAGGGAGGCAGATAAGGGAGTGCTTGCATGCTGGGCCGACACTCTAACAGGTGTTGATTAGGGGTTTGATCAAACATAGCTTTAAAAGACTTTTTGATGGCTGGTGTCTGTCAACAATTGGTGATAGAAATAGGTAATGTTAATGGCAAACTTGGCATACACATGTTCCCAACTTTGTGCCAAACAGCAATTTAGACTTTCATGATGCAGAATTAAGAGAGGAGAGAAAGAGAAATGACCTAGAATGGCTGAAGGAATTTTATGGAAAAGAAATACTTGGGAATAGCTGCATGGTATGCAGGCAAAGTAGATAGGAAAGGAAAATAGGATTTTAAGAAGCATTTATGTGGACACATATTATGTCATGATGTTTAACAATCATAAAAAAATAATTTTAACCCCTTTGAAAATACTTTTGCTGCTGGATGTGTTCCAGTGCTGTGACCCCAAGCTCAGGCCAGTCCACATGGATTGTGGCTTCAGCAAATTTCAATAAGTAGGAAGAAAGAGCTGGGTTTCTGGAAACAGGGGGACTTGTGCAATGAAAACTGGACACCTAAGTAGAGACATCTTAAATAATTGGAGATATGAACTTGAAGTTCAAATGAGAGGTCAGGGAATTTATAAACATAGAGCTGAATGTGAACCTTGAGACTGAATTAGTTATGCATATACAGAGAGAAAAACAGCTGTGAGGGACTGAGCCTCATAAAAGACTCGCAATTGAGATGCACAGAAAGAAAGAAAAGACATAAAAGATAGAAACATCAAGAGCTATGTGGTTTATCATGGCAGAAATCAGAGGACAATATGCCAGGAACAAGGAAGAAGTCAAATACTATAAGAATTTTAAAGAACTCAAGAAGCTTCAATGGGAAGCATGCCCTTAGTATCTTTGACAGATGTCCTTCTGGATGAGCAATCCCTGTTATGGGAAGCTCTTCTCAAGGGTAGTGCACTCCACTACTGAACCAGTTTAGTTGTTATAGGTAATCTTGCATTCTTGTGATTATATTGCCCTCAACAGGGGGAGAATTGGTTCTTAGGGTTAATCCAAAATAATTTTACTTTTTGTGTAAATATATGTGCATAAACATATATATATGCAGTATATCTGTACTATTAAAACTTAAGTGCAAGCCAGGAACACTGGCTTACATCTGTAATCCCAACACTTTAGAAGGTCATAAATGGGAAGATCTATTGAAGCCAGGAGTTCAAGACGAGCCTGG
Source organism: Homo sapiens (assembly GCF_000001405.40). NCBI lineage: Eukaryota > Metazoa > Chordata > Mammalia > Primates > Hominidae > Homo > Homo sapiens. The sequence goes on along the minus strand of NC_000006.12, from coordinate 71,525,800 downwards.
GCAACAAATCAAAACTCCGTCTCTAAAAAAAAAAGAAAAACAAAAACAAAAATTAGCCAGAGGTGGTGGTGCATGCTTGTAGTTCTAGCTACTCCAGAGGCTGAGGCAGGAGGATTGCTTGAGCCCAGGAGTTTGAGGTTACAGTGAGCTATGATCACGCCGCTGCACTCCAGCTGGGTAACAGGCTGGAGTTACCATACCATATAATAATAATAATAATTATTATTATTATTATAAAAACTTCATTGTGAAGTAAGGGTGAGCAGCAATTAGGAAAAAAAAGTCTTTAAAGTCTTCTTAATAAAAGGTAGTTGAGATTCACTGTCTTCTATTAATCTGCAGGTAGTAAATTCCAGTGGCTTAAAAGAACCACGCCTATGTTGCTGTTAGTGTTTTGTGAGGTGTAAGGGATGTGATGGTAGCAGTTTGGGCGGAGTCTGCTCAAACAGCTACTCTTAGATTCTAGCTGACAAGGCTACAGGATTTTGTGGCTGGTGTCATTATGGAACACTTTCTTGATGGGAGAGCGACTGGAAAATCACTCATGGCATTTACTGTTTAAGCTAGAGGTCACACTCATCTCTTTTGCTCACATTTCATTATCCAGAACAAGACACACACACACTGTGTAAATTCGGGAGGACTCGGAAATATAGGGGAGCAACTATTTAGTGAGCATCATGATGTCTATAGTCTTGTCATACCTAGCTGAAAACTGCCTCTTTAGAACAACTCACAGTGGTCCTTGTATGGCACCTTAGAGCAACACATTGACACCTTATTCCCTCTTCTGCAAAAGAGAAAATTAATTCTCTTTAAATACCTTTCGCCATCTCTAACATGAGAAAATTACCAACACGTTTATCAAACCACTGCCCTGGGGCACGTATCCCCACCTACCTGGATGTTGTATTTCAAGAAACAAATTCAACTGCATGCTTGTGTTTCTAAGTAATGTTAAAGTTTTTATGCTTCTAGAAATTTCTACATGGAGTATAGTGTATAGTAAGATCATACTTAGTGCCCAGATCTAAGTATGAATTGTTCAATGCTGTCCAGTTATTTTTTCTTTTGCCACACTATTTTATGTGCTGATACTGAGCTGTGGTCAGCCAAAACCTGAGCTATTTTTTACACATTCTGCCACAAAGCAAAAAAGACATTGTTTTTATCAAGGATTAGATACAGATGGATAAAATGTATCTGTATGATGCACTTTCTAGTAGGTTATCTTGTTTGTTTGCTTCTCTTTTGTTTAAAAAAAAGTTAAAGATGAGAATAGCAAAAGCAATGACTATTTAAAACAACTTACAATTTTATGTTTTTCTTAAAAAATAAGTCCCACTAGAATTGAGCCGTGTGTTTGGTGCTTGCATCTTTGTGGTTTTTTTGTTTGTTTGGTTTTTGGTTTTTTCGAAGTAACTATGCCTTCATGCAGCTTCTGAGGCTTGCCCCAAGCACAATGGCTAATCAAGTAGGTGAAAATCAAGTGCCTACGATTTTCAGCCGCTTGTATTCTTAAGACATTGTCTCAAATCTCTTCCAGATTTCAGTGACAATTATTATTGTACTTCTTGTTCCTTTTTACACCCTTTATTCTCATATCAAAGTTCACCTTCTCACTTTCTAGATCAAAAAATACTTACGTGGAAGACACTTTGTAACTATGAAAAATAAATGTTACAAGTCAAATTTTCCTCATACAGTAAAGTTTCTTACCTCCCTTCCAGCTGTCAAGGAGCTTCCAAAGAGAGAGAGAGAAAAAAACATTGAAAAAGACTTGTGAGGCAACTAGTAGAATTTACATGGACCCGTGGGAGACTCTCAGAAAAGAACCCTTAGAAGGAGAGAGACTTCAACTTTGTCAATATTATTTGGAAAAGTACGCTAATTGGGGGAAGGAACTTTACATTTTTCCACATTTGGGATATAATAAGAACAGAAGTAAAGTAGTAGTGACGAAGTTGCATGACCAAACAGACTAAAGGGACTAAATGAATAGAGAAACTTCACCTGAAACCCAGAGTTTGTGCTGAGGGTAATGAAAGATATGGTTAGAAAGAGAGGTTTCAGTCATGTTACGCTGAAAACAGAGTTTGGACTTGGCACTGAAGGGCCATTAAAGACTTGTGTAGAGAGAAGTGACATGATCAGTCAATTTTTATGACAAGTGTTATGATAGCAGTATCTGAAATAAATTTCAGTAGAGACACAATGGCAATAGGAAAAGGAATTAGAAAATGAATGCACTAGTCCAGTGTGATATGACAAGAGCCTGGACTGGGGCTAGAGAACCAGAGTGAAAATAAAAGGAAACATAAAATATGGGAAAGGTTATGAGAGGAATAAAAGTCAGGCTTCATTAATTGACTACAAGTGAGAGAAGAATAATAGAAAAGAGGCTTCTAGTCAATATAATAGAGTAAGATGCCAAGTGAAATACTCCTCTTCCATTTTTACCACTGAGAAATATACCACAACCACAAAAGTAAATCCATAGCTGAGCTGAACTAAAAGTCAGAGTGGTAATAGGGAGTTAAATCTGAAGGCTTAACACGAGAATCAGGATGGATAGTAATACTTGCCCTAGGAAGCTCACTGAGAGCTGGAGCTGAAATCCTAGAATCAAGAAGGTTCACCCTATAGGCAAAACAGATATGAGAAAACCAGCACCTACCAGACTCTGGAAAGAAATTGGAAAGCTTGTCAAAATACCAGGTCCATGGGTAAAAAATATTTAACTATGAGAAATAGGAAAATCAGGCCTGTGCCACATGTATGTGCAGTTAGTATTAAAGCAACCCATATGGTACAGAAACCCCTTTCTGAGAAATTAACTTAAAAACGATCTGGAACAAGTGAAAATCCATTAGTCCCCTGCAGAAGCAAACACTAATTACTCTCTAAGGTTTCTCATACAATCTATGACAGAAATCACAATTCACAGAGTAAAATGGATCACTATCATTGAGAGTCAGCTGAAGGAGAAAAGAAAAAACAATTTGTACTTGTGAAACAAGTGATAATAGATTTTAAAAGAGACGGAGTCAACAATGACTAGACAATCAAACTTGAATGATTAGAAAAAAATGGCTAAAACTCTTATAGAAACATTCCTCATCTTTTTTATTCCCAGAGAAAAGACCCCAAAAACAACCAAACCTGCTGGAGAGTGAAAAGGATACCTGAGAAAGGGGAGAGCCAGAAAAGCAAAAACCGAACTTGACACTTAAATTTAGCTCAAGTCTCTGGATAATCTCTGAACTAAACACTTATGAAACAAACAGAAAGTAACTTGCAGCTAAGAAGTCACTTATATTTGAGCTGTCAACAACTGCAGACATGGAAGTATACAATTTGAGTCCAACCAAGTCAACTATGGACTAAAACAAAAACTTCAACACTCTTTAAAGCAATATGATGGATTCTAGAGTCTATACAACATAATATTTATAACGTCCAGGGTACAATCCAAAATTATTCAACAAAAGTCCAGAAAATATGACCCATTGCTAGGGAAAAAGACAATCAACAAATGCCAACTCTGAGATGACCCAGATGTTGGAATTATCAGGTAAGGACTACAAAACAGCTATTATAATTCTCTTCAGTTAAGTAAAGAAAAATATGTTCATAAGTGAGAAGAATTTACTTGAAAATCTTAATAGCAGAATGGAAATTACAGAAGTAAGAGTAAGTGAACTTAAAGACAGATCAATAAAAATTATTCAGTGAGAAAAACAGGAAGCAAGAGGAGGAAAAGGAGGAGGAAGAAGAGAGAGAGAGAAATTATACTAAGCAAGAACAGAGCTTCAGGAATCTGCGGCACAATTTCTGAAGGTCTTTATATGGGTAGCTAGAGTCCCAAAAAGGAGATAGAGATTGGGGATGGACATTCTCAAATGCAAAATACAAAATATTTATAGATATAATGCCTGAAAGCATTAAAAAATGGCAAAGCCCATAAATTTACATATTCAAGAAGTTCAGTAAACTCCAAACAGGATTAGTTAGAAGAAAACCATGGCTAAGAACATGATGGTCCAACTCTTGGAAACCAAAGATAACAAGTATATCTTAAAAATGGCTACAGAAAAACGTCACTTTACATATGGGAAAATAATGATTTAAATGGTCACTTGCCTCTCAGAAACGATAAAGACCAGAAACCAATAAAACAATGTTCTTAATGTACTGAAAGAAAATAAACTGTTGATCCAAAATTCTAAATCCAGCAAGAATGAAGGTGAAATAAAGATATTTTCAGATTGTAAAACAAATAAAAACTGTAAGGGAACTTATTGCCTCCAGATCTGTATTGAAGGCAATAACATATTTTTCTTTACTTAACTGAAGAGAATTATAATAGCTGTTTTGTAGTCCTTACCTGATAATTCCAACATCTGGGTCATCTCAGAGTTGGCATTTGTTGATTGTCTTTTTCCTTAGCAATGGGTCATATTTTCTGGACTTTTGTTGAATAATTTTGAATTGTACCCTGGATGTTATAAATATTATGTTGTATAGACTCTAGAATCCATCATATTGCTTTAAAGAGTGTTGAAGTTTTTGTTTTAGTCCATAGTTGACTTGGTTGGACTCAAATTGTATACTTCCATGTCTGCAGTTGTTGACAGCTCAAATATAAGTGACTTCTTAGCTGCAAGTTACTTTCTGTTTGTTTCATAAGTGTTTAGTTCAGAGATTATCCAGAGACTCTCTCAAGCTAAAGAGAAATGATACCAGAAAAAAATTCAAAAATAGACTTCATGCCAAGAGTACTACTAAATATAAAGAGAAACATTTTGTAATAAAAAAGATTCAGTTCATCAGTAGGACATAAAAATAATACATGGATATGTGCCAAATGACAGAGCCTCAAAACACATGAAGCAAAAATTAATAGAATTAGTGGAATAAATATTTCCACAATTTTGAGAGGAGAATGTTACACTCTTGTCTAAACAATTGATAGAAAATTGAGACTAAAAATTCATTGGAAACATAGAAGAACTAGAAAGCATTACCACATGGATCTAATTGACATTTATACAACATTATATTCAGAAAACTTCTCCATGAAAGACAAAGAACAGTACAGTCTCTATAATTCCATTTACATAAAATGTAAATGAAGCTATAGTGACAAAAAAATCACATCAGTTGTTGCCTAGGACAGAGAGCAGAGAGACATGGAATGGGGAGTGAGGAATCTTTTGGGATTGATGCAAGTTTGCTGTGTCTTTATTGTGAGGGTAGTTTCATGGGTGTGTATAACTGTCAAAACTTATCGAGCTGTGCACCTACATGGATGGAGTTTATTGTATATGAAATATTTCACTTATTGAGTTGATAAGAAAAATAAATATTGAATATCTTGAATTTGAAAAGAACATAAATAATATAATCCTATTTTTCTAATATTTTAAAATTTATCTCCCTATTGATTTATGCATAGAGAGATTTCCTAAGTAACACTTCTTAAATGTTTATGATTGTGATTTTGAGGAGGTAGAAAATTAGAGGTAAGATTATTTTTCTAAGTTTTCAATATTGCTTATATTTCCTTCTATAATAACCATTTGTCATCTTTACAAAATCAATAATTAATTTTTGAAAATGAATTGTTAATGAGGATATGAAAACAGCATAATAGAACACTTCTTTCATAAGGTTGACAGCAAATAGAAGCAAAAAAATTATAACATGACTATGGGATATATTAAAAGAGGAGAAGGGTTTTCACAAAAGAGAAAAATCTTTAAATATGTGAAATAGAGTTGTGGAGGAATGCTTCACTTTCCCCTCACAGATCCTTGAACTTTGTTTTCCTCTGTAGTAGCTAATTAATCTGTGAAGCAAATTTATGCCAACAGTCAAATAATTATTACAAAGATTTTCTGCTAGTCAATGTCAAATTTCCATTTCATTGAAATGAAGGAGATTCAATCCCTTTTTCCTAAGGGGCATTAATGTTGCAAAATAAATAATTTGCAATACAAAATAGGGTATGAAATAAGTGCTCAATTTAATTTTAGTAAACAAATGAATACATGAATGAAGAAACAATAGCTTTCTATTATCACGGAAATTATGCTCCATCAGTAATTGCATATTCCACCCCAGCGTTATGTCTGACCCACCTTTCAAGACCTTTAAGTTGGTGGTGATTTAGCTACAAGATCAGTTTCTCAAATGATAAGAGAGGCTGTATATAAAGTACATCATTATACCATAAATGAGATTTTATACTTCAGTGCATATCATGACACCTGTGTACATACTGAGGGACATACAACTTTATAACCATATGTCAGAAATCCAGAATAAGATTCTGTCTCTCAGCAGTTCTTGAAACTGAATTACAATGTTCAACAGTAGTAACTAAGCTTCCATGAAATACATTATGAACCAGGAATAGTTTGCCTTTTGAAGTATCTTAACCATCACCTATTTCTGGTTTTATTGTTTTTTACATGAAACAAAACACAAATCAATGGTAAACATAAGCCCAACTGCCAGGAAATGATGAAAAGTGAAAATTTTAATCACTATGTTTATAAAAAATGTTATAAATATCATCCAGATATTTAAATAAATGAGGTTTCTTAACTGCAGATTTTCAGTTTTAACTAAGAACTAATCATTCTTAAAAGTCCCTCTAGGTAAGTATTTGTAACTTTTTTCAAAATAACCTATTTTTGTGATATTATTTTTGGCCAAAACTTGAAATATTAGATGCTGTTGCCATTAGCAACAAAAAACATACATAAGTAAAGCAGTATTCATAAGATAAATCTAACAAGATAAGGGGTCATGCTCCTGACCCATTATGAATTCAAAGAGTTATAGAGTTCATAAGGTTCAAAGCTGTGAAGACCATACCAATTTTAGGCATTATCATGGCTGCTATAGGAATCTAAGTGTAAAATCTCATATGACATACCTTTCTTCAAGAGAGAAGAAGAAAAGTTACAGTTCTGAATTACACATTATCAAAAGACTTTTGGTCGCATACCTAGGAAGTTTAAAAAATACTGATGCCAGATCCTACTCTGAGATTGATGTGCTGGTATGAGATGTCCCTAGGCATTAGGATTTTTTTGGGGGCGGGGAGGGGGATGGAGTCTCGCCCTGTCACCTAGGCTGGAGTGCAATGGCACAATCTCGGCTCACTGCAACCTCCGCCTCCCGGGTTCAAACGATTCTCCTGCCACAGCCTCCCGAGTAGCTGGGATTACAGGTGCCCACCACCATGCCCAGCTAAGTTTTGTATTTTTAGTAGAGATGGGGTTTCACTATGTTGGCCAGGCTGGTCTCGATCACCTGACCTCATGATCCACCTGCCTCGGCCTCCCAAAGTGCTGGGATTACAGGCGTGAGCCACTGCACCCAGCCAGAATTTTTAAAAACTGCAGCTATAGAACTATTGCACTGGAATATCCTGAAACCTTTCTGTTCAAGAGCTAAGTAACTTTTCTGTTATCAATAATAAAGAGATTCATTTGTTTCTAGCAATCATATGTAATTTTGTCTTTATCTTGAGGTTCCTATTTAGCTAGCAACAAGAAACAGTGACTGAAGTTTGGGAATAAACTATAGAATCCTATGAGAGCTGTAGAGTGAGAAAGTCAACTAAAAGCATTGAGGAAATCACATGTTTTTCCTTACAAAGATGATAAAGCAAATACTTGATACATACACCACTCACATTTGACCTAAAAAGCTTAAACATTAATATTTTAAGTTGCAAAACCGAAAAGTATGTTACTGAAATGCAAAATATGTTTGTATGTGTATGTATTTACGTGTGTGTGTGTGTGTGTGTGTGTGTGTGTGTGTGTGTGTGTATGTATAGTCACGTACCTCATGACAATGTTTGGTCATCAAGGGGCCACATCTACAACGGCAGTCCCATGAGATTATAATGAAGCTGAAAAATTCCTACCTAGGTATGTCATAACATCATAGCATAACCCATTACCCATATGTGTTTGGTGATAAAGGAGAAAACAAACCTACTGCACCACCAGTTATATAAAATTATAGCACATACAATTATGTGCAATACATAATACTTGATAATAAAGATTATGTGACTGGTTTATGTATTTACTATGCTATGCTTTTAGTCATTATTTTAGAGAATACTCCTTCTATTTACTTTTTTTTAAAGGTTAACTGTAAAGCAACCTCAGGCAAGTCCTTCAGGGAGGATCCCAGAAGTCATTGTCATCATAGAAGATGACAGCTCCATGTGTGCTATTATCCCTCAAGACCTTCCAGTAGGACAAGACGTGGAGGTGAAAGACGGTGATATTCATGATCCTGACTCTGTGTAGGACTACACTAATGTGTGTTTGTGCCTTAGTTTTTAACAAAAAAGTTTAGTTAGTTTTTAAAAAGTAATAATAAAATTTGAAAACCAAAAACTTACAGAAAATGGATATAAAGAAAGGAAACATTTTTGTATAGAAGTACAATGTGTTTGTGTTTTAAGCTAAATATTTATAAGACAGTTTAATAGTTAAAAAAATTAAGTTTACAAAGTAAAAAAGCTACAGTAAGCTAAAGTTAATTTATTATTGAAGAAGGAAAACTGTTTTTATAAATATAGTGTGGTCTAAATGTATAGTGTTTATATCATCTACAGTAACATCCTAGGCCTTCACATTCACTCTCCACTCACTCACCAGCTCACCCAGAACAATTTCCAGTCCTGAGAGCTTCATTCCTATTAAGTGCCCTAAATAGATGTACCCTTATTTATCTTTACTCTGTAATTTTACTGTATCTTTTCTATTTTTAAATATGTTTAGATGCATGAATACTTACCATTGTGTTACAATTGCCTACGATATTCAGTACAGTAACATGTTATCCAGGTTTGGAGCTTAGGCTATTCTATAGAGCCTCAGTGTGTAGTAGGCTATACCATCTAAGTTTGTGTAAATACCGTTCTGTGATGTTTGCACAAAGACAAAATCTTCTAATGATGCATTTCTCAGAACTGCCCCTGTCATTAAGTGACATATGACTGTATATACATACACATACATATACACATATATATTTACATATATCTAATAAGTACATGTATATCATCTAAAATGACCTCCCCTCAAGAAATATCAATCTTAGCTTTTTGAGACGTAAATTTTCAAGTTTATTTATATTTATATTTAACATAGCAGTAATGCATGCACCTGAAATAAAATTTTGAAGTGACCTAAAACTAATATTGTTATTAAATTTTTAAAATATTTGTCTATCTCCAAATAATAATTTTTAAAGTGTAAACATCACCTAACATTATTTTCAATTAGTAAACTACTTTTAGAGCAGTTTTAGGTTCACGGCAAAATTGAACAGAAAGTTGAGAGTCCACGTATACCTTCTGCCCCTGCATATGCCTCCCTTACTATTAACATTTGGCACCAAAGTGGTACATATTTAAACATCCACGAACTTAGAATGATGCATCGTTATCACCTAGAGCCTGAAGCTTACCTTAGGGTTCACTCTTGGTGTTGTACATTCTTAACATATTACTTTGCCATATTTGCTGAACTTGTTTCTGTTTAAAAAAATAAAACATTACATATTCAGTTAAAGCCCTTTTGTACCTCCTCACTCCCTTCTTTTTACACAGTATGAGTGCCCACATGCACACACAGCCACCCATTGCCCTCACCATCTTTGTAAAGATAAACAATATTTTAATGTTGGTGGATGTTTTGCTCTCCTTTAAAAAATAATATTACTACATATGCATGTATAGTATAGTGTAACATAGTATGCTATAATATAGTGATATAATTTCTTAAACTTTTACTCGACTTTCTCAACTAAATGTCTTTAAAGTTGTGATAAGGGAAAGCATACGATATATATAATTTTGTAACTTGCTTTTTTCACATGACATGTTTTCATGATAAACCCATGCTGATATATATGAATCTAGTTTATTTAAATTGCCATACAATATTTTATTTGCTAACTATATCAAGCTATATGTATTTTTCTGCTGATGGATACATAAATTATGTGCTCTTTTCTGAATTTATAAATAATACTACAAATAATACATATTCTTTCTGCATATCTATGTTCATGTGCCAACATTTCCCTACATTACATAGACCTAGGAGGAGAATTTTAAGGTTTTAAGGTATACATATCTTCAGTTTTCCTAGGTATTGGTAAACTATTCTCCAATGTAGTTATGACAATTTATATTCTTACCAACAGCTGGCATTGTTAAACTTTTAATTTTGGTCTTTCTGATAGTTTGAAAATTGACTGTTGTCTTAATTTGCATTTCTCTAATTACAATTTAGGCTGCATATTCTTTCAAATGATTGCTAGTCATTCAGGTGTCCTCTTTCAAGAATTGCCCTTTAACCTTTGCTCGTTTTCCATTGGATTTTAAATCTTTTTCTCATTGACTGTAGGAGTGTAAGAGCTCTCTATGTACTCTGGTTACTAATCTTTTGTCTGCTGTGTGTCCCACATACCTTTCTTGTTTGATTACTTACTTTCCTTTTTTTTTTTTTTTTTTGAGATGGCGTCTCTGTCTGTTGCCCCGGCTGGAGTGCAGTGGCACAATCTTGGTTCACTAGAACCTCTGCCTCCCAGGTTCAAGCAATTCTCCTGTCTCAGCCTTCTGAGCAACTGGGACTACAGGCGCATGACACCACGCCTGGCTAATTTTTGTATTTTTAGTAGAGACAGGGTTCCACCATATTGGTCAGGCTGGCCTCGAACTCCTGAACTGACGTGATCCTCCAGCCTCAGCCTCCCGAAGTGCTGGGATTACAGGTGTGAGCCACCACATCCGGCCTTATTACTTACTTTCAACCTGTGTATGATGTCTAATGTCACACAAATTTTTAATTTTAATATATTGCACTCATTAATCTTTTCCTTTATGATTTATGCTCTTTGTGTATGCACTTAGGTTTACTTCCATAGAATAGAAACATAACTATTTGGCTTAAAAAAACTGTAAATATGTTGAAACTTGATAAAACATTCAAATTGTTTGAATTATTGAAGAGTTAGTACATTTACCATCAATCTGTGAGAGAACTGATTTACCATATTCTTGTAATGGTTAATCTTATGTGTCAACTTGGCTAGGCCACAGTTCCCAGATGTCTGGTCAAACACATCTGGATTTTGCCATGAAGGCATTTTCTACATGAGATTAACATTTAAATCAGTAAGTAAGCTTTGAGTAAAGCAGATTACCCTCCATAATGTGAGTGAGCCTCATTCAATCATTAAAAGTCTTAAGAAAAAAAAAACTGACCTCTCCTAAGGAAGAGGAAATTCTACAAAAGGCTGCCTTCAGCCTCAAACTGCAATATCAACTTTTTCCTGGGTGTCTAGACTGCTGGCTTATCCTGTAGATTTTGGATTCGTCAGGCTACACAATCACACTAAGCCAATTCCTTAAAATAAATCACTATCTCTCTCTCTCTCTCTCTCTCTCTCTCTCTCTCTCTCTATATATATATATATATATATATATATATACACATCCTATTGGTTCCGTTTTCCTGGGGAACTCTGACTAATATAGTTATATTACACAATGTTTTGTTTCCTTGTAAGTTAGATATATATGTAGCCCAGTGTCATTCATGGTTAATATGAGATGTCAGCCTTTCTGATTCCAGTTTTTCTATTAGAATCATGTTTTAATTTCAAGAGTAATATTCACTTCCTTTGTCTCCTTTGATCATCATGTTGGTCTTTCCCATGAGTTGGTTGACATTTCATTTGGATGGACTCCTTATAAAATGAGGCCCCTATTAATAAAAATTTTGTACTTAGAAAGTTCATTTCCACCCACCAGATTTCTTCATATTACCCTGCATTTTTAAAATCACTGGTATACATAATTGATTAGCTGGAGTACATTTATGTTTTCTAATTTTCCAGTAAACTAATAGTACTATTTAAATAAAATGTACCTTACAAGTACAAACCAATTTCTAATTATTTGATTTGTCTGTTTGAATGTGGTTCAAGGGGATATTTTTGTACTAATAAAGATAGCAATAATTTTTATTGCTGTAGTTATTTTTAGGTTTAGGAATATTTCAAAAAATGTATTCTAAAAATCAGCTTTTGTAGCATTTTGTATATGACCATATCTATGTGAATGTGTAGAACAAAATCCTTTTCTTATCTATATAAAATATTTTTTATTTTAATTTGATGCTTTATTTAAAATATAGCTTGAAAAGCATAATGAACTTTCAATAAACAATCTCATGGACTGAAAATGGGAAACTTGCTGTTGTTCCAACTCCCACAGTAACCAAACCAGCTTTATTCACATTCCACACCAATAGCCAATGCCATTCATGGAACAAAATAATTGCTGATAGCAACGGAAATATTTCTAAACTACCCTCTTCTTTTTATTCACATCTGTTCGGCATTTGAATGAATTTTAATTTTGTTTTAGAGAATGTGCTTAACTGTATATTAAGTAGCTAGGATCTGTGTGTGTGAATGAGTGAGAGAACAGCTGATTTACGGGGCTGTAACATAATATGGCCACAGTGACCCATGCTGGTCTTTCCCTTGCAGGATAAAGTATAAGAGAACTTGCTATTAGTTTTCAACCATAAACAGTACCCATAGTTGTGTGCCTTATCATTTTCAAATCATGAGGTGTTATTGTTAAAAATACATGCTGACATTAAAAATAGGTGCTGAATGCCTAAGATTTTTCACAAGGCTTGATTGTATTCCAGTGAAAACTGCCTTTTGATTTTCATATTTATCAGGACCATATTTTCTATGCAGAAAGAACGTAGCAATAGAGAAATAAGCTGCTTTTTAGTGTTATCTTCATGAAGAAGTAACTATAACTGGAACTCAGAAAGCCTTAAATAAAAGTCTCCATAAGACACAATAATTTAAGAGAAAAGAGTTCATTTCACACAGCCAGGTATCTGCCAGTATTTGCTGCCTTCCCAAGCAAAACAACTCTAATAAACTTGAGTGAGGTCATGAGCAGTAAGAATCTCTTGAAGCTGCTGAATGCTGAATGCTTTTTAAAGAAATGTCCAATAAAGTATGTCATATCACAAAGATAGGTCCAGTTATTACCTTTTTTTTTTTCACATGAAAAACCTGAAGTCAACAGTGGTTTCTCAACCACATGGCTCACAGCTGAGTTGTCCTTAATTTCCCTTTCCCACATACCCCACACCAATTCCATTAGCAAGTCCTGTCAGCCCTATCTTCAAAATATATCCCAAGTCCAACCAGTTCTTACCACTTCACTGCTGCCACCCTAGTTCAATTGGCAACTATCACTTTTCAGAACAGCTGCAACAGCCTCTAATTTCTCTTTCTGTATGCGTTCCCACCCTCCGACTATCCAGTGCCTACACACAGCCAGAAAGATCTTTCCAACGTTTAAATCAGATCATGTGCCTCCTCTAGCCACAAATCCTCCAATGACTTTCCATTACCTTCAGGGCTTTTTGTGATTAGCCCCTTCCTGTATCTCTGATTTTACCATGCTCAACTTTCTCCCCAATTCACCATCCTCCAGCCAAATTGGGTAGCTTTCTGTGCTTCAAACATGCCAATCTTCCTGACTCAGGGTCTTTGTCCCTACTCCTGCTTCTTTCTGGGTTTCTTTTCCTTCAGATCTTTTCATGATTGATTTTTTTTAAGAGACAGGGTCTCGCTATGTTGGCCAAGTTGTTCTTGAGGTCTTGAACTCCTGGCCTCAAGCAATTCTCCCACCTCGGTCTCCCAAAGTGCTAGGATTACAGGAATGAGCCACCGCACCCAGCCATGATTGCTTCTTTATGCTCAGTCTTGTCTCAAGTGTTACTTCCTCAGAGAGGTTCCCAGTCTTAGCAAAGCAGCTTTTCCCCCATTCCTCTATCATATTGTTCTCCTTTATCTTCTTCATAACACTATTGACATCTGAAATTATTTTATTTATTATGTGTTTATCACTTCCTCAATATTAGTTATCAATCACTGCATAATTATGTAAAACTTCGCAGCTTGAAACAACAACAATCATTTATTATCTCACATACTTTTTTGTGAGTTAAGAATTTGGGAGTGGCTTAGTTGGGTTGTTCTGCCTCAGAGTCTCATACAAGGTTGCAGTTAGATGTCAGCCAGGGCTGCAGTCATCTGAAGACTTGACTGGGGCTAGAAAATCTGATTTTAAGATGGCTGACACACATGGTAGGCAGGTTTATGCTGGTGACCAGACAGAGGTCTCAATTCCTTGCCACATGGATTTCTCCACAGGGCTGCTGGAGTGTCCTCACAATATGGCAGCTGGATTCCCCAAGAGCAAGTGATCCAAGAGAAAGCAAGGCAGAAATCACAATGTGCTTTTTTATCTAGACTTGGAAGTAACACATGGTTGTTCCAGCACTGTCCTATAGTTTATACAGGTCATCCCTATTCAATGTGAGAAAGGACTAGACTAGGGTAGAAATATATATATATATAAAATATATATATCACATGAATATATATATTGAATATATATGAATATATATTCATATGATATATATATAAAGAGGCAAAAATCATTTGGGGGGCACTTTGGATGCTGGCTGACACACCCTGGAAATCCTGACTCTGTCCTGTTTAAAAATATCCCTACTGACCAGGAAAATATCTGATGCTCAGTAAATGATTAATAGTTGACCAGCTGGTTAATGGAAGATTTGTATCTCAGTTTCTGAGTTTGTGTTCATGCATATGTGTGTTTGTAAAAAACACTAACTGGGAATCAAAGGAAGTGAGTTCCTTCTTAGCTTTGTCCTGACTTGGTCATGTGCCCATGTATAAGTCACTTAACCTTCATGATCTTCAATAGCTTCATCTATAAACTGGGAATAATATGTATCCTGTCTCATGCCCACATTTGCTGTAAACATTGTGTAATGGAAACTTTGCTCAATTTGGATTCAGAATAACAAATTCTGGATTCAAATCTTGTGGTAGTAAAGTTGTGTCACATTAGTCCTCACCCTCCATTTCCTTTTTAACAGAACAAATAGGTTAAATTAGATCATCTGTAATGTTCTTCAGATTCTATAGTCTCTATGGCTAATGCAACAAATGATGTAATTTGAGGGCACTTTAAGAAACAGTATTGTGTGGTTTTGCAAAGAACATTATTATTATTACCAAAAGAGTCACAACACAAGTCAACCTGTCATTAAAGTAGCAGTTTGGCATTCTGATTGAGGGATGGGCAGGCCAGCACGGCAATGTCACACATTGTTAGAAGGGCCTAGAGGACAATTAGAGGTGGAATTGGCAATTACTGGCAATCCCGACTTCAGTTGATCGTGCTGTTGCGACCACTTCGCAGGCTCCACTTCAGCTGGCTAAAACCTTGCCAATGGCCTCTGAGGTTTCTGATTTGATGGCCCAGATAATTCAAGAAAGTGTGAGGAAAAACTTTCTCACCAGGGCCCCAGAGGGCACCCTTGCACCTTTCTAGAAATGAAGGGTAACAGCCTCAACCACAAGTCAGCTGTGATTTGTGAGTACTATAAACACAGACTTATTTTAGAATTCTGGTCAGCCTCTCTCAGTCCCCACATGTACTCATGGACCTCAGCCAAGAACAATTCCCCTCCCTAAATTGTAAGAAATCTTCAAAGGCCACCAAATCACTAAATGCAAAAGACTCCTGGTAAAACTCCTTCATCATAAGATGTCATTTAATATTCTCTCTGCTTTTGTTTTAAAACTTGTTTATCAGAAGTCAGTAAGAATTGAGGCAATAACACCTATCACATTTGTACTTCAGGCATGTTTGTTTTTTCAATATCATTTGAAAACTAAGATTTGTAGGTTTTGCAAAACACATATTTTTTTATTTGGCATAGAGACAGTTTAACTTTGAGATCTCTCACTAATTGTTTTTCTTACTAAAACAGCTTCAACTTTGGCAATCATAACCCACTTGGTCCTCATAGTGGACAATACACTTAGCAGCCTGTATTTTATATATATATATACACATTATACATAGTAACAGAAAAGTAAATGTCTACAGAAATGTTATTGTTTATATCTTGTATGAATAATATTTCCCATACTTCTAAGAACTCAGAAACATATCTTTCATCTGTCTTTAGAATAAACTCTGGGGTGTAAAATTCTGAACAATGATGTAACTGATATATTTGAACAAACATCTGTAAAGCAAGACAAAGTGTCATTGATTTGTTTGTGGAACTAGACCATTTGAAGTCAAGTATGTGGATCTTAGTGGCTTACTTGTCAGCATTCTTACCAGTGGTGGCTAGTTAAAATAAGCTTAAAACATTCAAGCATATTAACACAGCTCTGGGCATAGGACCCAAAAGAAAACATTAGGATTCAAAGCAATACAAAACAGTGCTACCAATTACACTGCATTACACTTCTTAGATTTTTGATGCTTAATCCCTCAAAGCCACCTTGAACCATGTGCTGAAGCCACCAAGAGTGTTGAATGAAAAAATCCAAGGGGATTAAGGAGTCATTTCCACTAGAGAGAAACACGTTTTCTCAGCTGTTCTGGTTTCTATGAGGAGGGATTTTCCCTAAACACTTCTGCCCTATTTCTGTTCCTTTACTCCCTTTCTCCTGGGGAGCAGAGAAATCTATCATACTGGGAATTTAAGGGTAAATTTGGCATGCTGAGCTCAGTTTCACCCACCATCATTTTTGGAAGAAAGAGACCCTCTGCTCCTTCATTCTTAAATCCTATCTGGCAAGATAACGCCCCCCTTATCCCGCAAGCTGGGGAGGCTCACTAGGCTCCAGCATTATAAATAGAGTGGATAAGTCTCTGAGGGTCAGTTAGCGGAATAGTTCTTTCTCACAAAGAACAAACTTCAACTTTCCCAATATTTTGGGATTCCATCTGTCAATCTTTGTCTTATACTGTGTAACAGTATCTTACAGTATCCAACGATGTCCAACAAACCAATTAACAGAAAAGTTTCTCCACATTTTTTATATCCCCCAAATCTAGCCCACACGTGCAGCTATATACTGGGTTTGAAGAAATACACATGTTAAGAAGGTATATAGTTAAGGTTGAGACTTAAGAAAATGCTCTTGATACCATGTTAAGTGAAAAGAGAGGTAAAAATTTTGTCCATATTGTGAACACTGCATTAAGCATTCATGAAAGTCCACTTTTTTTTGCAAAATCATTAGTATTTTATTGAGTTTTATAAAATATTTTTTTCATGTTTTAGTTGGTTCTCTCCCTACTGAAATACATCTTATTATATTTTCAAATAGGTTTCCTAAGCAGAGACCTCTTGCTTAGCATACAACTCCGAAGAAAAAAAGCTATTTTGTGTAGAAAGCAAAATAGTTGTTTTATAATCAGCAAATGCAGTATCTACAAATACTGTTATTTATTTTATCCAGTCAATATAGAGGAAAAGAACTTTCTAGTGTTTCTTCCTTATCTGTGTTTTTTCTTCTTTACTCCATACTTTTTCCTATGCTTTGAAATCATATTCAAAGTCCCATTTCTTTATTTTTATTGTTATTTTTGAGACAGCCTCATTCTGTTGCCAAGACTGGAGTGCAGTGGCATGATATCGGATCACTGCAACCTTCACATCCTGGGTTCAAGCAATTCTCATGCCTCAGTCTCCCAAGTAGCTGGGATTACAGTCACCCACAACCACACTTGTCTAATTTTTGTGTTTTTAGTAGACACAGGTTTTATACATGCCGCCCAGGCTGGTCTCAAACTCCTGGCCTCAAGTGATCCACCCACCTCAGCCTCCCAAAGTTCTGGGATTACAAGCATGAGCCACCACGCCAGCCAAAGGTCCCATTTCTTTCTTGACAGCCACTGTCAGGAACTCTGATCTGAGTCAAATGGAAGTTGGATGGGATTATGAAAAATTTTGAGGGCTGCCTCAATTCAAGCACCTAAGTGAGTCCATGAGAATATTATTATTTGTCTTTAATATTTGTAATATTCCTGCAATTATATTGATATCTATATAATGAAGCTAGGAGAATCACATATACAGCATTGAGGTGGACTGCTCATTGCTATTACATTGAAATGAAGAGAAAACTCTAATTTTCAGGAGGAAAATTTTATATCACTCACCACCTAAATGTTTCAGTTAATATTAAGGTCTAAATTTATTAATAGTTCTACCTTTTTAGCCTATATTCAGTTTACAGGCTAGTAGGAAACGTTCCATGTAACGTGTGTGTGTGTGTGTGTGTGTGTGTGTGTGCGCACGCATGGGTTTAAAAAACAGGTGTGAATTGAGGATGCTCTGATTTGAATGCCTGTGTCAGTGTTTGAATGCCTGTGTCAGTGTTTTTTCAGCCTCTTCTATAGTACACCAGGGCATTTAAATCTACTTTCTCAGGCTTTACTTGAGAATCACGAGAGACTCATCATTTGCTTTCAAAGCACTCCTGCCTGTTGAGTTCCTCAGCTAACTTGATTTATTCCTTAAAGCCACAGCAGCCATCTTTTTCTTAATTTTTCAGGATATAACAAGAAAAGGTGACAGAACCACAACTGTGTTTAATATTCTTCCTCTGAAACTACTTAGGATTTTGAAATTACAGAATAGGCCAAGAAGAAATATTTAAGGTGATTTGTTTCAAGGGGGAAGTGAACAGGATATGGCAGGACCCAACATGAAATGGAATAAAAGAAAGGGGAAATGAACAAATGAAAGATGCTTTGGATTAAGAAGTAAAAGTAGAAATTAGGTGACGAAGACCTTTCATCAGAGAGTTAAATAATTTTTGATTTACTTAGACTACAAGGAGAAATGTGAGGTTCTTTTAAAGCAGTTTTCATTTTGTTCACTATGTCAAGATTTTTGTTTCTTTTATTTTATGATTATTATTTATTATGAAAGAGCATTAAAACATTAAAGGAATTTCTAAACATAAAAACACTGTTTCCCATTACCCTAACACACTGAACATTTGTGTCACTTCCTTGAGCCATCCTCTTCACCCTCAGGCCAGATCAGGTAACTTATTTAAAGCTCTCTATACTTGTTTTCACAAATTTAGCCCAGTTGAACATGAAATTTTTACCCTTGATTGTACGCCCAACATCTAACTTTGTGTGTGACACATAGTAGGTATTCAATATTTTGATAAAAATGAATGATGAATAAATATTCCTCTTAATTATTCATCCTTGAACTCCATATGTCCTAATGCCTCACCAGTTTATAGATATAAATGAAAACATTTAAATCATCAAACTGAATTTCATTAGCTTTAAGGCCTCACTTGCTTGTGAAGGAGTTCCTGGATCCTAAAATATCCCTCTTAAATATTTAAATTCCCAAGATTCTCCCTGGTCTCTGCTCCTCCAAAGAACAGGTCTCTGTCAATCCTACCAGCACCAAGGCTCTCAATGCCATATGGAAAAAGAAAAATAGTTTCTTCCTCCCTCTGTCTGCACTTTGATGTACTCAGTTACAAATGCCCCACAAAAATACCACTTGGTCTCTGATATGTTACAAAGCTTAACAGGCACACAGTCCCTTCCTCTCTATGGTAAACCCAAGCTGGCAAATAAGAGTTAATGGACTCCATATGAGTCAATCAGTTCAGACAGTAGAGAGAAAATGGTGTCTTCCAGTCCGCATGCCGGCTTTTCTACCTATGCATTTAGGAAACCTGTTTACCCAGCAGGTTTGTCTTGATGTGGACATACTTGATATGTTGGTGGGGGCTCTGATTTTTGTTTTGTTCCCATCACTGTACTTAACCATAATCTGAAGATTTTTTTTAATCCCCTAATTGTATCTCTGGAAGATGTTGTAGCTTTCTGGTCCCTTTTAGATATTAGAACAGCCTCATTCAACTCTTCACATTTCAAATTCTACTGTTGTATTTCTTCTTCCCCATAGCTAAGGCTTAGTCTTTAACCTGGGGGTGTCTGTAGTTCTTAAGAGACATGGTCTGCTCTTTTACTCATCCCATCCCTCTTCCAGTGAGCTGTCACATGGGAAGAAGAAATAGAAGAAATGGCAGGGGTCATACATAGCTGGCTGCCCGATGCTGAGGGAAGGTGACCCTAGAATCTATTTCTCGAAGTCTCCACCAATGTGAGACTCTCTACATAATTGTTATGCACAATTTTTTAGGGGCACTCTTCAGCTTTGCTGTGATCTCTCCTTTACTTAATAACCCTTCAGAAAGGATCAACCATATCTCTGTTTTGGCTACAACAGGGACCTATGCCTCCAAACCCCTCCATAAGGGAGGGCATCATCTGAACAGCTCCATATCATCTACATCTTCTGCTGCCTCTTTCTCAAGTGTTATGCACCTTCTTTTGTTGTTGTTGTTGTTGTTGTTTCTTTGAGACAGGATCTTGAGCCATGGCAGCTCCTGAGGTCCTTGTGTGGGACCCCTGATGGACTAGGAGTTAGTCCATCAGGTGGCCATGTTCCCTTCATGTTCCTCCCATGTAACCTACAACCCTGGTGACTCCACTGATGCAGCTGCTCCAGTGAGGCTTCTGCCTTATGAAATGACCGGCTGAGAAATAAGCACCAGTCTTCATGTTCACATTTGGACCCCTAACTCCAGGGAACAAACATCAAGATCTCCTGAGATCTCCCTCATGTTCTGTCCAGGGGATGTGTCGGGTGGCTCTACCAGTTCTGCAGCTCAATAAACATTTAGTCAAGAATGAGATGCCTGTTGTCCCCTTCTTGCAATTCACGATTTCTCTTCAAATCTCTCTCCCTCTTTGCTTTTGTTGAAGGGAGAGCCAGCTGCCTATGAAAATGCATGCTCCCCTTTCGTGATGTATATATGTCTCTAAGAGACCATGACCCATTCAAAGACTGTGTTTCCCAGCCCCCCTGTCATGTAGGTAGGACCATGCGACTTGGTCTTACCAATGAAATACAAATGAAGGTGATGTATCTGCACCGGGCCCAAGCCTTTAAGAAGCGGTAACTTCTCTCTGCTCTCTTCTGCAATTGGATGAAGAGGACTTTAATGCCCTGAGGGATGGTCAAGATACAGAATGCAAGAAGCTTTGATTCCTAATTGACTCCATAGAGAAAAGCCATTGCTGACCAATAATACACACATGGATTTTATGTGAGCAAAATGTAAATCACTATTGTGTTACGACTGTTCTGCATTCTGTTAATAGTACCCAGAAGTACCCCCAAATAATATATGTAGGCCAGGCACAGTGGCTCATGCCTGTAATCCCAGCATTTTGGGAGGCCAAGGTGGGCAGATCACAAGGTCAGGAGTTCAAGACCAGCCTGGCCAGCATGGTGAAACCCTGTCTCTACTAAAAATACAAAAATTAGCCAGGCATGGTGGCAGACACCTGTAATCACAACTACTTGGAAGGCTGAGGCAGGAGAATTGCTTGAACCTCAGGAGGCAGACGTTGCAGTGAGCCAAGATCATGCCACTGCGCTTCAGCCTGGGCAACAGAGCAAGACTCTGTCTCAAATATGTATATATGTGTGTGGGTGTGTGTGTGTGTGTGTGTGTGTGTGTGTATGTAATATGTCTGTGAGAGAAGGCAAAGAGTTTTTATGTAGTCACTGAAGCTCACAAGGCAAGACTTCTAAATGAGTTATAGAGATGCCTAGATCCAATTGTTGGATATTTTCTTTGAAATACAGGTCATTAACTGGCTTTTATTTCATCAGCTTTGAGCCCTAGTCATTGTCATGATCACAGTCATTATTACCACCTCACAGCTAAACTTTGCGTGCCAGAAACCATTCTTATCGTGTTATATGTATTAGCTTATTTAATTCTCACACAACCACATTTTAAAGATGAAGAAACTGAAGCACAAAGAAGTTTACAGAATCTGCTGAAGGTTACATCAGGAAGTGGTGCAACCAGGACTCAAACCCAGGTAGTCTTGTTCTAAAGCCCAAGTTTTTAACAACTAATGTATACAGTCTACAACTTCAAAGTACTCTCACATGTTCCAGGACTTTAAGAATAGTCCTAGTCAGCGTCTTCTGCTATGTGTATCTTTATGTAGTTATATAACTCATGTTTCCCTAGACAATATGTAGTAAATATACACATTAAAAATGTAGTGGCAAAATAGGTATTCTCCCATTTAATTCAGGAACGATGTGTTTCCAAATGGCCATGCCATTCCTCTCTTGTATCTAATTGCATCTGTTCTGACCACAGCTTGAGTCTCTGTAATAGAAATGAGTCTGGCCTCACTTCTATACCAGCCTTTACTACTCTGAATAGAAAAATGGTTCTACTCTCAACATTATCAAAACTTCTTTTTAGAATACAAGACAGAAAGTTCTTACCTTCTTTGTAGCACGCACACATCCACACACAGACACACACACACACACACACACACACACACATTGTTCAGCTCATTTATGTGACTTCTTTTCCATTTTTAGCTTCTCTTCAAACTTGGCACAAGTGCTTGAGAATGGGGGGAAAAGGCTATGGAGAGAGGTTGAGTTTGAAGAAAATCCAAGTGATATTCGCTAAATATTGCAATCAAAATGGCCTCTACCCTTGCCTCCTGTCTTCACCTCTCACCCAAACCTCTACCAGTGTCGCTGCACCAAGCTTATGAATCATGGTGCTCTCTCTGGCTTATTTGGCGAACTTCCCAATAGCAGCATGTACAGCCCTTGTACCCTCTCCATCCTCCCTAGCCCATATTTCTTTTGAGTCTCAGTGACAGTACCAGTCACAAACTCCAATATGTTCAACTATTGCCTCTCTGGAAGTGCTATTTAAGTTGTCACAGAAATAGAATCCCCAACAGCACTCATTCCCCAGTTAGTCCATCTAAAAAAATAGAGAATGTTTAGATTAAGTTGAATTCAAAGCAACCCCCAGAGCTAAAGTCCTTACTCTGGAACTGTGGCTGTGATTTTAACCTTAAAGTAGAGAAAACTCTCGCTCTGCTTTCTTTTACATTATTTCATGGTAATCTTTCATGTATCAACATTGGCTTTCTAGTTTTTATTTTAATAGTTTCATTCGATCACAAAGTTTGAAAATAACATACATAATTATTCTTTTGTTAATAAACATTTAGGATTTTTTTGGGTCCCACTTCAGTTTATTTTCGCTAAGGAAAAAAATTACTACTATGGTATTTTCAAAAAACTTATTGAAATATTAATCCTGGTTCTCTAGGGGAAAAAGTACCTTTATGAAGTAGTAATTTCCTACAGGATCTCAGAGTATCAGCTAGTGGCTTCAAGGCTGAGTCTATAAAACTATGTGTGGTAAGTTTAAAGGTGCCTATTTGTTAAATGATAAACTCATGAACAAGATTTTTCAGACTGTATTTACCTGGGGATTCTGGGTCCTCTGAAGAGGCCAATAATTGTGAGAATTGCTTGATAATTCAAGTATTCCTGGAATTTCCAGAGTGTTATGAAGTTTGATTATTAAACCTAACTTTGGCAAAGAAGGCAATGATGTTTTTTGCAATCTATTGCTGTTACAACCTTCTCCCCAACTGCACTGAGGTTTTTATATTGAAGAACCACGGGGCTTGAATAAACACAGCAGAAGACTCAGCAATAAGAGGCCTCACTGAGCGCAAAGGAGCATGGTCCCTGGGTCCAAGGCCCAAGGTGAGCAAGAAGAGGAGGAAACTGAATCTTCTATGAGACCACATTTTAAAAAGAATGTGGTTAAGATACAAAAGTTGTAGCTGGAAAAGCAATGCAGAGGGCAAAGTCTCATGTGAAAAGCAAGGGTAAAAATGGAAGAAACACGTGATAGGATCGGAACTCCAAAAAATGGAGAGTTAGTCAGGATGGAACATTCAGAACAGGTATAAGAAACAGCTTTACGGTAGCTGTTGCAACTTAAAAAGATCATG
Source organism: Homo sapiens (assembly GCF_000001405.40). Taxonomy (NCBI): domain Eukaryota; kingdom Metazoa; phylum Chordata; class Mammalia; order Primates; family Hominidae; genus Homo; species Homo sapiens. The sequence goes on along the minus strand of NC_000006.12, from coordinate 71,501,892 downwards.
GTGTGACACTCTGTTAACAAGTATTATTACAGGTTAATGATAATCTAGTTATATAATAATAAACTGAAGGTTATAGAGGATCTAAATGTGCTTCCAAGTGCTAAAAAATAAAATCTTTCATCAAATCTAAGATGCTATTGTGTGTAAGATGTATCTGAATGTTAGAGGGTTAAGATGTGGAATCAGGTGTGACTTAGAACCTAAGATATATGGTAAAGTGAATTCTCTTCCATATAATTTAAAATGCTGGATATTTTATTATACCATGTTTCTTTGAAAGTGGTGCAATATATAGTATATTTTGTAGTTACGTACCCATTCCACAGATTATTTAATAAATCCCTGAAGTGAAACACACTACACAACAATCTCTAAAGGCAGAGAATTAAAGGGGACATGGATCATGTTTTCCCAGATCATATTGTTTTGTAATAATTTGATCAAATACCCTATCTACAAATACCATATATTTTGTTATCTTAGGATGGGCTGGGCCTTAATGGTCTCAAATTGACCCTCAAATCTCAGTAGAGTAATCCAACAAAGGTTTTATTCTAGATCAGCTCACATCACGGTCTGATTCTGTCAGGAAGCCTTTCCTCATCTTGGAGCAACAAAGTCTGGAGCATAGAGTCTCCTGGGCTACTACAGCAGGGAAGAGACATGGAGGGAACCTATTGAGACCGTTAGCAGCCTTGGTCTGAAGCTCGCTTTGTTCCTCTGCTTGTGGTCATTGGTGGAGCATTCATCTAGGCCAACTGAACTGCAAGAGAAGCTGGGGACTATTGAAAATCAGAATGGAGATTTCTGAACACTATTTCTGGGATAGGAGTTATTTATTAAATGGCTTTACTTGGACAGAAATCCTCTAAACACTATGTGTTTTCATGAAGCAATCAATGAAGAAGTTGCCTGACTCCCTGATTGACATCTGTGCTCCACGTTTGCTCTCCTTGATATATCTTTTTGAAAATAAGTTGCATCTTTTTCTAGCTTCATATTTTATAAATAACATACTCTTCTGTAAAAATAAAATATAATTTATTTACAATAATCTCATTAGGCATGAACATCACTTTCGAAGTATCGTGGACAAAGTATTTAGAACCATATAAAAATTATAATTATGGCTATGCAAGCTCCCCTTTGGATCTCAGGCTTTAAAGATTGAAACATATAGCACAACAAATAACATTAGGTATGACAAAGCTACTGCATCCCCAGGCCCAGGGAGTACCATTTGTGTGTACTGGGAGTAAGTGGTGTGTGCAGGGTCATCTGAAAAGAGCAAGGCAAGCCTACCCCTGGAGTTGTAGGACACACAGCAGCCCAGGGTGGAAACCTGAAAAAAATACTCATTTTAATCTTTATTGAAAAACATTATCTGCCCTGAAACTATAATTATGGACTCTCAAGAAGAGAGCAACTTTATGGAATAAAATTAGAGAGGAGTTTTGCCTAAAACACTCTATTTGAAATGACGTAAAAATGAACAAATAAAGGAATTTAACTGCTGGCCTGAAAATGTAAGCATAGAAATAAATAAAAATAGAAACATAGTCCCTAGTATTTTAGAACAAGGCCAGAAAAATGGAGATTTTAACAGCAGAAACCATTAAAATTTTTGATGCCTCACCACATGAAGGTGGAAGCTTCCCCACTCCTGAATTGTTTCAACTGCCTTCTTTCTTTCTTTTGTTTGTTGTTTATTTGTTTTAGAGACAGGGTGTCATTCTCTCACCCTGGCAGGAGTGCAGAGTGCCATCATAGCTCCCTGCAACCTTGAACTCCTAGGCCCGAGTGGTCTTCCCACCTCAGCCTCCCAAAATGCTAGTATTACCGGTATGAGCCACAATGCCCAGCCACTTCCAATTATTTTCTTTCACTCTCTCTCGAGTCTGATTATATATTGTTACTAATTTTTAACAAACATGCCAGAGTTTTGCATTTAAATGAATGTTGTTTCAGTCTAAGTAGTCATCTTGGGAGGCTGTGGGTTAATTTGATTGATGTTATCATTGTCCAAATATTTTTGGAAACTCCTCTTTTGGAATTGCCTTCAAAGTCAACATCACATACTTTGGAACAGTGACAAATCAATGTCCTAAAAGGAAGACTCTTATTTGAAGCCACTAAATGTTCTTTGAAGTTAAATTTATTACCTAAAGGAAATTATCCAGCTTATTAATATCACTTTAAATTCTAAGATATATATGAGAAGATATGACCTTAATAGTAATTATGATTTTATACAACCTACACACAGGTATGAAAGATACTTTGATAAAATGTTTTGAGCAAAAATAGCTAGTGTTAATGTTGTTGGTAGCTATCAGTCCATGGAAATCTCTATAAAGTCTACTATATTTACTTAAAATTGTTTTTTGGCTTTTTTTTAAATTACACTTTATGTTTTCAGGTACAAATTCTCTGTTTGAGCATTCTAACCAAATAAGGCCAGATGACTTATTGACCCTTCCACCAGTTTTTAAAATTATGGTGTCATTTTGTATTTCCACTACCTTAAAATAACTATATAACCAAATTAAACTCATTAGGATCTTATATTCAATTAACATTAACAGTTTTTTAAAATATATATATAGTTTTGTAATAGTTTTAAAAAGCATGAGATGAAAGGAAAAAGCAATAGATTTGGGGTACCTAATTAATGCCAGGCACTCAGCCTGACTGAAACCAGAAGATAACTGGAGTGGGGAGAACCCAAGCCAAGTGTGTACTTGGATCTTCCTTTTGGATGAGGGCACAGTGGGGCTTCTCAAACCAGGATGGGACAGACCTTCCTGGGTGCCCTGTTGATTTGTCCCTCAAACCACACAGCGAAAGTTACCTCCCACTGGGAAGATGCCATAGGAAGGCCTGATTTCCCACCACTAATGCTGCTGAAGCTCAGGCTTGTTGGTTGTTTTGTTTTAGAGACAGGGTCTGGCTCTGTTGCACAGGCTGGAGTGAGTGGTGTGATCATAGCTCACTGCAGCCTCCAACTCCTGGGCTCAAGTGATCCTCCTGCCTCACCTTTTCACATTCCACCTGCTGGGATTACAAGTGTGAGTCACCACACTGGGCCTGAAACAGAGACTTAATGTCCCAATCATGGCCACTGGATACTGAGAGAAAAATTTCTGTGTATGGATGGGAAGGGTGAGGCTTGGTAGGCATAGCTTTTGAGACAGGAAGAGGAAGCCCCTCTTTTCTCCTCCAGATTGTGATTTGGGGAAAGCCAGGAGAATCTCAGAGTCCTGCCACTCAAAACTAACCATCCTATATAATGCATCAAAATCTCATTATTTTTATTTTTATTTATTTTATTTATTTATTTGAGATGGAGTCTTGCTCTGTTGCCCAGGCTGGAGTGCAGTGGTACAATCTTGGCTCACTGCAACCTCCACCTCCTGGGTTCAAGCGATTCTCCTGCCCCAGCCTCCTGAATAGCTGGGATTACAGGCACATGCCACCACACCCAGCTAATTTTTGTATTTTTAGTAGAGATGGGATTTCACCATGTTGACCAGTCTGATCTCGAACTCCTGACCTTGTGATCCGCCTGCCTTGGCCTCCCAAAGTGCTGAGATTACAGGCGTGAACCACCGTGCCCGGCCATCATTATTTTTAATAGATCTATAATGTCCCATATTATTACCATATCATAATTTATTCAACTATTCCCTCTGTAATGAACATTCAACTTGTTTTCAGGTTTTTGCCACCTGAAAAATCACCTGTTTATTACAGAGCTTTTACTTTATAAGTAATAAACCCTTTAATAGACATGTGTTTATGTACTGGTAATTCCTCAATTGGGATTGCTAAATAAAAGTGTATGATGTTTTAAATTGTAATAGCCATTTCCAGTTTAATTTCTAAAAAGGTTTGAGCAAGTCACACTCCCAGCAGCTAAGTAGAGGGCCTACTTCACTAATGTTGGACAGTGTTTTCTTCTTTAAATTTTTGCTTATCTGGTGTGTGAAATATTCCATCTAATTTTCTTATATTTTTCATTTCCTTGATTCACTAGTGAAAATACAATGTTTGTGGCCCATTTTCTTTTCTTTATTTACAACTTCTTTTAGTAGTCATTTGTACATTAGGAATATCACTTACATGTCTTCTGATGGCATTCTGACTGCATATATTTTTCCCAATCCATTGTTTTGTATAAGATATGTCTTCAAATACACACAAATACACACACACAGTCATGCACTGCATAATGACATTTCAGTTAATGATGGGCCTCTTTTACGACGGTGTTCCTGTAAGATTATTGGTCCTATAAGATTATAATACTGTATTTTTGCACTACCTTTTCTATATTCAGATATGTTTACATATTAAAAACTTACCACTGTGTTACAATTGCACACAGTATTCAGTAAAGACACAAGCTGCAAAGGTTTATAGCCTAGAAGCAATAGGCTATGCCATATAGGCATGTAGTAGGCTATACCATCTAAGTTTGTGTAAGCACTCTATGATGTTTGCACAGTGGTGGAATCACCTCATGATTTATTTCTCAAAATGTATCCCCATTGTTAAGTAATGCATGACTATATATGTATATATGTACACACACATATATATATATTCCTTCATTCTAATCCAGTTAAATATAACCATGTTTTCTTGCTAAGTTTCCTACCTACCTTAACATCTCTCTTGACCAAAATTGTACACGTATTTTTAAATATTTTGTTTTATTTTTAATTTTTACATTTTGTTTATATTAAAATTTCATTTAAAGATAGGGTCAAGGAGGAACCCCCTAGAAGCTGATGAGCCTTGTAAGTTCCAGTAGTTTCCAACTCATCTTTAGGTCATTTCTTCCTCACAAATCATTCCTTTCTCATGCAAATATTTCTCCTGTTTCCATCAATATACTTGGAAATAACAAACCACTTTTCTTTTAAAATAGTGAATCCAAAATTTGTATCGAATTTCCCCCAATTAATTAAAAGAAATTTACTTCAACAAGCACTCTCTATTGCTGTCTGCTGTGCATCGGGTGTTGGGGAAACATTGGCAGAGATACAGAAAGGGGAAAATGTGACATGGCAGTTTTCCATAGGGCACTTCCAAACTTGATAAGATATTCTTTTTCAGACCAAAGCTCTACAAAGTTTACAGTTCAATTTTATATCAAGGGACCAATTTTTCACACACGAATCATCATTTAAAATTTGGTGGTGAAAAGGGAAATGGCAGAAAAATTTTGTGGAGTGGGGGTTGTCTCTTTTGTTCTCTTGTGGGAAACACAAAAAACAAAATAAAATGTGACTGTTGCTTCCTTCCCCCACATCCCAAACTCTATGTGGTTTAGAGGAAGGAAGTGTTCAGGAGAGAAATCAGTTTCCTAAAGTTTTAACCAAAAGACTTAGGGGATTGAATTTTTTTCTAAAATAACAACTGCAAACGGATATTTATATAAAGAGTTAGGTCAAACCTAAGAACTAAGAGTTTATTTTTAGATTTCTGCTTGGCCAAGGGGGAAATATGGTAAATGAGCCTCATGTTCTTAAATGGGCATGCAATGGAACTCAAAAGATTTCAGAAATCTGAGAAAATGCTCTTAAGAGCATCAGTTTCTGTAGGCATTATTAGAAACCCCTAGACAATAACAATATTACTACGGGTTTTCTTCCTTCCCCGCCGGCCCCCAAAGTTACTTTCAGTTTTAGTGCTCTGGTCTCTACATTCTTGAAGATACCAAAACAAAAAGAATAAAGATTATGTAAACATAGAAGATATAAATAGAATGTCAAGTGACTTTAGCTGCACAGATGGTGAAGCTGTGCTTTCTGTGGGGCAGCCACCAGCCCTGTGTGGCTATGAAGCATTTAAATGTGGCAAGTCCAGATTGAGATCTGCAGAAGCATTTAGTACACATTGGATTTAAAAGTGAAGTATGAAAAAATACAAAATATCTCATTAAAATGTTTATATTGATTACATATTGAAATGGTCATACTTTAGACATAGTTGGTTCTATAAAAATATATTATTAAAATTAATTGCACCCATTTCTTTTTTCCTTTTTTAAGTGTGACTACAAGAATATTTAAAATTGCATCTGTAACTCAGAAAATCTTTCTGTTATATAACAGTGGTACAGTACTGGAATTAAGAGCTGGGCTCTGAAGTAAACCTACCTGGATTCATAGTTGGGCTACTGACACACAGGCCAGATGACCTTGGGTAAGTTCCATAGGCAATCTGTGCATCAAATTTCATATTTATAAAACTATGAAGGATAAAAGCTTTCCTATTTCAGAGGGCTGTTTGAGCATAAAGCGTTCAGAGCCTGGCACGGTATAAGAATTCACTAAGGCTTCGTTCTGTTATTTTTACTTCAGAATCCAAAAAAGCAAACACTTTTTTTCTGTAAGAGAGAAGCTCTAAAAATAAACAACAAAAAAAAATTAAAATCAGAAATTTATGCTTCCCCCACCTTCCTTCCCCATTCTTTGCAGCCAACTTATTACATTGAGGAAAAAAATCAAACTATCCTTCTAAAACAAAATATTTTCAAGATGCGAGATTGTCTGTTAGGCATTTTTTACCCCCCATAGCTGTGCCCAGTTCTCTGAGAAGACGAATGCAATTAGAGAAAACTATAGATTTTTCCTTTCTATTAATACATCTCATACAGAATTATTGGCTGTAGTATTGGATCTGACTTTAGAAAAAAATAAGAGCATGTATCTGATGCCCCTGACATCATGGAAGTGAGCCTGAAAACAATAATAGTTACAAGGCACAACTTGAAGTTATTGTGGGTTCAGTTCTAGACCACTGCAATAAAATAGACATCACGATAAAAGGAGCCATACTATTTTTTTTGTTTCCCAGTGCATTTAAAAGTTATGTTTATACTATACTGCAATCTATTAAGTGTGCAATAGCATTATGTCTAAAAAATGTACTTACCTTAATTTTAGAATACTTTATTGCTAAAAAATTCTAATGATCATCTGAGCTTTGAATGGGTCCTAATCTTTTGCTGGTAAAGGGTCATGCCTCGACGACCACTGCTGATCAGGATGGTGGTTGCTAAAAGTTGGGGTGGCTACAGCACTTTTTAAAAATAAGGCAACAATGAAGTTTGTCACATTGATTGAATTTCCCTTTCACAAAAGATTTCTCTGTAGTGTATGATGCTGTTTGATAACATTTTACCCACAAGAGAACTTCTTTCAAAATTGGAGTCACTCCTCTTAAAACCTGCCACTGCTTTATCAACTAAGTTTATGTAATATTCCAGATTCCTTGTTGTCATTTCAACACTGTTCACAGTATCTTCACCAAGAGTAGATTCTATCTCAAGAAACCACTTTCTTTGCTCAGCCATAAGAAGCAACTTCTTATCCATTCAAGTTTTAACATGAGATTGGAGGAATCCAGTCCAATCTTCAAGCTGAACTTATAATATCAGTTCTCTTGCTATTTCCACCACATCTACAGTTCCTTCCTACACTGAAGTCTTGAACCCTCAAAAGCATCCACAGAGGTTGAAATCAACTTCTTCCAAACTTCTGTTAATGTTGATATTTTGACCTCCTCCCATAAATTATGAATGGTCTTTCTGACATCTAGAATGGCAAATCCTTTCCAGAAGGTTTTCAATTTGCCCAGATTCATCAAGAAATCACTATCTATGGCAGCTATAGTCTTATGAAATGCATTTCTTAAAAAATAAGACTTGAAAGCCAAAATTACTACTTGACCCATGGGCTGCAGAAAGGACACTGTGTTAGCAGCGTGAAAATAACATTAATCTCCTTATACATCTCCATCAGAGGTCTTAGGTGACCAGGTGCATTGTCAATGAGCAGTAATGTTTTGAAAGGAATCTTTTTTTCTGAGTAATGTGTCTCAACAGTGAGATGAAGATATTCAGTAAACTATGCTGTTAACAGATTTCCTTTACCTAGGCTTTGCTGTTCCACTTATAAAGCACAGGCAGAATAGATTTAGCATAATTCTTAAGGGCCTTCAGATTTTTGGAATGGCAAATGAGCACTGGTATCAACTTAAAGTCACCAAGTTGCATTAGCCCCTCACAAGAGAGTCAGCCTATCCTGTGGAGCTTTGAAACCAGGCATTGACTTATTTTCTCTACCTATAAGAGTCCTAGATGGCATCTTCTTCCAAGAGAGGGTTTTTTTGTCTTCTTTGGAAATCTGTTGTTTAGTGTAGCCACGTTCATAAATTATCTTAGCTAGATCTTCTGAATAACTTGCTACAGTTTCTACATCAGCACTTGTTGCTCGGCTCTACCCTTTTATGTTATAAAGATGGTTTCTTTTCTTAGACCTCATGAACCAACCTCTGTTAGCTTCAAACTTTTCTTCCGCAGCTTCCTCATCTCTCTCAGCCTTCATAGAACTGAAGAGTTGGGACCTTGATCTGGATTAAGCTTTGGCTTAACAGAATGTTGTGGCTGGTTCAGTCTTCTATCCAGACCATCAAACTTTCTCCATATCAGCAATAAGACTGTTTTTCTTTCTTGGCATTCATGTGTTCACTGGAGTAACATGTTTAATTTCCTTCAAAAAGTTTTTCTTTATGTTCACAATCTGACTAACTGGTGCAAGGGACCTAGCTTTTGGCCTATCTTAGCTTTCGATATGTCTTCCTTGTTGAGCTTAATCATTTCTAGCTTTTTATTTAAAGTAAGAGACATGCAACTCTTCCTTTCCCTTAAACTCTTAGAAGCCTTTGTGTGGTTATTAATTGGCCAATATCAATATTGTTATGTCTCAGGGAGGCCTGAGGAGAGGCAGAGAGATGGGGAAATGGCCATTTAGTGGAGCAGTCAGAACACACACACCATTGATCAATTATGTTATTCAATTATGGCAGTTCACGGTGCCCCAAAACTATTACAATAGTAATATCAAAGATCACTGATCACAGATCACCACAATAATAATGAAAAAATATTTTTCATTATTATGAAACAATTTTTATTTATATAATAATTTAATCAAAATTATTTGAAGATTTTTGTTAATTTATTCAAAATTATTTCATATAAATAATTTCAAAATTTTCAATATTATTAAAATAGTGCAGTAGTTACTAATATGTGACAGAAAGACATGCAGTGAGCACATGCTGTTGGAAAAATAGCACGAATAGACTTGAACAATGAAAAGTTACCACAAATCTTCAATTTGTAAAAAACACAGTATCTGTGAAGCCCAAGAAAGGAAAGCACAGGAAAACGAAGTATGCCTGTACTTCTGCAGAGCTTTTTCTACTTGTGAAGCATTATGCCCAAGTGCTTTACATGTTTTATCTCATTTAAATTCATACAACAATCCACTGGAATAAGTATTATTTTCTCCATTTGATGGTGAGATGGTATCTTGGAGAGGTTAAGTAATTGCTAGAAGTCACATAGTTAGTGACAGGGTAAAGATTAGGTCTAATCTGGGTCTACTAAAGACATGTATTGTTAGGGGGTCTTATTATTTCTCAGACAACTATCAATAGGTCTGCACAGATCACAGCCTCGTGGAGAAAAAAAAAATGCTCTTATCCTGTAGCAAGGATATTACACAAGTGAAAGAGAAATAGTTATTAGGCTCATCACATTGTTTCTGCTAGAGCATGACTTCAGAAATTAAGTTATTTTCAAAATTTCTTGCAGTTCACTCTGTATGATGGTGATGTTTTTGAGATAATTTCACAGCACATAATCTAACACTTAGCATATAGTTACTGCTTATTTAATGATTGTTGAATAAATAATCATATGAGTATGTGTGCCACTAGCTTTTCCTAACCAGAGCTTGTCATCTGAACCACAAAGCACAAAAATATTCTGAGTGATTATTTACTCAATCTTTTCAAGTATTTATATAGCAAACACCATTCAAGATCCACAGGTGAGAAGTTAATTTATTACATGCAATAGATGACTTAGGACAATGGGGCTTAATTCACTCTTGGAATCCTATAAAGAACTAAAATTAATCCATGGTCTTTGAGGGTTACCTTAACTTTAGTCAGGGGTGGCAAACTACAGCCTGTGCCAAATATGGCCTATAGACCGTTTTTATAAGACCTCTGAGCTGAGAAAGCTTTTAAAAATTTAAAGGCTTATTTTAAAAATTGAATAATATGCAACACAGGCCATATGTAGCTTGCCATGCCTAAAATATGCACTATCTGACTCCTTTCAGAAAACAAAAATTAATCTCTGCTTTTGGTCATAGTACCTATATATCCAAGCAGAGCAACAGCTAACTTAACTGTTATTATTTGAGAAGCCCCCTAAGACACACGGCCTATAAAGTATTTGCTACCAATCTATCTTCAGATATAACATTCATACTTGTTTTCACTTGTACATTGAGCATTAAAACTGCAGCCTTGCCACCCTCATCCTCCACTAAAGGCCCTTGCACAGCAGCATGGCATAGTAAGTAATGCCATAGACTCAGAGTGACATGAGTACCAATTTCAGCTATTATTAGGTATTGCTTATTAGGTGAGAAAATTGGACATGTCAGAGATAATTTCTTCATTCATCAATAATTTGCACAGCAGAGTCTCATAAATAATGCTTCTTGGTACATACCATGTGTATTGGATATCTATTGCTGTGTATCAAATGACCCTGAAATGCAGTAGCTGGATAAAACAACATTTACTATCTCACAATTTTGTCGTTCAGGAATCCAGGCATGGCTTAGCTGGGTCCTCTATCTAGCTCACGGTCTCTTACAGGATAAAATCGAGGTGTCAGCTGTATCTCCAGTCATCTCAAGATTCAGCTGGGATAAGATCTGATTCCAAGATCATTCACCAGTTGTTAGCAGGATTCAGGTCCTTGGCAGCTGTTGTCAGAGGCTGCCACCAGTTCTCTGTCGTATGAGCTTTTCCATAGGGTAATTCAGAATACTGCAGTTAGTTTCCTTAAACTGAGGAAGCAAGCAAATGCCAGCAAGACAGAAGTCACGGTCTCTTGTAAACTAATTTCAGAAGTGATATCCCATCACCTTTGTTGTATTCTATTCACTAAAAGCAAGTCACTAAGTCCAACCCACACTCAAGGGGAGTAGACTACAGAATCTTATTACCAGGAGGAGGAGATTGTTGGTTAGCATCCTAAAAGGCTGCCCAATACATCATGATTGTCATGAGCAGGGAGTACATAGGATGGAAACATATTTATGATATTACCAGAAAAAAAATGCAAAAACTATTTGGAATATATCAGCATCTCAAGGAAGGCATATGTTGAACATCACAGCTCTGCAATAAAACAGAAGTGAACACACTCCTTTGTTCTGTGACTTACAAACTATATATTCTTGGACAAGATACTTTATGTCTCTGAGTCTCTGTAAAACCTACATTGCAGAATAGATGTAAAGATTAAAATAGATAAGACCAAAAACACCTAGCACTGTACTTGGCAAATGGTATATGGTCAATAACAATAGTTACCACTATTTTCCTTCTTACATGTATCCTAGTCTATCCAACTAGAAATCAATATTTTTAAAACCATATAGCTCTGTATAAAGACAATGACATCTAGGAATGATGTTTCAATGAAAACAGTGTTGCAATAAAAATAATATCTTACGTTAGTTTGGCACTTTTCACTCAACAAAGTGTTTTCACAAACTTTGTCTTACTTGATCCTCACAAGGTGTGTGAAGGCAGTTTGGGGCTTATCAAGGCTCATCTTTGTAAAACAGGAAAACTAAGAAACAGAAAGGTTAAATAAATTACCCAGGATTGCACGATAAATCAGTATATCAGGACAAGGATCTCTGAAAAGATGTGGAAGGGATTAGGAGTGTCTGGTGGTGGTAGGACCAAAAACATACTGAAACCAGAAGTACCAGTAAGGCAGGGGGCCACTTAAATCCAAAGAGTTCTATGGATGGAGTAAACCTGTGACTCAGCAGTCAGGAAGGCGAGGGCAGTCAGAGCTTCCCCTGATCAGAGCTCAGGGCAAATATGTGAAAGAAAAAAAAAAAAGCCAGAGCTCAGGACAAATATGTGAAAGAAAAAAAAAGCCAGAGCTCAGGGCAAATATGCGAAAGAAAAAAAAATCACTCAGAGAATGACCATGTAGCCAATGCAGAAGAACAAGGCAAGGGAAGGTCAGGCAAGGCTGATTTTCAAAATTTTTGTCAGATAAATTTCTTTCATTAAATTGATTGAGAACTATAAAAAGACATCAGAAAAGCAGTCAGGAACCTGTAAATCAGGGGAGGATGTAGGCAGTAGGCGGAGTGAATCAGGAAAGGGATTTGGAATGGCACTGACAATCAAAGTCATGCTCCACTAAGAACTGTGAATTAACTTAAAGTAAATACAGTGAGTATATCCAGATATACAGATATCTAGATATACAATATCCAGATATACAGATATCTAGAAATACAATATCCAGATATACAGACAACACGGGGATATTGTCAACTACAGTCTGTATACAACTCCATTTAGGTTATAGTTCATGATGTAAAAAGAAACCTTTAGGCCCAACTTAAAATACATGTAGTTTCATGGTACACCTCCCCAACTTCATCTCCCCCACGTTGTGCATACGAGAGAGAATCATACAATGGCCCCAACCAAGGGAACTCGTGGGCATTCCATATAATACTTAAGACACATTTTGACAGAATATAATATAACTCTACAAGTTATGTTTTTAGAAAGAGTATTTTCATGGGATGGTTAACACCAATATTCATTTGGAAAATAAGATACTGCCAACCTACATGCTGAGACACAAACATTTCTTTCTCCAAGGGCTTGACCTCAACAACATGCCACCTTAGTAGAATACCTTTGCGAACCTTTATAAACTATATATATATAAAAAAAAATTCTCCCTGTGAGAAATTTGTTTCACTGTAATCTGACTTAACACTATAGCCTAAGTTACATGAGAAAAAAAAATGAGTATTTCTCTTAGGATATAAAAAAACAAGAGACACAAGTAAGACTGTTCTCCTTAAAGCCTTTGTAAAAATGGGATGGGCTATAAACACACATGCATTTATTTTATAAGACAAAATTGCTGTACTCAAGTTGCCCCAAATCTAGAAAACTGAAGAAACATGTAAATTACCCACCTCAATAATGAATAATAAATGCTTAGAGGTGATGATAGGGCCTAGAGGAATTAAAAACAAAGGGGACTTCTGAGCAGAGGGAACACTTAAGTAGAGCTTCAAGAGACTAGCAAATGTTAAGGATGCAGCTGTTAAAAGAAAAACTATAGCCAAATTAAATTTAAAAGAGTTTAACTGAGCAAAGAATGATTGGCAAGTCAGGCAGCCTGTCGAGCCAGAGTTGGCTCAGAGACTCCAGCACAGCCAACATGGTGGAAGAAGAGTTATGGACAGAAAAAGGAAAATGACATACAGAAAAGGAAAGTAAGATAGAGACAGCTGGATTGGTTACAGCTCGACGTTTGCCTTATCTGAACACAATTTGAACAGCTGGCCACCTTTGAGGAACTTGGTGATTGGCACAGGCATAGACTACAGTCTGTATACAACTCCTTGTAGGTTATAGTTCACGATGTTCAGAGAAAGCTTTAGACCCAACTTAAAATACATAAGGAGGCAGCTTAAGGCTAAACTTCATTTAACAGTGCTGAAACATAGCAATTAGCTTAATGGCTGGGACACCAGTGTATGAAGAGGAACATTGTCTTAGTCTGTTGAGACTGCTTTGTTACAAAGTACCAAAACAAAGGAACAGAAATATATTTCTCACAGTTCTGGAGGCTGGGAAGCCCAAGACCAAGAAGCTGACAGAGTTAGTGTCTGATGAAGGCCCTCTTTCTGATTCATAGATGGCACCTTCTCACTGTGTCCTCAAATGGTAGAGGAGCAAACAAGCTCTCTGAGCCCTCTTTTATAAGAGCACTAATCCCATTAATGAGGCCCTGCCCTCATGAACTTATCACCTCCCAAAAGCCTAACGTCCTACTATCATCATCTTGGGAGTTAGGATATAAATTTGTGGAGGGACATAAATATTCAATCCAGAGCAGACATTAATAGGTTGGTCTACAGAGGTTAAGGCATTAAACCTTGAGGAGTTAAGGAGTCAGGACTCTTTCCTGATAGCAACCTAGTTCTGTATGGACTAATTTTAAGTAGAGAAATGACAAGATCAGATTTGTATTTTAGAAAAATCACTTGGAGTCGGAGACAGGGATGGAATAATAGGGAAAAGACTTTTAGCAAAGTAATTTATTCCTGGAGAAGCTTCTGAGAAAAGGATGTACCTAATCAAAACAATCTAATTTTATGCATACTCTTCCACTGTAGGTTTTGTACCTGGTTCTATTTTTAACCCACTGTTAGTGATTCCTGTTACAGACACATCTATTTTAGACTGGAAACTACTTTAATTCGTACCCTGGGTGATGAGGTCTTTTCAGAATATGAGGTATTGTGATTAACTTCACTTATTCACTAGCTCTCTAAAGACACACTGTAATTGGGTTTGATGGCCACTGTATTTTTTTGTCATTTATAGTTGGGTTTATGGTCTTTTTCAGAAATAATAACCAAAAAATAGAGCCTTTATAGAAATAATGAGCCATAGAAGAATTTTTTACCATTTGTTAGTGGCATCTGCCAGTCTGCTTGGCCATGCATGACAATAAATGCTATCTTTCTTGCTTTATGAAAATGACAAATTGAAATATGACTTCACTTTAAAATGCATTTGGAAAGGAATAAGACACATATCATATGTATCATAAGAACAATAAAGCATAAGAGAGTTTCACCTGACTTTTCACACCTCTTTTTGGACTTCTTTAGTTGTAAAAAAGAAAAGGTATGGAAATTACTAAATGACACACAATAGGCAGCTGACACCCATAGAGCTGAATATGTAATTCTGTGGCCTTAGGGAACTAGATATTGTTTTTGCGTGTGTGAGGGGAGAAATAGTGGCCCAGAATCTATAAAACAAAAATACTGTCATGGACCTATGATTTATGCCACAGATGATCTTAAATGTTTACTTTTTCTAAATTTCCAGAAGTAAATACCAAGTACTGAGCATCGGTGCTGTGCAGAAATCATTAGTGCTGTTCACCCAAAATTTGGGGTTTTCTCCTCAAGCAGATGGTAAGGCTGTAGTTTCCTGCCCCTTTTAAATGAAAAGCACCCAAGTGACTCACTTTGGTCAAAAAACTATTTTTAAAAAGTGACGTGTGCTATATCTGAGGAGAGGTTTTAAGATGCAGTGGCTCTCTTATCCCTCTGGCATAGCACATGGGCATGTTCAGGAATGTGGTTCTCCATCAGTCTAGGTCCCTGGGTGACTACCAGAGACCCATTTTAGACCTGACAGACAAGTAACAAAGCAAGAAAGGAATGTGTATTTTTATGGCAGCAAAACATCTATCTTGAATGATACAGAAATAAGTACCTAGACATGAGTGCTACCATAGCAAATAAGCCTAAAATATATGGTAGAGGCTAACAACCGGGCAGTAGACAGCAAGCAAACTGCCACTGGAGACGAGAATGATAGTGATCGTTGTAATGCAGTAGCAAAACAGTTGGTAAAACTGTTGCCTGGGATAATATGGAAGATAGAAAATGTAGCTCTAGAGAATAAGATAGGAAAACAGTGTTAGTGATATGTATTGATTATAATTGGCTGTACAGTCATGCACTGCATAATGATGTTTCAGTCAACAATAGACCACATATATAACAGCAGTCCTACATGATTATAATGTATTTTTACCGTGTCTTTTCTATATTTAGATATGTTTAAATATACAAATACCTACCACTGCATTATAATTGCCTACAGCATTCGGTACAGTAACATGCTGTCCAGGTTTATAGCCTAAGAGCAATAGCCTATACCATATAGCCTAGGTGTGTAGTAGGCTCTACCATCTAGGTTTGTGTAAGTACATCCTGTAATGTTCACACAACAACAAAATCATCAAACAATGCATTTCTCAGAACATATCCCTGTCATTAAACGATGCATGACTGTGTTTGACAGGGCACCACAAAAAGAGATGACTTCAGAAACAATCAGGGAGGTTTTAAACATCAATAAAAGAAAATAGGGGCTGGGCGCAGTGGCTCATGCCTGTAATCCTAGCACTTTGGGAGACCGAGGCAGGCGGATCACTTGAGCTCAGGAGTTTGAGGCCACCCTGGGCAACATAGTGAAACCACCCCCCCATCTCTACTAAAATACAAAAATTAGCCGGGCATGGTGATGCGCACCTGTAGTCCCAGATACTCGGGAGGCTAAGGCACTAGAATTGCTTGAACCCGGGAGGTGGAGGTTGGAGTGAGCCAAGGTCACGTCACTGCACTACAACCTGGGCGACAGAGCAAGACTGTCTCAAAAAAAAAAGGAAGTGGCCAGGAATTTGGGAACCTGCAGGATTGCAGAAGGTGATTTTATCTCTTCAACAGTTAAAAGATGAAACTAGAGGCTTTGAAGCAAAGGTCACCTGGAATTCTGCCTTGGGTCAAGGATCATATCAAGGATGTTATGGGATGAATTTTATACCCTTCAAGATTCACATGTTGAAGTTCCAACCTCTAGCATCTCAGAATGTAACCCTATTTGGGAATATAGCCTTTAAAGGGGTGATTAAGTTAAAAGAAGCTGTTTTGGTGGGGCCCTAATCCAATCTAGTTCTTATAAGGAGAGAGAAACACTGGGTGTGAGAGTTGTTCTATGTACCAATTTGAGTGGCCCACTGGGTGACCCATATTAAACATTTTTCTGAGTGTGTCTGGGAGAGTGTTTCTCAATGAAACTAGCACTGGAATCAGTGGACTCAGCAAAGTTGATTGCCCTCCCAATGTGGCTGAATGTCATTCTATGTGTTGTGGGCCTGAGCAGAACAAAAGGCAAAGGAAGGGGGAATTCAACCCATTTTTCCTGACTCTCTGCTTAAGCTGAGACATCTCATCTTATCTTCTGCCCTAGGACTGGGATTTGCATCATTGGCTCTCCAGGTTCTCAGGCCTTTGAACTCAGATTGAATTGTATCACCCACTTTCCTGAGTCTTCAGCTTGTAGATGGCAGACTGTGGACTTCTCAGTCTCCATAATCATGTGAGCCAGTTCTGTATGATAGATAGATGATAGATAGATAGATAGATAGATAGATAGATAGATAGATAGACAGACAGATTCTCTATGGGTTCAGTTTCTCTGGAGAACCCTAATACACTAGAAATACATACACAGAGAAAAGACCATGTAAGGATACAGCAAGAAGGCAAGCATCTGCAAGCCCAGGAGAGAGGCCACAGGAGAAAGCAAACTGCCCACACCTTGATCTTAGACTTTCAGCTTCCAGAACTGTGAGAATATACATTTCTGTGGTTTACACCACTCAGTCTAAAATGTTGTGATAGCAGCCCTAACCAACTAATAAAAGGAAATGGCTGCCAGGTGCAGTGGCTCACACCTGTAATCCCAGCACTTTGGGAGGCCGAGGCAGGTGGCTCACTTGAGGCTAGGAGTTCGAGACCAGCCTGGCCAACATGGTGAAACCCCATCTCTACTAAAAATGCAAAAATTAGCCGGGCCTGGTGACACACGCCTGTAATCCCAGCTACTCAGGAGGCTGAAGCAGGAGAATCTCTTGCACCCGGCAGGCAGAGGTTTCATGAGTGGAGATACTGCCACTGCATTCCAGCCTGGGTGACAGAGCAAGACCCTGTCTCAAAAAATAAAAAAGGAAATGCCCATCACATCACTGAATGAAATAAGATGTTTCCACAAAAACCAGTAAATGGGTTCAGTTCAGTTGGACCAGGTATCACAGACATCAAAGATTTCAAAATTAAGTCAAGAGGAAGAGAGAGGCATGGGAGCAAGGAAGAATATAAATATGGTACATCTAAGAAATATGTCAAGAGAAGAACTTTGGGTGGCCATTGACACATCTAGTTGTTTGAGTCAAATAGAAATGAAGCTTTGTCAGTTTGGCAGGAAGTAGATGGCATACACAAATTATGTAACTGAAGGAAATGTATGAAAGAAGTAGTCTACAGAAATATATCAGAGGTAAGGTACCAATTAGGAATGATGAGGTACTCAGGAATTAGCAACCACAGGAAACCTTTGCCACCCCTAGGCCTCAAGGACAAAGGGACAGCACTGTGTGGAAGGATCCTGGTGAGGTCTGGAGCCAGGGAAGAAAAACCTTTAGACAGGAGCTAAGACCAGCTGAGTAAGGTAGCCACTGCCAGGATTGTGAAAAGGTTGAGGAAGGGAATGTCAGGATAGGGATAAATACTGCAACCTCTCTCCCTCTCAAATCCTGCCCTCCAATTTCCTACCTGTGTCTGCCACTTGCCCAAACAACAAAAATCCAGAGTATAAGGAATTCTGGATAATGCAGTCCACAGAGGTCAGCTCCTGGGACACAGAATAAGGCAGAGAAGGGAATATATTTAAAGGGCAGAGAATAACCAACACAGAAACTTATTCAATATTTTAAAAAGATATCCTGGTGAAAAAGAAACAAACCTGGACTGACAAAGTGACTGTGTGAGACTTTAAATTGTCCTGGAGCCCCCAGTCTTCTGTAGGCCAAATGTAGGAAAGCTGCTCATCTCTCTTGAGTTGAAGACTTGGAGCCTAATCAAGCAATATTTCCCATCACCTGGGGACCATCCCTTCTGCCCAGCACATTCGTTTGGTTTCTATGGATCAGTGATTCCTGTGTATCTCCCTTTCCTTCCCTTTCTGAATGGAAGTATTTATGAAGTTATCATGCTCTTGCTTTTGCCATTGCATATCAGATGTATAGGGGACAGGTAACTTGTCTTATAGTTCATAGATCTCTGGGTC
The DNA here is from genome assembly GCF_000001405.40 of Homo sapiens. NCBI lineage: Eukaryota > Metazoa > Chordata > Mammalia > Primates > Hominidae > Homo > Homo sapiens. The sequence goes on along the minus strand of NC_000006.12, from coordinate 71,483,016 downwards.
ATAAGGAACCACACTGGACCTGCATGTGCTGTGACTGAATGGCACTTTAGCGTGTTCTGCCTCTGGGAGGCAGTAAATGTACATATCGTGAAGGAAGAAAAGAAAACTTTATGTTTGTTAGCTAGACAGATGTCCAGTGGTAGTCATTAGTGCTATTCTGCATTTCCCCACCCAGCCAAATTTTCCTGGTAACATGACTTGCTCTGGCAAATAAAATGTGAGCAGAGGTGAGATGGGTGTAATTCACTGCACACTCTCTTTCCCTTTCCTTTTGGCACAGCCACACACAAGTTCAGGATGGTAGCTCCTCCATCTGATTGGGTCACTGAGGGCCCACAATATGTAGAGGTAATGAATATACATCATTAGCAAGAAATAAACTTCAACTGTTTAAGTCACTGAGAGGTTTGGGGGTTACATGTTGCCACCATGCTATCCTAGCCAATCCTAAGTGGTACATGTAGACAGTGAATTAATTAGCACCTGTATTTTAGACTATGTAGTAGTCATTGCTGGGGTGGAAACAGTAACTTTAGAATCCTGAATATCAATATCTTTATTGCCATTCTTTAGGGCTAGCTATGTTAATTGTGAAACAAATGGAATTTGATTATCATCTCCACCCTCCTCATGCCCAGTAAAAAACTTCCCTGTCCTATTCCTTCTTGGGTATAATGTGAATTGATCTGAATCATAATGGCTAATAATAAGTGTGTGTTTCTCCTTTCACCGGTACTCAGAGAAATCTTCCAATGTGGCAGCACATTTCTCAGCCTCAAGTATACTACAGTGAACGAGACAGATGTAGCCCCCACTCTCATAAAGCCCCTTCTAGCAGGAGGAACAGACAATGATGTGAGTGACTCAGCCACATTAGTGGGGAGGCTGAAGGAGTCTTCTCTGAAGAGCTAACAGTAAAAGTAAAATCTGAACAACAAGGGACCAGCCATGTGAAGACAGGGAGAAAGAAAATCTAGGGAGGGGAAACAACTTGTACAGAGTACCCTACCACATGAATGAGCTTGGAATATTTGAAGAACAGCTCATAGTCCACAGTAGAGTATGGTGGTTGAAGGGGCAAGTAATAGAAGCCTTTTGAAGAATAGGCAGGTCCAGATCATAGAAGGCTTTATAAGCTAGGGTAAGGAGTTTGGGATTTATTCTAAATGGGAAAACACTAGAGGATTTTGAGCACCAGAGGGATATGATTTTATTAAGTTGTAAAAAGTTCACCCTAACTGAAGTGTGGAGAATGAATTAAGAGGGGGCAAGTGTGGAAGGAAATGGACCCAGGAGAAATGCACTGCAGCAGCCCAGGTAAGAGGTTGGAATGATGGCGAGAAGAGGACAGGTTTGGGATGTTTTAAGGTGGGTTTGACACATCTTATTGACACATGGAATGAAAAGATGAGGGAATCAAGAATAACTCTCAGACGTTGGCTTCAGCTACTGGGTGGAAATTGGTGCCGTTTAACTAAGCTGGGCTAAATGTCAACTAAGGTGTTTCGATAACATTTGCATTTAATTGTGGCCTTTAATGTCTTTAGCAGGAACATGAATATTTAGGAGATTGCAGAAATAGTAGGGGAAATACTTTTGAAATGCTGAGAGGAGAATGTTTCCTTCCTTTAAAAAAAAAAAAAAAAGAAAGAAAGCAAAACTGATTTTCTGAATTTGGCAATGAAAGCTGGACCTCCTCAATGGCATGAGGTGATATGACCTTTTCCTGCTAGATTCACCCCTCCACTTGGCAAAATCTTCTCTTTGGCCCAAAGAGCAAGAAGGAAGGGGAAATCCTGATTTTCCTTTAATGCTTGATCCAAATATGACTCTTCCTTTGGTATCTTTGAGCATGTCTTTGACACAGCATGAACATTTAAATATGAAACAGATGTAAGACATACCATGAAACTCAATTTTTTAGTTTACCGAGACATAACTTTTCCCCAACTTTCTGTCCACTATAGATCTCTTTTAAATTCCTTATCCTTCCTCAGGAGGTGGAGATAGTGGGGTGTTGGGAGTCCCTGTTATCTTAGCACATCCACCGTCCAAACACTCAGTCCAAGACCTCTCCTTTCATCTAGCCTGGTGTTCAAATTCTCCCTCTTTCTCTTACTCAAGGCATCCCCTTTCTTGAATGAATGATGCTGGGGATAACCCCTTCCCTATCCAGAGGACTGTGGTATCTGCCTCTTTAAGTTCAAAACAATCACATACAAGCAATACACATGCACTTGCTGGGGCAGGAAGGGGTGGGATCCTTTCCTTCCTTTAGCCTTTTGGCATCTCAAATTAGTCTATGTGAAAGGCCTTCTCTTTACAGACACCTAATGATTAAGAAGTCAGACTCTGGGGAGAGACCACCAGTTTTCAAATCTTATCCCTGTTGCTTACTAGATGAGTGAACTTAAGCATTTATTTAACCTCTCTGAGCCTCAGTTCTTCTTATGAAGATCAGGGATAATAGTACCAATCTCACAGGGTTGTTGTGAGGATTAAATGAGATGGTATATGTAAAATGCTCACCCCAATGACTAGTTCTTAGTAAATTCTCAATATACATTAGCTATTATTATTACTACAGAAATATCATCATCATCATTATCATCATCATGATTATCATCATCCCAGTTCATAATGAAATCAAGATGTACAATCGTGGTTACAAATTTTTCATAGACTCAACCCAGAAATAGAGTGCTTTGGTGCAATATCTGGGGCATATGCATAGAGGATCATAAATAAATTAATAACTAAGTTTCTTTCTGTATTTCCTCTATGAATCTATAAATATATTCCTTTCTTGTATACTAAAAATCAAAATTAAATTCATGATTTCTAAGGCCATGCATTTTAAATGTTTTAGGTGTCCACTTGATATTAACTCTGTTAGTATAAAATTTCCCAAATATTCACCTAATCCTATCCCTTCCAGCTTTGTTATAACTAACAGTTGCCTCTTTCATAGTTGCCACCATGTAATATCAAATGAGCACTCTTCTGTTATAAGTTCACTATAGAGTAGTTGTTTGCAGATTGCTCTTAATAATAGTACAGTTTTGTTCTGAACCTATGATTCATGAACAAGTTTGAAAACAAAAAGGCAGAAGATGAACTATAAATCCTAATGCTGGGAGAGAGAACCAGGCTATTCAGGCAGATAAATCTCAGATATCTCAGAATTGTGATCTTCTGGATCCTCATTATTATTCTCAGCAGCAGGGAGAATTGAAAATAGTTGCATTTCTACAATGGATAAACAGGTAGCTTATACAAGATCTTTCTGTTTGGGTCAAAAATAGAAATATAAATAAAAACAATGAAACCGTCAAATAGTAAAGATATTCTTGAACCAAAAGAGCCAGGGTTCAGCTGTACTTGCAATAAGGCCCATTGAGGGAGCCAGTCATTCTAAAATATCCCTTCATTTTATTCATTTTTCTCTTTAAAAGACAAAAAACAAAACAAGACAAAACCACAAAAGAGAGGAGACACGTTATATAATCTACACACTGGAAGCCTAACCATTTTTATTTCTTATTGCAGTTTGAATTGGAAAGGAACACAAAGTCCTAGAACATGGTAATTCATCTCCTGTTTCTTTGTCTGCAACTACAAGTAGGAGATAGTTCAGAACCATGCCAATCAGAAAACACAACAAAGCTGTATTAGCTTCTTATTTGTTTACTGACAGATCACAGGCCACTTCCCTGGAATCTCAGACATCCTGTTAGGTCTTAGAGGCTCCATCCAGGCATACCTAGAGAACTTCAGAAAAGAAAGGGCGTTTAAAAGGGCTCCTCTTTTTGTTCTGTGAACATATCATAGTTGAGTTGAGTTTTTAAAATATTCTCCACCCTTGTTTGTTTCTTAATGCAACACCAAGATGTAATTTGTATGGAAGCCAAAACTAGAGACATGCTGAATATGTGAATACTGAGGAAGTGGTTTCCTTAGCAATAACAGGCATGTGAAAGTCAAAACTTCCTTTCCTTCTCATGTGACCTTTTTCATAGCAATTCAGATAGAGGACAATGGAATTGAATTCCAAGCACCCACAGTATTCATGAATTGCTAAGCAATGATTCACCAAGTACCCAAATTACTCTAGACTGCTTGAGCATTTTATTAGTGAAATTGCTTTGTATTTAAAATTTCCTTCCTCACTTTGTACATCAGTTTTCCTCATTCCTACAGGCCACTTTTCCACCACTTTGAGACAACAGACATAAATAGAGCAGTACCAAGTAGTGATTAGTATAAGGACTTCAGAATATCAGAGTGTCAGAGCAAAACATTTCATACAATATTCATAACTATTTCCTTCCTTTGGAAACATTAGCTACTAGATGCATATAGAAAAAGTTTGCTCGATAGCTAGCTACAGTTTGTTATTTCCTCAAAATAAATAATATAACTTAATTTGGGGGAATTCACTCAGTTGTATTTTAGAAACACTGAAGTTTTCTTTTGTTCTAATTACCGATGTATTTTGACCCACTCATCCTGGAAAAAAAAAAGTGCTACATTTGGCTTACAAATTGCACATTTGGCTTAGTCCTCAAAGGTGGTAATTTATTTAACAATACATTAGCAAGCTGGGACCTTCAAGTGGTATTTTTTTTGCCTTTGATTAAATTGTAGTGTTTTGAGGAACATAGACAAGGCAGTCTTATGAACTCTTATTTCTCTTTATAGTCTGTGAATTGTGAATTTCAAAATGACTAACATTACTTAACTTCTTTCAAAATTCTATTAAGTGACTCTGCAGTGAGTGTTGCCAGACAGACCTAATACCCAGGTAGCTATAGGTCTGTGATCCTGATCCTCTGTGCTCCTGATACTTGTGTTTCACAGGGCTGTAATAGTGGCTCTCATACTGGGTTATTATAAGTATTCATAAAGTGTGTAAAGCAAATGGACTAAGTAGAAAGGCACCGTAGCAACCCAGGTGAGAGGTCATCATGATGGAGGCAAGAAGGCAGATTTGGGATGTTTTAAGGTGGATTTGATGCATCTTAATAATAAATTATATGAATGGATGGAGAGAATCAAGGATAACTCTAAGATTTTGGCTTCAGCAACTGGGTGGATATTGGTGCTATTTAACTAAGCTGGGCTGGATGCAATAAGGTGCTTTGATAACATTTGCATTTAACTGTGATTTTTAATGCCTTAACTCAGGACCACAAGTACTTGGGGAATTGCAGAACTAGTAGGGGAAATATATTAGAAGAGTGAGTGTTGCAAAGTAGCTGCTCAATAAACCTTAGTTCTCCTTTCCCCTATCTGTCTCTTTGTTGTGACATTGACTTTGTTGTGACAGTCAATTTAACCTAAACTGCTCCTAGTTTAATGGCTCTTCTGGACTCAGAAGTAGTGCAACATACAGCCTTCATATTCAAGTGGCCCCAATCGTTACCTTCCTTGATAGTAAATAAGAGGTGAGTCTTAATAAAAGTATAAGGATCTCCAGTGAATTCACTATCTAACCACTCTCTACAGAGCTTGTGAGATTGTTTAACAAAGACAGTCTGAGTGGCCCAGGCAAGCAGGGTAATTTTCCACACCTTCAGACAAATACAGTGGAGATACAAAGTTTGCAATGTTCTTATTTGGCCCCCACACACTGCACTCTGGCAGTGAGAGAGGTCAGGCTTTCAGGAGGTTATTTCTGAACCTAGACAAGCATCCCACAGTGTGTGTGCACTGCTTACCCTCAGTGAAAAGTGGTTCTCATTTTTAGTGCCGTAAATCCTATGATCATCCCCTCCCTTTTCTAACCAAAGCTGGTTCTGGAAGGTGGGCACTACCCCACAGTGTTGATTTGGCTAGTCCTGCTTCCACTGTAGCCAAAGTCACTGAGAAAGTACTTGATTATCTTTAGGAGTAGAACAGCCAGGGTAAGCCAGTGGAAAAATGTTACAGAATGACAAGTAAGTGCTTGCTAAAATATTTTTGGTGCTCACTTCAGGTTGACTCAGCAGGTCAGAGAAATGCGAATCCAGAAGTTAGGAGTGACCTTGGCTAAGTCACTTTATCTCTCCAGCCATTGAAAGCTTGGATTAAATCATAGGCTTTAGAGCTAGGTTCCATGGAGCTTTGGAGTTCTGTTATACCTGTCACAGGATAGGGACCATTGATAAAAGAGACTCTTAGCAGATGAGAATCTGGACATCTGGGCTCGGAGAAGCTTTGATTTTACCTGTTTTTATACACTGATTTAATTTGTTTAAAAATATCCACGAGCGAAAAGGAAAAAATAATTAAAAGTATACGCTAGATGGTTTCTAATTTCTTTTGAACCTGGACGTTCTAAAATTGTTACAAGAACAGGTATATAGATTGTAATTCACATAAGAACCAGTTAACAAATATAAAACAACAATAACATGAATCACCAGCACTGTTTCATAACCAAAGATTATTCTCCTAATCTTAGCCAGAGTCTTATAAATGTCTATTTTTGTCCAAAAAGTATTGAGAAAGATATAATAGATAATTCAGAGTAAATCTGTGGCAACTAGGAGAAGAAATTTAAAAAAAGAGAGAGAGAGCAAGCATGAGGTTAAGAAGCTTGTAATCAGTGAGGTTCTCCCTCTAACTTAGGGAGAAAAAGTTCCTAATACCAGCAATGCATATTGACCAAACTCATTCTTACCTATTTTGCTAATTTTTTTTTGACCTTTAAAAATGTCATAGGCACTGTTGGGTGTTCAAAGTGAAGGTCTTAAAGGAAATAATACTTTGTCCACATCATTGGGCAACATTAGGAAGAATCAGAGCCACAAAGGGATGAAGACAACCCTCTTTGTAGCCATGTAGTGGTTCTATCAGTAACAGCTGGAGTCAATCTCTCTGTGCAGCATATTTTTAAGAGGTGAGTTGTTTGATACCTGCTCCCCATTATCCAACATCTTCAGGAAAGGCTGAAGCAGCCTTGCAGTTTTTCTGGCACGGTTTTACCCCTATTAAAAAGGCTATTGTTGAACTGTTCAAATTGGGATGCTTTGATTGTTAGCACGTTCAGTACTCTGTGATTACCGTAATTACAGACCTGTGAAGGTCAAACTGACAAAACTGAATATAAACTGGAACTGAATATAAACTGGGACAACTCACTGCATTAGTTCTTTTTGCACTCTTCGGTTGTTGTTGTTGTTGTTTTTCCCTGTTGCTGTTGTTGTTGTTGTAAGAGTTGCCAAGTGTTAAATCTATAATAGAAAATAAAAATGAAAGTCATCAATTTTACAGTTTGGCTTTGGCTACGTAGAGTCAATATTCAAGGAACTAAAAGGAATGCTCCGTTGTACTTTCAGGTCCAGTTATACTTTTGGGTCATTACCTTCCTCCATAGTCATGGTCTTGAGTTCATGTGATGTATCCAGTTATGTTTTTAAAGTGGGTCATGAGTCTTCAATGTTTTGCAGATTTTTTCCTTATTTTTCTCTTTGCAGGAACATGACGCTAAATACAAAATACATTTTTTGTTTGTATATGTATAGAGGAATATGTAGCAGAAATAGTTCTCATGTAAGGGGAACCCACACAATTATACAAAAATAAATGAAACGGTCTCCCTATAATTGCATGGCCAAAGACCAGAATAAAATTACTTCTCAGGTACACTAAATACAAACTAGTCTTTATTTTCCTTTGTCCTCATTGATGGCTTCAGACAATAGTTTTAAGTAATAATTAAGTAAAAATAGAGGCTATTATCTTGTATGCCATGTGGAGGCATGAAAAAAGGTAGAAAACAAAATAAATATAAATTCTTTCTACACAACAGAGAATACTGCTTGCATAGTGCCAGGAAAAAGTTTGGGGTCAGGACAAAAGCTATGTCTAAATGAAGCCAAAATAGAAAAGCCGGATGGAAATTAATCAATTCACAAAATCCAGATGTTTCATCTACTGAGATCCAGCCATCTGAATTTTGGCTGCCTGAAATGTTCATGTTTCCTCCAGATGTTTGCTTTCAGGTAGACATAATCATAATGTCCCATGCTTAATTTCATTATAATTTATCATATTGTTCAAAATGTTAAGTGTTCTCTAGCTAATGACAAGAATAAGGATAAAAGACACTATTTTTCATGTTTTAGTAGAAATGGCATGGTTAAAGGATGATTGTTTAAAGGATAAAATAATGACTCTTATAAAGTATAAAATGAACATGTGTCACAAACTTTATTTCACTCATCAATTAATAAGGAAAATGTTACAACTGGTTCAAAGAAGAATCCCAAGGAGATATATATATATATATATATATATATATATATATATATATATATCCATTCATACAAATATATATACAGTAAGGAACTTTGAAGTGAAATAACAAACAGATGCAAAGTGGGTCTGTTCATAGGGCAATAGACTACTGCATTTTAGCAGATATAATTAATTTTTATTTCTATGGACAAGAGTCATATGCATTTTTACCAGTTTTCTACAACTTTCTGAGTTGTAAAGTAGTCCAAAGACAGTGGAAGGCAGAGATAACCCAGAAGAATGCACTAAATAGAACACTTGCTAATCTTTTTTATTCCTATTTCAAAGTCTTTAAACTTTTTTCGTTAAATATTTTGTTTACTAAACTAAAATTATTTATGTATGCAAACATTTCTGAATTTCCTTGGTACTTTCAGTTAGCATCACATAATTTGCCACTTGCTTGCACACTCCTAATTCTATTCTTGATTACTGCATATATCTTGCCTCACACACTACGTTGCAATTCCTCATTTTAAAATTGCCTCCTATTCACTCCATTGGTGAGGAAAGGATTTCTCTGTAGTGTTATGGGAATGGCCAAATACATGATACTTCACACTAGACAAGAGAGATCAACAGCAGTGTATTAGTCATATGTACTCACAGACCACGGGAGAGGGACACCATGCCAACAGGGTCACATGGAGCCTGTGCTCAGGAACAGAGTGGATGACAAGGATTGTGGGAGGCAGGCTTTGTACTGTCAAGAGGATGAGGTGCCCCCTGACTCCCATGAGAGTATATGAGTGATTTGTTTGAACAATTCCACAACTGGAACCCACTAGTCAGAAATAAGCAGGAAATGCATCCAGACTGTTTGATAAGGAGGGTTGTTTGACTAGGGGGACGATATCCACAGGAACAAGAGTGGGAACAATGCTTAGACCCTTTGAGATCCCACCAATTTTACCAGAGGTCAAGGCAGCACATAATATTGAGCCCCAATTTTAAGCCTTGCACCACAATTCTTGAGAGCAGCAACTAAACTTATCCAATGAATTAACAATTCGTTGAGCTCCTATGATGTGCCAGATACTGTTCCAGGCTCTGGGCATGCAGCAGTGGGAACAAATGTTAAAAGATCTTTGTCCTACATTCTAGGGAGAGTCAATAAACGAAAGAGAAAAAATACTTAGTATGATAGATAGTGATAAGGGCAATGAAGAAATTTGAAGCAGAGGATGAAGAAAGAAGTGCAGAATAATGGGGGTGGGGTGCTATGTTGAAATTTTAAATACCGTGTGGGGGAGCCTTTACTAAGATGACATTTGAGGTAGGACCCAAAGAGGTAAGCCATGAGGATATCAGGGAAAAGAGCTTGGAGATGGAAAGACCAGCATCGTAGCCCTCCACAGCAGAAGAATGTTCTCATGTTCGAGGAAAGTAAGGGGTTCAGTATGGCCAAAATGCCCTAAGCTAGAGGAAAAGCAGAAAGAAATGGGGTCACATTGAGATACAGGGGTTAGAGCACAAATTGTGCAGTGCCCCTTAGCATTTGATTTTTACTGAAAGATGGGAACCCAGAAAAGGGATGTGGGTAAAAGAATGGCCTGCTATTTGACCAACTTTTCTTTTCATCTCTCGAAGAGCCTAGCAAAGTACTGAGCACATAAAGGCTGCTGAATATATTGTGACTGGTTAATTGCAAAGGGAGCAACACCTTTCTTCACTGCTTTCCACAACTTTTTACCTTAATCACAATTAGATGCAGGTTTATTTCTACCTAAAAATATACTTACTGCAGAGATATGGACACTAAGAAAGTTCAGTTTATACATAGTCAAGGTGTGAGCCAAAACCCATTTCTTTACTGATGAGACCTGGATCTCTCATTAAAATATCACAGGTATAATAGAAACTAGCACACTTACATACAGTGAAGGATACAGCCCATGCAAATTCTAGAATTTTCTACAGACCTCTACCATAGGACAAGGGACATTTGAAATTTAATATATTAGACACATTTCACCTAGCTTTTATTCTTCATAATTTTTTTAATTTTTAATTTTAATTTTTATAAGTTCATAGTAGGCGTATACATTTATGGGGTACATGAGATGTTTTGATACAGACTTGCAATGCATAATAATTATCACATCCTTCATAAATTTTATTTACATAGTGGAAATATGTTTCAAGCTGTGGAGCATTTATAAATTTATACTGGGATAGCATCTTAAAAATTTTCCCTTCTATGAATAAGTTCACATGGAAAAACAGTATATGTTATAAATTCTGAAATCAGCAACTTGACTCTATATTGTGCAGTTTGACAGACAGGACTCATAATTTAGTTCAGTCATGGCTTTTCTGAGTAAATATAGATCTATCACTGACATAATTAGCCAATCTTCATTTTCTCCCACCTTGGTCATAGATTTGATTTTTTATCATTAGCATTTAGAGAGAGTAGCATGTATAATACAATAAAGAGTGGGATATGGGACGGAAAAATAGGAGGAATCCCTTCACCTGCTGCAGGAATGTGTCATTCTGAACCCTAAAGCTGATTCTATTTGGTTTTAACAAGGTATCATCTCCAAATCCTATCATGTTATATTATGTTAGAAACATTAAGTTACAATGGGAGAGTCCCAGTAAGTGGAGAAAGTTGAAGGTTGTCCGATAAAATTAGGCAAGGGTTCACATGCATGCTTTGTCACACACTTCACTTGCAGACACATCTGAAAATGCACCCCCAACACCCCTAACATTGTCTTCCTGGAAAGCACCATTTATTAACAGGACTCAAACATGAACTACTCAATAAAGATCTTTCTTCCTCTGTTCCTCCCTCCCAGAACTGACAATGCATTCATTGTACCCTATAAACAATTTCGTTACTGATAATATGTACCTCTAAGTCTGTTTCTCCTATTGGACTGGAAGCAATTTAAAGATAGTGATTCACTTTTATTATCTTTTTATCCTGAACTCCCAGCACAATGCCTGGCACATGTAGGACTGAAGAAATATTGTTAATTATTTAATTTTATCACACTCACTAGATCCAACATGATAACATGAGAGAAGGAAATTCTACTTCAGCTCCATAATTTGAGAAAGGTCATTCTTCTTTCTTAGAGGCAGCACCATTACATAACAGAGTCACCACTAGTGGCAGTAGAGTTTGGTGTATAAGAAGAAATGGGCTGGGCACAGTGGTTCATGCCTGTAATGCCAGCACTTTGGGAGGCTGAGGCAGGCAGATCACTTGATGTCAGGAGTTCAAGACCAGCCTGGCCTACATGGCAAAACCCTGTCACTACTAAAAATACAAAACTTAGTCAGGCGTGGTGGTATGCGCCTGTAATCATGGCTGTTCAGGTGACTGAGGCAGGAGAATCATTTGAACCTGAGAGGCAGAGGGTGCAGTGAACTGAGATCGCGCCACTGCACTCCAGCCTGGGAGACAGAGTGAGACTCCATCTCAAAAAATAAAAATGAAGAAGAAGAAAGGGATCACTAGCCTTTAAATAATTCTGTTTCAGCATTATGATATAAGTTTTTTATTTAATGAAGTTATTTTCATCTTCTCTTCAGCAGTAGCATCACTTAAAAACCCATTACGTATAAGAGGTGGTGTCCTTGAAACTGGATCTAAAGATTTCCCAACTTTCTGAGACTCTAAGGGTTGAGCTGAAATTTGTCTTTTGTGCAGAGTCTTGCTTTGTGAGAAAGAGACCATTCTGTAGGGCCTTTTTAAGTCATGCATGTGTAATGAATTTACTTAGTCCTTGAGAAAGTTCTGACTGGTGAAACATTCAAATGCCATCCTTTTGAATGGAATTTATACATTCTGTGTTCTGGTTTTGTTTTGTTTTGTTTTTCAAGCAATGGTTGGCTTCTTGGAGGACAGAATGACACTTCTAGGACCATTATAATATCCAATAATGTTTCCTCTTATAGGCCCAGATATAGGGAGTTGGGGCTCTATATTTTAGGAGGAGAGAATCTAAGAAAGAAACTATGGACCATGGTTGGGCGCCACACTACGGCAACTGTCAGGGACAAGAAGGAGAGACCAAAGGGGTCCTTTGAAAAATAATATAGACTCTGACAGTGATAGGTTAAACTCTTTTTCCCAACTCAGAAACAGAAAGCCAAATACTGCATGTTCTAACTTCTAAGTGGGAGTTAAATACTGTGTACACGTGGACATAGAGTGTGGAATGATAGGCATGGGAGACTAGGAAGGGTGGGGAGGGTGAAAGGGGGGGTGGGTGATGAGAAATTATTTAATGGATACAAGGCACACTATTCTGGTGGTGGATACACTAAAAGCACTGAGTTCACCACTACACAATATAGTAAGGTAACAAAATCGCACGTGCACCCCTTAAATTTATACAAACTTTTTAAAAGTGGTGTTCCCTTCTGTATTATAAATCCCCTATCATATCTTGCAAGTCTTCATTTACTTTGTCAAACACGATATCTTTGTGTTTGGGAACTAAAGGAATAGTGGCTGCAGCTTAGAAAAGCGTAATGAGATAATTGGTGGGGTGTGGCCTTAGAGTGGTGGTCCCTGGTAGCAAGTGACAAGTGGAAGCCAGAGAAGCTTTATGCAGCATTTAGACACTCACTAGGGATTCCCAGAAATGTTGGGGAACAGCCCTAGAATTCCTACAGTCAGGCAGGTTGGGAACTCAGCTGGCTGTTACTATCAAAAGAAAGGGGAGCCTTGGAAACCAGAGAAATGAGAAGCACTTGGGTGACAACAGATGGCTTTTTTCAAAAGAAAGTTAAGGTAAGACTAAAATAAGTATACATTACACTATGTCTCTCCTAAGGAGCAACAAAGTTCAAGTGCATGTTCTTGGGTTACCTTTCTGTCTTTACTCCTGAGGACTAAGAGACCCCAGAGACTGGCAGATGCCTCCAGAAAGATGAACATCTAGTCAGAAGAGAAGGCAAATGAGGAGGGAGGAGGACATGGCAGCACAGAAGGAGGAACACAGGGAGAAACTGGAGAGGTACCCTGAGTGGTGAGAGAATGCTTCAGGGCTCTCTTAGCGGATTGGACTAAGAACAGAGGTGATAATTATTCTAAGGAACAGGTAGCAGGGCACAGGCTCCGACCAATCAGGACAGCTGAACCAGCCAATCAGAATGGACAGGGTACAGGCACTGACCAATCAGGACAGCCAAACCAGTCAATCATAATGGACAGGGCCACGAGCAGCCAGTAAGGCTGAAGGTTCACAGGGAGTCCCACAGACACGAGGGGTCTCCAGTCCTCCCTACATGTATATGTCAATCACTCTAATCAGATGGACCACTCACTAGTGAAAAGCACCCTGCCTTCTGAGAGTGGATTTGTGCATCATCACTGGTAAGGAATTTTACCATTTTGGTCAGTCTCTTTCCCCCCGTGCCTCTTTTTCCTCCCCCCTTCTCTACTGGGCTCATTTATGAGCTATTTTTTCTCTCTTCCTACTTTTCCAGTGTGTTCTGCAGCATGCACTCAGCTCTTTGGAATTCTGTGGGTGGCAAGGGTTTTCTCCTCCATTTCATGTGCTCAGTGATGTGGAAAGAGAAGTATGAACTCTGACACTTTCCTTTTGCGAACATTTTGATGAAAGGACAAGTGATAGTCACAAATTTCAAAACATGTGGCAGGGGAGATGTAGAAGACACCTCATTTGTTACCAGCAGCAGCTTCTTTCTCAGATCATCCCAAAACGCTGGCATGTGCCCAACAGCTTAATTTGGAGAGAATCCTATTTTATTCAAGCCTCAGATAGAATAGGCTATGAATGGTTCATTGGATAAATACTCATTCTCTCCCTCCTCTAAGCCCTAGGTCTGTCCCTCTTGCACCCTCGTCATCTTTGCTATTTCTCTTTCATTAAATTCCTTTGAAGTTGTGGATTATTTTTGCTGTCTTTGAACATTCCTTCTGGCTAGTGGATTTCAGAAGTGCAAGTGCTTTAAACTTTTCTCTCCCCTTTTGAATTAATACTGTACTCCACATTTTTTTCTTTCCATTTTTGGTGGACCAACTACTGTGTTGTTTTATATTGCATTTTCATTTCAGAACTATTTGAAAATGGAACTCATGCCATGCACGTGAATATTTTGCTGCCTCTTAGCTGATTTAATCAGCATGGATACCATTATTCATGCAATTGCATGAATAATTTATCTCACTGTTGTAAAAGTTTAATAAAAGTTTTCTTGTCTTTATCAAATTCCATGTTACTCTTTGTTCATTTTATAGCAGCAACATAATCAGAATATAAAGCAGCTCATATCAAAAAGCAATGAATGGCATAGACTTTATTAGAGCTCTTGTGTTATTTTGTATTGCCATTTTACCTATGATTGAATAAGATTTTATATATGAAGAAAATGAGATAGATCTATTGAGCTCAGCATGACCAGCATTAACCAATCCATTCCACTTTTGATTAGAAAAATTTGGAGTCACATTATTACAACTAAGATGCCCAGCCTTATTTGTACTATCCAACAGAACATGTGTTTCTTGTTCATGCACATGTGTGTATATATATATGGGACTCTTCTACCCACTGTGTAATACTATTTTATGACTAACTCTTTAATCCAGAATAATTGGTATTTCTTGCATAAAGAAAGGCACCAGAACAAATATTATTTGTTCACAGTTGATTTTTCTGTTATAGCCACAAATTAGCCACTTTCAATCAGTGAAATTACTCTACAGATTAAAAGTATTTTGATAACATTTACATGTTTTCCTTTAATGTGAGAGCAGCAAACCTTATAAACAAGAACCATCGACACAATAGAGGATTAAGTATCTATACACAAGAGCAATACATGGTAGCTTAAAGTAATGGCACCTCTTCTGTGGAATATTCATTGATCTTTGGAAGAAATAGTAGCAATTTTACAAAAGAAAATAAAATTACTAAATATATTGTGCCTGCTCTCTCTTGCATGCACTCTCTCTCTTAAACATCATGCCTTATTTTGGTCTTTCTATAGTCATAGAGATTTAGGAAATGGTAGAAGTTCTAGAAGAGAGACAGAAAAAGGACTGAAGGCATAAATATTTGTGTGTATATAAAATATTATATATAATACATACCAATATATAATAAATTAAAAGGTTACTAAGTATGAAGCTATATAAAAAGATTATTTGCATGTATTTATGAAGAAGGGTGTTTCAGTTGTAATTTTTTAAAAATTTGCTTCAGAACAAATCAAAAGTAATGGATTTTACTTGAATTAAAAGATTTAAGATCTGGAAGAGGCATCAGTCATATTCATATTGCTTAGTTATGGTAACGCCTAAAACAATTATTTGAATGTTTCCTGAAATTAATTTTTTTTTTTTAAACGGAGTCTCGCTCCATCACCCAGGCTTGAGTGCAGTGACACGATCTCGGCTCACTGCACGCTCCACTGCCCAGGTTCACGCCATTCTCCTGCTTCAGGCTCCCAAGTAGCTGGGACTACAGGCACCCGCCACCACACCCGGCTAATTTTGTTTTTGTATTTTTAGTAGAGACAGGGTTTCACCATGTTAGCCAGGATGGTCTCAATCTCCTGACCTCATGATCCGCCTGCCTCAGACTCCCAAAGTGCTGGGATTACAGGCATGAGCCACCGTGCCTGGCCAAAAATTTTTATAATTCAATTTATGTGATTGTGATTAAGTTCCACATCTTTATTAACACATGATGAATAACATCAATATTTGGCATTGTTTACAAACATCAAAAATAACCCTGAAAAATTAAAGGAAGAAAGTAATGTATTATAAAGATATGAGAGCTTCTGGTTAGGATGCATAAAGTCAAGAGACCACTGCTCTCACCCTAACAAAGTAACAAAGGAAACAAGCCAGAGAAGTT
The DNA here is from genome assembly GCF_000001405.40 of Homo sapiens. Lineage (NCBI taxonomy): Eukaryota > Metazoa > Chordata > Mammalia > Primates > Hominidae > Homo > Homo sapiens. Next base: position 71,466,877 of record NC_000006.12, on the reverse strand, counting down.
ATAAAGGTATGATTTTTTTTTTTTGCATTAGATTGCTAAAGACAAAAACAAAATCTAAATAAATTAAATTCCAGAAAGAGAAAAGCCCTTTCTATGAAAGAAGAACCCAAAATCTGTGGATATGTAAGGAGAAAGAGCAAACCCGCTATAGACAGAGGTAAGGAGAAGCTGGCCAAAATTTTAATAAAGATTTAATAGCTGTGTGTGGCTAGCCTGATGTATGAGATTCCAAGGAGGTCTGTGAGAGTGCACTTACACACCCAGCTGCCAGTCTTATTTCACAATGCCTTCACTGAACACATGCAGTAGCTTGCAGAAGAATAGGAGCACAGGAAGAGGGCAGAGAGAGCTTCCTGCACCTCAGGCCCTTAATGAGTGCACAACAGTGCTTCTCCAATGCCTGGGAACAAGGAAAGAAGGTAGAAAGATGTTTCCTCTAAAGTGGATCAATTACACAGAAACCAAAAGCTGGAGGCACAATAGTTGAACTGAGAAATATCAGCCACAAGTCATTCAGAGCCTTACTTGAGTGCAAGATAGTAGCATGCCAAAACCTAAGGGCAAAGCAGCAAAGTATGAAGAGATTTTGTGAGGCTTAGAAAGTCAGAAGCAGAGCTAAAGAGACAAAAGACCACCACAGGAATCCCCAAATGTGGGTAGTATAGTCACTGGGATGTAAAACATAAAGACATTTCCAGAATTATACAGTGCCCAGATAAACTAGTTCCTATGCTGCCTGTAAAACATTTGAAACGTGGTGAATTAACAGATCTAACAAAAGCTACAACAAACCTCAAACCCAGCTCAATTATACATCAGATTGCTTTAGCTTCATCACTTGCAGCCAGTCACAAGAACAGACATTTCTTTTCCCTGAGTAAATAATAGATATGTACTTTTACACACAATTTCTGGCATAAAAAATTGTGTGTTATAAAAACAAGCAGAGTAATATGACCCATAATCAATTCAATAAATAATCAATAGAAGTAGACTCAAATGTGACCACAATATTAGAATTAGCAAATAAAAAATCTGATATAAAAATGTTAAATTTTTTTAAGAAAAACTAATGGAAAACATGGTTCACATGTGGGAACAGATGCCAGATTTCATTTTAGTAGAGTACTGGGAACATAAAAACAAAGAAAAATCCTAGGATTTGGAAACCCAATAACATAAATGAAGAATTTATTTGATTTGTTTTACAGCAGCCTAGAAAAAGCAAAAGAAAGGATAAGTGAATTGGAATTACCTAAACTAAAATGAAAAAAGAAAAAAAAATTAGGAACTGAGAAAAGCAACCAATCCCCAGTCTGTGGCACTGTATCAAATGGTCAACATATGTGTATTGTATTCCTAAAAGTAGAACAGAAATAAAATGGTGCCAAAGAAATAATTTGAAGAGACATTGGCTAAGAAACATCAAAAACTGATGGAAGTTATCAACCCACAGATCCAAAACCAAATATGTAGTGAGCCTCAAACCATATAAATACAAAGTCAAGCCTCAAGAAAACGAAGATAAAAAGAAAATCTTAAAAGCAGCCACCACACACATGCATATGCACACATAACACACACACACACACACACACACACTACATTTAGAAGAAAAAGAAAAAGAAGAATATGACAGACTTCTCAACAGAAACAATGGAAGTTAACTGACAATGGCATGACACCTTTAAAAAGCTGAAAGAAAGAATTACACTATCAATTTACAATTCTGTACCCCATAAAAACATTCTTCCAAAATTAAGGTGAAATAGAGATATTTTAAGATAGATACAACTTGAGAGAATTTGGCTTTAGAAGACATTCACTTAAGGAAATGTTGAAAGAAGTTTTTTGGGTATATCAGACAATATCTAGTGAAACATACGTTACACATCTCAGGTCATATGGTTGTCTGGTGTTTCATATTCAGATGCTCAATTTCTACAAAGTATCTCTAGCAAACCATGAACTATTTTCAAAAGAAAAATAGTATACTGATGAAGAGGTCATTACTTTTCTCCAGCCTTTCTGTTGTGATTTTTTTTTCTATTAGACCTTACCACAAGCTTCATGTCTCATCCTGCTCCTCCATAAAAAATTTTAAGAATTATTCAATCCATTGTAAGAGTTAAATGAGGGAGGTGCTCATAGGAAGCCTGAACTAGCTGAAGCCTCTTTTCCTCCCTCTGGAGCATATTTGTTGTGAAGACACCTCAAACTATATCATAAAAATTATAGTTGAAGCAAATAAAATATGTATGATGAGTTATAGTACTCTCTGAAATAACATAGTAATTCATTTACTAAATATCATGTTCTAGTAATTCATTGCTGACTGTCAAACTACCCCAAAACTTAATGGTTTAAAACAGCAGCAGTCATTTGTTTTACTGACAAATCTGCAATTTACACAGGGCATGACAGGGGAAGTGCATTTGTTTTCCACAGAATGTCAGACAAAGTAGCTTGAGTAGGGCTAAATAATTCACTGTTCAGTCACATAAGTGGCAAGTTGGTGATAGCTGTTGGCTGGGACTTAGCTGAGATGGTTGGTTTGGGACTCCTCAGTTTCTCTCACATGGGCTTCTTGGGCTTCCTGACAGCATGGTTGCTCAGTTTTAAGAGCAAAAATTCCTGTAATACAGCACACAGAACCTGCTAATCTCTTAAAGCATGACCCAAGAAGCTGCCACAGCATCACTTCCACTGTGTTCCATTACTCCAAACAGTCACCAGCCCCTCTTTCTCAAGTCAAGGGACAGGGTAAAGACTCTACCTTTTAATGAGATAAGTGTCACAGAAATCTGTGTTTCTCTTTAATCCATCACACATCCATTATGCCCTTTACATTTTCATAGCCTTTGACAGTCTAAAAAACACTTTCCTACACATTTCTCATTTGGTCTTCATAACTACTATTCACATAAAAAGGGTAGAAATATTTATCCCCAGTTTACATAAAAAACTGAGGTTCAGAGACATTAAGTGACTATCTCAGCTTATTCTATGAAGTAAAAACCCGACCGTAAGTTTTCCAATTCTAAATCTAGATTTATTATTATCTTCATTATAATGTACAAAATAATTTTATTTCAGGCTCAATATGTAGTAGGAAACCTACATGTCTACTTTTTATGAACAATAGATTTGTCATCCAATGACAGAATCATGTCTCTGCAAAATTTGGTAAGAATGCCTCAACCTCATGATTGGAATCAAGGGGTCTAAAGACACCCTTGCCACAAACCATCTCACCCTGTTACATAGAGTTTGGGTATGCTGTTCAACCTGTTACAAATATACCAAATCATCCCCTTTTTCAAGCTAAACCTCTAATTACCTCAGCTGGAGTTTCCGTATCCCTTTTCTGGATTATTTTTCTGCATTACTTATTGCTCTAGCACTCTTAACATTTATCATACACTATCTCATGTAACATATTTGAGTATCTCTTGTCTCCACAATTTAAGATCCTGGAGGCTGTGAGAGAGTGAATCATATTTCTTTTTCTTTGCCTACAGGGCCCAGCATGGTAGTTTATACATGGAAATTGCTCAATAAATATCTGTTTGAAGAAACAGATAAGCAGTTTCAAGAGAGTGTGGTACACATTGTTCAGATTTGTTGAAACTCCTTTATTTTATTAGTTCTAAAATAATCTTTCTCAAGCTTCACTAGGCAAAGCCTGTTCTTGGTCGACTACACAGCATATTCATCCCAATGACAACTTTCAAATTTGGATAGACTTTATTCAAATACCATTTCAGTTTTGAAACTAAGATTAAGTAATAAGCAACCATTGAATAGAAACAGATGACCAAAGAGCCATCTAAAAATGCATCTTTGTTTTGCTTTAATGGAAAGCAAATTAAAATTAGCCTTTCATGACCAAAATAAAGCTCATTTTCAGTTTAAAAAACTTATTGGTTGATTATGTGGAAATAACTTTTATAAATATAAGATAAATTTTCTGATTTCCTCTGACATACAAAAATTAGAGCTATTGAAAACCATGTATTTAAGCTGAAAACATTTTTAAAAATTTTTTTTATTATTATTATACTTTAAGTTTTAGGTACATGTGCACAGCATGCAGGTTTGTTACATATGTATACATGTGCCATGTTGGTGTGCTGCACCCATTAACTCCTCATTTAGCATGAGGTATATCTCCTAATGCTATCCCTCCCCCCTCCCCCCACCCCACAACAGGCCCCGGTGTGTGATGTTCCCCTTCCTGCGTCCATGTGTTCTCATTGTTCACTTCCCACCTATGAGAACGTGCGGTGTTTGGTTTTTTGTCCTCGCCATAGTTTGCTGAGAATGATGGTTTCCAGTTTCATCCATGTCCCTACAAAGGACATGAACTCATCATTTTTATGGCTGCATAGTATTCCATGGTGCATATGTGCCACATTTTCTTAATCCAGTCTATCATTGTTGGACATTTGGGTTGGTTCCAAGTCTTTTAAAAATCTGCTAGGAGAACAGGTGCAGGACGGAAATGTATCATCTAGCATTGCATTAATTAAGGCAACACTAGTTACAGTAACAATACACCACCAGATCTTAGGCAAAACATCAGTTTATTTCTCACTTATCTAACAGTCCAATCTGGATGTTTCTAGTCAGGCACTGATGGAGGGACTCAGTCTCCTTCCACCAGTGGTTCAACCATGACTCTCCAGGTTAATCCAGAAATCAAAAACAGAAACAAAGGAGATTGTATAAGAAAATAAAATTCAGTCTCAAAAAAATGAGTTATTACTCCTTTTGTCCTTTTAAACCATTAAGTAATAAACTAACAGCTGAACATTAACCACTAGAGCTCTAAAATGAAAGATTTCAGATGAAATGAAAAACAATTCATGAATATTGCTGGTAGCTTAGATCATACCTTACTCTCTGTCCATATAATTGTTTTTGCCTCTTTGCCTTGATAAAACGTAAAACTCTACTAACTGATTTTGTTTTTCTTTTGTCTTCTCAGATGCAGAACTATGATTTTCTTTTGAAATCAAGTTTATATTACTTTCTATAAAGATAGTTCTATTCTGCTGAATTAAAGATTTGATTTACTTTAATACTTCTACTTAAATCCTGCAGTTTGCAAAACGTGATGTATCCCCTGTGAAAAGTAACTCTGAATTTACTTCATCATCAGTCACTCAAGTAACTTCATTTAAACTCAATGCTTATGATTTTAATTACCCAGTAAATAGATACTATAAACAGATACCATTATATCATCACATCGACTATGTAATGGAGATTTTCAGTCAAGGTAGTGCCATCAGTTCATGCTTTGATGCATCCCTCTGCTCCAAATGTGTGCCAATAACATGTTGAAATTTTTTTAAAAGAAAGCCAAGCACTAAGTCCAAGATTAAAAAATATGATAAACAATTCTGTGGCTCAGAAACAGCAGAAATAAAAATAGATGAACCAGAATAAGTTACAGATCTGGTAGGGTCCTAGTTTAGAAGCAGGCAACACTGAGCAGGTGCTTGCTCTCCTGGTTCAAAGCAGAGATTTGAACCAGGTATCAATTGAAGTTAGTGGCTATGGTGAGTCTGCCCTCTTCTCTGATCAAAAGCGGCTCAGAACATACTACTGATTATTAACGATGGCTAAGCATTACAGCAAGCTGTGAATATAGAGATGCTGAAGGAGGAAAGAATCTTGTGACTACACAAACAACTCTCCTGGTTTGATGACTGGATTCACAAGAATCCTATAGTCATCAAGAAGGAAAACCTCATCAATCGAAACTGCCATTGTAAGACCAGTTTCTATACTGCAGTGCTGAGACCCAGTGGTGATAACTACAAAACAGCTAGACAGGAGAGAGGAAAGACACTGGAAGAGAGAAAAAGGGAAGAATAACATTTAACAAACAAAACACTTCTCAAAATGAGCCCATATTTCAAAGTTCTAAAACCCACGAGGAAATGCAATTCTAGGGAAGACAGCCCTCCAGATGAAATTAATGTTGTACGACAGTCTGAAAAAGAGTTGTTTTAAAGTATGTTTAAAGTGATCAAAACTTTAAAATGAAAGTCCATAACTCATTTAAAGCAGGGGTGTGCAAATTTTTTTTTTGTAAGGTGCTAGGTGGTAAATACTTTTTGTCTTTGCTGGCCACACAGTCTTTTTTTTACTACTCAACTGTACTATTATAGCAAGAAAGCAGCCATAGACATAAAGATGCTCCTCAATCTATGATGTGGTTATGTCTTGATAAACCCATCATAGGCTGAAAATAGCTTCAGTCAAAAATGGATTTAATACACCTAGCCCACCAAACATGATAGCTTAGCTTATTCTATCATAAACATACTCAGAACACTTAAACATTAGCCTACATTTGGAAATTATCTAACACAAAGCCTATTTTATAATAAAGTGTTAAATATCTCATGTGGTTTATTGAATACTGTACTGAAAGTGAAAAACAGAAGAGTTATATGGGTACTACCATTAATATATTATACATAGCTGGAATCACTATTGGAAAGTCAAAAAACTGTAAATTGAACCATAGTAAGTTGGGGACACTCTGTACATAAATGAATAAGCATGTGTGTGTTTCAATAAACCTTTACTTATAGAAACTAGCAGTGACCCAGATATAGACCATGGGCCACGGTTTGTAGACCCCTAATGTAAAGAATCATTAAATTATGAAACAAAATTAGGCAGAAATGTAATAGGAACTGGAGATACGAAAAAAAGATTAGAATCTTGAAATTTAAAATGTGCCCGTGAATATAAAAACACAATCAAGAAGAAAACTGATAAATTATTTATTTTAAGCAAAGAAAAAAAGAGAGATAGTTAAAGCCCATTAATGTTTTCTTGAATTTGGGTACAAGATTAAAATATTACATACATTTAGACTTTGTTTAAAAAAGTGAAATACAATAATCCTGCAGTATTTGTGAGGGATTAGTGCCAGGATTTCCTGTGGATACCAAAACCCATTGATGTTCAGGTCTCTGACATAAAACAGTGTAATATTTACATATAACCTATGAACATCCTCCTGTATACTTTAAATCATCTCTAGATAACTTGAAATGTCTCATACAATATAAGTGCTATGTAAATACTTGTTTTACTCTATTGTTTTGGAGAATAACGACAAGAAAAACTCTGCACATGTTCAGTACAGATGTCTTTTTCTCAAGTATTTTCAATTCATGCTTCGTTGAATCCACAGATGCGGAACCCACAGATATGGAGGCCAACTGTGTAGTTAAGTAGATAGGTTTAAAGCATATTTAAGAACAACCATTAAAAGCATAAGAATATATTGTATGGTTTTCAACCCAACAGAGGGGAATAAAGGTATTCAATAGGACTATACACAAATATCCTTTTCTACCTGGGCACATGATAGCATTGCATTTCCTTGCCCATTTGAATTTAGGTATTCAGGTAACTACAATACTTGAATTTAGTGGCCAAGTAACTACTTGTAGTCAATGGAGGTGGAAGTGCCGTGTGTCACTTCTAGATGGAAGCTTGAAGAGCCAGTGAGTGTTTGGCATATTCTCTTTTATTTGCCTTTCTTAGGAAAGTGTGTGTTGAGATGGAGCCTTCATCGGTTTGGGTTTCTGAGAGACTAAATAAGCCAATGTACAATGATCATACAAAATGGGTGAGAAATAACTTTGAATTGAAGCCACTTATAGTTTAAGCTTTGTTATTGTAGTAGCCCATGCTTTTCCTGTTAGGATTTAAGCAGTCAAATTGAAAACATGAAAGGGGAAAACTAAAGGTAAAGAAGTAGGCTGGCAAAGAGAAAACAATATAATAGTGAAACTAAACATATCATATACCACAAGTAGAGAACATGAGATTAAACTCATCCATTAAAAGAAAAATTTGTCAGATTAAAATAAAATTAAACATAGACCTCTTAAAACATGCTTTACAAGTGACACATACACAGTGCATTAGTTCAGGTTCTCCAAGAAGCAGACACCAAGAAGAGACAAAATTAGATGTGTAAGAAATTTATTGGAGAAATGTTTGTAAAGTAAAAGGGAGAAGAGGAGAAGGAACTCTTCAGCCTGTCATGAAGGTCTGACCCCTGTGAAAGGGAGAGGGAATGTAGGATTGAATAGGAAGACTCTTAAACCACGATCCAGTTTCAAGGCATTTTTGACACTCTAATTGGGAGTCCTTAGGTCAAGGTCACCTGGTTGTGGAGTTCCATGTGTTCCAGAAATGGACCTGCATTAGTTGTCCTGTTATGCTCAGTTGCTGCTTGAGTAGCCTGTGGGAAATGTGGCCTTAACATGAACACAGTGGCGGACCCAGAAGAACAGCAGCTGGGACACCTGGTTGATTATGTTCCCTGAGCAGGAGATATGAGCCATGGATTTTCATGTCTAATACAAATAGAAAGTTAAATAAAGGGATGAGAAACTTCTATGAAGCAAAACCTAAACAAAAGAAAGTAGTGTAAGAACATTAATATCGAACAGAATAGTTAAAGGCTAAAAGCATTTAAAAGAATAAAGAAAGAAACTAAATAGTGAGGGAAACTGTGTTGGCTTTGTGCAGTCATTCTAGCTAATCTGAAACTAGACTTTCCAGAATCCCCATCCCTGTATGCTTCCAGATTAGGGCGGGCCTCAATAGAAATTTGCATGAAATTTGGAAGGCAGGAGTTAAGTAACAACCATATTTGTGCTCTGCAGCTCAGCTGTTGCAGCACCTGGGGCAGCAGCTGGTCCCAGAGCTCCTGTGACTCTTGCTGGACCTCTTCCCACAGCTTCTGTGACTTCTGCACCAACATGTGCAGCTCTGTGGCAAAGGGCTTCAGCTTCCCCTACAGGTGATTAATATCATCAAATGTGGAGGCCTGAAGGCAGTGAGACAGACACAGTTTCCAGTGTGTCCTCTGAGTTTTCATTGTCTTCTCACAGCTTCTGGCTTATTCCTGCTCTCCCCATTTCATGTCCACTTTCCTTCCTGTTGGCCCTGCTGCCTTTAGGTGCAGCCCCAGACAAGCAGCAGCACAGACAGTTTAGCCAGAGCCCACAGTTGTTTATGGTCCAACCCTTATAATAAATCCCTTCCTCAACATTACTCAAAGTCTTCCTGATTTTCTGATCACACCCTAACTGATAGGAAGAATTATCCAAGACAATTAGACCACGAAGAATAACAAGGAGAAACTCTGCAAATCGCAATCATAGTATAGGGGTTTAACATGCTTTTACTAGAAACTGAGGGATTAAGTACATAACAAATTAGTAAATATCTAAAAAATAAAAACAGCAAATATATAAAACATACAATATAAACAACATTGATGATATATGTATATTATCTACATATAACCCAGAAAATAGAAAAAGAAAATTTCAGTACACAGGAACAATATTGTTCACAAAGTAGGTTTCAATAAACTTTAAAGAAATTATATTATACAAAACACGTTCTTTGATAACAATTATAAATTATGAATAAAAATATAGTAAAATATATATTAGAAACTAAAACTCCTAAATAATCCTTGAATCAAAGAGGAAATAGAAATGGAAATTACAAAATTTTTAGAATGAAATTTTTATGTACTATATAAAAAATGTGTGTAATAAAGCCAATGTACATTCATAGACATAAGTGCATGTATTAAAACAAAACAATATGAAAAAGAATTTCAAAATATCCAGTGTATTCAATTCAAAAAACTAAAAAAGACAGCAAAGTAAACATAAAGAAAGTAAAAAAAAATAATAAAAATGAAAGCAAAAAATGTATATATAAAACTTAGCTGGGCGTGGTGGCCCATGCCTGTAATCCCAGCACTTTGGGAGGCCGAGGCAGTTGGATCACAAGGTCAGGAGTTTGAGACCAGCCTGACCAACATGGTAAACCCCGTCTCTACTAAAAATACAAAAATTAGCTGGATGTGGTGGCACACGCCTGTAATCCCAGCTACTCAGGAGGCTGAGGCAGGAGAATTGCTTGAACCTGGGAGGCAGAGGTTGCAGTGAGCCAAGATCACACCACTGCACTCCAGCCTGGGTGACAGAGTGAGACTCCATCTCGGAAAAAAAAAAAAAAAAAATATATATATATATATATATACACACATAATATATATAATGTATACATATTATATATGTATATGTATACATATAAATATACATATACATATATACATATACACAGAGCAAAACCATATCAGTTATATATATGTACATATGTGTATATATATATAAAATACATAATATATATAATATATACATATATAACTAACATGGTTTTGCTCTGCGTACCCACTTAAATCTCATCAAGAATTGTAATCCCCACGTGTTGAGGGAGGGATCTCGTGGGAGATGATTGGATTATGGGGGCGGTTTCCCCCATGCTGGGCTTATAATAGTGAATTAGTTCTCATGAGGTCTGATGGTTTAAAAGGTGCAGTTTCCCCTGGCTCACTCTCTCTCCTGCTGCCTTGTGAAGAAGATGCCTTCCTTTCCCTTTGTCTTCCACCATGACTGTAAGTTTTCTGAGGCCTCCCCAGCCATTCAGAACTGTGAGTCAATTAAACCTCTTTTGTTTATAAATTACCCTGTCTTTATAGCAGGTAGTATCTTTATAGCAGTGTGAAAATGGACTAAACAAAAGCTAAGAAACAATAGAATGAATCAGGAAAACTACCTAGAACCTCCGGAAATACTATTTAAGAAACAGAGAGGTGATATGATAAACTATCTTAAAAATTAAAAGAGGACTAATTGCAGATATTAGAAAGATTTTAAACAGTCATATGATATACTAGGAAAAATTTTTGGCAAATAAGTTGTACAACTTTGATGGAATGAATACTATTTAGGAAAATATAAATCACTAACAGAAACTCAAGACGAAAAGGAGAACCACAATAAAGCAACAAACCTTAATGGAATTATATTGTTAATAGTTAGATTATTATTATATTCCCACAAAAGGGCTGAGGTCCAAATTGCATTAGTAGTAATCTTGACTCCAAGGAAAAAATTATTATTGTTTTATATAAACTGTTGTAGAAAACCACAGGAACAATAGCAACAAAACAATAATCAATACCTGGCAAGGAATATACAAGAAAGCATTTCACTTATAAATTGTACATAAGTGTTTCACTTATAAATACAGATTCCAAAATATTAAATAAAATGCAAGCAAATGTCACTAAGCTATCTATTAAAAATAAATATATCATGAATATATCATGAGATTTTATGATGCTGAACCATCTTGGCACCCCTAGGTGCCAAGAGTAATAAGTAAAGGACAGAAACTACAGAAGCATCTAGGTAAATGCTGGAAACATATATTAATTTTTTATAATTGCACTTATAATAAGAAAATTTAATAAATTCAGAAGAGAAGGCTATTTCCTTATCCTAACTTAAAAAATCTATTAAAAACCTAAAACAAACGTTGTCCTTAATTGTAAAACTTAGGGGCATTATTTTAAATCAGAAACAAGATAAAAGAGACTACTATCACCATTTTATTCAACGTTTTATTGGAAGTCCTATCCATTGCAATAAGATAAGCAAAAGAAATAAAAGATATAAGTATTAGAAAGAAGGATATGACTCTCTTTATTTGCAGATGATATGATTGCATGGAAAAACCATAGAAATATAAAAAAATATTTTAAATATTGAGAAATCAGGAAAGTTTTCTGCTTATCTAATCAGCATACAAAATAAATAGCAACTCAATACACTAGCAATAACCACTAAGATAGATGCTATAGATGCTAGGGTTCTAACAAAATATGGATGGAGAGACTCAATAATATGAAGTTAAAAAAGACTTTCCTCAAAATTTATCTATAAATGCGATATGATTATAGTAAAACTCTCACACATTTTTAAGAAATTTGACATTGTTATCATAAAATTCATTTGGACAACTAAAGGGCCAGGAATAGCCAAGACAACTCTGAAGATGAGCATTAAATGGGGATTTGTCCTATAAGATAGCAATTTCTATATTTATAATGATTAAAAAAGTAATGTATTAAGCCAAGGACAGACAAATTGACAAAGAGTACAGAATACAGAGATCAGAAATAGACTCAGACATATCTCAAATAATGTTGTGCAACAGAATTGTCATTAAAAATTGGTTGGGAATTATGAATTATCCAATAAATGATGCAGCAACAGTTGGTTTTTCTCATGGCAGTGAGGGAGAATCAGATATAAATCCCTACTATACAGGAAAATAAATTTCAGGCTTATTAAATACCTACAAGTGAAAACTAAAACTTTTAGAAGAAAAAAATTTTTAAACATGTATATGAGTTTAAAGTAGGGGAGAATTTCTTAAATGGGGCTTAATAAGCCAAAACTCATAAAGAAAAATATTGATAAACATGACATTAAAATAAAAAATGGAAACCTTATTTGTGTCTGTATTAGTCTGTTCTCAGACTGCTATAAAGAACTACCTGAGACTAGGTCATCCATGAAGAAAAGAGGTTTAATTGACTCACAGTTCCTCAGGCTTAACAGGAAGCATGACTGGAGGCCTTAGAAAATTTGTAATCATGGCAGAAAGCAAAGGGGAACAAGCACCTTCTCACCAAATGGCAGGAGAGAAAGAGAGAGAGAAGGGGGAAGTGCTACACACATTTAAACAGCCAGATCTCTTGTAAGAACTCTATCATGTGACAGCACTAGGGGGGTGTTGCTAAACCATTAGAAACCACCCCCATGATCCAATCACCTCCCACCAGGCCTCACGTTGAACACATGGGGATTACAATTCCACATGAGATTTGGATGGGGACATAGAGCCAAACAATCTCAGTGTCCCAATACACCCTGAACAAAATGAAAAGCAAAGAACAGACACGAATATGAAATTTGCAAAGGCTCTGAGTTACACTTTTTAGTTTACATGAAATTAATTTATATTATCTTTTATCTTTTTAAAATTTAAATCAACAGTTATATTTGAAGAGTGGACATTGCATCTCTGTGTGACTAATTTCTTCAGTTTTTTCTAATTTCTAAGATGAACAAACTTTTATTTTATAATTTTCTTAAAAAACTTAGTGTCCTACTGAATTTATGTTGAAGATATGTTGTCATTCTTCCAGTGTTGAAAACATGTTTATGCTTTTTAATAAAACTATAAATAAAAACATTTTTATAGTTACCTCAAATAACTTCTGTAGCTTTTGAAGTACTCAATATGTGTAATTCAAATGAAGGATAATGCTCCAGACTCAGCCCTTTTGTTAAAAACAGTGAGTAGGATATCAGTGACAACCTGTGAGCTCTGTTCCAAGCCAGAATTAAGTGCAAACACAGAACTCTTGTAATAGTTCAGTATGTGTTCTGTGAACTCTGGGTTTAGAGTGGTGTTCTTAGGCTCAGGCCCACTTGAGTGCACCTTTCAGTTACATGTTCTCTCCTCATGTTGCTTCTTAATTATTTGGCAAAGACAGTTTTTCCAGGCCAGTAGTAAAGATTTCTTTAAATTAACTGGGGAACAGTAGTGCTGGAAACACGGGGAGTTTAAATTAATAGCACTGTAACATTCCGATTTCTAGTACCATATGGTTAAAATAAGCTGAAGGGAAAAGCAGCATATGGTTTATTTCTTTCACTAGAAATTTCTGTTTAGTAGTGACATACTTGGAAGCAGTTTGAAATGGAGAGTTCATGTTTGAAGAGCCTCAAAGAAGTTGTTCTATTAAATTCCGTTGACAATAAAAGGGCAAAAGGGATCTTGTCAAGTCCCCGCTTACCACCATGGTCATCATAAGAATAAACACGGTGTCAGAGAAACTGGGCCATGAAGACAAGGGAATCCTTCAGAGTGGAGTGATTCCTAGCACCCTATGACATTGACAAAGGAAAAGGTAAGTGGGAAAAAAAACCATTAACACAGTTTCTAAACTTCTACTGTGCTTCAATTAGAATCTGAGTCACAATGGAATGCCTGCATTCAGTTAAGTGATTACAAGAATAAACCATGTTCTCTCCTATTCAGAATATGCTTTCTCTAGGTTTTATTTTCTTGCCTACATAATTACAGCACCTGTATGCTTTTGCTGCCAGTACAAGTTTTGGATTAGGATAGAAGTAAGGAAATTTGCCATTTATGTGTGTGTGTATGTGTATATGTGTGTGCCTTCATTCATCTAACATTCATCTGACTGTAGAGACAGCATTGTGCAATAGAAACTAAATAGGTTTTGGAAGCAGGTGGACCTAGGTCGAATCCTGCTTCTTCCACTTAGGTATTGTATCCTTGACAAGTTACTTAGTGAATTTGATTTCTTATCTGTAAAATAGAAATTATAATACTTAACAGAGAGTAATTATAAAAAGTAAGGATTACTTAAATGTGTCAAGTATATGGTACATAGTAAATAATCATCTTCTCTACTGGGTAGGGTAAACTAATAATAAGCTGTCAGTTTTTCAATAGTCTTACAGGTCATTTAGTCTTTTTGGAAATGCTAGTATCTGAAAGAACTGAAATGTGTCTACAATTGGATATCTAACCTCTTTAAATAAAATTCCCTTAAAATAATTAACTATTTTGTTCACATTATACTTAAAGTTTATGCTCATCAAAATTATACTTTATCAAAGCAATAAAATTGGTTTAAATGTTGTTCACATGAATTTTTACTTGGAAATATTTGTATATATCAACAAAATATATATGTACTTCGCAAAGATCTTCTGAGTCTCTTGAAATATTGAGCATATTCTTGATTGAAAATCTAGGCTGGGTGCGGTGGCTTAAGCTTGTAATCCCAGAACTTTGGGAGGCCGAGGCGGGCAGATCACCTGAGGTCAGGAGTTCGAGACCAGTCTGGCCAACATGGTGAAACCCAGTCTCTACTAAAAATACAAAAACTATCTGGGTGCGGTGGCAGGCTCCTATAATCCCAGCTACTCAGGATGCTGAGGCAGGAGAATCACTTGAACCTGGGAGGCGGAGGTTGCAGTGAGCCAAGATGGTGCCATTGCACTTCAGCCTGGGTGACAAGAGTGAAACTCTGTCTCAAAAAACAAAAACAAAACAAAACGAAAAAGGAAATCTAGAATACAGCAAATAATAGGTTCTGAGCTTAACTTTCTGAAGATTTAATCTAAGATCCACACATAATAGATAAGAAAATAAGTTCTTCATCAACAGATCAAAGCCTTTGTTTGAGATAAATCCACTTCTTTTATTTATTCAATTATTTTTCCATCCAGTCAATCAAGAAATAATTATCAAGAGCCAACCAGATTTTGGCCTGGCACAGTGGCTCCTGCCTGTAATCCCAGCATTTTGGGGAGGCCAAGGGGGGATCACCTGAGCTCTGGAGTTCAAGACCAGCCTGGGCAACAGTGAAACACTGTCTCTACAAAAAAAAAAAAAAAAAAAAAAAATACAAAAATTAGCTGGATATGGTGGCAGATGCCTGCAGTCCTAGCTACTTAGGTGGCTGAGGCATGAGAATGACTTGAGCTGAGGAGGCAGAGGTTGCAGTGAGTGGAGACCACACCACTGCACTCCAGCCTGGGTGACAGAGCAAGACTCTGTTTCAAAAAAAAAAGCCAACCAGATTTTAATTACTAACTATTATATTTGATCACTGGACAACTAGCTTAAAAGCCAGGGCTCTTCCATCTCCATAGGCTTGCATCACCCACCTGCCTTCCTCCACTGAATTCTCTTCTGAATTACCAATTCCTCCACGAGGAATGGTATGCTTCTTCTATACAAAACCAGCAAACTGTCCTTTTCACCCTTTTATCTAATCACATAACACTTTGGAATTATTAAAGTCACTCTTCAGGGGAAACAACATATTAATAAGTGGTACAATTGCAGACATAACTCACAACCTACTCAATATTTTCTGAACATCTGTGTTATTTGTATCAATAGCAATGGCATTTTTAGAAAAGAAAGAAACTATATTAACTTACTTATTTTAAGACAAATAATGCTCTCACATGAAACTTGTTTAGTTGCTTTTGTGACAATAAATAATAACTCCTTAGGTGTATTTATCTGTGAAAGATAATAGTAAGTGTGAGAAGATAGAATGGCTATTGACTGGACATAGGGATTGCTATGCTAAAAGGCCCTTAAGGCTGCAAGAACAGTCAGAGAAGGCAGTTGCAGAAAGAAGAGATTTAACTATGAGCACTGGGAGATGCGTGTGAAGAGGTTAAATAGGGATAATGGAATTAAGTGGAGGAAAGTTGTATTAGTATAACACCTTCTCCAATGCCACCATCAAACCCCCTGAACTTAAGTAAAATTAAAATATTCAAAACTAGTAAAAGTGATATAAATTTTAGGTGGCCACAAAAGAATGAAATAAAACTCATCTATAAGTTTTAATACAATTTAGCAGCCAAAAGCCTTGCTTCTATCAATTCCCTATTAACCAGTGGTTGCCACTATACAGACAGGATTGAAGTATTGAAGTCTTAGTTGGTAGGCTTTCTTATCACATAAATTCCTTTTATTCTTTAAAGTTATAAAGATTAAAGATTAAAACAATGGGGCTAAAACATTCTGATGAATATTTGGAATACTAACATAGAAATAACATGACACCAACTCTCTCCAAATGGCTAAACTAGCATCTTGCCAATGTCTTTATTGGTAGTAAAAGCAGTTCCAAAATATGTGTTGCTATTTCATCATTTCTAACTTAGAATTTATAGTTCATTAGTTCCACTGATACAATGGTGTAGAATAATAAGTTCATATTTCAGTTTGATAAATGTGTATATGTTTGAATGATGGAAAGATATGGAGGTGCTTTAGGCTCCCAGACCAACGTACTGAACCTTGTTAACCTATCATGTCCCTGACTATAGAATCGACCTATACTGATACTACATAAAGCCTACCTCAAATACCGTCTTTTATAACGATATCTCTTAAGATGTTTCAGGGCAATGTTTTATCTATTTATGTGTATTCATTCATATGCTATGCACACCACACACATATATATGCACATATAGTTCACAGTCTAAGTTGGTGAATAGGATCGCGTTCACCAGCTTTTATGGAGCAGGAGCATTTTTCGTCATAATTCCATAAAGTAGTTCTAGGGAGTTCCCATTTTTGTTTTCTGATACAAAACCCAGTGGTACAACACAATTTTCCTTGTGAGTAGATTGTCTGTATTGCTTTGATGCTTTCTGATATAGTTTGGATATTTGTCCCCTCCCAAATCTCATGTTGAAATGTAATCCCCAGTGTTGGAAGTGAACCCTGTGGGAGATATTTGGATCTTGGGGGCGGACCTGTCATGAGTGCTCGGGCCATCCCCTTGGTGATAACTGAGCTCTCACTCTGAGTTCACATGTGATCCGGTCATTTAAAAGTGTCTGGCACCTCCCCACCCAAACTCCTGCTTTCACCATGTGTTGTGTAAGCTCCTGCTTTGTCTTCCACTGTAATTGTAAGTTTCCTGAGGCCTCCCCAAAAGCAGATGCTGGTGTCATGCTTCCTGTATAGCTGGCAGAACTGTGAGCCAATTAAACCTCTTTTCTTATAAATTACCCAGTCTCAGGTATTTCTTTATATCAATGTAAGAATGGCCTAATACACTTTCTTTGTTGGACAGTTTTATTTATTTTTTATTATTTTTATTTTTTTGAGACCAAGTTTTGCTCTTGTTGCCCAGGCTGGAGTGCAGTGGCGTGATCTCAGCTCACTGCAACCTGTGCCTCCTAGGTTCAAGCAATTCTCCTGCCTCAGCCTCCTGAGTATCTGGGACTCCAGGCGTGCACCACCATGTTCAGATAATTTTTGTATTTTTAGTAGAGACAGAGTTTCACCATGTTGGCCAGGCTGGTCTCAAACTCCTGACCTCAGGTGATCCACCCGCCTTGGCCTCCCAACGTGTTGGGATTACAGGCGTGAGCCACTGTGCCTGGCCTGTTGGACAGTTTTAATGATCTATTCAAACTGATGTTCTGTCACATCTAGCAGGTCTCAAGGGAATGTCCTCTCTGTTGATCAGGGATAACTTTTTGGTCCCTAGGGATGCCTTCTCAGTTGATGTCTTGCTCTTGTGAGGCAGCTCAATGTGGGAGCACCTCTCAAATAGCCTCTCTGGAAGAACATTCATTGCTAAGCTGTTCAGTGCAAATCCTTCTTTGGTTGGTTCTCAGCTTTAACAGGTCTCCATCTTCACGCCCCAAAGATTTATTGATTATCTTTCTGATCACCTTCCTCACTGATATATTGATCTATGATTATTTACTAAATCTTGATTATAATAGGTTCTATTTTGCTTTCATTGTCACATCACTTTGTAAAAATTTTAATTGAAGTGGAACATTCATACCCAAAGTACACATAAACATATCATAGCTCAATGAATTTTCATAAAATGAGTGCTCCTGTGTAACCAACACTCAGATCAAAAAGCAAAAGGTTACCAGCACCCCAATAGCCTCCCTGCACACAAGGATAATAATTATCCTGATTCCTAACAGCAGAGATTAGTTTTGCTTATTTTTGTACTTTACGTAAATGGAATCATACAGTATATATTATTTTGTGTGTCTAGCTTTTTTTTTACACTCCACATGTTTGTGAGATTCATCCATATTGTCACAAGTAGAAGTAGATCTTTTGTTTTCATTGCTGTAGGGTATGCTGTGGTGTGAATATACAACAATTTGTTCTCTCATTTTATTGTTAGGGGCATTTGAGTAGTTCCCAGTTTGGGGCTATTATGTGAGTACTGCTGTGAATATTCTAGTACCTGCATTTGGTGTTTGTACATACACATTTCTGTTGGGTATATACCTAAAAGAGGAGTTGCTGAGTCATAGGGTATACAGATGGTCAGCTTTTATTACCATCAGTTTTGAAGCTGCTATAAAATTATGATGAACTACACAAAACTACTACATAAAACAGGGTTTCTTGGGAAATAATGTCTTCACATTTTCAATTTAATACATGCCTATATGTTATTTGCTACATACTAGCCTGTCTTCTCAACATTCTATAAATTTGTATTTATTTTATAATCCTCTTGACTATCTCATGAGGTTGATAGCACACCCGGTGAGTAGCAGAACCAGAATTTGAATCCAAGCAGCCTGGCATTAAAGCCTGAGGTTGACTTTTAATATTATTTTCAGATGGTACTAGTAAATATTTAATAAATACCAGCTATCTTCATTTCACCACCCTTGGGCAGACAAGGTGTTTGCTTGTCATGGGAGTTAGAGCTCTAGTGCCCATGTTATCCTCCTGGACTGTGAAACTCCTGCATGTTTCTCAATGGTGAGATCCCCATATTTTTCTTTCCTTGGATCCTGTACGCTGGCCTTATTTTTTCCCCTTCCACATAAACTATCTGAGTTTTGGAGGAGGATCTCTCTTCTTCCTACCCACGAAGGAACAGAACGATTTCATGGCTTCCCTTGCACTTCCACAGGTTTGGAAAATTTCTGTGCCAGTAGGACTGGGGGAGGACATACACATGCTTCCTTCTCAAGCTAACATTCCCATCCTTGCCCTCCCTGCCCCTTCTCCCCAGACAGATACCCACAGTTGTTTTCCCTTCTTAGGGAAAGATAAGAAGCAGAGCCAGTGTGGTGTTGTGTACCTGTAGTCTCAGCTACACAGGAAGCTGAGGGGGAAGCTTGATCCTAGGAGTCGACCAGCCTGGACAACATAGCAAGATTCTGTCTGAACAAAAAAAGAAAGAAAGAAAGAAGAAAGAAAGAAAGAAAGAAAGAAAGAAAGAAAGAAAGAAAGAAAGAAAGAAAGAAAGAAAGAGGGAGGGAGACAGAGAAAGAAAGAAAGAAGCATTTATGATGCTTTCATTCATATCGCAAATTTGTTTAGTACTTACTATGGCTCAGAAAGCACTAAGCATTGTGATAGATGTAAAATGGAATGAACAAGAACAAATGATCTTAAAAGGCATAATGTCTAAGTGAAGAAATGAGTAAGATTTCACTTAAAAAGTATGGTATATGAAGCATATGCGAAGAAGGAGTGAGATTAAAAACTTTTAACATCTATCAAAGCATAAGCATTGAATGAGACTGCATGTGTGTGCAGCCAACAGCAGAGCTGCAGCAGTTAGTAGCCTCTGAATACCAGCCCAGCATGTGCAAGGGATGATACTAGATGGAGCCTATCAGCAGACCACGAACACTCAAATGCCAAGTGACATGCCTCGGCTTTATGCTCTAGGCCCTGCAGAGCCACAGAGCAGTTCTGAGTATGGTTATGATACAATAGAGCTATGTTTGGGGCTTGTTTCTCAGCCTTTAATCTACTGGCAACCCAAAGCCACAGAATAAAGAGATTGTTCTTTCCTATTCTCTTGTAACTAGTTCTCAACAACCTATGACCCACACGTTGGCATATAATTTTTTCAAACACTAGAGCTTGATCAGATAAAGACCAGATCTGGTTAGCTGTGTTTAGACATTTCAAATATTGTGTAGTTGTCATCCCCCAAGAAGCAGATAGCCAGCTGAGATTTTGACTTGTGTGTGCCAAAGAACAACTGAAACAAAAAGTTCACAAGGGGATGCACAATATGACTGGAATTTCCCTCTGCCAGCTGGCTGCCCGGACACTTGTGCTTCTTTTCATGTTTCCCATTTTGAAGGCTGCTGAGTAAGCCAAAGAAGCAAAAGTTACACTGGGGACTGGGCAAATCCCAATGGAGTCAAACAAATGGAAGAATGTGGAAAGATGTGTCAAAGAGACACATCCTTTCGGTTAATCTTCATTAGCATGTCCTCTTTAGCACTATTCCTTTTCATTGTATTTTTTTTTCTTTTGAGAAAGTGTCTGTTAATTTCTCTCATATGAAATAAGCACTGTTTCATCTACCAAGGATAAGTTGGCTAAAGTTAACAGCTTGTTTACAAAACAGGATTGAAAAATCTCTTGGCTCACTGTTTGCAGGGAGGATGGCATGATGGGTATTGTGTAGGCCCTGATGTTAGACTGCCTGTGTGTGATTTCTGGCTCCACAAGACACTTGCTGTGAGATCTTGGGAAGGTTTCTTATCATCATTTTTCTCATCTGTAAAATGAAGATAATTTTCGCTACCTCATTTGGGGTACTGAGGATTAAATAAGTTACAATTTATGTAGAAAAAAACCTGACATGTAGCAAGCACACAAAAAATGTGAGTTGTGGCCAGGCGCAGGGGCTCACGTCTGTAATCCCAGCACTTTGGGAGGCTAAGGCGGGCGGATCACGAGGTAAAGAGATCGAGACCATCTTGGCCAACATGGTGAAACCCCCATCTTTACTAAAGATACAAAAATTAGCTGGGCATGGTGGCGCATGCCTGTAATCCCAACTACTCAGGAGGCTGAGGCAGGAGAATTGCATGAACCCAAGAGGCGGAGGTAGCAGTCAGCCCAGATCACACCACTGCACTCCAGCCTGGGTGACAGAGCAAGACTCCGTCTCAAAAAAAAAAAAAAAAAAAAAAGTTAGTTGTTTGTTGTTTCTCTTAGTATTATTGTATTCATTCTTTTGAGAAAGTGTCCGCTAATTTATCTCATATGAACTGAGAACTGTTTCTTCTACCAAGGATAAGTTTGCTAAAGTTATCCCCATATTTGTCTAGATCTCTATTTCTCAATAGGAAGGAATAAATACCTTTTGTTAATAAAGTCTATCTACGTGCCACAAACTACTAAAGATACTAAAGATACATGTATCTCTCCCAAGTATAAATTACTCAAAAAAAACTAAAACTTTTAGAAATGTAATAGAGAGTCAAATATTTTTGCATATTTTTTCTCGAAGATGACAGGTCTCCATTAAACTCTCTTTCTATTTTTCTGGACAAGCTAGCCTACACTGCATGAAAACAAGTAATACTTCTCTAATCATAAAAAAGATATCTAAAAGATCATTAAAATACTTGCTCACTTATCAAATAAAAATATGTAATCAATAATATTGATTATTCTTAAAACAATAAATATGAGAGTGTCACCCTTGGCTGAACATGTAACTCTTTCCCCTGACTACTCCTCAAGGAACACTTGCAAAGGTATGCTTTGCAGAGAGAGCAGACATCTCAGAGGGAGCTGCACTGGTCAGAGATGCACTTCACAAATGGTTATAAATACTGGTTATAAAAGGGAATAGTGCTCAGGTGCTAAGAAAAAGGGAAAAGCATCAGCCTAGAAATCATGGGACTTGGATTACAGTGTTGATTTTTGGAGTGGCTTTCTGTTTGATTATAACACAATGCCATTGCTTTTTGTCTCATGTTGATCATCTTTAAGATCGAAATGGTTTAAGTTTTCTTTACAGTGAAGCTAAGATATTAAAAAATATTAAAATAAAATGAAACTGCGAAATGCTTTGAGTACCACAACGCAATCTAAGATTGATACTGAAGAACATATCATACACAACGACAGATGGCACTCTTTCTTAGTTTCAATAAGATCTGCATGACCAGCTGATTGTTGTGTTATTTTGTAAGGAAGTAGGTCAGCAGGAAGCACCAAGCTGGAAAAAAAAAAAAAAAAAACACCAGTATGTGAGTGATGATCAAATCTTTGAATTATTCATTTTCCTCATTGATTGTATAATTGAGTAATATGGATACAAAATTCCAAAGTGCCCTCCAGAATTAACGATATCAGGGCAACAAGCAAGTCTCTCTGGCTTGAAAGGATCCTTTTAAAATATACGAAGGGTCTGGTTTTAAGGAAAAACCCAAATAGCAGTGTCTGTGAAGCTTTTCCCAACTTCTCACCTAAATTTGTTTAAAGTTAAAGAAAAAGATGAAAATACAAGGAAAGGAAACTAAGACTGTCAGCCAAACCTGTGCCAGGATTTGAGAGAAACCTCCAGGAATATCGAACAATTGGGCAGAAAGAGGAAAATGCTAGGAATTTTACTTTTTCATGTACTACAACTTCCCAGCTGGACAGAAAGTCAGGATTTGAGGATTAGGAAGAAAACTTCATCATAAGCAGTAGAACTGTCAATTAGAACATACGGCGTTAATTGGGCTAAGAGCTGGCATATTAGCCTATCAGTACTCCCAGTGGAAAAATCATGGTGCTGAGATGTACTGACATATAACATTTGCATTAAAAATATGGTTATATGAATGTGAATAGAAACAGAAGAATCAAAACCCACAATGAACTGAAAATAGTACAACTGAAAGAAAAGGGAAAAGGAACACAATTCTCAACTCCTATATTAAAAACACACCTGTTAAAGTTGCTTTAACTACTTCAGATGATGTTCATCATCGTTTATAGCATGCAAGAAAGTATTTTCTCTATGAAATAGGGGCAGAAATTTATAAAGAGAATAAAAGAAATGAAAGTGAGGTAAGAGTAAAAGAGACATGAGTGATTTAAAAAAAGACGTACTAGTACATTAAAAATGTACTTGTAAAACTCAGAAATTCCACTCAGACAAGAACCCCTAGAGATACTCTTGTTTAAGTGCACCAGGAGTTATACATGTGTGTTTATAGCAATTTGTAATAGCAAAAAGTCTCATAACAACCCCAGTGTTCATCAATAAAGTAGTAGATAAATGAGCGCATTTTTGAACAGTTAAAATATTCAATAGTTGAATTAAATTCATAAGAAAAGCAATATGTCCCAGAATTTGCACTGTGGAAAATCAAATCGGGAATTTTAAGGACATGCCTGAGTAGTTTCCCCAGAAAGCAGAGTAAAATGAAAAAGATGGAAATATCCTCAGAAAGAAGATGGTAGTCACGGAAGATGAAGAACCAAAGCTCAACCTAAGAGTTACAGATAATCTCAAGAAAAAGAAACATAAGCAATTTGAATAGATGCGATGATGAAAAATGTCCCAGATGGAAAAAGAAAGTGTACATAAATAACACCATTAAAGGACCCGAGAAGTAAGATAAAAAATGTTCATTATATTAAGGGCAGAAATCAATGGGAAAGAAATAAAATACAACTACCTTGAGTTATGTTCTGTTAAAAAATAAAGTTAATTTTTTAAAATTTTTTATTTCCATAGGTTATTGGGGGAATAGGTGGTATTTCATTACGTAAGTTCTTGAGTGGTGACTTGTGAAATTGTGGCGGGCCCATCACACTAGCAGTATACACTGTACCCAATGTGTAGTCTTTTATCCCTCACTCCCTTCCCACACTTTCCCCCTGAGTCTCCAAACTCCATTGTGTCCTTCTTATACTTTTGCATCCTTATAGCTTAGCTCCCACTTATGAGTGAGAACATATAGTGTTTGGTTTTCCATTCCTGAGTTACTTCACTTGGAATAACACTCACCAGACCGGTCACGGTGGTGCACACCTATAATCCCAGCACTTTGGGAGGCCAAGGCAAGTGGATTGCCTGAGGTCAGGAGTTTGAGACCAGCCTGGCCAACATGGTGAAACCCCATCTCTGCTAAAAATACAAAAAAAATTAGGCAGGCCTGTTGGCATACAGCTGTAATCCCAGCTGCTCGGGAGGCTGAGGCAGGAGAATTGCTTGAACCAGGGAGGTGGAGGTTGTAGTGAGCTGAGATTGCACCACTTCACTCCAGCCTGGGTGACAGAGCAAGACTCCATCTCAAAAAAAAAAATAAATAATAAATAATAAAAAAATATATATATATAATATACTCTCCAATCTCAATCAGGTTGCTGTGAATGCCATTAATTCATTCCTTTTTATGGATGAGTTAGTATTCCATCATATATTTATAACCACAGTTTATTCACTCACGGATTGATGGGCATTTGGGTTGGTTCCACAGTTTTGCAATCGTGAATTGTGCTGCTATAAACATGAATGTGCAAGTACCTTCTCTGTATAATCACTTCTTTTCCTCTGGGTAGATACACAGTAATGGGATTGCTGGATTAAATGGGGTAGTTCTACTTTTAGTTCTTTAAGGAATTTCCTCACTGTTTTACATAATGGTTGTACTAGTTTACATTCCTATCAGCAGTGTAGAAGTACTCCCTGTTCACCGCATCCACGCCAACATCTATTATTTTTTGATTTTTTTATTATGGCCATTCTTGCAGGAGTAAGGTGCTATTATTGCATTGTGGTTTTGATTTGCATTTCCCTGATCATTAGTGATGTTGAGCATTTTTTCATATGTTTCTTGGCCATTTGAATATCTTCTTTTGAGAATTGTCTATTCATGTCCTTAGCCCACTTTTTGATGATATTGTTTTTTTCTTGGTGATTTGTTTGAGTTTGTTGTAGATTCTGGATATTAATCCTTTATCAGATATATAGATTGTGAAGATTTTCTCCCACTCTGTGGGTTGTCTGTTTACTCTGCTGACTGTTCCTTTTGCTGTGCAAAAGCTCTTTAGTTTAATTCAGTCCCAGCTATTTATTTTTGTTTTTGTTGCATTTGCTTTTGGATTGTTGGTCATGAAATGCTTGCCTAAGCCAATGTCTAGAAGGGTTTTTCTGATGTTATCTTCTAGAAATTGTAGACTTTCAGGTCCTAGATTTAAATCCTTAATCCATCTTGAATTGATTTTTATATAAGGTGAGAGATGAGGATCCAGTTTCATTCTCCTACATGTGGCTTACCAATTATCCCAGCACCATTTGTTGAATAGGGTGTCCTTTCCCCACTTCATGTTTTTGTTTGCTTTGTCAAAGATCAGCTGGCTGTAAGTATTTGAGTTTATTTCTGGATTCTCTGTTCTGTTCCAATGGTCTATGTGCCTATTTTTATACCAGTACCATGCAGTTTGGGTGACTATGGCCTTATAGTGTAGTTTGAAATCAGGTAGTGTGATGCCTCCAGATTTGTTCTTTTTGTTTAGTCTTTCTTCAGCTATGCAGGCTCTTTTTTGGTTCCATATGAATTTTAAAATTGTTTTTTCTAGTTCTGTGAAGAATGATGGTGATATTTTGATGGGAATTCCATGAAATGTGTAGATTGCTTTTGGCAGTGAGAGGTGAAGCCAGCTGGACTCCCTGGGCTGAGTGGGGACTTGGAGAACTTTTCTGTCTTACAAGAGGATTGTAAAATGCACCAATCAGCACTCTGTGGCTAGCTAGAGGTTTGTAAAACGGACCAATCAGCACTCTGTAAAATGGACCAATCAGCACTCTGTAAAATGGACCAATCAACACTCTGTAAAATGGACCAATCAGCAGGACATGGGCAGGGACAAATAAGGGAATCAAAGCTGGCCAACCCAGCCAACAGCAGCACCCTGCTCAGGTCCCCTTCCACCTGTGAAAGCTTTGTTCTTTCACTCTCTGCAATAAATCTTGCTGCTGCTCACCCTTTGGGTCTGTGCCAGCTTTAAGAGCTGTAACACTCACTGCGAAGGTCTGCAGCTTCATTCTTGACATCAGCGAGACCACAAATCCACTGGAAGGAACCAACTCCGGACACAGCAGTATGGTCATTTTCACAATATTGATTCTATCCATTCATGAGCATGGGATGCATTTCCATTTGTGTCATTTATGTTTTCTTTCAGCAGTGTTTTATAGTTTTCCTTGTAGAGGTCTTTCACCTCCTTGGTTAGGTATATTCGTAAGTATTATATATTTTTTTGCAGCTATTGTAAAAGGGGTTGAGTTCTTGATTTGATTCTCTGCTTGGTTGCTGTTGGTGTATAGGAGAGCTATTCATTTGTGTACCTTAATCTTGTATCCAGAAACTTTGCTGAATTCTTTTATCAGTTCTAGGAGCTTTCTGAAGGAGTCTTTAGGGTTTTCAAGGTAAACAATCATATCATCAGCAAACAGTGACAGTCTGACTTCCTCTTTAGCAATTTGGATGTCCTTTATTTCTTTCTCTTGTCTAATTGCTTTGGCTAGAACTTCTAGTACTATGTTGAAAAGAAGTGATAAGCGTGGACATCCTTGTCTCATTTCAGTTCTCAGAGGGAATGCTTTCAACTTTTCCCCATTCAGTATAATGTTGGCTGTGAGTTTGTCACAGATGGCTTTTATTACATTGATGTATGTCCCTTGTATGCTGATTTTGCTGAGAGTTTTAATCATAAAGCGATGCTGGATTTTGTCAAATGCTTTTTCTGAGTCTGTTGAGATGATCATATGATTTTTGTTTTTAATTCTGTTTATGTGGTGTATCACATTTATTGACATGTGTATGTTAAACCATCCCTGCATCCCTGGTGTGAAACCTACTTGATCATGATGGATTATCTTTTTGATATGTTGTTGGATTCAGTTAGCTAGTATTTTTTGTTAAGGATTTTTGCACCTAGGTTCATCAGGGATATTGGCCTGTAGTTTTCTTTTTTTGATTATGTCCCTTCGTGGTTTTTGCATTAGGGTGATACTGGCTTCATAGAATGAATTAAGGAGGATTCCCTCTTTCTCTATCTTGTGGAATAGTGTCAATAGGATTGGTACCAATTCTTCTTTGAATGTCTGGTAGAATTCTTCTGTGAATTCATCTGGTCCTGGACTTTTTTTTGTGGGTAATTTTTTTTATTACCATTTCAACCTCACTACTTGTTATTGGTCTGTTCAGGATATCTAATTCTTCCTGATTTAAGCTAGGAGGGTTGTATCATTCCAGGAATTTATCCATCTCCTCTTGGTTTTCTAGTTTATGCACATAAAGGTGTTTATAGTAACCTTGAATGATCTTTTGTATTTCTGAAGTGTCAGTTGCAGTATCTCCTGTTTTGTTTCTAGTTGGGCTTATTTGGATTTTCTGTCTTCTTTTCTTGGTTAACCTTGCTAATGGTCTATCAATTTTATTTATCTTTTCCAAGAACCAGCTTTTTGTTTCACTTATCTTTTATATTATTTTTTCATTTCAATTTCATTTAGTTCTGCTCTGATCTTGGTTATTTCCTTTCTTCTGCTGGATTTGGATTTGGTTTGTTCTTGTTTCCCTAGTTCCTTGAGGTATGACCTTAGATTGTCTGTCTGTGCTCTTTCAGACTTTCCTGTGTAGGCATTTAGGGCTATGAACTTTCCTCTTAGCACTGTCTTTGCTGTATCCCAGAGGTTTTGATAGGTTGTGTCACTATGGTCATTCAGTTTGAAGAATTTTTTAATTTTTAACTTGATTTCATTGTTGACCCAATGATCATTCAGAAGCAGGTTATTTAATTTCCATATATTTGCATAGTTTTGAAGATTCCTTTTGGAGTTGATTTCCAGTTTTATTCCACTGTGGTCTGAGAATGTACTTGATATAATTTCAATTTTCTTAAAATTTTTGCGGCTTATTTGTGTCCTATCATATGATCTCTCTTGGAGAAAGTTCTATGTGCTGATGAATAGAATGTATATTCTGTGGTTTTTGGATAGAATGTTCTGTAAATATCCATTAAGTCCATTTGTTCCAGGGTATAATTTAAATCCATTATTTCTTTGTTGATTTTCTGTCTTGGTGACCTGTCGAATGCTGTTAGTGAAGTATTGAAGTCCCCCAGTATTATTGTGTTGCTGCCTATCTCATTTCTTAGTAATTGTTTTATAAGTTTGGGAGCTCCAGTATTAGGTGCATAGTATATTTAGGATTTTTATATTTTCCTGTTAGACAAGGCCCTTTATCATTATATAATGTCCCTCTTTGTCTTTTTAACTGCTGTTGCTTTAAAGTTTGTTTCATCTGATATAAGAATAGCTACTCCTGCTTGCTTTTGTGTCCATTTGCATGGAATGTCTTTTTTCACCCCTTTACCTTAAGTTTATGTGAGTCCTTATGTGTTAGGTGAGTCTCTTGAAGACAGCAGATAGATGGTTGGTGAATTATTATCCATTTTGCAATTCCCTATTTTTTAAGTGGAGCCTATAGGCCATTTACATTCAACGTTAGTATTGAGATGTCAGGTACCATTCCATTCATTGTGTTATTTCTTGCCTGTATGCCTTGGTTTTTTGTTTTTATTTTTTATTGTATTTTTTCATAGGTCCTGCAAGAGTTATGCTTTAAAGAGGTTCTGTTTTGATGTGTTTCCAGGATTTGTTTCAAGATTTAGGGCTCCTTTTAGCAGTTCTTGTAGTCCTGGCTTGGTAGTGGTGAATTCTCTCAGCATTTGTTTGCCTGAAAAAGACTATATCTTTCCTTCATTTATGAAGCTTAGTTTCACTGGATACAAAATTCTTGGCTAATAGTTGTTTTGTTTAAGGAGGCTAAAGAAAGGGCCCCAATCCCTTCTAGCTTGTAAGGTTTCTGCTGAGAAATCTGCTGTTAATCTGATAGGCTTTCCTTTATAGGTTACTTGGTGCTTTTGCCTCACAGCTCTTAAGATTCTTTCCTTCATCTTAACTTGAGAGAACATGATGACAATGTGCCTAGGTGATTATCTTTTTGAGATGAATTTCCCAGGTGTTGTTTGAGCTTCTTGTATTTGGATGTCTAGGTCTCTAGCAAGCCCAGGGAAGTTTTCCTCCATTATTCCCCCAAAAATATTTTCCAAACTTTTAAATTTCTCTTCTTCCTCAGGAATGCTGATTATTCTTAGGTTTGGTCATTTGACATAATCCCAGACTTCTTGGAGGTTTTGTTCATATTTTCTTATTCTTTTTTTCTTTGTCTTTGTTGGATTGGGTTATTTTGAAAACCTTGTCTTCGAGCTCTGAAGTTCTTTCTTCTGCTTGTTCGATTCTGCTGCAGAGACTTTCCAGAGCATTTTGCATTTCTCTAAGTGCGTCCATTGTTTCCCAAAGTTTTGATTGTTTTTGATTTTTGATTTATGCTATCTATTTCATTGAAAATTTCTCTCCTTATCCTATGTCATTTTAAAAATTTCCTTAAATTGGGCTTTGCCGTTCTCTGGTGTCTCCTTGATTAGCTTAATAACTGACTTCCTGAATTCTTTTACAGGTAAATCAGGGATTTCTTCTTGGCTTGGATCCATTGCTGGTGAGCTAGTGTGATTTTGCAGGGGTGTTCAGGAACCTTGTTGTGTTATACTACCAGAGTTGGTTTCTGGTTCCTTCTCATTTGGGTAGGCTGTGTCAGAGGGAAGGTCTAGGGCTCAAGGCTGTTATTCAGATTCTTTTGTCCCACGGGGTGTTCCCTTGATGTAGTACTCTCCCCCTTTTCCTATGGATGTGGTTTCCTGAGAGCTGAGCTGTAGTGATTGTTACCTCTCTTCTGGATCTAGCCACCCAGCAAGTTTACCTGGCTCTGGGCTGGTACCAGGGGTTTTCTGCACAGAGTCCTGTGATGTGAACCGCTTGTGAGTCTCTCAGCAACGGATACCAGCACAGTATTTGAGGTGTCTTCTGGGATCTTCAGGAGCAATCTGCTTCCTTCTGAGGGTCTGTGAGTTCTCTTCGGCTTTCTTGATTTATTCCTACAGTCGTTCTGCAGCAAGAGTTCACGATGAGAGACTCCACATGCTGCTCTGTCCGTCCGAGTGGGAGCTGCAATCTAGTCCTGCCTCCCATCTGCCATGATCCTCCTTCTTCTCTTGAAGTTAATTATTTAAAAAACTTATTTTAAGCATCCAAGAAAGAAAAAATTAATAATTTCTGATAAAATTGAAACACATGCTATTTATAAGACTTTATTCTCCACAAACAAAATTATAGAAAACAACACAGCAACATGTCTTAGGGAAAAAATTGTGAGGGTAAAAGTCTGAAGAATTGTGTTCTCAGAGAATTTGACCCTCAGGTATGAAGGAAAGAGAGTTATATCCCTGGGTTTCCAAGAGCTTGGAAAACAAACTAGCCAAGTATGGTTTTTGACAATATTAAAGTTGTACTGTGAAGCAAGCAATGAATCCTAATGAAGACTTCAAGCAGAGGAAGTAATCAAAACCAGTAAACAGAAAGGTAAATCTCAATAACTATTGCTAATATGGTTATGAAACAGAAGGGAGACATGGAAAGTAAAAAATAATTTAATGACATTATCTGGGTCTAAAATTGTAGATTAAGAGAAACACATAAGTGAAGAAAGACAAAGCAGAGAAGGAAACAGCTAACTTCCTCATTTTGTCTGAAAGGAGACAAAATCTCTTTTCTTTTATAATCCTAATCATTAGAAAATATAAATTAAAGCACAATTTTGAAAAACCCAAAGGTAATCTTTAATACAACTAAATACTAGAAAGTATAAAAGCTTATAAGCCATATGCAATATAACTAAGAAAGCATGAGAAAAATCACAAGCCCAGAGAAAAGAAATATGAGTAAATATATTAGTTATAGTAACAATTGTGAATAATTAAAAATACTTCAAATCCAGGTTAAAAACATTGAACTACATGATAGTTAGAAAGCCACTCTAAGACAAAATGATATGCACAAGTTAAAAATAAAAGAATGAGCAAATATACGTCAGACATTCACAAAAGAAAACAGGAAATACTAATTTCAGAAAAGACACAAAGGCAAAAGATATTAATGATAACCAAGAGGGTCATTATATATTAATACAAATATGCTTCACAAGGAAAATATAATAGTTATTCAACTTTATAAGCTGATTAGTATAATATCAACATACATAAATCAAGGATGTTAGAAATGTTAGAAATGTGAAAGGAAAGTACCTTCTTATGGGTGACAGTGACACATCTCTCTTGGCGCTGGATAAACAGATATTTGGTTAAAATTTATAATTTGTAAAGATGAATCTACAGATATACTGACATCTATTCCAAGAACTAAAAAATACATGTATCTTATTTTCAAGATGAATATAATAACTTTTTATAACAACTTAACAACTACTGCCACAAAGAAAATGTTCAAAAGTTTCCAAATCAGAAATTGTAGGGAGCTGTATTCTCAGACCATAATGCAATCAAACTATATATTTTTTAAAGTTTAAGCAATCAAAAATCCCAACACGTTGGAAGTTACCAAATGCCTTCCTAAATAGCTATATGGGAGAGAAAAACCCAAGGTAAAATTACAAACTTGTTTTAAAATAATGAAAATAGGACCATTATTTATCAAACCTTATGGAATATGTTCAAAGGCAAATACTGTATGTGGCCTAAAATGGTTTTTGTTCTAACTAAAAGAGAATTTTAAAAAAATTCAACTCAACTGCAATTCAAGAAGTTAAGACAGAACAATGAAAGAATCTAAACAAGAGGAAGAAAATATCAAAAATAAATATATAAATCAATGCATGAGAAAATAGAAAAATAGTAAAGTTGACGAATAAACTACAGTACTAAATTCCTAAAGAACAAGAACAGGCCAGGTGCTGTGGTTCACACCGTAATCCTGACACTTTGGGAGGCTGAGGTGGGCAGATCACTTGAGGCCGGGAGTTTGAGACCAACATGATGAAACCTTGTCTCTACTAAAAATACAAAATATTAGCACTCCAGCCTGGGCACAGAGTGAGACTCTGTCCCAAAAACAAAAACAACAACAACAACAAAAAGGACACGAACAAACCGTAGTACAAAAGTCCTAGCAGATTTAATCAAGAGAAAAAAGTAAACAAATAAAATTAGAAATAAGAATTTACAGTCTTAAAAGGATTTAATAACACATTTAAAGATTATTTTAAAATGTTACTTAAAAAGTATTAGCACAAATTCATCAGTTTAACAAATTTGAAAATCTTAGTAATAAAGATTCAAAGATAATGGGGTAGAAAGTTGTCTACCAAACCTAAATAGACAACTATATACTGAAGAATTGAAACTGAAAAAGTTTTCAATAACTAAATTCAAGACAGCTGCAGAGCAGAGGTTTTTTTTAAATCAATAAGCGCTTTTCAGTTTTCAAGAAACAAATCCATCACTACGAGGTACACTCTTCTTGTACATAGAAAAACAATAGGAAACATTCCAACTCACTTCACAAAGCTAGGATCACCCTCACAGTAAAACCTAAAAATAATTAGTACAGATGCAAAAGTATGAATAAAAGATTTACATATTTAACTCAGGCATATTAAAATAATAATTTAGCCTAAATATTTAAGGATTGCTCTAAAGAATTCATGCATATAAACCCTAATGAATATATCACACCAGTAGGTTGCAAAGTAAATATATAAACATCTCAATTGATCTGCAAAATAATTTGATAAAATTTAATAAACTCTTGGATTTTAAAACTTGCTGAATAAGCTCAGAATAAAATGTTATTTCATGTACATCATAAAGAATATGTGTTTATCATTAACATACAGTTAACATCATATGGCTTAACAATGCTACTCTAAAAGTATCATAAACAAGTCAAGAATATCTACTATTACTACCATCATTTCCATCATTCTAGAAGTGGTAGCCAAAACAAACAAAAAAATGGAAACACATGTGTGGTCTAGTG
Source organism: Homo sapiens (assembly GCF_000001405.40). Lineage (NCBI taxonomy): Eukaryota > Metazoa > Chordata > Mammalia > Primates > Hominidae > Homo > Homo sapiens. Next base: position 71,433,606 of record NC_000006.12, on the reverse strand, counting down.
TACTTATTGAGGGAATAGGCCTAAGTACAAACCTTTTCCCTTCATAATAACATCTATAGACAATTCTTAGTAGAATGGAATAGGATTTTCTCAGTCAAATCTCCCTGCTGGACAGGGTCCATAGCTATACCAAGTATCCCTCAAACATGGTAATTGGATAGTAAATAATTTTCTAGTTAAAACAAAAACAAAAGCAAAACCTAGGGAAATAGATATGAGGAAATCATTGAAGAAAGTTTTGGATTTAATAGCATAGTTCAGTTAAGTGATCCAGGGTGAAAAAAATACAAAATCAATCCTATTGCTAATAATAATAGACAGTCAAAATATGATGAAGATATCCCACTCACAACAATAAGCACAATATCACGATACACAATTACAAGTATAATCTTTAAAGGAATTGTGTGTGACCAATACAATGAAAACTGTAAGAGCTTGTAAAAGGAATAAAAATACTTTCACGAAAAAAAAATCTGTGGCTAAATGGGAAGAAAATAAGATTAATGTAATCCATGAAAATCCCAATATAAATTCTTAGAATGTGACTGTGATAGAGAGTATATTTTCAAAGCAATTCTAAAGTTTATCAGAGGAATAAATGAGAGAGAGAGAAAAAAAAGATTGAAAGCTAAATAGGGGAAGCCTGTCCCAGTGGAATGGGAAAATAGATATAACGATGGTAGAGAATGGATAGACCACAAGCCAATTCTAGTAGATTAAAAAACAAAACAATGCCAGGAAGGGTGGCACACTCCCATAGTCCCAGCTACTCAGAGGGCTGACACAGTAGGACCCCTGAGCCCGGGGAGATGGAGGCTGCACTGAACTGTGATTGTGCTGCTTCACTTCAGCTTGGGTGACAGAGTGAGAACCTGTCACTAAAAAAAAAGTTTTTAAAAAATTTTTTCTAATTTAAAAAAAAAAGAATGACAATAAAAGATTCTATATGAGATAAAGTTGGCATCACAAATGAGTAAAGCCATAAAAGACAATCATTGGTGGTGTGAGATAATTATTTAACAAATTGAAATAAATAATTCCTCCCTTTATGCTATAAAAACAAAACAAACTGTAGAATGATGAAATATTTTAATGTTACAAACTGAGGCCGGGCACAGTGTCTCATGTCTATAATCCCAGCACGTTGAGAGGCCAAGGTGGGAGGATGGCTTGAGCCCGGAGTTCCAGACCATCCTGGGCTACATAGTGGGAACCTATCTCTACAAAAAATACAGAACATTAGCCAGGTTTGGTGGCATGTGCCTGTAGTCCTAGCTACTCCAGAGGCTGAGGTGGGAGGATCCCTTGAACCCAGGAGAGATCAAGGCTGCAGTGAGCCATGATCATGCCACTGCACTCCAGCCTGGGCTGCAGAGTAAGACCATGTATGAAGCAAGCACACACACACAAGAAAAAAAGAAAAAAACCTGAAAGCACACACACACACACACACACACACACTCCTGGAAAAAAAAGGTGGATACTTATCAGGTCTCAGGATGGGAAAGTGCTTTCTAATTATAAAGGCATTAAAATAAATGTCCCCCGAAATAGCATACATTTTACTATGGAGAATACAACTTGAATTTTCCCTACAACAAGAAAGAGTATGGAAAACTGAAATGAAATCTCTGTCATGAGGAAAAAGTAAATATTGTTTTAAAAGCACACCACTGAGGAAAATAATTGACACAGATTTATGACAAAAAGTTTAATATAGCTAATATATAAAGAGCTCATGTAAATCTTAAAACCTAAATAGAAAAGTTGGCAAAGAATATGAATAGATATGTCATAGAAGAAAAAAGAGAGGAAGGGAGGGATGGAAGGAGAGAAGGAGGGAGAAACATAGGAAGGGAGGAAAGAGGGAAAGGTAAGGAAGAAAAGAAAACTAAACAAGAGGAGAAAGATTAAATTACTCGATTTCAAATACTCTTGTTTTAAAGACTATATTTTTTACTTACCAAATCAGCGAAACTTAATTCCAACACCCAGTATTGTTGAATGTGAGGTTAGAAATCAGAACGACTTTTCTAGAAAGCAAGTTTAGCAATCTATATTAAGAATTAATGTCTTTCAATTCAGTAGCTCTACTTTTAGACAGTTATCAAAAGGAAACAGTTACAGAATATTTGATAGCAGGGACATTTATTGCTTCATGACAACTGCATTTAGTTGAATTTAGTGTTAGTCATCTGAGATGTCACATAATACCAAAGTCAATTGTGAGGTGTGTCACAAGAAATTTGTTACTACTCATAGTAAAGGTACCAAACTTTGAACATTATTTAATAAATTAGGGTAGAGTCAAGGTTATCTCTGTAATGTTACTCTTACTCATATTATAATGCATTTTATGAGTATGAAGGAAAGGGACAGAGCAATGGCAAATCCCCAAGGAGGAAAATTTGCATAAACCATAGCCTTTATTATCAATGTGTGCATCAGAACTCATTGGCTTGTGAACATCATATGTCTCTAGGTGTTATAGAGGAGAAAAAAAACAGAATCACTTATAGAACTGAGTTTGGTGCAGCCATTTAAAACACATACTGCAGCCATTATTAAAAAAAAAAAAGCTGGGTGCGGTGGTGGGCACCTGTAATCCCAGCTACTCAGGAGGCTGAGGCGGGAGAATCGCTTCAACTTGGGAGGCACAGGTTGCAGTGAGCCGAGATCGCACCACTGCACTCCAGCCTGGGCGACAGAGCAAGACTCCGTCTCAAAAAACAAACAAAAATTAAAACCTTGATTTGGAAGAAGTTTGATGGAATGTGTAAATGATCACAATATGGTAGAGCCAGAAGGTAGAATCAAGCATATAGTGAGCCCTGTTTTATAGAAGGATTAGAAGGAAGTTGACCTGTGTTGTCAGTGGTGGTGTCTGGAGATTTTTAAAAATATTTTCCTGAATTTTCCATGTTTTAAGTAGTGAACAGATATCACTTTTATGACTAGAAGGAAATTATTATTAGCAAAATAACTATACAAATATAAAGAAGTATAGAACATTTACAAAGTAACCTGTAATCCTCTTTCCCTCCTGTTCCCTGTACCAACTAAAACATATGAGTATTTACAGAAGGAGATTTATGCCTTTCTGATTAACCTCACAGAATCAAATCTACCATATACTAAAAAGAAAGCCTCTGACAGCAAAAAATAACTTAGTCCCCAGCATGTCTTCATCTAACCTGCCAAAGACAATTCTGTGGCTCTTTAAGCACGTTTAATTAAAAACTAAAACGAAATACAACCATGTAATGCCTTTTCATCCCTCATGAAAACTTACTCTGTTTTTTGAGGGAAAGAGTAATAAAGGAGTAATATGAGACAAATGGGTGTACATTAGTTAGTAGTCTTCATTCTTATTTACAAGCAATCATGTTAATGCCCTTTCTAGGGAGGAAAAAAGAAAAAGATGCAATGACCTTCATTGAAATTCATGCACTAACCAACACAAAGCATATTTTAAAATGCCCTGAAAAAATGCTTCAGGGTTATGGGGTTAACACAATACAAACTGCTGCCTACCTTTCTGTTGTTTTCCTACCCCGGAATCTTCCTAAGAGACCACAAGTTTCACACTGGGATGATGGGGAGAAGGACATCACCCTGTGTATTTGCATCATTTCCCAGAACTGCCTTTCTAATAGCTCGAGATTCTGAAGGGCACATAAAACATTGTAATAAGTACATTTTGTGTTTTCATTTATTTCTTGGGAGAATAGCAGCCACTATTAATATATGTTCTTGACAGATCATTGGATTCACATTCCCAACAGTTTCAAATAACTAGCTAAAATATTCTTTTGAGGAATTTTTTCTTAAAAAAAAAAAAGCCAGTCTTAGCTAACTTGAAGAAGCACATTTATTTTCCGAGTCTTACTGTTCCATTTTTGTTTTCTCAAACACTGTGAACCACTTTTAATTTTTAAATATTATCTTATTTACAAAGCATATGCTAGAAATAGTTCTACTTTCAGGAGAGGGAAATAAAATTTCCATTTTCCATTGCTTAAAAGAAAGCATATAAATAAGGGTTGTTTTCTTTTTTTTTTTTTTAAGTTTTGAAGTTGCTGGTACTATTTCATTTCTCCATAAAAGCAATAAGCATCTAAAGCAAGGTTTCTCCACCTGTGTCCTATTAATATTTTAGAGTGGATAATTCTTTGCACTGGAGGGCTGTCCAGTGCATTGTAGGATGTACAGCAGCATCTCTGGTCTCTACCCACCAGATGCCAGTAGCACCCTCCTTCCCTCAGGGGAAGGTCACAACCATAAATGTCCTCCAGACATTAGCGAGTGTTCCCTGGGGGCAAAATCTTCCTGGTTGAGAACTTTGTTCTAAATTACACCACTCAGCGAGTGCCATATGTATATCACTTATCTTCTTTACTTACTCTAAAGTCCTCAAAAGTGAAAATTCGGCCAGGTGCAGTCGCTCATGCCTGTAATCCCAGCACTTTGGGAGGCCGAGGTGGGCGGATCATCTGAGGTCAGCAGTTCAAGATCAGCCTGGCCAAGACGGTGAAACCCCATCTCTATGAAAAATATAAAAATTAGCTGGGCACGATGGCAGGTGCCTGTAATCCCAGCTACTTGAGAAGCTGAGACCAGAGAATCACTTGAACCCAGGAGATGGTGGTTGCAGTGAGCCGAGATCACGCCACTGCACTACAGCCTGCACAGCTGAGCAAGACTCCGTCTCAGAAAAAAAAAAAAAGAAAGAAAAGTGAAAATTCCTGTCTTTCAAAAGTTGGGACTACTTGTTATTATATTATTTACTAGTCCTTCAATATTTTAAGGATAAGATTTTACATATCCTTCAAAGAAAAATAAACAGTTGACCAAAAAACTATTAGATGTTAGAGGTGTTACACTAAAATTTCATTTTGTCTTTTTACATTAATTCCTTGTTCTCACTTTGTCATGAAAATAATTTAAATTATTTTATCACAATGAATATTCAAACTTTTCATTCAAAAGTCCAAATAGAGAGATTTTCAATATAAAATAGATAATATAAGCCATTTCTTTTTTATTTATATACTATATAATACCTAAGGTAGCAATGGAGAAGTGAGGATTTATTAATTATATACCTTTTAAAGGGATTTTAACAGGATATTAATTATAACGAATTTATTGGAAACAATTAAAAAATACAGAAAAGTGCATAGATTAACACCTAGGTCTTGATCTTTCAAGATTTTATTCTACTTATATAAATATATAGGATATATCCTTAACAAATCACAATTTATCGCACTGCCCTATATGAATTAAACATAATGTTTGTGGGATGATACATTAAGGGCAAAATTTACAATGACAGATATACTTAACTTTATCAAACAACTAGCTTTTACAGCAGTGAGCACACGATGTTGGCTTCTTTATACGTCATTCTACTTTTCAGCAGTAATCTCAACATATTGAATTTGTCTTTCTGTTTCTCTCACAGGCTTAAATATAATTAAGTTTTTTTTTTTTTTTTTGCTCCTTGTTTTTATTCTATGCTATGTCATCTAGATACAGGTCCAAAGACCTGATAATTTTTCTGAGAAGGAATTTTTTTTCTTTTTTCCAGGGGAAGTAAGGGAGAGGCTTATGTTTTCATATTCACCTTTTATTTTCGTTTACTCTACTTGATTCCATTGAAACAAACCCAAACAAAGAAATAAGCATCCACACCTCCCCACTACAAAAACCACAGACAAGACCATTTACGTGTTTAGAAGACTTTATTGGAAATTTGCACTTGCACCTTGGAAATCCTCTCTCTATGTCTCTTCTATCCTCACATTCAGGGAATCTTTATGAATTATTTCATTCTTTATAGTTGCCAGCCTCACATCATCTTCTTGGTTCTCTACCTCATCTCTTCCCTCAGGAGCCAGGAAAATTTCTCTCTGTTTTCTAAACAGAACTCTTTAACCATTGTTTGATTATCTTCCTCCCCTGGAGGGGAATAGAGACCCCAGAGCAAGTTGGGAAAGCAAGTTCTTGACTATTGTAAGATTTACAGCTGAAAGGACCCTGGTAATCAACTAGTCTAACTCTTCAATCCAAAAAAGAAATTGAGGAAACCACCAGACAATTCTAATTTTGTATTTACTGATCACACTTTAAAGTTCAGATCAAAGTAGTGGAATGAGCATTGGGAGTAATTAGACCTGGGGATCTGGGGCCATGGACTCACCGTATCTAACTGGGTTATTTATCTCTTGATCTCTGAATCTCCTTTTCATTATCTATAAAATGGGAATAGAACCCATGCTAATAAGAACATTGGCGACCCACATAAGGGTCTGCAAAGCATATTCACACAAATGAGCTGTTTCCATCCTCAGAACATGCAGAGAGAGAGAGAGAGATTCAACACCTATAATTGTTATCCTTATTTAAAGACCCAGGGGAATTAATGGCTTGGTTGAGTCCCACTGATGTAGCAGAATTCAAATGTGTCTTTGAACTGAAATACTATACTGAGATGCCTCCTCATCATCTTGAGGAAAAGTTATGAGGATCTAACGATGTTACATATGCGAAGGTGCTCTCCTAGTGAAAAAACATGGATGAAAAATACATGTTTATTATTGCTGTGTTTATTTTCAGACAACCTTGGGAAGATGCCATCTACATGAGGACGGTTTGGTTTGAGTTCAGGTAGTTTCCACGATATCATCTCCAAATTAGGACTAAGCATTACACTCTGACAGTAGATTTTCAGTTCTGTCATGCTTCTTTACTTATTCTGGACTTGCCTTTTAGATTCATTTTGTTTATTATCAACTGTCAGTGATCGAAACATTTATTCAGCCTGGTCTCCTACACACAGACACACACACACACCCCCTCACACCCACACACCTTTTCTTCCTCCATGGCTTCTGGTAATGATATTCTTCATTGTCTATGAATTCTCACAATGTAGTATGCCAGTCCTGTGGGTTGATTTCCCTCTTATCCAAGATGAAACATTCTAATAGACCCCCGTGGAGCATTTCACAGTGGGCTCACTATTCTCCTTCACTTGCACAGAAAATTAACAATGAATTATATCTGAAAATTTGGAGCCCCCAAAGCTCAAAAATGTTCATTCTTCCAAGCCGGCTGTGTTCCAGATTTCTAATTACTTTTGTAACTTTCCATGGAATCTTCTCCATAATTTTCATTCATTTCTCAAACTATGAAGCTCACAATTGCACACATTTTCTATTGAGTTTTCCTGTGTGCTGAGTCAAACAGTTTCAAATGATACAATCACTTCATCAAAAAACAAACAGGCATTTAACAAGCACTGTCCCATGCCCAATCTGCCCTATAATCTCTGGGATCCAGAGGAGGCACAGTTGTTCTCGAGCACAGAAATAAGATAATCTACTGTATTATGAATTGCTTGTGAAGAGCACAAAATAATTTCACTATATATCCATTATGTTTGCTTTTTTAAAACCATCATATACATTCTTACTTGGGTCCTAAATTCCATTTTATTCTACACTAAATACAACTGTGGTTTCCCAATATATATGGATACCCTACATTTATTTTTAAATACATTCCTGCTAAGACTTTTTTCTGTAATATTGACAATTTTCATCAAAACCGTCTTCACAGTTGGTTAAAAAAAAATCAAATAAGACCACAACCCTCCTCACATGTAATTACAACAACCCCTCCTCCAAAGGAAAACCCTTTTAACCATTTCTGCTTTTAGTTTCTGCCTGTAGAAAACTAAACCGTAAACTTTTTGTTTGAACAAAACATGAACTTTAAATAATGAAATAACTAGTATATTTCTATATTTGTTATTTATTATTTACTTATCTACCTGACCCTCAGCTATATAAAATGACCTATGTAAAATGAGGTCTTACATTAGTCCTTCTTTCAACACTTCTCCAATTTTGATACTTACATTATCATTTTCAGTTTTGTTGGTTGTAATGTAGAAGTAGCCACTTAAATTTCTGTTTCTTGTCCAATAAATGTTATCTAATAAAGTTGGATAAAACCATGTTTTGTCCAATACAGTTATTTGGCACCCCTCTATGTGGCGTGATGCCCCTACCCAGCTTTCTTCTTTGGCCCCCTTCTTTCCTCTCCCACCTTTGTCAGCTAGCTGTACCTTTACTTTTACTTGATCAAGGTTGTATAGTTTTAATTATATGCACTAATGTGTATTTGTTTTTATATTTAAGTCAAGTTGAGTTGAGTTTTCTATCCCTTATGACTGAAACCCTCCTAACTCCACTGAGGGTCTCCTACATGCTGACCTTCTGGCTTGGAAGAGGGATGCTACCATCTACTTTGTGTAAACCATTCTATTTTAAAAGGATATTTTTAACCTACAACTTCTAGTTAATTCAAATATATCTTATGAAACAAAAAAGTTGGATAAGATGAAGTTCTGCAACAGTGCTAAGACAATATGTCACTCAGGAGATGACTTTTAAAAATAACTTTAACTTTGAAAAGTAAATGTTGGGCCAAGCACGGTGGCCCACACCTGTAGTCCCAGCTCATTGGGAGACCAAGGTGGGAGGATTATTTGAGGCCAGGAGTTCGAGACCACCCTGGACAACATAGCAAGGCTCCCATCTCTACAAATTAAATTAAAATAAGCAGGACATGGTGGAGTGCATCTGTAGTCCCAGCTACTAGGGAGACTGAGGCAGGAGAATCGCTTGAGCCCAGGAGTTTGAGGTTGCCGTGAGCTATGATCATGCCACTGCTCTATAGCCTGGGCAACACAATGAGAACCTGACTCAAACAACAACAACAACAACAACAACAACAAAAAGGAAATAAAAGAAAAAAATAAATAAATGTAATAAAATTTCCCAGTCAAGTACATCTATTTTTCTTCTTGCTTCTCTGGAAAAGGTTTAGAGATATTATACCTGGTGAATTAGAATCCTATTTCTCTGTGAAGGAAATATCAGCAGTATCCTTCATATTGCTCTCTCTACACGTTCTGGTTGTGTTTAACTCTTCATACTCAAGAGTTTATGTGAGGCTCAGAATGTTAGTTATATATATTTCATCTCATTTCAGAAAGTATTTTACAGAGCTTCAATAAAATGCATACATACAAATATATAAGCTAATAATGCATATATGAATAGTAATAAACCATGGCAAGGTAAAGCTTATGTTTATTAAAAATTAGAGTGAATCTAGTATTTGATAGCACAACAGAGTGACTAAAGTTAACAAAAATTTATTGTACATTTTAAAAGAACTTAAAGAGTATAATTGGATTGTAACACAAAAGAAAGGATTAATGCTTGAGGTGGTAGATACTCCATTTACTCTGATGGAATTATTACACATATATGCCTGCATCAAAATATCTCACGTACCTCACAAATACATACACTTACTATGTACTTACAAAAATTTAAAATTTAAAAAAAGAAAAAAGTTACAGTGAAGCAGGCCGTACCTTGCTAAATTAAGCTGTAAATTTAGTTCCAAGCTTCCTGGTTGTTGAAATAAGAAGGAGAAGCTGCAAAAATCTCATTTCAGAAAAAATAAAATTTTTCCTAACACTTAACTCTAAAAGAAATTTTCCTGAGGGACTGTGACCCAAGATAAAATGGAGAAGGGAGTCTAATGTGCCTCTCACCAATGTTTTCTGAAATTTTCTCTCTGTTACTCCATATGCATATAAAAGTTTCCTGCCATAGATACATCACACAATAAGGAAACTACATGGTTGGGTTCAAGAAATCAACAAAACATAAGTTTTGTAAAAGGAGAGTTAAAGGGATCTGATGTTGTGATTCACAAAGGCATTTTTCTCTCATCCATGTAAGAAATAGAAAGAAAAACAGAGCTAATCGTTTTTCTCTTCTCTCTATATAGATATTATTTAATTATTCCTAAGAACATCATTTTCAGATTAATGAATTAGACTCGGTTATTTGTTGAGAAGTCACGTGGAACTCTGATTTGTCCAAGACAAGACATTCCGAAGCATTTCAACTATCAGAATCAAGAAGATATAAATCCAGTTATTCGTTATATTCACTGATGAAGCAATCTTAAGATGATAGCAAATTAAATGTAAAGATACAGAGAAAATAATATTATAGTCATATTACCACAGATCATGTGAGGCAACTTATAAAAGATGTATATGTATTTTTTTAATTACCTTTACCAATGTCTATGTCTATGTATTTTTTTAAAACCATCTTTATAAATCCTAAAACCGACCCCAAAGTCAATTTCTCTCATAAACATTTAAAAATGTGCTAAAACTGACAGCTCTCTAAAATAGCTTCAGCTCTTTTGTTCCATTTTGGACAACTGATGAGAAAATCGCTGATGAAAAACTGAAAATATCAGTTAGTGAATGAAACATCACCACAGTGAAATCACAAATATTACCCAGACAATCACTGAAATATTCATTTCCATGTAATAAATGGGTATGGACTTGTCGATTATCAGGAAATTACCACACACTGGTTTTGACTTAACTATACTTAGTAAATCATGCATATTCATATTGATAAATTCTTCCACAATTTTCACTCAGAAAATGAAATACATACAGTTAATTAACTGAAAATTACAACTGCTGGTTCAACTAAATTCAGCAAATTTTACATTCTAGTGTTACCATATGTACATTTGTTTGAAGTAGTAATTAAACTTCTGTACTAGACTCCATATTCTGGGAAAAAGTAAACATATTATGACACATGGAATCTAAAAATACACATTTATTTTCCTCTTTGACAAGTACAAAAGTGATAAGTGAATCTTCAATAAATGCCCCCAAAATTTAAAATTCAGTAATTGATTTATGGGTATAACTTTGACCCAGCCATTTACAACTTCCATCTAAAACTATATTAGCAGACATGGGATACGTTAACTTATTTTAAGCATATACATTGAAACTTGCTTAAGTTTTTAAACATTATGAACAGAGTATTAAACTGGACATTATGATACATCTTGTTTTTGAGGAATATACTAAGAGGAATACACTAAGAGTGAATAAAATTTCTCGAACGTTTTCCATCCAGAATTCTTTCCTCAGTATTCTTCTCTTCTAACATCCTCTTCATTAAAAAAGAGAAAGAAACCCTGAAAGTACTGCTTTGATCTAGAATGAACAGGCAGGAGTTTCATTCAGATCTATTTTGAGAGAAAACTGATGGGCTCAAAAATATACTTCAGTTGAAAAAATGTGCAGTCGAGGAAATATTAATGTTCTGATAATAAACAGAGAATAATAACACATTTAAGACTGTTCTGCACTTGGCACAGTATTTTACAGAAAGCAAAGTGCTTGACAAACACTATCTTGGAGGGATCTTACAGCACCCCAAGGAGGCAGGTAGAGCCAGGCGTATTGTTCTCTTGTAACAGAGTTAGTCATTAAGAGATTGGCTCAAGGTCAATCCAGAACCTGGATCTGTTGATAAAACTTTATTTCAGGGGTCATGTTATCCCCCGAACTTAATGTGGTAAGTCATGGTGAGTTTCAATCACGAAAGCAAGGAGGTAATATAGCCATATTTTTCTTGTTTGAGATCTCTCTCTTCTTTCCGTTCATTGTACAGATCACCCTTTAAAAAATGTATTTGGTCATCAAAATAATTTATAAAGAAGGAACATGCCACATGTGTACAAAAATTTTTAAATGCACAGTTTATTACCCGAAGAAATAAACTGACGTAACTATTTGAAGTACAAATAAGTGTAATTTTATTTTAAAAGATGCAAATATGTGTTGCCAAATACTGTTTTCGTCATGGTGTAGTCCACTTTCAGTAAACAACTCAATGAAGTTTATAAACTTCATATGAACAGTAACAAATGAGTCATCCTATTCAAATCAAATAAACAAATAACTAGTGTGCCTATTATTTGTAAGGTCCTGTGATCAAAAGGTACAGTCGTTTATAGCCAGTGCTTTACTCAAGTCCTTTCTTGATAGATAGATGGGTGGCAGATGGATAGAGATATCCTACATATCTATCATCTATCTCTACATTCTTCTTTTCCGGTATTTCATCCAACTTCCACTAAAGATAGTTTGTGTGACTTTATTATAGAAATAAAGTTCACAATAAAGATGATTTACATACAGAACTCTTATATTTTCATTCATGGAAAAAACCACAACATGGTGGTGCCAGTGACAGTCTGTGTTTTGGGGCAGGATAGAAACTAACCTGCTTCAGTTACCTGACATTCTAGCAAACTTATTAGGAACACAAACGCTCGGGTCTCTGAATGCACCAACCTGAGCGCCGGCTGATTAGGCATTGTAAAGCAGTGTTCTAAAAGGAAAGGCCTTCACTTAAACAGTGCTACAACGTGTTTGTTCAGCTTTCTTTCATACACAAACTTTTGCCAGAAAAGGCGTTTTAAGCCGAGGGTAAAGATTTTGTGCGTCCACCGTTCCCATCTTCAACTCTTTAGAATAATAGTCATTTAAGCACCGGACCTGTCTTCAGATTCTTACTTTGCGACACAGCTTTGGCCGGACTTGGCTTGATCTGGGCTCCAGGATCGGTCCCACCACCCGGGCTCGGAGCGGTTTGTTCCTAGTGGATCAGGGCGGGTGTGTTGCCGGAGTCGCCTTCTATTGGCTACACTCCCGGGGACTGGCTGGGCTTTCCGACACCTGATTGGGCGGAACAGCCCTCTGTACGCCGACATCATTGGAGGGCGCTGGAGCCAGGGGGCGGAGCGGGTTCCCCAGGATTCTTGACCGGGCGCGCTAGTCCGTCCGCTGAGCCGGGCGCGGGGCGCAAGAGCGGAGCTGCGCGAGCCGCTGCGGAGGGAAGGGCTCCTAGCCAATTGGGGTCTTTGAGGCGAATGCGAGGCTGGGGCCGGTTGCCTACCGGCCGCTTCTCGCCGAGGCAGTCCAGACTTTTCCCCCGGCGGTGCCCGCTCCAAGACAGCATCTGTCAACGCTCCTCTTCTCCCCTCCTCCTCCTGCCGGGCCGGGCTCCGCCGGCTGCGGCCGAGAGGACGCGGGACCCGGCGCGGTGAGCCCATCAGCTGTCAGGCGAGCGGCGAAGCGGCTGGAGGGCGGCGAGAGACACACAAAGAACGCGGTGGGCGGCGGCGGCGAAAGGGGACGGCAACTCCTCCCCGCGCCCGCCGGTGCCACCGCCGGCCGTGCTTGTTCCGAGGCCGCGCAGACAATGCGGCCGGGCTCGTCCCCGCGTGCCCCAGAGTGCGGAGCGCCCGCGCTCCCCCGACCCCAACTTGACCGTCTCCCGGCTCGCCCAGCCCCCTCCCGGGGTAGGGGCGCCCCCTCCCTCCGGTGGCCGGCGAAGGAAGTCGGTCCGCGGCCGCAGATCCCGGCAACTTGCGAACCGGGAAAAGTTTGCGGCGCCTCCGCGGGGCGGCGCGACGCGGCCCGCCCCTCGCGTCCGCGGTCATCGCGGGTGACTTTCTCGACTCGTCGTCAGCCGGGGCCGCAGCGCGGCCGGTGGGGACTGCGGGGCGGGCCGGAGTCCGTCCGAGGGCTCCCGCACCTCGGGCTGCGGGTGAGTCGGCTTTAGGCGCCGTGGGCTCAAGTGGTTTAGGGCACCTGGGCTTGGGAAGAAGTCGTGGAGAGAGCCTTTAATACTTTATGGAGCTGGCGGGGAGAACAAATAAAATTGCGGTAGCTTGAAGGGCACTGACATGCCACTGACTTGGGAACCGTATCCGTGGGAACTCTTCGGGTGCCGGCGCGACCAAGGGCCTGTGCGCGGCTGGGTGGGAGATGGAAAGGTTAGAAGGTCGCGGACTAGCCCTGCCTGCGACTGGCTCAGCTTGACCTTGGACCAGTGACTTTACCACTTAGATTTTTCTCGTGGGTAATATGTGGGGCCACAGCAACGTGGTCTATGCTGTCGTCCAGTTTTTAGACTACATCTCCGTTTTTGAGATTTTCCTAGGGCCTCAACACGGTGCGCGAGTTATCAAGCGATAGGCCAGGATATGTTTACATGCGCCTGGATTCACCTTTCAGCCTACTCAGAAGTAACTTTTAAGTCTGATGTTTTAAAACACTAACATTTAAAGGCTTTCCTTCACTATCCATTGCTTATTTTACGAACCTTAGGATTGTCGTATTTTGCTGCACCATTTGGAATCCTAGGGGCCAGGGTGGGGACAGAGAGCCAAGTCTGAGGGTGAAGTGGCAGGTGCCCCCGGGCGATCCCTGCCGGATCCAGTTGAGGGGGAGAACAAAGCATTTATTATGCATAAGAGAGAGTGAACAGGGCAGGTGTTTGTGTTTTTGTTTTCTGTATTATACTGAAAACTTTTTTTGGTTGGGGGGGTGCGGGCAGTGGAGGAGGGGACAAAGAAGAAAAAGAAATGTCAAAAAAGAGAGGAAAATGTCACTTATACCCAAAGTAAATCTTAAAACTAATGTAAGTCTTCCTTACAGGAACAGCAACACATAATGCAAGTACATCTTGATCTAATTTTAATGAAGGATTGAAAATAGCTACTGTGTTCAGTATTACTGACGCCAAGGCAGCTCACTTACATAATCTTCTTTGTTGAGATGTGTTAGTGGCATGTATAATTTTGATAAATAATTAATGTTAAAGGTTTAGTCCGGCAATGGTATTGAAATATTGTCGTCACAGATTGTATTGCAAGACAATGGTGTGTAAACTTTTGGTTATCATGATAACCTGCATTTTTTTCTCTAAACAGTAAAATCACACATTTTTCATAACCAAAATTCTCTTAAATAATGCATGTGTACTTTGTCAGTAGTGTATACAGGAGAAATTATTTTGTTCTGTAAATGACAAAGTCTTTCAGTTTTCTCACCATTTCATGAGAGTGAATTCTAGATTTCAGGTACTCCACTGGGCATTTTCTCTTCATGGAGCTTATAGCAACAAAAGTGTTTTACAAAAGTAAGTGCATAAGTATAGATACTCAACCAATATTTGCTGAATAAAATACTCAGATGACAATAATTAAAAGTCCATCTTGTTCATCCTTAAAGAGAATGATGATCATGCTTTAGTGGAGAGAATGAAAGTATCAAAGAAAGAACTGGCAGAAAAACAGAGCTTAGTTCCAGTATCTAGCCTAAATGTTTATGCTTTAAAACAGGTATACGCATTTGAAAAGAGACAAAGACAAGTGATAGGGTTTCTAGGAGAAAGATAGCAGTATTGATTTAACGTAGTACATTTTATGACCTAGTTTTGTTTGAAGAACACGAACGTTTGTAAAGGTATATTTCTTAAATAATCAGTAGCTGTTTGCATTGTGATTGGATGTCTAATTAAATGGCCTAATCGTAACCATAATATCTCACTTGAATGCTGTTTTTAAATTCATTTTTAAAATAGCTTGAAATAAACCAATTTAGTTACATGAAGGAAAGTATACCTTTTGAAATCAAAATCCACAGTGAGGAAAAATTATTGTCAGTGTATCACCAAATGTAAATTAAGCACTGGAAGTAGCATCTTGCCAAGAAGGTCTTCACTCTAGACAATCACTTTGTGTAGAAGAGGTATAATGTGGAATGTGGACTGCAGTGAGAGATGCCCTTATTCCTCTGAGGGTCTATTTGGTGACATCAGGAAAATACTAACGCCCCCCCACCACTTCACCATTTGTAAACCTGGCAACTTCTGGAAAGCCTAGTGGCCTTATTTCAAAGTAACCACTCAACCTAGAACTTAGCATTGATATTTGAACAGGCTATTTTTGTAGAATATGGGTTCTCCTCTGTGCAGATTTGCTGGCTGGGCTATCTTGTAAGAGATCACAGCAGTTTATCTCAGAGTGTAGTCCTTAGATCACCTGTGTCAGAATCACCTGTAGTGCTTACAAAACTTCAAAATCCTGGGCACATCCCACATTTACATAATCAGAATGTCTGTGAACAGAACCTAGAATTTCTGTTCATAAAACCCATTTATGCCTAGTGTTCCATTATTGGAATGCTGAGCTTGTGGGAGTTATTTATATCCTACGGCTCGAGGTCATTGCCAAGGTCTGATTTTTCGCAAAAAAATGTGCAACCTCTGGCATAAATGGGTTAATGAACTCCTTCAGAAGTGAGAGTTAATTACACTAAATTTTAAGAATTAGTGTTAGAGTTTTCTTGCCACAGTTGTAATGCTCATGTTGCTTTCTTCCAGGAACATTAAAATCTCCCCAGATGCTCACTGCTCTGATCATTTCCCCTACAGCACCAGACATGTTGGCATCATCTCTTAGTTGGGCCATGTGGCCAGGGAACCCTTCATGAAACCACCTCTGCAGGTAAATCAACATAGAATATACCACCTACAAGCAGAGTTAAGGCTGCTTTGGGACACAAGGCTCAAGAGACCACAGTTCACAGACCCCTCCTACTAGTGGGATACTCCCACCATCCTCCTTAACCTGTTGGTGATTTGTGGGAGTGGCAGTCCCAGCGTTCTGTTCAACTAGGGATATACCGTTTCAAGCAAATGATTGGAAATGGACCCTAAGGGACGGATGACCTGAGAGAGAACAGACAAGAATGGTGGATGGAGGGCTGTCCCTTCAACATCCTTCAAGCCTCAGATTTCAAAAACTTTAGTCCTAAAGCAGATAATTTGGCAAGCAAGTGTGGCTAAGCCCAGGCACCTCTGTTCTTGGTTGTCAAAACTTTAATCTACAAACTCATATAATGGCTCCTATAATCTCTATCTATAAATGCCCAACATGTGAGAATTTTCAAGCTTATCAGTTAAAAAAAGGTCGGGGGGCAGTGATTGTTTAGAAGAGAGGTTCAAAGCATAGGTTGAGGAGTCAACCAGTCCTGATTGCAATCCTAGTTTTGCCATTTACTGCTTGGGTGGCTTCAACCTACATCCTTGACTCTAAGTTTGTTTCCTTACTTGAAAAATGAGGATAATAGTACTGCCTCATAGGAGTTGTTTTGTAAATTATGTAAGATTATAAATTAAAACATCAGCTAATAAATCACACGGTATATATTTAATATATGTAGCTTTTAATTTATTATAATAACTTTTTCAAATTTCCTTTTTAGTCCTGGAGAGTTGCTGTAGAAGAAGGAAAAGAGAGGAAGACAACACAACACAGGAGGGGATAAGTACCTCTGGACACAATGGAAGTAGTAGTTGTTGAGCAGAGGGAAAGGGATAGGAGAAGGATGTGGACTGCAGTGCTGCAGTGCCAGGTAATAACTTTGATCATGTACCTCCTTGGCTCAGGTGCTGTCTCTTCTACTCTCCTCCTTACTTGTACTACCTTATTTAGCACTTAATTATATACTTTCTTGACTCACTTTGAGACACACTGATTATGTGGTCTGCCTCAAAGACAGAATCCTAGTTTTGGATTTTAGCATTACTGATCTATAGCCTTGCAGGGGCTTAAGGATGGCAGCTGTCTCTCTCCCTTGGGATCTAGCTTTTGCAAATATTGAAGGGAAGAGATTTCTTTGATCTTATAGGAATAGATCCACAGTTCCTCTCCAGATTTGCTTTTATAGAGAAGTGTGTGTCACCAAAACAATGGAGATACGGTCAGAGAGGCCCCTACCCCCAGAATTTTAATATAATTTTACTTTCTGGGGCATTTATTCTTGACAAATACTTTCTCTCCTATCAGCTCACTTGTTCCTCACAAAAACCCTATAAGATATTAATATTATTAAACAGACCCCTATGAAGCACCTCAAGTCTTTCTCTCTTCCCACTTCCATTCTTGCACACCTTTTGCTAGACTAGTCTCTGCGTTCATCACATCAGGTTTCTAAAATAAAAGTCCCCTAATAACTTTCTATTTGTTCTCTCATCATATTGAACCTTTTTTGCCTGGCTTATAAGGTGGCCTTAAAACCCCATTTTCCTCTAAACATTGTCTCTGTAGTTCAGGAATATGGCAGGCTCAACACTATGCTTGAGCCCATATTGCTTCCCTCATTAGTGATGCCTCCTCTCAGACCACCCAGATTCTACTCATTCTTCAATTTCCAGCTTCTCCTTGGAGCCTTCCCAGATCATTAGCTTCTTAAAAATCCCAGCTTTCTCTGAATTCTGATGGTAGCCCCCGTTATTTGGACAATTATGTCCTGGTCTTAAAGTCCTAATGGGAAAAAAAAGTACATGATGGACTTCATGTAGAGAAGAAAGCACTGGACTGAGTTTTAAGACAGCTGCTAAGGAGCTGTGTGAGCCAAACCAGGTTACTTTACCTCTCTGGATCTATATTTGCTGATCTGTTAAGTGGAGACAATTGGGTCAGATAATCTTGGTGGTCTTTGCTTATTCTGAGGTTCTTGGACAACTTGGCCTAGTTCACGTGGGATGGGATTGAAGATCTTACTGAGTTCTTGGATGGAAATGTCAGTAATGGGCACTTAGTGCCTTCAGGACTTGTTCTATACTATCCCAGAAATTTCTGATGCTAAACTTGGCAATTTTTAAATGTCATATTCCTTTTCTCCAAACTCTTTAACCACAAGAATTCAGGGAAGGTTATGGGGGGTGACTTAGTTATCTGGATAATACATATTGTGGACAATATAGCATTATCCTTGGGAATGATTTCATATTGTTGAATAAATAGGATCAACTTCTTGATAAACCTTAGTCCCAAGCATTTCATCTTCATTGGATAGTGTTACATAGTAATATATTTATGTTTTCTTTTAATCATTTCATAACTTGGAAAATACTAACATAGTCAAAACTCTAGGGTAGGTGATACATGAGTTTCTGTAGTAATCTGGTTGGAGACATGTTGTAATTCTGTATATATATGTACATTTATCCCATGCATGTTATGCCTAAACTAAGACGGATACCCCTGAATTAAGAGGTGCTGTTATACATTGACCAGGCTTAAGAATATCTCTTTAAAGTGTGTCGACATTTAATTGACCTTTGGAAGTTCATTCTGTTAATCATACTCAAAGTGCTAAAGCTATGGTTGACTGCTCTGGTGTTTTTATATTCATTCGTGCTTTAGCATATAAATTCTTCAGCATAATTGCTACTTATTTAGCAAGAGTTTCCTTTATTTGAAAATGTGAGTTGTGCTTGTATTTTTGTGTCTTTCTTTCTTTCTTTCTTTTTTTAAACTTTGCTTCAGGCTGGGTAGTGGTAGAGGTTTGAATTAAAATGTTTTCCTGTCAGTAGTTGTATGAGGTGTGGCTTCTTAATCTAGAAGTAATGGAAATTTCTTGCTTAAATGAAGTGCACTTTTCTTCCTGCAGAAGTTAGAACTCTTTTAGACAAGCTTAACACTTCAAAACTGTATATCTTTAACAGAAACTTTTGGAAATTTTTAAATTCCATTTGTGTAGATTAAAAATATCAATGCTAATACTTTCTATTAAATAAGGATTTATCTATTTTCATAAAACCTCTAATTATATTCCTTGAATTGCTATGAGTAGAATTTTGTTGTAAACACAATATTTTTAAAAAGTCAAATATATTTTAAAAATCTTAACATTATATTACTATAACTTAGAGAACAGGTGTTTACATGTTTAAAATTTTCTAGGCCTTAAATTTGTGAAATCAGTCTTTCAGAAGTTATTTTTAATATAGTTATCTGTGTTACAGGTTTATAAGTTGACATTTCAATTTAAAATTTTTTCAATTTATATTTCAATGACCAGGAAAAAATAGTTAAACTTATTCCTAAATTTTAATAGAAAAATAAAAAACCACATAGTTGTTAATTTCTGGTAATTTATCTTGAGACTCCAGGCATGTTTTTAGAACATTTTTACCTTAAAAGCAATTTTGAAATAGGGAAATTAAAGTTTAAAGCAGAGTTTTCACTTTAATGAGGTAATTTTATACTTCCCAGATAGGTAGGCCCATATTCAAGAACACTCTGATCTCTGTTTATAGTAAGTTTTGATGCCATTATATCATTTACTTATTCACGCATTATAAGCATAGTAGATAGCCCCATTGTCACGAAGCTGGCATTATTTTCTTGTCTGTCATTCAATATTGTCCCCTTTTTTTTTTCTGTTTTCATCATAGCCGTCCTTTTCATTTTATTGTAGCCCTGACTCGAAATGAAAGTAAGTTTGAACTCTTAAAAAAGAGTTCCTCAAACTCTTTTTTAAGAATATACAGTGAAATGTCTTAAATAATATTATCTAAATAATACCTAAAGAATGCAAATGACTTGCAATGCTGAATAGTCAGACACAGGATGTTCCATGCTAAGGGTAGACTCATATTTCCACTTTATAAAATGTGGTTTCAGAAAACAAATAGATGTGTTTCTTCCTTAATAATTAGTGTTTCAGGACCAAAGTTGACTAAATATGGAAGTTTAAGATAAAACCCGGTTTCTTAGGGAATCTTTCTCAGTCCTTAGTAATTCTGTAGAATTGATGATAGAGTGGCAACTTCAATACACTCAGTATTCTTTTCTGTTTGAAGTCTGTTTTGCCATTGGAAAAAACTTATTGTTGTTTGAATTTGGGTATATGTATTCACAGATGGTTTACTTTATTTTTATTTTGTTTAAACAAATACTTTCATGTCCCAAACACTGAGACATGTTTCATGTCCTAAACACTTTATAAATATTAGAATATTTAATCCCCTTAACTCTGTAGTTATAATTATCTTCATTTTACAATTGAGAAAACTAAGATACGACGTTTTATTTAATGGTAACGCCTTAAGTAAGGGGAGAGTGATAAGTGTAAGCAGAGTGGAAAACTTAGTAGTGCTAAGGAGCAACAGAAGTATGTGCAAGAGTTTGGGAAGATGTGTCTGCTTGGAAAGGATCAGGGACTCAGCTGGGATCAGTCTTAAAGAGCAACATGTCCTCATTCCTCAATTTTAAGCCTTTGGGCTCTAGAAGTAAAGGGCAAACTTAGAGGAGGCACTCCTCAGGTTTCAGCTGCCTGTTCCGGCCTGGTGAGGTGGCTGTACTGGCTCATGTGTTTCTCATAGGGCTACATGAGCCTTTATGTCTTACCTCCTCCTCATTTCTTGGCTGACTCCTGCTTTTTTGGAGGGTTTAACTTCTCTCTCAGCTAGAAGGTTAGGCATTGCAAATACCAGTGGATAATTTTTTTCTTAGCTTTAACCCCAGCCCATTTCAACCCCCTCTTTGCCCTTTGTATATTCTTTTGAAAATATGATCCAGTAGTGTTTATGAATGTGTGTTGTGTAAAATTTAGAGATTGATGTTAAACAACAGAATTAAAGGACAAAGCTGTCTTTTTTGTTGGAATTGGGGATGGGAGAGCAGCTCAAAGTGGGAAATATGGAGAAAGGAGAGACATTGTGGAAAAGAAGAGATAAATTGAGGGGAAAAAAAGAGGATGAAAAAATGAAGAGAGAGAATTACTGATGTGCTTCACACCCACACCTCCTCTCCAACTTCACAGTAACAGAGGCAATGTCACTATCTTTTACCTGACAAGTGCTTTACCAGGGAGTTGTGCCTGGCATCGTGGGAGTGGAAAATTTTTCCCTTTTGCATTTTGAGACTTGGGTGTGCTGCTTTAAGATGCCACTGGTATCTAAGTAATGTTTGTTTATACTGGATATTTTTCTCTGTAGCCTTTGTGGATTGGACTTATAATATAAACAATATTGTTAGCAGAACTGCAGGTACTCTATTGCTATGTTTATTTTATTAGTTAAAAAACTACCAGAGCCCTAGGACTTCTGAGCACATTTAGAAAATACCAGAGGCAATTTTAAGACTAGCATTAGAAAGAAAGAAAAGAATAAGAATAAAACTAAGACTTGCATACCTTAGAATCCTAACCAATGTGGTGATTTTTAAAAATTAATGTTTCAGAGACTCTAAATTAGGGTAGTTGGTTTCATCAATTACATTTTTTAAGTTAATATAAAGTGCTTTTGTATGTAAATTCTCTTAATAGATAATTTAGGTAAAATGAAAGTGTGGCATTTTTTGTTCCATAGAATGTAAAACTAACGTCAGAATAAGAATTCTTTTGGGAATTTAGGATTTTTTTGATGCTTCTCAAATCATCTGTAATGACTTTTATTTATAGAAAAGGTAGATTATTCATTAGTTTTTATGAAAAACACTCAGTTTAAATAGCCGGGTATGGTGGCGCATGGCTGTAGTCCCAGCTACTCAGGAGGCTGGGCACGAGAATTGCTTGAACCTGTGAGGCAGAGGTTGCAGTGAGCCAAGATCGCACCACTGCACTCCAGCCTGGTCCAGAGTGAGATTCCGTCTCGAACAAAACAAAACAAAAATATTGAGCTAATCTAAATGGTAAAAATCTAGATTTGAAGAAATTTATTTTAAAATAGTTGTTCATTTGTCAAATAGAAAAGTATGATCTTAGCAGGTTTGGTTAGATCCCTATCTGAAACAAAGTAAACTAAAGATGTTTTTCTTGATCAATGCATAGCAATAACTGCTGTTCAAACATGTGAGGAATCACCAGTAAATTGGGGGATAGAAAGCAGGAAAAGGAGCTTTTTTCTCTTATTTTTTTTCATTTATCAGTTTTTCCCATTTGTCCATCCTTTCCTATAATCATGGAAATTTTTATTTTTTACACTCCTCTCCCCATTTTTTTATCCTAGATTGCCACCACACCAAGGTTTTCTAGAGTTAGGCAGAAAGAGAACCTGGGCCTAGATGCTAATGGAAACTATCCCATGCTTTCTCAGACTCTCTTTCCTCCCCAGAGACAAGAGGAGCAAAACAGGAGTTGATGGCTCATTGCTGTTGCTTCTGTGGCTGCCCTGTTTGGTTGACCTGAGCTTTTTTTAAAAACCTCCACTCTTGACGCTTAACTCTATGAATAAAATTAGGGCCAGTCACACTGTATTTTCATCATCAGTTATCCCTAGTGATTCAAATTTAGCACAAACCTGCTGTGAGTACATATTAATTAGGTGAATACAGTAGAATGCAATCATAACATGAGTCTTTTAATAACTATTCTTTGTTTGATTTTTATTTTAGAAGTTTGAAGTTATTTTGTTGAAAATCTAGAAAATCTTTATGTGAGCAACTGAGGTTCGGGTAGCCCACAACAGTTTAAATCAAACATTAACTTGCAGTAAAACACTACTGAAAGTGTCTTTGATTTTGAGGTGCAGAGAGCTGTTTCAAGTTAAGTTGCTATATTAGTCTGTTCTCATGCTGCTAATAAAGACATACCTGCAACCGGGCAATTTATTAAAAAAAAAAAGAGGTTTAATTGACTGACAGTTCCACATGGCTGGGGAGGCCTCACCGTCATGGTGAAAGAGCAAGGGATGTCTTACATGGTGGCAGGCAAGAAGTTTGTGCAGAGGAACTCCTGTTTATAAAACCACCAGATCTCATGAGACTTACTCACTACCAGGAGAACAGGATGCGGGAAACCACCTCGGTGATTCAGTTATCTGCACCTGGCCCCACCCTTGACACATGTTGATTATTACAATTCAAGGTGAGATTTGGGTAGGTACACAGCCAAACCATATCAGCTGCCCATTCTCCTGTGCAGTGACATAAAGGTCTGATAACCTGATTTAAAGCTTGGACTCTAAGATTTTTTTTTTTCTTTTTTTGAGTCAGGTTATCTCTGTCGCTCAAGCTGGAGTTCAGTGGCATGAACAGGGCTCATTGCAGCCTCAACCTTCCAGGTTCAAGTGATTCTCTTGCCTCAACCTCCTGAGTATCTGGGGCTACAGGCATGTGCCACCGTGCCAGGCTAATATTTTTATTTTTATTTTTGTAAAGATGGGGTCTCACTTCTGGGCTCAAGCAATCTTTCCTCAGCCTCCCAAAGTGCTGGGATTATAGGTGCGAGCCACTGCACCCTGCTGTAAAGAATTTCATATCCCTGTTTTCGGTGTGCTGTGTCACTGTTTGCCATGGGTAAAGGTATATGAATCTCTTTTATTTTGCTGCTTGCAACCCAATTCCCATGCCAAACCCAATTTGTATCCAAACAAACAATATTGGAGACAAGTTCTTCTATAGAAAGCTTCATAAGCCAGTTACTGACTACTGTGTCTGTAAATATACTCAAACTATTTTGTAGTCTTGCTATTTTAAAAAATGTGTGGGTGTGGGAAGTGATGTTGAATGAATTCAGGGTAATTGGTGGTTCTTTGTATTAGGAAAACTCACTAGTTAAGGGAAGTCTGTTTTCATGATTCATGTATGTTTAACTTAAAAAAAAATTCTTCCATCCTTCTCTCCAGTTTCCACTCTACCTCATAAATTCAAGTAATGAAGGAATTTAAATAATAGAATTTTATAACTGAAAGGATTTTGGAGAGAATCTATTAACCCTCCTACTACAGTTGAGGAAATAGATGTCCAGTGAGGTCAAATGAGATCATGTAGCTAGTTTAAAAACCCAAATAACATTTTAGTAGTTTGTTTCCATTAGTAAACACTGTTCTGTTTGATTTGCCCTAACATGTTCATAATCAGAGTCATAATAAGGAAAAATCACTAATATGTGTGTGGTACTTTCTTGTGCATACCTCAGTCACTTCTCAAAAGAGGTCTGTAAGGTGTCGGTATCCTGGTTTCCATTCAGGGAGAGAACAGTCTATGAGCCTAAGAGACCTGTCTGTGCCAGTCACTATCAGAACAGTCTAATGCTATGTGTCTTCCTACCTTGGCAAAAGCATTGGCTGGTCTCTGGACAGTTCTCATAGACCACAGGATTGGGCAGGGGGGAGCCACATCTTCATGTTAGGGCTCTAACCTGTACCAATTATTAACTGTTGTCTCTATTTCATCATTTCTTAAAGGGAAAAAAAAGCACTTTTTAAAGAGCATGAGATTTTAAATTTTTCAAAAGAAGGATGCTGGATCATTATAAGTAAGGCATGTTTTAAAGATCTTCTTATCAACAGCTTAAAAATTAGCCAGTATATACTGAACATCCACTGTATAAAAAGCACATTATGGGGTGCTCCAGTAGGTACAGCAGTGATCGAGACAGAATCATAGCCTTCAGGGAAGAGGTATATGCAATGTTCTCTCCTTCCAAAGATTACCTAGATAGAGAACTGTTCATAAGAAATATCTTGGTACTGTCTACATTACTCTTGAGATATAAAATATATATTATTTCTTACGTCTGAAATGAGTCAGTTGTTTCTAAAACAATTTGTATTAAAGTATTCACATTAAAAATTTGTAAAATACAGAAAAGTAGAGAGAAAAAATCATGAATTTTTAACATGGTAATGATTATATCAGTTTCGTTCTTGGCGTTTCTTTAACTTGATGGGATAGCTAATGTTTTTTGTCATTGCATAGCTTTGTAAACTTGTCCTAAGGATTATATAATTTCAGCATGAGTTAGTTTCTAAGTATGTCAGAAATCTAGCTTTTTTGTGGTAATTGTTGTTTTACACAAAATGATTAATAAAAGACTCTAAACTAACCTTGGCTTTAGAAATGCTTTTTAAATTTTAAAATAGTGAATGAGTAGCAGATTACTTTCTAGTATTTCTTTAAGGTCACCAAAATCACTTAACTTGCTTAAAATATTGATGGAAATATCAACTACGTACAGTTGACCTAAATTAGAAATGGGTGTTTTTTAAATAGTGAAATTTATAAATATAATATGTATATTTTAAAATACAGTTTATATTATAGAGTTATGTTCCTCTGTAATAATTTCTCTTTACACTGAATCATGTTCAGTTTTTATTATGCAGATAATTTAATCTTACAGCTTTGATCTTTTTTAAAAAATAAAACAGCCATTTGGAGTCTAAATTCAGCCATGTGATTATTACAATGAAATTCATCTTAAATCTACCTAATGTCCCTTTAGATATAAGACCTATTTCAATAGAAGGGCGTTTCTTGGTTAGGGTTGCTCTTCCCGAGAGGAGTCTCCTGGAGCAGGAGCCCCTGGGGAGGAGTGAACTGAGCCAGCAGGTGGTCTAAGGGAGGTGCCAGGGAACTGCTGACAGTGACTTGCCTGAAGGAAGGGAGGGAGCAGGATGGGAGTGGGGTGGAAAGTCCCTTATTAGCCTGGAGGCTGGGATGCCCTGACCCTCTGGAATCCCCCTCCCTTGTAAGAATGCCAGCCAAAGTAGGAAGGAGGAGCTCCAGCCAGATGGGGGTCCCAGTGCAGGAGGAAGATAGTAGGGTGACCACAACCAAAAAAGCTGTCTGACAGGCTTTGAGATCTCTTGTCTGAGGAACTCCGGCATAGATAGTAAGTCAGTATTCACTTAGAGGAGAGTTTGGCAAGTGAATATATATGATGAATGAATGAGTAACTGAATGAACTGCTTTATCACCAAAGGATCTGGATATTTGTTTCTACTCTCAAACATTTTTTGATTTGTTAACTTTTTATGCCCAATTTTAAAAGAAAATGCAATTTTCATTGAACTATGATTGACTACTTCATATTTATTGAAACCCACACCCTCCAGTACTCCACAAATGATTCAGAAAAGCTTACAATAAAAAAAATCAGAATAGAAAAGTGAGTAACGGATGTGATTTCAATTCTCCAAGCCTGTTGTCCTTATCTGTGATGGTAATGATTATAGATGCCTTATCTTGCTGTGGCAGGGATGAAATGAGATCATGTGCAGGCATTATTTGTCATACAACAAATACATAGTTGAGGTTGTATTAAAATTAAGGCTTTAAACTTGAGTACATACACTTTTGCTTAATTCTCAATTTATTTTTCATTACCATTTTATCAGAGAATGATATTTAAGCGATACTCATTTCTAGAGTAGAAGAGATTTTATTCCTTATAACTGTAAACTCTATACTATCCAAGATAATACTCTTCTTCCTAGAATTTGAATTCGTTAACAATCTTTCACATTTTCACAATCCATGGGAAATCACTCCCAGTAAATGCTTACAGCATTCGTCCACTTTCATGAGGCAAGGAGTAGGTAGGTCTGTATTTGTATTAATTACAAAGAAATTCAAGGGAAGGTTCATCATTATCATCGTTAGCAGGAAATATAATGAATTAGAAGCCCTTGAATTGGACTAAAAGAGTGTGGAGTATGTGTAAAAGAATGAATCAGAGAAGGTAAAGATTAATTTTAAAGGGCAGAATTTTGTTTGTACATTTAGGTCACTTCAATTTCAGATCAGTTCTATGTATGCTTTCTAGAAAAGATATCAAAGACCACCTAGATTTCTTGCCTTTAGGTGTGTTTTACCAAAGGAACAAGACAGAAGATGAATGCCAAAACTATTAATGCAGCTACCCTGGACACTAAGCCCCCAAAGAGATGGAGGATTGGAGGATGTAGAGCCTGGGCACTGGGTCCAGTGCTGACATGGAACATGTTCATTCTTAGAGTTTCACTGCAAACACTCCAAGGATAGAGAGCGAGAAGGTTATGTGGACATGAGAGGAGAAGGGTGGAAGAGGATTGAATGGTTCAGGGTAGCTAAAAAAAATTTTTACACTTTATCTCGGGCTGCTTCTAAACCCTCCACCAGAAAGAATTAATCCTGCAAGCACTTAAAACAAAACTGATGTGAGGAAGATAATAAAACCTGTCCAGGGTACAGACATCCAGATTTGCAATTTAGGGTGGGAAGACTTTAGAGACCTTGTCTAACAGGGCTAAAGAGTATCCTTATGGTTTTAAAGTAGGTACATTGTTTTTTGTAAGCATTTCTAGGGTTATATAAGACAAATCAGAGTCTGATGTATTGAACACAATTGGATCTTATTCTGCCATATTTGTTTTTAATTCACGATTTTTAAATGGATTTACTGGTCATATTTCTCAGGTCATGGCAAGATTTTTTAGTCTTAAACTTATTTAGCTCAGTCCTTCTAGATCAATGGTTCTCTGCCCTGAAGGTGTAGCAAAATTGTTTGATAGCTTTTGCAAAATTTACATACCCAGCAGCCTCCCCATCAGCTGAATAAGAATTGCAATGTGGATGTGGCAGAGGCAATCAGGTATGTGGGGTTAGAAGAAGCTGTCCTGGTCATTCTGTTGCCACCCTCTCACTTGGAGAATTGCTGATCCAATGAATTCCTTAACATAACTTTGAAAACACAGCGTTTTGCTCAGAACTTCATGAATAAACATCAAATTTTCACTAAACAAAATAATTAAAGACCATAAGATCTTAGTTATAATACTTCATAAATGGAAAAGCACTTTATTGCCTGTATGTATGTGGGCTCCTCTTTTAGCAAGATATGAGCTAGGTGAAGTCTATGTGAAAGCTAAAGCAGATTTATTCCAGTCAGATGCCAGACAATTTTACCAGTTTAACTGAGACTCATTATTACTTAAACTACATGCTTGTTTTTTTGGTTACTGAGTAGTATAGGTCCCACTTGGATCAGCAATTCTCAAAGTGAGAGGGTGGCAATAGAATTATTTAAGTAATTATTTGTTATTTGAGGTTGTTTGCTTAGTATTTACTTGTCACTGTTTTACATGTTATTTAATAATTTACAGTTATTTAAAAGTGGTAAGATTCCAAGGCAAGTAGGGGACCTGTCACTTTGAGAAAAATTTATGGTGGTAAAAATATTTTCTTTTTGTAAAGAGTCACTGATATACAATGTCCCCCCAGGGTGTAAGCCTTGGTATTTATCTATTTTAATTAAAGAGTACTCTGCCTGTCTAGTCGTGGCTAACTTAAAAGAAGTGGGTATCTTGGTGAGAAGTTCACAAGGTTGGTAGCCATAGCTGAGTTTGGTGGATTGACTCAAGCTCTAGTCAGCAGTGGTATATGAATGCCAAGTACTAAGAATTTCTGGAATGTAGAATTGCACAGCACTGATAAAGTTTGCTTTGTTCCCCTGTGTGACTTGACCCATTGAGAAAACTGGTTCCCTAGGAAGTTTTAATAGTTCAAAGTCCTTAGTTAATAAAGAAAAAGGCCACAACATAATTCAGCTTGTTTTCACCTGCTGACTCAAAGATTAACTTTTTTAACCTTAATGGGATAGAGTTACCCTTTGCTTTGAGAAAGTAATTTATGGAGTTCTTCATATTTGTTAGTTTCAGTAAACATGATGCTTTTTGTGTGGATTTTATTTTTGTTTCGGGTTTGAGATCACAAACTACTAAGACTTACACAATTTAAGAACCTTACGGTAACTTCATCTAAAAACAAATCTCAGGGAAAGGCACACCCACTTTTCTGTATCAACTTAATCTTTCACTAGATTCAGAATGGTTTTGAATTACTTCAGGAAAGTAGTGACTGATAGAGCTTAACCTTCAGTTTTCCTCATTTATTTTCATAAGAGAATGGGAGTGGAATTCAAAACATTCAAATTTGGAGTTAATGTGCGTCACTGTTGTGAGTGATAGGTTCTGTGTTTTTCCAGTGGGAAACTTTGATCCACATACTGATATATGCCTGTGTTATACCTCGTTATTCTTTTCTGTTTTTCTCCTGATTGTTGCTTACTCTTTCAAAAATCAGCTGACTGTACAAGTCCTCTCTGGGAGCAGACTTTAGAGCAAAAGTGATCTATAAAAGCAGCATGTAAGTCTTTTTTTTTTTTGTCAGAGTTTATAACTTTCCAAGTAGACCTTTTATATTTTCACGGTAGTCTAAGTTCACTCAACTGCAGTATTTGATGTTAAATGTACGCTTTACGCTGTTAAGATAATTTAGTTTCTGTGTTTGGTCACTTTTGCTTAAAGGATTGTAATTACATAATGCATGTTGAAATCATATTAAGTAACCTGGCCACTTGCCTATTTACTTCTTGTGGCTAACAATAATGAATGAAACCATTTATATATGTTGTTTTAGTATATCACAAAATTTTATAGAAACTAGAAGCTCGGTGATGAATAATAGACATCCATGAGCCTTCTTATTTGTTTTGAATTTGAGACATTTTCTAGAATATTGCTGTTTGAATGAGGCTTCAGTACTTTACAGAATCGTTGCCTGCACATCTTGGAAACACTTGCTGGGATTACTTCTTCAGGTTAACCCAACAGAAGGCTAAAGAAGGTATATTGCTGTTGACAGTGAGCGACTGTAAACATCCTCGACTGGAAGCTGTGAAGCCACAGATGGGCTTTCAGTCGGATGTTTGCAGCTGCCTACTGCCTCGGACTTCAAGGGGCTACTTTAGGAGCAATTATCTTGTTTACTAAAACTGAATACCTTGCTATCTCTTTGATACATTTTTACAAAGCTGAATTAAAATGGTATAAATTAAATCACTTTAAAACCATGTCTGTACATTTTTAGAGGGCTTCAGCAGGGCATTGAGGAGGTGCTCTGTGTATGCATAGAATTTGCAATATCAAAAAGAAAGTATTCGTAAGAGAAATGAGGAAATGTGTTACAGTATTTTTATTTTTTTTAAAAGCGTAGTAGGGCAATATTTCCCAGAAAAATCTATGAAGTGATTTGTTTTGTCCTGCCCTTTCTGCAGTTTCAAAATAGGTGTTTTTTAGACCCATTCACAAAAAAAAAATCCATTAATGAAACCACAATTATTTGGGGGAAAAAAGTAAGATGAAGGGTTAGTTATTTTCACATTACTTGGATTAAACCCCTTTTATTTCCTTATAGGCTTAGTGTTTAAGTAATAAAGTAGCAGCTCTCAGCTTAATAAAGTGTCTAAAACAAACAAATACTGATTCAACTAACTCTATTATTTGAAAAACCTATTCTTGTTTCAGATGATTAGAATAGTATTTTAGGAATTTGTGGATACTGTTTCCATTTGGTTGAACTTTTAACTTAGCTTTATGCAATAACTCATATCTCTTAAAAATAATAAATACATCAAATTCTATCCTAAATATATGAAGACAATTTTAAGATTCAGAATCCTGTAGAAGATTTCTGTGATGGACATAATTTCTAATTTTCCTTTTTTGTAAATGCGTATTTTTCTTATGGCGGATATTTTTAATATTATACACTTAAATAGAAATATTTAAGTGTATAAGAGAAATATTTAAGTGTATAATAGAAATATTAAGGATACACTTATATAGAAACTAGACACTTTAAAAAGATATGAAAGTGATATCTTTTGTCCTCTAAAACACAGTATTTTATAAATATATAGTGTTTCCATTAATGTAAAAGAGTTTCTTTTCCCTGTTTAATACCCATTGATGATGATGATAAAGAAGTGATACTAAAACAGTATGATCATACCACTATTTAAAATAGTAGCATTTCTTCTAATACCTGGGATGGAGAGAAATATGTGTTAGAAATGTCTTTAAGTTTCCCTCATACATAAAGCTATCAAAACTCTATTAGTCATGCTGGGCCATGAGAGGTTCATCAACTGCCACTGAAATGCAAGGGGCTTGGAGAGGCCTCTGCCAGGCCCTGGGTCTGGAACTGAGAATGTGGTCTATTTTAATTGGTAAGCTGAAAACCCCTGGAGCAAATAACTCGGCTGTTTTTCTGGGGTCACCCGACCGTATTTCCTAGGTAAATGACTATAGGTTTGAAGAAATGGTTAAACTTTTCCTAAATCTTTGACCTTCACTTTCTTTAGGTTCTCTTCCTATGTTATTTTATATCCTCTTCCTTACCTTACTGCCCCTAAATTTTCCATTTTTCATTTTTATCTGTTCATTTTGTTCATGTAAATAATTAGTTATGGGAACTTTTTAATTTGTAAAAATTACAGCATTTTTAATTATTTTTAAATCAACAAATACAAACCTCCATAAGCCATTCCGGGTAGTTTCAAAATTAATACCTAGTATTTCTTATGTCTTGTGCCCCACATTTCCACAGTAATAATGTAAACTACTATTTTAAAGTAACATCAACAGTCCAGGCACGGTGGCTTACGCCTGTAATCCCAGCACTTTAGGAGGCTGAGGCAGGTGGATCACTTGAGGTCAGGAGTTTGAGATCAATCTGAACAACATGGTGAAACCCTGTCTCCATTAAAAATACAAAAATTAGCTGGGTGTGGTGGCACGTGCCTGTAATCCCAGCTACTGAGGTGGCTGAGAATTGCTTGAACCTGAGAGGGAGAGGTTGTGGTGAGCCAAAATGGTGCCACTGAACTCCAGCCTGGGCGACAGAGCGAGCCTACCATCTCAAAAAAAATATATCTATATATATATATAGATATACATATAAATAAATAAAATAACATCAACAGTGTGTTATTCATAATTGAAATAAGATCTGGATGCAATTTTTTATTTTACAAAAAAAATAACTTCTAAAGTTTACAGTATTATGTTTCTACCACTACGTGGACAGAGTTACCATGCATGTGCTTAGGTAAGATAAACTAATATTTAACATAAATTAGAAACCCTTACTAATTGCTTTCATGTGTTTTTTTTCTTACTATAATTTTTAAAATTTCACATATCAGCATAATAAAATATCTATAAACTAAAACATAAAATTCTTAAAATGGACTGTAGTAAGTCAGTTACTGAAAATAAAACACTGTCAAAATGTGTTAGTTAAATGTAATGTGAGTGTTGCTATAAAGTTAGTAATGTTTAAAAAATAGCACCACACTGAGTAATCATCAAAAGTATTATACATTTAGTTTTTATTCATGATTTGCCAAAATAAAAATTGGCACATGCTTGAAAGGGAGATTTCTAAAGGAAGTTAAGAGCTTCTGAAAGTGTCAGTGGTGAATGATTTAAGTGATACTTATTTTTCCTGACCTTAAAACTCTGATTTGAACTTGCACTCCATTTTACAATGATGTTGTCTATAAATATTACACATGTATGAAGCCTTTCCTCTACTACAGAATAACTAAAACCAGACCAGAGGACTGTGGAGGCAAGGGAAATGCATTTGAAGGCCGTCTGCATGGGAATTAGTTACCTAGACCTGAGAAACCCCTTTCTATTTAGATTCCTCTCAGAATTGCTCTGTTTTCTTTTACTAGAATTTTAGCTAAACATTACCATTCAAGGGGAAAACAATCTTTCCTGAGTGGTATCAATTTTTGGTAGCTTAATAACACTAATTCAAAATTGCCCGTTATTTTTCTGTATCAGAAGAGTAACAGGAAGTTAATTGTTTATCTTAATTTTGGAAGCACCTTACTGAAATTTTAAAGGTGGTGCTTAGTGAACTGTCTTAACAATCTCACTAAAATAATACAGAAGACTTTCTTCATGTGGTTCTATATCATAAGAAGTATTCTGTATAGATATGGAAGATAAATTTCCTAGTGCGTACTGTAGTTGTTTTTGTGCACTGCCAAACAAATACATAATGAAGCTGTTAAATCATTTGAGATTGAGGGTTTTTATGATTATTATTTTTCCTCCTCATTTTTACACCTCCTAATGGCCAGTAAGTAAAATGCAAAAAAGTATCCTCTGATTATGTTTATTATTAGAAATAATAGTCAGTGAATTAAATATTCTTTAATAGACTTCTGTTGTAATGTGCGGAGAAGTGTCTCGCTAATGTACACTTCTAAAATCTCAATATGAATGTGATGGGCAAGTTAATGTTGCCAAGCAAGTGATGCTAAATCTGCCTTTCCTAATTTGTATACCTCATTATTATATAACCTTAATAATGCAGTACTTTCAGGGTAGAGGCTTTTTGATGCAAATTAAAACAAAGTAGGTTGGGGATTCATTTAGCACAAACACTAAATGTGAACTTACTGTCCCCACAGACTTCAGTGCCCTGAATGGTTAGAGAAATTAATGAAGGAGCTCCATCGGGTGCCTTTACAACTCTTAGTAATATGAGAATCTTTCCACAGCTCTCATTTCAAAAATGATAACATGAGATTTCAGGATGTGAAGTAACATATTAGCAAGTGTGTTAGAAAATATAAAATATTTTACAGTATGATAACATATCATCAGCTTGTTATTCTTAATGTGTTTCCTTGTAGGGCCTGACTACCATTTCTGAATTTTGGAATTTGGTATTTTTTAGTAAACGTTTGAAAAGATGAAATGCTTATACCAATAGCCTGTCAGTGAAGGAAAATTTATGTAAAAGCTAAAGAAATGCAGTTAAATATAAAATAAATATCTTAATGCCGTAAAACAGTAGCATTTGCAGTCATAATTCCCACAGTCAGTAACAATATATTTATTTTCAAGATGTGTGATGTTAATGCAATAAAAACATTGTTGCCCTATTTGAATGAAGATTTATTTGCACTGAGTATAACCCTGCAGAAATGAGTCAGAGAATTGGTAAAATTTGCAAATCCAAACATTCAACTTTGAGTGTTCATGTTTTGTGCATAATAGATCTAAGCGCATATCAAAGAAGTGATTTTGCTAAATTTATTACTCTTTAATCATGTTAGATTAAAATTATCTTTAGAATTACAATCTTTAAACTATGTAATGCCCACCTAGAAAATTTAATTTTCAAACGTTTGTTCTTTTTTATATGCTTTCAATGGTTTTCTTGGCCATATCAGCTATATAGTTGTCTTTCTGCAATTCTCATTCTACTCTTATACCCCAGTGAATCTATGTTTGGCTTAAAATAAATTTAGATGGTCAGATACTGAGTAAGAAATTAGGAAATCCACACACTGTTAATTCATAAAAACAATAATGTTCATTGAAATAATTAACCTTTCTGCACTTTAGTTTCTAGTTTGATTTTATTGATTTCTTATAATTTGACCTAAAATCTCTGTGTAATAAAAAATAAATCATCATGAGTTATTAGAAATTCTAAAATTTTAAGACTAATTAAAAAGTAAAATTCAGTTTATGAAAATGCAATTTACTGAGAGGTAATTTCTCTGTTCTTTTTGTATAGAATAGAATCTATTCAGGTTGTTGGTACACATGTAATTCTTATTGACTATGTGTGATATGCTAATAGCTAATTAAAACTACTTTCATTCAGTTTACCACCTGAGACAACAGAAAGACTAGTGCTGGAGAAGTTAGGGTTAAGTTTAGAGTTAGAAAACAAGCTCTCAAGGACTTGTAAGAGCAGTCCCATCCCCTGAATCTCAGGATATGGCAGCTCACTTTGACTGAAGGAAATTTTAAAGTCCTAGGGTGACTAACACTTTTCTAGCACTGTTGATTTTCTAGATTAGACAAGAATAAGAGAATACCAATGAAGGCAGGATGATTTTTTTTCTTTATTCTATTTTATTTATTTATTTATTTATTTATTTTTTTGAGACAGAGTCTCACTCTGTTGCCCAGGCTGGAGTATAGTGACACGATCCCGGCTCACTGCAAGCTCTGCCTCCCAGGTTCAAGCAATTCTCCTGCCTCAGCCTCCTGAGTAGCTGGGACTACAGGCGTGCGGCACCACACCTGGCTAATTTTTGTATTTTTAGTAGAGACGAGGTTTCACTATTTTGGCCAGGCTGGTCTCGAACTCCTGACTTCGTGATCCGCCCACCTTGGCCTCCCAAA